>NC_000002.12:134989618-137489618 GCF_000001405.40 Homo sapiens | reverse complement strand
AAGGCTACTGTAAGAAACTTGCAACTATGAATTTAATTCAATGAATGCAATTCTTAAAACTAAAATCCAAACCAAAACAACTTATGGTCAATAAGACTAAATTGGCAAACATCGAAGAAAAAAACTTAATTAACTCGATTCTACTTGTTATGAGATTGGGTAGGCTAATTTTTTTTTTCTTTTTTTTCTTTTTTTTTTGAGATGGAGTCTTGCTCTCACCAGGCTGGAGTGCCATGGTGCGATCTTGGCTCACTGCAATCTCTGCCTCCCAGGTTCAGGCAATCTCCTGCCTCAGCCTCCCAAGTAGTGGTGACTACAGGTGTGCACCACCACGCCCGGCTAATTTTTTGTATTTTAGTAGAGATGGGGTTTCACCATGTTGGCCAGGATGGTCTCGATCTCCTGACCTCGTGATCCACCAGCCTCAGCCTCCCAAAGTGCTAGTATTACAGACATGAGCCACCGCACCCAGCCCAACATTTTCCTAAGAAGGGGAGACAATAGACCAAATTATCCACTGCTATGTCATTTCTATTTGTTAGCATAACAGACAACCTAGAAAAAAATATTAAGTTCTTCTTTTAGTCAATAAGTATAGAAAATTAACAAGTGTGGAAAATTATGTTGGCACAGATGAAATTTCAACTTTATCCCTAAAATCTGAGAACTGAGGTGGCCAGAATGTACACAGCAGTGGGGATCCTGGAGACTTCATGCTACTTATAGATTTGTCCCCCATCAAGCTGGGAAAGTCATATACTCTCTCTGTGGCTCATCCTACAGGATAGGCAGGACTACCCAATGAACAAAGTTCTTTCTTCTCTAACATTTGGTAATTTCAAATTCAATCTTAGACTGACTTGTAATTATTCTCTCAGGCAAGATACAAGTGAATGTTTCATTCTCCAAAAATTGATAGAAGATGCCTTAGCTTCTTCATCTTAGAAGATGGGTGATTTTGAGTACACTGTGTTGTATGCATGCACACGTGGAAGGAAGAGAAAGACAGTGAGGGAAGAAAATTGTGAAAACACCATCTTTCAGATCACTAGAACCTCTACTTCTAATTTCATCATCAATCATTGATAATTCTATATTTTGTATTGTAAGCAGTTGATAAAATTATAGGTAGGGCCAATCTTAAAGATTAAGAAAACCTGCTTCTATATCAATGAGTTGAAACTCAAAGTGCCTTTTCTCATAAAAGACACATATATTCTTCAAAATATAACACATGTAATATATATTACATATATGATCTATACATTGGTTTTAAATATATAGGTGTATAAATATAATGTGTATATTGGTATATGTGTGTGCATATACATATGAATACCTTAATAGTTAATTAAATAATTATTTTACAGTATACTTTAAGTGTTAGAAATGAGTTACTTCTGACATATTATAAAAACTAGTATCAGTTGAAATAGTTCACCTTTTTAGTTCCAATGCAGTCTGGATAGTATTGAGCATTTTACTAGGTTTCAAATCTAAATATTCAGCTATTGATTGGAAATCTGCAGCTAAACACCTTAAGAAACCTCAAAATAGGCCGGGCGCGGTGGCTCACGCCTGTAATCCCAGCACTTTGGGAGGCCGAGGCGGGCGGATCACGAGGTCAGGAGATCGAGACCATCCCGGCTAAAACGGTGAAACCCCGTCTCTACTAAAAATACAAAAAATTAGCCGGGCGTAGTGGCGGGCGCCTGTAGTCCCAGCTACTTGGGAGGCTGAGGCAGGAGAATGGCGTGAACCCGGGAGGCGGAGCTTGCAGTGAGCCGAGATCCCGCCACTGCACTCCAGCCTGGGCGACAGAGCGAGACTCCGTCTCAAAAAAAAAAAAAAAAAAAAAAAAAAAAAAAAAAAAAAAAAAAAAGAAAGAAACCTCAAAATATTTCTTCTAGATTTTCTATTTTATTTGCGTAGAGGTGTTTGTACTATTCTCTGATGGTAGTTTGTATTTCTGTGGGATCAGTGGTGATATCCCCTTTATCATTTTTTATTGCATCTATTTGATTCTTCTCTCTTTTCTTCTTTATTAGTCTTGCTAGTGGACTATCAATTTTGTTGATCCTTTCAAAAAACCAGCTCCTGGATTCATTAAATTTTTGAAGGGTTTTTTGTGTCTCTATTTCCTTCAGTTCTGCTCTGATTTTAGTTATTTCTTGCCTTCTGCTAGCTTTTGAATGTGTTTGCTCTTGCTTTTCTAGTTCTTTTTTTTTTTTTTTTTTTTTTTTTGAGACGGAGTCTCGCTCTGTCGCCCAGGCCGGACTGCGGACTGCAGTGGCGCAATCTCGGCTCACTGCAAGCTCCGCTTCCCGGGTTCACGCCATTCTCCTGCCTCAGCCTCCCCAGTAGCTGGGACTACAGGCGCCCGCCACTGCGCCCGGCTAATTTTTTGTATTTTTAGTAGAGACGGGGTTTCACCTTGTTAGCCAGGATGGTCTCAATCTCCTGACCTCATGATCCACCCGCCTCGGCCTCCCAAAGTGCTGGGATTACAGGCGTGAGCCACCGCGCCCGGCCTAGTTCTTTTAATTGTGATGTTAGGGTGTCAATTTTGGATCTTTTCTGCTTTCTCTTGTGGGCATTCAGTGCTATAAATTTCCCTCTACACACTGCTTTGAATGTGTCCCAGAGATTCTGGTATGTTGTGGCTTTGTTCTCATTGGTTTCAAAGAACATCTTTATTTCTGCCTTCATTTCGTTATTTACCCAGTAGTCATTCAGGAGCAGGTTGTTCAGTTTCCATGTAGTTGAGCGGTTTTGAGTGAGTTTCTTAATCCTGAGTTCTAGTTTGATTGCACTGTGGTCTGAGAGACAGTTTGTTAGAATTTCTGTTCTTTTACATTTGCTGAGGAGAGCTTTACTTCCAACTATGTGATCAATTTTGGAATAGGTGTGGTGTGGTGCTGACAAAAATGTATATTCTGTTGATTTGGGGTGGAGAGTTCTGTAGATGTCTATTAGGTCCGCTTGGTGCAGAGCTGAGTTCAATTCCTGGGTATCCTTGTTAACTTTCTGTCTCGTTGATCTGTCTAATGTTGACAGTGGGGTGTTAAAGTCTCCCATTATTATTGTGTGGGAGTCTAAGTCTCTTTGTAGGTCACTAAGGACTTGCTTTATGAATCTGGGTGCTCCTGTATTGGGTGCATATATATTTAGGATAGTTAGCTCTTCTTGTTGAATTGATCCCTTTACCATTATGTAATGGCCTTTGTCTCTTTTGATCTTTGTTGGTTTAAAGTCTGTTTTATCAGAGACTAGGATTGCAACTCCTGCCTTTTTTTGTTTTCCATTTGCTTGGTAGATCTTCCTCCATCCTTTTATTTTGAGCCTATGTGTGTCTCTGCACGTGAGATGGGTTTCCTGAATACAGTACACTGATGGGTCTTGACACTTTATCCAATTTGCCAGTCTGTGTCTTTTAATTGGAGCATTTAGTCCATTTACATTTAAAGTTAATATTGTTATGTGTGAATTTGATCCTGTCATTATGATGTTAGCTGGTTATTTTGCTTGTTAGTTGATGCAGTTTCTTCCTAGCCTTCATGGTCTTTACAATTTGGCATGATTTTGCAGCGGCTGGTACCGGTTGTTCCTTTCCATGTTTAGTGCTTCCTTCAGGAGCTCTTTTAGGGCAGGCCTGGTGGTGACAAAATCTCTCAGCATTTGCTTGTCTGTAAAGTATTTTGTTTCTCCTTCACTTATGAAGCTTAGTTTGGCTGGATATGAAATTCTGGGTTGAAAATTCTTTTCTTTAAGAATGTTGAATATTGGCCCCCACTCTCTTCTGGCTTGTAGAGTTTCTGCTGAGAGATCCGCTGTTAGTCTGATGGGCTTCCCTTTGTGGGTAACCCGATCTTTCTCCCTGGCTGCCCTTAACATTTTTTGCTTCATTTCAACTTTGGTGAATCTGACAATTATGTGTCTTGGTGCACTTCTCGAGGAGTATCTTTGTGGCATTCTCTGTATTTCCTGAATCTGAACGTTGCCCTGCCTTGCTAGATTGGGGAAGTTCTCCTGGATAATATCCTGCAGAGTGTTTTCCAACTTGGTTCCATTCTCCCCGTCACTTTCAGGTACACCAATCAGACGTAGATTTGGCCCGCATCGCCAAGTCAATCCTAAGTCAAAAGAACAAAGCTGGAGGCATCATGATACCTGACTTCAAACTATACTACAAAGCTACAGTAACCAAAACAGCATGTTACTGGTACCAAAACAGAGATATAGATCAATGGAACAGAACACAGCCCTCAGAAATAATGCCGCATATCTACAACTATCTGATCTTTGACAAACCTGAGAAAAACAAGCAATGGGGAAAGGATTCCCTATTTAATAAATGGTGCTGGGAAAACTGGCTAGCCATATGTAGAAAGCTGAAACTGGATCCCTTCCTTACACCTTATACAAAAATTAATTCAAGATGGATTAAAGACTTAAATGTTAGACCTAAAACCATAAAAACCCTAGAAGAAAACCTAGGCATTACCATTCAGGACATAGGCATGGGCAAGGACTTCATGACCAAAACACCAAAAGCAATGGCAACAAAAGCCAAAATTGACAAATGGGATCTAATTAAACTAAAGAGCTTCTGCACAGCAAAAGAAACTACCATCAGAGTGAACAGGCAACCTACAAAATGGGAGAAAATTTTCGCAAGCTACTCATCTGACAAAGGGCTAATATCCAGAATCTACAATGAACTCAAACAAATTTACAAGAAAAAAACAAACAACCCCATCAAAAAGTGGGTGAAAGACATGAACAGACACTTCTCAAAAGAAGACATTTATGCAGCCAAAAAACACATGAAAAAATGCTCACCATCACTGGCCATCAGAGAAATGCAAATCAAAACCACAATGAGATACCATCTCACACCAGTTAGAAGGGCAATCATTAAAAAGTCAGGAAACAACAGGTGCTGGAGAGGATGTGGAGAAATAGGAACACTTGTACACTGTTGGTGGGACTGTAAACTAGTTCAACCCTTGTGGAAGTCAGTGTGGCGATTCCTCAGGGATCTAGAACTAGAAATATCATTTGACCCAGCCATCCCATTACTGGGTATATACCCAAAGGACTATAAATCATGCTGCTATAAAGACACATGCACACATATGTTTATTGCGGCACTATTCACAATAGCAAAGACTTGGAACCAACCCAAATGTCCAACAATGATAGACTGGATTAAGAAAATGTGGCACATATACACCATGGAATACTATGCAGCCATAAAAAAGGATGAGTTCATGTCCTTTGTAGGGACATGGATGAAATTGGAAATCATCATTCTCAGTAAACTATCGCAAGAACAAAAAACCAAACACCGCATATTCTCACTCATAGTTGGGAATTGAACAATAAGAACACATGGACACAGGAAGGGGAACATCACACTCTGGGGACTGTTGTGTGGTGGGGGGAGGGGGGAGGGATAGCTTTAGGAGATATACCTAATGCTAAATGACGAGGTAATGGGTGCAGCACACCAGCATGGCACATGTATACATATGTAACTAACCTGCACATTGTGCACATGTACCCTAAAACTTAAAGTATAATAATAATAAAATAAAAAAAAAAGAAACCTCAAACCGAGCATGTCTGGAACGAATCGCATAATGTCCAGCCCTCAAGGTGTTCTCTGTCCACTAATGATGTTAGCATCCTACCAGCCATCCAAGCTTGAAAACTGATTCTTCTTTAGGTCTCGCTCCCTCAAGTTTCTATCCATGAACACGGACTGTAAATTCTGTCTCCGAAATGATTCGTAAGGTTATAACCAGTCATACCTGACAACACACTGCTTCCTGCCACCAGCGGGGGCTTCTGGGTCTTTGTACTTTCTCCTGCCCAGAAAGCCTCCCTCCCATTTTCTACTTGTTAGAATCATCCTACAGGCTCAGCTCCACTGTTACTTTTATAAAACCTTCCCTAACTTCATTGACTAAAATTAATTGTCCCCACCCCAGTGCTTTTAAAAATCCATCTACAAAGAAATAAAATAAAATAAAATAAATAGACAATAATAGAGTTCAATGAAGTAGGTGCTGTGTAAGTGCCTTCAGGGTAAGAGTTAGGCCATTTTAACTTCTGAAACCATTGCTCCTGGCAGAGCCCAGCATCTTCAATTAACAAACATTGCATGTGGAATTAGTAGCTTCTGCTCCTTCAAGCACTGGATGGTTATGAAGAGGTATTACCTAAGACTCTAGAGACAAGCTCCCTTGGGTTTTAGTCCTAGACCCATGACTTATTAGTTATGTAACTTTCAGTAATTACTTAAACCTCCCTGAGAAATTACTTTCTTCATTTACAAAAAAGGCATGATAGTAGTACCTTCCTCACAGGGTAAACAAGAATTAAAACAGATAATGCACGTAGAACATTCTGGTCATTAGTTTGAACTCTTAATACTATAATTCCCTCAAGTGGGAGAGCCACCAAAACACCAGAATAAATGGCAGTCAGGGGAAGCAGAGAACCAAGGAATGATGAGCTGTAGGTCCCAAGGCATCCTATTGAGAACACATCTCAGTCCAAAGTGAGACAGAACATACCCTCACGACTTTTGGTCATGACTTCTATCACTTAGTAATGTCTCACTCTTTCCCTCTTATTAAGCTTTTTCCTAACAGTCAGAGTACCTTGAAATGTTTTTATGTCCCAGGGGTTGAAGAGCAATTCATCTGCATTTCAGAGATCCTATGCTGTATTGGGCATCTGGATCTCCCACCCACTTCCTGCCTTTCCTCTCACCCGTGTCTGTCCTTTTCGTTGCTCTGGCACAAGGTGAGAAGCTGGAACACAATCAGGGTAGAAACGGTGGTTCTGATGAGTACACACTAAAAAAGGAAAAGCAATACTAACAATAAACCCTAAATGGTGGCTCCAAGGGAAAAAAAAAAAACAGTTTTCTTTAGGTGGCTATTGAGCCTTTCAAGCTGGGAAAGCTACTGCCAGATGGCCAGTCATATTTAAGAATGCTGTCAGGCATACCCAAGCCCAGGAATACCTATGCAAGTATTTTTCAAACTATGTTTCATGTACTGTACTTTCTGTGATTACTCAGTAGGGGCTTCAATGATTAAATAAGTTTAGGAAACAAAATATGCTATGCCACATTCATCCTGCGCCACCCATTGGAGACCCACAGGGCACATAAGTATATTAGAAGTTTTATTAAGTCCTACAGTAAATAAACAAATTTAATTTTATTTAATCCTGTGTTTCCAGAAATTATTTGAACATGAGAATTTATGCAATTAGATTTATTCTTAGAATACAAATTAGTTTCTTGGTGAACATGCAAAATACATTTGAAAAGTTGGCCTCTACTAATGATTAGTCAACAGTTTTCATGCATTTGAAATTAATCTATGGCTAAACCCTTTTTTTTTTTTTTTTGGTGGGGAGGGCCGGAGTCTTGCTCTGCCACCCAGGCTGGAATGCAGTGGCAATATCTCGGCTCACTGCAAGCTCCACTTCCCAGGTTCACGTGCCATTCTCCTGCCTCAGCCTCCCAAGTAGCTGGGACTACAGGCATCTGCCACCACGCCCAGCTAATTTTTTTGTATTTTTAGTAGAGACGGGGTTTCACCGTATTAGCCGGGATGGTCTCAATCTCCTGACCTCGTGATCCGCCTGCCTTGGCCTCCTAAAGTGCTGGGATTACAGGTGTGAGCCACTGCGGCCAGCCGGCTAAACTCTTGTAGAATGTTATTTCCAATAGTCCAAGGGGATAATGCCATTTAAAATTATAAGCATCGTTCCTGAGACTCCCTGGATATATGAAAATGCTACTAGGGTCTGCTATTATATTTTTGTATTCTCCAATGTTTAATATCTTACTGGGGAGTGGGATGTGGGTTGGCAAACTATATCCCAAAGGTAAAATTCAGTCTAATGTCTGTTTTTATAAATAAAGGTTTATTAGAACACATTCATGTTTATTCATTTCTTTATTGCTCATGGCTGCTTTTGCAATATCACAACAGAGCTAAGTAATCCTTACAAAGATCATGGGGTCTGCAAAGCCTAAACTTTTTCTATTTGGTACTTTGTAGAAGCAGCTGGCTCACCCTGATTTCCAGGGTTACTTTTTATTTAACATCAGATGACAACTTTCTAAAAGTAATCTTAGAGGAGATGTTATCCATAATAATTCAATCTGGAAAGTGTCTAACTAATAACCTTATCTAATGCCCAGACAGAATTTTACAACTGTCATAGATATAAAACTAAAACATCAAAACCCGATATTTCTGTATGAGCTGCAAAAGTCATGTTATAAAGAAAGTTTCAGTGTTTTGACATGTAACTAAGATTTGCATGTATATGTCTTAACTAAGAGTTGTATGCATAAGTCTTAGTATGTTTGTACTATTATAACGAAATACCTGAGACTGGGCAATTCAAAAAATAGAAACTTATTTCTCACTTTTCTGGAGGCTGGGAAGTCCAAGATCAAGGTACTGGTAGGTCTGGTGTCTGATAAAGGTCGTTCTCTGCTTCCAAGATGGCAGCTTAAAAGTTATTTTCTCCAGAGGGGACAAATGCTGTATCCTCACATGGCAGAAAAGACAAAAGGGTGAACTCACCCCCACCCCAACACCTTTTATAAAGACCTAATGACCGTGTAAGAGGCCTTGTCTCTTAATATTGTTGCACTGAGGATTAGGTTTCAACAAGATTTTGGAGGAGACACAAACATAGCAGAAGTACATAGCACTTCGTGCTTCTGGGAAAAATTATTATAAAATTCTGATTTGATTTCAAAGATTTACAAGGTTGTCTTTTTTAAAAAGTCTAGAGAATTCCAGTAGCCCATTGCATGGGTAAAATTTTAATCCTGTTAATTTATTAATGCACTTAAATTTAGCCTCTTCCAAACACTAATGAAAAATCTTTATTTGAGTTATAATTAATTGGACGGTTCTTGAAACATGCAATTTAGCTTAATCAAAAGTGAAAAATCTCATCTTTTCTCAATAAAGATAGAACTTCAATGTAATTGCCAAAAATATGGAACATTCTACATGCAAATTTAATAAAATAATCTAATACTTACAGTTACTTTTTTATTAAACTACAGAATTTGGTGAGGCCTATATGGGTACTTTGATAGATGTCTTATGTTGGCATTTCAAATTATCATAATGTACTATAAATCAAAATGAGTTTTTCAAAACTTTATAACTCGACCACAAATGTTTTGTAAATATTGAAATAATAGCCATGATTGAAAATTCTGATGAAAACATATACTGAATATATTATTTCTATAATCAATAATAGTAGTCTAATACCATGTTCTTATCCCAAATGATAAAGGAGATTTTCTATAAGCAGGACTTCAAGACGGCTGCCTAGAGGCATCTAGTATTCACCTCTCTACAAAGAAGAGTCAAAACAGTGAGTAGATAATCACACTTTGAATAGATCGCCTAGAGAGAAGATAGGGATTCAAGAGAGAAATGACAGAAAACACCTAAGGCAAGGAATGAGAGGTAAGTGAGGCAAGCCTGCTCAGCCAAACTTCGTTGGGTGCCTAGATAGCTTCCCATTGCAGGAAAAGGGTAAATGAAAGACCCAAGAAGTCCACATTCCCACTGTGAACTCCTGCAATCCTAGCCATGGGAGACCCCCTGACCTTCATGGACCCTGATACTAACATAAAGCTCTGCCTGGAGATTGTGCACCAGCATTGTTACAGAGAGAGCTCATGCTGAGTCCCACAAAACTCTGAGTCCCAAGCAGCTACAGCTACAGCATAGCACCAGTTTGAGGCCTTAACCCTCATCAGACTACTACATACTGCCAGGATCTCAATAGCCCCTGCATCTTTATATCTCTGAAGTCCTACTGATATTCCCTGCCAGCAGCCAGGCACCATTTCTAGATGCTGCTGCCAGGGCAAAAACATGAACCATTGGCAGCAACCCCCACTATCCCCAGAGAATCTTAGCTTCTGTACTTTTACAAGCATACTAAGGAAAGGCTACCTGCTTGCAGCCACTAACTGGGGCCAAAGCATATGGTCCCCAGCCACCTGCCTAAGGCTGCTCCCAGCGAAAGGAACCCCACTTTCCCCAGCAACTGCTGCTCCAACCTGAGCATTCTGACAGGGACCTGAAGATCACTCCATCCCTGTCTGCCACAGCCAGCACCTGCATGCACCACTGGGAAGCCAGAGGACAGGCCCACCAAGCCCAGCTCCACAGGACCCAAGCATGCTATCTGGGAGCCTGGGAATTACCTGGCACAACCCACCACCAATGACACCTGAGCACTCCTCCTGGTGGCTTAACAACAGGCCTACTTCACATTCCACTACCACCAGAGCAGGCACCCACCTGCACACACCACCTGTGGGCCTGGAGACTGGCCTTGCTAGCCCATTGCAGCCACCACTAACACTAGTGTAGACCACTTGGGAGATAGGGTTGTTCTGCCACTGCACTGCCATTGCCTGTACCATGCCCATGTCCCAGAAGCCCAAAAACCTGTCCACCTACCAGGCCCACTGCTGCCATTCCTAGCATTTGAGCAAGTTATGTGGACGCCCAAATATAAGCCTGTCTGGACTTTCCAACATCAGTGCCAGCATATGCATATGCTTCCCTGGGGCAAAGGACAGGCACCACTGCCACCATTAGGGTCCAAGGGTTGGCCTACTTGACATCCCTGTCACCAGCAAATTTTCACCACAGACTCCACTAACAACCAACATAAGCCACTGAGCAAATCACAGACACTACTGATTCTGTTTACAGTGAAATAAATCATATGAAAACTATACTATGCACCCAGGATCAAAGTCAAAGTGCCCAACACAATTGACACCATAGATACAACTTTAGGAAAATGTCCTCCCCTATTAAAGAGAATTCAAAAAATTAGAAGAAGTGACTGTTACACTACAGGCACAGATATCAATGTAAGGACACAAGAAACATGAAAAAGCAAGAGAACATGACACCTCCAAGAAATGCAATAATTCTTCCACAAGAGATTCCAATGAAAAATATGAAATTTTTGAAAAAGAATCCAAAATAATGACATTAAAGAAACTCAGTGAGCTATAAGACAAATGAGATAAACAATAGAAGAAAATCAGAAAAACAATTGAATGAGAAATTTACCAGAGGTGGATAACAACAACAACAAAAAAACACACAGAAATTTTCAAACTGAAGAATTCAGTTAATGAAATGAAAAATACATCTGAAATCTTCAACAACAGACTCAATCAATCAGACAAAAGAATTTCAGAATGTTAAGATAGGTCTTCCAAAATAACCCAGTTAGATGAAAATAAAGAAAAATGAATGACTAAAGCCTACATGATATATGGGACACCACAGAGTGAATTTTTGGTGTTTTAGCAAATGAAAAGTAAACAAAAGGGATAGAAAACCTATTTAACAAAGTAATAGATGAAAACTTCCCAAGTCTAAGAAAAGATTTAGACATCCAGATAGAGGAAGCTTACAGATGCCAAATAGATATAATTAAAAAGATCTTCACCATGGCTCATTATAGTCACAGTCTCAAACGTCAAACAAAAAAGAAAAAGAGAATTCTACAAAAAGCAAGAGAACAGCATATAGCTACTTATAAGGGAATCTCCATTAGACTAATAGCATATTCCTCAATAGAAACCTTACAGGGCAAGAAAGAATGGGACAATATATTCAAAATGCTGAAAGAAAAAAAAAACTATCAGTCAAGAATTCTATGCCCAGCAAAGTTACCCTTCATAAATGAAGGATTAAAAAAGTCTTTCCTAGACAAGCAAAACTGAGGAAATTCATCACAATTAGATCGGCTGTACCAGAAATGCTTAAGAGAGTCCTACACCTAGAAGTGAAAAAATGGCATGTACAATTTGTGTATTGTGTAGCGAATACACAAATGAGAAAGATAAAGAACTCAAATGTTATCACTATAAAAACCCACCAAACTGCAATGATAAAAAATAAGAGGGAAAGGAACAAAGACGAAACAAAACTACCAGAAATCAGTTAATAAAATGAAAGGAATAAATACATAAATAATATAAATAATAATCAAATATAAATAATAATCATGAGTATAAATAAATTAAAATTTACACTTAAAAGACATAAGCTGGCTGAATGGATAAAAGAACATGACTCAATTATATGCTGCCTATAAGAAATTCATGTTACCTGTAAAGATACATATACACTTCAAGTAAAGGAATGGAAAAAGATATTATATGCAAACAGAAAGCAAAAATGAGTAGCTATCTTCACATAAGGTAACACAGATTTTAAATTAAAACCAGTAAGAAGAAAGAAAAATAGTCATATACAATGGCAAAGGATAAATTCAGCAAGAAGATATAATAATTGTAAACATGTATACACTCAACACCAGAGGACCAAGATTTATAAAGCAAATATTAGATCTACAGGAAGAGACAGACTGCAATACAATAATAGCTGGATATGTCAACACCCACTCTCAGTATTAGAGAGATCTTCTGGACAGAAAACTAACAAAGAAACATTGCATATAAACTGAACTTTAGAAACAAATAGACCTAACAGACATACAGAACATTTCATCCAACACCTATAGAATGCACATTCTTCTCATCAGCACATGGAATGTTCTCCAGGATAGACCATATGTTAGAACACTAAACAAATATCAACAAATTTTTAAAAAATCAAGATCATATCTGGTATCTTCCTATACCACAGTGGAATAAAAGTAATAATCATGGCTGGGCACAGTGGATCATGCCTGTAATCCCAGCACTTTGGGAGGTCGAAGTGGGTGGATCACCTGAGGTCAGCAGTTCGAAATCAGCCTGGCCAACATGGTAAAACCCCGTCTCTACTAAAAATACAAAAATTAGCCTGGCGTGGTGGCTGAGGCAAGGGAATCCCTTGAACCCAGGAGATGGAGGTGGCAGTGAGCTGAGATGTATTTATAGACAACTGATTTTCCATAAAAATACCAGTAACATACACTGGGGAAAGGACACCCTTTTCATTAAATATTACTGGGAAAACTGGACATCCATATGCAGAAAAAATTAATCTAGACCCCTATCTCTCACCATATATAAAAATCAATCAGAGATGGATTAAAGACTTAGACATAAAACCAAAAACTATGAAACCACTATGAGAAAAGATAGGGAAAACACTTCAGGACATTGGTCCAGGCAAAGATTTTATGAGTAACACCTCAAAAGCACAAGCAAAAAGAAAAAAAATAAACAAACGGAACCATATTATTATACTAAAAAGCTTCTACACAGATAACAATCAACAGAGTGAAGAGACAACCTGCAGAATGGTAAAAAATATTTGCAAACTATTTATTCAACAGGATGCTATAATAATATCCAGTATATACAAGGAACTCAAACAACTCAAGAGAAAAAACAAAAATGAAAATAGTCACATTAAAAAGCATGCAAAGGACATGAGGACACATGTATTAAAAGAAGTCATATAAATGGCTTACCAGGTATATGAAAAAATACTCAACATTAAGAATCATTGAGAAAATGCAAAAGTACAGTAACATCCTCCTCCAATTAGAATGGCTATTATTAAAAAGAGAAAAAACAATAGATGCTTGTAAAAACACAAAGAAAAGGGATCTCTTCTAGACAGTTGGTGGAAATGTAATTTAAAAGCAACTATGGAAAACGATATGGAGATTTCTCAAAAAACTAAAAATATAAACACAATATAACCCAGCACTCTCACTACTGGGTATTTATCCAAAGGAAAGAAATCAGTATACAAAAATGATCTTGGCACCCCCATGTTTATTGCAGCATTATTCACAATAGCAAAGATATGGAATCAACCTAGATGTTTATTAACAGATTATCAATAAGGAAAATGTAAATATACACAATACATATATGTTATTCAGCCATAAATAAAGTCATTTGAAGCAACATCTATGGAACTGGAGGTCCTTATGTGAAGTGAAATAAGCCAAGCACAAAAACACAAATACTGAATGTTCTTACTCATATGTGGGATCTAAAATAGCGTATCTCATGGAAGTAGAGTTGATTGGTCATTACCAGAGGCTGAGAAGGGTCTGGAGATGTGAGGGATAAAGAGAGGTTGGTTAGTGGATACAGAAAGCAGTTTAAGAGAATAAATAAGTTCCAATGTTTAATAAGAGAGTAGAATGACTATAGTTAACAACATATTGTATAGTTCAAAAAAAGCTAGAAGAGAGAATTTGAAAGTTTCCGAACACATAGAAATGATAAATACTTGAGGCAATGGATACCCTAAATACCGCCTTGATTATTACACATTCTATGCATGTAACAAAATGTGTTATATGTAACCCATAAATAAATACAAACATTATATATCAATTTTCAAAGGGTGTTAAGTACCTTAAAATTGAAAAGTCAAAAGACTCCCCAAATTGAATGTATATCTAAGTACATATGAACAAAGACTCCAATAGACTACTGTTAGCAATATACATGGAAAGTAAATTACATCAATCAAGCACATCGAGGTCACTGGCCTGTCTGAAAAGAGTTTCTTTCTTTCTGAAGTTTAAGTACAAGAATACCCAGTCCTAGAGAAACTTACACTTGGACAGATTTACAAAAAGCTAAGAGAAGAAGTGAATAGAAATGGGATATAAATCCATTTAAAATGATTTATAAACATTACGATAATGGCTATCATTGATCAAGGATTAGTATATGCCACAGATTGTGGTATGTGGCTTTTGTGTATTATTTTCTTACATAAGATAGAAACTATTTTCATCATTTGTGATAAGGATATTGGGATTATGAGAGTTTAATCTTGCTGAGGATTCAAACAAATAAATGACTAAGAATTTTAAGGGACGACTATTGGATTCCATGCCTAGGCCCTTGTAACTGTGCTCTAACAGCATAATTGAGAAGCTCACTGATTCAGGCAAATGAAAATATAGACCTAGAAAGCATAATTTGCTCTTTTAAAATCTTGACTGCCACCTGATGTGTCTGTGTTATGATCCAGAGGTTTAAACTAAAAGAGAGCTAACAAGAAAATAAAGAAACACTTCTTGTGAGACATCTAGCATTCCCATACTTCTTAGTCAAGTTCAGTTGACTATGTGGTCTCCATATTGGGACGCTGGGGATAGAAAGTGCCACTGGTAAAGCTAGAAAAAAAATAGAGAAAAGGGAGACCAAAGGGAGTGGACTTTGACAAGTAAAAGCTGAAACCATTCAATCTGTTTCCTCCAGGTCTAATGACTTAAATGTGAATAGGAATGAGTAGAAAAGAATCCAGGGAAACAGCTGATTAATGGCACATAAAGTAAATTTCTGGAAAAACTATAGTAACCAAACATCAGAAAATTGAGGAGCAATTTGAAAGCAGTGTTTACATAGAGGAATTATAAATGGTATGGTCAAACATATGTACAAATACATTGTACATACACTTCAGTAGCATGAATTTTAGTAATGAATGAAAACAATTTGCTGAAAGTGAAAAGCATAAGATTGTAAAGTCTTGGCCAAAGGGATTAGGTAGCCTTCTTTTAAACAAATTCTACAGTTGTTTCTCTAATAAATTTATTATGACTAACGTGGCACATCTAAGAGGAAAATGCAGTTTCATTTCCTTTATCCCCTCCTCACCCACTTTCAGGAGTTCCTATACTCACCCTTCTACTTTTAAGAAAGTGGTTTTCAAAGTGTGATTTGTAGAATGCCTGAGGAGCACTTGAGACAATTTCAGAAAGCCTACAGGTCAAAACTATTTTCATAATCATAAAGCAGATGTCTTTGCTTTTTAAAAACCTCTCAGACATTTGTAGTGAGGGTGCAAAAGCAAGGACAGTAAACTGCTGGTACTTAAAAGCAATTGAAGAGTGGCACAGAACTGTACTAGTAGTCATTGTATTCTTAACCACTGCACTCCCAATCACACATCTTTATAATATTCAACATGACTAATTTTGAAGTGAGCATAAAATAATTCTGCTACATACTAAGGTTTGAGAGTTCTCTTGATATGAAGGACTTGTGTGATTGAGTTGCAAGCAGTACTAGCTGATAATGGAACATCATTTTCACTTAAAATAATGTTTTCCTTGGGAGGCCGAGGCGGGCGGATCATGAGGTCAGGAGATAGAGACCATCCTGGCTAACACGGTGAAATGCTGTCTCTACTAAAAATACAAAAAATTAGCCAGGTGTGGTGGCGGGTGCCTGTAGTGGGAGGCTGAGGCAGGAGAATGGCGTGAACCTGGAAGACAGAGCCTGCAGTGAGCTGAGATCGCACCACCGCACTCCAGCCTGGGCAACAGAGCAAGACTCTTTGTCTCAAGCAAACAAACAAACAAACAAACAAATAATAATATTAATAATAATAATGTTTTGCAGACAAGCTATGGTTATAAAGACTTGCTTATTTAGTGGATAATTTTTCCTGAATGAATGGAGACTGTTACTCAAAAAAAAAAAAAACAATTAATAGTATTTGTTTGCAATGATAAAATTGAAGCTCTCAAAAGAAAATTAGAAATTTGGAAGACTTGTGTCTGCAACCATAAGCTTAGGAGTTTCACAGTACATAAAAACTTTTAAAATAATATCTGTGGTGATATTAATGAGTATGATTTTTGATACTATGTATTAACATACCAGCATAACTCAATGGACAAATATTTTCCAATGACCAATATACGATGTCAGAAAATAATGCATAGATTAAAGATTAATTCAAAATGCCTAAGATCTCAATGTATTTTAAAGTAACAGAATATAAAAAGTACATTGTTATGATTTTAGATTCCACACTGCAACTAGCCTCTCAAAACCAATCATTTGTCAAGTTTTGGTGTAGTACCAAAGAGTATCTAAAACTACCTAAATGGTCTACTATAATACTTCTCCTTTTTCCACCTACATATCTGGGTAAGGCTGAAAGTTGTTCATATCCTTTACTAAAACAACCCGTTGTAAAAGACTGATGCAAGAACAGACATAAGAATTCAGCTCTTTTCTGTGAAGTCAGATATCAAAGACGTTTGCAAAATTGTAAAACAATCAATGCCACTTAATTTTTTTTGTTTTGAAATACATAGTTATTTTTCATAAAGGTACAATTTAGTTTTAACTATTTTAAATACACTAATACATACTTTTTCTACTTTTCAGTTTAAGTTTTGATTATAGTAAATATAGATGGATAGAAGCTATATAAGTAAAAGTTCTTTTAGGTCCTCAATAATTTTTAAGAGTGTATAGGATCCTGAAACCAGAAAGTGAGAATTACTATTTTAAGGGTGCTTTCTTAAAAGGCTTTTTAGATGAAACTTTCCTAATTTCTTTTCTATTTCAATTGAAATAATTTAATGAGCTTTCCACAAATCTCATATTCTGGCATTAAGGCAAGCAGTTAATATTATGAGCAGCTACCATGTAACATAAACACAGCACTGCAATATGAACAGGAGGAAGATGACTAACCAAAGGCCTTAAACTCCAACACCTGCAGATTGTAGGCCTGTGACATAAATGGGTAAAATAATTTCCATCTAAGAACTAAGCCCTTTCCACTTTCTTAAAACCCACCACATTATTTTTCACATTATCATTTTTGATAGAGACTTGAATTCCAAGAATAATATTTTCATCTTGAAGCAACCGTAAGAAAACAACAGAACAAGTTTCATTATAAATGGTCACCCGCAGTACTGCCTTTTGGCTTTTGCCCTCAGCACAGAAGAACATTTTCTGACCCTCGTCCAGCGACACCTTTCCCCACAGTGAAGAAGGTGCAGAGTCTAGGGGACATGCCACTGGGAGCCTGCACCTAAACCCCATTTCACAAGCCCTGGACCCCAAAGTTCTCCCCAAAATGGGTTTGAATTGCTTCGATGACTTGTGTGAGCCTCTTTTCTAGATTTATCCTCTTGAGGCTGGGGACTGCACCCTCTTCCCATGTGATGACCCCTAGACCTGAGGAGTAGGCATGGGGTCCTTGATGGCAGTGGACAGAACTTATACAAGTAGATTGGGGTTTCTGGGACAGAGTAGGAACAAACAAGCAGAAGTGCAAACCACAGTGTGAAGACGGGCTCTTCCTATGGCACCACGTGCCACCCCAGAACTTTGAGGATCACAAATTTGAATTTAGCTTTCTGGGTAGTTATGAAGGTGTATTTGTCAAGGCAGAAGGATAAAACGTATTTTATATAACAGTTTGTTGGCTTGTTTTATAACTTAACAATTTAAACATATGAAATGTGGATGTGTATTTGAATTCCCTCTCCAAATCACAGATATTAAGGGATGAGCCTGGCTTTTGATGTTTGTCTTAGAAATGGGAAGAGCTGGCCAGGTGCAGTGGCTTACACCTATAATTGCAGCACTTTGGGGGGCCGAGGCTGGTGGATCACCTGAGGTCAGGAGTTCAAGACCAGCCTGGACAACACAGCAAAACCCTGCCTCTATTAAAAATATAAAACATTAGCCAGGCGTGGTGGCAAGTGCCTGTAATCCCAGCTACTTGGGAGGCTGAGAGAGGAGAATCACTTGAACCTGGGAGGCAGAGGTTGCAGTGAGCTGAGATTGTGCCATTGCACTCCAGCCTGAGTGATGAAGTGAGACTCTGTCTCAAAAAAGAAAAAAAAAAAAAAAAAAAAGTAAAGAAAAATAAAGAAATAGGAAGGGCTGGTGGAAGAGGGAGGGAAGACAGTCATTATACTGGTATACTCTGTCTAAAGACTATAGACATTCTCAGATTCAGCTGAAGAGTGCCAGACATTCTGATTTTTAAAGGAATATTGGGAATCCAAATTTTAATGCAGAAAATTCTAATTTTAAAATCTTGACAACTAATTTTAAAAATTGACAGCTGGTAGCAAACACTGACTAGTCCAAATAATGTATTCTGTAGCTGAGAGCTGGCCAGAGGCCCACTAGCTTACAACGGTTTGGGCTTGAAGAAAATTTGCAACATCATGGAGTTTCCAGTGCTCTTCTTTCAGCATCCTTACTAGCATCGTGATTAATAATAATGGCTACCTATCATTACATGCCAGGTGTTATATTAAGATTTTTGAACATGCTATTTCAACAGCATTCATACTTCCCAGTGTTTTTTGTTTGTTTGTTTTCATCCACGGGAAAGCTGAGGAGCTCAACCACCCATTTCCACTTGTCCCGTCTCTTTTATAATAATTTGTAACAAGAAATCTGTTTATCCTTTTGCTCAGCAAGTATAGTAAGGACAAAGTATAAGGTCATGGATTAGAACATTTACCTGGTCTGTGAAGAGATTAAACCTTGGTGAAAATTGTTGTAATTAAGTGAGTTAATCTGCTTCCCATATTGATTCCAAGTCTGTAATTCAATAATAGGTTCTGGGAAAGTGAAACTTGAACCTTCTAAGCAATATGGGCATTGGGCATAAAACTCTTCTGCTTCTATGCCAATAAAGTGTCATCTCTCAATTACAACTTCTTTTATAGCTTTTCCATAACTCCTTCAAATAGTCTTCTAGATGGGCTATAAAGTAGTTAATCAGAGTAAATTAAAATTTGTACTTAGTACTAAAATGTAAATTAATTGTATGTTTTCCCCCAAATCTAACCATTTGAAACATCTGGTATGGATATTTTAGTGCTTCATTCACTCTAATGGTGATAATTTTAGCAAGTTATTAAAACTACTTCTCACTTCCCCATCATAGTAGTCCAAAAGATGCAGCTAATGTTTCAGCATTGAAGCATCTCTTACAAAGTCATTAGAGAAACAACCGGTGCTCTTTGGTTCATCACAAAGTAAAATAGAGCAGAACGTTATCACCTGTCCACTGCCCACCAGACAATGAAACCACTGTCCTTACTGTGAAAAAAGTTTAAAGTTTTCAAGAATCAAGGGCATTAAAAATTAATCTTTTCACTGCTAAGTTTTATACTTTTGCATATCAATTTCCCCCAGCTGTGATAGTTTCTTTTATAACATCTGCTGGAGAGGAGGGATGCAAAGTGATTGTATTTAAGCACAGCAATACTTATTTGATGATTAAGGCCAACAGAATTATGGGAATTTTGTGACACGTAAATGATATAAATTATATAAAAACTAAAAATGCTCATTTCTTTTAATTAAGAAATAAGTCAGGAAAGATTTTTCCGATGTTCTGAATAATGTGCATTACAAATGACTGATAATAATTCATGCAAAGAGGATCGCATATTGAATTCAGAATGTTCATATTTCACTTTTACATTACAAAACTATTTCTATTCAGTTTTCTTTCTCTTAGTACTTCGCTATCTCTATTTAGCGTTATGCAGCTAACTTGACTAATTTTTCTCGCCAGAATTATTCAGTGTTCTATTCAATTACCTTTCTGGTTTGATCTCTTAGACATGGGAGACTTAAATATTAATCCCTGTAATCCCAAGGGTGAGGAGCCAGAATCTAGACAGATCCAGATAGGTCTTACATTCAAACCAGTAAATGTTCTATTTTCATAAATTATTTTCCCTGGACTTTATTGAACTTGCCATTTGTTTCAGTTTCATATAGACATGGCCTAATCAACTACATAAAAACCAACATTTTAAAAGTTGACAAATACACAGAATTAGCAATTCAGTAGTCAATAAAAAGGTCCAATCTCTTTTGACCACACCGATACATTAAAAGGACTGAATCAAACTTTTCCCCTTTTACTCTCTTTCACAGGGCTTGATGCTTCCTGTCTGGTTTCTAGCTCTGACTGATGTAGAGGGTAATGTAAACACCATAAAGAATCCATAGGGAAGTTCATATAAGGCCAAAAACGGAATCTGAAAATAAAGTATCTAAATATACATGCTAACTATTTTCCAGTGACTCAATTTACTCAGAGAAAATAATGTAATATTTTCACTATGTCAAAAGTTCTACCCACCGCCCCCACCCCCACCCCCCACCCCTCCACACACACAAATCTATTTGCCTCTGAAGCTTTTATTTTTTCTTTTCTTTTTTGTTTGGAGGCACACAGACTTTCCCTCATGTGGTTCCAAGTGCTCAGCCCTTGGAGACTCATAATGGCGATAGAAGATAAGACACATGCCTTCTAGCATCTTCAAGTTTAGAGGACAAACCAGGAGAGACACATGCAAAACAGTAGAACAATAGCAAATAACTAGATGGGTATGTACATACTAAACCAAGCTTTAAGTGTTTGATGTCTCATTGCCTTGCACTTGCTAAGATTCTACCCTCACCTCTTCTGAATGTATCATCCCTCTGGGGCTTTTTAAACTTTTTATAGCAACTGTATATCTAAATCTAAATATATAAATCTCCTTAAATGACAATTTTCACTGGGATTTCTTTTCATAAATACAGGCTCTTATTTCACTTTCCTGCAAAATAATATGCAGCTCTACTTCTCCCTGCCAGCTGCTATTGTTACAAGCATTACTAAAAGGTGTTTCAACTTCAATAGTCTACAGAAGGTTTAACTTGGATCAAAACATTCTGGAGAAATCTATAGAAAATATTAGGCTTAGTTTTCTTCATTAGCATTCTTATGAGCACTCATTAATATGTGCATAATTTTACTATGCCTTTAAATCATTCATAAATAACCCAAAGAGGCTTACATAGTTACAGAGGTCAGAGAAAACAGAAGGAGAAACATGTGTTGTATGCATGTATTGCTTATCTGATTTGGGGTTTCCTTATTTATCATTTGAGTGAGGCATGAAGGTTGTTTACAGAAAATAGCTTGCAAGATAGAATCATCCCTTTGCCAAAAATGTAAGTGTCAAGGAAGAGCCCTGGTCAATGCAACTTGCATCCTCATAGAGAAAGTATTAGGCCAATTTTTCCATTGCAGATGAGACTTTCTGATATGTGACTTAAAACATTACTTAATTTTCCCATCTCAACATTTTATTTAAAATTAATTATACTTTTGTCAAATTAGGTATCAAAAAGAGAGTAACATTAAGTGTATATAGGGGACATTCTTATTTACTCCTCAACAAGCATTCCACCCTAGGTGATCAGCCTACGAAAAAACCTTCCCACTAGTTAATACACACTAGCATCTCAAAGTGTAATCTGCAGACCAGCAGCTTTGCCCTCATCTGGCAGCTGTTAGAATTGCAGGCTATCTCCTTTCCCCAGACCTACTCAATCACAATGTGCACTGAAACAACATCTGTCAGATGATTCACGTACATATTAAAGTCTGTGAAGTCCTGCCCTCCCACACCAGTATATAACAAATGTATTCCAGGTGTGACTGAGACATTGCTGTCACCACCCCACAGAGCCTAGGGTCTCAGATCGTTCACTGCTGCCTTAAGCAGTTCTGAACATGTATCCCAGTTCGTCAGACAAATATTATAGATTTCTATATGTGCCAAGAAGTTTAAGAAATAAAAGGTTGGAAACCACTTGTCTGAGCAAATCAAGCTCTTCCCAGGACTTCTTCCAATGAGTAGTTCACGAATGGACATACATGCAGCTTCAGTCAGTGAGGCATGAGGGAAAGGCTTCTGGGGGAGCTGGGGAGGCATTGGGAGAATTTTATTGTACTTAAGATTCCCAGAACAGCAACACTCTCTTATTCTTTTGGTCACTGCTGCTTCAGGAGGCTACTCTGCAAACTGCTGGGCCATTTTGCTAACAACCAGAGGATGAAGCCAACACTGAAGATGACAAAACAGACAGAGATGAAAAGAAGCTCTGTCTTTATGACATTGCTGAGCCACAGAGCCAACCTGCCCTGGAGTCTCCATAACCTCTGGACTTCTTGCTATATGAAGTAATGCATTTCCTTACTCTTCAAGCCCATTTTGGCTTAAGGTTTCTTTTAGTTGCAAATCATCCTAATAAAGAGGAGAAAGGGCAATTTTGCTGATTGCGTGCAAACTGGTTTCATGTATATTTGAAAAAGGTAAAGCAGCTCAGATGCCAAAGCATCTAGAGTAGGCGTGTCCAATCTTTTGGCTTCCCTGAGCCACATTGGAAGAAGAATTGTCTTGGGCCACACATAAAACACAGTAACACTAATGATAGCTGATAAGCTAAGAAAAAAAAATCATAAAAAAAAACCATCTCATAATGTTTTAAGAAAGTTTACATATTTGTGTTGGGCCACATTTAAAGCCGTCCTGGGCCACAGGCAGGCCATGGGTTGGACAAGCTTGATCCAGAGCATTATTATCAATACTTCACACTTTATGACCTCCCACTCAAAACTGGAATGCCAGTGCTCAATGGAAACTCATTGAGCAGTAGAGTAAAATAAGTGTGTGATGAATAAATGAAAGAACGAATGAATAATAGCACAAGTACACTGAGTTAAAGTCTTCCAAAATATTTACCGTTACCTTGAATTCCATTTTATTGTTACCACTTCTCTTTTTGAAAGCTACTGGGGCTTATGAACAAATTACTGTTTGCTACAAAATTCTCATCCATATTATAAACTTATATCATTTTACCCACCTGCATAATACTTGCAATGCTTTTAATTATATAGCATGAGGATACACATATAATATTTAATGAATAATGCAAAGGAAAATATATTTACCACCATATCGTGCCACTCCAAACCATGGGAACATGAAATACCTTATATTTTATTTTTCCACATATTCAGAGGAATATACACAGCCATCAGGTAAGGTCTTTCCCCACCTAAGCAATAGAAAGTTGTTGGAAGCTTCAGGTTCAGTTAAACCATCTTCCAAAAGAGATTACTTGCTCATGGTAAATGCCACTTGACATTAGTGGTTCAGAGAGTCATTGTCAGACGGCAATATTAGAGGATGAAGCCAGAGTGCTACTGGCTTGTTTGCCTCTAAGAACAATGAACATGTAGTACACACCCATGTTACTGATATGTCTTATTACACTTGCATTCATTAGGGTGGAAGATGTATTCAAAGTAGGAAAGAACAATGATGGACCAAGTGTCAGGACCCCTGTTCTAGTCAGTAATTAGGTGTCACATCACCGCTCTGAGTCCCAGTTACCTCATTGACAGAATGAAGGGGTTGCCTTAGACAGCAATTCTCAGTCTTATCTGCCCATTAGAATCACCTGGAGATTTATAAACATATAGACAGTTGGATCACATTACTAGATATTCTGATTTAATTGGTCCAGGAAGAGGAGCAGGGGTCATAAATCTCATGTAAATCTAATGTGCAGCCACGTTTGGCAACTAGTAGATTAGATATTTTTAGGCTTCTTCCCAACTTGAACTGTCTTTTATTCTAGTATTCAATTGTCCTGGAATGTCTTAGTTATGTTCAGCCAGGTACTCTTTTTTTTTTTTATGAATGGGGAATGCCATTGAAGGGGCTCACATCCCAGTCCCACCCTACTCTGCCTCCTGCTTACTCCTAGTTTCAGACAAACAAAACTATACTTGGTAGCAGTGGTAGAAAAAAGGATTAATATATGGCAGAGCACATAAAGGAGAAAAAAAAGGCTCCTTGTAGGATTGTTCTGAAGCCTTTGCATGTCCTTATTTCTCTCTCCTAAATTGGAACATGCTTTGGGCTCTACACCCAGATTTGCTCTTTGCAATAATCTTGATTCAACATCCACAAAGGATAAGGAATCAGTCTCAGGAGAGACCACATAAGATTGCAGAGAGAGATGATTATACACCTATTTTACTCCAAACACAAGCGACTGAACATACATATCTAATCGACCACTGGGCTATCATAAAGCATATTTTTATTGGAAATAAAATTTACTTCTGGTTTCAACATGGATAGCATAGACCACACACTATCCTCAGTAAAATAAATAAATAAATAAATAAATAATTTTTTAAACAGTCAATTGAGCAGCTCTTCAATATGGAGATAATACTAATAGCAACTTTTCACTGTGCTCTGGCCAAATTCCAACTACTGGAATCTGTATTTCTATGCCTAAGGGTTTCTTCCAGAACAGAAGACTGCTTATGCTTAGTACAAAGTGCAAAGACTTAACATTCCCTCCACCAGGGACTCTCAGAAATTTCCTTATGAATATTCCAGCTCCCTGGCCCTTCAGGTGAGATAAATCTGAGGCAAGTGTTTCGCACAGCCTCCCAGAGTTACCCACAAGCTTAAACTTCAGTGGCCACTATGGTACCTGGCTTAATAATGTGTCTCTCTTGGCTTCTTCTTCTCTTTGTAACACTTCCTACTCACTTTCCTAATGGTGTTGTCTGCACTTAATAATAAAAATCTTACTCCTGAATTCTGCACTCTTTCTGGAAGAACCCAACCTAAGATAACACTGTTAGCAGTTTTCAAGTCACTTGTGGGAACTGAGTAGTATATGTTTTGAGGGTTTTGGGGAGGGATAAACATTAAAACCAAAAAGTAAATGAGGAAATCATATTGTAATGTAATGTGAGAGACCCAACCAGATGCCCCTCTATCAATTATGATGGACCTAAAGGTTAAAAAAACAGTTATCTACAAGTTAGAGATTCAGGGTCCGGCTGGCATGACAAATATCTATATTCCTATGGTCTAAACCTCCTAACCATAGGAGCCATCAACCCTGATTTACAACCCAGACCTACAACTCTGATTACACAGAGGACCAGCCTTACAAACATCCTTTTCTGATAAGCTATTGCAGACTTTAAGCCAGTTTTAGTCAGCTTATAGAGGCTGTGCAGAAGCTGCCTTTGTGTCTTACAGATAACTTTTTGACATAAAGTGCAAAATTCCACCTCATTTTAATGCTAAAGCCCTCCCAAGTGAAGATGAGATATTTGTTACATATATGTCTATCCATTGTTTATGCACTCACCTCACCTCATATACATGTACAGCTTTTCCCCTAAACCTGCTAAATATGGATGATACTGGCTCTGTGAGGCAAAAACCCAATATGTCCTTCTCCTCTTCAAAGAGAGAACATCTTTTGTCCACACTGGAGACTTTTACTTCCAGGCTTGATAACCAATATTGCCAATAAAGCTCTTGTAGCTATTATTTGGCCATCCTGGTGGTCTTTGGAATGATAGTAGAGAAAGAAAAGCCACAGAAGGGTAAATGGGGGGAGTGATGGAAGGTAGGGGCAGCATGTTATATTAAATAGGTTGTCAGGTAGGAAAGAGTAAAAAGTTGAGTTTGTTTCAGACTCCCAGAAAAAGAGAAGAAAAAAAAAGCAGTTGAGTTTGAACAAGATTTTAAAATATGGTATAAAAATACATGCATGGAAGTGTGAAATGTCCCTTTAAATTAGCAAAATATAAAATTTTGGACCAATTATAAGTTCAATACAGTTGTATCTCCTTGCTCTGAATACAGAGAAAAGCAACCACAATTTCTGTCTTTGTGTTGTAGTTGCCCCCTGGCTTACGCTACATGGTCCTTGCTGTCTCTAGATTTGTGAGCTGTCTTTATTTACATGACAATCGAACATGATTTTAAATCCAATGTAGAAGGAATGTGATGAACAGTTCCAAGAAAAAGGAAATAGAGCAAGCTCAAATACTGTACTGTGCCCCCTTCCCCATGGGGGATACATTCCAAGACTCCCAGTGGATGCCTGAAACTGTGAATAGTGCCAAACCCTGTATTACTATGCATGGACTTGTTTTCCTTCTTCACAATTTCACAGATAGAAGATTTACCTCTTACCGTAGATCTTAGCAACCTCAGCATACAATTTTTTTCTTTCCTTATTAAGTTGAGAATTTGTACCTATTCACTTAAAGGAAGCACTTCATGGCTTCTCTTTGGCATACGTGAATTGTGAGCTTCACTACTCTTGTGCTTCTGAGCCATTTTTAAGTAAAATAAGGTTTACTTGAACACAGGCACTGCAATACCACAACAGCCAATCTTGTCAACCTAAAAGGAAGAAGCTGAGGCTAAATTAATATAGAGAGTTTATTTGGGCCAATGTTGAGGACTGCAGCCTGGAACACACTTCCAGGTTGCCTTGCAGAGTGCTTTGGAGAACAAAGGAGAGGCTCAAGTTTTGTTTGTTTGTTTTATTTTGTTTTAAAAGGATGAATCAGGAGAGGGAGCAATTACAAAAGTTGTTCGTCATGAATTCGTATTGGCTTATAGAAATAGCATTGGTTAGTGATTGGCTATGCATTGGTGAACTATAGCATGCACAGCATTTGACGGCTACTTGGTCTCAGTTAGTCTAGAGCCCACACAGCAAGTGTCTTCAAAAGATAATTATTTAGCTCAAGAGGGAGTGAGTGAATGCTGTTACATTTTCAATGCCCCTGTGAGCTTTTATAACTTGAAGAAGCTCACATTTCTCAGATATAGAGTTGCTTATTTTTCTTCCTCAATCTGATAACCAAGAGGACTACTAAGTGACTAACTGGTAAACAGAGTATACAGCATGGAGACACTGGACAAAGGGATGTTTCATGTCCCAAGCAGGACACAGAGATGAGGCATGAGATTTCATCACCCTATGCAGGATGCTGCACAATGTAAAACTTATGGATTGTTTATTTCTGGAATTTTTCTTTTAACATTGAATGCAGGTAATTGAATCCATGGAAAGGAAAACTGCAGACAAAGGCAGATTACTATGTATAATTTCATTAAAGAATCTCTGGTGACTTGCAAAGTAAGTTGAAAGACAAGTTTAATTAACAGACACCATATTTGATACCAATCAGTTGATTTATATGATCAACCTGAGGACATGAAACTTTCATACTCTTTATGAGACAGCCTGGATGAGGGCTGATGAGGAGATAGAAACACAAAAGTGGCTCCTTCCTTCTGACTCCTCAGCAGTTTACCTGAGCATGGTTATTTGAGCATGTCTCTGGCTCAGAAAAGTGTTATTGGGGAGGGGTCATAAAACGTTTTTAAAACTATACCATGTAGTTTGTATGTTATCTCAAAGGCAACAAGAAGCTTTGAAAATGTTTGAGGCTTATCAGACTTATGAGGTAGAAAATTAAGGTTTCTGTACGAAGAATAGATTGAAGAGGAGGGGAGGAGGGAAGGAGATAAGAGACAGGAAACATAATGGTTATGATGGTTATTTTGGAGTGCAGTGAGCAGAGTCCAGTGGGAAGGTAGTGCTCGTGTACTTTTGCCATTTGGGACAAGATATATGACTCAGGACTAGGCAGCAGTTACTGATATGCTGTGATGAGAAGTGTTGAGATAAACGTTTATTGCACCCATGGCTTTTATTTTTCAGGGTGTCAGGTCATATGTTAAGTCATTATCTAAAATTATCTACTATCTGTATTTACGAAGACCTGTGATAGTTTACAAGTTAAGATGAAATGCCAATTGCTTACTGAAATTGAATATCTACATATCCTATGATCTAGCAATTCTACTCTTAGGCATGTACTGAATAGAAATGCATACATATGTGTCTATTATTAAAAGACTTATACAAGAATGGTCATAGTGTTATTTGTAATAGCCCCAGACTGGAAATAACCGAAATGCCCATCAACAATAAAATGAAAAAATGTGGTATATACAATAAAATAATGAAGTATATACAATGAAATAAGGCACTAAAAGTCAACAAAATATTGCTACATGTAACATCATGAATAATAATATTAAGTAGAAAAAGGTAGACGTGAAAGAGTACATAATGCAAAATTCCACTTACGTAAAGTTGTTTTCCTCAGTGATAAAACTAATCTATTATGTTAAAAATCTGAATAGTAGTTATATTTGGTGAGAGGAAGGTGGCCGTGAAGGATTTAGGAAACAGAGGGGTCATCTGATATATTGATGATATGTTACTTCTTGACCTGGGTAGTAAGTGAGAGAGAATGTTTACTTTGTGAAAAATCATAGAGTTGTGTACCTAATGATTTGTGTGCCTTTCTGTCTGCACTCCTTCTTATAAATATACAAAAAGGGCCAAAGAATTACACACTCATGGGAAGTTATTTAAAAGTTATATTACTTTTTGTCATTAGGGAAAAAATGCTATGCCAAATAAGGTGTTTAGGAATAAAATAAAACAGACTGCTTCCATACAGGAAGCAGTGACAACAGCTTTTACTATTCATCTGAGCTGAATCATTACAATGAAAATATTTGAATCCAAATGCTCCATGAGATAAATGCAAAAAGAGGAGCAATCTGCATAATTTATTTCTAAAAGGCAATATAATATAAATACAAGTAAACTGATGTGGAAGCAGATATACGTTAGAGACCAAGGAAAAATGTTCATACTTAACATCTATCAAGTACTTACCGTGTATCAAGCAACAAGATAAGAAGTTTATATTCACTTCAGCTTATTTAATAATCATAATAAGCTTATGAGATAGTTGTCACAATTATACTCATTGACCAGATTATGAAATGGAGACTCAGAAAAGTTCAATTTGGAAAGAGAACTGATTGAGTCTTAACCACTTAATGTACCAGTGGGTGACACTGGACAAGCTATTACATCTTCTAAACCTTAGTTTCCTCTTCTGTAAAATGGAAGGGTACTCACAGATTTGCTTTGGGTATGGTATCATGCAGACAAGGAGTGATTACTTTCATTGTTTGAATTAGAAAGGGTAGGCTAAGTCAACTGCAGAGAAAAGTTTTTCCATGGCTGACTTCAGAAGAAATGATGGCTTCATTGGGCAAGAATCTTAACCCTGGTAGTATTCACAAACCTGCCTGATCAGAAGAACCAGCAAAAATAAACCATTTTTGTTTTAACAAATACACGTTCCTTAATCCACTCTAAGTGTACTGAACTACAGATTCCAGAGCAGGTGCCTGGAAAGCTGTTTTTGTAACAGTCTCCTCCCAATCCCAGTGATTTTTCCATTCTTATGACCAATAACGGTTATGATCAATAAACTCCAGATTTCAAAAGACCTAGATAGGTTCCTTAGAGAGATTATTATTTTTATCTTGAATCTTTTTTTTTTTCTTTAAAGACAGAGTCTCACTCTGTCACCCAAGTTGGAGTGCAGTGGTGCGATCTCAGCTAATTGCAACCTCCACTTCCTGGGTTCAAGCAATTCTCCTGCCTCAGCCTTCCAGGTAGCTGGGATTACGGCACCTATCACCACACCTAGCTAATTTTTGTATTTTTAGTAGAGATGGGGTTTCACCATGTTGGCCAGGCTGGTCTCGAACTCCTGACCTCAGGTGATCTGCCTGTTTGGCCTCTCAAAGTGCTAGGATTACAGGCTTGAGCCACCACACTGGGTCTTTCTATCTTGAATCTTAAGTCATGTAGAAAAAAATAAACTCATGTTTTAACAAATGTTTTTCTGCAGGAACCTGTGACAATACATAGGTCACTTGCTTTCTGTCACTTTATCTTAATATTGGAATAAAGCTTTAAAAAATCTAAAGAATGGGAGACTTAGCATGCAATTTAGAATCTTACTCTCAAATGATATTAGGAAATTTCTTTTTTAGATTTTTTTTTTAAAAGATACTGTACTCCCATCGGTTTGGATTTAATTTTCAAACTAGTATAAGAGGTCCTTAAAAAGTTCATGGAAAATGTGTATGGTGAAAAAAGGACACACAGATTTCAAAATTTTTTGCACCAAAATCAACTCATATGAACTTGTTACAACATGTCTGGACAGGATCTAGTTTGATGCAGTAAGAAAGATAAGATATCAGTTTGAAAAGAGGCCCTATCAGAGCAACATGAATTCTGCTAAAACTAGAGCAAGAACAAAAATCAAATTTATGGGAAAGCGTGGGTGCAAGAATGGTGTAATCACTGATCTTTATGAAAAGTTTATGGAGACAGTGCACCAAATAAAATAAAAGCACTTTACAAGAAGATAACTCATTTTAAGAAGGTATTAGACACTGTTGAAGATGAAGCCCAAAGGGACAGACCATGCACATCAATTTTTGAGGAAAAATTTTATATTGGTATTGCCTGAATTGAAAATGACTGATGATTAACAGCATACACAATAGCCAATACTATAGATGTCTCAACTACTGCAGAATTATGAAATTCTGACTGAAAACAAATTAAATTTGAGCAAGCTTTCCGCTTGATGGGTGCCAAAACTATTGCGTCCAGATTAGCTGCAAGACAAAAGCAGAGCTATCAATGGAAGTTTTAAAAAGTGGGATCCAGATCCTGATGCATTTTTTTGAAAGAATTGTAACAGGAGATGAAACATGGCTTTATCAGTACTATCCTGAAGACAAAGCACAATCAAAGCAATGGCTACCAAGAGAAGGAAGTGGTCCAGTCAAAGTAAAAGCAGACCAGTCAAAAGCAGAGTTCATAAAAATAGTTTTTTGGAATGCTCAAGGCATTTTGCTTGTTAACTTTCTGGAGGTTCAAAGAATGATCACATCCACTTATTGTGAGAGTGTTTCCCGAAAGGTAATAAAAACTTTAGCAGAAAGACCCCTGGGAAACCTTCACCAGAGATTCCTTCTTTATCACAACAATGCTCCTTCTTATTCCTTTCATCAAACAAGAGCAAATTTGTGAGTTTTTCATAGGAAATTATTAGGCATCCACTTACAGTCCTGATTTGGTTCTTCTAACTTTTTTTTTGTTTTTTTCCTAATCTTAAAAAGATCTTGAAAGGGCACCCATTTTTGTTTAGTTAATAATGTAAAAAATGATTGATTGCATTGACATGGTTAAATTCCCAGAACCTTCATTTATTTAGGGGTGGACTAAATGGCTAGTATCATCGCTTACAGAAGTGTCTTGACCTGGATGGAGATTATGTTGAGAAAGTTTATCTTTTGCATTTTTATCTGTTAATTCCATTTTTCCACAAACTTTTTAAAGTCCTCTGGTACATTTAGTATAAAAAATTTACACACATACAGTCAGATTCTTATTCTTTCAATGCCTGAAAGGAGGGGAGAGCTTTTCACTCTTTATTTAAAGCTTAAATGACAGACTGATTCAGAGAAAATTTGAAAAGCAGGTTGTAATGTTTTTCTAGAAAACTACTTGGGAGCTTCTACTTGAAGCACTTGGTTAAGAAGACAGTTTTGCAAAATTACAGATGATTTGATTTTCCTGTTGAAGCTAATGCTATCTAATATTTCAGGGCTTTAGGAGTTAAGGGATTAGGGATAATATGAGATGTGGGAGGACAGTGAAAGACTCCCAATGGCAAAATTAGACAAAATTTGCCAGCTTCACAATTTTATAGCTGTCTCCAGCCAATCCTGACAACCCTGCCCAAGGGCAGCCTTAGGGACATTTGACAAGCCAGCCTAGAAGAGAACATTCTAGAGGTGCATAGCAAATACCTTGAAGAACAGCTAAAACTGAGTTTGGATGCAATGCAGAGTAGCAATAACCAGTATGAAAAAATATAGTAAAATGTAAGACTACATGGACAACAGATACAGGAAAATTGCTTCTCATGATTGATTCTGACAGCTCGCAAGAATAATGATCAAAGATTCAAAAGATTTAACAAGCCTGAGGGGGTAGTACTTTGCAATGATCTACAATAGGGTGTGTGTGGATACAAATGTTGGGGGAGAGGAATCTCTTGAGGAGAAAAAAACAATTTTTCTTGGAAATGGCGACAGGGCAAGAACAAAAAAGAAAAATTGCCTCTCCTCTAAGCTCCATTCAGCTCAATTAGTGCAATGCCACAACTTGAGAGCACAGAGTCGGGGCTAGCTGACCGGCATAAAGGATACAAATGGAAGAACACCAGCTTATATAAGGCATTTTATGCCACCTCCAAGATAGGGTGTATGCCTGGGCTTTGGGATTATTACTATGCAGAGAGAGGTAAAATGTTTTAGGGGTTTTGTCTTCTAAATTAAATCCTCCCAAATAGTCCTGAGGAATAAATCACTCTGCAGCCCTTAATTATATGGCATGTGATGTTTCACATTTAAAACAAGTTCTTATCCAAGGTAAAACCACCAACCTCCCCTCTGCATGTAAGAACAGTACACCTGAATGTGCTCAATCATGGATCGGTTTGGGCTGCCTTCCATATGGATACCCAGGAAGATGATTTCTTGCTCCAGTAAAGTCTGGGGCTCCTGCCAAAGTTCTACGTCCAAAGTGAGCAGCAGTCTGCCAGGAATGATCAGGCCTAGGTCAGGATCAGAGAGTCGGGCTGGTTGAAAAGATGCAAGAGGCCAACACTGATAAAACCAAATTAAATCTGAAGCATAGCCATATATTTCTGTGTAAACAAATATTGTAATAGAATGGCAGTTATCCTATTTTCACATCCCAACATGCTGCTAATATAGTTAATAAAGCAGTATCAGAATGAGCATAAGCTACTTCTCCATATAAATTTTTCTTATCCCAAAGTCATCTTCATCCTAAAATATATTTGTATATCTTTGGAAACAAGAAATTATTAAAAACATCATTACCCTGCTAGGAAAAATAAAATTTATTACATTATTCATTTCCAAATTTAGAATACCTCTCTTTGGGGAGAAGACACACCTTTAAAATAGCAGCTGCTTCTAGAGAACACATATATTTAATTTATATACTCTCATTCAGTTGCAAACATAATAAAAATGATTTCAAAATGCATTTAAATAGTATGTACTTATAAAAAGCACAGGTAATTAATCTTGATACAAAATTTTTATTCAAACATACTGAACATGTGCTTTGTAATTAATAAACAAAATATATAGTTGTCTGGAACTCTGTTGGTTTCCACCATGTGAAGAACTCATAAAGGGAAATGTAAGTCCAACAGGGCTTTAATGTCCTCATATTTAATCTTCTATTAGGCAACATTTAAAAAAATATGTAGCAAAAAATGTACAGTGCAAGTGCACTTAAATCTACTCAACACATTAGAGACTGTGAAAAATTAAAATATATTAGGTATTTCAATATACAAAGCAGAGTCAAGGGCATTAGCCAACTAACCTGATAATATAATAAACTATTTAGAAGATGTTTTATGCCTTGATAAGAGCTTTGGACAAGCTGCATGCTCAAAGTATTTAGCATCACAAATATACTTAGCAGAAAGCTACTCGAGTATTGCTGTCATTTAGGCACTTTTAGAGAAAGAGCTATCATGGTGATAGGTTTTGGTTTAAAAAGGAGGCTTTTATGAAAGATGATAAATATTGATTTCACTAACAGATTCAGATCAACTTATGAGGAGCATGTGTACATAATAGCAACCTTCCCATTTACATTGTTGTGTTAGATTGCAATGGGGAATGAAACACCCAAGATGTTCCAGGAAAATTGTAAAGACTTTTTGGGCAATGATAATTTGGGGATTCTGATCTCTTTCCTCTAGAAGAGCTCACATTTTTGAGAATTCTAATGACAAATCACAGCATAAGAGACCAGAGTTCTAATATATTTGTTTATTTCTGTGGAACTAGGCACCACTCATCCAGAGAGAAGGCTACGTTTTCAAATGAGGCTTCCAGTGAATACAATTTGACAACCCACAAGATAATGTACAGGGACTGGAATGAGTTGCAAAAGTAGAAAGACAGCCCTTGCCCTCAAAAAGACCTCATATTCTAAAGAGAAGCAGTGGAGGAGAATGAATAAGTATATGCAGATATACTGACATTTACATAAACACATACACACATCAAAATTCAATATTTTTTGAACAGTATGTTAGGTTCAATCTGACACATAATGTATCCTCCTCATGCCCAAATAGTAAAGATGTGTTCCTCTCTTAACGTTATAATTTGGTTACTTTTTTTTAAAGCTCTTACTTATGGGTAAAAATGCAGTAGGGTATTAATCTGGTTCCAAAAATAGGAAAGTAAATAGAAAACTGAAACAAATTGGACAGGAGACGAATAACCTAAAGCTAGCAGTAAAATTGAACTTTATAAAAAAGCCTCAGTAGGTATAACTCTAAATATACCATATGCCTAGCCTAGAGAAACAAATAGTGGCCTCCTCTAAAGAATTGCCATAAATAATAGAAGCTGGGGAATATTTTTTAAACATGAAAATTGCTAACAACCCAATTTATTGTCAAATGAATTAAGAAAATATGAATAACATCAAACAAAGCTCTATGTACAGTATAACAAACACATGGGATTCTACTATACATAAGAACAAATGTATAATGAAGTCACCACAGAGATCTTTCCACAAACATACTTACACACACACACACATAGATAGATAGATAGATAGATAGATAGATAGATAGATAGATAGATAGATAGACAGACAGACAGACAGACAGACAGACAGACAGATAGAATGGCTCTGAAGAGAATTTCTTTTAAATTTAGGATTTTTCACTATATTATTTGCCCTTGCCATTCAAAAACTTATGAGTGAGAGAAAGGACTTATTGTCCTGATCAATTAACTCATGGTAAGATATAAAGTATGTGTGGAGAAAAGTGATTCCTTATACACATTTGGTGCAAATGTAAACTAGTAAAGCCATTATGGAAAATTATATGGCAGTTCTACAAAAAACTAAAAATAGCATTATATGATCCAGCAATCCCATTGCTGGGCATTTACTACAAAAATTTGAAATCAGTATGTTGAAGAGATGTCTGCACTCCCATACTCATTACAGCACTATTTACAACAGCCAAGTTATGGAATCAACCTAAGTGTACATCAATAGATGAGTGGATGAAGAAAATGTGATATAGATACACAATGGGATACTATTCAACCTTAAAAAGAAAGAAACTCTGCTATTTGAGACTACATGGATGCAACTGGAAAACCTTATGATAAGTGAAATAATCCAGGCACAAAAAGCAAAATACTGCATGTTTTCACTTACATGTGGAATCCAAAACTATCAAGTTTATAGAAACACTGAGTAGAATGGCGGTTATCCGAGGCTGGAAGTGGAGGGAAGGGGGATGATGCTCAAAGGGCACAAAATCTCAGGAGAAATACATTTTATTTTCAATTGAGATATATTGCATAGCATGGTAAATGTAGTTAATAATAGTGTATTGTACATTTCAAAATTGCTAAGAAAGTAAATTTCAAGCCAGGTGCAGTAGCTCACGCCTGTAATCCCAGCACTTTGGGAGGCCGAGGCGGGCAGAGCACGAGGTCAGGAGATTGAGACCATCATGGCTAACACAGTGAAACCCTGTCTCTACTAAAAATACAAAAAATTAGCCGGGCGTGGTGGCAGAAGCCTGTAGCCACAGCTACATGGGAGGCTGAGGCAGGAGAATGGCATGAACCCAGGAGGCAGAGCTTGCAGTGAGCCGAGATCATGCCACTGCACTCCGGCCTGGGAGACAGAGTGAGACTCTGTCTCAAAAAAAAAAAAAAAAAAAAAGTAAATTTCAAATGTTCTCAGCAGAGAAAAAAAGTATTTGAGGTAATTGATATGTTAACTAGCCTGATTTAATTTTTCCACACTGTATTCATAAATTACACATCATTTTGTACCCCGCATATTGTCAACTTACAATAAATAAACTTTTTTTTAATATATAACATATGGATTCGGGTGAGGTTCTTAATTTAGCCACATACATACTTGATATCTGAAATCTCTTTATAACAAACTAAAAGCCAAACTAAATTATATTTCTGATCATTATACAGGGTTCTTTTTTGAGCATCAAGAAAAACCAAAGAGAAAATGTCTTTGGAAGGCTGCTACTCCCTTCTGGAACTCAAAAGTTAGAAATACCCTCTACAGACAGACCTACCTTTACTTATTGAATTTATGTAATTATTCTTGAACTTTGATTTAATTTCTAGTTTGTACAACTTCCCAAGGGTATAAGTGCTATATGTTAATGAATTGTTTAGAACAAGTTTCCTTTAAGTCACAACAGGCACCCAAATACTGTCATGTCATCCCTTCACAAAATGAGTTATTTTTATCTTATTCTTACTCTCAAATGTTATAGACATGTCCATACATTTGCCTACACATACTGAGAATAAAGTCTTAAACTCAGAGTTCAAATAAAATCCTTTTATTCCCTTGATAATTTCCTAGTTCATAAAATTAGCATATTAAAATGAGTGTTTAACACTGGTGTTATAAAGGCTTAGCTTTCATTGACGGTTTTGAGGAAGATACAAAAAGAATTATCATACATTATTTATAACTATAAGTGCTTAGTAGTTCTTTTCATTTTAAATGCCCAGAAAATTCCCCCAGGGATGGGCAAATAGTCTCCATACAGAGTATTTCCCTAAAAGTCTCCCTCCTGAACATAAACCTGCATTATTTCTTTCTTTGTAAGGATTATCTCTTCAGACTATCTCTGCTTTAATTATTTCCCTCCAGTTTTCATTAATCATATTTTATTCTCCTGTCACCAAAATCTTGAGGTTTTTTTTCCAACTTTTACATTGATTTTATAATCTTCTGCTTTATTTTCCCTAAAAGGTTCATATCTTATTTAAGAGAATAAACTATGGTCATTATTTTACCACATAACCTTAAAAATCAAGACTAGCATAATAACTATGCTCTGTTTTAGAACTTAAATATATCTTGTTGAATTTTTTTTTAATTTCAGTGAGTTATATGTCTTTTATAAAAACTTAGAAAAAAATAGCTAAAGAGATTGGTCTTGAATTGATACATGATATTCAAGTCTGAGCAGTACTAAACATGCTATTATAATTAAGAAAGGACATATGAGATTTTCCTTACATTAAACAGCATGTATAGAGGCTGAATGGAATTGAGAGGATAGAAATTCATATACTAGAATTAGTAATAGAAGCATGTGTAGCTATTCTGTTAAGTTTCCCAATTACAGAGGATCTACCAACTCATATGAGACACACTTCACCTGTCTAAAAATAAAAAAAACTTTTAATCAAAATCATCTTGTACTCAACCTAGTCAACTGATTAATGTAATATCAGTCCTAATCTAATAATCAGTACACAATCATGGGAGAAATTTGAGTTCTTTATTATAATTCTTAATGAAATCTTAGACTCTGTTATATATACAAAGGCAACTGAAATACTCTAATCAACTTTGATTGCTTAGGATGGCAATTTCATTAGACATGTATATGGAAAGGGATCTATCATGGTTTTATTTATGAAAATATCTATGATTTTTGAGAAAGCAGGTAAAGAAGTAGTTCAAAAGAGATTTATAGAGTTGTGGAAGATTTGGCAAGATTGAGAATGAAAAACATTAGGATAAAGTGTTAGGTGAAACAAAAATAGAACACCATTTTTGGACTTGATGGATAAGACCACTAATCATATTGCCATGACATAAGTGATACTCTCCCAACATTATTACTTATATTTAAATATATGTATATATTTAGACATATATATATACACACATATATATATCCAACTTTTAAAATATCAAAATTATAGCTTAAGATTATTTTAAAATCAATTTGATTTGATTTTGTAAATATTATTACTACTAAGGATACCAAGTTTGTCTCAGCATTATCCAGGTGTGAGCAAAGCTTCAATTACTAATTCTATTATTTTAATTTTGGCCCTCTTAATCCTTCTTCTGACATTGTGATAACTTTTAATGAGCTCCTTGTAATAAGAGAATGACTTCAATTTCAATGGGAAATAATAATGAGGATAGCTTTTTTAGCTTTTTATTTGTTGCTTCATGCACTTTACCTGATTCTTGAGATCCAGTTTGGGACATGGTCGTCCTCCATTGTAAGGTTTTTCTTTTAGCCATTTGGATCGAATTCTCACTCCAATTCCACAAGATGAACTGCAAGACCCCCAACTAGACCAATCGCTTAACTTGCAATCAAATGGGCAGGGAATGACACATTTTTCTTGAATGTAACCTGACAGAAAAAGATTTAAGAGAAGAAAGTCTGATTAAAATGTACTGATCAAATTCACTTTCTATTTCCATGATCACAGTTTGGATTTTTTCAACAATATTGCTGTAGTGGCTTCAATAATTTTGTTCTCAGATAAACAGACCAAAATTTTAAGAAATAAATATGACATCTGCATTCAAATTTGTGCCACTCTGTTCACTTTGTAGGCAATTTTGGGATGAAAGGAACAGGAAAAAGTGCACAGTTAGTCCTGGTTTCTGATAAGAAGGAATGAGGTAGCTCAGGGCTAAAGATGGAGCCATCTCCCCTCACTAGGCCTTGTGTTTCCCTCCTACGATTCACTGTCTAGAAGAGGGATTATAAAAGAGTCCATCCTTCTTAAGGGTCTATGATCTGCAAGGCTTTCACTTAAAAAGATGTTTATTCTGTAATGTGACTTGGGGATGGGAAGAGGACAGACAGTGGACCACAGATTAGGAAGAGTGGGATATTATTGAAAGAAGACAGTAGAAGAATAGCAAAAAGTTGTAAAATGAGATATTGCACTGAAATCAAGAGATGTGGGTTGAAGTACAGCTTTGGAAGTTCTAGCTCTACCTGGCCTTGCTTGTGTCTTCAGCCCACTTCTTGCAACGGTCTTTCTCTGGATAATCTCACTGTTTTAACTATCACCTCTAATAATCACTACCAAATATATACTTCTAATGTAGATCTCTCCACTAAATTCTATACCATCTACTGAACCACTCTAATTTGATGCCCGATTTACTGAAAATTCAACATGTCTAAAACTGAGGCCATCAATTTCCTAAAAAATTATACTTCTCTTGTGTTCCTTTCCCGATTAACTGCAACATCATCTGATTCCTGTATCCTGTTGTACATGCCTGTATAATCTCTTCTGCTTGAGTGTGGGAAGGAACTGTGAATGTGACAGAATGTCCCTCCCATTATTAGGTTATGGTATATGGCAAATGTGAAGGGAATTTACAGATATGATTAATATGCCACATCAGTTAATCAGTTTGAGATATACTGGGTGGGCCTGGCTTAATTGGGTGAAAAGCCTTAAAAGAGGACTGGGTCCTTTTGTGTAGAGAGAGAGAGATTCTCCTGCTGGCCTTGAAAAAGAAAATAGCCATGCTATGAAATGCTGATGGCATGGTCACATGACAGGAAACTGCAAGCAGCCTCTAGAATCTGAGGGCAGCCCCTTGCTGTCAGCTAGCAGAACACAGGGCCTTCAGGCCCACAGGTGCATGGGGATAAATTCTGCCAAAAACATGAGGGAGTTCAGAAGAGGAGCTTTCCCCAGCCAAGCCTCTGCTGAGATCTCAACCCTAGCCTACACCTTGATTTTAACCAAGTGAAGCCCTCAAGCAGAGAATCCAGAGAAGCTGTCTGAATTTCTGCCCCATGCAAACTGTGAGATAATAAAGGTTGTTTTGAGATGTGAAGTCTGTGGTATTTTTTTATGCAACAATGGAAAAGCTAAGAAGTTATCCAAAATAAATATCTCCAGTTATCTTAGACCCTCCTTCATCATTCTACACAAACATTAAAATGTGTCACAAATCCTTATATTAAAACAAATAAATAAGTCCCCTATTCCACAACTCCTTTGTCAGGCCCTAGTTCAAGATCTCACCATTTCTGGCCCAGAATAATGCCATATTCTCTCCACAAGCCTGCCTTTCTTTTTCTTAATTGTTCTGTTTTGGTATCTGTCAATTACTTTGAGGGGGGGAAAAAAGATCATTTTCTAAAATACAAAATAACTTTTATTACTCCTTTTTTGAAACCTCTGCTAACTCCCCATTGCCTTTATAATAAAAAGTCAACACACTTTACAAAAATAAAACAAACAAACAAACAAAAATTCTTTATAAAAGACTCTAAGCAATGGTTTTCAACCTTGTCTGTAAAATCTAAGTCCATTCCCCAGGACAAACCATAGACCAATTCCACCTGATTCTCAGAGGATGGGACCCAGGAAAGGGTAGTTTTTGTTGTTGTTGTTGTTGTTGTTGTTGTTGTTGTTGTTTTGAGATGGAGTCTCGCTCTGTCGCCCAGGCTGGAGTGCAGTGGCGCAATCTCGGCTCACTGCAAGCTCTGACTCCCGGGTTCACGCCATTCTCCGGCCTCAGCCTCCCGAGTAGCTGGGACTACAGGCGCCCGCCACCGCTCCCGGCTAATTTTTTTTGTATTTTTAGTAGAGATGGGGTTTCACCGTGGTGTCAATCTCCTGACCTCGTGATCTGCCCGCCTCGGCCTCCCAAAGTGCTGGGATTACAGGCGTGAGCCACTGCGGCCAGCCAGGAAAGGGTAGTTTTTAAACACATTCAGATGATTCTGAGGACTGCCTACCAAACTTATTGTTCCCCCCACCCTCCCGTCTCTTCTATCTTAAATTCTGTCTACACAGACTACTCCATCTTCTCCACGAGCCTTTGCTCGTGCAAAAATGAGTTATTTTCCTAACCAGCTTAGCCTCCCTGCTTCATTACTTTAACCACTCTCTTGCCAATTTGGTTGATGGCCTCGTCCCAGTGTTCTGCCATCCCAGGCTGGAAAAACTTCAGACTTAGTTTGGTCCAATTGTCTTCCTTTTCTGTTCTTAAAACAGGGCTGCCAAGCAGAGATGAAGAAAATGCTGATACCACACTGGAGACACTTTAATAAGTACTCTATCTTCAACCAGTTTCTCACACTGCTTGGTCATTCTTCTGAGTTTTCTTCTCACTCTGATTCCACAGACAGCTCTTTCAAGCCTCCACCTATTTTCAAACTTCTAAGACCTCACATCTTCCTCACATCTTCCTTTACAGAAAAAAATAGCAAGAAATGGATGAGACTCCTTCAGTTTCCTATGAATGTGTCTGTATGCATTCTCATATTTTTTTCTTCTCTCTTCATATTAACATGAAAAAAGTGTCCATTTTCTGCATTTTCCTATATAAGGAACATTCTTCATTTCCACCTGATTTCTCCCCTGGTCTACAGGCTCTTTCAGAACCTTGTTTCCTTGATTCTCTTTCTCTTTCTTTCTTTCTTTTTTTCTCTCTCTCCATTTCATATTTATATTTCTTTCAGATTAATATTATAATGAATTTAAATTCCCCTAATACTAGTCATTGACAAGAGAGAATACACTAAAATCTAAGAGTCATCAGAAAAGATCCTTCTGGAATTGAAAAAAAAATGCTCCAATAGACACTCGTAAAAGACTAATCCTCTAACATAATTTTAATTTTACAGTCATTTCTAAGGAGTTTTGATTACTAATTCACTATTAGATACACAGTAAAAGCTAAATAAAGGATTAAAAGGAAGTCACAACATTACTTCATTTTATAGAGAAACTGAGTCACAAAATGCTTTCATTTGCTACCAAATAGAAAGAGGAAAACTAGAAATTAGGTGGGATTAACTCTCATGGCATGCATACTTCACATATGCAAATCTGAAATTCCAGGAGGTTTCAGATAAACTTTAAATGTTTGAATGTCTATGTAGACCCTATGTTAAAGCAGAATTTGAAGTAGATGCCCTTTTAATTGAGATTTTAAATCATTCTCATCTACACTTGCATACTGAAGGATTTTAATTAGCAAGCCTGTAGCAATACTTTTTTTTTCTTTCCCTATGATAAGAAGTAAACCCAGAGGATCTCTATGAAAGTCAAGGTTATAAATTCAATGAGCATAAAATAATTTTGAAATTCAACAGGACTAAGCAACAGTGACATTTATTTTTCAGGAAAATTATTTTCATGCCAGAGTATACCCCAAAGGAAAATTCATAGTGAGGAATATTAATACTTGCATATTCTTATACCTATCTCATATTCGAATGGATAAGTTTTACCACACACTTAACACTTATAGTTTTTGGCAACAGAATATGATCAAATGTGACTATGTACAAGGTTGACCTGCCACTTAAATATTCTAATTTCTAACTGCAGAAGTCCCACTAATGTTTAAGAAACTCATTTCCATAAAATATACCACAGAATCTCTGTTCCCATCTACATAATATTTCACGGCAACACTCACACATCTAAACCTCATTGCTACCAAAAAAGCAGTTTTTTCTACCAAAAAGTATTTTACACTACAGTTTATATGCAGAATACATTGCTTGGACCATCTTATTACTTGGCCTAGGGATACTTTAGTGTTCTATTTTAGTTATCAGTATGCATATAGAATTAGGGGTGAAGTAGTCATTACAGAATTATCAGTAGAGAATACACCAAACTTTGTAATTTTGTAAACCATATTCATTATACATAGTAGATGCTCAAAAAAAATCCTATTACAGATAAAGATGGACTGAATAGGATGCATTAATACTATCCCTATCGATGTTACAACCAGTGGTATTTATTTAATGATCTACCAAATAGAATTGAAGCCCAGAGACTTGGAATGAAAGGACTTTTCAGTCTATATTTCTAATCCCCAAAGACTGAAGCCTCTGAGTTAGCATAACGGATGTATGTGTAAGCACAGTTCTCCGAATAAGGTGGACTCATTAATACAACCTCTCCCAGAATATTACCTTATGTGCATTTTTCCCCTTCAACAGTCAAGTACAAACACGTTTTTCTCCTGTTAAGATCTAGTTTTGAAGGACATAAAAGTAGGAAATATTGATTATATTAATCCTGAGAAAATAACCTAGATTAATTTACTTATATTTTCCTGCTATATAAAATAATAGCCAACATCTCACTGGACAGCTTATGTTCTATCTACTGACACTGTGCTCGAATAATGAAACATAGTACCAAAAAGGAAACAGATTTTTTTTTTTTCAATACTAAACAAGCTAAGATCCGGGAGAATCTTGTGAGTTAAAATAGCATGTTGTGATTTTCTCAATATTTAAAAACCTGCTTTTTAAAGTTTATTTAATGTTTTTTCCTTTTTCAACTTTTATGGATACATAATAGTTGTATATATTTATGGGGTACATGTGATATTTTGATACAAGCATGCAATGTGTAATGATCAAATCGGGGTAACTGGGCTATCCATCACCACAAGCATGTATCTTTTCTTTGTGTTGGGAACATTACAACTCATACTTTTTTGAAATGTACAACAATTATTGTTATCTATAGTTGCCCTATTGTGCTATTGAATGCTAGATCTTATTCTTTCTATCTAACTGTATTTTTGTACCCATTAATCAACCTGTCTTTCCTCTTCCCTCCCTACTACCCTTTCCAGCCTCTGGAACCACCATTCTCTTCACTACTTCCATGAGATCCATATTGTTTTTCAAATCTCCCACATATGAGTAAGAACACACAGTATTTGTCTTTCTGTGTCTGGCTTATTTCATGTAACATAATCTCCTCTATTTCCATCCATATTGCTGCAAATGATAGGATGTCAATTTCATTCTCTTCATGGACAAATAATATTCCATTGTGTATATACATATTTTCTTTATCCAGCCATCTGTTGATGGGCACTTAGGTGGATTCCATATCTTGGCTATTGTGATTATTGCTGCAATAAACATTGCAGTGCTGATACTTTGATATATTGATTCCCTTTCTTTTGGTTACATACCCAGCAGTGAAATTGCTGAATCATATGGTAGTTCTATTTTTAGTCTTTTGAGAAATCTCCATACTGTTTTTCATAGTGGCTGTACTAATTTGCATTCCTACCAACTGTGTACGAGCATTCTTCTTTTTCCATATCCTCACTAGAGTTTGTTAGTTTCTACCTTTTTGATAATAGCCATTTTAACTGGGGTGATATAATATCTCATTGTGGTTTTGATTTGCATTTCCTCTGATGATTAGTGGTGAGCATTTTTTTATACATCTGTTGGCCATTTGTATGTCTTCTTTTAAAAAATGTCTATTCGGATGTTTTGCCTATTTTTCAACTGGATTATTTGTTTTTGCTATTGGAGTTCCTTTTATATTCTGGTTATTAATCCCTTATTGAATGAATAGTTTGCAAATATTTTCTCTCGTTCTGTAGGTTGTCTCTTCATTTTGTTGAGTGTTTCCTTTACTGTGCAGAAACTTTTTAGCTGGATGTGATCCCATTTGTCCATTTTTGCCTTTGTGGCCTATGCTTTTGAGGTCTCATTCAAGAAATCTGTGAACAGACCAATGTCCTGGAGCATTTTCCCAAAGTTTTCTTTTAGTAGTTTTATAGTTTCAGGTCCTATATTTAAGTCTTTAATTGATTTGATTTTTGTAAATGGTGAGGGATAGAGGTCTAGTTTCATTCTTCTGCACATGGATATCCAGTTTTCTAGCTTATATATTTTAGTACTATGAGAATATAATTGTTTTTCTATTTATCTAGTAAAAATGCACTATACTAAAAAGTATCCAATGACTTCAATCAGATTAGTTTAAAGGGCATATTTGTTTGGGAAAGGTGAAGAAAAAATTGCAAAATTATTTTAACCTTAGTCCAAGAAAGACAATTTGAGAAGTTAGATCAATACTTTGCCATTGTTATGAAGAAAGGAACTGACAGTGTTAAACGCTTACTTAAAATCTCAATCCATCAGCATGTGAAAATGTAAATCAAATGCAATAGAGTTACCAGCTTGCCTTGGTGAATGTATACATTTTCTTGGAAATACCATTCATGAAAAGAAGTTGCATACTCTCATAAAGATGCTTCCAACCTTGTTTAGGTCTCTGTGAGGCCTGAGACATGATAGTTAAAAAGTGCCTAGGTTATTACCTCTTCTTTTTAGAATTCTGAATTATTAAGAGATGGTTTTGAAAGTACTGTCTACCAGTAGAAAATATCTTACTGCTTTTTATAAAACTCCATCAGCATCGACAAAATAATGTTAAATATTATAAATGATGCTAATGTATTGCAAACAAAATATCTCATTTAGATCCACAATATGATAACTGAAATGTAGCTGATTTAGAAGTCACACAATGTTCAAACAATTAATTGACAAAAAAGTTTTACTGGATTCCTTAAAACTCACTTTTTTGTAGCACAAAAACTTATTAAATTATATTACATCCACCAGGAAAATCATTTCGGTGTCAGCCAGTTTCCTTAATTAAAATATAATTCACTAATTCACTGGTGTACTGTATTTTGGATGTAGATGAGCTATTCAAGATCACCTAGGAAAAGACTTCATTTTATAGTCAGAAGTAGAACGGGAACTCAAACTCAGACTTGGTTGAGATAGTTCACTATCAAGTAGAAAAAAATAATTACTATGGCCCAGAATGTTCTCTTTAGTAAAGGATTGACAAGATAGAGAATCAACCCTGCCCTTGATCTAATTAATTCATATTTGGGAAGAGATAATTCTTATCAATGAGGAAAAAATGTGGTATGTAATCAAGTACATATGTTGTATGATACAAATAATGTATACAAATTCTATGACAAATTGAGATAACATGAATATATTATGGTTTTAATTTTCTAAGAGATTCTTGTGAAAAGTATTTATCTTGGTACACACAGGATTTGGCTAATGGCTTGACTTGGTTCACTTGCCACAACTAAATGTATCAGTGTCAACCTAATCAAGCAGCCAAATCCTATAAAGAACTGATCTTTGAAATTGAATAGTCCAGGCAATTTAATCACAATGGTATCTCAGTTGTTCTTATAGGCAGAGCTTGCAACATTAACTCCCTTGTGCCAGGTTCCTCCAGGCAGAGAAAAGATATTTTTTTCCTTAGACGATATTGAGGATATTAGAGACAAAGGAGACTAGACACAGAACAATCTGAACTGTTCAGTTAGGACTGTACGTACACTAGCTATTTTTCCCATTACTGCAAATAAGTGCTGTTAAAATTAAAGTGACTGAATGCTTTAATCACATAACAAACTTGGCATTTGCAACACAATAAAGACACACAGATTTAAATAACCCAATATTACCGAGTAATTCTTAGAACTGTGGCTCCAAGTGCCTATATGAAGTCTTCTCATTACATCTTCTTGCCTTGAGAGAATTTCACCTTAAACTACACCATACTGTATGTACTTTACATTTTCTCATTTATGAAAGCTGATTTCTGAGCATATCTTGTATTCATCAGGCTATTCTCCAAATATTTCAGGTTCTGTTCCTGAACACTTTACCACACTTTGAAGTTTGGTGTGATCTTATAATTTGTTTTAGCCAATAAAATGTGAGCAGAAATGTAGTGTGAAGCCTCTAGGTGGAAGCTTTAAGAGCTGCAGCATAATTTGACCTACTCTTTCTTTCCTTATGCCACAAGGACCAGCAATATTCCTGGCTGCTCAATCAGCCCAGGTCCTGGAGTGATGAGGACTTGGCGCAGAGTCTCCAGCCAACCCAAGATAGACATGAATAGTGAGAGACCCTGTGGCTTTCAACCACCGAGACTTTGAAGTAATCTGTTCTGTTTGTTTCTGCAACATTACCAATTCCATCCTGATGGATCAAGCTTGGCACAACAAAGCATCTTCAGAAGGTGAAGTAAAGAACACAATGAAACAAATATTTAGAATATTTTGCGAATATGGTGTCCTGAGAAAATACAATTAAGCTAGATCAGCAGTTAGCACAGTCTGAATGGCAAATCAAATCAAATGAGGATGTGACTTTGCAGAAAGTTGAGCTTATATATATATATTTCAGGAAAATATATAATTTATTATTTAAAAAAGGACTCACAATATGGATTATAAATCAAAGTCTAACCTTATGTCATCTGGGATAAAATATTAAATCTCCATAGTTCAATTTCCTTGTATGAAAATAAAAATGTAACAATATTTCTCCTTTCTAATTTCTTATAATGCTGTGAGGGTCAAAAAATATAAGAAGTAGAATTCTGTGGAAAATAATTAATATATGATGAAAGTGACATACTAACATTTTACTGCTACTAAAAGCTATATAGCAGAGTAGAAATATTCTTTCATTATTATGTTTTTGGGGTAGGTGATTGGTAAAAAATATAATTCTGTAAAGATACTTTAGCAGAAAAATTATAGGGTAATAATTTTCAAATTTGGGTGCCTTTTCTCATTCCAGCTCATTTCCATGTAAATTAAAGACTAGGATAACATTGACAAAATGAGAGATTCTGTTTTGGGTCAATAAATCAATTGTTGTTTCATTCCATGTCTGTCTTTCCAAGTCTGCTGCTACCAACCAAGGCCAGATACTCAATATCTCTCACTTGAACTATTATAATAGCCCCTTAACTGGGCTGCAGGTTTCCAATTTCTTCCTTCTAATCTATTCCATGTCTGATCAACTGCAATATTAATATCCCTAAAGCACAACTCTACATATGTCATGGCCTAACCTAAAATAAATAACCTTCACAGTGTAGCAGAATTTTGATAAATAGACAGGCATGTGGAAGGCAATCTTGGCAGGAGAGAGACCACAAATTAAATTAAGAAGACAATGAACCCCAAATGTTTATAAGTCAAATATTCTCTACAATAATTTTTGTTTGAGGAGAAGTATAAATTTGGCTAGGGTGCTGTGAGACCACAGGAGGAGGTTCTGCTGGGGAGGCTCAGAAAATTGATTAAGAATTCTGGTATAAATTTGATTGGGGCACTGGAATGAAGAAGAGACAGCATGAGATCAGAGCACCTGATTAAGAGACAATTTGAAAATTCTGAAGTGGCAAATGCTTTGCCCTTAGGCTAAAAGACCACTAAATATAATTAAAAATGATATGCATGTTGTTAGAGAACAATATAATGAAACATGATAGGATATTACTTATAATTAGCTCGTTGTGACATGTACACATGGCTAATATACTATCTAAATAGAAACAACTACCTTCAAAATGACCAATGAATCTGCTCTTTAAATAGCAGCTTCATTTCCCAACTGTGAAGACAGGTCTGATACAATGAATCCTAAGCATCAGCAATTGCCAGTTTATGAGTAGATAGATTTCTCTATGTGTCTCATGGGATTCAGAAACATATAAGCTTAGAAGAAAAGTATTTCTCTTCTTTTTTCTTTATCTCCCAGGGTTCCTAAAGAAACTCTGACCTGAATCCAGCCAATATATTGGACCAGAATAGTAGATTTACCTACTGCCTACCTGCTTACTTATTTGCTTATTTATTTATATATTTGTGTATTTCTTATAAGGACAGGAGTGCAAAATTGGGAGATTTCACATAAAATAAACATTTCTGACTTCCCTTGAAAATGCAGATGATCTGGTAACACCTGGGTTCTCATTCCAGCATAGCAACAATTGGCTGGAACTGAATAGCAGGACCTCTTCAGATGAAATCTGCCATCACAGTATTCTACAGTCCCTAAACTAAGGACTTCTTTACCAACTGAAACAAGGCCAAAACTTACTCATATGTCCAATTAAAAAAAAAAAAGGTAAGGTGAGGCTATGGTTATTGGAGAGGAGGGTGGATGAGACAGAGATCTACCTCTCCAGGCTCACCCTACTCATCACATGAAGGGATCTAGGAAGAGTTGAGTCAGAAACTTTTTCTAGTCTGAAATCTTCAAAAGGAGCCAGACTCTATGCTACCAGCCAGTGTTGGAGCAGACATGTGGGCTCTGGAAATTATATAATGAAAAAGGCAGTCTTTAAAATTTAAAAAACAAGACAAAATTATAAATGCAAATTTAAGTGCAATGATTTGGAAGAGGATCATGACAATCAAGTTTCTGAACTTTAAGGTTAATTAGGTGGATTAACTTCCACTGCTATCAGTATTCAACATATTACTACACCAGCATTCAAACATAATTCCTAAAGGTGGCAACAAGAGACATCATGAATAACTAGAACATGAATATCTAGAGATAGGTAGATGGAAGCGTTCTTCATTCAGAGCCTAGCTCCTCCAAAGAACTCTGTGGAACAGAAGAAAGTTCATAATGTAATAAAATGTCTGCACAGTAAGCTTCAGAGATGAGAATCCATTTTTCTATTTGCCTGACTGTGCGGTTATCCAGACAATGATTTGTAATCATGAACAATGAAACAAGTTATTATAAATTCTGATTTATAATCAGAATATGGATTACATGACAAAAAAAATGTACCTCGAAAAGTTTTCATTTGCCAAAAAACTGTACCTTTCACGGAGCTAATGCAGAAATCAATGTACAAGAATGAATTCACAGTACATTAACTCCTTGCAAGTTACCATAAAATCCTTTGAACTATCACCAAGGTGTAAAATTAAATACAACTTCCAGTTTTGATTTACACAGCTCTCTGGTAATGGAGAATTTGTTCCATTACCAATAATTTTGTTTCCTGACTGATTGTGCATTATCTAATCCAGAGATTTACATTTAGACTTCTGTTGTCTGCAATTGACAGATAACTTATTTATTTAATGATATACCTTGGATGAAGGAAGAAATAAAGAAATAAAAGAGGTCAAGACATTTCAATTTATTTATTTAATTTTATGTTCTTCAAAAAATTAAATAGCCAGAAATCTTCTAATTATACTAATAGAAGTCTCAAGAGACTGTGGGTAATCCTAATTCACACAAAGAAGGCTTTTGAAACCAGAAAAAAGCATCAAAAGCAACCAAAATATTCCTCTAAGAAAAAGCAACAGAAAAAGAGGGTTTGTTAGTTTTCTAGAACTGCTGTATCAAATTACCAGAAACTTGGTAGTTTAAAAAAAGAAAAAATTATTCTTTCATTGCTCTCTCATAATATATGCTTAATTCATTTTGGTGCATTCTAGAAGCCTGACATTAAGGTGTCAGCAGGGCTGTGTTCCCTCTAAAGTTTATAGGAGAAAATCCTTGCCTTTCCTAGTTTCTGGTGGCTCCTGGTGGCCCTTGCTTGGCAGCATACCTCTAATTTTTGCCTTCATCTTCTCATGGTTGTTTCCCCTTTGTTTCTCTGTCTCAAATCTTTCTCTTTTCTCTTGTAAGGACGCTAATAATTGGTTTTACAGCCTACCCCAAACCGAGGATGATCTCATCTCAAGTTCCTTAACTTAATTACATCTGCAAAGACTATTTGCAAATAAGTTCACAGGTACAGGTACTGAGGGACAGAACTTCAACATATCTTTTGTGGGGACAAAATTCAACCTACTAGAGAGAGGAGTGAAGATTATAATAAAGAAGAGAATGTAACACATGGACAAGAGTGCAGCCTTAGATACACACCAAGCTGACCTAGGCTTATATCCCACCTCAACGTGAGCTGCCTAAATCCTCTAAGCTTCAATGTTATCAACCATCGCAGGGACTATTGCAGGTCAACCCCAGCCTCCACCTGTTTTTGTAAATACAGTTTTGTTGGGACAGAGCCACACCCATTTATTTCTGCATTGCCTATGACTGCTTTCACACCGCAACAAGCAGAGGTGACTAGTGACAGAGACAGTACAGCTGACAAAGTTGAATATATATACTATCTAGACTTTTATAGAAAATGCTATCAAATGGGGTTAATAACAGTACCCATTGCATAAGATTATTATGAGAATCAAATGAGAGCATTAAACGGTATTGACCACACAGTGAGCACTCAGTAGGTGAAAATTTGCTGTTTCTATTAGAAAGGCATAGTGTCATGGTAGATAACAACATGGGCTTAGAAATTTAAAGACCTAAGTTCAAAATCAACCAGGACACTTACTACTTGTGGTGTTACCTTGTGCCTGTCATTGAACCTCTCCAATCTTCAATTTTCTTATCTCTAAAGTGGAGGTAATTATTGAAAGTACTTCAAATTGCTCTGTAGATCAGATGGTCTGGAACAAGAGGTTAGCCATTTCTGCTACTAGTATTATTCTCCAACAAAGAAAATATAACATCTTCAGTGTATGAGATGCAAGTGGGAGTTGGGAAGACAGTTTCATTTTGAGAAATTCCATATTTAAGAAGATCAAATGTCTCAAGTCTTCCCCAAAATGATGTTTTCTCCTCAAGGCCAAAACCTCTGTGGCATGCAGAAAAGGGTAGAGTGCTCATGTGAATTTTTATCTATTTCCTAGTCAAACAAACAGAGTAGGTAAAGATTAACATTTGGTATACAGAAATCAACAGTTCCCTGCTAATTAAAGCAGAATTATTTAAACTATTGAACACAGAGCCTGAAGGCTGGCATCGATGGGGATGAAATCATAAGACCTTAAATAAAAACAGTTACATTGAAATCTTTATCATCCCACCCTCACCAATCAGGTTCCTCTTCCTGTGTTCCCTCCTTTGCTCCTATATTAAGGTCCAAGCTCTTTGAAATGACTCATAGGGACTTCTGTAATCTGTTGCTTTCATGTCTCTTCTTGCTTTAAAGGTGCATGAAATTCTGTAACTTCACAATGCTCAACAGCTGGTAATAATTTTGTCAAGTGGCGATATAATTCAGGACATGTTGAAGACAGCTTCCTTTGTTTTGCCTCCTGTTCTTCACAATCATCTTAGCTTTATAGGAATTTCTCTACAATCATCATCCCCTTAGACATGAACTTGGAGCAGTGAGGGCACAGGCAAGACCATCTCCTTATACTGACTGTTTAGACAATAATGGTAATGCATGGGGGGAGTGGGAGACAACATCATTAGTAAGGATTTTCATTTTATAAGATTTCATAAGCTGTCAAATCAGAGCTTGGGCTGCCAAGGCTATGGCTGTGTACATTTGAAGTATAGCTCTGATCCAGGAAAGTGCTGGATTATTTCATCTGGGATTAGAATGTACTTTGCATTCATCTTTCTAGTATCTCAAAAGATGATCTGGGAAAAAAGATGAGATAAAATCTTCAAGTGTTATTCAAGAAAACTGAGATACTGTAGAAACAACTATGGTATTTCAGGGCACAAATATTCATTTTGCTGCTATTGGAAATAATTAGGTAAAACTAACCTATACCTAGGTGTGTGCAAAATTAAGTGACACAATACACAAGCCACACAGGTAGAAATTTGGCTCTGGCTTTGATTTCACACCTGAGACTCAAAATCTGGGGGCTTGTCAACAGTACAATTCTAAATGTGGAGATATGAGAAATGGGAGGCAAAACGAGAAAAGAATTGGAGAAAGAAAACATTCTCACCATTCAAAGGCTACCAACTATTAACATTTTGGTATAATTTTTTTGTGTTATTGTTCTTGTTTTTACGGTTTGTTTGTAAATTATATTCATACCATTTTACTAACCATCTAGTAATCATACTGTGGCACAAGAGGCTGTTGTAAGACTGTTCATAACAGTATCAGTTGAATGGCCAAGAATTGAATGAAGGCTTGCTAATTGATCACTAATGGGAAATAAATGTAAAATGCTAAATAGATGCAAAAGATGGAATACCATGCACTGCTCCCCAAATAAAAACTAATCTACAAACAGCAGCAGGAACAGAGGCAGTTAATACACAGAATAGGGAACAAGCTCTGGAATCAAATTGTGTGTATGACAAAACAGGCTCTGACATTCTCAGCTGTGCATTCTCGTGCAAATTCTTTAACCTATCTGTTCCTTGATTTCCTTATCTGTAACATAAGAATAAAGATAATATCTAACTGATACTATTGATATAAGAATAAATTAGTTAATAAAGAGAGCACTTAGAGAAAGACATAGCATATTTTAAGTGCTCAATAAATGTCAGTTACCATTATCTATCAGAAATAAACAAGATGAATATGTATATCATAACTGTAAATTAAAACACAAGCTAAATAATTATATATATTTATTTATATGTATAATCAGGAATACATATACATTAATATAAACAGATGCAGAGTGAAGTGGAAGGTTATAAATTTAATATGAGGGAAGCTAATAGGATTGGGGATACAGACTGAAAGGGGAAATTATGAAACTGAATTAAAAATAACAGGAGGATGTGCATGGACTGGAGATGAGAGCATGCAGTAACTCAGATTCTCTTAGGGAATTTTAAATGTGAGATGGAGAGAAAGTGGTAGAAGCATGGAAGGAACTGGAAAGTTAGGCTGAATCCGGAGACCCAAAGACACAGAGTCACCTGAACAACAGAATCCTACAGTGAGGAGCCATGCAGAGGGCAGAACCAGGAGCTACTGTGCATTTCCTCCTGAGACACAGGAGTTCCTCTTTGCTTCCTTAGCTCCCTGTGTATCCATCCCTGGGCCCCAATACCTGAGACTACTTCAGTGTTTTCTCATTGTTTGAAATTAAGAGTAGACTAATAGTATATCAGTTTGATTAGGCACTCCACAGAGATCATTGCCCGTGGACATGAAAATGTTCTTCAGTTCAACTTGAGGTGTACAAATATAAGGACAGAAAAAACTATGATAATGACCTTCAAGATAACTGTTAATTTTCTCCTGCTCAAAGCCCTGCAGTGGACATTGGGTGGGGCTGGAATGGAGAAAACAGTATCTTTAAGATCTCTGTGCATAGTGATTCATCATTGCACTATTTGGTATTACATCAAGAATCTGAAAAGATTTAAAATATTTTAATTGCTTCCAATATGAAACTCTATCAAGACTGGGTTGTGTGAGGTTTTACTCTGATAAACAGACGTTATGAAATAACATAAGCAAAGTCCTGGGCAGAGTGCCTAACACATGGCATACCCTTAAAAAGTTTGTATCTTTCCCCAAACCATCCTCAGGCATGGCTCCAATAACCAAAAAAGTATGCCAAAACTTATGAAGTTAATTAACTGCAACTTAAATGGAATGATATTAGTGGAAAGGAATATAACTAATGAGAAATCCAGAATGTAGCTGCTGGGACATGATAGTCTTAGATATGAGGGGAAGGGGCTGGAGTGAATACAGGTGGTATTAATATATTTTTTTCCTAGAAGAAGGCTTTAAAAAAGAAAAAGAAAGATGGACATAAAAAGTAAAGTATTTTCAATGTAATAGTACTGAAGACTACCGTAAGTTTTTTAGGCAATGAACTATAATGAGCCTCTTGGCAAACGATTAAGTACATCTTAATGGAAGAAAAAAATGTTTGCAGCTGACATAATTATAGGCTTTAAGGCAACCTTGAGGGAGAGGGAGAATAAATGAACAAGTAAAAGTACAAAACTGAGAACAAGACTTGAATCAGGAGTAGAGGAGACGTACATCATCATAAGGAGAAAATAACCGTAGAAATTGAGGAACTATCACTGTAGCCTGAAGTATCTGTAAATTAATACACAAAATGTGGAAAACAGACACAGTAAAGCAAAGACTCAGTGTGGGAAATCTGTTCTGCAGTTACATCCCCACATTGTCATGCCTGAGTGCTGAACAGCATCACTACCTGAAAGGAGCCATGAGCTCGTGAAAGACCCAGTCTTTTTGGAAGTTGTATAACTTGGCATCAGTTTCAAACCATTGAAATATTATCTTTGCCCAGGAGGTCTGGGCCTAACCAGAGGGCACAGTGCCATACGGGGTTAACACAAACCTATGTTAGTGCCTGATTCTGACAAAAATTTATGAACATACTGTTAAAGAGCTTCTGAATATTTCAAGAAAGAAGAAATGGGCATCAGGTGTCCAAATGGGCTCCTTTAGATCACTCAGAGAGAGGCATCTAATCTCTTTTGTGATGGGTTTACTAGACTTGTAGAGAAGAAAGGAGATGGCATATGCAGAAAGAAATTTGACAAAAAGTCTCCTGATACCCTCATAAACAAATGTAAAGAGCTAGAGGGATTTTTGTAGCTACCCAAACAATGTTGATTAATGTATCAGTGCCATCCTGAGAGATGTCTTCCCTGCAACAAATGCTGAGTGGGAATGCTTGGTCTTATTTTGTCCAACATTTTGATTAACAACTTGGATAAAGACACAGATGGCATGCTTATCAAATTTTGGGATGATATAAAGCTGAGAGTTATAGCTAATATATGAGATGTCAGAGTCAAGACTTAGAGCCCTTAACAAGCTGGAATAATGAGCAACTAAGAATATAAAAAGGAATACAGGTAAAAGTGCAGTTCTGCATTATGGTACCCAAAGGGCAGCTGAACATATATACTCAGATTGGGGGTTACAAAACTTTATAGCAGTTCTTAAAAAACAGACTTCAAGAGTTTTTTTAAACTGCACAGTGAAAATGCATCAATAGGTATTATATAAAGTATACATTTTATTTATTTTAATGTAAATGTCATCTACTGAGCAGTGTTTGAAGTGATTTATAAAACATGCACAAAAGCAGTATTGAAATGGCCTAGAGAAAGTAGAAAAATAGGTGGGGCACGGAGGCTCATGCCTGTAATCCCGGCACTTTCACAGGCCAAGGAGAGTGGATCACTTGAGGTCAGGAGTTCGAGACCAGCCTGGCCAACATGAAGAAACCCTGTCTCTACAAAATATACAAAAATTAGCCAGGGATGGTGCCTGCCTGTAATCCCAGCTACTTGGGAGGCTGAGGCAGGAGAATCACTTAAACCCAGGAGGTGGAGATTGTTGAGAGCAGAGATCACGCCACTGCACTCCAGCCTGGGTGACAGAGCAAGACTCCATCTCAAAAAAAAAAAGAAAACAAAATACAATATTGCAAATATTGTATTCCTATTGGTTCAAGAGACATTTTTGAGCATCTTTTGTGTCCAAAAGAGTGTTCTTTGCCTATTACACAACTACTTATCCTTCACTTTTTAGATCACATTTTCTTCCCTAGAGTGGTCTTCCCTGATTCCCCAACTTAAATAATGTCCCCCATCTTGTTATTATCTTACAGCGCCCTGCTCCTTTTTGCACTTAGGGCTATTTGAAATTACATATTCTGTGTATATACTTTCTTAATATCTTCCTCAACTACTAGACTGTAAAGAGATCACATCTGTCTTGTTTAATACTATATAGCCAAGGTATAGCAGAGGTTTTGGCATCTAGAAGGTATTAAATAAATATGTCCTATGTTAATGAGTAAATGAGCCAAGAATTAGACGCTAACAATCTAGAAAGGGAGAAAGACAAGCAAAGAGATAAAGTCTAATATAAATAATATTCTTCATTAGTGTCTGTCTAAATTTCTGTAAGAGTATAGAAACAGACTGGTGAAGTTGAGGAAAAGGCTTCTTGAAGAAACTGACTTGAGTTAGGGCTTAAAATTGAGTAGAAGTCCACCTTAAAAAGAAAAAGACATCAAATTGAGGAAGGAACACAGGCAAAGAAATGGAGTCCTGGAAGGACAGAAGACACGTGGGGAACAGTGAGAGGAAGTCCACATGGTACATGAAATGTGTGGTTGAAAATGACATTGGGACACAATGTTCCCTTTACTGCCATTTAAGTGTTTAGTGGCCAAATGGAAACATCCTAGGAAAACATGAGCACAGGAACGAAAGGGGCTAGAAACAGTCATATGAGTCAGAAAACAAAAATCCTGGATATTTAGCCTGAAGAGTAAAACATTTATAAGTGGAGGAAGCATTATATATTTTTTCAAATTTGTGAAATCCTCTTATGCCGACAATTTTTATTTTTTATTTTTATTTATTTTATTTTTGAGACAGAGTTCCGCTCTGTCGGCAGGCTGGAGCGCAGTGGCGCGATCTCGGCTGACTGCAACCTCCGACTCCCAAATTCAAGCGATTCCCCTGCCTCAGCCTCCCGAGTAGCTGGGATTACAGGCAGACACTGCCACGCCCAGCTAATTTTTTGGATTTTAGTAGAAACGGGGTTTCACCACGTTGGCCAGGATGGTCTCAATCTCCTGACCTCGTGATCCACCCACCTCCGCCTCCCAAAGTGCTGGGATTACAGGCAGGAGCCACCGCGCCTGGCCGCTGACAAGTTTTTAATTTTTTTTTAATTAAATGAAGTTAATTTGAACCAATGAATGGAAGAAGCTACCTTTAGACTTTAAATATAAAGATCTTTCCAATTTGAGAGTAGTTCAGCTGAATTTTGCAGTGGTAACAAGCTCTTAGTCAGGAAGTAGGTTTAAGCAGATTCTTCCATAACCATCTCAAATAAAAATATTTCTTAGAGTTTTTCTGAGGTTATCTGTTCCCGTTGTCAACATCATTCTTATCACCTATAAGCTATTCCAAAAGCTCTATCTATTCCAAATCTAAAATTACAGAAATTTCTTTCTCCTGACTTCAATAAAATATTTTAGTTGTGTTTTCTTCATAACCACTCGAATGAGGACTAAGCTCTACTTTTTTTTTATCTTGCCCAAAATCCTATCTATGGGGTCCGGGGTGTCATAATCTACAAACCATAAATTCTCATCAGATATGTTTTATTTAACCCTTTATATTGTGATTTACTTTCCAATCTTACTCTGGCATAACATTACAAGTCAAGGAAGAAAATCAAAATATTTTATTCCAAAACATGTTTCTCTGCCATATCTTGAAATGGCCCTGCAAAGCCATCTTTTGTGGAGAAAATTTGCATCTATAAAGAATCTCTATTAACATAGCTAGATCTTTTTCTTCCAGGCCCTCCCAATCCTAAAGGGATGAACTAAGATCTGAATAGGAAACATTTGTCATCTATTGTCTTTAAGGGCAGCCACTATAAGATTTCAGAAGAACCCTGGTCTCTACAATCTTTTATCTTAACCTGAACATTCCCTTTCTGTCAATTCCAGGTCTTTAGACAAACTGAACCAAGTGTCAACCATAAAATGTTTAAATTTACCTATAGCCTGGAAACCCCCTCCCCCTGCTTTGAGTTGTCTCACTTTCTAGATCAAACCAATGTATTTCTTAAGTGTATTTGATTGTTGTCTCATGCCTCTCTAAAACGGATAAAACCAAGCTGTTCCCTGACCACCTTGGGCACATGTTCTCAGAATCTCCTGAGGGCTGTGTTATGGGCCACGTTCACTCTTATTTGGCCCAGAATAAAACTCTTCAAATATTTTATAGAGTTTGACTCTTTTTGTCGACACTAATAATTGTTCTGCTCAGTCCTCCAACCATCCAGAACCCAGTTCTTTGTTTTCCTCTCACCAGCTGGATATTTACCCGTGTTAATGTCATCAACCATCCCTAGCTCACTTTTCTACCTTATTCTGGATTCCTCTGTGTTTCCGCACCTCTGGTCAGTGTCTTCCCTCCCCATCCCTATGGTTGCTGACTTGTCTCACACTCTCCAGGACCAACGTCACTCTCTCCTGGCTGGTTTCTCTACCTTTGATTTTATTCAAATCCAGCCTCAACCTTGAAGTCAGAATTACCTTTCTGAAATAAACATGGAATCCTATCACAGCCCTGGCTAATGCCCCAACTTTCTAAAGCGGCAATGTCTTGACAGCTGGGGATTTGAAGAATCACTGAGAGAGAGAAAGGTAAGTTAGGGCCAGAGTCCCTGAGTTTCTTCCACCCTCAGGCAGGAGATTTTATCCATGGGGCAGCCCTTGGGCAATTCCTCTTCTGATGGGTATGCTAGAGAAACATTGTTGGGTAAATGTATTTTTACTTCACCAGAGTAAAAAGTGAAGAATTACTGGCCTAAAGCTGAGTTTTGCAGACATCTGAAGCTATTTCTCAGAGGACAGTCCATATCAAAATTTAACATGTGAAATGTTGTGTCTCTTTCAGTTCATATAGCTTATATCCTGTAAGCATAAGGTTATGCTTAGTTTATATTGATATTCACTTAAGTAATATTTTAAATTAAAATAAATTTTTTTGAGTCAGGGTCTTGCTCTGCCACCCAGGCTTAGAGGGTAGTGATATGATCACAGCTCACTGTAGCCTTGAATTCCTGGGCTCAAGTAGTCCTCCCACCTCAGTTTCCCAAGTAGCTGGGACCACAGACATGCACCACCACACCCAGCTAACTTCTTTTTAAAATTTTTGTGGAGATGGGGTCTCCTTATGTTGCCCAGGCTGGTCTCAAAATCCTGGGCTCAAGAGATCCTCCTACCTAGGTTTCCCAAAGTGCTGTGATTACATGTGTGAGCCACTGCACCTGGCCCTACTTAAGTAATTTTATCATAAAAATCATTTTGTTAACACTGGAGTTCTGTTAGACATGAATCTCTTTAAAAAACAAGGTGAAACTTTACTCAAATTCAGAAAAAAATAAAACCAACTCAAATAACAAAGCTTCTTTAGCACAACAGTTCCTAAACAGCTTAACTCCAATCCACATTTCTAACCTAGTCTTCTATCACCTACATATACCCTAATCACACAGCACTAGTCAATATTGCCAAACAACAATGCACTCTCATTCTTCAAAACTCAGATTAAATATTCCTCTATTCTGAGACGCTGTTTATAAAACCTAAAACCACACCAAAATTTCCCAATGTCTAACCAGAATACTTTATTCAAATTTCTCTTTTGGTATGTTTTACATTTAATTAATTTACACGTCTATTCCTATCATAAGTGATTCTCCAGAAAATCCTTCAAATGAATCAAAATTCATAGTGCCAATATTTTATAAATGTGTGTGAATGTGTGTATAGTGTGCATATACACACACATAAATAATACGTGTATATACATACACAGATATGTTCATATATATATTTGCATTCAACTATTCCTTTGAATTGTTATTCTTTGCTAATTAGATCTTAAATTGACTTAATTTTTCACAGCTTTACTGAGATATAATTCACATATAATTCATGAATTTAAAATGTAAAGCACAATGTTTTTCATTATATTCACAGAGCTGTACAACTATTACCACAATTTGACAATACTTTAATCACCCCCAAAAGAGACCCTATATCCATTGGCAGTTTCTCCCCATTCTTCCAGTCCTAAGCAACCACTAACCAAATTTCTGTCTCCATAAATGTCTTAGTCCATTCCTGCTGCTATAACAAAATACCTTCAAATGGGTAATTTGTAAACAACAGAAATTTATTTCTAACAGTTCTGGAGACTGGGAAATCCAAGATCAATGTGCTGGCAAACTTGGTGTCTGGTGATGGTCTTTCCTTCATACAGTAACTTTTAGCTTTCTCCTTACACAGCAGAAGGGGAAAAAAGTGACAAGCAGGTTCCCTCAAGCCTGTTTATGAGGGCATTACTCCCATGAAGTAATTCACCTCATGAAGGTGGAGTCCTCATAACTCAATCACCCCTAAAAGTCCTACTCATGTACTATTATATTGGGAATTAAGTTTCAATATATAAATTTTGGAGGACATACACATTCAGACCATAGAAGTAAATTAGCCTATTCTGGATATTTCATGTAAATAGAACCACATACTACTTGGTCTTTTGTGACTGGTTTCTTATGTCTAGTATAGTGAGGTCAAGATTCATCTATGTTGTAGCTGGTATTAGTACATCATTCTTTTAATTGCCAAATAATATTGCTTTATAGAGAAAGTATACATTTTATTTATCCATGTGTTAGCAGAAAAAAAATTGGGTTGTTTTCACTCTCTAGCTGTAAAGAGTAACACTACTAAACATTTGTGTACAAATTTTTATGTGGATGTGTGTTTATTTCTTTTGGATATATTGTTCATCTCTGTTGGGTCATATGGTAATTCTATGTTTATCTTTGTGAGAAACTGATGATTTTTCAAAGCAGCTGAATCATTTTGTATTCTCACGAGCAATGTATGAGAATTCCAAATTCTTCATATCCTCACCAACACCTGTTTTCATCTTTTTGATTACAGCCATTCTAGTGGGTATGAATTAGTATCTCATTGGGCTTTGGTCTGTAGTTCCTTAATGACATGATGTTGAGTATCTTTTCATGTGTTTGCTGGCCATTTTTGTATTGTCTTTGAAGAAATGCCTACTTAAATCCTTGGATCATACATCAAGAATAAAAGGACAAATACCTTTTATTTGTTGTCTTGTAAGAATTATTTATATATTCTGCATACAAGTCTCTTATCAGATATATGACGTGCAAATAATTCTCCCATCCTGTATGTTGTCCTTATACATTATTTTTTTCAGTTTTATTCTGATATAATTGACAAATAAAAATTGTATATGCTTAAAGTATACAACATTATGTTTTGATATATCCACATATACTACAAAATGATTTCCAACAAGCAAAATAACATATACTTCACTTCACATAGTTCCCTGTTTTTGTGTGTGGTGAGAATCCTTAAGATTTTCTCTCACAGAGAATTTCAAGTATATACTATTATTAACTATGATTGCCATGACGTACATTCAAGTACATTAGTTTTACAGAACTTATTCATCTCATTACTGCAAGTTTGTACGCTTTGATCAGCATTCCCCTAATACCCAACCCTTGGTAACCACCAGTCTACTCTCTGTTTCTATAAATTTGACTTTTTTAGATTATACATATAAGCGAGATCATGTAGTATTTGTCTTTCTGTGTCTGGCTTAATTCACTTAGCCTAACGTCAAGGTTCATCTATATTGCCACAAATGGCAAGGTTTTTTTTTCAGACTGAATAATATTTCATTACACACACACACAAGCACACACACAGACACACAAGCACATACCCCACACACCATAATTTATTTATTGTATCCATTCATCTGTCAACAGACACATAAGTTGTTTTCATATCTTGGCTGTTGTGAATCACACTACAATGAACATGGGAGTGCAGACGTCTCTTTGAGATAGTGATTTTATTTTATTTTTTTGGAAGGGGGAATTATACCACAAAGTTGGACTGCTGAATCATATATTAGTTCAGTATTTAATTTGTTAAGGAAACTCCATACTGTTTTCCATAATGGCTAAGCCAATTTACATTCCCAAGAGCCTTGTATAAAGAAAGGTTCTCTTTTCTTTACATCTCACCAACATTTGTTACTTTTTGACTATTTAATAAAAGACTGTCTAAGGTGATATCTTATTGTGGTTTAGATTTCCATTTCTCTGATAACGAGTGATGTTCAGCAACTTTTCATATCCTTGTTGGCTGTTTGTATGTCTTCCTTGAAAAAAATGTCTACTAAGATCCTTTGCCCCTTTTAAAATTGGGCTATTTGTTTTTCACTATTGAGTTGTAGTAGTTTTTAAATATATTTTGGGTATTAACCCCTTATTGAATATATGGTATCCAAATATTTTTTCCTATTCCATGGGATGCCTCTTCATTTTATTGATGGTTTCATTTCTTGTGCAGAAAATTTTAGTTTATGTGGTCACTTATTTTTGTTTTTGTTGCTGGTATTTTTGGCGTCATATCCAAAATATCATTGTCAAGACCAATGTCATGAATGTTTCCCTTATGTCTTCTTTGAGTAGTTTTATTGCTTCAAGTCTTACATTCAAATCTTTAAACTATTTTGAGTTTGTGCATGATGTAAGATAAGGATTCAATTTCATGATATCTAGTTTATCCAATACCATTTATCAAAGAGACTCTCTTTTCCCCATTGTGTATTCTTGGTAACTTTGTCAAAGATTACTAGCGCAACATTTATTTCTGAGCTTTATATTCTGTTCCATTGATTTATGTGTCTGTTTTTATGCCTGTACCATACTGCTAATGATGACTATAGCTTTGTAAGATAATTTTAACTCAGGAAGTGTGGTGCCTCCAGCTTTGTTCTTCTTGTTCAATATTACTTTACCTATTCAAGGTCTTTTGTGGTTCCATATGAATTGTAGGATTTTTTTTTTCTATTTTTGTGAAAAGTGCCATTGAGGTTTTGATAAGGGTTGCATTGAGTCTGTAGATGATTTTGAATAGTATAAACATTTTGACAATATTTATTACTTTGATCTATGAACAAACAGGATATCTTTCCATTTATTATGTCATTTTCAAGTTGTTTCATTGATGTTTTATAGTTTTCAGCTTACAGATCTTCCACTTCCTTAATTTTATTCCTAAGTATTTTATTCTTAAAATGCTATTGTAAATGGGATTGTATTCTTAATCTCTTTATTGGACAGTTTGGTTTTAGTATATAAAAACGCCACTGATTTTTGTATGTTGATTTTGTTTCCTGCAAATTTACTGAATTCATTTATTAGTTCTATCAGTTCTTTGGTGGAGTATTTAGGATATACTATGAGATCAAGCCATCTGCAAACAGGGTCAGTCTTTCTCTTTCTTTCTGTTTTTGATGCCTTTAACTTATTTGCTTGCATCATTGCTCTAGCTAGGATTTCTAGTACTATGTTAAGTAGAAGTGGCAAGAATAAGCATTCTTGTCTGGCTGTTGATCACAGAGAAAAAGCTTTCAACTTTTTACCATTGAGGACAATGTTAGCTGTGGGCTTGTGATATATTGCCTTTATTGTGTTGACTTTTTTAAATACAATCAACCCTCGGAATCCACAGGGTATTCTACAGGGGATTGGTTCCATCATCCTTGTGTATACCAAAACCTGCAGGTACTCAAGTACCTGATATAAATGCAATAGCATTTGCATGTAACCTACATATATCCTTCCATATATTTTAAATCATCTCTAGGGCCAGGCACAGGGGCTCACGCCTGTAATCCCAACACTTTGGGAGGCTGAGGTGGGCGGATCACCTGAGGTCAGGAGTTTGAGACCAGCCTGGCCAACATGGTGAAACCCCACCTCTACTAAAATTACAAAAATTAGCTGGGCGTGGTGGTGCATGCCTGTAATCCCAGCTACTCAGGAGGCTGAGGCAGGAGAATCACTTGAACCTGCGAGGTGGAGGTTGGAGTGATTGGAGACTGCACCACTGCACTCCAGGCCCAGCAACAGAGCAAGACTCCGTCTCAAAGAAAAAATAAAAAATAAAAATAAATAAATCATCTCTAGATTACTCTTAATACCTACTATAATGTAAATGCTATGTAAACAGTTATAGAATATGGTTTCTATTTGACTATTTTTATTGTATTATTATTATTATCATTATTATTATTATTATTATTATTTTTGAGACAGAGTCTTGCTCTGTCGCCCAGGCTGGAGTGCAGTGGCGCGATCTCCGCTCACTGTAAGCTCCGCCTCCCGGGTTCACGCCATTCTCCTGCCTCAGCCTCCCAAGTAGCTGGGACTACAGGTGACTGCCACCATGCCCAGCTAATTTTTTTGTATTTTTAGTAGAGACGAGGTTTCACCGTCTTAGCCAGGATGGTCTCGATCTGCCGACTTTGTGATCTGCCTCCCTCGGCCTCCCAAAGTGCTGGGATTACAGGCGTGAACCACTGTGCCCGGCCTATTTTTTAAAATATTTTTTATCTGTGGTGAGTTAAGTCCACTAATGCAGAACCTTTAAATATGGAGAGCCAACTCTATGCAATTTATTGAGAGTTTTTATTATGAAGGATGTTGAATTTTATCAAATATTTTTTCTTTATCTATTGAGATGATCATATGATTTGGGTCCTTCATTCTGTTAATGTGATGTATTACATTTGTTGACTTTTGTATTTTGAAACATCTTTGCATCCCAGGAATAAATCTCACTTAATCTTTGTATATGATCCTTTTAATGTGCTATTGAATTTGGTTTGCTAAAATTTTGTTGAGGATTATTGCATCTACATTTATCAGGGCTATTGGCCTATAATTTTCTTTTCTCATAGTGTCCTTTTCGTCCTTTTCTGGCTTTGGTATAAGGATCATGCTAGCCTCTTTAGTTATATATTCTTAATGGTATTTTTTACAGCACTTACATTTTTAATTTTGATGAACGACAATTAATTTTTTCTTTTGTTTCTAGTGCTTTGGGTGGTGTAGTATCTAAGAAGTCTCTGCCTAGTCCAAGTCTAGAAGATATGCTTTTAAGTTTTTTTATAATTTTTTTATAATTTTAGCTATTACATTTAGGTCTATGATTCATTTTGTTAATTTTTGTCATGGTATAAGGAAAGAGTCAAGCTACATTCATTGGCATATAGACATTCAGTTGTTCCAGCACCATTTGTTAAAGAGATTATTCTTTCTTCATTGAACAGTCATAGTACCCTTGTTGAAAATCAATTGAGCATAAATGTAAGGGTTTATTTATGAAATGCCAATTCTGTTTCATTAATCTATATGTTTCTCCTTATGCCAGTACCACAGTGTCTTGATAACTGTAACTTTGTAGTAAGTTTTGAAATTAGAGAGTGTATCTCTTTCAACTTTGTTCCACCTTTTCAAGACTGTTTGACTATTCTTGATCTCTCACATTTCCATATGAATTTCAGGATCAGTTTCTCAATTTATTCAAAAAAGCTAGCTAAGCTTTTAATATAATCTGAACTAAATAGATTAATTTGAGGACCACTGGTATTTTAAGATAACAATTCTTAACAATATTAAGAATTATCATCCATTAACATAGCACATCTTTCCATTAATTTAGGTCTTCTTTAATCTTCCCCAACAATGTTTTATAGCGTATAATAAATAAAGTTTTCAGAGTATAATAAGTTTCTTTCGTTAAATAGATTCTTAAGTCTTTCAGTCTTTTTGATGCTATTATAAATGAAATTATTTTCTTAATTTCATTTTCTGATTGTTCATTGTTAGTGTATAGACCTACAACTGCTTTGCGACCATTGATCTTATACTCTGCAAACCTGCTAAATTCTTTAGCTTTAATAGCTTCTTTCTGAGGGTGGTTCTTAGTATTTTCTATTTATAAGTTTATTTTATCTGCCAATAGATGTAGTTTAACTCCTGGATTTTCAATATAGATACCTTTTATTTATTTTTATTGCCTAATTGCCATGGCTAAAACCTCCAGCATGGTGCTGAATAGAATTTGAGAATAGACATTCTTGTTTTTTCCCTGATCTCAGGAAGATTGAACTATTTTTTCTTTAATCAAGGTAGAGAAAGTTACTTTGTAGCCTTTCATAAGATACCTACTTGCTTTTGTTTTTGAAGAAAAAATGAGTAATAAATATTAATTTATTAATTAAAAACCATTTGTTTAGAAGTTCTGTTTACTTTCTTATTTAGGGTAAAATATATCCCATTTTATTCCAAATAGGTACGAAGAAAGTTGTACGTGGATTTCATCATGGGTCCACAATTTATTCTCTGAGAAGGGTCAAAACATACAATGCCTTCTCTAGAAAGGTTTTCCTATCAAATCCATACAGACCAGGCTATAAGGCCCTAGACATGTCTTCTCTCATTGTCCATTTTCAATCATCAATAAAGAAATCTTGATTCCATATTTGGGCATAATTCTGGATTTAGAAATATAGAGTATATTAAACCATTTGACTGGTTGAGGTCCTGAAATTTTTCCTTCAGTGTAATTAAAAAAAATTAAAGTATGGTCTGACTCAGAGAGAGGAGATATTCCTAAATTTAGAAGTCCCTAATACAGTCTTTTATTAGACTATGAATATGTTTAGAGCATATGACTTGTTAATCTTTATAAACTGATATATAGGAAAATGCCTGATGAAAACTAGATGTTCCATTGATTTTTTTAAAAGTATAAATGAATCCATAAGCAAATGAACCGCTATTCCCAATGGATCTTTCCAGATGACTTCTTGGACAACATGAGCTCCTCAAACATTGTCAGTAGCTGAATTTTCTCTTCAAATGAGAATTCATCAGTAAGCCCTTGTCTCCAGCAACTGCTAAATAGGTTGGAATTAGAAAATACAACATATTAAATGAACAAGATATAGCAAATATGTGACCTGGAGACAAGGGGATGCCCAATACCCTGCAAAAACAAACAAAACAAAAGTAAAAGGAAATACTAATTTTATATAATGTTGTTCAAGGAAATACTCAAATCCCATATTTGCTTTCTTCATTGTAACATTTTTGCTGACAATATTTTGCCCAATAGTTTTCCAGATAATTCAATTCAATATAATTCACATAAAGTCCCCTGTGTAGATATTACACACAAGGAAAATAAGAAAATAACACTCTGCGAATGCTTCAAACCGTTGAGCAAAGTTTCAAATTGTTTTTCACTTGCACTTCTTTCAGGAGTTTAGTTTCAAAAACATGACTGCCCTCTTAACATATTCTGGTATGGTGAAAAACAGCCCAAAGATTTTCAGGTTTTATTCCTTGGAATGTGCAAATGCTACCTAATAAGGTAAAACAGATTTTGCAGATGTGATATTGAGATGGTAAGTGTGGTGTTACGATTTATATTGGTGTTCATCCAGGTTTCCTGGCTTATAACTCCCATAGTCCTTGATACAATCTTTTGTTACAATGTTGGGTGTGTTAGGCCTCAGGAAACAGAATCTCTCCAACCTTCTCCTACCCTCCTTTCACCTGCTCCAAGGCAGGACTCTAATCTTCTCCAAAATTTATGATTGTGGGTGTTAAGACCCTCCCCAGAGAGGGTCCTGCCCTATATCCTGTGGAAGGAATGCTGACTTCATGAAACTTCCATAAAAACTCAAGAGGACCAGGTTCAGGGAGCTTCCAGATAGCTGAACACATGGAAATTCGGGGAGGGTGGTGTGCCCAGGGAGAGCATGGAAGTTCTGTCCCCCTACCCCCATGCCCCTCTTGTCTCTTCATCTGTATCCTTTAGAATAAGCCAATAAATGTAAGTAACTATTTCCCTTAGTTCTGTGAACTACTCCAGCAAATTAATCAAACCCAAAGTGGGAGTCGTGGGAACCCCAACTTGAAGCCAGTTGGTCAGAATTTTCAGAGGCCCAGAGTTGCAACTGGTGCCTGGAGGTATGGGAGGCAGTTTTAGGTTCTGAGCTGCCAACCTGTGGGATCTGATATTATCTCCAGATAGACAGTATTAGAATTGAATTGGAGGACAACCAACTGGTATCTGCTGCTGGGTGTGTGGGGGAAAAACTCCCATACATTTGGTCACAGAAGTATTTTTCTGTGTTGATGATTGGTGTTGTGTTGGTGTGTGGGCAGAGGAAAAACACAGTCAGCGTGTTTTTCCCTGCACAGAAAGGTTATCCTAAATTGTCCACACAGGTCAGGTAGTCGTAAGTGTTTTTATAAGGAGTCAAAAGGTTTGCTGCAGAAGAAGAATCCAATGTGATACTGAAGCCAGATGCTATGCCACCGGATTTAAAGACACAGGAAGAGGCCATGAGCCAAGGAATGCAAGGAATGCAACTCTAGAAAGGGGAAAAGGCCAGGAAAAGCTTTCTTCCAAAGCCTTTGGAGTGAGCATGGCCCTGACTACACCTTGACTTTGACCTAGTGAAACAGATTTTGAACTTCTTACTTACCTTCAGAACTGTGAGAGAATAACTGCATTGTTTTATGCCACCAAGTTTGTAGTTTTGATAAAGTAGTCATAGGGAATGAATTCACATATGTGAATTAAAATTAGTTATTCATAAGCATAATTTACAATCTGTGTTTTGTGAGCCATTATTGAGTATGTGTGATTTGCTGACACTCTGCCAGCTGTTTGTGATGATAGAGTGATGAAGTGTTCATGGTCCATCTCTCAGGGGGCACACAGCCCTCTGTGGCAGCATGGATTAGCAATAAGATAGGTAAAATAGGAGAAGTATAGGACCGAGAATGTATATCTTGCTAACAAACATTAAGCGGCAAGCTCCTCTCCTAGTGGGTTCTAGGGGTTGGGGAGTCAGGAAAGGGCTGCCGGGCAAGACTGTCTGTGGTTTTTCAAAAAGGGTGACATTTCTAATACAAGTTCAGAAAGGTTATTAGGAATCAACTAGAGAATTAAGTTGCAAATTAAATTAAATTAAAGTCACAGCAGGAGGAAAGTAGATAGGTACAGAAGGCAAAAGACCCCTGCCAGCAAATGGTATATATTGAGATATTCTAGAACCCAGGACTGCTGGAGTTCAGAGTGGGGTGGATGAAATATGAGGCTTCAGGCATTAAACAAGGTTAAAATCAAAACCACGGTAGATATCATCTCACTCCAGTAAAAATGGCTTTTATCTAAAAGACAGGGAATAACAGATGCTGCTGAGGATATGGAGAAAGGGGAACCCTCGTACACTGTTAGTGGGAATGTAAATTAGTATAATCATTATGAATAACAGTATGGAGTTTCCTTAAAAAACTAAAAATAGAACTACCATATTATCCAGCAATTCCAGTACTGAGTATATATTCAAGAGACATAAAGTCAATATAGCAAAGGGGTATCTATACTCCCACTATTTTCAATAGCCAAAATATGGAATCAGTCTAAGTGTTCATCAGTGGATGAATGTATAAAGCAAATGATAATGACAGGAGGCAGACAAATCCTAGGCAGACAGGGACAGGTCCCCAGTGAAATCTGACCTTCAAGCTGAAGACAGTCCTGGGTAAATTCTCGGACCAGATTGAGAACCTCTCTGACTGTGTGCTGTGCTTTCCACCGATCGATCCCCACCCTTCACCTATTTTACATATACCTACCCTTTCCTAATTGGTTTTCTACACTGTTGTGCCCACCTTTGAGTGGTGCCTTTGTTTTAGCCTCTTTTTGCATACTCAAACCAATCAGTACACACGCCCCATTCTGAACACATAAAAGCCCTGGACCCAGCCACACTGAGGGAGAGATGACCTGACTTCAGGTGGGGGGCACCTTGGCATCCCATCTCTGCAGAGAGCTATTTCATCACTCAGTAACATTATTCTCTGTCCTTTTCACTCTTCGATTATCAGTGTATCCTCATTCTTCTTTGATGTGGGACAAGAACTCAGGACCCACCAAAAGTGGGGGCTGAGAGCTCAATTGCAGTGGCTACAGGATAAGCACCAGAGTACAAGCCAGGCACAGCCTGGCAGACTGAGTAGATGGGGTATCTCCTGCAGCAAAGCTGGCAAAGGGGCCAAGAAAAATCCTGCATCAAAAATGTGGTATAGCTGGGCATGGTGGTTCATGCCTATAAACCCAGCACTTTGGGAAGCCAACAGGGGTGAATCACCTGAGGTCAGGAGTTCAAGACCAGCCAGGGCAACATGGTGAAAACCCATCTCCAGTAAAAATATAAAAATTAGCTAGGTGTGGTGGCAGGTGCTTCTAATCCCAGCTACTTGGAAGGCTGAGGCATGATAATCACTTGAACCCAGGAGACAGTGGTTGCAGTGAGCCCAGATTGCACCCCTGCACTCCAGCCTGGGTGACAGAGCTAGACTCCATCTTAAAAAAAAAAAAGTGAGACATATACACAATGGAATATTATTCAGCCACTATACAGAATGAACTCCTGTCATTTGCAGCAACATTGATTGAACTGGAGGTCATTATGTTGAGTGAAATTAGCCAAGCATAGAAGGACAAATATCACATGTCCTCACTTATATGTGGGAGCTATAAAAGGAGATGTCATAAAAATAGAGAGTAGATTGGTGATTACCAGAGCCTAGAAAAAATAGGAGGGATGAAGAGAGGTTGATTAACGGGTACAAATATATACTTAGGAAAAAATAAAATCTGGTTTTCAATAGATCAGTAGAGTGACTCTAGTTAACATTAACCTATTGTACATTTCAAAATATCTAGAAGAGTAATTTGAATGTTTCCAGCATAAAGAAAAGATATTTAAGGTGATGAATGTTCTACTTAACCTGATATGATTATATGAGTGTTTCAAATTATCAGTTGTATGCAGAAAATATGTAAATCTTTTATAATGATTAAAAAAAGGAGGGTAAAATCATGAAGGGCTTGTATCCCATTCTAAGGGGTCTGGGCAATGGGTTGCCATTTGAGGTTTTAAAATCTACGGGAGTGATAATCAGATTTGCCTTTTGGAAAGATTCCTGTCCTTGAAATGGGAGAGAGGCTGGCCAGAAGAAGGACTGAGTGAGGACAGTGGATGGGCCACCACTGCAGTGAATCTACAATAAACATAAAGTAGCCTGAACTAAGGCAGAGCAACAGGGCTGGAGAAAAGTGGATAGAAGAGAGAAACAGCTCTAACACAGCAATATTATATGAAGTTTATATCTATGGTCATGTTAAAACAAACAAAAGTAGCAAAAGAGGCAAAATCACAACACGAAAACATAGAAACATATTCTTTATCTTGTCAATGCAAATCTCCTTAGCCCAGACACTATTATTCTTCCCCAAGTGGTGAATTGAAGAGCCTTTCAATGTCTTGGTAAATAAACATAAAGGTGTAAAGGATTTAGGCAATGAGTCATTTGGCAAGAATTTCATATAACTAAAAAGTTTCTATTTCTTTCTGGGAGAGAGGATATAATATAATTATTCAGTCCCTTCCATGAACTGGACTTATGAAGACTGTTCACAATAGGTTAATACATGTGTCCTGTCTTTGATATCCACAAATCTTTGCCAGGACACTGTATATATAAAATGCTGTCTTAGGTCAGTTGCAGTGGCTCATGCCTGTAATTCCAGCAGTTTGAGAGGCCTTGGTGGGAGGATCGCTTGAGCCCAAGAGTTTGAGACCAGCGTGAGCAACATAGGGAGACCTCAACTCTACAAAAAATAAAAAATAAAAATAAAAAATTAGCCAGTAGTCCTAGATACTCAGGAGGCTGAGGCGGGAGGATCACTTGAGCCCAGGACTCTGAAGTTGCAGTGAGCTATAATCATGCTACTGTAATCTAGCCTAGGCTACAGAGGAAACTTTGTCTCAAAAATAAAGTAAAATAAAATAAAATAAAATGGTTAATTTTGAACCTAGACCTGGAATTAGAAAAAAAAAGCTCTTTTAATCACCTTGATTAATAAAGATGTAATTTTCAGTCCCAAGCATGTTCTCCCAGCTCAACCAAAATAAACTTGTTCATATAGAGTTGTAAGAGAAATATTTCAATTATTTAAAATTCAATACATACACAGCAAATCTAAACTTTCTAAATACATTAATATTAAATTCACTTTTCCAGTGATTGCAAACATGTAAATATTTATTTCTTAAATCCAAAAAGAGATTCTTTAGATTATGATGATTATTTTGCTTTGTGTTCTATCTATACCTACTTATATATTACAGTAAATTAATGAAATTATAAGTGTTAAATTGCAAATGCTAAATTACATGTGGATGATATACTAATGAAAATAATTCATTGCCTACAAATCAATTATGATTTATCTGGAATCAGATAGAAAACATTATATTTTCATTTCATAATTTGATGAATGAAAGCTTATTCACATTTTTGTCACTGGATCACTTGAAAAAATCATTCCTTCTGCATTCTTCCATTGTTTCAAAAACATTGCTTATCCACTAGCAGCAATGTAATTTCATTTCCTCTATTCCCAAACTATACATCGAGGGCAAAATAGAACAAGGTTTTCTGTGCTCTTTGTGTTACACAGGTGGCTTCTCTATGGATCTGCTTTTGTTATACACAGCTGTTCTACCCAAGGGGCTGTTAAAACATGTGCATACACTGCACGCACACTTCAGAACCTGTATATGGGCATATGTGTGTTGACTCTTATCTAAACTATCCTTTCCATTCATTCAGCCAACAGATACTGAGAGCCTGTGTGGGGCCAGAGCCTGTGATAGGTATTGGGGATGGAGAAATAAACATGATACAATCATGAATTTCAATGAACTCTCAATTTAGTAAGAGAAATAGAGATCTACATGGATGTTTTAAATAAAGTTAAATGTAGTGTTACAAAAAAACACAAGAGCGGAAGAAAGGAAAATACTTCCTGCAATGGGTAGCACCTGATCTTAACCCAGAGGATGAAGAGTCCCATGACAGGAGGAAAAAGGGCATGCCAGGTGAAGTACATCCTCATGGAAGTCCTCGAGGGTCCAGCTGAGGAGCTGCTACATAAAGAGACCAGGAAAGACTGCAAGCAGGCCCATGGCTTGGACACATTTTCGTGTCAGTATGATGGCTGATGGCTCCTGGCATGACAGATATCAGGTGGATAAGTCAAGACAGAACAGCATAACATCAGCATGTGCAGAAGATAGAAAAAGGAAAGGAAAAGACAAGACATACTTTGGAGACAAAATTACCACAACCCGATGATTCAGTCATGTTTTCAAAAACATGTTTTGAATGTCTATGAAATTTCTGACACTGTAGGTGTTGTGGATACAGCAGTTGAAAATAAATAAAAGACATTTTTAATAAGTTTCCACTCTCCTGGAACTTTATAATCGACTGCAGGGAGAGACAATAAGCACTCATTTCTAAAAAGTAAATATATAATGTGTCAGTTGGTGATTAAGTGCTATGAAAAAACATAAAGACTGGCAAGGGAAATAGGAAGTGATGAGGTGGATCAATTATTAGAGGAATCAGAAAGACTTGATATGAGGGGATATTCAGCAGAGACCTGAATGAAAGGAGAGATGAAGGCAGGGCCAGGGAGAGATAAAGCTCAGTGTATTGGCATGCTAGAGTACTTTTTTGTCCTGTTCTTTGAAAAAAAAAAAAAAAAAAAAAAAAACACTGATATAAGAAACATGGTTGGAAGTGGCTCACCTCAAGAATCTGAATTTTGTCACGGGATATTTTGTTGCCCAATTTAGGTAGTCCCTTCATTGGACCTGTTGTCACACAGATGGAGACGACACCATGCACTTTTGCATCAGGCAGTGATGGAACTCATTAAGAGCCAATAGGGGCTGACAGAACTTAGAGACAAACTCCATTTTAAAGTTTTTTAAAAAATAAATTGTGATTTTAATATTTCTCCTCATTGTGATACTCCGAAAGCCAAGCAGACTGGGCTGTGATTATCAATGGTTTGAGTTATCCATGGAATCCATTAGTATGGATAACTCAGAATTTATGGAGTTGTGTTCCCACAGTTATGTGTATCCAATAGGGGCCATATAGAACACATTATGCTTGATGAGGAATAATTATCCTCATGAAGAAGTCTCCCTGATGTCATTGTAGGGAATCCTGCTCATGTCTAAAATGCAAATGGGAGACAAAGTCCAAGTAAAGATTTAAAAGGGGGAAGCACTTACCATTCTTATTGGGAGATCCAGATTTAGGTCATTATCCTGTGTCTCAGTTTGCCCATGATAATAATTTTTTTTTTTTTTTTGAGACAGGGTCTTGCTCTGTCACCTAGGCTAGAGTGCAGTGGCACGATGTTGGCTCACTGCAATTTCCGCCTACGAAGTTCAAGTGATTCTCCCACCTCAGCCTCCCAAGTAGCTGGGATTACAGGCACCTGCCACCACACCTGGCTAATTTTTGTATTTTTAGTAGAGATGGGGTTTTGCCATGTTGGCCAGGCTGGTCTTGAAGTCATGGCCTCAAGTGATCCACCTGCCTTGGCCTCCCAAAGTGCTAGGATTACAGGCATGAGCCACTGCACCTAACCTATAATATAATTCTTAATAGTGAGCTAATTCATATACATATATACATATACTTAGAGGCAGGGTCTCATTCTTTCACACAGGCTGGAGTGCAGTGACACAATCATGGCTCACTGAAGCCTTGACCTCCCACAAACTCAAGTGATCCTGCCACCTCAGTCTCCCAAATAGTTGGGACCACAGATGCATGCTACCATGCCTGGCTAATTTTTTATTTTTTCTAGAGGCAAGTCCTCCCTATGTTGACCAGGCTTGTCTCAAACTCTTGGGCTCAAGCGATCCTCCCACCTATGCCTCCCAAAGTGCTGGGATTACAGGCATGAGCCACAGTGCCATACCCCAATTCATGGATGGATATATATATATACACACACACACACTAAGTCTTTATTAGTAACCATTAAAAGATTTTTTTTTCTTTGATAGACAAGTATATGTCATATCCCTAGAAGTGACACAATAAGGTATTTTCACTCGCTATTTTTTTTAAAAAACCTTTTTTTGAAAATACATACTGTGAAAGTAGCTTAATACAAGTACCATAAAAGTTATGAGGCTACAGTAAATTTTGATTAAAGCATGATTTTCATCTGGTGAAAGTCTCTTAGATTCCCTAATAGCTTTTGCTATGGCATTGCAAATTGGTTGAATTACAAATGTCTCCTCTTGTTTCAAGATGTTTTCATTTCTAACCTGAAATGATTATTTTCTAAATTAAAAAACCCTCCACAAATTCATGCAAAATTACGGATGAATGACAGATAACATATAGAAAAGACGACTTGCATTTGGAATAATCTTGTCAATTCTATCTCTAAATTACATCTTAAAATTACTTCTGTATTTCTTTATTGCCACCACCCTAGTCTAACCTACCATCATGTCTTTCCTTGATTAACTACATGAGTTTCCCAGCAGCTTCCTTCCCCCTTTTAAGTCAGTCTGTAGACAGTAGTCAAAAGTGATCTTTAAAATCTCTAAATTGGATAACATTACTTACCCCACTTCCAAGCTGATGACTGCCGTTAAATTATATTCATATTCCTTGGCTTGTCTCACAAGATTCCACATACTTCTTCAACTTCACTTCACACAGCTCTCTCCTCACTCTCTACACTCAAACCACAGGGTTTTCGTTTTATCCAAAACACCTTTCCTAGCTTTTATCTTCTGGACACCCCACTAACTAAAACAACCTTGTTATGTGCTTTGTACATCTGCCTCCTTCTTACCTTTCACATCTTAGATTTATGTCACTTCAGTGAAGGCTTCCCTAAAGTCTATCGAAAAATTTTCTATTCAGCATCCTCAGAGCTAATCAAAACTTGAAATTCTTTTTATGTATTTGTTCTATTTCTATCCCCCTCTGGACAGTAAACTCCACAAGTTTCTGACTTCTCCTTAACTGTACACTCAAGTCATAGATGTCCAGGTACATAGCAGATGGTCAATAAAAACGTTTTGTTCAAATGAATGAATAAACCAATGCGCACATACAAGCTAAAAAACAAAGATTAGCATCACCTTAAAATGGGTCCATTACTTTCTTGTGATGTATTTAATGTTTCTGAAAGTCAAATCACTTAAAAAATTAATGTAGACTAATCTAGGAAGCCTATATAAAGCAATGAGAGTATTAATTTAAAAGTCATTAAATCTCATTGTATAATGATATGGGTATATCTTAAATAAAGATAGCTAGTACACTGGCAATAAAGAAGAACTATCATTTACTTAGCTTGTACATTATAATTGAATTTGATTTTCTGGTATTACTGAGAACGTTTATTAGTACACAAAACCTTGATGACTAAGACCAAAATCTACCCATTTGTTTCTAGACTTGTTTATTCTTTTTAAAAAACTAGTAAAAAAAAAAAAAGAAAGAAAGAAAAACAGAGCAGGAAATTCAGAGGCTCCATTGTAATGATTGGTTTCAGCCTGTTTCACCAATTTTCACCCCAGCTGTATTTAACCTCCATTTCTTTTTCCATACACCCAGATCTTTCAAATTCTCCCAATTAAGGTTCAAAAACAGTATTTTCCCAGATTAACATCTGACAAAACTCTCTGAGATTGTCTCTTGTTTTTTTCCTATAGTTTTATTCTATTAACTTGGGTATACTTATACTTTATATAGTAAAACTGTTTTTTGTTTTTTTTTGTTTTTTTTTTTTTGAGACAGAGTTTTGCTCTCGTTGCCCAGGAAAGAGTGTAATGGCACAGTCTGGGCTCACTGCAACCTCTGCCCCCCGGGTTCAAGCAATTCTGCCGCAGCCTCCCGAGTAGCTGGGATTACAGGCATGCGCCACCACGCCCGGCTAATTTTGTATTTTCAGTAGAGACAGGGTTTCTCCATGTTGGTCAGGCTGGTCTTAAACTCCTGACCTCAGGTGATCCGCCTGCCTCGGCCTCTCAAAGTGCTGGGATTACAGGCGTGAGCCACCGCGCCTGGCCTTTATACGGTAAAACTTTTAAAATCAACTTTTTCATTGATTTTTTTTTTTCTCAACTACATTAGAAGACACTCAAGTTCTGATGCCTTCTATGTATATGGTCAGAGCATGAAAAAACAGCATGGAACATATTTGTTTGTATTTGGCTTTGGCTTTCTCAGTGAAGTGGAGCAGCAGTGCTGACCACCAGTAAACAGGCGGCTAATAAACAAAGGTGAATTAGAGAATGAAGTGAGTCAGGGATCCAGCACCATCACATTCCAGATAATCATTGAGATACAGATGTATGCATTTCATCTGTCCATATTTTATGAGAGACAATGTGTTATTGACAAAGGAAAATTAAAACAATTATTATAGAGCAGAGCTATTAATTCTAGACCTGAGACAAACCTCCCGAGCTGTGTGTGAGTGTTCTCATCTGTTACTCTCCATCCATCTCCTTACCAGAGCTGCTGCAGAAGGAGGGGTCAACAGGTCTTCCATTTTTATCAGAACAGGCTACTGCTCGAAAGCGCAGGCCTTCTCCACATTCTTTGCTGTCTGCTTGTACCCGCAGTCCTCGGTGAGGCTCCCTTCTGCCTTCTGGAAGAATGCAATCTGACCAGTTTCCATAAGGTTGGGATATAAATTCATCACAAGGACATAGTTCTGTCTCCACTAGAGGGTAAAGGTCAGAATCCTGGCATTTCTCCTTCTTTCTGCTTTTCCCTGTTCCAACAAGAGACATTAAGATATTAAATGCTTATCTGCTGTTTTGTTAAAAGTCACTCACACTTTTGTATTTGTAATCTTTTAGAATATTAAATAAAATAAAGCCTTTGTTTTCTTCACTCTTTTGTCATGAAAGTAAATCCTGAGACAACGGAAACAACTCCCAGAACAACTGTGAAATTCAAGTTAATTTGAAAAAAGTAGAAAATGGTTTAATGTTTGAGAGTGGCATAAAATATTTAGAAGATGTTTGCTACAGCTAGAGAATTCCAGTTAATTTATTTAACATTTTCTCTGTAAGTTTGCTGGAAAAAACATACTGATAACCCTGTCCCCATTCTCCTTGACTAACGATCGCCAGGGAACCAATGAAAGCATCTAAGTGGTTAACTCCCTCTCTTCTTAGTAGAGGTCTCTTGCAATGTGATGGACAAAGTTAAACTCATTTTGGTCTCTGCCATCAGGCAGCTCCCAAACATTTATACAAACAATAAATTGAAATAAATGATCAAGTCATACTGGATAATTTAATCAGAGAAAAAGCTCTTTCATTTTGAGAGATTCTTCTAACTTAAGTATTCTGAAATATGACTTTACCTTACCAATTCACTTTGATGGACCTGTTAGTTTTGGTCCTATCTCTGAGTAAGACAATGCAGTGTCATTTTTCACAGCTGTAAACACTTGGTAATCATGTTTAGTGGATTCTAAATCAGCCTGTAACTTGATTCAACTTTGCTGTTAACACAATTCCTCTGGATTACTAAAAATTTTCCTAGATCTAATAATTCCACCTTTTGTTTTCTCATTAATGAGTCATTAGCTAGAGTCATGGCTGGTTATAAAATATATAGGCAGTTTTATTGGTCTATTTTTTGTGTTTATGGCTTTTCTGAAATGCCTGATACAAGCTGATGCATGGGCTACTTTCTCATTGCCACATGGTTTGCATTACATACAATTCTAGAGTTGCTGATGGGATGATTGGCTCTATGGTCTGCCATGATGCTTATGTTTGCAATAAATAAGAATTTCTAAGCTGGGCATGGTGGCTCACATCTGTAATCCCAGCACTTTGGGAGGCCACTGGGGGAGGATTACTTGAGATCAGGAGTTCGAGACCAGACTGGCCAACATAGTGAAACCCCATCTCTGCTAAAAATACAAAAATTAGTCAGGTGTGGTGGCACGTGCCTGTAATCCCAGCTACTCAGGAGGCAGAGGTAGGAGAATCACTTGAACTGAGGAGGTGGAGGTTGCAGTGAGCTAAGATCGCATCACTGCACTCTAGTCTGGGCGACAGAGCAAGATGCTGTCTCAAAAAAGAAAAAAAAAAAGAATTTCTGCAGGACCTGAAGTTGAGCTGGTAGTAGATTCAGCTACACTTCTGATAGAAGATATTCACTTGCCTCTACCATTAGGACACTAGAATAAGTTTGAAAAGCACAGCTTCCACCACAGCCATGAAAATTTACTGGCTGAGAGATATATCAATAATTAGTGAGGGGCTCCTTCCTATTAGCATTTAGCAGGTTCAAGACCTCCCTTTTTTCAAACTTCCATAAAATATTGTTGAATCTCTCAGTCTTCATCTCTTCAGTTTCATTTCTCTTCTAAACCCACTTAACCCTGGATTCTGTCTACTTATTTCTGGAAACCACTGTTATCAAGCAACAAACAAACAACAACAAAAACAAGAAACAAAGCCAAAGCCCTGGAATATCTTTTATTCCTTATCTTTAAGGTCTAATCACTCAATGATAGTTCAGAGTATTGACTACACTTTCATTCTCGAAATATTCTTTCCAAGTTCCATCGTAACATATCTTTTTGTTCCTCACCCTCACCCCATGCCCCCACCTCTCTCTTGCCATATATTATTTATTTTTACTTGGTGAACTATTCTTCTTCTCTACCTCCCTTAAACTGATGGGGTTCCCCAAGGCAACATCTTAGGTTCATCTCTCTTCTGATCCTACAACTTCACCCATTTGAAGAGTGTTAATTATCATACATATTTCTTCAATTTTAAATGACTGTCTTCATCCAAGATTTCTTGCTCAAGCTTCCAATCCATAGACTGAAAAATCTACATCTAAAGAACCAATCACACCCATTCTCTTTACATCACAATGTTTCTTTCTCCTGCGTTTCTCAATTCTACCAATATCACCAAGTTAAAAGTTGGAATGCCCTGAATTATTCTGTTGAACCCCCTATATCTGATTAATGACAAAGGTATATCACTTCAAATGCATAAAGATTCATTGCATCAGTCCATTTGTTTCCATTCCAATGGGTGTCACCCATATTTAGCCCCACCTGCAAATCTCCAGCTGAAATTACAGCAGATTTCTCCAAGATCTTGATGCCATCATACCTCACTACCTTCAATCTGTCCACCACATTGCAGTCAGAGCCAGCTTTCAAAGTACAAATCTGATCAAATCACTGGTCTACTGAAAACTCTGAAGTGGCTTACCATAGTACAGAATGAAATCCAGACTCCTCTCCTAGGGTCATCAAGGACCTATATGATTTGTGCCCATTTGTATCTGCCTCTAGCCTACATTGTACCACTCTGCCGCTAGCATGTTACGATACAGTCATAGTGAGCCTCTTTCAGATCCTAGAAATTACTCATTTTGCTTCTGGCCTTTGTATGTTTACTCCAGAAATTTCCACAATTTCTACCCACCTTCCTTAGGCTAGCTAACGCCTACTTCTCCTTCAGATCAAAACTCATGGGTTACTCCCTCCAGAAAACCATCCTTGAACATGGAAGAGTGGTTAGAGAAATGCAATGTTGCTGGCTTTGAAGACGGAGGGAGGGGAACATGAGCCAGGGACTTGCACAGCATCTACAAGCTTGAAAATGAAAGGAAACAATTGTCCCCTGAAGCCTCCAGAAAGAAATGCAGCCTTACCAACATCTCATCTTTATTTAGATCTGTGAAACACTACAGATCTGTAAAATAATAAATCTGTGCTGCTTTAAGCCAGCAATGTTGTGGTAATTTGTTACAACAATAGGATTTGTTTGAATACCGCTCCCAATACAACAGCAACTATAGCAGAAGCTGTACTGTAATTATCTCCAGTAAAAATCTCACCGTATCTCCAATTAGATCGCAAGCTCTGTTAAGTTAGGATCGTGTCTACTGATTCCCTTGAGGCCATCACCAAGGACTAGCACATATAAGTGGTAAACAAAAAAATATTCATTGAATAATTGAGAAAAGGAAGTTGTGAAAAAAAGAAAAAGATCAAGATAAAGGAGAAGGGGGAAGGAGAAAAAAGAGAAAGAGAGGGAGGAGGAGAAAAAAGAAAAATAATGTTCATCTACAAGGTGACCAGAAGTTATTAGCAAACAAATATTCTGTACAAATATATGCTGCCTCTATGTTTATGATATCCTTCTTAATTATATAGCATCACTGTTTGATGAAGGATTTAAGCAAGTTAATGCAGAAATGGTTGTCACAATAAGAAACAAATTATCAGTGATCCTTTACTTTGATTATATACTAATCAAAATCAGCATTAACCTTTGGATTCAGAACAAGTTAATATTAAAAATCAATCCCTAGTACAATTCTAAAGACTTTTTCTTCCTTAAGTCAGAATATGTAGTAGTTATCTAGTTATTATAAATAAATATTTATATATTATATCTCATATAATATATATAAAACCTGGACAGGTTTTCTATCTAATAAATGGAATATTTTTTGGCATTCTATTAACAATTGTTTTAAATACTATTGAGTCTAAAACCTGTGATGACATAGTTTGGGTACAACATACAGAACGCTCAGTGAATTAAAGCCTGTTACAAATGGACAAAAGAAAGTTAAATATCCTGTATGGCCCCATATTCAATGAAGTGGCTTGTATTTATGTTTATATGTTTCAGTGTGTGTGTTTGCATTAAAGAGAGAAAGAATCACATGGCTTTGGAGTTTGAGTACAAGACTTTCAGCAGCATTCATGTTAGAGATTGTTTATTGCATTTACTACCAAATTACTTAGAGATAACAAAATACAAGCATTAGTTTCATGACAATAAAAATAAGTCTTGAAAAGTGAAAATATTTCAATTCATTAGTGGGATTTTTTTCCAACAGTGATATTAAATGATTCATTTTACTGTTTTATTTTTTTTAAAAAAACTCATGTATTTCATGAAATTGCTAACTTGTTTTGGTGCCACGTAGACATAAAGATACACAAAGGTCAATTAGCCACCTGAAAGTACAGCAGTTAATAATTTAGAAAAGAAATTTCAAACAGTCTTTTAGTATGAGTAATTTTTAGAGTTTGCAGAAAAAAATGTACAGCTATTCTTCAATATTTATATAAAAGGAACATTTTCAATAAAAGTCAAATTCATTAGAGTTTCAACAATTCATAACAAAAATGGTACTGGTTGTAAAATGAATAAATATCCTAGGATTTTCAATATTTTCCATTTTCATTATGTAGGTGTAAACTATCATGAATAAACTTTCAAGAAAAAAGAAAAAAACTGGCCACTAATTAAAAACTTCCCTTTCCTCTACAGGGAATTCTCTCTCATCTCAAGTATATAAAGAGTTGCCAGAGTAATGGCTTCCGATGCGTTATGTTTGTACAGGCAAACAAAGTTTCATTCATTGGCCCCTGAACTTCAACTATTCCTGTCACATACATTCTATCTCACTGTGTTGTTTTTCTATGAGAAATTTGTTGTATCTTAGAAACAAGCAATGTTGCATAAAATCATGTGGCACAAATTTTTGTGGAAGATAGGGCATGAAGTACAGCATTTCTTGTTTGGTGTTCTGTTTATGGTTATGCATTTCACCTACACTTACAAATGGACTCCCAGTTTGTTTGCAGAAATCCTGTTAAAGCCTCTAGCAGATTACTTAAATCCATAATGGTGATTTAAATTCAAAATGTGATCAGGTAAGCAATGCATTCAGACAAAAGGGTCTTGAAACCAACAGAATTAGCCCTTCAACTGCTCATGAGAACAAATGGTCATCTGTGCTTAATTCTTCAATGTCAACACCAATTTCATTATCTCAGTGATTACTCTGGCATTTTCCTTTGGTTCTCCATTTTCTGCTTATACAAACACATAAGAAGTTAAGAGAAGTTGTGGCATTTTTATCTAGGCACGTAGTAAAATACACTATTGCATCAATTATTTGCATACTGCAGGCAAAAATTGCCCCAGGAATTCAATTAAACAATTAGTTGCTTTAATTCCCATTAAATTTTTGCAGCTGAAAACAGAACTCATAATTAATAATATACCACAAAAGCAGAATGAGTATATGTAATTTGATTTTTGCCTTACACTAGTAAAATTTTAAAATGTCAAATTGCTTATAAGATAATGGCAAAAGACAATGATGTCAGTTAGATCTGTTTTTGATAATCTTCCCAAACCAGTGATTGCCTTCAAGCTCACTGAGATCCTGGCATGATAGCACATGACAAACTTTGCCATTACCTACTCAAAAGAAGTTGGTGAATGAAATGCCTTTTATGACTACAAAGATTATAAAACTATATAGAGAGGAACTTGATAGCTATAAAACAGTTCACATCTTTCATTCATTTCGGAAACATTAATTGAGTACTTGTTACGTACCAGGCATTGTTCTGAGTTTGAGGATATGTATTAACGAATGGAGAGAGAGGAAGAGACCTGATGCAAATTCCTGTCCTTTGGACCTCATATTCTACACAAAAGATCCAGAGATGTTCAGCTTGCCTGATGCTAAAGAGTAAAATGCACACTATACCTGTGAGCTGTCGCCGCCTACTTTTTGTGGCTTCACAGTTCGTGGAGCAGGGCGTAAACTTGGACCAAGCAGTGAAGGTGCAGTCTTCTCGACATGGGACTGTGCATTCTTGCACAAGGAGAGGCATGCCGTTTGTCTGCTTGAGGCATTCCATCATTTCTGCTGACCGGTTGTCATCAGAGATGCATGAGACAGCTGAAAAAAAGCATGAATTCTTTTGTTATTATTTTGATTAAATCAGTCAGCTGCTGGTTCTTTGACAAGACAGCAGAATCCCCCAATGTTTAAAAACTTGGGCTTCACAAATGGTGCAAACGGTGTTCAACATAGCTAACCTTATTTCTCTCTGGAAATTAAATTTTTATTGTTGTCATTGGAGGTATTTGAGGATTTAATTGGTTTCATTATTAATCCAAACCCTGCGTCGACAGCAACCAAAATAACTTCCAGTAATTTATTGTACTTCCTGCTCCTCAGCATCTAATCTCTAGAGATGATATAAAACTAAGAAAGGGAAACTATAAGAGTAAGATGATAACACAAAAAGGACGAAACTACTTTTAAAAAATCACTTAGGCTCCTCCTAGATGTCATTTTTTTTTTTTTTTTGCTTGTTTAGATGGCACTTACAGAAGTAGACCTATACAGTCAGTATTTTTAAAGGAATTTCTGCTGTCTGTAAATAAACATTTTTCTCCTTATTAATTTTTAGGGACCAGTTAAAATTTTTATTTTTTTTCAAGCACAAGCATAGTCTATTCAGATCATTTCCATTGCAAATATATTTTATGTTTTGAATTTTATTTTTCCATAAGTTATTGGGGTACAGGTGGTATTTGGTTACACAAATTCTTTAGCGGAGATGTGTGATAACCTGGTACACCCATCACCTGAGCAGTGTACACTGCACCATATTTGTTGTCTTTTATCCCTCACCCCCCTCCCACTGTTCCCACCAAGTCCCCAAAGTTCATTGTATCATTCTTATGCCTTTGCATCCTCATAGCTTAGTTCCCACATATCAGTGAGAGCATATGATGTTTGGTTTTCCATTCCTGAGTTACTTCACTCAGAATAATGGCCTCTAATCTCATCCAGGTCACTGCAAATGCTGTTAATTCATTCCTTTTTATGGTTGAGTAATATTCCATCATATATATTATATATACACTATATACGATCATATATATGATCATATATAGTATGTGTGTGTATATATAGTATCTGTGTATATATATAGTGTGTGTATATAAATATATAGTATGTGTGTATATATATATTGTGTGTGTATATACATATATGTGTGTGTGTGTGTGTGTGTGTGTGTGTGTGTATATATATATATATATATATATATATATATATATATATATATATCTCAGAGTTTCTTTATCCACTCATTGATTGATGGGCATTTGGGTGGGTTCCACGATTTTCCTATTGTGACTTGTGCTGCTATAAACATGCATGTGCAAGTATCTTTTCTGAATAATGACTTCTTTTCCTCTGGGTAGATACCGAGTAGTGGGACTGATGGATCAAATGGTAATTCTACTTTTAGTTCTTTACAGCTTTTTTAGTTCTTTATAGCTTTTCAAAGTTTCTCTCACACACTTTTTCAACTAGGAACTCTCTAGTCGTTCCTTAAAATAATAATCGTGAGGTAACACATTCCTAAAATTTTGCTTAAATTTTTACTGAATTCTCTGGACTAATGCTATTTATTTTGTTTTATTTTATTTATGAATGAATACACAATATTTTGGTTCATCTTTTTCACTCTGGTTAATTATAGACTCTCAAAGAATATACATTTATATTCTCTAGATCAACATTTCTCAACCTTGGCACTACAGAAAATTTAGATTGGACAGTTTTTTTTGTGGGTGTGTAAATAAGTGTTGTGCATGGTGAGATATGTAGCAGCATCTCTGGCCTCTACCCATTAGATGCCAGTAGCATCCACCCCTCTTAAGTGGTAACAATCAAAACTCTCTCCAGGCATTGCCAAATGTTCCCTTGGGGGCAAAATTGCCACAGTTGAAAACACCTCTTCTAATTCCTAACCATGGATGTATATGAGAATACACAGATTCCATGGTACCACTTCAGATCTTCCATATCAACATCTCTGGGTGAGAAACCAGGGAATATCTTTGTGTTTAAATGGCTCACATAATTCTGGTCTACCCTGTCTACCGACTACCCATATTTGGCATGATGCCTTAGACACGCTGTATGTTAATGGATATTTGCTGAATTCATCATTCTAAAGAAATCATAGTTTAGGATCACTTTTTTACAGTTCTTTAAAATCTGCTATGTGAAAGGAACAAAAAGACCACAGTTTAGGATCATGTTGTTAAAAACTTTTTATATAAAATTCTCTTATGTAGGGTAAGTGTACATATGGGCTCCTTTCAGATGCCCATTCTTCTTATATTCTGAATTCAGTTCTTTATTCTGAGCACATCAGATAATATGTCTGTCTGAACACCATAAATCTATCTTTTTTTATTTTTATTTTTTTTTAGAACTGGTGAAAGCCAAACCCATCTAATGCTTTAGAACCAAGGAATTAGCTAAGATGACAATGGATGCACACACAATACTTTCCAGTTTGTACATCTGCTCTGTGGCAGGTGGAGCTATTCATTCATTCTGAATATTTTTTGTTTTCGTTTTTATCCACGTCGCAGGGACAAAATCCATCACACATCAAGCCAACATCACCTGCATTTTCTTTGTTGGGAATATTACAGCCATTAATGATGAATACAGCAAGACATTTTATCTCAAGTAGGGTACAAGCAAATGTTCTTTGAATTGCTTGTTTAGATAACCAATTTAGAGTTAATTTAGAGAACTTTTATCTTGCCAAGTTAATTTTTTTTTCCAAAATGACAATGCACTGAATAACATGAAGACACATTTTAAATACTTTCAAAAGCATTGCTATGTGAAATTCAAACCTTTTTTTTTTTTTTTTTTTGAGATGGAGTTTCGCTTCACTGCACAGGCTAGAGTGCAGTGATGTGATCTCAGCTCACTGCAACCTCCGCCTGCTGGGTTCATGCAATTCTCATGCCTCAGCCTCCAGAGTAGCTGGGAATACAACTGTCTACCATGCCTGGCTAATTTTTTGGTATTTTTAGTAGAGATGGGGTTTCATCATGTTGGCCAGGCTGGTCTCAAACACTTGACCTCAAGTGATCTGCCCACCTCGACCTCCCAAAGTGCTGGGATTACAGGTGTGAGCCACTCTGTGCTTGATGTATATAAATAACATTTTTTCAATTATAATAAATTATTTTAGAATATTTTATTCACATTTCTTTTGAATATGTTTATAATTTAAAAGCTATGATAAACCAAATTGAATGATGTTTTCAAGTTCTAGAAACTATCTAAATTAGAATACACTGCATTTCCAGAGATCTATATCGAATTTTTCAAATTAATAAAGGAAAGCATAAGAAATTAAGAAAGAATAGCTATAGAGTAGGGTGGAATTCACACATATTGTAGTCAAACGGTAGTAATTGAAAATTTCAAGTCTAAACAAGGAGCTATCTGAACTAAGATAAGTTATTTAATTCTTCATGCCCTAGTATTTTCATCTTTAAAATGAGTATCACAAGACTATAAAAAAGTCTAGTGAGAATTCTTAAGACAATGTCTCACACTAAAGAGCTTGATAAATGCTATTAATTATTACTATCCTTTATATTTGTTTTTAAATAAAGTAGGCTGATCATTCTCCAAGCAAGTATATGTACACACATTCTCCTCACCATGCCTCATTTGTTTCTTGGTCATCCTTAGTATGTGAAGAATAAAGGTAAGGAGAAAATATTTTTGCATCTTCGCCGGATTTGGTGCTAGATTTGTAAGCATCAGTAATGAACCAATAGCTCAGATATGGTGAAGACACATTCACTGAATTAACAGGGCTGTGCAGAGCAAATCAGTTTGTTTTTCTTTATAAATTGGTATTGTAAAGTAGTTTAATGGAGGCATTTGGGTTTTCTAAATGCCAACAAATGCACGCAAAGTTAGGACATGATGTTTGACAGCACCCACATTAGCCTGAAGACCACAGCTCTCTTAATGGTAACCCAAGGATGAAGGCCATTGAAAAACTGCAGAGTTGAAGAAAAAAAAAAAAAAAAAGAAAGAAAGAAAAAACTCAGCAGCTACAGATCATGCAATCATCAGTTCAGACCAGGAATTAGTTTTCAGGTGTCTTCTGGTTCAGAATTCTAATTTATTTTCAAGTGTGAAAAGATCACTGGAAATGAAAACACTAAAAAGTTAAATGAAACATTTCCTTGTTGGGAACGTTCTAGTATAAAAGCAATCATTTTATTCATAAACATTAATTTAATTACTGTGTATTGAATTATACTAGAGGGTATGAAAATACTAAAGAAATAGCAAGTAGGCAGGCTGCAGGACTGGAAAATCAGCAAAGCACACAAAACAAACACACAAAGGAAATTAGAAAAGAAGACAATTAAGCATAAATGGGGATAATAAGTAACCACAGGTACAACCCAATTCAGAGGCCCCTTCCATTGCACAACTCCTGGGGAAAGAGAGTTTAAAAACATATTAATTATACATTACATACAATATAATTCTGGGGCCAATATTAAAGATATATAGTGTCCTTAAATCAGAGAACATTTCTGAGGATTAAATCAGAAGTAGAAATCTACAGATAAAACTATAGGCTTTAAGATCCCACTCCTGCTGGCCAAGGCTGAAGCACTGGGACTACTTCTTCCTCACTGTGCTAACTCTTTGGCATGTCAGCGGTTTCACCTAAGCCATTCAACCGGGGGTCTGAGGACTGCCCCACCACTTCCATCAGGGCTGGCAAATGCCCCTGCCACTAGTGGGCCTGAATACAGGCTTGCACTATCTAGCTCCACCTACCTTCTTCCCCTGCTCCAGGACACAGCACAGGATCCACACCCCTGGGGTTCCATGGCCCAATCCACCATGTGAGACATCCGAGCACTTCTCCCAGGAAAGAGAGGTTGGGCATAAATCCTACCACTATCACTGCAGCTGGCTCTAACCTGCAAAAGCCACCTACTGGTCTGGAGGCCAGCCCACACAGCCCTTTACAACAATTCCTAACACAAAAATCACAGTGATAAGGAAGAAGAAAAGCTTCTCATGACCACTGCCATCCCTCATTGCGTATGCCACCCCAGCTGCCCAAGAGGTCATCAGCCTGCTCATCCACCCAGTGTACCACTACTACAACTGCATTCAAGGAAGCTACCACACTAAAGCTATTTATAGCCAGGGAAATCATAGAGTCTTTGCCACTACATGTACCCAGAAGCAAAGCCAAATGACCCTACCCAACCATCATAGCCATATCTTCAGGAAAAAGTGCTCCTCCCAATAAAAGTAAATTCACAAATAAGAAGCTACTGTTGCTCTAGATGCGCAGAAATCAATGCAAACACACAAAAATCATGGAAAGAAAAAAAAAACAAGGTATTACAACACCCTCAAAGAAACATAGTAATCCTCCACCAGCAATAGATGCTAGCTAAAAAGAAATTCTCAAAATGCCAGATAATCAAAAGTACATGTTTTAGAGAAGCCCAATGCAAGAGATGCAAAAGAAATCAGAAAAGCAATTTAGGATATGAATGACAAAAACTAAGACAAAAAAATTAGAAAATCAATTTAGGATATGAATGAAAAAATTACCAAGGTGATAAGATATATTTATTTAAAAAAACAGAAATAATAGATCTGAAAAGTTCACTGAAGAAATTTCAAAATACATTAAAAATGTTAATAGTAGATTAGACCCAGTAAAAGATCTCAGGACCTGAACACACATCATTTGAAATAATCTAGTCAGACAAAAATAAAGAGAAAAGAATATAAATAATGAACAAAGCATTTAAGATGTTTGGAACTATGTAAACTGAATGAACTTAAGAATTATCAGTATTTCTGAGGGAGAAGAAAAATAAAGAAGTTTAGAAACCTTATTTAAGGAAATAACTGATGAAAACATCCTTATTCTAGATAGTGATTTAGATATCCAGATACAGAAGGCCCAGCAATCCTCAAATACACTGCAAAAAAAGAAAAAAATCACCCTGATAATATCATCATCAGACTGTCTAAAGTCAAAAAGAAGAAAAGAATTTTTAAAGCAGCAAGATAAAAGTACCTAGTCATCTTTAAAGGAAACTCCATCAGACTAACAGCAGATTTCTCAGCAGAATACTCACAGGCCAGAAGAGAATGGGAAGGTGTTTAAAAACTGCTGAAAGAGGCTGAGTGTTATGCCTCATGCCTGTAATCCCAGCACTTTCGGAGGCCAAGGCTGGGAGATCATTCAAGGTCAGGAGTTCGAGACCAGCTTGGCCAACATGGTGAAACCCCATCTCTACTAAAAATAAAAAAATTAGCCAGGCGTGGCTGCGCATACCTGTAATCCCAGCTATTCAAGGGGCTGAGGGAGGAAAATCGCTTGAATCCAGGAGGTGGATGCTGCAGTGAGCCAAGGTCACACCACTGCACTACAACCTGGGAAACAGAGCAAGACTTGTGTTTAAAAAAAAAAAAAAAGGGGTGGGGAGGAGCCAAGATGGCCGAATAGGAACAGCTCCAGTCTACAGCTCCCAGCGAGAGTGACGCAGAAGACAGGTGATTTCTGCATTTCCATCTGAGGTACCGGGTTCATCTCACTAGGGAGTGCCAGACAGTGGGCGCAGGTCAGTGGGTGCGCGCACCGTGCGCGAGCCGAAGCAGGGCGAGGCATTGCCTCACTTGGGAAGCACAAGGGGTCAGGGAGTTCCCTTTCCGAGTCAAAGAAAGGGGTAACGGACAGCACCTGGAAAATCGGGTCACTCCCACCCGAATATTGCGCTTTTCTGACAGGCTTAAAAAACGGTGCACCAAGAGATTATATCCCGCACCTGGCTTGGAGGGTCCTACGCCCACGGAATCTCGCTGATTGCTAGCACAGCAGTCTGAGATCAAACTGCAAGGCAGCAGCGAGGCTGGGGGAGGGGCGCCCACCATTGCCCAGGCTTGATTAGGTAAACAAAGCAGCCCTGAAGCTCAAACTGGGTGGAGCCCACCACAGCTCAAGGAGGCCTGCCTGCCTCTGTAGGCTCCACCTCTGGGGGCAGGGCACAGACAAACAAAAAGACAGCAGTAACCTCTGCAGACTTAAATGTCCCTGTCTGACAGCTTTGAAGAGAGCAGTGGTTCTCCCAGCACGCAGCTGGAGATCTGAGAACGGGTAGACTGCCTCCTCAAGTGGGTCCCTGACCCCTGACCCTCGAGCAGCCTAACTGGGAGGCACCCCCCAGCAGGGGCACACTGACACCTCACACAGCAGGGTATTCCAACAGACCTGCAGCTGAGGGTCCTGTCTGTTAGAAGGAAAACTAACAAACAGAAAGGACATCCACACCAAAAACCCATCTGTACATCACCATCATCAAAGACCAAAAGTAGATAAAACCACAAAGATGGGGAAAAAACAGAACAGAAAAACTGGAAACTCTAAAACGCAGAGCACCTCTCCTCCTCCAAAGGAACGCAGTTCCTCACCAGCAACGGAACAAAGCTGGATGGAGAATGACTTTGACGAGCTGAGAGAAGGCTTCAGACGATCAAATTACTCTGAGCTACGGGAGGACATTCAAACCAAAGGCAAAGAAGTTGAAAACTTTGAAAAAAATTTAGAAGAATGTATAACTAGAATAACCAATACAGAGAAGTGCTTAAAGGAGCTGATGGAGCTGAAAACCAAGGCTCGAGAACTACGTGAAGAATGCAGAAGCCTCAGGAGCCGATGCGATCAACTGGAAGAAAGGGTATCAGCAACGGAAGATGAAATGAATGAAATGAAGCGAGAAGGGAAGTTTAGAGAAAAAAGAATAAAAAGAAATGAGCAAAGCCTCCAAGAAATATGGGACTATGTGAAAAGACCAAATCTACGTCTGATTGGTGTACCTGAAAGTGATGGGGAGAATGGAACCAAGTTGGAAAACACTCTGCAGGATATTATCCAGGAGATAATATCCCCAATCTAGCAAGGCAGGCCAACGTTCAGATTCAGGAAATACAGAGAACGCCACAAAGATACTCCTCGAGAAGAGCAACTCCAAGACACATAATTGTCAGATTCACCAAAGTTGAAATGAAGGAAAAAATGTTAAGAGCAGCCAGAGAGAAAGGTCGGGTTACCCTCAAAGGGAAGCCCATCAGACTAACAGCGGATCTCTTGGCAGAAACCCTACAAGCCAGAAGAGAGTGGGGGCCAATATTCAACATTCTTAAAGAAAAGAATTTTCAACCCAGAATTTCATATCCAGCCAAACTAAGCTTCCTAAGTGAAGGAGAAATAAAATCCTTTACAGACAAGCAAATGCTGAGAGATTTTGTCACCACCAGGCCTGCCCTAAAAGAGCTCCTGAAGGAAGCGCTAAACATGGAAAGGAACAACCGGTACCAGCCGCTGCAAAATCATGCCCAAATGTAAAGAACATCGAGACTAGGAAGAAACTGCATCAACTAACAAGCAAAATCACCAGCTAACATCATAATGACAGGATCAAATTCACACATAACAATATTAACTTTAAATGTAAATGGACTAAATGCTCCAATTAAAAGATACAGACTGGCAAACTGGATAAAGAGTCAAGACCCATCAGTGTGCTCTATTCAGGAAACCCATCTCACGTGCAGAGACACACATAGGCTCAAAATAAAAGGATGGAGGAAGAACTACCAAGAAAATGGAAAACAAAAAAAGGCAGGGGTTGCAATCCTCGTCTCTGATAAAACAGACTTAAAACCAACAAAGATCAAAAGAGACAAAGAAGGCCATTACATAATGGTAAAGGGATCAATTCAACAAGAAGAGCTAACTATCCTAAATATATATGCATCCAATACAGGAGCACCCAGATTCATAAAGCAAGTCCTAACTGACCTACAAAGAGACTTAGACTCCCACACATTAATAATGGGAGACTTTAACACCCCACTGTCAACATTAGACAGATCAACGAGACAGAAAGTCAACAAGGATACCCAGGAATTGAACTCAGCTCTGCACCAAGCGGACCTAATAGACATCTACAGAACTCTCCACCACAAATCAACAGAATATACATTTTTTTCAGCACCACACCACACCTATTCCAAAATTGACCACATACTTGGAAGTAAAGCTCTCCTCAGCAAATGTAAAAGAACAGAGATTATAACAAACTATCTCTCAGACCACAGTGCAATCAAACTAGAACTCAGGATTAAGAATCTCACTCAAAACCGCTCAACTACATGGAAACTGAACAACCTGTTCCTGAATGACTACTGGATACATAACGAAATGAAGGCAGAAATAAAGATGTTCTTTGAAACCAATGAGAACAAAGACACAACATACCAGAATCTCTGGGACACATTCAAAGCAGTGTGTAGAGGGAAATTTGTAGCACTAAATGCCCACAAGAGAAAGCAGGAAAGATCCAAAACTGACACCCTAACATCACAATTAAAAGAACTAGAAAAGCAAGAGCAAACACATTCAAAAGCTAGCAGAAGGCAAGAAATAACTAAAATCAGAGCAGAACTGAAGGAAATAGAGACACAAAAAACCCTTCAAAAAATTAATGAATCCAGGAGCTGGTTTTTTGAAAGGATCAACAAAATTGATAGACCGCTAGCAAGACTAATAAAGAAAAAGAGAGAGAAGAATCAAATAGACACAATAAAAAATGATAAAGGGGCTATCACCACCGGTCCCACAGAAATACAAACTACCATCAGAGAACACTACAAACACCTCTATGCAAATAAACTAGAAAATCTAGAAGAAATGGATAAATTCTTCGACACATACACTCTCCCAAGACTAAAAAAGGAAGAAGTTGAATCTCTGAATAGACCAATAACAGGAGCTGAAATTGTGGCAATAATCAATAGTTTACCAACCAAAAAGAGTCCAGGACCAGATGGATTCACAGCTGAATTCTATCAGAGGTACAAGGAGGAACTGGTACCATTCCTTCTGAAACTATTCCAATCAATAGAAAAAGAGGGAATCCTCCCTAACTCATTGTATGAGGCCAGCATCATTCTGATACCAAAGCTGGACAGAGACACAACAAAAAAAGAGAATTTTAGACCAATATCCTTGAAGAACATTGATGCAAAAATCCTCAATAAAATACTGGCAAAACAAATCCAGCAGCACATCAAAAAGCTTATCCACCATGATCAAGTGGGCTTCATCCCTGGGATGCAAGGCTGGTTCAATATATGCAAATCAATAAATGTAATCCAGCATATAAACAGAGCCAAAGACAAAAACCACATGATTATCTCAATAGATGCAGAAAAAGCCTTTGACAAAATTCAACAACCCTTCATGCTAAAAACTCTCAATAAATTAGGTAATGATGGGACATATTTCAAAATAATAAGAGCTATCTATGACAAACCCACAGCCAATATCATACTGAATGGGCAAAAACTGGAAGCATTCCCTTTGAAAACTGGCAAAAGACAGGGATGCCCTCTCTCACCACTCCTATTCAACATAGTGTTGGAAGTTCTAGCCAGGGCAATTAGGCAGGAGAAGGAAATAAAGGGTATTCAATTAGGAGAAGAGGAAATCAAATTGTCCCTGTTTGCAGATGACATGATTTTATATCTAGAAAACCCCATTGTCTCAGCCCAAAATCTCCTTAAGCTGATAAGCAACTTCAGCAAAGTCTCAGGATACAAAATCAATGTACAAAAATCACAAGCATTCTTATACACCAATAACAGACAAACAGAGAGCCAAATCATGAGTGAACTGCCATTCACAATTGCTTCAAAGAGAATAAAATACCTAGGAATCCAACTTACAAGGGATGTGAAGGACCTCTTCAAGGAGAACTACAAACCACTGCTCAACGAAATAAAAGAGGATACAAACAAATGGAAGAACATTCCATGCTCATGGGTAGGAAGAATCAATATCGTGAAAATGGCCATACTGCCCAAGGTAATTTACAGATTCAATGCCATCCCCATCAAGCTACCAATGACTTTCTTCACAGAATTGGAAAAAACTATTTTAAAGTTCATATGGAACCAAAAAAGAGCCCGCATCGCCAAGGCAATCCTAAGCCAAAAGAACAAAGCTGGAGGCATCACACTACCTGACTTCAAACTATACTACAAGGCTACAGTAACCAAAACAGCATGGTACTGGTACCAAAACAGAGATATAGATCAATGGAACAGAACACAGCCCTCAGAAATAACGCCGCATATCTACAACTATCAGATCTTTGACAAACCTGAGAAAAACAAGCAATGGGGAAAGGATTCCCTATTTAATAAACAGTGCTGGGATAACTGGCTAGCCATATGTAGAAAGATGAAACTGGATCCCTTCCTTACACCTTATACAAAAATCAATTCAAGATGGATTAAAGCCTTAAACCTTAGACCTAAAACCATAAAAACCCTAGAAGAAAACCTAGGCAATACCATTCAGGACATAGGCATGGGCACGGACTTCATGACCAAAACACCAAAAGCAATGGCAACAAAAGCCAAAATTGACAAATGGGATCTAATTAAACTAAAGAGCTTCTGCACAGCAAAAGAAACTACCATCAGAGTGAACAGGCAACCTACAAAATGGGAGAAAATTTTCACAACCTACTCATCTGACAAAGGGCTAATATCCAGAATCTACAATGAACTCAAACAAATTTACAAGAAAAAAACAAACAACCCCATCAAAAAGTGGGTGAAGGACATGAACAGACACTTCTCAAAAGAAGACATTTATGCAGCCAAAAAACATATGAAAAAATGCTCATCATCACTGGCCATCAGAGAAATGCAAATCAAAACCACAATGAGATACCATCTCACACCAGTTAGAATGGCAAACATTAAAAAGTCAGGAAACAACAGGTGCTGGAGAGGATGTGGAGAAATGGGAACACTTTTACACTGTTGGTGGTACTGTAAACTAGTTCAACCATTGTGGACGTCAGTGTGGTGATTCCTCAGGGATCTAGAGCTAGAAATACCATTTGACCCAGCCATCCCATTACTGGGTATATACCCAAAGGAGTATAAATCATGCTGCTATAAAGACACATGCACACATATGTTTATTGAGGCATTATTCACAATAGCAAAGACTTGGAACCAACCCAAATGTCCAACAATGATAGACTGGATTAAGAAAATGTGGCACATATACACCATGGAATACTATGCAGCCATAAAAAATGATGAGTTCATGTGCTTTGTAGGGACATGGATGAAATTGGAAATCATCATTCTCAGTAAACTATCGTAAGAACAAAAAACCAAACACCGCACATTCTCACTCATAGGTGGGAATTGAACAATGAGATCACATGGACATAGGAAGGGGAATATCACACTATGGGGGCTGTGGTGGGGTGGTGGGAAGGGGGAGGGATAGCATTGGGAGATATACCTAATGCTAGATGACGAGTTAGTGGGTGCAGTGCACCAGCATGGCACATGTATACATATGTAACTAACCTGCACAATGTGCACATGTACCCTAAAACTTAAAGTATAATAAAAAAAAAAAATTAAAAAAAAAAAAGCTGGAAGAAAAAACCTGCAGCCAAGAATTTTTACCTAGTAAGATCAAGCTTCATAAATAGAGAAAAATAAAGTCTTTCCCAAATAAGCAAATATTGAGGAAACTCGTTACTGTCAGACCGGTTCTACAAAAAATCTTTAGGATTTTTAGGAATCTTTAGGATTCCTAAACATGGAAATGAAAGGTTGATATTTACCACCGTAAAAACATAAAAAGTATAAAACTCAGAGGTCTTATAAAATAATCACACAAAGAAGGAAGAGAAAGGAATCTAATGGCAACACAACAGAATTTCACCTAAAGACAATTTCACCTAAAGACAAATATGACAGGAGCAAAACCTCACATGTAAGTATTAACTTGAATGTAAATAGATTAAATTTACATTCCTTTTAAAAGACATAGATGGATTAAATTTATGCTCCTCCTAAAATATATAGATAAGCAGAATGAGAAAAAGAAAAGATGATCCAACCATATATTGCTTATAAAAAACTAACTTTCTCTCTAAAGACACATATGGACAGAAAGAAAAGAGATGGAAAAAGATATTCCATGCAAACAGAAACCAGAAGGGAGCAGAGTAGCTATATCAGATAAAATAGACTTTAAATAAAAAACAGTTTATGAAAAGACAAAAATGATCACTATACAATGATAAAAGGATCAGTTCAGTAAGAGGATATAACCATTCTAGATATATATGTACCCAACACCGGAACACCCAGATTCATAAAATAAATATTACTAGAACTCCAGAAAGAAAGAGACAGCAATACAATAATAGTAGGGGATTTAAACATCCTACTCACAGCATTAGACAGATCATTAAGACAGAAAAGCAACAAAAAACAATGGATGTGAATTGGACTTTAGACTAAATGAACCTAACAGATATTTACAGAACATTCTACCTAAATGCACCAAATGCAGAATATGCATTCTTACCAGCACATGGAACATTCTCTAGGACAGACCACATTGTAGGCTGAAAACAAGCCTCAACAAATTTTTAGAAATCGAAATCATATCAAGTATCTTCTCAAGCCATAGCAGAATAAAACTAGAAAGGGGTGGTAACAAGAGGAACTTTGGAAACTATACAAATACATGGCAATTAAACAACATATTTCTAAACGATCCTGAGTCAAGGAAGAAATTAAGATAGAAACTTAAACCATTTTTGAAACAAATAAAAATGGAAGCACAACATACCAAAACTTGTTGGGTACAGCAAAAGTAGTGCTAAGAAAGAAGTCTGTAGCATTAAATGCCCACATCAAGAAAGTATAAAGATCACAAATTTTAAAGCTAATATTCCATCTCAAGGAACTAGAAAAGCAAGAATAAACCAAACCTAATGTTAACAGAAGAAAAGAAATAAAAAGATCAGATCAGAACTAAATAAAAGTAGCATGCAAAAGAGTAACAAAAAAAGAAGTTGGTTTTTTTTTTTTTTTGAGACCGAATGTCACTCTGTTGTCCAGTCTGGAGTACAGTGGCATGATCTCAACTCACCACAACCTCCGCCTCCTGGGTTCAAGTGGTTCTCCTGCCTCAGCCTCCCAATAGATGGGAATACAGGCACATGCTACCATGCCCGGCTAATTTTTGTATTTCTAGTAGAGAGAGGGCTTCACTATGTTGGCCAGGCTGGTCTCGAATCCCTGATCCTTGTGATCTGCCCGCCTTGGCCTCCCAAAATGCTGGGATTACAGGCATGAGCCACTGCACCTGGCCTGTTCTTTAAAAAGATTTTAAAAAAAATTGATAAACCACTAGCTGAACAAACCAAGAAGAAAGAAGATCCAAATAAACATAATCAGAAATGAAAAAAGGGACATAACAACTGATACCACAGAAATACAAAAGATCAACAGAGACTATTAAGAAAAAACTATATGCTCACAAATGAGAAAACTGAGAGAAAATGGATTAATTCCTGAAACATACAACCTCCCAAAATGAAACCAAGAACAAACAGAAATCCTGAACCGACCAATAAGAAATAGTGAGTTTGAAGCAGTAATATAAAGTCTCTCAACAACAACAAAAAGCTGAGGATCAGATGGATTCACAGATGAGTTTCACCAAACATATGAAGAACTGATATTAATCCTCCTGAATACAACAACAACAACACACACACACACACACCCCATACCACACTACAAATATCCCTGGTGAACATAGATGCAAAAATCCTCATCAAAATGCAAGCAAATGAAATCCAACATCACATCAAAAAATACACCATGATCAAGTGGGTTTCTTGCTAGGGATGCAAAAATGGTTCAACATATGCAAATCAACAAATGTAATACAGCACGTAAAGAGAATTTAAGACAACAGCTACTTGATCATCTCAATAGACAGAAATAACATTTGATAAATCCAGCATCCCTTCATAATAAAAACTCTCAACACATTAGGCACAGATGGAACATACCTCAAAATAATAAAGACCATGTATGACAAACTGAGAGCTAACATCATACTAAATGGAGAAAAGTTAAAAACATTTCCTCTAAGAACTAGAACAAGACAAGGATATCCACTTTTACTACTTTTATTCGATGTAGTACTGGAATTCCTAGCCAGAGAAATCAGGCAGGAGAAAAAAATGAAAGGCATCCAAATTGAAAAAGATGTCAAATTGTTTCTCTTTGCAGATGACATGATTTTATATTTCAAAAAACATAAAGATTCCATTTAAAAAACTTAGATCTGATATATAAATCTAATGAGTTGTAGAATATAAAATCCATATACAGAAATCAGTAGCATTTCTATATACCAATAATGAACTAGCTGAAACATAATCAAGAAGGCAATCCTATTTATAATTCCTACAAAAAAAATCTAAAAATAAATTTAACCAAGGAGGTGAACTAACTCTATAAGAAAAACTATAAAACAATGATGAAAGAAACTGAAGAGAACACAAATGGAAGGACATCCCACGCTCATGACCAAAAGAATTAATATTGTAAGAACGACCACACTACCCAAAGCAATCTGCTGATTCAGTGCAATCCCTATCAAAATACCAATGTCGTTTTTTTCACAGAAATAGAAAGGGTAATCCTAAAATTTGTGTGGAGCTCAAAAGAGCCAGTTTAGCTGAACCAATCCTGAGCAAAAAGAACAAAGCTGGAGGCATCGCACTACCTGACTTCAAAACCCCAAACATCATCTCATTGGTATAAAAACAGAAACACACACTAATGAAACAGAATAGAGAATCTAGAAATAAGTTCATGTACTTACAGCCAATAGATTTTTTACAAAGGTACTAATAACATACATTGCTGAAAAGAAACCCTTTTTAATAAATTGTGCTGGACAACTGAATATCCACATACAGATGAATAAAAATAGACATTGTGTTTCTCACCACGTACAAAAAGCAACTCAAAATTGTTTAAAACCTAAGCATAAGATGCAAAAGTATAAAAATACTAGATGAAAACCTAGGGAAAACTTTTCTGGACATTGGTCTAGGCAAAGATTTTATAGGTAAGACCTCAAAAACATGAACAAGAAAAATGAAAATAAACAAATGGGACTATAGTAAAATAAAAAGTTTCTGCACAGCAAAGAAAACAATCAAGAGTGAAGAGACAGCCTGTTAAATGGAAGCAAATATTTGCAAACTATCCATCTGACAAGAGACTAATATCCAGAATATAGAAGGAACTCAAACAACTGCACAGCAAAAAAAAAAAAAAAAAAAAAAAAAAATCACATTAAGAAGTGGTCAAACTATCTGAATGGACACTTCTCAAATAAAGACAAACAATTAGCCAAGAGGTATATTGAAAAATAGTTAATATCACTTATCATTAGGGAAACTCAAAACCACAATGAGATATCATCTTATGCTAGTTAGAAAAAAAACTCTCTCTATATATATATATTATTTTGTCATATATATATATATATATATATATGACAGATATATGGTGAGACTGGTGATGGTGCAGAGAAGAGGGAGCTCTTATACACTGTTAGTGGTAATGTAAATTAATACAGCCAGTAAGGAAAACAGTATGGAGATTTCTCAAAAAGCTAAAAATAGAATTACTATATGACCCAGAAATTCCATTATTGGGTATTTATCCAAAGGATAGAAAATCAGTATATCACCTCCATGTTTACTGCAGCCCCCATGTTTATTGCAGCAATATTCATAATTGCAACGATATGGAATCAACATAAGTACATCAATGAATAATGGATAAAGAAAATGTGGTATATATACACAATAGAATACTGATCACTCATAAAAATATAATTAAATCTTCTCATTTGCAGCAACATGGTTGGAACTGAAGGTCATTATGTTAAGTGAAACAAGCCAGGTGCAGAAAGACAAATAATGCATTTTCTTACTCATGTAGGTGCTAAATAAGCTGATCTTATGGAGGTATGCAGTAGAATGAGAGTTACCAGAGGATGAGAAGGATATGTGTGGGGGTGAGGAGGATGAAGAGAGGTTGGTTAATGGGTACAAACATATAATTAGGTAGGAGGGAGTTCTAATGTTTGATAAGAGACTAGGGCAACTATACGTAATGACAATGTTTTCTATATTGCAAAATAGCTGGAAGACATGACTTGAAATGTTTCTGACACATAGAAATGATAAATACTTGAAGTGATATATACCCTGACTCAATCATTACACATTCTCTCTGTATAAAACAAAGTATCATAGGTACCCCACAAAAAATGTACAGAAATTATATATCAATAAAAAAACTCAAAAAGAATTAAGGGTCACTCTCCTTTTTTTTTTTACTGTTACTTTTGTTAAGTTATATAAATTAAGACTCAATGAACTCATCTATGAAATGGGAGTAATAATACCTACCTTGCAGGATAAACTGATACAGATAAATTGCTTTGCACAAAACTAAGCACTTAGTACATGAGCCCTGGGAAGTATGTACTATTATGAAAAAGCCTATTGAAAATGAAATGTAAGAAATGGTAGGAAAAAAGCATCTACTATCATCTGTCTTAGTTCTTGCCTTGGGAAGAATTTCCAAATTCCACCAAAGCCTCTTGAGCCCTAAAAGTATTACTAGAGTCTCTCTTACATGATAATGTTGAGGTTAGCAGTCTGCTGTGAACAATTACAAATGTATTGTGTGTGTGTGCGTATATACACACATATACATATCAGTAATCTGGCTTCTGGGAGGCCACAGTGGTGTCGGTGACAGGCAGGTAGAGAGATAACAGTAGCACAATATTATAGTTTTCATAATGGTGATAACCAATGGGAAACCTGGCATAGAAGGGAAGAGTAGACACTTCCATCTTGAATGAAAGGGACGTGTAATGGTTAGGTAGAATAAAATATGGTATTACAGAAAATTTATCTGTCAGACATCTGCTATTTAGTTGAACTCTTAAATCCTGGGTCCTTCAGATCATAACAAATCACTCTCAGGACACAATCTTAGAAAAAATATTTCTTTTTTGGTTCTTTCTGTTATTCTAAGTACTATACTATACTATTGGGAAAGGTCTTTCCATTAGGATGGGGAAGACATTTATATACTTCTGACCCTTCTTGTTGTATATTTTTACCTGTAATGAATTGTTTAAGGGGAGGGACAATTTAATGCTTAATTATATTTCATTTATTTAACTTGGAATATTGTTGTCTTTACTAGAGGAAAATTGTACTCCTAGGTAAAATTATTCCAAATAGCTCTATAAGGATCTCATTATTGGGTATTGTTTGAAATTTAGCTATCTTAAGCTCTGGGCAGAAAGCCCTCTGAGAAACTGCCTGGGACAGCTGAGTATCCTTGTTAGGGAATGACGGAGAAACAGGTGTTTGAGGTAAGCCACTCAGACAAGAGCACTCAAATAAGAGCAGTCACCTGGCAAGTGGGTGTGTCAGGGTGACCTGGAACCCTCCAAAAATCTCCTTGATGACTGAGGCCACATGTTCCTATGCAAAGTATCTAACAAGCTACATAACACAGAGAACTGAGTTCAGCTACTTCATCTTTTTCTTAATTGCTACACAGGGTGAGCCTTGGGAGAAACGCACCCAAAATGGGAGGTCAGAGTGGAGATAATAGTCATTGATTGCTTCCCCCTGTTATCTGATTCTTTTCAATTCTAGCAGCATGAAAAAGAATGCCCTGGCACAAATGTAAAATTATCTAAAAACTTAGCAAAGAAACAAAGCGAGGATCTGTATGAATTCTCAGTGTGTCTCATAGTTAATTTTTTAAAAAGAATTGCTGTTAACGGTAGGATAGTCAGGCAGCCCTCTTAAGCTTAAATGATGTCTCAAATCAGCAGATTATTAACTATTACTAAATGGCTGGTCTTTTTGCCCTGTATCACCTCTAAACTTGGATAGTCAGACATGCAGTGATAAGTTTTGCTTCTTTTCAATTATGAGATGAAGAGGGCAGGGGTTACTGGCCTTATGAAAAGAAATGATAATGTTCTCCCTGGAAAAACTATAAAAGGCTGGAGCTTGCTACTTCAGATCATCACCTTCACCAAGGACACTGAAATTACTTTCCTGAAGTTGATTCCGACCAGAGTTCAACTCTAATAGTTAAAGAAAAAGGATAGAATTTATTTCGAGAGGTCATAATTTTCAGGAAATGGGGGTGACTTTCTTGAAAAATTGAGGGCCTCTACCTATAAAGCTTCCTGTCCTGTAATAGCAGGGGACCTCAGTTCAGCTGCACAGCTCAATTTACATGCATATCAAGTTGCTGAGAGAGTGGGAAGCAATTGCTCAGCTCAACCAATGTTCCTACAATGTGTTCTGTATGTCAGGCCCAGCACTAGTGGCCTAAGATACACAGATGAAAGAAACAGAAATAAAATTTCACTACACTCAGGGGGCTGCAAGAGCACAGCACTGGGACCCCGAGCATCAGCCAGTCAGTGGAGCCTTTCTGGAAGGAATGATGCACAAATGCTGAGTAGGACATGTCCCTTGAAAACAGCATGAGTTTGGCCAGGTGGTTGTAACACCATGAAAGGTGTGCAGAGAAACAAGCAATGTGACAGACTTGTTTCCTGCTCATGCTACTCACTTCAGTAGGAACTTCTAAATTCCCCTTTGATAAGACTTCTCATATGTATAATTACACGTTCAGTGTCTAATTTAATGACACTACATCAGGCTGCCCACATCTGTGGAAATCATGGTTAAAATATAAGTGGAATTAAGAACCACAAGTCCAAAGAGTTAAAGGTTATAATTGAAATTTTAAAAGGTGTAATAAATTAGTTCTATTTCTGCACCTTCACAAATACACCTTCATAATGACTTTGAAACCAAGATTTCATTAAAGAATTCTGGGATGACTTGGAGTTTCAGGATGGAATATGGTGGCAGAAGGTCTCTGGCCTTACTCCTTCTCTTCTCACTCCCAGCTTGATTCTGTTCCAGAAGAGACTTTTTTGCACGTGTGTGTGGACACTGAAGTCAATCCTCCAATGCTCAAGTCACAAATTGGCCACCTTTTGTCCACTCCATGGCCTAAGATATACACATAGACGGTGCAAGCTTTCCTTAGAGGTTAAGACTCAGAGTAGAGGCCCCTGCAAACCCTGGAAGCTGGCTCAAGACCACTGGGCAGAAGTTCCAAGGTGCCAAGTACTGTGGAAAGAGTTTAGACAGGGGACTGAGTGGGGGAGCATGGGCTCTGGTGAGGCTATCATCTGCCTTGTGATTCCTTGCCCAAAAATGAAGCATAGCAAGAAGGCCAGAGCAGGGGCATGGAGGCCAGGGCAGGTGCCCTCTTGCTGAATCTAAGGGCAGAACTACACTCCACTGCAATTATTTCATCATGGGTTGATACAATCTTCCTTAAGAGCTCCCTACTAGGTAATCATGAAAGGTAAAAATGCCAATTAACACTAGCTCAGTTCTGGCCATTTTAATTAGTTTCTTTCTTGTTTAAAATATTCCTTTTCAGGTAAAGGTGCGGTCTCTTTTAGTGACTTCCCCTTCTTCTCCCAAGATGGCACCTGGGTGTCTGTGGCAGCCAGCAGGGGCCTTGGCTCTGCAGGAAAATTCTTTGAAGCTCCCTGGGTCTTTGCTATCCTCTGAAATGAGTGGCTGGAGTCCACCTGGTGACTGCTTGCCCTGGTGATATCCACTGCTGAAGTCTCAGGCTGAAGAACTCCAGATCCATTTCTCTCAGCCTGGTCAGGTGCCTCATCCCACCCCATCTCGGCACCTGTTGGGGTGAACCAGTTTGTAGGGGCCATGTGATGAGTGGCCCAGGAGTTCCAGGGTAGAATCTTCTGCTAAGCCTGCCAGCCAGCACCATCAGCTACCACACCCTCCTAGAGCAGTTTCCCCATGGGGAAACTTCTGGAGACTTTCTCTCCAGAGGGAGAACTCAGGGAGCACCTGAAAAGGCATTAAGTCCCTCCTTCTGCCAAGTCACTCTAGGCCACGACTGTAAGATGACAGGGCCCATGCCATGTTTGGAGTGGGGCCCCTGTAGAGCATCTCTTCTCAAGATTCTAAACAGGAGATTGAACAGACCCTGCCTCCACCTCTAGAACACAAGTCCTGAGTCAGGGGAAGTCATGGTTCATGTTCCTTCTGTGCTACTTCCTTTCCCTACCCCAGTCTCTTTCCTATTCCCTTCCTTCACCCATGCTGGCAGAAAGAGGAGAATTTTAATCCCTTCTGTCTAACAGAGACTTCCCTAGAATTACATCTCTCTCCCTCCTGAAGTGGCATTTATCTTGTCTCTTTCCCTGAAGTTATAATGGCAGACAGGTTGCAGAGAAAGAAATCTGATTGAATTAAGAATATCAATTAAGAAGCATTTTAAAAAATATGAAGCCTGCAATCCATATGCTTTACCATGAGCTGAGTCCCAGGACAGATAAGCCTGTGACTGGCTTGTGTCCAGAGGTATCTCCTAATAAGCTCCTGAGACACATTAGGATTCTGCTAAATAGAGTAGTTGGAGTCTTTGAAGCCCACCTTGGAGCAGGAGGCAGAGGATGTTTGTTCACCACATGCCTGGAGAGCAAAGCTAGGTATCAGGTGCCAAAGGACTTGGATGCTCTGCTGGAAATCTCAACACCCTTGGTCCTTTAGTATAAAGAAGGTCCCATGAGATTTTTTTAAAAAAATGCTTAATTGTTTCAAGGGTATATTAGTTTCCTGTTGCTGCTGTAACAATCCGCAAATTGAGTGGTTTAAAAGAACATAAATGTATTTGTTTATGATTCTGGGGGCCAGAAATTCAAAATCAGTTTTAGCAGGTGTCAGGTTCTAACTGAGGTCTGAGGGGTGTTGGTGGGCAAGTGGCAGGGAGCTGGAAAAACACTCAAGAAGTCGTAGACAGTTTTGACATGGTTTTACTCTCTCTCTGGGCACAAGCAAGCTTGGGCATGTGCTTGGGTATGACCCATGGACGCAAGCCATATGTACAGTGTTAGCAGGGTAATTATACATTTTACAGGCAATAGTGGCTCTGAGCCAAGCACAAGCTCATGTGGGTGGTCACCTAATGCACCTCAAATGGCGTGGTTACATAATGTGTGGAGTTACGTGCCTGCGCTCCAAACTCGCTGAGTCACACTGGACCAGATGTCTGCCTCGGCCTATTCTTGACTGCAGCACATCCATTTTCCTTACATTCCATCCCCAAGGCCAAGGGAGACACAGGTCTTGGACACACAGGTCTGATGCATAGGCCTTATATTCCACCCCCTAGGCTGAGGGTTTTTCTAGTGGGGAGATGCACCCACAGGGTGGAACCCTGGACTCAGAGGCCACAGCAGTAATACAGGGAGCAAATAACTCCAGGTTATGGCGTGCAACCACCCCATGGTGATGTTACCCCAATGTTGCTTTATACATTAAGCCAAGTTTTTATTTCCCTACCTTTAGGGGCACTGGGGCAGGCAACAACAGGTTACCATTTGTCCCATGCTTGGTTGGAGGAGGTCATCCTTCCACCTACAGGTCTTGTCACATGGCTTGGCCCCACATGGGTTGGTGGCCAACTAGCCACTTCTGTATTTTCCAGGTGGTTAACCACAAGGTCAAGCCTCATTAGAACATCCAGCTATTGGTACAGATTACCATAGGTGTCGCTTCCTTGGTGATCACCATCTATGCTGCTCTAAACTCAGCCCATTGGCTACTATATCCACACCTGCTATCAAACCATATGGTGTCAGTACTAGGCTGGACTTCAACAGAAGTCCAGGCAGCAGCAGCATCCTGGCTAGACCCATCCATATACCATGTCCCATTGGGAATGGGGGACACCCTTCCTTAAACAGTGAAGGCTCAGGGTCTAGGGGTGCCTCAGACCCCATGGCCTTATTGTGCATTAGGACTACAGATCCCAAGACCTCTTGCAACTTTGCTCCTAAGGGGCTTGTACTCAGTGTACTCTGCTGTTCTAAGTAGGTGCCCCACTTTGCTAAAGTGGATGTCTGCACCATCCCAGTCCAGGGGATTGTTATGCATGAATGCACCCATCCCACTATCGGGTAAGTCATCTGCATGATGACTGCAGCCCATCCTGCCATACTCTCACAAGCCTGAAGGGTGGCATATATAGCTGCTAGCTGTTTCTCTATCAAGGAATACTGGTGCTCAGCTCCCTTCCATCATTGGGACCAAAAACCTACTGGCGTTCTCAAGTGCTCCATGTGCTGCCACAGGCCCCAACCAAAACCATCTGTTGTCACATGCACATCCTGCTCAAATGGGCACTCCTGGTCAACTACCCATAGGGCTTCTGCCTACTGAATAGCCCCCTTGGCTGCCAGGAAGGCAGTCTCAGCTGCATCATCCCAATCTCAGGCAAGAGGAGTGTTGCCACTTCTAAATCTGCAAGAGAATCAGAGGTTAACATAACATTATCAACAAGACCATGACATACAGTGGGGCTAGGCATATAGCACTGAGGCAACCCTGTGAAAGTTCATTGTTGCCCTCCCATGAAGACAAACTGTTTCTGGCTCTCTAGAAAAAAAAAATGCATTAGCCAAGTCCACCACGTAGTGGTACTGTCCCAATTCAATCGTCAAGTGGTCCATCAAGTTCATGACAGACAGCACAGCTGCCAAGCTGTGTAAAACATCCACCCCCAGAATATATCTGCATTGATGTCTACCAGCGCCAGCACTTGCCGTACGTTGGTGGGGGACCAGTGGATCGCTCATTTCACATGTGGCCTCCAGTCGTCCAGTGGCCAAGCACCTTGGCCAGTTCCCTCATCAAACAGAAAAGGCTTTACACCCCAGCCTGGCTGCAGCACGTAGTCTTTGAGCTGAAGTCCCTGGGTGGGACTGGGTCACACAGCAATGTCCTTCCCCTACTTGGGCATTTTCTGGAATTGGTGTTCCAAAGACAACTGTCTCCACAAAGTTAAGAGTACTTCATTGGGCTGCTTATCGATTTTCTCTCAGTCAGCCCAAGCTAAAATCAAATCTATCTGCATCTGTGAGTGTGTCACTCATTGAGGCCCCATTTTCTCTCACTGGGGAGGCCCCCGCAGGTGGGGCATCTTTGCCTTCTTTACAGCATGGACCCCTTGGTACTGCTGATGACCTCCAGGCCTGCATTCACAGCAGCCTCTAATTCTTTTTCCAAGCTCTGAAGCCGGGCCTCTAGGCACCCCACCTGCACCTGGAGGTCCCCATTCACAGAAGCTTCTAACTCTTTTTCTGAAATATGTAGCCAGGCATCCAGGTGACCTGCCTGCGTCTGGAGGGTCCTCACCTCTGCAGCATCCCTCAGGGACTGGGTGTGTACTTCTCATAGCGTGGTCAAAAATGCCCATCCAACTCTGCTGGCAAAGGTTCATTCTTTCTTGGTGCTCTCTGCTTCTAGCTGCTTCAGTGCCTTTCCCTGCTTGCAGGGGACTCATCTACTGCCACCCAGGTTTCTACCAGAGCCCATCTGAGCAATACGGCTGCCACCGGGTACCACAATCCATGTTGCAGCCACATGGCTGACCCAGAATCGGTGGGGACTGAAGGCTCACTCACTCTGAAATCCTGTTTGTGACACCAATTGTCAGGTTCTAACTGAGTTCTGAGGGGAGTCAAAGGGTGAGTGTCAGGTAGTTGGAAAAACACTCAAGGAATTGTAGACAGTTTTGACATGGTTTTACTCTCTCTCTGGGTGTGAGTGAGCCTGGGTACACACCGTGGCACAAGCCATGGGCACAAGCCATATGTACAGTGTTAGCAGGGTAATTATACCTTTTACAGACAATAGTGGCTCTAAGCCAAGCACGAGCTCATGTGGGTGATCACCTAATGCACCTCATGTGGTGTGGTTACATAATGTGTGGAGTTGTATGCCTGCGTTCCAAATTCACTGAGTCATGCTGGACTGGATGTCTGCCTTGGCTTATTCTTGACCACAGCACATGCACTTTCCTTACACCAGGCTAATGCCAAGGTGGCAGTGGGTCGGGTTCCTTCTTGAGGCTCTAGGAAAGAATCTGTTATCTCACCCTTTTCAGCTTCCAGAGGCTGCCTATACCCCTCACACATAACCCCTTCCTCCCTCTTCAAAGCCAGCAGGGGAGTGTCTTCACATCCCTTTCCATCTGTCCCTCTGCTTCTATAAAGTCACTTCCATTCATCCAACTATTGCAGTTCAATTGTTAGCTTATGAATAAATGAAGATAAAAACATTTTCAGAGGAATACTAGTATTGAGAAGGGAGTGGGAACAGCTAGAAGGAAGAGAGAGTCCTATGTCCTGGAAAAGAAGACTAACTCTATGCTGTCTTTTAAACAAATGCATTCTTGACCTCCCAGGCTCAAGCAATTCTCCCAATGAGTAGCTGGAACTAGATTTGTGTACCACCATGCGTGGCTATTTTTTTTTTTTTCTATTTTTTGTAGAGATGAGTTATCGCTTTTTTGCCCAGGCTGGTCTCAAACTTCTGGTCTCAAGTGATCCTCTCACCTTGGCCTCCAAAAGTGTTAGCTTTACAGGTGTGAGCCACTGTGCCTGGCCCAAATGTGTTTTGTTGACTCTACAATGGACACACGTGCTCTAAACTGTCTACCAGAAGCAATGGCAGCCCTGGGTCACTCCCATATTCCACCTGAAGCTTAAGAGCAAAGAACTACCAGAGTTAGGACATGCATTGGTATTGTCAATGGGAAGTTGTTTGCAACAGAGTCTTCCCAATTTACCTGTGCATCTATTATTTGGGCCGCAGGGAAGAGGATGAATTGCTTTCATCTTCTCACCAGGTAGAGAGCTGGTGTGGAGCAGGGCAAGAGCCCTAGTAGCACAGGAGGAACAGGGAAGGTGGACAGCTAGCATTAGCATTTTCCAGGCATAGAGACAGGTCACCCTGGCCAAATTCCTCATTAGAGGATCAAACTCCAGCTCTTCCCCCTGACTTTAATACTAGAGCTTCACAAACCAACCACTCTACATATTCATATCCTCCCAGAGGATGTTCTAGCAATCTCATTACTGTGACATCTGTAAGTAGAAGAGATCTTTTACTTGCTATTATACAAAGAAATCTATCTGGAAGTTAAAGCTAGTTCTTGCCATATCCCAATTGCTTTCCTTCTCCCCTTGCATTTGATTTCTCCCTGTGCTGCACTCAGTTTGTGGGAGCACAATATCTGGAGGCCCCATTCTTCAAAACCAATGTTTGAGGAAAGTGTGTACTTATGATTACATGCTGACATATATGCAACTTTTGAGTGGGAACAGCATGAGTTGTGGAAATTGAATTAAACAATAAAACCATAATTGCTTGTTAGGGTGCTTTAATTGACTCGTAAGTACCATATGCAAAGCTGCGTGGCTGCAGGAGCCCAATTATAAACTTGCTTACGGAAAGATACAACTTATTTTGCATGTTGGAAACATATTCTCCAATTATTGTTGCCTCAAAAAAAGTGAATTTTTAAATAAATAAATGCTTAGTAAGCTAGTGATATATACTTAGTCCCTAGGTAACCTGGAAACACTTTATTTAGGTTCTAATACAAGACCAGAAAATGCAGAGTTGAAAAATACCCCTTCACTTTATTCCAAGGCGTTTGTTGAGCCCTGTAGCCCTCTGCGTTCCCAGCTAAACCAAGAAGTTACACAGATAGGGCTCTTGGCTTCAACATATCACTTATAAAGACTGACAAGAATAAGCATTTCAGAAAAAAATGGATAAAATAAAATCACAAACAATTCATAAATTAGATATAAAGAATAGCTAATACACATGTGGGTCACAGAGGAGGGAGGAGAAACATCTTAAACTCTGGCTGATGATCTGCTGTGGCTAAGTCCAGGAGGGAATGCTAGGAGTTGTGGTCAAGTTACTCAGCCATGATTGGAAGCAAAATAATTAGGACCAGCTCTGGCTTAGGGAGTGGTTGGGGGAGGTGGGAATCACAGGTGCTCCAAATTAACTTCCTAGCCAAGTCAGGAAATCAGGCTCTTCCAGACAAGTAGAGTGAAGACTTTCAAGAATGAGCGGTGAAAGAATAACTGTTAGGAATCCTAAGTCCAAGGAAGAAAGAAAAGTGTTAAATAAGACAAAATGTAGCCCATGGATGATGTTTACATGACAACAAGTGGTCTTGAACCCCAATAATCTCCATCAGCCATGATGAAACCACCCAAAATAAATATATAAGTACAAAAAGTAGCTTGCTTGTTAAGGAGGCTGCAAGACAAATCTCTTAATCCTCAACTACTCCCTCCTGTAAACTGGACCAAATAAATATACACTCTGAGTAGAAATAGTGGACACGCTGTGCAAAGTCAGCTGCAAAAGAAGTTCTTTAGCCACTCCTTCCTTTTAGATTGCCTCTTTAAGTCTTTCCTTCTACAAAGAAATATTAAAACCTATATTGAAGAAAACCATCATAAATGCATATAAATCATATTCTTTAAGACATTGTCAGCAATCATTCTAACGTAAGACCTGACAGTGAATATGAAGGAGCTTTCATCGCAACCAGGCTTTTTTTTGTTGTTTTTAATAGATCAGTGATCCTCTCCCAGGTTTTACAACACCTTGGAGTAGCTCCATTTATTTCAGTTGACTTTCTTCCATTAAAAATAATTCAATGGGGAATGACTGCTAAGGTGTTTCTCTTGGAAGTGATGAAAATGTGAAATTAATGTGATGGTCGTACAACTCTGTGGATACACTAAAAGTCATCAAATAGTACACTTTAAAGGGTGAATTTTGTCCAGGCGCGGTAGCTTATGCCTGTAATTTCAGCACTTCGGGAGGCTGAGGCGGGTGGATCACGAGGTCAGGAGTTTGAGACCAGCCTGGCCAACATGGTGAAACCCTGTCTCTACTAAAGACACAAAAATTAGCCAGGCATGGTGGTTCATGCCTGTAATCGCAGCTACTCAGGAGGCTGAGATAGGAGAATTGCTTGAACCTGGGAGGCAGAGGTTGCCGTGAATCAGGATCGCACCACTATACTCCAGCCTGGGTAACAGAAGGAGGCTCCAGCTCAAAAAAAAAAAAGTGAATTTTATCTCAACAAAGCTGCTGCAAAAAAAATTCATAATTTAAATATTCTGAATCTTAAATGATGTAATTTTTTTAAACTGAGCTCAGACATCACGTCACAAAACAATGTCAATTAGATGCAGCTTTCCAGAAATCTTAGGAATCATAAGCATTTACTAGTCAGAAAAAAAATGATTTTCCCAAAAGTTATGCTCTAAACCATTTATATTAACTTTTTTAAATAAAAGTATACCCACAAATAAGGAATTAATATTTTGTCATTAATGCAGTTCTTTTCACATGCTTATGACCTTCAAAATTTTGTTTTTAAATTTTATCCTCCATTAAGGACAAAATAGACATTCACCTAGACTTTCTGCAATGTCATATTTACCAAATTAGAATTCTGCAGAACACTATCTGGAGGATACAGTCAGTTGATGAAACATAACAGTAATATAAACAGAATTTTTTCCCTAAGAGGGCTCATAATCTACACAGAATACCCAATTTCCACCACATACGGAAAAAATGCACTAAATATATAAATATCTATGAATCAATTGCATTTTAGTGTATACAGAATATGTAAGCATTGAATGGTGATTAAAGTTAATTTCTTACCATGTTATAAAAATCTGTTAGGTAAGAAATCATCTAACTCCCCTTTTAAATGAGTGTTCTTTTTCCTTCCTTCTTTCTACATCATGGCTTCATTAGAGATGAAAGCTAACGATGAGATGCTTTCTGATATTTCCAAGTCATTTTTCTCACTGCCACTAAAAAGACATCAGACTAAAATCCTTCAGAAATATCTCCTGCATCAGAATTCTGTGTTTTATGCTGAATGAAGTCTTCAATTCAAATTGTATGAAAGTTTCTGGCATTTATTTTATGTATTTGGGAAAAAAATTTAGACATACTTCATTCTACAGACTATTGCCTATAACTACGCAATATGCTAGAAGCTTTATGCTCCTTAAACCCCTATTTTATGTACATGTACAAGAGAAATGCATATTTGGCAGGTAGAAAGAATAAATATGCTAATTCACACACTGCATGTGTATGATTTATTCCACTTTTGAAGGAATATGGCAGTATTTACATAAGTTTCACCTGTATCTCTTCAAACAGCTGTTGTGCAACTAACTTCCAAATCAGAAGAAAAAAATGGGCTGTGTAATTTTTAACAGTTGCTCTGGATTTGACAGATGGATGGTGCTTTAGTCACCTGCTGCACTTCACCTAAAGGCACAGGGAAGAGTTGGGCCAAATCACTGCATCAGGTAATTATAGATTTTTAAAAATGTACTTATTCTTGAAGTATGAGAAGTAATATTCTTAAAAAGCCTGTGTATGACTGAGGTTCTAACTACATCTGCCATGAAATAGGCTATCGAGATAATGAATGCAGCATCATTTATTAGGAAGCTAAACTTTGTGTCATATAATCATTCTAGAAACAGTAACTAAGTAACAAATGGAATGTAAAACCCGAATTTAGAAGTAATTTGCTATTCTCCCATGAAAAACAACTGCAAAGATTCAAGATATTAATTATCTCATTGCTATAGAGAAACGATAAATTAGCACAATATCCACATTTATTTTCCCAACTTGCCAAAGTATATTCTACATTTTCTTGTGGATCTGGCTATTTAAAACATCTTCTAAGGAACTTTCCTTTTTCTACAAAGGATTTCCTTTTTGTAGATCAGTATGAGTAGTCATGCTTTGCATGAGAACATAATCACCATTATTTTAATATATCGTCTGTTATGTACAAAGCTGATGCCATGTCAAGAAGGCATTTATTTTCATTTTGTTTGCTCTCCTCCTCCATAGACTCTCTCAAGGTGCTGCTGGAATTATGTTTATTCATCTCCATATCTTCTTTGGTTTCTCTGGAGACCACGCATTTGCTACATTCTTTATAAAAAACAAATTTGTCACACCTTAATTCCGTTCTAGAATCTCAAACTTGATAAAATTCTATTATAGAAGTCTGAGTAATGGTGGATTCAGAGGATCATTTTGTAGTCCTTATATACTATATATATTCATTAGTCATACACCTTCGTGTCTTGCACAAGACTTTTTAATGAAGAACAGCTCATTTCATATAATATGTAGATGGATTCCTGAAAAGTTGCATGCGAGAAACATGAAGGAAATGAATTTATTTTAATGCAATAGGGAAGCCTGCTATTGAAAGGCTTTCCATCCAGAATAATGGTATTTAACCTCTAAGATTCATTTTTCAATGTAAACAACCAATGTTGTGCTTATGTGAAGCTGAATTTGCTTAAAGTGATGTATATTTCAATACCAAATGACCTCCGGTTTTTTGTGTACAGTGTTTTTTTTAACCTGTTAAAATTAGCTAAGTATAAAACTGCCTTCCAATGTCTCACGAGTTATAACTTCTTTAAGTCAGGAACTTGACTTATTTTTACCTCTAAACTCTGCAAAGTAATTAACCTTAATGTGACTAACAATATTAAATTTGCACATTTGACTACTTTGAGGTAGTACTGGCCACCCGGATGATTCAAATTACCAAGGCTAATTGGACCTGTAATGAGATCTGATAAAATGTTATGCTACACATTTGCTTCAAGTCTTCATAGCACCCAAGTGGAACTTGTGTCTCAACCAAAGAGTTCCATGACAATGTCCACGATCCAAGCACAACCTGAGGAGGCAACATGGCTGGTCAGAATGGTCAATCTGGCTCTGTCTTTACCTGTGATAGCTGCATGACCCACTCGCTAGGCTCATGGAAACTCAAGTGTATTGATATGCAAAATGAATGAGCTGGACCTGGATGATCTGGGTCCCTTCCAGCCCTAATACTCCATGAACACATTATGGGCACAAGCATGTAGAGTGCACTCTTATGTGTATTGTTGTAATCTGTGGTTCTATTGAGAACTTGCAAGATTAGCATAGCCAGCTGGTACTAAAGCAAGCACTTATGCATAATTATTTTGTTTTTATTTCACTTAGTGACATGTTAAGTACACACAGCATGCTAATACACAATGGAAAACATTCTACAATTTAGGTTAAAAAAATTCATACATCACTTAGAAGGCATTTTCCACAACAAATATAAATTAATTGGACTTACCGATAAAGATGGCACAGTGGAAACTCGAATATACTTTCACGTCCTTCTATAACTGCACTAAAACTTTATAAGTGAGTGCTAAACACATTAAGGACAAAGAGAATGGGAAAGAATAAAATAGTGTCATGATTTTGGAAGCTGTAAATCAATGAACAAGAGGTAAAGGATTAAAAAGACCAAAGAAAATAGTAAATTTTAAGGCAGAATAGAGAAAGTCAAGAAGTAATCTGATTTACATCACAGAATAAAAGTGGAGTTAAATGGAAAGAAAGGATGTGCTTTAAAAAATCAGAAATATCCCATTGTGTGTTTACAAAGCAGCCAGATTCCCAGCTCTCTCTCTCTCCCTCCCTCCCTCCCCTCATGCCACAGAGCTATGTATGACCTTCCCTTTATCTTTGCAAAAGACTAGAGGTTAAAGAGTATTGCATGGTACTGGTACCAAAACAGAGATATAGATCAATGGAACAGAACAGAGCCCTCAGAAATAACACCGCATATCTACAACTATCTGATCTTTGACAAACCTGAGAAAAACAAGCAATGGGGAAAGGATTCCCTATTTAATAAATGGTGCTGGGAAAACTGGCTAGCCATATGTGGAAAGCTGAAACTGGATCCCTTCCTTACAACTTATACAAAAATTAATTCAAGATGGATTAAAGACTTACCTGTTAGACCTAAAACCATTAAAACCCTAGAAGAAAACCTAGGCATTACCATTCAGGACATAGGCATGGGCAAGGACTTCATGTCTAAAACACCAAAAGCAATGGCAACAAAAGCCAAAATTGACAAATCGAATCTAATTAAGCTAAAGAGCTTCTGCACAGCAAAAGAAACTACCATCAGAGTGAACAGGCAACCTACAAAATGGGAGAAAATTTTTGCAACCTACTCATCTGAGAAAGGGCTAATATCCAGAATCTACAATGAACTCAAACAAATTTACAAGAAAAAAACAAACAACCCCATCAACAAGTGGGCGAAGGACATGAACAGACAGTTCTCAAAAGAAGACATTTATGCAGCCAAAAAACACATGAAAAAATGCTCACCATCACTGGCCATCAGAGAAATGCAAATCAAAACCACAATGAGATACCATCTCACACCAGTTAGAAGAGCAATCATTAAAAAGTCAGGAAACAACAGGTGCTGGAGAGGATGTGGAGAAATAGGAACACTTGTACACTGTTGGTGGGACTGTAAACTAGTTCAACCATTGTGGAAGTCAGTGTGGTGATTCCTCAGGGATCTAGAACTAGAAATACCATTTGACCCGGCCGTCCCATTACTGGGTATATACCCAAAGGAGTATAAATCATGCTGCTATAAAGACACATGCACACGTATGTTTATTGCGGCACTATTCACAATAGCAGAGACTTGGAACCAACCCAAATGTCCAACAATGATAGACTGGATTAAGAAAATGTGGCACATATACACCATGGAATACTATGCAGCCATAAAAAAGGATGAGTTCATGTCCTTTGTAGGGACATGGATGAAATTGGAAATCATCATTCTCAGTAAACTATCGCAAGAACAAAAAACCAAACACCACATATTCACACTCATAGGTGGGAATTGAACAATGAGAACACATGGACACAGGAAGGGGAACATCACACTCTGGGGACTGTTGTGGGGTGGGGGGAGGGGGAAGGGATAGCTTTAGGAGATTTACCTAATGCTAAATGACGAGTTAATGGGTGCAGCACACCAGCATGGCACATGTATACATATGTAACTAACCTGCACATTGTGCACATGTACCCTAAAACTTAAAGTATAATAAGAATAAAATAAAATAAAATAAAAAGAACCCTGGCTTCTACAACTCCCCTTAACTCAAGCATTTCTTTATATTGACTTCAATTCTCCAGACAAAGCTTAATGCCTTCAATCAATTCCCAATCAGGAAATCTTTGACTTGGAAGCCCCTACTTTGAAATGTCCTGACATTCTGAGCTAAAGCAATGTATACCTTATATGTATTGATTTATACCTTTGCCTGTAACTTTTGTCTCCCTAAAATGTATAAAACCAAGTTGTAACTCAACCACCTCGGGCACCCGTTCTCAGGACCTCCTGAGGCTGTGTCATGGGCCATGGTTGCTAACATTTGGCTCAGAATAAACCTCTTTAAATATTAAAAAAAAAAAAAAAAAAAAAAAAAAAAGAGTATTATCAGACTCTCTCTGGCCTGTGGGCCAAAGGCATAGCTGAGGGGATTACCTAACCACATTCATGCTGAATGCTGAAACTCCTTGCCATCTTCCCTAACTCAGCTTCCAGAAGACTGACAATCAGGTCTTCCCCCTCTAGGCCACCACTGAAAAATTCTTCTCTTGGACGTCCATTCAGTACAAGAGGAAAGGGTCACCTATGTTGACATGAGGAGCTTTTCAACTGAACAGTCCAGCCAGACCACTTCACTCTTAAGCTAGTATGAGCAGAAAAACTCATACAATTCAACTTTTTTACTTCAATCTTAAAAAGAAACAGAAACCGAAGGATTACCAGATACCTGAGGACAATGTCTGTCATAAATACAAGTTGAAACAAATTAAAACATGATAAGGGGAAGAAAACTTTGCGAATGAAAAGACTATCACTAAAACTATTAAACTGAAGAAAAACAGAAAGATTTCTACCATGAAACCAGTAGTGCTTACTATGAGAAAAGAATATTTAGCAAGTAAAGATCTTTCAGAAATCAAAGCAAAATAAAAATTAAAAAAACAATTCAATAGAATGTAAGATTAAGTCAAAGAAATCTTTCAGACATAGAGTAAAAGAACACATAGATGAAATCTAGGAGAAAAAAATTAGAAAAATATATCTAGGAAGTTTAACATTTAGATTATAGCAGTTCTAGAACTAGAGAACAAAAATATGCCAGGGAGGAAATCATTAAAAAATTATTCAAACTAATTTCAAGAATATATTTTTCCAAATTAAAAGAGATAACTGAATGTCCAATCAATTTAATTAAAATACATCCATATAAGGATACATCTTCATAAAATTTCAAAACAATGAGGACAAAGATCTCACAGCTTTTGATTCCTTGTCTCCATTGAAATTTAGAAGGAAAATATCTGCAAGATGCTGAAGGAAAACTGTGTCCGACTTAGAATTTTATACCTCACCATATTATTCAAGTGTGAGAACGGAATAAAAATCTTTTCAGATATTCGTGATTAGAAAAATTTTACCTCCACATCCTTTCTCAGAAACCTGCAGAAGAGCAAGATGCACTTCTCTAAGAGAGAAGACCAAGGAAGAGTAGGGGAGAGAGTAAGAAGACAGAATAATGTTTAAGGGAGATCCCAGGATGGCAGATCTGCACTAAATATCAAGGTTGAGTCCAGATAAAATAGGTCAGAAAGCTCCACAACAGTTTTACAGAAATATGTCACTGATGGATCCGATAATCTTGAGAAGACATTTACTCAATTAGTAAAAAATTTTGTTTGTTCTTAATAAGATTTTTTAAAAGCAAAAAAGTATATAGAAAATAATTCCAGGAAAAGTAAAATGCTGCATGAAAAAAAAAGATTATCATAGTTTATTTACCCATGGTAAGCCTTTCAAAAACGTGTATATAGCTATACTAATATAAACACTGAATATATTAATTAATGAAATTATATAACTTTTGGAGAAGATGGGAAGTGTACATGCATAATGAGGGGAGTATGAGACAAGAGTTTTAAATCCTTATTATTAAGGGCTGGGCACGGTGGCTCACACATGTAATTCCAGCATTTTGGGAGGCCTAGGCAGGTGGATCGCTTGAGGTCAGGAGTTCAAGACCAGCCTGGCCAACATAGTGAAACCCCCTTTCTACTAAAAATGCAAAAATTAGCCAAGCATGGTTGTGTATGCCTGTAATCCCAGTTACTCGGGAGGCTGAGACATGAGGATCACCCGAACCCAGGAGGCAGAGGTTGCAGTGAGCTGAGATTGTGCCACTGCATTCCAGACTGGGCAACAGAGTGAGACTCTGTCTAAAACAAAACAAAACCCTTATCATTCAGAGTGGGGAAGCAAAAGATAATGGTTAAATCTGAAATATAAATATCACAAAACAAACACTCTTTAGAGATTGAGTTTAAAACAACAACATAATCAGCTGAAATAATTGATAGTAGTTGATGCTGGGGAGAACAAATGGAGTCATACATCATAGAAATATCTTTCAAATTATGGGCATGTATACATTTGATAAAAATAAAAACCAAAATTAAAATGAATGAATGAGTGAATAAAACAGATTAAATCTAACATCTTTAAAATACTTTCACAAGTATACGAAATAGCATACCAGATCAAATACATGACATACAGGATTCTATATCATATATGCGTTCTTTATAGGCAAAGCCTGTCCAATTTTCCTACTTTTGTCAATAAAATATAAAGGAGCATACGTTTGTATTTCTTTCCTCCAGATAGTCCACCTATTATTTATCTTTCTCAACAAAAATGACACAACAAAAAGTGGCAGATTTTTTCTTCCAATTTTGTGAAAATAACAGAGACAGCTATTCAAATTCATTTATTTCATGTTTTAATGGCTTACTATGTGCCAGAAGCTCTATTAAGCATTGCAAAGTAAAAATACAAGAAAGATACCCAGTCCTTGGCTTTTGACACCTTAAGTGGGTCCTTGGTTGGGAAGGGTGGGCAATGTAATTTATTTTTAACCTCCAGAAGGAGAAATTAGAACAGGACACAGAGAAAACTCTGTTGATAGCAGAGGTCAAAATGATGAGGATGAAATACAATGGTTATTTGCTTGTAATGAGAGATGAGCTAGCTGGAAACACCAGGGCCTACAAAAGAGAGTAATCGTTACTGAGTTGCGTGGAAAGGCAAAGGCAATGGTTTGCTTTGCAGCTCTTAGTTCACTTCCCTTAGCTGGAACTCTTTAGCCTCTTTTAGCACACTCAACCCCCAAATATAATCTTGGATTTAATTTCCATGTTCTTCTTTCTCCATTTCTAGGAGAGTAGCATTAATTTCTGTATCCCTTTGATTTCATAAGTCACAAAGAAACAGTCCAGTGCAAATTCAAAGCAGTAGACATGAATTCTGGCATTGAGGGCATCTCTACTCCTCAGAGCTGCTGCCTGCTAAAGCAAATAATGCCAGAAATCAATTTGAAAGACTGCTGACAGCAATTAACAAACTCAAGCCAAAATAATCTCATTTTATTCTCAGCCAAGATAAACTCATTAGCGACTGTGAGGCATCTGCTTCCTTCCAAAACTGTAACCTTGTGAGGAAAAGGGATGCAATGCCAAATAGTGTCTAAAGTTGTCAAAAATATATATATATATATATGGTCCCCCCCGCCCCCCCTCCAAACAACAACAACAAAAACAACAAATCAGCAAGGGGCAATGGCAAATTCAAATCAAAACAACTTCAAAAAAGTAAGTGGCTTGGGTGTGAAAGTGATAAAATTATTTTTTGCTTTAACACATTTTAGTTACTACTAACATTCAATTCTCCTAGTACTCTGACTACTTAGAAAAGTTGAACCAAGTAAATGAGACCAAGTCCAAGAAATTCCAAGCAGAGTTCTATAACTATCTCCCTTAAATATGATTGAAAATTCTGAAAATTAGATGATGGTAATCTTTGTGGTCATGATTGCAAATGCAAATAACATAATGAACACATTTTATGAGTAGGGGGCAACTGAGAATTAAAGAATCAGGATAAGGCTAAAATTCAACACAGTCTTTTACCTCATAGGTTGAGATGTAAATTAGTTTCCTTTTCAAGTTATTTTCCAAATTGTGGAAATTAGATCACATCTGTTTTTTAACAAGTAAAATTCTCTTGGTTGTATAATCTTCAATTCTGATTTTCTAAATTAGCATAATAAAAATATGTCTAAAATTACCCAGATACTGGAATATAGTATCACTGAAAAGATGAGCTTCTGTTGAAGTAAACTGCATTGATACATGATCTTTACAAACAATTAAATGTAAGCTAGCTGAGAAAGCCAGAATTAATTTAACTACTACCCTCCTTACTCATAATATAATTTTCACAGGGCTAGGAGAAACCAAAAGACTTGAAAAAAATGCCTAAGATAATGATTAACACTTTTTAAAAAATTTTTAAGTGAAAAAAGAGAGAAAAGGAAAAAGGAGAAAAATATAGATTACCATTTTGATAGGAAATTTCAGAGTAAAATTCTATAAATTTTTTTTTTGTAAATCTAGAGATTTGGGTTAATTTACAATGATTTTTCTTTCATATACCCAAAGTCCATCCCTCTTTAATTTCTGAAGGTAGTTCCTTTTTCTTTCAATTACAGGGACAGAAAACAAAGTGGGCCCACATTCTTTGCATAATCTTCAGATACAGGAAGGCTTTTATTCTTTCTCAACAAACTCCATCAAGAAAAGTGGCCCTGAGTCCTTTAGTCTTGAACTACAAAACTCATGCTTTCTGACATTTTCAGAAAGACAGACTGAATAGGTTATGTAATAGACTGAATATCTGTGTCTCCCCAAATCCATTAGTTGTATCCCTAAACCCCAAGTGACGGTATTTGGAGAAGAGGCCTTTGGGTGATAAATAAGGTTAGATTAGGTCATGAGGGTGGGAACGTCATGATGGAATTGGTAGCCTTATAAAATGATGAAGATCTCTTATTCTCTCATGCTCACTCTTTCTGAACGCACACACTGAGGAAAGGCCACATATCAAGAAGGTGTCCATCTGCAAGCCAGGAAGAGGTTCTTCACCAGAACCCAACCATGCTGGCACACTGACCTCAGACTTCCAGCCTCCAGAACTGTGAGAAAATAAATTTCTGTTGTTTTTGCCACTCAGTCTGTGGTGTTTTGTTATGCCCTCTGAAGCAGACTAATATAGGTTAGAAAGATTACAGAATTTTAAAGCTGGAAGGGAACTCAGAGATGACTCATTCCAAGGGTTAAAAACTGGTGACCTTTTGAATTAGCCTGCAGACTTGCTTTGTTTTGTGTTCATAGAATTAAAAATACTTCCAAAACGTATATTGCATAGGGGTGACAGCTGTAATTTCACACAAGTGCCATCACTGTCAATTGCATTACTCCTACCCTAAAAACCTATCTGTGTAACCTGCTTCATGCCTGTGACTCTGATTTCTGCCCTCTCTCTCCTTTTATATACAAAGAAACTAAGGTTCAGAAATTTAGGGTGACTTGCCCATGCTAAGGCAAGTAATTGAAATGAGAAATGTGTCTGGAATCCAGATCTCTTGCTAATCTGTACGGTGTTCTACTGCACAGCCTGCCTAAGGAATATGGTAGTTAGCTACTGCATTGGTATAACACAGTAGCAAATATTTTAGCTACTTGATGCATCATGGATGCCAGGGAAAGATTTCAAGCCAAAACAAAAAAAAAAGCAACCATTCATTTTTAAATTTTATTTATCTACCCAGGTGAATGAAGTCTGAAACGAGTACATATTAACCTTGAAGATGTAATATCATCACTTTGGAAGTAAATACGGAAAACAAACATCCTTGTACTATATTCCTTAAAAGTATTTCTGTTAATGTTGACTAAAGAAATAATTTAAAGGGTTTTTGTAAGGGAAATAGTATAATAAAGATTATAGCAAAGGAAATAACAGAAAGAGAAAACATAGTTATAGAAATGCTATATTTTAGTACTATATTACAAGAGTGAATCTACTAAAATGTCTATATTTTACTTTAATTACATAAGTCCTCTCAAAATATTTTTTATAACAATATCAAAAACGTTTATCTTTTATTTGCCTTTCTTAGATCTTTGCAAGATTTGCAAGGAAGGAATATCAGTGGACTAGTTTTTCTTCTATTTTTTTTTTTACGATTGTATGTCAATAGCATCTTTTGAAGAGAAAAAATAGCAGAAGTAGATGTAACACATAGAAGGGGATGGAAGGAGAAACCATTTGTGATATCAACTGTAATAAAAAATATTTTGTCCACAGATATTCTCTTATTTGATCCTTCCCAAAAGTCTGAATACACATGTAAAGCAAGGCATTACCTCCATTTCAGAGGAGAGAAAACTGAGGCTTAAAATTCTTTTTTTTTTTATTATTATACTTTAAGTTCTAGGGTACATGCATACAACTTGCAGGTTTGTTACATATGTATACATAAGCCATGTTGGTTTGCTGCAGCCATTAACTCATTATTTACATTAGGTATTTCTCCCAATGCTATCCCATCCTCATCCCCCCACCCCATGACAGGCTCCAGTGTGTGATGTTCCCCACCCTGTGTCCAAGTATTCTCATTGTTCAATTCCCACCTATGAGTGAGAACATGTGGTGTTTGGGTTTCTGTCCTTGCGATAGTTTGCTCAGAATGATGGTTTCCAGCTTCATCCATGTCCCTACAAAGGACAAGAATTTGTCCTTTTTTATGGCTGCATAGTATTCCATGGTGTATATTTGCCACATTTTCTTAATCCAGTCTACCACTGATGGACATTTGGGTTGGTTCCAAGTCTTTGCTATTGTGAATGGTGCCACAATAAACATACATGTCCATGTGTCTTTATAGTAGCATGATTTATAATCCTTTGGGTATATACCCAGTAATGGGATGGCTGGGTCAAATGGTATTTCCAGTTCTACATCCCTGAGGGATCGCCACACTGACTTCCACAATGGTTGAACTAGTTTACAGTCCCACCAACAGTGTAAAAGTGTTCCTATTTCTCCACATCCTCTCCAGCATCTGTTGTTTCCTGACTTTTTAATGATTGCCATTCTAACTGGTGTGAGATGGTATCTCATTGTGGTTTTGATTTGCATTTCTCTGATGACCAGTGATGATGAGCATTTTTCCATGTGTCTGTTGGCTGCATAAATGTCTTCTTTTGAAAAGTGTCTGTTCATATACCTTGCCCACTTTTTGATGGGTTGTTTGATTTTTTCTTGTAAATTTGTTTAAGTTCTTTGTAGATTCTGGATATTAGCCCTTTGTCAGATGGGTAGATTGTGAAAATTTTCTCCCATTCTGTAGGTTGCCTGTTCACTCTGATGGTAGTTTCTTTTGCTGTGCAGAAGCTCTTTAGTTTACTTAGATCCCATTTGTCAATTTTGGCTTTTGTTGCCATTGCTTTTGGTGTTTTGGTCATGAAGTCCTTGCCCATGCCTATGTCCTAAATGGCATTGCCTAGGTTTTCTTCTAGGGTTTTAATGGTTTTAGATCTAACAGGTAAGTCTTTAATCCATCTTGAATTAATTTTTGTATAAGGTGTAAGGAAGAGATCCAGTTTCAGCTTTCTTCATATGGCTAGCCAGTTTTCCCAGCACCGTTTATTGAATAGGGAATCCTTTCCTCATTTCTTGTTTTTGTCATGTTTGTCAAAGATCATATGGCTGTAGGTGTGTGGTGTTATTTCTGAGGCCTCTGTTCTGTTCCACTGGTCTATATCTCTGTTCTGGTACCAGCACCATGCTGTTTGGGGTGCTGTAGCATTGTAGTATAGTTTGAAGTCAGGTAGTGTGATGCCTCCAGCTTTATTCTTTTGGCTTAGGATTGTCTTGGCAATGTGGGCTGTTTTTTGGTTCCATGTGAACTTTAAAGTAGTTTTTTCCAATTTTGTGAAGAAAGTCATTGGCAGCTTGATGGGGATGGCATTGAATCTATAAATTACCTTGGGCAGTATGGCCATTTTCACGATATTGATTCTTCCTATCCATGAGCATGGAATGTTTTTTCATTTGTTTGTGTCCTCTTTTATTTTATTGAGCAGTGGTTTGTAGTTCTCCTTGAAGAGGTCTTTCACCTCCCTTGTAAGTTGAATTCCTAGGGATTTTATTCTCTTTCTAGCAGTTGTGAATGGGAGATTACTCATGATTTGGCTCTCTGTTTGTCATTGCTGTATAGGAATGCTTGTGATTTTGGCACATTGATTTTATATCCTGAGACTTTGCTGAACTTGCTTATCAGCTTAAGGAGATTTTGGCTGAGATGATGGGGTTTTCTAAATATACAATCATGTCATCTGCAAAAAGGGACAATTTGACTTGCTCTTTTCCTAATTGAATCCCCTTTATTTCTTTCTCTTGCCTGATTGCCCTGGCCAGAACTTCCAACACTATGTTGAACAGGAGTGGTGAGAGATGGCATCCATGTCTTGTGCCAGTTTTCAAAGGGAATGCTTCCAGTTTTTGCCCATTCAGTATGATATTGGCTGTTTGTCTGTCATAAATAGCTCTTATTATTTTGAGATATGTCCCATCAATACCTAGTTTATTGAGAATTTTTAGCATGAAGGCTTTAGCATGAATTTTGTCAAAGGCCTTTGCTGCATCTTTTGAGATAATCATGTGGCTTTTGTCTTTGGTTCTGTTTATATGCTGGATTATGTTTATTGATTTGCGTATGTTGAACCAGCCTTGCATTCCAGGGATGAAGCCAAATTGATATTGGTGGATAAGCTTTTTGATGCGCTGCTGGATTCAGTTTCCCAGTATTTTATTGAGGATTTTCACATCAAAGTTCATCAGGGATATTGGTCTAAAATTCTCTTTTTTTTGTTGTGTCTCTGCCAGGCTTTGGTATCAGGATGATGTTGGCCTCATAAAATGAGTTAGGGGGGATTCCCCCTTTTTCTATTGATTGGAATAGTTTCAGAAAGAATGGTACCAGCTCCTTTCTTCATACCTCCACTAGAATTCGGCTCTGAATCTGTCTGGTCTTGGACTCTTTTTGGTTGGTATGCTATTGGTTATTGCCTCAATTTCAGAGCCTGTTATTGGTCTATTCACTGATTCAACTTCTTCCTGGTTTAGCCTTGGGAGGGTGTATGTGTTGAGGAATTTATCCATTTCTTCTAGATTTTCTAGTTTATTTGCGTAGAGCTGTTTATAGTATTCTCTGATGGTAGTTTGTATTTCTGTGGGATCGGTGGTGATATCCCCTTTATCATTTTTTATTGCATCTATTTGATTCTTCTCTCTTTTCTTCTTTATTAGTCTTGCTAGCAGTCTATCAATTTTGTTGATCTTTTCAAAAAACCAGCTCCTGGATTCATTGATTTTTTTGAAGGGTTTTTTGTGTCTCTGTCTCCTTCTGTTCTGCTCTGATCTTAGTTATTTCTTGCCTTCTGCTAGCTTTTGAATTTGTTTGCTCTTGCTTCTCTAGTTCTTTTTATTGTGATGTTAGGGTGTCGATTTTAGATCTTTCCTGCTTTCTCTTGTGGGCATTTAGTGCTTTAAATTTCCCTCTACACACTGCTTTAATTGTGTCCTAGAAATTCTGCTACATTATGTCTTTGTTCTCATTGGTTTCAAAGAACATCTTTATTTCTGCCTTCATTTCGTTATTTACCCAGTAGTCATTCAGGAGCAGGTTGTTCAGTTTCCATATATTTGTGCAGTTTTGAGTGAGTTTCTTAATCCTGAGTTCTAATTTGATTGCACTGTGGTCTGAGAGACAGTTTGTTGTGATTTCTGTTCTTTCACATTTGCTGAGGAGTGCTTTACTCCCAACTATGTGGTCAATTTTGGAATAAGTGAGATGTGGTGCTGAGAAGAATGTGTATTCTGTTGATTTGAGGTGGAGAGTTCTGTAGATGTCTATTAGGTCTGCTTGGTGCAGAGCTGAGTTCAAGTCCTGCATATCCTTGTTACTCTTCTGTCTCATTGATCTGTCTACTATTGACAGTGGGGTGTTAAAGTCTCCCATTATTATTGTGTGGGAGTATAAGTCTCTTTGTAGGTCTCTAAGGACTTGCTTTATGAATCTGGGTGCTCCTGTATTGGGTGCATATATATTTAGGATAGTTAGCTCATCTTGTTGAATTGATCCCTTTACCATTATGTAATGGCCTTCTTTGTCTCTTTTGATCTTTGTTGGTTTAAAGACTGTTTTTGTCAGAGACGAGGATTGCAACCCCTGCTTTTTTTTTGCTTTCCATTTGCTTGGCAGATCTTCCTCCATCCCCTTATTTTGAGCCTATGTGTGTCTCTGCATGTGAGATGGGTCTCCTGAATACAACGCACTGATGGGTCTTGACTCTTTATCCAATTTGCCAGTCTGTGTCTTTTAACTGGGGCATTTAGCCCATTCACATTTAAGGTTAATATTGTTATGTGTGAATTTGATCCCATCATTATGATGTTAGCTGGTTATTTTGCTCATTAGTTGATGCAGTTTCTTTGTAGCATCGATGGTCTTTACAATTTGGCATGTTTTTGCAGTGGCTGGTACTGGTTGTTACTTTCCACGTTTAGTGCTTCCTTCAGGAGTTCTCGTAAGGCAGGCCTGGTGGTGACAAAATCTCTCAGCATTTGCTTGTCTGTAAAGGATTTTATTTCTCCTTCACTTAGGAAGCTTAGTTTGGCTGGATATGAAATTCTGGGTTGAAAATTCTTTTCTTTAAGAATGTTGAATATTGGCCCCCACTCTCTTCTGGCTTGTAGAGTTTCTACCGAGAGATCCCCTGTTAGTCTGATGGGCTTCCCTTTGTGGGTAACCTGACCTTTGTCTCTGGCTGCCCTTAACATTTTTTCCTTCATTTCAACCTTGGTGAATCTGATAATTATGTGTTTTGGGGTTGCTCTTCTCGAGGAGTATCTTTGTGGTGTTCTCTGTATTTCCTGAATTTGAATGTTGGCCTGCCTTGCTAGGTTGGGGAAGTTCTCCTGGATAATATCCTGAAGAGTGTTTTCCAACTTGGTTCCATTCTCCCCGTCACTTTCAGGTACACCAATCAAACGTAGATTTGGTCTTTTCACGTAGTCTCATATTTCTTGGAGAGTTTGTTCATTTATTTTTACTGTTTTTACTTTAAACTTCTCTTCGCGCTTCATTTCATTCATTTGATCTTCAATCACTTATACCCTTCCTTCCACTTGATCAAATCAGCTACTGAAGCTTGTGCATGCATCATGTAGTTCTCGTGCCACGGTTTTCAGCTCCATAAGGTCATTTAACGTCTTCTCTACACTGTTTATTCTAGTTAGCCATTCGTCTAATCTTTTTTCAAGGTTTTTAGCTTCCTTTTGATGGGTTTGAACATCCTCCTTTAGCTCAGAGAAGTTTATCATTACCGACTTTCTGAAGCCTACTTCTGTCAACTCATCAAAGTCATTCTTCATCTAGCTTTGTTCCATTGCTGGTGAGGAGCTGCACTCCTTTGGAGGAGAAGGGGCGCTCTGGTTTTTAGAACTTTCAGCTTTTCTGCTCTGGTTCCTCGCCATCTTTGTGGTTTTATCTACCTTTGGTCTTTGATGATGGTGACGTACAGATGGGGTTTTGGTGTGGATGTCCTTTTTTTTGATGTGGATGCTATTCCTTTCTGTTTGTTGGTTTTCCTTCTAACAGTCAGGTCCCTCAGCTACAGGTCTGTTGGAGTTTGCTGGAGGTCCACTCCTGACCCTGTGTGCCTGGGTATCACTAGCAGAGTCTGCAGAATAGCAAATATTGCAGAACAGCATATATTGCTGCTTGATCCTTCCTCTGGAAACTTCATCTTAGAGGGGCACCCAGCTGTATGAGGTATCAGTCGGCCCCTAGTGGGAGATGTCTCCAAGTTAAGCTACACAGGGCTCAGGGACCCACTTGAGGAGGCAGTCTGTCCATTCTCAGAGCTCAAACATGCTGGGAGACCCACTGCTCTCTTCAGAGCTGTCAGACAAGGATGTTTAAGTCTGCAGAAGTTTCTGCTGCCTTTTGTTCAGCTATGCCCTGCCCCCAGAGGTGGGGTGTACAGAGGCAGGCAGGCCTGGTTGAGCTGCAGTTGGTTCCACCCAGTTCGAGATTCCAGGCCACTTTGTTTATGTACTCAAGCCTCAGCAATGGCAGACGCCCCTCCCCTAGCCAGGCTTGCCGCCCAGCAGTTCAATCTTGGACTAGCAGTGAGCAAGGCTCTGTGGGTTTGGCACCCACTGAGCCAGGCAAGGGATATAATCTCCTGGTGTGCTGTTTGCTAAGCCCTTTGGAATAGTGCAGTATTTAGGTGGCAGTGTCCCGATTTTCCTGGTACAGTCTGTCATGGCTTCCCTTGGCTAGGAAAGGGAAATCCCCCAACCCCTCCTGCTTCCCAGGGGAAGAAGTGCCCCACTCTGCTTCAGCTCACCCTCCGTAGGGTGCACCCTGTCTGACCAGTCCCAATGAGATGAACCAGGTACCTCAGTTGGAAATGCAGAAATCCCCGGTCTTCTGCGTCGATCACACTGAGAGCTGCAGACCCGAGCTGTTCCTATTCGGCCATCTTGGAATGGACCTCAAAGCTTAAAATTCTAAACCTCTTCCTCAATTGTGTCTGGCTAATAACTTGAGTTATCTGTAGCCACTTGATCTATATTTCACAAGTTATGAGCCACGGTTTCCGAGGACCCTGTTACATTCATTAAAAAAGTTCATAAACTTCTACATGACCTGTTTGACAAGTTAATTTTTAGTATTGATTATCTAAGCTTGAAACAAATAGCAGTTGCCCATTTAATATGGCCCTGCTAGATTTGTTTTAGGCTGACTTTTATTCCTATGATTGGATTTCACATTAAGATTTCTGTATTACAAGTGATGTACTTATTCATTGATTTGCTTATTAATTCAATACAAATATTTTGAATACCAACTGTCTTGTGAGCCTGTATGTGTTTGTGAATGTGGGGTTGGCGGACTGTGGGAAGAACAGCAAGATAAGTATAGCAGAAATCCCATGATATAGACAGAATCTTAAAAGAGAACAAAAGAGGTATCACATACACACATCTAAAAAGAGCATCTGGTGGGTGATGTGTTATCCTAGAAGTTCACGGTACCCAGGAGGTGACCAAATGTTCTAGCAAGTGTCCAAGGTTACAGTAGCCTATCATTCTGTTTTAAAATGTGGGTCAGGGTTAAATCCAGACCAGATAAAAAGCCAGGGACCTGTCTGTAGCATCCCGTCATCTCTATTCTACCACCCTTCTTCAGTAAGCGCTTACCTACCCCGAAACCACCCCATACCCCTCTTGGTAGTTTTCCTTGGTAGCACTACAGTTGGACTTCACTAGCACCCCCCAAGGTTTCATCTCCTCTTCCTCTACTCTGATGTCTTGACGTTTTGACTCTTTTGTGCCTAGTTTAACTCTCACACTATTTTAAGATAAAGCTGGTCTTTCTGTGTCTTGGCTCTAAGCCCCACCAGGTCTATTTTTCAAATGCAATTCATCAAAGTCCTGGCCCACTCTCCATGTGTGGCTTGCCCTCGCTCCTGGACTGAGATGCTCCTAGAAGTAGCTCCTTTCCAGGACCCTGAAGGTTGGATACAATTTTACTTGACAATAAGGGGAAGGAAAATATTCTATGGAGAAGATATGTCACAGCCAATTAGCCTTCCTTGGACTAAAAGCCAAAGGTTCATGTGGGAAAGAAGACATGTAAGCACACATGAAATTGTAGAAGGCCTTGTGGGCTATATTAAGAGATTTGACATCTACAGATAAAGCGTATCTGTGGAATTTATTTTATTTTCAGTTGAGGAATATGTGTTTTTGATCTCTGATGAATGCCCATAAGTAAAAGCCTTCTTTTAACAAAGCTGCAGGCACTCAGGGAGCCTACAAACACAAACATTCACAAGCAAAGGTGCTAATATACACTATTTGTGAACATCCAAACCCAGGTTGTGATAATTGGAAAAGTAGAGCTACTAAAGCCATGGTGAAATAGCCATTGAATAAGAATTCACTAAGCGCCTTCTAAATGTGAGATACTGTGTTTGGCACTGAAGGGGATCTGAAGTATAAGATATGGCATCTGACCTCAAGAGACTGCAAGTGGCTCCTCATCAATCTGCAACTGGCTTCTCTGGAACCTCTAAAAATAGACTGCAGGAAATCATGGAAATTGCCAGTAGGATTGCTTATCTGAGAATTTATCCAGAATAAGTTCCCTTCACTTTCTTTGATGCTATCCTTCATAAAACAATAAGAGGGGTGGTATTTTTAAGATATTTTGTTAAATTTATTTGGCATGTAAACATCCACCTTTAAAAAATTTTTTTCGGTCCTCTGAGTAGGTGTAATAAGTTCACATCTAAATAATCTACCACATCGAACTCATCCAGTCTGCAAATTAAATCAGTCCATAATCATGACCAAAAATGCTCTTACGGATGCTGTTACATGAGACTGTAAGGTCAGTTATATTTTGAATCAATTTATAAAACAAGAGAAAGAGGAAATAAGATTCTCATTAGAACCTTGGCTAGCAATTTAAAAAATGTGTCTTTTCAGGGAGGAAATTTGAGTGGGAATCTTAGAATGGTTTGTAGACAAAACCAAACAAGCAAACAAAACTGACTAGTCTTCCACCCTGCAAAAGAAGCTCATCTTATTTGTTTTCTAATATTTGAAAGAGGCAGCATGTCAAGTTTGGTGCCTGAGGGCAAAGCTGTTCACTTCAGCAAGGAAAGGAAAGAAAAGAGAAAAGAAAATCACCATAAAAAAGGGAAAGTGTTAGGCAAGGTAGGAGAAATTAAATGGAGAAATGTTTTGCTCTGAAATGTGAACAAGTGGTAATATTAAAATGCAAACACAGAAGGGGACTATTGGAAATACAGAGCAAAGCCTCACTCTTCACTTAAAATGATCTAAAATGTATGAATGAGTCAGCTGCAGAACAAAGGATCATTGCTGCTCTTCCTCATGGTTACAATCACATGGGCTATTGTAATTTCATCATCACTACTGCCTCCTCCTATAGCACTGTTAATCAATGTCTCAACATTTGGGAGTGGAAGAGTAGAGAGTGGTGGGTAGGAGAACTGGTCATGCATTGTCCTCAAAAGAGAGAGACAAGTTAGGCTATCCATTTTCTCCAAATTTATTTTTCAAACACCAATTCTTTCCAGTGCTTTTACTTAACGTATGTCCAGATTGCCTCACAACTGGAAAATTGGTGATGGCAAGAAGAAAGAACACTAAACATATGGAACAATTACTAAGGCATCGGGGGTCCAACATTTTGCTGCATACCTTATGGAATAATTTTCTAATACTTATAACAATCCTATAAATAAGATATATAATCTCAGTTTGTAAACAAACAAACAAACAAAAAAACTCTAAAGCTCAGAAAAACATATTATTTTTCCCCAAATTAAAAAACAACAAATGGAGATGTTAAGATATAAACCTAAGACCCCCATATTTCACACTATGTAGTCACTGGAGTATGCTTAGCTGTTTCGAATAGGGAAATATATCTTTGAAGCATAGATACATTTGAAGATGTTTAATTGTAAGTATCAATTTAATTCGTTTAAAATTTATTTTCCTTAAAAGTGACTTTCCTTGGTACCCACCAAAATCTTTTCCTGGGTATTTACTAAATCTTTGATGTAGTGAATCATACACGTATAATGTCATTAATATGTTTCAACAAATATAAATAGAAAATATACTTCCTATGATCACATAATACATTTCCAAGCCAAGCATAACAATGTCTGCTACCAAGGAGGTTAAAGTGTGTGTGTGTGTGTGTGTGTGTGTGTGTGTGTGTGTCTGTGTGTGTGTGTGTGTGTATGTGTGTGTGTGTCTTGGAAAAGAGATAGTTGAAAGTAGCAGCTTGAAAAAGTAGGTATTGACACTGTATTACTGATCCACTGCTACATACAAACTACCCCAAAACAAAGGCTTAAAGTAAGTGTGGATTAACTTGGCAATTCCTTGGGTTTTGCCTGGGCTTACCTAAAAGGTGTATTCAGTTCAAGAGTCAACTGGAAGCTGAACTGAGCTGTCACTGGAGAAGCTGGCGTCTCTTCCATGTGGTTTTGCACACTGGAGGAGTCGAGACAGCCCCTCATAAGGTGGGGTCAGCCTCCCAAGAGTGCAAGCTCCAGTGGGCAAGACTTCACCACATCTAGGCTTGTGTCATGATTACCAACGTCCTATTAGCCAAAGCAAGTCATGGCAAGTACAGAATCAGTGTTGGAGGGGACTACATCAACGGCATAAATACTGGAATATGAGACTCATTAGGACCTATTAAAATAATAATCTAACACAGACATCTTTTGGACTTAAAGACAGCTTTCCTTCAGAAGCATGGTAGAGCAACTTTGTCAATTAGGCTCCAAAAAGGATGTTATCTGATGCTTGGTGTTTGAGAATTTGAGAGGAAAAGAGATCTAATTTTTAAGGTGGATTCCTAAAGAAAGAAGGGGAGGGGACAGAAGTTCTAGCCCGTGAGTTGGTGGATCATGAAAGTAGCCCTGAGCGGGCATAGGTATAGCCCTGGTACGTGGATACATATAAGAAATAAAAGTAGTAAGCATAAAGATATGCAAATTTGTTAGCCCACCGTGATGCACCCTTGACCAAAATCCACATTAGCAGTTGTGGTTCACACAAAGAGCCTTCATGTCTTAGTGATAGTTGATGCCAGTGAATGATACAGGACTGCCACAGCAGAGCAGCCTTCAACAGCAGCTCCCTGTGTCAGTGAGAAGCCACAGCTGTAGTAGATCTCACAGATGCCTACTCTCTCCATGACTGGATGTCCATGACACACTACCATGCCTAACACTCTCAGATGGGCAAAGAAGCATATCCCTTAAGGCAGATGGGCAAAGAAGCATAGCGTTAGCCTAGCTTTACAGAGCGCTCACTATGTGTCAATACAATTCTACACACTCTACAGTTGGCTTCTGTGACCATTCCCACTTTACAGAGAAGGAAAAAGGGGCAAAGAAAGGTTAATTAACTTTCCAATTCCAAATAGCTGTTACACAGCTGAGCTAGGACTCAAAGCTAAGCAGTTTGCCTTCCTTGGAGATTGATTCATTAGAAAAGTAAATGGTGTGACTATATTTGCAACTCTTTGGGAAGTTCATGCTGATTTTAAAAGCACTCTTGAATTGGGAATTGCATACTCCTGTGTTTTAATCTTAATGATACTCTGGTCCCCTCTCAGGTCTGAACAAATATAAGTTTATTTTTCTACACAGTGAATTTATATTTCTTTATACTTTTTATCTTGTATTGAGTAACTTTTAGAAGAATAGATAGGTGTTACGACGTATCTTTACAAAAGAAAAACTTTGTGTTTATGAAACATTTTAGTTTCATTCATAGATAGTTTCTATCTCATTTATTTCCTGTAAAAATAAATGTCAGCCATATGATATCACTTATTTTGTAACACAAGTTTCAATGGGCCATTTTACTTTTCTGGCTTTGCAGTATTTAAATGGCCATTCACATTTCAGGGTTAGAGTTGGTGACAACTGGTTTATTTTCATTACTCTTGCTCCAGCAAAAATAAAACTCAACCCAAGACTATGAAGCTCTTAAAATGTCTCAAAGTTTGTGGCTGTTCTTAAAAAAGCATAAATATTTGAGATCTGATATTCATTCATGATTACTTCTTTCTTAAACTGTCAAAACCCCAAATCATTTCAAATAAAGCTATTAAAGATACTCATGGTGGATGCTTACTACATTTTGTTTTGATTTGGCTGTTTACTTTGCCATTTCTATGCTAGACTGCAGCAGTCCCTTGCTATTCTTTTTATTTAACAGTTATTTCCAATCTTTCATAACATCTGCTTGAAGCTTCACTGTTAATTTTAGATAAAATGAAAATGCATTCAGAATATTCCCTTTTGATTAGATGATCAAGACTTAGAAAAAAAAAAACAGCTGCTCAGATACCCAGAGGGAACTGAAATCCAAACTTCAATGGAAATAGGACTGAGTTTATGGGCTGTTTTTCGGACAAAAGTAGTACCTTGATTCTAAATTTCATAATACAAAAAATGCAAGATTACTATAGATTTCATAATACATAACCATAAATGCAACTGCTCAATGACTCAGTCAAAAATGACTATAGAACTTATATTCAAAACTGTTAACTTAAGGCTATTTCTTACTTGCTAGATGTACATTATACTAAAAATTATAAAATAAAATACTTGGACATCTATAAAAGAAAGACACTAAATACAATATTATTCTATTTTAATGTTGCTTAGGGAATGATTTTAATAGATGATTATTAAAGAAAAATACATTCAATTGGTCAAACTATGAATACGATTATAAATTATTGCTCTTTCCGACAGTATACCTATAGGAAATTTCATAAGTTTTCTTTCCTCTTAAAAATAGAGTTTTAAAAGGTAAAACATTGCGCATTACACATTTGCCAGAATTAAGATTTCTGGAGTAAAGAGGTTTTTTTTCTGACTGCATTAATCATATCTGTGCATTCAACATCGAAGATCTAGGAGGCTGTGGGGATACAAAGGCAAATAAGATACTACTGTAGCCCTTAAGAAGCTAATAAGTTCACGGGAAAGACAAATATATGAACACATAACTACAATAACAATGTCGTAAGGTATTTTAGTGGAGTTATATACATAGTTATCATTTCAAGCAGAGGGGAGGGAAATACCAGCTCTGTCTGCAGAGCCAGCCATGTAGTTACAAACAGGATTAGTCTGGGACAGAGAAGGATCAGACATCAGACTCAGCTGGGAGACTAGAAAAGTGGGCCAGATGGTTTTAAGATTGGCTTTTCTAATGAAAACTGGCACAAAGATTGACTTAAATGTGTTCTTTTCTTTCTGTAACTACAGCTTCCCAATTCTTCCAAAGCCTACTCTACCTCATTTTCAATCACATGTGGAATCTCCTGAAGTATGTAAAATAGGGATGGCATGACATTCTGAAAGGTAAGAAAGAAAGCTTTTGTGTGGTTGAAGCTTCTATTATACTTGGCAGAATAGGTATAAGATTCTTTGATTTGTATGTATTTATCCATAAGATCTTGTCTAGAAAATTGAAAAGAATAAATTGAAGTGAATTCTCACTGCAAAACACTTAAAAGAATGCCAAGCATGAACACAAACAACCTAATTCTACAGTGAGCTTTAGAAGATCTGGAAGAATGATCTCTCATTCTTTTCTCATTCTTTGTTATTTTAGGGAAATCCATGCCATGTCCAGGATATCATAGAGTCCACTCCTGCTTTAGAGACACCTTAGGTTGCAAGGAAAAAGAAACAGGATTGGTTAGGTCAGTGAAGGATACACGGGGAAGCTAGGATGCGCAGACCACTGCCCATAGCTCTACAACTTGGCCTCGTGGATAGCTGACTCAAGGGTTAACAATCATTCAGAATCTAATGGCACCAGGAATGAGCTAATAACTGGTAACTGACACATCTTGCTAAACTTTCAGATGAGGTTATCTATTTCTCCCTAAGTTGGCAATTCCACCATACTCATTACCCAATTTCTTTCTGACTCTGCTTTTACTGTCAACATCTCCACTTACTGCTGACATTTTTTCTAACACTGCCTCCCTGTCTTTTGAAAAATGAAAATCTGACTGAATCAATTAGTCACTGCCTAATACAAAACATCTCAATTGTCAGAATTCCAGAACTCGGCCAATTAAGAGTTGTGTAGTCTCCTTTATGGCTAACTCTACATTTCTACTATCTTCCAGGAAACTCCAATTCTAGGAGATTTTAAGCAAGGCTCATTCTACCATTAAAAAAGCTAGAGAAAATATGTACCAAATCTGTCTGTTAGAAATGCATTATATAATATATATAATATATGTATGGCTCTAAAATTGAAAAATAAAAATTCTGCTTTAAAAAGAGGAATTTATTTTAAAGATAGAAGTTTATTTTTTCTCAATACATTTTTCTCCCTTTAACCCTTCTTAAACATTTTCACGAAGAGTTTAACATTAACTATAATTTGGGAAGCACTACATCAGTTACCTTTAACTGGAGCACTGACACGTGGTCCATAATTAGAGGGCGGTGTCAGGGACATACAATATGGTACTCAGCAATTTACATATCAGGAACCACAGTTGGACATTTAACTCAGAAGAGGGCCGAAGTCATGGCAGAAAATTTGAATCCTGTAGCCACCCACTCCAGGTAAACCCCATAAACCATGGGGTGATGACTTTAGAAACAAAACTGATTAAAGAGTCTATAAGGCCAGGAGGACTAAGTGGCTTAACCCACGAGCCAACTTCTCTGATGGCCCAACAGAGACTGAAATGACCAAGTTGCTTTTGAGCAGGGAAATGAACAAGTTTTTGTCCCTCCTTGAAAGGAGACACAACTTGGCATGTGGACTTTCAGAGGCAATCATGGTTCATTCCATCTCAAACATTTGCCCATTAACCTCCATCAGAATCCTGCAGGCAGATGCCAAAAGTGAGGGAGAATAGGATCTCGATTTTTCTTGCCCTGAAAAGACTTCATCCTTCATTTATAATTACATGAAAATTTTTTTATCTCCTCTCTTTTTCCCTCCTCCTCCTCCTCCTCCTTCTCCCCTCACCCCTGCCCCCTTCTCTTTTTTATTTTTAGGTAAAGAGTTGCTTTGGGAATAGAATAAATAATGCAACTATTTAGCACAGAGGTGTCCAATCTTTTGGCTTCCCTGGACCACACTGAAAGAAGAAGAATTATCTTCAGCCACACATAAAATACACTAACACTAATGATAGCTGATAAGCTAAAAAAAATTGCAAAAAAACTCAAGATGTTTCAAGAAAATCTATGAATTTTTGCTAGGCCACATTCAAAGCTGTCTTGGGCTGCACGTGGCCCAAGCTATGGATTGAACAAGCTTGATTTAGTGCATTGTGGGCTTAGGGAGGACTAAAAGAAAACTACTAATATTAATATTATTAAAAGGCCATCCTTAAATAAAACATGTAGTTGGCAAAATTGATCTCCAAGCCTTTCATCCCCTGGTTGTCTTAGCTACATCTAAGCTTTCCCTCTACCTCTTATGTGATCAGTGCCTCATGTTGAAAGCCACCCAGGCTTCATCCTTCCTTTATAATTACATGAAAATTTGCTCGTACTGTTCTACATTTTATCTACTTCCTAAACTCTATCAAGGGTCACTCATCGATTGCTTCATTTTATCAGACCTCTATTTTCTATTTAGTTGGAAATGATCCCTAGTGGAAATGTCTGCTCTAGTGATAACCTACTCTGCCTATGCATGCATGGACCATTGGGTAGACTGATTTTAACAGCAAATAAACTGATGCTTTAGAAACCATGACTTGCCTAAAGTCACAAAAATTGCATTTGTGAAATATTGTGTCCTGCTGAACATATAGGACATCCTCGGTGATGACAAAAATATATTAAACGTATTACTTTTAATACTCTATGTTAAGCTTATCTTGCATATCTTCTATGTTAAGCTTATCTTAATATTCTATATTAAGCTTATATTATTAAATAGCATCTAAGACTCATACCATGTTCTGACACTTGTCATTTAAATGTTGAAGTTCTTCAGGGAATGATCTTAAGCCTTCTTCTCACTAGACATTGTCCCTCTCTATGAGACTAGCAGATCTCATCCAATCCCAAGGATTCAATTATCAATGGTGATGTGAATGATTACCAGGCTTGATCTGAAGCCTGACTTTTCCACTTAGCTCCAGTTGTCTACCAGAGATCTCCACTAGGCTATTTTGTCAGGCTCTTCAAACTTGACATATCCAGAGTTCAACTGATGATCTTTCCAGTGTCCTGCTCTACTCTCACAACTAACTCAGTAAGTGGCATCACCATCAATGCTGTGCTCAACCAGAAACCTGGGTGTTGTCCTGGTTTCGTCTTTCCTTTTACTCCTATATCCAATTAGTCTTTGGCATTCTACTTTTCCAACATCTCTTCAGTGCATCCTCTTCTTCCCATCTCCACTAGCACACTGATAATCAAAGCTACGATCCTGTCTCCTCCGGTTTATCAAAATTGCCTGCTGCCTGGTCTCTCTTAATCCAGTCTTCTCCCCAACCCTCCCCACCTCATTCTCCACATTGCTTGCAGAGTGATCTCTTTCAGACATAAATCTAATCATGTCGCTCTCCAACTTCATGCTCTGCAATGGTTCTATTGCTTTTATCATAACGTCTAGATACATGAATGTGGCTTATAAACTCCTCCATGATCCCCCTCCTCTCCTCACTGATATGACTTTACCGGGTGCCACTCTCTGACTTTCTCCACTGCTAGATTTAGTTTAACCACAACGGTTCTATTTCGATTATTCCATTGCACTTAACATCTTCCTTACACACGGATTTACACATAGCATTACTTTTACTGGAAATACTCTTTCTCCTCTTCCTGACCAATCTAATTCCCTTCATCCAGTCTTGGCTCAATTATTAATATATTTCCTCCAGAAAAAATTTCAAGGATTCCTTAGCTTTATTAGACTTATTTATTGTACTCTGAACTTTTCCTTTGTAATGCTTATCAGAACATGACTTGACTATTTTAATAAATATTTAACATACAACTTCACTATTAGGTTAAAAGATCCATAAGGAAGCATGTATCTTCTGCTGTATTCCATCCCTAATACATTGGTACATAACAGGTTAATGAATAGTACATTTATAAAATAAGTTAATGAGAAATATCTAATACATAAGAGACTTTTTAAAGTGATACTTGATAGCAATATCACTGTCTCTGGCCCCAAACTGTGTGTTCCATAATAGAAATATGAGAAACTTAGTCTAGCAAATTACGATTAACAATTGTCACACCTGATGCTTTATCTGGGATTTAGGAGGCAAGATAGATACCTTTAAACAACATTTTTTCCCTCTTAATCTCTGTTAGTTCTCATGTTGTTATGACTTTAGCATATTATCATTGTCACGGACTGATCATTGAGCAAAATTTTGAAAAATTATGGGCTCATTTAAAAAATGAGAGAGAATAGAGTTTGAAATAACTATCACAAGTAACTACCTAGGTATTCAAGAGTCAAAGAAAAATGGTCTCAAAATGTTGAACACAGCAAGCAATAGCAATAGCCTACGTTTAAACTGTAACTGAAAACAGGGTTTACAATAATTCTAAGTGAGTCAGACAGCTTTGCCCTCCTGGCATAAGTTTTTAAGGTAATTGAAAAGTTCATGAATTAAAGATAGACCTTTCTAAAATATTACAAATCTATAGCTATCATCTGACACATTATTTAACAAATTGCTAAGGATTTTTATGCACTTTGCATATGCCAGACATGATTCTTATAAACAGCATTGGGGTACTGTTTCCCAGCTGGCTTTAATCAGCTGGAATGGAAAGCAATCAGCATCACAAATTGATAATATTCCTTTTCATGATCATTTTATTCCATAAAGAAATGACAAATGGATAAAAATGCTGTTAAAAATCACAAAATAATGTTTCCAAAGGGAACATTAGTAAGTTTGATTTGAAGATGCCCATGATTGCTTACATATGATTTCCCAAAGCAATAGACTTGAACGGATGATTCTGCAGCCATTTTCACTTTGATTGTAGAGTCAAATAAAGAGTTTTGCCACAGGACAAAATATGGCAAAAATCACTAACTTTATCTAACTTTATCCCAATTTATGGAAACAGTTACATATATGCATACTCACACACACGCATCTACACATATTGACATGCAGAAAATCAACATTTTAGATGGCCAGAAAAATACTATTTTATAACTATTTTATAATATGGTTGATTTACTTTTAGAGTATCAGTTTTTGAACCCTCCAGAAAAAGTGAACCTCCTCCTGTCATCCAGGTATATACTATCTATATGCATAAATGACCAAACTTTCAAGATAATAGGAATGAAAAATGTAGCATTTAGATTCCTGTGTCTTGACCTTGGCTTTAACATTAAGTTAAACTTTTGTGCCCTCCACTCCCATGCCCCTAGTAAAACTGAAAAGGAACAAAAAAAAAAAAAAAAAAAAAGGAGTTCATAGAGATAGGATAAAGAACTGTTCTACACAGCCCATGAAATACTACTACTGTTTCAGATAGACACTTTGATTTAATGTGCATTGGCAGACAATTCAGAAATTATGACTGAGCTCTTATGTGACACACGAACCCGCTACAAAGCTTGAATTACTCATTTGTTTATCTCATAAAGCATGGGCTGGTGCAACATAAGGACATTTCTGGCACACTCCATGGAGACATAATCTGTAACTGTTTAAAATGATAAAAGGCCAACAAAATGGATTGAACACTGCATATCGAGGGCATATGATTAACAGCCCTCAGAAAATCAAAAACCAGAGAAAACACACAAAAAAGCATGAATATGAACATCTGGCCTTGCAGTCATGGATACTCTCAGTAGGCATTCAGTTGCAAACAATTGCTTTTTACTTATTAAATCATACTTGGCTTTTGACACCACCTTGTGTAATCTGCATCTAGAGAGTACAGTGGAGACATTTCAATCATATCTTCTGTTGAGTGTCTACATCAATTGGATATTCATAAAATTTTGCATTTGGTTCTTTCATAATATCTTTCTTCACATTAGAGCCTTTAAGATGGTTCAAATGCCTCTATATAGAATTTTCCACATTGTTGAATTTACACAAACAAAATGATTAATAATCCAATTTAAGTGCAGCTACTGTGAAACTCTGGTCTACATTTCCTCTAGTAATGCTTTCTATGTTTTTTTTTTTGAAAATGAGGCCCAAATTAAATTTAGAGCATAATACAATAGAGTTCTATAACTTCTTCCTGTGATTTGATCATGACAATTCTAATTTTAATGCTTTAGAGATGAACATCTAAGCATGATAATTCTAGTGGAACTATAACATTAAGAACTATTTTTCATGTAAATAACTCTTAAGTCACTGTATAAGTTTATATCCTAAGCATAGAAGTTGAAAAAATTTGAGCATATAACACATCCAAACTCAATCATAGAGTCCAAGTTCAATTAAGGAAACAAAGGGGGATGTGATAACGAGATCCGCCCAAATTCACACAACTAGATAGCAGCTGAGCCAAGAAGGCAAAGTAAGCCCAGTATCTCTTCCTTATGCTCTACTGCTTCTCCTCTTGTTATTTAAAAAAAAAAAAAAAAAAAATCAATATCAGTGAATGTAAGTCATTCCAAACAAGCCTAGTGAAAAGGAGTTGTCTCCGTTCCCAGTGCTTGGTACCATCACTCCAGCTCCCCGGAGTCCACACTTTCTACTGCTTCTGTTGTTAAAGTCAAATCTTCCATAACTATAAATTATATACTAATCCTTTCATTGACTTATTAATCAATGGAACACTACTGACTTCTCACTATGGTAACATGTAACTCGTACCCACTTACAGGAATGTTCTGTTTCTTAAACCACATGGTAGCATAACAGCATTAGCTTGTCTATATCAACCTTCATCTCTCTTTTTTCCTTCTGTCTCAACTTCTGCTCCTGTAGTTTTACATTGTCAAGGTTGATTAATATTTAAATTCTATAATTTTTTGTGCTTTCTCATCAAGCAAGGGTTGGGGACTTTTTTCTGTAAAAGGACAGATGTAAGTATGTTAGGCTTTGTGGAAAATAGTAAGCGTTGGTGAGGATGTGGGGATATTGGAATCCTTGTGCACTGTTGGTGGGGTTGCAATGGTGCAGCAGCTATGGAAAATAGTATGGAGGCTCCTCAGAAAGTTAAACATAGAACTATATGATCCAGCAATTCCGCTTCTATGTATTTATTTGAAATAATGAAATCAGAATCTCAAAGAGATATTTGTGCATCTATATTCACTGCACAGCACTATTTACAATAGCCAAGTAGTGGAAGCAACCTAAATGTCGACCAATGAATGAATGAATGGTTAAAGAAAATGTAGTACATACACACAAACATAAAATAATTGCATAGTTCCTTCAGCGAGATAAAGAAAAATAATTTATAGGCTAGAATTTTACAGCAAACCCACACTATCCTATCCATGTGTGAGGAGAAAATAAAACTTCAAAACAATTACACATACAAAAATGTATAGCACTTTCTAGACATAGAGCACTCTGGAAGAACTGTAAGTTGTGCTTCAGAAAGAAGAAAAATAATTTGAGAAAATAATTGGTATAAGAGTCAATGCTACTTAGGGATATGCTCAATCAAGGGCATGTTGGGGAGAGGGAGAGGGAGAGAGAGAGAGAGAGAGAATGGAATATTAATATTATGCACAGCCTTATTAAATTAAACATTATGCAGCCATATTAAAGAAGAAAATCCTGTCATATGTTACAACACGAATGAACCTGGCGGACATCATGCTAAGGGAAATAAACCCATGGCAATAAAACATATATTGCATTATTTCACTTATATGAACTATCTAAAGTAGTCAAAATCTCAGAAATATAAAGTAAAATGATGGACTAGGGAAGAGGGAAAAGGAGTATAACGTTTCAGTGGCTAGAGAGTTTGTTTTGCAAGATTAAACTGTTCTAGAGATCTGTTGCACAACAATGGACACAAAGTTCACACTAGGCACTGTAAACTTAAAATGTTTAGTATGGTAAATTTTATGTTAAGTGCTTTTTACCACTAGAAAAATGCTCTCGAAACAAAAGTAAAGAGGATAAGGGAAGACATAGGAGGCCCTGAAGCAGCCAATAGCACCCTAGCCTCTCACAAAAATAAAAGGGCAAGCTCCCTCCCCTATTCCCCCACCACAACAAGCAACCTTGACATGTCATCAAAGTGGGTGCAAATATTTTTTAAATAAATATATGGGTGTGTATATATGTGTGTGTGTGTCTGTTCATATATATGTGTGCTGAGCTTTTTAAAAAATGTCTCTTATCCTTTCTTTTCCTTTTTCTTTTTTCATCAGCTGAATTGCTCACATCCTAAAGTTGTTTTCTAAACTCACATACTATCTAGTTCATGGAATCTACATACCTGCTCTTTCCTTCAGCTTTTATCTAGGTTAGAGTCTAAAAAAGAAAAATGCTCAGCTATTTTTCTTTCTTTAATTGCTCTTCTTGGTCACAGTCATTATTTCTTTAATACCATATTAATTCATATTCTCTCTCTCTCTCTCACTCTTAGTTTGATTGAGCATGTGACCAAGTAGCATGGTCTCTCACACCCCATTTCTTTTTCTCAAATTATGTTTCTTTGTTCTGAAGCACATCTTTCAATTCTTTCAGAGACGTCTATGTCTATGTCTAGAAAGCATCATATGTTTTTGTATATCTATTTTTTTCTCCTCACAAATGCATAGTGTGGGTTTGCCATAAATTTCTAGCTTATAAATTATTTTTTTCCTTATGTCTCTGAAGGTACTATGCAATTATTTTCATGTAACCAAAGTGCTTAATAAGAAAGTTAATGTCAAAATGTGTTTTATTCTGAATGTACTTCCTCGATTAACCTCTCTTCTTGGGAATAGTTTCTTCCGTTTATTCAGTTTTCTTCCTTGCTTGGTGATACTGCATTTTCTTAAATGTTTGATGGCTAACAACATTTGCTTCTGTTTACAGTTAAGATTAAGATTTGCCATTAGATTATTTGATATATCAATTTATATGCTATGCCTCACTATAGGGTTAGGGAAGGCAAGAAGTAGCTTCCTCTGGTTCCATTCAAGCCTGTTTTCAGAAGAAGGGAGGGTGTTGGGTAGCTGAATGTATAGTTAAAGAAGATTCTAGAGTCACTCTCTGTACAGGGAGCTCCATATTCTACTTAGGTATCACCAACTTGTCTTATTCTTATAAGTTACCAGATATCAGGCTCCCTTTGATAACATACATATATATCCCCTCATCACTGCCACTTGACCTAGGTGGGAATGCAGAGGATATGCAAGGGCCAGCCTATTTGTTTCTGTTCTGTTAATGTTGACTAACCACCCTTTTATTTGCCCTTAGACCATCATCATGCTCTTTCTATTCCTTATATCCACCCCTTCCAGGCATGGTGCACCCTTGTTTTAGGAGTTCATTTCTATGTCATAATGAGAGAAAATGGTTCGTCCAAACTGGTGATATCTCCTCCAAATGAAGGAAGCTGCACTAGCTCTAACACTCCCGGTTTGTGTCCACTTATTCCTCCCGTGGATGGGAGAAAATCGATCGGGGCTATTTGTAAGAATGTAGTCACATATAAAGCAGCATCTTTTTTTGTCACTTAAAAGTGGGCCAGCCTGCAGAAATTATAAGTTCTCCTTTTTTCATCTCTACTATGAATGTTATGCAGGCAGCAAACACATCTGTAAATGTGGAAAGGCCTGTACAGTCTGATGCTTCCATGATTGGGTGGTAAGTTTGTCTTATTCTCATATTAGAAAACTCATTTGTTCTCACTTGTAAGCCACATTATTCAACATGAGCTTAATATCTGAAATATTTAACTCCCTGTGTCTTAGACCAGTGGTCCCCAACTTTTTTGGCACTAGAGACCAGTTTTGTGGAAGACAATTTTTCCACAGATATGGGGGAGTGGCTTCGGGATGAAACTGTTCCACCTCAGATTATCAGGCATTAGTTAGATTCTCATAAGAAGCCTGCAACCTAGATCCCTCTCATGTGCAGCTGACAATAGGATTTGCTCTCCTGTGAGAATCTAATGCGGCCAATACTGGTCAGTGGCCCAGGTGTTGGGAGCTCCTGTCTTAGACCATTGTCCTTTTTCTCTCCATTCAGAAATAACAAAGGAATGTTATTTTTTTAGGCCATTTCAAAGAACTCAACATGTGTATTTGAGATTAGTGCTTCCTTCACACCTCTAATGCTTCTTGTTAGCAATTTCTGGTCCACAAAGGGCTTCAGTGCATTGTAAAAGAATGAAGTTATGCATTCGTTAAATTATATTTTCTACCATTTTTAAGAATAAATGTGTGGTATTTGTACACTGTAGCATGTTCTCAGCCTACATATGGAAATGTGCTCTCTTCTAAAACAAATAAACATGTCTTTTAGTGCAGACATTCTCAACTGAAAGTAATTGCACTCCTTTAAGCAGAATTTTAAAACAAGAAGTAGGGCCATGGTTGTTAAAATGACTGAGTGGCAGTATCTGGGGACAAAGTCTAAACATCCTGCATTGGCACAGAACGGTCATGCACAGCAAGAGTCATCCTGCCCCAAACACCAATAATGCCTATGTTGAAAAACCCTGTTCAGGCTAATACTTTAATTACTGAAACAATTATCCTCTCAGACATTACAAATGATACAACAGAAACACAAATGATAATAAGCAATTACTATAAACAATTATATGTCAACAAACTATAACCTAGAAAAAAAGAATAGATTCTCAGACACATATCACTCACTAAGACTGAATCATGAAGAAACAGAAAATTTGAACAGACTAATAAGGACTAAGGAGATTCAGTCAGTAATAAAAAGTCTCCCATCACAGAAAAGCCAAGGACCTGATGTCTTCACAGCTGAATCCTACCAAAATTTAAAGAACTAATACCATTCCTTGCAAAAAAGTCAATCAAAACAAAAACAAAAACAAAAACAACAAAAAAACACAAAACTCTTGCAAAAAAATAAAACAAACCTGCAAAAAAATCAAACTCATGCAAAAAACAAAAAACAAAAAAAAAAAACAGAAGGGAATACTTCGAAATTCTTTTTATGTGGCAGCATTATCCTGATATCAAAGTTAGACAAGGCTTTAGAAGAAAGTAAAATTACAGGCCAGTATCCTTAATGAACAAAGGGGGAAAATTCCCAAGAAAAAAACTTGCAAACTGAATTCAACAACCATTAAAAAGACCATCCACCATTACTACCTGGGATTTAGCCCTGGGATACAAGGATGGTTTACCGTATGCAAATCAATAAACATGACACATTACATTAAACAGAATGAATAATAAAAACCATATGATCATCTCTTTAGGTATAAAAAAATTGACAAATTCAGCATAGTTTCACGATAAAACAAAACAAAACAAAACAAAACAAAATCTTCTCACCAAATTAGGTATAGAAGGAATGCATCTACACACAATAAAGGCCATATATGAGAAGCCCACAGCTAATATTATATTCAACAGTGAAAAATTTAAACCTTACCTCAAGATTTAGAACAAGGCAAGGATGCCCATACTAGCAACTTCTATGTAACACAGTACTGGAAGTCCTTGTCAGAACAATTAGGCAAGATAAATAAATAAAAGGCATCGACATAGGAAAGAAAGAAGTAAAATTGTCACTGTTTGCTAATGACATAATCTTTCTTATATATGAAAAATCCTACAAAATATACCAAAAAAAAAACCCCTGTTAGAACTAATTAACAAATACAAAAAGTTTCAGGATACAAAATCAACACAAAAAGTCAGTAGTGTTTCTGTTTACTAACAATAAACTGTCTGGGAAAAAAAAATCAAGAGGACAATCTCATTTGCAATAGCTACAAAAAATAAATAAATTTGGGAATAAGTTTAACCAAGAAGGTGAAAGAACGGTACACTAAAAAGCTATAAAACATTGATGAAAGACATTCAAGAATATACAAATTAAAATATATTCCATGCTCATGGATTGAAAGAATATTGTTAAAATGTCCACACTACCCAAAGTAATCTACCAATTCAATGCCAATTCAATACTAATTTTATCTCTATTAAAATGTCAATGTCATTTCATATAGGCATAGAAAAAAACCCTAAAATTCATATGGAGCAACAACAACAACAAAAGTCTTGAATAGCCAATACAATCATGATAAAAAAACAAAAAAACAAACAAAAAACAGCTGGAGGTATAACATTACCTGATATCAAGTTTTACTATGGAGCTATAGTAATTAAAACAGAATGCTTCTGGCAGAAAAAAGAAAGACACATTAACCAACGGAACAAAATAGAGAGTCCATAAATGAACCCATATACGTATGGTCAATTGATTTTTTATAAAAGTGCCTAAGAATATGCAATAGTAAAAAGGACAATCCCTTAAATGGTATTGGGAATACTGGGTATCTATATGCAGAAGAATGAAAGTGGACCTTAATCCCACAACACATACAAAAATCAACTCTAAATGGATTAAACACTTAAACATAAGACCATAAAATGTGAAACTACTTGAAGAAAATGTAGGGGAAAAATAAAAATAACAACAAAAAAACTACATGACATTGATCTAGGCAATGATTTTTTGTTTGTTTTTTTATTTGACCCCAAAAATGCAGTCATCAAGAACAAAAGGAGACAAATAGGATTACATAAAACTAAAAAGCTTCTACATAGCAAGGAAAACAATTAAGAGTGTGCAGAGACAACCTATGAAGAAAAAATATTTGCAAACCATATATCTGAGAAGGGGTTAATATTCAATATATATAAGGAGCTCAAACAACTCAACAGCAAGAAAAACAAAAATTAAAAAATGGGCAAGGGATATGAATAGACATTTTTCAAAAGAAGATATACAAATGGCCAACATATAAATGAAAAAATGCTCAACATCACTAATCATTAGGGAAATGCAAATTAAAACCACAGTGAGGTATCGTCTCACATATTAGAATGGCTATTCTCAAAAAAATAAAAGATAACAAGTGTTGGCAAGGATGTCGAGAAAAGGGAACCTCGAGAAAAGGGAACTGTTGGTGGGAAGGTAAATTATAGTATTACAGCTATTATGGTAACTGTAAGGAGGTTCCTCAAAAAAAAAAAAAAAAAAACAAAAAGAGAATTAGAGTATGATCCAGCAATCCCACTTCTGAGCATTTATCCAAAAGACTTAAGATCAGTTTATTGAAGAGATGTCCACACTCCCATGTTCATTGCAGTACTGTTCACAATAGCCAAGTTATGAAGTAAACCTAAGTGTCCACCAGAAGATGAATGGATACAGAAAATGTGGGATACATACACAATGGAATACTATTCATATTTCAAAAGAGAAATTCTGTCATTTGCAATCATATGAATGGAACTGGAGAGCATCATGCTAAGTGAAATAAGTGAGGCACAGAAAGACAAAAATACTGCATATTCTCACCTACACATGGAATCTAAAACAATTGAACCCATAGAAACAGAAAGTAGAATGGCAATTATGGAGGCAGGGGTTTGGGATATGGAAAAATAATGGTCAATAGATACAAAATCTCAGTTAAACAGAAGGAATATGATCTTTTTCAGACCTTTTGCACAGCATGGTGAATATAGTTAATAATATTGTACATTTCAAATACTATGTTCTTACCACAAAAACTTTTTAAGTATTTGAGGTAGTGAATATGTCAACTGGCTTGATTTAATTATTCCACATTGTATTCATAAATCATAACATCACTTTGTACAATTTATATAATTATAAACTATCAATTTATAATAAAAATTATCCTCTGAATTCCTCCTAAAACCTTTACATCCTTTATACCTGAGTTTTAAGATATATTTCATCTGAAACTTAGTTTTTTAAGAGAAGTCTGAATTTTCCTGAAATTATACATATGAAGAATATATTTTAGATTTGTGTCTATTTGATTAAAGGAAAGTGTGGGAAGTAGAATCTCAGTTCAAGATAAAATGTCTATAAAAAGGAGAGTGATTCCAACTTTTATTGACTATAAATCACAATGATATATTTTATATGATGTTTATCTCCAATGTACCAAACACTGAACTAGTAAGTTTCCATATCAAAACAATCCTATGACAGAATTATTAGACCTTCGCACCAGACAAAACTGGGATATCAGCAGATGAGGCAGCCTGCAAACATACATAAGGAGAGAAGCTGGATTAAATACAGGTTGGTCTGATTTAAAAAAAAAAAAAGGCCATTCTTTTCCCTCTTTCCTTAACTCAGTGCTGCTTCTCTACATAGTTAAATCAGGTAGCAAGAAAAAGCTGAGGAAAGAGGTTCAGGCAGAAATGGGAAAGACATGTCTATATGGAAGTGAGAAAAAACAACAGCCCTTTCCCTGTCTGTCCCCTTCCTCACCAAAGCCACCTGAGTCTTAGGGCTGCTTCCCACAGGACTGATCTTTCTTCTAGAGTCACATGATGATGACCACTTACGTCAAAGCACTTTTCTTTATTGCTGTCATTGAGAGATCAATTTATGAACAACAGCTGCCTTATAGTTGTTCCAAATCTCCAAACCACAAATGATGTGCATTTGTGTTTTGAATTATTATTTTTCAATTTAGATGTTTGGCATTCAGCGAACCCCAGCTCCCAATCCATCCCCTCACAATACTGTGCTTTCTACTCTGCTTCATCCATTCTCACATCCCCAAGAATGGCCAGAAAGACATTCTCTTGATATTTCTATATTTTCTTCTCTCATAGCACTCAGTAGAGCATGAAGGAGCTTGTGCTCATTTGCTCTTCTCTAGTTATTTTTGCATCTACCACAAACACACCTGGCTCCAGTGATTTCTGGATGCGCTGGATGCTCGCCATCTGACAGAAACAGTTGTGCTTATTTGTCTGAGCAGAAGGGCTGCATTCTAATGGCACGGGACTCCAACTGATGACACAGTTCTCAGAAGAACATTATCAGGGATCAGTCTTTGATTTATCTTCAAAAGATATTTATTCAGAAAAAAATGTATTTATTCTTCAACAATTTCTAAGAGAACATTTAGGCTCCTACTTCTTTATGTTATCAAAAAAGAGATTACAGATTTCTTGAGAGTGGTGATCATGTATCTATTATATGCCACCTTATGAGTACATACAAGTAGCCAATTCATTATGGAATCATGCAAAAGACAATTGTCAGATGCCAAGGAACCTTCATAAAATCTCTAAAGAGCAATTAACCTCCACAGCCACGAACTTTGTCACATTTCCTGTCCTTTGTCTTTGTCTTTCTCCATCAACAAAAGATTTCATAATGTGTGGTACACACAGAGGCTTTGTAATTGATTAAAGGATAATGTCTTAGTGTGTCAGATTCAAAACCTTCTTCCCTATAACATTCAGTACCACATCCTAAGCAGAATTTTGGTTTCAATGAAGCAACATCAACTGTCATATTTAATTAATATTGTTAATTTGAATTTTATTGGTTTTAAAAACTTTGTTGCATTTAATTTTTATTACTTTATAATTCATTAACATTGTAAACTAAAGAATATGTCCTTAGTTTTATGTATGTAGACTTATAAGTAGCATTAAAATTAAACGGATGTAAATCAACACTAGGTATATGTTTTAGTTTGTCTCTAAGATGCCATCATGAATTTCTTCTCTTTTTTGTGCAAGCAATTCCTCAATGAAAGTCAGAGGCCAGTCCTCCCACCTCCCACCCTTGAATTCCCTGACCCATAACCACTGTGATCAATAGACTATGGCATGACATCTCAGGCTTGGACATCAGGAGCCTTGTAGCTTTTACCTAGGTCCCTTAGAGTTCCTGATCTGGGAGAAGCTATTCGCCATGCAAAATGCTCAACTATTTTGAGCCTGCTGTAATATGAGCAAGCCTACCTGGCCATTTGGAGGGACTATGTGGAGAAAAAAAGACCTGAATAACCTCAGAGCTGCTGCAACCATTCTTAGCCAGGCTTCAAACTAAAGAAACCTTTAGCACAGTCTCAGCCGCTGTCTGACTGCAACGGATTGAAGGATAAGTGAGAATCACCAAGCCTACTAATCTTTAGAAGCATTAAGAATGAAAATACAGTGTTGTTTTAACCCCTAAATTTTGGGGTTATTTGTATATAGCACTAAATAACCAGATTAGTGTTCATAAGAATATAATGGTTTTCCTCTTAAAAAAAATTAACATTGGGAGCCATCCTGAAGAAACTTCCAGTGGCCAAATTTGGCACAACTTGAGCAACAACATAATGATAGTAATGGATTAAAACTCATATAGTAAAATAACTGACCATGAGTCTGGGCCAATATAAATAGTTGGAAAAATAAATACATAGGAAAGAAGAGACAATTCTTACTTTCAGTAATATTCAAATTAATAAATAGTAAGACTGATGAAAACTAGATAATCACTATTTGGAAATCACCACATTTATAAATTTTGTGGGTAAGAATCACTGATAGTTGCTAAAATTAAGGAGTAAAAGAATGATAAGAAACAGGATGCTTTTATAGTCTCAAAGTAACCTCACACATAATATGTATTAATTACAAGAGAAAATTTGTCACTTAACGGTGGAGAAATCCTCCAGACACAACATAAACAAAGTGATCAAAATTAATCTGTAATGAGACATGTTGATATCATGTAACTTCTGATTCGATGCTATTATTGCCAAGAAAGTGTAACCTCAATCTAATCATGAGAAAGACATCAGACAAACTCCAACTGAGAAACGTGCTGTGAAATAAATGAGAGGTGATCTTCACAACTGTCAGGGTCATAAGAGATAAAGAGTGAAGAACTGTCCCAGACTGGGGAAAACTAAGAATGCATGACAACTAAATGCAATGTGGGATTCTGGAGTGAATCTTAGACTGGAAAATCAAGACAAAACAAAAGTAGTGGGATAATTGGTGAAATCTGAATAAGTTCTGAATATTAATAGTATTATACCAATGCTGATGTCCTGGTTTAGGTATTATTAGGTATTATTATTAGGTATCTATAATATATATATTATTTGGTATTATTATTATTTAGGTATAATTATTAGGTATTATTATTCTCACATAAGATGTTAACAACAGGGAAAGGTGGCATACAAGGAATCAGTATATGATTTTGCAACTATTTTGTAGTTTTTAAAGTATTTTAAATAGAAAGTAAATATAAAGTTGATACATTAAAAAATTGATACGAAGGAGGAATGGTGGATTAAGCATGACTTCAAAGTTGCTTCATTATATTCTTGAAGAACAGACATTTAAATGCTTATTTTTGAATACTTTTAAAAAATAATGGAAAGCTTTTATGTATGTAATGCTTCGATAAAATGGTCTAAAAATAAGAAAAAGTAGCTACATAACTCCAGTTAGACAAACACTGTTTGTGGTATTCTCTTCAAGAACACAATTTCATAATTTAATTGCCTGTCCTGTGTTCTAGCTCATTGCAGCTCCTCATGGTCTTAGCACAGGGAGCAAGACCATGAAAAGAACTGCTGTTATTGCAACTGATCTGCTGAGTTTTGCACATGTCTTGATTTTGGTTTGATATGAAACCCATCCAGAAGGTGGAGGATGGAATAGAAGGTTATTTAAGTTCTTTAACACCATCTCTGTAAATTATCTTCTGATGCAAAGGGAAGATCTTTGGCTGCCACACTGATACTGCAAAATCTCGTTCACTGTTCACAATATATTGCATGAGGAGTTGAAGGGATAAAAACTCAACTTACGTGAGCTCAGGTGGAGTAAAGACAGATGCCATCATTCAGTTTCAGAAGATAATAGGTTGTGGAGGAAGCAGGTAACTTACTGGTTTTTCCTGCATCAGCACTTTTTATTGCAGCTTTGGAAGGCAGTTAATTATTTAACAGACATAAATACAAAATTATAAATAGTCCTAAAATATGTAAAGTCACCTTGAATATTTTTGATGATCTAATCCTCATAATTAACTGTTTCTCTGACACTTTAGTACTGTTAATTGTGGACTTCCCTCTTCTGTCTCTGGAAAACAACACTTAATCAATGACCTCATATTTCTCTAATTAGTAAGAAGCTGCTTTCTTTGAAAATTAAGGTTATTAAATAATATTCATTGATGGTTTACTAATGGAATAGCTTGCTATCAGAAAGAATACCCAAGAAAATTAAGAAAATATACAAACAAATAAATCAGTAGAAAAAATAAGCTGCTATAAACTAAAAAAGAAAAAAAAAGAAAAGCAAACATTTCAAACTTGATAGGGCAATATTCTTCAATTACAACCTAAGAAACTTTCCTCCTGAATGTGTGGCAGCTAGAATTCTAATCACCATTCTCTGTGCAGGTAAAATCACTTAAAATCAATAATCTTCGAAACCAGCATCTGATCTATTTACTCAAAGTGCGCCGAAGGGCAATAACTACAACTCAAAATCACCTTACTACCCCCTCTGTCCTTAAGCTGGTTCCAATCTGTCTAACTACTGCAATGCATGCCAAACATTATTTCTCTCCAAAAACCAATATTATCACCAACTGTTGCTGATTTATTTAGAGGTTGTGAGCATAGGGTATTAATTTTGGGAGGAAAATTCAATGTGGATAAGAAAAAAACTACTTCCAAGAGGGGAAAATAAAAGAAAGGTTAAAATAAAAGAAACAGGAATTAAGGCATCAGTTGATAATCTGTTCTGTGTTGTTTTACCAACCCTTCATGGAATGAGAAGGAGGAAAATCAGTTTATAGAGCCCCTGGAGATGTCCTCCTTCCTTGGCCACTTATAACTAACAGTCAGTGCCTTCATTACCTTATTTTTGTGCGCTCGTAAGAGTCCAACACTAAGCAATTCTTGGCTTAAATAAGATCATGAGGTAGTTTTTAAACTTATAAATGGTTGTATTGTAAAAGCTCATATGCAATCATTAACTTGAATTTCCAAATAGCTACTACATTTTCCCATAGAAATACAAAGTTTCTGGGGTAGGTTACTGGATTAGTCCATTCCCACACTGCTATGAAGAAAATACCTGAGACTGGGTAATTTATAAAGAAAAGAGCTTTAATTGACTTATAGTTCCACATTGCTGGGAGGCCTCAGGAAACTTACAATCATGGCAGAAGTCACCTCTTGACAGGTCAGCAGGAGAGAGAATGAGTGCCAGCAGAGGAAATGCCAGATGCTTATAAAACCATCAGATCTCATCAGATTCACTCATTATCATGAGAACAGCATGGGGGAACTGCTCCCATAAGACAATTACTTTCACTCCCACCTGGTCCCACCCTTGACACTTGGGGATTATTACAATCCAAGGTGAGATTCGGGTGGGGACACAGAGCCAAATCATAGTAGTTACAGAAATCTAGTTAATCTATTTCTATTCATATTTAACTGTATTCTCTAACCACTCCTGTATGGGGAAAATGCATTCAGAAATACCCTAAGAATGCCGGAAGCACACATTCTCACCAGATGTCCTAATTTGGTCAGTGATTGATGCTGATTTGCTGTGGCAGATGTTACAGGAGAGTAGGGCTGGAGGAATGGGGAGAAATGGAGGAATCCGAGGATGAAGGGCATGCAGAGGAGTTAATATTGAGCTGAAGGGTCAGGGAGAATTTGGCACAAGTCACATGAGGTGACAGAAAGGATTGAGGGCTTTGAATGTGGGTTCAGGGTGTGGAGAAAAATAAAGGCAGGGTCTATTCTCCCTTCTCCCATCACTTCCTTTCTTGCTCCCCGACTTCTCACTCCTGTGGAGTTCATGCTGAGCTGGGATGAGCTGAGGAGGGAGGAAAAGAACAGTGATGGTGGAACACAATTTGCCAAATGTACTTCTCTCCTTCTTTCCTCCATTTATGGCCACTGGCATTGAGGTAAAGGAAGGAAGGAAGGAGAAAGAGAGAAAGAGAGAGAGAGAGAGAGAGAGAGAGAGAGAAAGAGAGAAAGAAAGAAATGAATGATTTGGAACCGTGATTAGCCGGTATGTCAAATCTGTCCTGTCTGCAAATGAAGTAATATTGAATTGCAAACACACATACATGTCTACATATTGTCTATGGTTGTTTTCATGCTAAATAGCAAAATTGAGTAGTTGTGACAGAAACCATATGGTTTCTGAGACCAAAAATATCTATTCTCTGGCCCTTTGCAGAGTTTGCAAACTTTTGGTTTAGAACCATATTAGACAATAAGTCATATCAAGTGAGAGAGCTTTTCCACTCAACCTCCTCTTTGCTGCCCCACCCCATCATCATAGAGCATTTCCTGCTTTTCTTATTGTGGCTGCTGTAGCATTAGGATGATGTAACTAGAGGAGACCAGGACTAAAAATAACAGAAGGTTTCTAAGCAGTTATATAAAGTACAAAACTAAGGGCAGGGAGTGAAGAGAAAGTGCCTGGGGCATCAGAAGATTAATCCACTAATCACACAAATTCGTAAGTGAAACTTGTAACCAGTGCAAAGAAGACACAGGATGTCATAGGGAGACCTTAGCAGTCTGGAGGACAGAAAGTTTCCCTTACTGAGCAGAGAAGGATGAAGTGCAGGATGTGCCAAGGGCCAGAGGTTAAAGAGAGCAATGAGTGTTCTAGAAACTGAAAACAGATCAGTGCAGCTAGAGCTGGATTGAGGGAGGAAAGGACTTTCCAGACCTGGAAAAAGGTACAGACACACAGGACTTTGCCATCGTGTAGAGGATTGTGCCTTTTTCCTAAGAGTAAAGGAAAAATTATTGAAAGATTTTAGGCAAGCAAATGGTATCATTTGATTTCCATACATAAGAGATCATTTTGGCTGCAGAGTAGAGAATAGATTAAAATGATAGTATGAACTACAGTAGTGGTGGTGTAGATGAAGACAATTTGCGTCCTCCCAGGAGGTAGATGTATCGGAACCTGCTGCTGGGCAGGGGATGAAGGGGGTTAGACGTCCAGGATTAGTTCTAAACTCTTAGCATCCATCAATCTACCTCTCCATTTGCACAACTATTTCCTCTACCAGACAGACCCTCCCAAAATTTCTCTGGGCAACTTACAATGAGTCAATGAATATGGTTTCCTTCGTTCTCGGATCCACACAATTGATACTACAGGGCCACCTAACTCATTCTGTTGCTCACTGAAAGTCTGTTTTACAGGAATATATTAGTCTATTCTCATGCTGCTATAAAGAACTGCCCCAAACTGGGTAATTTATAAAGGAAATAGGTTTAATTGACTCACAGTTCAGCATAGTAGGGGAGGCCTCAGGAAACTTACAATCATGGCAGAAGGCACCTCTTCACAGGGCAGCAGGAGAATGACAGAGCTGAGCGAAGGGAGAAGCCCCTTATAAAAGCATCAGATCTTGTGAGATCACAAGAATAGTATGAGGGAAACTGCCCCCATGATTCAATTACCTCTCACCAGATCCCTCTCAGCACATGTTGGGATTATGGGAACTACAATTTGAGATGAGATTTGAGTGGAAACACAGCCAAAACATATCATTCCACCCCTGGCTCCTCACAAATCTCATGTCCTCACATTTCAAAACACAATCATACCTTTCCAACAGTCCCCCAAAATCTTAGCTCATTCCAGCATTAAACCAAAAGTCTAAGTCCAAACTGTCATCTAAGACAAAGCAAATCCTTTCCACCTCTGAGCCTGTAAAATCAAAAGCCAATTAGTTACTTCCTAGACGCAATGCAGGTACAGGCTTTGAGTAAATACGCCCATTCTGAATGGGAGAAATTGGCCAAAACAAAGGGACTCAGGGCCGGTGCAAGTCTGAAATCCAAGAGGACAGTCATTAAATCTTAAAGTTCCAAAATAATCTCCTTTGACTCCATGTCTCACATCCAGTCATGCTGAGGTGAGAGGTAGGCTCCAATGGCCTTCAGCTGCTCTGTCCCGTGGCTTTGCAGGGTACAGCCCTCCTCCTGGCTGCTTTTGAGAGGTGACAGGGTGCTGGCAGTCCTCATAGCCCTCGCTCGCTCTCGGTGCCTCCTCTGCCTGGGCTTCCACTTTGGCGGCACTTGAGGAGCCCTTCAGCCCACTGCTGCACTGTGGGAGCCCCTTTCTGGGCTGGCCAAGGCCGGAGCCGGCTCCCTCAGCTTGCAGGGAGGTGTGGAGGGAGAGGCGCGAGTGGGAACCGGGGCTGTGTGCGGCGCTTGTGGGCCAGCTGGAATTCCGGGTGGGCGTGGGCTTGGCGGGCCCGCACTTGGAGCAGCCGGCCGGCCCCGCCGGCCCCGGGCAATGAGGGGCTTAGCACCCGGGCCAGCGGCTGCGGAGGGTGTACTGGGTCCCCCAGCAGTACCAGCCCACGAGCGCTGCGCTCGATTTCTCACCGAGCCTTAGCTGCCTTCCCTCGGGGCAGGGCTTGGGACCTGCAGCCCGCCATGCCTGAGTCTCCCACCCCCTCCATGGGCTCCTGTGTGGCCAGAGCCTCCCCGATGAGCACCGCCCCCTGCTCCACAGCGCCCAGTCCCATCGACCACCCAAGGGCTGAGGAGTGTGAGCACATGGCACAGGACTGGCAGGCAGCTCCACCTGCAGCCCCAGTGCTGGATCCACTGGGTGAAGCCAGCTGGGCTCCTGAGTCTGGTGGGGACGTGGAGAACCTTTATGTCAGGATTGTAAATACACCAATCAGCACTCTGCATCTAGCTCAAGGTTTGTAAACACACCAATCAGCACCCTGTGTCTAGCTCAGGGTTTGTGAGTGCACCAATCAACACTCTGTATCTAGCTGCTCTGGTGGGGCCTTGGAGAACGTTTATGTCTAGCTCAGGGATTGTAAATACACCAATCAGCACCCTGTGTCTAGCTCAGGGTTTGTGAGTGCACCAATCGACACTCTGTATCTAGCTGCTCTGGTGGGGCCTTGGAGTACCTTTATGTCTAGCTCTGGGATTGTAAATACACCAATCAGCACTCTGTATCTAGCTGCTCTGGTGGGGCCTTGGAGAACATTTATGTCTAGCTCAGGGATTGTAAATACACCAGTCGGCACTCTGTATCTAGCTCAAGGTTTGTAAACACACCAATCAGCACCCTGCATCTAGCTCAGGGTTTGTGAATGCACCAATGGACACTCTGTATCTAGCTGCTCTGGTGGGGTCTTGGAGAACCTTTGTGTCCATACTCTGTATCTAACTAATCTGATGGGGACTTGGAGAACCTTTGTATCTAGCTCAGGGATTGTAAATGCACCAATCAGCGCCCTGTCAAAACAGACCACTCGGCTCTACCAATCAGCAGGACGTGGGTGGGGCCAAATAAGAGAATAAAAGCAGGCTGCCTGAGCCAGCAGTGGCAACCCGCTTGGGGCCCCTTCCACACTGTGGAAGCTTTGTTCTTTCGCTCTTTGCAATAAATCTTGCTGCTGCTCACTCTTTGGGTCCACACTGCTTTTATGAGCCGTAACACTCACCTCAAAAGTCTGCAGCTTCACTCCTGAAGCCAGCGAGACCATGAGCTCACCGGGGGGAATGAACAACTCCAGACGCACTGCCTTAAGAGCTATAACACTCACTGCGAAGGTCTGCAGCTTCACTCCTGAGCCAGCACGACCACGAACCCACCAGAAGGAAGAAAACTCCTAGCATATCCGAACATCAGAAGGAATAAACTCCAGACGTGCCACCTTAAGAGCTGTAACACTCACCATGAGGGTCCACGGCTTCATTCTTGAAGTCAGTGAGACCAAGAACCCACCAATTACGGACACACTTTCACAGACTGGCTTTAGTGTCTGTGGCTTTTCCAGGTGCACGGTGCAAGTTGTCAGGTCTACCATTCTGGGGTCTGGAGGATGGTGGCCCTCTTCTCACAGCTGCACTTGGCAGTGCCCCAGTGGGGACTCCGTGTGGGGGTTCTGACCCCATGTTTCCCTTCCAAACTGCTCTAGCCAAGTTTCTTTACGAGGCCTCTACCCCTGCAGAAAACTTCTGCCTAGACATCTAGGCATTTCCACACAGCCTCTGAAATCTAGGCAGAGGTTCCCAAACCTCAAATCTTGACTTCTACACACCTGCATACCCAACACTACATGGAAGCTGCCAAGGTTTAAAGATTGCACCCTCTGAAGCAACAGCCTAAGCTTTATGTTGGCCCCTTTTAGCCATGCCTGGAGCAGCTGAGATGCACGGCATCAAGTCCCAAGACTGCATACAGCAGGAGGGCCCAGACCAGGAAACCATTTTTCCCTCCTAGGCCTTCAGGCCTGTGATGACAGGGGCTGCCACAAAGGTCTCTGACGTGCCCTAGAGACAGTTTCCCCATTGTCTTGGTGATCAACATTCGACTCCTCATTACTTATGCAAATTTCTGCAACAGGCTTGAGTTTCTCCCCAGAAAATGAGTTTTTCTTTCCTATTACATTGTCAGGCAAATTTTCCAAACTTTTATCCTCGGCTTTCTCTTGAATCTTTTGCTGTTTAGAAATTTCTTCTGCTGGGCTGGGTGCAGTGGCTCATGCCTATAATCCTAGCACTTTGGGAGGCCAAGGTGGGCAGATCACGAAGTCAGGAGATCAAGATCAGCCTGGCCAACATGGTGAAACCCCGTCTCTACTGAAAATACAGAAAATTAATTGGGGATAGTGGCAGGCACCTATAATCCCAGCTACTTGGGAGGCTGAGGTAAGAGAATTGCTTGAACCCTGGAGGTGGGGGTTGCAGTGAGCTGAGATCATGCCACCTCACTCCACTCCAGGCAACAGTGCGAGACTCTGTCTCAACAAACAAACAAAGAAATTTCTTCTACCAGATACCCTAAATTATCTTTCTCAAGTTCAAAGCTCCACAGATCTCTAGGGCAGGGACAATATGCTGTCAGTCTCTTTACATAACAAGAGTGACCTTTACTCCAGTTCCCAACAAATTCCTTATCTCCATCTGAGACCACCTCAGCCTGGACTTTATTGTTCATATCACTATCAGCATTTTGGTCAAAGCCATTCAACAAGTCTCTAGGAAATTTTAAACTTTCCCACATCTTCCTCTCTTCTTCTGAGCCCTCCAAACTTTTCCAGTCTCTGCCTGTTACCCAGTTCCAAAGTTACTTCCACATTTTTGGGTATCTTTATGGCAGCACCCTAGTCTTTGTGGTACCAATTTACTGCATTAGTCCATTCTCACACTGCTATAAACAACTGCCTGAGCCTGGGTAATTTATAAAGGAAGTTTAGTTGACTCACAGTTCAGCATGGCTGGGGAGGCCTCAGGAAACTTACAATCATAGAAGAAGGCACCTCTTCACAGGGAAGCAGGAGAGATAATGAAAGAGATGAACAAAGCTGGGGAGGGGGCCCTTATAAAACCATCAGATCTCATGAGAACTTACTATCACGAGAATAGCATAGGGGAAACTGCCACTATGATTCAATTACCTCCCACCAGGTCCCTCTCACCACATGTGGGGATTATGGGAACTACAATTCAAGATGAGATTTTGGTGGGGACACAGCCAAACCATATCAGAGAATTTGGGAAGGAATGGTTCACTTTTGTAAAACCAGTCAGATGTCACTAGACAAAACACCAGTCTGCTGATGTCCATTTTCAAAGGAAGAAGCGTAACTGCTACTATTATACATTCTGCTATGTTTCCTTGATTCATGTTTTGAGAAAAAAAATGTTTTTGTAGGTTTGTCACTGTAAAATAAAAATAAAAGGATAATTATCAGTATCCTAGCTAACATTTAAACGTTTTAAATTACATTTCAAAAGTGTTCTCTATGAAATTCAATACAATTAAGTCTTGGAGTAAGAGGACATTCAAAAATCTGTTGCTACTAGAAACTAGTGACTGTATTTGTGCATAAATGTGTTTGTTGTTGTTGTTGTTGCTGTTTCTGCCAAATTTTTAGTAGAGAAACTCTTATAGGATTAAGCAAATTTAATGAAAATATTAGCCATATTTTCAGTTGCATTTTTAAAATAATATGCTCTCTTTATCTAATATTTTAGACTCATACGCATTTATCTAAGTATAAGATGTCAAATTTCACGCAGCTATGTCCCCCTTGTAAAGGAGAAGCAGTGAAAAATGCCAATTACTTGTAAAAATCTGATAAGAAACTAAAATCCCCATATCAATGAGGGAGAAACATTGCAACGGCTTTGTAATTCTTTGCCTCAGTGGTGTTTTGAAAATTCATCCAGCTGCGAAAAAAATGTCAACTTGGACTATCTGCTTTTTGAAATGTCAGCATACCTTTCACAAAGAGGCTCCCAAAGAATAATCTAGAAACTCCAAAGGCCACATCTGTGGATGTTGACAGCTTTTCTTTACAATAATTAATTAATACTGTTTAGCTATTGTGCTAAAAAGAAAGTATAACTAATTTTATTATCTAACAATTCTAAAACTATTGCTTGAAAACATTTTTTATTACATCTAGCCTTCTACATGTCAAAGTCGGAGCTACCTAAAACTATGTACCATAAATAACTGCCTCACTTCCTTGTATTGATTTATCTATGATAAACTTTCAATAAATATTTAATGATGGATAAAGGTGGAAGAGAAAGCAAGATGGGGAGTACAAAAGGAATAAGGAAATGTAAGAACAGAAAAGAAAAGAGTAAATGGGAAGATAGAGGAGATAGAGAGCAGAGGAGAAAGAGAAAAGGAAAACAGAGAAGAGAGAATGGAAGGAAAAGGAGAAAGATGTCAGAGGTTGGAATAATTGATCATATAAAACAATACTGAATTTCTACTCCTTGATATCATATTATAAACAAAATTTATTATAATCAGATACTTTTAATACTTACAGTAAAAACTCAAAGCTAAACAATCAAATCTTCAACTCAGTACCAGAAAAGATTAATAAGGAGATCTACAATGCTCAGCAGATGTCACAGAATGTCTCAGGCTTGGCAGTGGCCTAGGCTTACCAGACACTCACCTAGTCCAGCTGTCTCAGTTCTAAAACAGGCTTGCGCTTTAAATCAGGGACTTCAATAGAACAATATGCATATAGTGCAAAAAGTACACTAAGCCTTCATTGGAGATGACAAATAACTACTCACTACCAAGGGAAGGAAAGATGACTTAGTCAAATAGAAATAAAACTATTAAATGTGTGGATAAATGTGTTTTGCAGGAAAGAATCAACAAGCTTAAGTATTCCAGCATTGACCACAGAGAGATTTTGCTCATTTATTATTTTCACACTTAAACATTTATCATAAAACACACTTAAGCTTGGCTGCTGTGTGTTTGAAACTGCAACTGCATTTATCAAGGGAGGGGTCCATTTTTTCTGGCATTCTTATATTGATCTGTGCTAGTGTGCTTGCTGCTTTGTAAGGACTCACATTATATTCACTTGTGTACATCCAGTTTTGTCAACTGTATTTTAAGTCCCCCAAAACTGTTCATTCCAGCATCTTCTATTTATTTTAATATCTCCAAAATGGCTCAGCATTTGATAGGCATGAAATCAATACTTTGGAATAACTGATAGCTTTTGTTACTATGAAAGACAGTAAAGGGGAACTGCGAGGTATGAGTACAGGTAGATTTCACGAGTTTTTAAAAAACAGAGCCACCGTTTTCTCTGTCAATTATTCAGCCTACCACTTTTAGGAATCTAAGTGGCTTTGTATAACCTGCTTTGAAGTTTTTTTTACATTTAGTTGTTTTTAGGTCAAGTTTTCATTTCTTGCATGTTTGTACTTTGTTAAGAATGTGTGGGGGGCTTAAGAACTTTTGTGGTAACTGCCAAGATAAGAAAGGAGGAATGGCGAAGAAATTAATCTACACTGAGTATCAACTACATGCCAGACAAAGATCTAGGCATGTTCATGTATTGTTATAATGTTGTTTATTTTTATGCATTATTTATTCACTCTTACCCTTCTGAAGGGCATGCTGATTTTCCTTTGGGTATCTACCCCTCCTTGCTATGATCATGGGTCTCGATAGAAGCTATGTCCCTCACCATTGTCAAAGGAAGGTTGGATGGATCTAACATAATTCCCCTTAAAATATCCACTAGGTCAAGAATCCAAACTGAAGCCAATCAATTCCTGATAATCCCCTGTTAACGAGACTGGTTCTGGAATGAGACTGTGACCCGATCCAAGTCAATGGTATATGAGAAAAGATTTCAGAAGGCTTCTAAGAAAAATGCTCCCTCACATTTAAGAGAAGACACTGGGAAGATATGTCTCTTTTCCTTTAGATGTTATGGCAACACATGAATGAGAAGTTTGGGGTTGTGAAGCCAACGGAAAACCAGCAAATGAAGATGGCAGAGGACAGAGCCAAGAGAATCAGAAGCACTGCGAAGCAGACACCAAGTCTTGAGTTCTGCGTAGTAGAATAATTTGAGCAGGATTTTAAATTACTTGCAGCAAAAAAAGCATCCTTCCAAATACATTTATGTTACTTCATTACATTCTTCAAATATAATAAACATATATCATTCTTATTTTACATTTATTAAACTCAGTTAACATGGGTAGAGTATCGGGCACTGTGCTAAACGTATTCATGTGTGTGTTTGTGTGTCTGTGTGTGTGTGTGTCTGTGAGTTATCTCATTTAGCTCACAAAACAGCTCTCTGAGGTTGTGTTATTAGTCTCTTTATTTTACAGGTCATGAAGCTGATGAAGGATAAATAATTCCACCACGGTCAGGCAACCAATACATGAAAGGGTGCAGGTCCAGCGAAGCCCACCACCAGGTTTCCTGTGTGATACCATTCTGTTGGGTACTGAGATTTTTCACCCTGCTTTCACTGTTGTTCTTGCTCTTTTCCAGGGCAAGCATAAAATGGAAAATTTAAAAAGCCATGGCTGAAAAGTAAGTCAAAGTGAGGTTAACTGCTTGCTTTCACTTCAGTTCAGAGCTTTCTTTTCACTTCCATTCAGAGATGGCCCAGATGTGGAGTTTCTGTCTGTGACCAGAAGCTTAAAAAATTAAAAACAAAAACAAAAAAACAAAAAACAATGTAGGTGGAGAAGGGAGCTGGAATTCAGAGAGATGAGTTATTAACCTGTGGCCGCCTGTCCAGTGACTTCTTTCTATAGCAACAACATCTCGAATAGACGCACTGCTTAACGCCAATGCCTATGGCAAAACCACAAGGAAATCTGTCGTATCATATCATGGAAACTGAACAACCAGTTGAATGCAGTTAAGTATGAAATGGAATTTGCTGACCTCTATTCGCAAGGAAGAAGCATGCATTGATCAAGTTGACTCATGGTTTGAGGCAGTCTTCCTCCTGGGAGAAAGGTCCTCAGAAACGGGTCAGTAATATGGAGTTCGATTTTGTCCTCCTTCCTAATTTTAATTTGTCTTCTTGATCCTATCTTTGAAACAGTCCTTTCCTGTTTTTATACCCTTGATTTGATTAGCATTCCCCTTGATTTACACAAAACAATTTTTTAAACTTTTATTTCTCTAGAAATATACACTTTCCCTTAAATTATCCATTGTCCCCAAAGGTTGAAAAGCTTTGCTGTAAGAATCAATATGAGAAAGCAGCAAGCACTCAAAATGGTATGTCTCTTGGTAACTATGTAATTTATACCCCTTTAACTATAAGCATTTTGAGGTTAGGAACTACAGAGGTTTTTTTTTGTTATTTCACAAGATGCCTAGTAAAATTCAAAGCAATGAATGAAAGAATTATAAAACACACAGAAATTTTTGATTGAATGAAATAAACATGAATGTCATTAATTATTGGCTGACTACATTTTTCTTGTGAGGAATACTATTTCAAATATTATAAATTCGACCACGATTATATAACTCAGGGAAGAGATACAGTATCTTCTGTCATTTTTTTCATCCATTAATTAAAGAAACACTTCTTAAGTATCAACTGTGTGTCCAACTACACTAGGTTCCAGGGCTGCATATGATAAAGAACTTGGTCTCTGCTTCAGCATATTTAGGACACAGAGAAGTAATCAAAAATTGAAAACTGATGTGATAAGTGAAATGAAAATTACACTATGTGCTTATTTCCTAAGTTGACCTGTAGTGACTTTTTACCTCTGCAACACATTAAATCCTTAGGAGCTGTGACAATGAGGGAAAAGATAATCCAAGTCTCCAGTGATAAAATCTCTTTTTGGGCCACTCATTACTATGAGCCTCGGAGAGTGATGTATTTTCCTATTTAAAATTCACTTTCAAAATGATTATGACTTAGGGAAAACATGGGAATAAATGAAAGGTATTACTGCTGACAATAATGTGGCATTCTGCTTTGCTAGAGCCAGAGCATTTATTTTTGTCAAACAGAATCTCATTCGTCTTCTCAGATTTTCTCATATAAATGATGAATATTCATCTGTAAAATTTATGGAATTAATATCTTTCAAAATTACCAGTTCACCCTAGTTTTTTGTTGCCAGTTTGGCTTATAGACAAATTTGTCATCAGGTTTCCAGTCAAATTCATTCACATAAGCAAGAGACTAAACACTCACTTAGTCGCTACTATTTAATCAAAACAGACTCCCCACTCCCTCAATAGCTAATAAGTGTCAAAGAAGAGATTCAAGCCTAGAGCTGTGTGCAGCCACAATTCTCACCTTCATGCCACACAGTACCTCTCAGCATAGTTAGTGAAGAGTAGACACATAATTTATTCTTTTGACTGGAAATAAAAGAGCATCTTATGACATCTCAATGAATAGTAGAAGGATGTGGTAAGGTTATGATGTTGGTCAATAAGGGAGAATGACTTCATAGGAATACAAGAGGAGATTATGAATATCAAGCTTCTCATGGGGGACAGGAACTGGGAGCCAGGGCAGCCACAAGTCAGGCTACCAGTCTCCTTGCTCATGGATGGCATGGTGTCTCTGTCATGCTACCTCCACCTCTGACTTCACATTCATTCCAGTCTACTCTGTCTGTTAACTGTACTGTCTTTATACTCTTCCATTTTGTAGAATCTTTTTAACTCCGTCATTTCTGATCAGTTTTTCTTTCAGAATTGTGATTGAACCTGATCCATCACAGCCTCCTTGACTTCTCTATTATCACATTCCTTGAGTTTCTACTACACTGTATGTTGACTGGTGGTGACCAGTGAGCTTGCCTGAGAGTCAGGAATATGGAGCCACATAGCGACAAAAGCCATGGCATGAAGCTGTCCTGTCGATAGAGCTTTGGAATGACTTTCCTTTACAAAAGCTGTGGAAATGTCAGATAATATTCTTGTTGTGTTTATGACAGAGATAATATCCTCTCCTCCATGTCCCTCTATACCATTAAAACTAGGTTTCTGTACCTATCAGGAAACAAGGTGAGGCTCTATGACAAACAGAGATGTTCCAAGTCTAGAAATCAGAATGGATTAGAGAGTATTCTACGGCACATATTGATTCCTACCTAAATTAGGATAACCCAGCTAATGCATGGTTAACAAATGTCTAATCAAATCTCAGCTGAAGGTCAAATCTGCTTTTGTGTTAGCTTTAAAGATCTGTCAACTGATATTTATGAAATGAAGAAGGGTACAGTTAAGGATGCTAGCTCTGGACTCTGAATGGGCCTGAATCCTGGTCCCACACTGTCTTGATAGATGAGCTTGGTGAAGTTAATTTCTCCAAGATTCAGTCTCGTTATATATAAAATGGGAGTGATAATAGTACCCACCTCATGGGATTTCTTGAAGACTAAATACAACCCATGTAAAGATTTAGAACAGGCCCTGAAAAGTAACTGTTCTGGCTGTTATCATTGCTATATGTCAGGCTCCATGCTATGTGCCCTACTCCTCTAATTTCATTTTAATCATCATAATGTCTCTACTGAGAAAGTGTTATTGCATGTGTTTGACAGAGAAGGTGGCAGACCTGGGACGGGAACTAAAGTTTTCACAGGAACTTCTAGTCCCATGATTTGCAACTTTGTAAAAGCTTCCATTCCAATTTGAGATTAGAGCTTAAATTATGATCTTACACCAGGGAGGAAAGGGGAGCTGAGTTTTAGAATGAGCAAATGACTTTTTAAGGTTTTAAAATTATATTCCCACAGTGGTATTAACACTTGACAACCTTAATGCTCTACAACCTTAAAACTCTGCTTAATCCAACATATGAGAAGTAATGGCAGTGCAAAGGCAGCCACAATGCAGAGTCTTGGAGTGCCTAAAAAGCATCTGCTTCCCCATAATGTCTCAATGAATCATTATGACAAACAGAAATAAAGCCAATGCATCTCACTATATAGCTGATGCTGCTTTCCTGCTCACAAGGCACAGAAGTTAATTATTATGAACAGATGTGCTTAGATTGGACAAGAATTTATACTCCATGAAATTCAGCATGGACTGAAACAACACAATATGGTTGGTATATTTGTATTTCTTGGGTGGTTGTTGAAAGGGATGCACTGCTCACCATCCTGGAACGTTCATTTGAAGGCCCTTGAGAGTCTTACTTTCCTATTGCAGACCACTTTGCATATATTTCAGTCCAGAAGAACCCACTTTACACATTGAGATTACCACATTGCCTCATTCCTAAAGTGCCTATGATTGGTTGATTCAGCTGTTGATGTGCCAGACTAATGAAGCCAGGATTATGTGTACCTTCCCCATCTGGGGAAGTTAATTTTATTTAATATCATGGTAAGACATTCTTATCCCTTCTGGAATAGGTGACCAGATAAGAATATGTCAACTCATTAGCACAAACACAACACTCCTATTATAACAGCTAAGAATGCATGTGCGTGACTTTCATATACAAAGCACAAGGCTGAACAACTATTAATTAATTCAAAAGATACTTATTTTAGATTCTTCCAGTTTAATAAATGAATTATCCACTTTTTAGGTCTAGGGTATTCAAAGATGAGTCAGAAAATTTCCTATTCTACACCATACATAATTTAGCCTATAAGAGACATAATACTCTAAACTACAGCATATGTTCAGTTTCCCCCTAAAATGGAAAGAATAATTTTTATAAGGCTAATTAAGATAAAGATGATGAAAACTTTTGTAATTTGAGGGATAAATATGGGCTGACTTCTTTGTGAGGACTTTATATAACTAATCTCACTTATCTCACAGCTACTTTATGGTGTAGGTGTTACAATTATTTTAAAGATGAGAAACTTGTGGCTTAATGAAATCAAGTAACTTGTCTAAGGCACACACACGCTCAAAGCCAGAAAGCCTCTGTGGCATCCCACATGCATTTGCTGCATTGCTCTGGGAAGCTAGAGGGAAATGAATAATTCTTTGAATTGCGGAAGGCTTCAGAGAAAAAAATGCCATCTGATCTGGGCTTTGAGGATAAGTCAGATGTTATTAGTCGAAGAAGAAGAAGGACATTCAAGGTAAAGAAATGGCAGGCCCAAAGCCAGGGGTATGAAAGAATTAATACATTTTTCTCTAATTTGAACACATCTCTTTCCATTCCACCTTTGTAAGCACTTTTTAGATGGTTAGTGGATTCACAGTAAAGCCTGTGGACAGCAAATACAATAAAACTTATTATTCCATTTAAATATGAAAAGCATGACCTTGGGCTTTGGGTATAATTACAACCCTGACACTAGTCCACATACCACATTCATTTTCTACATGGCCCAAATCAACACAGATTAACTCAAAGTTAATAAGGCTTTATAAAGGACAAATTGCACATTTAATGTCATTTCCTCAACCAAAGACTGATAAATCTTACTAAGGTGTATGATATCAAAATAGTTGTACTTTTCAATATATTTGGATGATTCATTTTAGAGAAACAGGGCAAACTGTTTTTCTGGATAAGTATGACACAGTATGCAAAAATGATTAACAATACTGTGCTGTGTAATAAAATACATCAATACATATGGTAAATATACATATATTAGAATATAAGAGCTGGAGTACAATGTGATATAGTATCTTTGCACATGTAAGAGATCATATGCTAAATATGATTACTATGAAAAGAAAAAAGTCTAATCAGTTAACTAGATTCAGCTGCTAATAACAGAAATCCAATTATAGTGGCCTAAACACATTAAATTTTCTGGCAGTTTTATTTTCTCTTATAAAAGAAATCTAATGATAAGTGCTCCAAAGCTGACACAGCAACTCCCTTAGGACCTTTCTGTATTTCTACTCCATAATCCTCAGTGAATGTCTCCATCTCCCAGGCCACAAGAATGTAGCTGGAGCTCCAGGAGTCTCATCCATGAGCCAGGCAAGAGCAAGAGGAGGGCAAGCCAAATCAGCAACATTTAAAGGTATTTCCCAGAAGCTCTACCCAATATTCTATGCTTATAACTCATTTGACCACCCCCGCCACCCGCCACCACCGCCAAGCCTTAAGAAAATCTGGAAAACAATGATTTTTTAAGCTGGCACCTCTAAAAAAAAGTCAAGTTTGTGTTATTAGGGAATAAGAAGAAAATTAGAATTGTGAAGGCAACTAGAAACCTCCACCCACAGTGTCTGATATGAAAAATCTGAACTGATAAGTTGAGTAGAGCTTATGAGAAAATGGCAGCAACAGCCATGATAACATCTTTTCAGTGCTTTGCACTTCATAAAATGGTTTTGTAGTCCACACAATATTGAACATGAAGTGATTAAACAGCAAGGGTCTGGATTAAAGGGACTTGGGAACATAAATAGTGTGACACAGAAAATATCACAACAATATTCATTGAAACATTGCTAATAAGAGAAAAAAGCAAGACTAACATTGCTCTGTAGATAGTAATAAGAGTCTTGAACCTGGAGGTGGACATCATGGTACAGATCACATGGAATAAGACACAGGAGACATATAAGCACCTCAAAACATGGAAGAAGAGTAGGAAACAGAACAGAACATTTCTAAAGCCACATGGATGGTGAAGGAGATAACCCTAGGTCCCATTACATGTCCTTCAAAAAAAAAAAAAAAGAAATATATACTTACAGTATAGTCATCTTAACTCCCTTTTTTTTGTCTTCAAAAAACCACAAGTTATAGGAACACGTGTTTCTTCGTGGAGTTGCAGAGAGTATAGAAAGATATTTTATAAGAGGTATTATACCCTGAGTAAAGATTTTAAGATCAGAAACAGTAAGACGAGTAAATGACCTCCATTACAAAATTCTGTTTAATGAGTCTTGTTTCTAGATATGTTATTCATTACACCTTTCCATTGTGAGACAATTCAATCTTCAGAACTTCCTTTAAGATAAGCGGGTGCCTGTGGCTACTTGGGAGGCTGAGGCAGGAGAATCACTTGAACCTGGGAGGCAGAGGTTGCAGTGAGCCGAGATAGCACCACTGCACTCCAGCCTGGGCAACAAGAGTGAGACTCCATCTCAAAAAAAAAAAAAAAAAAAAAAAAAGATAAGCATTCCTATTTTAGAGTTGGAAAAGCTGAAGGACAAAGGGTTTTAAAAGGTTAAAACCAAGGTTACAAAGCTCTTAAGTATAGAGACAAAAGTTAAACACAGACAATTAGGTTCTGAATCCTATGCTGTTTCTGTGCTAGGAAGGAGTAGAGAAATTTCAATAATGTTGGATCATGGTTTTCCAATATTATTGTTGCCGAGTTTGTACTCCTTTGTCCTCTGTTTCAGTGCCCTGCTTTTTTTGGATGGGGGCGGGGGAGTGAGGGTATTACCTCTGTTTTTACTTTCAGTAGATGTATCTGGGATAAGATTGGCCCTATATTGTACCTCCTGGGTGAGTACTAGACTTAGGCTTGACCAATGAGAGTAATGGTGATTGGTTCACAGATATGACTTCAAATAAAGACATTAAGTCTCAATTCCTGGGCTTTTTCTGCAACATTGGACAGGGAAAGTTCCCATCATCCTGTGGTTGTTAAACCTGGACTAGGAGGTACTTCTTTATGCACAGAGATGGCTAGAGAATAAAGCCAGAACATAGAGAACTAGAGTCAGGAAGAAAACCCAAGCCCTGATGATATCATTTGAGTCTCCAGATTTAATCATGCTTGAAGCAAAATCAAAACCTTGTATTTTTCAATTATGTGCGAAAGTAGGTCCCTCTTTTTGTAACTAGCCTAATTTGAGTTAGATTTTCTGTTAATATAATGCAAAAAATCTTGCCTAATAGAGTGGGTTTACAGATGTAACTGTAACAGATGTATGATGTAACTAATATGGAGTAATTTAGAACTCAAACAGGAATAGCTGCAACTAAACCAGCATGGATCCTTTTTCTTCCCCCCTCCCCCATAGAGACAGGGTCTTGCTCTGTCACTCAGGCAGTGGCAGTGCAGTGGTGCTATAATAGCTCATTACAACCTTGAACTCCTGGGCTCAAGCAATCCTCTGGCCTCAGTCTCAGTCTTCTGAGTAACTAGGTCTACAGGTGTGCGCCACCATGCCCAGCTCATTTCTTTTTAATTTTTTATAGAGACAAGGTCTGGTTATGTTGCCCAGGCTGGTCTCAAACTCCTGACCTCAAGAGATCCTCCCACCTCAACCTTCCAAAGCTCTGGGATTATAGGCATAATTATATCGCCAGGAGCCATCCTACCCAGCCCAGCATCAATACTTTTTAAAGCCCACGTTTTGTGAGTTAGTAAAACTGGTTTATGTTGAAACTATCTGAGAAATTTTTTCCTCTGGAGATATTTATGGATATACTATAAGATAATTTGATTAGAATGCTCTAGAGTACTTATGATTTGTTTGTTTTGCTTGACATCACTTGATCCTCTAAAAATAGATAGTCCAGTTACCATATTTCAAAAGGTGCCTCTGCATGTTAGGTAATTGCAGAACGTGTAGACACGCCATATCATTATAAAGAGGTTTACGAGAAATAGGCTCATTATACAATATCAACAAACACTATTTGAGCATGTAGCATTAATAAATAATACTTGATGTTTGTATCATAAAGGACTTGACTGCCCATAGAATTCTTGGGAAAATAAAAATAGATCAGATAATTAGTATGTAGGATAGTCTCATTTCACTGATGAAAATAATACCTGAACAAAGATAAAAGAACAGGAAAAAAAATCAAGATATACAAAAAATTTGTCTCCATCACCAGGAAAAAACTGTCAACTATATTTCATGGATCAGTTTAATGCTGTGAATAAGAATTATGTTTACAAAAGACTTCTATTTATACTCTAAATTCTACACTTTTTCCCCTATGGTTTTACTTTTACTCTTGAAATACAGATTATGTCAGAACCTACCAACTCAGAGGAGTAAAAACCTTAATTATCTGCTGGGAGTAATACATTTATGCAATGTTAACAACAGTCAATGATTATAAATCCCACTTCTACTGGCTCACTCTCTCCTCCCCATCCTCTCCCCATCAAAATTACCATATCATAAGAACCTGGTCGCCTTTTCTTTTTTTTTCTTTTTCTTTTTTTTTTTTGAGACAGAGTCTCGCTCTGTCGCCCAGGCTGGAGTGCAGTGGCACCATCTCGGCTCACTGCAAGCTCCGCCTCCAGGGTTCACGCCATTCTCCTGCCTCAGCTTCCTGAGTAGCTGGGACTACAGGCACCCACCACCGCGCCTGGCTTTTTGTATTTTTATAGAGACAGGGTTTCACTGTGGTCTCGATCTCTTGACCTCGTGATCCTCCCACCTCGACCTCCCAAAGTGCTGGGATTACAGGCGTGAGCCACCACGCCCAGCCTCACCTTTTCTTAACAGCAGTTAGTTCTTATTTAGATGATTCACTTGTATGAACCTATCACTTTTTTCCAAAATCTTTGGGAAATATGTACAAAAATGAGGGAGGGGAACTCATCAGGGAAACCTGGAGTAAATTCTTAGTAACTTTTTGGTTAAGCTTCAGAGGTTATTTTTAGCACAAAATGAGGACTGTGGCATTCCGTTAAGAACAGTCATTTAACCTTCACCAAGTTCTACAACTTCCTAGTTTTACAGATTCATTTTGAAGGTATCGGTTGTGGTATTTTTTTCGCCCACACATGCAGGCTTAGGCAAAGGCCATAACTTCTAACAGATCTGTGAAAATATATACCACTTCGCTATAATTGTCAACATATTTCCACCAGATCTATCCTGCTGAAGTAATTGTATTACCCAAGTAATAATTCTGTGATGATATCAAAGACTAACACACATAATACCAAGAATTTAAAAGTTAAAATAAAAATTTTAAAAGAATTCACAAATTCACAGGGAAGAGAAGATATCTAAAATTTTGAAAATAACTGTACAATGAAAAAAATAGCATACTAGGTGTTAAAACATCATCAAACTAACAATATTAAAGCAGTGGAATTACTAATGTGTGAAGACATGAATCAGTAAAATGGCACAGGCAGAGATTCTAACATGAGAAATTACAACAGGCAGCTTTTGAACTCATGGGGTAACTAGGGATAACTGGCTAGCTATCTGAGAAACAAAACACTCTATCTCTACTGCAATTCCCCTCCTAAATATATTCCATCTAAACACAGTAATTAAATTTAAAAAGGTAACAGAACAAGAAAATCAAGTTAGTTATTTTTATAATCTAGAGATAGAGGGGCTTTTCTATAATAATACCAAATCTAGAAACGAAAAAAAAAAGTTGATAGAGACGCTACTGAAAAACGTTTTAAAATTATATATACATATAGTGGGGGAGGAGCCAAGATGGCTGAATAGGAACAGCTCCGGTCTACAGCTCCCAGCATGAGCGACGCAGAAGACGGGTGATTTCTCCATTTCCATCTGAGGTATCGGGTTCATCTCACTAGGGAGTGCCAGACAGTGGGCGCAGGTCAGTGGGTGCGCGCACTGTGCATGAGCCGAAGCAGGGCGAGGCATTGCCTCACTTGGGAAGCTCAAGGGGTCAGGGAGTTCCCTTTCCGAGTCAAAGAAAGGGGTGACAGATGGCACCTGGAAAATCGGGTCACTCCCACCCGAATACTGCGCTTTTCTGATGGGCTTAAAAAACAGCGCACCAGGAGATTATATCCCGCACCTGGCTTGGAGGGTCCTACGCCCACGGAGTCTCGCTGATTGCTAGCACAGCAGCCTGAGATCAAACTGCAAGGCGGCAGCGAGGCTGGGGGAGGGGCGCCCGCCATTGCCCAGGCTTGCTTAGGTAAACAAAGCAGCTGGGAAGCTCGAACTGGGTGGAGCCCAACACAGCTCAAGGAGGCCTGCCTGCCTCTGTAGGCTCCACCTCTGGGGGCAGGGCACAGACAAACAAAAAGACAACAGTAACCTCTGCAGACTTAAATGTCCCTGTCTGACAGCGTTGAAGAGAGCAGTGGTTCTCCCAGCACGCAGCTGGAGATCTGAGAACGGGCAGACTGCCACCTCAAGTGGGTCCCTGACCCCTGACCCCCGAGCAGCCTAACTGGGAGGCAACCCCCAGCAGGGGCAGACTGACACCTCACAAGGCCGAGTACTCCAACAGACCTGCAGCTGAGGGTCCTGTCTGTTAAAAGGAAAACTAACAAACAGAAAGGACATCCACACCAAAAACTCATCTGTACATCACTATCATCAAAGACCAAAAGTAGATAAAACCACAAAGATGGGGAAAAAACAGAGCAGAAAAACTGGAAACTCTAAAAAGCAGAGCACCTCTCCTCCTCCAAAGGAATGCAGTTCCTCACCAGCAATGGAACAAAGCTGGATGGAGAATGACTTTGACGAGGTGAGAGAAGAAGGCTTCAGACAATCAAATTACTCCGAGCTATGGGAGGACATTCAAACCAAAGGCAAAGAAGTTGAAAACTGTGAAAAAAATTTAGAAGAATGTATAACTAGAATAACCAATACAGAGAAGTGCTTAAAGGAGCTGACGGAGCTGAAAACCAAGGCTCAAGAACTACGTGAAGAATGCAGAAGCCTCAGGAGCCGATGTGATCAACTGGAAGACAGGGTATCAGTGATGGAAGATGAAATGAATGAAATGAAGCGAGAAGGGAAGTTTAGAGAAAAAAGAATAAAAAGAAATGAGCAAAGCCTCCAAGAAATATGGGACTATATGAAAAGACCAAATCTACATCTGATTGGTGTACCTGAAAGTGATGGGGAGAATGGAACCAAGTTGGAAAACACTCTGCAGGATATTATCCAGGAGAACTTCCCCAATCTAGCAAAGCAGGCCAACATTCAGATTCAGGAAATACAGAGAACGCCACAAAGATACTCCTCGAGAAGAGCAACACCAAGACACATAATTGTCAGATTCACCAAAGTTGAAATGAAGCAAAAAATGTTAAGGGCAGCCAGAGAGAAAGGTCGGGTTACGCTCAAAGGGAAGCCCATCAGACTAACAGCAGATCTCTCGGCAGAAACTCTACAAGACAGAAGAGAGCGGGGGCCAATATTCAACATTCTTAAAGAAAAGAATTTTCAACCCAGAATTTCATATACAGCCAAACTAAGCTTCATAAGTGAAGGGGAAATAAAATCCTTTACAGACAAGCAAATGCTGAGAGATTTTGTCACCACCAGGCCGGCTCTAAAAGAGCTCCTGAAGGAAGCGCTAAACATGGAAAGGAACAACCAGTACCAGCCACTGCAAAATCATGCCAAAATGTAAAGACCATCGAGACTAGGAAGAAACTGCATCAACTAATGAGCAAAATCACCAGCTAACATCATAATGACAGGATCAAATTCACACATAACAATATTAACTTTAAATGTAAATGGACTAAATGCTCCAATTAAAAGACACAGACTGGCAAATTGGATAAAGAGTCAAGACCATCAGTGTGCTGTATTCAGGAAACCCATCTCATGTGCAGAAACACACATAGGCTCAAAATAAAAGGATGGAGGAAGATCTACCAAGCAAATGGAAAACAAAAAAAGGCAGGGGTTGCAATCCTCATCTCTGATAAAACAGACTTTAAACCAACAAAGATCAAAAGAGACAAAGAAGGCCATTACATAATAGTAAAGGGATCAATTCAACAAGAAGAGCTAACTATCCTAAATATATATGCATCCAATACAGGAGCACCCAGATTCATAAAGCAAGTCCTTAGTGACCTACAAAGAGACTTAGTCTCCCACATATTAATAATGGGAGACTTTAACACCCCACTGTCAACATTAGACAGATCAATGAGACAGAAAGTCAACAAGGATACCCAGGAATTGAACTCAGCTCTGCACCAAGCGGACCTAATAGACATCTACAGAACTCTCCACCCCAAATCAACAGAATATACATTTTTTTCAGCACCACACCACACCTATTCCAAAATTGACCACATACTTGGAAGTAAAGCTCTCCTCAGCAAATGTAAAAGAACAGAAATTATAACAAACTATCTCTCAGACCACAGTGCAATCAAATTAGAACTCAGGATTAAGAATCTCACTCAAAACTGCTCAACTACATGGAAACTGAACAACCTGCTCCTGAATGACTACTGGGTACATAATGAAATGAAGGCAGAAATAAAGATGTTCTTTGAAACCAACGAGAACAAAGACACAACATACCAGAATCTCTGGGACACATTCAAAGCAGTGTGTAGAGGGAAATTTATAGCACTAAATGCCCACAAGAGAAAGCAGGAAAGATCCAAAATTGACACCCTGACATCACAATTAAAAGAACTAGAAAAGCAAGGGCAAACACATTCAAAAGCTAGCAGAAGGCAAGAAATAACTAAAATCAGAGCAGAACTGAAGGAAATAGAGACACAAAAAACCCTTCAAAAAATTAACGAATCCAGGAGCTGGTTTTTTGAAAGGATCAACAAAATTGATAGACCACTAGCAAGACGAATAAAGAAAAAAAGAGAGAAGAATCAAATAGACACAATAAAAAATGATAAAGGGGATATCACCACCGATCCCACAGAAACACAAACTACCATCAGAGAATACTATAAACACCTCTACGCAAATAAACTAGAAAATCTAGAAGAAATGGATAAATTCCTCGACACATACACTTTCCCAAGACTAAACCAGGAAGAAGTTGAATCTCTGAATAGGGCAATAACAGGAGCTGAAATTGTGGCAATAATCAATAGCTTACCAACAAAAAAGAGTCCAGGACCAGATGGATTCACAGCCGAATTCTACCAGAGGTACAAGGAGGAACTGGTACCATTCCTTCTGAAACTATTCCAATCAACAGAAAAAGAGGGAATTCTCCCTAACTCATTTTATGAGGCCAGCATCATCCTGATACCAAAGCCGGGCAGAGACACAACCAAAAAAGAGAATTTTAGACCAATATCCTTGATGAACATTGATGCAAAAATCCTCAATAAAATACTGGCAAACCAAATCCAGCAGCACATCAAAAAGCTTATCCACCATGATCAAGTGGGCTTCATCCCTGGGATGCAAGGCTGGTTCAATATACGCAAATCAATAAATGTAATCCAGCATATAAACAGAACCAAAGACAAAAACCACATGATTATCTCAATGGATGCAGAAAAGGCCTTTGACAAAATTCAACAACCCTTCATGCTAAAAACTCTCAATAAATTAGGTATTGATGGGACATATCTCAAAATAATAAGAGCTATCTATGACAAACCCACAGCCAACATCATAGTGAATGGGCAAAAACTGGAAGTATTCCCTTTGAAAACGGGCACAAGAGAGGGATGCCCTCTCTCACCACTCCTATTCAACATAGTGTTGGAAGTTCTGTTCAGGGCAATTAGGGAGGAGAAGGAAATAAAGGGTATTCAATTAGGAAAAGAGGAAGTCAAATTGTCCCTGTCTGCAGACGACATGATTGTATAACTAGAAAACCCCATTGTCTCAGTCTAAAATCTCCTTAAGCTGATAAGCAACTTCAGCAAAGTCTCAGGATACAAAATCAATGTACAAAAATCACAAGCATTCTTATACACCAACAACAGACAAACAGAGAGCCAAATCATGAGTGAAGTCCCATTCACAATTGCTTCAAAGAGAATAAAATACCTAGGAATCCAACTTACAAGGGATGTGAAGGACCTCTTCAAGGAGAACTACAAACCACTGCTCAACGAAATAAAAGAGGATACAAACAAATGGAAGAACATTCCATGCTCATGGGTAGGAAGAATCAATATCGTGAAAATGGCCATACTGCCCAAGGTAATTTACAGATTCAATGCCATCCCCATCAAGCTACCAATGACTTTCTTCACAGAATTGGAAAAAAATACTTTAAAGTTCATATGGAAGCAAAAAAGAGCCCGCATCACCAAGTCAATCCTGAGCCAAAAGAACAAAGCTGGAGGCATCACACTACCTGACTTCAAACTATACTACAAGGCTACAGTAACCAAAACAGCATGGTACTGGTACCAAAACAGAGATATAGATCAATGGAAGGGAACAGAGCCCTCAGAAATAACGCCGCATATCTACAACTATCTGATCTTTGACAAACCTGAGAAAAACAAGCAATGGGGAAAGGATTCCCTATTTAATAAATGGTGCTGGGAAAACTGGCTAGCCATATGTAGAAAGCTGAAACTGGATCCCTTCCTTATGCCTTATACAAAAATCAATTCAAGATGGATTAAAGCCTTAAACCTTAGACCTAAAACCATAAAAACCCTAGAAGAAAACCTAGGCATTACCATTCAGGACATAGGCACGGGCAAGGACTTCATGTCTAAAACACCAAAAGCAATGGCAACAAAAGCCAAAATTGACAAATGGGATCTCATTAAACTAAAGAGCTTCTGCACAGCAAAAGAAACTACCATCAGAGTGAACAGGCAACCTACAAAATGGGAGAAAATTTTCACAACCTACTCATCTGACAAAGGGCTAATATCCAGAAACTACAATGAACTCAAACAAATTTACAAGAAAAAAACAAACAACCCCATCAAAAAGTGGGCAAAGGACATGAACAGACACTTCTCAAAAGAAGACATTTATGCAGCCAAAAAACACATGAAAAAATGCTCACCATCACTGGCCATCAGAGAAATGAAAATCAAAACCACAGTGAGATAACATTTCACACCAGTTAGAATGGCAATCATTAAAAAGTCAGGAAACAGGTGCCGGAGAGGATGTGGAGAAATAGGAACACTATTACACTGTTGGTGGGACTGTAAACTAGTTCAACCATTGTGGAAGTCAGTGTGGCGATTCCTCAGGGATCTAGAACTAGAAATACCATTTGACCCAGCCATCCCATTACTGGGTATATACCCAAAGGACTATAAATCATGCTGCTATAAAGACACATGCACACGTATGTTTATTGCAGCATTATTCACAATAGCAAAGACTTGGAACCAACCCAAATGTCCAACAATGATAGACCAGATTAAGAAAATGCGGCACATATACACCATGGAATACTATGCAGCCATAAAAAATGATGAGTTCATGTCCTTTGTAGGGACATGGATGAAATTGGAAATCATCATTCTCAGTAAACTATCGCCAAGAACAAAAAACCAAACACCGCACATTCTCACTCATAGGTGGGAATTGAACAATGAGTACACATGGACACAGGAAGGGGAACATCACACTCTGGGGACTGTTGTGGGGTGGGGGTAGGGGTAGGGATAGCATTGGGAGATATACCTAATGCTAGATGACGAGGTAGTGGGTGCAGCGCACCAGCATGACACATGTATACATATGTAACTAACCTGCACATTGTGCACATGTACCCTAAAACTTAAAGTATAATAATAATAAAAAATAAATAAAATTATATATATATAAAACTCTGAACTTTGTCCAATAATTTTTAAAAAACAAATAAGTTCATAAGGAAGTTTAAAAATAAATATCAAACTGGGAGCATATTTGCAAAATATGTGACAAAAAGGCTTATTATCCACAGTATGCCAACTATGTCTTTTACACTACAGGGAAAGACAAAAAAGCAAACAGCCAGTATAAAAATAGTGAAAAAAAACTCTGAGAAGTAATGTCTGAAAAGGAATATAAATGACTAAGTAATATTAATAGCAATCAAAGAAATTCAAGTACAAAAATGAGTTTTCCTTTCCATTTTGATTGACAACTATTAAAATATTGAGTAGATCTGGCATTAGCTAAAGGAATGAAGAATGAGGCACTGTCCTATGCTATTGTTGAAAAATAAAATGATATGATGTTTCTAGAAGCCCGTTTGGAAATATTTACGAAAAACTTTATAGATTCCTGCTCTTTGACTCACAAATTCCACTTATAGAAGTAGGTCCTAAAGTTAAAAATGGACAAAGTTGTAGTTCAGAGCTGTTTCTAATACAAAAACAATGTCATATCATTCAGCAATAAACTGGTTACAACAAAATGAAGCATTCATATGATCAGTAGCTTTGTACCAATAAATAAGGACTTTAAGATATGTCTGCAAAGTGTTAGCAAGGAAAAAAACAGTTGTGTGTCAGTACATATACATATAGATAAATGTTTGGAAGGTTGTACATTAAAATATCAAAATAAATAGTGGTTTCTTTAGGTTGGTGAGATTTCAGGTAATTTTTATTATACCTTTTTCTCAACGAATTCTATGAAACAATGGGATTTTTTTCAAAAACATATAATATTCTTATAATCATAAAGCAAATTGTATTTTGAAAACAGAAAAAAATTATATAAACACATAAAACAAAAAATTGTTGCTTGTTCAATACCTATAACTTGACAAGTATGAGTTAATGTGTGCTAATGAACAATTTAGGAATATGATATATCTACAATGGGTAACGACTCTGAATGAAGTCTAAAATAAACCTTCTTACATGTGATATGTTACATATCATGGTACTCCGTCACTTATAAAGCCCCCACACGACTTCAAAGCATAGAAATGCTTCAACCAGATCTTCTCCTAATAGATGATACAAGACTAATCAGACAATAAGCTGGTCTGGAACCTGATCAGGAAGCTCACAGCCGGTAAAATCATCACACACTGAACAGGCCTGCTCCCTTATTCCTGGTGATCTTTTCTGCTTGGACCTCAAATAGGGCAGAGCCATCTCCATCATCGCTAGGACTGAAGTATGAGTTTATGAGTGTGAGTGCACATGCATACAATGTTCTAGGGGTGGGCAGGAGCATCAAGAAGGGGTTACTTTAACACCTGGAGGAAATAATCGTGGGGAAGCCTCCATTCTCTCTTCCATAGTGTATCACACACAGATGTAATGAGATAAGAGCATCGGGATAGATTGATAAAGGACTCGCATGGTAGAAAATGGTTGCCCTATTTGCACCCCTGCCTCCCTCTCAGAGGCATTCTTACTTCCTGTCAGGTAGTAGTGGCTCCTGTGAGGAACCTATAAGACTCCTTGTATTATAAGAGACAGTCTCCAGAGAGGGTCACCGCTCCTGGTCAGCTTCCGGAGTTGCCTGACTAACAAAAGCATTAAAGTCAAGTAAGATAAATCCTGAAATACATGCTAATCTACTCTAAGAAGAACGTAATTTATGCTTGTGCAACATAAATCCAATTTATGCCTGTGTCCAAATTGCACAAAGAATAGACAATTATTATCAGTAGTGCATGAGCATTGTTTTTCATCTTTCATAAAAATATGTTTGGTTTCTCAGGAATGGAAGCCTGAAAGCTTTTTTAGGGACACATTTAACATTTGGCATTTGACATTCCCATTTCTACATTCAATAAACAAAGCTGCAATTTATCCAAAGCAGTCTATAGCTTTTCTAATGTGTGTGTCTTCAGAAGGTAAATGGATTTCACCTTTGGATTAGGGATGAAGTGGAAATTCGTATTGATTCACAGCCTCCTTTTATTCCTGGGTTGTCGAGACATGTTCCTAGAGAGTTTGGTGTCTCTTTTGTTCTTTTCCCATGTGTCACCACAGAATGTCCCCTCTCATTCTGGGCGGGCTGCGAGTTACCCTGACTGATGGGGGTCTGTGGTGGGAGGGATGGAAAGGAGCCTCTCACAGTTCTACTAGTAGCACCAATATCAGAAGTGTTAGAATAAGGCCTAAAGTCAACTTGAACTTCTCATCTAATAGACCTAATAGGGTCTGTGTATGTTGTTAGAACTGAAAGAGCTGCTGACCCCAAAATAATTCTTCCATTTCAGGTGTTACACCTATTTTATAAAGCTGCTGCAGAAGCTCATGTTTCGAACTAGTTTTTCAGCTGCAAATATAAATGAACCCCAAATCCCTAGATAAATGTGGAAAGCCAACAGCTTATTAGACAAAGGTCAAGATGAACAAAGACAATGCAGATTACAGAAGAGAATTTAAAGTACTTCTGTTCTCAAAGAGCATTTTTTTTAACAGGTTCTTGCCTGAAATATTGTTATGTTCTATTTATCTATGAGTATCCTCATATTTTTTGTAAAAGGAACAATCAGAAAATAAGAAAGAAATTATAGAATTTTAAAAACATGCTACAAAATAGAATAGACATGGCTAAAAATCATACCTGGGCAAAAAATGAAAACACTTTTAAAAGGGCAAAATAAAGAGATAAACAAAAACAGAAAACTCAAGATATAAAAGGGTAAATATAGAAAACATGTATCAGTCTAAAGATATCACAGAAAAAAGACAGGACAGCATGAAAATAATAAAATATAATTCTTTTTCACTAGAAGATACATGTAAGTTTTTAAATTATGCCCATTAGGTATAGAGCAAAAAATAAGAACAAAATATCTTATCACAATAAATGACGATGAGAATAATGATGATGGTGATGATAAACACATTGACAAATCCTTCTAAAATTTTATAAATTCAGGGTAAAAAGAATCTTTAAAGTTTGAAGAAAAAGGAATGAAAAAGGCACAAAAACAGGCTACCTAAAAATACTTAAGTGTGATGGTTTTATAATGTGTCAACCTGGCTAGTTTAAATTACAGTTCCTAGAATTCCATTACTTGTATATAGTCATGTGCCACGTAATGACTTTTTGGTCCATTAATGACTGGCCACAAAGACAATGGTGGTCCCATAACATTATAACGGAGCAGAAAAATTCCTATCACCTAGCAACGTCCTAACATCACAGCACAATGTATTATGCACTGTGTTTGTGGTGATGTTGTGTAAACAAACCTACTGAGCTCTCCAGTCATATAAAAGTGTCTAGTAATGTCCTGGGGCTTCACGTTCACTACCACTCATTCACTGATTCACCCAGAGCAACTTCCAGTCCTGCAAATTCCATTCATGGTAAGTGCCGCACACAGGTGTACACATTTTATCTTTTGTACTATATTTTATTGTACCTTTTCTATGTTTAGCTAAGCAGATACTTACCATTGTGTTATCATTGCCTACAGTATTCAGTACAGTAACATGCAGTACAGGTTTGTAGCCTAGGAGCAATAGGTCATACCATATAGCCTTAGGTGTATAGTAGGCTATCCTATCTAGATGTGTGTCATGTAAGTACACTCTATGATGTTCACACAACAGCAGAATCACCTAAAGACACATTTCCCAGGAAGTATCCCTGTCATTAAGTGACACATGACTGTATTTCAGCTTAGAGAGGGTCACAAGGGAGAGTCTAAGAGATTTAAAAGGGGTAAGGAAGGTAGTAGGACTTTGGTAGTTCATCTGCATTGTTGCTGATGTACTGACTTGCCTCCTGGGCATGAAGCAGCAGCTAAGCCTACAATTTTTCTACCTTTCCCTCCTTTAGCTTCTGGGACTCCAAGTTATGTTTAACTCTGAAAGAAGCCCCAGCTTATTCAAGATACCCTTCTAAGCAAGGTTAAAGATAGCATGAATGGACATGAGTTTCAATTCATCCTCCTGGGTTCCAAGTAGTGCTGTGAGTTCCAGCCTACTTGTGACATTCTCTTCCTGACTGCCTGTCCTGTAGACTCCAAGTTTCACCATCAAATGCAGAGATGACAGCCTTACAAAGACTGATTGACCAGTTCCAGCAACTGTGTAAGCCAAGTCTCTGTAATAAACTCATATCCCATACTGGTTCTGCTTTTGATCCCGACTGGTACAATGAGTGCCTGATTGGCATAAGACTTCTGACCTGCAACATGAGGGAAAATTATTTTAAAGCCAGCATTCTACACTCTATCAAACTGTCATTTCAGTTTCAGAGCAAAATAAAATCATCTTTGAACACATAAGATCTCAGAAAACTTGCCACCTCAGGGATCCTGAAAAATAACCCAAGCAAAATTAAATATAAATCCAAGACAGAAAAAGTAGAACTAAATCTAAGTTCAGGTCCTATTTTATAATCATGCAGCAGGTCTAGAAAGCCCCCATGGGTATATCCTCAAGAAGACAACATTCACCATTAAACAGACAACATTCACCATTAAACTAAGCTACTCATGTACATTATGAATATACATGCATAGCTTAGAAATATTATGAATATTACATTATTATGAATTATTATTTTGAGGCACAGTTGCTAAGAAAACTATATATCATGTTTTGTTAAACAAATAAACAAACAAAAACGGAAAGAAGGAAAAGAAAAAATTCCTAAAGAGAGCCATGGCTCCTAGATGAAACAAGCTAGGCATTATCAGATATGAAGCAATTAATAGAACAGAGTTTTCTAGAAAAACAATAGCATACATATACCAGTGAAGAAACTGCAAAAGGATGAGGGGGCCTACTGATAATATGAAGTCAAGTGTAATTTGTAACTTTTATTTAATTTATAATGTATTAAGTGTAATAATTATCCCATGATGTATTTCCTTTAAAAGTCTTTTTTCACTAATAGAAATTTGGCTTTCAAATCAAGCTTTCCCTATTATTATTTCTAAATCTAGATTTATATATGAAAATTTATTCTTATTTTTAAAATGAAAGTAAGTTGCATGAGGCAAAGGCTTTATCAACACTGGCAATTACTGCATCTCTACTTCTCAAAATTATGCCTACCACAGTCATTGCTTGATAGATATTTTTTGCATTATTTAATTTAAAGAATCCAGGAAGGTTTAGCTTGGTGTTTAGACATTAGTGGTGCAATCTGATTTTTAGGGGACATTTGTCCAAGTATTTTTAATGAAAATAAACTAATGACAATGAAGAATCACATATACACCATGGAATACTATGCAGCCATAAAAAGGATGAGCTCATGTCCTTTGCAGGGACATGAATCAAGCTGGAAAACATCATTCTCAGCAAACTAACACAGGAACAGAAAACCAAACACCACATGTTCTCCTTCATAAGTGGGAGTTGAGCAATGAGAACACATGGACACAGGGAGGGGAACATCACACTAGGGCCTGTCAGGGGGTGGTGGGCTAGGGGAGGGATAGCATTAGGAGAAATACCTAATGTAGATGATGGGTTGATGGGTGCAGCAAACCACCATGGCACGTGTATACCTATGTAATAAACCTGCATGTTCTGCACATGGATCCCCGAACTTAAAGTATAATAATAATACAAAGAATACTCAGAGAAGCTCCAAATCCTATTTATATATAGGATTTGAAACTATATATCTGTATATATATATAAATATATATATAAATATATATATAAATATATATATAAATATATATAAATATATATAAATATATATATTAATATATATAAACACGAAAATGTGTGTTTATATATGTCTGTAAAGAGTGGGACAATTAAACTTTTTCTATTAAAAAAAGAATCATGCAATTACAGTTATAAATGACTACCCCAACTTCTTAATGTATCTCTCAACTTTTCTATGAACCTGAGATTAATCTTTGAGGACCACATTAATTCTGTTTATTAAAATAAAATAAAGCATTTGAAATTCAGCAACTTTTTCAGAGAAAAAGATTAAATACAAGTTTAAAAAAGAATTCTACATATTATTGTGAAAATACAGTTGCATTATTAATATTAAATAAAATTGCAAAGGTCATAGTACAAAATGAACCTATATTTTAGAAGTGGCTGGAGGCAGTGGCTCATGCCTGTCATCTCAAAACTTTGGGAGGCTGAAGCAGGAATATGGCTTGAAGCCAAGAATTTGACATCAGCCTGGCAACAAAGTGAGATTATGTCTCTACAAAACATAAAAATAAGTTAGCCATGTGCGGCAGTGGGCACTTGTGCTGTGGCACGTGCCTGTAGTACTGGCTACTTGGCAGGCTCAGGCAGGAGCATTGCTTGAGCCCAGGAGTTTGAGGTTATGGTGAGCTATGATTGTGCCATTGCACTCCAACCTGGGTGACAGAGTAAGAAGACCCTCGTTTCAAAAATAATAAAATAAAGAAGTGCCTCTGTGTGTCTCTATGGATATTTGCACCTGCATTTGAGAACTACATACCGAGTTACTTTTGAGTTGACTTGGGAAGTAAAGACTGTAGTAGGAGAATGAAGGGGAAGAGTGAATTTAGATTGTACTGTTTTTCTTCTCAATTTTTTAAAATGGTCATGACTTCGTTTTTAATACAGAAAAGTTTTCTAAAAATAAAATCCATCCATTCTCGCTTTTAAGAACATCTTTCTAGCAATTTTCTCCTTTTTCTCCCTCATGAGTTTCTCTCTTGTGAAATCATTCTCTTCAGGTATTATATTTCAATATTAGAAACAAAACAAAAGAGCAAATAAAAGAACACTCCTTTAACTGCACTTCCCCTCCACCAGCTACTACCCCACTTCTCTGTTCCCTTCACATCAAAACTTTTTACAAGATCTTTACTTTTCATTACTCCCAATTACTATCTCCAATTTTCTCTTGAACTCACGATGGCATGCTCTTGTAATCCTTCCCCACCTTCATATAACTGTTCTTGTCAAGGCCAACATTGTTACATCTTATGGACAATTCTCCAACCCACCTTACTTGTCCTTTCAGCAACATTTAGCACAGATATCCATTCTCTTTCCCTCCTGGAAACATTTCCTTCTCTTGATGTCCAAGACTCCATCCTCTCTGGGTCTTCTCCATGCACCACTGGCATCTTCTCCTCAGTCTCTGCTGTTTTTTTCTCATTTCCCCAGTCTCTTAGCCTTGTTTCAGTCCTTGGAGTCTTCCCTAGTTACATACAATCCCTCCATGATCTCATTCAGTCCCATTGTTTAAATATCAACTATGTGATGATGACCACCCAAATTATATCTCTCATCGTACCAGAATAACCTTTCCCTCATAACATTTATAGGGCCTATCAACCCTACCCTCAAACCATATTCAAAATCTGGCCCTTTCTTACGTCTAATGACAGCACTCTGGTCCAAGTCACATCATCATTCCCCTGGATGGTTCTAGCAGCCTCCTAACTGGTGTCCTTGCTTGGGTCTTTTCAAGTATAGTCTCTTATCCACTTAACCACCATGTAAACCGGATCCTATCAGTCTTCTGTATAAAGCTTTCAAAAGCCATCCATTTCACTGAGTAAAAATCAAAAGTTGTCACAAGGCTTTATACCTCTCCCCCACCTTTTTGGCCTCTTGTCTCACTGTTCTTCTCCTGATTTTTTCTGCTCAAACTTCACTGTCTTTTGCTATTCCTTAAATGCATCAAGGTCTTTACTAACCTGGGACTTTTGCATTTTCTAGACATAAGCATCATTTGCTCCCTTCCCTGCTTCTAGTGTTTGCTCAAATGTTACTTTCTAAGCAAGAGCTTCCTTGATCAACATAATATATTAAATTAATATTTTAAATAAAATATATTAACATTGAAATATATTTATATTGAGCCATTCTCTTCACCTCATTCCTGCATTCTCTGTCCTCCTCTCCTGATTCAGTTTTCTCCATAGCATTTGTCACCATGCCGATATCATATACTATCCATTTCTGTTGATAATCTATTTTCTTTCACCATGATATAAATTACAGGAGGTAAAAGAGTTTAATTTTGTTTATTACTATAGTTCAGTATCTAGACCTGGTGTTTATGATATAGTAGGTGATCATTAACATTTGTTAATTAACACACCAGTGATGGAATAATGAAACAATCATGCCAGAAAGAGCCAAAAGCAAATACTGCAAGCCGATGAGGTCCACAGCCAGTCACCTGGGAACCATAAAGGGAAACTCAGGAGCAGCAGTTCAAAAGGAAGCTGGGGGCAGTTGGGTTAATGTCTGTAGTGAACATTAACGGGCCAGCTGTGATGCAGTGCTGGGTAGAATGATTTTGTTTTAAAGAGCCAGTGGGAGGCAGGTTTTTATATTGCTTTATGGATTACAATAAAAGTTATAAATTCCAATTGTAAAAGGATTTTAATTCCTTTTGATAGTGATGATAATTGCAATAAGGGACTTCATAATTAGCACAGGCACATACACTTTACCGGCCCTCATCATGCCAGCACCAAAGGGGTTTCTAGAGCTTCCATTTTTCCCCACATGACCCCGATGTCTCTGTCCTCACTGACCTATCTTGTCCTCTACTCTCCTCAGTCACTACACGAGTTCTTTCCATCTTTTTGTCCGTATAAACTTGCTCAACCATTCTCTTTCTTGTCCTATATTCCAGCATCAAATCAACTACTCATCTATTCATGAGCACAAGTATAAATGTATTTCTTTGGCTGATTTCACTTTTTCCTTTTTCCAGCATGTGCCTTCCTCTACAGCAATGCCATCCTCTCATGAATTCGTATAAATCATCCATCTCTAGATTTTCAGGCATGTATAAATTATAAATGTTGGGGACAACTTATTCCCTCTATTCCACATAGATTTTGTAATAAATTTTGAAAATGTAATTTGCCATGTGGATATGTATTAATGCACAACAGTTGCATAGAAAACACACACACATATACACATGCACACACAAACATACCCTACAATCACTGGACCAAGTTGCATCAGTAAAATAGTAAATAAAATGGAGATGGCACATCATACAATTATCATTCAAAGGAAGGAAGACAAGAAGGAAGGAAAGCTTCTAAATTTTCATAACCTTTTGTAAATTACAAAATAACTTGCCCAGGCTCAGTTCTTCATTACAGCTGATTAAAAAATATTGCTATAATAAGTATGGATATTTTAGTTGGAATAAATTAACTTTTCTTTGGTTAAGAAACTTGCAGAGGGCAAGGGTAAGTAGGAATAAGAAGCAATTAAAATAGCATTAAGTTTATAAATGCTAAGTATAATAAAATTCCTATTTGATTTCCCTTAGCACATGAAATGTAGAGGAACAATTCCATTTAAGAAACAGATTTTTAAGAAATCATAATCAACCTTCACCTGCTTCTACTCATTCCATAAGGTAGACAAAATATTTTCATCAAGCACATAACAGTGAGACTGCACTGGTTCTATAAGGAATATTGTTCAATACTTTATTGCCTAATTGAGAGAACAGATGTATAAGATTGCATATAATATCATGTTTTATGGTTTAAAAGCAATTTCTCAAAAATATAACAAATCTATACAGAGAGAAAATTTAAAAATCATATCTATCATTCACTGGTACAAAATCAATTTCCTATACTTAATAGAGAAAAATCCATGGTACAATAGCAACTATTCATAGTTAAAACTATGTATAATGTTTACGTTTAACAGCCGGTTAAGCCCACAAGTTTAATATTTTTAAAAGTGTGAAAACAGTGTATTGTTGTTTTTCAATAAAATACAAATATTCCCTACATCTTTCTTTATCTTAATAAATAAGCTGGTAACTGCACTAACATGTTGTTATTTTGTAGCCTCACCCTCTGAGATTTCTTGGGAAATCTCAGAATTCTGGGAAATAAAATTCAAGTTGAAATTTGGATGGGGGCACAGCCAAACCATATCACTCCACCCCGGCCCCTCCCAAATCTCATGTCCTCACATTTCAAAACCAATCATGCCTTCCCAGCAGTCGCCCAAAGTCTTAACTCATTTCAGCATTAACTCAAAAGTCCATAGTCCAAAGTCTCATCTGAGATAAGGCAAGTCCTTTCTGCCTATGAGCCAGTAAAATCAAAAGCAAGCCAGTTACTTCCTAGATACAATGGGGGTACAGGTATTGAGTAAATACAGCCATACCAAATGGGAGAAATTGGCCAAAACAAAGGGGTTACAGGGTCCATGCAAGTCTGAAATTCAGTGGGGAAGTCAAATTTTAAAGCTCCAAAATGACTTCCTTCAACTCCAAGTCTCACTTTCAGATCATGCTGATGCAAAAGGTGGGTTCCCATGGTCTTGGGCAGCTCCATCCCTGTGGTTTTGCAGGGTACAGCCTCCCTTCTGGCTGCCTTCATGCAGCATTTCCAGGCACATAGTGCCAGCTGTCGGTAGATGTACCATTCTGGGGTCTGGAGGATAGTGGCTTTCTTCTCACAGCTCCACTAGGCAGTGCCCCACTAGGGACTCTGTGTGGGGACTCCAACCCCACAGTTCCATTCTGCACTGCTCTAGCAGAGGTTCTCCATGAGGGCCCCGCCCCTGCAGCAAACTTCTGCCTGGGCATCCAGTCATTTCCATACAACTTCTGAAATCTAGGCAGAGGTTTCCAAACCTCAATTCTTGACTTCTGTGCACCCGCAGGCTCAACACCAGGTGGAAGTTGCCAAGGTTTGGGGCTTCCACCCTCTGAAGGCACAGCCTGAGCTGTACATTGGCTCCTTTCAGCCATGACTGGAGTGGCTGGGACACAGGGCACTAAGTCCCTAAGCTGCACACAGCACAGGGATCCTGGGCCCAGCCCACGAAACCTCTTTTTTCTCCTGGGCCTCTGGCCCTGTGATGGGAGGGGCTGACATGAAAAGTCTCTGACATGGCCTGGAGACATTTTCCCCATGGTCTCAGGGATTAACATTAGGCTTCTTGCTACTTATGCAAATTTTTGCAGCTGGCTTGAGTTTCTCCTTAAAAAATGGGTTTTGCTTCTCTACTGCATCGTCAGGCTGCAAATTTTCTGAACTTTCATGCTCTGTTTCTCTTTTAAAACAGAATGCTTTTAACGGCACCCAAGTCACCTCTTGAATGCTTTGCTACTTAGAAATTTCTTCCACCAGGTACCCTAAATCACCTCTCTCAAGTTCAAAGTTCCACAAATCTCTAGGGCAGAGGCAAAATGCCACCAATCTCTTTGCTAAAACATAACAAGGGTCACCTTTGCTCCCATTCCCAAACAAGTTCTTCATTTCCATCTGAGACCACCTCAGCCTGGCCTTTATTGTTCATATCACCATCAGCATTTTTGTCAAGGCCATTCAGCAAGTCGCTAGGAGGTTCCAAACTTTCCCACATTTTCCTGTCTTCTTCTGAGCCCTCCAAATTGTTCCAACTTCTGCCTGCTACCCAGTTCCAAAGTTTTTGGGTATTCTTTCAACAATGCCCCACTCTACTGGTACCAATAAACTGTATTAGTCCATTTTCACACTGCTGATAAAGACATATCCAAGACTGGGCAATTTACAAAAGAAAGAGGTTTAATTGGACTTACAGTTCCACGTGGCTGGAGGAGGTCTCACAATTATGGCAGAAGGCTAAAAACACTTCTTACATGGCAGCGGCAAGAGAGAATGAGGAAGAACCAACAGCTGAAACCCCTGGTAAACCCATCAAGTATCATGAGACTTATTCACCACCAGGAGAATAGCACAGGAAAGACTGTCCCCCATGATTCAATTACCTCCCACTAGGTCCCTCCTACAACACATGGGAATTCTGGGAGATAAAATTCAAGTTGAGATTTGGGTGGGGGCACCATATCAAACACTAACTTCAAGGACATTCGGTGAGTCATGATGGAACTTTGTTTTAAATTCAGAAATTGTCATATTTATGGAATTACCTTTTGGTGATCAATTTACTCCTTTTTAGATATCTGAGTATTTCTTACCTGGAATTTGCAGCTTAAAAAAAGAAAGAAAAAACCTTCAAATTTGACCAAGTTGAACTCCACATACTTACCTATAAAACAGGAAATGCTGGGGAAAGAAGAAAAAAAAAAAGAGGAAGGAAGTGGGGTTATCCTACTGGCTATTTTCTTTTCCTTTTTCCTTTTCTTTCTTTTTTTTAGGAACAGAGTCTTGCTCTGTCACCCCAGCTGGAGAATAGTGGTGCGATCATATCTCAGTGAAGCCTCGAACTCTTCAGCTCAAGCACTTCTCCTGCCTCAGCTCCCTAGAGTAGATGGCACTACAGGTGCAAGCCACTACTCCAGGCCTACTAGATACTTTCTGGGACCCCCCTCCAATATTCACATCAGTAATTGTTTGAAAAAGACAACAAACGTAAACAAGAATGTACAAAACCAAGTATTAAAAAATAATAAGAATAAAAAAAGCAGTTCACTGGAGACAAAAATAGAAAAGGCAAAGCAATAAATATGAACCACATATTTGAATCTCTTATGCCAATTAGAAAGAACCCAGTTTGAAGATGTCTTTTCAGTTGAGGAGAGACTGAGTGTATCACAATGGACTAATCAATGAGCAAGGAAGCCACAACAGCCCTGAGTTTCTAGCTAGTGGAGCTTACACTTAGGGACTATCCACCCAAACCAGACAGAGCCCAGGTGAGAGGAGCTGTACCCTACTGTTCCTTCCTCTGTGTAGTTGTTGTTTTCAATGATAATTATAAGGGAGTTGAGGACATTTTTAGAAATATCTGCAATTTATCTCAAACTACATGTGTGGAGTATTTGCTTGTAAAAACTGTCATTTAGCATTCAATGGTAGTATTGGTAATTAACCATTAGTAAAAATCAGATGAACAAAATGATTTAAGATCCTATCTGCATTATGAGTTTATAGTCCATGGTAAGTACATTGTTCTCATTACCAGAATCCAAAAGACAGTGACAGCATTCATGATAGATAATTACCTAGCTTCAACAGCCTTGCTAATAGAGCCTTACCAACTTGTATGTTAGCCCCTTAGATGTAGGATTCCTCTATTTTGTTGTAAGTTCTGTGTTTGTTTAGGTAGCAAATTGAGTCACTGTAACTAAAAAGGTAGCATATAAAATTTTTAAGAAACTAATGAAAGCAAGAAAAATAATCCCTAAGTGCAGTAAGAGTTAAGCTGAAGAAAACTATGAAAAAATTCTAGTTGAGCATAAAACAAAGGATTCAATAAATTTGTAAACCACATATAACATGAATTATCCTAAGTCTGAAGCTTTTGGGTCAATATAAAACATGCAAAAGAAATTTGCAATATGGAATATGTGAAGAATAAAACTCATTTTCAACACAAATGGATTGTTTTCCCCAAAGAATCTCAAACCATTTACAACAAGAGCAAAATGGAAATTTGACTTTTAACCTTCTAACAGGTTGTACCATTATTTAATGATGACTGTAAAATATCTACCATAAAACAAATTCAAACAAGCTCAATCCTCTGTGAGTGAAAGAGGTCAGATCATACAGGATATGGATTTGCAAAGCCTAATCTATCTGATCTGACAGAAGATAAAATGTTTTGAGGTCCCAGATATGAATGAAAACAAACTAGCCACCATGGAACCTCAGCATTTAAAAACAAATAAGCAGGGAAATTCTACTACCTAAAAAGATTTTTTGGCCGGGTGTGGTGGCTCATGCCTGTAATCCCAGCACTTTGGGAGGATGAGGCAGGAGGATCATGAGATCAGGAGATCAAGACCATCTTGGCCAACATAGTGAAACCCCGTTTCTACTAAAAATACAAAAGTTAGCTGGCCATGGTGGCACGTGCCTGTAATCCCAGCTACTCAGGAAACTGAGGCAGGAGAATTGCTTGAACCAGGGAGTAGGAGGTTGCAGTAAGCCGAGATCACACCACTGCCCTCTAGCCTGGCAACAGAGCAAGACTCCATCTCAAAAACAAAAACAAAAAAGATTTTTTAATTTCAGTAGGGCAAAATATTCTATGTAAGACTGGTATTTTGTCTGTTTGATGAAGGCATAATATGCAGCAAAGTTCAAAATTGCCATAGAAATCATATAAAGAAAACAGAAGCAAAGAAAAAAATATGCATTTGTGTAATAGATATATTTTAGAGGAAGAGACTAAGCATGTATCACTGTACTACTAGGTAAAGTGGAAAACTAAATACTCATTCAATTGACAAGTTTTTTCTTTACCATTTGTTATGATACTGCTGGTTGAGCTAGTGTTTTAATTGGAACAGGGCTTGTTGTTGTTCTATAATAACTCCAGTGAGAAAATGTGAAGAAAATTGAGCCAATTGTAAACTCAACTAGGAAATTATATTTGAGACAAGTAAACAAATGTCAGCAGAGATACAGGGGGAGAGGAAGGAGAAAAAAATGAAACATGAAAGTAGTATGTGAGTATTAAATACTGGTACATGGATAGGTACATGTATGAGTTGTATATTTGAAATGTTTCATAAGGAAAAAATTTTAAAAAGTTAGTATTAGTTAAAATTCTGTGAATACAAGAAAAGATAAGCATCAAGGCATTGATTTTCCTAATATTTTCTGAGTGCCTAAAATGTGCCAGACACTATGCATACCAGTCTCCTCTTACCCATGGGGTATACGTTCCAAGACCTCTAGTGAATGCCTGAAATTGTGGAAAGTACCCACTCCTATAAACACTATGTTTTTTCCTATACATACATACCTATGATAAAGTCTAATTTATAGATTAAGCACAGTAAGAAATTAACAACTAACAATAAAATAGGATAATTTTAATAATATACTATAATAAAATTATATGAATGTGGTCTCTCTCCCTTTCTTTTTTTTTTTTTTTTTTTTTGAGATGGAGTTTCACTCTTTTCACCCAGGCTGGAGTACAGTGGCATAATCTCAGTTTACTGCAACCTCTGCCTCCCGGGTTCAAGTGATTCTTCTGCCTCAGCCTCCAAAGTAGCTGGGATTACAGGCACTCACCACCACGTCCAGCTAATTTTTGTATTTTTATTAGAGACGGGGTTTCACCATGTTGGCCAGGCTGGTCTCGAACTCTTGACCTCAGGTGATCCACCTGCCTCGGCCTCCCAAAGTGCTGGGATTACAGTTGTGAGCCACTGCAACCAGCCCCCTCTCTTTCAAAATATCTTATTGTACCATACCATAGGAAACTGAAATTATCGAAAACAAAACCACAGCTAAGGCAGGACTACCCTGTAGAGTGTACAAAGATGAATGAAACACATTTGCTGCTCACAGGTATTTAATAGAAAGAGAGAGACGAGTTAACCAATGATTACAAGTTAGCACTTAAAAAGAATGAAAGAAGGATGCCATGGGAGCAGAGAACTGTTTATTGAAAGCCCTGTGAAGACTTTGGTCAAAGCAGAGGGACGACAGACCTTTTGGAGAAAGTTAAGTGTAAAGGTGAATTAGGTACTGGAGGGTTAGGGCCAAGTGAGCTACAAAATAAAATACAGGGGCCAGATTATAAATAGCCGTATATTTCATGTTTTAGAAGTACTCAAGGCATTATAAAATATTAAAGACATAGTCACATAATGAGATAGCAATGTTGGAATAATCATTTAGAAATATTGACATGGATTTGGAGATTAATAGTCCAGGTGACATGATGAAGTATTAAACTAAATTGGCAGCAGTAAGAAGGGAGACAGGAGAATAGATCTGGGGTAAAACCTGTAAGATCTTGTGTCTAATAAAATATATAATTGGTTAAAAATTGGGAAAATTTCAGAGTAATTTTTCAATGATGCCATTCTGTTCGATACAGAATATTGGAATAACAAGTTGGGAATATTGAGGTACATCAGTTAAAGTTTTAAAATTGCAATGAAGAGAACCAATTCTGGTTAACTTAGCAAAAAAGGCAGAAATAGAAAGATAGAGATAGAAAGATAGAGAGAGAGAGAAAAAGGAAAAAAGAAAAGGTATGAGGTATTTCACAGAATAGGAGAATAAATTATCTATGACCCAGCATGGTGGGTCACCCATGTAATCTCAGCACTTCGGGGAGGCCAAGGCAGATAAATCACTTGAGCTCAGGGATTTTAGGTCATCCTGGGCAACATGGCAAAACCCGTTTCTACCCAAAATACAAAAGTTAATTGGCAGTGGTGGCACGCACCTGTCATCCCAGCTACTTGGGAGGCTGAGGTGAAAGAATCCCTTGAGCCTAGGAGGTTGAGGCTGCAGTGAGCCATGATTGTGCCTCTGCACTCCAGCCTGGATGATACAGACCATGTCTCAAAAGAAAAAAAAAAAGACTATCTGTCAAAAAACAAAACTAAGGCAGTTCTTAATAGCAAGAAGTTTTGATGAAAAGTACCACCTGGGCCCACTCAATTTAATATTCAAAATCCAGGAAACTAGTGCCTTAAGCAATGGCTGGGAAATCATGCCACCTATCCCATGGCAAGGAGAGGGCACGCAATTTGATTCATAGTTCCACAAACTAAAGAAGAAAATGCACTGTTCAGACTGGGTAACTGGTAAAGATAGGGAGTATTAAAGTACAAATTTAACCCATAAGATGAAATAACTAATGAGGAAGTTATGATATACATGGAATGGCCAACGCAGAGCAGGGTTATGAGGAAGAAGTGCTCTAGAGTGACTAAAGATAGCTGGCAGGCTAAAATTGCAGTTGGGAGTTAAAGAAAGGGTGAGGATCTTTTAAGCCCAACAAATATGGGTAGTTACCATCAGGGAATAAATAATCTAATATGGTAGGTAACAACAACCATGGAGACAAAATTATTTTTCTGGTAATGTAAGGAAGAAAAGGTACTTACTAGAGACCAACTATGTTAACAGTAGATTGGATTGTTATAATAATACCAATACAAACTACACTTAACAGGTTCTAAAGCATAATAAACAGCTCTTTTTGTGAAATATAATTATGCCATACATGTCATTCCAAAACCTAGGCTTCCAAGGGCAGTTGCTAATAAGATGACACAGTACTCAAATTTTCAGTCTACACAAGTGTTTCAGAATTGAACTGTGAGTTTGCAGTTTTGCAACTGTCATATCACCATCCACCAGCCAATTGTAAATTCTGAAGTGCCTTGGACCCATATGTTGAAACAAATGATTCTCTAAAAAAGTGTTTAGCACTACTCCAGATTAAAATGCATTTGTAATTAATTTCTATCTATACATACAGTTAAACCAATTAGCTTATGTTATTAGCAATAAGCACAAGTTGTAAGAAATATTATTTGTATGGGAAGCATTTTGAGTAGTCCTGAAAATGAACAAATATTTTCAAATTAGATCTGTGTAATCATGAGAAGTGAAGCCAACACTTCCCTTCTGGTTCTAGAAGCAGCATTTCTGAATCTCAGCACTATTGCTATGCCAGAACTATGCCAGTAACAGCCTCTGCTCCCCTAGTTGTGACCACTGAAAATGTCTTCAGATGTTGCAAATGTCCCTTGAGGGAAAAATTCACCCCTGATTGAAAAGCACTACTCTAAAGAAACAGAAAGAGAAGCCACATTTTTGGCCCACTCTGCTACAGTTAAGGGACAAAATCCTCTCAGTCTCATGTAAATTCATAGAGTGGCACCTGAGAAATTATATAAATTTGATTCATAATCCTGGCATCAGAGAATTGGGTTGTATGGCATTTTCTCATCATCTCATTCTTATTTCACTAGAAATATACTTTTGAAGGAATTTGTAAAATATGCACACTATACAGTAAAGCTGATAGAGCCTCTACTCTCTAGGAGATTAAACTCTCATAAGCACAGTTCCCCTTTCCATTACTTGATTTAAGCACAGAAAACGTGTTTTGTCATAGTAATTTTAATGTGTTATAATTTCTGCATTTGACTTTCCAGAATAAAATCATACTTTCATTACATGTATTTTTGTTCATTGTATTTTTGCCAAAGCTCTGAACCTCCAATAATGGGCACATGGATTAATATTTATTGAGCAAACATTTATGGAGTAACTTTTATATGTGTAATATATGACTATTTGGGGCACTGGGGATATAAAGACGAATAAGGTACATTTTCTGCATTTTGGGAGCTGAAAAATCCAATAAGAAAACTTTAAGGTATAATTCCTAAACATAAAGTATAAGTAAGAAGGGAGTGTATACTGAGAATTGCTTAATTACAACTGGGAGAATGGAATTATTTGGAAAAAGAGATACATGAGGTGGGACTAGGACAGGACATAGGATTCCAACAAGTTAAGAAAGGTAAGATTTCCAGGTTAAAGGAGAAAGCAAGAGCTGATGAGCGTTTGTAGATTATGGGTAATGCCTGGTCAATGGCTAGTGGATTAGGGATATGAGAGAGAGCAGTTAGAGACATAAAAGTGTGCATGGTAATAAGGACTTTGAATAGAAAAGGACAGAAACTGAAAATTATTGGGCAGTTGATTGAGATAATCAGGTGAGTGACTCTACACAGATGACCTTGGCTTCATAAGTGTGATGGATTTGTAAGAAATGTGCCTGGAGCAGTGGGATGTTACTACAATTCTCAGGTGGATATCAACAGTGGTCTAGCAAAAGGGAATAGGCTGGAGAGTCCTCATGAAGATGGAACAGACGGGATTCCAAGCCTGATTCTCTCTGTTAATGGATCAGTGGAGATGCAACTCATTAAGATTGAAAACTCAGATAGAGAAAATAGGTTCACTTTTAGAAACAATGAATTTGAATGATCATTATATTGTCTCTAAGGTGATTGGTGTTCAGCAGGGGAAAATTCTAAGTCTGGTGCTGACAGGGAGACTTCCCTTGAAATAAAGACCTAGGGATTATCTAAAGAGCTTAAATCCTGGGCAGAACTGGGATGACCTGGGGAGACATTAAAGATGGAAATCACAAAAGGAGAAGCTCAAAGAATGATGCCATGTAAGGTTTCAGTGGAGAAAGAGAAGCGGGGCTCAGCGACTTGGGATCTGAGCAGTAGAGAGACAGAGTAAGCATCGGGAGAAAACTGCAAAACAGGAGTAGAGTTACGGACTCTCAGAAAGAAAACTCTTTGGGCTGGGCGCTGTGGCTCACGCCTGTAATCCCAGCACTTTGGGAGGCCCAGGCGGACAGATCACGAGGTCAGGAGATCGAGACCATCCTGGCTAATACGGTGAAACCCTTTCTCTACTAAAAATACAAAAAATTAGCCGGGCATGGTGGCACACGCCTTGTAGTCCCAGCTACTGAGGAGGCTGAGGCAGGAGAATCCCTTGAACCCAGGTGTAGATTCCAGGCTCTACAGCCTGGACAACAGAGTGAGACTCCATCTAAAAAAAAAAAAAAAAAAAAGAAAACTCTTTGGGGCTGAAAAGTAATTACTGGATTTAAAATGAGAAGATCATGCGTAACTACCGGGAGAGAGGTTTCTATGTACATTGAGCCATTTTATAAAGAGGTCTTTTATCTTTCTTCCACATTGCCCTTATACCTTGGTTCTGAGTTTCGCCTGGAGTTTAGAAGAAAGAAAAAAGGATTTTCTTTTCCAAATCCTGAACTCACTTATGCATTCAGTCATATCCCCTCACCCAAAAATCATGCTTACTCAAGTATTTCCTCCCTCTCGAACACCTTCAGTATATTTACCCCACTCTTTTTTTTTCTCTTTTTTCTTCATAATTGTACAGGGTGGTCCTATCATCACTCTTTGAACCCTGAGTTTTAAAGCTACTTATTTCTTGGTTTTCTTTGGCAAATATTTTGTAAAGCCATCTATTCAATATCTGTTTGCTGTTAGCCCTTAGTCCCAAAATTATTATTTAAAAAAATCTACAATTACTTGCTGAGACTAGAGTCTATATATTCAGCTACAGCTACTCAATTGCCAAATCATTTTTCTGTCTTTGTTTACACAATTATTTTACAAACATTTGACAATATCACACACATATTTTTTAAAAATTGCCCCTACGTGATTTTTGTGATACCATACCCACGTTTTTAAATAGCATAAAGATCTTAGGTGGTATTTCATGATAAACAGTCTACAGGCAAATGAGTTTGAGAAAACTCTGTTACTTAAAAGAAAAAAAAATGTAATACACTTCTTTATTGCTGCAATCTAAGAGCCTTTAATAAACTAACTCTACTGAGGATTTCTTTTTTCTTTTTTTTTTTAATTGAGGATTTCTAAGAGGAAGATCATTTGGTCACAAAAACTCCCCTTCTTCACCCTTTTATTCATATAACAATGAATCTCTCCACTAATTTCCACTCACTTACTTTAAAAAAAACATGTCTTGTAATACTTCCATTTTCCCTGCCTTCTAAGGATTGCTGTCTTCCGAGGTTTGAAAAAGAAAAATAGATTAATATTTCCTGAGCAACTATAAGCACTGGTAAAAAAGTATCAAAAAATTGGAATTATTATCCACTTCATAGATAAGAATATTGAGAGGTTAAGTGGTTCAACCAAGTTCACTCAAGTAGCAAGTGGAACAACTATGATTTGAGTCATGTCCCTCACATTTCAAAGTGAAGGAGCATCCTTTTCATCACACCAGTTTGCCTCTAGGTCTTAGGCCTTTACATGCCCTCTGTGCTTTCAAAAGAAAATGGCATCAACTTCAAACTTTAAACAAATGATTCTAATATATATATATATATATATTATGTTTCTAGAAATACTTATTCTTGCATATTTAAGTCCTCTCTCACTGTGTATGTGTGCTGTGTGTGCATTTTTATGTCAATTATTGATGTGAACTTTTTAATGTCAATATTATCCTATTCTCATTGGCCTAAAACCCCATTGAGTATGAAATTTCAACTCATCACTATCCTGTGCTCTGTACATAAAGTTAGCTGTTAAGTCCCATTGTTTTATTTCCCAAAATGCCTTTTATGTAGACTCCTTCTAATCCATTCCTGAAGTCATTCTTCTGTTATAGGCTCTCAAAACCCTTCCTGGCATAATTACAAAGTCTTCAAAAACCCCCTGCTTTCCCATTTTCAGTTCCTACTTCTCATATCCTGCTAAGTGGCAGGTTACTTTATGTACTTGCTAAGTTTCATAGACTCTAGTAGGTTTTAAATTCTCACTCCCCATACACCTCAGCTAAAAGAGTGATTTGTTTTTTATTGTTTTTCTCACCATGTAAATTTTTCATGACATGGTTGGCATAAAGAAGCATTGTTTCACAACTTTTGTATTTGTTTGCATTCCAAGTAGCGGTGAGGCTGAGTTTTGACTCTCCTCTGTTAGTTTTTAGAGCCTCTAGAGCAAGGGCGTCTCCTTGTTCTTTCACTGCTGCCTGGAAAGAGTGTTAGTCCTTCTGTTCTCTTTAGAAATGAAAACAAAAAAAGTACAAACATTACATGTTTCTGATGCAATCCTGAGATGGCACCTGACATAAACAGACGTGAATACCCTGACCTTAGGAATCTAAGTGTTAAGGGAAGCCAGGGAATTCACGTCTATTTGAAGAGATAGAATTTTAGTCATGAACAAGAGACATATAATCTTATTACATTTACACAGTTTGCAGTAGACTTTGAAATTCATATTAGCATTCCTGAAGGGAAGATAGTTCTGTGACTGAGAACCGTGTAGCTAGAAGAGAAATTTCTTACTACCAGTTTTACAAATGACTGCATTCACCAATTTAAAAAAAATTACCCCCACCCACCCATCTTCACATCCAACATCAATTTTATCAATGAAATATCTACTGGGATGTGGGTGCAGTGGAGGTACAAGAAAGGGTTACTCTGTTCTTTTTATCATAGCTTATTATGTTAAAAATGGGAGGCTGGCACAGGACAGCATCTCTGAATCTGCAGTTAGTTCATACTGTGTTACTAAAGCATCACTGCCTTAGGTTGCTCATCTCTTTTAATATTTATTTTTAATTTATCATCAATTTAAAAAAGTGTGCACATTCTACCTGAAGCAACCATAAAAGCCACAAATATAATCCTACCCCAAAACATGCAAAGAAAATGAAAAATACCTCACAGAATCATTATTCACGTAGATTAAAATGCAATCTTTGTTCTGAATCCAACGCTTTACTCTCAAAACCAATGCCTCTGGTGTTATAAAACACATCCTTTTGTTATAATCTGAAGATATTTTAATTTAGAAAGTTGCCCTACATGGTCTAATTTCTACATTTTAACCTGATCTTCCTTTCTTTTTACCACTTAAAAATCATAATATTTAGGAGAGATTTTTTTAAGTTCCTTAAAATATTTATAATCCATCATTTGGTATCAAGTGCTAATTAATTAGATAAATCAATAAAGCATATTATGTCCTCCAATATTTTACTCTGGTGTTCATGGCAGAATTCTCCCCAAAAATAATAAATAATACAAAAATATTGGGGTATAATCATTTTTTTCTATGCTGTGAACACAGTTACTAAAAACTATCTCACAAAAGTTATTAAAAATAGCGTGGTTAAATAAGTATTTGCCTGTTGCCTATATCAGCAACCTTGATATGTTGATTTGGACAGAGAGTTCATGTCCTCTCGTCTTCAAGTCCATGAGAAAACACTGCCAAATGGCTTTGCCCTCTTAGAATACAGTTACATTTATGGAAGGGGCACCTGGGCTAGGCTACAGTTGCTCTGCATCCCCTACTGGAAATGCCCATAGCTCGTGGATAAGGTAGCTCATTTTTGTCCAAACCTCGAAGTAAATAGAAGAAACTACTCTACTTTCTTTCCCAGAAAACCTTTCTCCTCCTCCTCCTCCCATACCCAAAATAAAAATGGCTGTGACTATCTCTGTTTTTTTGCTATTGTTCAGTCATAGTTCAAACCTATATATGTGCTTTGCTTTCTGAATGAACTGAAATGACTTTTTGCTTCTGATGTAGGTAGATGGCTACGGCAGAAAATAAAACTGCAGCTCAAACGTTAAGTGACTATGGTGTCTTCCATTCGGAGAATGAAAGTCCAATGTTCCAGAGGTATCCTTTGTCTCCTAAAATACAAGGATACCTGGCATCAGAAAGAAGAACACAACGTGCTGATTGGCTGTCTTGACATTTGATAGACTATAATGACATCTTTATTTTAGAGTGTGTGTTTTTGCTATATTTCTATGTGTTTTCCAGACGAAAGTTGGATGATGAGCTGCTGATGGGTAATATCTTTAACCTTCTCTCCATGAAGATAACATAGCTGAGGAGAACACTTTCAATCAGAAAATTAGACTACTCAGATCTACAATACAAATAGTTTTCTCTGAATCCAACTCAGGCAATCAACTTACTTGCCTTTGTTTTATATAAATATATACTTTATGTAATATATAACGTTGGAAAATGATATAAATCTTTTTTTTTTTTTTTTAGACAGAGTCTCTCTCACCAGGCTGGTGTGAAATGGCGAGATCTCGGCTCACTGCAACTTCCACCTCCCGGGTTCAAGTGATTCTTCTGCCTCAGCCTCCCGAGTAGTTGGGATTACCGGCACCCACCACCGTGCCCGGCTAATTTTTGTATTTTTAGTAGAGATGGGGTTTCACCATGTTGGTCAGGCTGGTCTCGAACTCCTGACCTCAGGTGATCCGCCCACCTCAACCTCCCAAAGTGCTGGGATTACAGGTGTGAGCCACTGCGCCCAGCCATAAATCAATTCTTAATGATTCGATCACATATTACAAGCCTTAGTGAAAGACTAGATTATGAAATGTTGTGTTAAATAAAGCATATCAGGCAAAAATGGTAAATACATGCAAATATATGTTTCCAGTGAATTTTCATTTTTAAATACCAGGTATTATTGCTGTATAATTAAGACTTTAGATCTCCATTATTTAACTTGTTCCGATTTCTAATTCCATCTTTTCTAAAAAAAAAAAAAAAAGAGCTCCTGAAGGAAGCACTAAACATGGAAAGCAACAACTGGTACCAGCTACACTGCAAAAACATGCCAAATTGTAAAGACCATGAAGGCTAGGAAGAAACTGCATCAACTAATGAGCCAAATAACCAGCTAACATCATAATGACAGGATCAAATTCACACATAACAATACTAACCTTAAATGCTAATGGGCTACATGCTCCAATTAAAAGACACAGACGGGCAAATTGGATAAAGAGTCAAGACCCATCCGTGTGCTATATTCAGGAAACCCATCTTACGTGCAGAGACACACATAGGCTCAAAATACAGGGATGGAGGAAGATCTACCAAGCAAATGGAAAACAAAAAAAGGCAGGGGTTGCAATCCTAGTCTCTGATAAAACAGACTTTAAACCAATAAAGATCAAAAGAGACAAAGAAGGCCATTACATAATGGTAAAGGGATCAATTCAACAAGAAGAACTAACTATCCTAAATATATAGGCACCCAATACGGGAGCACCCAGATTCATAAAGCAAGTCCTTAGTGACCTACGAAGAGACTTAGACTCCCACACAATAATAATGGGAGACTTAAACACCCCACTGTCAACATTAGACAGATCAACGAGACAGAAAGTTAACAAGGATATCCAGGAATTAAACTCAGCTCTGCACAAAGTGGACCTAATAGACATCTACAGAACTCTCCACCCCAAATCAACAGAATATACATTCTTTTCAGCACCACACCACACCTATTCCAAAATTGACCACATAGTTAGAAGTAAAGCACTCCTCAGCAAATGTAAAAGAACAGAAATTCTAACAAACTATCTCTCAGACCACAGTGCAATCAAATTAGAACTCAGGATTAAGAAACTCACTCAAAACAACTCAACTACATGGAAACTGAACAACCTGCTCCTGAATGACTACGGGATGCATAATAAAATGAAGGCAGAAATAAAGATGTTCTTTGAAACCAACGACAACAAAGACACAACATACCAGAATCTCTGGGACACATTCAAAGCAGTGTGTAGAGGGAAATTTATAGCACTAAATGCCCACAAGAGAAAGCAGGAAAGATCTAAAATTGACACCCTAACATCACAATTAAAAGAACTAGAGAAGCAAGAGCGAACATATACAAAAGCTAGCAGAAGGCAAGAAATAACTAAGATCAGAGCAGAACTGAAGGAAATAGAGACACAAAAAACCCTTCAAAAAATCAATGAATCCAGGAGCTGGATTTTTGAAAAGATCAACAAAATTGATTGATCACTAGCAGGACTAATAGAGAAGAAAAGAGAGAAGAATCAAATAGATGCAATAAAAAATGACAAAGGGGATATCACCATAAATCCCACAGAAATACAAACTACCATCAGAGAATACTACAAACACCTCTACGCAAATAAACTAGAAAATCTAGAAGAAATGGATAAATTCCTTGACACATACACTCTCCCAAGACTAAACCAGGAAGAAGTGGAATCTCTGAATAGACCAATAACAGGCTCTGAAATTGAGGCAATAATTAATAGCTTACCAACCACAAAAAGTCCAGGACCAGATGGATTCACAGCTGAATTCTACCAGAGGTACAAGGAGGAACTGGTACCATTCCTTCTGAAACTATTCCAATCAACAGAAAAAGAGGGAATTCTCCCTAACTCATTTTATGAGGCCAGCATCATCCTGATACCAAAGCTGGGAAGAGATACAACCAAAAAAGAGAATTTTAGACCAATATCCTTGATGAACATTGATGCAAAAACCCTCAATAAAATACTGGCAAACCGAATCCAGCAACACATCAAAAAGCTTATCCACCATGATCAAGTGGGCTTCATTCCTGGGATGCAAGGCTGGTTCAACATACGCAAATCAATAAATGTAATCCAGCATATAAACAGAACCAAAGACAAAAACCACATGATTATCTCAACAGATGCAGAAAAGGCCTTTGACAAAATTCAACAACGCTTCATGCTAAAAACTCTCAATAAATTAGCTATTGATGGGAAGTATCTCAAAATAATAAGAGCTATCTATGACAAACCCACAGCCAATATCATACTGAATGGACAAAAACTGGAAGCATTCCCTTTGAAAACTGGCACAAGACAGGGATGCCCTCTCTCACCACTCCTATTCAACATAGTGTTGGAAGTTCTGGCCAGGGCAATCAGGCAGGAGAAGGAAATAAAGGGCATTCAATTAGGAAAAGAGGAAGTCAAATTGTTTGCAGATGACACGATTGTATAACTAGAAAACCCCATCATCTCAGCCCAAAATCTCCTTAAAATGATAAGCAACTTCAGCAGTCTCAGGATACAAAATCAATGTGCAAAAATCACAAGCATTCTTATACACCAATAATAGACAAACAGAGAGCCAAATCATGAGTGAACTGCCATTCACAATTGCTTCAAAGAGAATAAAATACCTAGGAATCCAACTTACAAGGGATGTGAAGGACCTCTTCAAGGAGAATGACAAATCACTGATCAATGAAATAAAAGAGGCTACAAACAAATGGAAGAATATTCCATGCTCATGGGTAGGAAGAATCAATTATCGTGAAAATGGCCATACTGCCCAAGGTAATTTATAGATTCAATGCCATCCCCATCAAGCTACCAATGACTTTCTTCACAGAATTGAAAAAAACTACTTTAAAGTTCATTTGGAACCAAAAAAGAGCCCACATTGCCAAGTCAATCCTAAGTCAAAAGAACAAAGCTGGAGGCATCATGCTACCTGACTTCAAACTATACTACAAGGCTACAGTAACCAAAACAGCATGGCACTGGTACCAAAACAGAGATATAGACCAATGGAATAAAACAGAGCCCTCAGAAATAATACCACACATCTACAACTATCTGATCTTTGACAAACCTGACAAAAACAAGCAATGGGGAAAGGATTCCCTATTTAATAAATGGTGCTGGGAAAACTGGCTAGCCATATGTAGAAAGCTGAAACTGGATCCCTTCCTTACACCTTATACAAAAATTAATTCAAGATTGATTAAAGACTTAAATGTTAGACCTAAAACCATAAAAACTCTAGAAAAAAACCTAGGCAATACCATTCAGGACATAGGCACAGGCAAGGACTTCATGTCTAAAACACCAAAAGCAATGGCAACAAAAGCCAACATTGACAGATGGGATCTAATTAAATTAATGAGTTTCTGCACAGCGAAAGAAACTACCATCAGAGTGAACAGGCAACCTACAGAACGGGAGAAAACTTTTGCAACCTACTCATCTGACAAAGGGCTAATATCCAGAATCTACAATGAACTCAAACAAATTTACAAGAAAAAAACAAACAACCCCATCAACAAGTGGGCAAAGGACATGAACAGACACTTCTCAAAAGAAGACATTTATGCAGCCAAAAAACACATGAAAAAATGCTCATCATCACTGGCCATCAGAGAAATGCAAATCAAAACCACAATGAGATACCATCTCACACCAGTTAGAATGGCGATCATTAAAAAGTCAGGAAACAACAGGTGCTGGAGAGGATGTGGAGAAATAGGAACACTTTTACACTGTTGGTGGGACTATAAACTAGTTCAACCATTGTGGAAGTCAGTGTGGTGATTCCTCAAGGATCTAGAACTAGAAATACCATTTGACCCAGCCATCCCATTACTGGGTATATACCCAAAGGACTATAAATCATGCTGCTATAAAGACACATGCACACGTGTGTTTATTGCAGCACTATTCACAATAGCAATGACTTGGAACCAACCCAAATGTCCAACAATGATAGACTGGATTAAGAAAATGTGGCACATATACACCATGGAATACTATGCAGCCATAAAAAACGATGAGTTCATGTCCTTTGTCGGGACATGGATGAAGCTGGAAACCATCATTCTCAGCAAACTATCTCAAGGACAAAAAACCAAACACTGCATGTTCTCACTCATAGGTGGGAATTGAACAATGAGAACACATGGACACAAGAAGGGGAACATCACATACCGGGGACTGCTGTGGGGTGGGGGTGGGGGGATAGCATTGGGAGATATACCTAATGCTAGATGACGAGTTAGTGGGTGCAGCACACCAACATGGCACATGTATACATATGTAACAAACCTGCATGTTGTGCACATGTACCCTAAAACTTAAAGTATAATAATAATAATAAAAAATAAGAAAAATAAAGTCACATTATCATCCAGTAAAAAAATAAATAAATAAATAAAACTAAAGGTAATCCACAACTAATTTTGAAAGTGAATTATTTTGCTCAATTTTTTTTCCCAGAAAAACATCTTTACTTTAAAGGGGTTCCTTGAATGCAAAGAAAAACAGACAGAATCCATCAAAACTATTGTGTAAGAAAACTGTGACAAAAACTAATTAAAGAAGAACAAAAAGATTTGACAGAGTTTAGAGATCTGCCTCTTTTGGTCCACCTAAACATTTCTCAGGGAAAATAAACCAAAAAAGACTACAGATAGTTCAAGAAAGTCAACGATATCGTAGACAAGTGATTTCGATCTCCAGTACCTACTCTGTATCCATTACAGTGCCATAATGTCAAGTCTGTCGCTGACAGAGTATACTCACGGGCTGATAAATGACAAGAAAGTTCTGTCCAAAAGAAAAATACTGGAAAGTCCATTAAGTCAGCTTTAAAATAGTTACTGTGGATAGCAAAACAAAAAATCGGTCCCTGGAGAAATACACTCCACTTACAGAAACGACAGCATCTCGGCTTTTCTTTCTCTCTTTTTTTAGTACTAACGTTTTAGCATTTTAAGGGCAGTTTCTAGAAAGCGTATTATTATGTTTAAGTTTCTTCCTCTTATACTTTTATTTGCCATAAAATATAAGTCACCATTAAAAAAATTATTCTGATAAAGCACAAGACTCTGGGCAGAAAGAACACGTGGGTCTCCTTGAAGTATGAGACAACTAGGACAATGAAACCCAAAATGCCCATCTTTCTGGAGATGGTGTAGACGCTTAGCTACAGCTATAACTCTATGTGCTGTTCTATCTTCTTGTTTTTCTTATTTTTTAACTGAAAAATTATTACACGAATGAAATCTTAACCATGAACCAATTAAACAGGTCAGCAACAAATGCATAATGAAGTAAAACAAGTGGTACTTCTGTTTCTGGCAGTCTAATGGTATATAAATCCTAAAATATCCTTTCAAATGAAAAAGACTAAAGCATATGACAACATTTGTATTTTCTGAATGTATTGATGGGCTGGTCTGAAAGTAAGGAATCCGTAACACCCCAAACAGAGTGAAAGTACGAGGCCCTGCAAGGTAAACAAGACAAATTTCATCCCAAGGGTTTCTATCAAATCTTGGAGATCCCAGTTTTTACTTTTATGGATTCATAATGCACAGAAGGAAAAAATATAAGGTTGGCTATGTAGAATCTTATAAAATTCCCACACTAGAAGCAATGGCAACTAACACTCACCCTTAGTGTTTAGGGATGAACTAGATAGAAATAAACTTGTAAGCACAAGGTTTTGGCAAGACAACTTGCAATTCTAAAACATAGCATTGGATAGCAAGAGAGGAGAATCCTTCATGAGAATGTGTAACCTCAAGCCGGCTTTCCCATGACTTTATGGTCTGAGTTCAAACTCCCTCTGGGATACAAAGAATCCTCAAAGACAAAATAAACTTTTCCAAATTGATAAAGGCTTTAAATCCTTAAATTAATTACATCTACAAAGATCCTTTTTGCAAATAAAGTCATATGTGCAGGTTATGATGCTTAGCATGTGGACATGTATTTTTGGGAAGCACAGTCCATCCTATTAATATGCGTAAAGAAACAAGACCCTATGTGTTTAAACCAGCAAAAAATGCTGACAGCAGAAGCTTCTTCATACAGTATAAAACAGGCAGGTCCTTCCTCCTCCCTTCCCCAATCTAAATTTCCTTCCTGGACCTAGCTTTTTCAGCATTTTGCAACGCATTTACTTAAATAATCCCTTAGAACACTGCATCGATCACTTTATTTCATTATTATTATTGTTTGAGCCAGGGTCTTATTCTGTCACCCAGGCTGAAATGCAGTGGCATGATCACAGCTCACTGTAGCCTCAGCCTCCCAGGTTCAAACAATCCTCCCACCTCAGCCTTCTGAGTAGCTGGGATGACCGGCATGCATTACCATGTCTGGCTCTTTTTTTAAAATTTCTATTTTTGTAGAGACAGGGTCTCGTTATATTGTCCAGGCTGGTCTCCAACTCTTGAGCTCAAGGAATCCTCTCACCTCAGCCTTCCAAAGTGCTGAGATTACAGGCATGAGCTATCACACCTGGCCAGTTTATGTTAAAAAATATATTTTTACCAAAGTAGTACATATTCATAGCACTGAAACTTGAATAATGATAAAACAAATAATTATCTGACTCCTCACTTTGAGTCAATTATTTTTTTACTGTTCTACAGTTTCTTCTAATGGGTACTTCATGTTTCTAAAAATATATTCATATAGCTCCGTTAGCCAATTCCTTAATGATAGGTGTTTTCTACTGCTGTTTTTTTGAAGACAACACCTCCCAGGTCCCTTCACTAAACTCTCAACATTGTTGAATCACATTTTTTGCTTAAATCCATAACTTAATGCTTTTGCCTTTATGACAATATATTCTTTATAGGTAAGCTGAAAAAGTATATTGTAACTATACCTCTTATCTACAACACTTTGTATTTCCTGAAATTTTTTCACTTTTATTTGCAAACGTTTCTATGAATCCGGATAAGTGCTTTTATACCTATGAAATGCTTCTCAGTACAGTTGTCCAGGTCAAACCTGACAGGTCCTCTATTCTTTCTATTGTTAATGTTAAGACATCCCTCCTGACACTTTACAGGTCTCCTGCTCTCACCACATAAGCCTAGTGAACAGCTCGAGGCCTGTGAACAGCAGTGGTCCATGAATTTCCCCTCCCTTTCTTCCTAGGAATGCCAATGTCCTCTCTTCTGGGGAGGATACCCAGTGTGCATACTGATTTATTCATCTTTGATGAGGCATATACTCTATTTACTTCTGGACACAGGATGCTATGAAGGTAAGCTTTTGGAGATTTTGTTTTCTACAAACATTTCATGTTATCCTAATAATTGAATGATAATTTAATATGGATTTCTTGGTTGAAAATATTCTCATTCCACATTTAGAAGATATTGTTCTATTTCCTTCCACTTTCCAGTGCTGATGTTGAAAAGTCCTACAATCTTATTCAAAAACTCTGGGTGAGAGATCATGGTGTTTACTCTGGAAGGCTTTAGGGTCATGACTTTACCCCAGGTGGTCTGAAATATCACAGTGACAAGCCTTGATATGGGACTTATTTAATCATTTTGGCTCCTTAATGAGTATTTTTCTAGTATTATTTCTTTGATACTTTTCTCCCCTTTATATTCTCATTTCTCTATCCTTCAACTCTTAGCAGTTTAATGTTCAGAGGAAATCAGAGTCTCATAATTCCTTATTCAGACATTCCTTTGATCCACCTGATTTCAGTCTAGCCCCGCATCTCCACCCACCTCTGCTTATTGTCCAGAGTCTAAAACCTCTCTGTTTCCCAAAGAATACATCTCCATGCTCCCACAAGAAAAAGAAATGGTAGAAATCTGACTCTGTAGAGTGAAAGGTGAAGAACTTGAACAAGGAGGAACTTTCCTGCTCTTTATTCAGACTTTCAGAGCTCCAGCTTTTATCCTCAACTCCCAACACACATACACACACACTCTTGCACACTTCCTTCTGCAGAATGTGGTTTCTTCCTGGAGTTGTCCAGGATATACCATTTTATTTCTCTCCAGCTCCCACAGCTTCACCCTTGCCAACACTTAGGTGTAATCCTGTTCTGCAAAATACTTTGCCATATCTCCATTTACTTTCCAAATTCATATATTATGACCTAGTTTACCGATGGCTCCTAATTTACCTGAAAGTAAGTTTACTGTATTCCTTGTTCTTTGGAGTGATTTTATAAAGGAGATTGATCTCATTGGAGATGTATTTAGTCTTATTGTTCTGTATTTTCCTTTATGGTTCTTAATTTAAAGAAAAGATAGAGGTAGCAATGTCTTTCTTCCATAATCCTAAAATTGAAGACCCATCCTACTATGCTAAAAGTGCAACTTGCCCATCAACTAAACACCAGGAATGCTCTAATGTTGGTGTCAAATTTAGAGAAAGTTCATTGCCTAATCTAAAGGACTATCAGGCATCCAGCTAGAAATCTTCATTTATATTGAAATCCAAAGAGATTTCATATTCTAGAAAATATGAAATATCTTGCTTTTATGTGATAATTTTACATCATTTACATACAATATCCTTGCAGAATTTACTAAATGGTTTTGTTTAGTATTGTAATATCATAGAGTAACAAATTCAAGGTCCTACTTAAACTGTACACTACATAAAGTTGGCATTTTTTAACAGGGCTCCATTCATGGAGTAGATATTGGTGATTTGGATATTCTGTAACAATTTTTCAGCAGAAAGTAGGCAAAAATATTAAAATAACAATATATTATTACAATAATTTAGTGATATATGAAAGTAAAATGTCTTAAGAAAGTGGTTCATTCTTATAATTTACACAAAGCCACTGTAGATCCCCATAGCAATCTTAAATCAAACTACCTGACCAATAAAATTTCATCTGTAAATTTTTTGACAGGGATATTATTTCCAAAGTATGACCTATGTAACAAAAAGAGAAACTTAATTCTAAATATGCCTTCTAAAAGAACATTAATTATGAAACCAGTATAATTTAATTGATTCCACAAGGTCTAATTTTGCCACATATATCCCTTCAGTGAGAAAGTGGTCAGGTTTTGAGAATAATGCACTTCATATCAAGCTTCCTACAACTGGCACCTGGATTATGAATGAAATAGAAAAGTGAGCAGTCTGATGATTCTCTGAGTACTTTTCAGAGATTTCCCACACCTTCTAGACATTGATGATAAAAAGCAGTTCTACTCAGGTCCAGAAGCTTATTCATATGTCTTCCAGAAATTTTACTACTTCCTTTTTATGCATATGACATGTAAGATATATGATGAGTATGTATATGACAATTATATTTAAGACATATCCTATGATCATTAAGATTAGTCAATTCATTCAGTTATTCTTTCATTCATCAACAAATATTTAATTAGCACCAAAAAATCTAAGGTATACAGACAGTTGAATCTCATCTTGACAAAACCTTCATTCACAGATATTAGGTAATATCTAACATGCATTTGGAACATGAGCATTGGGCTACACTATGACCGAGAACAGATATTTGCTTATATTGCTTTAGTCCTTAGGTACACTAACTGGTTATAGTTAAAGATAATCTAATATAAACTGCTAACTATGCCAAATCCTATTTATATTTAACATCAATAAATATGAATAATTCAAGCCAATAATATCACAATTCATTCAAATATAAAAGTAAGCAACACATATGAGTTACATAATGTTAACTTACGTATTAATAAAAAAAAACTATGTAAAAATCATCATACCTCTTGTTTGTAACCCCTTTCCACAGGCTTCACTGCTGCCCGTTATTCCCTGCCAGACAGACTCTGGCACTAAGATGCAAGGGCTCCATTTCTGTGGCTTCCACCTGTGATTACCAAAAACGATGGACTAGAAACTTTACTGTGATCAACACGAGGAAGAAATACTTACATATGTTTGAAGTTTAAAAAAAGTAAAGACAGTAATTCAATAAAAATGGATATGAAATCAATGTCATAAAACCAAGCCTTGGCAAGCACTAGAATGACAATAGTCCACTCTACCCCAGATTCATGATTTAGGCAGTAATTCAGTGTTTTTGAATTGGCCCTGTGGCTAATGAGAAAAAAACTGAATTTGGATATTTTACACATAAACTTTGGTTAATATAGAAAAGTGGCAATAATAAACATTAGAGGCACTGATCAGTCTGGAGGGTCTAGTTCTTTAGTTCTTTATGCACTTAAAATTGTTTCCAAAAAAAAAAAAACAATACAAGAAAACAAGAGAGAGAAAATCCCTGTGTCCCACTGGTGCGTTAGAGAATAAAGGTTTGAACATCTGTAAGCTTGAGGTACAAACTTCACATTAATCTTCTGCTTCAAAATTTTTATAAGCTTGAGGTACAGACCTTCACACTTAATCCTCTGCTTCAAATTTTTATAAGGTGTTTCCAAGGACTTTTGAAGTAAATCAAACATCTCAATAGGTTATAGAGTAAAAGAACGGGCACCATGGAACTATCTTATCTGATAGTTAATCTTAGGAAAGAGGAATGGACCTGCTGTTGATAAAATACCATGATTTCTAGTCCTCAGAGGATACAGTCTTGAAGGAAATCTTTTCACCTTCTACTGGCTTTTCTTTCTCAGGTCAACAAAACTCTATTTTTATGACTCACAGGGCAGATGATGACTTGTGTCCTTAAATCTGTCTCTTCAGAATATTCCAGCAAACCCAAACCCTAAGTATAACTACAGATTCTGCTCTTTCACTTAGTACATTTTAACCCTTTTCATATGAGCCAGTACCTCTGATAACTACTTCAAAAAAGCAGTGAGAAACATAAAGCAAAACATCATTGACTTCATTCAAGTGGCCTTCATAATGGGAATAGCTGAAGAGTTGGGGAAAAAAAATCAGGAAACAGCTAAACAGGAAACCTGTTACATTTAAAGAAATCATCTATTAATTTTAGATTGTTATAAATTTACTTTATACATGCATAGATATACATTCTGCATGATTCCAAGATACAGAAGCCAAAAGGTAAGGGATTTTAGTCCAACTTTTGAACTAAAATGTCATTGATTCACTCAATTTCCTTAAATTGAGTTTATACAGACCTTCTTGACCAAAATGAGACCAAGGAGTTCAATCTCCTTTACCTTGGTGAATAGACTGAAATGGAGGAAAGAAATTTTTGGAATTCCTTTATTAAACTTTCAAAAACCAGGCTCAGAGAAGTTAAATGATTTGTCCCAGGCTGCATAAGTCAGGACAGGCCAGTTTCCAGTCCTGTCTCTGATGCTCAGCCACAGCCTCTTGTCAACTTCTTATTGCCAATTCTACATAGGGATAAAGGCGCCCATGCTGTCTTAGCTACTTAATGTGTTGAGAGAAGTTCAAATTCACTTGACAAATTAAATAGGCATTTTGATTCTGCTTTAATTTGGTAAACATGTGAATATATCACCTTAATGGAGTCAGAAAGAAGAATCAGAAGATAATGATAAAATCCTACGTTAACTCGCTTCCTAAGACAACTTCCTCCCTAACATACCAATAAAGGGGAAAGCAAAATCTAAATTGGAACTATATTGCTCAAAATTCAAGGATGTTTCACTAAGGAGCAGAGATTCATGCTGATAACTTGGATACATTTTGAACTATGCATCAGGAAAAATGGCACAATGATCCAATTCATACACAGTAGAACTGATTTTTGGGGAACGTGGCAGGAGGTCATTGATAGAAACTAGCTCAAACACAAGTAGCTAAATTGAAGTGCAATAGGAGAGTAAAAAGAGTGGACAAAGAAATGGAAGATCCCACTAATAGTTTTTTGATTTTATCTGATTATAACAACCCTGGGTTCATAAAAATGTCTAATAATATTTGATTTGGCTAATTTTTTTCATTTGGATACTTTCCTTGAGAGCTCTTTTGCTGGGCTCAGAAGTTTCAATATTTAGACATTGTACAAAAGGATGAATATTGACAGTGTTTCCACAATGGCCCTGTGGTTAATGAGAAAAAAATGGTAGTCTGGGCATGTTCCCAGTGTTTATTTACATCCTCCCAAAATTGGTCATCAGATAAAAACAATGAAAGTAAAGGATGATAAAATCAATAGTAATTTAGACCTTCTTCAACGATATCTTTCTTCTTTTAAAAAAGGAAATGACTTGTATTTTCCCAAATAAATTAGCCCTTGAATTTCACAGCTTTAGGTTTAGTTTCTCAAATAATTAGCAGAAACACGGGACATTTTTGCTAAAGGCATTTATAAGTGTGCCGATAAAACCTATATTATTTTTAAGACCATGGATTATATTCACAAATCAGTAAAACCCCATAGAGATTGAATTTAATCCAAATACACCTTAAAGTAGCATTTCAATCAGATTTAAAACTGTCAGGTGTTAAAAGGGGGGAAGTTTGTGAGTAAGCAAAGAAACCTATTATTATTTTTTAAATAGTAATCACCAATTTGCCAAGAGGGAATATACAGGGAACATACATAGTTTAAAAGTTATTCATTTTCTTTTTGTAATAAAAAATTTTATCCCTAAGTTAAACGTTTTCTTCTAATTGGATGGTTTCTGAAATTGTGTATCACAAAAATTGAGAACCAAAAAATTTTTAATTAAAATAAACAAGGGAGTACAAATTTGTTCTTAATTCTTGATTAAAGATGTTAGGATGAGAACAATAGAATGAAGGTAAGTTACCACCTGTGTGTGTGTGTGTGTGTGTGTGTGTGTGTGTGTGTGTGTGTGTATTCCTTCTCCCGTGTGTGTGGTGTGTATTTCTTCTCCCAGCCCCCAGATAACAACCGTAAAAATCTCATCCTGAATCTCTTTCGAACATGATCCTGAAAATGGACTGCCATGGTGGCATAAGTCAAGCAGCTCACTTACAGTCAAACGTGCTTCCTTTTCCCCCTGTTAATTAGACTTTCATATCTCTACTCCTCCCAAATATGTTCCAGATAAGAGGGTAAGAATATTAAAGTATTTGAAGATATGTAAATGTCAGATCCCCTCTTACTTATTTTTCACCAAACGACCATATGTTATGTGAAAGAAAATAGGTTATAATTTACAGTAGGTCTAACGATAATTTTAAAAGGTAACTACTTGCCGATATACAGGACACAAGGAAACATCTTCACACTCTCTCTCCTCATATAAGGTATCTGGGCATTCCTGGCCTCCATTGGCTGCTTCTTGGATGATGATTCTGTATCGAGACTGTTTTACTGTGGCATTTCCTGAAGTAAAGGAAAAAGAAAATTATATAGTGCCCTTTTATGTTGATGCAGATCAAAATCCAGGTAGCAATTGAAAAAAAAGAGAGAGAGATAAAGTAAGCACATGTGGAAAGTCAACCTGGGAACGAAAATAACAAGCAAAGACCAGGAGTTAACACTCCATCTTACTTTTATGAAATAAACACACAATACTTAATAATGGTGATTTCGAATATAATTATTTCCCGCTGTCTTAATATGTTTAATTAGAATCTACCTTACCAATGGCATAAAAGTTTTATGGCATGATCGAAGGGGCCCCAGAAACCTTCTTTGATCTCCAAACAACAGCTGAAATCTCTGGTGTTTTATTATTAGCAACTCAGTCCCTTGAGTAAGGGATTTCTCCATCCAGGCTATTTTTTATAATGCAAACAAAACACACCTATAATAATTAATATATTAGTCACCTATTCATTTATGGATATTAGTTTATTAGATTTCTTATTCCTCAAAACCTCATAACCTTATAACCATATATATATAATTGGAATTTAGGAAAGAGGCAGTAAAATTGGGAAAGAACAAAATATTGTTTAGTTCAGGGTTTTGCTGAGAAATAGAAGTATTAATAGGAACATCAATTAAAAAACAACTGATGTTCACTTTAATGTGTTGAGGCACTCATTTCACAATCTTTAGATGCCTTCTGAATCAACATCAGCAACAAAAATCAATTATCGTTAAAGTGCTTAGCAACTACTTCAATTACTATGTGGAAGATAGACTATTTGCACTGTAAATGCACACACAAATCTCTGACCTACAGAACTTATAATTAAGCAAGAAGAAAAGGGGCAGACATATATACGACTAGTTAGAAGACATTGCAGTGTGAGCAGTGTCAGAGAGTGACACGGTGCTAGGTGGGTATAGAAGAAACAGAAATCATTTTTGACTGTGGCAACCGAAGAGGGATCATGAAGGAGACAGATTTTTGTCTGCTTTGAGGGCCTTGATAGCTAAATAGAAAAAAAATCATATATATATGAATGAATAATATATATATGATTTTATATTATATATTATATTATATATTATATTATATATTATATTATATATATTATATAATTATATATTATAATTCATATATATATAATTCATAATATATATATATATGAATGAAGCCATTTCAGGCCAAGGAAGCACTTTGAAGAAGGGCACTGAGATGTAAGAGTGCAAGGCATTTATTTACAAAGACAGACAAGTAACTACACTCAGAAGGAAGGTATGTGAGTACGGCTCTGGGTGTGAGCACATGGGAAAGGTGGGAGAGAGGGAGGAGCGCAGTGAGGGTTATAAAGAATGGAGAGAAAAGACAGTGTAGGAGAAGATGGAATAAATTGGTAGGTTTGGTACAAATAATAGACCTACCCATATCAAGAAGTTAACTTATAGAAAGCCAGCACAATGAAATAAGAATTTATTAAAATTATATATGCATTTAAAAAAAATCATTAATACTAGAAGACCCACAGTGAGAAGCAACTCAGCCACTATGAAAGCTTCCTTACTCTCTGTCTTCCTTTTCAGAGGGAACACTTTCAACTGCTTCTGTATTTAATTTTTCTATGGTTACCTCCAAATCTATAAATACTATGCTTATGTCATTACTTCTTGATTTATGAACTTCAGACATTACCTATTGACTTTCTGCAGTAATTGACAATTTACTTTGTACCATCTTTCAATCTTTTATAATGATGTTTTTTATGCCTCTACTGGTTACTTAATAACCCATATTTTTTTAAGACCTACCCCTCACTCCTGTCCTCCATCAGACCAGTCACCAAGGCTCTGTGGAGCCCTCGTGGGTAGAGGAGCTTTCTCCTTGCCACCACCCACCTTCCTGCTACATTAGGTCATGGCTCCCAATGTCGTGTCATCAATTTCTCTACTTTTTGGTCTTACCCATTAATGTTCTGTCATTACCCATTAATGTTCTGTCATCCACTAATGTCCTCCACTAATGGCCCTCTCCTTTTGTTTCTGAGAAGGAATTAGGGCTTTTAAAATTCCTTTCCTATCATTTTGAATGAGATCCTCAGAAGGAGGAGAGACCAACACCTTTGCACATCTTATGACCTTGAACTGGAAGTTAAGGAGATGTATAGGATCTTTTCCATCTGTTCCCCCTAGATTCCCTCTTTGTTCTTCTTCAACCTGCTTTATACCCAGAGATGGGCTGCATCAGTAGCCCCCCGGCTTATTGGCTTCTGTTTGGGCTTTGTGAATGGGGGGATGGGACACACAAAAGAAAAGAAAAAAAGGGCAAGAGGAGGGATAGAGACATCAAGGTATTTATTTCACCAGATTCCATCTCTGTATTGCCTCACACTGTCTCCCTATCTCTAACAAAAGCCACAGTTCCTATGGAGGGGCATTTGCCTATAGCTATTAAATACTTTTCTTTCATTCCACTAAATGTTTCTCCCTCCATCAACTTTATGGATTCTAACTTTCACTAGCCCAGGTCCTAAACCATCATACCCTGTTAGTCTACCCTAACACTTCTCATCCTTTGTAAATAGTCCCTTCATTAAATCTTCCTCAGTTGCTCCATTTGAGTGGGCTACCTCTTTCCTGGCAGAACATGCCAATAAAGTCAAAGGAGACATGTTGCTATTTGAAAGAGTAAATCCTGTAATTGGCCCCTTTTTAAATGTAGTTAAGGTTCTGTGAGGAGTTTAGAAATAGATGCTTAAAAAGAAAAAGAGGGTTACCAAGATAGCTCTGCATCATAATAATACAAAAAGCTATCTTTATTTGGGTGGGAAGAATATTTTGTAAATAATTATGCCTTTAGGAAAAAGTCTCTTCCCCTACTCCCAATTAATGTCAATTATACTGTATTATCTCTGTTTAGCCTATACTGTACTATTTAGCCTCAGAATGTTTTCTTGAGTGTGGGTTTGTGTGTATGTGTGTTTTGTCCAAATATTACCTTAGGAGTCTGTAAATAAGGACTGAAAACAATAGAAAAAAACGAAAGGGATGCCTTCACCTCACATGGAGGGAGAATCCCCAAGGGAGACTACATATACAGCATGGATCAGTATGTCTCCCTTTTACACTGAACATGCACATGCACACACGTGCACACACCATACACATACGGTACACACTCGCATACAGACGTAGTCTGCCTTTATGGTGTGACTGCAGGTAAAATAATCTAAAGTTTGAGAAAAACAGTTGCATTGATTTTCATGCCCTACAGATATTCAGATGGAGTTTCAAAAGGATGGATCCTCTAGTGAAAATCAACATTTAGTATCAAAGTAAGATTTTCCAGAGGAGAAACTGATCCACACTGCATAAACGAAGAAAAATGTATATGTCTTTGAAGAGAGAGAGTTAAGGGAGGATCTTAAGCTAGGGAAACAATACCAGAGATGTGTGAACTATCTGTTAAGAGTCTCTCTCTCTCTGTGTGTTTGTGTGTGTATGTGTGTGCATGTATATTTCCTTGAACTTTGCAATGGACATATTTAGCATTCAATTTTAAAGAATTTTCCTGTCCTTATGATGTAAATGCCTCAAATTATGGCCAAACCTATAGCAGACTCCTTTGCACACAACAGACTTAAGTGGTGTTGTGGGAAACTCAAGGGCAGGCAGTGTACACTTGAGATAGAGCAGTCAATGATTTTCTTATTTTGTTAGAGGTGTTTGAACCAGAGCAACTCCATCTTGAATAGGGGCTGGGTAAAATAAGGCTGAGACCTACTGGGCTGCATTTCCAGATGGTTAAGGCATTCTAAGTCACAGGCTGAGATAGGAGGTCAGCATAAGATACAGGTCATAAAGACCTTGCTGATAAAATGGGCTGCAGTAAAGAAGCCAGCTAAATCCCACCAAAACCAAGGTGGCCACAAAAGTGACCTCTGGTCGTCCTCACTGCTATACTACCACCAGCTCCATGACAGTTTACAGATGGCATGGCAATGTCAGGAAGCTACCCTACATGGTCTAAAAAGGGAGGCATGAATAATCCCCACCTTGTTGAGCATATCATCAAGAAATAATAACATGGATTAAGCTGGAAACCATCATTCTCGGCAAACTATCACAAGGACAGAAAACCAAACACTGCATGTTCTCACTCATAGGTGGGAATTGAACAATGAGAATACTTGGACGTAGGGCGGGGAACATCACACACTGGGGCCTGTTGGGGGGTGGGGGCCTGGGGGAGGGATAGCATTAGGAGATATACCTAATGTAAAGTATCAGTTGATGGGTGCAGCAAACCAACATGGCACATGTATACTTACTTAACAAACCTGCATGTTGTGCACATGTACCCTAGAACTTAAAGTATATAAAAAAAATAAAATAAAATAAAGAATCCTCTCTTAGATTCTGGATCCATATCCCTTTCCTGTAAAAATTTCACCTCATTTTGAACCCAGCATGAGGGTTGTGTCAAGGGAGAATGATAATTCCAGAAATCCAAAAGGTAACCAGCAACAAAAGAAGTAGAGTCTGAGGCAGCCCCCAATATCATGGTTTGAAGCCAGGTAAGAGAAGATGGGCAAAGGCCAAGTAGTAGCTCTCAGAAAGTGATGTCAAACAACACCTCCTTTTCCACTGAATACTCAAGAAAAAGTGATTTTGGGAAGTAGCTATAGAGAGGGGAGGATAGTGGCTTTGCCACTGGACTACATTTAGATCACCTATGTGTGTAAAACATATTAAATGTTTCTAGGAATTACCATCTTAATCTATGTCAGATCCATGCCTGGGCATTTTACGTATGCATATGCTACCTTATTTTATTATTATAACTTCTTATCAGATTCATATTATTATTCCCATTTTACAGATAAGAAAATGGGGGGGTGGAAGAGGTAAATAATTTCCCAAAAATCACTAGATAGAGTTAAAACTGTACTAGGCAGACAATTAGGCCCATGATATTTCCATTAAAAGAGACTTTATAGTATGATGAAGGGAAAGAGGGGAGCACTCGGGGGTGGGGGATTTGGGGGGGAGGTAGTCTACATCACTGTCCTTCTGTTATTTTAAAGGAATACTTCTTCCCTTCTAAGCAATTTTTCAATAGCACTCGCTTACAGATTTCAGTGTTAAAAAAGTGCCATATTTGTAAGCTTTTGTGAGTGATGTTTCCAACCTCATTAGGCCTATGAAGAAGAATAACAATAAATTAAAGTGCCTGTTTGCCAACATCAACAATTGCTCAAGCATGATTATGACTAATAAATAACTAGTTTAAATTCAGTTTTGATTTATGCATATTTTATCATCACTAAGTCATCAGGTATAATTAAACTTGTTTTTAATTATAGTCAAAAGAAATAACATTTAGAGAAGATGGTGACTTAAAGATTAAGAAACATATTTACCACAGAAAGCACACGAATGGGCTACAAACATTGAGAGATGTTTATAGATTCTTTGTGAAGGTCTACACTAGTCTTTTCCAGAAAGATGATAGCAAAGCGAGAAGAAATGAGTATGTAAAGAGACCCTTTGGGTGATTTGCAGGTAGGTAAGCTGGGGAACATCACACTGAATTAGTGTCATGAATGCTGAGCCCTGATGTCAGAGTTATTCGATTAATGAGCTACAATAAAGAACTGACTTACTAAGTTTGCAACTAATTTAAAATGTAAGAGTAGGGGAACAGCAAGTGGGTGGTAGAACAGGAGTGAACATAGGCACTGGCTGATAGGACAGGCAGGGTTGGAGATGAACGTGTGGCCAGGAAATTGGGGGCACTGCTAGAGGCAAGCATAGGTGCAGAGTAGATGCAGGATAGCTATGTACCAGCAATGCATGGCAGTTATTCCAGCAGCAACCTGCAGAATTCTAACAGATTTTAAAAATTAACCTTTAGGGGTTTCCCTTGTTTCTCAAATATTCCTATTACCCATTAAACATCAGTGGTCTATTATGCTTCACAGCCCCAGTATTGTTCCAGGCTTACCACCTTTTAACTCCTGGTTCTCACCCTGAAGTTCTCTTTCCTCCTCTTCACTTATATATACAATTCACCACTCAAAAACAAAACTGAACCCATCCTGGTGATTCCTCTCTCACAAAGATTGAAGCAAAAGGATGACACCAATGCTTTTTATGATTAATATCACATTAATAGTCACACATTAAATACTTCCTAGGGTTGAGTTGCAACCCTAACACCTGTTAGACTTTAGGTTATTTGTTTGACCTTGCTAAGCTTCAACTTCCTAAGTTGTAAAACAGGCCAACTAAAAGTTTCTAGTTCTTATAACTGCTAGGAGGATTACATGAGATACTGCATGTAAAGCATGAACACATTGCCAGATGCAAGGAATTTTCTCTAGCACGTCAGTTCAAGAAAGAAAAGAAAGATTTTAAAAAATAGAAGAAGTTTCAATAGTTAAATTTTCTGTAATTTAGAAAAAGAAAAAAATGACAAACCAGCTTTCTATTCAGAGCTGAGTCTCATTCCTGTTTTGTACATCTAGGAGCAGACAATGAATGGCTTAAAACCATTCCATGTTCCTGGTAAATTAAACTACAATTGCAAGGCAATTAGTACCTATAACCATGTTCTCATATTATTGGAGAGGAATGGATAGGATGGTCAAACATCCTGTTTTCTCACAGCAATTCTAGCCAATACCTATTATCTTAGCTTAAATAATAATAACTCCTCCATTCACTCTCATAAATGTCTTGGTTTGTACGACACATTATATGATCATTCAAAGACTATCACCCCCATGTGCATGTATAATAAGAAACATGTACATTTTATTTCTCATTCCAGCACAGGATTGCATTTCAAATGTGTGGAAAAGGTAGACGGACTGCACTGCTATTCTTAAAATTATCTACTCAACAGGATCACTGGACCTTTTTATTTCTTGCCACAGAATTCTGCTTGCATCATTCAAACATTCAAAGAAGGCTGTTTTGGGTTGGTTCCAAGTCTTTGCTATTGTGAATAATGCCGCAATAAACATACGTGTGCATGTGTCTTTATAGCAGCATGATTTATAGTCCTTTGGGTACATACCCAGTAATGGGATGGCTGGGTCAAATGGTATTTCTAGTTCTAGATCCCTGAGGAATTGCCACACTGACTTCCACAGTGGTTGAACTAGTTTACAGTCCCACCAACAGTGTAGAAGTGCTCCTATTTCTCCACATCCTCTCCAGCACCTGTTGTTTCCTGACTTTTTAATGATTGCCATTCTAACTGGTGTGAGATGGTATCTCATTGTGGTTTTGATTTGCATTTCTCTGATGGCCAGTGATGGTGAGCATTTTTTCTTGTGGCACATATACACCATGGAATACTATGCAGCCATAAAAAATGATTAGTTCATGTCCTTTGTAGGGACATGGATGAAATTGGAAATCATCATTCTCAGTAAACTATCGCAAGAACAAAAAACCAAACACTGCATATTCTCACTCATAGGTGGGAATTGAACAATGAGAACACATGGACACAGGAAGGGGAACATCACACTCTGGGGACTGTTGTGGCGTGGGGGGAGAGGGGAGGGATAGCATTGGGAGATATACCTAATGCTAGATGACAAGTTAGTGGGTGCAGCGCACCAGCATGGCACATGTATGCATATGTAACTAACCTGCACATTGTGCACATGTACCCTAAAACTTAAAGTATAATAATAATAAATAAAAAATAAAAAAAATTTAAAAAAAAAAAGAAGGCTCTTTTGCGTCCCTCAACAAACCTGTTTGTGAAACATGGAATTAAAAATTAATGGGAAAAGAGAGTATAGGGCTTACCTCAAAATAACCATAGCTACTCTATATGTGTTATTATAACAGAAATATCACAAATGGATGCCATAATACTGAAGAGACTTGGCATTTATTCAAAAAGGAGCATTAATATGAGGGGAAAACAACTTGGACTTGGAAAAAAATTCCAAATTGTCATTAAGAAGGCTGTTTCTGGCTGGGCGCGGTGGCTCACGCCTGTAATTCCAACACTTTGGGAGGCTGAGGTGGGCGGATCACGAGGTCAGGAGATCGAGACCATCCCGGCTAACACAGTGAAATCCCGCCTCTACTAAAAATACAAAAAATTAGGCATGGTGGCGGGTGCCTGTAGTCCCAGCTACTCAGGAGGGTGAGGCAGGAGAATGGCATGAACCTGGGAGGCAGAGCTTGCCGTGAGCTGAAATTGCGCCACTGCACCCCAGCCTGGGCAAGAGAGCGAGACTCTGTCTCAAAAAAAGAAAAAAAAAAAAAAAGGCTGTTTCTAAGTCAATACTATAGACAGCAAAGATGGCAGTACAATATTAGGCAGCCTAAGTTTATTCACCTTTAAATCTGTGACTGAGTTATCAGAGTGAAGCATTTACCACATACAGTGTTGTCATCATTAATAAATATTTGTGAGGTACCTGCTACATGTAGGCAACTCACCTAGGTGCTGGTGTTATGCTGAAATGTACATACATGCATTATTAAATCTACCCAGTGCAGCAGAAGTGAAACTTGACAGATGGATAATAACGTAAAAGATCTCTATAAGAGATCAGAAATGATAATATGAACTTTGTATTTATTATCCAAATCCATCAATCCAGTATGTTCTCTCTTTGTTCAAGGAGAAATGGAGGCTTAAGTGCTTAAAAAAATGCAATGCCCTAGTAGAACTATGAGTAGGAAGGTTTTATAGACTTCCTTCCTATCCATCTTGGTGTTCCATATATAGAGCAGATACATCAACAGCAGCATCTTCCCCTAAAATTCTCTCCCAGGCTAAACCTTGAAGTACTTCAAAATGAACACTGAGCTAAAGATTCTATCTATCTATATACAAATGAAATTAGGTGAAATTGCAAAGCTTTTCTGCTTTCCAGGAATGTTAAAAATAAGCTTCAGGATATCCATATACTTCTTTCATTTTGAAATACTGCCTGAAAAAATGTACTCTATATTCTTAAATTTTTATAATCATCATTCATTTTGCAACAGAAGCCAAATTCAATGGATCTGGCAACAGACAAGACCTTCAGGGCTCTGATTTCTAATCCCATCTCATTACTGAATTGCTATATGACCTTGGGCAAGGCACTTAACCTTTCAGAACTTCAATTTTCTTACTTGTCCTATGTGGGTAATACTGCTGAGACAATTCACAGGACAGCTGTTAGGAATGCTTAATTAAGTGGGATTTAAAGTTTTTCTCAAATGTTATATATATGTGTATGTGTGTGTATATATATATATTATATATATAGTGAACTTGAAATTTTTTATATGAAAGCCCTTTGTATAGACTTAAGAAAGAGCAATTCATGTTTATATCTGCATACGCTATCCAGGATAAGAGTCAAGGCAAATACAAACTTCCTGTAGCAGACGCAACACACTCAGAAGCCCAGGCCATAGTTCTAAATTTCCAGGGACTCCTTCCAATATCCTCAGCTTTCTATCCCCAACCACTGCTGTTCTTAAAACATCCCCAATTTAGAGAGAGCTAACCTTATCAAATAGTGACCCACTTTGAGTCTGCCCTTCCTCAGTCTCTACATATCACAACTGAAGTCATCCATAGCTGATCTCATTGTGTCTAATTCCAGCTGCATATCAGAATCTCAGGGATGCTTTCTCAAATTCCTAGTGCCCCACCCTACTCTCAGAAACCCAAACCAATTAAAGGACAATCCCTGATGGGTGGAGCTGAAGTATTAGCATGTTTTAAAAAAATCCCCAGGGAGGAGAACCACCGATTTAGCACAACTAAAGAAGAGTTTCTTATGCATCCAATAAGTAAAACAGGAAAAAGACCATATGGCATGCTTAACCAAGCAATAGAAAACAAAGGAACACTAGCTAAACCATTACAGCTCTCAACCCATTTAAAAAATACGACCTGCCCTCTAGCTAAGTCTATCATAAAGGGTATGATTGGAATTGTGCAGTATAAACAAGGAAGGTTAATAACAACACCTATAATGATAAGTTGCACTTGTCTTTTCTTCTTGTCAATGTGTTATGTGTTATGAAATGACAGGGATTTATTTTTTTTTTTTTCCGCAAATCCTGACCCCTTTCATTTTAGCAGAGGGAGTGACTATAGCTGCTTGCTACAACAAGGTCCCCTAATGTGTTGCATTCTGTCAGCATTAAGACTGAAATACACTGAAACACCATTCTGCATGGGATACAGACAGGTTTTGAGGGGCACAAATGTCATCTAAGATATAAGCTGAAAAAATACTGCTGGAATTGAAGCTGAAGATGCTGTCACCAATATTAGGCATGAATATTGAACTATATATCTGAAAAATGCTTTAAAACAATTCATGTTGCCCTACTCTATAAATGCTTTATGTCCTTAAGAATGCTATTCAGGCCGACCATTGTGCTGACAGCTTGAGAGAGAAGCTAGCAGAGTGAGGACACAACTCAGAAAGGGCACAGATAGCACCACTGGGTCCTTGCATCCTCAGCTTTTACAGGACAGTGAAGTGTATCACTGGACCACTTGCTGTTAGGGAGCTTGCCATGTTCTGCCCATCACTCGCTATGGCTCAACCACAAAAATCCTGGGCTTTTTTTTTTTTTTTTTTTGACAAACTTTCCTCAATGTCCTTTCCATGATGGGTCTATATGGAAACATTGGTTTTCCAAATGTAAGGTGAGGGAAATTACTCAGACATTAAATATCAGTTGTCATATTAAAATTTTTGTTTTGGAGGTGGTTGTAAAACATGACTAAAGGAAAATAACTCTGTGAATACAAACTAATTAAAATTAGGCTTTTTATTTTTAACCATAAATTTTAGCACAAGATAGACACTCTCTATCTCTTTTATGCATAAGGTACATGTTAATGCTTGTATTGCTGTCACTACTTCTGCAGTGTCAACATGGTCACTAGTGTTCAAAACTTCTCTTTTGGCTTTATGTTGATGAAATAATGCGACTTTTTAGAATCAGTAAACCTGGAGCCCAAGGTCTGTGAACCTAGAAAAATTACTTATCTCTCAGTACATCAAAGGGCAATAATAAGAAGACTTGATTTAGGGGCTTTGAAGAAGAATAATCAGGTAATGAAATATCAAGTAGTTAGTTCAGGGTTTGGCATCTAGTCAGCATGTAAAAATGTTAGTTGGGAGACAGGTTAGTGTGCAGGATAGGTTAAGCATATTTCTTCTTTCTTCGTCTAGATGACCCCTATACTTCCTTTGAGACTGAGCAGAGGGTCACCACTTTCAAGAAGTTTTTTCCACCCCACTCTCACCTAAGCATCCCTCTTCCCATGTTCCTACACCTCCACAAAGAACTCTGTCGCATCCTGTTGTCTTTTTGACTCTCTGTCTTTGAACAGTGAGCCTCTCTAGGTCTTATTGTAGTGCTTAAAGCCTAGTAAGGGCCAGGCAAGGTGGCTCACACCTGTAATCTCAGCACTTTGCAAGACTGAGGTGGCAGGATTGCTGAAGCCCACAAGTTTGAGACCAGCCTAGGCAACACAGCAAGACCCCCATATCTACAAAAAACAAACAAATAAAAATAAAATAAAATAAACCTGGTAGGCATTAGTAAATAATCGTTGAACAAATAAGAGTGAATGAGTGAAAAAAATGACCGAATTACCATATAGCCATTTAAAACACATTATTCTTCTGAATGAGAAGATGGAGACATTAGCTTCCAACAATATAGGAAACTGCATGTCTAGAGAACCTCTGCTGAAAGGTTTGTTTATTTATTTATTTTTTGAGACAGCGTCTCACTCTGTCACCTAGGCTGGAATGCAGTGGCAAGATCATAACTCACTGCATCCTCAACTTCCCAGGCTCAAGCAATCCTCTCACCTCAGCCTCCAGAGTAGCTGGGACTACAGGAGTGTGCCACTGCACCTGCCTTATTATTGTTTGTTTTTTGTAGAGACAAGGTTGTCCTTTGTCGTCCAGGCTCATCTCCAACTCCGGGGCTCAAGGAATCCTCCCGCCTTGACCTCCCAAAGTGCTGGAATTACAGGCATGAACCACCATGCCTGGACAATTTTTACCTTTTTAAGAAATTTTTTAACAAATCAAATGAACCCAGAGTTCACATATGCCAGCTTCCATAACCATCAGTATATGACCTACCTTGTTTCAACTATACCCATGCCCACATACACATGCAGATTACTTTAAAAAAATTCAGAAAGCACATTATTACATGCAAATATTTCAGAATATATTTAAAAGACAATAACTCTTTAAAACTGTTTTTAATATCATAGTAATATATTATACATACTTATACCAATTCTCTTAAATTATTAATAAATATCTAACCATTATTTGGGCTATAATTTGTTGACATGTCCTATAAGTTCCTTCTCCTTTTATTTTTGTTTGCCTTGCAATTCTCTTTGAAATGTTTTTAAAGTGTTTTATAAATCCATGCCTAAAATAGCATTAAAGTCAGGAGACGGTTTGGAGCACTGGCCGTTGGGAAAATTTCTCCATCACTGATAGTGAAAGCCTGGGATTTACTGGATAAGAGAAATCAGGAAAGAGGAGGCAAAACCTACAACCTCCACCACACACACACACACGCACACACCCACACGCACACACACAAATAAAGAAAACCCAAGATGAGAACTATTTATAGGTGCTCTGAGTTCTAGAAGAAGAATACTGAAATATTCTAAGGAGAGGATACCATTCTAGAAATTGAAGCTACAACCAAACAAAAGAAATTATTCCTGACCTCAAGGACTTTTCATTCTAGTAGAGGGAGAAAGGCAATTTGAAAATAAATAAGCTAAACATTTAGTGTTTCATACAGTAATTAAATACCGTGCAAAAAATACTGTGCAAGCAGCAAAAGAAACTAGCATCAGATTGAACAGGCAACATACAGAATGGGAGAAAATTTTTGCAATCTACCCAACTGGCAAAAGTCTAATATCCAGAATCTACAAGGAACGTAAACAAATTTACAAGAAAAAAACAACCCCGTCAAAAAGTGGGCAAAGGATATAAACAGACCCTTGTCAAAAGAAGATATTTATGCAGCCAACAAACATATATAAAAAAGCTCATCATCACTGATCACTAGAGAAATGCAAATCAAAACCACAATGAGATGTCACCTCATGCCAGTCAGAATGGCAATTATTAAAAAGTCAAGAAACAATAGATGCTGGCTAGGCTGTGGAGAAGTAGGAACGCTTTTACACTTTTGGTGGGAGTATAAAGTAGTTCAACCATTGTGGAAAACAGTGTGGTGATTCCTTAAGGATCAAGAACCAGAAATACCATTTGACCCACCAACCCCATCACTGGGTATATACCCAAAGGATTATAAATCATTCTACTATAAAGATACATGCACATGTATGTTTATTGCAGCACTATTTACACTACCAAAGACTTGGAACCAACCCAAATGCCCATCAATGATAGACTGGATAAAGAAAATGTGGCACATATACACCATGGAATACTATGCAGCCATAAAAAGGAATGAGATAATGTCCTTTGCAGGGACATGGATGAAGCCAGAAGTCATCACTCTTAGCAAACTAACGCAGGAACAGAAGACCAAACACCGCATGTTCTCACTCATAAGTGGGAGCTGAACAAAGAGAACACATGGACACAGGGGAGGGAACAACACGCTTCAGGGCCTGTCAGGGGTTGGGGGGGACATGGGAGGGAGGGCATTAGGACAAATACCTAATGCATGCGGGGCTTAAAACCTAGATGATGGGTTGACGGGTGCAGCAAATCACCATGGCATATGTATACCTACATAACAAACCTGCACATGTATCCTGGAACCTAAAATAAAAAAAAATGTGCAGAAAAAAAAAAAAGAGCATGGTATGTGTGTCTGTGTGTATCTTTCCATGTGTGCCTGTGGCGGGTGGGGGGCAGGGCGAGTGGTGGCAGGGGAGAAGGTTTTGCAATTTTAAATTTCAAAATCTTCAATGAGAAGGGAATATTTGAGTAAGAACTTGAAGGAGGTAGGGGGTCATCTAATGTAATATATGGGGAAGGACAGGTCAAGGCAGAGCTGGTATTATGTGCCAAGGCCCAGAGTCAAATTCCAGACAGAGCAACAGCACAGGTGTGGCTGGATCATTGAGAGGGAATGAGAGCAAAAGAGGACCACTTCCCCACATAAACACACACACAGAATTGGATTTCTACCTGGAACCATATTAAAAATAAATTAGTAAAGACTTTGATGTAAAAATTTCAGAAGAAAAACATAGGCTAATATCTTTATATCTTTAGGATAAAAAAAGTATTTCAAAACATAAAAAATAAAAGCCATAACGTAGTTGGATAAATTCAACTACATTAAAATTAAGCATTTCTCTTCCCCAAATGACAAGCTTCATTCTGAATGGGGATAATTTTACTACATGGAACCACAAAAGTTTAATATGGAGACTATAATCTTCAAAACAGTAAGAAAAACAATTCAACCATGTCAGTCATTTACCAAGTGCTTTACATGAATCAACTCACTCAATCCTCATAAGAACCTATAACAATTACTCTTGTCATTCCCATTTTGCAGGTAAGAAAATGGAGACACAGAGAGCTTCTGTTCCTCATGCAAGGTCCCAGTAAGTGGTTGAGAGACTTTGGAACCCAAGCAATGTGGGTCCAGAGTGTGCATTCCGCTTTGTTGCCTGTAACAAAAATGAACCTCTCCCTGGTCCTATTTCCTCCAATCCTTAGATGTTCTCAGCTGAAGAAATGCAATCCAATAAAATAATCTGAGTTAATGGCAACTCTTCCCAGAAATTAAAACTCAAAGCCAGTTAGGATCCTGGCCTGGAGAGAAAGCCAATAAAGACTGGGACCAGCATCATGGATGGATGGGCAGGTGATCTGTGCAGTCTCAGGGGTGGTTTAGGGCTCTGTGACAATAGTCTTGAAATTCTCAATAATTTTTTGAACACTGAACTCCACATTTTCCCATTTTGCACAGGACCCTCAAATTTTGTCCCTGATCCTGATAAGAAGAGATGGGAATGTGGGGACTTTGTGAGATACCCTGGATCTTTGGAACCATTTTACTCCTTAGAAGCTCACACTCAGAAGAGGTGGCTAAAAAGGGTCTGTGCCTTGCTGAAATCCAGCCAATTGCTTACTACTGTTTCTATTAAATCCGTTGAGCAGGGAAGAGTGTTTGCATAATCATCCAGTTATGTGAATTACACAGGATGGATGGATGAAAAATTGAGCACACTCCAGGTCATGAAGACATGCTATTAAACACTATCGAGTTATGATAATTCATATGCTTACCTACTGCTGTGGTTTCAATATTTGCCCCCTCCAAAACTCATGACAAAAGTGAATCCCCTATGTGGCAGAAGTGAGAGGTGGCTCCTTTAAGAGGTGACTGGATTTTATTTATGGATTAATGGGATTACGGATCACGGGAGTGGGACCCGTAGCTTTATAAGATGCCAAAGAAAGACCTAAGTTCACATGATCAACCCTTCACCATGTGATGCCCTGTGCCACCTTGGGACTCTGTAGACTCCCCACGAGCAAGAAGGCTCTCACCAAATGCGGACCCTCACCCTTGAACTTCCCAGTCTCCAGAACTGTAAGAAATAAATTTTGTTTCTTTATAAGTTACCCAGTTTCAAGTATTTTGTTATAAGTAACAGAAAACAGACTAAGATAACTTCAATTCCCCTTTTCTATTCAAGAAAATATTTTCCTCATTTCTTGCCCAGATAATTGAATGGTCCCCTAATTTTTCCACTGGTTTCCAATGTCGTCTCACCTCATTATTTTCTATACTATTTTCTTTTTCTAAAACATAAATGTGATTTTATCACACTCATGGTTAAAATTTAAATTCCACCAGAATTCCAGATAAGATACAAACTTGGTAGAATGTCTTCACGAGCGGGTACCTGCATATCTCTTTATTTCTTATCATTCCCCCATATGGGTTGTGTATCCCAAGCATCATTAGCCACCTGTAATTCATTCAGTTACAAAGTACTTTCACACAGCCAAGCTTCTGTACACATATCTCCTCTGCTACTTACTACTTGTAAACATCTATTCCATGTTTACCTGGTAACTCCTGATCTACTAAGTCTCACCTCCCCAATCACAGGACTCCCTTCTTTCTGGCTCCATAATGTCCTGTACTCATTCCTGTTATAGAAAACATGTGTTTGCATGCCTGAATTTCTATTTAAGTGCTCCGTGATAAAAGTAACCTCATTTTATTCATCTTAATGTAACTAGCAGTTGGCATAAAACTTGGTATACAGTAAGCCCTAGAAAAAGGTTTACTGACTCATCCATTATTATTCATTCAACAAATATTTAGGTAATTACTTTGTGGCAGTCACCATTCAACATGTTTCAGCAGAGAACAAGACATGGAACTTCCATTCTAGTTGGGATAATGATAATTGCTGTGAGAAAATAATACAGAGTAATGAAGAAGAAAAAAAAACAGGAAGAAGGGGGATTTTTAAATAGGGTAGTCAGAGGCAGACACTCTGAGGCAATGGCATTTTAACTGAAAACAAAGTGTTGAATAAAAGCACCCAAGGGCCAGGCACCACTGGAGGTCAGGAGTTTGAGACCATCCTGGGCAACACAGAGAGATGCTACCTCTAAAAACATAAAAATAATCAGGCGTGGTGGCACGCACCTGTAGTCCCAGCCACTCAGGAGGCTTAAGCCCAGGAGTTTGAGGCTGCAGTGAGCTATGACTGCATCATTGCACCCCATCAGGTGACAAAGCCAGACCCTGTTTCTAAAAAAGTGAAAAGTTTTAGAAAGGCACCCAGGCAAAAGGCTAGAAGAGATTCCCAGAAAGAGGGAACAGTAAGTGAAAGTCTGAATGAGATGGAAAAAAGCTTGGTCAGAAAGGAGGCTGACATAGCTAAAGGGAAGTAAAGGAGGCAGTGGAAAGTATTAGGGTGAGAGTTCACCAAGTCGCACGGCACCAGACAGCAAGGGTGGAGTCCTCTTAATGATGCCTTCCATGTGAAGGGAGATCCACTTCCATAGTAGTTCTTGTGCCTTGACTCTCTACACCTCCCTCACCTACATCTCCTGTGGAGATGTAAATCATGACTTTGGCAACAAGAAACTGATACATTTCTTGTTATGATATGCTCTCTCCTTTTCTTTCTTTGGGATACGTCTGCTCAGAAAATGCACATATTCTTCTGTCTTCTCAGCTGTGCTCACCCAAGGAGAATGTTTTGCTATTCAGTACAGGCTGTGGCCAGGTAGGAAAGCCTGTCTAATTCTGGGGTTGAGAAGCAGCTGATATTTTGATCTCCCTCTGCTTTGATTAACTTTCAGTTGTTTCTGATTTTGGGTGGAAGGAAAGATAGTTTGGGAAAAGATGGAATTCTTCAAGGTTCAAGACCATGTATGACCTTGTTGGTCATATATAATGTTATTTTATATTCTTGCAAAGTTTACATTCTTGCAATGTTACATTGCATGTTTACATTGCAAGAATATAAAATGACATTATACATGATAAACAGGTCCTAATGTTTAAATACTAAACATTATTATTGTTCCACTATGAGAGCCCCCCCTCACTCTTTCTCTGTCTCGACATACACACATACACACGCACACACATACACACTCACATAAACATACACACTGCTAAGTATCTTCTGTTTATAAAATTCATAATGTTTATGCCTTGAGCTTAAATAGTCATGAATCCTACAATTTACTTGGGGTAGAAAAAATACATAATGGAGAAAATTATCACATATTGAGCAACTTTGCATGGGATAAGAAAGCCCTATGAAGTTAAGTTGTCTTACAGATATTACATATTATATCTATGTTACACATGAGCATATAGTTTCAGAGATGTTAACTAAAATTCAAAATACTGTGAAAAAGTGACAATACCAGGAGTCCACCAGAAGTCTGTTAGATTCTAAAAAAGGTCAAGCTCTTCCCAGTACCCATGAACAAATAAGACAGAAGCTTAAGACAGAATATAATTCAGTGCGAAACTAAATATAATCAAACATCCACTCAAAAGCATTGTGGTCATTCAGCAATGAGAGAGGATATTGCTGGCTCAAGTTAGAAATTAACACACTTGCAACAGAGCTTGTCACCACATTCGTGTGATCTGTATTCCTTTGGTTATCCATAAGGTCTCAAAATACAATATGACAAACATATTTTAGATATCAGCAAATTAAATCTAACTTGGAAAGATTTCAAAAGGCAGAGAGTCTATCATTCCTAGCATACTTATTTTTGGATATTTTATTTATGATCATTGAAAGCATGTCATTCCAGAAATATTCTATCTGAACCATCTATATGTAGCAACTTAATTTCAAAACAACTTCAAGAGATTCACAGACTATCCAGGGCTGATTTTTCTACTAGGGGACACTTAAAAGTTGTTTGTCTAAACCATGAGCAATCTATTTCATTTAAGCATAAAGTAGCTTGTTGATTTTTTAACCATACATAAATTATTTGATGTTTTTATAAAACCTGAAGTTTCAAATTGATATATTAAGATCCCAATGTTTAACTCCACCTCTAATTCTAGGCTTTACTATAATAATATAAATTAAACACTTTATAAATCTACCATCACATTAGCTAACCCAGTGAGTCAAAAACCTCCGGAAACCACACTCTAATTTAGAAATCACATTGAAATGGGACCAAAGCCAAGGAAGCAAAAAATAACTAATTTATTCTTTTTAATTGCAGAAGATTATTTAATAAACTGAAGGAAACACCCCAGGTAAATCAAAGCTAATTTATTCAATTTCTTCATAGGAAGTACATCAAAAGACTAAAAATATACTTCTAATTAGAATGGGTACCTTGGTTTCTATAAAACAACTCATTTACCTCTATCGACAAATAAGAATCATATTATATTGTCTGCAGAGAATTCTACAGATATGAGAATGAAACCAGCCAGAAGCAAAAGCATTTTGTAAAGAAAGAACACTCATATTGAAGGAAACACAGATTTTTGCCACCAATGCTAATAATAAATCATTTTAAATATCCATGTGCCATAGGATTTATTTATGGTAACATAGCCTGGCTGTTCCACGAAGAAAATTAATAGTGCTTTAAAGTCACTATTAGATATAAACTAAGACAGCATAGTATTGCATTTCAGGTGTAAAGAACAGAACTCCACACACTAAACCTACATTTGCTTATCTTTCTGCTTTTTAAATTTATTTTGTTTTCTTTGGTATGTTGGTTTATTTTATAAGACAACCAAACAGCACTGTTTATCATAGACCACTGATAGGAATCACAGCCAAGGCATTTTGGTAAGAATGCAAGTACACACAGACTGCATATTTTGCTTGTCTGAACTAAAATATCACTCAGATCATACTCAGAGTGAGTAATATCAGACTCAGATCATACTCAGAGTGAGTACCTCATTCTCCCAGTTTCTATTCCACATGAAGGTGTTATTCTACTGCATTTCTATTCTCTGGAGCTTCATTTTCCTTTTCTATATTTCTACCTAATTCACAACAGCCCTTTTCTCAAACCAAAGCTGTGAAGTAAAAAAAAAAAAAAAAAAAAAAAAAGCAAGCCTTTTCTATTGGAAACATGCTAGTCTCTTCCAATAGTTTAGCACCCAGAGTGTAACTGGTGGAGGCACAAGAGAGGGATGAGCCAGGTTCTGAATTCCCTCCAAAAAGTGGAGCTTGAACCAGTTGGAAAGGCCAACCTCCCCGTGGAACACCACAAGCCCTCTCCGGAGGGATGCTCCTGCATCATTCTCTGCCACCTTTGTGCATCACTGTCCCCTCCCCTTCCACATGAGTCTCTGGCCTCAAGGGCTGCTCCAATAGGCTTCTGAGCCACTGAGGGACCTGGCACAAAAGTATTATACAAACCAGGGCCAGGCACAGTGGCTCACACCTGTAATCCCAGCACTTCAGAAGGCTGAGGCAGAAGGACAGCAAAAGGAGTTCCAGACAAGCCTGGGCAACATGGCGAGACCCCATCTCTACAAATAAATAAATAAAGGGCCAGGCCTGGTGGCTCATGCCTATAATCCCAGCACTTCCAGCATTACTTCCAACTGTAATCTAAACTGTAATCCCAGCATTTATAGCTCCCATCACACCCATAGGGTTTTTTTTCTTACATTTGGACATCTGCCAGATCTGTTATAAATTCCCATCAAGCCCCCCAACCCTTTGTTTTTTTTTTTTTTTTTTTTTTTTGAGACAGAGTCTCGCTCTGTCACCCAGGCTGAAGTGCAGTGGCATGATTTCAGCTCACTGCAACCTCTGCCTCCCGGGTTCAAGCGATTCTCCTGACTCAGCCTCACGAGTAGCTGGGATTACAGGCATGTGCTACCACATCTGGCTAATTTTTTATATTTTCAGTAGAGACAGGGTTTCTCCATGTTAGCCAGGATGGTCTCGAACTCCTGACCTCATGATCCACCCACCTCGGCCTCCCAAGGGCTGGTATTACAGGCGTGAGCCACTGCGCCCAGCCAAGACCCCTTTTACCTAATGTAGCTTAAAGTTCTTTGATCCTTAAAAACTAAAATAGAGTTGATTAAAACAACACAGTAGGTGCTTGTCACACATTTCTCAAACAATCTGTTGGTCTATGGTTACATCCAATGCTTCTCCAATATAGTGGTTTTCAAACTTTATTGTGTCTTAGAATCACTAAGGAAGTTAATTTAAAAATGCAGAGTTTTAGGCCCCAGTTCCAACTTCAAAATCAGAATCTCTTAGGGTTCTAGCAAGCATACCACACAGATCTGAGCTGAAGGTTTGTGGACCACATTTTCAGAAACCTGTTCAATTACTTTAAGTTTTACCCACGGGTCAGTCTAGGACACTAAAAGATTGCACATGACCACAATTTTGCATTTCACCTTATATATGGCCTTGGGTTTTTATCAAGAACGAAACCCTATCAGACAGTGCATTGCATTTCCCATAACCATATGGTTGAAAACAGTAACTACTACCCCAGTTGGTGACTTTGAAGCACGAGTGGGAAATGACTTTAAGAAATTAGCAATTCAATAGGTTTTGCTTCCCTGAGATAGTCATACAACTTCATTACAGATAATAGACAGACTGACAGACAAATGAATGAACAAACAAGTACACAAAAAATAAATAAAAATGATAGAATTTTTTCCCTTTTAACCACATTTGCCAGGAAAACAGAGACAAATCTGATGCTCTAAGTCTCACACACTCTGTGGCCAACGTCGTCACATATGTTCTTGCATTAAGCTATGCAAATTTTTATGAGGAAAATTGAGCTGTGAAGGAAGACTAACTTCTCGTTCAGCAGTTTGCTAGGTTTGCTTAAGCAAATTGGTTCTTGCTAGCATCTATTTATTTGACATGGATTTACTAAGTTCTGTTCTGCCTTAAGTTTATTTCTTGGTACTTTGGGGACTGAAAACTGAAAAGGGCAAGGTTTAAGCCCTCAAGGAGTTCACAATCCTTCAGAGGAACACAAAACACCTTTACCAATAGCCAGACTGCAAACATTTCAGACAGAGCATGGGACTTCAGAGGGCAAAGTGTTTATTTCCAGCAGAAGGGTCAGAACAAACTCTGTGGAGGGGGCTAGGATTTAGGCTGTAGTAAGATTTGGGCAAGCAGTAGAGATGAAGGGAGACATTCAGGCAGAGGGGAAATCAGACTTTTCTTGCCTTCTTCCATAGTGCCCTGACCTTCATAGCACACTTTGTGACTGCATCTTTATTCAGGTAGTTTTGTGTTCAACTCCTCTATCTTCCCTCACTGGATGGTATTCTCTACGATGGAGAGATTTCTGTATGTTTCATTCACTACTTTATCCATATACACACAGCGCCTAGCACACAGCCTGAAACGCAGGATCATTCAGCAAATATTTGTTGTTAAGTGGTTAAGAGCTTAGGATTCCATGTGGTTTTGGTATTTATTAATGTTAGTTTTGCAACCTTGGGCTCTATCTTTAAGCCCTATTTTCTTTTACATAAAATAGAGTAATAATTCTTTCAACATAAGGTTGAGGTAAGAATTAAATGGAATAGTGAGAACATTTAAAACCTACTCTGGTGGCAATTTTGAAATATGCTTTATTATTAACTCTAGGCAGGTGAGGTGATGGATATATTAATTAGCTTGATTTAATCATTCCATCATGTATACATGTATCAAAACATCACATTATACCCCATATTTATATACAGTTATTATTTGTCAAATTAAAATAAAATTTTAAAATAGAAGTAATCAAATAGAGTAATGCATATAAATTATAGCTATTATAAATTTAATAGGAAGAGGCAGTGAAATAAAGCAAAACTATGCTGAAGTTATAGCCTTTCACTGGCAAGAATTAAACTTGTCTAGCTTGCCTTTCTGTAGCTGAACAGGAGCACCAGGACAGACAATGTAGCAAGTTTAAACACTGGGTTTTTTAACTTGGTCTTTGCTCCTTTGAGGCCATATGGCAACTTCCCTTGAGGAGTGTGTTGCCTCATCTGTGAAGCAGGAGTAATAAAACAGCTCTTCCTTTACCATTAAACTGTCCTGACAATTTATGAGATAGCACATGTCAAATTAATGTGTGATCTATAACATGCAAAGCCTGCAATAAAGGTACTGGACTTCAAATTCTTGATTTGCTAATAGACAAGAAAGACTATCTGTGCCTATGGATGTAGCAAGTAGCTCGTTGTCGTGGGATAAAAACAGATAAGCCCTAGAGCCAGAGAGAAGCCTGGATTTCCACCATGCTCTGATTCTAACATACTGGGTAACCTCGGAGCAGTTACTTCATCTTTCTGAGCTTGGTGTTTCTCACCTGTTAGTCATGTATGATTAGACTTACCTCCTGGGGCCACTGTAGGATGCAAGAGAAAATCCAGTAGACTATACTGTAGATTTCAGGTCTTTCTAAATATACATCAATCTCTAGTCCAGAGGGAAGAAGACGGAGTAATGGAGTGAGAGGAAAGAGTCTGGACTGACAATGCTTTCCCTACCAGATATTACTTGGATTAACATTTCTTTGAAGGAGTTTAGACCAGACTAAGAGTTCTGAGCTCTGAGCAGCAACTCCCATTCTAATGTAAGTGTTCCTCCTTGTCTCAGTATGGTCATCGGACTCTAATGCAATGTTGTTATTTTTTTTTTAAACCAAATCTGATAACTTCTTATGCGGGGTTTTAATAAAGACAGGCAGAAGATCCCATAATTAAAAAAATATATAGGAAAAAATAAAATAATATTTAATTGAGAGAATTTTATCCATGAACTTTTTCCCCCTATGAAATAGGAAAAGGTGTTTTTTAATGAATTTTATCAGCAGAACTCCTCAGTTTGGCAGAAGTATTATTGAAAACTATAATCTCTACAAGCCCAAGTGTTTGTCGTTCCTCCTACTAAATTATCAGGAATATTTATTGAGCACTGGGACCATGTAGCGATCTATGGACTTTAAATTACAGACTAAAGGAAGCAAGTTACACCCAGCAGCACCTGTGAAGACAAAGATACCTGCACTCATGTATCAGAGCTGGGTCTGGAGACATCGATGTGAGCTATACATCTTGCTGTGTTTAATTTCTCAAAAAACTCTTTGGAAAAGATAACATTATCTAAAGTTTACAGAAGAAACAAAAAAGATTTAGGTAACGTCAATCTCAAGGAAGAACAAGGTGTTAAAGTGCCTTGAACATTATTTTTTGGGCCAGTGTTCCAGGCTCAAAGCTTTGATTACTCAAACACAGCAGACCCTCTATTATTTGGGAACAAATGGATGAACAAAGGTGTGGATGGTTCTGTGAAGAGGAGGGGGCCACATATGCTTGACAGGGGAAAGTAAAGAGGCAAGTTAGTGCTTGTATGTATTTGAGTGGGCAAAATTCTGGAATCCAGAATAGGTTATTTTTACCTTTTTGACATTCAGATTGACCAGTTCCCTAATTGACCTGGATCTGTGGAATAATCTGTTAATGCCACAGTTTCATTTAAAAGAAAGCAAAATCTTTAAGCATTAGAACTGACTGGGGAAGAGATGTGTCTATTTATTCATTCATTCAACAACAATTACTAAATGCCCACCATGTGCCAGACACTGTACTAAGCACTGGAAGTTCATTAATGAAATGAAAGACTCCTACCCTCTGAGTTTATAGTCTGTCCAGAGCAATACAGGCATAGAAACAGGTGCCATAATACCAGCATGTAGAGGACTTAATAATTGCAGGAACTCAACATAATACAAGCTCCCTGACCTTAAGGAACTTTTATCATCATCATTATCATCTAATAATAATAATAACAAATAAATGCTAAGTACTGAGTATTTCTCATCCTCCACCACTAGTAAGAGTCACCTATGGAGAGTTTTAACGCTGAAAATATCCTTTCAACCTGAAGAGATTCTGATTGGTTTGAGCTGGGGTGAGTCTCAGACATCTGTGGATTGAAAAAACTCAATGGGGTTGAGATTAAATAAAAATAAACAATAGTAAATTTCTATATACCTGGCACTGTTCCATCTGTCCTCCTTATAACAGCTCTTTGAAGTAGCTGGTAATATTACCTTATTTTGGAAAGGAAGAAATTGAAACACAGCAAGTTTAAAGTAATTTGTATGGCAGAGATGAGATTTGAATCAAGGAAATCTAACTCAAGAATCCATGCTACATGCCTAGGTGTTTAAAAAAAAATCACTGTCTGTTTTTGATACTGAAAACTCAAGAGGTAACTCCAGGAGGGTTGACACAGGAGGAAATGAATTCCACCAAATGAGGTTTCCTACCAATTCCCAGCAGCAGTCTCTGCTGTTGGCCTTCCTGTTACCATGACACTGCTCTCTAGCTCACTCCTTAGAGATGAAAGTTAAAGGAGTTCCTTCAGCCTCCAATTATTTGAGACTGACAAATAATTAATCATTAGCTCCATGGTTTCTAGAAATATTCTGTTGAATATTCTATTTTTAATATACCATAATTTATCTTCAGTCTAGTAACTTTACCTCTTTCATATTCTCCCTTTCCATAAACTGGTAAACATATCTGGCAATTATCTCAACTAGTCCTTTTGGGTGTGGAAGTGGGGATTAATGTATAGACAAAATAAGAATGTCCATGAGGTGATAATTGCTTTGTGCAGCCATCATGACATGAATACATTGTATTAACCATTAATACTTTGTATTCACATTGCATTCATTTATGCATATGTTTGAAACTTCATATAATTAAATGTTGAAAATATGCAGCAAGGCTCTTTAAAGGTTCTCTGATATAAATCATACAAAGGATAATACTGATTTGTGATCTTAAAGTAAAAACATGAGGAATGACAATGATGGCAGCAGTGGCCAACATAATTAATTCCAACACTACCTCGGCAAACAATTATCAATGGTCTCCTATAACAGGCTGAAATGTATGTGAAGACATATTGTAAAATATTAGGCATTAAATGAGTGTTTCTCATCCTTCACTGCTTATAAGTCACCTATGGAGAATTTATCGCAGATATCCTTCCAACCTAAAGATATTCTGACTGGGCGGGCTGGGATGAGGCTCAGACATCAGTCCATTGAAAAAACTAAAGGCTGAGAAATGTTGCAATAAGCTAGCTGTTGCTATTATTAACTAGACCACATTGGATACTTTAGGCAGGCATTTGTTTTGTAGGCTGAAAAAAGAATAGAAGAAAACAGCAAAAAAAAAAAAGTACAAAGGAAATGGTTCGTGATAATTTGGTGAATTTATTACAGGGACTGAAGAATTAGGCCACAACAGGCCAAAGCTTGATAGACCTTTGGTTTGCTTAGAAAAATATGAGACTATCATTGATCCTTTAAGGAGAGACTCAGAGAAGGAGGAATAAGAAGATCATAAGCATGGCTTGAGATTGTCCATGGCTTGAAAATACCTTTATGTTTTAAGGTTTTAGCTCTTGAATCAAGCCGGGACAAAATAAAACCTGACGGAATTCATCCATTGCTATGTCACAAATCACTGCTGGTGCACTTGGTCCCATAAACAACCTTGGCTTTCTGAGAGGTTTAGAATGAACGTGGTTTGAGATTTTCATAATCCAGTGATTCCCTGGTTGTTATCACAAACCTATTAAATCAGAATGTATTAGAGTAGGATCCAGGCATCAGAGATTTTCAGGTGATTCCATTGTGCAGTCAACTTTGAAGACCACAGACATAACCGCTTCTCAACTTTGATGACCCAACCTGAAGCCATAGCCACAAAACAAAAAAAGGAGTTCTTCTGTCTTCATTAGTCGAGGTTTCCACTTGCTCTGGTCCATCCTCCTCCTGGATCTCTTCCTGACCTCTCAGTTTAAGTTAAACCACTTTTAACCACTCCCCTTCACCTCCCACCCTGTCCCCACCTGCTAGTCTGTCCCTGGTCCATGCTTCTCACTTTAAAACTTTGATCAGACATTGCCTCACCCAGAAATTTCTAATGAACCCAACCCCGCATAGAGCTTTATACCCAACATATATGTATCACCTGGGAACTTATAGAAATATACAATTCCAGGCCCCATTTCGGTCTATTGAATTAGAATCTGCAATTAATAAGATCCCCAGGGGACTTGTATGCACATTCAAGTTTGAGAAGTACTGTTTTAGGACACCATTTCCCAAAAAGTCTGTTGAAGGACACTCTCAAGGACACAAAATCCACTGCCTAGATTTTAATCCGCACTCCTCTATCTCTTTACACAACACCTGTACATTCAAAATATATGCACTGAGTAGCAACTATATGCCCCATACTAGGCTGGGTTTAGAGTATCCAGTTGTGAAGATGGTGGAAGTGGTCCTTATATTCATGGACTTAAAATCTAGCAGGGGCAAGTCTAACAAGAAAAGATAATTTAAGGGGATGAATAGGATGCTGTGGGATAATCTACTTAATGGAGGAGGATGGGGGAGTCTACAGTAGTCTGGTAGATGAGAGCAGCATTCCAGGGGAAAGGCAGGTCTCTGTAGATACACAGGCTGAGGACCCGGGAAGGAGGGGCAGCTGAAGAGAATGGAGTGCCAACCTCATGCACAGCAGGTGCAAACTATACAACTATACAAACACTTGCCCAGTGCCTACTCAGTGTCAGGAGGTGGTCTAAGTGCTTTCTTTATAGGCAGGTGTTATTATTAACCTCCATTTTACAAATTAGAAAACTGAGGCAAAGAGACATTAAGTAATATATCTGCTACATAGCAAACATGAAAATACAACCACAGTTATCTGGCTCCAGCATCCATGCTCTTATGCCCCAATCTACAGTCTCTTAAACTGGGAAAAAAAACAAGATACATTCAAGAAGCTGAAAGAAGGGCCACATATCTAGCGTTAAAGCAAGTTTTGCTCATGGATCTATGGGCTCCATCAGAATGAGGGAGACGAGGAGGAGGAGGGTCACCATTCAGGGGGCCCTAGCTTCTTACAACTGAAAATTTCTGGGACACCACCCCCCCATAGTTATTGAATCAGAATTTCTAGTCATGGATCCAGAAATCTGCATATTAATAATTCTTCCAGGTGATTCAAATGCAATAAAGTTTGAGAACCATAGGCTTATAGATACAATTTCCTCCAAATTTTTCCCCCTCTTATAGTGTCCTGTAATTAACCCATAGTTACTTAATAATATCTTAGTCCCAAGCTATAAACTAAAAATTAGGGTAAATAGGATTGAAATGGAAAGCTGGAAGAAATCTGAAAATTGAATCTTTGCCTCTGTAGGTCCCTGACTGCCAAGCTGTGAAAAGAATTATCTGGGCTTGAAGAATTGGTGGCAAAGAGAGACCACAGAGACTTAGAACTATTTTCATTACAATGCCAATGATTTAAACAACTAATTGAATTTCTGGAAATTGGAGTAAAATTTAAAGTTGCTTGAGGAACAATTACTTTACATGCCCTGTGATTCCGTTTCCTTTACCCAATGCTAGGAAAAGACTCTCCAGTAGCAGAGAGAATTTTCTTGAATGTAGAATAGGTGGACTAGCAGTGGCTAAAGTAATCTCTGGTCACCAGGGCACACTGGCTCAACAAAGTTAATCTGCTTCCCTATGTATCAAGAGACTTCAATAACTCCAACACCAATTTCTGGCTGCTGGTGGGGTATTCTCTTAAATCCAGTCTCTTCTTATAACAATTTAACAGGAATTGTACTAAACTCTCATGAATAAGAAGCTAAAATAAATAGTTAAATATCAACAAAACTCCATCATCATAGATTATATTATTCCCTTGCATCTTATCAATATTTATCTTTAAGAGCTTGAAATGTTTTTAGGTACATTATGATTAAAATTCCCAAAGTCAGCCTCCTAGATGCTGCCTTTCAAATGGCTCAGAGTAGAGACAGAAGCTTTTCTATCCTTGCCTGCTTTGAAACGACATTACACTGGCTATTTAACAAACCCTGTTCATCCAGTTCATTTACTTTGGATCTTCATTCAGAAAAAAACAAGTTTTGGAGAGTTTCTAGAAGAGATTGTCGTTTCCATCCCTCAAAAGATCAGATAAATAAAGCACTGTATTTTCAAAGCTCTTTCTTATTCAATGTATTTATTTCTGATTCTATCCATAAGCAAATCTCATTGTATGCTACTATATTAATTCTGTGACAAATGATCATCAGGAAGATGAAATGCCATAGTTATAAAACTTTGTGCTGGTACTCCACCATTGCAATACAAAGATGATAATTTTCAACAGGTGCCACAGCTCTGTTTTCAATCACTGAGAGGTGTTTGAATGACCATCAGATCTATGTCAATATTGGCTTTATTTTCACGTCACTCTCACGAAGTGATGCTATAGATATGTGAGTCAAAGAGCATTTGAAGGATCTTAGACGCACACAGCTGGAATTATCCAAGGAAAGCAAACCTCTGACAGGCTTTTTTCTCTGCAGAACTGCATACTTTCTTCTTTCTTCTTCCAGGAGGCTGGTGCAGCAAGAGAGCCATGCTCTGCTTGAGAGGACATGGCTGCCAAGAGAAGCCCAGGGACCAGTGGATGAGACTCACTGAACTCTGGGCATTAGAGGTAATATTCTTTCTGTCTTTCCTTTTCTTGGATTTGCCTTTTGTAACCATGCAATGGTAAGATCCAAAGGGCCAAGGCTAGTGTATGAGACTAGGAGAGAGGGACTAAGTTATTAACTCTAGATCTTAGGCCAAAATGGAGTTTTGGGATGAGGATTAATTATATCTTCACATGAACTAGCCCATCAGGGAGCTGCAATACACTTTGGGGGAAAGATCTGTTCTAAGAGAGGGGATCACTTTAGCATATACTCCTATGTGTTCATCTAGGACTTTGCTGTTAAGTATCCTGGATTAAATACCTTCAAATATACCCAGATGTATAAAGTATCACCATTAAGAATAAAGAAATACAAATCATATATTGCCAATTTCTGTACTTGTTCAACACTTTGTAATGTATCTGCTCTTGTAATCCATGTACTTATATTAATCAGTGATGTGAGCATTGTATTCGAGCCCTATATTCTAATGAGGATACCTGGAACTGGGGTCCAGACACACAAGAGCCACATAGAAACTGTGATTGTGATGATGCTTTATAAGGAATCACATGGGAATGACTGTTCAAAATGCCACAACGGGGTCAGTAGAAGATGAATACTCCTGCAATGCATGCAGGTGGAACTATGACATAAGATAAGAAAATATGTTTTCTCTTCCAAGCTCTGATAGATTTGGAAATACAAGACTTCATTTACAAACTTTACCAAACTTGTTTCCAGGGTGATAGGCAAATGAAAAAAAAAAAAGGTGCTCACATTCCACAACCTCTCACTTACTTAGATGTGGAGAAACAATCAGGTTAGGGAAGAAAGAACTAAGAACGCAGCATCCACCTACCTGCTTGGCACATCCTTGGGCAGGGTGTCCACTCACTGAAAGCAGTCACAATACAGTCTTTTTTGCATGGGAGAAAACAGGGGCGCACAGTTTCAGGTCGAGTAGAATCTGGACATCTGTCAATGTGAAAAGACCATGTCAATGCCTTTTTGAGAGACTAAGCCGTTGAACGCAGAACTATAGGATTTTAGAACCGAAAATATTAAGGGCCTCATGTTCCCTTAATAGGTGAGGGAAGAGAGACTCCTGGAGGTGAAGCTACTTGCCCAAGCGCTCAAAGCTGGAGGCAGAGCCTGAAGCAGACCTCAGCTCTCTTGATCCAAAGACCAAAATAACTTTTCACTACACCAGTAAAAAAATAACCTCTGAAACCAATGAAAGATGAGTGCCAAGAAAGTGTCTCACCATCAGCATCAACTAATTTTATCTTTTTCAGAAGGAAAAAACTGAAATATTATTTTAAATGTTTTATTCAGGGTGATACATCAATTTAGCAATATTCTACAAAAGAAAGGATTATAAAAGAAATATAAACATATATTGGAAAACAAAAATCTTTGATGGACACTTAAAAATACTAGGAATCTTTGATCATTAACAGAATTCTAGACTACTTAAATGATGAACAGGTATTTCTTTCCTTTTCTTTTTTTTTTTTTTTCCTGAGATGGAGTCTCACTCTGTCCCTTAGCCTGGAGTGCAGTGGCACGATCTCGGCTCACTGCAACCTCCACCTCCCAAGTTCAAGTGACTCTCACACCTCAGCCTCTCAAGTAGCTGGGATTACAGGTGCACCATCATGCCTGGCTAATTTTTGTATTTTTAGTAGAGATGGGATTTCACCATGTTAACCAGGATGATCTCGATCTCTCGACCTCATAATCTGCCCTCCTTGGCCTCCCAAAGTGCTGGGATTACAGGCGTGAGCCACCGAGCCCAGTCAATTAACAGGTATTTCTATAGAACACGTAGACTGAAAAGTTGGAAGAAGCAACATATGACAGCCTGTTAATAACAAATATACTAACCAGCATTAACAAGGAAGAAGATATTGATTTTATTACTTTGCTGATAATTAATTTAGTGCCCAGACTTGGGAAGAAAGTAATATAAATAGTTAATGGAGTCACAATTATTTGGAAAACTAAAGTCTCAGCAAATAGCAAGAGAGTTTTTGTTTGTTTGCTTGCTTGCTTGTTTTTAGAGTAGAGATGGCTAACAATCACATTTATTATATTCTACAACAGTGTTACACCAAGAAGAAAAACAGGAAAGCACTTTACGCTATACATTTGGTTTTTAAATTCTGTTTCCCATAAGTTTCATATAAAGAAGAGAATTGCAGTGTGTATAAAGTTTAATAGTGTGAGCTCTGTATTGGATAGCCAGTGCTGAGTTAAGTGCTCTGCCTACATTCTTTCAGTTACTCTTAACAGCAATGATGAGCATTATAATCTTCATTTTCATATGATAAGCTGAGATGTTGAAATAAGTAATGGACCCAAAGCTTCATGGAGACAAAGCACCTGAAAAAATTATGATTGAAAAAACACCAGTCTAGCAAGTTTAAACAGACAGTTAATAGACTTCCAGTAAGAGAGAATAGAGAAAAATGGAAAAGAGAAAATTGATGAGGAAATAATGGACTTAACTATTACAGAATTGAAAAAGAGATGATAATTCAGAGTGAAAAACCCAGGAAGTGTATACAAAATGACCAACATGCAAATACAGGGACTGTCCAAATTTCAAACACAAAGAAAATGTTAAGAGGAGAAACTAGTAATCCCAACGCTTTGGGAGGCCGAGGCAAGAGTATTGCTTGAGGCCAGAAGTTAAACACTAGCCTGGGCAACACAGCCAGACCCTGTGTCTATTAAAAAATATAAAAAATATTAGCTGGGCATGGGGGTACATGCCTGTAGTCCTAGCTACATGGGTTGCTGAGGCCAGAGGATCACTGAAACCCAGGAGTTCAAGGCTGCAGTAAGCTATGATCATACCCCTGCACTCCAGAGCCTGGACAATAAAGCAAGACTCTGTCTCTAAAAAAGAAACAGAGAGAGAGAGAGTGAGAGAAAAAGAAGGAAGGAGGGAGAGAGGGAGGGCAGGCAGAACAGAAACTAATAACTGTTAGGGCAAAAAGGAAGAAAAATGGTTCATCTAAGAAGGGAGAGGAATCTGAGTGACATCAGACCTCATCAACTTACATAATTATAAATCTGAAAGCAATTTCATAGTGTTAACATTTTAGAAACAATGCATAGGCAAAACAGAGACGAATAAATTTTGTTTTGGGATAAAATGTTCCAACACATCATTCTGGTCACAGAGAGTACAGGATGAGAACTAGAAAGAGGAGAGAGGATGGACACTGGATGTCCTCCTCCAACAAAGCAGGTGTTCAGAGAGTTGATCTAAACACAAATGAAATAAGAGACAAAGTCATTATGAACAAAATGTTTGTGTCCCTCCCAAAATCTATATGTTGAAACCTAACCCCCAAAGTGAAAACATCGGATGGTGGAGCCTTTAGGAGATAATTAGATCATGAGGTTGGAGCTCTCATGAATGGCATCAGTGTCCCTTACAAAAAGAGACACCAAGTAGCTGGTTTCCTCTCTGTGTTCTCCACCATGTGAAGATACAAGAAGGTGGCCATCTGCAAACCAGCAAGAGGGCTTTTCCTGGAATTCAACCATGAGGTCACCCTGATCACGGACTTTCAGCCTCCAAAACTGTCAGAAATAAACCTGTTTGTTGTTTCAGCCAACCAGTCTATGCTATTTTTGTTATAGCAGCCCAAACTGACTTTGACAAAGGTTCTAAGAAACTTGATCAAAAGTACTACTGTAACCAACCAAGAGAATGCCAACATTCTGGGAGGAGTTGGGAGAGGAAGTAGTGGAAATGAGCTGAGGTTGATTACTTTCATGGGAGCAAATCACAGAATGACAATTTTAAATTGATAAATGCAGAGCTACATGGCTCTTCTGTGAAAAATACATCCTTTAGAGTTAGGAGGTAAACACCAGAAAGGGAGAAGGGCCAGTGATATATACTTGAATTTGCTTGTATCCACATAAAGATACAGGGGAGGTAGATGAGGAAGGAGTAAAGTGGTTGTTGGGGACAGGGAAGGAGGACGGAAGTGGGTGAATGAGAGCCGGGGTGGCATAAGGCTTCCAACTGTTCACCTTTTTATATTGGTGAACTATGTGTCTGTTTTCCCAATCAAAATTCAGAGAGAGACAGAAAAAAAATTCAGCAACTGTTAAAAAGTGGTTGTGCTATATAAATACATTTTCTGGCTTTGGTAATGTACTATGGTTATGTAAGATGTTACAGCTGGGGGAAGCCGAGTGAAGGGTGTATAGATTTCTCTGTACAACTTTTGCAAGTTGCTGTGGATCTATAATTATTTCAAAAAAAAAGTGGTTGTGTTAAGGAAGTAGGATATGAAGTGGAGGAGGAGGTGGTTGAGAACCTACTGCTTTCCACCATCAGTCCCTCTATTATTTTACTTATACAATAAAACACGTAACGCTTTGATAAAAAATAAACTAATATTAAAAGATATATACCCAGAAAAAATTGCTAATTCATTCTTATTAGTGGCATTATTATTATTAACTATCTTTAATACATATATACACACAAATCATCTATAAAATAGATTGATTCAATGAGCATAACAAGAGAAAGAAAGATGAGTGTCATGGCCGGGCGCGGTGGCTCACGCCTGTAATCCCAGCACTTTGGGAGGCCGAGGCGGGTGGATCATGAGGTCAGGAGATCGAGACCATCCTGGCTAACAAGGTGAAACCCCGTCTCTACTAAAAATACAAAAAATTAGCCGGGCGCGGTGGCGGGCGCCTGTAGTCCCAGCTACTCGGGAGGCTGAGGCAGGAGAATGGCGTGAACCCGGGAAGCGGAGCTTGCAGTGAGCCGAGATTGCGCCACTGCAGTCCGCAGTCCGGCCTGGGCGACAGAGCGAGACTCCGTCTCAAAAAAAAAAAAAAAAAAAAAAAAAAAAAAGAAAGATGAGTGTCATTATCAGGATATAGTGTTATTTAAACAAGCTACTCTGGTAAGGAAAATTTATATCATACTTTAGTTAAGATAAGAAAACACTAAAATCACTCCTAAGTCCCTTATTAATTTTTAAGGTCTTCTAAAAATGAATTCAATTGCCATTTATTCTAACTTTTCTCCATCCTTTCCTGGTAGATAGCTGGGAATGAAAACACAACTTGAGTGATGCCAACTTCCTGTGCCCAGGAGTCACAAGGGTTCCCATACGGACCCACCCAACACTCGAACATTCACAAAACAGCCTGGAAATATTTGTGGCGCAACACTTCAAGCTTTCTATAGAGAGTTGCTAATATCTCAGGAACTTTATCCCCTTCAATTAGGAGTAGGCATTAATCTCTTTTAGGGAACTGATATTGTCAATTTTATTGACCCTTTCCTGGCATCACTCACCATAAACACTCACTGGGTAATACTTGAACTCTCCATGATATGGCCCTTTCTCTCTCTTTTTCTCTTAAGTCTGAAAGAGAGAAAGAGTATCATTCCCTCAAGGGCAAAGGTCAAGCTTAGGTTACAGTGCTATTATAGAAGAAATGAACTGTGGGCTTTCCTGGAAATGCAAGTTATTTTTGGTTTGATAAGGGCCAAATATTTTGTTGCAATGGAAATTGTCTTTTTGTCACTTCCCCTGCCAATGAGGTTTACCCTTTCCTCAGGGATTCAACTTTCTCTTCCTCTTTATCTACACATTGTCTATCCTTTCATGCATCGTCACATTTCCAATTTCCATACATTTTCTCATAGTCTTCAAAAATACAGTCTTTGGCTATTAGGAACCTAGGTTCTCCCCAACTTCTGAAAAAGGTAAAGTTGGTTTTCTGTATCACTGTATTATCACTGACAGAGAAAAGACTTTTGATAACTTTTGGGGTGCTGATGCTGTGTGTGTGCACATACACGCACATGCTGTACATACACTAATTTTGAGTGCCTTGATGGTAGAATTCCATTTTGTATCGTGCCTTAAAAATCCCATATTTAGCTCAGTGTAAACGTTTAGTAACAGTAAGTGAATGACTGAATAGTATTCTGTGCTATCAAAGCCTGAAGACAAATAAATCCCTGGGGAATATTAGACTTATTTCTCCAGCTATTTCCGCAACAAAACTGAAGCCTTGAAACCCAGAGAAACAGATGGATTCACTTTTTAGCTAGTAAGCATACATGGCCCCTTGCCTTTTGTCAAAATTTAACTTCCTGCTTTCATGTAATACTCTGATTTTGGATTAGCAATGCTCTCCATAAAAGGGAACGAATTCCATTTCAATGAATATATTTTCCTGGACTTGCACTGGAATGTTCTACAACTCTTGTCTCTTGGCCTCACTGTAGGCTTCAGCTTTTTTTTTTTTTTTTTTTTTGAGACGGAGTTTCTCTCTTATTGCCCAGGCTGGAGTGTAATGGCGTGCCATCTCAGCTCACTGCAAGCTCTGCCTCCCAGGTTCAAGGGATTCTCCTGCCTCAGCCTCCCGAGTAGCTGGGATTACAGGTGCCTGCCACCACTCCTGGCTAATTTTTGTATTTTTAGTAGAGATGGGGTTTCACCATGTTGGCCAGGCTGGTCTCAAGCTCCTGACCTCAGGTGATCCACCTGCCTCGGCCTCCCAAAGTGCTGGGATTACAGGCATGAGCCACCGCGCCCAGCTAGCTTCAGCTTCTTATAAGCACTGTGCTGAAATACATCACATTGGGCTACAAAGACCTGCCATTTTTTAGCTACACCTCCATAATTAGTCATCTGACCCAGGAACTGATGTATTCATCTCACTCAGCTAGATGGGGAAACCTGCCAAGCTTTTAAATGTTAAATGTTTAAATGGAGCTATTTATTGCTGTATCTCACAAAATGCCAGTTGTTTTCACATTAAAAGCAGAAAGTACCTTATCAGGAACTTTGAAAGGCTTTGAGTTATGTGTTTTCAATCTTTATTATCATTATTTTTTGTACACTGCCACCGGGGAAAGAAAAGCATTGAATAGTAAAACAAAACCGAACACAACTTCAGGAAGATCCCAACAAGCTCTCACTCTGATTCAGTTGTTACCAGCTAGCTCTCATTTTCTGATATGATCAGTTCGATTACTCGTACAATGGTAACAGTCTCACCTGTACAATTACATGGAAACCAAAACACCAACCCAGGGACACAAGAACTTGCGAGAAACTCTATGCCTCTCAGTGCAGTGGGTTTAGAGATATAACATTATTTTGAACCACACGTTCCATGGAGACATGCGTCCTTCTCTGTTTTCTGAAGGCCACTCTTTCTCTAGGATATTTTCTTCTTCCTTTCCATTTCTCTATCCCCATCCCAAAGATTTCATATATGACAGGGGATCTTTTCCCACTGCAATGACTTTCATGTGAAAAAGAGCAAAAATATATTTCTGGAGGCATAGCAAAGGATACTTTATATTGCTGATAATCTCCTTGGGTGCTTCACTGGACACTAGGTATTATTTTCTTAGCTCAATTAATCTCATTAACCTCAAGAATTTTAATTAATTTCACTAAAGTCAATGCAGGCTGCTCATGTTTAACAGGATTATTTGGAGACATACAGTCAGAATTAAAACTAGGTTGTTAAGTCTCCAGCCTCATTAACAGTACAGAAAGTCATTAGCAATGCTTTTATATTTGTGTGTGTATGTTAGGGAAAACATCTGTGCAATTGATTTTTCTGTGTTGGTAAACCACAGCAAAACTGGAGATGATTTACTGTAATAATAATATTTTAGTCTCACTTATGTACATTTTAAAACAAATGCATATTAGCTTATTATGAATTATGTTTTAAACTACAAACTTCTGTTCCTGTGATTTTTTTCTCAAATCCTCTTTAACATTTGAGTAAGCTGATGTGCTCAGAAACCTTCATGAAACTGTGATTCAAAGTAATAATGACGATACAAGAAGAAATAGATGCTGATTTGAACATATAACTCAACTTTTTCTGTCCGAATAGCCCTTTAAAATATGATGATAATTTATGGAATTGGTATCAGTCTCAATTCTAATGCCCCTTTGCTAAAAAATAAACAAGCTACATTCAGGTCCAGTGGATTTTTCCTGTCATAGTGGGTCAAAGATGAAAAGCTTTGTGGAAAGGAGATCAGGCTTCAGGCATGCTAAAATTTTTCATCACTATAAAGAATAATAGTTTGCTGCATTTTATGTAGGGTTACTCCTACATCTAATCCATACTTATTTTTATTTTTATATTCATTCTAATCTTTCGTGCATCTTTTCTTAAGCAGTTGAAAATTCAGGTCATAAAAATAAACATTATCTAGGCTTCAATCCTTCTCAGATAAAAGGAGTTCTCATGTCTGCGTAACACCTTTATAAAACTTTCAGAATTTTACCATAACCTCATGACTTAGGTTATCACCTGAAGCAGGTGATACTAAATGTTATTGTCCATATTTGTCTATAACTTCCATTGATTCATTGGTCCAATCAATCCATGTGCCGCTATGGCTACCAGGTAAGTTGAAAAATACAACTGATACAAGTTGACATTTCCAAGAACACTGCTAATAATGTAGAGTTAGGTTCTAGAGCAAAAACAGTATTTATGAGCTAAAAAGAGCAGGTCATATGTATGATATGCTCACTAATTTTCATGATAGTCCCCTTTAACAAAATTTATCATGGGAGATTAAATATGTTTTTCTTGAAGCAAAAGATAAACATACACTTCCCTTGATCTTCATATCCAATCCTTGGCAAACCGATCACTCCTCTACATATAGGTTTAGCTCATTCATAAATTCCAGAAATGTTTATACTAACTACCTGCCAGATGCTGTGCTAGACTAGGGTTGGAACAAGAAAGAACACCCAATCCCAGCACTCTGGGAGCCACATTTAGGAGAAGAGAAAGGTCAAGTGTTCCAGGCTATGCTTCCCTTCAAGTCACAGTACGACTTGCAAATACACATCTTCATGTGTATTTGCAAAACCACCAGCTCATCAAATGCTCTAACACAAGCTCTGGGCAGTGTCTGCCAGTCTGCACTCTATCTGCTGCCGTAAGCAGTTCATTTCCCATAACGGAGCTTGGGTGACTTTCCTTACACATGGCCAAAGTGGCTTCCATGACAGTGTGGATCAGGCCCAGAGCCCTTCACCGTGGTTCCCCAGATGAAATTTTTCAGTGTTTCCATTGCCCATGAGAGAAACACAAATTAAATTGAATTAGGCAGAACATCAAATGTATTTTCATATTTTGCCATGGAGGGCAGGGTGTAGTCAGTAGGGACAGGACCACGGTTCAGTGCTGCCAGGATTTGTTCCAACTGCATATCTGTTTCTTCCTGAGCATCAGAATCAATCTCTCCTTTTACTTTTTCCACCAGACTTGACCCTGTCTGTGGCAACTCTCAGCTCATATGCTTAGAGTATGATGAACAGAAAATAAATGAGTTTCATTCTCCCAGCTTGAAAATTCCTGGGGAGGCACTGTATGTTGCCTAGCTTATGACACTAGACCAAAGCTGGCACCAGCTCATCCTAGTGGCCCACACCTGTGCCTGGAGTGGGGTCTCCAAATATGGCCACTGGGAATCTTTCCAGATAGAACAGTCACAAGTCTCTCTATAATGCATAGGGCCCTTCTGTTTTCTTCTTTACCAGCCTTCCCACAGGGACTTTAGGAAAACATACATCTCCTCATTTGGTCTAGTGATAAAACTCCCACAGCCAGTTCTTTAGTCAATTACTTTTTTTCCTCCAATCATTTGCAGTTGTTCTTGATCGTTTTGACATCTATATCCTAGTTTCCAAGCCCATATTTTGCTACTCTCTTTAAAAAGTTTTATATCTCCATGTACATAGAGTATAACATGCATGAGATTGTAAACTTCTGGAGGGCATGGATTCATTAGTCTAATTAGAATGGCTGTATGGATGTATCTATTTAATGCAGGAGAGATCTGTGGAGTCTAAAGAAGAGTAAGACACAACCCTATATTTCAAAGCACAGAACCTAGCTTTATGTTGACCTCGTCTTTATGTGATTTGAGAAGAGTAAAAAATACAGAGATCAGCTCTAGAAAATTTGATTATTCAAAAGCATTCAATGTTTGTGGACACTATTCATTTTTATCCAAGAACTGATATATTAATACATGTTATAAATGCACCAGTGATATATATCATAAACACGTTTATCTTTGTTTGAGGCACATGTTTTAATCTTTAATGGTCAAACAGCAACAACAAACCCTCTTACTCTATCAGAGACCCAGAAATATCTATTGCTTGATAAATGCTTTCAACTAAAAATACTCAACATGAAATAAGCAAATGCATTTTCAGTAACAGCCTAATAAATACCTTTTGGTCATTACTTGTCCCACGTGACTCTTGACACAGAAGACTCTCCGAGTCTGAATGCCTACACCACACGTGGCTTCTCCATTCCAGCCAATGGTTGCATTAAGGGCAGTTACCAATGTGTCCTCAGAACAAGGGCCCCAAGGCGATGTCTCCCAGTGAAGCTGCATACAGGAATGGTCATTACACAAACGATGCTCTTGGAGAGCCTGACTAGGGGGACATGGCTTTCCACCTGCCAAAAATAAGAACAAAAGGTAATACATAGTGGTTGCTGTTCTTGTTTTTGTTGTTTCTGCTGCTTTAATGGTCTAGAGAGACAGCTTTGCTGACACAGCCTTCCAAAGACCTGAGCCACTGCACTGTTCTTCTCAGTCTAAGAACAGGGATTTTTGTCCCAAGCAACACCTGAGGAAAATATTGTACACTCCTTTCCACTAAATAACAAGCAGCAGTCCACATCAATTAGATTTTAAAATTAATTGACTCTGTTGCCCACCACTGCAGCATGTATCTCTGAGATAAACTCCAAAGAAACCTGCTTTTCAAAAAATATTTCTATGCTTCTTATATTCATGTATTAGCCAGTTAGAATAGTCTATGACCTCGAAGTGATATTAGTTTGAATGAGCACACACACACACACACCCCTTATGCAGCACGGTCTTCCTAAGAGAGGCATTATTTTTCTAAGAGAACTATTTTAAGACACCTATCCTCTATCAAGCAGTGCATTTCACTGCAATTTGAGAAATCCAGAAATATCTGTTGAAGTTTGTTTGGAGAAGAAAACCCCTCCTTAAACTCTGAAATAATACCTGACAATGTGCTATCCCCTGGCAGGAAGACCAGACATATATGCATCCATAGACTCTTGGATGAGTCAGACAATCCAATTTCATTATTGTCCTTTTCTGACATTTTTATATCCATATAAAAAGTGGTATTTATCTAAAGCATCGATCTTTGCCTACTCTTCTACACTTTAATGGTTTATTCAGTGGCCCAAATGCCCAGGATCTGTGACCTTGGTTTTGTTATTCTTGATTTTTTTCCCATTCACTCCTTCCAGAAATATAAAAGAAAAGAGAAGGAACCATCTTCACTTTAAGAATATGAAAATCTTCATTTATCTTGACCCTGGCCCCATTTCGCAGGATCAAAGAACAGAAACTTACTTAAAAAGTAGCTCCTCACAGCCAGTGGCCATGCTGTCCTGCTGTTCTAACTGAGCCATGGGCAGAAAAAGCCAAGGGAGGGCATGAAAGAAATGACGTGTGCTGGAGACAGAGACCATCACCATAAATTACAGGAACAGCTGCTCCTCTAATTTGTTCTGACGTCACCCACTTATATTCTCATAGCACTTTTTAGCTTCATCAAAGCCATTTTCACAGCCTCCATGATGTGCCCCCCTCCTGCAGAATGCTGGCATGACAGGATACCAGCATGCACGGATCAGGTAGTTTGCAGATGTTAGTGGCAGTTCCCAGTTGAGAAGCCATGTCTCCTGATTATTAATTTGAAGCTCTTTTTACTAAACATAGTCTAATTATGTTCCCAACTGCACAAGCTATCTTTGGTTTGGGTGTGTATCAACCAAATTCTGCTTTCTTGTCTAAGAAGGGTTCTGTAAAATAACATCCATCTGATTGCCATGGCCCATACACAGGTATGTGGTAAAGCAATTCATGTAAATGGGTTAAGCCAGTATAGCTTAACTAGAGAATCAAAGCAAAAAGCATGGAGGGAAATGAAACTGTTAATCTGGATTCAGGGAATAGAGATATCGTCTATGTGTGACTATTTCCTCCATATAAACTTCTCTATCACCAATGAGGAAAAATGATAATAATTGGGCTAATGAATCCAAAGTGAAAACCTTTTCTGTTACTCACCTTCCCCAGCCAGTGCCAGGATAGTTCTTGACCTGGTCTGTTTCCCATCTGAGTTTTTATTTGAACAGGACTGGGAACAGGATGACCACTCCGTCCACTCGCTCAGCACACAGTCCATTCGGCAGGGAATTTCACAAGACTTCCTCTCAGGAGGAGGGGGAACTGGGCAAAGACTCCCTGATACATCTTCTCCTACAATCAACAAGATCAAGACAGTTGGTGATTAATGCACAATCAAGCCTCACTGCTTTATCTATTACTTCAGTTTAAAGTACCCCCCCAAAAATGATAGTTTCTTCAGCCATTCACAATATTTACATCAGAAAAAACTGCCAGGAGATAATTTGGCATTTAGAAAGGTAGACACTACAGCAAAACTCCCATTTGTAATCTTTCATAGAGACAAAGTTGGCTTCTTTCAGAAACAATTTAGCCACGGATGGCTAAAGATGGACCTGGTGGATGTGTTATGGACAACCATATATAACAAGTATATGCTTTTCTTCAAAACGGAAGTCAGAGCTGTCCGTTCACCTGAAAACCACAATTTATGTTGACCCTTCTAATCTACTAAATTAAAAGGAATTTTATAATTCTAGTTTTCTTTTGGGTACATTCACCTCCAAATATGCAACCTTATGCAATATTATCACACAATGACTGTTTTGTTCTCCTTTTTCATAGTGGTAAATTATCTGAAACTAAAATGAAAATGGACCTGTGGCTAAAATTATATAACGTGTTGACATAAAGTTGACAGCCAGTCTGAAGTTCTCCCTAATACATTTAATATTCCCCCTTGAATAATCTAATGCATTGCTAAACCAAAAAATAACTGTACTCAAAAATATGGCACAAACACACCAGATGTCAAGGATCCTCAATTTTGCTATTGCCTCAGTACCTTTCTGTAAATACTATTTACAATCCTTTGATACCATATCATAGAACATGATTTTTCAGAAACTATAAAATAATGGAGTTTTATAATTAACAGATGTTAGGACTAAAGGGATAATTTCTAAGTAATGGAAAAATATTTCAAATGACTACAATGGCTAATTAAAACTCTCAGGTTGTTTATTTCCTATTAGTAGAATTCAAATATTCCTCTTTTATAGATAATAACTCAACTCTTACTATTCCCCTCATTCACAGTCTCCTCATAAAAACAGAGGACACAAAGAATAGTGACGTCATTTATTGTTTGAAATAACAACATAAAACATGAAATGGCAACTATAGGAGAGAGGCGGTTTTGTTTGTATGACTTTATGGCTTTGAAATTCTCTTGTCATGATCTGGCTGAAACAAAAAAATAAACGCGAAGGGGACTAGTATTTATTGAACATCTCCTTGCGCCAGGCACTGTGTTTTGCATATATCATTCAGGCTTTGCATATGTTATTGAGTCCTCACAAGAAACTCTGAATGACAAGTGTGATCCATCTCATCTCACAGATGAGGGCTCAGAGCAGAGGCTCAGAGAGGAAAGTTTGCTCATGCTTACACGGGCCTGAGCTGGGGAGCAAATCCGAACCCTCTGACTCTGAAACTTCTGCTTCTCCCATTAACCGTGCTGTGTCTAATTCCAAGGAGATGGATATTCTTTTTCTGAGGAAGTCAATAAAACAAGCTGACAGTCAGCAAGACTGCCTGAAGGAGAAGATAGTGCACAGCTAATATCTGCGTTCATATTTGTAAATGAGGCCAGGCTCATTGCCCTTGAGGTACAAATAAAGCTTTTCAAGCATATTATGAGAAGTAATAGACGTTCTAGCAGATAATCAAGCTGAAAAACCAGTTCCAATAATTCTCTCTTCAGTCTCAATCTATTTCCAGGTTGAGTTCACACTGTGTGTAACACACACACACACACACACACCCAATACAGCACTTTCACAAGTATAGAAGCAGGCAGGCCAAACAAAAGGCCCAACCTACATCTAATCAAAATTTAATTTCCACACTTGTGAATATTATTAACATAATCTGTGCACAAAATACTTTAAAGCTATGTCTTGCAATAAACCTTTTGAGGAACAAGATATTTGTAGGGGTTTTATGAATAAAAGTAAGGGGAAAGGTGGTGAGGGTTGGGTTAAAAATAGTAACATTGGTTTCATTACTGAAAAATTTCTCAGTGTTGAAAATGCCAATATACATTGTAAGTTTCCTAGAAGGTAAATGAGATGTAGTGCTCTTCACCTGTATTTGATCGAGGGCCACACTTTTGGAAGAGCATCTCTATCTTTCTTTCAGAAATGGTACTTTTATGAGTATGCTTTGAGAAAACTCTACATTAAAGAACTATGAAATTGTTAACTACTATTTGATGAGTAAATACTATGTCCAAGGCATATGATGGGATAAAAATAGATGGGCTCACTGTTACTTATCTTTCTAGAGCTCATGATTAATGATGAAGATGAGCTATTAACACATAAAAGTAAAACGAAGGCCAAAAGTAAATGTCAAGTTGCAACTGCGTGATTCAAACACAAAATATTTTAGTGATTCAGTGGATTGGCATGGTTCCCTCCAATAATGGAAATAAAAGGGCTGAGAACTTGTGGCAAGGATGGAGGGTATTTCAGGCGTTGGAAGGATCAGCAAAGGTTAGGTAGGAAAATACGAGGTATCTGGAAGATAGTTAATACTGAAGGTGCATGATGAGAAGAGAAAGACTATCTTGGAGGAGTTATTTGACATCAAATTCCAAATGATCTAGACTGAAACATAAGTTTTATTGTATCTCTGCCTTCCTTAAATTCCCAGTTACTCAGGTTTCCCATGACCCAAATTTACCATCCTCCCTGTCATTACATTCATTGTTGTCAGTATTCACTTCAGGTGCTCAAATACTTTTTAAAATCTCAGCTTTTTTATAAGCTGATATACCTATTTCCTCAGTGAACTTTAATGTCAATACTCCCACCAACACCAACCTTTTGGTAGTTTGGCTATACAGGCTAATTCAGAAAAGGGAACAAATAGATCAGAACTTTAGGGAAGCAAAACTAATAGTCATAAGCATCCTGTAATTCCTGTGGGAGTTATTTTAAAAGAAATCTTGAAAAAAAAAAAAACAGCTGCACAGTGAGGTTTCAGCTGCAATGTGTCTAGCCAGACTCAATTAAGTGTATTAAGGTGAGTTGTAGCTACCAACATTTAGTCACTTAAGGACATCACTTAACATTTTTGAACGTCAATTATTTCATTTGTAGGAATCAAATAATGATGTTTACCTTTTAGAGCTATTCTAAGGATTAGGATTCATTTATTCAACATACATATCTAGGTGTCTAACACATGGTGAGCTCTCAATATAGGGGAACCTTAAAAAATGTCTTTGCAAAGACATATACCACAAAAAATGGTCTTCATCTGAAATCTAGATATTTATGTCACAGCCATGAAAAGCACTTGCTTTACTATTCATATTTGTACAAATGACAATTAACAGTTTCATAGATTGGTTTACATAAAATATTTAAAAACTTATAATTACACAGATCCTTTTATTGACATGGTTGGCTAATCTAAACCATCTAAGAGCCAAAAATAAAGCACTTGAGCCTAAATAACCTCATCTGCCCATATACATTGGTATAATTATCTTCCCATTGTGCAGACAGAACCCATCTCAGAAGAGGAACATTTATGCTTTCCTGTTTTTATTTTCTTGGATGGATCAATGAGACCATGGAAATCTCAGGCAAGCATGGAAAATAAAGCCCTACATAGTTCAGAAGCTTAGCCATTAAAAGTGATTTTCACAAGCTCGGATAATCTAATGTCATAATAAAATGGAATATATTTAAGAGGGAAATTGAATTCATCTTTCAAAAAGGCTCTGTAAAATTATTCCCAGCACTCACCAGGCTCCCTGGGATCAATAAGAGCAAACTCCCTGTTCTCTCCTTGTGGAATAGACTTATTTAAACCAGTTATGATTCTGGAAAAATGGAAAATCGTTCTGCTTTGACCGTGTCACTTGGGATTTTGAAAAATAATTTAATGTGATGAAATTCACATAACATAAAATTAACTGTTTTGAAGTAAACATTTCAGTGGCATTTAGCACATTCACAATGGTTACAAAATATTTTAATCACTCCAAAGTAAAGCCCCATACGCATTGAGCAGTTTCTGTTACCTCTTCCCCACAGCCTCTGGAAACTGCTAATTTACATTCTTTCTGTCTCTATGAATTTATTTATTCTGAATATTTTATATATATTTGTGATCTTTTGCATCTGGCTTCTTTAAGCATAGTATTTTGGAGGCACATTCACCTTACAGCATGTTTCAGAACTTCATTCCATTTTATGAATGAACAATATTCCATTGTATGTATATACTGAAATGTGTTTATTCATCTGTCGATAGACATTTGGGCTGTTCCCATATTTTGGTTATTATGAATACTACTGCTATGAATATGCATGTGCATATACTTGTTTGAATACCTGTTTCTACTTATTTGGGATATACATCTAGGAGTGGAATTCTGGAGTCACATTTATCACTCAATTTTGCTCACTGGTGATTCTAGGGGCTGTGGCATAGATAGCCAGATGAATAGGCTCTGGCTACAGTTCACACTACTCTTCTAATACCTGCCCATTTCCAGCAGAATCAAAAGCACTTGGACACGACAAAGATTCTTAACATATGAATATACTCAAGATCATTTAAGAATGTTTCTTTTTTTCAGTTCAAATGTATATACCAATTAAAAATAAAATATAAATAGCAGTTATATTTTATAAAAATAAACAAACAGCATAGTCTATAATTCTTATTTTCTGACCCTAGAGTACAGGTGTCTAAAGAGAGAAAGAAAAAAATAAAGATATGAACAAAGTACAAAGAAAAAGAAAATAAAAAAAACCTAGACAACCATGAATCCACAGTGTAATTTGAAAAGTAGACCAACATTTTGCTATGATACAAACTTCAAACTACCTTACTCGTCCAAAAATAATGCATACTGGGTACTTTATTGATATTTCCTCTTGTATGCTATTACACTATGGAAAACAATGAAACAGTTATCGAAAATACTCTACATGTCATAAAATTTTATGTCCTACTTAAATCTAAGAAAAGAATGCCAATAAACCTTGATTAAATGCTTGCCCACAGCTGAGTAAGATATCAACAGAGTAAGTAGCAAATTTAGTGGAACTCATATGCTTTTAATTCCATTTTTAAAATCTAAATATTATGTCCTCAAAAGCAAGTAGCACCTGGCCACTTCTGGATTGAGACCCTAACCAGCTAAGGAAATGTTTATATTCAGAACCAATAAAATATGGAACAAAAGCTAAGGGCAAAACAGAAGCTATGAACAACATCCTAATATTGCTAACAACACAATTAATGTCTCTGCTTGCTAATTTCAGAATTGGAAGCATATTTGTCTATTTAGCTTACACATATAGGAAATACATAAAGAAACTCAATGTCAAATATTATAATAACAAAAACAACATCAACAACTGCAGTAAAATAACAATAGCATCTGATATTTGGGAAAGCTTAGAGTGGACTAAACTCTAGCTAACCACATCACATGCAGTATTTCACTGAATATTCATATTAATATCATTAGTTTGGCACTATTGTTACACCTGAGGCATGAAGAAGTTAAAAAACTTTCTCAAAGTTTTTTCCTTACACAGCCAGTGTCTGAGCTGGGTTTGGAAAGCAGATCTGCAATATGTAATAAGCTCAGTTCTTATCCATTGGGGTTGTGTTGCTTTCTGGTTCATATCTCACATATATCTTTCTCTTTACATTACTTTTAGATAATACCAAACCATAAATAAGGGACTCTACACAATTCATTGTCAGCTCATCAGTAAATCTAGCACTGGGGGAGCAAGCCCAGAAGAGTGGGCACCTTGATTATTTTGGAACTGCATCATGGCATGGGGTGGAATTGAACAATGCTTTTCCAACATAGAAAAGATGAGTAGATGAAAGACAGTTCAGAACGAAGAGATGGGAGGAAGTGATAGAATACAAGGCCACATAAGTAAAGACTCAAGTAGGGAGATTCAGCAAAAACTGTACAATGTATGATGAGCTAAATTACACAAACACAGGCAAAAAATATAATAATGATGTAAAGATGCTCACAAAGTGAAAAACATTGAAGTTCTAAGAACTGATAGAAGTAAAGAAAGAGAACATAGAGCAAAGGCTAAAATGAACATGGGAGGAAAACCCAAAAGAGACATTAAAAAGAAAATACTTTAGATAAGAAATAATAGCAATAATAAATGAAGAATAAGAAAAAAATATTTCCAAATAAACATGATTACAAAGGCCAGGAATTAGCTAAAATTGCATCCATGTGGCAAGTGAGCTGTTTGTTTCAGAAGCCTAACTGGGTATACAAAGTTCTTCAACATACAATAATATAATAAGAGTAGCTAAGCAGGAGAATGGCGTGAACCCGGGAGGCGGAGCTTGCAGTGAGCCGAGATCGCGCCACTGCACTCCAGCCTGGGCGACAGAGCGAGACTCCATCTCAAAATAATAATAATGATAATAATAATAGTAGCTAACAATTTGATCACCTAGGATGTACTCAGAAACATACTGTTATGTCCTACAAGTATTAGCTTATTTAACCCTCAAAGCATTAATATCAGTAAACACATGCATAGTACTTAATAGATGTCAGTTTCTGCCCCAAGTAAATCACCTATATTAATTCATTTAAATTTCACAGTAGTCCTATGTGGGAACTATCTTTATTAATAAAGGCACTGTGTCTTGGGTAAGTTAAACATTCTGTGTAGGAACAAACACAAGTAAATCGTGGAGCTTGAATTTGGACATGGACAACCTAGTCAGAGTATGTTTCTTAATCATGATGCTCTACAGATACTCAAGCGTTCTATTCTCTCTCAGGACAATTTATGTACCTGGCTACAGAAGGCTCAATCCACTGGAAAGTCAGTGAAATGTAAGTATGATCACACCTTTAGTAAACGAATTCTGTACTATGTGTTACTCAAGGTGAGAAGAGATGTGAAAGAGCAGAAACAGACTCTATGATTTAGGAGCAAACTGCAGTTGCTCAAAAACAACAAATCGAGCAAAAATCTAACCAAATGTCTTAGTGGTTGTGTTAGTTCATTCTCACACTGTTATAAAGAACTACCTGGGTAATTTATAAAGAAAAGAGGTTAAATTGGCTCATGGTTCCACAGGCTGTACAGGAAGCACGGCTGGAAAGGCCTCAGGAAACTTACATCATTGGCAGAAGGGGGAGCAGTCACACCTTACAGGGCTGAGTTAGGAGGAAGCGGGGGTGGGAGGATACTGCACACTTTTAAACAACCACATCACATGAGAACTCACAGTCAAGAGAAGAGCAAGGGGAATATCCGCCTCCATGTTCCAGTCACCTCCCATCAGGCCCCTCCTCCCAATATTCGAGATTACAATTCAACATGAGATTTGGGTAGAGTCACAAATTCAAACCACATCAGTGCTGAAATGTTACATTGAGGGGGTCCAGTCACACATTCCAGGAGGAAGCAATCACTATTTTATATTTGTGTAAAGAGTTTGAAAATTACTATAACTAAAATGCAGGGAAAAAATGTTGGCTTTTTTTGTTCCTAAAAATAACGCCAACTTGTTGATAAGCCTTTCAGCTTGGTAGTCAGGGTGGGTGAGAACAGGGTAAGAAGGTATCCATTTAAAGTAACTTAGCACTGGATGGTAAAACTCGATATTTCATTTTTAACTCAATCTCAGGTTTTCAATGTTTCTCCTCTGTCTCTTTTCTCATTTTCTCTGGGCAGCAGCCAAGGGTCAGAGAAACATGTACGTAACAATGTTGGACATGTTGTGTGAATTTTGCTGGTTCTCCAACTGAGCTATTGCCATCAAATTGGTCTTCGTGTATTATTACCTAGTCTTGAAAGCGCACCTGCAGCCACTGCGAATTTCTAGGGTCCATGACACAGTTTTCCTATCTTCTGGTCCACATACTTCACAGCCACCTACACCTGACTTCAAGCCAGTTCTAGTTTCCTGGAGCAGTCAACATTTCCACAGCCCATACAGGGACACTCAGGAATTTCAGGACTATCCCCACATGATAAAACAGGCCTGGGAAGACCTGGTTTGGAGGGTGGGTAGCAGCTAGCTCAGGCCCACTCTGTGCCTAAACACAGGGAACCATTTTCTCTGCTTTCAGTTTCCTTTTAACCTATCTGAAATTTCCATAGTTGTCATTTCTTCAGCCCAGTATTTCATCCACAGAATGAGAGAGGCCAGGGACTCTCACTATCTACTATCTTCTCCACATCCTCCCCAGGCTCCTCCTTTCTGACCCAGGAAGCCAGCAATGTGGGATCCAGGCTTATGCTAACACTCTACACTCCAGTCCTTTGGCCTTCCTTTTTGATATTTGAAGGGAGCTATGTGGTATTTACAAAGCACTCTTCTATACGCCTGGCTCTTGCACATGAATTACCGACTTTCAGAATTATTGTCTCTGATGTGAGCTCCATTTTGTGGCACTAACTCTTTTCTGTATGTTTGTATTTGAGGTATAATTATCCAAATTTTTCCAGTGCATGCCTCAGAAATCAACAGGGGGAGGGTTTCTTGCCCACGAAGGTATACAGGAAAAAAGCAGACTGCAACATCTCAAAATATGATCTGATGACATCTACTTAATATGGAAACCTTGTTTCTCATGAGAGTTTTGCAGAAAAACTCTGTATAATTTTCAAAACATGAATCCAGAATAAAATAATAAAATGAATATGTGACCTCTGTAATGTAGGAAATGTTTCTTCAAAAGGAAAATATTGGAGCAAATAAACAGTGCATTATAATGGACAGAATAGTTGATGAGTAGTTGGGACGTCTGGATTTCAGTTCTGCTTTTGACATTTACCAAAATGTGACGCTGGAAAATTATTAAGCTTATTAGGCCTAAGATACCTGCCATAAGTGAGGAAAGGGCAGTACTAACATTTCTGATTATATTATTGGGTTTGATGATGGATCAAAGTGGGTAATAGAAAATAATATTTAGAAAATTACAAACACTATTTATACATAATGTGGTTTTCTTATTATTGGTAAAAATGGAGATAAAGGACATTCCAAATAGAAAAATGATTTGAGTTAAAGATACTATGTCTCTTACTCATCCTAATTTTGTCTTAGCTAGAAAAGTATAAGAGGAACTGAAAGGATTATGAAGTCAGAAATAATATTACTCATTTCATTTAGCTGCCTAGCTAGCTCTGCAGAAAAGAATCTGGACCAGCTTCAACATGAGGTATACCTTTACAAAGTACTTCAAATTATCTAGAAGTTTCTTAAATAGTTGAAAAATCAAAACTTTTAAGTTAGATTGGGTAAGTCAATAGAGTAAATTGGTAACACATCACTAAAGAATAATCATTTATCTCTGTAATTAACCTTCAGAAACATAACTTTAATGTCTGTACATGGGAAAAGTATGGTAATTTATTTAACTACCTCACTATAATTGCACAATTAAGATGTTTTCAATTTCTCTGTGATAAATAACACCCCAAAAATATTCTTGACCATAACACGTTGATTACTTTCCTAAGAATAGATTTCTTGAAATGGAAAAACAAAGTCAAAAAACATAAACTTCATTAAGGTTCTTAGTAGAAAAAGTTGCCTATTTTCTTTTTTTCCATTATTTATCATCACACATAGCTTTTTAATGTACATTCAATAAAATTCACTCTTTGTAGTTGTATAGTTCTATGGGTTCTGGCAAATGCACAGTCTTGTATCCATCACCAAAATGACGAGGCAGGACAGTTCTATCACCACTAAAAACTTCCCTTGAGGGGTCCCCCTGTAGTCAATCCCTCCCCATCAGTTCTAACTTTTTGTTTTTGTTTTTGTTTTTGTTTTTTTTGAGACGGAGCCTTGCTCTGTCACCCAGGCTGGAGTGCAGTGGCGCAATCTCGGCTCACTGCAAGCTCCGCCTCCCGGGTTCAAGCCATTCTCCTGCCTCAGCCTCCCGAATAGCTGGGACTACAGGTGCCCGCCACCACTCCTGCCTAATTTTTGTATTTTTAAGAGAGACGGGGTTTCACCGTGGTCTTGATCTCCTGACCTCGTGATCCGCCCGCCTCGGACTCCCAAAGTGCTGGGATTACAGGCGTGAGCCAGTTCTAACTTTTCGGAACGACTGAGAAGGCACCTGTCCCTATAGTTTTGCTTCCCTCCTCCCCCAGAATGTCATATATATAAAAAATGATGCAGTCTGTATCATTTGAGGTCTTACTTCTTTCACACAGCAAAGTGCAATTTAGGTTCATTCATGTTACTGTCTCTATGAATTAGTCATTCTTTTTTGTTGCTGAATAGCATTGCATTGTATGGATGTAGAAGGTTTTGTTTATTCATTCTCCTGCTTAAAGACTTTTGGGTTGTTTCCAGGTTTTGGCGATTGTGCATAAAGCTGCTATGCAAGATTACTACAAGTTTTCATTTCTCTTGGGTAAATAATTAAGGGTGAAATTGCTGAATCATATGGCAAGTGTAGATGTTATAAGACACTGCCAAACTGTTCTCCAAAGTGTCTGCACTCTTTTGCCTTCCCATGAGCAATGTTTGAGAGTTCTACATTGCTCTAACTGTTCTACACCCTTAATAGCACTTGGTATAACCAGTTTCTTTCTGTTCTTTATTGAATTGTTGTCATTCTTATAGGTGGGTAGTGTTATTAAACTGTATTTTTAATTTGCATTTTCCTATTGACTAATGATGCATCTTTTCATGTGCTTATTTGCCATCCGTATATCTTTGGTGAAGAGTCTTTTCAAATCTTTGGCTTATTATTTTAATTGGGATTTTTTTTTATTGTTGAGTTTTGTAAGTTCCTTATACATTCTAGAAAGAAATTATTTGTCACACATGTGATTTGAAAATGTCCTTTTAGAGTCTTTTTTTTTTCCATTTTCTAAACAGTGTCTTCTGCAGAGAAAGTTTTAATTTTGCTGAAGTCATCTTATTAACTTTTTCCTGTATAGATTGTGGTGCTGTATTCAGTTTGTATTTAAAAATACAAATTTTCAGGAAGGAACAGAAAATACATTGCTCTATGCACACACACAAAAAAAGAGAGTTGAAACTTCTGTATTAGAACATATAATTTTATAATTTTGGATAGAGTGAATTCTCCAACCAGTGTGTCCTAGTATACAACACCAACACTAGTTTTCACCTACAGTTCTATAGCACAATTTTTCCATAGTGAATGTTTACTGAAGTAACAACTGAGAGTCTAGCACTATAACATCCTGTCAACCTGTATGATGCAATGAAAATTACCTTGTGGCTGAAATATTATTTAGTATCCATTTAGTATAATGCACCATGATGAAGGTGAGACTGCTGTTTATAACATTGTGCAAACATCCGGCACAATGTCAGCCACATAGTAGGTCTCAATAAATTTTGGATGAAGAAGTAAATGAGAAGTAAAGGGAAAGATGTTTAGTCTACTTAATGCATAAGCAATCTTTTGCTTTTACAGTATTTGCTCCTACTAGTTTTTATGATATAATTGTGACAGTAACATATTGAAAGTTACAGACCATGGCAAACCATTTTCACTCTAACACATTTTTCAGCTCAGGCCTCTAGGAAGCTTGACTTTGAATAAAGTATGCAAAAAGCAAGATGAGCTTGCCTTTTTCTTGAGTTGGTTGGTAACCTCTTCTGTTTTTGTCTGAATTATATGCCTGCTATTATAGCAACCATGATATTGCCAGTTCTTGTCTTTGGATCCTCTACATTTTGGAATTTATGAAAAATTTGTAGAGCTCATCAACATCTAAGAATTCTTGTACTTGGGAAAACAAATCTACAGAAACAGAACAGTTTAAGGCAGGCAAACATCACTGACTGTGTAATTCTCAGAGGATAACCACAGTGTTTCCCTTTAAAAGGCATTCTTGATGTCTTTTCCCATGCCTGATTCCCTGGCTATTAAACTGTTCCTATTCAATTTTGCAGAACATGGCAGGGGTCTAATGACTAGTTTTGTCCTATATTGAAGAAGTATAATGAAACAACAAACCACATAACTACATTGAAAGTTTGCAGTGGTGAACTAGGGGAGAATCATGCTGTATATTTTTCTCATCAAAATCTTGCAAACTAATTAAGACCTTAAAATAATTAATGTATCTCAATTTTCTATTTTTTTTTTCACAAACTCAGTTGAAAAAAAAGTATGACAATACCACAGACAAGGCAGCATAGAAGCTAATACTTAGAATAGGTTTCTCACTCATCAGAAGTTTTGTGCTCCAAACAGAAAACAGAGAGCCGTTAAAAGTTTAGTTCAGTCTTTAGTAAAACCAACCAGCTGTAAAAAATAAGATCTTCACATGAATATTGGAAAGATAACAATCAGAAAAACAGAATGGGGAGAGAATAAATACTGAAGGCATAATCCCAAAGTTCTTACTCAAGCCAAGCTGACATCAGTTGGAAATTTATGTAAATAATAACACCTAAATTAATGATATGCATATATCATGAATGTATAGATTTCTACTGTAATTTCCTTTAATGTAGTATACTTTTCTAGTATTGTCTTAAGACTGATATTAATGCCTTTATGCAACTGAATGAATTCTAAAGAAGAACAAACCGTACTTTGTCTATCTTCCCCAAACTCACCTACCAGTTATTACAACACTCAATTTGGCACTGCCATGTTTCTAGCCAATCTCTAATAATTCAGAAAGAAATCACACTTTCACTTAAGATATATTTAAATATAAATAAAATATATGCTGAGATATTTCAAAACACAAGGAGTGAACTTAAGCAAATGTTTCAAAAATCCAAACATCACTTTATATCATTGTCAAATTCTCCTCAACACTTCAGAACAATAATAGTGACATTTAAGTCAAGTTGTGTGCTCAGAGTAAAAAAAGATGAAGAATACAGACATTTGAAATACATGTACTCCTTTTTCCTCTGCATTAAAATAAAAAAGAAACATGTCCATGAAATAAGGATTATTTTATTGGATGTCTACTTAAGAGGTCAAATTGTAATTATATCATTAATAATTATATTGACAATTATTGCCTGCAAGGCATAGTTTATTTGGAAGCAATTTAAGAACATTAGATATTTCTGATAATTTATCTTATTCTATCTGGCCTACTGATTAAAAGAATAATTTTCTAATTTTTCTAGGCAGTTAAACTGCACTTATTAGGTTATTTGTACACATGCATTTTTTCCTGAGACATAACAAATGGAGGGAAACAGCTGCTCAGTAAATTCAGGGTTGCATAATGTCTTAAGTCTTTAACCCATTATATCACCTCCTTGGCCAAAGAAAATGATGTATCTTATGTATTTCTGAATCCCCACTTCTTAGAACAGTACTTGGCTCATAGTAAGTAGTCAATAAATGCTAATTGAACTGAAATGAGCATAATTGAGCTGAACAGATGTTTTAGCATCTGAGATGTTTTTGGTTTCCATAGAGCTAGCACAAACTGAGGAAATTTTTAAATGACTAGAAATGTATCACCATCAATATATTTGATCAAGGTTCTACTGCTATGAATACTGCTAAAGGCACTAATTTACAAGCAGATAGACCTGGGTTTGAATTCTAGCCTGCCATTCTAAGTTGGGTGTCTCTAGGTGAGTTATTTCACCTCTAAGTTTGCATTGGCTACTTCACCTAAATATGTAAATAATGATTCCTGTCAATACATCACAGGAATTACATCATAATTAAATGAGGTAAGATTAAAGTAACAGGTACACAGTAAGTGTTCACTATGTGTTGGTAATAATAATGACATATGTCTACCAATCTCTATTAATGGCTTTAGATTTTCCATAAGTTCCTTGCAGATACAGTCAAATCTGTAAAAACTATGCCAACATAGGAAGAAAGTACGGAAGAGTGTAAAAAATAATGGGCATATGAAAAGGCATTTATGCAAAGCTTTGCAAGGCACCATCTGATTGTCAGTATGCTTGCTTTGGCAGTGGGTTTACCTGTCCAGTACTGTTATTTAGCTTTTGCTTGAGGTAATATCCATCAGTATACAATTCCTCCAGGGGGAGTGTTGAGAAACAATTCTGGATGGAAGGATGACCATGTCAAAAGGAAAATTTTGCAAAAGGGGCTCTCATTTAGGTAAGAAAAAGATGACTGAAAGTGCCAAGAGAGAAGAGAGTTGAATAATCACAAAAGAGTTAAATCCGCATTACATATATCTCTTAGAAGATACAGGAACAAACTTGCCCATAGACAACTAGGCAGCTAACCTAGACAGTGATATTTGAGCATCCTTAAAACTATGAGCACTGGCATTGGCAGCTGGAGCCTATGATGTATCACTGTGCTTACAGATCTGGCCTCATGTGACTTATTCAAGTTTGTGGAGATCAGCCCAAACTCAGGAAACCACATTTTCTTTCGCTGTGAAATTTCACAAACTATGAAAGTTTAATCGCCAACCCGTTTTGTACATCCAGCCAATGCTGAGCTGACTTACGGATCTTTGCCGAGCATGCCAAATCCATCCTTGGACATCTGGGCACCATGGGGCACCCGTTTCAGATTCAGAAGTAATCATACCATGTTTACTGCCAGGCAGTGACAGGATCCCTATAATTTCAGCAACATGGAAAAGGGACTCTGTTCCATTTCCCTTATTCATCAGTGTACCTAAAATCTCAAGCCTGTCAAAACTAATTTCTATCCATTCTTCCAAATGTAGATGAAGAGATGGAAGAAGAGCGTGTGTGATAAATTTGCCTGAAAATAAGGAAAGCCCCAGAGTTAGAGAATGCAATATTGTTTCTCTAACCTAGAAAATATTCTTCAATTTTCTTCACTATTCAGTTATCATAATGCAGGGGGGTGGGGGGCGGGGGGCAGGGGTCAGGGATACCCTGACAACTGCTTTTGGCAGAATTTTTATACTTATGTGTGCAAAGCAGTAAGTATGTAAACAGAAAAATATTAAAACTTTCAGTATTAATCTATATTTTAAAACACAAGCATATCTTCACAAACTTTCATATACAGAATGCATGAAATTCATAAAATATATATGAGCATGACTGCAATACGGTTTCTAATTTATTTTCCCCCTCAACAAAATTCTGCCTTTGAATTCTTATTTATTATGCCTTTTATTCAATTGAGTACCCAGGCAGAAAATACAATAAAGCTTTGCTAATTTCATAAAATATTGAAACATTGACACTGCAAATAGAATTTCACTATCTTTATTTACTTCTGGGCCTATCACATAGCTTAATCTAAAAACCTATTTAAGGAATGCATAATTTCCTAGGCCTTATTCTGATGAATTGCTTTCAGTATCTTAGAGAAGAAATATTCAAAATTTGGAAAAAACATTTCCACTTATTCAAAGTAGTCAAAGAGCTAATTCACAAAGATTAAGAGAATAAAGAATATAACAAACTTGGCCAATGTCTTAACATAATCCTTGCAAAATGTGTCTCTGGACTTCTTACAAGCTTTAAAGAGGAGTTCAAGTGGTCTTCCAAGAAAATAAAGACTATTACTAGGTGGTCATCTTCGTTCAGTCATCATTTTAAAATGTACTATAGTGTCTTAACTTCCTGATCAACAGGTTTCCTCCCATGACTGAGGGCATGCAGAGCTCTCCAGGCCAGCATCTACTTTTTGCATTTCAGAATCACTTATTTCAATGACTCCTCCCCTAGGGAGAATTGATTATCACAGTTTTAGAACTCATATAACCTGTTTGGGAATCTGCAGCTTTTGTAGAATAGGATGAGAAAAGTTTCTGTTAAAATGCTTGTATCCTGGATATTAGCCCTAATATCCAGAATCTACGAGGAACTTAAACAAATTTACAAGAAACAAACAAACAACCCCATCAAAAAGTAGGCAAAGGATATGAACAAACATTTCTCAAAAGAAAACATTTGTGCAGCCAACAAACATGAAAAAGAGCTCGTCATCACTGGTCGTTAGAGAAATGCAAATCAAAACCACAATGAGATAACATCTCATGCTAATTAGAATGGTGATCAATAAAAAGTCAGGAAACAACAGGTGCTGGAGAGGATGTGGAGAAATAGGAATGCTTTTACACTGTTGGTGGGAGTGTAAATTAGTTCAACCATTGTGGAAGACAGTGTAGGGATTCCTCAAGGATCTAGAACCAGAAATACCATTTGACCAGCAATCCCATTACTGGGTATATACCCAAAGGATTATAAATCATGCTGCTATAAAGACATATGCACACGTATGTTTATTGCAGCACTATTCACAATAGCAAAGACTTGGAACCAACCCAAATGCCCATCAGCGATAGACTGGATAAAGAAAATGTGGCACATATACAACATGGAAGACTATGCAGCCATAAAAAAAGGATGCGCTCATGTCCTTTGCAGGGACATGGATGAAGCTGGAAACCATCTTTCTCAGCAAACTAACACAGGAACAGAAAACCAAACACCACACGTTCTCACTCGTAAGTGGGAGTTGAACAATGAGAACACATGGACACAGGGAGGGGAACATCACACACCGGGGCCTGTCAGGGGGTGGGGGGCTAGGGGAGGGATAGCATTAGAAGAAATACCTAATACAGATGACGGGGTGATGGGTGCAGCAAACCACCATGGCATGTGTATACCTATGTAACAAACCTGCACGTTCTGCACACGTATCCCAGAACTTAAAATATAATAAATAAAAATGTTTGCCTTTCTCTCTACTTTCTACCAAAGGTATGACTTTTATGATTTGTATATTTATTACATACCAGCTAGAGATGCTTATTAGAGTTAATGTTGTCATTTTAATAGTTCAATTTCCACTTGTTAAAGGTATCTGATGTCAGCAACTTGATGTTGTAAACATAAGGAAGATGGTAGACAGAAGGAAAATCCAGGTATAAGTACATAAATAGGCATGGTGACAATGTTAAATGCTTTTATTTCCCAGAAAGAAAAACAAGGTATATGAGAAAAACATATACACTGCCATTAACACAAAAATGAACGAGTTATTATCTAGAATCAAAGCCTTCAACTTATTAGTTTATTTCTTTTCCTCCCACCTGAAACACACTGGCATGAAAAATCAATCTCAGAACAAAATTTATTACCATTATTATTATTAAATGAGATGCTGAATTTTACCTATGGCTTCATGGCTTCTGAACGTGAGAACTCTATCCTAACACAGTAAGTAGATTCTAAAAATGTCAAGCTTATAAGATAGAGAGTCATATCATTATGGGGCTAACGAAACAGCTGGGGTGATCCTGATAGCTCAGTGTTACAGGATCTGGCTCTGTGAGCCAACTCTACCTGCCATTTGTCACGACCCAGTAGCCATTATCTACTTTGATTTAAACAAGGATGGGAATAATTCTGGTGCTAAAGCTGGCTGAGATTTCAAGCACCATGAGCAAGATTTGAAAACAGGTTTATTGATGTCTGTTTTGGCAGCCCAATCCAACAGGGAGAATACTAGGGATAAGGGGATCAATTCTCTGCCTTGCCACTTAATTTTATTTTACTATGAATTAATAATCTTATATATCATGTATCATTATATATGATTATCCACATATATAAATTACATATACCATATCATACTATTAAATTATATAGAATATATATAGCATATTATAATACATATAACATATGACCTAATATAAACTTAATATGACAATATATTATAATATATAATCTATATATTATGTAGGTTAGTTAATACTAATATTGAATATAGTACATATTATAACATATATACTATTATATATTATAAATATATATAACATTATATTAGATATAATTATCTGCTACTAATAAAATGTGCAAATGGAGGGAGAAAGTTGGCAATACATAACAGCAGATATATAGAATATGTGTCAGATACCTACCTGATATCTAGCTAGCTAGCTACCTAACAATGAAATATAAATTTTAAAAGCCACAGAAAATGTTAAGACCAAAGGGTACATGGTTGTGTGCTCCCAATATATTAATATTCTTTAGTGTATTTCAAATGACTTTACAGCTTCCTTCAAATTTAGGCTTACAAAATATTACATACCTGACAACGTTTCTGTATAACCTTTTTTTTTTTTTTTTTAGCATACAGATATCACCTTATGCAATTTAGAACAATTTTTGTTGTGGCAGATGCCATAAATCTGGGCCTGAATTGAACAACATTCCTGTCCTTGAACTTTTATCCAGTATCAACTATCGAGGAAAGTATTCTAGTTCTACTTTGATTCCTGATCCATAATTTTACACCATTTGTGGTTTGTTCCTTACCCTTCTCTTTATAGCATCTTGGTTTTGTCCTGGAGCCATCCTCAAGACTCAGTGCATGTTTTCACATATTAAAGAGCCTCAGCCTCATCTTAAAAATCTTATATTTTCATGGCTGATGATGGATTGCCTTAAGCAGTGAATTTCTGAACTATAAGTCACAGGAAAAAAAATGATATTTTTTTTGTGTGCACTAAAAAATTGCTTTAGAGATGAGGCCTACCTTCGAGCATTTAGTATTACCATCTCAGCCCTCAATACATTCCATTTTGAAAGCCAATTAGTCCCAATTCAGACAATGTTTTAATTTGCTTTAAAATTATTCTACATGCTATTTCTCTTGGACACATTTTCAATTACCCAGTTTGACAAAAATCTTCACATATCAAATTAGGCTTTGAATAATTTTCAAGCATTCCCAAATCTTGTCAATATTCTGAAGAGTTTTCTGATGAAGGCTTTTCATAATTCTGATAGAATAACTTATGTGTACCATTGAGATAAGTTCTGAAATGATTGTTGAGACATGGAATTTGAGAATAAAATTAAGAAAGAGCTCACTCATTACAAAATGAATTTAGGAGAAACCACCTATGAAACTATGATATCTGCCAAAAACAAACAAAAAGTAAAAACCGACCAGAATCTAATGTAAGTGAAGCCAAAGGTAGTGAATTCAAAAGTAACATAGTTTTACATAAAATGTAGCATTTAAAAATATTTAATACAATAAATATCTAATAAAATTTTTGACTTTGTGAGGTTATATTAGAAAACATCACCAAAAATACTAGTGTAATTTTACATGTACGTGATTGTTGTGATTCACATTAGGATTCCCCCTTTGTTTATTGTTTATTTAGCTCCAGCATGGTAGAATCTGTTCCTCTTTTTCTTACTATGATACATATCAGATATATCTGGTACAGATTCATTTGATAAATATCTATTGAATGAATGAAAGACTAACAGCAAAGGCTAATTTGCATTCTTACCTTTTCTTTCCATAATGTGATAATAGGCAGGTGCATATGCAAATGCCATGAAAGACACTTTGAAATAACAATCATAATTGCAGTGACAAAAATAACAAAAAAATACTTGTAGAACACTTAACTGTTTATCAAGCAATTTCACAAACCATGAATCAAACAATGTTCACCAAGGTATTAGCACTCTTATATTGACAAAGAAACTGAGGCAAAAGAAGATTAAATGGGTTGTTCCAAGTCAGCAAGCCATTAACCACATGTCATCCTAACTAAGATCATTTATAAATTCTATATTAAAATTCAGCTAAAAAATTAGATACATCATTATAGTATTAAAATGAATTGATTGAAAATGAAAATTACATAACACATATATTACACTAATAATGTGATGGTTTAATTTTTTCACATAAAACACTGGCTTTATTGAGAAAATCTTGAGTGTGAGACAGTGAGAGGGCACAACTATAACATCTATAATATATTCCGTGTGTGTGTGTGTGTGTGTGTGTGTGTGTGTGTAGGAAGGATAGAGTCTGTTGAATAGACAAGCAATCTGGGTTAATAGTTTTAAATGGACTATGCCCCATTGTTCAATGTCAAATTTTGTGAACAAAATAATTAAACAGTTAAACTATAAATTACTCTTTCTCATGGCCAGTATCTATTTGTTTATACAAATCTCATTTCCGAAGCCAAAGTGAAAGATATTTGAGGTCACGCCGATACCTTTGAAACACTAAATGTCAAGGAAGTATCTTGCAATAATAGGGTCTCAATGAATGTTCACTTTAACAGGTGGAGGGAAGTAAAAAATATAATTAAGAAAGAATAGTTAATGTTCCTGCAATCAACAGAATCAAAGTTTGGAAGAAACAGCTCTATTATGAATACATTTTCCTTTTTCCCCCAAATGAATTATTCTAAAAATTATTCAGAATAAATGAAAGATAGATAAGGAGTTCAAAAGCCATATGACATTCAAAAGCCTGATACACCTAGAGGGCTAAATTCTATCTTCTGAAATAACTTTTTTTTAACTTTAACTAGAACATAATCTCATTAAATGACATAATACAAAAGTGAACATAAAAGTTGTACAAGAGAAATGTCAAAACTCTCAGAAGAAATTAATGTTTATTGGTGCAGTCTTCGATACTCCTCTCATCTCTACTTAAATGCAGTTTAAATGTATTACTATACATCAAACGAAGTCAGCCCAGTAATTTCCTACAAAATTCTCCCACTCAAAGTTTATAAAGATTTGACAATGACTTTTAGGTAGTTTACAAAGAGATTTGTCCTTGAATGTTTTGAATGTTTAAACTTGAAAAGAAAAGAAAAAAGAGTCTCCTACATAACTGTAAGAACGAATACTTCAAATCAGCCTCAATGGATAATTTTAAATGAATGTATATATTTTAACATAATTTATAGAATACTTCTTTTCCCCATATATCTCTGAACCAATTATACATTTTTTTCAACTCCACATGACAGAATTTTTAATATTGTATGTCTACTTGCTTAGGCATGATCTACTTATGTCTATTGATTACTTCATGGTAATAGCTACTTAAATGCCAAAAAGTGAAAGCTTGATAGATGATAAAGAACCTAGATGACAGGCATCATTGAGAAGGAAAATGAGTATCATGCTGTGTTAATTTTCTTGGACTACCATAACAAAATACCACAGACTGAGTAGCTTGAACAACAGAAATTCATTTTCTCACAGTTCTGAGGGCTGGAAGTTCAAGATGAAGGTGTCAGTCTTCACAGGGTTGGTCTCTCCTAAGGTCTCTCTCTATGGCTTGCAGATGGCAGCTTTTTTGCTATATCCTCACTGGTCTTTCTTCTGTATACATGCCTTCCAGGCACCCCTTTGTAGGCCCAACTTCCTCTTTTTATAAGGATACCAGTCAGATTCAAACAGGGTTCACCTTAACAGCCTAAGTTTAACTTAATCATTCTTTGAAGGCCCCATCACCACATGGTTATCTTCTGAGATACTGGGTTCTAGGACTTCACCATATGAATTTTGAGAGAGCACAATTCAGCCCATAACATATGCCAAGTTATTGTAATTTAAATGCGTTAAATGCATTAGCATTTCTTAAATTTAGATAATACGTGGTAACTTGTCTAACTTTCAAATAGTTAGAATTGCATGTAAATAAATAAATTGTTATAGTGACTATTATTAGGCATCATTGGAATGATTTAATCACTTGCCAAATCCAACAGTATTTAGTTCAGGTTCTTAAATTTCAATGTTAAACAAATGAGTTTACAAATATGACCAGACTTTAAAAAATAAATCATAGCTATAATAGTAATTACATTATTTCCAGGTAAACAATGTAATTGTGTGATCTGTGTTTCACAAATCTGGCACCCTGTGGGACCTTGTAATAGTCACTAATAAAAAGAATGAAGTCAATCCATTTATTAATACATTTATTTGTCTTTTTAATCCACCCATTTTTTAATGGGGAGAGACACCTTGTGCTAAGAGCTATGGATTGAAGGAAAATTAAAGCATGATGCCCATCTTCAAGAAGGTCAGAATCTAGTAAAGTCAGCTATGCAAGCAAATATTCTATTTGATCAGTGTTATAACACAGGCATTGGAAAGGAGCAATTGAAACCACCTTTGCAAAGATTATGACAGTAAAATAAATCTGACATAGTAGACTCCATCTTGCTTCTAACCTCCAAGCTGTCCTTGGTCATTCCTGGGAATAAACTGAGCTAACTTTGAGAAAAAATTTAGTTTATAGTTTAACCTTAAAGCAAGGATAATCATAGCCCTTCCCAAAACTAAACTGCCTTTGTAAAACTAATGATGTCTACAAGGTTAGGATTATGAGAGGGGCTTTAATTTTGCTAAGATGCAGGCATAGTTATACAATAACCAGCCACTATTCTGAAGGTCATAAGATCTGTAACTTCCCCAATTACTCCTGCACACAGCATTGCTATTGTAGATCCTAAGATTAGCCTTTTGAGATGTTTTTCAGACTTTTGCATTGCTGATGACCAGCTGACTCTACCCAGCCCCATGGCTCATGACTCATCCAGTTCTGTGTCCTCTACCCAGGGGCTGACTCAGTGCTTGAGGACAATTTTCCATACCCCTCTGATTTCATCCACAACCAGTCAACATTCCCCATTCTCTAGCACCCTGCCCACCAAATTATCCTTGAAAAACCCTACCTCTGAGCCTTTGAGGAGACTGATTTGAGGGATACCTCCAGTCCTGTGGCAGACCTCCATAACAACTGTTTCAGTGCTGGGTGGTTAAGTTAAATATTAAAAGCCAGTGCCCTTGTACAAAGGCTGGAATGTAAAAAAAGCCCACCCAGGGTTTTGCGTAGGCCTTTCCTGGGCCTTAAAGCACGACAAAATAAAAAGGAATTCTTAACAGGACCCGTTTAGGATTAAACAAATTTTACTGTGGGTCTGAAGAAATTCCCCAGGCCTCCGCAAACAAGTTTACTGGGGGTCTGAAGGAACTCTTTCAACCTCGGTAATTTAGCAGCAGACAGATAAGGGTAATCACCCCAGCACCTGGACCCATTTAGATTAAGTAAATTTACTGAGGCTCCAGTGGAAGGTCTTCAGGACTCAGACCTTAGTTATAGGTTAAAAGAAGTTAATCACATATGTCTTTAGATGAATGCACACTTACTTATAGACACATACCATAGAAGGTATATAAGTTCTGGAAAACTTCGTAATTTTGAGTTGGTCTGGCGATAATTTCCAGGACTTCTCACTGTAGCCGGTTACAGAATTAAAAACTCTCTTCCTCCCCAGTTCATCTACATCTCGTTATTGGGCCGTGAGAAATAGCAGCCCTACCCTGTTTGGTCTGGGAACACTTCCACTTGGCAGCCTTGCATTAATTAAACTCTTTACTGCAAAACCACGGTCTCAATGAATTGGTTTTGTCTGTGCAGCGGGCAGGAAGAACCAATCAGGTGATCACACAATGATGGCACAAATCAGACAGTGATCAATAATATAAGCAGAGATCAGTATATACTTCATGGAAGAGGTAACAAACAGACTGAGGTTTGAATAAGTAGGAGCTCACCAAACTCAGGAGAGAAGTATAGTCAAGGGCTCTGTCTTTATGTTCTTGCCCAATATTCACTTAAGTGAACCCACTCTCCAAATGTCTACCAATACCTCAATCCAGTGCCATCTCTTAGCCATATTATGAAAGCCATGCTGGCTGCCTATCCTTATAGTCACTTTATTTCTCTTTCTACCTGCTTTTAAGCTCCATGATTTATCGATAGGGTCTTCTTCTTGCAAACAATTTGCATTACACTCTGGTGGTTAAAAGATTAACAGCAAAAAACATCTAGAAATTTGTTGCCACCTGTTGCCTCATATCCACTAATTCAGTAGTTCTTGATTAACTGCTAATTCTTTATAATATGCGTCCTTTACATGGCAGCAGTGCTTGACAGAAAAGGAATGTAGTGAATGAGCCAAGCTTTGCACCAGAAAGACCTAGATCTGAGCAATGATGTACCCATTTCTAATCTTCTGACCTTGAGCAAATAATTCAAATTTGCTGAGCTTAGTTTCCTCATTTGTAATACAATGCCCACAATAAACTCTACCTGGTCAAGTTGTTAACATATAAAAGCATTAAGAACACAATAGGTAGCCCTGAAAAGTAGATGCATTATCTTCCTCCTCCTCTCTTCACTTTTACATCTTGCAGCTTCTCTTCATTCCTTTAGACACAGTCCTAAATTACCTATGAAAATGTCTTTTCTTCCTAACATCAACATCCTCTCTCCCCTCTGAACTTTCCTTTTTGGAAAAACAGTGAAAACCTTCCACAAGCCTCACCTGATCAATTACACCCTTTCTTCGAAATCCCACAAAGATATACATTCCTGCTTTAATTAGATGAAATCCTTCCTTATCTAATTGCTTTTATTTCTTTCAATATATTAATTTGTATTCACAGCTCCAACCATGAAAACAAATCTATTATTCTGCTTTCATTCATTTAAGCTGAAGTACTGGGCTTCAGCAAACGATGCGTCTGTGAATAGTGACTCTCTAATACAGTTAAACAAAATGCATCCTCGCCCTTACTCAGATACATTACCACAAAACATGCCTCTTCTACCTGTCCCTAATGCTTTTCTGAGCAAAATCCTTTATGGTCTTTCTCTATTCCCACCTGGACCTGTTTAATTCTTATATAGGGAGTGGTGGCTGGCAGCCTTGTTTGCATATTAGAATCACCTGGGGATCTCTTTTAAAATGCTGATACTAGGATTCAATCCAAATCCAATTAAATCAGTGCTTGAGTATGGGACCCCCTGATAATGTAACTCTAATGTGACAGGTAACTAATACGCAGTCAGGGCTGAAAACCTCTGAGTGGCAACTAGCTACATGTGATTGTGTATTTGGGACTTTAAACACTCTCACGCTTATTCTTTCTTCCTCATTAATCATACTGTTGAAAGTCAAGATCATTTCCATTTCCCTGTTTAGTTTGTACTGGTTACTAGATGCATGCCTTTAGGCAAGTCATTTCACCTCTCATAATCACAATGTCTTGCTCCTCAGGATTTAAGGACTCCTCCTACCTCTGAGGGAGGTGTCAAGAATTAAATGACACAGTTGTAAGATGACTACATGCAGCAGTCAACAGCTGCTTAAGAATCACCCACTAAAAATCAAATACTCTGCCTCCAAAATCACCCTCCGCAATTCCTGATCCTTTAAAAAAACAATATGAAAGACATTTAGATAAAAAAAAAAAAGGATAATCACTGTTGGAAATATAAACTATTTTTTTGTCAGAAAAGGCAGAGATTTGTATGTGAATATACTTTAGTAATAGAAGAAAATAAGTTAGTAGATAGTATTAATATGTAAAAATATGTTGCAACAATCTACCACTGACATTATTCTTACTCTTAACACAATGATAAATAATGTATTAGAAGAGCAAGTAGGGTCTGAATTAATGCAAACTGCTGTAAAATAAATGTACAGCTGTTGTAGAATCACTTCTATGGGATTTAAGACTCACATGATGTTAAAAGTAACAAATATTTAAATTCAAAAGTAGAGCTCTTGAGGAGCTGAGAACCTTTAAATATGGAGCTGTTTCCATCACCTCGATTTTTGTAGAAAGAAATGAACTTGGAAAAAATTTGTTTCCAAAGTGGAAAGTGACGTTCAATGTCTAAAATCATAATATTGCAGAGGCCTCACATCTACTTAACAGAAATAATAGTGATACGAAACAGAAAACTGCTCTTGCCTTTGTTATACCAAAAACAAAAAAGGAACAAAAACTACATAATTAAATTAAAGGATTGAATCTAACCATGCATTTCATTAATTTCCTGGCAACATCCTCAGCAAATGGTGTGTCTTTATTTGAACATTTTTCAGCTGTGATAAACTTAGATCTTAATTATGTTGACTGGAAGAATTTCTTATAAATTCCCTTCATTTGTGGTAGGAGAATCTTTGGGATTCTCTGGAGTTCCTCTGGGACCACAGAGTACAAGTTAACACATGTTCTATGTGACAGTCTTTTAAATACCTAATGACTACTTTTATAATCTCCAAGAATCTTTTCTAAAAAACCTACAGTTTTTTCACCTTCACTGGCACTCTATCCAGCAACAAAACTGGCATTACAAAATGGTATTCAGAAGCATTCTCCTATCTTCCTTCCATCAAGATTTTGGCTATGGTAGGATCTGGCCCAGGCTTACCTGGAGTCAACAAAGAAATGGATGAGTGTGGTAGACAGAAGAAAACTTTTGGGTCATCCGTGTGGGTGCATTCTAACCTAGCCTCTCACACAGTAATTGGGTGTTATATTCAAATGCAGTATTCCCTGATGACGAAGATTTTGTCCATGCATTACTGATGCTCATTGACTCCAAATTTTGTTAACTATTACTTAGTTATAACAGTGCCAGTGTGTTTCAGCGACTTTTTTTCCTTTCAATAAATCTGAGTTCTGGATGAAATTACTACATCATAATCTATGAAAAATGACACATACTGCAAATCATACTTTTCAGTATAACTTCTTAAGATAGTTGATTTCTGATTTACTGATGCATTTCATGTAGGCAATAAGCCAGCACAAAGCCACTTATAGATTAAAATAATTTGTGCTCAATAAAAAATACATATGTTACATACATAGATATGTATTTGTAAATGAAAATGTCTCATTTCTGAAATGGTGTCCTTCCAAATGGCATCTTATTTCTGAAATGGTGTCCTAATCAACTACTGAATGTGAACTAGAATTTCTCAAAGTCTTCACCTGTAATCTCAGATCTCAATCACACTTAATACAACTGAACAGCAGATAAAGTGACCTGCAAAATAACTCTAAGAAAAATTCACAGCTTACACTGTGACACAGAATATATGGAAATCAGAAGACAATACCACCTGGAGAAATTAATATATAGCATAGTTCTCTTCACCATAACTACGCATTCTCAACTGAAAGACTAAGGGAAAACCCCAATTTTGCTCTTTTTGTCCCTTTACTAAGAATTTGATGTAGATATTTCTTACTTTATAGCAATGTTAAAGCAATCCTTATTTTCCTTTAAATAAAAGTGTCACTCTAAACTAACATATTGGGAATTTTTTTCCATGGTGCCCACTCCAGGTGCCATGTAACAGATGATCTTTACATAGAAACCCCAGAGGACTGAACTGTCTTGCCTATCATTCTATTCCAATTATCATCACATCACCAATCTGAAAACTATTTGATGTTGATTTCCTAGCAGCTGTAAACTATTCCTTTTCCCTTGAGATTGTCTATGGATATATTTCTTTCACATACTCATATTTATCACTGGGTGGTCTGTGTACTCTTATCTGACAAGGAAAAGGTTGTGAGGAGAGGGTGCAATGAAATAGTATTATGTCCTCAAGTTCTCTGAGAGCAAAGTTCATGCAAACGTGTGTGTGTGTCATGATACTTTTCTAAATCTCTATTAAAAATTTTTAATCAATGCCAATTAAAAGTAAGAAATACACTGCATAATATTCTATTTTCTGAAGTTAAATAGATTCTACATTTCATACACACACACATACACAAACACACCCTTCATTCCTTATTGATGTTTTGAAGTCCCCAATGTCACTATAACTATCTCAGTTCTTAAGCATGTTAGCAAACCTTATAGCTACTAATAAATTACACTTATACCTATTAATAAAATAAAAAAAGGTTTTTTTTCCTTATCTCTTCTCTCACTAAAAAAGAAATATGGAATTTTGGCCTAGAACCAGGAGCATGGTCAAGATCTATTTCACATGTAAAGAAAGAAGTATGTAAATAAATAAGTAAAATTAGAAAGTATTTATCATTAAAATATTGAGATCTAAAAAAGTATACTTCACTAAGGTTTGAATTAGTTGTTCTTACTCTCTAACACCCATGCCAATTCCAGACAATCTGAAACAATTATTATAGTCCTATTTAAGAAAGGATAAATCATAAAGCAGCTTAATTTCAGGTATTTAAAATACCATTAAGGAAGATAAGAGTTCTCATTTTATTCATACCCTAGACCAGGGAATAAAACTAGGAAATTATTATTTACTTTTCTAGAGAACAAAGTAAATTTAGGGAAACAAATGAGAGAATTCTCAATTTAAAAATTTTACATCAGATTTCTGTTTTTGGCTGTGATGGGAATAGCTTGAAAAATATCAACAATCACACCGAGAACAACTAAAAAAGCCAAACAAAATACTGTTTATCCATCATTATCTATCTATGTCTGTTTGTCCATGCCTCCTTCTATCCATCTCTTATTTGTGTATCACATATCTATCTACACATGTATCACCTATCTATCCCTCTATCCATTATCTAGCCATCATCTCTCTACACATCTGTTATCTATCCAACTATCACCTGTTTGTTATCTATCTATCATCTGTTTATCTCTCTATCAAGACATAGGAAAACTGCTGAGTCAAATAGAAATCTGGAAGTTGAGATCCCAGAGAGATGTAATTGGAGAGACTTGACTTACCACCACAGCCTCTCTTTTCTCAAAGCATTTGCTGATTCTTGGTGTGTATCTGTGTCAACTCATGGAGCCATAAACTTAAGAAGCCCTACATAACCCTGTATTTATTTCCAAAGCTGCTATAACAAATTACTACAAACTTGGTGCTTGAAACAACAGAAACTCATTCTCCAGCAGTCCTGAAAAACAGAAGTCTGACAGTTAGGTGTTGGCAGGGCCGTGCTCTCTACTGCTGCTCCTGGGAGAACCTGTTCTGTAACTGCTCTGTGGCAGTCGATGCCCCCGGCTTGTGGTTAAACCACTCTGCTCTGCTTCTTTCTTTTCACCTCGCCATCTCCTCTGTGTCTTCTCTTCTGGGTGTCTGTCTTCTTTGCCTCCTTCTTATGAGGACACTTGGGATGACATCTAGGGTCCATCTGAGATAATCCAGGATTATCTCATTACCTCAAATCCTTAACCACATTAGCAGACACCCTTTTCCCAAATTTTTAAGATCACATTCACAAGTTCCAGGGATTTGATGTGGATATCTTTTGGAGAAGTATCATTCAGGCTACTGAAAAACCCAGAGAAAATAATGAAAACAAAATCATACAAAAGCTCACTCAGATGAGCACAGTCCTTAAAGAAAAATTATAATAAAATTACTACATGGGAACAAAGAATCTCTCTTCTGCAAAAGACAGCGTTCTGAATGTGAAATTACACAATACACTATGGGAGAAAAGATGATGTGCAGCAAAGGACCCAGATCCAGAATCTATAGAGAATCAAGTACCCTGAGAGATTAACAAGGAAAAGACATAGAGACCATCAGAAAAAATGGGCAAAGCCTTGAGCAGGAGCATCCCAGAGGAGAAACACAAACGGCTGATAAAGATTTGAAAAGGGCTCAGTCTATTTAGTCATTAGGAAATTGTAAATTAAACCACAAATGAGATCCTGCTACTCATCCACCTGAGTGGTTAAAAGAAAAGGACCAACAGTAGCAAGTCCAATGAGGGGATGTGGCACCTCGCACTCTCACACTGATGCTGGATGGGGTCTTAATTGGCACAGCCACTTTGGAGAACTGTGGGGCAGCTTTTACTAGGAAGTGGCCATGTGCTCACCATATGATACAACAATTCTGCACTGGGGTTTGGTTTTGTTTGTTTTTTGTTTATTTTTTAAATTGACAAATAATGATTATATATACTTATGGAGTACAATGTGTTTTAATATATGTATACATTGTTGGTGGGGATGTAAATTAATACAGGCATTATAGAAAAACTATGGAGATTTCTCAAGAAAATAAAAGTAGAATTACCATATGATCTCAGCACTGCTGGGTACATATCAAAAGGAACTGAAATCAACATGTCAAAGAGATATGTGCACTACATGTTCACTGCAGCATCATTCACAATAAGCAAGACATGAGAGAAGCCCAAGTGCCCACCAATGGAGCAACAGATAATGAAAATGTGGTGCGTGTGCACACATGCACATGCACACACACCCCAGAATGTTTTCCAGCTCTTGAAAAGAAGAAAATTCTGTCATTTGCACTAAGGGTTAAATGTAACAAAGACACACACTAAAATGGCCATCAAAATGGAATCAATCAATCAATCAATATAGTCAAACAATGGAATGCTATTTAGCAATGAAAAAGAATGAACCACACATATATTTAAAACTACTGTTCAACCTGGATGAATCTTGGAAACAATGCTGTTTGAAAATAGCCTACATCTACATAAAGTTCAAAAACAGGCAAAATCAGACTATGATGTTACAAATCAAAATACAGGTTTTGCTGGGTGAGTGGCTCTATACCTATAATCCCAGTGCTTTGGGAGGTCAAGGCAGTAGGATCGCTTGAGGCCAGGAGTTGGAGACCAGTCTGGGCAACATAGGAGTCCCCATCTCTTCAATATATATCTAAATTAGCCAGGCATGCAGCATGTGCCTGTAGCCCCAGCTACTTGGGAAGTTGAGTCAGGAGGACCACTGGAAGCCAGGGTCACTGGAGCCTGGGAGTTGGAGGCTGCAGTAAGCTATGATTGTGCTACTGCACTCTAGTCTGGGCGACAGAGTAAGATCCTGTTTCTTAAATTAAAAAAAAAATAGTGGTTACAGTATGGACCATATGTGTGACTGGGATGGGGCAGGAGAGGTTCAGGGAAGTCAGGAATTTCTATTTATTTATGTGAGTACTAGGCACATGTGTGTTTGCATTTAAAAATTCATTCAGGGAATACTATGATTTATGCTGATTTCTATATGTATGTTACATTTTACTAAAAATGTTCTTTAAAAATAAACAATGTAAACTCATTAAAAAAAATACTTGACAAACCAAGAAGAAATAAAAATGGGAAGGTTGGCCTAAAACAAGGTTGAACAGTAAAGTATTTACATAAATTGTATGTATATAATGCCACAATAAAGTGGGTTCAAATGGAGATTTAAATCTAAACTGATTTCTTTCATTAATTCCAGAAGCACTGACACAGCATCCATATCATACTCAAATTGAGGTGGGAATGAGGAAGGCATACAGGAATATACAAGAATAAAAAGGTACTCCTATGCCCTTGAATAATTTATAGCCTTCAGAGAGAAAGAAATCTATATTTCTGAAACATCTAAGGAAGAATGCAGTGGTACAGATTTAAAAATTTGAGTAAGAGAAAAATTATTAAAGATTGAAAAATATTCACATTTCCAACGTTCCTTGAGAAGGAATTACATCCTTTTAAGGATGTAATTATGTGAAGATTCTGCAACAGTCTAGTCAGATGCTGAGGTTATTTCTTCCAAAATCTCAGTTGCATCTCTAGAAATATTTGGCCACCAGCATTGTTTTCTCATTAATCATTCTAGCCACCTGGCCTTTGGAAACTATTTTACACTATCTTCAGCTTTTTCATTTTCTCTATTAAAACCTATTATCAAGTAAAGTTCAAAAGTATAATGCAAAATTCTCATATTTGCATATTTCTCTTAGTTAAGGAGAACATACACAATAACTTTTAATAATCTGATATGGGGAAATAAATTATGCTTACTTATCAAAAGCAAAAATGCAATATGGTATTTTTTATCAAGAGTGTTTTAGTGATATTCATCACCACATAATTCTTCCTTTCCACTTCATAAAATGAGCATTGGAATTAGCTTTCACAGTCATTTCAGGAAGAGCATCACAAAACCAAGTAGATCTGATCCTTAAAGATCAACTCAAAGGAATTAGCTAATATATCTGTATTTCAAAACATGACAAGTGTAAATAACTAAGTGAATCTTTATATGCACATATGAAATACTTTAAAAATATTCAGTTAATATCCCAAACTTTGTTAATTACTGGGACTAGAGGGAAGAGGTAAATGGAAGGAGGTTTTGAGAAGGGGACTTACTTTTTATTTTATATAAACATTTTTAAAGTATTTACAGTGGGCATACATTTCTATACTTCATATTTTTAGAGTGAGAAAAGACTAGATACATTATCTTTCGATATATTTTTTAGAAAAGAAAGAAAAATGAAATGACTGGGAAAAGCATTTGTTTTAAAAACATGTTTTCTTAAGTTGTTCACCACTGTCAGTGAAGAGCTAAACATGGAAAGTGACTTAATAGGACTCGCTTGTAGAATGGGAGAGCAGCACCACTATTTACCCAATTTATACTGCAGATCACACACAAAGACTACACTAGGAGTGCCGTGCGGTTCAGCTCTGCCCCTTATGGTTATGGCAAGAAGCCTTAACAGCATCTACTCTGATTGTTAATTTCTTATAAACAGTGCAAGTCCTGGACATACAAATCTCCCGACTCAAATATCTTTGGCAAAATAATGACAATTTTGTCCCAAAGGCATCATAATACTCAAATAATAAGGGTAAAACAGCAACAGTAAGGTGGTTTAAATTCTTAGTCTGAAGAAAAGAAAACCACCAAAAAGTCTTCCAGTTTTTCTTTTATAACTCATCATTTGCCAATATATCTTGGAATAAAAGTTTGTATTCAGAGATACAGCAAGTTCATGAGAATCCACAGAAATGGTAAGGTAATCAGAATATATATTCCCATTTATACACCTAAAGCTCCCACCCCCAGCCTTTTTATAACAACATTTTACCACTTAAAGTGCATATATGTAGTGGAGGGGAAGAAGGACATGTTCTGGTCATTATTCAGATGGTTGAAAGCTAGCAGCTGAAACCGTTAGTCTCTTTTCCTCAGAAGGCCAAGAGGTTGGCAGTAGTAGGGGAATTGTCTTCCAAGGACAGCTTCTAAGCTGGGGAGGAACTATAGGGGAAATGTGACCTGTAGTGAAGCGTTTTTCCATTTACTCTCCTGAAGCAGATTTTTATTAAACATAAGTCATTCCTCTCCCAGTGTCAGGATCTACCTCTAAGAGGTTTAGGGATAAAGTTGCAGGTTACACCACTGAAAGATAAAGAGAAAATACCACTCTCATGTTCTCCTTTCAAAATTGGAGAAGGGCAGGTGGTGAAAAGAGGAATCCCAGAAGGAAGAAAATAAATGAGTACAAGAGAAATGCCAGTCTCATTGATTTCTGGACTCAAAACATCTCTGAAGAATTTCTGATAAATGACTATGTAGACTCATTAGTATTTCCATTTCTCTTTTTATCCTTTGGTAAAGATGTAATGAAAATTTGAAGCTAAATAATGAAAAGCAAGCAGGCAGAAAGATGAAGTAGACACAGAGGCATGAAAGATGTACTTGCTACTCCTTGAAAATAAAAAATGAACTCACCAACCTCCCCACAACACATACTGTGCACATGCATACACGTGTGCATGAGTGTGTGCGGAATAGGAAATTGTCCAGGTCATTTGATGGAGATAGGATTCAAGTGGCTATCAATGACCTGAAGACATGGTCCTATTCTCATTTAGTACAATGGGCATTTCTTAACTCTTAAGGGAATCATGCTTCAGCTTTCACAAACATGGACTACACTCTCTGAACAAAGTGCCAATGCCCTAAAATGTTAAGAGAATGCTGATGCTGCTTCCGTGATGTTCCTAAACACACAGAACCCAAGAATGGATTCTTTCTGTCCTCTCTGACAACAGCATTTCTAAAGCGCCAACAGTACTGCATGCCTCCCCCATTCATCTTCATAAAGTTTAAGACTTACTCTGACATCCACTCAAACCTCTAACAGTAGCCCATTTCACAGGGTCCTAATTTCTCTTTTTAAAGTATGGTATCTTTATTTCTTTTTTAAACAAATTGTAATCGACATATCTTTTGGTGGTGATTTAGCCAGATCACTTCATTTAATATTTATTTCAATGTATTTATTTTTATTTTTTACTTGTGACTTACATAAAAGTCACAAGAATAAAACAAAATATTACTGGATACCATTCAACAAGATTGCCCGAAGTTTAGCTTTTAGCACATCCTCAACTGGAATATTCACACATCTCCCTCCTCCAACTTCTTCCTTCCTCCATCTCTCTCTGCTGTGTACATAAGCAGTGGAACTTCACACTGGAAATAATGCTGTCGCCTAATTTCCGGACCTTTTTAGATTTTGTCAGTTATCTTAATCATGCCCTCAGTAGCACATCCCAAATCCCTTTCAATCTGAAAAAGTCCCACAGTCACTCTGTATATTTCATGACTGACATTTTTGAAGTTATTTTGTACAATGTCTCTAATTTGCATTGGTCCGAAGTTTCTTCATGATTACATTAGATATTTCCTCATGATTGTGTGATTAGATTCAGGGTCTGCACCTTTGGCAGGCATAGCACAGAACTGATGCTGAGCTCTTAGGGCATCGTAACAGGAGGAGCCCGCTGTGCATTAGCCCTATTACCGCTGATCTTTGATTACAGTTTGAATATCCCTTATCCAAAACGCTTGGGACCAGAAGCGTTTTCTATTTCAGATTTTTGCAAATTTTTGAATATTTGCATATGCATAATGAGATATCTTCGTGACAGAATCCAAGTCTAAACATGACATTCATTTATGTTTCTTTTACACCAGATACACATAGCTGAAGATAATTGTATACAATATTTTTAATAATTTTGTACATGAAATAAAGTTCTTGTACAGTGAACTATCAGAAGGCAAAAGGTGTCACTGTCTCAGCCACCCACATGGACAATCTGTGGTTGTTTGGCATCACCATCATTCCTGACTCTGAATTTATGTTACCGATAAGCAATCATTTTCTTATACTCATTCACCCGTAAGTATTTAGGGATCAAACTATGACATGCCATTAATACAGTGAAAAAATAATGTTAAAAGTTTAGGGTAACTAAGCAGCACAGTAGCATCACCAGAATACCTGGATTAGCTGCGAAACGGCAGCCACAAAAAAAAAAAAAAAAAAAAAAAAAAACAGCAGGTTTTCCATCTCCAGCTAAAAGGCTGTGTTTTGATTAAAAGGTTATTGTGTATCTTATTTTTGAGCTTAGAAGAAACATCAGAAGCAGCTGAAGGACCAAGAAGTGGGCCCTCTAGGGATGAGGAGGCATTCTGCCGGAGGGCTTTTTAAATGTTTTCTCCAGCGTCATCTGCCTCATTAACAATGGTTTTTGGGTTAGAAGTCTCTCTTTGATTTTATAAATGAACACTATTTCTTGTTCTGTGATGAAGGCACTGCTCCAGTACAAAAAGCCCTTCACACTTTTTCACCCTGTTGTCTATAGGCACTTTTTGTGCAGTGCCAACGATGTCATCTCTATGATCATGTCAGTGCTCAAAAATTTTGAAATTTAGAAGCATTTTGGAATTCAGATTTTTAGATTAGGGATGGTCAATCTGTGAAAGTTAAAGTAATGTCTGCTATTTTTTTCCCTCTGTAAAGTTATCATTTTACCTCTTATAATAAAAATATATCTTGTGGGTATATAGTTTCAGATGATGTAAATATCCTGTTCCTCGTCAAAATTTCATCCACTAGTGTCAACATTCGTTGATGATTCTTGCCTGACTTAATTATCACTCTGATGGTTACGAATACTGATTTTTTAATTCCATTATTCATTTGATATTTTTTGGTTGGCTTTCTAATGCAAGCAAGAGCTTTGCTTTCTCCCCACTTATTTATCTATTTATTCATGCATTTATTAATATCAAGCAGATTTATACTTTATTTAATAGTTATAACAGTTAAATATTATTTATTTGGAGCTCAAATTGTCATAGATTTAGCCAGTAGAAATCCCTTCAAAGTGGACCTGCATTCTTTTGCAATATTCCCACCATTTAAATATTTTCTTACTTTTTGGCACATGAAGATCTCCCAAGCTCATCTTGTTTTTTCTGATTCGCACCAGGAATCAGCTATTTTTCTAAGGGGCCCAGGGTTATTTTAGTAGTAAATGGCATTTAGAAACCAAGATCTGAGCTCTAGGAGTGGCTTGTTGCTACTGAAGTGGCAGTTTCTCAGTTCTCTCAATAAAGAAGCTGAAAAATTGATATATGTCTATACACAAATATAGAAACACGTGTGTGTGTGTGTATATATATATATATATACACACATACATATACATACAAATAGCTATATGCAGGGTTTTGCTTTTTGCAGTTATTAAAGTTTTTTAGAAGAGGTTTAAATCTACCAAAAAGTTGTGAATACAGTAAAGAGCTCCCCTGTGCTCTATGAACAGGGTCCCTTATTATTCACAAAATAGAATCATGTATAGATTAAAAGATATTTACCCCAGTCCTAAAGATAGCATCTTTCTTGATGAGAAACACTAAAGGTGGCTTCACTAAGATTAGGTAAAGGCAAGATTTCCCACTGTTTCTACCACTATTAATCATATATTACCCAGTGCATTTAGAAAAGGGAAATTAATTATCTGAATAAAAATTGAATGAAAAGAAGTAAAAGAAAATGTTTATGCAGATGATATGAGTGTGTACCTGGAAAACCCTAGAGAGTCAATGATAAAATTAACTCAAATAATAAAATAATTCAATAGAGTAGCAAGCTATAAAATTAACATAAGAAATCAGTAGTGTTCAGGTACATGTATAATAATTAGAGGATACAAAGAGAGAAAACATTATTTACAATAGTAACAAAAGATAGAATAGGAATAATCTTGAAAAGCAATGTATAAAACCTGTATGAAGAAAACACTGAAACAACACTGAAAGACTCAAAGGTTGATGTTAGCATATGTAAAGATACACTTGTTCTTTGAAGGAAAAATCAACATTGTAAAGATAGAAGCTCTCCCTAAGTTCATTTACAAACTAATTCAATTAAAATAAAAATACTAACACACTTCTTTCTCTTCCTGGAGCTTTATTTTTCCAAGACTGCTTACTCAGATCATGTGTGGGTTTTTAAGTCACTTCCCAGGAGGGGCTGCTCTAAACTGGAGGAAACTCTCAATACCATACACAGGGAAGTCTCTTTTTCCCTTGTGGCAGCTTTAGGTCAATTTTAGGACTGCTGCTAAGTTCTCCTGCCCTTTCTTTTCTACAGCACGCCCCTTTTCCCCACCCTCAGCAACTCCTGCATTCCCCAAAGGGTGGGAATACAGGAGACAGCTCACTGGACTTGGTGTTTATTTTCCTACTTAATGTTATTGGAAGATGGGTTTTCTCCATGTTCCAGTTATGCTGGGATTATGGATTTTGTGTGGTCTTACTTGTTACTCTTATATTTCCTTATTGTGTTTGGAGGCAAGTTGTGAAAACAATTTTAGAAGGCCTGTATGGCCTTGGCTATTATCCCATTAATCATTACAAGAACCCTGTTGGGTGAGTCCATTAGCTCAATTTCCAGATGAGAAAACCAAGGTTGCAAATTCAGACTCTCCTCTAATGTCAAATAGTTAAGGAGATCAGGAGCGAGAAAGTCCAGAGTCAGGAGAATTATCTAGGATGCACAAGTTTATGTCTATGATTTGCCATCTAGGTCTAAGAGAAGGTGAATGCTTCAAGATATGCAGGTCAGAAGTTTTGTATGCATCCCGTAACCTTATGAGTTCTGGCTTTTATATTCCAGTTTATAACAGTCCTTGAAACAACAAATTCTTGATTTTATAGGGAACTGCTCCCATACAGAAGGTCCAATGACATGCTCATCACTGAGCATGACACCCTCAGTGTTGGCAAGGCGGGACAAAGGACCTGCCAAGAGCATCTGCCACCATTCTTTTCCTTCAGAACCTGAGCCTACTATCTCAAGAAGCTTTCTTGTCAATCAGATGTGTCCTGTCACTTCTGTTTCCATCTTCACAGTTCTCTTACGTGTGGTGAATATGATTAATAATAATGTCCATTTCAAAATTGCTAAGAGAGTACATTTCAGATGTTCTCACCACAAGTAATGTTAAGTATTTGAGGTGATGAATATGTTAACTAGTTTGACTTAATTATTCCACACTGTGTTTATAAATTTAACATCAATTTGCACCTCATAAATTTACGCAATTATAAATTATCAATTTATCATAAAAATGAACAAACACACACTCATACAAGTTACACATCCACATGAATGTTCAGGGATGTATATGCACACATACACACATACATACACACATGTGTGATATTCCAAATATTTAACCCCTGGCGTGGCAGGGTGACTCATCAGGTTACTGGACGGTGGAGAGGTCTGGAAAGCGCTGGGAGATTGGCTGGACTCTGAAGGGCTGCAGGGGTGGAGCGGTGAGTGAACATTTCTCAATACATGCTGAACTGTTTCCACAGTTAGTGCACACCCTCTGAATATCAGCTATGCAAACACACACACATACACACATACACACATACACATACGCACACACAAGCTTTCCTTTCTAAGCTATGGAAAAATACTTCAAGAATAGACTTAGAGACACCACGTCAAGTAATTTAGCTTAATTTAAAAACCCCACTCAGCATTTCCTATGGCTCCTCATCCTTTGTTCCAGGTTTTCCAAAGGTAAAGGTGAATGAGGAAATACTGATTTTCCATTTAAAGTGAAATGGTTTTTTTCCTGTATATATTTAATTTATTATCAAGATTTGTTAAATTCAAAATACATCCAGATTTCAGGAATAAGAGTAGGCAGTTAAAGCAAAATGCATAAAGGTAGTGTGTAAATGGCAGGAGTTTATTTTTTTAAAAAAGCCCTGCTATTCCTTATTCATATGAAAATTGGAAACACTCATTATTCTGGAAAAATGCCCATTGCTTTCCTGCTTTCAAGTTTTGCTTTCACAATTCTTTCTACTTAGAATTTTCCCTCAATTTCCCATCTCTCTTCTCAAGTATACAAGTATACCAATGCTTTCAGCTTTGTTCCAAATAACACCTTATCAGGAGAATTCCCCCAGCCCCAATCACTCTGGCTAGAAATGACATTCATGATTGATCATGAATATCACTTCACTCTTCTCCCTGTGAGTTTTTCCTTGCTCATACCCTTTCTATGTGCACCTTGTTCACTGCCTATACTATAATATACTTGGAGGTTACTTTATGTATCATCAGTATCTCCTAGAACACATATATATGTGTTGTTGTGTTGAATAAACATGCTGTTTATTAGTATATTATTTATGTATACCCACGATTAAGCTGGGATAAACTGAGAGGATCACAGGGGCTTTTCCCACTTTGATTTTTTTCTTTCACTTCTGATTAAATCTCCAATCCCAGTAACACTGTAGGGAGGTATAAACCCACAAAACACAAATGATAACACCAGCAATTCCTCTTCCAACAATTCATCCTAAGGAAAGCATAAAGATTCAGTTATTGGTATATTCATCTTAGCACTATCTGTAATACCCCAAAAAACTGGAACACCCCAAATATCCAACAATAGGTAATTCCTTAAAGAAATCGAGGTGGCTTTGTCCTTTGTGATACAATGAAGCCATAAAAAAGACAATGTAGAAAAAAATGTGTAATCGGTAAAATGCTCACACCAAAGTGACAGGTCATCATTCAGTATATATAATATGATCCACAGCTGCTGAAGTAGGGCTGTGTAAGCCTGTGCACAGGCTGCAGTGGGGGAGCATTTGAGGATACTCAAACAAATGAGGGGTCAGAGAGAGCTTCTTGGAGGAGATGACCCCTAAGCTGAGATGACTGAGTGCAGGACGGTGGGCAGCCATGGGGCCATGGTCTAGGGTATGCTCCAGGTTGATGGAATAGTGTTAAATAAAGGCCCAGAGGCAAGAGGAAGCCTAGATTTGAGGAACCTCATGCAGCTTACTAAAACCCAGACATCTGGTAAGAAAAGCGGCAGAACCAGGCAAGCACCAGTTTCCCTGCTCCCCAGCCAGCTGTCTCAAGCAGAAAGGCAACCCCTCATCCCAGCTTAAGCCCCATACTTTGTTCCTATCAGAGCCTTGAGGATGCAGCAAGAGAACAATAAAAATGCAAGTAATAGTTAGGAGATTTACATACAATTTTGAAAATAAAATTATAAATGAATTATAAAAGAAACACAATGACATCTGGTAGCAAACTAACATGGAGAGAATAAAGTCGAGAAGGGAATCACAAATCCCGCCACCAATGGACAATCAGCATTTTGTTGAATTCATACTTGATGAAGGGAATAAAGGCAGCAATACACCTGCTTGCCATTCTCAGGAAGAGTGGTGTCACCTGCAGGGGTTATCATCAGCACCTCTGCAGACAGCAGACTCTGCCAGAGGCCCTTCATGAGAGAAACCCTGCTCGGGCCCCAGGATCTTTTGTAAGGGCAAAGGCACACTGCAGTAGGCAGCTTGGGTGATCGCCTGTCAGCAGGAGTGTGGCTGTGAAATTGCAGCGTCTCTCAGTCCTGGCTTAGACCTGTGATAAATGGTCTGCCCCAAGGAGACACGCAGCAGTCCGCTGCCAGCAAACAGCCGCCAGACTGTCAGTGGGCAGCCTTCTCCTAGAGCAGCAGTGACAGCTGACGGGGAGCACACCCCATCAACTCTCCACACGAGGGAAAAGGTGCAATCCCCTTAAAAGATGTGAAAATACTATGCTCCTAGGAAATGTTACCTGACATTGTGAACTGTAAATCATTTCCTCTCTGAATTATAGTGTTAGATATGCATATGTGCTTTAACCAGCCCCAGGGGATTCTGGTTCCATATTCAGCACTGAAGTTGTTACTGTGACTCATGAAAGCCCAGGAAAGGATGACCAGAAGGACCGTGCAGTACAGAAACCAATGCTGCAAACACCCGAGGATACTTTTGCCAAGTGTCATCAAAGTCGATGGGTTCAGAAAAAGAGCAAGCTCCCTTGCTGCAGGCGGGTCTGGCAGAATCCCTGTCACCATGGCAATCCCATGCTCCCAACCCTCCTCAGAGACACCTCGGAGCAGATGTTATGATGCCAATTCTACATCATAAGCTGCCCAAAGTCAGGCAACTTGCTTCCGTTCTTCAAGCCACTTGCACACAAAAGAATGAAAAATCAGAAAAAAAATTGATATGAACTATCATGCACTAAGCGCCTGGTACATCCTAGATTTGGAATAGCACATGGCATATACATTGTCTCATGTAGTCTTCATTTCAAACCCACAGAGTTCAAAAAATCATCTCCATGCTATTGCCTATGAGAAATAGGAGACAATAAGCAGCAGAAATTCTCTAGTTAGTCACATCCAGCGGAAGCCTACATAGTGATCTAGACCTTCCAAGCCTTAATTGTGGGCTATTCCCCCTTATTAACCCACAGTTCTTCCTGGCAACCTGGACTGGCTTTCCACAAATGGGTGACCTCACGTAAGTCTCTGAACATGTTTAAGGACTGAACTAGATGGTACTTAAAATACCTTCTATGATTGAAAATCCCTGACTGATTCGAGTCTAACAATGTGCTAGGAATGGAAGGCAATTTAGACTTATTAAGACAGTTTCTATTTTTGAGGAGCATATATAAGAAGGAAGCTCAACTTAGAATACAGAGTTGAATAAATGTGAAGCCATGCAGTAAGAAGTTTGTGTGAAATAGCAGATGAGAGAAGGGAGCCGTCTGTGAGGTCCGCATAGTCAGAGTCAGAAATACCCTTGGCAAAGAATTTATAGCTAAGTTCTTAAAAGCAATCGCAACAAAAACATGCAATGCAGAGCATGGTACCATGGCAAGTAGAGACGGGTACGAAGTGACCAGAAAGTCAGTGTGAAGAATCCTGAGGACAGGAACCTGTGGATGGAGCAGATTTGAACCAAGCTCTGGAGGGCATAGGTCATGGGGAGGACCCTGTGGATGGAGCAGACTTGAACGAAGCTCTAGAGGGCATAGGCCATGGGTGACGTTGACCTTGTGGCTTCCTAAGTGGTGACACTAGAGGCCCTGAGAAAGAGCAGGGCCTAGAGCGAACATCATAATGGATGTGGACAAGCAAAGGCTCAGTGCTGGGGATGATGTTACAGGGCCTATGTATACAGGGGGATTTTTGTTGTTGTTGTTAACTTTCTGGTTTTTTCACTCATAGGTTCTTGACAAGTGTTGAAAACCCTTTGATAGGGAGAAACCAGTTTTCTGACAAGAATTTACGAACCCTCACTTCTGGTGAAAAGGAGCTGCCCCTGGGTTTATATAGCTACAGGACAACTCTGCCTAACAAAGCAGCAGCCAGGGAAGTGGGAACTGAGTGTGGTGTGGAGGAAAATGAAGGAAGGAAGATGAGATGGGAATTGGCTGCCAGAGAAGAGAATGTGGCCAAGAGAAAAACAATAGCTAATATGGTGGCTCTAGGCTTGGAAGAATTACAATGTGTCAAAATCAGGACATTTCTGAAGTTGAAATGTAGTGGCATTCATAATGACAGCAGGACAATGGGGATAAATGGGGTTTCACTGAGCAAACCGGGGTAAATGACCACTCTATGTAAAACTCTTCCTCCATCTTTCCTGTGAAAACTTCAGTTCAATATATGTTTCTGATAAATGCCTGGTATGGCTAATATCCATATATACATATCTTAAAGTGCCCAGGTCCATTTTCAAATTTACTACAGCATAGAAAAGAGATGCTGCTCCTAAGGACTGCAGAACACTGGGTAACACATTGTCAAACCTGGAAGTTAGATGACAGCCATCCCCAAAATGCTATCTGTAGGAAAACAATTCCACAAAGTGTCAGTATGTACTTTACAAATAAAATATCCAATGTTCCAACAATTTAGGACACTCCCAAGGAAACACAATTAAGCAGGTCTTCAGAGGTATTCTGCCTGCAGCCCTTTCTATGGTAATGTGTATCATGAGTTTCCGTAAGAGAGATAAAATATGCAGTCTTGTACACTTTTATTTTATTGGAAGATCTATTTTTCCAGGTTATTCATTAGGAGGCCCTGGAACTAATATCCCATGGAAAATAATTTGGAAAATTATCTGTTAAATGAATGGGTTAGAAGACTTCCAGATAGAGTATCTACCTTCAGCACTCCAATTCATAAGAACAAGAAGAAGGTGGCACTGGTCTGAAACATGAAATATCCATTTGCTGGTAAATAGAGAGGGAGAAGGAGCTCTTGGCAGGCTGCAAGGTGATTGGATTCTGGTCTCAGCACTACCTCTCTTTGAAAAAGTAAACTCCTTTGAATCTCAGTGTAATGAAAGGGTTGAATTCAATGCCTACGATTCTTTTAGCTCTTACATCTTGATTCCTACATTGTCATTGGGTAAATCCAGCATTCATTTAATTCTTTAAATATCGAGTACCTACCATGAGCCAGGCACCATGCTAAGTGTTGGAGATACCAGATGAACAATGAGACTTATCTTACAGTGTCTAGAGCTGGTAGTTCTAAACATTGGGGATTTCCCATGGAAAGCAAATACAGAATTTTTTTTTTCAAATTTGATATTAAAATCTCAGATCAGGAGTACATACACAGGTAGGAGGGGATGTGGATGAAGGGAACATTGGAACAAAAATTAAAAATAAGTAAAATAAATTAGCCAGATTGAGAAAAAATGAAGTATACATTATATACTATATACAGCAAAGGAAATATGGGTTGAATATGATAGTCTATCAACACAAGATATTATCTAACCACCAAAGATAATGCAAAATAAATAACAACATATTTCTTTCACCACAGCTATAACTCCCTTTCTCAGGATTCTCATGGCTTTCTGGGGTAGTGGTAGTTACTCTGGCATTCATTTCAGGCTTCCCAAATCAACTTCTAATCTTGTATTTCTAGCCTCTTACAACACAGAGATCAGGAAGATACCTGTCTCAACTGTGCAACTCATTGTGCATTGATCTAACGCATTTATTCAAGATTACAAACATGGTTTCAGGACAGTTCTTCAGGCAAAAGGAAGTAACTGAGAATTCAAAACACTTCCTGCCCTCTAATCCCTTAAAAGGAAGTGCTGCTCTTGAGCTTTGTAAAAAACTTGCACACCATGGTCTATGTGGCAAGTCACTGTGTAGAGCTCACAGATCTCCTGAGGAACAGGCAGGTCAGGTCATTCCTTTGTGAAACACTCTGGTTGGTTCACAAGCCACCTGTCCACCTTAGCCCTGGAGAAGCCATGCTGTCATTCTCAGTGTTGCCTCTGTCCTCGCAGAGCAGTTCCTAAGACAATAGCTATCCAATGTCAAAGGGTTGGCAACGGCTACATTTTCACAGACACTAAAACGACTTCAAATGACATCTCCTAGTGAAAGAATGGAAAGATCACCTAGGAAAGCATATCTATACTTTCTTTACCCAATCACATAAGCCACTTGGATTTTCTGAGCATAATTTTTTAAAGGCACTAGATATTTTACTCTTTTTGTGGCTATTGTAAGTGGAATTGCATTTACAATAGCCACAAAAAGAATAAAATACCCAGGAAAACTTCTTACCAAGGAGGTGAAAGATCTCTATAAAAAGAACTACAAAACACTGCTGAAAAAAATCAGATATGACAGAAACAAATGGAAAAACATCCATGTTCATGGATTGGAAGAATCAATATTAAAGTGGTCATACTGTTCAAAACAATGTATAGATTCAACACTATTTCTATCAAACTACAAATGTTATTTTTTATACAAGTAGAAAAAATAATTCTAAAATTCATCTGGAACCAAAAAAGAGTCCTAATAGTCAAAGTAATCCTAAGCAAAGAGAACAAATTCAGAGGAATCATGTTACCTGACTTCAAACTACACTACAAGACAACAGTAATCAAACCAACATAGTATGGGTACAAACACAGACAAAAAGATCAATGGAACAAAACAGAGAACTCAAAAATAAAGCCACACATCTACAGTCATCCAAAGTCCATAAAGCAATAAGGAAAGGACTCCCTATTCCATAAATGGTGCTGGGATAACTGTCTAGCCATTTGCGGAAGAATAAAACTGAACCCTTACCTTTCACCATATACAGAAATTAACTCAAGATAAAGACTGAAATAGAAGACCTCAAACTACAAAATTCTTAGAAGAAAACCTAGGAAATACCCTTCACAACACGGGCTTTGGCAAATAATTTATGGCTAGGTCCTTAAAAGCAATTGCAACAAAAACAAAAATTGACAAGTGAAACCTAATTAAATTAAAGAGCTTCTGCACAGCAAGAAAAACTATCGATGGAGTAAACAGACATCCTATAGAATGGGAAGAAATATTTTCAAACTCTGCATCCAACAAAGGCCTAATATCCAAAATCAACAAGGAACTTAAATCAACAAGCAAAAACAAAATAACCACACTAAAAAGTAGGCAAAGGATATGAACAGATACTTCTCCAAAGAAGATATACAAGTGGACAACAAACATGAAAAAATGCTCAACATCACTAATCATCAGAGAAATGCAAATCAAAACCACAATGAGACACCATCTTAGTCAGAATGGCTTTTGTTAAAAAGTCAAAAAACAACAGATGCTGGCAAGGCCGTAGAGAAAAGGGAATGCTTATACACTGTTGGTGGGAATGTAAATGAGTTCAGTCCCTGTGGAAAGCAGTTTGGAGATTTCCCAAAGAACTTAAAACAGAAACACAATTCAACCCTGCAATCTCACTACTGAGTATATAGCCAAAGGAAAATAAACTGTTCTACCACAAACACATGAACTCATAGGTTCACTGCAGAGCTAGTCACAATAGCAGAGACATAGAATCAACCTAGATGCCCATCAAAGGTGGATTGCATTAAAAAATGCGGTATGTATACATCATGGAATACTATGCAGCCGTATAAAAGGACAAAATCATGTCCTTTCCAGTGACATGGATGCTCTGGAGACCATTATCCTAAGTGAACTAAAGCAGGAACAGAAAACCAAATACTGCATATCCTCACTTATCAGTGGGAGTTAAAACATGAGTACACATGAACATAAATATGAGAACAATAGATACTGGAGAGTATAAAAGGGGGCAAGGGATGGATGAAAAACCACCTATTGGGGAGTATGCTCATTTCTTGGGTGATGGATTCAATCGTTCCCCAAACATCAGCATCACACAATATACCTTTGTAACAAACCTGCACATGTACCCCCAGAATCTAAAATAAAAGTTGAAAAAAAAAAGGCACTAGAGATATAACTTTGCAGTCAGCCCTGTGGCTAGAGACTCCACACAAATTTTTTTCTTTAATAAGTTATATAAATATGTTGCTTTTATTGTATGAAATATATTCTCTTCTGGATAACTGTTTGCCAATTCTCGGGCTCCTTTTTGGGGCCACCCAAAGCTTTTGATCAGGCATGCCATTTTTATTCTCCATAATGTAGCTGTCCACTATTTGTTGTGATACCTGAGAGAATGAGGGAATGACAAAACAAAACAAAAAGCTAAAAGTCATTCATCTGTGACTATAACTAACTATATATAATTCAAAAGAGAATAAAGAACTTTTCCCAATAATTTCATTTTGGGAGAGTAGAATGAAGCCTCATATTCCCAAATGCCTATTATCACTTCCAAACAAATTTCAAATTAGTTTTGGCCCATCTATGCCTTAAGAATAGTTTTCTAGTACAGTGGGCTTTCTATTATTTTTGCCTTGCCTCTGGATCTCTGGCTTTCTTTTCTTCTCTTGCCCAAAATATTGGTCTAAGGAATGAGAATGTTAGAAGCAGCTAGATATAGATATAGACTTAGACATATGACATATAGACAATATAGACAAATATAGACAGTTGATATGAATATGGATATGTACATGTGGAATTTTAAAAAATTCCCCTAGATTGCATAAGTGATAGACATTTTTAGATATATAAATTTCATTATTTCATAGTAGCTGTCTCAACTGTGTTTCCACATAGAATCCTAGGATTCAGGAGCTCAGACTTTGTAAATACACTTGTCTTGTGATCACAGGCATGTCTTAACCCTCCCTTATTTTCAATCTCCTCTGCTGTAAAATGGGAGTAAGTCACTGCTGTGGTTTGAATGTGTACCCTCAAAAATTCATGAGTTAAAACTTAATGGCCAATGTGATAATATTAAGAAGAGGGGCCATTAAGAGATTTTGTTATGAGGGCTCCTCTCTCCTGCATGGGACTAAGGCCCTTGTAATAGAGGTTTCTCACAGTGCTTAGCCCTTTTTCCCTCCTCTGCGTTTCACCATACGAGGACACAGTGTCCCTTCTCTCCTGAAGATGCAGGAAAAAGGCACCATCTTGGAAGGAGAGATGGACTCCTCACTAGACACACTGAACCTGGCTATTTCCTTGATCTTGGATTTCCAGCTTGCAGAACTGTGAGAACCACCAATGCCTGACCACCATGCAGGGCTGTTATAAGGAGTAAAATGAAATAATGTAAGTGAAAGTAAGCATTTTGAAAGTGGAAAGTAGTATATAAACAGAAGGTTCCATTATCTTTAATCAAAACCGCTAGAGAACACAGGCATTTTTCATCCTTATTGTATGACATAAACAAATTTGAACACTAAAAATGAAATCAGCCCAAAGTAAAATGTTAGAAATGACAATGAGCCATTTTTCACAACAAAGAAATTGATTTTCCATAGATGTTCTTTCCTATTGCATGTAAAGGCCTACATCCATCAATACCTAGGTCCCTTGTTTTGACACTGGGTATAATTACGGCCCATCCCATAGCTGCTTGGCTCATGTTACTATCAGAGCCTGAGGCCACAAAATTTCCTCCCTATTACCAGAGGGATATGCCAGGATTTATAGTAAATTGTGCTATTACTAAGGCATTTTCTTTAATTAATTAAAAAAACAAGTCATTCTTTTTAAGAACGTGATCTCAGACTATAATGTGGGCTATGCCTGCACCTTCCAGTTCAAATATTCTAACTTTTTACAATCATGATTTGTAAATAATGCTTTCAAACATCTGGATTGACTGAAGATTACCAGACACTCCACTCTTGCAGATATGAGCAACTTCCAGAAAAATCAAGATAGCTGCCAGATCTTCCATTAAGCCTTCATGTTATCTTTTTTAACCCTCAAAACAAGCTATATTATACCAGTGTTAAATTTCTAATTTGTGATCATTGAACTATGGTTATGTGAGATGTTTACATTGGGGCAGTGCACAGGGAATACAAAGGAACGCACTGTACTGTTTCCTCAACTCTTCAATGTTTCTGTAAATCTAAAGATTTTAAAATACAAAAGAGTTAATAAAACAAAAATTTTACAAAATAGCATCCTTACGACCATAAGTCTGGAAACTAGGCCTCTGAGAGATAATCAATTGCCTGAAATCAGTTGTCATTTCCACTAACTGATACCACCAATTCATTCTATAAAGTATTTAAGTAAGTTTTTTTACACAAAATGAAAGATAATTATAATAATGATAAGAGCTGACATTTCTGCAGCAGTATTCACATGCCAGGAACTGTTTTAAGAACTTGACATAGATGAAATCAGCATCTATATCAAATTTATGATGTAGGTCCTATTCTAATTTCCATTTCTCACAGCAAAACTGAGATGCCAAAGAGAGCAGTAACTTTCTCAAAGTCACACACCTAGCAAGTGGAGAAATTAGGAGTGATACACAGTATACACGATGACACTCAAATGATATGAAAGAAAGGAAGGACGTAAAATGAGTCCAGGAAGGAGACAATCTGGGAATCCGGTCATCAGTATAATTTTCAGGGTGCACTCAACCTATGCTGGCAGCTATATTATTACAAAGAGATGGGCGAGTATGTTTGATTTAGAACTGACCAGTGTTACTCCTACGGATTCTCATACAGGATGCGGAAACATACAAGGTAATGACCCTAAATCTCATACCTTTTGAAGAAATGACAATGAGTTTCATGGTGAAGAGTCTTATAACTTCATACACTATAGGCAGCTTCATACACTATAGGCAGCTTCATACACTATAGGCAGCTTCATACACTATCACAGCTGTGAACATTTCTGTAAAAATAATTCTGTAAGTTGTCAATATTATGTTCTCCAGGCACACAGCTCTCTCCAGTCAGAATTAATTCAGGGAAGGATTTCGGAATATCTGGACATACACTGTTTCTCTCAGCTGCGCCTGTGATAAATATTGCATGGAAATGATTTTGTGACTGTGCTCCCTGCCAAGTTCCTAAAGCACAGGGTCCTACTTGTCTCAATAAACAAATGCCCATATGCCTTAGTATTTCTCTAAAGAGGTAGTTATACTTTCCCTTTCATATTATCTTCTCATACCTGCTGGGACGCCTTACAAACAAAGAAACCCTATTTACAAATAAGGATGCTGATTGGCCCTTCTGGATAAGTGAATTTTCTATTTACCTGAAGTTTCCAATTTAAACTTGCAGCCTGATCTTATTTTAGCTTTTAATTACAATGCACTCAAAATATACTGCTAATTTCCTTAATCCATTCTAACTTAAATTTTAATATTAAAATTGATTAATTAAAATCATTTATGTAATTAAACATAATCTTGATAATTTGGGAAAAACTAGACATCTCCTTGCCTGTGGTTTTCTACCAAGAGCAATATCACCATGCCTTATGGGGACAATAAAAACTATGTGGTCCATTTTGTTTGCCATGATGATGAGGGGACATGACTGTCAATCCATGGGGGAGTGCCAGAGATGCTACATATCATTAATTGCAGGACAACGAGGAAAAATACAAAATTGTCCTGTCCAAAGTGGCAGCAGATGGTCCACAGAGCTACCTTCACTTGCAGGATACTGAGGAGATTCCCCTGCAGAAACCCTAAGAGCTGGTCCCAGCCTCTGTAAATATGCCTCTGGTGACACTGAGCTCATTACTCACCATTGCTAGGCAGCTATAATGGAACATGTATTCTAATGTTAGGCCAACATCTGTCATCTTTTTATTTCTACCTATTTGCCTTCTGGAACAACACAGAAATAACTACCTCTCCTTCTCAAAGAATCCTTAGTTAAGTATATTTAATGAACTCTGATGTAATAAAGACCACTTTGGTGTATCGAATTTTGCTTGTTTTTTACTAAACTTACTCATCTCAATATGGTGTTATTAGCAGCTCCACTATCACCCTCCTCTAGGAATATCTCTACGATGAAGGAGTGAAAAGCTGTTTATCCCTAAAGAGCTGTCTCCTATCTTCTTTGTGATTTCACATATCTCCTTTTTCAGAAACTCTACTTCTCTCTCCTTCCAATCCATTCTGATGAATAAATTCTATGCTGCTTAGCTGTCTGAATGTGATCAAGATTAGAATTACAGTTGCAGGGAAAACCAGATAAGTATGTACTATATATCTAACTTAAACTCACTTTGTGCCAGAGGGAAATGTGTGTGGGCTTTATGTTTTCGTTGTACAGGTGATCTCTCTTGCTCTTAGCTCACACTAAGGAAAGAAAAGGCAACATGCTTAGTGTATGGTTAGGAATAGGTTTCATGAGTCTAGCCCACTGAGTTGGCACAATTGCCTCTAATGCTGCATTGAGAATAAATCTCAGGCCAAGTTGGACTTTACCAAAAAATAACATCTTAACTATTGAAAGTTATTGCATAGTCTGGTACAGGGCAGGGTCAATGTAGTTGGTACATGTGACATGCATTTACCAAGATTCATAAAGCAGAATAAGCACTGGTTTGGAGTCCTGCAACTGAAGTTCAAACTTCTGGTATCAGAAATTACTAGTTTAGTGACTTTAAACTATCAACATCTCTGCCTACAATTTTCTCATCAGTAAATTTGGAATAAAAAATAACAATAGTTCCCAATTGGCCTATTGTGTGAATCAATTGAAATAACTCTTTCAAATTCTATAAACATTGAGTGTACCTTAATATACCAGATACTCTGGTATCATGCCAAGAATAAAATGATAAATGAGTCAAGGTATGTGCCCTTGAGAAGCTGAGTCAAATGGCAGAAACAGAGAAATAAACATAATTTTAATATAATACAGTAAAGGCATTGATAACTGAATCACAAACTGTTATGATAACACAAACGATGAGCAGTCTATCAGTTATAATGATTTCTGCAGCAACTGTTAAATACTCTGATAGAAACTGGCTTTAACAGTAAGGAAATATATTGTCTCACATAACAGCCAGTGCTCACACTGTTGATTCAGTGGCTCAACAGTATCTTCCAGGACCCATAGTATCTTTCCATCTCTGACCTACTGTACACAGTAATGCCTTTATCCTGAAGCTACATATCCTGTTATAATAAGATGGATCACAGCAGCAATTAAAACAACACCCTTCCTTGTTCAAGTCCCTCTTCTCATATCTTGTTGACCTAAATAAATTTAACGTTACCCATTTCTGAACCAATAACCTATAAAGGAAATAAAATTACCATTAATGGCTGTGACAAATAATCTTGCACAGGTGATAAACATAATATTCACTTGAGATTCTAGACCAGCATAAAATAGTTGGAGTGAGAGTGAAGAAAATGTTTCTTGAAGGACACCAATTCAAGTTTTTAAAGGATAAATAAGAATTAGCCAAAGAAGAAGAGGAGGATAAGCATCTCAGGCAGGGGAACAACATGACTCTTACTGTGGAAGCAAATTACCATCAAGGTAACAGAGGTAAAGGAGCACTGATTATGAGCTATGGAATTTCAGAGCACAAAAGGTTACACACTATGAATTCCTGACTCATGAATCAGTTAAAGTATATGTATACATTAATTTAGTAATTCAAAAAATATTTGATTATAAGATTAAGTAAAAAAAATTATTGATTTTGCATGGGGTAGAAGGGCCTTTCTAGGAAGGCTTTTTTTTTTTCCCCACTATATTTCCTGAACACATTTGAACAGGTACAGAATGTGTAAACCTCTGATTACTTTTCCTTTTCTAGTCATACTGGCCATACCACCAGTATAAATTACTCTGTCATAATGGAGAAGTGTTTTATCCATGTTCATTACTTTTTTTGTGTCTACATAGAGGGAAAACTGGTAAATGTGTCAAGAGTAATGAGCCAATGGTCATATGAAACAGCAAAATACCACTTTAAAATACATTTCAGAAAGTGAAAACAAAACTGTGTCCCTGTGACTAATGCTATAACTAATCCCTGTTATTCGCATTACAGTGGAATACAATAGGGAATAGAAAAACTTAGGACATGTCTGGGGGGAAGATGAAAAGGATAGCAAGGGTGACAATCTCACATTAATTCTCACTGAAAGGTTGGGTTGACCATTTAATCACATGAGCTACATTTTGAAATATCAGTACAATCTATGACTCATTTTGCTTCTTGAATCATATAGAATGGGAACAGAAAGTCGATTGCCTAAGAAGAATTTCAGAAGAGATAGAAAAAGGAGACAGCACTCCTATGAGAGACACAGGCACAACTCAGGAAGCAATTTGCTCTAAGCTATTTCTAAATATTAAAGTCTGGAAAAAACAGATTACATTTAGTCTGATTGTGAAACACTGGTGGAGTAGTGATGGGAACAGTCATTTATTTAGGCCCCTTTCTAAAGGAGAAAAAAGACAAAAGCTATCTTGCAATGTCTACGTATGCAGCAGGGTGGAAATTGGAAGTAATTCAAAATACAATGCCTGTTTATAGAGACAACATACAGTAAATATATTTAAACCTGCATTGCAGTTCCTCTCTCTTTAGCATTTAAATTGATTCACCAGTTTACATCTACTCCCACCTTCACGTCAAATGTGGATGGGGAAACTCTGATTAGAATGAGTCTCTATTTTTCTCTTTTGGAGTCCCTCATTGCCAAACATTATTAGAGTTTCATCTTTAATTTCACTGCAAGACAACTAAATGAAAGGGAACGAGGAACTTGGCTACAAAAACTTTCTAATTTAATCTCCCTTGCAGTCTGATTCCTGTAGCGTGAACAGCACAGCCTGATCTTATTGACACTTCCAACTGCAATGTCAGGTTCATTTCAAAATTTAATACAATGTATTTGTCATCACCACATTTCCTTAGGTAAGGACACTGACACCAAACTGCTACCAGTTGGTGGTCTGCAAAAGACAGCCTGCTGAAATGAAAATTCTCTCCTCTAAACCTAAATAACTCATCTCACATATTGCGTGTCTTCTGTTCCTGCAAGAGAACACTATTGCTTTCCACTATTTGATCATTTAGTAATTCATAGGTAACAATAAAGAAGCAAAAAAAAAAAAAATTTACTCACTGCTTGCTTCTGGAATATTTCAAGAATTTCAAGAATAACTTCTGCAGCAGGAAACAAGAAACAAGATTAGGACCAATACTACTACTTTTTTTTTTTTTTTTTTTTTTTGAGACGGAGTTTAGCTTTGTCACCAGGCTGGAGTACAGTGGCGCAATCTTGGCTCACTGCAACCTCCGCCTCCCAGGTTCAAGCGATTCTCCTGTCTCAGCCTCCCGAATAGCTGGGATTACAGGCATGTGCCGCCATGCCCAGCTAATTTCTGTATTTTTAGTAGAGATGGGGTTTCACCATATTGTCCAGGATGGTCTCAATCTCCTGACCTCAAGTGATCCGCCCACCTTGACCTCCCAAAGTGCTGGAATTACAGGTGTGAGCCACTGTGCCTGGACCAATACTATTCTTGATTCTAACTAAGTGTAAGACATGCCTTGTAAGACATGCTGTAGCCTACTTCTCTGTTATATGCTAACATTATGAAGCTGCCCATTGTCCTTCTTTGGCTTACAACTGTGTTTTTCAAAGTCTGGTCCCTGGATCAACACCAGCATCACCTGGGAACTTGCCAGAAATACAAGTTCTTGAGCCCTATTCTAGCCCTACTGAATCAGAAACTCTGGGGTAGGGGCTGGAAACATGTGTTTTTACAAGCCCACCAGGTGATTCTGATGCCTACTAGTTTTAGAACCACTGATCTAGAAGAAACAAGATAAGAGCACCATGTCTCTCCAACATTTCAGACCCAATTTTCCTATACAAGTAATTACCTTAACACCCAGTAGAGGTCTGTTTGTCTTTTTCTTTTTCAGAACTATTCCAATACAATCTGGAATCAACTAAAAAATGAAAATAAGAGTAACCTAGTCCCCCTCCAGAGTCACACATGACTCAATAGTTGAAAAACAAGACTCAAGATGATGATGTATGTTACCCAGATGGCCTAACTGGAAAATAAATGGAATTCAATAATATGTTTTATGTTTTCATAGGGAAAACAGAAGCAGTATATTGAAGCCCTTTGAATAATGGCAAATAATGAATAAAGACTGAGGGTTGTTCAAAATATTGAATGATCTCTCATGAGATAGTATATCATTTCTGCTTTGAAAGGTAATTCTTTAAAAACTATCATCAACATGGTATGATTTGAATTGGATTTTGTATCTCCTATAGGAATGGATTGACTAAATATCTTTCCAAGTATCTTTGTCTTAGTTTGAGCTGTGTCATAATGAAACTCTGTGACAAAGATTCCCGGACAAGTACTTATTGGGAAGCCATGCCAGGGAGCCAGTCACAAAGTGGGGAAGTGAGGCAGGAAAGGGAGGAGCCTGGTAAAGAGTAGGTAATCAATAAGGAAACAGCTTCAAACATACACCTCCAGGCTATTTCAACTGAGAAGAAAGAAGCTGGGTGTGTATCACCAACTCTCAATCAATAGTTGAAGACTGCTCCCTGGGGTTGCCAATTCCCTAGCAAGACTGCAGTGAACAGAGACAATTCTTAGGCAAAGAGATGTAGGTGATATCAGCTGGAATTTCAGGCTGACACCCACAAAAATGGGAAATGGCCAAGGGGATCTGGGCAGGAAACAAAGGTGTGTGCTACAACCCATTACTTCTGACTATTCCAAAGGGCCATTTCTCTGAATCTGCATTGCTAATACAAATGCATGTCCATGTTTATTCTCCCATTCTTCGATTCTTCCAAACAGGTGGCAAGATGTTGGCAAGATAAGATTCTCGTCCCTATATAAAGGTAAGTGGGAGTCTTCCTACACAAATAAAAAATTGATAGCATAAGAAAAAATGATAGTTACTTTCTTAAAAAAGAAAAATCTGATTACTATTATCCTTTCTAAAATGCACATCTTAATAAACCGCATATTTATTTTAACCAAGTTGCCATTTCTCAAAACTTTTAGAAAATCCACATTTTAACTTTATTTTAGAGCCTACATATCCTCAGGTGGCTCGAATTTTATAGCATCTCTTTAAATAGGTTGATTCACTGAAGGAATATACTTATGTGAAAAAGAAATATCTGATGAATAATCTATTCTTCTTTCATCCTAAAATACAAGAAAATAAATATTATACTAAAATAGCATTTAGAATATCTTATAAGCAAAAGCAAAAACTTACAGAGCAGAAGTAAAGCAGCATTTGTTAACAACACGAGATACAACATAATCGAAGAGTTTAAAAATAAAGACAACACAAAAGGAGTTCTCTTTAGAATTCTGGTGAATCGCAAAATATTCCAAAAAATAATTTTTATTTGAATGGAGTCTGGAGTCTGACATTACTCTCACAGGTAAGCCAAAGAACATTTTTGAGATCTAAAAATAAAACAAACAAACAAAACAAAACTTTCAACTCCAATCACAGACGTAAAAACATTTAAAGAATATTTGATCCAACTTAGGTAAATGATTATTCTAACACATTTCCACCAGTTGAAGTCCTCCTTAAAAAGTACTTACAGTGTTAGAGCTTACAAGTACATGCCATTTTAGCCAAGATTAAAGGTAACATTCTTGGAGTGTTCACAGTTAATGATTTAAGGCAAAGACCCCTAGAAAAATATCCTTGAAATAAAAAGCAAAGCTACTTTAATGATGCAAAATCATTCCTAGTGCCGTGCAAATATATACACAGCTTGAGAAAAATATTTGCATGGAAAATGCATAGTGCAACTGTGAAAATAAAAAAACCTTGTATGCAAGGGAGTGTTTTTGGCAACACTGCAGAACTCTAACTCCATGCCTCTCAACATGTGAACTTTGTTCTTTGTGATCTATTACACTCTTCAGTAGTGTGGGCATTTGCCTTCTAGAAGTGCAGATTGTATGTTGCATTATCCCTGAATGAAGATGTTTGCTGAAACATGTAAACACTTTTTTTCAAGATAGCCTATTTGGCAAATTATGGGGCAAAAGTTATGGGTGAGTGCTCCAGGTCTGACTGCTACAGCAGGCAGACAGGTGTTTATCCAATGACCCCATGGAGTCTTCTGCCCACTTTGCATTGTGGGCACATGAAAGATGATACATAGTAGTCACTTGCCAGCCACTGGGAACACTGTCCACTGGCCTGGCATTATGAGGGTTTTTCCAACTTGCTTTTGAAGATGTCACTTGGTGGTAAACTTTGATCAATCACCAGTGACACCTGGCAATAACGAACCAGTTATATGTTTGAGAATTGATGTTTAAAATGCAGTGAGTAAATTTGATATTCTAAGGGAGAAATATGTTGGGCTTGCATTTTTGAATCTCACTCCATTTACATTTCAAGTGCTACTTTGAAATGAGGAAACATACTTGTCAATGAGACAAGAATAACCTATGCATATTCAACGCTCCGTAAATGTCTATTGACATTTGATAAGATATTGTGCAGAGGACAGAAATCAAAGCTATTCCATCAATCAGAGACTCGGAAATCAGATTCCAAATAAGAACACTCATTTATACAATCTATTAAGCAATTTACCTCTTGAAAATAAATATCACTGACTAACATAATGTTTGCTATAATTACAGGCTTGAGGGAGAAAGAGGAGCTTCAGTGGCACTGATAGTATTGCTAATAAATCAAAGTAGAAAATGGAACAAAGCAGAGATAGCTGTAGGAATTAGAGATGACTACTCAAATCTAAGATAACCCAAAGTAGACCACATTCTTAAACTAATCCACAAAGTTTAGGCACATCAGAAATTGCTATTTCCATATACTCCCTGGTTTCAATGTGACATAGATTATATATTTTTGAAGTTTGTAAGCTAATGGTCTAAACAAACTCCTGGGGAAGAGCAATATGTCTTCCTAGCAGCTAACAAGGACACCCAACAAGACACTGTCGAGAGCCCTACAGAATCTTGGTCAAGCTTATGTAGAAATCTCATGGTTCCACAATTTGAATGGGACATAGATACTTGGCAGGGATGTTGAATGTTCCTTTCTAAACACCTATATGCAGGATATCTAGAAGGAGATCATATGTAAAAGCCTAAAAATGGTAAACAAGCCAAGTTACCCTTACAAATTAAGGTAGGCCTCAAGTCTGAGTAGATCTAATGTAAGTGGTTTTTTAAAAAATCAAAAATAAAGTATTTCTTTTGGTCTCATCTGTTAAATTCAAAACAAATTCTGAAAGAAAGTGTCTATGAAGCAATTAATAAACCAAGAGTGATGGAGGAAAATATCAAATGTTACAAAGAAAAAAACAAAAGGAAATCAAAGGACACTGTATATCTCAAACCTGTCATTCTCCAGGCATTTAAATTAATGTCAACAGTTCTGTCAACTCCTGTAGTTATGGAAAAAACCTGATAATATGTAGGAGTCAAACAGGAGCACTTCTCTGCCAAACTTCTATCATCAATCACCCAGATTCACACTGAAGCTGAACCACAAAAAGTGTAACCAGACCACATTTTCAGTTTCACACAGAACAAAAGACAGCTTCAGCCACTAGGAGGCCAAGCATGTTCCCAGAACCACGACCATGGCCATTGCCCCACAAACGATGAGGGAGTCATTCAGGTATTTAAAAACCAAAAAGACTTCACGGAGCTGATATGAACAAATATTAATTCCCTCTTCTGCACACATAAGTTCAGTGTGTAGGTCAAAAGCTGAAAATTAGTCATTTCACAGGAATAAGCAAGAAAGCTCTAAAACTGCTGTAAAACAGTAAAGCTGATGATTGTAGAAGGCTCAGCATAAATTATGAAAGAAGTTCCTAGCCAAGTGGACAGAGATATCATGACAACCCTCCAATATCTGCTGTGAGATAACAAAGCATGAGAGTCATTTATCACTGGGTTCCAACCAAACCAATGATCTTTGTGTTTCCTTAGCTGGAGCTGGGGAGGAAGAATTAGTTATGGCTATTCGAATCCTCCTTATTATTTTCATGTTTTAAAAGAATGCTCTTCGACCAATTCTTCAGGACCGGGTAGAATAATAATTGTACTTTAAAATATACATAAAATAAGTTTATGGCTTTTTGGAATGGTTATATGCCATTCAAAAAATCATTGCCACTTCACTAATCATTGTTATATAACTAATTTAACTCTCACAGTCTTAAGAGTGAGAGGGAGGTTTTATTACCCCACTTGGCAGCTGAAAGAAAGGATGCTTCCTAGTTAAATAAATTTCCTGAGACAACCTAGCAGGTGAGTAGCAGAGTTGAAACTGCAACCTATCTAACTCTAGAGCTCATGTTTTAAACTTCCATACTTCACTTCTTACTCCAAACTCAACACAGAACACTTCTGTAACCACACAATTCTCCAACACCACCTGGGCATCCTGCAATTTAACTCAACTCTAACACTATCTATTTGGAGTTAGCATTAGATCCCACAGGTTATGGTCTCAGTCCTTCAAGACTGCCGCTCACTTCAGATGCCCGTCTCAAGTCCCAGACTGTCGCCTGTGCTTCTGACCCATGGTTATACATCGGGGTTCCCACAACTCCTTCCTCAGGTCCTATAATTTCCTAGGACATATTACAGAACTCAGGGAAACATTTTACATGTATTGGTTTATCATAAAGGATATTACAAAGAATATACATGAAAAGCCAGAAGAGATTCATGAGGAAAAGATGCACAGGGCAAGGTATGGGGGACAGAGTGCAGGGCTTCCATCCCCTTGCTGGGATCTGCCACCCTCTCAGCACTGCCACATTTCCAGCAGCCCAGAAGCTCTCTGTACCTCATAGTTCAGAGGTGTTTATGTAAGTAGGATCAATAATTAACCCAATCTCCAGCCCCTCTCTTGTTTCCAGTGGGTGAACTGAAATACCTAAGCTTCTAATCATGGTTTGGTCTTTCTGGTGATCATCTCCCATCCAGAAGCTCACCAAGCATTACTTCATTAGAATAAGGCAGGCCTTGCACTCAGGAAATTCCAAGGGATTTAAGAGCTGTGTCAGGAACCACGATTAAAGACCAACTATGAAAACAAAAGATTCTCCTAGCACCCCTGTATCTCAGGAAATAACCAGGGTTTTAGGAGCTCTGTGATAAGGAGCCAGGGACGAAGACCAAAAAATATACGTCTTATTAGAAAACACAATATCACACAAACAAAAGCAATACGAAAGTGATCTGTTACTAAATTGCACATATGTTACCACAATTCAAAAATTATATGTTAATATTCACAGGAGTTGCTATTAGTTTTAACTCTGCTGTAGCTAATACAATCTGTTATTGCCCTTTAATTAAATAATCACCTGGTTTCCACAGGGAACCAATTACATCACCTGACAAAATCTATATCTGTGTAATTATGGTAATGATTGAAAAGAAATGAAGAAAGGATGAAGAGAGGGAGGGAGGGAGAGAGAAAAAAAGGAATGAAAAGCTTTGCAATATATATCAACCCTGTGTGCTCTGAATCTATTTTGTGATTTACTTCTGTTCTATGGATTACTTAGCTGCATAAGTTCAAAACGCTTCATTCCACATATCATGAGCATTATAAGTGGGGCTTCTCATGGCAGAGCTGATTAATAAATATACACGATATTCTTCCAAGGTACTGAAATTTTTTTCAAGTTCAGGATCAAGGTTTTACATGTCACTTTTCTTATTTCCACATGACACATGTTTTCTGAATCACCTTTCATTTCAAATAACCTACCAGGTGCTTGCTGATTGAGGAAAGACATCATTGTTAATAGTTTTGTAAATCTTGACAACTTGTATTTAAAAACAGTTCTTTGGAAATGTTAGTATTGTGTCTATAGCTGATTCAACTCTAATGTCATATAAACAAAAAGCCACCTAGTTTTGTTTGGTTCTTTTTTTAACTTGCAGGATGTTTCAGTCCTGGATTCTTAACAAGATGACATTTGTTTATAATATATAAAGGCATGTTATACATTGGCTTTTACTTGTTTTATATTGATAAGTTGAACACTATCCAAGAGATTTGTTCTCTGTTTTTTTGACAAATTAAAAACTCTTAAGAAATCTCTAGGTTTGCTGTATTGCATTTAAGTACAATCAAATAGTGTTCTGTCATGGAGTATGTGGACCCATATTAAGTCACGGCACCTTACTTTGCAGCAATGTGTCACTCGATGTAAACATAAATATTCAAGGATAAGAAAGGCTGTGCTTCTCTTCCTCATGAGAATGATCTATTGAAGGGTGGTCATGTGTTATTTGGCTGATACTTAACATCCTAACACCTCTAGTGGGTCACTGGGTCATACCGCGGTCATTCTGGCAGACGGCCTTCAGAATACGATGTCCCAGGCCACATTTTCCATGATCAGGGAAACAGATCCCTTCTGATGCCAGCCATCGGTAGCACATTGGATCCTCACAAGGAACAGACTCCACCAAATGAGGGCAATGCCCTGCAGGCCCTGTAGATTCCATGAGGACATGGCGCTGCCTCGTTCTAAATCCTAAAAAGAGAGAGAAAAGAATTTTCAGAGAATTCCACTCTTTTCCAGGAAAGGAAAAGAAGCAGCTGGGTGAGAGATGAAAAGTTTTATTCAAGTACTCATCGCTCTAAGCACGTATTATCTTGATGTGTTTTATTCTATGTGAAGTGAGAGGATGAGATGTAGAAAAAAAAGAGAATGGGAAAGAATAAAAGCAGGAAATCTGTCTTCCAAGAGTTTACAACCTAGGAGTTGGAGAAGTCAGACATAATTCAATGGAATAATAAGTAGCGTAAGTCCTATGGTATCAATAAACCAGTAAAAATAAATGGAGACTCAGAAATGATCTAAATATAGATTAATCCACATTTTCTTTTTGCTGTTGATTTTGACATTCTTGTTACGCTGCATTCGGTTAAAATACATTACCTCTCTGGCATCTCCATGGCGCCTGACCATTCACAACTTCCTGCTCCGAGATTTATCTGCATCATGTCACTGAGGTTTACACATCAGTCTGCCTCATAAAGACAATATCTCTTTGGAGTTCACTTTCCACCCAGGCTAGACATGGGTCAATGATTGTTATTATGTTTAAAAAAAGTGTACTGTGGGACTAGGGCCTCAAAGTCCCAGCCAGAGACTGTAATAAGAACATAGATGTATTTTACATGCTATGGGCCCAGAGAGTCACAAATGCAAATCAACAGGAGTCAAGCAGGTACACATCGAGGCAAATGGGTCAACCATGAGACTGCAGCGAGTGTTTGGGTTAATGGGCCTGCTCTAAAATGCCTGACTACTATTCAGCTTCCGTTGACTCTTGGCCTTAGAGATCATGAACCCTCTGTTAACAGATCCTTCCATTTTGTCTAAGAAACCAGAAATCCCTCTATTTTTAAATGATAAAAACTAATGCACAATTTTTAAAAAACAAAGTGACCTAATAAAGAAGGACTGAGAACCAGATTGAACCCTTTAGTGTAAATTTTCAATCTCTGGCCCCCATGATATACCACTTCTAAAGGCTACGTCTACCTTTTGTGGATCTCATACCTTCCATCGTTTCTATTCCAAATTCAATCAACAGATTCCTTTAATTCCTTTTTCTTTTAACAAAACCAACAGTTTTGCATGAATAACATTTTAAGAAATTGTTATTCATTTATTCCTCGGAGTAAGTAAAGAAAATGAGAGAGTTTGATAGCACAGAGAACATTCAATTCCCAGAGTGAAAGCTGCATATCCCACCACTCTTCCCACAAGGGGAGGGGAGAAGGACAAGTTAGGGAGCATGAGAGGTAACATCTCTCTCATGAAAAAGTTACACACCTCAAGGTATAGTTGGAGAAAGACCAACCTCTCTTAAATAGCACAGCCAAGGAGGCTAGAACACAATGAACATGTGGTTTTGAGAAACAAGAAAAAGCTACAGAGAGGTTCTGGGTTAACTTAGATTAAAAAAAAAAAAAAAACCTCAAATAAAGCACTTAAAAATCCTTACCTAAAATACTAAGTATTTTAGCAAAGTACAGGGCTGGGCAAGAATTTTAGGTAAGGATTTTTAAGTGCTTTGAGTTTTTTTTTTTTTTTTCCTAAGATAACCCAGAACCTCCCTTTAAAAGAGACTCCTAGACTCTTTAAGGATTAGCTACCTTGGGAAGAAATCATTCAGCCAGTCAGAGGCTATATTCTCATGGCATTGACATGGTTAAGATCAGAGCGGTTAAAAAAAAAATAATAATGGTTTCTGCCGTGCTTTATACCTCCATACCTCCATGTCTATATCATTAACTAGCCAAATAAAATCTACAGAAGGGCTCATATTGCTTCCTAAGCCACCTTGAAAGGAGATGCATACACGGCTGTAAACTTCACTTGACGAGCATCAAACTACAATGACCTACGAGCTCTCACTGCCACAAAACTCGAATGACCTCTATTCTTATATGTAACATCTGCATGCTGCTTATTTATTGTCTTATATTTTTGCTTGTTTTGATTTTATCTTTGAGCAAGACATGGCATGAGTCACCATGATTTACACTGTTTGACAACTAGCCCAGACTTGAGCACAGAAACTTAGAAGTCTTTATGAAGGATTCTGGGTGTCCTATTATTTGGAGCTTAATGCCATTGAGGGGCATGTTCAGTTTTCCTCCATAAATCAAGTTGCATCCATCTTGCCATAAATCTATAGATTACCTCTCCTCAGTCAATAAATTCCTTCAGTCTTTCATTTGTGCTGCCCTTGTCCTGACTCTAACTAGGATCAAACCACAGCACAAGCTCAGCATAAAACAAAAACCCTGGATTCTCTTGCTAGCACTTAACTTTAATCACACATCGCTGTTCATGCCTGCAATAGACATCAGGCATCTCCCAGGTACTTCTGTTCTGAAAGATAGACAATTGCCAAGTCCATAGTGGTTGGGGGCCAGCCAACCAATCACTTTCATTTATTGAGTTTCATATTAATCAGATGATATTATTCCATAAATATTAACTGTCATTTGCACATCACTTTCCTGTACTATGGGAAGCCACAGGAGGAACCAGAAATGTGTATTCTTCTCAAAGCATAAAACCTAACAAGGGAAAAAGGCACATGCATAAACTAACATCCACCCTTTACCAAGACTGGGACAGTAACTTTATTACTCTAAATGAATCAAGCCTCAAAACTATGTTATAAGTTACTATTCCCATTTTGCATGTGTGAAAACTAAGATGCCACTTTATTACTTCTCCAAAGGTGCATTATTACTGATTAAATGGATGGGTGTGAAAATCAGCAGAAGTCTTTCAGAGTCATTGCCTCCTCACAAGAAAAGATTAAAGTCGGCTCCTGTGGATATTGTGTTTTCGCCACACTTTATAAAGTGAACCTGAAAGGCACCGTGGTTTAGTTGAAGGTACTAAAGGTGAGTAGATTGGACAGTGGAATTTTAGATGCTGCACAGCAGGGGAGAGCCATAATCAACATTTCCTGACCACAGATTCAATTCACCTTTAGTGAAACTAGTATCTGCAGGGTTTATTTTTTTCTATGACTCCAAGAATTAATATTTAGTGTATAATTCTACAGGAGATAATTAGAAAAGAATGGGCAGTGGGTTGGGGAGAGAAAAGGGAAGACGAGCAGATGGCAGAAAAGGGGTCAGTGTTTTTTAATTGAAGCCATGGAAGAATTAAAAGAGGCTCCGGAGGGTATATCCAGATCTGAGGGCTGTATTTCTGCATGAGTTAGTGGATCAGAAGTGTACACATGAGCTATCCACAGGCAATGTTATGTCTCAACACCGACTCCATTGGGACAGGCGTGAAGAAAGTCCAGCAGGTTCCAGCCTGGCCAATATGGTAAAACTCCATCTCTACTAAAAATACAAAAAAATTAGCCAGGCAGGGTGGCACCTGCCTGTAATCCCAGCTACTCAGGAGGCTGAGGCAGAACTGCTTGAACCCAGGAGGTGGAGGTTGCCGTGAGACGAGATCACGCCACTGCACTCCAGCCTGGGTGACAGAGTGAGACTCTGTCTCAGAAAATAAATAAATAAATAAATAAATAATAAAATAAAAATTATAAAAAAGAAAGTCTAGCAGGTTAAACAAACAGGACAGAAGCTTATTCTGTCTTAAGTACTTCATTTGCTCTTCCTCTCTGGCGGCCCTGAACTTTGGGTAACAACTCTGAGTGAAAGAATCTGAGCATATTGAAGCTTCAATCCTAACCCTTTAGAAATCAACCACCATCCTGCAGGGATAGTATCTTATAGTATCATTATTAGTCCACAGCCTGGTGTAAATCCAGAAACTAAGAAGACACACTGATAGGGTGAAGTCAGCATGAGAACTCCCAAAGCTTAGAATGAGAAGTTAACAGAACGCCCCACCCACCCCAAACACATAGACACAGAAAAAAGAAACAACTATCTCTTAGCATTTCCTATCTATGAGAAAGCAAAATGATTTTATAGACTTCTCATTCAAGGGAAAGCCTATCTAGCAGACAAGGATGGAAAATGGAAATATCCCCCATTTTTGGTATGTAACATCTAAAACATGAGAGTATTTTCCAACTTTAGCATGTTATCTAATTTGTTTAAGAGCATAAAAGACTGTCTTCAAAAAAGAGTCATGGCTTCTCAGTTTCAAAGTATCTTGTCCTTTGGGAATTTTTAAGGACTTGGGTGCTCTCACTGAGGGAAGGAATCCCTGAAGTCCTTCCACCTAAGCAGCTGGCTGTTGTGACACTCTATAGGGAGCCTCCAGCAAATTCCTCTTTAGAACAACTTCAGTGGGCAATTCTGCCTTTCTAGTATATGTCTGAAAAGGATAAGGATGTCATATAAATGTGTGTCTATATATCAAGAAAAAATTTTAAAATGTATCACATCTATGTGTAGAGTTTGTCTAAGAGTATTTATTTTTTCAGGCTAATTCTCTTATATATCTCTAATTATAACACTCTGGGAGTGTATCAAAGACAAAGCAATAAATGATAAAACCTGACCCAATTTAAATTCCTCTGAAAGGCATCCTAGCTTTACTTGACAAGCACCAACCTGCCGATCATGGTTCCCTTGTCTGCCTGTCATGACGCGATGGAAGGGTGTGAAGGCTGTGAACACTGGCTGATTTTCTAATGTACTCTGAATAACCAACAGCCACAAGCCTTCCATGATTCCTAATGGAAGGATTTCTGATTAAGAATAAAAGTCATGTAAAGATAATTTCTATAGTAACTAATTTCTTCTATTCCGCAATAAAACATTTCCTACTTTCCCATTCCTTTCTACTTTTTTTCTTAATGTGAACAAAGGAAATGTACCAGAGCAATAACACGATGACTAGGAAAGCCTAGAGAGGAGAAAAATGATATTCTCTCCTACTCTCCACATTCATTTTTTTTTGCTGTTGTTTGCTTGCTTTTCTCTTAAATACTCCATCTTTCTGTGTGTATGTGTGTGCATGCACGTGTGTGTGTGTGTGTGTGTGTATTTTTTAAGAGTATGAAATATCTAGGAAAGTATAAATATCCTAGATTTCTGCTAGTGGAATCACTGCATTTTAGAGTAGAGAATTCAGATGTGAAGCTAAACACTCCCGCTTATATCCCAGAGTTTTGCAATGTTTAATGCATTAGCCTGTGTACCCCAGCTTCTGTAGAATTCTGAAGTATCTTTAGTTTGTACCACTCAGTGATCCTGGCAGAACTCCCATGATTCTACTCACAGTAGAATCATGGGACAGACACCAAGACTGAGGGGGATCTCAGACCTAATACACACAAGTCAGTAGAAATAACAAGACTACTTGCTGTCATCATAACATGCTTGGATACCTTGAAGGAACAGAATCATTTCCCTAGAGGGAAAACTCTATTCTTCATTCTTCCCAAGAGGGAATATAGGCAGGTGGTCCTGGCAGGTTTTAACAAGACCTTACAAACCAAAATTCTCTCTGCTCTAGGGGAGCATTTATAAAATACCAAACTCCTAGACCTGAATAACAATCATCAGGGCTTACCATCCCTCCTGTCAGTGACTACAGTTCAGGAGGCAGCCATTCAGCCACAGAATGGGTTCTATTAAAAAACGGCTAATTCTCATCAATCTCAACATGTCCCTAAACTCTGCAGGAGGCTGTGGGGACAGTACCACCTTCAGGTGAGAGGTTCTACTGCCTCCATCCTCTCCTTCAGCACTTTTCTTTCACTCTTTCTTTTTTTTTATTATACTTTAGGTTCTAGGGTACATGTACACAACTTGCAGGTTTGTTACATATGTATACATGTGACATGTTGGTGGGCTGCACCCATTAACTCGTCATTTACATTAGGTATATCTCCTAATGCCATTCCTCCCCTCTCCCCCACCCCACGACAGGCCCCGGTGTGTGATGTTCCCCTTCCTGTGTCCAAGTGTTCTCATTGTTCAATTCCCACCTATGAGTGAGAATATGCGGTGTTTGGTTTTTTGTCCTTGCGATAGTTTGCTGAGAATGATGGTTTCCAGCTTCATCCATGTCCCTACAAAGGATATGAATTCACCCTTTTTTATGGCTGCATAGTATTCTATGGTGTATATGTGCCCCATTTTCTTAATCCAGTCTATCATTGTTGGACATTTGGGTTGGTTCCAAGTATTTGCTATTGTGAGTAGTGCCACAACAAACATATGTGTGCATGGGTCTTTATAGCAGCATGATTTATAATCCTTTGGGTATATACCCAGTAATGGGATGGCTGGGTCAAATGGTATTTCTAGCTCCAGATCCTTGAGGAATCGCCACAGTGTCTTCCACAATGGTTGAACTAGTTTACAATCCCACCAACAGTGTAAAAGTGTTCCTATTTCTCCACATCCTCTCCAGCACCTGTTGTTTCCTGACTTTTTAATGATCGCCATTCTAACTGGCGTGAGATGGTATCTCATTGTGGTTTTGATTTGCATTTCTCTGATGGCCAGTGATGATGCCTTAAGCCCTTTTCAAAGGCTGAGTCTCCCTTTGAAAAAAGTATTGATTGGGGCAAAACACTCCCCACCTCTGGTTATCTAGTGCTCTTAAGCTACTCTCAGCACAACCTCCTGCCCTCCCACAACTGCAGCCTCTTTTCCCCCTTCATCCAATGACAACGTACTGGCACTAGATACATCCCATGCCCCATAACTTGTCTCCTGCATCTGCTCAATGATTTGCTCTTAGGCATAATGGCTCACACTGACCAATGTGGTGCATGATGGGCAGATGGCTTCTCTTCTCAGAACTGAGCTTGTACTTTGATCCAAACTTCTTTAGGCTGATGGAGAAAATCAACTAAGGAAGCTTAGGGTTTGGAGGGACACTGGACTAAAGAGACAGGAAACCAGATCCTTACTGCCAACATGGCCATCATTAAATTACCATGGGACTTTAGACAAATTACCTTACTTCTTGACACTTTGGTGTTGTCATTTTGTGAAGTGCTGTATCCTTGTTGAGCCTAAATGCTGATTCAAAGTTGGGCAGTGTATTAGTTTCTAGAGCTGTCATAACTAAGTACTGGAAATTGGGTAGCTTAAATCAATAGAAATGTATCATCTTCAGAGTTCTGCAGGCTGGAAGCCTGAAATCAAGGTGTCAGCAGGGCCATGCTCCACATGCTCCCTCTGGAGGCTTTACAGAAGAATCTGTGCCATGCCTCTCTCCTAGCTTCTGGTGGTTGTGGTTCTCCACGGTGCTCCTTGGCTTGGAACACATTACTCCCAATGTCTGCCTTCATCTTCATGTGGCCTCTCTTCTTCTGTGTCTCAATGTCCTCACATGGCACTCTCCTCTCTGTGTATGTCACTATGCCCAAATTTTCCTCTTCTTGCAAGAACACCAGTCACTGGAATAGAGCCTACCTTAATCCAGTATGACCTAATCTTAACTTCATTACTTCTGAAATAATCCTATTTCCAAATAACATCCTACTCATATGTACCAGGGGTTGGGATTTGAACACATCTTTTTGGGGGCATACCATTCAACCTACAGCAAGTGGTGTCTTATGAATGATGGACCAGGGTATATCTGCACAGGTTGACTTTTACTATAGAGAAATAGAGGCCAATGAGGATAAAGTTTGGCAAAAAATGTTACTTGGCGGAATGGGGCCAAGGGAGGGGGTCTGAAGTTCCATGGGCCAGTTCCGAATTATCCGGAAAAATAAAACTGAAAGTTCAAGGAGCCAGTTTTTAACAGGAGTTTTGTGAAAATTGGAGCTCAAGTGACAAAAAAACACAACACAGAATTAGGGCAACCAGCCTGATCAACATGGAGAAACCCCGTCTCTACTAAAAACACAAAAATTAATCAGACATGGTGGCGCATGCCTGCAATCCCAGCTACTCGGGAGGCTGAGGCAGGAGAATTGCTTGAACCCAGGAGGCAGAGGTTGTGGTGAGCCAAGATCACGCCATTGCACTCCAGCCTGGGCAACAAGAGTGAAACTCAAAAGAAGGGGAAAGGGAAATGGAAAGTGAAAGGAAAAGGGAAAGGGAGGAAGAAAGGAAGGAAGGGAGGGAGGGAGGAAGGAAAGAAAGGAAAGAAAAAGAAAGAAAGCAGGCAAAAGCATTCTTTGAATTGCCATAGAGAATCCATGGCCCAGAACGAAGGGGAGAAAGCATTTAGTAAACATCTATTTAACAAGCACCTATAAAATCTGACCCTCAGAACTGCTTCTACCTGCCTGCAGTACCAGTACCTCATTTTTTTTCTGAGGGAGTCACATTTCCCCATTCTCTGTCTTTGAAGTTTGAAGGGAACTGTCCCTCTCCTGATCCCAGTGGTGGCCACATGTCCAGGATTTGAACATGTAAACCCCACATCCTCCAGTCAGAGTAGTTGGTTCAGGAATGAGGACATGACATAAAACAGCCAATGAGATTCAACTCCAGGACTCTTCCGGGGACCAATGGAAAAGACATTTCTTTCTGCTTTATGTACTACCTTAAATTGAACCTAATATAGAGAAAAGCAGACACAAGAGATGGAGAGAGAGAGAAATGTAAAGGTAAAGAAAGAATTAGAAAACAAGACGGAGACCCATTGGCCTGTTTATACTCTTGGATGCAGCCCTATCCTCTCTTCTCATTTCAGCTACATGAGCTCAAACCAGTCTCTTCTGACTTAGGCTGGTTATCAATTGGGTTTCTGTCACCTATAACCATTAGTCTCCCAAGTAATATAACCAAGAGTCTCCCAGATCTACTTGGTCTGATGTGGTTCTACAGCTTTGAAAGTAGATGAAGGCAGCACTTCATGCAGCAAAGTGATGTCACAGCCACAGTGACTGGAGGAGCCTTGGTCCAACCTCACATGATTTTCTGGACAGTGACCTAAACAGGAGCAGCACAGGCTAAACATAAGATGACTGTTCTAAAAATATGTAAATCACCCTGAAGAATCTCGTATACAACTACATGCAACTGACTATATATGTGTAGATCATAAGACTGCAAACTATAGGTATTAGTATAAATGGAAACTTATTTGTGTCCACAAGCTGCGGAGGCGTGGGGGACATTCTGGTTACATGTCAAATAAGAGAATTGCCCAAGGCCCTCTCCAGGCTTCTTTGACATCCAGATTTCTATGGTTTGATAAAAGAATGAAAGTTAGCTTCCACCTGCCTGAAAGCCAATACACATCTTCCTTTCTACCTTAGAACAAGAGTCAGAATGAAAGGAAAAGCCCAGGAACAGGGGTAAGTGAGTCTGGGTGTGCACATGTGTGTATATGAGCACTCTAGGAATTACTGAAATGTGGGTTTTCAAGTGAATGTAGCAGTAAGCAGTGAGCAGGGTGCTAGGTATGCAAGCATGCTAGCATCAAGTGTTTGGCCATGGATTCTTGCTTTGCATGTAATAACTAGAACCTAATTTCTGGAATGTCCTTGGATCTCATTTCTCTTGGTAAAGGAAATATTTTTTTTAGTACTGTCATTTAAGGGAACACAGTATCAATAGAAACTAAAGGGTCAATGAAAGAGAAGGCAAGATATCACTAGGAGTAAACTTTTGAAGATGAAGACACGTATTTTGATTACAAACTAAAGAAAACTAGACCATAGAGGCCTACAAAAATAAACAGGAATATAAAGGTTGAAGATTTTTCCTTAAGCCCAAGATCAATATCAGAAACTAAACAATATACATAATGACCCTTGCAAAAATCTAAAATATAACATCAAATGTTAAATGTGGAAATCTGAAAAGAATTATATAGATTTGCGAAACATTTCTTTTCAGATGTGAGCGTGGAAATCATGTCCAATTTCCCCCATATAACCATTATATATAAAAAACATGAAGTGGCCAGGCACAGTGGCTCACGCCTGTAATCCCAGCACTTTAGGAGACTGACGTGGGCAGATCACGAGGTCAGGAGTTCGAGACCAGCCTGGAAAACATGGTGAAACCCCATCTCTACTAAAAATACAAAAATTAGCAGGGCTTGGTTGCAAGCACCTGTAATCCCAGCTACTTGGGAGGCTGAGTCCGGAGAATAGTTTGAACCCAGGAGGCAGAGATTGCAGTGAGCCAAGATCGTGCCATTGCACTCCAGCCTGGGTGACAGAGCAAGACCTCATCTTGGAAAACAAAACAAAACAAAACAAAAGATGAAGTTATACCAAATAGAGTAGTAGTCAGCTATGAGTCTAACTGAAGGTAAATCAAGGTGAGATTGTGCACTCCACAGAAATGTCCCAGTTGCCTCCCTAAAACTGAATACCGTTAGGCTTGAGCTGGTTATCTAAATTTTACAAACAAATATTGTCTTAAGCAGGCTTAATCAGTGACTTAGCTACCAGAATAAATGTTTGTACGCTGACAGCAAATGAAGCGCATGCAAACAAGGCACTCACCTTTTTTCCCCTGAGGATCATGACAGTTTTCATGGATGCACAGGCCCCAGGCTGACCAGGAAGATACTATGCAGTCCGTAGAGCAAGGGATATTGCAGAGCTGAGAGGGCAACGGGGCGGGTCCCACACATAATGCCTTTTCCACAGGTCTAGAGACTGAGGGACAAAAAGATAACGGACCATGTCACATTCTCTGGACATCCTTAGCATTGCTTCTGCCTTTATTTGCATGCCTGTCTTGCAAATAAAACATTATAGTTAAAAAGAACATATGCAAAGAAAACATCAACACTTTCTAATATGTGTTGTTTAGCTTCACATGACTAGTATTTTGGTTGAGAAAAGGCAAAGAAGACAGAGGCAAAGTGCATGCGCTTGAAATTCCTGCTTTGCAGGGTATTCACTGGGAATCTAAGAGAGAACTGGAAATATCATAGATACAAATTATCTAGAGTTATGACTTTTTAAAAAATTAAATGGCTTTGTGAAGTTTCAAGATGAGTCTATCTCATCTATATAAATGACTAGGTCACTGTGAAAAAAATCCAGATTGAAGCCCTCAGGTGGAGTGTTTAGCATAACCAATTTACTGCTGCGACTCCCCTGAGCGAGGGAGCTGGCAAAGATACACAAGAAAAATCGTACTTAGGATAAGAAGAAAATTCAGAATCTGTGACTGCAGAACTGGCCCTTGGAAATCAGTTTCATTTGTGAGGCTACACAGAGGCCCAAATGTCCTCTTGGAAAATGACTAGTAGCTTCTGTCTCTTCCTGGTGTGCACCTGCACCCAGAGTGGGCCCACATGGAGGTCACTTCAGGTCGCAGCAACCATGTTTCCAACAACAGTGTTCACCATGTGTCCTCTGTATGCAGATGCTTTTTTTTTCTTTTTATTTTTTGCTCTTTTAAATTTAATTAATTAATTAATTAATTTTTTTTTGAGACAGGGTTTCACCCTGTCACCCAGGCTGGAGTGCAGTGGTACCATCATAGCTCACTGTAGCATCAACTTAATCGATCTTCCTACCTCAGCCTCCTGAGTAGCTGGGACCACTGGTGCAATGTCACCATGATCGGCTAATTTTTTCTATTGCTTTTTGTAGAGAGAAGGTCTCCCTATGTTCCCTAGGCTGTTCTGAGACCCCTGGGCTCAAGCAATCTGCCTTCATCAGCCTCCCAAAGTGCTGGGATTACACACGTGAGCCACCATGCCTGGCCGCCAGGAGACTCTTTCTAGGCACCATGAGAATACACAGAAGAAGGAGAAGATAAGATCCCAATCCTTGTGAAGACTGTAATTTTATAGGAGCTAGGATAGTAATACTTGGAGATGACACTCTAAAGGACCAGACAAATGCATTAAGTAATTACTCTTGCACAGAGAGACCCTAAACTAGGAAGGCTTTGGAGCAATCTAGAGTTTTTTTTAACAAATGGTTAAAGTTCCGAAAATGTTATTTTACACACTAGTTTGTACTATTGTCTAAATATTTCTGATATGTCATTTCTATTCAGTTGAGCACACTAGAAATGCTTCCAAGGTGGACACTGCAGTAAGAGGAGTGAGTTGTAAATCATACCATCTACTTTCTGCCTTACCCTTAACACGTGTAAGAGTCAAATCTGGTAAGAGTGAAAATAAATTTCAGCACTGACCAGCAGAACTTCGAACACCAAAATAGCAGCAAAATAAAAAAATACCATCATGACAAAGTTGCAACCCATGGGGAAAAAGTATTTCTAATGAACAATGAGGCAACCTGAGCTGCTTATGAGGGTGAAAGGAAAAGAGAGGCTGCGAAACAAAATAATAATGTTTTATTTGCAATTAATTCTTTTCCAGTTTACCAAAAGGATTTGATATGACTTAAAATAAAGGGCAAGTACAAAGCAAGATTGCCAATGTAAATGTTACAGTTTGCAAGCCATGTGGAGGGGACAGAGAAAGGAAGAGAGAACAGGTATTAGGGGAATGTAAAGGGATTGCCCAGGGAGGCTGAGAAGAGGTGGCAATCAAACAAAGATTGTGCTTGAAATGGGAACAATAGGATGAGAAGCTGGAGTGACCGGAACTGGGGATGCACAGATGAGACTGATGAACTGTGTGTAAAGGGGAACCCAAGAGATGGGGAAGGGGTTTGTGATTCATCCCCAGGGTTGAGGAAATCAAGACACACACAAGACAGTCATTCATTGAGTAAATCATGCATTCGTTTCAAACCACTGAGCATCCATCTAAATCAGGCACTCTTGAGTAGTGTCTGGCTACAAGGAGCTCTCAGTCTAAAAGGGTAAATCAAGCAGTATTTTAACAGAGCTGATGAAAGAGATGTGCCAGAGCATTGTATAAATAGAAAGCTGCATAGCTGGATGGCTTAAGGCAGAAGTGTATTTCAATCTGGTCTTATACATGTTAGCATGTGTTCTCACAAACTCAAACTTTAGTTCCAAAAACAAAACCTTGGTAATGATGGAAAAGAAAGTGGGCCATGTAAGCTGATGTTTAATAAGCATTTATAATGCATGCCAGACACTAGTTATAACCCACTTATCAACATTAATTCATTTAATCTGCATAACTTCCCTTTGAGATATATGTTGTTATTATTCTCTCTAGTTTTAAAATAAGGAAACTGAGGCACAGAAATGTTCACTTATTCACATTCCCAGCTAGTGAGCAGTGGACCTGGGATTGGGATCTAGGCATCTGGGTCTGAGTTTGTCTTCTTAACCACAGCCCTATATGACCTCGGTATTTGTCATTCAACCTATATTAAGTACCTTCCCTGCATAGGACACTTCTCTGGGTGGCCTTGGACTGATACAGTTTTCCCTCTTTGTTGTGTGTAGCTCCCAAAAATAACTGTAGAATGAGCTGAAAATGCAACATCCAGAGATAAGGGGGAAGCCAGCCAAAACAGCCCCGGCTTTGCTCCAGTCCCCCATAAGAACAAGATGTCCTTCAACATTTTTAGCCCAGCATGTCAGGTATCCCCCAAGGTATAAAACCCAAGATGGGCCACTTCTCAGTGTCCCTCATCTGCAGTGCAAGTGGGATATGCACAGTGGAGACCCCATGGGCAGCTTTCTGTACTGTGGGGCACCAGCTCACAATGAATCGTAGGCGTCTGTTGTCCCTTGCTGCCAATCTGTGAGTAATAAATCTGCTTCATATAACTTGTTGCATATGAGTGTATTTGCTCCCACTGGACTCAGACAAGTTGGTGACCAGTGCACAGTGGACCTGCATCACACCATTTGTTAACACAGTGTTAGGTGCTTAAGCTACAATGGTGAGTAAAACATACCAGGTTTCTGTCTTCATAGAGTCCATATTACAGCAAGAATTCATATTAATTGTATATGGGTCCACAAATCCTAATAAGACTGGAAAGCTGTATTACTGCCCTCTTTTCCTTGCCATGACTATCTCTCTCATTACTAAGAAGATACTCTAAGCCCCTCAGCCCCAAGACCCAGCTGACAGCTGCTGCCACAACCTCTGTACTTGATGTTGGGCCCTGCAGTTCAAAGTACTCAATCAACCGGAGCAACTCTCAGGCACACAGTAGGCAAGCACTACAGTGTATCTGAAGCTCCCAGCATGTCTGTGCGGGAAGGGCTTATGGTTGGCAGTGCAGCTGTAAAAAGCCTGGGAAATACGTTCTGAAGCTGCGTTTGTCAAGGACACTGTGTCTCCACAGATATTATGCTTATGTGGCTTATTTTTGGAGGCCTGTTGAGGATTATGGGGGTTGTGAGGTTAAGTCCCCTGAGTCCCCTTTGATAAATACTTAACTGTCAATTAGTTGACTGTTGAACATTAGAACTAATGGTACCCTCAGATTTGAAATTAGAGAAGGACATGGTTTGCTGGAAAAGAACAGGGAGGGATTTCCCCAGGGACTATTAAGTGACATATTGGAGGACCAGGGGTAGGAGAGAGACCATTTATCAAAGTAGTCATGTCTCTTCAGCACCTGCTGTTTTGATGGACAGTGAATCTTAATCCATATCAATAAATTATTCCAGTGTCTGGTGACAAGTCTAAGATGCTTCATTTAGACACTGAATCAATGTGCTTGGGTCAGCCTGTCTCTATCACAGACCCACTAAGCCCACCCCAGGCTAAATTTGTTCTAGAAATAAATCATGAGTAAGTCACAAAGAACTTACCAGCTTCAGACCACTTAGCAAGTCATATCTTCCAGAGAAGAGTAAAAACACAGGATATTTCTATGTTCCAACAGTCAACAGGACTTTCGGAGCTAGAGTGAGCTTCAGAGCTGATTTAGTTTAATTCATCAATTTTACTGAAAAACTAAGCTCCCAAGACTTTGGGTGGTTTCTCCAAGTTCATTCAGCAAGCACAGAGCAAAGCAAGAGCTAAGCCTCTACCCAAGTGGCCAACTCATCTCTGTCTATCCTTCTTGGTTTTCCTTCCATAGAATGAAAACATCAGATAGCGCAGATGTGGTCATTTCTACCAAGGATATTTTGTTTATGAATCACAGTGACCAGAACTGGAGGCAACACGTGACATGACAGATCCAAGAATCTTTAAATAAATTTAACACTTTAAACCCTTTATACCTTTAAATAAAATCCAAATCCTTCCCCTCCTTCATTGCTACTGCAAAACTCCAGTCTTTTCCCAAATGGTCCCCATCAAGGAGGCAGTGAGACCAAAATTTGCTCCAGTTCAAATGACTATCATACTTTTTAAAAATTTGTGGCTGTTCATATTGAAATACATTTATCCCAGGAAGTGGGTGGAGTGAAGGCATTTCCTGGGTCACCTAAAGTTGGGTGATCTATGGAATTTACTGTCTACTGAGTCTTCAGTTCTCTTTGGCCAAACTCCAGCCACGATGTTTGTAGTAAGAACTGCTGCTTTTCTATTCACCTGCACTCCTTTCTCTGAAACTACTGCCTGAAACAAATTTATTTCTATTAATTAGCTCTGTCTTCTCTTAATGCAATGAGGCCCTAGGAGCAGGTCTGTGCTATCCCACTTCCTCCAGCTGCCTCTTAGACCATGTCACCTTGGAGCCTTCTGCCATTCCTAGGCTGACCAACTGCCAGACTAGGTAAGCAATTATCCAAGGTCTTATAGGCTATTTAGGTTTGGTAGACAGCAATGTTAATCCCCACAGAGACTCTTCATGGTCACAAAATGTTAAAGAGTCAAAATAACATATAACTCAGACAAATCTGGATCACTGCCTAGCGGCATCTTTCTAAATGCCAAGGAAAATATTATAGTATTATAAGTGATTGCACATATGCAATAGTCATTAATATTTTGAATATTTTGCTGGTGTCTAAACTGGAATTTTCATTGGCAATATGAAATTATTAAACTGACCTGTCTCACAAGAAATGTTAAAGTCTGCTACTAATGATTGCAAAGTCACCTTAAATAATGAATTCCTCCATGAACAGAATGTTAATTAAGAGGAGGAAAAATATGCTGGGTAGGGGATATGTTTAATGTTAAGGAAAAAAAACTGTTCTTAATTCTAGATATGAACAAAGTTTACCATTTTCCTTAATGACATGGTGAATTCAGATGAGCATACAAATTCATTCAAAATGAATTGTAATTAAGAGGAAAAATGCCTGTTGTGATTATTAGTATGTGACTGCCATTGTAAAGAAAAATGAGTATCATTCTTTGAAATTAAATCAAACTCTACTCCAAACTAATTTGAATTAACCGAGAAATAAGATGCTAAAGAATCAATGAGTATACATTTTCCCACCCCTATTGATAGCCATTTTGTAAGATTTAAATTTCAGTTCATTTAAACTCCTCAAAAAGAAATTAAAATGGAATTGCATAATAGCATTTAATTAATTATAATTAATAACCATGTATCCCTCTTTAGTTTAAATACAGGAAGTTATATTTGCTTAAAGTAAAAAGAGGTACTATAAGAGTCATTGGCGCTTTCTTGTTTTTAAATATATCTATTACTGGATAAAAAATCAAGTCAGTCTTTTTCAAAATTCAGAAAGTGTTTGAGGTAATGCTGGCAAGGCATAATGGAGTTCATCTTTCCCTTAGGACAAAAAGAAGTATCTTACAGATGGTAGAGGAATTCGTCACAAGATACTAATTTTTTTCCCCAGCATTTTCAAAAAAGTAGAGATTAAAAGAAAATAAAGCTACTGTTACTTCCTAAGAACCCCCAAAACCTAAATTGTTTTGTCTGCTTTCTACCTTAGGGGTACCTAAGTAACCCTACAAATAAAACATTCTATCTTCAGTTAATTTTAAATATGATTTTGATTTCCAGAATACAACATCAACCTCCTCAAAGAAGTTAGATAAAGAAGTTACAGTCATTTCAGTTTTCCAAATCAAATGAAGGCACTGTAAACCCGAAAGGAAATGCTCACTCAAAGACTCAGAACTCCCCAATTCCATGGGCTTTTCAAGAAACAACCAAAAATCACCAGCAATTGCTCAAATTTAATTTGAAACTAATGAAAGAGCCTACTTATGTAAAAATGCTACTTTCTAAATGATTTTTGAGAAACAATATTGCCCTTGATATATTCATTTAGGGAGTACACTGACTTGGCAGAAACTCAATCTACCTCCTGCTAAAATAAATAGGCCTCTTCTACAGACTGAAGGAGTCAAATGGTGGAAGGGGAAAGATAAATAATTTTACAATTTTAACCATAAAGCCATTTTCCTTCAAGAAGCATCATGCATTGTTTCAGTTGACTGTTGTCACTGGGATTTGCAAAACAATGAATCAGTCTTTTAACTTAGTAAATAGAATAAAATCTGTCTCCTAGAACTTATAGGCAGCTTAAAGAATTAAATCACTTCTCATCCTATTATACCTAATAAAGCTTAATTTTAGCCATATTGTGACTCTCTTGGCAAAGTACCATGCAATACAATTTGGCAGGAAGATGTGTGTATATGCACAGCAGATTTAATATATAAAAATAATTCCTGCAATTAGAAATAATTATGTAAAATTTGGCCACATGTCAAAAAGTTTTCTGAATTTCATTCATTTCATATAGCCAATTAGAAAATGAATATCAACTAGTGATTTTCCTAATGATAAAGAGTAACAGCACTATAGGCAAAGATAGAAAAACACTCCTCAGGAGAAAAATAAAGGCAAAACAAGTGAAGCACATATATAATTTTAGAAAGAAATCAAAGTCAATAGCCACCAATTACATAATTAAGGAAAAAAATATAGTAGCCTTCAGCCATATATTCATGTTTCTATTATCATATGTTCTCTCCTCTGTCCCCCTTTTGAAACTTATTTTCTGATTATTTCTCAGACTTTTGGCTCAGAAATAAAAGAAGGGCATGGAGAAGATAGAAAGAACAAGAGCTGATCTAAATGACATCTTATACAGTTCATGAAGTGAGAAGCACCATTATTGATGACACAGAAGAGAAAGGCGGCAAGTGAGAGATAGGGAAGTGGTCAAGAAAAGAGAAAAAGTAAAAAGGCAGAGAGGCAGGTACAATGAAAGAGCTATTTCCAGAGATTTCAAGGGCAGAAATATGCAATGTGAGGGAAGGGGAGCTTTCAAAAGGTCCAAGAGTCCTCTTCACACCCAGCACTTTGTAACTTATAATTCATTTTCTTTTCCATAGAAACTATGACAACAGTTAAATGAAAGCAAGTCTTCCCAGGAATGATCACAAGTGCCTATTTAACTAATGTTGGTATTAATAGCTAATAGGCATTGACAACCCACTTGGCTCTAGGTGCTATGCTAATCGCTTTAATGTGATTTCTCATTTACTCATCACAACCACTCAGGTGCGTACAATTATCATTTCTATTTTTACAGATGAGATAACTGAAGGTAAGTTATTTGTCTCAAATTACAAGGCTAATAAGTGACAAACTCCAGGCTTCTTAAATCTCCATATCCTTTAATACTACACTATACAATGATTTTGTATTTGCAAGAAAAATTATAATAGAAAAGTAAGCTGTTATAGTAATAATTAACTAGGAAAAAATAAGTGACTATTTTGTCTGCTTCCAAAAAATATGTGAAATGAGATAAAATAGAAAAAAATAGGTTTAAAAATGTCACCAGTACAAGCTAAACCTTAGGAAAGGTAAGTGTTGTTAAAGTAAAAGAAGCTAGATGAGTATTTTTGTGGTAATCTAAAAAGTACTTAAGATTATTTCCAAAGGCTTGAGAGAGGGGATGAAATGTGTTTATATTGACTATTTTCATTTTAACATTTAGTTGTAGGACCATTCCTAAAAACATTTAAAGAGTTCACTATAAGCACCCCTCCTCTTCAAGTTTTGCTTAAAGGGCAAAGAATGACAAAAAAAAAAAAAAAAAAAATTAAGGTAGCTTTGAAACTGGGGAAGGAGTGGCAACCGGGTGCAAAGGTCACCCTCCACTAGCTACAAACACAGTCATGTGCCACATAATGACACTTCACCTCAAGGACTGCACAGACAACTGTGGTCCCATAAGATTATAATGGACCTGAAAAATACCTGTTGCCTAAGGACATCACAGTCATCCTAATGTCATAGTGCAATCAATGCATTATTTACATTTGTGGCGATGCTGGTATAAACAGACCTGTGGTGCTGCTAGTCATATAAAAGTACAGCACATACAATTATGTACAATATATAATACTTGATAATAAATAATTGTATTACTGGTTTGTACATTTACTATACTATACTTTTTATTGTTAGAGTGTACTCCTTCTACTTACCAAAGTAATTAACTGTAAAACAGCCTCAGGCAGGTCCTTCAGGAGGTATTCCAGAAGAAGGCATTGTCTTTTTGTTGCTGTTTTTTTTTTTTATACTTTTAAGTTCTAGGGTACATGTGCATTGTTAACAGAGGAGATAGCAGCTCCATGTGTGTTATTGCCCCTAAAGATCTTCCAATGGGACAAGATGTGGAGGTGGAAGACAGTGATATTGATGATCCTTACCCTACGTAGGCCTAGGGTAATGTGTGTGTTTGTGTCTTAGTTTTTAACAAAGAAGTTTAAAAGTATAAAACAAAAAATAAAAAAAGTTAAAAATGGAAAAAAGCTTACAGAAAGGGTAAGATGAAAGAAAATATTGTGCTGTTGAACAACTGTTTTTGTTTTAAGCTAAGTGTAATAACAAAAGAGTTAAAAGTTTTTAAAAATTGAGAAGTTTATGAAGTACAAAAGTTAAATTAAGCTAAGATTAATTTATTATTGAAAAGAGACGTTTTAAAAATAAATTCAGTGTAGCATAAGTGTGCAGTGTTTATAAAATCTACAGTAGTGTACAGTAACATCCTAGGCCTTCATACTCACTCAGGACTCACTCACTGATTCACCCAGAGCAACTTTGACTCCTACGAGCCCAATTCATGTAAGTGCCCTACACAGATGTGCCGGGTTTTAATCTTTTACACTGTATTTTTACTGTATCTTTTCTATGTTTAGATATACAAATACTTACCACTGTGTTATAATTGCCTACATTATTCAGCACAGTAACATGCATTACAGGTTTGTAGCCTGTGAGCATTAGGCCATACCATATAGCCTAGTTGTGAGTGGACTATCCCAACTAGATTTGTGTAAGTACACTCTATGATGTACAAAGACAAGATCATCTAACAAAGCATCTCTTAGAAGGAACCCCCTCATTAAGCCCTGTATTAGTCCATTCCCATGTTCCTGTGAAGAAATACCCGAGACTGGGTAATTTATGAAGAAAAGAGTTATAATTAACTCACAGTTGTTCAGGGCTGGGGAGGCCTCAGGAAACTTGCAATCATGGAAGAAGGGGAAGAAAACACATCCTTCTTCACATGGCAGCAACAAGGAGAAGTGCAGAGTGTAGGGGGGGAAGCCCCTTATAAAAACATTAGATCTCATGAGAACTCACTCACTGTCATGAGAACAGCATGGAGGTAACCACCCTCATGATCTCAATTACCTCCCACTGAGCCCCTCCCACAACATGTGGAAACTATGGGAAATAAAATTCAAGATAAGATTTGGGTGGGAATACAGCCAAACCATATCATTCTGCCCCTGGCCCCTCCCAAATCTCATGTCTTCACATTTCTTTCTTTTTCTTTTTCTTTTTTTTTTTTTTTGAGACAGAATTTCACTCTTGTTGCCCAGGCTGCAGTGCAGTGGCACCATCTCAGCTCACCACAACCTCTGCCTCCCGGGTTCAAATGATTCTCCTGCCTCAGCCTCCAGAGTAGCTGGGATTACAGGCATGCACCACCACACCTGGCTAGTTTTGTATTTTTAGTAGAGACAGTGTTTTCTCCATGTTGGTCAGGCTGGTCTCGAACTCCTGACCTCAGGTGATCTGCCCGCCTCGGCCTCCCAAACTGCTGGGATTACAGGCGTGAGCCACTGCACCAAGCCATGTCTTCACATTTCAAAATGTAATCATGTCTTCCCAAAAGTTCCTCAAAATCTTAACTCATTCCAGCATTAACCCGAAAGTCCAAGTCCAAAGTGTCATCTGAGACAAGTCATGTCCCTTCCACCTATAAGCCTATAAAATCAAAAGCAAGTTAGTTACTTCCTAGATACAATGGGGATACAGGCATTGGGTAAATACACCCATTCCAAATGGGAAAAATTGGCCAAAATGAAGGGGCTACAGGCCCCATGCAAGTCTGAAATCCACAGGGGCAGTCAAATCTTAAAGCTCCAAAATGATCTCCTTCGACTCCATGTCTCATGTCCAGGTCATGCTGATGCAAGAGGTGGGCTCTCATGGCCTTGGGCAGCTCCACCCCTGTGACTTTGCAGGGTACAGCCAGCCTCCTGGCTGCCCTCACAGTGTGGCATTGAGTGTCTGCAGCTTTTCCAGGTACAGAGAACAGGAAGGCTCATGGGATTCACTAGGTCCCAAGTAGTGCAAAAGCTGTTGGTGGACCTATCATTCTGGGATCTGGAGAACAGTGGCCCTCTTCTCACAGCTCTACTAGGCAGTGCCTGGTGGGGACTCTGTGTGGGAACTCCAACCCCATATTTCCCTTCTGCACTGCCTTAGCAGAAGTTCTCCATGAGGGTTTCACCCCTGCAGAAAACTTCTGCCTGGACATCCAGGTATTCTCATATATCCTCTGAAATCTAAGTAGAGGTTCCCAAACCTTTATTCTTGACTTCTATGCACCAAAAGGCCCAACACCACATACACACCAAGGCTTGGAGCTTCCACCCTCTGAAGCAACAGCCTGAGCTGTATATTGGCTCCTTTTAGCCATGGCTAGAGCTGAAGCAGCTGGGATGCAGGGTACCATGTTCGAGGCTGCATAGAGCAGGAGTGCCCTGGATCCAGCCTATGAAATCATTTTTCCTTCCCAGACCTCCAGGCCTGTGATGGGAGGGGCTGCCACAAAGTTCTCTGACATGCCCTGATGACATTTTCCCCATTGTCTTGGTGACTAACATTTGTCTCATTGTTATTTATGCAAATTTCTGCAGCCAGCTTGAATTTCTTACCCCAAAATGGGGTTTTCTTTTCAATGGCATCGTCAGGCTGCAAGTTTTCCAAACTTTTATGCTCTGCTTTCTCTTGAGCACTTTGCTGCAAATTTCTTCCACTAGATAACCTAAATCATCTCTCTCAAGTTCAAACTTCCACAGATCTCTAGGGCAGGGACAAAATGCCACTAGTCTCTTTGCATACCAAAAGTGACCTTTACTCCAGTTCCCAACAAGCTCTTCATCTCCATCTGATACCACCTCAGCCTGGACTTTATTGTCCATATCCTTATTAGCATTTTGGTCAAAGCCATTCAACAAGTCTCTAGAAAGTTCCAAAGTTTCCTACATTTTCCTGTCTTCTGAGCCCTCCAAGCCTCTAGGAAGTTCCAAACTTTCCCAAATATTCCTATCTTCTTCTGAGCCCTCCAAACTGTTCTAACCTCTCCTGAAGTCACTTCCACATTTTCAGGTATCTTTACAGCAGTGCCCCACTCTCTGCAGTACCAGTTTTTTGTATTAGTCCATTCTCATGCTGCTATGAAGAAATACCCGAGACTGGGTAATTTATATAGGAAAGAGGTTTAATTGACTCACAGATTCGCAGGGCTGGGGAGGCCTCAGGAAACTTATAATCATGGTGGAAGGGGAAGCAAACACGTCCTTCACATGGCAGCAGCAATGAGAAATGCAGAGCAGAGAGGGGGAAAAGTCCTTTATAAAACCTTCAGATCTCATGATAACTCACTCACTATCATGAGAACAGCATGGAGGTAACCACCCTCATGGTTCAATTACCTGCTACCAGGTCCTTCCCATGACACTTGGGGATTATGGGAACTACAATTCAAGATAAAATTTGGGTGGGGACACAGCTAAACCATATCAAGCACCTAACATCACTATAATGTAAGTAGCACAAATTCTTTCTTCTTATCAATTAAGAAAGGCCAGAGGTGACAGTAAAATGTCAGTAAGGCAAATGATCAAGAATTTGAAGGGAGAAGGATGTTTAAAAAAAATACAAAAGCATGGTTGAGATACGAATGTCTGAGAAGAGAGAAAGGGAACAGGAAGATCCGGTAAGAAAGAGGTGAGAAAAATCAGAGCTAGGTCTCGTAGACTTCAGTTCTGGTCACAAGATGCCCTTTTAGCCCACGGGGTGAATCAAGCAAGACAGATCTTCACCTGTGTTCCTTCAGAAGGTAGGTACCCTGACCTAAAAGTATCTGAACGGAAATCTGTAATAATGATAGCAAGGAGAAATCCACATTCTCCAAAATAACATTCTCCTCCAAAAACACCACCACAAACTCCAAAGCTTAAACCTCTTTATAAGGGACAAAAAACAAAAAAAAAACCAGACAAGGTCCAAGTAAGAACTCTGTGTCTCTAAAATAAATATGTGCCTTTTTTTTTTTAAAGGAAGGAGTAATGAAGGCCTCATTGTAACTGACGTCCTTGTTAGCGTATGCTACTTTAAATTTGCAAATCATTTTAGACTAAACAAGTTAACTCAGCTTCAAAGGAAGGCTCATGGGATTCACTAGGTCCCAAGAAGTGACAGGAACAAGAGTCCGCAGAATTTTTAAAATACAGATTAGTTCATTCTTCTGTGTGAGGAAATGCATAACCCCTTTACTGCAAAACCGAACAAAAGCATCTTCTTCCCATGTGCATTCATGTATTACAAGTCCTACTTGTATAGCTCTTCACTATGTCACAGCCAGTATTCTAAATCAGTAGCTTCCAACCTGTCTAAACCAACAGAACCTAACATAGACCCAAGTCAGAGGCACTGGGTCAAAATTGGGAACAGAGTAGCAGAGAGTACAACAAGGATTTATACTTTATAAAAATCTTTATGATTACCAGGTTGGGGAGTCACTCTTGTGAATAATTTATGGAGTATAATTTTGACAAGCCAATTGACAAAACACTCTCATTTAAAAACCATTAAACTAAGAGTCTGCTACTACTCCTGTGAACTGGGCCAATCTCTTAGCAACTGAGCTTCAACAAAATAAACATATTAGACTATACAGTGTTTCTCACCTAAGCTTCATGATCTCCTCCCTCAGTAATTTTTGTAAACATTTTTTTCCTAATTGTCTTTTCCTCCCTTATGATATTTTCACAAATAAACATATGCTATATATCTGCATATGTGCTATATGTGTATTTGTGCTTTATGTATAATAAGTACTATATTTTATTTAACCCTAAGAACTAATTTTTGTCCCCTTGGAGGTGATATCACCTCTACTGAGAATGCTTGGACTAGATCACATATTGAACAATTGATGTACTAAGCAACATACAAGTATAGTCTAATTTAACTAATAAGAAAATTCTATGAGATGAGTACTACTAGTATCTCCAGTTTTCAGTGAGACAACTGAAGTGTTTTTTTTAAATCTGTCCAAGATTTTATGATTCCTAAACGGCTGAGGCAAGACTTGAACTCAGAGAGTGTGATACTAGTTTTCCCTCTTTATCACCATGTCAGACTCTTCCAGATTAAGGATTTGAAACTCGGCTTTGTTGTGCTTTTCCATGGCTATAGACTGAAATCTATCTTTTTAATTTGACTACAGTGCATCTCAGCACCTGTGTATTGCCTGTAGTTAAAATCTATATGCTTATATTTTTATTACTATTTTATTACTTGTATTAAAGATAATACTTTAGCCAATAAGATACACTATTTTCTGGTAGCATTCTAGTGCATGAGGAGAACATGGAAACTTAAAAACAACTGATATGCTGTAGAATTTTATGAATTTTTTTCTTTTGCTTAAATAGCAGACATGTTATAAAAAGTTGTCTTAAGTTGTATATGCCTAAATTTTTCACATATACATATATCATCAGAGAAAATGGGTTATAAAATGGAGACAATTATTTACATTTTAAAATACTACAGTTGTCTTCTATGAAGTTGTGAGAGAGAAAGCACCAAATATAATGAGAATAATTATTTCATTAAAAAATGAAATTAGATGATTTTACACTAAAAACAGCATGGATGTATCTGGAGGTTCTTAAATGCAAATAAACACTGATTCTGAAAGCGTTATTACATATTTCTAAAAGGACAGGTAAAATGAATTTTTCAAAGTAATATAGTTCTTTAAATAACATATGAAAAACTACAGGTGCAGCAATCTTTTTTTTAGCATTTATACCTTCTTAATTGAGATGCTCTAACAAATACTGTTTTGTTCAAATCGATGAAGCCCACAGATAAGACATACTTATTATGGCTAATATTTGGCAGCATGGGGGGCTCTCAATGGATAGTAGTCATGGCTTTTCAGATAATATTCCTACCTCTGGCAGCTCAAGATCTTTACAATAATGAACTCAATTTGGCACAAAAGTCAGAAAGCCTTTAGGGGCTCCCTAAGAGAGAGTACAGATAATGGTAAGGCACTTTATCTAAGAACCATCAGCATTACCTATCCAGAAACATCCTGCCTCCAATCAGGCCCAGTAGAATCCAAATAGGACAAGACTCCTATTACAACCACTCCTGCTTTCTGATATATTAATATTCTTATCCTGGGAACAAAGACAAGACACATCTTGCAGGCCACCAGGCCATAACTAACTGTGGCCTCTCTTCTTAATATTCATTGTCAACTAATTATATGATACTCCTTTCATCTATAGTTATGTTATTTTATATCTATGATAATAAAAAGCTGACATACACTGCTATATTTTTGGAAAAAAGAAGCTTCTCCTTTTCTGAGTTGCCACTTGCATGACCTAAGGAGGCTTTATGTCTCAAAACAATAGCCAGCCAGACCCTAAAGAAAATAACAGCCTACTTTTCTCCTCAGAGCTGTGCTCTCTCCTTGAATCTTACAATGAATGAGATCTTAATTATATCTTATAATAATATCCTACTTTTACAAATGAGAAAATCAAGGTCTAGAGTGATCATATCACTTTTTCAAGATCAACAGTGTAAAAATCAACCTAAAATTCCCTGTCCTGATGCTTAGTTCATTCATTTTTATTGCTTCTAGTTAAAAATAATAATAAAAGATAAAATCCTTGATTAATTCATATCCCAATCCCTCCAATACTTCACATCTATTCATTTTATTCTGCAATGATGATGTTCTTCTCCATGAAATGGATATTTTTTTCTCCTTCCCAATTAGGTTGCAAATACCCTGTAGTTAGGTCTAGATCATCTATTTCCACCAGATAGTCATTATTAGTGTGTTTTCACTCACCAAGAAAAACAACACAGGTCTTTTTGTCAATACACAGTTTGAAATAAGCATTCTACCTACAATGAAAGGCCTCTGTAGACTATGTAGATATTTAAATAAGAACACATATATTAAGTTAAATTCCCCTATGATACTGAGTCTGCAAAAGCAGACACTGTATCTGTCCAGCTGACCATTTTAACTTGAGCCTCTCTGATACTGACAAGCAGATAGTCAGCACTCAATAAATGTTGAATAAACACATAAATAAATTAGTGTGGTTATATGAATTCAATTCTAAATGAAATACTAAATAAAAGAGGGAAAAAGTTGGTAGCAACAATTTGATGTATATTTGAGAGTATGAAATGGCCTTAAAATTCAAATATACTGGGTCTTAATAGGGTTGTACAGGTCAAGTCTAGAAAAGTTCACCTTACCAAGGGGGCAGGTTGGAGCTGAAATCCAGCCTATTCTCTTCTTTCCAAGCTGTTCCCTCTAGTTTATGCCTCAAAAGGCACTACTTGCTATTACTTCCACCCAGAGGAATGACATTTTAATTCAAATGATGACTCCGTTTATGCTGTCTGTTGCCCTACCCATGTGCAATCTTAAAACATAAGTACCTGTAGAGTCAAGTTGGTTTAAGTGTTTCATCTTGAAATTAGAAGGCACTCCTATAGCCATAAACTCTTATGAATTGTTTTAAAGTTAATTAAAAGCTGGAAAAAAAACCACCAGGCAGTACATCAGAAATATGTACAAATCAAAAAAATTCAGATGATTGGTTAAAAAAAGATCCCAAACCAATGAAAATACAGTATATGGAAGAACTATATATAAGTAACAGATTCTTGTGGTCTGAGATTAACCAGTGCAGTTTATTAGAAATAAGATACTAAGATACAGAATGAAAAATGACTAGGGGAAATAAGAGCAAGGTTAATAGAGGCATGCATGAAAGGTCAGCGTGTTCAATTTACTTGCTAAAGATCCCAAAGTCCAAAAACTTAAATAGACACAGTGTGAAAGTGCCCACATTAGGCCATTTACCTTTTGTAACCTCTTAGCAATAAGCAGTGTAATGTTAAAAGGAAAGAACACATTCTTCATAAAAGGAAATATTCTGGAAGCAGAAAGTATCTCCTTAACACAGATCACTGTCAAATAAGACACACCAGCTGAGCTGTAATTGGAATAAAACTGTTGAACTCCTAAATCCCTCCTTTCCACCCTGCTGCCTGCTTCCTCAAGGCAAAGCAGTTATTACTAACCAGCCTTTCTCTAGGCACTGTTAAAAAGTCCCAGAGAAGAGAATGCGTGATTCCACGTTTTGATGGGCTTATCATTTGACTGGAGGAATTAGATTTACACACACAAAAACTGGGGACTATATTAAAACAGGTATGTAATTCAGCATTCATGTGTATAGTACCAATTGTGTATGAGGTAGGTATTCACAAAAGAAAAAGATCAGGCACGTGTTGAGAAATTCTGAAAAAGCCAGGCATAGCCAGGGCATAATTGTGAATTATGCAATGCCTTCTCTGTTTTTTTTCTGGTGATTTATTTTTTTAAAGTCCCTGGTATGCAGGATACTCTTATAGCCTTTTGGCCAATTACATATACCTTGGTAGGATGCTAGACTTTTTATCTTCCCAAAACCATTCAAGGATAGTTCAACATTGAAATATCTGTTAATGTAACTTTCTGCATGAATAGATTGAGGGAGGAAAAAGAACTCATCTCAATAAGTGTGTGTATGCCTGTGTAGGCATATTCCACAGCCATTAAGAATCAAATATCCAAATCTTCAAAACAAATAAGAAAACAATCGCCCTTACTTAATAAATGTCATATAACATAAATAACAATCAAGTCATATTTAGAATTGCAAAACTCTAAATATTTAAGTTAGAAGCAAGGCAAAGATAACAGTGAACATACTATGACCTAATGTTGTGATAGATTTCCTACCTAGTGTGATAACATAAAAAAGACATAAAAGTTATAAATATTAAGTGAGAAAAGATAAATATTATGGCTTATATACAATTATTGTCCAAAAAATTTGATAATATCAAATAAAACCTGTAAGAATGCTTAAGATAGTATAATAGACAAGGTTTTAGGTATCATCTTTAATTTCTCAAAGTCTTCTTGCTACGGTTTGAATGCTCAACCCTCCAAAAACAACAACAACAACAACAAAAACGAATGTTGAAATTTGCTTGCCATAGTAATGATATTGAGAAAAGTTACCTCTAAGAGGTGTTTTGGTCAGGAGGGCTCCTCCCTCATGAATGAACTAATGTCATTATCACAGGAGTGAATGGGTTCCTTATCTAGGGAGTGGGTTTGCCCTCTCCTGGGCTCATTCTCTCTCTGTCCTTCTGCCATGTGATACTTTCTGCCATGTTATAACACAGCAAGAAGGCTCTCACTAGATTCCTTTACCTTGAGCAGTCTCCAGAAATGTGAGTCAATAAATTTCTGTCTATTATAAATGACACAGTATGTGATATTCTGTTATAGCTGCACAAAAGAGACTAAGGCACTTCTTTTAAGTTTATTCTTTTAAGTCATCTGCTACATTTTGTAGCAATTATTTCTTTGGTTAAAGAATGTTGTTGAAATATTGTTTATCAAAGTATCGAGTGTCATATGTAAAAACAACTATATGTGGGAAGTTTTTAGTAATAGTTAAAATAAACCAATGGCTTGATCTCTATTAAAACTTGAATTCATTGTATCTACTACATGAATGTTTAGGAGACAAGGGTGATAGCAAAAAAACATTAAATGTAACTTCTAGACTGTAACAGTGAGTACCAGGTGTGGGGCACGGGGAGTAGGCTGCCCCAGGGAAGGAGTGTTTTATCACTGTTATTAAGAATTGCCAGCAGATGGTGATAACTAAATATGATTGTTTTACTTTTTATCTGGAAGATACAAACACACACACACACACACACGCACATACACACACACAGGGGCATGGAGTTCCCATGTACCTTTCACTAAGTTTCCCCCATGGTAACATCTTGCACAACCAGAATACAATATCAAAACCAGGAATTTGACATTGTTACAATCTGCAGAGCTTACCCAGATTTCACCAGTTTTGCATGCATTCCTGTGTGTGTGTGTGTGTGTGTGTGTGTGAGTGTGTGTGTGCACACATGTGTGTTTCTACGCAATTTTATCATCTGTGCAGATTCATGTAAGCAGCACCTCAATCAAGCTACAGAGCTGCTCTATCACTATAAGACTCCTTTCTGCTACCTCTAATCTGCTGTCTATTTTTTCTGATTGGTCTTAGTTTTGTTATAAATTCTCTACAGAAGATGTATCCTTATCCCTGCTCTCAAGCTTGTAGCTGGCACTGACACACTCTTAGTTTACCACAGAGCTGTGGTAATGCTCAGAGAACTCTGGCATCTCCTGTCACTCAACTAAATCTCAAACCCTTGCCTCGGCCAATACATCTCAGAATCATCTGGCCCTGGTAAGGGACCAGCTCTCAGACTCCCCTCCTGCCTCTCTCCCCAGCCTCACACTCCTCCATGTGAGAAACCCTCCTTGGGGAACATTCCAGGAACCCTCTTGCCCTATGGCTTTGCACTTGTTAAGTCCTCTGCCTGGAACACTCCTTTCATAGAGAGATACAGTCTCACTTCCTTACTTAAGTCTCTACTTAAATATCACCTCTTGAGATAGAACTTTTACTGACTTCCCTATTTGAAGCAGTACCCACTCTTACTCATTCGTTTATTATTATTTACTCTCTAAGCCTGCTTAATTTTTCTATATTGCATGTATCACACTTATTCCTTTTTTGTTAAATAATCCATTTTATCTCCCTTCCCATCAGAACATAAATACTACTAAAAAGACTTACTGCTTTGTTTATTGCTATATTCCAAGTAATGAAAACAGTTCTTATCATAAAATGGACACTCAATAAGTATTTGTTCGATGAATAAATTACCCTTAGTTATCTTAAAAATAAACTCCAAAAAGCAAGACTTCAATTCTCTCTTATCCAGTTGGCAAAAAATTAAGAATAATGAAAATATTTAGAACTGGCAGGAAAATGAAGAAACTGGATAGCTTAGACACTGTTAATGAAATTTAAATGACACGGAATTTTTGGAGGAAATTTTGGTGGTATCTGTCAAAATTTAGAATGCACAAATCCAACAATTCCATTTCAAGGAAACATAGTAAAATATTGACATTTGAACAAAGGCATAGAAAGACGTTCCCCTCAACATTATTTGAGGATAGCTGGATGCTGTATACTTCGTTTGTTATAAGAAAAACATGCTAAATGTCTTTCTAAAGAGAAATAAACTTTCTGAAGTAATTTATACCATGGATATTAAGCAATTGTTATAAAGAAGGACCTACATAAATACTATTTTGGAAAAATTAAGTGACAAAGGCAAGTTTTGAAAAAATATTCTGCATGTACATCTAGATATCAGTATATATATATAGTGTGTGTGTGTATGCACTAAATTACACCAAAAACTATTTATGCCAATTCATTTATAATAACTAGCCCTGATATTCTTAGGACAGGCAACATTCAACATTCAACCAAATGGTGATGAATGAAAAATTTTTAAACTTTTTGCACTACATATTCTCTCTATAAATTTTTATAATAACACATTTCCTTTATGAATAAAAACCAATTCGAATAATTAAAAATTAAATGGAAGATAGTCTCATTAAACTAATTCATATTAAAGTGTCATTGATATAAAATATCATAAAGTATTTGACATCATGTGTTATCTTTTTACTAGGGACACTTGTATTTAAATACCTTTTTTCTTAAGCCAAAGGAATAAATTGCCAACAGCAGAATCTCAGCAAGAGTATTTCTTCTATGAAGGGATTCCTGGAGCATCTCACAGTGAATCAGGCAGGCAAATGTAATATCTACATCAATCAAAAGGCAGTCTGGAGGAATCGCTAACTCTCCTGCCATCCAAAAATCCTGGCCCAATGGCTGGCAAACTACTTAAGGGCTTGGTGTGGAGAGTTTAAGATTTCATAGCTAGAAATCAAATGACTAAATATAGATAGAAAAAAATCCTCTTAGTACCATGTTCCTACTTTGATTGGGCAGCCTCCTGGGCCACATTGCAGCATATTACCTCGGGGTTCCACCGAAGCACTGGTCAGTGAGTGCATTTGCATCTGTATCACATTGGCTCTCTACCACATCCAAATTGCCTCAGAAATGTGTTCTTCTAGATCCAGAGTAGCAGATCCTTTCACTACTAATTTTTTTTCAGAGATATAATCTATTAGCTGAGGAATTTCTCAGATGTCCATCTAAAAGAATGGAGGTGACTAACTGCAATCTAGTTAACATTCCTTGAAAATAATTCCATGCACTTACTCTACTGACCCTCAATCAGCAGTAACATGTCCATACAGTAGAGGCTGCATATTAACACAGCAGTTAACACTCATCAAATAATTATAGAATTTACTTCAAGCTTTATTTATTTCCATTCCTTTACAATGAAAGGAAAGAGAAAAACCAATATAAAATTGAAAAATGGAATGACTGGAGAACAGAATGTTGAGTGATAGAACAGAAAAAATTCAATAATGGAAGATGTGCTCAGTAATACACAGGACTAAATACTTAGGGACAGTAGGGAAAATAACATAATCATACCACCTTATAGAATGAAACTAGAAATATAACAAAAGGAGGTAAATAAGATATTGCAAATGACACCAAGACTTGCTGAGCTGGAGAGTTCAAGAAGAACGTACATACAATTATCTTCAAAAGAAACAAATTTGATATTGAAAAGGAAATAGAAACATACTTTAAATTTGCAAAACTTTCAGATACAGTGGTTTCCCACACATTTTCTTATTAAATGTCATAGCTATGCTCACCTTCTTGGATGACAATGAATCTAAACATGTGGTGGGTTGCTCAGGAGAGAAACAAAACAAGATGTAGATGAAGAGAAGTAATCTTTGGAGAGAATGATAAACCCACCCAATTTTCTGGAGGACATGGACCACACATTATTATTCTGGATGGAAAATCCATCACAACCCTCTATAATGATTTAAATACTCCACCTTTACAGAAGAAGGTATACAATGAGCACACAGAATATCTCAGCATCATTAGTCACCAAAGAAATGCAAATTTAAACCACAAGGAGAAACCACCATACACCCACCCAAATAGCCAAGAGTAAAAAAACTGCAAACACCAAAAGCTGTTAGGAATATAAAACAATCAGAACCTCATATGTACACACAGCTGGCAGGTGCATAAAGTGGTACAATCTATTTGGATTTTTTGATCAAAATATATTCCAGAAATCCTATCAAACTATTATCCAGTGATTTCACTCTCAATTACTTACTCAAAATAAATGAAAGAATTTTTCACAAAAAAATCCTTCATATTCCAAAACTATTCCAAAAAAATATTCATCATGCCTTAGCACTTTGAGAAGTTGAGGCAGAAAGGTCACTTGAGGCCAGAAGTTTGAGACCAGCCGGGGCAACATAATGGGACCCCATCTGTACAAAAGAACTATTTTAAAAAAATTAACCAGGTATGGTGGTTCTCAGCTACTTGGGAGGCTGAGGAGGGAGGATTACTTGAGCCTGGGAAGTCGAGGCTGCAGTGAACTGGGATCACACCACTGCATTCCAGCCTGAGCAACAGAGTGAGACCCTATTTCAAAAAAAAGAATATTCATTATTGCATTATAAATAATACTAAAAAACAAACCCAACAAAACCCTGATGCCCTTCAAGAAGAAAATGAGTAAGTAAACTGCCATATTCATACAATGGAATATTACTCAGAATGAAAGGATAACATGGATGAAATTCAGTAAAAATCCACAAAAAACCCACAAAAAGTCATGTGTCACTTAACCATAGGAATACATTTTGAGAAATGTGTCATCAGGCAATTTTGTGGTGCAAACATCATATAAGTGTTACTTCCACAAACTTAGAGGAATTAGTCTACTATACACCTAGGCTATATGGCATACCCCATTGCTCCTAGGCTGTAAACCTATACAGCATGCTACTGTACTGAACACTGTAGGCAATTTTAAAACAATAGTAAGTACTCATGTATCTAAACACGTCTAAGCATAAGTTTAGCAGAAAGTACAGTAAAAAATGTAATCTTAAAGAACGACCATCTCATTTGTGGTTTGTCATTGACCGAAACATGGTTATGCAGTACCTGACTGTACATACTACATGATGCATTTATACAAAATCCTAGAACAGAATAAACTAACCTAAGGTGATAGAAAACTGATGAATGGTTGCTTCTGGTGGGGGTTAGGACTGGAAGTGGAATGAGTTAACTGGGAAGGGGCGGAAGGAAACCTTCTGGGGGTGATAGAAATGTGTGTCTTGAAAGGCACCCAGCAAAATATACACATCATTTGAACATTTTGCTGTTTGTAAATTACACCTCAGTGATCACAGAGGTATAAAGTATGAATGAGGATTTCAGTTGTGCAAATATTTTACCAAAACTTCATTTAACTAAAAATCAGAACATTTGGAAACTTCTACTGACAGCACATTGATACCTGAAATTGTAAAGAAAGTAGGAAAAGGAACTGTCATCTCAGGACAAATTCTAACAAATGGGAAGATGAGAACATTGGCGAAAGCAATTTAGGTGGAATTAACTGTGATTATGTTTCCTTCAGTCCTATTTAATGGCAATACATAGTCAATAATTTTCTAATATTCATCTTTTGATTTGCTAAATGTAGTATTTTCAACATAAAAAATGAATTGTCTTTCAGAAAAAAATTAAGATGAAAGTTTTGCATTTAAAGAAGAAAATGACATAAAAAGGCAATCAGAAAATGAGAGTTTGGAGGATGATAATGTGAACTTGAAAGAGTTAATCCTTGAAGATGAATGCCAAGTGGCTAATTGAGCCTAAAATTTAAAAAGAGCCAAACAGCCATTTGTTGACTAGAGGTTACACACATACTCAGAGTTCCTAGAAAACATACACATCTGCTTAACTTTACGCCTTTCATAGCTGACTGTGCCCATTCATGTCTCTTGAATCAACCATTGAGCTATGGCCTACATCAACCAATCAGAACTCAGCTGCATCAATCAATCAGAACAAAGCAAGTTTGAATCCTTCCTTTGCATAAGAGGGCCTGATTGAAAACTTTTATAAAAGCCAAACCATTCTGTTGTTCTCTGGAACACCTTCATTTTATACAGAAGGATATTTCTCCTTGTTTGTGAACTGTTCACTGGAATAAAGTCTCATTCCTCCAAATTCATTTTCAGGGAATTTTATTATTCTTTAAGTTCTGGGATACAAGTAAAGAATGTGCAGGTTTGTTACACAGGCATACATGTGCCTTGGTGGTTTTGCTCCACCCATCAACCTGTCACCTACATGAAATATTTCTCCTAATGCTATCCCTCCCCTTGCCCCCTCACCCCCCAGCAGGCCCTGGTGTGTGATGTTCCCCTGTGTCCATGTGTTCTCATTGTTCAATTCCCACTTATGAGTAAGAACATGTGGTGTTTAATTTCCTGTTCTTGTGTCAGTTTGCTGATAATGATGGTTTCCAGCTTCATTCATGTCCCTGAAAAGGACATGCACGCATCCTTTTTTATGGCTGCATAATATTCCATGGAGTATATGTGCCACATTTTCTTTATCAAGTAGTTCACAATATTGAAGAAGAACAGTGTGTCTAATGGTCTAACAAGAAATGTTGCTAAGGTGTTTTTTTTTTAGTGTAGCATATAACTCTTCATTTCTTCCTTTTCTTGAATCTTTAGGCAAACATGCATTTCTCATCAAATCATTGTGTGAGTGAAGCTGTATTTAGAGACTATGTTCAGAGACTGAGTGACTGAGTCTTTTTGCACTATGGAGATGGGTTAAAAGTAGGGACCAACCATTGGTGGTTCTGCTCTTCCCAGGGTTTCCTTCAGGTATTCTAAGATTTTGTGACAGACATAGAGAGCTGAGCTAGACTTGCACCCTAGACTAGAAATGCAAGTTTCAAAAGGGTCACAGAAAAGCCATGGGCTAAATCTGTTAAGAATTTTAATGTGTAGGCTTCCCTCAAAAAAGAATTCTGATAATCAATTTGCAGGAATCTCAATGCAGATCTGAGAGAAGAAAACTCCAAAGAAGGGCTCCTGAGCTGCACAGGGAGCTCTCCAATGAGTACATGTTTTAAGGACTTGCAGATATTTAGAAAGAAGGAAATAGCACCACGACCAAATATTAGTGACTTCAGACAAGCATTATAATAATGTTATAAGGGCTAAAGCTCAGAAGAAACTGTGCCTGTGTAAATGCTAAAGAAAGCTAAGAGAATGGAAGGAACACTTGAAAACTTTATGTTAAGAAAAATTAGTAAAAGAACTGGATGATCCTTCAGCTTGGGCAAATAGAATAATGAGATATAAGGGTTAGAATGGCAATAATAATTTAAGAGTTAACATTTACTGACTACTTTTTAAACAGAAGGGGCTAAGCTAAGCATTATATGTTTACTATTTTATGTAATACTTACAACAGACTCGCAAGGCTGTTATTAGTATCAGCCTTATCTTAGGCTCAGAAGAAACTGAGGTTCACAGGAGATAAGTGCCTTAGTCAAGGTCACATAGCTAGCAAGAGATATGGCCAGACTCTGAGGGCAGCAATCTGAGCCTAGGGCCTGCTGTCTTAGGCACCACACAGTAATTTACCTCTCAAACTCTCATTGTTACTGCTGTTAATGAAATCCTATTCTACATCTGAAAAAGGGTAGAAAGAACTTGGTTAAGAGGGAATCAAAATCTAAAGTAGGCAAAGGGATTGTGTAGCTTTTCAAAAGAAAATTGAGCCTCTTGTTCCAGATAAATTGCAGCCCAGAATAAAGAGGGAATGTATATAACCAGTGTCTCACCCACAGTTGAGATGGCAGAGAAGGGCCACAGGTTTGCCGTTTCCCTTTGGTATACAAACAAAATCATGTAAGCCCTTGCCCCATGTGACTATGGAAGGCCAGACCCTGGGAGTGGGTTTGACAGTGCCCCCCACCCCTAGAGTGCCAGCGCATGGCCTGAACCACTTCCTATCTTCCTCATCCTCTGGACTGCTGCTCCAGCTGACACTTGGGCCATCCCACTGTAAGCTTGTGCACAGAGTACCCCTTTCGTCCCCAAGAATCTTAATTCTCGAAGGCTCTGTCAACAGGAGACCACTGCTGCTAGACTACAGAAGGGAATCAACTGTGCTAAAGGCTTAAGGATACCATAAGAAAACAAGAACATATGAAAAAAAATTAAAACTCAGTGTTAGGAATGCTGACTTGCTTCCTTCAGAGGGCCCTCTGCTCTGAAACAGCGGGTAAGAGCATGGGCTGCAAAAATCCAGCTCTACCATTGTGACTTCACACAAGTTACCGCCAGTCCAAAGCCTCACTTTCTTCCTGTGTATAATGGAAATAATAATGTTGCTTACTTGATTGGGATGTTGTAAGGGTCTTAGGAGATGACTTAGATGAAGCATTTATATAGCACTTACATCTCATATCCATGCCATGCACAAAGTGAATACTCAACACATATTAGTTATTTGTGTTATTTCCAGGTTCTGAGAGATCAAAATCTTCAGATCTAGAGTTACACTGTCCAACATGGTAGCCAGTAGCCACAGAGCTGCATATGGCTATGGAGCACTTGAAATGTGGCTGATCCAATATGAGATGCACTGCAAGTGTAAAACATATACAAACATCAAACTTTTGGTACCAAAGTGAAATAATTTAAACTATCTCATTATTTATTTTTATGCTGATTTATGTTGAAATGATAGTCCTTTGGATATATTTGGTGAAACAAAATACACTAGGAAAATTAATTTCACCTATTTATCTTCTTTATGCATTTTTCATGTGGCTCCTTGAAAACTTAAAATTACATATGTCATTCACATTTGTAACTCACAATGAATTTCTGCTGGACAGTGCTGCTCAAAATGTGGTCCATGGAGCAACAGCATAGGCATCTCCAGGGAACTTACTAGAAATGCAGGATCCCACTCCCACGCCAACTTTATTTACTCAGAACCAGCATTTAAAAAAAAAAATCCCTGGGTAATTTACATGCTCATTGAAATATGAGAACCACTATTCCATAGGAAAAACCAAGTCACCTCCTACATTGTCTGCATGGCAGAGGTGGGAGTCCCTTTTACTTTATTGAATAAAGAAGTTTATGTTCCATTTGCCTAACCTCCTCCTCTTTCAAACTCTGCATAACTAGAATTCCCATTAACATTCCCACTCTCCACCCTCACGCAAACAAACCCTTCAGGTTGCTTTAAAATAGATTATTCGGGGCCTTACTACATGAGGAATTTTAGGTGAGACAGTGGAAAGAGAAAACAAACCAGTTTTGCACCGTTGACTCAAGACAGGAAAAGAGAGTGGATTTCCTAGGTATTCAGTGTGATAATAATCCAAGGCAAAAGTCAACGGAGTATTTTTAAATAGACAGTAACCACACAGAAAGGAAACCATACTTCATTATAAGATGATTAGAGTTCATTAATCATCCTTTATGATGAAAGAGTTTGAATATATGACCCATGAGAAAAATGTCAGACTGTCAGTGTTTTGTAAAGAGAGAAACTGTAAAAAGTACAGTGTGGCTGTCTTTACATTTTTGAAGGGCTTTTATAGAAAAAGTAGGTAAATTTCATGTAGTCTGTAAGCACAGAACTGGGAGAAATGGATAGACATTAACAAGAGGCAGTTGAATACAAGGGAAAAGTCTATATAATAATTGCAGCTTTGTGTAGCAATGAATTACTTATCACTAGCATGCAACCTGAAACCGCACTCTAGAACTCTTCAAGAGGAAATCACTGTCTGAGAGAGGTTTGCACCAGACAATCAATCGAATTCCTTTCCAATTGTAGACCTTATGATTCCACTATCTTAGTTAGTAAAGATAACAAGAATGAAAACAGCAATAGTGCTAAGGTTATATCTTGATGTCTAGCCTTTATCTATATAAAGAAGGATTAGCAGAGAGCTAAAAGACAGTCACTTAATACTGGGCACAGTTAATATATTGATAATATGTAATGTGAACTCACATAAGAAAGTATCCTTGCCTTATCAGTAGGAAAGGTCTATTCTATTACTCCCCTATTAAAAATAAACATTCCCGAAATCAAATCTTTACATAGCTTCTTTAAAAAAAAAAAAATTGAATACCCTTTTAGGAAAAGAGGAAGTCAAATTGTCCCTGTTTGCAGACGACATGATTGTATATCTAGAAAACCCCATTGTCTCAGCCTAAAATCTCCTTAAGCTGATAAGCAACTTCAGCAAAGTCTCAGGAAACAAAATCAATGTACAAAAATCACAAGCATACTTATACACCAATAACAGACAAACAGAGAGCCAAATCATGAGTGAACTGCCATTCACAATTGCTTCAAAGAGAATAAAATACCTAGGAATCCAACTTACAAGGGATGTGAAGGACCTCTTCAAGGAGAACTACAAACCACTGCTCAATGAAATAAAAGAGGATACAAACAAATGGAAGAACATTCCATGCTCATGGGTAGGAAGAATCAATATCGTGAAAATGGCCATACTGCCCAAGGTAATTTACAGATTCAATGCCATCCCCATCAAGCTACTAATGACTTTCTTCACAGAATTGGAAAAAACTACTTTAAAGTTCATATGGAACCAAAAAAGAGCCCACATTGCCAAGTCAATCCTAAGTCAAAAGAGCAAAGCTGGAGGCATCACGCTACCTGACTTCAAACTATACTACAAGGCTGCAGTAACCAAAACAGCATGGTACTGGTACCAAAACAGAGATATAGACCAATGGAACAGAACAGAGCTCTCAGAAATAACGCTGCATATCTACAACTATCTGATATTTGACAAATCTGACAAAAACAAGCAATGGGGAAAGGATTCCCTATTTAATAAATGGTGCTGGGAAAACTGGCTAGCCATATGTAGAAAGCTGAAACTTGATCCCTTCCTTACACCTTATACAAAAATTAATTCAAGATGGATTAAAGACTTACCTGTTAGACCTAAAACCATTAAAACCCTAGAAGAAAACCTAGGCATTACCATTCAGGACATAGGCATGGGCAAGGACTTCATGTCTAAAACACCAAAAGCAATGGCAACAAAAGCCAACATTGACAAATGGGATCTAATTAAACTAAAGAGCTTCTGCACAGCAAAAGAAACTATCATCAGAGTGAGCAGGCAACCTACAAAATGGGAGAAAATTTTCACAACCTACTCATCTGACAAAGGGCTAATATCCAGAATCTACAATGAACTCAAACAAATTTACAAGAAAAAAACAAACAACCCCATCAAAAAGTGGGTGAAGGACATGAACAGACACTTCTCAAAAGAAGACACTTATGCAGCCAAAAAACACATGAAAAAATGCTCACCATCACTGGCCATCAGAGAAATGCAAATCAAAACCACAATGAGATACCATCTCACATCAGTTAGAATGGCGATCATTAAAAAGTCAGGAAACAACAGGTGCTGGAGAGGATGTGGAGAAATAGGAACACTTTTACACTGTTGGTGGGACTGTAAACTAGTTCAACCATTTTAGAAGTCAGTGTGGCGATTCCTCAGAGATCTAGAACTAGAAATACCATTTGACCCAGCCATCCCATTACTGGGTATATACCCAAAGGACTATAAATCATGCTGCTATAAAGACACATGCACACGTATGTTTATTGTGGCACTATTCACAATAGCAAAGACTTGGAACCAACCCAAATGTCCAACAATGATAGACTGGATTAAGAAAATGGGGCACATATACACCATGGAATACTATGCAGCCATAAAAAATGATGACTTCATGTCCTTTGTAGGGACATGGATGAAATTGGAAATCATCATTCTCAGTAAACTATCTCAAGGACAAAAAACCAAACACCACATGTTCTCACTCACAGGTGGGAATTGAACAATGAGAACACATGGACACAGGAAGGGGAACATCACACTCTGGGGACTGCTGTGGGGTGGGGGGAGGGGGAAGGGATAGCATTAGGAGATATACCTAATGCTAAATGATGAGTTAATGTGTGCAGCACACCAGCATGACACATGTATACATATGTAACTAACCTGCACATTGTGCACATGTACCCTAAAACTTAAAGTATAATAATAATAATAATAAAAAGGTGAGGCTTGGGAAAAGTAAGGATTTTAGTAACTATGGAGATGGAAACGATAATGTAGCACAGCCCTTTGAGCAAATGGGGTAGGGCTACATATACTACTAAAACATATTAACAAACTAGACATACATTATGTGTTTTTTCAGTGACTGTCCCATTTTAGGCCTTTTAAATCCACCTCATCTGGCCGTAAATCCACTTCATCTGGGTATTGTGAAACAGCACCCACCTGTCAGTGCTATGCCCCAGCCCCTTGCTGTCTCCTTCCCTTGCTTCCCAATGCAATCCCCTCTCAATGTAGCTCCTTGAGTTCTAAAGGACCTCCAGTTTTTCCTGGCATTGACAATTTACTGAAAAAACATAAAAACTGTCAGACATATTCTTATAACTGTCCTCCAACACCAAATGTCAAGTATACTGAAATAAAACTATCTTTTACCTTCTACATTTTCCCACTAATGCTCATCGTATTCTCATTAGAAAACAGTGATGAGATATTTAGAATTAGGACTATTTCATAAGTTAGGACCCCGCCACCCAACAATGCAAATGGTCAAAATGTAGGTAACAAATACTTATAATCATAAATGGTATTAAGAAATGACTGTGTAATGCTGAGTTAAAAGGTATTATAAGGTCAGGTGTGGTAGCTCATGCCCGTAATCCCAGCATTTTGGGAGGTTGAGGCAGGAGGATCGCTTGAGGCCAAAAGTTAGAGACCAGTCTGGGCAACATAGAGAGATCCCATCTCTAAAGCTATTTTTTTAAATTAGCTAGGTGTGGTGGCACGGGCCTGTGGTCCCAGCTACTTGGGAGGCTGAGGCAGGAGGATCACCTGAGCCCAGGAGGCTGAGGCTACAGTAACCTGATATGGCGCCACCACACTCCAGCCTGGGTGACAGAGTGAGACTCTGTCTTAAAAAAAAAAAAGTAATTACAGAATGTTCAAAGGGGATTTGAATTGAATTAAAAAGAACAAAACTCCTTTAAGAAGTCTTATATCTGACATAAAAAGAACAAATAACATTGACTGCAGCAACAGGGTCTAAATTATCCTGTACAGAGTTTACCCCTCTACTAATGAGAAAAAAGAAATCTAGAGAAAAGTCTTAATAAGTTGAGCTCCAGAGTTGCAAGAAGAGAGTATACTGATTGATGCCTGGTATATCACCACTGTGTCTTTTAAGATTTAATTCCACCCCCAAGCAACTTGAAAACGAGTAGAAAATAATTATCTTCTTCTTTATAAAAGGTTACAGATTTTCAAGGTTCTTTGACAAAGAATTATCACAATAGGAGGTTTTTTTCAGGGTCATGAAAAAAAGCCACGTGGCTTATATAAGATGTAAGAACCAACCAGGAAACAAAAATCCAGGAAGTCCTAGCTATAAAAAATCAATTAGAGTTAGCAAGTCATTACAAGCTTTGATGCTAAAGCTTCAAACTCCACATTGAGCCTGGACACTTAAAGTTCTTTTCATTGGAAAAAGGTTCTTATAGGAACTCTGTGATTCCTGAGGCTGCTTTCCAACCTCTGAAACTTGAATAGTCGCTAAATTTAGCTAAGAAGAAATTAGACTAGTGAGTAAATTAGTGTCAGTAAAAAGTCAGTGTAAGTTAGTAGAGAAGGTACATGTTTTAGAAGCACATTAACTTTCAGGTTAGGGAAGTGGATGGAGGCCTGGCTAAAGTGCTAGAAGTTTAAGGCACGGGCCCTAGGCCTGCAACTGACAAACATTGAGAACTCAGGCAAGTTTCAACTACTGCAGGTCTCAATTTGCACGTTTTACTATAAAAATATTGGGTTATATCAATCTTTCCTAATTTTCCCTCTTGGTAAGAATCGTCTGTTATATCACAAAAATTTTCAAAATTTCAGGCCCAGACTAGATTCATTAAATCAGAATCTTCAGTAGAGGAACCCAGAAAGTAATATGTTTATTAAGTACCATGAGTGATTTGTGTCACAATGGTTGTTGATAATTACTGCTTAAATGATACTTCGATTCTTCTCAATCTCAAAATACAATTTCTTTAAGTCTTAGTTGAAATAATACACTTAACCTAAACAGATTAATGTAGAAATAGATTAATAAATCACAAATAATTTATTTTATTAAAGTTATAAGTGTTAAAAATGACGAGTGGTGTTGTAAGCTTTATTTAATCTATAGTACACTAAAAGAGTCATCATTTGATAGTATATCCTAACTAGCAGGAAAGAAAATTACAGGTATAGAATTTTGGGGAAATAAAGTATCTGTAGTGTTCCCAATCCATTTTAGTTCAATGGAAGAAAATATTACCAGTAATAAGAAAAGAAAATATTACATTTACATAGATTTTCTTCAGAATGCAACTGCCTTTACATCTATGTTTCCCTATATTTATTGTGTTTAATATACTATATTAAACTAGTAGGGCTTTTTGGTTTTTTTATTTTGTTTCGTTTTGTTTTGTGGCAGGGTCTCACTCTGCCACCCAGGCTGGAGTGCAGTGGCATAATCTTAGCTTACTGCAACCTCCGCCTCCCGGGTTCAAGCAATTCTCCTGCCTCAGCCTCCTGAATAGCTAGGATTACAGGTGTGCACCACCACGCCTGGCTAATTTTCTGTATTTTTGGTAGAGATGGGGTTTCACCATGTTAGCCAGGCTAGTCTTGAACTCTTGACCTCAAGAAATCCACCCACCTCAGCCTATCAAAGTGCTGAGATTACAGGCCTGAGCCATAAACTAGTGTTTAATATACCTATGAGAATAAACACATTCTATTATTCACACTATTAAAAGTAACAAATTGAAGCCCAAATCAGGTAGCCCACCAGCAGAAGGTTAGAATTAGAATTCCACTCATCTAACTCTCAATTCAGTGTTTCCTCCTACTTAATTTCATTTTACCAAAAAGTAATAACTATTATCTATACTTATGTACATTTGACAATTTCCAAAATGAAAGATTTCTTTTTAAGTATCATTAGGTATGCAGTGTGTTATCAGCAACAATATTGATGGTGTGCCACTGTAAGTTAGGGCACCTGTTCCTCTTCCTTAAAGGATTGGAATCACGTTGTGGTATGCAACTGAGTAAAAATTCTAATCTCCTCAGCACAGCTAGCAGATATTAAATACGGGCATACTTCATTTTATTTCACTTTTCAGCTATTGCATTTTTTACAAATTGAAGGTCTGTGGCAACCCTGTGTCCAGCAAGACTGTAAGCACCACTTTTCAAACAGCATGTGCCCGCTTTGTGATTCTGTGTCACATTTTGCTAATTCTTGCATTATTTCACACTTTTTCATTATTATTATATATATATTATAGTCATCAGTGATCAGTGATCTTTGATGTTATTATTGTCATTGTTTTGGGGCTCCAGGAACCACACCCATCCATGGCAGTGAACTTAATCAATAAATGTTGTGTGTGTTCTGACTGCTCCACTTACCCACCATTCCCCCATCTCTCTCTCTTTCCTCAGGCCTCCCTATTTCTGGAGACACAATATTGAAATTAGGCCAATTAATAACCCTACCATGACTTCTACATGTTCAAGTGAAAGGAAGAGTCATATATCTCTCACTTTAAATCAAAAGCTAGAAATGATTAAGCTTAGAAAGGAAGGCTTGTTGAAAGCCAAGACTGGCTGAAAGCAAGGCCTCTGTGTCAAACAATTAGCCCAGTTCTGAATGCAAAGAAAAAGTTTTTGAGGGAAATTAAAAGTGTTATTGCAGTAAACACATGAATGATGAGAAAGCAAAACAGTCTGATTGTTGATATAAAGAAAGTTTGAGTTCTCTGGATAGAAGACCAAAGCAGTCACAACATTTCCTTAAGCAAAAGCCTAATCCAGAGCAAGGTCTTAACTCTCTTCAATTCTATGAAGGCTGAGAGAGCTGAGGAAGCTGTGGGGCAGGGGGGTGGGGGAAACCTTCAAAGCTAGCAGAGGTTGGTTCCTAAGGTTTAAAAAGGAGCTATCTCAATAGCAAAAAGGTGCAAAGTGAAGCAGCAAGTGCTAATGTAGAAGCAGAAGCAAGTTATCAGGAAGATCTAGCTAAGATCATTGATGAAGGTGGCTACACTGGAAAACCAATTCTTAATGTAGACGAAACAGCCTTATATTGGAAGAAGATGCCATCTAGGACTTCCATAGCTAAAGAGGAGAAGTCAATGCCTGGCTCTAAAGCTTTAAAAGATAGGCTGACTCTTTCATTAGGGGCCGATGCAGCTGGTGACTTTAAGTTGAAGTCAGTGCCCATTCACCATTCCAAAAAATCCTAGGATCCTTAAGAATTATGCTAGCTCTATTTTTCTTGTGCTCTATAAATGGAATAACAAACCCCAACATATCTATTTACAGCATGATTTCCTAAATATTTTAAGCCCACTGTTGAGGCCTACTGCTCAGAAAACAAAAGAGATTCCCTTCAGACTATTACTTCTCATTGACAATGCACCTGATGCCCCAAAAGCCCTGATGGAGATGTACAAGGAGATTAATGTTTTCATGACTCATAGCACAACATCCTTTCTGTAGCCCATGGACCAAGGAGGAATTTTAACTTTCAAGTTTTATTATTTAAGAAATACTTTGTGTAAGGCTACACCTGCCATAGACAGTAATTCATCTGATGGATCTGGGAAAATGAAATAATTGAAAATGAAATAAATGAAAAGTAAATTGAAAATGCGTTCACCATTCTAGATGCCATTAAGAACATTTGTGATCCATGGGAGGAGGTCAAAATATCAACATTAACAGAAGTTTGAAAGAAGTGGATTCCAAACATCATGAATGACTTTGAGGTATTCAAGATTTCAGTGGAATAAGTAACTACACATGTGGTAGAAATAGCAAGAGAACTAGAATTTGAAGTGGAGCCTAAAGATGTGACTGAATTGCTGCAGCCTTATGATAGAACTTGAATGGATGATGAATTGCTTCTTACAAATGAGCAAAGAAGATGGTTTCTTGAGATGGAAGCTACTCCTGGTGAAGATGCTCTCAACATTATTGAAATGGCAACAAAGCATTTAGAATATCACATAAACTTAGTTGAAAAAGCAGCAGCAGGGTTTGAGAGGATTGACTCCAATTTTGAAATAAGTTCTACTACTGGTAAAATGCTATCAAACAACCTCTCATGCTACAGAGAAATCTGTCGTATAAGGAAGAGTCAATTGAAACAGACAATTTCCTGAATTTTGGAGCAGTGGAGAAGACTCTGAGATGGGTGTGGGGAAGATGATGAAGGGTCCAATAAAAGAAAAACTAAATTGTAAATGCCCATAGATTATTCAAATAGAAATGGCTGTGTCCAGAACTGAGTTTCAAAAGAATTGGGACAACTTTAATAAAGTCCATCAAAAGTCAAAAAAATAATTAAAGTCTTAGAGAAGTAGATCTTAGAAGAAACAAGTTCAAAAGATTTTTTTTGTGCTTCATGGTGACTACAGTTTATCACATGTTGCATATTTGAAAGTTGCTAACAGAGTAGACTTTAAGTGTTCTCACCACAAAAAAGATGGTAAGTATGTGAGGCAATGCATATGTTAAATAGCTTTATTTACTCATTTCACATACATGCCTACATCAAAACATCATGTTGCATGCCATAAGTACATAACATTTTTACTTGTCAATTTAAAAATAAAAAGGTAAAAAAGAAAAGCAGATCTAAAAAGAATAAAATGAACTACAATTATATATTCCACATGGAGGCACACAGGATCTTGGAATTAGAACTAGCATCCTAGTTCACTGGCTTTCCAGATTTTCTCTTGACATAGGAATAAATCCCTCCCCCCTTTCCCCTGTGTGCTTGAGGAAGTAGCCAGAAGACACAAGGAGTCATTTAATTATTCCTAAGCACACTGAGATCTTACTAAGTGACTATGTCCTCTTATGAAGAGAACCTGATGTAAAGCTTAAACTAGAGCATGAAAAAAATGCAAAATACTAGAACAAGGTTTGTGAAAATGTTCTGAAACTTTCTTGCAGGAAGAGTTGGGCAGTAAGTGGATACTTCTTCTATATCCTACTTGCCAGTTAAATTGGCAAACTTAACAAAGCTGGAGAAATAGATTGGAAGCAATAACTTTGTTTCAGAAATTGCACTGCCAAGAGGAACCTCATTACCTCTTGGCTTTGTGTTTGAGAAAAATCCAGTTCAGCTGACAAAATGAAGATGAGCGAGACGCTCAACTGAAGATTGTAAATGCACTAGTCTCAGCGTGGTTTTCCAAATGTAATCTTCTACTCTCAGAAAAAGAACTTAACTGTTCATTAATGAAGTGCAGGTGTATGCGAACAACTGGAATGAAGAGAAAAGTTGTCCCAAAGTGAAAAGTAATGCCTAAAACTGAATGGTAAGACTATATGCAGGGGGTTACATTCATTTGTTCAGGAAATATCGACTGAGTTCTTATCTACCTTTTGCCAGGCAATGTGCTAACCGTTGCGAAGTCTATCACAATTACTAAGCCTCTTCTCAAGGCTTATGCAAGATGAAAGGAGGAGGGAGGAGAGAAAACAGAAATATTGGGTGATGAGAAAGAGAAATACATAAAAGAAGAGGAAGAGAAATGAGACTGAGGGAGAAAAAAGAGAAAGAAATTGAAGGAGGAACAGAAAGAAAAGTTGTCGTTTACAGCTTCAACATACTTCAGGCCCATATTACATCTCATCTATTGCAATAAATCCTTAAAACATTCTCCTTTCTTCCTTTCAACATGCATTCATTGAACGTTATCGCTGAAATTCTCTAGAAGGCAAAACCTACAATGAGAATTTGAGTGCTAATACTTTACTCAGGAGGTTCCAGGCCAGGAGGCAATGACAGTGCAGAAACAACAGGAGTAAAGCAAAGAAAATATGAGGGAATGCTGTGTGGCATGTTATCCTGCTGACCACCATTTATCATCAAACCACAAAGATACATAGTGATCACTCAGCAGATCTGTGTTTTTGGTAGGATTGCAAAAAGAAATTGTACATGATAAAAATCTCCAGGGGCACTGTGAGTGGCCTGGCCTCCTCCTGAATCTTGTTTCTCATTGGTCAAGGTTCACCCCACAGGGAGCTAAGACCCCTACACTTCCAGGCTGTATCCTCCAGATTGCAGCATCCAGCCTCTCAGCTGCTACTCAAGGAAGCCAGATCCCAGACACCACGACATGGTGTTTCATCCAAGTTTGAAAATGGACTGGCAACATCTTTAACAGTCTAGGAAGGGAGATGGGACAGTTAAACCACACAGCACGAGCCAAGGACAAGAAAGAAGATGGTAAAAGGAGGGTGAGAAGGTTCACAAAGCTTGAATTCAGTATAAGCAATTTTCACATGCCAGATACTGTGCCCAGTGCTGGGAAGATGAGAGTAAATAACACAGATCTGGTTATTTACCTGATCTCAGACTTGCATAGCAGCAAGGTGACCAGTATGCATAAACAAGCAATTATCATGCAGTGAGACAAAGTGCTGTAGTGGCTGAGGAGCAGAGGTACCTGTGTCATCTCAAAGAACTCCCAGAAGAGATACTTTCTAGGCATGGGTTATCCAGGTACAGGTCTGAGCCAGGGAGTAAATGTGTGAGGGAGGAAAATAAGGGAGACTATATGATAGTGGGCAGCAGGCAGGTAGAGATGAGCTCCAAAGCCCGAGACTGTGAAAGATGTTCAGCATTGTTGGAGCTCCAAGGGTTGAACAGGAATGGAGACTTAACAGTTCAGGTATTACCATATCATGATCTGATCACATGAGGCCTAAGATCATAGCCTACAATTCTATCTCTCTACCCTAAACCCACAGTCCTTACCTCATCTCCCCCATATTCATGGCCAGCTTGATTACCAGTTTTACTGAAAATATGTTCTCTGCCTTTCCACTTCAGTGTCTTTACACATGGCCTGCTTCCTCTGGGATTCTGTCCCTTTCATATGAACACCTGTTTAAACCATGAACTTCCTTTAAGGCCCAGGTAAAAGCTTTCTTACCCCAAACCTACCCTATGTCCCCATGTCTCACTGGTTTAATCTCTTCTTACCTAAAATTCCTATTTTCTCTTAAGGTTCTTGTTTCATTTCAATAGTTATTTATTTAACTGGCTCATCTCCCCTCCTATACCATTAAAGAGGTCAAAAGTAACACTGATAGAAATAAACAATTTTCATGGCTTCTATAAACTTTTTCCTCTTTAAAACAACAGAGGGATATATTTAACTATGGAAATCATTTAGAAATCAACTAGCATTGCCTTAGCCCAAAACTACTGGGCAAATCCCCCATTTCAGTCCAGGCCAATCTCTCTGGCCCAGTAATGCTCCTTGTTTCTTTCTCATTTGTTTTCCTTCCCAATCTTTCCCCACAGGCCATTTCCCTCACTCAGGATCCTTATACCTTCTATTTTGTCTGGTTGCATTCTGGGCTCTCAGAGCTACGTAGCTTTGGCATGGAATACTGACATCCAGGTTGCAGACAATTTTGGTCTGGTCAACAGTCAAACAATTCCTTTCTCTGTGCTATCTAAAAAACAAAGAGAATTCAATCAAACTCAATATATCATTCTGTTGTGTTTAAGAGTTTCCATTTTGAATTCCAGAAACATTTGTTATTTGCCTTTTACATGAAGAGTATTGACACTTGGGAATACAAAGAAGAATGTCAAGCATGGCCTTTAAGGGCCTTTACAGCCAAATGAGTGACAAAGACTATTATAATAATAGTTAGAAATCAGGAAGAAGTGATGTCCTACAGGAGTATGAACTTAGGGCTATAGGATTAGGAAAGCTGAACTATTACTTGTAAAACCATTGCCAAAATCCATATTCATATCTAGTTCTAGGTCATTCATAATCTCCCTTCTCCACGATGCCACATGCTTTAGTTTCAGCAACACACATTAGTGAATTTTCAGTTTAGTCATGTTAACTTTGAAGAAATATATAACACATTGCACATGTTCTTCCTCTTCAGGAGATCAAATTAAACAGGACTCACACATCATTCAAAAAGTAAATTTTTCCATAAGCCATTTATTTTTCCCAGAGCAACCTCTACTCAGTGCTAGGCTTTCTCCTCAAATATCCTGACTCTCTCATTCGTCCAGGGTAGCTCTCTCCTGCTCTTGTTTAATGAGGTGCATTATACCTTGAGCTAAATAAATTAGGAAATTTTTAATAACAAGAACAGTCTGATAATTTAATGAACACTTAAAGTAGGAACTCTTCAATATTTTTGCTAAGCCCATTAATTCAATAAACATTTCCTATATCACACTAAGATAAGTTTGTTACACTTGATTTTAAAAATTAACTAAACTTAGATACAAATGCAATCAAACAGAACCAGTAGAAACCAATCTCACTTTGGACTCTTTCTGACTTCGTGTTTCTTTTGTTCCTTAACTCTTCCCAGCATTATATTTTTAGAGAGAATATTTGAACTATATATGTAGATATATGGCTTATAAAGTCTATGTTTGCCTCTGCAAAAAGAGTGGGGATTTAAAGATGGAACACACGTCATTACTTTCACTAACTCTTCTACTTCCTTCCATTTACAGATAACAATTTGGAAAGGAAGCTTGTTTGCACTCGGCCTAGGTAGCGTGACACGCTAACTATTCTCACTTAAGAAGAAGATGGAGTTAACACTAGAGATCTGGAGCATCTGTGAGTCTAGGATCCTGCATCAATAACCTGGGGAGAAATGGCTATCAAGTCCTAAACTCTACCTTAGTGTGTAGGTTCAAGATATAAGCAAAGAGATAATGCAGCCTAATGGAAAGAAAAGATCCCTAAGAGTTTGACTTAATAAGTTTCTTCCTCCTTCCTCCCTGCTCTCCCCTTCCCCATCCCCTCTCCCTTCTCTCTGCTCCATTCTCCCTCTTCCTTTCTTCCTCTTCCTCCTCCTCCTTCATCTTTCCTCCTCCTTCCCCTTCTTTTTCTTCCTCCACTTCCGTTCCTCTTCCTTCTTGCAAAAAACACTGGAGTAACTGCTTGTCTTCACCCATCTTCTCATTCCCTCCCCTCCCCACACCTTTTCATCACCACCTGTCATTGTGAGGAATCCAGAGATCTGCATGTTAATAATTCTCTTGTGCTACCCTTTGCTGACTTTCTCCTACACCTATGATTTCAATAATTGAAGAGGTTTCCAAGGTTCTTACAAGCCAAGAACCTTATCTCTCTTGGCCTCATGTGAACTGTCATCAAATATCCTGCTGTTAATTAGCAAAGGTTATTTTATCCCGTTATCTCTGCTTCTCTCTTAGCATAAAGCAAGAGAAAATGCTATAAGCCCACTTAAACAGTCTCATTGCTCCTCTAAGGGTTGACATCAAGGGAAGTTCTTAGTGTACTACTTTCCTGACACCTTATTCTCACACCCAAATGACTTTATTGACTTTAAAACCAATTTCTAAAGACAGGTGAAAGATATTTCCAGTCTTTCAAATGATGGTGGAATATCTCCTCCAATTGCCCCTTAAGATATCAGCTAAGAATATAAATTACTTTATTTCATAACTCAAAAACTTCCTGGATAGTCAGATACATTTACACATAGGATATGATAACTCATAATTTTCTTAGCATACTAATGTTTTTACAAGCTTAAGTACAGTCAATAGAAGATTTCCTTTCTGTTTAAAAATCTACAGTAGGGGGAAAAAAGGCTGTAGCACATATCCATATTCTCAAAAACAAAGTCTTACTCCAGAATAGCATAGAAGGCCTACCTTTCCACCGTCATTGTAACTTTCTTTTACCCTGAGCTCTCTTCACACCAGTGCACAGGCTGCTACTGAACACAAACTTTTCCATTTCTTTTCATGTGTTCTCCCACACCTTAGAACATGCTTATGGACTCTCCAAGCTCCTTTTAAATATCACCTCAATGAAGATTACTCTTGGGCATCAATAAATGGATTAAACCATGTTAGATATGTAATCATCCAAACACTTAAGTCACTGTAGCATACGTAGTCAATAGTTCAATTATTATTACAACTAAAAGCCTGTAAATTACTGGGGACACCCTTATGACAGATGTACTTTAGTGCATAGACTAACTCATAACAGGCACATAATTTTTTTAAACAAATAAATGTTTGATTGTCATGTAATTTTACTCATCAAATCAACATATTCAAAATCAAATTAATGAACTAGAAGACTGGTACAACATTTATGTGGTTTACCACATTTCCTTCAAAGTCAGAATTAAAACCCAGAACCTGAAATATATTAAGTTTCCATATACTACTCATGATATGGTTTGGCTGTGTCCCCACCCAAATCTCATCTTGAATTATACCTCCCATAATTCCCACAAGATGTGGGATGGACCCAGTGGGAGATAATTGAATCATGGGGGTGTTTGCCCCATACTGTTCTCATGGTAGTGAATAAGTCTCATGAGATCTGATGGTTTTATAAGGGGACACTCCTTTTGCTTGGCTCTCATTCTTTCTTGTCTGCTGCCACGTAAAACATGTCTTTCCCCTTCTGCCATGATTGTGAGGCCTCCCTAGTCATGTGGAACTGTGAGTTCATTAAACCTCTTTTTCTTTATTAATTATCCAGTCTCAGGTATGCCTTTATCAGCGGCACGGAAATGGACTAATACAACTTAGCATTCCAGAATGTGTGCCCTTGTGTGGTCATGTACTCTTAATGCCAACTCTGAGGCCAGAATGAAGACAATCTTATTAGTGCAGAGGGGGCAACTAATGCATTTAACAATTCAGAGCTAAACTGTGTTCCATTTTTAATATGCTATCAGTAGAAAATCTGAAATATATATATTTTAGAAAATTCAAGCAATGTTCTGCTCCACTACAACCACACCAAAAATTTTTCTGGATTTTTAAATATAGTTTATTGCTTTAATAAATTTTGCTTTACCATATACCAATATATGACATATCTACTTCTATGCCACTTAAATTTATATTTGTTGATATCCTAATCTCTAGGCCACATTCCCATACATGGAATACATTTGCCCTGGTCTTTATTAGATTTTGAAAGTGCATTCCTTGATTCATGTTTTACTTTCTGAGAAAGGACTGTGGAATGCAAACTGAGTGGCTTTAATTTTATTTGAGAAAAGGCAAGAAGAAAGTGTTCTTACCAAATTCAAGCTTTTATTTTGCAGGTAAGCATCACTTGTGCTGCTGCTTCTGATTTATAAAAGAGAAACACTATTCTCTTTAAAACAACAAGTGTTAAGCAAAATCATAAATAGCTCTCTACGTTTTCATTCCCAATTCTATTGGCTTGGCTAATATTACTGGTAATACATACATTGATTGTTACAGCACTATTTTGGCTGCATTTAAAACACCACATGAACAATGAACAACAGTATCAACTAAATATGCTATAGGTGTTATTATACTCTTGCGGCAAACATCCTGAATTGAGGTTCAGTGAGGAATGAGACATCACCAAAAATAAGTCATCAACAGGACCATATCAATGTCAGGATTTAGCTTCAGCATCCAGCCTAGGCCAAGAGATCTGGAGACCTTTGGGAGGGAATTAGCATTTTTTAAAATTATTATTATTATGGCATCTAGAAATTATATGCATTCTGTTACAAGAAGGATCCATGGAAATGAAGTCTGTTTTTCCCCCCCAAGATTGTAAATTCCTCTAAAATCAGGTGCTTGGAATCAGAGCTGCTAAATCACCAGTGGATGATGGGGTTTTGTATGGAAGAAAAGTTAAGCAATCACAATCACACTCCAGAGTGAACAGAGAGAGAGTATCCTTGAGTCTAGGGGAAGATTAACCTTGTGGGGATGTCAATAGTGACTCACAAAGGAATTTCCAAAGTCAATACTACTAAAATGCTTTCTCCCTCCAAAGTATGAATATCTAACATAACAACAATAATATTAATAATTTGATGTTCACAGAAACTGAAATGCTAAAAATGTATCCAATTTTGGCCTTTATTATTGCATTGACAGATAAAAAATATTTATATTCTGCTTACTTCACTGGGCAAATACTCACAGGTTCCTAACAATAAAAATTCAATTGTTCCTCTGTGTTTAATGGGGGCCAAGAAGAAATTCTCATTCCAGATTTGTCAAGGTACATCTATAAATGATAACAGTAAGAAGTGAAAGCATTTATAAGAAAGGAAAGTAATGGGCGAACAACCCCGCTGGTTCACTTCCACACAAGAGCAAAATAAAACCTTTGATAACAACTACTAAGGTAAGCAGTAAGCTGTATACAGTGCCTTTATGGCAGCTGTGCTGTGTTATCCAGCATAGTTTTACTCACTATATTCAGCTCTGTACAGGAGTATACAGTCGTGTTACACATCTATGTATTTACATCCAGGTCCCACATCCAGCCTTTCCCCCTGAGAACTGGACTATCAGACTTACAGCTTTCTAAGTACTTTCTGTTTTCCTGTGAACACAGATATTAATTTCCAAGTGTGCTTTGGCCTAAGACATTTTCCTCCTCTTTAGATGCTTGGAGTAGATTGTACTCGGGCTTGATAGATTGCTCACTCTGCAATTAACACCCCTTCTCTATTCCACCCGTACCCCCACACTATGTAAGCATCTAATTCCCAATTCTAGAACACCAGACTTCCACTTTCCTGCTAATTATAATCTTCCTGCCCAGTAAGTTTCCATTCAAAAAGCTAGAAAGACTAAGCCTGAAGAAACTTTAGGAATAGATGATCCATAAGAAAAGCTATTTTTACAAAAGAAAGTTTAGAAAGATGAAAATGTCAATAGCAGATTAAAAGTTGAAGCTGAAAAATAGGTAGGTCATAATGCATCAATTCTATACAAGTTTTATTTATATGTTGATCCCTGAAGACCCTCCAACAGTAGACAGTAGTCAAAGAAAAGAAGAGAGGAGCTGGAATGGAAAGATCACCAAGGTTTGAAAAACTAACCTGGAGCCTTTTAATCTAAATTCTGTTTCTACAAATTCAGAGGAGTAACTATAGTCATGTTTTGTCCTGAAATAAAAAGTGTTTAAGCTATAATTTTCCAAAGTGAAATTAGAGAAGGAAGAAAATTCAATCATTATTTTCAAAAACAGCTGTAGCCCTGTCAATGTGGCCTTTTAGCACCAGTTGTTGAAGCAAAATGCTAAGCAGTCTGTAAGAACCATCCCATCAGGTACCTTATCTGAGGCTATGGTCACAGATGCCTATGAACTCTGCAAAGCTATGTCACACAAAGACATCTAGCATGACAAGCTTTACAGAATTGAATGGATGCATTACCATAGCAAGAAAATTTGCATCTTGCCTTCCTAACCAAAGCCCACAGTGGAAATATGTCCTCGTACCTGGCAAGCCCAAGGAAACATTCCCACCTTTACCACTTCTGCAGGGAGTACTGCTTGGGTTCTCCAATGTGGTTAGAACAGGTCACAAATTCTTCTAGAGTGGAAGCTTCCTTGTCTACTCATGACTTCTCAACCCATTGACTTACATAAATCTGAGCAAGTTTCCCAGTCTCTAAATATTATCACTATCCACACTCTGAAACAAACACACTATTGCTGGGTTACACCCACCAATTAGAGAGCTTATTATGGAGAAAGCTATGGTTTTCTCCTCTTCCTTCTTTTTCTTCAGAAAAATTAAAACTTGGCGACAAAACCCTGGATCCTTGACATTTGAAAGGAATATGTTTGCAGAAATTTCCACATTCAAAAATTCACACACATAAAAATTCCTTTGAGCAAAAAATTAAAAAACAAAAAAGAATGCCATTCATTCATTACTGATTCATTCCTGGCATACCAGACCCTTAGCTTGTAGCATTTATCTATGCTACACACCCTAACTACATTTTCTCCTTTAACTTTCACAGTGACTCTTGGGAGACATATTATTTTTGCTACTATTTTTAACTATCCCAAGTGTTACAAGTGGAAGAACTTAGGGGCGGCATACAAATGGTCAACAAAATAAATATTAAATGTGTGAATGCTAAGTGTCACTTATTTCAAGAAGAATACTTGGAGAGTTGGAGAGATTTTCCTTCCAACCAGCAGTGCACCATCTGTCCCGGAACTGGCTGCCTACCTTCCTTGGCCCTCAGTGCGGCAGCTGCTGGTACGCTCTGGGCACAGTACACCTCCCGGGTCTGGATCCCACCGCCACACACGGGTCCCGTCACATGCCAGTGGGGATCCTGCTGCTCGAGGAGGAGAGAGACTTGGCATTCTTTCCATTCAGAAGTTCTCCAGGAATACCTGTTTGGTTTGGTTTATTTAAAAGAAGAAGAAGAAGTAAGAAAAATATACAACTCTGAGGAAAACTTAAGTCATGACATCAAGAGGCATAATCTCTCTTTCTAGGGCCAAATCTTTGCCTGTGGATAAAGAAGTATACTAGCTTTGAATTACTAAATCCCTTTTATTTCCTAGAAAAAAAAAACATCCAGCAGCCCATCATGACAATAGCACAAGATGACTGGACTAAAGGAACGTGATATGGATAAACAGTGAGTGTGTCTCAGCCTTGAAGCTGGAAGAGAGTGAGGGAATAGAGAGAGGAGTTGGAAACCGAATGAGCCTAATTCTTGATAGCTGAACTTGTCATGGGATTTCACTCCACAGACTTTCAGATGACTTTGTGTGAAAGTTGGCTTTTCTTTCTTAATAGGACAGTGTGTGAATGTGTAAAGTCGTAAATATATTATTTTACATACAGCTATCTCCAACTTTTCAGTCTTCTTGATGTAAGAAACTCTTTACTCATTTGACTTCATGTCATTCACATAAAAGTATATGTATTAAAAATGAGTTAATACCGTGCCACTATATATAACTGATTAATACTTTTTTACATATGCAGCCATACTGTTATATAAACTGATATAGAAATATGTCTCCCTAGTTTATAACTGGTTAATACTCAAATACACACATACATCCCCACAAATAAGGGGGAAAACACAATGGAGTTTGTATACAATGTACAGAAAACAAAACAACTATCACACTACTACATTCATACCTAGAGAATTATTTTAGGCAGAATTTCCTTTTGTGGATTATTACCGTATTCTTTAAGCCCACAGCAGTAGTATAACCTTGCGGCATTCGTAAAAACACTGAGAGACTCATTAAATTCTGAACAATAAACAAAGCCTAAGTAACATTGACATATCTGCTGTCCCATTTCATATTTAAAGAAAAATTTATCAGTTTTGTGATTGTTTAAAAGAAAAAAGAGGAAAAACCAGCCATAAAAGTAATCATATGTCACCAAGATCCTGGCTTTACAAAAACTAGAGTAAAATTGAAATCAAGTAACAGATGTCAAAATAAGAAAGCAAATCTCCAAGAAACCTCATAGTGACAAATCCCTAACAATGAATGTCATCATTCTAAAAAGCCTGAAAGCTAAGAATCAGCTGAGAATCATTAGTCTTGTGAAAAGCCCACCATAGAAAAAGGATTTGGACAGTCCTCTGGGATTTGTTGTAACATGAGTTTTTCTCCCTCAGCCTCACTACTTAATTTTCACTTTTTTTTTCCCTAGGCTTATGAATTAGTCACTCAGGCAGACAAGAGTTTGGAGTGCAGACTTCAGGTCCTTCCTATCCTAGGTGAATATAAATAACAATATATTTCTGGCCGGGCACAGTGGCTCATGCCTGTAATCCCAGCACTTTGAGAGGCTGAGGTGGGCGGATCACCTGAGGTCAGGAGTTCGAGACCAGCCTGGCCAACATGGAGAAACCCCCATCTCTACTAAAAATCCCAAATTAGCCGGATGTGGTGGCACATGCCTGTAATCCCAGCTACTCGGGAGGCTGAGACGGGAGAATCACTTGAACCCAGGAGGCGGAGGGTGCGGTGAGCCAAGATTGCACCATTGCACTCCAGCCTGGGCAACGAGAGCAAAACTCCGAAAGAAAAAACAAACAAACAAAAAAAACACACACACAAAAACCCCACAAAACAATATATTTCTAATTCCTGGGTATGAGAAATAAAGAGAAGTTCATTTCTTCACAGGGATAGTTCTTTTCCAGAGCCAGGGCTCTGAAACCCTTTCTCCTCACAGAGTCAGTCCTTACCCTATTCTTCAGGGCCACCTCAGCAGAAGCCTTGTTTTTCAGATTTCCAGTTTCAGGGCACAGATAGATCTTTCATCCAGGGCAAAATGAAATGGGGTATGAGAATGTTGGGGTGGATGATTACCAAGATCTCATTTCAAACCCTCTTCCTCCAAGGATTCCCCAAAAGAAGAACTTTCTGGCCTGAACAAGGGGGTCAGATACAGCCACTGACTCAGAGACTTCTATGATATCATTAACAAAGAAGACACGCAAAAAGAGGGTAGTGTGGTACAGATGACAAGTATGCTTTGGAGTCCAACCAACTTGGTTTGAATCAGAATTTCACCGCTTTCTGGTTAGTGACTTGGGTCCAATTTTGTTTTCCTACCTGTACAAGGGAGATAATAATACCAATCATTGAGCCTGACATATAATAAATATTCAATAAGTGTCCATTCCCTTTCTTCTTGCATCCTTCTACATGTGCCTTTTGCCCATTGCTGATGTGGAAAACACACACACACACACACACACGTACATTAACATTTTATTTATGAGGATTTCATTGATTTCATCAAAAGTCTTAATATTAGAGATCCACAGTTGCCATGGTCTAAGTTCCAGCAACAGCAGTTCAACAAAGAGCAAAAAAGAAACATAAAGTTTAGATTATAGTTATTTTTTGCTTGTTTGAAAGGAATGGGGCATTCTGTATAAATTGCTTTTACAATTAATTTAACATGACCCTACAAGAAATAGCAATGGAGAAATTTGGGAAGTTATTATGAAGGAAAATGAAAACAAGAGTTTAATGACTATATCTGTATATAAAGTAACAAAAAACTTGTTGGTAGCTCATTAACCAAAAACACCCAAGTTCCATTCACTGGCAAATGATAAATCCTTTAGAGAAGACATTTATCACTATTGCTATTTTTTTTTTACCACCTCAGAGAAAATATCAACCTAGCAAGAGGGAGAGGAAAAACCACACCAATAAACTACTTCTATATTCCTTTTTTTAAAAATATGGGTCTTTTCATAGTCTTTGCTCAACCTTTTTTCTTTATTTTTTTCAAAAGCCCTATCTACGTTTAGTCACAAATCATCCCGGCAGCCATGAAAACTGAACATCCTGAGCTGCTCCAACCAGAGAAAGTGTCGCTAGGATCTGACAGAATAACAAATCAAAGGAGCCCACTCAGCTAAACGTTACTCCCTTTCTCCTTTAGAAGTTGTTACAGCGATAGTCCTCCAGGCTCCAGAAAACTCAGCTTTCTGATGCCTGGAACACTCTCTTTAATGGCTAAGCCCATGTCAAAGACCAGACCTTTTCAACCTCCCATCTCCCAACTCTGATGCCTTTCAAAGCAGCCTCATTTGGCCCTCTTGGTTAAAAGGGAATGTGGGGAGTTGCAAAGGCCGGCGTCCTACCTCCTCTGAGATGAAACTTCGAAATTGGCTATGGAAATGCCTCAAGTAGAGTAAATGGCCATGGAATGAAAGAAATGTCAGTTTCCATAGCCCCTTACCAACGTGAGAGTGTGAATCAGTGTGCTTTTTTCAAAGTGTCTGGCTAAACAGAATAAACAAGGCATTAATTTGTTTGGACTACTAGGGTATCAGGGCAGATCCTCCAAGTAGTACAAATAACAGTATTTTCTGCCTGCTTACTGTATACCAGGCACCGCACTAATGAACTTAGGGGCATTACTTCATTTAATCCTCCCAGCAACCCTATGAAGAAAATCTTATTTCTCCTTTTACAGATGGCAGAATTGGCATAAAGAGTAAGTAACTCTTCCAAGGTCACATGAGTGAAAGCAGGGTTCAAAGCAAGGTTTACCTGATTCTAAAGCATATCTTCATAATAAAATGACACTATGGCAGATTAAAACGGTAAATGGCAAACCCATTTACTCAATCAGATAGTCCAGAAAGCTCAATCAAGTAGTACAGAATGCAACTTCAGTAGACAATGGGTAGCTACCTGTCTAGCCATTACAAGGACAAGTGAATGTTGATCTTGGTCCGAGGAAGTGTGTTCTGGGTGTAGACAAAAATATAATCTGCTGACCAATAATATTTCACACTGCCAAAATAACTTCTCTTCTAATCTCAAATACAAGTACAGTTCGAGAATATATGATAATCATTTTATAATGAGAGCCCTGTGGTCACCTAGGGATGCATTTCAGCTCTTTCAGGAGATAGTCATGTCTCACTTGATGACAGAGATATGTTATGGAGAAATGTGTCACTAGGCAATTTCATCCTTTTGCAAACATCATAGAGTGCACTTACACAAACCTAGATGGTGTAGCCTACTACATACCTAGGCTATATGGTATATATTGCTCCTAGGCTGGAAACCTGTACAGCATGTCAATTTACCAAATACTGTGGGCACCTATAACACAATGGCAAGTATTTGTGTATCTAAACATGTCTAACATAAACAAGGTACAGTAAAAATAAAGTATTACAATCTTATGGGACCATCGTATATGCAGTCCATGGCCCACCACTGACAGAAATGTTATGGAGTGCATGGCTGTAATTGCAAGTTAAAAGAGAAATAAAACATAAGTAAAGGAATCTCTAATTGTGTAAATTCAAATTCCCACTAAAAGATGCAAAAGATAACTTTTTGAAAAAGAATGTCTTTTCAAGGCCCCAAAATCAAATTCCCAACATTGCTCCCTGCTCATTCTAAATGTTAGAGAAACCTGCCCTCCATTTATGTAAAAACAGCTCTGATGTCCCTACTTTGAGTGAGAGAGCACATTGTCAGCCATTTTGAACCCCAAACCTCTGAGAAAGGGAATGCTAATAACTCAAATACTGGATGCACAGGAAGAATAACTCCTACAAGAACATTTCAGTTAAGATAAAGACATGGATGGAAGACTGAAGCCTGAAAAGTGCTAAAAAGCAGGTTGACTAGACAAAGAAATAGGCCTGTCCAAACAGTAAGTGAATCACTTACTCATCCATGCATTCACTTATCCTTTCTTTCAACAAGTAATTGTTGAGCCACAGCTAAGCACCGAGGACAACAGAGACACAGCAGTGAGAGACAGAAAGCCCCTGACCTTGGGAAGATTACCTTCTGGTGGGATAGACAGACATAAATGCATCAATACATGGCATGGCACCAGTTACCAGGTGGGGAGAGAGAGATGGACGAGGAGAGATATTTCAGTGCCATGACGAGGGAAATCCTCAGAGTCCTGAATAAAATGAGGGAGTGAGCATAAGGATGTTGGGCAAGTGGTGTTCTGGGCAGAGAAAAGGGCAGCCTGTCCAAAGTCCCCAGGGAGGCAGAGTGCCCAGCACCATCTAGAAATAGCACAGAAGCCAGTGTGGTTAAGACAGGTGGGTCAAGGGGAGAATAGTAGAGACAGGATATAAAGAGTAGTCAAGAGCCACGTTATGTGGAACCTCATAGGCCAGAGCAGGGGTCCCTAACACCCGAGCCACAGACCAGTACTGGTCAGCGGCCTGTTAGGAACCAGGTCTCACAGCAGGAGGTGAGCAGCAGGTGAGCAAGTGAAGCTTCATCTGTATTTACAGCCACTCCCCATCACTCACATTGCCACCGAGCTCTGCCTCCTGTTAGATCAGCAGCAGCATTAGATTCTCACAGGAGTGCAAACCCTATTGTGAACTGCACAAGAGAGGGATCTAGGTTGCGCGCTCCTTATGAGAATCTCATGCCTGATGATCCATCACTGCCTCCCATCACCACCCCCAGATGGGACTGTCTAGTTGCAGGAAAACAAGCTCAGCGCTCCTACTGATTTTACATTATGGTGAGTTGTATAATTATTTCATTATAATGTGATAATGATAGAAATAACATGCAAAATAAATAAAAGTAATGCACTTGAATCATCCTGAAACCATCCCCCTTTCCAAGTTCATGGAAAAATTATCTTCCACAAAACTGGTCACTGGTACCAGAAAGCTTGAACACTGGGCCAGAGGATAGATTGTGAGTGTTATTCCAAATATGCTGGAAAATCGTTGGACAATTTTGGGAAGAATGGTAACATGATGATGTGATTTTAATTTTTTAAGGAACACCTGGCTACTGAGGGAAGTAATAGGCTGTGGGAGCCAGGGAGGTGGAAGAAATTATACATTTAAAGGTCTTTGCCAGTCTAGGAGAAAGGATGGTGGGTTCCACTGCAGCAGTCATAGTGAATGTAGGGCAAAGAGATTAGATTCGGGATATATTTTGAAGGTGGAGACAACCTTCTAATGGATTAGACCTGGAATGAGAGAGAGTAGTGATGGATGATTCCAAATTTGTTTTTGACCCACGTATTAGCAGCAAAATTTCCTGGCACTGAATTCTTAGGTAAGTCAGCTCAGGAAAGGGAACAAAATCACAAATATTAAGGACACCACGTATTATAGCTGTGAAATTTCATTTTTCTTCATTTACCTCCTACCATCTGTCTTCTGAACTTTTATCCCCCCATGCCTGATACTCATTGCCCAATTTCTCTATGTTTAGTTTATAATTTAAGTCTACTCAGGAAATGGTTCACGAGTGTATCTGCATGAGTAGAAACAGTTAAGATTTAATATGTTATCATTCTCAAAAGGTAGATGCAGCTTAAAATGACAAATCAAAATTAATCAAAGAAAGGACCCTCCTGTAACTGTGGAAATACACGTCCTCATAAAGAGATACAGGACACAAACTTTGGATTAGAGAAGCTGAGTCTAGACCGTAGTTAGAATTAAACAACTCAAGTGGCTGGCTTGACTTCCTGATAGTGATGCTGTCCCACCGAAGGAATCACATAATTAAAATATTTTCTAAATTGAGGGAGGAAAGGGGGACAAAAGAAGGAAGGCATTTATAGCTGTGAAGCAATAAGTAGAGGCATCCTAAATTAGCAAAGCCAAAATTAGAAAAGTAGGCACATTTAAGAAACTATTCTTAAAATAGAACCAGGACCATCACAGCCAGACAGCAACCTCTGTCCTTTGAAATCTAAACTTTATCACTTTCATAAAGGCTTGGAATTGCTTAAAAGTGTGGGTTTCTTTGCTCCTTCTTCTAAAAGCTTAGATTTAAAGCAGAACAACACAAAATAGAATTTTAAGTGATTTAATGATGACAGATTGAAAGAATAATTGCATTAGTTAATGGTCATGTTTTGACTGAGCACATATAGATTTGCAAACATTCTTGGAATTGAAACCCTAGTGCAAGGTATTCAAATTAAATGCATGTGTATATTAAAAATCAGTGTACTGCAGCATGACTAATTTATGATAATGTCTGTTGTCCTTTTAAAGATGTAAATGCATTTAGAAAAGAATTAACTTGTCATTTTTTGCTGAACAGATGACTAAAATAAAGAGAACTGATCAAGCTTTATACATTTTATGCTCCAGTAATTTTTTATTGGATAAAGTGGGACTATTGATTACGGAAAGCTACTGTGAAGTGCAAATGACTTTGCCAGCCAAACTCCACACATGTATTATTAATAGACTTCTATCGCCATATACAGCACTTAGCAGTACGTTAACTTTCTTACACTAACTGGGGAGCAAATCTTCCATCCAGGAGGTCTTTAAGTGGCACAATAGGGACTCGTGAAATAATACCTCAGTAATAGACAAATGCAATAAAAAAGCAAGAGTCTTCTATTGAAACAATTCCAGATTCTTTGAAATCTATTGTTTCTTTTCTAAAACAGTACCTGGAGAATCCAGGTCACGACTCCTCTACTTTTGTTATTAGTGGTATACTTCAAATTCTGGGATACATGTGCAGAACGTGCAGGTTTGTTACATAGGGATACACGTGCCGTGGTGGTTTGCTGCACCTGTCAACCCATCATCTACGTTACGTATTTCTCCTAATGCTATCCCTCCCTTAGCCCTCCACCCCATGACAGGCCCCAGTGTGTGACCTTCTCCTCCCTGTGTCCATGTGTTCTCAATGTTCAACTCCCACTTTGAGTGAGAACATGCAGTGTTTGGTTTTCTGTTCCTGTGTTAGTTTGCTGAGAATGATGGTTTCTAGCTTTGTCCAAGTCCCTGCAAAGGACATGAACTCATCCTTTTTTATGGCTGCATAGTATTCCATGTTGTATATGTGCTACATTTTGTTTATTCGGCCTATTGATGGGCATTTGGGTTGGTTCCAAGCCTTTGTTATTGTGAATGTGCTGCAATAAACACATGTGTGCCTGTGCCTTTATAGTAGAATGATTTATAATCCTTAGGGTATATACCCAGTAATGGGATTGCTGGGTCAAATGGTATTTCCTGTTCTAGATCCTTGAGGAATCACCACACTGACTTCCACAATGGTTTAGCTAATTTACACTCCTACCAACAGTGTAAAAGCATTCCTATTTCTCCACATCCTCTCCAGCATCTGTTGTTTCCTGACTTTTAATCGATCACCATTCTAACTGGTATGAGATGGTATCTCATTGTGGTTTTCATTTGCATTTCTCTAATGACCAGTGACGATGAGCTTTTGCTCATATGTTTGTTGGCCGCATAAATGTCTTCTTTTGAGAAATGTCTGTTCATATCCTTTGACCACTTTTTAATGGGGTTGTTTTCTTCCTGTAAATTTGTTTAAGTTCCTTGTAGATTCTATATATTAGTCCTTTGTCAAATGGATAGATAGAAAAATTTTCTCCCATTCTGTAGGTTTCCTGTTCACTCTAATGATAGTTTCTTTTGTTGTGCAGAAGCTCTTCAGCTTAACTACATCCCATTTGTCAATTTTGGCTTTTGCTGCCATTGCTTTTGGTGTTTTAGTCATGAAGTCTTTGCTCATGCCTATGTCCCGAATGCTATCGCCTAGGTTTTCTTCCAGGGTGTTATAGTTTTAGGTCTTATGTTTAAGTCTTTAATCCATCTTGAGTTAATTTTTGTATAAGGTGTAAGGAAGGGGTCCAGTTTCAGTTTTCTGCATATGGCTAGCCAGTTTTCCCAACACCATTTATTAAACAGGGAATCCTTTCCCCATTGCTTGTTTGTGTCAGGTTTGTCAAAGATCAGATGATTGTAGATGTGTGGCATTACTTCTGAGGTCTGTGTTCTGCTCCATTGGTCTATATATCTGTTTTGGTACCAGTAACATGCTATTTTGGTTACTGTAGCCTTGTAGTATAGTTTGAAGTCAGGTAGCGTGATTCCTCCAGCTTTGTTCCTTTTGCTTGGGATATCTCTTGGCTATATGGGGTATTTTTGGTTCCACATGAAATTTAAAGTAGTTTTTTCTAATTCTGTGAAGAAAGTCAATGGTACCTTGATGGGGATAGCACTGAATCTATAAATTACTTTGGGCAGTATGGCCATTTTCATGATATTGATTCTTCCTATCCAGGAGCATGGAATGTTTTTCCATTTGTTTGTGTCCTCTCTTATTTCCTTGAGCAGTGGTTTGTAGTTCTCCTTGAAGAGGTCCTTCACATCCATTGTAAGTTGTATTCCTAGGTATTTTACTCTCTTTGTAGCAACTGTGAATGGGAGTTCACTCATGATTTGGCTGTTTATTATTGATTTATAGGAATCCTTGTGATTTTTGCACATTGATTTTGTATCCTGAGACTGCTGAAGTTGCTTATCAGCTTAAGGAGATTTTGGGCTGAGACAATGGGGTTTTCTAAATATACAATCATGTCATCTGCAAACAGAGACAATTTGACTTCCTCTCTTCCTATTTGAATACCTTCATTCCTTTCTCTTGCCTGATTGCCCTGGCCAGAACTTCCAATATTATGTTGAATAGGAGTGGTAAGAGAGGGGATCCTTGTCTTGTGCAGGTTTTCAAAGGGAATGCTTCCAGTTTTTGCTCGTTCAGTATGATATTGGCTGTGGGTTTGTAATAAATAGCTCTTATTATTTTGAGATATGTTCCATCAATACCTAGTTTATTGAGTTTATAGCATGAAGGGGTGTTGAATTTTATTGAAGGGCTTTTCTGCGTCTATCTAGATAATTATGTGGTTTTTGTCATTGGTTCTGTTTATGTGATGGATTACGTTTATTGATTTGCATACGTTGAATCCGCCTTGCATCCCTGGGATGAAGCTGACTTGATCATGGTGAATAAACTTTTTGCTGTGCTGCTGGATTCGATTTGCCAGTACTTTATTGAGGATTTTTACATCAATATATCAGGTATATTGGCCTGAAATTCTTTTGTTGTTGTTGTGTCTCTGCCAGGTTTTTGTATCAGGATGATGCTGGCCTCATAAAATGTGTTAGGGAGGATTCCCTCTTTTTCTATTGTTTGGAATAGTTTCAGAAGGAATGGTGCCAGCTCCTCTTTGAACCTCTGGTAGAATTCGGCTGTGAATCCGTTTGGTCCTGCAATTTTTTTGGTTGGTAGGCTATTAATTATTGCCTCAATTTCAGAACTTGTCATTGGTCTATTCAGGGATTTGACTTCTTCCTGGTTTAGTCTTGGGAGGGTGTAAGTGTCCAGGAATTTATCCATTTCTTGTAGATTTTTTAGTTTATTTGCGTACAGATGTTCATAGTATTCTCTGGTTGTAGTTTGTATTTCTATGGGATCAGTGGTGATATCCCCTTTATCATTTTTTATTATGTCTATTTGATTCTTCTCTCTTTTATTCTTTATTAGTCTGGCTAGCCGTCTATCATTTTGTTAATCTTTTCAAAAAACAAGCTCTTGGATTCATTGATTTTTTTGAAGGGCTTTTCGTGTCTCTATCTCCTTCAGTTCTGCTCTGATCTTAGTTATTTCTTGTCTTCTGTTAGCTTTTGAATTTGTTTACTAGTGCTTCTCTAGTTCTTTTACTTGTGATGTTCTTTTTACTTGTGATGTTCGACACTTATGGTGTCGGTTTTAGATCTTTCCTACTTTCTCCTGTCTGCATTTAGTGCTATACATTTCCCTCTAAATAGTGCTTTAGCTGTGTCCCAGAGATTCTGGTATGTTGTGTCTTTGTTCTCACTAGTTTCAAAGAACTTATTTATTTCAGCCTTAATTTCATTATTTACCCAGTAGTCATTCTGGAGCAGGTTGTTCAGCTTCCATGTACTTGTGTGGTTTTGAAAGAGTTTCTTATCCTGAGTTCTAATTTGATTGCACTGTGGTCTGAGAGACTGTTTGTTATTATTTCTGTTCTTTTACATTTGCTGAGGAGTGTTTTACTTCCAATGGCATGGTCAATTTTAGAATAAGTGTGATGTGGTGCTGAGAAGAATGTATATTCTGTTGATTTGGAGTGGAGAGTTCTGTAGATGTCTATTAGGTCCACTTGGTTCAGAGCTGAGTTCAAGTCCTAAATATCCTTGTTAATTTTCTGTCTCGTTGATCTAATATTGACAGTGGAGTGTTAAAGTCTCCCACTATTATTGTGTGGGAGTCTAAGTCTCTTTGTAGGTCTCTAAGTACTTGGTTTATGAATCTGGATGCTCCTGTGTTAAGTGCATATATATTTACAACAGTTAGCTCGTCTTGTTGCGTTTATCCCTTTACCATTACGTAATGCCCTTCTTTGATTTTTTTTATCTTTGTTGGTTTAAAGTCTGTTTTATCAGAGACTAGGATTGAAACCCCTGCTTCTTTTTTTTTTCTTTCTATTTGCTTGGTAAATATTCCTCCATCCCTTTATTTTCAGCCTATGTGTGTCTGTATGTGAGATGGGTCTCCTGAATACAACACACCGATGGGTATTGACTCTTTATCTAATTTGCCAGTCTGTGTCTTTTAATTGGGGCATTTAGCCTATTTACATTTAAGGTTAATACGGTTATGTATGAATTTGATCCTGTCATTATGATGCTAGCTGGTTATTTTGCCCTTTAGTTGATGCAGTTTCTTCATAGTGTCAATGGTCTTTACAACTTGGTATGTTTTTGCATTGGCTGGTACTGGATTTTCGTCTCCATATTTAGTGCTTCCTTCAGGAGCTCTTGTGAGGCAGGCCTGTTTGTGACAAAATCTCTCAGCATTTGCTTGTCTGTAAAGGATTTTATTTCTCCCTCACTTATGAAGCTTAGTTTAGCTGGATATGAAATTCTGGCTTGAAAATTCTTTTAAAAATGTTGAATATTGGCCCCCACTCTCTTCTAGCTTGTAGGGTTTCTGAAGAAAGATCCACTCTCCGTCTGATCAGCTTCCCTTTGTGGGTAACCAGACCTTTCTCTCCGGCTGCCCTCAACATTTTTTCCTTCATTTCAACCTTGGTGAATCCGACGATTTTGTGTCTTGGGGTTGCTCTTATTGAGGAGTATTTTTGTGGTGTTCTCTGTATTTCCTGAATTTGAATGTTGGTCTGTCTTGTTAGGTTGGGGAAGTTCTTCTGGATAATATCCTGAAGAGTGTTTTCCAACTTGGTTCCATTCTCCCTGTCACTTTCAGATACACCAATCAAATGTAGGTTTGGTCTTTCCACATAGTTCCATGGTTCTTGGAGGCTTTGTTCTTTCCTTTTCATGCTTTTTCTCTAATCTTGTCTTCATGCTTTATTTCATTAAGTTGATCTTCAATCTCTGATATCCTTTCTTCCCCTTGATCGATTCAGCTATTGATACTTGTGTATGCTTCATGAAGTTCTCATGCTGTGTTTTTCAGATCCATCAGGTCATTTATATTCTTCTCTAAACTGGTTATTCTAGTTAGTGAGATTCCTTTAAACTTTTAGGTTCTTAGCTTCCTTGCATTGGGTTAGAACATGCTCCTTTAGCTGGGAGGAGTTTGTTATTACCCATCTTCTGAAGCCTACTTCTGTCAATTCGTCAAACTCATTCTCCATCCAGTTTTGTTCCCCTGCTGGCGAGGAGTTGTGATCCGTTGGAGGAGAAGAGGAATTCTGGTTTTTGGAATTTTCAGCATTTTTGCACTAGCTTTTCCTCATCTTCATGGATTTATCTAACTTTGGTCTTTGATGTTGGTGAACTTCTGATGGGGTTTTTGTGTGGATGTCCTTTTTGTTGATGTTGATGCTATTCCTTTTTGTTTGTTAGTTTTTCTAACAGTCAGGCCCCTCTGCTGCAGGTCTGCTGGAGTCTGCTGGAGGTCCACTTCAGGCTCTGTTTGCCTGGGTATCTCCAGCAGAGGCTGCAGAACAGCAGATTGCTGCCTGTTCCTTCCTCTGGAAGCTTCACCCCAGAGGGGCACCCACCAGATGCCAGTTGGAACTCTCCTGTATGAAGTGTCTGTCAACTCCTGCAGGGAGGTGTCTCCAAGTCAGGAGGCATGGGGGTCAGGGACCCACTTGAGGAGACAGTCTGTCCCTTAGCAGAGCTTGAGTGCTGTGCTGGGAGGTCAGCTGCTCTCTTCAGAGCCTGCAGGCAGGAACGTTTAAGTCTGCTAAAGCTGTGACCGCAGCTGCGCCTTCCCCCAGGTGCTCTGTCCTAGGGAGATGGGAGTTTTATCTATAAGCCCCTGACTGGGGCTGCTGCCTTTCTTTCAGAGATGCCCTGCCCAAAGAGGAGAAATCTAGACAGGCAGTCTGGCTACAGCAGCTTTGTGGCGCGGTGGTGGACTCCACCCAGTTTGAACTTCCCAGCAGCTTTGTTTACACTGTGAGGGGAAAACCACCTACTCAAGCCTCAGTAATGGCGGACACCCCTCCCACCACCAAGCTTGAGCATCCCAGGTCGACTTCAGACTGCTGTGCTGGCAGCGAGAATTTCAAACCAGTGGATCTTAGCTTGCTGGGCTCCATAGGGGTGGGATCCGCTGAGCTAGACCACTTGGCTCCCCGCCTTCAGCCCCCTTTCCAGGAGAGTGAATGGTTCTGTCTCGCTGGTGTTCCAGGTGCCACTGGGATATGAAAATAAACTCCTGCTAGCTCTACTTCTAAATAGCTGCAGAAAAGCTTCTTAAACAATTTTTGAAAAGCTTCCTTAGAGAATCTGTTAATTTATCTGACAACCATTTATTAAATACCTACTATGTGAAGAGTGTTCGGTGCTGTGATAGAAAATCAATGGAAGGCCGGCATGGTGGCTCACGCCTGTAATCCCAGGACTTTGGGAGGCAAAGGCCTGTGGATCACTTGAGATCAGGAGTTTGAGACTAGCCTGCCTGGACAACATGATGAAACCTCGTCCCTACTAAAAATACAATAATCAGCCAGGCATGGTGGCACATGCCTGTAATCCCAGCTACTTGGGAGGCTGAGGTGGGAGAATCACCTCAGAACCCAGGAGGCAGAGGTTGTGGTGAGCTGAGATCACGCCACTCCATTCCAGCCTGGGAGACAGAGGGAGAGTCCATTTCAAAACAAATGACAACAAAAAGAAAACTAATAGGAGAAGATTTAAAAGATGTAACAAGTGATGTGTGTGCTAGAAGGAAAACTTGGACAAATTCAGACTATGATATCATTCCTCACCTTTTTTGAAGTAACCCTCATAACCAATGACAGACAGATTTTTTTTCTGGAAAGCTGGATGCAGCATCAGCAGGATTGTGGAACTGTGGCAAGCTTCCTGGGTCCATCTTGTCCTGGGTGGATGTCCTTTTTTGACCTTGATGATGCCAATTTCAGCTGTTCTTTATTTTAAAATACCTTTGAGTCTGTCATACTTACTATATAATAAAGGTAAACATGGAATAAAGTGCCGAGTGTATAATACTGTTCTGGAGCTACTCCACATTTTAACCTTCATTTATTTATTCCTTCAATGTTTGGTGAGCATTTACTACGAGCCAGGCACTTTTCTAGGTGCTACTCTTTCTAAGGAAAAGGAAACAAACAAACAAAATAGTCCTATTCATATGTATGAGATGATGTGTTGGGACATTACTATTAAGCACTCTTAAAGGACACGATTGTCGTGTTCTGGGCCATCTGTAAGGTTGGTGCAAAAGTAATTGCAGTTTTTGCCATTGCTTTCCACGGCAAAAACTGCAATTACTTTTGCAGCAACCCAATAGTTTTGAAAGAGTACATCAAACAAGATTCTTAAGACAAATAACCTAAGTGAACACAGACTGGAAGTTCTCTGTTTTATGAGTTCTCCAGTGGTTAACACGGTGACAGGCCAAAGCAGGTTTTGAACAAACATCCCTTCACAACACAGCACTCTGTTTCAAAAGGCAAAGGAGGTGAACAACCACGCCAAGATTTCATCTACCATCCTTTTTCTTGGCACTATCCCTGGCTTCAATATTTATCTAAAAATTCATCAACTAATACCCAGGGTTTTCTCAAGAAAAAAGGATGTCTAGAAAATCTAAAATTAGGTACAATGCCTCAAAAAGATGTTAGGGAGAACAAGGCTGGTCTCAGGGGTTTGTTTCACAAGCAAATCAAAGTGGGGTGCAGGGTGCCCAGATAGATCTCTCAGCATAAATTTGCACAAACAGACTTATTTTAAAGGATCTCTAGTCCATGCAAAATAAGGATAAATTAATACATACCAGAAACAAGGCAGGATGAAATAAAAGAGCGCATCTATTCAGTGCCGGACCAGAGTATTGGAACGATATTTTACACGTTGGCTTTTCTGTGTAGTAATATCACAAAAACTAGGTAATACTCTCAGCTGTGCAGCTTCTGCCTTGAGATTTTCTTAAGAGTTTTACTTGGTATTGGTCACTGTCACCATTTAATAGTTCTGTCTTACATTCGATTCCATACTCTAAATGATCATTTAAGAGACAGAACAGCCATTTTCATATGAAAACTGTTGTCTCCCAGTGGGGTCGTAGGAGTTGCTGGTAGGTCATCTGAGGTATCTCTTCTAAGAAAGATGTTTGCAGCTGATGTTTTTCCAATATTCAAATGTGTTACAGTGTCTTTCACCAGAATGGGCCTCTCTATTAAAGCGCAAGAGATCTGGAATCATAGCTGTTCCAGAATCAGGCTGTGTCTCAGCTCTCTGACATGAAGCATTTACACTATTACAGCTCTACGTTCTTTGTCTTTCTTTACCCCATCTACTAAACAGTACTGCCTTATCCTGCAGTGTTAGAATGCTTTTTGCCTTCCCCTTAGTTGAGATCTGGGATATAATATTTTAGATGTTAGTCAGGACAAAGGAAAGTGCCCAAGTGCCAAGGTATCCTAAATGACTCCTATCTCATCATGTTTGGGGACATAGAATAACATGACATCCAAGATCATGATGCCCAGTGACAGGGGACAACCACACCAAGAGCCAAGGTGGCAACTGACAAGCAAATTTATCCTCTCTCTCATGTCCATTCCCTACCCATAGTATACACTGTGAGTGTTTAATGACACACTAGAGGTTGGGGAGGTCCATAAAATTACAAATAGACTGAAGGAAGAGGTTTCCTGGGGTCTATATATGCCTTAATCAAAAACTACAACTTCGAAACAAACTTAAGGCTATACAATGCTAATTTTCATGTAGTTCTAAAATTTCCCAAGATAGCATAACATAAACTGTCTCTGTCTCCTTTCAAGTTAAATTAGTTGCTCCGAAGCAACTACTTGGTAGTGTGGTAACCCCAGGGAATGCTTCCCGAATGATCTCCTGTTAGTTACAATTCCCTTCATGGAGTCATGCCTTAGGGACAGTCACTCATAGTGTTTAGTGTGAAAATGCTGGACAGTCGAGCAATGAGAAGAGTATCCCCCAAAGCCATGCAACTGAAGATTTATTAATATCCAAGGACTAGAACACTTTTCTACCTATACCTTGTTCTTGAAATATTTTTCCCCTAATTTCCTGAGTAATTTATTTACTTCTTTGATTTTCCTACCTCCTCAAATCCTGCTTGTTCAAATGATGCTTTTCTAGGGACATTGTTTAATTTCATCACCTGTGCTGACCCCTCATCACAGCATTCCAGAGCCTCTAGCTTTATCTTACTTGGATGTTTTATTTTTTCCATAGCTCTTCCACCAAGTGGACCATTTATATTATTTATTTGGTGTATTTTCACTAAAATTTAGGTTCCAGGGCATGAGGGAAGTTTGTCTGTTGTGTTCTCTGAGGTATCTCAAATGCTTAACATAGTGTTTGGCATATAGCAAGGGCTTAATGTGTATTTGTTGAAGGAACAAACACATCTCAAATAGCAAAGATAGCAGAAGGGTAAAAGTCAAACGGTATTCTAAAAGATTTTTTAAAAACACTATGAAGAATCAAATAGGCATGCATTTACTTCTTGGAGAGAAATAAGGTGAATTAACTTGCTTGATGCACATGACTTGCTTATGAGTTCTGTGAAAGGAAACGAGAATTTCTGTTCCCTAATAGATTTTCATTTTCCTTTCCCTTGTTAACAATGAATTTTAATCACTAATATAAAACCAAAAGCAAATGTTAGTACATAGCCTCTATGCTTTCCCATGGTAGAGACCACAGTCCAGATTTCAGACAAATTAGAATGTTAGCTGATGTTTAGTTGCTGTTACTTATGTATTCTCCTTCCCACAACCAAGTAGAATCATTAGTTACATTATTCTCCCTATGGAACACTGGTTGATTGGTATTTCAGTTAATTCTCCAATACTCCTATTTCCTACAGCTTCACCGTTTTAAAGGTGTGTGTGTGTGTGTGTGTGTGTGTGTGTGTGTGTGTGTCAAACTTAGCGGCATTTTCAAACAGTAGAACTAGAGGGCCAGGATCATCACCAGTGAAGTCTGTCAGCCTCTATTTTCAGACTCTAATGTTCTATCAAATGAAGATCCATACAGAAACTCATCTTGGGTACATCCTGAATTATTTCTTTCCACATTATCTTGTTGAAAAAAATATGATGCACACAAATGCATGTATATTAGTAGGTATACCCTTATCTTAGTGCATATCTTTACTGTGCCTATCATGAAAGTCAGTGTGATATAATGGAAAGAATACTGGCTTCAGAGTTGAGTAAATTTGTGCTTGAATCTTAATGCCAATTTACATCCCTTTCACTCTCAAAAATGTTCCATGTCACACTAAATATTATTTATATTTAATTAGTTAATTTATAACTCTGCTATAATTATTGGCCAACAGTAGGTACTTGATAAAAGGTAGGCATTGTTTAACAAACATAGATGTAGTTCAGTTTTCTTAGCATTGACAGGAAGGTACCATTCTGACTTCCAAGAGAACTGTAATTGTTATTAAAAAAGAAAATGGAGGATTGCCTATAAATCACAAACATTTTGAAAGTATCAGGTAGAGAATATTAGCTATCCCATGAAAAAAAAAATGAAGGATAGAGGCATCAATGTCAAGGTCATCATGAAACCCAGATTTTATTCCTGCCTGTATACCATTAAGAAGCCTTCTGAAGTAAGCCTCTGAAGGGAAATAAGATTTCCCAATTATCTAGAAGAAATATGTTTCTACCTCATGAAATTATTATTGTATGCTAAGGAAAAGAGATACTCTCTTTCTGGAGGAAACAAATACACCTGCAAATAGCAACAATAGTGGTCATCCTTCTTGCAGCGCCACCTATGTGCTAAGCCCTGGGCCTGGCATTTCACATGCCTGGTCTTCAGCCTTTCTAGCCTGCCACACAGGCAGTATTATCAGATGCATTCTACTGAAAAAGTAAATGTCTTGGAAAAGTTGTATAGCTTGTTCAAGATCATACTGCTAGTAAGTGATGAAGATACAATTTTAATCCAGGTATTTCAATGTTAAAAGGGACAGAGATCTCAGAGTTATGCCATTTTCAAGCTTCTGTTTTACTCCAAAATTAGTGTTTTCAGAGACTCAACACAACACAACGAGGAAGGGTTCTGTGAGGCTGAGAGTTTGTGGTAAAAAGGCATGCACTGCATCTCCATCTTCTGCATTTGAGATAAGGAATGATACAAATCTAAGGGGTCATTTTAGCAAAATATTAACAATAAGAATATAAGGAACTGTGTTCAATCAACACTAGTTCCAACTGGGAAGTGGGGATGTGAGTGGCTAAGAGTTTTGACAACAGAAACCTGCCTTTCTAATGCACACCTCATATCAGGTTTCAGGAAGAGCCAGGCTGCAGCCCACCACCAGAACCTGTTGGGTCAGTAACCCATACCCTTCACACATCACCAAATCACTAATTCATACAGAAAACTATTTTTTTCTTACTTTATTTTTGGCTGCAGAAATGAGTTTCTAGTCATAGAAGTTACAAGAAACTATAAGAAAAATGCCTATCTTGAATAGCTACAGATTTAACAGATACAGTTCAGGGCAGCTGTTCAGCAGGAAATATCACAAATTCATCCCTAACAGATTTCTGTCTGTTATCAAACTGGGCCCACTGTGAGCCAACAACCTAAAGGAAAACATACTGCAGGCCTTTACCCAGGTCTTTGGATAGGTATAACCAATATCAAGATGTTAAAATGTAGGCCAGGCACAGCATGGTGGCTCAAGCCTGCAATCCCAGCACTTTGAGAAGCTGAGGTGGGAGTATCGCTTAAGCCCAGGAGTTTGAGACCAGCCTGGGCAACACAGTGAGACCCCATCTCTATACAAAATAAAAAATATATATAGTAGCACACACTGTAGCACATGCCTATAGTCCCAGCTACTCGAGAGGCTGAGATGGGAGGATTTCTTGAGCCCAGGAGGTGGAGGCTAAAGTGAGCCATAATCACACCATTGCACTCCACCCTGGGCAACAAGAGTTTTTATCTCAAAAAAAATGCTGTTAAAATGTAGCTATTAATATATGTTAAATCCTTTCTCGAATATTCTCTGGCTCCCTAGGGACTCTGGAATTGAAGAACACCACATAGCGGCAGTAAGATTTGAAAACGGAACTGAGTTAGAATCAGGGTACTGCCACTCCTTACCTACATAACTTCAGAAATCATTTAATCTCTCTGAACATTAGTAGCTTCATTTGTAAAATGGAGATGCCATGAATGGCCTCTCAGGTTTTTATGAGAATTAGGTGTGTTGTGTCAGGTAATAATAGCTAATGGTTACTGAGCATTTACTATGTGCCAAACACAGGATGAATTAAGTACTGCTGGTAAACTAAGGCACTCTAATTAAGTACTTGAAGAAATTTGTATAATTAGAAAGTCACAGAAACAGGACTTAAACCAAGGGAGTCAACACCAAAGCCCATGATCTTAACCCGCTCTCCTATGCTGCCAAGTATGGAACTTGTATACTGAGTGAAGACTCAATAAATATGAGTCACAGCTACTTTCATTACTGTTAACATTCCTACAACATTAAATTATGCCTCCTTCACACTAAAGAAGGCATAAAGGCGTAATACCTGGGACATTGCTGCAGAAGTTCTCCTTCAACAATGCAGGCCTCTTTCTCAAGAAGTTCAGGACACTCCTTTCCACCTCCAATAGCCATGTGCTTCACGTTCCGGCTCCTGCTCCTAAATCCTGGCAAGAGACTCCCTGAACGGCATGTCTTGGAGCAGGGGCTCCAGGAGGACCACTGGGAGGTTTCACAGTCTTTGGGCATGATGCAGGACTGAACAGTCAATGGGAAGGAATCTTGAAGGCAAAGGCTGAAAAAAACAGAAGTAGAAAATAGGAGGCCATATATTAATGGATGCAACTAACATTATAAAGTGCCTACCATGAGAAAAAAAACTCTGAAATTTGATTTAAGCGTTTAATAGGAAGATTTTTAAAAAATTTTAGAGACATCATGAAAAAATATTGAAGAGTGTAACATTTGAAGAATGTTTATTTCTTCTGAAACAGTGAAGCTGCTTCACTCTAGCAAGATACACATCTAAGATGGGTCCACTTTTAACAGTATTATCCGTATTATTAGAAATAATGGGGGTCCTTCTAGGCTGCTGTGTTTTTTTTTTTTAGAGATGGAGTCTTGCTCTGTCACCCAGGCTGAAGTGCAGTGATGCAACCTCTGCCTCCCAGATTCAAGCAACTCTCCTGCCTCAGCCTCTTCCCAAGTAGCTGAGACTACAGAAACACACCACCATGCCCAGCTAATTTTTGTATTTTCAGTAGAGACAGGGTTTTACCATGTTGGACAAGCTGGTCTTGAAATCCTGACCTCAAGTGATCCACCCACCTTGGCCTCCCAAAGTACTGGGACTACAGGCATGAGCCATCGCGCCCAGCCCTTCTAGACTGCTTTCACCCATGGTGTTAGCCTACTATTACCATGGATTGACTGGTTTTCAGGTGTCACAACTGTGCTGCACTTCACAGATAACTTTCTCACAACAAGCTCATGAGTTTACATTTTATTATATCCATTTTGTAGATAGATAAAGAAATTTAGGCTCAGAAAGGCTAAGTAATTTGTACAGTATCAAAAAGGTAAATATAAACTAGAATATTCACCTATCCATTGTGGTAAATACTGGGTAATTTTGAAAATGTGCCATTATATTTCCTCATATTGTTAGGCTCTGAGCATTAATTTCCTGATAGGCAAAATGTGTGTGTGATCAAGCACCAACAGTCTAATTAGGAAAAAGGTAAATAAATAAAAAGATAAGATAATGTGGCATTAGGAGATATACCTAATGCTAAATGACGAGTTAATGGGTACAGCATACCAGCATGGCACATGTATACATATGTAACAAACCTGCACGTTGTGCACATGTACCCTAAAACTTAAAGTATACTAATAATAAAATTAAAAAAAAAGATAATGTGATAATGTGACCAGCCCAACATAAAAGCATTTGTAATGATGAGAAACACTGAAGAGGCAGTGATGAACCCCCGGTAAGGCAGAAGGGTGCTCAGAGAGGACACCTGAGCTACATTTTTAAAAGATTAATGGGAGCTTCTCAGGCACAGAGAAAACACTATTCTAAAGTAAAACGATAGCATATTCAAAGATTTGAAATCATACCTTTTGGGGATGGGAACCAGTGGTATACTGGAGCTAGCTCTACCTGCTCACAGGAGCCAATTGTTAAATTTTCAGGAATTTGCAAACCACTTGACCTCCTGTAAACTTTAAATTGGCCAAAGTCAGAGTATTTACAATACAGAAATTGGCAAATGCTACAAATCAAGCCTCCTCTCCCAAACTCCTGAGAACTGATTGTTAAACATTTGTAAGCACACCACTGGGGAAACGTAGGAGCCCATTTGTTCTCCTGAAGCATAAAGTGCGAGGAGGAACGTAGATACAAGGTACAAGGGTTCTTCGAAAGCTGCTCTGGAAGGGCTTCCTGTCACAGGTTAAGAAATTTGTTTAATTAGGCATTAAATGATTTCAAGTGGAGGGAAATCAGATTCATATTAGGAGATAATATTTCAAATATTAATTGGCATTCTGTTCCTTTTGTCCCTTGTTATTCGTTCCTCTATTCAGTCAAAGGCAACCAATACTTTGGGAGGAAAAGGATAATATTCGAAGAATGTAAACTAAAAAAAGGGTCAATGTTCAAATACTGACAGAGAGATTTTGGTAATGGTTCCTCTGAATGTGGTTTAAAAAAGGGGAGGGGGAGCAGGTGTAGTGGCTTACGCCTATAATCCCAACACTTTGGGAGGCCAAGGCAGGCAGATCACCTGAGGTCAGGAGTTCGAGACCAGCCTGGCCAACACGATGAAACCTTGTCTCTACTAAAAATACAAAAATTAGCAAGGCATGGTGGTGGTGTGTGCCTGTAGTCCTAGCTACTTGGGAGGCTGAAGCAGGAGAGTTGCTTGAACCTGGGAGGAGGGGGCTATAGTGAGCCGAGACTGCACCACCGCACTCCAGCCTGGGTGACGGGCAAAGTCTCAAAAAAACAAAAAAAGAAGAAGTCTTAAATTGTTTCATTTCTAACTTGGGAAAACACATAAATGGGGGAGCGATCATTTATAGAAGACAGAGTAAAATATGCTCATATTTGGCCATATTGATAGTAAATGTCCATATTTATACCCCCCATTAAGCCATTGAGAGTTAATGTGTTCATAGAGGAAAAGCTAAATCTTCCTCTGGTCCAATATTTTATTTTATTTATTTTTATTTTATTTATTTTTTTGAGACAGGATCTCACTCTGATACTCAGGCTGGGTGCAATAGTGGAATCAGGGCTCATTGCAGCCTCAACCTCCCCAGGCCCAGGTGATCCTCCCACCTCAGTCTCCTGAGTAGCTGGGACTACAGATGCACAACACCACAACTGTCTAATTTTTGTATATTTTGTAGAGACAGGGTTTTGTCATGTTGCCCAGGCTGGTCTTGAGCTCCTGGGTTCAAGCAATCCACCTGACTTGGTCTCCCAAAGTGCCAGGATTGGCCCAGGATCGAGCCCAGCCTCAATATTTTATTTTTTTAAAATCTATTTAGATAATATTAGTCCTTTCAAAATGAAAAGCGCAGTGTCTCATTGTTACTGTTCAATTCAATGTGACAATTTTGGGGCCTGGGATCAAAATCCACTAGACAGAAACTTTCCTGAAAATGTCTCATCTAATACAGAAAGTAATGTCACTGTTGCCAAGTAAAGCAGAGGCTGGGGGAGGGGACAACCTCTTTCTATTGTGCAATACAACAGAAAGCTGTAAGTCGACGAGAAGTTTCCATGTTTTGACTTTTCAGAAATTGTTATAGGCTGAGTTTCATTGCTCTAAAATTAATATGTTGAAGTCATAACCCCTGGGACCTCAGATTGCAAACTTATTTGGAGATAGAGTGACTAAAGAGGTGATTAAAATAAAGCATAGGGTAGGCCTTAATCCAATATGACTGGTGTCCTTATAAGAGATTAGCACACAGGCACATACACAGGAAAGACCATGTGAAGACACAGCGGGAGGGCAGCCATCTACAAGCCAAGGAGAGAGCCTTCAGAAAAAAGCAATGCTGCCCCCACCTTGATCTTGGATATACGGCCTCCAGAAGTGAGTGAATGAATGAATGAATGAATGAATAAAATAAAATAAAATAAAATAAAATAAAAATCTGTTGTTTGACCCAGCAAGTTTGTGGAACTTCTTACGACAGCCCGAGCAAACTAATGCAGAAATGTAAAAGAGTTTTATAACTTGTGTATGTTTTTAGAAAATGAGTTTCAATTTCCAAGATTGATTTCATTTTTCCCTTCATAAAGAAAGCCCCATGCTATTTCATTCTCTGTATACAGCTAAAGTAGTGGTTCCTTTCTTCCCACTTACCAGCTTTCACTCTCTGTTGCTCATCCTTCCCACATTGACTTTTCCTCCTGGACCAGCAGAACAGATAATAAGTCTCCAACAGTAAGAGCATGTGCAGGGAGTTATAGGAATTAATTGAGGCTTTTATATTTTCGAAAAGGGATCCTAATTCTTGTTTTCTTTCCAAGAAATAGCATATGTCCTATTGATTACATATTAACATATTTTTAATGTTATTTTCACTATCCCACTCCTTGGTTAAAACAATAATAATAAAAGGTAACATGTTGAGCTCTGGTCTAATTTGATCAGTAAGATGCCCTTTTCTGGAACAGTAAAAGGAGCATTAGATGGTGAATGAGAAATATCTGGGTCCTGCACTTTGCATCACGATATATTATTACGATCTTAATCTCTTAGCTGCTAAGCTTCATTATCAGCAGAGAGAAACAATAGTAAAATGTGATTTACTCACCCCTTAGATTTGTAGTAACCTTTAGTGTAATTGGAATGACCTTACAAACTAAAATCCACAACAAAAATTTTTGTCCACACACAGAAATGAAAATTGATCCTTTCGTAGAAAATCATGTATCTTCTTAATGAAACAGACCTATTCTGTTGATTTGCCTTTTTAGAAAAGATACTGTGATAATTTGACCCCTGTCACATGTATAGAACATGCTGTCTTTTGTAAATTACTCCCCAAATATTTAAATATAAAGAAAATATTTGAAACAAAAATTACGCTAGTAATTCTTACTTCCCCTGGAAACGTAAGAAAATCTCCCTATTTACAAATATGGGCAGAAGCTCTTATAAAATAAAAATCAGCGGTAAACTACCTCCAATTCATTAGCATTCCATTTACCACTACTTTTATATCATACATCGCACATATAGAAAAATAGAGTAATATAACAAATACTTCCATACCTTTCTAGCAAAACTAACATTTGGTTCAAATTTCCTTACATAATAAAAAAATTACAAATACTGGTGAAATCCCTACTGTTCTATGCAATTCTAGTTTTATTTCTGTCTCCTCAGACATAGCTACTATCCTTAAATTGATTGTATTTCAGATATAAAAACATAATAATTAATAAGTATAAATGTTTTATACTTTCATATGTATAGACCTGTATATACAGATCACATGTAGTATTGCCATATATATTTTTTAAATTTTTATTTTTTTAATTTTTTTATTTTCATAGGTTATTGGAGAACAGTGGTGTTTGGTGACATGAGTAAGTTCTTTTTTCTTTTTTCTTTTTTTACTTTTTTTTGAGACCGACTCTAACTCTGTCACCCAGGCTGGAGTGCAGTGGCACAATCTTGGCTCACTGTAACCTCTGCCTCCCGGGTTTAAGGAATTCTCGTGTCTCAGCCTCCCAAGTAGCTGGGACTACAGGTGCACCACCACACCCGGCTAATTTTTTGTATTTTTATTAGAGCTGGGCTTCACCCTGTTGGCCAGGCTGGTCTCAAATTCCTGACCTCAGGTGATCTGCCCTCTTTGGACTCCTAAAGTTCTTTAGTGGTGATGTGTGAGATTTCGGTGCACCCATCACCCAAGCAGTCTACACTGCACCCAATTTGTAGTTTTTATCCCTGACTCTCTTCCCACCCTTTCCCACTGAGTCCCCAAAATCCTTTGTGTCATTCTTATGCCTTTGCATCCTCATAACTTAGCTCCCACTTATGAGTGAGGACATATGATGTTTGGTTTCCCATTCCTGAGTTACTTGACTTAGAGTAATAGTCTCCAATCTCATCCAGGTCACTGTGAATGCCATTAATTCATTCCTTTTTATGGCTGAGTCATATTTCATCTTATACACACACACGCACATATATATACACATATATACATATATGTGTGTGTATATGTATATATACATATACACACTAGTATATATACATATACATATACACACACATATATGTATATATACATATACACACACATATATGTATATATACATATACACACACATATATATGTATATATACATATACACACACACACACACACACACACACACACCACTTTCTTTATCCACTCATTGATGGATGGGCATTTGGGTTGGTTCTACATTTTGCAATTGCGAATTGTGCTGCTGTAAACATGCATGTGCAACTATATTTTTCGTATAATGACTTATTTTCCTCTGGGTAGTAGGATTGCTGGATCAAATCATAGTTCTACTTTTAGTTCTTTAAGGAATCTCCACACTGTTTTTCATAGTGGTTACACTAGTTTATATTTTCCACCAACAGGGCGGAAGTGTTCCTTGTTCACTGCATCCACAACCACAACTAATTTTTTTTATTTTTTTATTACAGCCATTCTTGTAGGAGTAAGGTGATATCCCATTGTGGTTTTGATTTGCATAATGCTGATCATTAGTGATGTTCAACATTTTTTCAAATGTTTGTTGGCCATTTGTATATCTTCTTTTGAGAATTGTCTATTTATGTCCTTAGCCCACTTTTTGATGGAATTGTTTTTTCTTGTTGGTTTGAGTTCATTGTAGAATCTGGATATTAGTACTTTGTCACATGTATAGATTGTGAAGATTTTTTCCTACTCTGTGGGTTGTCTGTTTATTTTGCTGATGGTTCCTATTGCCATGCAAAAGCTCTTTGGTTTAATTAAGTCCCAGCTATTTTTTTTTTTTTTTATTGCATTTGCTTTTGGGCTCTTGGTCATGAAACCCTTGCCTAAGCCAATGTCTAGAAGGGTTTTTCCAATGTTATCTTCCAGAATTTTTAAAGTTTCATGCCTTAGATTTAAGTCCTTAATCCATCTTAAGTTGATTTTTGTATAAGGTGAGAGATGAGGATCCAGTTTCTTTCTCCTATGTGTGGCTAGCCAATTATCCCAGTACCATTTGTTTAAAAGGGAGTTCTTTCCTCATTTTATGTTTTTGTTTGCTTTGTTGAAGGTAAGTTGGCTGTAAGTATTTGGGTTTATTTCTGGGTTCTCTATTCTGTTCCATTGGTCTATGCACCTTTTTTTAAATTTAATTTTATTTTTTTTTTATTTTTTTGAGACAGAGTCTTGCTCTGTCACCCAGGCTGGAGTGCAGTGGTGCAATCTCAGCTTACTGCAACCTCCACCTCCTGGGTTCAAGCAATTCTCCTGCCTCAGCCTCCCAAGTAGCTAGGACTATAGGCACAAACCACTATTCCTGGCTACTTTTTTGTATTTTAGTAGAGACAGGGTTTCACTGTGTTGCCCAGGCTGGTATCGAACTCCTGAACTCAGGCAATCCACCTGCCTCAGCCTCCCAAAGTGCTAGGATTACAAGCGTGAGCCACCATGCCTGGCCTGTGTACCTATTTTATACCAGTACCATGCTGTTTTGGTGACTATGGCCTTATAATATAGTTTGAAATCAGGTAATGTGATGACTCCAGATTTGTCCTTTTTGCTTAGTCTTGCTTTGGCTATGCAGGCTCTCTTTTGGTTCCATATGAATTTTAGAATTGTTTTTTCTAATTTGGTGAAGAAAAATGGTAGTATATTTTATAGGAATTGCACTGAATTTGTAGATTGCTTTTGGCAGTATGGTCATTTTCCCGATATAGATTCTACCCATCCATAAGCATGGGATGTGTTTCCATTTGTTTGTGTCATCTATGATTTCTTTCAGCAGTGTTTTGTAGTTTTCCTTGTAGAGGTCTTTCACTTCCTTGGTTAGTTTTATTTTGTTTTGTTTTGTTTTTGCAGCTATTGTAAAAGGAGTTCAGTTCTTGATTTGATTCTCAGCTTGGTCGCTGTTGGTATATAGAAGAGCTACTGATATATGTACATTAATTTTGTATCCAGAAACTTTGCTGAATTATTTTATAAGTTCTGGGAGCTTTCTGCAGGAGGCTTTAGGTAAACGATCATGTCATCGGCAAATAGCGACAGGCTGGCTTCCTCTTTTCTGATTTGTATGCCTTGAGTTCTTTTGTCTGATTGCTCTGGCTAGGACTTCCAGTACTATGTGAAGAGGAGTGGTGAGAGTGTAATTAATAAGTATAAATGTTTTATGCTTTAACTAAGATGTATATACCTGTATTTACAGATAGCACATACTATTGCCATATATTTTTTTTTAATTTTTACTTAAATATTTTTGTTATACATATTGCTCTGGAAAAGATCTTCCTCATGTAGTATTGTGATTTCTAGATCTACCCATGTTGACCATGCAGATAGAATTCATTCATTTTCATTATTGAGTAATATCCCAGGATATGAATACATGGCAATTTATGTATTCATTTCCCAATTAGTGGGACCTTTGGTTGTGCTCAATTTCTTGCAAATCCACAGGATGATGTATTGAACCTCCTTGTACATATCTCTATGTGTTACACATGTAAAAGAGATTTCCCCTAGGAGTATTGCCTAGAGTTAGGTCATAAATATTTATATAAGCAGATACATAAAGTATTGTCAAATTTTTTCTTTTCAACATGCTCCCAATTCTTGGTATCATCAGGCTTATTTTTGTTGAGGAAACTCATTTGTTTTCCAGGTTACCATGAGCTTTATGTTCCTCTCACATCATTAATGACTCTTCATACTTCCTGTTCTGCAAATTGGTCCATACTGTTTGACCATTGTCGTAGAGTGAACAATGGCCCTCCAAAAATGTCCACACCTAATAATTGGAATCAATGAATGTGCCACCATACATGGCAAAATAAACTTTGTAGAGGTGATTAAGTTAAGAATATTGTGAAGGGGAAATGATTCTGGAGTACCCAGTGGACCCAATGCATCACAGCATCTTTATAAGAGGGAGTCAGAAAAGTCAAAGTCAGAGAAGGAGACAGAAGCAGGAGTTGGAGGGATACGAGTTAGGAACCAAGGGGTGTGGGCAGATAGAAAATGGTTTTGCCCCTATAGCTACAAGATTTTTTTTTTTAACTTTTAGACTTTTTTTGGTGGTGGGGGTGGTGGGGTCTTGCTCTGTTGCCCAGGCTAGGGTGCAATGGCGTGATCTTGGCTCATTGCAACTTCTGCCTCCTGGGTTCAAGTGATTCTCCTGCCTCAGCCTCCCAAACAGCTGGGATTACAGGCGTGCACCATCACGCCCAGCTAATTTTTGTATTCTCAGTAGAGAAGGGGTTTGCCAGGCTGGTCTTGAACTCCTGACCTCAGGTGACCCACTCACCTTGGCCTCCCAAAGTGCTGGGATTACAGGCATAAGCCACCGCACCCAGCCAACTTTTAGACTTCTAACGTGTATTTTTTTCCTACTGAGTTTAAGTACACACACGCACACAGACTTATATGTACATAGATGTTGACAACAGACATACAGAAACATATGCATAGATTCTGAAGAGTAGTCTGTTGGTGGTTTTATATAATACAAATATATTTTCCTATAATTTGATTTTTAATTTTGTTATGGTGTTTGTAATACAGTTTTTAAATTTCTTGATTTATCCTTCCCCTCATAGTTTGTGGTTTTTATGCCACACTTGAGATTTTTTCCTCAATCCCAATGCTATAAATCTATGCTCGCATATTTTTTCATTTAGAAAATTTTACACTTTACCATTTCATATTTAGGTCATCAATTCATTTTCATGTATGGTGTTTTACAGGTCCTCCTTTTATGGAACCATCACCCATCAGATATTTAACCTATATAACTTTTTCTTTTATTTTTGCTCTATTTTCTGTGTTTTCTTTCTTTCCAAGTAATTTACCCTAAATTAGTCTCCAACTTTTTATTAATTTTTAACTTATTTTGCAATTAGATTTTTAATGTTCATTTCTTAATTATTCCTTTTAAATATTATCTTGTTCTCATAACTGCAATATTTCATCTTACATAATTGACAATAATAAAATATTTTTATTTTATTTCTCTCTGTACATTATCTCATTTTATTCTTAGTTCCTGATTTCTATTTATTTTGTCCTCACTGTTTCACATTGGACTTAGCTTACATTTTTGGTGATCCTTTGCTATTAGGGATTAGAATGTGGCACCACAAACACAAATTGGAAGCTCTTTGATTATAGGTGACTCTTATCCAATACTAATCATTACTATTGGCTGATTATGCAAGGACCAGGGCGTTTTATTTGTGTTCCACAAATGCCAGTATCCATAAGTCTTTACTTTTTAGCTTGCCTTTTTCTCAGGATAGGAATCCCCTATCTCTTGCTTCATGTGTATAAACCTGGATGGTGCTTTTATGACAGCTCACTAGAGAAAGGGAGCACTGTCAGGGTTCTCTCACAAACTATATAGACTTTTACTTTTACCCTGCATTTTCACAGTATGATCTTTTATACTAACACTATCTTCTCTAGGTAAGGGGGTAATTTTTAGGACCATTGAACACATTTGTCTTTAGTTTCTTACAACTTATAATTCCTAAGGCTTCCAATAATCTTGTATTTGTCAGAATAAAATAGGCTATACTGTGGTAACAAATAAACCTGGAAATCTGAATATTTGTTAAAATAAGTGTTTATTTTCTTTTCACATAAAGTTTGATGCAGGTTGTTCAACTCTTCCAGAGGACAATGTTCTAAGTGAAGACTTAGAATCCAGGTTGTGTCCACCTTATAGATTCACCATCTAGAATATGTGGCTTTCAAGTTCACCCTTAAAAAGGAAAGAGATAGCAGGAGGGTAGCCCAAGGTGATTTATGACTTTGGCTTAGAAGTGGCTTAGGTTGCTCCTGCCTACAAGTCATTGGTCAGATCTCAGCCAAATGGCTCAAATATACTGCAAAGAAGACAGTGAAATATCTTCCTATGTGCCATGGAAGAGGTAAAATGTCATAAATACATAGATTTGTGCCCAACGCAGCTATGCCCTGTAAATTGATTTGCTTCTTCAACATCTTCCAACTGAAGAAGAGCTTTCTACTTTCTCCACTCAGCTAGGTGAATTACCACTCATCGCTTTACTTTTTAGCTCCCAAAATTTGTTGAACTTTCTTCCCAACTGTCACGTCCTTTATTATATTTTTTCTTGAGAGTTTATGCCTCTTTTATTATTTCACTGTCATGTAAGTAGATTTCCCCAATACAGCAGACATAGCTGTGTTCATTTTATCATGTTCAACCAGAAATCTAAAAAGTTATGTGACACAAAGCTTTGCTACAACCATGTAATAATCCAATTTATAAATAAACATATTCCTAGAGAGCTAATCTACCCTGAATATGGAAAAAATACTGATTAGAAGTAACTAATAACATAAGAGTAAAGTCCCTAATTGTGAAGGTATTTGAATTTCTACTAATTTTGTTCTAAATTATGTAATATTTGTTTATAGAACATAATACTTCCAAAATACACTTTACAGTTAAAAAGTACTTTTATAAAAGTGAAATTGCAACTAAGTACTTTAGAAACTCTTAATCATACAGTGGGCCATTCGAAATCATGCTTATTCCAATTATTTAACAAAAACAGTGCTATCCATATGGCAGCAGCTTGCCCAAATTATAGCATAATTACAAGGGAACAGTTGCTTCTATAGCTTACAGATTCTAACTCAGCGAACGTTTGCAACATCACATCATGAAAATAACACCAAGGAATAAAATGTGAATGGAAAAATGAAGAGAAATGAACCAGAACTGAGATAGATTCAAAAGAGAATCTATCTGGGAAATCAGAATGTATGCTATTACTTTTAATGATTTTGACTCTAAACTGGTAGCATTTTTCTGCCACTAGGCAAACTAATAGAAACATATAAAAAATTAGAACAACTTGAAGAAAAAAACCTGCATATACCAAGGTTTATGTTACAACCCTGACTGCTATAGGAACTAGACCAAAAAGTGAGCATTGCCACCTTCTGCAATGTGAAATTTAACAAAGGTATTTGAATAAGAGTTTTAAAAATATGACGGAGAAGGCAATTTTGAAAATATTAAAAGTGATTTTTAAACTACCAAAAAATAAATATAAAGGATCACTGAGAAGTTTAGCTGGAAGAGTATTTGAGTTTCCTTTTCTTCATAACTCCTTTCTTAGCCAGATTAAGCTGAGGTAACTTAGGTGTTATTTGATAAAAATGATGTTTACCTAAGTTTAGTGTTTACAACTAATGGGAGACGCTGCTTGAGTTACATAGCCTTTCTCTTTAAAATTCTCAATAAAATAAACCTGCACTGTTAAAATGCCTCTTAATTTCTTATCTTGATTTACATGATTTTAAACTTTTCAAAAGGTAATAAACCTAACATCATGCAGTTAAGCTAAAATAGCAGGATGAAATTATGTTTTAAATATGCCATTCAGTTGCTTCTGTGGAATAAAGAGATTGTTCTACAGATATAGAGATAAGCACACAGACATACTGAGATATTAAATTCCTGAGGAGTATCCTTGAGTGTGATGTTATATCAAAATGAAATGTTTTTAGTATTATGATCAATTTCTGTCACTGGAAAACATTATTCAACAGAGATTTAAAATGCAGTACCACTCTCAGAATAAAACAGACTTTATCTTCTCCAAATTTCTTAGACAGAGTACTAAGAATGATATGTAGGTACATAGTTGTGGATGTGTGTACAACCGGTTAGAGATATAAGCAATATCAGCAATCATCTGAAGGTCTTGGCCATTACCTTCATTTTATAGAGATGAAAATGGAAACCCAAAAATATAAGTAATTTCCTAATGGCTGCATGGCAAAATTGTAGAATGGCCAAAACTAAAATTAATTTCCCCTGCCTTTTAGACCGAAATTATGTTTAAAGTTAAAATATTTGAGAGCTCTTGTTGTTATAGATTCAAATTTTTAAAACCAATCAAGTTGCACTGAAAAGAAAAACCTATCTTGACTTCCAGGTGTGCAAAACAACAGCAGTAGCCTGAGTTTGATATTCCCCTCTCAGCACTACTACAAAAGAAAATCAACAAGCAGAGCAAACCAAACCACACATTACCTTTGCATTCTCCATTACTAGAGACAGAACATGAACACACACACATATACACACTTTCAAATTAGATGTAAGTAGAAAAATATCTGACAGATTACCCAGTATGAATGTCACCCAGTGCGTGTGGAACGTAGAGGAAGAGAATCCTAAAAGATTCCATGAAAAAAATTGCAGAGGAGTAAAAGACTTAGATGAAACACAGACAAAATCATTTTCAGAAAAAGAAAGTTCAACGATGCCTTCAAAATACAGAAAACAGTTCGGAACTTGGCAGTTCAGAACCCAGATACAGACTTCAAAATGTAAGAGACTGGAAGTGGCAGTCATGGATAATCATATATAGACGGAATAGCTGGTAGACCTTAGAGATAATGCAGTAAAGAGGGAGAAGAAATTAGAGGAGGGAAATTAGGAATCCTGCAGAAACAAAGACAGAACAAGATACCGCCCTTTTCCTATCACCACTACCAGCAACAACATCCATAAATCAAACCTCACAAAAGAGGGCAGAAACAACAAAAGAGGATGCTTTGGAAATAGAAACCTTATTCATGAAATAAATAGACATTGAAATAAAACAGACTACCTTCAGGTAAAACTGCAATAAAAGCCAGAAAATGTGAAAATGTTTCTACTAACAAAGTCTCCTCCAAATAACCAAGAACAAAGCTGAAAAGAAAAACCCTGTAACATAAAATATCACACAGCAGTAAATACCCTCAAAATCTTTGAAGATATGACTAAAACATACACCTTGAATCAGAAATAGAATATTAAGACCAGAATGGACAAATAGAGAAATAATAAAATGAATTGACTGAACTCAGAAAGACAATAAAAGCAAAAAAATTTTCAAAATTGAATTATGAATAACAAGATGTCCAAGAAAGGAAATACTCAAATGATGACATACAAGATTCAGTGAAAACATTAAAGGAAAGTACCAAAAATACAGATAAATAAGATGAGATAAAGATAGAAGTAGATTAGAGAAAGTAAATGAAATGGAAAATAGTCCAACATACCTATATTTTATATGAAGAAAATTAAAACATCTGACCAAAATAATGTTTAAAATTCTAGTAACCCCTCAAATTCCCCCAAAATAAAGAAAGCTTGAATCTATACATTGAAACGAACTACTATATCCCCTGAAAATCTAATCCAGATCAATCGACCCTGGGACATATACTAGTAAAACGATTAAACTTTAAAATAAAGACATTCTCAAGTTCTCAGGAAAATAGACAATTTTAAAATGCAAAAAATAAAAAAATTAAAACTGGCAACAAACTTCTCAAAACAGTATACAAATCAAGGCTGCAACAGAGTAACATTTTCAAGAATAGTAAATAGAATAATATATCTGGCTAAACTGTTCTTCAAACAGATTTGAATCTCCCCAACTCAGAAAACACTGTATATTGTGATTTTCCTCAAGAATTTGCTGGAAACTAAGCTTCATTCAACCAAAAAATAACTTGGAAATCTTTGGCAAAATGACTGAAACTTCTCAAATATACAATTGTAAAGCAAATATTACAATGAGAATGGGGTCAGGACTAGAAGAATAACGTAAATATTTCATGCTATGAAAAAGTAGAATAGATTCTATTTATAGAACAGACCTAAAACATGGAAGAAGAAGAAGAAGAGAGAGAAAATGTAAAAAAGTGGAATAAAATTATAGGTACCAGGTGGAAATAATTTAAAACTGACATAACAAACAGCACTAAATTAGGCCAGAAAAGGTGAGGAAATTAAGGGCACTACACAAAGTTAAATACAAAGGTAACTTCTAAAATAAAAATGCAAGTATTCCTAACTACCAAAACATATTGGTCAGATGCAGTGGCTCACACCTGTAATCCCAGCATTTTGGGAGGCCAAGGCAAGCAAATGACTTGAGATCAGGAGTTTGAGACCAGCCTGGCCAACATGGTGAAACCCTGTCTCTATTTAAAAAAAAAAAAAAAAAAAAAAAAACAGCTGGGCATGGTGGTACATGCCTATAATCGCAGCTGCTTGGGAGTCTTGAGGCACAAGGATTGCTTGAATCCAGGAGGCAGAGGTTGCAGTGAGCTAAGATTGTACCACTGCACCCCAGCCTGGGTGATGAAGTGAGACTCTGTCTCAAAATACAATACAATACAATTATATATATATACACACACACACACACACATATATTTACATATATTTAAAAAGCCAAGACTAGGCACAGTGGCTCACGCCTGTAATCCCAGCATTTGGGGAGGCTGAAGCAGGTGGATCACCTGAGGTCAGCAGTTTGAGACCAGCCTGGCCAACATGGTGAAACGTCTTCTCTACTAAAAATACAAAAAAATTAGCAGAGAGTGGTGGTGCGTGCCTGTAATTCCAGCAACTCAGGAGGCTGAGGTAAGAGAATCGCCTGAATCCGGGAGATGGAGGTTGCAGTGAGCTGAGAACACGCCACTGCACTCCAACCTGGGTGACAGAGTGAGACTCCATCCCAGAACACAAACAAACAAACAAAAAAACAAAATAGCCAAATGTATCCACCAAATAAAGGAAGCAATTAATACATGTAAAATTAAACACACCGTAAATACAATGTAAGCTACTATGAAGAGGCCAAAGATAATTGTCATATCAATAAAAGTAAATAAGGTTAATTCATTTATTAAGAGAAATTCAGTGTTTACACTGACACATAAAGGTAAACCCACCTCTGTGTTCATGCAGAATATAAAAGACACACATATCGTAGTGGTTTCAAAAGGCTAAAAATAAAGGGATGGATAAAGACAGCCAAATTAAAACAAGAAGAATGCATGTTGTACAATCCTAATATCTGACAAATTAAAATTCAAGACAAAAAGCATTAGAAGAGACAAATAAAAACACTTTAGAATGTAAAGTTAACATTTCACTATGAAGAAATAGAAGTTTTGAATATCTATGCACCATATAACAGCAACTATGTGTAGAAAAATACAGAAGATGCTGGAAAAATAGAAAGAAACATACTAATAACAGTATAACTTAACTATTTTTGGTACAAAATAGGCCAACTGAAGAAAAATAGTAAAGATTATAAAAAAACTAAAAAATATAATCAATTAAGTACATATATATTTAATAAATCACATCGATAATAGAGAATATATCTTCTTCCAAATGTACATAGAAAATTTGCAATTACAGATTTATTTTTTTGAGATGGATTCTCACTATGTTGCCCAGGCTGGTCTCAAACTCTTGAGCTCAAGTCATCTTCCTATCTCAGCCATCCTAGGATCAGAGGTGTGCCCCACTGCACCCAGTTGAACATTCACAAATATAAATTATAGATTCTAACACAAAGAAAACATCAGTAGATTCTCAAAAAATAGAAATATCACAAACAACACTCTACTTACAATGCAATAAAACCAGAATTTAAAAATGAAAACAAACAAAATATGGCCTTTCTATCTGGAAATTAAAATAGCTTACATTTAACAAACCTTGAGTAAAAGGAGCAATACAAACAAGAAAACTATAGAATTTTTGGGAAAAAAAAGTATGATAATAAAACACTATAAGAATCTACGGGATCCATTTCAAATAGTTATCAGGGGAAAATTAATAGTCCTAAACACATATGTCAGGCACACGAAAATAAATGAATTAAATTTCTTATTCAGACAGTTGGAAAATGAAAAAAATATATACATACATAAAGAAAGCATGAAAAACTAAATAATAAAGACAAATGCAGAAATTAATGAGGTAAAGAATATAAAAATAGTAGACAAAATTAACAAACCATAATCCTGCTAAAAAATTAAACCAAACAGGCAAATTACTATTTTAAATAATAGCTGAGGAGAGAAACACATAGATATAAAAAGAAAAAATGGTGTGGGTTAGAACTCTTAATAAAGGATATGCATCTATGCAAATGAATTTGAAAATTTAGAGGAACTGGGTGCATATTAAAACACATGTCAAGCAAAAACTCTACTATGATATCATTTCTTACATATGGCAAAAATTCAAAAACTTAACAAAAAAGAGTCCACATTGCCAAGTCAATCCTAAGCCAAAAGAACAAAGCTGGAGGCATCACGCTATCTGACTTCAAACTACACTACAAGGCTACAGTAAGCAAAACAGCATGGAACTGGTACCAAAACAGAGATATAGATCAATGGAACAGAACAGAGCCCTCAGAAATAATGCCGCATATCTACAACTATCTGATCTTTGACAAACCTGACAAAAACAAGAAATGGGGAAATGATTCCCTATTTAATAAATGGTGCTGGGAAAACTGGCTAGCCAAATGTAGAAAGCTGAAACTGGATCCCTTCCTTACATCTTATACAAAAATTAATTCAAGATGGATTAAAGACTTAAATGTTACACCTGAAACCATAAAAACCCTAGAAGAAAACCTAGGCAATACCATTCAGGACATAGGCATGGACAAGGACTTCATGTCTAAAACACCAAAAGCAATGGCAACAAAAGCCAACATTGACAAATGGGATCTAATTAAACAGAAGAGCTTCTGCACAGCAAAAGAAACTACCATCAGAGTGAACAGGCAACCTATGGAATGGGAGAAAATTTTTGCAACCTACTCATCTGACAAAGGGCTAATATACAGAATCTACAATGAACTCAAACAAATTTACAAGAAAAAAACAAACAACCCCATCAAAAAGTGGGCGAAGGATATGAACAGACACTTCTCAAAAGAAGACATTTATGCAGCAAAAGACACATGAAAAAATGCTCATCATCACTGGCCATCAGAGAAATGCAAATCAAAACCACAATGAGATACCATCTCACACCAGTTAGAATGGTGATCATTAAAAAGTCAGGAAACAACAGGTGCTGGAGAGGATGTGGAGAAATAGGAACACTCTTACACTGTTGGTGAGAATGTAAACTAGTTCAACCATTGTGGAAGTCAGTGTGGCGATTCCTCAGGGATCTAGAGTTAGAAATCCTGTTTGACCCAGCCATCCCATTACTGGGTATATATCCAAAGGATTATAAAACATGCTGCTATAAAGACACATGCACAAGTATGTTTATTGCGGCACTATTCACAATAGCAAAGACATGGAACCAACCCAAATGTCCAACAATGATAGACTGGATTAAGAAAAGATGGCACATATACTCCATGGAATACTATGCAGCCATAAAAATGATGAGTTCATGTCCTTTGTAGGGACATGGATGAAGCTGGAAACCATCATTCTCAGCAAACTATCTCAAGGACAAAAAAACCAAACACTGCATGTTCTCACTCATAGGTGGGAGTTGAACAATGACAACACATGGAAACAGGAAGAGGAACATCACACACTGGGGCCTGTTGTGGGGTGGGGGGAGGGGGGAGGGATAGCATTAGGAGATATACCTAATGTTAAATGACAAGTTAATGGGTGTAGCACACCAACATGGCACATGTATACATATGTAACTAATATGCACATTGTGCACATGTACCCTAAAACTTAAACTATAATAAAAAAAGATTAAAAAAAAACAAATAAACAATATACTGTATCTGTAAATTTGCAGTGGGAATGTGAGGATGGTACCACCACTATAAAAGAGAATTTGGGAGGGGAGGAGCCAAGATGGCCGAATAGGAACAGCTCCGGTCTACAGCTCCCAGCGTGAGTGACGCAGAAGATGGGTGATTTCTGCATTTCCAACTGAGGTACCGGGTTCATCTCACTGGGCAGTGCCAGACAGTAGGCCCAGGACGGTGGGTGCAGCGCACTGTGCGCCAGCCGAAACAGGGCGAGACATCGCCTCACCCGGGAAGCACAAGGGGTCAGGGAATTCCCTTTCCTAGTCAAAGAAAGGGGTGACAGATGGCACCTGGAAAATTGGTTCACTCCCACCCTAATACTGTGCTTTTCCAATGGGCCTAAAAAACGGCACACCAGGAGATTATATCCCTCACATGGCTCGGAGGGTCCTACACCAACAGAGTCTCGCTTATTGCTAGAACAGCAGTCCCAGACCAAACTGCAAGGCGGCAGCGAGGCTGGGGGAGGGGCGCCCGCCATTGTCGAATTAGTTTGATTAGGTAAACAAAGCGGCCAGGAAGCTCGAACTGGGTGGAGCCCACCACAGCTCAAGGAGGCCTGCCTGCCTCTGTAGGCTCCACCTCTGGAGGCAGGGCACAGACAAACAAAAAGACAGCAGTAACCTCTGCAGACTTAAATGTCCCTCTCTGACAGCTTTGAAGAGAGCAGTGGTTCTCCCAGCATGCAGCTTGAGATCTGAGAACGGGCAGACTGCCTCCTCAAGTGGGTCCCTGACCCCCGAGTAGCCTAACTGGGAGGCACCCCCCAGTAGGGGCAGACAGACACCTTACACGGCCGGGTACTCCTCTGAGACAAAACTTCCAGAGGAACAATCAGGCAGCAGCATTTGCGGTTCACCAAAATCCACTGTTCAGCAGCCACCGCTGCTGATACCCAGGCAAACAGTGTCTGGAGTGGACCTCCAGCAAACTCCAACAGACCTGCAGCTGAGGGTCCTGTCTGTTTGAAGGAAAACTAACACACAGAAAGGACATCCACACCAAAAACCCATCTGTATGTCACCATCATCAAAGACCAAAGGTAGATAAAACCACAAAGATGGGAAAAACACAGAGCAGAAAAACTGGAAACTCTAAAAATCAGAGCGCCTCTCCTGCTCCAAAGGAACGCAGCTCCTCACCACCAACAGAACAAAGCTGGACGGAGAATGACTTTAACGAGTTGAGAGAAGAAGGCTTCAGATGATCAAACTACTCCGAGCTACAGGAGGAAATTCGAACCAATGGGAAAGAAGTTAAAAGCTTTGAAAAAAAATTAGATGAATGGATAACTAGAATAACCAATGCAGAGAAGTCCTTAAAGGACCTGATGGAGCTGAAAACCAAGGCACGAGAGCTACATGATGAATGCAGAAGCCTCAGTAGCTGATGCGATCAACTGGAAGAAAGAGTACCAGCGATGGAAGACAAAATGAATGAAATGAAGTGAGAAGAGAAGTTTAGAGAAAAAAGAATAAAAAGAAATGAACAAAGCCTCCAAGAAATATGGGACTATGTGAAAAGACCAAATCTACATTTGACTGGTGTACCTGAAAGTGATGGGGAGAATGGAACCAAGTTGGAAAATACTCTGCAGGATATTATCTAGGAGACTTTCCCCAATCTGGCACAGCAGGCCAACATTCAAATCCAGGAAATACACAGAACGCCACAAAGATACTCCTTGAGAAGAGCAACTCCAAGACACATAATTGTCAGATTCACCAAAGTTGAAATGAAGGAAAAAATGTTAAGAGCAGCCAGAGAGAAAGGTCGGGTTACTCACAAAGGGAAGCCCATCAGCCTAACAGCTGATATCTCGGCAGAAACTCCACAAGCCAGAAGAGAGTGGGGGCCAATATTTAACATTCTTAAAGAAAAGAATTTTCAACCCAGAATTTCATATCCAGCCAAACCAAGCTTCATAACTGAAGGAGAAATAAAATCCTTTACAGACAAGCAAATGCTGAGAGATTTTGTCACCACCAGGCCTGCCCTAAAAGAGCTCCTGAAGGAAGCACTAAACATGGAAAGGAACAACCGGAACCAGCCACTGCAAAAACATGCCAAATTGTAAAGACCGTCAAGGCTAGGAAGAAACTGCATCAACCAACGAGCAAAATAACCAGCTAACATCATAATGACAGGATCAAATTCACACATAACAATATTAACTTTAAATGTAAATGGGCTAAACGCTCCAATTAAAAGACACAGACTGGCAAATTGGATAAAGAGTCAAGACCCATCAGTGTGCTCTATTCAGGAAACCCATCTCACATGCAGGGACACACATGGGCTCAAAATAAAGGGATGGAGGAAGATCTACCAAGCAAATGGAAAACAAAAAAAGGCAGGGGTTGCAATCCTAGTCTCGGATAAAACAGACTTTAAACCAACAAAGATCAAAAGAGACAAAGAAGGCCATTACATAATGGTAAAGGGATTAATTCAACAAGAAGAGCTAACTATCCTAAATATATATGCACCCAATACAGGAGCACCCAGATTCATAAAGCAAGTCCTTAGTGACCTACAAAGAGACTTAGACTCCCACACATTAATAATGGGAGACTTTAACACCCCACTGTCAACATTAGACAGATCAACGAGACAGAAAGTTAACAAGGATATCCAGGAATTGAACTCAGCTCTGTACCAAGCGGACCTAATAGACATTTACAAAACTCTCCACCCCAAATCAACAGAATGTACATTCTTTTCAGCACCACACTACACCTACTCCAAAATTGACCACATAGTTGGAAGTAAAGCACTCCTCAGCAAATGTAAAAGAACAGAAATTATAACAAACTGTCTCTCAGACCACAGTGCAATCAAACTAGAACTCAGGATTAAGAAATTCACTCAAAACCGCTCAACTACATGGAAACTGAACAACCTGCTCCTGAATGACTACTGGGTAAATAACGAACTGAAGGCAGAAATAAAGATGTTCTTTGAAACCAATGAGAACAAAGACACAACATACCAGAATCTCTGGGACACATTCAAAGCAGTGTGTAGAGGGAAATTTATAGCACTAAATGCCCACAAGAGAAAGCAGGAAAGATCTAAAATTGACACCCTAACATCACAATTAAAAGAACTAGAGAAGCAAGAGCAAACAGATTCAAAAGCTAGCAGAAGGCAAGAAATAACTAACATCAGAGCAGAACTGAAGGAGATAGAGACACAAAAAACCCTTCCAAAAATCAATGAATCCAGGAGCTGTTTTTTTGAACGATCAACAAAATTGATAGACCGCTAGCAAGACTAAGAAGAAAAGAGAGAAGAATCAAATAGATGCAATGGATATCACCACTGATCCCACAGAAATACAAACTACCATCAGAGAATACTATAAACACCTCTACACAAATAAACTAGAAAATCTAGAAGAAATGGATAAATTCCTCGACACATACATCCTCCCAAGACTAAACCAGGAAGAAGCTGAATCTCTGAATAGAACAATAACAGGCTCTGAAATTGAGGCAATAATTAATAGCTTGCCAACCAAAAAAAGTCCAGGACCAGATGGATTCACAGCCGAATTCTACCAGAGGTACAAAGAGGAACTGGTACCATTCCTTCTGAAACTATTCCAATCAATAGAAAAAGAGGGAATCCTCCCTAACTCATTTTATGAGGCCAGCATCATCCTGATACCAAAGCATGGCAGAGACACAACAAAAAAAGAGAATTTTAGACCAATATCCTTGATGAACATTGATGCAAAAATCCTCAATAAAATACTGGCAAACTGAATCCAGCAGCACATCAAAAAGTTCATCTACCATGATCAAGTAGGCTTCATCCCTGGGATGCAAGGCTGGTTCAACATACGTAAATCAATAAATGTTATCCAGCATATAAACAGAACCAAAGACAAAAACCACATGGTTATCTCAATAGATGCAGAAAAGGCCTTTGACAAAATTCAACAACGCTTCATGCTAAAAACTCTCAATAAATTAGGTATTGATGGGGCATATCTCAAAATAATAAGAGCTATCTATGAGAAACCCACAGCCAATATCATACTGAATGGGCAAAAACTGGAAGCATTCCCTTTGAAAACGGGCACAAGACAGGGACGCCCCCTCTCACCACTCCTATTCAACACAGTGTTGGAAGTTCTGGCCAGGGCAATTAGGCAGGAGAAGGAAATAAAGGGTATTCAATTAGGAAAAGAGGAAGTCAAATTGTCCCTATTTGCAGATGACATGATTGTATATCTAGAAAACCCCATCATCTCAGCCCAAAATCTCCTTAAGCTGATAAGCAACTTCAGCAAAGTCTCAGGATACAAAATCAATGTACAAAAATCACAAGCATTCTTATACACCAATAACAGACAGAGAGCCAAATCATGAGTAAACTCCCATTCACAACTGCTTCAAAGAGAATAAAATACCTAGGAATCCAACTTACAAGGGATGTGAAGGACCTCTTCAAGGAGAACTACAAACCACTGCTCAACGAAATAAAAGAGGATACAAAGAAACGGAAGAACAATGCATGCTCATGGGTAGGAAGAATCAATATCGTGAAAATGGCCATACTGCCCAAGGTAATTTATAGATTCAATGCCATCCTCATCAAGCTACCAATGACTTTCTTCACAGAATTGGAAAAAACTACTTTAAAGTTCATATGGAACCAAAAAAGAGCCTGCATCGCCAAGTCAATCCTAAGCCAAAGAACGAAGCTGGAGGCATCACGCTACCTGACTTCAAACTATACTACAAGGCTACAGTAACCAAAACAGCATGATACTGGTACCAAAACAGAGATATAGACCAATGGAACAGAACAGAGCCCTCAGAAATAATGCCGCATATCTGCAACTATCTGATCTTTGACAAACCTGACAAAAACAAGAAATGGGGAAAGGATTCCCTGTTTAATAAATGGTGCTGGGAAAACTGGCTAGCCATATGTAGAAAGCTGAAACTGGATCCCTTCCTTACACCTTATACAAAAATTAATTCAAGATGGATTAAAGACTTAAATGTTAGACCTAAAACCATAAAAACCCTAGAAGAAAACCTAGGCAATACCTAGGCAATATCATTCAGGACATAGGCAACACCTAAAACCTAGGCAATACCATTCAGGACATAGGCACAGGCAAGGACTTCATGTCTAAAACACCAAAAGCAATGGCAACAAAAGCCAATATTGACAAATGGGATCTAATTAAACTAAAGAGCTTCTGCACAGCAAAAGTAACTACCATCAGAGTGAACAGGCAACCTACAAAATGGGAGAAAATTTTTGCAATCTACTCATCTGACAAAGGGCTAATATCCAGAATCTACAATGAACTCAAACAAATTTACAAGAAAAAAACAAACAACCCCATCAAAAAGTGGGCAAAGGATATGAACAGACACTTCTCAAAAGAAGACATTTATGCAGCAAAAGACACATGAAGAAATGCTCATCATCACTGGCCATCAGAGAAATGCAAATCAAAACCACAACACCATCTCACACCAGTTAGAATGGTGATCATTAAACAGTCAGGAAACCATAGGTGCTAGAGAGGATGTGGAGAAACAGGAATACTTTTACACTGTTGCTGGGACTGTAAACTAGTTCAACCATTGTGGAAGTCAGTGTGGCGATTCCTCAGGGATCTAGAACTAGAAATACCACTTGACCCAGCCATTCCATTACTGGGTATATACCCAAAGGATTATAAATCATGCTGCTATAAAGACACATGCACACGTATGTTTATAGCGGCACTATTCACAATAACAAAGACTTGGAGCTAACCTAAATGTCCAACAACGACAGATTGGATTAAGAAAATGTGGCACATATACACTTTGGAATACTATGCAGCCATAAAAAATGATGACTTCATGTCCTTTGTAGGGACATAGATGAAACTGGAAACCATCATTCTCAGCAAACTATCGCAAGGACAAAAAACCAAACACCGCATGTTCTCACGCATAGGTGGGAATTGAACAATGAGAACACATGCACACAGGAAGGGGAACATCATACACCGGGGATTGTTGTGGGGTGGGGGACAGGGGGAGGGATAGCATTAGGAGATATACCTAATGCTAAATGACGAGTTAATGGGTGCAGCACACCAACATGGCACATGTATACATATGTAGCAAACCTGCACGTTGTGCACATGTACCCTAAAACTTAAAGTATAATAATAATAAAATTTAAAAAAAAAATAAAAAATTTTAAAAAAGAGAATTTGGCAATATTTAACACAACTTGTATGCATTTATCCTGTTATCCAACAATCACATTTCTATGAACTTATCCTGAAAACATACCTCCAAAAATATGAAAATACAAGTGCAGTAGATTGTACATTGAAAAATTGCTTATAATTATAAATTATTAAAAACTACCTAAATGTCCAAGTGTAGGAATTTGTTCAAATAAACTATGGCTGCACACACACAATGAAGTACTATGCAACTGTAAAAAAAGAATGAAAAAGACCTTGAATAACTAATATGAACTAATTCCTAGGAAATGTTAAGTGAAAAAAAATTCAAAAGGATTATATAACTTGCTACCTTTTGTGTAAGAAATAAGGAGAAATAGAAAGATACAAACAAGCACAAAGTACAAAATGGAAAATAAGGAAGTTGGTTATCTGCAAGCAGTAGAGGACATGGGATTAGTGACATTCCTCTAACTATGCATATTTTTTATTTTTAGAAACATGTTAATGTTCAATATGTACAAAAATAAAATTAAATCAATATGGATGAGGAGGTGGAAATAAAATCTCTAACTGGAAAATAATCCTCCATTCCCACCAACACAACAACAAAACAACTACATATATATTTCCACAGATATATAGTTATATATGTTATATATAGCTATATATATGTTTTATATGTATAGTTATATATTTTATATGTAATATATGTTTACAGTAGAAATCATATAAATATATACATTTCTACTACTTTCAAAGAACAAATTATGAAAAAGACTTGTGTTGTTTGGGGACTTATTTTTATTTATGTTTAAGGAGGAATAGCAATGTAAAATTTAAATCTCCTTTAACAGCAGATACAAAAAACAAGGGAACAATGAGGAGTGAGCTTTAGAGATGATGGCTTTTTAAAAAATCGTCTTAAAATTTATTATCCTTCAGTCACTCCTTAATGAGGAAGTCACAGTGCATTCATTTAACTAAAGTGTTCTGAGAATTGAAAGATGGTTAACATGTACCAAATAATCATAGCTCTTAAAAGGATGCCCAAACCAAACGTTCCTCTCTATCAAAGTAAAAGTAAAACCCATTGATCTGATTTTCATTCATGCAAACAATAAGTATGAATCACTTTCCTATTTATATAAACAGTCTTCCTAGTCTATAGCTCAGATATTTTAATTCAGATGTACTTTTACTCCAAAAAAATAAAAAGGAAACAAGGTGAAACAAAAACAAAAATTAAAACTGAAGAGAGAAGACTATTGCATTTCACAAGTTAAGGTATTATAAAAAGTCAATAATAGCATCATTGATATATGAGAAAGAATGATGAACAGACTATATGACAGCTATTTTTAAATGTAATAATGGAACCTCAGAGAAACTCCTGTCAAAATGAAAAAGAAAAATTAGGATGTGCACTGAGACAAGTAAAAGCAAAAGATCTTTAAGCACAAGAAGCAAATCAATGATGAGAGAGCAGAGTAGCAGCAAGAATAATACAACTGCCTACCACATTGCAAATATAACTGTGAAAAGAAAATCGTTTGAGGCGATTATCAAAAGTCAGAGCAATCAATGAGATAGCTAGTAAAGGGCATTAATTAAAGCTCTGTCGTGTCCTAGATTGATAAAGTGACTTTCAGCAAGTCACAAACAGGAGTTTACATTATAGAAGTAAAGACAAGCTCTTCCTGTTCCAAATGACATAATAACCAACAGTAGCCATAATCAAAACAGAGGAAACAGAATGCCACTTGTCCCTACAGTGTCACAGATACTACCAAAAGGAAACAGATCCGAAGTTAGGCATATGAACAGAGTAAAAGGAATCTGTACTTTAGAACAAATTATAATAATTTTAGGGAAACCTATAGTTCATCCTAGAAGTCAATAAGTATACACAGGTATTAATGATTTTCTGAAAGCATCAAATACACACACGAAAAATGTCACTTTTCAGAGATTAATTTGAGCCTTTTAGCAAAAAAATCCTGGTAGAGTATGCCAACATAGTTCATCAAGTTGGACAGAAATGAGACAGCAATGTCAACTATGGGATCACGTAACTGTCAAGAGTTAACATTTTTGTTTTTGGCAATGAAAGTTACAGAAGTAGAAATGTCCTCATCTAACATGATTATTTTTCTAAAACCTAATTATTTTATGATAATATATGAACCATTTCATAGTCATTTGAAGACTAAATGAGAGTTATAGATTTCATGACATGATAATTCAAAGAAAAATGCTTTGGTTCAATACGCTGTCTAGAACTCAGAAGAGATAATGGTGACTTCTGGTTTCCACTCTGGCATGTAAGGAACTTCAAAGTTGTCACTCTTTCCTCACAATAAGAAAAAAGCTAAACAATCTGAAAATCAATAACCCTTCTTAAATCCATCAGAGAATCGAAGTCATAGAGAAAATGGCTGCCTCCAAAGTAGGCAAGGCATATACAAAGAATCACAACATAGCAGAGGAAAGCCAGGAGAAGAAACCACTACTAGAACCAGGACCAGAGTAGAAAAACTTAAACTATGATTGACAACTTACTGGAGGCTCAGTGTCTACAATCTTTATAGTTAAAAACTTTAAGGGAGCCCAGTTCTAGTGGGGACCCTATACTTTTGTGAGTATACCTTCAGTAGCCCTGCCAGGTTCTCACAGTGAAGATAAGAAAAAATTTTCTTCATGTTTCAGCAGGGGAAAGGAAAAGTAGGCATTTTGAAAGACACCAAGAGAATTCTGTTTTTCTTGGTTCTGCCCTCACAGGAAACTATCTTAGGAAAGCCTAACAAACTAGGGTTTTACCAGACTCTGATATAAAAGAAGGCATATACCCTTCTAGCCTTCCTGTCTTACCTGAGTTGGGAGTGAAAATAGGAAGAGACTGAGAAGAATTTGTGAAGGTCTTAACAAACAGGCTTAATAGGCTTAACAAAATATGAGAATCTAATCATGGGACAAAAGACTCTTTCCCCAACTCCTGAAACTTAGCAATCATGAATAGGGCTCCTGAATAATATTAGGGGGTTACAATGGAAAAAATTGCTTGTTTCAGACCTTATTTAGAAAGAAGTCTCTAAGAAAACCCAAAGACAACAGAAAAGAAAAAACACAACAGAAAATGAACAAAAACAAGGACACCAAAGGAGATTTTTTGCCCCTGACACCTACAACTATAGCAAACACAGTGTACCTCCAAGTCAGGTAAATATAACAACCTCACACTAAAGGTCTAATTACCCCCGTTCCATTTGCCTGGTACATCATGTCCAGCTTTCAACAAAACATTACACAGCACACTAAAAGACAAAAAGCATAGTTTGAAAAGCTAAAGCAAACATCCAAATGAGATTCAGATATGGCAGAGATTTTAGCATTATCAGACTGGAAATGTAGCACAACTGTGATTAACATACTAAAGGTTCTAGTGAAAAAGTAGACAATGTGCAAGAACAAATGGGTATTGTAAGCAGTGAGATGGAAACCCTAACAAAGAATCAAAAGAAAATGACAGAAATCAAAAACATCGTAAAGTACCAAAAAGTACCTTTGATAGGCTCATCAACAGACTGGACGGAGTTTAGGAAATCAGTGAGCTTGATGAAATGTCAATAGCAACTTCTAAAACTGAAATTCAAAGAGGATTAAAAAAGACTTAAAAGACTATCCAAGAACTATGGGTAGAACTACAAATGATGTAACTACACGTAATAGAAATATCAGTAGGAAAATAAAGAGAGAAAATAACAGAAGAGATGTTTAAAGTAATAATGGCTAAGAATTTTCCAAAATTTATGGCAGACACCAAATCATAGATCCCAGTAGCTCAGGGAAAATCAAGCAAGGCAAATACCAAAAATATCCACGTCCAAGCATACCACATTTGAACTGCAGAACATCAAAGACAAAGAAAAAAATTATTTCAAGAAGCCAGAGGGAGAAAAACACACCTTACCTATAGAGAAGGAAGGATAAAGTTACATCAGACTTCTGTTCACAAACTATGCAAGCAAGATCATGTGCTATTGAAAGCAAAAACCTAGCCAGTTGCAGTGGCTCACGCCTGTAATCTCAGCACTTTGGGAGGCCGAAGTGGGCAGATTATTTAAGGTCAGGAGTTCAAGACCAGCCTGACCAACATGGTGAAACCCCGTCTCTACTAAAAATACAAAAAAATTAGCCAGACGTGGTGGCACATGACTATAGTCCCAGCTACTCAGAAGTCTGAGGCAGGAGAATTCCTTGAACCTGGGAGACAGAAGTTGCAGTGAGCCGAGATTATGCCACCGCACTCCAGACTGGGAGACAGAGCCAGACTCTGTCTCAAAAAAAAAAAAAAAAAAAAGTGAAAACTCATCAACCTAAATTCTACATCCAATGAAATTATACTTCAAAAATAAAGGAGAAATAAAGATTTTCTCATATAAAAATTGAGGAATAGACTTGCTTTGAAAAAAATGTATTAAAAGAAGCTTCAGAGAGGAGGAAAATTATGTAGGTTAGAAACTCAGATCTACGAAAACAAAAACTGCCAATTGGAGAAGGAATTAAGGAAAAATAAAATGTCATTTATTTTTCATATGCAAATTGATCTAACAATAATAATCTGTTCAAATAATAGCAACAATGTATTTGGTAATTATAGGTTATATATATGTGAAATAAATTACAGCTATGATGCAAGGGATGGGAGAGAGCAATTCAGAATACTCCGTTATAGGATACTTACACTGCCTGTGAAGTGTATATAGTGTTATTTGAAAGTGGGCTTTGGATAGTTGTAAATGTACACTGCAAATTCTAATAAAACCATAAAAAATGTTTAAGATATGTATAACTGATATGCTAAGAAAGAAGAAAAAAATCAAACAACATAAAATGTTCCATTAAAATCAGAGAGGACAGAGGAAGAGAGGAAATAAATAAGTGAAATGAAAACTGAAAGCCTTTCCTTTAAGATCTTGAAAACAACAAGGAAGCCCACTGCCACCACTGCTATTTAACATAGTACTGAAAGTCTTGGAGGAATCAGACAAGAGAAAAAAATAAAGGACAACCGAACTGGAAAGGAAGAAGTCAAATTATCCTTGTTTGCAGATAACATAATATTTGGAAAAACCGAAAAAATCCACAAAAATTATTAAAACTGATAAATTTAGTAAAGTTACAGGATACAAAATCAACATATAAAAATCAGTAGCATTTTATATGACAACAGCTAACAATCTTAAAAAGAAATGAAAAAGTAATCCCACTGACAATTGCTACAAATAAAATAAAATACATAGGAATAAACTTAAATAAGTGAAAGATCTCTACAATGAAAACTATAAAACACCAAAGGAGAAAATTGAAGAGGGCACAAAAAATGGAAAAATAATCCTTGTTCATGGATTGGAAGAGTCAATATTGTTAAAATGTCTCTATTACTCAAAGTAATCTATAGATTTAGTGCAATCCCTATGAAAATATCAATAATATTTTTCACAGAAATCGCAAAAACAATCTGAAAACTCATATGGAACCATAAAAGACCCAGAATAGGCAAAGCTAACCTGAAAAAACAACAACAACAAAAAAAAAACTGGAGGAATCACATTACCTGACTTCAAGTTATACTACAGAACTACAGTAAACAAAACAGTATGGTACTGCCATAAAAGCAGACATACACATCACTGGAACAGAGTAGAGAACCCAGAAATAAACCCATACATCTACAATGAATTCATTTTTGACAAAGGTATCAAGAACATACACTGAGGAAAGGACAGTCTCTTCAATAAATTGTGCTAGGAAAACTGGATATCCCTATGCAGAAGAATGAAACTAGACCCCTATGTCTCACCATACAAAAAAATCAAATAAAAATTAAAGAATTAAACCCAAGACCTCAAACTATGAAACGACTGCAAAAAGAATCAAAAAAACACTGAGGAAACTCTTCAAACATTGAAATGGGCAAAGATTCTTGAATAATAAAACACAGGCAATCAAAGAGAAGATGGACAAATTATATCACATCAAGTTAAAAAGCCTCTGTACAGCAAAGGAAACAATCAACAAACTGATGAGAAAATCCACAGGATAAGAGAAATTTTTTGCAAACTACCAGTCTAACAAGGGATTAATAACCAGATTACATAAGAAGCTCAAACAACTCAATAGGAAAAAATATAATAATACAATTTAAAAATGAGCAAAAGGTCTTAATAGACATTTCTCAAAAGAATACATAGAAATGACAAACAGGCATATGGAAAGGTGCTCAGCATCACTGATCATCAGAGAAATGCAAATCAAAATTAAAATGAGATATCATCTCATCCCAGTTAAAATGAGTTTTATACAAATGACAAGCAATAACAAATGCTGGTGAGGATGTGGAAAAAAGGGAATCACTGTACACTGTTGGTTGGAACACAGTACAACCACTATGGAGAACAGTTTAGAGGCTCCTCGAAAAACTAAAAATAGAGCTACCGTACTATCTAGCAATCCCACTGCTACGGACACAAAAGAAAGGAAATCAGTACATAAAAGAGATAGCTGAACTCCCATATTTACTGGAGCACTGTGCACAATAGTCAAGATTTGGAAGCAACCCAAGTGTCCATCAACAAATGAATAAAGAAAATGTGGTACATATACACAATGGAGTACTAGTCAGCTATAAAAACCAATGAGATCCTGTCATCTGCACCAACATGGATGGAACTGGAAGTTGTTAAGTTAAATGGCCAGGCACAGAAAGACAAGCTTTGCATGTTCTCACTTACCTGTGACAACGAAAAATTAAAACAATTGAACTCATGGAGCTAGAGAATAGAGGCTGGTTTCCAGAGTCTGGGAAAAGTAGTGGTGATTGGGGAAAATGGAGATTAATGGGCACACAGTAACAGTTAGAAAGAATGAATACAACCTAGTATTTGCTAGCAAAACAGAGTGATATAGTAAAAAATAATTTAATTGTGCATTTTAAAATAGCTGAGTATAACTGGATTGTTTATAACACAAAGGATAAATGCTTGAGGTGATAAATACTCCATTTACCCTGATATGATTACAATGCATTGCATGCTTGTATCAAAATATCTCATGTAACCCATAAATATATACACCTACTATGCACCTACAACAGCTAAAAATTAAATAAAAAATAATAAATTAAAATTAAAAAGGAGCAAAGAACAAGGACAATAAATGAAAAATAATGACCACAGTAAATATTAATACAATTGTATTGATGATCACTTTAAGCATAAATGATCTAAATACACTAATTAAAAGACAGACTGTCAGAGTGAATAATAAACAGCATCCAATTATATGTTATCTACAAGACAGATGAATACACTTTTTGTCAGTAAGCATAGATATACTATGCTAGCATTAATCAAAAAAAGGTGGAGTAGGTATCATAATTCCAGACAATGGAGAATTTAGAGCAAAGAAAATTGTCAGGGATTAAGGTGGGGGTGGGCATTACATAATAATAAAGAGATTATTTCTCCAATAAGATATAGCAGTCATTAATATGTATTATCTAACAACAGAGTGTCAAAATCTATGAGGCAAGGTCTGTTATAACTGCAAATAGACAAAATTTGTATTGTTTTTGGAGACCTCAACACTCCTCTCTAGTAATCGACAGATCCATCAGGAATAACATCAGTAAGAACATAGTTGAACTGAACAGCACCATCAATCAACTGGATATAATTGACATTTATAGAATATTTTATCCAACTACAGCAGAGTACACACATTCTTCTCGAGTTCACATAAAATATTCAAGATAAGCCATATTTCTGGGCCATGAAACACACCTTAACAAATCTAAAAGAATAGAAATCATACAACATATGCTCCCAGGACACAATGGAATTAAACTAAAATTAATAACAAAATAGAGAACCCCAAAATATATAGAGATTAAACAAGACACTCTTAAATAACACATGGATCAAGAAAATCTCAAGAGAAATGCAAAAATATTTAGAACTACATGAAAATAATGCAAATTATCAGAATTTGTGGAACAAAGAGAAAGGGCTTGAGGAAATTGAATGCATCTAATAGTAAAGAAGAGAGATCTCAAATGAGTAACCTAAGTTTCCACCTTAGGAAACTAGAAAAAGAAGAGCAATTAAATCTAAAGTAAGCAGAAGAAAAGAAATAATAAAATCAGAGTCAAAATCAATGAAATTAGAAAAAAAATCAATAGAAAAAAATCAACAAAACCAAAAGCTGGTTTTTAAAAGCACTGATAAAATTAATGAACCTCTAGCCAGGTTAGGAAAAAAAAGAGAGGATACAAATTATTAATACTGGAAACTTAAGAAGGGTAATCATTAATAATCCCATAGCTATTAAAAGGAAAAAGGGATATTATGAACAACTCTATGTCCCTAAATTTGATAATCTAGATGAAATGAGCCAATTCCTTGAAAGACAAAATCTAGCAAAACACACAAAGAGAAATCGATGATACGAATAGTCCTAAATCTGTTAAAAGAAATTAAACCAGTATTTAGTAACTTTCCAAATCAGAAAGCATGAGGTCCAGAGGGTTCACTACCAAACATTCAAGGGAAAAATTATACCAATTCTCAACAATTTCTTTCAGAAAATGAAAGCACAGAAAATACTTTCCAATTCATTCGAAGAGGGCAGCATTACCCTAACATCACAACAAAGACATTACAAGTAAGGACAACAAAGATCAACATTTCTCATAAACATACATGAAATAAGTCTCAATAAAATACTAGCAAGTCAAATCCAACACTATGTAAAAGGAATTTACGTCGCAGCTAAGTGGGATTTATTCCACATACACAAGGCTGGTTCAACATTTGAAAATCAATTAATGTAATCCATAACATAAACAGGCTAATGAACAAAAATCATATAATCAGATCAATAGAGGCAGAAAAAATATTTAACAAAATCTAATGATTATTTATAAGGAAAATTCTCAGAAAACTAAGAATGAAGGGGAACTTCCTTGACTTGATCAAAACACCTACAAAAAAAAAAAACCTATAGCTAACAAAACACTTAATGGTGACAGCATAGATTTCTTTCCCAGTACAAAAAAAAAAGAATGTCCTTTCTCATCACTCCTGTATAACATTGTACTGGAAGTCTTGGCTAATGAAGACAAGAAAATAAAATAAAGAAAACATATTCAGATTGGAAAGAAAGCAATAATTTTTCCTTTTTTTTTTGCAGATGACATGCTGACATGCTTATTTATGTAAGTAATCTCAAAAAATCAACAACTACAGCAATGAAAATCTCTGGATAATAAGTGACTATAACAAAGTTGCAGGATGCAAGGTTAATATAAAAAGTTAACGGTTTTCTTATTATACCAGCAATGCACAATTGCAATATGAAATTAAAAACACAATACCATTTATGTTAGCACCAAAAAAGGTAAATTAATCTAAATCTGACACAATATGTACAAGATATATTTTTTTTAAAAAACCCTCCAAGACCCTGACAAAATAAACAAGAATTAAATAAATGGAGAGATATCCTATGTACCAGAATAGGATGACTCAGTATTATCAATATATTAGTTCTTCCCAAATTGATCTTCCATTACATGCAATCCCAATCAAAATCTTGGAAGTTATTTTGTGGATATCAAAAAGTAGTTCCAAAGTTTATATGAAAAAGCAAAAGATTCACTGCAGACAACACATAGGAAGAAAAAAAATAGGAAGACTGACACTTCTCTGCTTTACAATTTACTATAAAACTACATTACTCAAAACATTGTGTTACTAACAAATAATAGATAGTAAAATAGAATAAAAATTGAAGGCATAGAACAGACTCATATCAACATAGTCAATTGATCTTTGTCAAAAAAGCATAGGTAACTCAATAGAGAAAAGATATTCTTTACAATAAATGGTGCTGGAACAACTGAACATATAATAATCTTTTTTAAAAAGAATGCAGACATAGACCCTATACCTTTCACCAAAAAACCTCAAAATGAATGATAGACCTAAATATAATAAACAAAATTATGCAACTCGTAGAAGAAAATATAAGAGAAAAATTGAGTTGACTTTGGGTTTAGTGATATTTTTAAACAACACCAAAAAAAAAAGATCCTTGAAAAAATATTGAGAAGTTGGACTTCATTAAAATTAAAAATATTTTCTCTGTGAACAACACCATCAAGAAAATGAAAACACAAATCATAGACTGTCAAAAATATTTGCAAAACACATATCTGATAAAGGACTGGTATCCAAAATATACAAATAACTCTTAAAATTCAACAATAAGAAAACAACTCAATTAAAAAATAGACAAAACATCTGAATAGACACCTTATCAAATAATATATACAGATGGCAAGCAAGTGTATGAAAAGATGTTCAGCATCACATGTCATTAAGGAATCGCAATTTAAAACAATGAGATACCATTACACACCTATTCGAATGGCAAAACTCCAAAATACTGACAACAAATCCCAGTGATGTGACAAAATAGAACTTCCACTAATTGCTGGTGGCATTGCAAAGTGGCACAGCCATTCTGGAAGACAGCTGGGCAGTTTCTTACAAAACTAAACATACTCTTGCTATACCATACAGCAATTGCACTACTTGATATTAACCCAAATGACTTGAAAACCTATGTTCACAAAAAATTACACACATAAACTTTTATAGCAGCTTTATTCAAAATTGCCAAAACTTGATAGCAACCAAGATGTACTTCAGTAGGTGAATGAACAAACTATAGTACCACAAAATGGAATATTATTCAGTGATAAAAAGAAATAAGCTACCAAGTCACAAACAGACATGGAACAAACTTAAATGCGTATTGCAAAGTGAAATAAGTCAACCAGAAAAAGCTACATATATAATTCTAACTATATAACATTTTTTAAAAAGGCAAAACTTTGGGGACAGTCAGTAAAATGGTCAGTAGTTGCCAGGGGTTCTCAGGGAGAGAGGGAAGGATGAGTAAATAGAGTAGAAGGGATACTTAGGGGAGTAAAACTACTCTGTATGATACCGTAATTGTGGATCCATGTCATTATTCATTTGTCAAACCAATAGAATGTACAATACAAAGGATGAATCCTAATGTAAACTATAGTCTTTATTAACAGTAATATATCAATATTAGCTCATCAATTGTAACCAATGTACCTGCTGCACACTGAATTGTGTTCCTCCAAAATTCAAATGTTGAAACTCTAACCTCCATTTTGAATATGGGAAATTTCTAATGTAATCAGGTCATGAGAGTGGAGCCCTTGTGATAGGATTGGTGACCTTATAAGAAGAGACATAGAGTGCTCTCTTTTTTTCTCTCTCTCCCCCACCATGTGAGGACACAGCAAGAAGATGGCCATCTTTAAGACAAGAAGACAACCTTCATCACGAACTAAATCAAGACACACCTTGAATTTGGACTTTCCAGCCTCCAGAACTGTGGAAATAAATTTCTCATTTAAATTCCCAAACTATGGTATTTATTTTTATAACAGTTAGTCTTCGGCAATTCAAGCTGCTATAACAAAGTACCAGAAGCTGGATGGCTTAAAAAACAACAGAAATCTATTTCTCACAGTTCTAGAGGCTGGAAGTCTGAGACCAGGGTACCAGCATAGTCACATTCTGGTGGGTTCTCTCTTCTGGCTTGCAGACTGCTGACTTCACATTGTATCCTCAAATGGCAGAAAAAGAGTGAGAGGAAGCTCTCATGGCGCACTAATCCCATCTATGAGAACTGCATCATCACGACATAATTACCTCCCAAAGGCCCCATGCCTCCTAAAAACATTACACTCATGGTTAGAATTTCGATACATAAATTTGGGGAGGGGAACACAATTTGAACTGTGTTATGCACTCAATGTTTGTGTATGTAACTATGAAATGTTTGTTTATGAAACTATCACATGAATGCAAGATGTTAATAATAGGAAAAAACTATATGTTGGAGACAGGGAGTATACAGGAACTCAGTACTTTCACTCATTTTTTCTGAAAATTTAAAAATTGATCTGAAAAATCAAGTCTATTAAAAAAAGAAAAACACTGCAAAAATGCACAAACAAAATGAAAAGATTCTATGTAATGCTCACTTCAGCAATACAGTACGGAATATTAAGAAAACAATGTATTTACACAACCCCACACACATTCAAACAAATTGCATGAATCTTTTGCTTAATCTGGACTTCAAAGAAGTAGGCAATAAAAAGCTGCAAATCACTCTTCAGTGGACTTGCTAATTTCATATGGCACAAATCAGAATGAAGTATCAAGGATAAAATATACTCATTTGTGAAGTCAAATGGAAAAAAAAACAATCATCACATTACTTTGTTCATAAACAACAGTGGTAGTCTTCTGGGCATCTCCTGGTCAGCTGTGGATCCCAAGAAGGCAGCAACTGATGAGAATGATTAATTCTAAAGACAAGCATTATGTTGTTTGGTAATTTAAGTACTATTGAAAGGCATCTTAATTTGGAAGAAACTTAGTAATACACAAATGCTTCATTTAAGACCCTCTGAGGTAAAATTAAACAAATACTACTTTCAATATATTTCTGTGAGTTTATGTCATGATGTTTTAGACTACAATTTAAAATAAAACAAGCATAAATTTGAAACCTAAGCTGTTGCTTTAATAGTTTATTTCTTCTCCAGTACGTCATTCTAATTACTGCTTGCGCAAGTTAATACCTGTATCAAAATAACGCCAAAGAAAGCACTCTTGGAACAACTTTTCGGTATTATTGCTAGTATAAAAAATGTACAACACAGATGTCAAAGAATGTTGATAACAGTGGAAACAAAAGTAAACAAATAAAAACAAAAATAAAATTTTAAAGGACAAATGTTCTGAAAAACAAAAATATTTACATAATTCATATCCCACATTTGAAATTGAACTTGAATTTTTATCATTATGAGAAGCCCCTTAGTCTTCTATCACTGTTGTAATGGCAGATCTATTTTTATACTAGTTACTGTCTTGATAAAATGTGGAAATATATGACTTATCCTATATATATAATTGCATTACTAATCACACAAGAATGCTAGAACACTGCTTGGTCTAAACTATGCAATTTTGAAAACCTCCCAGTGAAATTAAAAATTTCTTACATGAAACTTCTAAAAACCTAAATTATAAACCTCGTTGCCATTTTCGCTTTGTAGAAAATCATAAAGAAGCTTTATAAAGTTGCACTATAAAATATTTTAGGTGAATCAAATTCAAGCATCAAAGGTCTCCTACCTTAACATAGCATTTTGTCCATCACTTCTTGTACACGAAACCTGCCGGGTTTGATAACCTATCTCTATTGCCCAAGACTTCGAATGATGATGTGCTTTGTAACTTTGATGTTTAAAGGTGACTCGCTCATTTGAATCAGAGTTAAAATCCAGAACAGTTCTTCCGCTTGGATTAATTTCTTTAAGATGAGGCAGTCTGCATTTACTCCATGGTCCAACCTTAAGGCTAAATGTATATTCCTCTTCCCCAAGAGGACAGGAAATGGGAGCATCACAGGCTCTTGACTCAGTCAGATTTGGACATTGCAAACCACCAAAGAGAGGGGGAGCTATGACCGCGCGAGTTCTATGCTGCAATTTCTTCCCACATCCCTTGCTACAGTTGGACCATGGTAAGAACTCAGATACTACACAATCCCGGGGACAAGGAATGAGGCAAGCCTGTTCTGTAGGAGGCTGAAGGGCAAAGTGTTCGCATATTTCATTTGCAACCACAGTTCGGTTCAGCTTCTGAATGCAGCGCACCATCCGGTGCTGCAGTCCATGCTGAGCCGTCACACACTCTGCAGTCCGAGGCTTGACTTCACCGCGAGCGTAAGGAACAAGCACACAGTGGTGCCAGTCAGAAACCTCCCACTGAAAGAGGTCACTGTGCCAGTCACAAACTCGGAAACAACTTCTTTCCTTTGGAGGCCTGTTGCTCTCACCACAGTTAGACAGGTGACTTGTCCACCCGTCAACATGAAAACACCACACTGCCCGACTCTGGACTCCTCCGGGACCACAGTCTCCTGTACACCTTCCCCACGGACCTACAGGCAGAAAAACAAGGATGTTAATTACTCAGAGATTACATTCAGCAATTCACAGGTAAGTAGAAGTCAATTAACACACTTTCCAACACAAGCAGTATGAAATTAGGAATTTTGGTGGAACAGAGACAACATAATTTAGTGGTTCAGAATGTGGACACTCTTGTTGAAATAAGCATTCCATCAGTAATGTAAACTTGGATGAATTATTTCAACTTTCTAAGCCTTAGAAAGTTCCTCACCTATATAAGGTAGAAGATAATAAAAGCACCGACTTGTAGAATTGCTCTGAAGATAAATGATACAATGTGTCAAGTAGACAATACAAATTTAATAAATGATTGGTACCATTATAACTACTACGTTCCAAAGCCTATACATCTAACTCAATATTAATACTTTCCACTGAGGTGGTGTTTCATTCAAAAGAAAAGCCCTAAAGCCAGGATTTTAATAAAGTAGAATTTTTCATATTTCCAGTCTTTCAGCTCAAACTCTAAGAAGCTCAGAAGAGAGATATGTTTAACACCCTAAGTTGCCAAAGTATCCTATTTTCATTTTCAAAATAATTGTCCTCAGTTTTGGTTAGTACTTGCAGAGAGAATTGCATGAAAATAACAATGGGGTGCAGGGGAAAGGTAAGGTAATAAGAGAAGCAGCAGCACTGAATTGTCTGTGGAAATTCTGCCCCTAGAATCCTTGAAGTGTACTCATTTTGATTTCTGATGGGTACTGATCCAGGTACAGTTTCCAACATTAGCTTGTAATATGCCAGATCTTTTAATTAACTAATTCATTTGTGTAGGTAAGAGTCCAAGAAATGGACAGATGAGGGAGCTGCCCATTGACGTTTATCATATTTTTTGCATCTCATCTACAGACATACCAGCAGGCCTTATCCAGAAAGTTGGTATCTTTTCACAAGGACAGTAAGTAATCACATTTTGTGTCAACAACAATGAAAAAAATAGTTTCTTCTCTTTCATTTTATTTAAATATGTAATCTGAACCTGTTGGTGGGAGTGTAAATTAGTTCAACCATAGTGAAAGACAGTGTGGTGATTCCTCAAGGATCTAGAACCAGAAATACCATTCAACCCAGCAATCTCATTACTGGGTATAAAGGATTGATCCCAAAGGATTATAAATCATTCTACTATAAAGACACATGCACACGTATGTTTATTGCAGCACTATTCACAATAGCAAAGACTTGGAACCAACCCAAATGCCCATCAATTATAGACCGGATAAAGAAAATGTGGCACACGTACACCATGGAATACTATGCAGCCATAAAAAAGAATGAGTTCATGTCCTTCACAGGGACGTGGATGAAGCTGGAAACCATCATCCTCAGCAAACGAACACAGGAATAGAAAACCAAACACTGCATGTTCTCACTCATAAGTGGGAGTTGAACAATGAGAACACATGGACACAGGGAGGGGAATATCACCCACCAGGGCCTGTCGTGGTATGGGGGGCAAGGGTGGGGAGAGCATTAAGACGAATACCTAATGCATGCGGGGCTTAAAACCTAGATGATGGGTTGACAGGTGCAGCAAACCACCATGGCACATGTATACCTATGTAACAAACCTGCATGTTCAGCACACATATCCCAGAACTTAAAATTAAAAAAAAAAAAAAGTTTTATCAGCTTAACTAGGTACCTTTGCCCCTGTCTCAGGACTGTGATGATCATAAGGCACTTCAGACCCTAAGAGGCATATGAATTTACACAAGCTCTCTCTCTTTCCCTGAATCTGACCAGCTTCCCCAAATGATGTTTAATTACTCCATGAAAAATATTTTCATTAGCATCCACTACATTTGTACAAATAGTAGACATGTACGTAATCACATGCATTTAGGAAGAAACATATACATCCCCAGAGAAGCAGGTTATCTGCACTGGGGCCACACACTAAAATGAGGATCTGTCACTTTAGTAGGACAAAAGGGTCCGGTTCTAATGCAACTAATCATCTCAATTCTTCCTCACATCCCTGTTCTAGCCATATACACCTGGCATTCTTGGCAATAGCATGTCAATGCCTTCTGCCACTTTGTGAGAGAGATTAACATAGAAAACATACTAGAGACTTCTCTTGCTGAAACAGAACAGGTTTCACTGGAGCAGGTCAGCTTTCATTACCAAAATGCCCCTGAGTTTGCCCACTACCTTCCTCCAGTCTGTTGTCCCAGCACAGACTGCTTATAGTATAGAGAACACGCGTTGAAAACGGTGATCTTAGCACGGGCTGACTTAATCAGCCACCCACAATTCTGGTAATGTAGATTACTCACAATTCTTTACTTTGCAAATTGAGATGTTTCTTGTTACTTGAAAGTGATTGGGAGGCTTTCTCTGTCCTAATGTTCTAGAGAAGTTTCAGTTTAAGTGTTCTATTCATTGTCCATCATGTCAGACCATTCATATAAATTTTTATTATTGCCCCAAAATTCCCACAGTTACTCAGTAAAGGAATATTTCAAAATATATACAAACACAGCAAACTTTAAAATCTAAAATTAATCTTGAATAATATAAAACAGTTATTGGATAAAGTTAAAGGAAATTTTTTTTTGTAGAGCACTGTGGATTTTTAAGTAATGGCTGTCAGTTTATCTCTATTTGATTAGGTATTAAGCATACACAATTTTCCACTCAGGATTTTTTTTGCATGGATTAATGAAAGTAAGATCAGAAAAGTTGGACCTATTTCTGGTCAATCTTCAAAAGTTAATATTACACTTAATTCATTTAGAATATCTGGCCAAGTAACTCTTGTCTTTACTTTTAAAGCATTTGACTATGACATTCTCTTTTTTTTTTTATTATAAATTCTCCACTTTCAAAATAAGCTATCTCTTTTTTGGTTATTTGAAATCATTACTATTTTAAACTTTAGAAATATTATTCTTCCCTTAGATTTCATCTCCTCTTTCTTTACAGAATTTTTCCAAATAATTGCTTAGCCTTTTGGCTAAGATCAAATGAAGAATTTCATCAAGCAGCAAAATTTTTTCTGCATCATTGGAGAAAAAAAGTATAACTATTAAGTAATTAAAATTGCTATATTTGAAGATGTTTCTTAGCTTAGCCATGATCTCCTATTTGGATATGAGTTAATCCAAAATTAACTCACATCCAATATTAACTCTAAAAATTATCCAAAGGAATATTAAGCTATATTAATTTTGGATATGAGTTAATTCAATATTATGCTATATATGTTAATATTCATTTGGGTATGAGTAGAACAGGTAATGAAGGCAGTATGTAAACAATTACTCCCCACTCCTTGGCCTGGAAATTTAGGATAGTGGCTCTTATGAGGTAAGACACATGCATGTTAATAAACCTTGGTCAGGACATTTAGAAAGGCAGAGTCAAACTAGAATAGTTCCTCCTTATATTAAAGCAAACTTTGAGGACAACCAAAAAACATGTAAATAACAAGCAAATGCAAACTGAATTGTGCACACATGGAATAAATGAAAAACAAATTACAAACAAGACATATGAGATGAAGACAAGACCTTTCAGCAATTGACCTATAGCCATTTGCAGTTCTCAGGCATGGAGAGAAAATGTGCTCCATGATTTATTCAGTTGTATTTGGCTATGAACTTTCAATACATACATGAGTGAAAATCACACAGCCCTAAGGGGTTTTGCCATTTCAAAAAAACATGAATATTGAAGTAAAATGTGACTGGCAGTTTGAGAAATCTTACATCTCTTGTCCAAGTTCACAAATAAAAGAAATAATTAAAAATGTAAGCAGTTGCATGAAGAAAGAAGAATATTACCTTTACATTTATTACATACAAAAAAACCTTGCTTTTATTACAAAATATATATGTATTATATATTAACAGTATTCACAAATAATCTAAAGAAATACATAAGAAACTATGTTTTTAAATGTCAAGAATTTTTATATGCCTAGTGAAAAAAACAGACACCAAGTAATAAAAATAAAACAAAATTTAGAATAATTTAAGTATTAAAAGTTTGACTACTGATGTAATGTAGCTCTAAACCATTAATAAAACTCATGCTGGTTGCTTTCTCAGAAAGTACTTCAATGATGTAATGGGGACAGTAGTTCTGTATCTGTTTACTTGGGCAAACATTATGTAAAGAGTCATATATCTGCAACTTGCTACCCTTTTTGTGAGAGGAATATAGCTGCTGTTGAATAGTCCAAGTATTTTAAGCCACATCACACATTAACACATTAAAATTTTGGCCTAGAAGTGAATTCTTTGGACTTGGAAGGGTAGCACTGATGAACTCGCAGGTCACTTTCAAATTTAAGGCTCTGTGATTTGTCTTTTTTTCTGCCTGTGTTTTTGCAGGAAATGCAAATATGTGAATGCTGTAATGTGAATGCTAGAAGCAGAAAAGCACAGGCAAATTTTATCCTCTTAATTAAGTCACCCTTAACTGGATTAGTTGGGGGCATGCATCACCCAACATAAATCATCACATTTAAGAAAGCATGCTGGATGCCTGAATTTTAGGTGTGGTGTTCAATAAAATGCCTGAAACAAACGAAAAAGGAGGCTCCAGAGGACAAAGAAAATAAGCACACTCTCCATAGCTCTTGCACAGTACTGGTCACTATTTGAAGTGGCAACCCTGATTTAATACCATGCATGCAATAAGAAGAGATGTTTGCTTTATTTTTCATTTTTCCCTGTCACAGCTTTTATTATCCTGACATTGCTTTATTTTTAACTTGGGCAAGGGGTATGGGGAGATGACATGAATAATGATGCAGAGTTTTAGCAACTTAAGCAAACTATTTGTGAATAATTACTAAATCAAAGCACTCATAAACCTCAGAATTACAAAATCGGATTTAAAACAACATTGACTTACTTATAAGATGCTTTACTTCCAATAGGTTAATGTAGTGACTTTTACTTCTCAAAAAGCTACCGCATCAACTACGGAATAATTAAAATAACACCTCTCTTATATAGCAGACATTTATTTAAGAAAGTTCACTTTCTAAAATGCATCTAAGAACCCAAGCAATGAGAAAAAGTGACATCTGAACATTCATTCATTATAACAACAATTATTCATTCTCTGTTACTTGACGAGTAGTGTATTAGATTCTGAGAATACAAAAATAAATAAGGCAGTAAATATCTGTTAATGCTGTGCACTAAGTGTAACACCAATTTACTCCTGAAGAGGGTGTTTGGTCCTTCCTTTAGGCCTATTTACACTTACTTTATACACAGTATTAACAATCTTAATGCTTTTGTTTCCCAGAGCTCACTAGATCTATAGCAGCAAGCCAGAAGTTGAGAGTCAGCCCTGGAGGCAGGCTCACTGATGGAAACAGGAAGGGATGAGAGTTTCCAAGTCTATATTTCTAAATCAATCATGATCATTAATAACTTCCACTAGCAGCGGATGCACAAAGTCACTCAATACTTTCTAAACTAGCAATGAAAACCTGCTCATCAGATATATCCATTACTGAGTTACGCATTGGATAATACTAAATAAAGAAAATACACAAACATACGAGAATTTAAATGAGAGGAAACTTAAGCTCTGTTGCATTTCATTAAAAAATTCCATTTGCACTTTTTGCAACAACAAAACACATTTCAGTTATATAAAAATCATTAAAAAAATAAAAAACATTCATGGTACATTCATGGCCTGAATATGTGTGTTAAAGTATTCCCATAAATCTCAGAAAAATTCAACAGCAAAAGTAACATATACAACTTCATTTTCACACACTTAAAGATTTACTTATAAAGGTAGTTCATGATTCCATAGCAGACTACCGCAGAGCATTTGGATGGAATATTTATACCTCAAGTAAGCATAAGCTTTGTTGCTAATGTTCCCAGCTCTTTCTGTATGATTGTGTTTTTGTTTGGCACTAATAGCACATTGTAAATCCATTTCATCTTTGTGGACAGATGCCTCTGACTGAAAAGCAAAATGCCTCTGTTACTTACTTTTGATTACAAATTATTAGTCGCCAGTGTCTAGAACATCCATTAGAAGTAGCTCGACAGCAAAGCAGATTAGACATGTATTTGAACCACTTATCAGCTAATGCAAACATCACGGAGACAGAAAACCACCTTTTAAAAATTGTTTATCAATATTTCTGGTTTGAATGCTACTTTCTAAAAATTCTAAAGCCTAAAAAAAGACTCTCAAACCTCATATATTTCACAGCAATCTGACACAAGTAGGTCTTTAGGATCACTAAAACCTACATCCTGCTAACCTCCTAGAATGTAGGAGTGGCAAGAGAATCTTACAGCCCAGAGTTTTTGCAGGAAAAAGCAAAGCCTAGACAAATTCAGTGACTTGCCCAAGGTCACACAATCATTTGGAGCAAAAATGGGGCTGACAATTTTATTTACACACACCCAATCCAGTGATTTGTAACTCTATATCACGCTGGTTTCTATTAGAACAGTTCTAAGACTGCAAGGGAAGAATAAGGGCTCCATAAATGTTGCAGTCTAAGGTGTGGGTGAGGGAAGAGAGGCCAAAAAATCTCAGCATTAACAAGCAATTTGTTGTTTGTGTTATACAAGTTTATAATGTAATTTCCACTTGTTAATTCTGGTCTTTGGCCTCTGTGACTGTCTGTCACCTGGAGCAGATAGCTGCTCCCAGGGTCCCTTCACTATTTGTTATGTGAAATGAGATCCTTCCTGCCTTTGTTTGCTTGAGAACATCAGTCAAACTGCTGCTCAAGTACATCCAGCAAGATTCAGGGGTTTAGCACAGGAATGAACCCTCAGACAGCAATCAGAAATTATGTGTCCCTAGAATAACAATTACAATAATAGTAATAGGCATGGTTTATTATTTCTGTTTTTGTTTTTTTGAACACCTACTATCATCTTCCCAATACCATATGTGCCTTATTGAAATTGTTCTGCTTTGCAATTGAGGACATCAATGCATGAGATCAAAGAACCTGCACAAGGTAAACAGCTCAGGTGCCCTCTCCAGTTCTATCTTATTCTAAACGTCTTCCACAACAATTGCAATTTAATTATTTGTAGCAATGATATCCCTTGAGCAAATGGGGCTTGCAAAGCCATTGGGTAAAACATATTTAGAAGGGAGTCTGATTTGAGTGCAGCTGGTGTGTGGGGCCGAAGGCCCCGCCACCCGTCTCTTGCCGAAAGCCCCTGCCCCTGTCTCTGTCCAGCTCAATGCCCTGGTTCGAGCGATGGCCTCAAAACTCTCGGGGCTCTGCTACCTGTCAAAAGATATTTATGAAATGTTTTCATCCCATAAATATGGCTTCACTCAACTTTGACTTTACTTACAATAAATGCTTCAGCTAAGCCCTTTGGATTCCCTGGAGAAGTGGAAGAAAATCATTTACTTGGCTGTTTTGCATCAGTTAAATGGAAATGGCAATAAAGAGTAAACCAGAAAGAGAGACCAGCTGAATCCCACACAACGTTCTCCTGAAGGACTTTCTCCTTGAGCTTACAGAAAGCCTAGGTATTGACTTCACTCAAGAGGACCAGATATCTGTTCGCTTTATACTACACAGAAAGCAAACTAGAAGATGTTTTAGGGAGGCTGAAAATTTTAAGCTGCGTCCCTGATCAAAAAAATGAGAATAAAGTTCTGTTTACCCAGTGAATGATCAATACATGCTGAACTTGATAAAGGAGGCTTTCTTTTATGTTGTCTACTAGAGGTCAAGGCAAGGCAGTAACGTTGGGACTATGCATACAAGCTTTAAAAATACGTAAAACAAAAGGGCAGAGAGCATGCAAACATTTCATTTACCATTACGCAACTCAAGAATTAATTTTGCCTGAGACAAAAACTGCACAAGAGCATACCCAAGACAATATTTTCCCTAACTTCAAGAATCAACCACTGTAACAGATACATGGAGTATATTTGTACCTGAACCCATATCTCTTTCTAGTAGCAGATATTCATACCATATACAAGTGAGAACAAACAAGGTACTGGCTGCATTTTGGTGGACAGAACATTTAGTGCATCTCATTTTTTTTCAAAGGAATAATTTTTTGTTTTGAAACTGCAATTTTAAGACTGTGAGACTCTGGTCTGTAAAATAATTTTCAAGCTAGCATTTTTTTAAAAAAAATCTGAGAAATAGCAGTAACATTGTAACTGAGTAGTTTACTTTCAAAATGCATTATAAAACTTTTTTCTTTTCTCCTTTCTTCCCAGTGTGACCATATAACCATGAAACAAACTGTTCTCACTCATAAGTGGGAATTGAACAATGAGAACACATGGACACTGGGAGGGGAACATCACACAACAGGGCCTGTTGGGGGGTGGGGGGCAAGGGGAGGGATAGCATTAGGAGAAATACCTAATGTAGATGACAGGTTGATGGGTGCGGCAAACCACCATGGCATGTGTATACCTGTGTAACAAACCTGCACGTTCTGCATGTGTATCCCAGAACTTAAAGTATAATAAAAAAACAAATAAAAAACTGTAGAGACCTTCTTCCTTAGTCTTAAAATATAGTCTTGAGACACTCCAAAACTCCACTCCCTTCCCTTTCTCACCATGTACTCCTTTGCCCTATGCACATTTATCTAGCTGTGTGCTTGTTATCTAATTATGTGTTTACTTAGAAGTTCCAGAGGCTAATCTTGAGACAGACCAAGCCTGGAGACTTAGCTGCAAAATTCCAGAGATTACCTCAAAGCAACAACCTGGCATTGTTGAGATGATGCCAGCCGCACTACTGGTGGACCACGGCTTGAGATGGCCACTGGAACAAGACACGTGGACCTTGTATTCAGCACCCCTCCTGCATGGCTCCCATTCCAAGTTCCTTTTTTTAGCTCCTCTTCCTAGTTTAAAATTAGAAGCAGTTTCTGGAGGCATAAGCCAGTCACTTCTCCACAGCTAGCTTTAGAAATAAAGTCACTTTCCTTTCACTGCGCTTTCTCCTCATTATTGGCTTTTCAAACAGTAAGCACCTGAGCCTGTGCTCGGTAACAACATGGCATAATCACAATATTGTTTTCTATCGAGAATCAACTAAAACACCTATATACCCAGTAGAGTCAAATGGGTATGCTGAAGACTTTCAGGAAGGTTTACAAAGATCAGATTCAATCACCCACCAGCTCTGTCTCCTAAACATTATTTCACTCTGCCCCAGTTTCTTCATCCCATTCCACCGCCACCTGCAACCTTGGCGCAGACCATTGCTTTCTCTCGCATGGATGAAAGGAGTATCCTCCCATTCCGCCTTCAAGAATCCACTGCTGCACCCCACTCCACCCCTGCTATCAATTCCTTTTCCCTATTGTGGTCCTATAGGACCTAATTATATCTTTTAATAATTCAAATTTCTACCACTTTGGGTGCAGCATGTCATCTGTATATCATTTTCATGTGAAAAGCTCATCAACAGCTTCCTGTTCCTTTCAAAATAAAGAAAAACAATATTATTAACATAACATACAAGTGCCTGCTTGATCAGGCCCATCGTACTCCTTTAGTGTCCTGATTTCCTGGCCCAGCCACCTCCACTCACTGCTTTCTCACCACACTGGCCACCTTTCGGTTCCCCCAATAAGCCAAGCTCCTTCCAATACCTGGGCGGCCATATGGACTGTCTTTTAATTTTTTTTTTTTTTTTTTTTTTTTTGAGACGGAGTTTCACTCTTGTCACCCAGGCTGGAATGCAGTGGCGTGATCTTGGCTCACTGCAAACTCTGCCTCCCAGGTTCAAATGATTCTCCTGCCTCAGCCTCCCAAGTAGCTGGAATTACAAGTGCCCGCCACCATGCCCAGCTAATTTTTGTATTTTTAGTAGAGACGGTGTTTCGCCATGTTGGCCAGGCTGCTCTCGAACTCCCGACCTCAGGCGATCTGCCCACCTCGCCTTCCCAAAGTGCTGGGATGACAGTCGTGAGCCACCACACCCCGCTGGGTCTCTTAAACCAAATTAGACGCACTGCCTGCTACAGCCCAGTAACATTCATCCCCACTCACCCTTTAGATCTCAAGGCATGTCTGTAGAGAACTCTTCCCTCTGCTCTGATAGTACTTTATTCTCCTACAAAGCATTCACTCTTGCAATTACAAATCTAATTGTAGAATTCACTGTTTAATACTTGTCTCTCTCAGTTGACTCTAAACTCCATGAAAGTAGAAACATTTTCAACCTATTCACTACTCTATTCCCTGTACTAGCCCAGCACTAGGCATACAGTTAGGGTCTAATTAATATTGCACATTACTGAAGCTAGAACAAGTAGCATCATAGGCAGCAGAATCATGTCCAAGTGTAGTTAGGTGCAATGTCAACACTAGAAACTCACAACATCAATGGGTTGATGATTTTTCCAAAATGAAAAAAAAAAGTTGAAGAGAAAAAGTCTCTTCTCTGTGTTTCCTCAGTTTATGATTGTAGGTAGAAACCTGTATTCTATTGGGCACCTAATAATGGTGCCCAACAGAATTTTTAAATACTGTTTTTTCACAAATCCTTTTGCAATGCCTGTTATTCTTTGTTGCAACTCTATAGATCCCTTCTTCCCAGTCTCCATAAAGCCCATGGAATATACAGCAATGGGGTACCCAGTCTTCTCAAGGCTAGCATGGTAATGTACTAAAGCACCCAAGACTACAGAAAAACCCTTGATCTTAAGTATAGCTCTAATGAGAATGATGCAGGAATCTCACTCAACAAGTAAAATATTATCTTTTTCCTTGAAGAATGTAAATAAATGAGAATTGCATATCAGATTCTATTATACCAGCTTACTACAGTAGTTCCTATTTATCTGTGGCTTCACTTTTTGTGGTTTTAGTTACCTATGGTCAACTGCAGTTCCCAAATACTAAATGGAAAATTCCAGAGATAAGCAATTCATAAGTTTTGAATAATATGATGAGGTCTCACTTTGTCCTGCTTATGTTTCTGCCTGGGGATGTGAATCCTTTCTTTGTCAGGTGTATCCACACTGCAGATGCTGCCTCTCCACTAGTCACTTAGCAGCCCTCTGGGTTACAAGATTGAATGTTGCAGTATGGCAGTGCTTGTGTGCAAGTAATCCTTACTTTACTCATAATGGCCTCAAAGTGCAAGAGTAGTGATGCTGGCAATTCAGATACACCAAAGAGGAGTCATAAAGTGTTAGCTTTAAGTGAAAAGGTGAAAGTTCTAGACTTAATAAGGAGAAAAAAAAAACAAGTCATATGTTGAGGTTATTAAGATCTACCATCTGAATGAATCTTCTACCTGTGAAATTATGAAGAAGGAAAAAGAAATTCATCCTAGTTTTGCTGTTGCACCTCAAACTGCAAAAGTTACAGCCACAGTACATAAGTACTGAGTTGGAAAAGGCCTTAAATTTTTAGGTGGAAGACAGGAAGAGAAACATGTTGCCATTGATGGCAATGTGTTGCACCAGAAAGCATTAAGCCCATAAGGAAGACTTCAACAAGGGATCCCCTGAAACAAGTGACACCAAGCCACTTGCTGCAAGTACAGAATAGTGACATGGATTCAGGAATTCAGAAGGTCAGTGGCAGCCTAACACTATGTCACAATGCCTACGCCATTCACCTCCCTTCATATCATCGCACAGTCATTTTATCCTTGTTAATTTTAGGATCCACATCATCACAAGAAGAAAGATGAGTATAGTATGAGACATTCTGAGAGAGAGAAAAAGAGGGACCACTTTCACACAGTTTTTATTATAATATTATTACTATAACTGATCTGTTTTATTATGGTTATTAATCTTATTGTGTCTAATTTAGAAATTAAACTTTATCATAGGTATGTATATAGGAAAAAACATAATATGCACAGGGTTCTGTACTAGTCACAGTTTCAAGTGTCTACTGGAGGTCCTGGGACATATCCCCCAGGAACAAAGGTGGACTTTTGTACAAGAAAAGCTAAAAAGTGCTGGGAGATGAAATTATCATGGTGGTCACAGGTTCATCATAGTAACCGCAGCATCAATACACCCAGTATTATCCTGGACACTTTACAGCAAACATGTCATGCAGTCCTCAAAGCAGCCTTACAAAGAGACTAATTTTAAAAAGAATTCCTGGATGCCTAAAATTCCCTGGATATCTTCAGAAAAATTGGCAGAATAAATGAAAAGGGGGTGAATGTAATATTTTTAGAGATTGTTGATATGATTACATTCTCTGATATCCAGGAAAATAGATCTAAGAAGAAGTGAGCCAGGAGCAGCTGTGCTTCAAGGCTGTTAATGTGGACCACTCCTCTGCCTGAAGAGGAAGGAGGAGAAGCTGAGAAAAACCCCAGAAGCAGCGAGAAAGCTGTCAGGATACAGGTTCCCGACTAAAACCTGGAAGATTCTCCACAAAATGTCTTCATGCTCACACCCTAGAGGAGCGTGGAGTGAGATTATTGTTCTGAAGGGTACAGTCTAGGTCAGAAACCTAGTACTCACCTTCAGTGTGGGGGTTAAAGGATGGGAGAGATGTGTGTAAGAAGTAGGTTTTGTTTATAGAAACAGATTTATTAAGAGAAGATGGTGGAAGACATTTTTGAATTATCAACCTAAACAATTGTTTCCTTCCACCTAATATTTCTCTTTTCCCCCTTGCCCCTTTTAAACAGGTCATCAGTGGCCCATGCTCATGTTCTCAGACAAGAGGTGTAATAGAGCAAAACGTCAACACAGTCCAACAAGCCTCTGGGGTTTGTGTGCAAGCTTCCTAGGCCATTATGTAGGTTACCTTGGGTATTTCTGAGGTAAGGAGTCTCTGCTTCTGCCACACACCTCCTGCCTCAAAAAATACATATAATTAAAACAAAAGCTTCCTCTCTGCTCTTCTCCTCCTCGGAGCAAAACTGATAAGAATCGAAATTCAATGTCAGTGAGAGACCCTTTACCTTGCTTCCCCAGAGAACGAATGGCTGCCTAGGGTGACCAGGCAGAGCAGGCCGAGGTCACTGAGAAACACCTAGGACTCAGGTTGAGCACAGTGGAAAAGTACCATAAAGAACCAAGCATGGTGCAGAAGCTCTAGAGAGAGTCTCCAGCCAGCCTATCAGGAAAAAGAGCCCTCTAAGCAGTGACCAGTTTCAACTGACTGACAGCTGAAGAATGGTGAACTTTTCAGAGGAAATAATTGGGGACCCTGGCGGTAGGAAGGGCTCAAAGTAAATAATCAAAGTAAGTTAAAGAAAATGATATTCCTTGCACATCTAATTTGTTTGGCTGAGAGGAATACCCACTATAATAATCACCACCATGTATAATAATTAAAGAAAATCAGAGATGTACTGCAATAATAAATACATCCCCAACCAGCCCAGGGGCTGACAGACCCATGGGACATGCAAACCTTCGCTCAATAGTGCACTGAGAAAATCTATCCTCATTACCCTTTCCAAGCTGGGCGAGCACACAGCAATGGCCTGCAGCCTGTGTCAACTCTTTTTAGCCCCTGCATTATTGGAATTTCCCAGAGTGCTTTGTGAGAATTCAGCTTACAAAAAAAGTGAATTGAAGAAATGTCATTTGAATTACGGAGGGACTTTACAATTACATAATGAAAATAATAATTATAAGGGCTCATTAATCACTTGTTAGGGTCAATGTTAGCTCAGGCTATTGAAAAGAAAATGCTGAGTTTTAAAAGTTCCTGGGGACAAGCGAGTACTATGCTGTCCCCTGCCTTTCCTGGATTAATCATCTCATCTGATTCCAACTGAAGATAACATATTATTACTTAGGATTTTCCAAAATGTTTTAAGTGGAACCACTGTACCCTCTGAGTTTAGTAAGAAAGGAGGATCCTTGTTATTAAATAAATTTGGGAATGATACAGGGTTAAACAAAACTAAAAGTTTTCATTTTTAAAGGACTCCTCCAGGCTTTTAATACATAATGTGAATCCTCAAGAATTTATCCCTAGTGTGCAAAGGGTCACAAACTTCTTTCCCTGTGTAACTGTTTCCTGGAGGAAAAAAAAGAGAGAGAGAGAAATATTTTGCATGCATGATACTTTCTTATTGTTAGGTTAGATGAGGTAAATGATCTTTTTTCTTAACCTCAATGATTACAGATAACATGGAAACATTTTTATAATTTCAATTTTAGGATTCATATCTCATAAGTTCAGGTTAAAATCCAATTTCCCATCCAAAGCCTAGCACTTATGTCCTTTACAGGATGTGAACACATAAAACCACAAAACAATGAACACATCAGTAAAAGTCCGAGATCTGCCACATGTTCACAAGGAATAAATGTGAAGGTAGAACGCAGGGCAGAAATCAGAATATTTCAGGGGTATCAGCAGAGCAATTGTTAAAGTCCTGAGACATGAGATCAGATCCCATAGAAGAGTGACAAGGCTTAATGTTATAAAGGCACAAACTAATTCAGAACAATCACTGAACATGTGCCTAATTTACAGACCGTGAAAAGGCCCTACCTACAGGACATGCTCTCTAAGTTCAGATTTCCTACATCCTTTCAAACATACCTTGTGCTGTGCTGGGGTTTTACTTCAGGATATGACATGATGTACTTTATTGGCCACACATTAGCGAATTATAGCAATATAATCATTGCTTCCAATTTTAGAACACAGCATTATTGACTCTGTGTGCTATGCCAAGAACATTACATGAATCCAGTATTATATTAATATAACAATACATAAGAAACAGAATTGGCTTATATATTAATATAATCATAACATATTATATGTTATATTAAATACATATTATATAATATTGCATAATATATTACATATATTTAAGCCAATTCTGTTTCTTACGTACGATGTAGTTTTTGTTAGTATATATGTGTTATGTATTTTATATATATGTGTGATATAATATGAAATTCTATTATAAACTATATTAGATATAATATAAATGCATGTATACATTCTTCTGTGGGCACATACATTCATATTAATATATATGTATGTTGCCAATTGATTCTATTATAGTATTCTTAGTACATTTTGTTAGTATACTTTAATAGCCACATCTAATATGTATCACCTCAATGACCAAAATTACTGCTTATCTGCACCCCTTATGCTCATCCCATCATCAACAACCTCAAGGAGACTTCTGCTTCTTTTCCTTCTATGCAAACAAATGTGTGACTATCCCCTTGAATACAAACAGGAAAGTACTGATATCCTACAGTCAAAGAATTTTAGTTTTTTATCCACGCAGAGACCACATAAAAATTGATTAAACACACAACAATATTCCTGAACCATCCACAAAATATGAATTTACATTTATTTTAGAGTGAGCTGTACCCTGTTATATCCTTGTTCTCCAAAAATCAATAATTAAATCATGGACTAGATACGGAAATTTAATATTGACCATAAAATTCTATTCCCTTGGCACCAACTTACTGTAACATGCCATTAGAACTCTTTATTCCCCTTGTGATTTCAGAGAATTAGTTTGAGTACCTCATAATTCCTGTCCTGATGAAACACATTATCAAAGCTTATACCACTTTGGGGTAATTGAAGTCTACACTTCATAATCTACATGAAGATTTACTTGAGCTTTTCTTTTATTCTGTTCAAGACAGATGTAGGCTCAGTAAGAGTCCCTCTTTACTTTTTTCTAGCTGACCACATAAGCCATGGGGTACACTGAGTGTGAGATCTACAGGTCTCAGAAAGAAATATAGCTACCTCTGCTGAGCGCGGTGGCTCATTCCTGTAATCCCAGCATTTTGGGATGCCAAGGCGGGTGGATCACGAGATCAGGAGTTCGAGACCAGTTTGGCCAATGTGGTGAAACTCCGTCTCTACTAAAAATACAAAAAATTAGCCAGGTGTGGTGGTGTGCACCTGTAATCCCAGCTACTCGGGAGGCTGAGGCAGGAGAATCACTTGAATCTGGGAGACAGAGGCTGCAGTGAGCCAAGATTGCGCCATTGCACTCCAGACTGGGCAACTGAGGGAGACTCCAACTCAAAAAAAAAAAAGAAGAGGAAGAAAGAAAGAGGAGGAGAAGGAGAAGAAAAAGAAATATAGCTACCTCTTGGGCTAGTTTCCTCTAGCTTCCACCTAGAGGAAGAGAAGAATCAAAATAAGCTTTCATACTTAGTCTGGGAGAGGTGGCCATCCCACACCTCCTGTCCACCTTTCTACCGGAACACATTTGTAAGCATTGTCCAGCCCTTGTAGCTCTCATCAAAGAGTTCCTTTGGGAATCAAACACTCCATTATTCCTCTGTAACCCTGCTTCTTTCTTGAGGCAATTTCAATAAGCCATGCAGGGCATTGCTCACAGTGCTGCCAAACCTTTTGCTGTACTGTGGGGGTGATTATTACAGAAGTGAACATTTGTCAGTGATCTGAAAGCCTGGCCTGAGCAGGCAGTGGGGAAGGAGCAGAGGTTCCATAGAAGCAGTCAGCTACAACCAGAAAACCAACACCCTCTGACTAGCTGGGCACAGCATGTGGACAGAAACACAATAGAGTAGGCAGGCTCTGCTCACAGTGCCTGATAAATCAGCCTTAAATGCTTACATTCATTTGTTCTTCCAAATACCCAAAGCAAAGAGTCAATGGCAGTAAATAGTTTAAACGGGGGGAAGCAAGTTTGTAGAAAGTGCTTCAGAGCTATACAGGCTTTAGTCCAAATCCTGATTTTGCCATTCAGCACTGTGTGACCTTCAGCAGGACACTGTTTGCTTTAATCTTCAATGATCTCATCTTGTAGGCATATAAAGACAGAGACAAGTATGGACGCTCCTAACACATGGAGGGACCTGAATGAATAACAAGTCCATGTGGGAGGAATTGTCTGTTACCAGGCTTTTGCTGTACAAAACTTCCTCAAGTTTGGCACTTTAAACATTTGGGGCCAGATAGTTGTTGTAAAGAGTTGTCCTGTGCATTGCAGGATGTTTAGCAACAACCTTGGCCTCAACCCTTTAAATGGCAGTATCACCAACCCCCTCTCCGCTTATGGCAATCAAAAATGTCTCCAGACATTGCCAAATGCCCCTTGGGGAGCAAAATCACCATAGCAGAGAACCACTAATATAGACTATTAATATATCGTTTAATCCTATCAAAAATCCCTGGAAATGGGTGACTTTTCATTCTACAGAGAAGCCACATTACCTATCCAGGATCTCAGCAGTAATAAGGGGAAGATTCAGGACAGTGATCCAAGAGCTTGAAACCCATTGCTATTCTCCACATCTTTAAAATGTGTATTTTAAAGAAGAATAAAAGAAGTGCCACTGATGTATATTCAGCAGGCCAAGTTCAACTTCTGGCTGCACAGAGTAATGTTTACATAACTGTGTGCTTTACCCATCCTCTGTTTTTATTCATCTTCAAATAAAGAAATTTTCAGAACTATCCCTCTCCATCAATTTCAGTGCTAATTCATAAAATTCCACTTTATCTTGCTCAGTCCCTTTTCTAGAAAAAAAACCTCTAGACTTTGGAATCAGCCTGCATTTGAACTGTGGCTGCTCCACTTTCTAGGTGGGTGACTCTCAGCATATAACTTACTCTCACCTTTATATCCTACAGAAAAGCAAACTGGAATGTGCCAACTTCACAACAGTGTTGACAGCCAGCTCCCCACTATAGCCTGCTATGCAGAGCCAAGGTGAATGGTACAGATTGCAGTTGTAGACTGCAACCCTGCCTCCTTGACCCTTTTCTGCAAGGCCATCTCTAGAAGTAGTAGGATTCTTTCCTCCCCATTTAATCTGCCTTGCCTATCCACATCCTTAAAAAATGATTAATCTTATCTTCCCCACAGAAACACAACTTAGAAATGATCCAACTTCCTCCAATTAATTTAATACAAATTAAACATAACCCAGCTGTTCCGTCTAGTCTAAGACTAAGGGACTTTGGAAAAGGTCCCAGCAATGATGCCTGTGAGTGGCCAAGGGCAGTGGCAGCTCTTTTCCAAAGGGATGCCGGGCTCATCAGCAGTGTGGATTTTCCATGAAAGGTCAGTGAAGACCTGCTGCCCATCACAGAGAAATGGCTCTTCTTCATCAGATAGGTTTAAATGTGACCATTTAGCTTTCAACCCCTTCTCTGTGGTGATTTTGAATGAAGAAGTTTTAATAAGATGTTTTAAAAAATCTCTTCAAGAAAACGTCAAATATTTCAGTCTCTTTCCACTCCTAGAACGTCAAAAACCATGAAACATTCTTGTAAAAGGAACATACAACAACTTTCAGGGACATACAGCCCTTAAGTTCCCAAGTGATAACTACCACCATAGGCCCAATTTGGGCCCAAAATGCATAATAAGGAAAAACTATGGATTAGAGTTCTATCCTATGTTAAAATTTTACAAGGTAAATAGTAATAATAATTATCTGATTCTCCAAAGGAAGCAATCAACAAAACATTTTTTTTTATTTTTGCTAAACATTACATGAAAATCTTCACACATAAAATATTTGGGATTATCCTTCTCATAGGTGACATGGCCAACATGGATTCCATTAATCCATCATCTGTGACTTAAAACATCCTCCTTAATGTCCATAAAAGTTATTTTTAATGTCTTCTTAATATCATTTCTCCATACTGTATATAGGACATCCAGCTAATATAAACTACACTGTTTATGCTACTTTATCACACAGTTGAAAATGTGAGAAAAAAAATATTAAGATACAATTTGTTCATGCAGAAAGTACTTTAGCCAAATAAATCCATATTTATCTTCTTAAAAGACTAAGAAAAACAGGCAAAAAAGCAGAACTGTGATTTCCACCTCTGCAATTCCCCACCTGTCAAATCAAGACCTGTTGGGAAATAAAAATAAGACCTCTTTTTAGACACAGAAGTGTGAAAAATGATAACAGCGGACTGCATTTACATGGAAAAATATACTAGATTCATAAAGCCCTGTCCTTTTTGAACAAAAGTACAGTATTCACAACATGCCTTCTCTATGTGCGTGTGTGTATATATATATACGTATACATACATATATCAGTTCAAAAACATGACCTTCATTTTCATACAGCTCTTCATTAGTCTAAGCTAAGAATCTAGTGTCCATTTATATTTAGATCGTCTTAATATGTAAACAAAAAATATTCAGAGTTGGAATAGTACTATTTGCAGTACTCACATATGTAAACTTAATTCAATTCAGGGTTATGTAACTGCTATGTAGAAAATGTAGATGTCAGAATTATATCAGAAATGCCAGAAATAGATATTTAAGATATCATCTCTGCCCTCAGATTGCTTGGAATCCCTTAGGGGAAAAAAAGGACTTAGTCAAAAATAATGTTAATGCAAAATATTATGGAGTAGCTATGCTAACCAATGTACAAAGGCTTTAGGAACACTGAGTCAGAAAATTACTGAATCAGGAAACAATGTTTCATGAACAGCAGAATTTTATAACTACACCTTCTTCTCAGAGAAGGAAGAGAGAAGGGGGGTGATGTGAGCAAGGTTTCAGAAGAAATTAGTGAAAGTAATTTATACCAAATGGTCTTGATGTGCTCAATAAAATGAGACATAAGTGGACAGAGAAAGGTTCAGCCCAGCCACTGTGCGGACAGACAAGAACTCCAGTAGAAATGAGTAATTGTACTTCCAAATCTGCTGTCTGGCATTACACTATGCAAATATTTAAAAGTTACCTTGTATCTGCCACAGATACCCTTTCAGCAATATTCCCCTACTTGGCTAAGTCCCTCTGGGAAAAGAATGTGCACACTATTTTGATTTAAACTTGCAGTTCTTTTACAGGCACTGTACAGTAATAGAGGTATTGGAAAACAGCCTTATTTAAGCAAGAGTCTACTTGAAACAGGTATGTCTTTTTATATTTCTGAAAATTATATTTATAAGCCATAATAGTTACTTCAAGTATACTGAAATGAATAACCAGTCTTTGACAACATTAGAATGATAATATATTTCCTTCATTCTCATATAGTCACTCATAAATTTGATAGTGTAACTGAGAAGGAGAAATGAATATTTCCATTAAAAAATTTGCAAGTATTCTATTTGCCATGTTGGTGACATAAAACAAAGATGTAACGAAAAGATTATACATGTTGACATTTCATTAAAAGCTCTGTGGACATTTGTATATGGCTATTAAGCAGGAAGCATAAGGAAATGAAGATTACCTTTCAAAGAAAGAAACTGTAAGGTAGTTCTATGGAATGTTTTGATATGAAGAGTGAGTATTTCATGTGCATTAGTGAAAATAACTAAGAATTGCAGCATTCATGATAATGTATTTAAAATACCTGCATTACATATAAAAAACTCTGAATCACTTAATTTTTTTAAAGCACCTAGTCATTTGTTTTAAGTGTTTGCACATTTTGAATATATGAAAGCACATTTTATGTACTTTACAGTACTGCTGATGTGGTAGGTAGTATATCATCTAACTACTGCTGCAGCAATTCTGAGGTCAAAGCTATTGCTTTTGGATTTGATACATTTTGTACATGATTTATGGATTAATTTTATGGAAAATATGTAAGCTATATGTCCCAAAAAGCATTTTATAGTGTTATAACAATAAAACATTATAGTTATGGGATGCCCTTCATTGAGGCATATCAAAGCCCTTTCCTGACATTAGTTAATCCTTCTAATATCCCTCAGAGGCAAGGAAGTATTGCCTGCGATACTTTTTAAGAACACAGAAAGCACTGGGGATTTTCACCAGTCTACCTGGGTTTAGAGCTACTACAAATCATCAGTGTATTTATTCATTCATTCTACCACCTATCATGAGCCCTAGACAAGTTGGTAGGATCTCAGGATAGAATGGTTTAAAAAAAAAAACAAAACAAAACAGAAACACTATCCCTTTCCACTCCCTTGAAACTTAAGAGTGTAAAGTGTAAGATGTTTTCATTCATGAGGAATAAAAAAATGTTATGACATATCTCTTATCTAGAACCTCACCCTGGCCATCTAGAAACATGCCTCTCTACAATATCTTCTACTAGCAAAAAAAATTAAGATTCTAGGCAGCAAAACTGCATTGCAAAAAGGAGAGCTCCTCATGCCACAGAAATTATTGAGAATTACTTTACATACGTCCCTAACAGATGTAGGTCAATTGGTTTCTAGTCAAGTAAAATGAGAAAAGAGATGGGTATGGTTAAATGGCTGTTAGAAGTAGGTACATCGACAGCAAAGATAACAAAGATGGCCTAATGATAAGAGACACACAACTTCCAAAAAAAGGGAAACGATAAAGTTCAAAGTTCACAGACTTCTGAGACCAATTAGCATCAGGGCCTCAGAGTTCTGGAGCTCATTCTTCCTAGACAACATTGTAGCACGTTGTAGAGCTCTTTTAAGAAAGAACCATTGTGGAAGACAGTGTGGCGGTTCCTCAGGGATCTAGAACCACAAATACAATTTGACCCAGTAATCCCATTACTGGGTATGTACCCAAAGGATTATAAATCATTTTACTATAAAGACACATGCACATGTATGTTTATTGCAGCACTATTTACAATAGCAAAGACTTGAAACCAACCCAAACGCCCATCAATTATAGACTGGACAAAGAAAATGTGGCACATATACACCATGGAATACTATGCAGCTATAAAAAAGAATGAGTTCATATCTTTTGCAGGGACATGGTTGAAGCTGGAAACCATTATCCTCAGCTAACACTGAACACAGGAACAGAAACCAAACACGGCATGTTCTCACTCATAAGTGGGAGTTGAACAATGAGAACACATGGACACACAAGGAGGGGAACATCACACACAGGGGCCTGTTGGTGGGGTTGGGGGCAAGGGAAGGGAGAGCATTAGGACAAACACCTAATGCATGCAGGGCTTAAAACCTAGATGACGGGTTAATAAGTGCAGCAAACCACTTCGGCCCATGTATACCTATGTAAAAAACCTGCATGTTCAGGACATGTATCCCAAAACCTAAAGTAAAAATTTAAAAATAAATAAAAAGAAAATTTGGCTGGGTGTGGTGGCTCACGCTTGTAATCCCAGCACTTTGGGAGGCTGAGACGGGCAGATCACGAGGTCAAGAGATCGAGAGCATCCTGACTGACATGGTGAAACCCCGTCTCTACTAAAAATACAAAAATTAGCGTAAGGTGTAAGGAAGGGATCCAGTTTCAGCTTTCTACATATAACTAGTCAGTTTTCCCAGCACCATCAATGATAGGCTGGCTTAAGAAAATGTGGTACATATACACCATGGAATACTATGCAGCCATAAAAAAGGATGAGTTCATGTCCTTTGCAGGGACATGGATGAAGCTGGAGACCATCATTCTCAGCAAACTATCACAAGGACAGAAAACCAAACACCGCATGTTCTCACTCATAGGTGGGAACTCAACAATGAGAACACTTGGACATGGGGGGCGGGAGGTGGAACATCATAAACTGGGGCCTGTTGTGGGGTAGGGGGATTGGGGGAGGGATAGCATTGGGAGAAATACCTAATGTAAATGACTGGTTGATGGGTGCAGCAGGCCAGCATGGCACATGTATACCTATGTAAGGAGCCTGCACATTATGCACATGTACCCTAGAACTTAAAGTATAATAACAAAAAAAAGTGTTAAAAAAAATTAGCTGGGTGTGATGGTGCGCACCTGTAGTCCCAGCTACTTGGGAGGCTGAGGCAGGAGAATCGCTTGAACCCGGGAGGCAGAGGTTGCAGTGAGCCGAGATTGTGCCACTGCGCTCCAGGTCTGGGGACAGAGTGAGACTCTGACTCAAAAAATAAATAAATAAATAAAAATAATAAAAATAATATCTAAGAAAAAAACTCCAAGTAGTCAACCCTCCCTGTATCTACTCTCTTTGCAATATGACTTTACAACAATTCCATCAGGAAGTGGAGTCTACTTCTCCATCCCCTGAAACTGGGCTGACAATCTCTTTACTTACCTTGGCCAAAAGATGTGATGGAAGTGACTGTCAGTTCTAAGAGAGGATTCAAGAGACTTGTGCACTTCTGCTCACTGTGTTAGAACCTTGCTACTGCCACCTGAACCGGCCTGAGCTAGCCTGCTGGAAGATGAAGGACCACTTGGAGCAGAGAGGAGTCACACCACTTACAACCATCTTAGATAAGCCAGCTTCTAGAAGACTCTTTAACTGACTAGAAATGTCAGAGCAAGTTCGGCCTAGAACAGCTAGGTCTAGCCAGTATCAGCAGAACCACCTGGCTGGCATGTAGACACATATACAATAATATTTTTAGGGCCACTGAGTTTTAGAGTACTTGTTATCAAGTAATAACTAACTGATGTAATTTAATTTCAGCACATATTAGCTATTCCACATAACAATGAACTTGAATCATTGGAAAAATTAAATTCTGCCCAGTATCCTCTGTTTAATAAGGCAGATAAACATAAAGATGTTTTAGAGATATTTCCATTTGAAGTGGCCATTAAAAATACATAAAGAAAATAATCTGAAAACCTTGAAAAGTCCAGCTATCCAGTATGGTTCATTCCCAAGGATGGCACATAATCTTAATTTTACTAGACATGAAAACCAGAATTTTAACAATGATAAATTAAAGGATACTAAACATATTACATGATACTTTTATGCATTATAAATGATTAAATGACTCCAATGCACATTTAAACTATAATCTGCTTTCTAAAATCTACCTTCCAAGCAATTTTTCAGAAATACAGTTATGTGATAGAGGAGCACCTCAGGTTTATCATTATCAGGATTTGAAGCCAACTAGGGCCTGCCTACAAGAACTTTTATACTAAATTGTGTGAAAAAGCCAAGTTTATTAAGTGTCCTAACACATTCTAAGGTAGTCAAGAGGCTATTCTGAGAGAGAGAGGGAGAGAATAAGCTATCCCCGTTTTGTTGGTGAACATCTGCTGGAGATGCCTGTTCCTTTTTTGGGAAGAACTGGGATAGGCACAAAATGTTATGGGTTAAGTCACCAGATGTGAACCAGTTATATGTCTGGTACAGTACTGGTTGCAAGTATATACAGAGATAACTAAGACAGGGTAGGGTCTCTGTTTTTGAGGAAATGCCATTTAAGCAGAGACAGGCAAGTCAAAGTGAAGCATCTATGTACCAGACAAGACCTGAGGTCAAATATCAACACTAAACGGCATTTTTTTTTTAACTTCATGTCCCAACTTTACTCTATTAGTAGGGTGTTCTTGGAATGCTGTGTTGAGACCTCAGATTCTATCCCAGTTCATTGAAAAGCATGCCATGGGTTGGGTGTGGTGGCTCACTCCTGTAATCTCAGCATTTTGGGAGGCCGAGGTAGGTGGATCTCTTGAGCTTAGGAGTTTGAGACCAGTCTGGGTAACATGGCGAAATCTCGTCACCACAAAAAAATACAAAAATCAGCTGGGCATGTTGGAGCATGCCTGTAGTCCCAGCTAGTTGAAGCTGAGGTGGGAGGATTGTTTAAACCCAGGAGGTTGAGGCTGTAGTGAGCGGTGAGCATGTCACTGCATGCCAGTCTGGGTGACAGAGCAAAACCTTATCCCCTACCCCCAGCTAAAAAAAAAAAAAAAAGGAAAGAAAAGCATGCCATGGTTGGCCAGTGATTTAAGACATGGATAAGGGAATGTGATGAGGCAACATGGGTAAATTTATTTGTTAAATACATTTTGTTATGCTTCTTTTTGAATATATTTTGTTACTGTTATTATTTTATTTGTCAAATACATGTTGTTATGCTTCTTTTTGAATATATTTTGCTATTGTTATTATTTTGTTAAATACATTTTGTTATGCCTCTTTTTGAATATATTAAATGAACTCCTATTATGAGCTAGGTACTGTGCTGGTCCCTAGATATGTACCGATGAACAAAACTTTCATATGCTTGTCCACATGGAGATTACAGTCTGGTTCCATCCCTGTCACACTGTCTCTGAGGCAAAGTGTGACAAAATCTATGGGCTCTAGCAAAAAATGAGAGACTACTCTCAGAAGACAATGATATGTCTATATTTTCTGCTACTTCATTTATTTATTTATGTATTTATTCATCCATTCAGAGACAGAGTCTCACTCTGTCGCCCAGGCTAGAGTGCAGTGGCATGATCTCGGCTTACTGCAACCTCCACCTCCCAGGTTTTAGTGATTCTCCTGCCTCAGCCTCCCATGTAGCTGGGATTACAGGCAACCCGCCACCATGCCCAGCTAATTTTTGTATTTTTAGTAGAGGCGGGGTTTCACCATGTTGGCCAGGCTGGTCTCGAACTCCTGATCTTAAGTGATCCACCCACCTTGGCCTCCCAAAATTCTGGGATTATAGGCATGAGCTACTGCACCTGGCCTCTGCTAATTGCACTCTAGTTTTTCATGTTATGAAGGTGGTGGGTGTATAAATATGAATTATTAATACAATAACAATAGTGACAAGAACTACAACCTAGTGGTTTAAAAAATTTACTTATTTATTTTGAATTCTTTTATTTCAATAGCTTTAGGGATACAAGTGATTTTTTATTACATGGATAATTGTATAGTGGTGAAGTCTAGGATTTTACCGCACCCATCACCCAAATAGTGTACACTGTACCCAATAGGTAGTTTTTCATCCCTCATCCCTTTCCATCCTCCCCATTTCTGAGTCTCCAGTGTCCATTATACCACTCTGTATACCTTTGTGTACCCATAGCTTAGCTGCCACTTCCAAGTGAGAACATGCGGCTCTCACTTGGTTTTTGATTCTTGAGTAACTTCGGAGTAATGGCCTCCAGTTCCATCCAAGTTGCTGTAAGAGACCATTTTGTAAGAACTACAGCCTAGCTTTTATTGAGTGTTAGTGCTTAAAATACATTATCACTAAATCCTCCCAACATACTGAGCCTCTCCTTGTGGGCAGCTGGTACCTGGCAACGTTAAAGTGTCTGTTCAAGATCTCACAGCTTCTGAAATTCAAGCTCATATTCACACTCAAAACTTTCTGACACACAGCCTAAACTCGTGCCTACTGGGCCATACCGTTCTTACTTCTTACTAATATGTCTGACTATATTCTGGATAAACTTAGTCTCATACTCCATATCCTTAAAAATGAAAAGCATCAAAGAAACCATCTTTAAATCTATTTGTATATTAAAAAATGTTTTCCTAAGCCTTTCAGTGAGCTGTGAGTTTTCCTTTCTCTAAGCATCATGCATGTCCCTTCCTGGAGTATCTCTTGTTGTCTGTATACGATGTAAACAATGTTTGTATTTCTGTTTATACTACCCAACCTTCTCTACATACACTCATGCACTCATGCACGCACCCACACATGCAAAACCCACACATAGATTATCTTGATATATTTGATGCACCAGAAAATCCTTGTGGGCAGGAGCTGCTTCTCATATAACAGCGTGTACCCCATGTAGTGTAGCACAGTCTTATACAGATCACAAATATATGACCAATATAAGTTGAATGAAGACATACCTCTTCCCTATTAGCTCCTATAATTGTTCAACAGGCAACCAGCTCCTCAGAGTTATAATAAATTAATTATTTCCAAGGCTATGCTCCGTGGAACACTAGTGCTATCAGGTGCACTATAAAAACAGGGTACCATTATCAAGTAACTTAGGAAATCACGGCATAATGATATACCTCCTCTCTTGTAGATAAACAATGAACCCTAACACCCTGACAGCTCTGAGAAATCCCGCAATGAACTACCTCAATATTGACCAGCAACTTGAAGGACCCCTTGGATCTAGAGAGGTAATACATATTGGGATATTCTACTTTTGCAGTTATAGTTGGCAAAGAGAATTAATTCTTCCTTAATGTTATTTTTCAGATTATCCTCAGGAGATGCAGACTTTGCTATATTATGACAAGTATGTTTGTATATCTTTGAATGTTTTAAGATAGACTATTAATTCCCACTGAATTTTAAGATGTGAAAAAATGGAAATAATCTAAATATAAAACAATAGGGTAAAGGTGGGATCTATGTCTAAAATGGGATATTTTTTACCCATTAGAACAATGCTTACAGGCTTGGCATGGTGCCTGTAACCTCAGCACTTTGGGAGGCTGAAGTGGCCAAATCACTTGAGGTCAGGAGTTCGAGACCAGCCTGGCCAAAATGGTAAAACCCCGTCTCTACTAAAAATACAAAAATTGGCCTGGCATGTTGGCAGGTGCCTGTAGTCCCAGCTACTCGGGAGGCTGAGGCAGGAGAATTGCTTGAACCAAGGAGGCAGAGGTTGCAGTGAGCCGAGATCATGCCACTAAACTCTAGCATGGGCAACAGAGCAAGACTCTTTCTCAAAAAAAAAAAAAAAAAAGCTTACAAAGACATCAGAAAATGCTTATAACATCTAAGTAACAAAATAGGTGAATATTGTATATGCATATTTTATATATTTTAATTTTATAAAATTTACAGAGATCAAATAAACTAGAATATTAACAGGGGTTTTCTTTGCTTGGAGGGATATGAAACATTTATAGGTACGTCTATATATTTTTCCATATCTTCTAAAACAACTGAATACAAAACAAACAAAATATCAATTCTAAGTCATCAGAAAGAATCAAAGAATCATTTACCTGACTAGTTCCTACCTATTTTTTAGGTTGAGCTTAGAAACGATTGCCTCTGGGAAACCTCCAGCATCCCATCACTGCGGTAGGTTGCCCACCTTGAGCGTCCACAGCATGCTGGGCTCTTTCTTACGATGGCACTTATTTCCTGGCATTGCATTGCCTCATTTACTTGCTTATATACCTTCTAGACTATTACCTATCTCTGTCCAATTTATCCCTGTAACCCCAGTGCCTCGCACAGTAACTGGAACATGGTGGTGTTAAATAAACATTTACTAAATAATTGAAAGTTTAGATGTTTTCTCATTTCCTAAATGTGTTGCCTATAGTATGGCAAAGATAATGTAATATCTACATTCTGGAGCAACAATGAAATTTCCCTTTAAGTGACATATTTTATTAAGGCAGCTGATATTGTTGATAAGCCTGTCAATAATTTATATTTCCTATGAAATTTTATCTACAAGCAATTTTCTTCACACCCAGTTTTAACAGTAACAGGGATTCCTGCCATTTGTTATATAATTTTATCAGCATGACTGTCTAACCAATGCAGTGTATAAAGTTCCATATGCTCATACTTGAGTCTTTCTGTTTGCTTCAAGTTGGAAGACAATTCTCTAAGCTTATGAATCCAGACGACTGCATTGCTTTGACACCAAACTCCTAACTAGGTCCAAAAACAACCATCTTAATAATGAAATCTATTTAGATTCTAGAAATGAAGCTCTATTTAATTACCCTAAAAATTCATGATATGAAGCATATGTGTAGATATATACATATAGGAATAATAATAACAAGATTAGCTAACATTTACTGAATGCTTATTATGTGCAGGGAACTATGATAAGCAATATATGTACATTAATTAATTTAGTCCTTACTTCATGAGGTGGATAATATGACTTTCCTCTCTGATGATGAAGAAATTGAAGCAAGTATCTTGAGTTTACAAGGCCAATGAGTGCCAGAGTCAGGGCTATAAATCCCAGTGTCTCCCTTATTAATCTCATTGTTATTCATTCTACAAATATGTATTAAGTGCCTACCCTCAGCAACACACTGTTCTGTGCCCTGAGAATATACCAGTGAACAAACACTGGTGTAAAAGTCCCTGTGCTCCTAGAGTATCCATTTTAATCAGGATAGACAGAAACGGCAGCACATGCCTGCACACATACTGTGGTAAAGGTGGCTGAGTCCACCAAAACCTTTATTTCCTCTTTCATAGCACATGTTTGTTACTGGGAAGCACTTCTTCAGTGAGGATTACCTTTCGTTTCAGCTCCTCATGCATATAGATATGGCTATGTGACAACTTTTGCCAACAGAATGTGAGTAAAATTTGCGTTCCTTCTGGGCAAAGGTTTCAAGAAATCAGGTGTGGGATGTAATTCGATCTTCTTTTTCTCCTTCTTTGAGCTGGATGCAGACAATGATAAAGTCCTAAGGAATAGAGGAGCTGCCATATGGAAGATTTTTGAGACTCAAAATCACTACTTGGAGGAAAGACACACGCCAACCAGAAAGACCTTCCCTAGACTGCTCTCTAAGCGAGAAAGAGCCATCTGTGGGCTTAGCCATTATATTATGAGGTCTGTTTGTTACAGCAGCTAGCACTATACTTAAAAATATAGAAGTGTGGGCTTGATTTTGGTGCCACCATTAATGTAACCAAAATATGTGGAATTAATTTAATAACCACGCAGTGAATGGCATGGAACAGATATCACAGGCTAGAAATATAAAGACCCACATTATACAGTTACAAAATAGTTGTGAACACTGCTGCCTGCAATAATGGGAAAGGCTTACCAAACACCAAACTGAACCCATAGCTCAAGAAGCTTGACTTTTGCAGATTGGAATGTGTTGGATTATGGCTGCTGCCTTTTCCAATGTATTATGAAAAACTGAAAACCTCAGGGGAAAATTGACAAACACTAAGGAAACTGCCGAGATAAAAAGGACAAATGATCAATGACCCTAAATATCAGGACACGAGAGTGAAAAAGGAGGACAAATCCTTATCAGAAAATTACAATTTAAACAAATAGACTTGGCTAAAACAAAAGTAAGAGTATGAGTGTTGCAAATATATTGTTTCAGATGGCCAGGAGGTGGCCTTAATAAGGCTAAGGGTGAGAAGCATGGGTTTGAGGAAGCAAAGAAGCAAAGCAGACTCAAGAAGGATACATAAGAAATACCTGGGGGTAGGGAGATAGACACACAACATTGAATGGAAGCAAAAAGATCAAAAGGCTAGTTCATTTTGAGGGAAATTTATTGCCAAAGAAGCCATGAGCCTAGTACTATAAAAAACCATGGACTCTCAAATTTTTAAGGTAATCCTTTTCCCAAAGTTTTACGAGCAAGAAGCCATGTGCAGAAACTACACAGCTAAAGCAGAGATACTTCCCAAACTCACTTCAGATGTGGCCATGGAAGAAAGTGGACAAGACAGATCTTCTGAGAGGGCAAAGCAAGGAACTATAGGGAACGATGTAGAAGAGGACTCCTCCAAAATGGGATCTAGGTTCTAAACAAGAACTTTCTCCACTGGAAAAGCAGAGAATCTTCATATTCCCTGTCCCAAAGTCTCCACCGCTGGCCCTGGACTGCTGAGTGTGTGTGTTTCTCAATCTTACCTTCTCTGAATAGGAATTGCCATGTACATCTGCCATCCCTGTTCTATCATTCTATATTAGCGCTAGAAGGAGGATAGTTCATCTTTTAATTGAATGATCAGAATACAAGAAAAAACATGTGGACCTGATGGAAAGAACTGAGCATTGCTCAGAGATTCTGGACTTTGAGATGGAAGCAGTATCTGTCTCACCTGGGAAGGGGTTGAGTGTATTCTTTATGTGACAAAAAGATTATGCACAGAAATTTGTGTCCAGAGGAGTAGATGTGGCAGAGATGGCTGATATCTAACTAAATCTATTTTTCTCCTTTAATAATATATTATAATTGGTAGTGTGCAACCTGCCAGTCAGGAACTCTATTCCCTATTACCCCCAATCTCCTTGCAAGTAGATGAAGCCATGCGATGAGTTATCACCAAAAGAATCTGAACAGAAGTGATATGTATCAGTCCTGAGCTAAATATTTTAAGAAGTGAGAATGCTTCCCACACACTTATTTTCTCCTTCTGTTGACTTCAGACTCTAGGGAATAGCAGAGCCACAAGATGCACAGCATCTGGGACCCTGAATCCTCACACAGAAGAGAGCTGTCTGCCAACCAACTTTGAGTGTGTGCAAATAAAAAAACTCCACAGAAGTGGTATTAGTATACTATTTGGGGATCTATTTGTTACCAGGACTCAGCCTACCCTAAATAATCGACATCCACACATAAGATTCCAAACAGTGAATAGGAAGAAAATAAAACAGAGTGATGGACAGAGCCATGTCCTATGAGCTGGGACAATGCACTGAAATAGGAAGATCAGAGAAGGTTCCTCTGAAGAGATTATGTTTCAGTTGAGAAAAACGTCTGGCAAAATCTGTGGAATGAGCATTTGGGGCCAAAATCGTGGCACACACAAAACTCTTAAGATATAGACCAATTTTATGCTTTTAAGGAAAAGCAAAAAGGCCAGTGTGAAGGGAGGCATAGTGAGAAAAAAGAGAGAGGCAGGGCCATCTGTTATTTGGATCTTCCCAGCTTCATGAAAAGACTGGGTAGACTTTAACTCTAACGGGGAACTCTCAGCAGAAGAGTTTCTGAGCAGAAGACTGGTACGGATGGGCTACTTCATCCTTGTGGCTGCTGCATGGACAATGACTTACGATAAGCAAAATGGAAGAATGAGTTCAGACAGGAGGCCGCTGCAGGACTCCGGGAATGAGACAGTGGTGGGCCCCTCTGGCATAGAAGGATAGTGGTGTTGATGTTGATGTGTGATTAGATGGAATATATCTTGGAGTTAAAGCTGAAAGGGTTTGCATACAGATAAGATATTGTCAGCAAGGCAAAAATGAGGAGCCAATGATAATTATATATTTGGCCTGAAATGCTGAGTAGAGAGAGGTATTATTTGATGAGATGAAGAAAACTAACAGAATATTAAGTTGACTATGTGTGGGAAGAACAGGAAGAGTGTGTGTGTGTGTGTACACTTTTATCAGAGTACCTGGCATGGGCTATGTATTAAATATCAATTTTTAATACAGGTATGCTAATATATGTTGCTAGGCCTTATTATAATGAAATAAGGTGCTAATTTTGAAGGTTTTTGAGGAACCTAAGAAATATATCACACTCTGTTTCTCCTCTTCAATTTGAAATCAATAGAAAAAAATCCAGAAATCAGTTGCAGGGAGATTTCAGTATGACTTTTATAATTGGTAATGCGGATTATGATAGAAACGTACTATCCTCAGCGAAGCAGCCTTGCTAATGATACTAAACCCCACCCTGCCTCAGGCTGAACAAAAGCATGGCTACACTGCAGTCAGGTCTCTAACCCACAAAAGAGAGCAAATTCCAGCTCACACTTTCTGAGAAAGAGCCTGGAAAGCCACATATGCAAAGCTTCTTCTCCCAAATCCACCACCAATCAGTTTAGTCTCCCCCATTCTCCTGAGGAGAGAGTGAGGTGACAGATCGCGTCCAGGAATGTTACCTACAGAGAAACAGAAAAGGCAAAAGAGTTTCTCTCATAAAACAAATGCAAATAAATGAGTGTTAAAGACATCTGTAAAAGTGAGGACCCAAGGAGGGACTTTTCAACAAATGGATGTCATTTCAAAGATAAGAATGTGTAATCAATGGCCTTTTCCGTAACATCTTCCAACCCAGTTCTTGGAACTCAGGAGTGGATTGAAGCAAAATTGAAATTTTACCTTATTTCAGATAGTAAAAGAAGAAGGAAAAAAAAAAAACTAGAAGGACGAAGAGAAATGTCTTGTTCATTTGTCGAATTTGAAGTGAAATCCTGTTTTCCTATTTCCAATCTCTTATTATGTAGGTGGCTCATACCCACAGGGAAAAAATGTCACAATTCCTCCAACTACAAACTGCCAGCTAGCATTTCATCACTGCCATCACATCTCCCATGCTCCTGACGATTTACTGACAGGACTGATAACTCTATCTGAGGACTCCTGTCCTCGGGCCTTTTATCTTATTCTTTCTTAACTAACCATTTTCCCTGAGGGATTTAATAGTAAAACTACTGAAAAAGAGTCCACGCAAAGGAAAGAGATATCTGCACAAAATGCTTCTGTTCTTGGCCACCAGGCTAGCTCAAAGCTCCTTACTTCCCTTTAATTTTAGCTTTAATCTGTTGACTAAAATGGCATTGCTCTCAGATCCTTTCCCTATGCTTCCCAGGCTCTGCTTTGAATTGCAGGGAACTACATTTCCCAGAGTCCCTTCCTAATACAGGTTATCCGCTACAGGGCACTGACAGAAGACTGAGTGGTGGAAGCAAAGAGAAACCCTGGAAGCTACCAGACACCTCCCCCGGTGTCTGGTGCCACTGGACAGCCATTCATTCTGCAGTCCTAGACCCTGACTGACAGTCTCCAACATGACTCTCCAGATGAACTCAGAAAACAACTCTGCTCCTTCTCATTGTCCCTCCAAGTCTAGGAATGGTAGCAGCTTCCAGTGGTTGCTAATTTGAGAGATGGTTTACCACCCTCTGCCCAGCTTCTCAGCTTTTCCATCTTCTGTATAAACAATTCCCTATTAAATTTCTTTTGTTAAAGTACCTATGGTGTTTTCTTGTTTCTTGACTGCAGCATATTTGATAGAGCCATTCTTATAAAGCTAACTGTCTTCTTGTGTGTTTGTTTGTATTCATTACCAGGGATTGGCAAACTATGAACCTTGGGCCCACTGTCTATTTTTGTAAATAATTTTCTTGGAACACAGCCATGCTTATTCATTTAAATATTGTATTATCTATAGTTGATTTTGTGCTACAACAGCAGAATTAAGTAGTTGCAACAGAAACTTTATGGCCCCAAAATCTAAAATATTTACTAGCTGCTGGCCTTCCACAGAATGTTTGCTGACCCATGCACTAAATAAAACAAGGCTCTCCATCCTGAGCCCTGCTGATCTCTGTGATAATTACAACCTAGACCAGCACTGTCCAACAGAAAGTGTGATCTACCAGACCATCTTACATTTTCTAGTAGTCACATCAAAAAAAAAAGTTAAAAGGAACAGGTGAAATTAATTGTTATATTTTATTTAAGCCCATGTATCTTATAATCCTTCCAATGTGTTATTCATATAAAAAAAAAACGAAGATTTTTTTGTGGTACATCTTCAAAACCCAATGTATATTTTACACTTATGGCATATCTCATTTTGGATGCTAAATTTTCATTACAAATACTTGACTTCTGTGTGGCTTTCATAAAATCAAAAAATTCACATTTGAAAAAGGAGATGCACATTATTCGTCTATCAGAATGATGAAATAAAAAAGTAATGACAACACTAAATGCTTGTAAAGATGCAGAGAAACTGACTCATTCGTACATTACTAGTGAGAATGCAAAATGGTACAACCAGTTTAAAAACAGGTAGTTTCTTACAAAACTAAACATGCAGCTATCATACAATGCACTAATTGCACCCTTGGGCATTTATCCCAGTTAAATAAAAACTTATTTCATGCAAAAATGTGTACACATATGTTCACTATAGTTTTATTCATCGTAGCCCCAAACTGGAAAAAAACACAGATGTCTTTCATCAGGTAAACGGTTAAACAATGGTACAGCTCTACCATGGTTAATTGCTCAGCAATTAAAAAGGACAAACTATTGATACATGTAACAGCATGGAGAAATCTTAACAATTCAAATGCAATTCAAATGACTCATGCACTAAATAAAACAAGGCCCTCCATCCTGAGCCCTGCTGATCTCTGTGATAATTACAACCCAGATCAGTACCAAGAAAGTGTCCATTCAGTGAAAGACACTAGACTCAGAATGATGCTTACTGAATGATTCCACTTACATAGCATTCTTGAAATGACAAAATTATAGAAATAAAGAACGGATTAGTGGTTGCCAGGAGTCAGGGATGGTGAGTATGGGTGTGTCTATAAACAGGCACATGAGGGACCATGTGGTGATACAAATGCTCTGGATCTAACTACATCAATGTCAATATCATGTTTGTGCAATTGTACTATTGTTTTGCAAGATGTAAACATTGGAGAAACTGAGTAAAAGACACATGGGAAATCTGTACTATTTCTTACAAATGTATGTGAATTCACAAAATAAATAGTTTAATTTTTTAAGTAGATTCATATAACCAACTTTCTCCAATAATTGGAAGTTTTTCAGTAACTGAATCAAATATCAGTTTTTAAGTGTAAATTAAATAAACTTAAATAAAATTAAAAACTTAATGCACACTGTTCAGGTAATGGTTACATGAAAAGCCCAGACATCAAAACTATGCAATATATCCATGTAACAAAACTGCACTTATACTCCTTACATTTATACAAATAAAAAGATAAAAATAAAGAAACATCCAATCCTTTCTCATACTCGTAACATTTCAAATGCTCAGTAGCCATATGTAGCTAGTGGCTAAAACAATGTGTGGACAGAGTGGCTCTAGACCCTCATTTGGGGCCAGAATGGCTAAAAATGTAGCCAAATTTGAGCCATTAGACAGGAAATTTTTCACACAAAACTACTCCCAGAAAGCACACTTCCTACATAGAAATACACATTTCTACTCGAAAAACTCTGCAGTTCCACAAGTGGTAATGAACCCTCCATGGTAGTAAGAACTAACCAGTTGTGACAAACTGCTTACAGAGAAGCATTGTTCGCTAGATAGCTCCTCAGCCAATTAACATGATGCTGTCTCCTGGATAAGACATACACTTCCTCCTTAAACTCCCATCTTTTAAAATAAAATGAGTGTGAACTATTGTAGATTGCAGCTTTTCCCATCAACCTTTATGTCCAGGTGAAAAATGGAATTTAGTATGATAATGAGCAGTGGTGGCCCCCATTCACAATACAAAAAAGTCGATGCCCTGCTCAAAAGGTCTTTCTCTTTGACAAGTTGACAAATGAAACTGCAAAACAAGCAGACAATCCCGGGGCAAAGCGAAGGAGTGCTTGCGGCTCCCTCATAATCCAGCTGCCTGGAGGCTAATGGGGATGCTTTCTGTCAGTGGAGCTCTGGGGAGGGATGTGCAGGGTACAGGGGTTTCTCCTCTCTGCCATAACTGCTATGATTAGCTTCTGAATGAAATAACGGGGGGTCCTGGCACAGACGAACTTGCTGTGCTATGTACATGCGTGTTCCCACTGGTGGGGCTTGCACGAGGTATGTTCCTTTTAAATGAACCGCAATCAGATCAGGCTAGGAGAAAATAAGCACAATCAATTTTCTAAAGCGATTGCAGGCATTTAGCAGGTCTGGAAAGAAGTCAATAGTCTCTCAGTCTAGCATTCAGGGCCCTTGACCATCTGGGCCTTTCTGCCTCCAGGCTTTATGTGCCACCGTGCTCCATTCACATAGGTCCACTTGCTTCCCTCAGAACACAGTTTGGATCACCCCCTCTGCTTTTGCTCAAGCTATTCCTGCTGCCTGGAATGACACTTGTTTCATCTACTTTTAGTAGGGTCTTGATAAGCCCTTTAACGTGTAGTTAGAACCACACTGCCTGGAAATCCAACCCAGCTGTTAATGACCTTGCCTTCTGTGGGACTTCCATAGCTAGTTATAATAACAGCTGCAAGTGACTGGGCAAGGATATGTTTCGAGGTCTGTGCCTGGCGTTTTCATGATCCCTAACTTAATCCTCACAAACCTTGAATAGGAATTATTATCACTATTTACAGACAAGTAAACAGAGGATCAGAGCTACTGAGTAGCTGGACTAAAATTACACCACGGGTAACTATCAGAGCCAGTAGTCAAATTAAATATTTATTTCTATCTCTAAAACCTGTGCTTTTATCCCTGCACTACAGTATTAACTGAGTGCACAGTCATTTAATCAAATCACATTTATAGAGAATCTAATAGGTGCCAGGCACTGAGCTAGTCTCTAAGGAGACTATAATAAATAATAAATTATAGGTGCTCACAATATAATTATATAAGTGCATTAGGTAAAAATAGATACAAAGAATTATAAGTCTTCACAAAGATGTTACATTTACAGTGGGTTTGCAAGATGTTTGAAAGGTATCAGGTGGAAAGAGCCTGGCAAAGGATAGGCTGGCGATATGGAAATGTGAGATGACATATTCTAGACAGACAAAGGCAAATAATTATAAAAGTCCACAGAGTGTTCAAAATAGTTCAGCAGCATGCTAGAAACACAGTCAAAGACAGGTTATAAGGGTTTGCTCGGTTACACACAGGAGTTGGAAGTTATTCCGTGGTAACTGACAGCCACAAAAGGATTTTTAAGCAGATGATCACTCCATGTGGTCAGTTCTTTTATTTATTCACATAAATACTGAGTACCAAGCATTGTGTTGAAACTGGAAACATAAATACGGGTTTTCAGTAGAATGGCAGAGAGACTCAAATAAACCAACAATTACAGAAAAATACAGTAACTCCTTAGCAGGGTGTTAAGAAGCATGAAGGATGAGGCATGGATTGGAATGGAGGCGAGTGGGGTGTCCCTCGTGGAGATGTCACATGAAGGTGCCCAGAGGATGCAGTGGAAGGGGTGAGGACATGGCAATTGTGATGCAAATATATTTGAGAACCATTCCTTAGAAATGATTAAAATATGTAGTAACTTACTGGGATGGGGGCAGGGACAAGAAAGAAGTAAAGAGAGGACTGGAGGCTGAGACTAAAATCTTTAGCCAACTGAGATTATGACAATGCCAAGATATTTGAAACAGTAAAAACAAACAAACAAAACAGTAAATTTGCAGAGGAAAGAGTCTGGGTAGAGTTTTAAAAACAAGAGGAAACTGCCAATAATTCCCAAACAAAAAAATAATTGAATCAAAGAAAACATTGGTAATGGGATAACACTTGACAGACAACAATAACATCATACTTTTGTTACTTTTTAAATATTAATGATTAGATTACTTGGCTAATAATGGTCAATACTATGCCATCTCACTTACCAAAATAATACATGTTTGAGCTTACTACAATAATAAATACTATTTTATTTGCTTTTTCTTCCTCAGATGTCTTGTACTGTACAAATTGAATGCCCTGCAAGTTTATACTCTGTATTTATAAGTATACAATGGAATTTTCCAGAAGCTGTATTTTATTTGTTGAAAGCATCACTGTAAGAGTGAATGAAACATGTGCTGGTGAATCCTTGTGTTTTTCCAAAATTTTCCAGTTTTTAGGGTATAGATATGTACCTTTCCAGAGATTATCTCAGTTTATTCTTAGTACTTCTGTATTCCTACTAGTTTTCTTTGGTTGCACCTGCTAACATCTTTGTTATTTTATTAACAACAAATAAATCATTCTTGGGAAACCTTAAAAATGTCCTTATGCCTATGGGAAAACACAATAATAAATAAATATACTTTGTTGTCTTATTTTGCAATTTTTTAAATGAGAATATTTTCTGAAGTTTAAAATTTTATCTAGAAGTCATTTTTGGATTTAACAATATTTTATTCTAAAATAAAATAAAATGCATTTGCCTGATATTTTTCTTATATTTAAGGATTGTTGACTTTAAAAAGAGAGCATTGAAGACTTACATTTTCAACACACAGCAATAGCAATATACATCTAAAGATGCTAAAAAATGATCAGAGTTTTTCACTCATAAAAGAGAAGGATCAACTCCAAAGAAGCTTTAAAAAAAAAAAAAAGGGAAGACAAAGGTGTCTTTCCCTCGGCCTCACAGATGCTCTTACCACATTTTATGTAACAGAAGTTTTGGCAATATTACAACAGTGCAAGCTGAAACACAGCATTAATTTTGAATCCAGTTGCTCAGAATTTAAAGAACAACAGACTGGATATTATTTTTTTTTGATGTGATCTTTAAAAGTTACAAATGATTATGTGCAACTCTTTAAATTAGAATTGAAAAAGCCACAAAGCATCTTACAGAATAAGGCATCATATGGCACTGATGGGAGATTCCTGAGGGACTAATGAAGCCTGTATGAGTGACAGACCATAAGGGATGTCCTGACACTGGAAAGCGTGAGTCAGGAATCTGTGCTTCAGTAACATTCTCAGTTTGGCTTGACAGTCTGTTTCTACATCTGTATTTGCCATTTCCAACCCAAATATCATCCCTGTGACACACAGCAGATGATATTGGCTTCTATGATACCTTATAAACCAGGTCATCAGACCCAGACTCCCAAGCTCCGCCCTCTTTCAACCTCACTTGAGCCATCTTCTCCTCTGCTTGTCCTGGCTAATACTGGCAGTCCTTTCTCTCCTGTTCTCACAAATGGTACATGTCTCTTTTCCAATCTCTTCCCCAAATTGGTTATATCCCCTAACCACCAAAATTAACTTTCTCTTATAAAGAGAGAGACAGAGAAAAAAAAAAAACATGGAAGCCCCTTCGTTCAACTTCAGTTTCGCCTCAGCTACCTATTCCATGTTTGCTGTTTTCTTTTTTGTTAAGAATAGCGGATACATACTATAGGTCCACAATCCCTCATCCACAGTGCTAAAATGCAAGAAGCTCTAAAAATAAAAATAAAAAAATAGTTTGCAACTCATTTGAGGGCAAAACCTGATCTGCTCATTTGGTACCCAAATCTCATGGAAACTTACACTTGTACTGAATATTATATTGTTTATTCTTCAGGGTAAATTCCTATTTACAACATAATGGGAGTGCTATGTAACATAAAGCATATATGTGCTGTATTATATTTGGAAAACTGTAAAGTATCTGTATTTTGAAAAGCATCTGACCCCAAGGATTTGGGGTAAAGAATTGTAAACTTGCACTATCTTTCACGCCAATCTTGATAGTTAGAAGCACTTGCAAAAGTATTTACATTAAATGTTTAATACAGAGGTTGATATGAAACACCAGTGGTTTCCTACTTAAGAAGTTCCTCTAAAGAATTGTGGTCTAATTCATGCTACAGTACTACATTAAGGTGCATTAACATGTCTAGACATTCTTCACATACCATTTAATATTCTCTGAGAATATACCCTGGCCCAAATATGGAAAGTAGTGTTAAGGAAATAAACTATGATAATACCCATGAGAATTAAATAACACATAATGAGAAAATAATTACAGTGTGCCTCTTTCTCTGCTAGGGGCTCTGCAGAGCAGTTTTCCCAGAAAGACATGTGCGGTGGCAAGTAGGTTTCACAGTAAGATGGCAGCGTTTGTCCAACTTACTAAGGAAGTAAGAATATATACACCACCATTCAAAGTTACAGTCCTCTAAAAGATGGAGTTTGAGAGAAATGGTGACAGACGACTTTGTCAAAAATATCTCCCCAAATTCACTCTTATCATACATCAGGTTAGCAAAGCTCTCAAGAGTTTCTTTTATCTAATTATTCATCCAAAAACTTCCATCAGTTTTTGGGAGAGAAACAGCAAAGGAGGTGAGATTGCAGACTCTGACATCAGGCTGGCCAGGCTAGAATCCTCATATGTGACTTTACAATGCCACCTCACCCCCCAAGCCTCAATTTCCTCATAGATGAGGAACACTTTACCTACCTTACAAGGTTCTTGTGAGGATGAAATGCAATTTCCCCCTGTAAAGCATTTAGCACAGTGGCTGACATACAGTAAGCACTGAACAAATGTTAGTGTAGCAAAAGATGAACATGCAGACTCTTTTATTATGCAAATTGAATTATTCTGTTTTACCATTCACTGCTGTCCTAGAAGAGAAGAGCACAAGTATTTCCATTTCTCTTCATCTCCTAGAAGGTTTTGCTCATTAAGCCCTCCCTCCTCTCGAGGAAAGGGGAACTGAGCTCTGTGTGCCACCGGTTCAGGTTCTGCAATTTATAAGACATCAAAGTCCACTTCTGAGAGAGAAATAGAGTGGCTGATGTTTACAAAACAGATAAGTAGCCAGAAAAGCAGGCGATAAGGAGGAGTTTCCCAAGATTAGAAAGAGACTTTTTAAAGTAAAGGGTAACGGTGCAGGAGAGTGTTTTGGTTCCAAAATAGTGAGGACTCTGCTCTTTTAACACCAGCTGCACCAGGAAGACAGCAATTACCTTTACGGAATGCAATATGTATGTCAAGGGAGAATGAAATTCAAATGGAATTTCATATGAAATATGATGTGTCCAGGGAAATCAGCCCAGAAGCCTGAAAGTACCTAGCCACACCCACGATGCTCAATTCCATGCATGACTCTGGAGCAGCAGAAAGCTGCTGGGACAATGGGGGTACTAGTGCAATATGCCCCCTCAGCAATAACCCCTGAGGACACGTGAGAGATTACTGAAAAGGCCCCAGGATTGTGGCATGACTGAAGTGAGAGGGGAGCCCTCAAGTCTAAGAATACTGAATTTCCCAGCAGTCCATCAGAGTAATTCAGAGTCAAAAATAATGTTGACACACAGAAATAAATGAAGGCCATATTTCTTGGATAACTGGCATTTAGAATGAGACACGTGTCCTCTAGTTATCATTATTACTATTTGCACTAGCATTTGTGCTAGGCTCTGAATACACAACAGTGAGCAAGACATACAGCCGTTGCCCCCTGGGAGTCTATAGTTTAATAAAGAAAACAGACATTTGAAAAGCAATATGAGTAAGTGGTGATAAGTATCACGATGCAGGGGATATGAGACAAAAATGAATTTAAGGAAACAGAACCAAGCTGAGGGGCCAGAGAAGACCTCTTAGAGGGAGTGAGGAGAAAGCTGAGACCAGAGGTATGACACTGAGACAGAGGCAGGTAGGGAAGGACACAGGGGAGGGGTTCCAGGCTGGGTGAGCAGTGTGCTCAGAGCTCCGGAGACTAGAAGAGACAGCTGGCTGATGCAGTGAAGGAAATTGAAGATGTCTAGTTGGACAAGAGCACAGAAAGCAAGAGGGGAAGTGACTGAGATGCGGTGTGAGGAAAACGGAGGTCTGACTGTGGAGGGAAAATCTGAATAACCCAGATAAACTGAGAGAGCAGCTCATGTTGGAGTCACGGAAGCTGGTTGCCGTGGCCATAAAGAACAGACCAACCCCAACAGGCCAACACTGGGCAGCCTGAATTGGGGCTCCTGACTAAGACATGTATTTGAACTTTAATAGACCAAATGAAAGAAATCCCAGGCTGACAATGTTGAAAACATCAAGACACAGGAATGCCTTTAAGAAAACAGACATGGCTCTGAGTTGTTGTGCAAAAGCAGCAAAGGACAGTTGATCTTGGCCTACAGGTGAAAAAAGTGTGTCTTAAGCGATGAGCCTCGCTCTGACCACTCTCCGCAGCACCTAGGAAATGACCACCATCATGCAGGTGCCCGAGCACTAGACCATTCACAATACATTTATTATGCAAAATTATTTTTGGCCCCATTACACTGGGCTGATGAAAACCACAACCATGTGAGTAGTTGCAGAGACGTGTGAATGCTGAGCCAGGGGCCTGAAGCCTTCCTCGACCACGTCCTAACTTCACCATCCTGAAGGAGTTGCTGGCATCTTTGAACTTCACTTTTCTCACTAGGAAAACAGGAAATTGGTTTGTCAAGGCTGTATTGATGGCAGAAACCCAGTCAATGAGCACAAGCAAAAGAGGATGACATTAAGGATGGGCATGATGACACACCACCTGATGGCAGGGCGTGCAGTCAGCTCTCCCAAGGGAATGGAAGCAGAAACTAGAAAGCTGTGGGAAGCAACTGTTCTCCCACTGGCTGCATCTCTCCACCTGTTTTATATCTGCCAACACATCCTCTGTTTCACCAACATGAATGTAACAGACTGCTGTGGCTCCCCGTAAACCCCAGGCTTATATTTCAGCACTTACTCGAAGGGACTGACTCCTTTCTAAAAATCTTAATTTCTAATTCCTAGGAAGTCACCTGGTAGGCCCAGTTCTGCCCCAGAGGAGGCAGGTCACACACACCAGCCTGGCTCTGAGAACCCTCCTTGAAGCAGGGCAGAGTGTAGGGGGTGGAGGATGGGTTTTAAAGAAGGATCAGGGGGTTGGTAGGCACCCCAAAAGGGAATTCTGTGCAGCAAAACCTCACTAAAGGTGGTGTTCAGGATTCATTTGCTATATGTAGAATAGCTAGTACAGAAAATGCTCAACATGTTATAGCCTTTGGACCCTCACAAAGAATTTAATAAATATTTGTTTCACTCAGCTGGGAACCCTCTGCCCACCTCTGGAACTTCCTCTCTCTGTGCAGTTCTCTCCTTTCTTGTACCCTATCCTAAGAACTCTAGCAGCCTTGATCTCCCCAGAGTCTCAGCTCTTTATTCTCAACTCATGAAGTTTGCCTGGGTCTACCTGGGTTCCCCTTTCTTTGTGCTGTGACTTGGAAACTCTCCAAACTGAGGCAGCTGTAGCACTCACCTCATTACATCTCTCAGGGATCACCATCTTTCTTTGCCTGATATCCAGTGTCTTTCAAACCTATTGTTTCATATATTTTGTCAATTTATTTGATTGTTTCAGCTAAGAGAGTAAGCCAGTCCCTGTTACTCAATCTTGGCCAGAAGTGGAAGTCTGCATTTAAACTTTAAAGCATGTGTTTGTTCTAAAAGTTATTTATACATTTCACAGAATTAAAAGTAATTGATTTATGTATTTTTCAAATAAAATCATAGTCTTGTTCACCTGAAAAAAAAGTAAATAAACATTCATTTCATTGAGTTATCTTGACCGGCTAAGATGAAACTATTTCAGTAGGTGTGGAGTTTGCTGCATGAATTTCTCACCACATGGGCATTTCTCAGGTTAAGTCTATACTCCAGGTAGTTTCTGTCCAGTTGTCCAGAGACATATTTGGAAAAAATAAAATTAGCTTTACTAATTTAGAAAGTTTATTTTTGACAAAGTATAAGTTCATGTTTCAAAAATTCTTAAGCACTCTGTTAAAAGCACAAATAAAAGTAGAAGGATGACTCTCCATGCGAAGTGGAGTGAACACACTGGGAAACCAGAGCTGCCCACATGTGATGTGAAAACTGTGGTTGTCCTACACTTCTCAAATGTCATTAAAAGGACCTCGAGTTTGGTTCTCCAACATTCAATAATTGCCTGAATGCCACATGAGCACTGAACTTGCTGAACAACTAGACACATTCTGAATAAGCTGCATTTGGACAAAAAAAAGAATTGAATGTGTACTCTTCTCCATGAAGCTTTTAAACTTCCCTTCGAGAGTTAAACCAAACCATTCACTTCTGCAATGAAACATTTTGGATTTACGTGATTAGATGCATCTTTCCATACATTGTCCTCAAAAGAGCTTGTTACCAAAACAGATCAAGCTCAGGGTTTCAAGTGGTTATGTAACCATCTTTTGCATAAGGAGCTAGCAATTAGGTGGAGTATTGTTGATGAAATAGAAGACCATATTTTTAAAGTGGTCAGACTCCCCAAACTCTGGATCATCCTAGACTGATAATTTCTTTTGGAAAAATTAGTTCTAAAAACTCAGCTCCACTCATACTCAGTTCCATCAGTACTGAACCTCCATAGTATTAGTTACAATTGAATTATAGAAGATGTTTATAAAAATATAATTTTCCAAAATGATTGATTGTTGTGAAGATTATACTGTTTGTGTTATTTATCACTTTGCCTGATTGAGGATGGGGTTTTTAGTGGAATTTTTGTGAATAGGATTGCTGATGCTAAATTCAACCCATTACTTAATGAGTGTCCTTATTCCACGTATTTTTTATGTGGTCTATGAAGATGCAGAGGTGACTAAAGCAAGGTTTCTCCTTTCCAAGAATTTATAATCTAGTAGAGATAATAAAATGCAATCCTTTTAACAAACAATGATGGATTCAGCTAATAGATGAAGACGGTAGTGATCAAACAAAAGAAATGCAATAGGAATTCAGAAATAGAAGAGATGGAACAGACTCTAGTGCTTAGAGGAGACTGTATGCGGTAGATGTGGCTCTAGCTGGGTCTTGAAGGATGGATGAGATTCAGATAATTGGACAGGGAAAAGGAGCTTGTGGTGCTGCACAAGCAAACACCAGTGAGTCCAGCAGAAGCACCTGCTGGAGACACAGTGCACCAGAGTTGGAAAGATGGAGAAGCTTCCTGTGAGACAGTGCTTTTCAGCCAGGGCCTATTTTGTCCCCAAGAGACATTTGGCAATGTCGGGGGACATTTTTTCTTGTTACAACTGCAGATGAGCTGCTACTGGCATCTAGTAGGTGCAGGTCAGAGATGCCACTAAACATCTTACCATGCACAGAACAGTCCGTACAACTTAGAATTATCAAGGCCAAAATGTCAAAACAGCTAAGTTTCAGAAACCCTCCTGTAAGAAGAGCTTAAAACAGGATTTGAAATAGCTCACTAAATTGGCTTTCTTTATACTAACTGAAAAAGATAAAAAGGAAAGAGGGGGATGTTTAGGAAACAAATGGAATATAAAGCTTTAGGGGTAAAACTTCCTTACAGATGGCCTCAAGTGCAGAGTAGCTGGATTAAGCCCACAGGTTTGATCCATTGCATTGTCAAAATCTCTATTTCAAAGCAAAATGATCTACCTTCAGCTCTGGCAAGTCATATACTTACTCCTGTTGGTGTGAAGGGGAAGTAGGTCAGAGAATGTAAATAGTTCAGAATCACTATTAGGAAGATAAATCAAAGAACAAGTTCTACTAATGAAAGGCTAATAACATCAACCTTGATGATAAATGTTAATCATGATAATGATAAAAATTATGTTAATTACCTCCTGAGAGGCCTCTCCCTGCCACTCTTCATCACTCTCATCCCATTGTGCTATATATTTTTTCATAGCACTTAGTCACTTACCACTACTTGAAATTAGATAGTGAGAGAGATTGATTGATATTTTAATTCTTATTGAATGCCTGGCCCAGTAGAATGCAAGCTACATGAGGGCAGGAACTTTGTCTCATCTATTACCCACTGTATTCCCGGGTCTAGAGAGCTCCTCAGCTGGGCTTTGAAAAGTAGGCATTCAGTAATATTTATAGAACAAATAGATGATGATCACATTTGTATAGTGTACACTAGAAAACACTTGCATTTCTTTGAGAAATAACATGTGTTGGCACTACAGCAGAGACTGTGGTAACAAACAATATGAGCCTGCCCCTTACACACCTTACAGGCCAGCCTGAGAGGCAGGAAAATGGAAACGATAACTACAACCAAGTGTGATAAGTCTTCCAATATAGAAAAAAATGGTAGAACATAGCAGAGACCCATAACCGTGTCAGGGGAGGTAGACATTACTGTTATTTTATTAGTAAGAAAATAGCAGGTCATGGAACTTAACAGAATTGTTCCAAGTCATCTAGGTGAGAGGTGAAGATGAGATTCTTTTACATTTATACAGACTGCTTAGATATGAAGATTAATATAGTGTTACTATTTTGGAAATACACACATAACTGAAGTAGCAGCCTTATCTTCACTGTGCCAATATCTAGTTTCTTCCACTGTTGCTGACTGTGAGGGTTTCTGCACATGATTCTGTATCTGATCGTAATGGAAAACACATGTCCTCAAATCAAAATCAATTGAAGATGTCTACACAGTGAGATGACATTTTGTCAGTGCTAGGCTAGAACTGCATAGTTACAAGACCTCAAGCTTAGGTCTGGGAAGGATGGGAGGGGGTGAGGGTGGAAGAAGAAGGAAAAATTACCCGAATTTAATTCAGAATTAGGTAAGAACAGCCTTATGGATTTTCTGATAAAGGTGTTACTGTTTTATGCTGCAGCAATAGCTGCATGTATATCTTAAGGAAATGTTTATGAAATGTCAATTGTGTGCCAGACATAGAGCTCTTCCCTCTGGGAACATTGGCAATGTGTGGAGACATTTTTGATTGACATGTGATATGGTTTGGCTGTGTCTCCACCTAAATCTCATCTTGAATTGTAGCCCCGGATAATTCCCACATGTTGTGGGAGGGACCCAGTGGAATATAATTGAATTATGGAAGTGGTTTCCCCCATACTGTTCTCATGGTAAGTCATAAGTCTCACGAGATCTGATAGTTTTACAAGGGGTTCCCTTTTTGCTTGGTTTTCATTCTCTCTTGTCTGGCACCATGTAAGACGCACCTTTCCCCTTCCATCATGATTATGAGGCCTCCTCAGCCACGTGGAACTGTAAGTCCATTAAACCTCTATTTCTTTATAAATTACCCAGTCTTGGGTATGTCTTTATTAGCAGCATGAAAACAGACTAATATGACATGAATGGGGGAGGAGGTTTTTCTGACTTCTATTGGGTAGAGACCAGATATGCTGTTAAACATACTATAATGCATGAAACAGTTTTCCACCACAAAGAATTATCTGGTTCAAAGAGTCAATGATCCCAAGATTGAAAAATACTGCTGTAGACCTAAAAATACAAAGAAAGAATTCCTGCCTTCAATGATTCAAGGCAGGCAAATAACGACAATAGTATATGATAAGCCCCATTGTGGACAGTGTCTAAGATGTCTTAGTAACACACGGGAAAGCAACTCCTGAAAGAGTCACCAGAGGCAAACTATGCTTCCCCACCCTCACTCTCTGACACTCAGTATCAATCTTATGTCAAAATTAATCTATGTTTTAAGCATTGCTGCCAGAGATCACATAGCCTCAAAGAGTTAGTGAATTTACTCCCAGTGATTTTTAATTTATTCTGTTCTTTACTGTCTGCAGAAGAACAAAAGAGCCCCACATGGTAAATTAGGTTTAGAGACTGTCAAAGCATTTTTATATCAACCTTTATAGAACCGACCAAGCTGATGTTTCAAATAATAGAAATTACACTGTAGTTTGTATGTGGGGACTTCATTCAAAAATGAAAAAATAAAAAGAAAACACTTTAAGGTCACTTAATCTCTAGTGGATTACAACAGGCACAATTTATGAACTGGCACTATCTCCTTCATAAGCAAGTGATTTTTTTTATTATACTCTGCACATTTATGTAAAATAAAAATGTTCCACAAATTGTGATGCCCATGCAAATATAAGAGTATCTATAAGATAAGCTCTTATAGAAAATAGGAGTTTTATCTCTTTACATTGAATAGAAACACACACACACAAATCCCAGAGAAATCAGCCACATCAAACAAAACAGTATAGTGAAAATTAATCTTATTATAAGAGAGCTTACTTCTACCTGGTTAACTAAAGTACTATACCAACCACTTCAGATTGTCCAATAGGTCATAAATTCAATTTTCCTAACAGGTAATTAAGACATTTTACTGGATGACATCTAAAGACACAATGCACCCTTAGGGTTGAATGACTTGTTTTATAGTTCCCCTTTAGTTAAAAGTGATTTCCTTCTTATTTTTATTTAATTTTTTCAAAAGGGCCTTCTTAAATCAATTTGTTGCCACATGTTCAACTCACTGTCTGCCAGAGGACATGCTCATTAAGATGCATTTCCACCCATTCCTCTATCATTATACCATTTAACAATGCACTGCAAAGAGTGTAGAATGCAGAAAGGGCTTTTCACTTTCTGTTGCAAATGGAAATTTTGGCCAGAGGGTATTTTTCTGATCCATTCCAACCTAAGATATAGTCTTTTTTTTGATTATACAACACTTTTTCATGTCTTTGCTAGTAGATAATAGATTAGATATGAAACTGTCAAGTCTTATAGCTTTGACATCATATCAAATTTATCTGGATAGCTGACCCCCTCAACTAACTATTGCTGAAACCAAGCCAACTAGTATCAATCATGTTCATAAAGGTGGTCCACATATTTGTCCATGTTTTATAATGGATATTTGTTTTATAGATATTAAAAGAACTAATGACAACATCAATTGACCTGGAATTAAAGTGGTATTTAGGTGACTCATAGTTAAATAAAAAGACTGCTGGCCTAGTGAATTCATCATACAGACTTCTCTGAGTTTTTCATTGGCAATATAATCTCTATAGAAACATTACTGTTGTATACCTTAATTTCTGTGTATGCCTTAATCTCTTTTTTATGCTACCAAAATGATACAAGTGTGTCTCTGCAATTCTTATCTCATTGTGTTGTACCTTTGCAACAGTCAATGGTCCAAGTATAGAATTCAAGATCTGACCAGGCCAGAAACTTCATTTATCACTCACCAATTCAAATTTTACAAGCCATCTTCCATCAGCTTGTACTTTCTCCATGAGTTGTTTATTCTCTGATATGAAAATACATTAAACTGGACACCTCTAGTCTTTTCCATACAGCTTCTGCCTTTATTTCTCCATTAGATGGCCATCTATCTCTATTAGTGTTAATGTGATTCAAATCTGCAGGAAACTTTTAATTGCTAAAATGCTTCATGGTGTAATTTAAACATCCCTGTGGATAATTAGTGTATATTTAGGCATCTAAATATTCTCAGGCATAATTTAAGCTGCCCACAAAGCCTCTCCCTTAAAGTGACAAATGTCTGATTTAACTCTAGCTCCATTCACCAGTGCCCATTTTTACAACATGAATATTTACTATCTTAGGTGTGAGACAGCCTACACATTTACATTCAGGAATGTCTGTTTGCATTCAAACCTCACTATTAGTCATATGCAACGATGCCACATGGTAAAGTTTTTAGTTACCCTAATATATTTAAATGCAATACCTTCAAAACTAAGATGACCCTAATATTAATTTGCTTGTCCTCTACACAGCTAGGAAGAAATGTTTTGAGCAATACTGATTTCAGTAAAATGCACACTTTTATCATTAAAAATTCTCTTTAAATTTTTTATATGTCAGTTTTTGACCTCACAGTTTCATAGTGTCCAACATTAGTGCTGGTTCAAAAATATTCAAATCCATGAAATAATGAGAAATCTTTTAAAACTGTATGGCTACAGAAAATATCAAAGAAAATGTAAAATGTGCCCCTTAGTATGGAGGGCATTTTCATACAAAAGCACTTTGTCAAGTGTAAAACGTTTAACAAATAGGAAATGAGATATACAATATTCAATTAATTCAAATTTGTTGCAGCGTTAACTTGGGCTGAGCTAAATATTTAGTTATTTAGCTATATCTTGCTTATTTCTAAAAGAATTTGGGGGAGTTGGTGGCATTTATTCTCTGCATTGATAATGGAGTGTGAACAGGCAGTATAGAAGAGACTTGTCAAGCAAACCAGTAGAATGAGGATTATCAGATGAGTCCTTTAGCCTCCTGTACATAAATTCCAGGCCATGTCACAGCCAAATGTATATGCTTTTCATATACAACCTATATGTATGTATGTATGTATGTATGTATGTATGTATGTATGTATGTATTTCTTGAGACGGAGTCTCACTCTGTCACCCAGGCTGGAGTGCAGTGGTGTCATCTCGGCTCACTGCAAGCTCCGCCTCCCGGGTTCATGCCATTCTCCTGCCTCAGCCTCCTGAGTAGTTCGGACTACAGGCGCCTGCCACCACGCCTGGCTAATTTTTTTGTATTTTTTAGTAGAGACGGGGTTTCACCGTGTTAGCCAGGATGGTCTCAATCTCCTGACCTCGTGATCTGCCCGCCTCGGCCTCCCAAAGTGCTGGGATTATAGGTGTGAGCCACCGCTCCCGGCCCTATACGTATTTATTAAAACAGCTCAGATGGAATTTCTGGTCACAAATTTTTTGAGGTAGTTCTTATTGCTTTAGTATTTAAAGGTGTGAAAATGGTTTTCCATTCAGCCTTGTCATTAGTTGAGGTTATTCCTCTTGATAATTTGAAAAGATATAATAAACATAATTTATATAACTATGGGATACACAGACACATACGTATATGCACATACACACATAAAATGTTAAATGAGTTTTCCCTCCAATCCAGTAACACCCAAAACTATGTAATTTGAGCCAATGACTTATTATTTTTTATTTTATTTTAAGGCAGAGACAGAAATGAAATCTTTAGAAGGTGAAATTTCAGCTAACAATACAACACGATTCTGCTATTTGTAATACACACAAAAGAATTTAGAAAAAATAAGTTTTTCTTCCTTTTCTTTGTATAATTGAAAAGCCTAGATTTTTCTCTACAATAGAAGCCAAATTAATAGGCTAACTTTAAATTCATGAAACTTGGCAATTGCAGAAGTAATTATGACAGAGTAGCCAACAATACAGGTATACAATTACTTCTGTTAAGATATCTCAATTTCTTCCTGCAGTAATGCCAACATACACAGTCTGAGCTATGCACATTAAAGATCTCACAACTCCACTGACGTGAAAGTCACAAGGTGCCAGTCAAACAAAGTAAAGGATGGGCCGTTTCACTGATGGCAATGCAGAGCCATTGCCCTGGGGAGAAAAGATAGCAGATGATATTTTCTGTATTATACCCTACTTTTCTTTTCTTTAGGGAATTTAAACATAAAACAACTGACATGCTTTGGCAGATTTCAGAACCTTTCAACTCTTCCAGCTGACTTGTTCATAAACATTTGGTGGCTCAAGAAGAAAATTATTGGTAAAACAAGTTGGCTGAGCACTGAAATCACATTTTCATTGAAAAAGCCTGACAACATTTTAGTTCTTCTGGTTTATATCAAATAATGCTTTAAAGGACTGGCAGAATAGACTCTCTTCTGCTACATAGTGCATATACATATTTCATTATAATTTTCAGAGCAGTAGCATTTATTTAATAAGACTATGTTTGTTTTATAAAATTATTTTTCACAATGTAAGAAAAGTTACAAAATGCACTCATGCATGAATAAATGATATCTTTATATGATATTCAACTTCAAAATAAATAGTAGGGCAATAAAATAGTTTACCTCTTCATAGTTATTTAGAACAGAAGTGATCTAAGGAAGGTAAAATATATTTTACAGTAAAAACTCAGTGAATTAATGAATATATTTCAAAGCACTACAAACCTAACAAAATGAAGGCCACAGATTGTTAAGAGTAAATATTCATATGGAAACGAGATATTTTAGTCAAATATTTGGGTCCAATAAAATGTCCAATAGCTATCTGATTATTTTACCCGAATTTGAGATGGTATCAACATCATGAAAACATTTATCCAAACACACACTGACTGTCATTGGGAGTTTAAAAATAGATCTCTTGAAAGTTTGGTATAGGACCATAATTTTCTTGAAAGACTAATTACCTGAGTCAGATAAGCAGTTTTTCCAGTGGGATGTATTTGTATTTTTGTATTTCATTGCCTTTTAAAAAATCCATCATAGGAGGCATATTGAAAGACTTTGGTAACTATGAACCCATAAGTAACAAGCAATTGTTTCCATAAGAAGAACTAATGTAATTTTGTAAAAAGAATAGCTGTAGTCACATAACCTTATAATGGTTCTCCTGGAATAAGTTTGTGTGTGTGTGTGTGTGTGTGTGTGTGTGTGTGTGTGTGTGTGTGTGTGTACGTGTGCACACACACTGGGTCACGGGAAGGAGGATGAAGGTGGATAAAGGTCAGCAGCCCTATCTATAATGTATAAATGCATAGACTTCTCATTTTACAGAATGCCATCTTTGTGCCCTCATATAATGCCACTTTTTCTTTTGACTGATGAAGAAAATAATTTCATAGACAAGTATCAATTAATATTGATTTTCTTAGATACTTTTTCTATCTTTTCACAATAAGACCCTAAAGCAACATTGGAATTGCAGCTTAAGGCTCATTTCCTTTAGGAAGCAACAGGGGAGGGTGAAGGGCACTTCTTAGGCATCAATGGAAGAGAAAAGATAGGTTTGGGTTTTTATAACATTTTTAGCACCAAAAAGTAACATAGTATAGAAAAAATAAAATGCGGTAAAGTCTGATAAATGTCAGGTTTGAATCCTGGATATACCACATTCATTGCTTAATTATGGGCTTGTTACTTACTTCAATGCTTTGTGACTCTTTTTCCTTTACCTGTAAGCTGGAACTGATACCTTTCACCTGAGGATTAGCTGTGATGACTGAAGAGCTAGCAAATGCATGGAGAGGCCTAATACAGATAGGTACACAGTAAATAGATGCTTATAAGGAGTCTTGGCTAGGAGAATGACTTCTGGAGAAGCTGCTGTAAAGAGACCCAAATGGAAGTCAGAATCTTCCCAGTGCTACAAGAGAAGGAACCATTTCTCGCAATGATTTTGCATCTCAGGATCATTACGTGAAATGTAATAATCTTACATTATACTTCACAATACTGCCATGCCATGTATTCCCGCTTTATTTCAAATGAGAGATTCTGGTCACTGACTTCAAATATTTGAGCAATTCTTCTATTGTTACACCCCTCTTATCTCCATAATCCTATCTCTACTTTCTGTTACAGGCAGAAAAATACAGTAACCTGTGTCCTCTCTCCCTCTGAGCAGTTAATCACACCTTTTCTTGTTCTTGGAATGCTCTTTCCATTTTCCTTAGCAAAGCTTTTAAACTCCTTTCAAGATTGTTCTAAAGGAGCAGGACTCTGAGACAATCAAAATATGCCTCTGAGTTTTATATGTCATACATTTTTTAAAAGCCATGTGTGGCCTTCCCATTCCATCAGCACGAGAACATAACCTCTTGTTCAATCCTTCTCATGAGGTAGGTCATCATACCCTTATTACCTGACTTACAAACCAAATAAAGAGACTCCCCAGAGATATGTCAAACATTTGAAAAATTCATGAGGTAACTGCAGTCAACTGGATAAAAGCCTTGAGTTAGTATATGCAGGGTTAATTTATTCAGACACCATAAAATGCTCAGTGACTTCAACAATCATTGACCCTCCTGGTATTGGTTTTAGCTTCCCATCAATTTATCTCATTTTATTATCTATTTTTTAAATAAAATCTACTTGGTATAAGAAGTATAAGAAAAAATCTGTGCATAAAATGGAGAATTAATATGATTCAGGGAAATATAGTTTTTAAAGTAATGAGAAGTATGGAAAGAGAATTAAGGCAAAAAAAGGGGAAAACAGGAAACAGTGATATAGAATCAAATACAGGTTAAGACAAGACACAGAAAATTCAAATGCTAGAGTGATACAGACAATGATATTTAACAACAGTCAGTGGACCCCTGTTAAGAATCCAATTTGTGTTAGATGTTATGGAGGATGATAGAGAACAGAGAATAAAAGCAAAGGGGTGCGACCTCTGTCTTCTAAAATTTCATAAAATAACTGAGGGGGAAAAGAGCCTCTTACATGAAGGAAGTTTTTAAAAACTCATAAGATACCAAAGGGGAAATCTACTTTGGAGTCCTAAGATACAGCAGATGCAAGAGAAAACAGCATGGGGTTTGGAATCACCCAGGTCCTAGTCCCCTATTCTGCTCCTGAAGGATCTCATAATCTTGGGCAGCTCATGTGACCCAGTCTGGATCTGTTTTCTCATCTGTAACATGAGAAGGTTTACTATATGATCCCAGTGGTATTTAGGGTAGTCTATGATTTTAGAGAAACACCCATGAGGAGGTATACCCCATACTCTAGATGTAAAAGATCCTTGGAAGAAAATAATTCTGAGGAGGAACTTCAAGGAGGGGAGATGAGTAGAGGTTATTGACAAACTGTAAAAGATGAATATTAGGCAATGCAAAAAATGTGCACAAAACCCAGAGCTAGAAAGAAAACAGTCATATGCGGAAGGCAAAAGTCATACCTTCTTGCTGGAATATGGACTCAGTCAGAGAGAAATAACAGTAATTAGATGGGAAAGAAAATAGGGTCCTGTAGATCAGCAGCTCAGCTGAAAAAAGGAAAATACACAGGAATAAAATGATGAATACACTTTCTGAAGAGTAAGCAAAAGTATTTTTATAAGAAAAAAGAAAAAGTTTTGAACAAAAAAGAACAGAGAAAGTGAAATGCAATTAAAAGTCAGAAAAGTAGAAAAACAGCTCTTGGGTTGATAAATAGAGGAGAAAAGTGACTGGTTGTGAGAAAATGAATGAGTAGGTGGTTTCGAAAAAGTGGGTTGAAGCTAAACATAGATAAATGGTCAAAGATTTGAACATATTTCTGAATTGGAGCCTTTAGTACTGCATCAAATGGGCATTTCATGGTCATTGCATCAGGCCAGAAAGTTTGGCTTCTGTAAGCGTTTTAGTTGCCATACTTGAAGCATCTCAAAGCAGGATAAATGTAGAACTGGAAATAAAATTGTTGGAGGATTCTGATGTAATACTTTTCTTCCTCCTGAGCTCAAAACCAATTAATTGGTCTAAAATTGGACTTCCAGAAATACCAAATGCAATGCAATCCTAATAATAATTATTATCTCAGCTAACACTTATTGAACCTTTCCTTGCATCAAGAACCAGGGTGTGTTATATTGTGAAGGCACAATATCATTTAGTGCTTCCTATGAGAGGACAGAAAAAGATGTGGGTGGCCAGAAATTGTGATTTTAGTCTGTTTATAGTTTCTTCATTATACATAGAATTCAGTGCTTCTTGTATGCAAGAGTATTAAAACTCAGATGTTAAGGGCAAAGAAAACTCATCAGTCATCACCACACTGGGGAAGTACAGATAGAAGTATCATTATCGTCTCACACAGGATGATCCCAATGAATCTATAGCATTAAAAAGAAATCAGGGAAGCGTAAAACATGAAAAAAACTGCAGTGCATAAAAGTTAAATGAGGCAATATAATAGAACACATGCTCTTAAAACCTTCAGCCTCTTATTTTTATTCTGTAATGTAAACATAGTATTGCTACCTGGAGGGTGGATAAGTAACAGCTGAGGACACTTTAGTTCTCATGAGAGTAAAATAAGCAAACATTACTCAAATTTATAATTAACTAAATGGCTTCTGTTAAAACTATGAGAGGCACCCTTTTGAAATGCAATGGCTTGTAGGTGAGGTTTCCTTCTAGTTACTAAAAATAAAAAATAAAATAAAAACATCTCCAAAGGTATGCCTGGTAGCTATCTAATTAATGATCAAAAATGCATTTACTTTGGCTTAATTTCACACTTTTATGTGAAGTCTTATTTGATTGTAATTAGTATAGACTACAGAACTTAATTAAGACTAATCATTCCTTAATGCAATCGGATTCCCAAAAGAACAATATAAACAGATTTTTATTTGTATTAGTGATGCAAACTTGTAAAATATAGAGCCAATTATAACCTATAACAATGCTTCCAAAATATATAATAAAAATAAATTATGGGTGCATTACCAGTTTCATGAGTACACTAAGAATGTAATAACAGTGTTAATAATCAACCCCATAGTATCAGTTTTCCTTCTTAATGCTAAAGATACTTATGCAATCACAATTATGATGCATATTAAAATATGTCACCTTTAAATGAGATTAAGCATTAAAAGACTTTAAGACACTGTAGGTTCTATGATGACAACACAGCTTCCCAGTTAAACTCTGAGTGATAGGAAATCTACAATTTCTAGATTACATAAAATTCAGTCCCCTTAAATTTTGAGAAGTTAAGCAGGGTTTCCTCAACCTAGGGGAAAAATGGTGAAGGAGGAGGGACTCAGGAAACATTTTTGCCTTGTAAATTTCAGAGCATAATAGCAACTGAACTTCTCTTGTCAATTATATCCTAACTCTGTGTTTGTTCCTCCAGCCTCCTGAAAGGATGAACCCTCCTCCCCATGCCAGAGAGAAACCGATAGCCAGTCTCTTCCATTATACATTCCTGTTGGAATTTATGAAAAGACGGGAAGTGTTAATTTGTCTTAAGGTAGAACTGTCTAATGAAATTCTTCAATTGGAATTGGAATCTACCCTAAAATGCCTGGAATATTTCATACAATTAAATTTGGAACCCTAACTGCTCTCCATCCATTTCCAAAATGTGCCAAATTGAACACGTTAGCACAGGATGGATTCTCTTGACTGAGCCTTGAAGCAAAACTTGAAAAATATAAATTGGCTTACAACTTCTACTATACTAAAATTACTTTCCAGCTGGGCTTTAGTCAGACATTAAGGGGGGTGCAATATTTGAAAAATGTAATCTAAACAGTATGTTCATATTTCTTAAATATTGTGAGTTTCTCCTCACAATGCTGCAGATTCATAGCAGCTTGTTGGTGAGACAGATGCCAAAATCTTATGCCAGGAGGGTAGGGAAACAGACTTTTAGATTTGGTAAATTAATTAATCCCTTACCTGCTGCCATAAATTTTAAAAATTCCGAGGGTGAATTCAGCCAAGTTCATATTGACACACAAAAGGGATAAGTCAAAATCAATATCATGCTTGAAAAAAAAAAAACAAGATACCTAATTTAAATCTATCACCCTACATTACTTTTACCTAAAATCTTCCTAGCTTTCCTTCTTTTTCAGTCAACACACAGGTTCATCACATTCTACCTTTTACTAAACATGAAGGAATCCATGATCTAGCAAAGGTTAGATAAAAGGATTCACCAGGAATTTCTAAAAGTATTTGCTGTTTATTAGGGGTAGCTGTATGGCTTTCATTATAGTTAGCAATTATTAGCTATCTCTATTGTGCCAGAAAAGTAGGGTAAGATCAAAAACCATGGCTACTATCTACTTGGGGTTTATAATCTTTTCAGAGGAAACACTAATCTCTCAAAAAATTGTTGAGAACTCTGCAGGCAAAATACAATGAAGTCCTTAAATAAGGAATACATAAAATAGATGTTGAAAGGAAGGAAGAGATGGGAGTGATTGGCTAAGACTTCAACAAGGAGGTGAAACTTGAACAGGATCTTCACTCATGCTTAAGACTTGGATAAAAAGAAAGCAGGGGTGTGTGTGTGTGTGTGTGTGTGTGTGTGTGTGTGTGTGTGTGTGTGTGTCTGTTGGGTATTCAAGGAGCATGAAACAGCAGATGATAAAAAGCATGCCACTAATTATTTATCTCCCCCATCACCAAGTATGTTTTTAAACTTCTCAAACTTATGTTTCTGCCTCTTGAAACAACTTTAGACTCAGAACTTGAGAACCTGATATCTGAAGTTCCTATCCTCCAGAAAGAAACCACCAGCAGCAGTATTCTTGTGTGATCTAAGTACGAAATGAAAGAAAGCAACTATGCACATCTATGCTAGGTAACAGGACATTCTCCATTCTACAGCTAGCAAATTCTGTCTGTCATTTTCAAAAGGGTATTTGTGAAGTCCGATATGCCACATAACTTGATACTGTGAAGCTTCACACTAAAAGTCTAATTCCTCAGTAAAACTTTATAAAGATAGTCCAGCCTCTGCCATTAGGAGTGCCCACCCCTTCCTCCCACAGATGAGATAAGGAGCAAAGCAGCAGCCATCCTCACTCATTTAAGTGTGAGTAGTGGGTTGAAATTTATACGTGTTGCACTAAAACAGACAGAAAAGCATATTCCTACCCAGTGAAAAACAAAGGGAAAAAAACCTTAGATTTGCTGCTAATAAAGGTGTCTTGTCTTGTCTTTTCTTTTTTTCTTTCTTTTTTTTTTTTTTTTTTTTGGCCTTTTAGTCTCTTTCCATGTATAGGAATATTTTAGGAGGTAATCTCTGTCTTTTAAGGATAAATTATAGGCTTTCAAGGTTCCTAATGCTTCCTCTCCCCAGAATGGCATCCTAAGAGTAGCAAAAAGCTTGGATGGGGCCACGGCATTGAGTGAGGTTTCAGATTTTTCGGTGGGTCTGTGGTCAGTGTCTCCAGCTGGTCTAATCCTGTCCCGAGCTCCTTGCTCAGTTGTCTGCTACGGTGTGACTACTGAATTTTGGGCTTTTTCTCTTAGTCTAGGCCAGGTTACCTTCCCTTGCTCACTCTGCCTTACCTTTGCCCTTGGTAGCATGAGGAACCCTTTGTGTCTTAGCCATGTCCTCCCGCTTGACTGGCTTAAGCTGAGCTCCCTGAGGCCTGTGTGGTAGGGTCCCAAGCTTTGAGCTCAGCTTCCTTCTGTACATCCAGAAGGTCATAAGATGACCTCTGAATCACTTCCATGACATAAATCAACCAGACTAGGCAAGGAGTCATTAACTCATTCCCTCTCTATGACTAGGCATTTGTTTTCACTTTCCAATAACTGGAGGGAGGAAACTAGGACACAAGAATCAGACAGCTTGCTTCTACTACATGAGTTTCCTCCACCTCTATGCTTCTGCTATCAGAAGCCTAAGGGCTTTATCACATCCTCTTCCCACTTCTGGTGGCACTTATGCCCCGCTTTCCACTTTCCAATATGAATGAAGTTAAGCATCAACAGAGGAAGGTAACCTAAAAGAAACACACCCATTTGGTGTACTACTTTAAAAATACTATCTCCATCTTTTCTAGGATATGACAGTATCCATACAAAATCAAGCACAAAACTTGTTTAAAATATTTTATTCTTTAATCCCCAATGAAACAAATCTCCCCAGCACGTAGATGTTGTCTTATATTTACACTCTAATTTTAGAAGAATAAAGTAAATGTCAATTAAACAACTTCATTTTAGGTAGGATTTTGACTAAAGATGAAAGGGAAGAAAAAGGAGGGCAAGGAGTAGACTAAAGGAAAGAAAGGGGAGAAAGAAAAGAGGAGTGGTTTCCTACACCAGGGAATATTTTCAGCTCAATACAGAGTCAGCACAATGTATTTTATTCCTCAACTTTATAATAATCCTTGATGTTACTGGGACTAATTTGGTGGTAATGTAAGAAAATCCAGGATGGAAAGAGATACCAATTACATTATTACACTGTATTTCCAGGGATAAAGAGTAGACAAAACAGTGTTCTAGATTTTTGGCAATATGTATTTAAGAAAAAATAATTTCCTTTACTGCTTCAAAAATGCATTCAATAAAGATAACCCACTCTCCAATCACTGTAGTCCACAGCAGTTTATAAGTGTTTTCAATTTAGTCCAACATCAGAGAGAGTGCAATATTTCATTAGTAAAATTAAAGGACAGCTCTCTCGATCATTTATTTATACTTCTATGCATTTGCTAGAAGTATTTGTTTTGGCATCCAACATGCTGTTTCCAAGGGTAACCAATGAATATTGATTGATTAATAATTAAATTATTTTATTAAAAGCACCAATTTCTGTTTCTAGTGTGTTTCTAAATCATACATTAAAAACAAAGTGGCTAGATGCAGTGACTCACGCCTGTAATCCCAGCACTTTAGGAGGTTTAGGCAGGTGGATTGCTTGAGCCCAGGGGTTTAAGACTAGCCTGGACAACATAAGAAAGACCCCATCTCTACAAATAATTTTTTTTTAATTAGCCAGGCACAGTGGTACATGCCTGTAGTGCCATCTACTCCAGAGGCTGAGAAGGGAGGATTGCCTGAGCCTGGGGGTTTCAGGCTGCAATGAGCTGTAATTGCGTCACGGCACTCCAGCCAAGATGACAAAGCAAGACCTTGTCTGAAAAAAAAGAAAAGAAAAAAGAAAAAAAGAAAAAGAAAGAAAGAAAGAGACAGGGACAGAGAGAGAGACCAGTCTGACTTATTTTTTGGTAAATTAAAATAGGTTTCCATGTCTTTTCCAATTAGTTATTAAGTTGTGGAGTACCTTCATCCAGTCTGCTAGCTTAGTGCACACAGACAGACGAAGGAAAATAGAAATTACTGCTACAGCAGCATCTCTGCAGAGGTGTTAATACACACAGGATTAAGACATAAAAATCAGCATAACTGCAAATAACACTATTACATCTTTAAATTATATGTTGCTCTTCAAAGATACAAAATGTTATGTGACATGAAATAAAAAGTAAAGATGATTCCTCAAAACCTTTAGGAGAAAAATCAAGTGGATCAAGTAGTGAGAGCTGACAGAATCTACTGCAGAATACACTGTTATTAACTCTGACTTCAATAATGACATGTACCCTGTCCTCATTACATCCATCTATAAATAAGGCCTAGCATTAAAAATGAATAACCCAGAGAAATATGTTTCCATATAGCATTAAAATTCTACCTTCGACAAGCTTTTCTCATTTAATTCTAAAATGACAAGGACAAAGGCAGGTAACAACCACCTCCTTGTTAGGTGAGGTCTGGGTGAGATTTTTATCTCCTGAAAATGATGAAGTCATGAGAAGTAATTATTGACCCATCTTATTCTTCTTTGTCCAAATAAGGGAATTATTACACCTTTGATATTGATTCACATCACACTTTCCCAAAAAATGTCCCCTTAGATGGGGTCATTCTATTTCAAGGAAAAGAACAATTTAGTTCTTTTTACTACTCAGACTAGTTCAAATTAAAACTTTCCTTGAAACAGAATGACCCCATCTAAGGGGACATTTTGGGAAAATTAAGAGAACAGAATAGAAATATAGTCAGGAAGAAGAGCTTGATCTTGGAGAAGCAAGAGGTGAGGAATGTTGTTGCTGCCTCTGTATTCCAGAGATGCAGATTTGCTGGTCCATGAGTCTCTGTGATCCTAGGCTTCCCTACTGCCCATCTTCCCATCTCCTTATCCCAGCTCCTGCCACACCATCCCAGCTTTCCCTGCTTTGGGTGCAAATCATATTTAACATCCACTGCATACATCAACTCCCACCTTCTGGTCACAGACCCCACTAGAATTTGCTCTGAGACAGTCATTCTTAGCCATAGAGTCCTGGGTTGGGTAGGATTGATCCTTCTACCCTACTCTACTCCAGATGCCAGCTTTGAATCACAAGAGATGTTTGTTGATGGATTAACACCTTACTCTGAAATTTAGCTCCACTTTTAGAAAGACTACAGAAAACACATGGGATAGGACTACTGCAGAGTCAGGCTAGCTCAGGCATCATGAAAGCACATGCTTTAGCTGAAGATCCCAGCATCTAGCAACTCTTCCAAACTGCATTTCAAATAGGATTACCACACAGCAATGCAAGTTAATGCCGATTTTCCTACTTTTAGAAAAATGTAGATCATATTCACTACTTAGAAAAGTTTATGTCTAGGATTATATACATACTTTCAGGAGGGTAATCTGTATTTGAATGTTAGTATTGATGCTTATTATTTATATAATGTGGAACAAGTTGTTTACACTTGTTGTACATATACGTGTAAAGGAGTGTGTTTTCCCTTCTCTAAAATAGTTTCTTAACACCATAAACGATTGTTATAGGGATCAAATAAGATAACATATGCAAACTACCTATCTCAGGACTCAGCACCCAGGAATTCTCAACATAGGCTTTCTTAGATTTTCTAAGACAGAGCTTCCCTCAGTCCCAGGCTGGAGTGCAGTGGTGCGATCTCAGCTCACTGCAAGCTCCGCCTCCCGGGTTCATGCCATTCTCCTGCCTCAGCCTCCCAAGTAGCTGGGACTAAAGGCGCCCGCCACCACGCCCAGCTAATTTTTTTTTATTTTTAGTAGAGACGGGGTTTCACCGTGTTAGCCAGGATGGTCTCGATCTCCTAACCTCGTGATCTGCCCACCTCAGCCTCCCAAACTGCTGGGATTACAGGCGTGAGCCACCGCGCCCGGCCCTATAGGCTTTCTTAGATTTTCAAGCTACAATTCAAAGCCTTACAAACCTCTTCATGCTTTTCTCTGTCTTACAAACTGAGCAGTTTAAATATATTTTATGCCAGCCCTCGTCAATTATGTATTTCTTTCCAAATTCACCTATCCACCAAGCAAATCCCTCCTGCAACAATCTTGTCTTACAGAGGCAAGTCATCTGTGATGTGGCAATGGCTGAGTGACCTTGAAGTGAGAATACAATTAAAATAGCAAAAGTATATCCAAGAGTTATACCTGCTGTTCTCCCCAACCATAACCTCAGAAAATACACTTAGCTCATTGTTTTCTATAACATGTATGTATAAACATATATACACAAATATAAATGCACGTATATATTTATGTTCATCATGAGCACATCAGGTGATTCTTTGTCTCCCCTTCTGTCTTTCATGCACACACATGCACGCAGACACAGACACACATGACCCCACCTTTGGCCATGGGTCATCCGGTTTCATACATTTCCCTGTCTCAGAGGCCTCCAGCCAAATTGACCTGTATGTTGTAGCTGGTCAGCAAATGTGTCTTTGTTGTTATTGTTCTTGTTCTTGTTGTTGTTTTTCACGTGAACAGATTTGGGCCACAGAGTATTTCAAATGTGTATGAATTACCTTCTCATTTAAACCTTTTGGTAATGTCACATGAACATCTATATGTGTACTATGTACTGATGTACTGAGTGTGCATCCCTATATGGTTACATTTTCACTTTTGACAAAGCTCAAGCTCTCAGTTATACTAAAGGCTCTATCACTCACTATTAGATTCTTGACTACAAGGCTAAATGTCACTTACTATTTGTCTTATTACACCTGGCTTCTTTCCTCATTCACTTTACCTTCATAGCCTTTATGGGTATTTCACTTTGTGCACTCTGGACTATGCTTTTATGTCCATTTTAGTGTCTGTTTCTGATTTTAGATTCCAGGAGGAAAGGAGCACACTGGTTTGACTTGCTTTTTATACTGTCTGAAAGTGTCATATCTAAATGGAGATGCCTAAGAAATGTGTGACATTAATGATGACAATGATACAAGCACTCAATGATTTGTTCTCATATACATCCAAAACATCTGAAGCACCTTCTTGGTTGCAAAGGCCAGTACTGACAATCCTCGGTTTTTCATGGTCTGTTTCTCCACTTTATGAATCATTCAGGTGGCTTTGTTTCCCTTCATTTTGCTCATCACTTGACTGAGTATTTGCTCCAGTGCGAGAGCATGAGTAGAAAGATGAAGGAACTAACATCTCTTGATTAGACTGCTGATGAGAGGAACAGTTGGAACTCAAAAAGAGAGCAAAGCTTTTAGTGTTTAACTTTGTTTTCTCTATTCTTCAGTTCTTCAGATAATCTAAAGTTGGGCAAACATGTTTTAACAGACATTGCGGATGACCCATGCGTAGTCTTGGGTCCACTCTATGGGCTGGTATCAGGCTGACTTACAATTGCTAGTAGCTGTCATTTTTTCCTAGAATGATAAATAGGTGAGTTGCCAAGATGTGCTACTGTGTGGCAAGCCAGAAGTTCCAAGTTGTTAACACCCCCAGGGACAGGGCAGTTTTCAACCAATGTCTTGTAACTAAGTGTGCAATTGTCCTACCTCCTTCATGCCTTGAGTGTGTGTGTTGCCTTGCTTCCCAGTGTCTGCCCTCAGAATCAAGTCTAGGCACCCACTGTAGTGCTGCCTTAATAGTTCTCCGTTTATTGGCTGTTTTCTTTTTCCTATATCACTTCTCCATCCCCCATAGGCTTTTCCTGAGCTTTCCAAGTAGACTCCTTGTACTCAAGTGTGGTCTTCAGGTCAGCTACTGGGAGAACCCACAATAAGACATATATACCTCTGGAATAGCAAGAGCTACCAAGAGACAATTATCTAAATTGGTTCCCATGGTTTCCACAAAACCAAAATTACACTTTAAGACAGAAGCTCTATCAAATCAGTTACAGCCTTCAATCAGTACAAGTTCTGCTAAGAGAACAAATTTTATCTACCACACTTGAGTCATTTAATTAAGGTCTTGGTAACTTCAGAAGGAAGATTATTGTGAAACAAAGACAGTTTAGTCAGGCTTTTTATCTTGGTTGATCTGAAATGCATCTTTATTGCTATATCAATCAACTAAATTATTTTTTCCAAGTCTGGAATAAAATTATATATTGGTGTGTTGGGCAAGAGAGACAATGAGGATAAAATTTTAATTTGTTTTCATGAACGTGACTTTGTAGCTTATGTGACTGCTGAAGGGGACTCTGTAATTTTTATTACGGTAAAGTGACTAATGGAGAAGGCAGAAGCCAAATAAGAAATCCCGTTTTAGGGCCAGACAAGCTTCTGAAAATTGTGAAAACCAAATAGTTGCAGTTTGGCATTCAAAGTTAATGAACCTGAATTACAAAATACTCTTGACAAATTTAATTTGGCCTTGGGGCAGTGGCAAGGAAATAGGAGAATCTGAAGAAAAGAAGTGAAGCAGAAGAAAAATTAATGGGATGAAAGAATTGGCTATGAGGACAGAATGCAAACAATAAGGCCAACAAGAATCCTTAATTCCTACTGCCTTATAAATATACAGCATATGAAAGAGCGTACAAACAAACTGATGCACTACACTCAATTTACCCAACTCTCCAGCTACTCAGATGCACTGAAAACCACCCAGCTGGCATTTAGTATTCTGCTACTCTGGAACCCAAGCAATATAGCTTCAGAAGCCAGGAGAGAAGATGTCCCCCTCTCCACTGCATACCCAGGTATATTCATGACAAAAAAAAGGTAATCAAAAGAGAGACTCTCTCTCGCTCTCTTTTTTTAATTCCAAATATATCACTTAGCCAATATACCTTTCTATAGAACATGGTTGACTTTAATATTTTTATTTAATTTCTTACTCTATTATCATAGAAGCATATCCTTCATGTGACCAAAGCATTTTTTTACCTCCCTCCACAATAGCAGTTATGTTAGAATCATTTTGCATGCGTTCTCTCTGACTAAATGGTGAGCTCTTTGAGCTTTGGGATCCTGACTTGCTCTATTTTGTATCACCAAAACCCAGCATTGTATATGACACATAATTACTGCTGAAAAATCTCTTGAGTTTTAAAATGCTAAATTATATGCCTAGTACTTTATGATGAGGCAAAATGTACAGCCTTTCTATTGAACTTCATTTGTCCAGGTCCTTTTTATTTAACACATAACCATCTTTCTTTCTCCTTTTTTGGGGAGGACAGGTATTCACCTGTGCCAGCAGAGACGATGTGATAGTTTTGATGTCTTTCCCACATCTGATTCTTCTGATTTACCTGCTAATTTGTGATACAAAACCACCTCATCTGCTGTGTTATGCATCGTTTCGCCTCTGAATATTTTACTTCTTAAAGGGAATTTTAATTTGTGAAAATGCTCAGTACTCAGAAGAAACACCATCGGCCAGGCACTGTGGCGTGTCCTAATCAGTATCTCCATCTCAAACAAGGTATTAGAGAAGGGGAAGAACAAACTACAAATATTTCCCTGATTCCTCAATCTAGTGTATTTAATGTAGAAAGCTGTTGTGAACTTGTCTGCCATTACAGTAAATGTCCTATGAAATAAGGCCATTTTCCCCCACATTTTGCAAAGCACCTCCATCACGAGTAATTAGTGTCAATGACAGTGTTTCTTGCCCCACATTCCAGCACAGCCCATCTGCTGCACGTCCTGTAATGCCCTCAGACAGTCTCAGGTTCATCTGCTCCCTGCCTGGCATGGTCCCCCCCCTACAGTTCTGTCCATCTGCTGTCTTCATCACTCTGCCCTTTTAAAGTCCTGTCAATTTCCTGACTCTCGGCCACTCTTGCTCAGGCATCTTGATCACCTTGGGCTGACACAACGATCTACTCCACCAGCTTGTTCTATCAGCTCAGGTGTCTCTGTCCAAAGACCAATCTATCTGAAAGGATATCTGCCCCTCACATTACTGAAGACAAAAATGAGTATAATGTATGAGAACATAAACTAGGCAGGACATTAGTGGAAAATGCAATCAATGAGAGTTCTAAGTTCTACTCTGGGCTCCGCCGTTAACTACATGTATAAACTCAGAAATGTCGCTGATTTCCCTTTTGACCTCGGTTGCCTCAGTTCTTAAATGAGAAAATTGCATTATATTTTCTCTAAGAACATTTCTAACTCAATGATTTAAAGCCATCGTCACTTTAGGTTAGCCAATTCAATGAGGACTATTTTTAAAACAAGAAAAGAAAGCAGAAGACAGGACAGATACACAGAATAAAGAAAGAAAGCATCAAGTTAAGAATTCACATGTGTGAAACCATTAGAATGCTGTATGACCCTAGTACTAGCCACTATCATTATCACCTCCAAATGATCTCCTAGCTTCCTCCCATGACACCTAGATTTTAAACCCAGCACTTAGAATAAAATGAATTAAATATAAATAGATCATATCTCTACCCCTCTCCCAGCTGGCTGCCCACTGCACTTGGAATAAATTCAAATTCCCTTCCACGGGTTCCAGCCTCTCTGAGCTCATCTTGGGTCACTCTCTCTCTTCCTGAAGTACAGCCCCACCAACAGTGCTTTAGTCTTTGGAACATACTGTGTTAGTTTTGTGCGCCATGAAGGAATACCTGAGGCTGGGTAATTTATAAAGAAATTAGGTTTCCTTCTTTGGCTCATGCTTCTGCAGGCTATACAAGCATGGTGCCAGCATCTGCTCAACTTCTGTTGAGGCCTCAGGAAGCTTACAGTCAGGGCAAAAGGCAAAGGGGCAGCCAGTGTATCACATAGGAAGAGAGAGAGAACAAGCAAGAGAGAAGTCAAAGGCACCAGGCTCTTTTAAACAACCAGATCTCACATGAACTCAGAGTGAGAATTCACTCATTACTGCAAGGACAGCACCAAGCCATTCATGAGGGATCTGCCTCCATAACCCAAATACCTCCCACTAGGCCCTCCACCAACACTGGGGATCACATTTCAACGTGAGATTTGAAGGGGACAAAATATCCAAACCGTATTGTATACCAAACTCATACCCCTCTCCTTCTGGCTTGGCATTTGCTCTTCCTTCTACTGGGAATACCCATCTAACAAATTCTCACAAGGTTGACTTCCCTGTGGGACTTCAGTCTCAATGAGAATGTCCATCTGCTCCTAGAGATTTTCTCCTGACCACCCATTTATATTAACCCCATCAACCATCCTTACCCCAATACCCTGCTTTCATTTCATTGTATCATTGACCACTGTCTGAATTTACTGTATTTATCTACTCATTATTTCTCTAGCCTTGGTAAAATGTAAACTTTTGGGGAACATTTGTTTTTCTGATTCATTGTTTTTCTGATTCATTCCTGCATCCTTATCACCTAGGCCAGTGCACAAAATGACAAATGTTTGGTAAATGGAGGAATGACAGAAGAAGTTACTCGGGCAGTGAAGACTTCTTGGACATTTTAAATGACAGACTTGATTTTTTGGTTAAGCAGGAGTGGAGCAGATTTTGAATGGAAAACAGAAAAATAAAGTATCATTGGCAGGAAAAATTTACATGCCCAAAATTGGAAATCCATGAGAGACTTCTCAAGTGATAAGTTTCTTTGGAAAACATAAATTTTCAGAGGGTGAGGACAAAGTTCTCTAGCTTACAGCCACAAGGATGGTCTCTGCTGGAAGCTCCACACATGGAGCCAGTTTACTCACACACCAGTGGAGGCCAGTCTTCCCAAGTAAGATCACCCAAGATCACACGCTGGTTGGAGAAAAGATTCAGCAATCTCAAACTACTTTTTAAACACATTTATCAACTCTCTCTGGCAGATTTGGAAGGAAATTCAAATTAGGTATTATTTCCTCCACTGCTCATGGACATTCTTTTCCACAATAGGTAAAAATCAGAAGACTTACAAATCAGACTGAAATACCTGATCTCATATTAGCATCCCTGCTCCACTTCTGAGGCCAGAGACACCAAAATCCAGCCCAAGAACTTCCTGACTCACTTGCTTTTCTTAAAATAGAGCCTTTGGGAAATCTGTACAGACCTAAAGCACATTAGTGATTGCCTGGGGCTGAAGGTGAGAAGAAGTAACTGTAAAAGGACACCAAGAATCTCACTGGGGAGACGGCCATATTCTAAAACCGGATTGTGGTGACAATTAAACAACTCAGTGCATTTACTAAATATTATTAAATTGGGTGAATTTTATGGAATGCATATTATATTTCAATAAAGGTTTTGTTAAAAATAAACATTTGGACTTCATCAGCTGATTTTCCCTGACCTTCAGTTTCAAGGGGAAATTTTCTATAAAAATATATTTCTTCTTTTCTTTCTTCATATTAATCTAAAGATGTGGGGAAGTCTTGGCTTAATAATGTTGCTGGAGTTTCCCAGAAGAGAAAATTTCCATTGCAAAAATCTGTTATTACTTCTTTCATCCTTTTTGTCAAATGGAAAGTGAGTAGGTGTAAAATATTTGGCACAATCTTTGGCACTTGACCAAATGCAAAAGGACACAATTATCAGATTACATGAAATATCGAGGGGATAATCCAAGCAAAGTTATGACACCAGTCTTGGAGCAAAAGTCAGAAGCCTAAGTTGAGTGGTGGGAAAGCTGGCGAGAAGAATGAGCTTCCATGAGTACAGTATTCTGGCCCTTCTCTGTCTCTCCCTTCCTAACTCCATGTTTTCCACTTCCACGGCTACCTCATCCCTCTCTTCTTGTAGTAAAAACATGCCCATTATTTCTCACCTTTAACCTATCCTCACATGCCTGACTTCTCTATGTGGTTTTTCTTCCATTTACAGCTAACTTTTTATTCAGTTTTCATTCTCTTCTCTATATTTTTTAAAGTATTCCATTCATCAAGGCAGTAAAAATATGAATAGCCCCAGTGGTTCTCCACCATGGAATTGCTACAGATGTGGCATACTTTCCCATATAAGGCATATCAGTATTTCATTGGGTAGGAGTCACAGTCCTCTACCCTGGCTAAACAGCCTTACAAAATCAAAAGTAGTAATCTCTTTTATTTGCTCTCTAGTTTATATGTGACAGCTGAGACAGACCTAGATATGCGACATATTGAAATGTTGCTTGAACTACTGTGAGTCTGAGTTCTCTTCTGTGAAATGGAGGTACTGATAACTACCTTTCAGTAATGCTGAAAGATAATGAAATAACACCATGCATGTTCTGTCACAAAGTAGGTGTCCAATTTCAGGTGGCTAAATAACTCTCTATCAACACTTTTGCTGTCACTAACGTCTCTGGACTCTGGGACGGCACCAAGTTATTCCCGAAACTCACTAGACAAATTGTTAAGGCATCAAAACAGCATTGATCCTGTTTGCAAAATTATAAGCTATGCTTACAGTTATACATTCTTACCAGTGGGAGCTGACAGAGTGACAGAAATAAGATTTTACAATGGCAGTTTACAAAGGTACACTTGATACTGTTGGCAGGAATGGTTATCTGTCAATTCATGTTCTCAGATAATGAACACTAATCTGACTTTCAAAAAAAAATCATGGGAACACTAGCGCTGTTTGACATTTCCTTAAAAAATGCAGGAGAAACATTACAACTATCTCTACCTTTAGAAGCTTGTTATTTGCTTCCTTGCATGTGTTACTCCGTGTGCATTACTATAAAGAAATACCTGAGGCTGCATCATTTATAAAGAAAAGAGGTTTAACTGGTTCTTGGTTCTGCAGGCTGTACAAGCATGGCTCCAGCATCTGTTTCTGGTGAGGGCCTCAGGATACTTAAAATCATGGTGGAAGGCAAAGGGAGAATGGATGGTCATATGGCGAGAGCAGAAGCAAGAAAGTGAGGAGGGGGTGGTCCTAGACTTTTGAATTCGATTTCACATGAAATAACTGAGCAAGAACTCACTCACCATTAAAGGGAATTTCAACATGAGATTTGGAGGGGACAAACATCCAAATCATATCATTCCATCCCTGGCTGCCCAAATCTAATGTCCTTCTCACATTTCAAAATACAATCATGCCTTAGTAATAGTCCCCCCCTAATCTTAATTTATTCCAGTATTAACTCAAAAGTCCCAAGTTCCAAGTCCAAAGTCTTATCTGGAAATGGGTTCCTTCCACCTATGAGCCTGTGAGATCAAAAACAAGTTATTTATTCCCAAGATACAATTGTGGTACATGCATTAGGTATCCATTTTCATTTCAAAAAGGAGAAATTGGTCAAAAGAAAGGGGCTACAAGACCCACACAAATATGAAACCCAGGAGGGCAGTCATTAAATCTTAAAGCTCTAAAATAATCTCCTTTGACTCCATGTACCACATCCAGGGCACGCTGATGCAAGGAGTGGGCTCCCAAAGCCTTGGGCAGTTCTGCCCTGTGGCTTTGCAGGGTGCAGTCCCTGTGGCTGCTCTCATAAGCTAGAGTTTTCCAACGCTGTGGCTTTTCCAGGCACAGGATGCAAGCTGCTGGTGGCTACATAATTCTCAGGTCTGGAGAGCGATGGCCTTTTTCCCACAGCTCCACCAGGCAGTACCCTGTTGAGGACTCTGTGTGGGGGCTCCAGCCTCACACTTTCCTTCTGTACTGCCCTAGTAGTAGAAGTTCTCTATGAGGGTTCCACCACTGTGGCAGGTTTCTGCCTGGGCACCAGGGCTTTCTCATACATCCTCTGAAATCTAGGGGGAAGCTGCCAAGCCCCACTTCTCTCCTGCATTCTGCATGCCAGAATTAACACCATGTGGAAGCCACCAAGGCTTACAGTGGCTTTGACTCTCCAAAGCAGTGGCCTAAGTAGTATCTGGGGCCCTTTCAGCTGTGGCAGGGGCTAGAGCAGCCAGATAAAGGGAGCAGTATCCCAAGGCTGTACAAGGCAGCAAGAGCCCTGGGCCTGGATCCTGAAATTATTCTCTCCTCCGAGGTCTCTGGGGCTGTGATGAGAGCGGCTGACTTGAAGATTTCTCAAACGCCTTCAAGGCCTTTTCCTCATTGTCTTGGCTATTAACACCTGGCTCCCTTCCAATCCTGCTAATCTCTCTAGCAAGTAGTTGCTCCATAGGCTGCTTGGATTCCTTCCCTACCACAGGCCCAGGCTACAAATTTTCCAAATGTTTATACTCTGCCTCCCTTTTAGGTTCAACTTTAAGTCTTTATTTTGCTCCCACATCTGATGGTAGGTTGTTAGATGCGGGCATGTCACTTCTTGAATGCTTTGCTGCTTAGAAGCTTCCTCAACCACATACCCTAAGTCATCACTCCTAAGTTCAAACTTCCACAGATCCCTAGGGCACAAACACAAGGCAGCTAAGTTCTCTGCTAAGGTATACATGGGCGATCTTCACTCCCCTTCCCAATAACTTCCTCATTTCCATTTGAGACCTCTTCAGCCTGGCCTTCGCTGTCCATTTTTCTATCAGCATTTTGGTCACAACTATTTAACAGTCCCTAAGCAATTTCAAACTTTTCCTTATCTTCCAGTCTTCTTCTGAGCCCTCCAAACTCTTCCAACTTCTGCCCATTACCCAGTTCCAAAGCTGTTTCCACATAACACCCCATTCTTGGTACTAATTTTCTCTATTAGGCCATTCTTTGTGTCACTATAAAGAAATACCTGATGCTAGGCAATTTATTTAAAAAACAGGTTTAATTAGATCATGGTTCTACAGGCTATACATGCATGGCACCAACATCTGCTGGACTTCTAGTGAGGACCCAGGAGGCTTACAACCATGGTGGAAGCAAAGGGCAAAGCTAGGAAACCACATGGTGAGAGCAGGAGCAAGAGAAGGAGCAAGGAGATCCCACACTTTTAAACACTCAGATCTCACACAAAATAACTGAGCGAGAACTCCTTATTTTCTAGAGGATGGTGCTAAACCATTCATGGAGGGATCTGCCCTCATAATCTAATTACCTCCCACCAGGCCCCACCTCCAACATTTGGAATCACATTTCAACATGAGATTTGGAGAGGACAAACATCCAGACCATATCAACAAACCTGTCCATTCCACATCTTGTACAGCTTCACCACTCTGTGGGATGGGAGGGACAGAAAAGTGCTATGAGGTCCATGCTCTTCCATTTCAATAGGTATGACCTTGGGTTGATAATTCATCACAGACTTCCCTTGTTGGTGCTTATCCAATATTTTCTTTCTTGCTCTCTTTTTTTAAAATCTTACTTTCTAGGCCTTCATGGCATATTTCCCCATTTGAGAGTTACTATCTTAAAAGCAAAAGCTATGCTTACACTTTGCTTCTTGTAAAACACTTCAGTCTATAGACTAGTGATCAGTGAATCTTTACTGTCATTGATTGAAGTATTTGGATTGTCCAGAAATTTCCCATTCCACATGGCTATGATACATACTAAACACTCTCATGAAGTCCAGGTTAGCAAACTGACGGTTCCTGAAAGGAGGGACTTACCAAATTCCACCCTGCACATCATGTATATACCATGCTGCTTATTCACTCCAACGTGGCACATTTCTCTGCCACAGCTTCTATTTTTAAAATCACTTAGCAAATCATTTATTTGTAAATCAATACATGTGTACTATACAGAACCTAAGAATTTAGACAATTTTAATGACCCATAAACATGTTGATTCCATTTGCAGATTTAAATTTTGTATAAATAGCAGTCATTGCATACATATATCTTAAGTGTACTTTGTTTATAATCACATTTATGCTAAGGATACTCCTCAGAAAAAAAAAAAAAAACAGATTTTACTGGGTTCTAGCTGAAGTATTGTCAACTCCAAATAATGCTTTGAAGACCTCCAAAGGGAGTTCTAACCCTTTGGCCATTTGCTTCCTAAGTCAGACAGAGAGAGAGAGAGTGAGTGTGTGTGCGTGTGTGTGTGTCTGTGTGTCTGTGTGTGTGTGTGTGTTGAAGCAACAATGTAACAAGCTACCATTAGTAAAGCTGCTGTGCAAAATTATCCCTCTGGCCTATTCTAAGCTTACAGTTCAGTTGATTTTATTGTCCTCACCTAAGTATATACAATTCACATATGGGAGAAAAACACTAAATCAAGATGGTTATTTTCACTATTTTGCTTAAAATTCATATTTACATATAAACCAAGAAGTTAATCTACACAGTATGAGAGATACTTTTTACATTAGAAATGTTTTTTTTTTTAATTTTAAACTGATCCAGGGTAGATGGGCCCCAAAAGAAACTAACACTTCTCAGTACACATGTTGAGCTCGCATGGGCCTCTACTGACCAAACATGGCACTTGAGAGGAAGTCAAGAGGTATCTTGGAATTCCACATTCTGACCCTATCATTCTTGAAGGAAAATAATGCATAATTTTTGGATTATTCAGAAAGAATTTACAATCTTTCCAGTTCATTTTTAAATGAACAATTCTGTTTATAAAATTTCTAAATTAACCTTTCTGAATTCACAGTTTTCTAAAACTGGCCTTAATCAAAAGTCTGAAACCTAGGCTGGGAACCATGTATCCAGCCCAAGCAGGTACTTAAAAGTATCTTAGAGTTGTTTTTCAACTTAGGGGAAACAACAGATCCCACTAAATCCTGAAAAGGATTTTTTGTGTGTGTGTGAAAAAGGGCCTGATATACTAGGTTAGACTCCCAAGACAATTCCACATTTTACTCACGAGGCTTTAAAAAGTTTTGTCTTATGGGTAAATGGTGGCTATTTTCACTGATAACATCATTACCCACATCCCTTACTACAGTTTATATAAAAGAGGCTGGAGAATGAGAAGTACATTTTTACAGGTGGGTGTGATGGTTCATGCTTATAATCCTGAAACTAGCACTTCGGGAGGCCGAGATAGGAGGATCCCCTGTGCCCAGGGTTCGAGACCAGCCTGGGCAACATAAGGAGACCCTGTCGCTATTGTTAAGAAAACTTAAAAAAAAAAAAGTACAATTTGCTCACATAGCACCAAATGTAAGAGCCTTATTTTATTTTATCTTACCTAGAAAGAGTATTTTGGAGAGAGAAACCAAGGATCAGAAGGTTTAAGAATATCTAAAATTTGGGGCCAGGTGTGGTGTCTCACACCTATAATCCCAGCACTTTGGGAGGCTGAGGTGGGTGCATCACTTGAATTTAGGAGTTCAAGATCAGCCTGTCTGCCATGGCTTTTAAACAAACAGTTCACACCATGTTACAGTTAGTGGCTTGTGTGTCTATCTCCCTAACTAGGTTGTAAGTTCCTTGAGAGTAAAATGGCATCACATTTATGTCAATCTCCCTAGAAATTCACCCAGTGCCTCCTGCGTAGTGGTTCCCAAGTGCTCTGTCAGAGCCAGCAGTGCGACTGACACTGGACACGTGCTGGACAACAAATGAGCAACACAACGTTCTCCCTGACATAGAGCTCACAGGCAGATAAGAAAGAGGGGTGGGTGAGCCAAAGACTACGAGATGCTGCAGCAAGTGCTAAACGTAGGTGTGGTGTGCAGTCTTCAGTGGGCAGAGGGTTCCTACTCAGCCTGGAGGAGTCAGACAAGGTTTTCCAGAGAAGTTGATGATAAAGAGGAAACTTGTCGAAGGAATAAACAGAGGGCACCCAACTGAGGTTCACTAACTTGAATTGAACGTGAGGCATGGCAGTGATGATAATCATGTAGAACCCAGGCTTCTGCAGGCCATGCTACAAGGTCAATGAGAATATTCCATGTCTAAGAGCACCTCAGAGAAAGAGCACAGAGGGAGGGATGGCTAGAATAGAATTAAACTAAAAAATGAAGAGACAAGCAGGGTTAATGATGAGCAAAATGCAAAGAAAAATTCATGTAGATTATTAAATTACCAAATACCTAAGGTAGATAGTGAACCCTCACAACTAATAAGCACACATCCCAGGGCCCATAGTGTATATAGCACCGATATCTTTTTGTCCAATATTCTGCTCTCTTTAATCATCTCAGCACACTGTACTGGGTGGATAAAACTAGAGGCCTCAGCTGCAGCACTTACCACCATTCACAAGGCTAAGGCCACTGAGAGAGTCCTCTATCAACTATACAATCTCCATTCAAATGAACTTTCATATCTCAAGTTAATTTATCAGTACATTTTACCTAAGAAAGTTACATTCACTCTTTTACAAATATCCCAATACAAACTATAATGTATAAAAAGTTTTTATAAAAGTAAAACAGGAGGGGCCAAGATGCCTGATTAGAAGCAGCTCCCACTGTGGCTCCACCGAGAACAATGAATACAGCGAGTGAATCCTGCATCTTCAGCTGAGGGTATCCAGGTTATCTCACTGGGACTGACTAGGCAGTTGGTGAGACCCCAGAGAGCGAGGAAAAGCAAGGTGGAGCTATGGCCCACCCAGGAGCCACATGGAGCAAGGGGATCTCCCATCCCCAGCCAAGAGAGGCGGTGAGTGATTGTGCTACCCTGCCAGGGAAACCATGAATTTTCCACAGATTAGTACAACCCTCAGATCAGAAGATACCCTCATGAACCCACACCACCAGGGCCTTGGTTCCCAAGGACAGAACTGTGAAGACTCTTGGGACCGCTCAGCTGGCAGCCAGCAACAGCAGGCTGGAGACTGCCTCAGATGACCAAGTAAGTTCCCAGGGGAGGGGTGACCACCATCAATTTCAGCCATTTTCCCCTGTCGGTGCCAGGGAGACTGGGTAGTTTGAACTGGGAGGAATTTCCTACAGTGCAGCACAGCAGCTGTGACAGATCGTGGCCGGGCTTCTTTAGGTGGGACCCAGATTTATTCCTCCTCCTCATGGGGTGGGGCCTCCCTGCAGGAATTTCAGCAACTCCAGCCAGGGCTTTATGGACAGAACTCTTATCTCCCTGAGAAGGAGCCCCTGTTGGGAGGGGGTGGCCACTGTCTCCAGTTCAATGGACTTAATTTTTCCCACCTGGTGGCTCTGAGGAGTCCTAGCCAAGATTCCCCCCAGCGCCAAGCACTTGTTCCACCAAGGGGCAGCCAGACTGCTCTTTAAGCGGGTCCCTGATTTCATGCCTCCTGACTGGGTGAGACCTCCCAACAGGGGTCTCCAGACATCTTACAGAGGAGAGCTGTGGCCTTCCAGCCTCCATCAGGCCACTGCACAGAGGAAGGAGTAGGCAGCCATCCTTGCTGTTCTGCAGCTTCCACTGGTGATACCTCCAGGTGCAGGAGAGACCCAGGTGAATAGGGTATGGAGTGAACCCCCAGCAAAGCACAGCAGCCCTAAGGAAAATGAGTCTGTTTAAAAAAAAAATTTTAGATGACAGACAGCAACAACAACATCAACAAAAAAACCCACAAAAATGCCAGCCAAAAGTCAGTAGCCTCAAAGATTGAAAGTAGACAAACCCATGAAGATGAGAAAAAAAATCAATGCAAACACGCTGAAAATTAAAAAAGCAAGAGTGTCTCTTCTCCAAATGATCACAACACCTCTTCAGGAAGGCACAGAACTGGGCTGAGGCTGAGATGGATGAATTGAAAGAGATAGGTAATAATGAACTTCACTGAGCTAAATAAAGGAGTATGTTTTAACCCAATGCAAAGAAGCCAAGAACCATGATAAAACATTACAAGAGCTGTTAACCAGAATAAGCAGTTTAGAGAGAAACATAAATGACCTGATGGAACTGAAAAATACAACTTGAGAACTTCACAATGCAACCACAAGTATCAGTAACCAAATAGATCAAGTGGAGGGAAAAATCTCAGAGCTTGAAATAAGACAGGCAGACAAGATTAGAGAAAAAGAATAAAAAGAAATGAACAAAACCCCCAACAACTATGGGATGATGTAAAAAGATAGAACCTATGATTGACTGAGGTACCTGAAAGAGACAGGGAGAACAGGACGAAATTGAAAAATATACTTCAGGATATCATCCAGGAGCACTTCCCAAACCTAGCAAAATAGGCCAATGTTCACATTCAGGAAATCCAGAGAACCACAGTAAGGTATTCCATGAGAAGATCAACTCCAAGACAGATAATCATCAGATTTTCCAAGGTTGAAATAAAAAAAAAAATGTTAAGGGCAGCAAGAAAGAAAGGTCAGGTCACCTACAAAGGGAAGGCCATCAGACTAACAGCAGACCTCTGAGTGGAAACCCTACAAGCCAGAAGAGATTGGGAGCCAATATTCAACATTCTTAAAGAAAAAAATTTCCAACCCAGAATTTCATATCTGGCCAAACTAAGCTTCATAAGTGAAGGAAAAATAAAAATCCTTTTCAGACAACCAAATGCTAAGGGAATTCATCACCACCAGGCCTGGCTTGCAAGAGCTCCTGAAGAAAGCAATGAATATGGAAAGAAAAAGCCTATACCAACCACTACAAAAAAAAAAAACACTGAAGTACACAGACCATTGACACTATAAAGCAGCTACATTAACAAGTCTGCAAAATAACCAGCCAGCATCATGGTGACAGGATCAAATTCACATATAACAAAATACCCTTAAAAGTAAGTGAGCTAAATGCCCCAATCAAAAGACAAAGAATGGCAAGCTGGATAAAGAGTCAAGACCCATCAGTGTGCTATATTCAAGAGACCCACCTCACATGCAAAGACAAACATAGGCTCAAAATAAAAGGATGGAGGAAAATTTACCAAGCAAACAGAAAGTAGAAAAAAGCAGGGGTTGCAATCCTAGTTTCTGAAAAACCGGACTTTAACAAAGATCCAAAAGAGACAAAGAAGGGCATTACATAATGGTAAAGGGGTCAATTCAACAAGAAGTGCTAACTATCCTAAATATATATGCACTCAATACAGGAGCACCTAGATTCATAAAACAAGTTATTGGAGACCTACGAAGAGACTGAGACTCTCACAAAATAATAGTGGGAGATTTAAACACCCTACTGTCAGTATTAGACAGATCATCGACACAGAAAATTAACAAAGATATTCAGGACTTGAACTCAGCTCTGGATTAAATGGAACTGATAGATATCTGCAAAATTCTCCACTCCAAAACAACAGAATATACATTCTTCTCGGTACAACATTGCACTTACTCTAAAATTGATCACATAATCAGAAGTAAAACACTCCTCAGCAAATGCAAAGGAACTGAAATCATAACAAACAGTTTGTTAGACCACAGCGCAATTAAATTAGAACTCAAGGTTAAGAAACTTATTCAAGGCTGGGTGCAGTGGCTCACGCCTGTAATCCCAGCACTTTGGGAGGCTGAGGCTGGCAGATCACCTGAGGTCAGGAGTTCAAGACCAGCCTGGCCAACATTGTGAAACCTGCCTCTACTAAAAATACAAAAATTAGCTAGGCATGGTGGCATACACCTGTCATCCCAGCTACTCAGGAGACTGAGGCAGGAGAATCACTTGAACCTGGGAGGCAGAGGTTGCAGTGAGCTGAGATCATGCCTTTTCCGGCCTGGGTGACAGAGCAAGACTCCGTTTAAAAAAAAAAAAAAAAAAAAACAAAGAAAAGAAAAAAAGAAACTCATTCAAAACCACACAACTACATGGAAATTGAAAAACCTACTCCTGAATAACTCCTGGGTAAATAATGAAATTAAGGCAGAAATCAAGAAGTTCTTTGAAACTAATGAGAACAAAGAGACAACAAACTCGAATCTCTGAGACACAGCCAAAAGCAGTGTTAAGAGGGAAATTTATAGCACTAAGTGCCCACATCAAAAAGCTAGAAAGATCTCAAATCAACCTCCTTAACATCACAACTAAAAGAACTAGAGAACCAAGGGCAAACAAATTCTAAAGCCAGCAGAAGACAAGAAACAACCAAGATCAGAGCAGCACTGAAGGAGATAGACATACAGAAAAGTCTTCAAAAAAATCAACAAACCCAGAAGCAGGGTTTTTGAAAAAATTAATAGACTGCTAGGTAGACTAATAAAAAAGAATAGACTGCTAGCTAGACTAAGAAGAAGAGAGAGAAGAATCAAATAGATACAATAAAAAATGATAAAGGATGTATCACCACTGACCCCACAGAAGTACAAATAACCATCAGAGAATACTATAAACATCTCTATGCAAATAAACTAGAAAATCTAGAATGGGCACATACACATTCCCAAGGCTGAACCAGGAATAAGTTGAATAGACCAATAATAAGTTCTGAAATTGAGGCAGTAATAGCCTATCAACCAAAAAAAAAGCTTAGGACCAGACAGATTTACAGCTAAATTCTATAAGAGATACAAAGAGGAGCTGGTACCATTTCTTCTGAAACTATTTCAAACAATTTAAAAGGAGGGACTCTCCCCTAACTCATTTTATGAGACCAGCATCATCCTGATACCAAAACCTGGCAGAGGCACAACAAAAAAGAAAACTTCAGCCAGGCGCGGTGGCTCACGCCTGTAATCCCAGCACTTTGGGAGGCCGAGGCGGGTGGATCACGAGGTCAGGAGATTGAGACTATCCTGGCTAACACAGTGAAACCCCGTCTCTACTAAAAATACAAAAAATTAGCCAGGCGTGGTGGCAGGCGCCTGTAGTCCTAGCTACTCTGGAGGCTGAGGCAGGAGAATGGCGTGAACCTGGGAGGCGGAGCTTGCAGTGAGCCGAGATCGTACCACTGAGCGACAGAGCGAGACTCCATCTCAAAAAAAGAAAAAAAAAAAGGAAAACTTCAGGCCAATATCTCTGATGAACATTGATACAAAAACCCTCAATAAAATACTGGCAAACTGAATCCAGTAGCATATCAAAAAGCTTATCCACCACAGTCAAGTTGGCTTCATACCCAGGATGCAAGGCTGGTTCAACATATGCAAATCAATAAATGTAACTCATCACATAAACAGAACTAAAGATAAGAAAACATGGGGTTATCTCAATAGATCCAGAAAAGGACTTCAATAGAATTCAACATCCCTTCATGTTAAAAACGTTTAATAAACGAAGTATTGAAGAAAAGTACCTCTAAATAATAAGATTCATTTATGACAAACCCACAGACAATATCATAATGAATGGGCAAAAGCTGAAAGCATTCACCTTGAAAACTGGCACAAGGCAAGGCTGCCCTCTCTCACCACTCCTATTCAACATAGTAATGTAAGTTCTGGACAAGGAAATCAGGCAAGAGAAAGAAATAAAACAGGAAGAGAGAAAGTCAAATTGTCTTTGTTTGCAGATGACATGATCTTTTATCTAGAAAACCCCATCGTCTCAGCTCCTTTAGCTGATAAGCACCTTCAGCAAAGTCTCAGGATACAAAATCAAGGTGCTAAAATCACAAGCATTCCTATACATCAAAAACAGAGAAGCAAACAGCCAAATCATGAATGAACTCCCATTCACAGTTGCTAAAAGGAGAATAAAATATGTAGGAATACAGCTAACAAGGGAAGTGAAGGACCTCTTCAAGGAGAACTAGAAGCCATTGCTCAAGGAAATCAGAGAGAACACAAACAAATGAAAAAGCATTTTATGCTCATGGATAGGAAGAATCAATATCATAAAAATGGCCATACTGCCCAAAGCAATTTATAGATTGAATGCTATTTCCATCAAACTACCATTGACATTCTTCACTGAACTAGAAAAAACTATTTTAAAATTCATGTAGTACCAAAAAAGAGCCTATACATCCAAGACAACCTTAAGAAAAAAGAACAAAGCCAGAGGCATCAAACTACCTGACTTCAAACTATATTACAAGGCCACAGTATCCAAAACAGCATGGTACTGATGCAAAAACAGACACATAGACCAATGGAACAGAATAGAGACCTCAAAAATGAGACCACACATCCACAACCATCTTATCTTTGATAAACCAGACAAAAATGAACAATGGGAAAAGCATCCCCTATTCAATAAATAGTGCTGGGAGAACTGGCTAGCCCTATGCAGAAGATTGAAACCAGACCCCTTCCTTACACCTTATACAAAAATTAAGTAAAGACTTAAATGTAAAGCCCAAAACTATAAAACCCTAGGAGAAAATCTAGACAATACCATTCAGGACATAGGCACAGGCAAAGATTTTATGATGAAAACATCAAAAGCAATTGCAACAAAAGCAAAAATTGACAAATGGGATCTAATGAAACTAAAGAGCTTCTGCACAGCAAAAGAAACTATCATCAGAGTGAACAGGCAACCTACAGAATGGGAGAAAAATTTTGCAATTTATCCATCTGACAAAGGTCTAATATCCAGAGTCTACCAGGAACTTAAAAGAATTTACAAAAAAAAAAAAAACAAACCATTAAAAAGTGGGCAAAGGACATGAAAAGACACTTCTCAAAATAAGACATTTATGTGGCCAAAAAACATATGAAAAAACCTCAACATCACTGACCTTAGAGAAATGTAAATCAAAACCACAATAAAATATAATGTCATGCCAGTCAGAATGGCAATTATTAAACAGTGAAGAAACAACAAATGCTGGTAAACCTGAAGAGAGACAGGAACGCTTTTACACTGTTGGTGGGAATGTAAATTAGTTTAATCATTGTGGAGGAAAGCATGGCGATTCCTCAAAGACCTAGAACCAGAAATGTCATTTGGCCCAGCAATCTCATTACTGGGTATAAAACTGAAGGAATACAAATCATTCTACTATAAAGTTACATGCACATGTATGTTCACTGTAACACTATTCACAACAGCAAAGACATGGAATCACCCCATATGCCCACGAATGATAGTCTGGATAATGAAAATGTGGTACATATACACAATGGAATACTATGCAGCCATTAAAAGGAATGAGATCATGTCCTTTGTAGGGACATGGATGGAGCTGGAAGCCATTATCCTCAGCAAACCAATGCAGGAACAGAAAACCAAATCCCACATTTTCCCACTTATAAATGGGAGCTGAACAATGAGAACACATGGATACAGGGAGGAGAACAACACAATCTGGGGCCTGTGCGGGGCGGGGGGTTCAGGGGAGGGAGAGCATTAGGAAAAGTAGCTAATGCATGCTGGGCTTAATACCTAGGTGATGGGTTGATAGCTGCAGCAAAACACCATGGCACACATTTACATATGTAACAAACATGCACATGTACCCTGGAACTTAAAGTAAAAATTTTTTAAAGTAAAACAGTATATTTTGATACAAACTATATATAAAGCATTTTTGAATCATAAGAATACTAAAATATTATAGAGGTAACAATATACAATGCAAGGAGAAAACAATTATCAATGGCAAGATGAAAATAAATATCAAGTTCAGATGAACATTCATTAAATGCTTACATAAAGCACAATGAGAAAAAGAGCATAATTGAAATCATCATTACTTGTCAATTCCACTTAGCCTAAATTTCATTTAAGAATAAAATCTTTCAAGATAGGAGGTTACACAATGCATTATCGCATGATAGTTTAGTTTTAAAAGACTGTGTCTCAAATTAACACAAATCAGTGAGGAATAAAACATCTACTTTCATCAAAACTCCACATACTGACTTATACTCTCCGAAACAGCAGAGTTCAAAAATATTACCCTAAATATTAAAACTCAAGGGTGCTGCTTTAATGAACTTAATTATGCAAAACACCAAATGCAAGAATGTACTAGCAAAATAGCAATTTGAAACAGATGGGTAATTACAACAGCTTGCTACAGATGGCATAACAGTACAATGTATTTGTCAAGTTTGGTTTTGATCAAAAAAGTAAATTGAATGCACTTTTCTATTGGTAAAATAACAGAATATATTAAAGACTCAGAAGTCCATTTTCACAAATAATTTTTGAAAATGATCCATTTTGCTTCTCTTGTAATGACAAATATTGATATAAAATACAACCCCATTATAAGAAAAAAAGTGCAGAAAAAAGGAAAATACAGATATTTAGTCTCTAAATTTATTTGCCAAAATAGAATATAAAAGTGAAAGAAAATTTTCCACGTTAAAAAGTGCAAGCCAGTAGACTATATGAAAGAATCCCAAATGTGAGCAATACAAGAATGGACAAGATATTAATTATACACTTGAAAGGAAAGCGAGGTCAGCTAAGGAAGCATAACATTCAGAATGGACAGTACAGATGGGACATCTTTTACTCCTCTAGAGGAAAGAGAAGACTGATTATAATACAAAATAAGGAATGAAGAAAGAAAAATATTCACCAGTCATAATCTTTGTGCTTCCTAAGATTCCTTGCCTTAAAGGATGGTGGTAGGAGTGTTGGAGTGGACTGGAGATAAGAGAAGATCCAAAGAAGACAGTAATGAGTATGAGAAATGATACAATTCTAGTCTTGATTCAGCTTACACCACAGACATACCAAATGTTTTTAAACCGTGATTTAATTTGTGGGGAGTGAGGAGAAGAGAGAAGAATTTATCTGAATCTCAAACTTTGGTATTCACTAGATCACCAGAAGAGATTTCTAGATAAAACTACCCATGTCTGTGTAGTTGCCCCCACACCCCCAAAAAGGTTTTCATTTTGTTGGTTTGGGGTACAGTCCAAGCACTGAGATTTTACAACATCTCTCCATGTGATTCATATGTGATGCAACATTGAGAAGCACCATTTTAATCCTTTAGTACTGTCTTCCTAATAACTTGTCTTAAACCCTAGTTTATTTAATGTTTATAAGTGTGTCTAAAGTATATTAAATGAACCAACGATCGCCCTTCCTGATTTGCAATAGTAAAAATTTTCAACAACCTAAATACATTTCAACAAAAGTTGACTAAAGGTAATGAAAAATTGTAATGGAATATAATGATGTTACTTAAAATAGGCTTAATATTTGTGGTTTTATTTTCTATGTAACATTTTTATCAAATACATACACGCATACATGCATATTGTTTAAAACATCAAATAACATTAAAAGACCATATGAAAGTTAAAAAATAAAGCAAAATCCTTGTTTCTTTACTTACTGCCTATTCGCTAGAGCAACTGCTTTTGCTTTTATCTCTGCTGTTATTGACCACCACTTTTCTAAATAATATAATTATATTTTAATATCTTAATTCATCATGTTAGGAAGTTATCTACTAACTTCCAAGGTGGATGAGAACATAGCTCTCACTACCCCTCAGCACTTCCTATCCCAAATTCAGCAGATAATGTTGGATGCCTACCCAACGTCTACCCTGGGTCTGAGACTCTGTCATCATGGTAGTCCATTCTCCTTGACAGTGATTGGTTGCAGGTGTAGATATGCAACCAAACCTTGTCATAGAGACTTCAGGGAAGGTAGCTGGGGAGCTACCAGGAAAGGTTTCCTAGATTATAAGAGGTATCAGAAGAGTACATTTGCTTTCTGTGTCTGGACTTTATCATAATTGAATGCAATCACTGGAACTTCTGCAACTATCTTGCTATCTGCCTGAGCATAAAGCCAAAAGAGCAGAGAGAAGAATTAACATTCATAGAGAAGTGGAGCCCAATCCCTGCCAGTACCATGGCTGTAGCTTCCCTATCTCGAAACTTCTTATTATGAGAGATATAAAATTTAAATTTAAACTGAGTTGGCATTTTCTGTTATAGTTGAATGTATCTTTAATAGCCCTCAGTTCCTTTTTCCATTGTCCAATGTAATTTTATTATATGTATAATATATATACATATGTATGTATATACATATCGTGTGTGTGTGTGTGTGTGTGTGTGTGTGTGTATTTGTTGTTGTTAAACCAGTGACTTTGTATTTGTGTTCTGCATCTATGTAAGTTTTTTTCAGTGATAAGCAATAATTACATTTTCTTTTCTATACAATATTTAGTGCTCCTTGGTATTAAAAACATGCTTTTTTATTTGCTTAGATTGCTTTTTGCCTATAGTTATTTCTTCCTACACCACAGGGAACTTTCAATGCAACATTTCAATGCAATTTTTCACATGGTACAACATATCATGAGTGACTGTGTAATTTAATATTCTACCTGTGTCGCTTCTGAGAGTAAAAGTATGTGTTATCAATGATTATGCCAGAACCATAAGTATAAATCAGGGCTGTACTCAGAATACCATGACATACCATCTACACAAATATATCTAATGACCTATCAATGCATTTTTAAATTAACAGTACCCTTCATGGGTACTCGTTTTTGGAACTAGTGGCTTTTTTGGGCCTGTTGCACATTTACAGTTCTATAACCGCCCATCACAGACTTCCTGGAAACTTTATTTGTCTTATTCCTATTTGAGATATTTTGTGTCCAGATTTCATGTATTTCTCTTTATTTAGGTGCAAAACATTTTCAGGTAGTTTTTGTTTTCTTAGTTTATTCCACTGTTTAGTTGCAACATATTTAGTAGTTTCTCAGAAAAAATTCTTGAAATATGGACATGTAATTGTGGCTTTATTGTATGTTTAAGATTAATTAACCATAGGCTAGAATTTGTAAAGCTTTGATATAATGCTATATAGATTCCAAACTTGCTATCCAGAAATCCAATGCCATCTTTATTCCCATTGCTTTGTAAATAAGGTGCATTTTTCACTCTCTTTCTTTCTTTTTGAAAGATTTTAAAATGTTCTCTTTATGTCTGGTATTCTGTAAATCAAGATTTGCACTTCGGAGTAAAATTGTTTCTTTTCATTTACTAAACTGGACCTTGGCAGGATCTTTCAATCTAGTTACTGATGTGTGGCAATTCTGAGAATATTTTGTATTATTTATTTTTCTCCTTTAGTTTCTCAGTTCTGTGGTTCTGAAATTATTACCTATCAAATTTTGGACTTCTCAAATTGATAGTTCCATGTTCTTATGTTTCCTTTTATTTGTATACTTTCTTATACTCTTCTTTTTCTTTTTCATTTATTTATTTATTTGTTTGTTTGTTTTTTTGAGACAGACTCACTCTGTCTCCCTGGCTGAGTACAGTGGTGCAATCTCAGCTCACTACAACCTCTGCCTTCCAGGTTCAAGTGATTCTTGTGCCTCAACCTCCCAAGGAGCAGGAGGACCACAGGCTCGTGCCACCAGGCCTGGCTAATTTTTGTATTTTTAGTAGAGATGGGGTTTCTCCATGTTGCCCAGGCTGGTCTTGAACTTCTGAGATTAAGCGATCCACCTGCCTCAGCCTCTCAAAGTGCTGTGATTACAGGTATGAGCCACCATGCCTGGCCATTCCTCTACTTTACCTTCCAAAATTGTATTCAATATTTTTTATTTCTTCTATGTTATTTTTAATTTTCTAGAACACATTAATATCCTCTGAGTGTTTATATTTTTAAAGCATCCTGATATTACTTTCTGGATAAAATATTTTCTCCTATTTCTCTCACAAGTTTTAAAAAATATTTTCTTTTTTAACCACATTGCCTGCGCTTCCTTCAGATTCCTTTTGTAGGCATGTGGTTGGGTTTGTTTATGTTTTTGCTAGTTTATGACTTTCATATTGGAAGCTTCCCTCAATTGGAAAGATTCCCATCTGTCTAATTATATTACACATTGAACACTGAAAAGCTCATTGGAAGCTTGTCAACAGGTGGGCTTCACTTAGAATGATTAAGTGGTAACATTTTAGGGAGACTTGGGATCCCCAAATACTAGTATTCCTTGGTCTTTCTTCTGAGATTACTGTTTCTATAAAGAAAATCTTCTATCTCCTGCCTAATGTGCCCTGGGAACAGGGCAACAAACAAGGGCTTAGAGTCTCCATTCATGCCTTTTAAATAGTTTCACTATTTTCACAAAATATTTTTGCAAAAAAACCCTCATAATTAAATAGCCTTAAACCAATCTTTGAAAAGGAAAATACATAGGATGAATTGATTAATGAAGTCATTCAAAAAATATTTTCGAGATTCTACAACATGATGTTTGATGCTTTGTGAAATTCAAACATTATTAAGATTAAATATTCCCTCCAAGGCAGTTCACAAACTACTGGAGACAAAGACACTGGAGCAACTAACTTTAATGTAAAATATTTTGTGGTATTACAGAGAGTCAGATCTAGAAATACAGGTTTACCATAGCCATGTGCTGAGAAACAAAACGAAGTACTATTAGAGTAGGGTGGACATTTCTCACTAAAGAGACCAGGGAAGGACTTGAGGATAAGCTAGATTTCATAAGATGTGAAGGACATTAAACATTCAAAACTGGATAGACAAAGAGGTCAAAAAGAGCTTTGAAAGAAAAATCCAAGAAGTCTAAGACACAGAGGTAAGAGAATCAAAGCAAGAGTCTTTACTACAATGGCAAGCAGACCTATAGCTGACATCTTTTTATGAACTCAAGAGGTGAGTAAAAACTTGCAAATGTAGATTGGGGTCACTGAACAAACATCTCAAAGTTTGGGATAAAAATGTTAGGATGTTTTCTCTGGGCAACTGAATTATATTAATATTGTTTATTTAGTTATATAATTTTTACTGTGTACTGGGAAACATGCTGCATAATTTTTATATGCAAACTATTCAAGTTGTGTTTTAGGGATGTGAGTCTGGTTGCAAAGTGTTAGACAGATGGGAGAGGAGAAAAACTAGAAGGAAAACCAAAAAAGTTTAAAGGCTATTGCTTTCTGCCTAGCAGCATAAACAAATATCAAAAATGGACTGAAGACTTAAATATTAAAATCTTTTAAAAAATGATATAGGAAATATCTGCATAACTTCAGGGTAGGACAGGATTTCTTAAGCAACATTCTAAGAGTACTACTCATAAATTATTGATAAGCATCTCTACATTAAAATTAAGAACTTCTCACTTTAAAAGACATCACAAGGAAAGCGAAAATACAGACATGGCAGAAAAATATATTTGCATCATATATAACCAGTGCAGCAGTCATCCCAAGAATATACAAAGATCACTATAAATCTATAAGAAATAAAGAGAAACCTAAATACTCAAATGGGTACAAAGACTTAAATAGACATTCAACAAAAGGAAATCCAAAACGCCAGTAAACATGAAAAGATTCTCAACTTCACCACTATTTACAAAAATGCAAATTAAAATTTCAAAGATACCTTTAAATCCACACACATAAACAAAATAAAAATTAAAAAATTTAAAAAGCCTGAAGATAGCATAAATTACTAACCTATGGAATACTGTAGACCTCCAAATAATGCTAATAGGAAAGTAAATTAGTTTCATCACGTTGGAAAATAACCTGTCATTCGTAGCAGATTGAAGATATACATGCCCAGTCAGTGCATTCTAAAATACAAATCCCACACAATCTCATGCACATCCATATCATGATACAGTCATAAAATGTTCAGAGCAGCACTGTTTGTAATAATAAAAATGAAAACAATCCAAATGCCCATTAATAATAGAATGAATAAGTAAATTGTGAAATATTCATTCAATAGAGGGCTATACAGCAATAAAAACATACAGCGACGTGATACTATATGGATGAATCTCAGAAACACAATGTGGAGAGAAAGAAGCAAATCACGGAAGATCCATATACAGTATAATTTCATTTACATAAAGTTCAAAACTGAGCTATTTTCTTTAGGGAAGCATCCATCAGTGGTAACTCCAAAGAAAAGAAATGAAAACATTATTACAAACATCAAGGAAAGTGCTTTCCTCTGGGTAAGAGGGAGTTGATTGTGATAAGAAAGAGACACATTGGGAGTACAGGCAATATTGTATTTCTAAACCTGAGTTGTTGGATTGGGGCTCATTTTACCATTATTCTTCAAACTTGCATTTACTTGTATTTTTTCAAAGTATATTTAACAATATCAAATAAACACATATTTTGAAATACGAATAAGGCAAAAGATTGGGAGAAAGAAAATATCTCAAGAACAGAAGGAAAAGCCATTGCAACAACTCAGAGGAAAGGACATGAAGTCTGGAACAATGGCAGAGGACAGGGAGAGAATGAGACAGAGTTACCAGAAATGAGACAGAATTAATAGAATTTGGCAAATGACTGGATATAATAACAAATAGAACGAGGAGAAATGAATGTCTTCACGATTTTATTCAGGTGATTGGTAGGATAAATACACCATTGAAAACAGTAGGGCAACCCAGGAATATGAGCAAGTTCCCAGGGAGAAAGGTGAGGAAAACAACTTTGAAACAGTCCTTCAGTATTTCCTTTCTTTGAAGGACTTTGAAGGACTACTTGAAACAGTCCTTCAGTATTTAATTTTGTGGCAATTATTTATTTCCAATAGCCAACTAAGAAATGCTTTTTTCAGTACCTCCCACCTGCAGGATACCATGCTGAGCACGGTAGAGGACACAGTAAAATAGAAACAGCATTCGCTTCCCCAGGAAGCTTACAATTTAGCTGAAGATACACGGCATATCAAAATGGAATGGCAGTTAAATAAAAGTCAAGGCTAGGTCAGTTGCAGAGACAATAAATGATACAGAGTTTAGTAGGGGAGGGGAAGGAAGAGAGAAAGAGAATAGAATAGACTTTCTACGTGAAAGAAAGTCATTTCCAGTTAGTGTTTCTTTTGAGCTATATCTTGGAACATGTATAGGACTTAGAAAGAAGGAAAAAAGGTTGTTTTAGGCAGGGAAGGTGCTTCATGGTATATTCAGGAGACGGCAAAGAGGGTACTCTGGGCAGAATAAGACAAACAGCAAAGACGACACGGAAAAGAGAGGATGATGCCAGATTTTTGTCATCGGCTGAATAGGAGCTAAGAAAATAAACAGAAGATAAGGAGCACAACTCAGAGACCAGGCAACTATAGCAGCCAAAACAAAACAAAGATAAAGACCTGCTCTAAAATGTGACTGCTCAAAATGTTTTTTTCAAATAAAAATAAAAAAGACTGATTCAAGACATGTTGTTGGCTGGACACAGCGGCTCATGCCTATAATTCCAGCACTTTTGGAGGCTGAGCTGGGCATATCACTTGAACCCAAGAGTTTGAGACCACCCTGAGTGATACGGTAAAACCCTGTCTCTACAAAAACACAAAAACTAGCTGAGTGTGGTGGTGTGCACCTGTAGTCCTAGCTATTCTGGAGGCTGAGGTGGGAGGATCACTTGAGGCTGGTGGGCTGAGGCTGCAGTGAGCCAAAATCATGCCACGGTACTTCAGCCTGGGCAACAGACTGAAACCCTGTCTCAAAAAAAAAAAATGTTTAGGAAGAATTAATATGAAATGAATTTGAAGGAGGGGAAAAGCTAAAACCAGCTCTGAGGTTGGAAGTCTAGACAGCAAGATCCCTGAGACCACTGTGAGAAAGAAGGTTGCCAGGAGGGGAAGATCTGGGGGAAGGGCATCAGTTCAATTTTAAGCACTGGGAGCATAATGAGACAGAAGTTGATTAATCAAACAAATAAGCCCAAGATGGTCTTGAAAAATTAGAGCATTTACTCAGGAAAAATATTAGGTCAGCAGAAGAACTAGGATATATGTGCAGAGAAGTGAGAGCTCAATCTAGGAAAGTGGAAAAGATTCCTAATGAATTTTTTTAAAATCATATATTAAGCACCTACCACGTGGGAAATACCATAACAGGCACTTTAACTTAAGAAAACTGAAAATAAAATAAAATAAAAACCTAAAGGGAAAGTTTACAAGTTTGGAGGTAGGAGGAAAAGAAACTATTAAAACTAAAGAAATAAAAATCAGAAAATAAAGGATAACCATTATCTCAACTGGACAGTAAGATAAATAGTAGGAGGGAGACTAACAGAGTCATATAGAACAGAGATGTCAAGGAGAAATGAACAAAGAAAGGGGCCTTAGAAATGCCATTGACAAATAAAAAGTCATTGGTGAGGTTCAGGAAAGCGGTTTCATTAAGCAAAGTGTGTAGAAGTCATATTAGGAGGCAGGAGTTATGTACTTGTCCCCACTACCCAGAACACTTTCCTTGTGGCTTGCTCCTTCCTCTCCTCCAGGTCTTGGCTCAAATGCCATTTTCTTCGTGAGGACTTCTCTGATCCTCTATTTAGAATTGTGATGCCAGCACATTCTTCCCATCCCCATATTCTATTTTTCACCCCAGCACTCTTCACCATATGTGTTATTTGTTTATTATCTGTCTAAAAGTAAACTCCATAAGAGAGGCAAATTAGTTATCTTTGTTCTGAGCTCCAGTGCCTAGAAAAGGGCCTATTCAGAGAATGTTCTGAAAACCAAGTGTAGAAGCCGTGTTAACTGTGCTACATGAGAGGCAGATAATATGAAGACAAAGAACTGATTATCAGATTTTGGAAGAGACCTTAGCAACAGCAATTTCAAATAAGCACTGTGGGAAAACAATGGAGCAGGTAAAAGTGTTAATGGATAATGAGACAATACAGACAGCTGGTATAAACAACCCTTTTTTTTTTTTTTTTTTTGAGACAGGGTCTCACTCTGTCACCCAGGCTGGAGTGCAGTGGAATACAGTGGCATGATCTTGGCTCACTGCAACCTCTGCCTCCTGGGTTCAAGCAATTCTTCTGCCTCAGCTTCCTGAGTAGCTGGAACTACAGGCGTGTGCCACCGCACCCGGCTAATTTTTGTATTTTTAGTAGAGACACAGTGTCACCATATTGGCCAGGCTGGTCTCAAACTCCTGACCTCATGATCCACCTGCCTCGGCCTCCCAAAGTGCTGGGATTACAGATGTGAGCCACCACGCCCAGCTAAGCAGGTTTGCTACATAGAGAAGAAGAGAAATGAGATGACAGCTGGAGAGATGTTTTTGTTATTGTTTTGTTTTGAGATGGAAGATGTTATAGAATATTTGCATAGGGATGAGAATATTTGCATAGGAACGTTTAAGTAGGGAGAAAATGTGTTGATAACGCAAAAAAAGAGGGTAGTTAATAAAGTGATTCCCCTGAGAAGTCAAGGGGGACAAATTCTGGAGCAGAAGGTTGAGAGTTGCCCCAGACAAAAGTTAAGAGTTAAGCTCTGCTCTTTCCTTTTATTTATTTTTTAGAGACAGGGTCTCACTGTGTTGTCCAGGCTGGAGTGCAGTGGTGCAATCATGGCTCACTGTAACCTTGAACTTCTGGGCTCGGGCAATCCTCCTGCCTCAGCCTCTTAAGTAGCTAAGACTTCACCATGCCTGAGTCAATCCTCAGGCCTATTTCCTAATCCTAAAAGGATTAGAAAAAATTCTCTTCTGAATCCTCCCTTAGTGAAAGGAGAATTGAGTCTGCTGAAGATTTAAGAAAAAATAAAAAGTGAAACAATTGTCTTGGGCATGAAAAACGGAATTTACTAAGGAGATGTGGTAAAATCTTGTTCCTGTGGGAATCCCGTGGTATCAAATTCAAAGTGAAAATATTCAGCAACAAAAATCGTGTACTCTTCTCCAGCTGTGTTCAGTTGCAAGGGTGCAAACTAGAGGACAGACAAAGAGTTGGGTTTAACCAACATGGCTAGCTAGCAATATTTTCTACCTATGATAGCACACTGTCACATATAGTTGTAACCCAAATAAATAGATGAGTTTCATGTGGCCTAATCTCACCATTTTAGCACATTAACAAACACGTCTAATTATCAAAAGGAATAATTTACTGCTCAAAAACATTCAAGACGATCCAGTTCATAACACACAAATACCACTTTCTCTTTCTTCTCAGTAACTCTCTCAACCCAGAGACACCCTCAAAACTCCTCAACACAGTTTACTCAAAACTCTCCCAATCAAAACTGTTTTGTGACACAGGGTTGGCATAAGCTCTGCTCTTTCATTTATTTATTTTTTAGAGATAGTGCCTGACTGTGTTGTTCAGGCTGGACAGCACAGTGGTGCAATCATGGCTCACTGTAACCTTGAACTTCTGGGCTCAGGCAATCCTCCTGCCTCAGCCTCCTGAGTAACTAAGACTTCAGTCATGTGCCATCATGCCAGTATTATTTTTTATTTTTTATTTTAGAGATGGATCTCACTATGTTGCCCAGGTTACTCTTGAACTGCTGGCCTCAAGGAATTCCCCACCCTCGGCCTCCCTAAGCCCTGGCACCCAGGGTATTCAGCCCCGTTCTTTCCTTTTAATTTCCCTTTTCTGCTGCCTATATTCTTTTTCATTTCTTATGAGAAAAAAATGAGCCTTTCCAAGGCCAATTACCCATCATTTATCCTCCTATTCTTTCATACTAATTTACTCTCAACTGAAAAATAAGATGGAAGGACTGGGGGTGGGAAGGGAGATAGCATGCAGTGTCAAACAGGCCAACCCAAATTTTTCAGAGAGTTGGGCCAGGAAAGAGATGGTGACTATACATACATTTGGCCTTGTTACATTGTTTTAATTTTGTAATTTTTAACCACACAAAAATCAATATTTTGACCTATTTCAGCCATCTCTGAGATATGATATGTAGAAGCAGTAACATAATCCCCATTTGCCATTTCATTTAGACTTCTCCTTTAATCCTCTTGTCTAAACAAACCACAAAATCTGATTTCAAAACACAAGTATTCTAAAATCAGAATTGAAATATTAGTTTTCATTCTTCTTTCAAATGTGTGTCTGTTTTATAACTGGCAAAAAAAAATTTAAAGACCCCACAAACTTCTAATTCCTATAAGAAAAGTAATAGATCACTTATCTTTATGAAGTTGTATTTCACAGAAAAATGTTTATTATTTTCTGTAGTGCTTTCAATCATTTTTGTGACAATTTTTCCTCAGATGTCTTTTGTGTACTTCTTTCTAAACTAAAGCCTAGGAGTAGTTTCTCAAGGCCAGGCTGACTCTTGACATCATCCCTTTCTTCTCATCCACCTGCCCTCAGAGACTGTTTTCTTCCCTTACAGGGGAGGGCATGACACAGGCTACTTTGAAGACACTCTGCTCCTCCTTTCCACCCACACACAATAGACTGTGGAGTAGGATACCGCCATCCCAACTCTCCACGACTCTGCCTATTCCCATGCAATGTCTTCTCCCATTTTTAGAATATTTATTGCCATATATTGTAAAAAAAAAAAAAAAAAAAAAAAAAGATAACAGATTTATGTATAGTGTGTTACTTTCCTATTGCCTCTGTAAACCAATTACCACGAATGTAGCAACTTGACACAAGCTTATTATCTTACAGTTTTGAAGGTCAGAAGTCTGAAATAAATCTCACTGGGCTAAAAACCAAGCTGTCAGCAGGGTTAGTTCCTTCTGCAAGCTTGAGGGGAGCATCTGTGTCCTTGCTTTTTTCAGCTTGTAGAGGTCTCTTGCCTTCCTTGGCTTAGGACTCCTTCTCATATTCAAAGCCAGCAATGGCTTGTGCAGTCTTTCTCCAGATGCAAATATGATGCTCACTCTTGTTCTGCCTCCCTCTTCCACTCATAAGGACATTGATTATAACACTGGGTCCATCCAGAAAATGTAGGATAATCTCCCCATCTCAGGGTCAGCTGATTAGCAACCTTAATTCACTTGGCCATGGAAACTAGCATACTCATACATCCTGGGCATTAGGACATGGGCATCTTTGGTGATGACAGAGGGCATTAGTCTTCCTACCACCAATGAAATGTTACAAAATCTAAGAAATCATTTTATATTCTTAAAGTTACTGTCTTTAGTTCCCCATTCCCTTGCTGATGTGATTAGTAACCGAAGGTTGTATAAAGCTTCTACTTGCTTCCATATTCCAGAGACCACCACATTCCTCCGTTCATGCGAAGGCCACATGACTCCCCTTTTCCATGATAGTTTATCTTCTTCAAACATAAAGCTAAAGAAGCAGTAAATCTGTAATAAGTTCCTCCTTGTTTCCAGTTGGACATGCATATGTATGAAGACCTCCATAGTAAGGGGTACTGAGCTCAGCCAGGAATGATCCATCATGGCCATCTCCTCACAGGTTTACGATTTATATTGAAAAATACAGGCTGGGAGCATTGTCTCATGCCTGTAATCCCAGCACTCTGGAAGGCTGAGGCAGGCAGATCACAAGGTCAGGAGATCGAGACCATCCTGGCTAACATGGTGAAACCCTGTCTCTACTAAGAAATACAAAAAATTAGCCGGGCATGGTGGTTGTGCCTGTAGTCCCAGCTACTCGGGAGGCTGAGGCAAGAGAATGGCGTGAACCTGGGAGGTGGAGCTTGCAGTGAGCCGAGATCACGCCACTGCACTCCAGCCTGGGCAACAGAGTGAGACTCCATCTCAAAAAAAAAAAAAAGAAAAGAAAAATACATGTCAATAATACCAATAAGTTAACAGCTTTGAATCAGAAACAGAAATCTTCATCTTTACCTACAACTTTCTAAAATCTGCCCAGTCTCACATTTTCTCTTTTTTTTTTTTTTTTTTTTTTTGAGACGGAGTCTTGCTCTGTCACCCAGGCTGGAGTGCAGTGGCGCGGTCTTGGCTCACTGCAAGCTCCATCTCCCGGGTTCACGCCATTCTTCTACCTCAGCCTCCCAAGTAGCTGGGACCACAGGCGCCCGCCACCTTGCCCAGCTAATTTTTTGTATTTTTAGTAGAGACGAGGTTTCACCGTATTAGCCAGGATGGTCTTGATCTCCTGACCTTGCGATCCGCCCACCTCGGCCTCCCTAAGAGCTGGGATTACAGGCCTGAGCCACTGCGCCCGGCCCAGTCTCACATTTTCAAACATGTCATTGTTTTTCTTCCCTCTGAGTCCACATCATCCTCTGTTCTTCTCTTTGTAAAGATATAAGCAACTGTGGCAGCTCCAGAATGACTCTATGGAAGGAGATTCGAGAAGGGAATCTTGTTGGATAGGGAAGGCCTGACACTAAAGGCCACATGTTAACGCTATTGTTTGAAAGGCACTTCTCAGAAACAGTTTTGAAGTAACCCATATCAAAAAATGAAGTGAAGCTGAAAAAGCCCACAGGAAAGTTCAATGCATTCCCCTCCCACAGTTACCCCGTATTTACTGCCAATGATAGACAAAACCATGGAAACTTTACATGGGGAAGAGACGTTAGAGACCATTCCAGGCCAAGCACAGTGGCTCATACCTGTAATCCCAGCACTTCAAGCGGCCAAGGTGGGAAGATTGCTTAAGCCCAGGAATTTGAGACCAGCCTGGACAACAGGGCAAAACCCCATCTCTACAAAAAATACAAAATAATAATAATAACTGGCTGGACATGGTGGCGCATGCCTATAGTCCCAGCTACTCAGGAGGTTGTGGTGCGGGGATCACTTGAGCCTGGGAGGTGGAGGCCACAGTGAACCATGATCACGCCATTGCACTCCAGCCTGGGTAACAGAGTGAGACCTTGTCTCAAAAAATCATAATAAAAATAAAAAATAAAAAAATAGAGACCATTTCATCCAGCTGAATCCATTACAAGAAAGTTCCTGAATGAATACACAAATGGTTCATTTGCTTGCTGAAAAATGACTTCAAACACAAACAACCCAGAACCCATGAACTCCAAATGGTTAGCGATTCAGCTCTTAATTCTGAATCCAGGTGCGGATTCTGATTCTGATTTAAGAATGTCTTCCTCCAGTCAAGTGTCCTGGTCCTTTTCCTCAACTTAATCTCTAATTCCTGTCTCTGAAATCCCCCTCCAGAGTTTTTCTTGACAGTTCTCAAATCTAGTCAAGGATAAATATCACAATTATTTTAACCAAATAAGCAGAGAAACACTCCTATGTTTATGTGTTTATGATAAATTTATGGAGATAAGTAGTGGGGCATTAATATCGGCCCCTTTGCAATCTATTCTATCTCTAGTCACCCAGAATTTAGGCTGAAAAACATTTGGCCAAGAAGGAATAATGGCTTTAATTAGTTTGAAGTTCAGCCAACCTTCTAAAAAATCAACAAGGAAATTCAAGATTATTTATTTCAAACCAAATGTTTTATTTGAAAAACTTTATGAAATGAGTGCTCTGACAGTCAAGTAATCTTAAGAGGATATGAAAGGTAGTAAGTTTCACCAAAACCTGTTTTTAGGGGCAAAAGTGAAATAGTAAATTCAGAGAATAGGAAGTTCTATGACAAGAAAAACTAGGAAGGACATGAGTGCAGTTTCAGTAACTGACTTTGACATATGCTATAAATGGGAGTGAATGACTGCTAAGCTACTGATCGAGAGAAGAGAGGGACAGCTTATCTGTTTCCATCTCCACTCCTTTAAGCCAACACAAGTCAAGGAAGTCTTGACACAATGCTGCACTATCAGACAAAGAAGCAGGAAATTATTAAGCAAGTATAATGACTGAAGCCAGTTAGCCGAAACTGTTATATCAAAATAGCTGCTGGCCTGAGGATATGTTCATGATCCCTAGGTAGTGTCTAACCTCTAAAGTTTCCTTGGGACTTTGTCTGCGATACACTTGTAACCAATTACACTCCTTAAAGAATTTCCCAGAATCCCTGCTTGGAGAGAATCTGAATAGTCAGGTACACTCTCCCTCCCTAGCCCCACCAGCACCTCCATCACCATTACCACACCCTCTGAGGTGCGTCTGTCTGAATCCTCCCCCGCCACATTCTATGTCCAAGAAGTGGTTTCCCACACAAGAGTGAACAGAGAATTCAAAGGTCTGAAAGTACCCACTCTAGATGAAATTCAGCTCACTTTGGGGGCAGTTCTGACTATTAGATTGCTTGGTCTCATGAGCTGTCCAATGGTGGGACAGATCTAATAAGCTTGATCTAATCAACTGAAACCTCCCTCCTGTAAATCAGGCTGGGTTTGCTCACCAACAATGCTCAGAATAAGGTAACTCACTGTTCCACATAAATGTTATTCAAAAATAATTAAAGAGTCTTTCTTTCTCTAATGTAAACTTCCCCAATTCCCTCAAAATAGTGACAGGACTTCTTGGCCTTGTTCTCCCTTTCCTCTGAACTCTACCCTTTGGTCAATATCCCTTAAGTGAAATGCCAAAAGCAATCTGAGTCTTCAGACTTGGCTCCATCATCCCAGAATAAAAGGTGACTACTGCCTCCCAAGTTGGGGGTTTTATATCTGGATTAAACTAGTCTACATCTGAATCAATGAGTTCAAATTAATCATTTAGGTTAGTAAAGCAGGTTGTTAAATCATATTTGCTTGCGATCAACTAAAACCACTAAGTTATTTTCCCAGTGTTGCTGATAAAACAACACAGGACAGTCATCCTGTGCTCATGCAGGCTGAAGATTATTTGCAGGACACAACTATGACTCTTTACACTCATAGAAATCTTTAGCGTCACTTTTGCTTTTTTAAATAAATGTGTTTCTAGTATTTGCATTTTGATAAGCTTCAAAAAGTCCTTCCTATCTCTCCTTATATCCTCATTTGTTACTTCTACATTTGAACTTATCTCCATAAAATAAGATGAGAATATTAATTTGTTTTGGTAAATGAATTAAACATGATGTAATTAAAAAAACAGGTTTGACAAATCTTACCAGTGTATACCATTATAAAAATGGAGAACTCTGTTAAATTTATCTTGCTACATACAAATAACTATTTTAGTTATTGTAGACCTTTATATATCCTGATTTACATAGGCAGCATATTAATCCTCACTTTCAGCTTTGTATCCATTTGTGCTAACTTAAAGATGCTAAGAAAAATACTGACCATATTTAGGCTAAAACACTGTTAGCAACTATTATCAGGTTAACATTTTAAATTTAATGCACACAATTCGAGTATAATCTTTTAATAAGCCAAGGTTTCTCTAGCTGTTATCACTTGCCTCAAACTTTTCACATTTATCCACAATGTGACAAAATATAATACTACATGAAGTATTAAAATGTACATAATCAGATTGTTTCTATCGCATTATGTAGAGTGCTTTAATCCCCATACAATACACAAAACTCAGGAGGTTTTATTGCAATAACAACAACAAAAAAGGAAATACTTTAGTCACACAAATGAAACTAAATTTGTCGGGACTCTTTCTGGTACTAGTTTCAGAAAGAAAATTATTATGATAATAATTGAATTAATCAAAGCAAGAAAAAAAAAAAAAAACGTTGTATTGGCCCATGCAACTGAAAAGGCTAAAATAGTTACAGCAGGACTCTGGGCTCATACAGTGCCCTCAGGACCTCCTCTCCCTCCCATCTGTCAGCTCCCTTGTCCTCCATGTTGGCTCATTCTCAGCATGCACATGGTAGCAAGATGGCTGCCACCAGATACAGTCCTACCTTCTCTCAGAATCAATCCTTGGTGGAAGAAATGAGTCTCTTTCTGGTTACACCAGCCCAAGGCCTCAGAGTATGTAAATGAACTAACAAAGGGACTAAATGACACTGATTGGCCAAGCCAAGTCACATGCTCCCCCCTGAGACTAGGAGATGAGCCCTTCTGGAACACAATCTGAAAAAGGCAGTGGAAATTTGAGCCACTGTCACCAGTGGAAGGGGCAATGAACGTTGGGTGGGCCAGATCTCAAACGGCCACTAAAGAAGCCTAATAAAATTCTTATGGGGGCTGGACACGGTGGCTCATGCCTGTAATACCAGCACTTTGGGAGGCTGAGGCAGGCAGATCACGAGATCAGAAGTTCAAGATTAGCCTGGTCAACATGGTCAAGCCCCGTCTCTACTAAAAATATAAAAATTAGCTAGACACGGTGGTTTGCGCCTATAATCCCAGCTACTCAGGAGGCTGAGGCAGGAGAATCACTTGAACCCGGGAGGCAGAGGTTGCAGTGACCTGAGATTGTGCAACTGCACTCCAGCCTGGGGGACAGAGCAAGACTCTGTCTCAAAAAAAAAAAAGAAAAGAAAAAAAATTAAAGTAATATTTATGAAATCTAACTCCTCTTGCTGAAGAGACCAATTTACTAATTTTTTTTTTTTTTTGAGACAGGGTCTCACTTTGTCACCCAGAGTGGCAGTAGCATGAGCATGGCTCACTGCAGCCTCAATCTTCTGAACTCAACAGACTAAAAAAAAATAAAAAATAAAAAAATTTAAAAAAATTCTTAAGGGACACTAACGATGGGAGAACACTTTGCTATACAAAAGAGAGACACGGGGCTATTGGTCAGACCTATGGAAAAACTTGTAAGGCTTCCAAAGACAGATAAGTGATCTCTCCCAGATTTGCAAAACACACCACCATGCTCTCCATTTTAGCCACTGGAAGACTCATTCTCTCTTGGGGCCAAACTGGCACTGTAGGCTGCTAAATAATTTATTTTGCTGACACATAGTTAAAAATCAGTCATTTTTGCTTTACAAAGTTCTTTTGAGATCAAAGGTTTAGTTCAGGATTCATGCAGTTAGCTTCCTTACACAGTTTAATAATTCAGGGTAAATTTAATCTTACTCCTTGACAGATTTATTAAATTTCTACTGCCTGAGAGTAAGAATCTTAATGTTTTTTATGTGCAAGAAAACATATAGTTTCTTTTTTTTTTTTTTCTTTTTTTTTTGAGACGGAGTCTCGCTCTCGCCCAGGCTGGAGTGCAGTGGCGCAATCTCGGCTCACTGCAAGCTCTGCCTCCCGGGCGTGGTGGCTCATGCCCATAATCCTAATCCCAGCACTTTGGGAGGCCGAGGTGGGTGGATCACGAGGTCAGGAGATCGAGACCATCCAGCTAAGATGGTGAAACCCCATCTCTACTAAAAATACAAAAAATTAGCCAGGTGTGGTGGGCAGGCACCTGTAGTCCCAGCTACTCAGGAGGCTGAGGCAGGAGAAAACATATAGTTTCTATATTTCTGTCTTCTGCTGCCTCCTATGAATGAAATGCCCTCACGATTGCCCTGCTTTTACATTCACATCCTTCAGATGCAACGTTCTAAGAAATTGCTATACCAATTTAGAATCTGAGAGATCGGATTAAAATATAAGAAAACTCATGTCCTAAACTTAATTGATATTAACTTTTTTTAAAAGGAAACTACAAATTTAAAAGAACTCTGAGGGCTGGTTCTGTGACTAATTTTCCTGAGGTGGCATATCTGTTACTCTCAGAGTTTCTTTTTTAAAGAGCATGAGAAGCTATTATTAACACATAGAAAGAATCTATACAGAGTAGATTATGTTAGTCATATCAAATCCAATTCCCTTCTGGAGTGAGGCTAATTTAGCTAGGTGATTTTGTAAATTAAGTTACAACAATTTGATGTTATGGGCTGAAACTTGCTCAGCGAAAGATCTAGGCAAATAATAGTTCTCTAAATTTCCATTTATACATCAGCTCCATCAAGGTGATCAAATATATTCCAGCTCTCTAAACATCACCTCAAATTGCACACAATTATATTGCTGTCTTTGGGTTCAAACAAAAGCAGAGTTCCCCGAACTGTGACTCAGTTAGGGTCAACCATGATGCTCGTTTCTGCATTGTTAGCATAACTGGTCTTTTCCTAACCCTCCAATCTAGTCTTCTGGGATCCCTCTGATAAAGTCAACCCAAACGTCGACTTTAGGCATAAAACAATTAAGAAAGATTACTGTCTACAGATAAAAAGTAAAATAGTTCAATTCCAGAGCCTGTTGAAATACACAAAGAATTACTACATGCAACCATTTAAGCAAATGCTCAGTAAAAAAAATAGAAACAAATGTATCTATATATATTTTATGTAAAAATAAAATACCTATATAGAGACACTGAAGGCTGAATTCTGAGGATCCAGAAATGCACTTTTTCACAGTCTAGTATAACAGTCAAAAGAAACAATAAGATAAACAGTATAAAAGCTCTTATGTAATTTCTTTTTTTTTTTTTTTTTTTTGAGACAGAGTCTCACTGTCACCCAGGCTGGAGTGCAGTGGCGCCATCTTGGCTTACTGCAGTCTCCGCTCCCCGGGGTTCACACCATTCTCCTGCCTCAGCCTCCAGAGTAGCTGGGACTACAGGCGCCCGCCACCTCGCCCAGCTAATTTTTTGTATTTTTAGTAGAGACGGGGTTTCACCCTGTTAGCCAGGATGGTCTCGATCTCCTGACCTCAAGATCCGCCCGCCTCGGCCTCCCAAAGGGCTGGGATTACAGGTGTGAGCCACCGCGCCCGGCCGTAATTTCTTAAAAACAAGGCAGAGGCACTAACTGGTCAATACATCCAACGAGGAGGAAAATCACTATGAGATGAGCTGGCCAAGGAAGATTTGCAAAACACTTTACCTTTTCTTATCTGGCTACTCTTTGATGGGTTTCTTCAACTCGCAGCTTAAATATCACCTCCTTAGGGAGCCTTCCGGACTCTCAAACCAGATTAGCCCCCTGACTCATTAAATTCCACAGCACAGCAGTTCATTTTTCTCTTTTGGTCCACATTTCACAATTAAGACTCCATCATGAATTGTTTAATGATTTTTTAAAACAACCGATTATTGCAAACTCAGTGACTACAGGGATCCTGCCCATGTTCTCAGCTCCTAGAAATGTCAACAAATAATTCAATAAGTAATTTTTGAGTGAATAACTGAGACATCTAGTTCTCATTACCTAGAATGTGACTCTAAAATAAAATCTTGGGGCAAATAACTATTCACATGACTGGGTTAGGCTGTATTTCTGACGCATTTGTAATTAAGCAAATCCCTTACATCTCTTTAATTTGAACCCTAGAAATGTGGGTGATTTTAATGACTCTTAAGTACCTCGACAGGAAAGAGCACAGTAAACTAGAGAGTGTCCATGAGACCCTAAAAGGAGAACTGAAAAGCTATTTAAGGATTAGGAATTATTTGTGTTTTACCAATAGATGTTTATTTGCAGGCTTTGGGTTTACATGGGTTTTAAGATTGATAAGATTATTTTATGAGGGAGATAAGATTCCGTTAATGCATGAAGATGGTGGAGTGGTCCTGGGGTCATTTCTCTTCTCATTGTGATGCTCCATTTAAGTCTGACTCATGTTAATCTTATTAATGACTTTCATACATTTGTACATAAGTGGCATAATCGGAAATAAATCTAGAAATAATCTCTACATGTACAAGAAAAGGATATACTTATCCTTAAGTATAAGGATATATAATTCTTTCTTACCATTTCTCTGTTTGAGTCCCATATTACTTGGGTAGTAAATATTACAGCCTCATATGAGGAGAAGTCCCCAGGCTGAAAATAGTTGTTCTTTAAAACAGCTTAATGTGTTCTTTAAAGCCACTAATCAGATTAAGCAGCAGTGTCTTTGAAGGAATTAGCTAGCCTTGAAATCCAATAAATAAGTTTGTCTTTCCTACAAAATTTGTCTAAGGGTAATTTTTTTCTTTCCAGAGAGGCCCTCTGCTGCCCATCCCTTTGTTCTCAAAATACAAGTTAAAAACTATAAGTGAAGGCTGTGACTATGTTTTAGTTTTTTCTCTATATACTTTTCTATTATTTTTAAATATTCTGTTACTTTTTATTGGATCAATAACAAATAAAATATCTTGCCCTGTTACCAACATAATTTCACATATTTTTACCCTAATCTTCATTTTTTTCCTGAGAAATTATCACATGGATTATATGTCACTTGAGTGAAGTTATAAATAACCATAACAATTTGCTCTGGAAGAATCCACATGAAACTGTAATTCTAACTGGTTTATGAATTTTTTATTCCCATTAATGGCAAATATCAGATATCCACAAGGGAGAAGGTAAACCACTATCTTAATGTTCTTCCAGAGTATCTCTAGAGATCCAAACTTCAAAAGCTGTACAAAGTCAAAGGTGAAATAATCTCAAGGCCTATGTACTTGACTCTAGAAAACACGATCAAAAAAATAAAAGAATACCTCTTTGTTACCATACTCAACATAAAACACAATAGAAATTTTAGGTTCTTTGAGAACCTCTTTAGAAGTGTTGGTATAGCATGCAAGTTACATACCAATTCTCAAAGAGTAAAACTATTAAAGTGGGTTTGGGTCTGTTAGATGATTTACTGTAATAACTCAGATAAAAAAGAATCATCCAAAGATAAGTCCTCTGCCACTGAGCGAGTTTGAGATTAAATCATCTCAGATATTTCCAGGAAAATAGATTCACTAACTTACACCCACAAAAAAAAAAAAAAAAAAAGTTTTCTGCCCAAACTATGTCTCTCAGTGCATTTATATTTTTCATGGAAACTGAGAAATGCAATCTATAGTACATTACTCATATTCAAGGGCAAGAAGAATCCCATTGAAACAATTACATTGACAAATAACAATTTAAGTTATTTCTATATCATGACCCAGTAAAATATGTTTTGTTAATGTAATTTCAATGAGTTCAATATATGTGCTTTTTTGGGGGGGTGGGGGTTGGCTTCTTCTTCATTTAAAACACATTTAATAAAAAAACTGGCTGGGTGTGATGGCTCATGCCTGTAATCCCAGCACTTTGGGAGGCTGAGGTGGACAGATCATGAGGACAGGAGTTCGAGACCAGCTGGCCAATATGGTGAAACCCCATCTCCACTAAAAATACAAAAATTAGCTGGGCGTGATGGTGCGTGCCTGTAGTTCCAGCTACTCAAGAGGCTGAGGCAGAAGAATCGCTTGAACCCAAGAGGCGGAGGTTGCAGTGAGCTGAGATTGCACCACTGCACTCGAGCCTGGGCGACAGAGCTAGACTCCATCTCAAAAAAACAAAAACAAACAAACCAATAAAAATAAATTTTAAAAAAACTTGATGCCTTATCTGCATTGTAGATGGCAGAGAAAGGCTGAATTATGATTTAGGTTTTACATTTTGACAGTTCTTTTCTTCCAACCACCAACTAGCAATTATAATGTTGATAGATACTCCATCTGAAATATTTGAATTAAAAAGCCCATCAAAATCATTAAACCATCTTCCCCCACAGAATACTATTCTTTACCTCTGGTAGTATTGGCAAAAGATGAAGGACAGAAGTCAGAAAGAAAGCTGGAGTGAGAAAATTTTTAAATCACTATTCTCCTCTCCTTTTGGAGACATGCCATATTTTCTCTCTAGTTTACTCACTGCAGAATAAGCTAGACATTTGCTATTTTTCCCCCAGACCTATGGGCCAGGAATAGAGTTTAGGTATATAAATGAATTCTAACAGCATTTCCTGATTTAAAAAATTAGATGATTCAACAGAGTTTGCTACATTCAAATTATAGTTATATTTTTACCTAAGCAAATTTACAGGACATTTTAATCATTTAACTAGTTAAATGCAGAGAGGAAAAGAGAATAGGGAAGATAACAAGAAAATGAGGAAGGGAGAGAGAGGAAAAAATATTTTGTGATGTGTCTCAGCCTTAAATTGCTCAATAAAGCTATCTCTCAAAGGCCGGCTCTCAAATGCATGCTTCATCCCAAGGTAAACTCATTCTCAGTAGGGTCCCATGGCACCTGCTACAATTAGTGATGTTGTGAGGCCTCCCTCATGCCCTTCATCCTCTCCTAGCCCACCCAGTTCTGGGGATGCTACCACAGAGAACCAAATCAATGGTGGAAGCCTTTCAATTACCTAAACAGGCAGTTGTTTAAAAGTAGTTTCAGTATCTAGCCACCAAACGTGGGAGTCTTTATCACAATTACAACCTATGTGTATCTCTCCCCACCACCTGCCTAAAACACAACAGCATCTGAGTTGAAGTAAAGGACGGAGTTATTGATTTGGTCCTTTCTTCCACATCAAGAGAATGCCACGCACAACCATGGGCCAACAGTCTTTCTTCAGTATCCCTGAAACGAAATGTAAAAATTATTGATGGGATCGTGCAAAATAGTAGTGAACACCACCATCTGTGCTTAGATTTCCTCTTCTCCATCTACTTTATCCTAGCAACTCAATAATCTTTTTTTAATGGCGATAATTGCAGAAGGCGATGAGATCTTCCATGAGTAATTTTACAAATTAATTAAACAATTCAAACATTATTAAGCGTAAATTTACCCCATCTGAGCTTAATCGTAATATTAAGAATCAGACGTAAAGTCACGTTTATGACAAGGACAGGCAGTAAAAAAGAAAGTCTGAGAGCTGACGGCCTACTTCTGGACCAGTGAATCTCAACTTTGGCAGAATATTACCATCTTGGGGCATCTTTTTTTAAATTTTATTTTACTTTCAGTTTTGGGATACATGTGCAGAACGTGCAGGTTTGCTACATATGTATACATGTGCCATGGTGGTTTGCTGCACCTATCAACCTGTCATCTAGGGTGTGTTCATTACACAGTCACTGAAGGTTTGTGTTTATTTTTATTTATTTTTATTTTTATTTTTATTTTTTTCTTCTGAGATGGAGTCTTGCTCTGTCGCCCAGGCTAGAGTGCAGTGGCACAATCTCGGCTCACTGCAACCTCCGCCTTCCAGGTTCAAGCAATTCTCCTGCCTCAGCCTCCCAAGTAGCTGGGACTACAGCCACGTGCCACCACATCCAGGTAATTTTTGTATTTTTAGTAGAGACAGGGTTTCACCATAGTGGCCAGGCTTGTCTCAAACTCCTGACCTCGTGATCCGCTCACCTCGGCCTCCCAAAGTGCTACGATTACAGGCGTGTTGCGCCCGGCCGCCACATTTTCTTTATCCAGTCTATCATTGATGGGCATTTGGGTTGGTTCCAAGTCTTTGCTATTGTAAATAGTGCTGCAATAAACATATGTGTGCACGTGTTTTTACAGTACAATGATTTATATTCCTTTAGGTATATATCCAGTAGTGGGATTGCTGGGTCCAATGGTATTTCTGGTTCTAGATCCTTAAGAAATCACCACACCTGGCACTTTTAAACATGCATATTCTCAGGCCTCATCACAGACCAATTTAATCAGAAACTCTGGGGGTGCTGCCCCTTGTATGGTATTTTTAAATCTCACTGGCGATTCTAACATGAGCCAGTATTGAGAACTCCTGGTCTGTAGTTGCTGCATGTTCCTCCTTGGCTTTCCTCGCTATGTTTAGATTTCAACAGAGGTGGGTGTGCATTACAGGGCAGCGCAGCAACCACGCTGGGAAACAGCAAACTGCAGACCCTAGTCTGATCAGTCAGAACCAGCTAGAATACGCAGTGGCAACAAACAACCCTCCGAAATTTCAGTGGCTTCAAACAAGTCCAGCTGGCTTCAAATGCATTTCATCTGGAGTTTTCTTTTACATCATTCCTAGTGAGGGAACCAGGCTGAGAGGGCTTCCAAGTCCTTTCTCACACAAAGGCTGAAGCAGAAAAAAAATTAATTTAGAGAATCACACAGTTGCTCTTAAAGCTTTCCCCAAGCTGAGACTTACATTTTGTGGTGAAAGCAAGGCTCAGAGCCCCATTTGTTTCCAAAGAAGCAAGGAAGCACAATTGCAGGATACAATAAAAGGTGGAGTAGCCAAGGGCCAAAATCTTTGGTAATCAGTACCAATGATAACCACAATTGTCCCCCAGCTGACTTCCAGCTTTCCAAAAGGCCATTCAAACTAAGACAAGGTAAGGTTTAGGAAGTCCCTCAGAAATGTACACAGGCCAAATCCCCTCCCAAGCAACCTAGGAAACAGAGTGAGACCCCTCATCTCCAAAAACCAACAATTTTTTTTAAAAAACCAATAGTGTCAAAATCAACAGACTCAGTGAATTCTAAGATATATCTCTATTATTATTATTATTACCACATAAGAACAAAAAAGCCAATGTTTTACAGAAATAGTTTTAAATTCTGCATCTTTCCTGCATAGATCAGGAATATATCTCTCACATACGACGTGACCTACATGTTGCTTATATTTTAGAATTGTGGTGAGAATTAAATAAGAAAAACATCTGTAAAGCTTTTAGCACTGTGCATGACATAGAGTAAGTGCTCAATTAATTTTAGCTATTTTTCAAATGCTTTTATTATACACATATGCATGTAAGTATATATACACATATCTTACATATGTATATAAATACACATTCTTATACATATCATACAAATACCGTTAGTAAACTTCCCGAATGTCACCCAGCAGGAAATAATCTTTCCCTCACCTGAATTTCTACGGCATTTTCTACAAATTTTTAAAGAGGGGTGTGTGTATGTGTGCATGTGTGTGTGTGTATTCTTTTATATGATATATATGAGGCATGAAAAAAAGAAAGGTATGGGGGATGGGGTGTCATTCAGTCAACCATGAGAGTCAAGTTTGTCTACTAGGAGAGTAAAAGTACATAAGAATACCACATTAAGTTGGTTCTAAATTGTAAGGGCCTTGCCTGACAGGTCAAGGAATCTCAATTTTTCCATAGACAATGAGAGTCACTGAAGGTTTGTGAGCAGGGGCATGGCATGTGCAACTTAAATTTTCAAGAAAGTCAATGTGTGACAAGTAGGCAGTAATGATGGTTTTCATGCATTCAGTCAACAATCTATCACCCACTCCAGGCTAGGTTTAGTCATTTAAAAAAAAACATACATACAATTATGGAGAGAGAAAGAACAAAATCTGTTAAGTGATAAGGCTTAGTTTACAAGGAAGATGAAGATGGTCATGTAAACTCAGAGTGCTGATGGTGCCATTACTGATGGTTCATCAGGCGTGAGTAAAGGTGACAGCCATGGTAGACGAGTCAGTGTGAAGTGTCTGCAGGACACCCCCATGCAGTTGCCCAGCAGACACTTCCCTGCAAGTTGGACCTGGCAGGGAGAGACATACTTTGGAATGATCCACAGTGAAGTGTTAAGTTTCCAAATCTTAACCAGAGACCAGAGAAAAATGTATCAATCATTAAATGCAGAGGCAAAAAACATGTAAACATAATCTATGGAAATCCTACATAATCTAAAGGAATTAATCTGATACCTACTTTATATGCACCTTAGAATCAAAAACCAATGTAGGATTTATCCTCCCATGTGCCGTCACCTGTGGCAGACAGAAGAGCTTTTTTGCAGGGACGTGACCAGGGGCAAGACAGAGGAAGAGAGAGATAAACCAAAATAATCTTCAAATAGAATAATCTCTGGTCAGGGTCGTCTATCATCAGAAATGTTTAGATTTAAGCTCTCTTTCCTCCAGGGAATCATATGGATAACACAGAAACTTAAATGGTAACTCAACCCCTGACTGGCATTTGACAGATTTTTATGTTATTATTATAGATAACATCATTCATGAAAGTACTCTGACAAATTAGGAAAATTATTTGAAATTTAATTCCTTAAGCTATATGCTTAATTAGAAAAATAATCTTAATAATTAATAAAATATCTCAATTAACCAAATATTTCAAACTGTCTATCATTACCATTCCATCTCTCATCTCTTCCTTTTTGCCTTTCAATGTGGAATAGCTGAAAACACAAGAATAAACAGGAAGCAAAAAAGCTTCAAATACCTTCCCTGGTAGAAGAAAGACTTTCTCTTAGCGACATACAATCACATTAAGATTTTGTCGAGGGTCACTGTTCCAAGATGGCCGAATAGGAACAGCTCCAATCTACAGCTCCCAGCGTGATTGATGCAAAAGATGGGTGATTTCTGCATTTCCAACTGAGGTAACTGGTTCATCTCACTGGGACTGGTTGGACAGTGGGTGCAGCCCATGGAGGGTGAGCCGAAGCGGGGCAGGGCATCACCTCACCCAGGAAGTGCAAGGGGTTGGGGGATTTCCCTTTCCTAGCCAAGGGAAGTCACGACAGACTGTACCTGGAAAAATGAGACACTCCCGCTCAAATACTGCACTTTTGCAACCATCTTAGCAAATAGTACATCAGGAGATTATATCCTATGCAAGGCTCGGTGGGTCCCACACCCATGGAGCCTTGCTCACTGCTAGCGCAGTAGACTGAGATCAACCTGCGAGGCAGCAGCCCAGCAGGCGGAGGGGTGTCCACCATTGCTGAGGCTTGAGTAGATAAACAAAGCAGCCGGGAAGCTCGAACTGGGCAGAGCCAACCACAGCACAGCAAAGCTTGCTCCCTCTATAGACTCCACCTCTTGCGGCAGGGCATAGCTGAACAAAAGGCAGCAGAAACTTCTGCAGACTTAAACATCACTGTCTGACAGCTCTGAAGAGAGCAGTGGTTCTCCCAGCACAGTGTTTGAGCTCGGAGAATGGAGAGACCGCCTCCTCAAGTGGGTCCCTGACCCCCATGTAGCCTAACTGGGAGACACCTCCCAGTAGGGGCTGACTGACACGTCATACAGGTGGGAGCTCCTCTGGGATGAACCTTCCAGAGGAAGGATCGGGCAGCAATATTTGTTGTTCTGCAACATTTCCAGTTCTGCAGCCTCCACTGGTGATACCCAGGCAAACAGGGTCTGGAGTGGACCTCCAGCACACTCCAACAGACCTGCAGCTGAGGGACCTGACTGTTAGAAGGAAAACTAACAAACAGAAAGGAATAGCATAAACATCAACAAAAAGGACATCCACACCAAAACCCCATATGTAGATCACCAACATCAAAGACCAAAGGTAGATAAAACCACAAAGATGGAGAGAAACCAGAGCAGAAAAGCTGAAAATTCTAAAAACCAGAGCGCCTCTTCTCTTCCAAACGACTGCAGCTCCTTGCCAGCAACAAAACAAAGCTGGACGGAGAATGACTTCGACAAGCTGACAGAAGTAGGCTTTAGAAGGTCGGTAATAACAAACTTCCCCGAACTAAAGGAGGATGTTCAAACCCATCACAAGGAACTAAAAAGATTAGACAAATGGCTAACTAGAATAAACAGTGTAGAGAAGACCTTAAATGACCTGATGGAGCTGAAAACCATGGCGTGAGAACCACGTGACGCATGCACAAGCTTCAATAGCCAATTCGATCAAGTGGAAGAAAGGGTCTCAGTGATTGAAGATCAAATTAATGAAATAAAGCAAGAAGAGAAGTTTAGAGAAAAAAGAGTAAAAAGAAATGAACAAAGCCTCCAAGAAATATGGCACTATGAGGAAACACCAAATCTACATTTGACTGATGTACCTGAAAGTGACTGGGAGAATAGAAACAAGCTGGAAAACACTCTTCAGGATATTATCCAGGAGAACTTTCCCAACCTAGACAGGCAGACCAACATTCAAACTCAGGAAATACAGAGAATACCACAAAGATACTCCTCAAGAAGAGCAACCCAAAGACACATAATTGTCAGATTCACCAAGGTTGAAATCAAGGAAAAAATGTTAAGGGCAGCCAGAGAGAAAGGTGGGGTTACCTACAAAGGGAAGTCCATCAGACCAACAACAGAACTCTTGGCAGAAACTCTACAACCATGGCGCAAGAACCAAGTGACACATGCACAAGCTTCAATAGCCAATTCCATCAAGTGGAAGAAAGGGTCTCAGAAACTCTACATAAGAGAGTTGGGGCCAATATTCAACATTCTTCAGGAGAATCATTTTCAACCCAGAATTTCATATCCAGCCAAACTAAGCTTCAGAAGTGAAGGAGAAATAAAATCCTTTACAGACAAGCAAATGCTGAGAGATTTTGTCACCACCATGCCTGCCCTACAAGAGCTCCTGAAGGAGGCACTAAAAATGGAAAGGAACAACCGGTACCAGCCACTGCAAAAACATGCCAAATTGTAAAGACCATCGATGCTACAAAGAAACTGCATCAACTAATGAGCAAAATAACCAGCTAACATCATAATGACAGGATCAGATTCACACATAACAATATTAACCTTAAATGTGAATGTGCTAAATGCCCCAATTAAAAGACACAGACTGGCAAATTGGATAAAGAGTCAAGACCCATCAGTGCGTTGTATTCAGGAGACCCATCTCACATGCAAAGAAACACTAGGCTCAAAATAAAGAGATGGAGGAAGATCTACCAAGCAAATGGAAAAAAAAAAAAAAAAAAGCAGGGGTTGCAATCCTAGTTTATGATAAAACAGACTTTAAACCAACAAAGTTCAAAAGAGACAAAGAAGGCCATTACATAATGGTAAAGGGATCAATTCAACAAGAAGAGCTAACGATCCTAAATATATATATGCACCCAATACAGGAGCACCCAGATTCATAAAGCAAGTCCTTAGAGACCTATAAAGAGACTTAGACTCCCACACAGTAATAATGGGAGACTTTAACACCCCACTGTCAATATTAGACAGATCAAGGAGACAGAAGGTTAACAAGGATATCCAGGACTTGAACTCAGCTCTGCACCAAGCAGACCTAATAGACATTTACAGAACTGTCCTCCCTAAATCAAGAGAATACACATTCTTCTCAGCTCCACATCACACTTATTCCAAAATTGACCACATAGTTGGAAGCAAAGCACTCCTCAGCAAATGTGAAAGAACAGAAATCACAACAAACTGTCTCTCAGACCACAGTGCAATCAAATTAGAACTCAGGATTAAGAAACTCACTCAAAACAGCACAACTAAATGTAAACTGAATGACGTGCTCCTGAATGACTACTGGGTAAAAAATGAAATGAAGGCACAAATAAAAATGTTTTTTGAAACCAATAAGAACAAAGAGACAACATACTAGAATCTCAGAGACACATTTAAAGCAGTGTATAGAGGGAAATGTATAGCACTAGATGCCCACAAGAGAAAGCAGGAAAGATCTAAAATTGACACCCTAACATCACAATTAAAAGAACTAGAGAAGCGAGAGCAAACAAATTCAAAAGCTAGCAGAAGGCAAGAAATAACTAACATCAGAGCAGAACTGAAGGAGATAGAGACACAAAAAACCCTTCAAAAAATCAATGAATCGAGGAGCTGGTTTTTTGAAAAGATCAATGAAATTGACAGACCGCTAGCAAGACTAATAAAGAAGAAAAGAGAGAAGAATCAAATAGAGGCAATAAAAAATGATAAAGGGGAAATCACCACTGATCCCACAGAAATACAAACTACCATCAGAGAATACTATAAACATCTCTACACAAATAAACTAAGAAATCTAGAAGAAATGGATGAATTCCTGAACACATACACCCTCCCAAGACTAAACCAGGAAGAAGTGGAATCTCTGAATAGACCAATAACAGGCTTTGAAATTGAGGCAATAATTAATAGCTTACCAACCAAAAAAAGTCCAGGACCAGACAGATTCACAGCTGAATTCTACCAGAGGTACAAAAAGGAGCTGGTACCATACCTTCTGAAACTATTCCAATTAATAGAAAAAGAGGGAATCCTCCCTAACTCATTTTATGAGGCTAGCCATCATCCTGATACCAAAGCCTAGCAGAGACACAACAAAAAAAGAGAATTTTAGACCAATATCCCTGATGAACATTGATGCAAAAATCCTCAACAAAATACTGGCAAACTGAATCCAGCAGCACATCAAAAAGCTTATCCACCACAATCAAGTCGGCTTCATCCCTGGGATGCAAGGCTGGTTCAACATACATAAATCAATAAATGTAATCCATCACATAAACAGAACCAATGACAAAAACCACATGATTATCTCAGTAGATGCAGAAAAGGCCTGATTATCTCAGTAGATGCAGAAAAGGCCTTTGACAAAATTCAACAGCCTTTCATGCTAAAAACTCTCAATAAGCTAGGTATTGATGGGACATATCTCAAAATAATAAGAACTATTTATGACAAAGCCACAGCCAATAACATACTGATTGGGCAAAAACTGGAAGCATTCCCTTTGAAAACAGGCACAAGACAGGGATGTCCTCTCTCACCACTCCTATTCAACACAGTGTTGGAAGTTCTGGCCAGGGCAATCAGGCAGGAGAAAGAAATAAATGGTATTCAATTAGGAAAAGAGGAAGTCAAATTGTCCCTGTTTGCAGATGACATGATTGTACATTTAGAAAACCCCATCGTCTCAGCCCAAAATCCCCTTAAGCTGATAAGCAACTTCAGCAAAGTCTCAGGATATAAAATCAATGTGCGAAAATCACAAGCATTCCTATACAGCAATAACAGACAAACAGAGAGCCAAATCATGAGTCAACTCCCATTCACAATTGCTACAAAGAGAATAAAATACCTAGGAATCCAACTTACAAGGGAGGTGAAGGACCTCTTCAAGGAGAACTACAAACCACTGCTCAGTGAAATAGAAGAGGACACAAACAAATGGAAGAACATTCCATGCTCATGGATAGGAAGAATCAGTATCATGAAAATGGCCTTACTGCCCAAGATAATTTATAGATTCAATGCCATCCCCATCAAGCTACCAATGACTTTCTTCACAGAATTGGAAAAAAAAACTGCTTTAAAGTTCATATGGAACCAAAAAAGAGCCCACATTGCCAAGACAATCCCAACCAAAAATAACAAAGCTGGAGGCATCATGCTACCTGACTTCAAATTATATTACAAGGCTACAGTGACCAAAACAGCATGGTACTGGTACCAAAACAGAGATACAGTCCAATGGAACAGAACAGAGGACTCAGAAATAACACCACACATCTACAGCCATCTGATATTTGACAAATCTGACAAAAACAAGAAATGGGGAAAGGATTCTCTATTTAATAAATGGTGCTAGGAAAACTGGCTAGCTATATGTAGAAAGCTGAAACTGGATCCCTTCCGTACACCTTATACAAAAATTAATTCAAGATGGATTAAAGACTTAAATGTTAGACCTAAAACCATAAAAACCCTAGAAGAAAACCTAGGCAATACCTTTCAGGACACAGGCATGGGCAAGGACTTCATGACTAAAACACCAAAAGCAATGGCAACAAAAGCCAAAATAAACAAATGGGATCTAATTAACCTAAAGAGTTTCTGCACAGCAAAAGAAACTACCATCAGAGTGAACAGGCAATCTACAGAATGGGAGAAAATTTTTGCAATCTATCCATCTGACAAAGGGCTAATATCCAGAATCTACAAAGAACTTAAACAAATTTTCAAGAAAAAAAAATCAAAAAGTGGGCAAAGGATATGAACAGACACTTCTCAAAAGAAAACATTTATGCAGCCAACAGTCACATGACAAAATGCTCATCATCACCGGTCACCAGAGAAATGCAAATCAAAACCACAGTGAGATACCATCTCACACCAGTTAGAATGGTGATCATTAAAAAGTCAGGAAACAACAGATGCTGGAGAGGATGTGGAGAAATAGTAATGCTTTTACACTGTTGCTGGGAGTGTAAATTAGTTCAACCACTGTGGAAGACAATGTGGCAATTCCTCGAGGATCTAGAACTAGAAATACCATTTGACTCAGCCATTCCATTACTGGATATATACCCAAAGGATTATAAATCATGCTACTATAAAGACACATGAACACGTATGCTTACTGCGGCACTATTCACAACAGCAAAAACTTGGAACCAACCCAAATGTCCATCAGTGATAGACTGGATTAAGAAACTGTGGCACATATACATCATGGAATACTATGCAGCCATAAAAAAGGATGAGTTCATGTCTTTTGCAGGGACGTGGATGAAGCTGGAAACCATCATTCTGAGCAAACTGTCACAAGGACAGAAAACCAAACACCACATGTTCTCACTCATACATAGGAATTGAACAATGAGAACACTTGGACACAGGGAGGGGAACATCACACACTGGGGCCTGTCATGGGGTGGGGGGCTGGAGGAAGGATAGCATTAGGAGAAATACCCAATGTAAGTGATGAGTTAGTAGGTGCAACAAACCAACATAGCACATGTATACCCATGTAACAAACTTGCACATTGTGCACATGTACCCTAGAACTTTAAAAAAAAAAAAAACAACTAAGAATGGAAGAAAATTTTCTCAATTTGATAAAGAACACCTACAAAAAAACTACCCTTAACAAAATAGTTAATAGTGAAATAATATTTTCCTCCTAAGAATGGGAATAAGAAAAAATATATATATATATATTATATATATATATATACACACACACACGTATGTCTCAGCCAGACACGGTGGCTCACTCCTGGAATCCCAGCACTTTGGGAGGCCAAGGTGGATGGATTGCTGGAGCTCAAGAGTTCAAGACCAGCCTGGGCAACATGGTGAAACCCTGTCTCTACTGAAAATACAAAAATTAGCTGGATGTGGTTGTGCATATCTATAGTCCTAGCAACTCGGGAGGCTGAGGTGGGAGGATTGAGGAAAAAAAAATTATCAAACTTAAGACTTAATGTTTGATAAAATATTAAGGCTTTATCAAAAAGAGCTTAGGGTCCATCAACAGATGATGGGATTTTTAAAATGTGGTATACATATACCATGGAATACTATTCAGCCACAAAAAAGAATGAAATTATGTCTTTTGTAGCAGCATGGTTGGAAGTAGAGGCCATTATCTTAAGTGAATTAGAAAGTCAAATACCACATGTTCTAACTTATAAGTAGGAGCTAAATAATGTGTACACATGGACTTGGGGTGAAGAATAATAGACACTGGAGATTAGGAAGGGTTGGAGGGTAGGTTGGGGGGTGAGGGATGAGAAATTATTTAATGGGTACAATGTATACTGTTGGGGTGATGGTTACACTAAAAGCTCAGTCTTTACCATTATACAAATGTTAAAAAAGATAAAAAACCAAACTTATTTGGGGGTTAGTTTCACATATCCTATTTATCATACAGAAGGAAGGACTTCCTGGCTAGGATAGTGATTACACATGTTAAAAAGTGCTGCACTCTGCACACAAAATGAAAGCTCTGTGTCACCACTTGGTACTTCAGGATGAAATGATGGTCCTGGTGGTGGTGTGTGTCGGGGGGTGGTGGTAGGGAGGTTGAGGATGTGCTAAATAATCAAACCTTTCTTGCCTAGAGATTTCCAGTGATAGACAGTGCACACTGACAAGATGGATGACAGAGTTAAGGGTATAATTTGTGCCTGTGAAGCGAGAAGGGAACAACGTGTGTAGAGGTAAGATGCATATATAACACTTAAGGGTTATAATAAAGATGTGCACACCATGGTTCAGAAAAGAGCAAAATCTACTGCCATTGGTCAGAGAGAAAAGAAGGCTTCTTGGAAGAGACAGGAAAGAGCTGAGGCTCAGGGGATAGTTCTGGATTGGAATTCCACACAGCATATGCCTGGTGAAAGGAGAGATCCAACCTGACAGGAATTCTCCCATAAAATCATGGGGCATAAGGTGATAAAAGTTGTACATGCCAGTATGTTAGGTAAAAGTGAATGGAATTATTTACTACAGGTAATGGAGAAAAAAAGTTAAATTCCAGTAGCATGAAACATGTTAGCATTTGTGTTTCGGGGAAGGTTAATCCAATATCTCCCATTCCAGAATTGACTGGAGAAGGATACATCAAGAGAGCAGAGAATAACTTGGAAGATGTTGCTAGGGTGGTGGGTGGTAGCAATAGGAGCGCAATGGTGCTTTGAAGAAATTCACATGATGATTGGTTACACTTAAGAAATGAGTCAGTGAAGCAAGTCAAGGCCAGCTACAGGAATGCAGAAACCAGGCAAGTGCTGCAGCCAACGAAATGGATGGAAAAGTCGTTCTTATTAAAATCTGCTTGAAAAAAGATATTTAGGAAAGATGCCATGAAATCTTGTTTTGCATGGCCAGGTAGGCTAATGGACAATAGGGACTCAACGAACAGCAAAGGAGTCATGTAAGATCCTTCCCATTACTGTTTTCGAGTCACACAGATGTGTCTTAATTTCTATAGCAGTGTGGGTTGTATTATTTTCCTTTTTTCCCATTAATTCTGTAGTGATTAGAGCCTACTGGAGAATAAATATCCTATTTTGGCAGTCACCTCTGTGACACCACACTAAGTCAGACTGGTTTATTCATCAGATTACTCTATTACAGAATTGGACACAATGGGGGCATCATCCATTGGGTCCTCATCTTATTTTTCCTTTCAAAAGCTCTGTCCACACATTACAGCATCAAATGCAACCTTCCCAGTGATGTACTATGGTACAAAAAGGGAAAATGTGCCTCAATACAAAGTCTAATCTGTGCTGCAACAAAAGCAGAGAACATTACATTATCATTGGCTCCAAACTAAAGGAAAAGAATGTTTTTGGTTTTTTTCAGATATTATGTATACAAGCATCTGAAAAAAAGCCAGGCAAATGAAAAAATATACACAGTACATAGGGAAATAAATAAGAATGTTATATTTGGGGAGAAATGGGAAACAGAAATGACTCACTGTTAAGATTTTAGTGTTTTCAAAGCACAAAAAAAAATATGCTTGATCACTCTTCCCCACTGCAAGATAAACTTAAACTAAATTTAATTGTTTATTTTCAGCTCCTCAGTCTCTGGGTTCTACCTCTTTCCATTCCTTTTCCCCTACTGCCTTAGCATTCTCAGCTGTTCAGTGACCAAGGCTCATTTTCTGTCCTTTCAAACTTGACTCCCCTTAAAATCTCACAATCTGCTGTTTAGAAAGGATGGGCACTTTGCTCCCTCTGAGCACTGTTTTCTCCAGGTGTGAGCTACAAACCACTGCATAAGTACCCATCTTGGTGTGGGTAAAGATGCAAATTCCAAAGCACAGCCCAAGTCAAGTGAGTTGGACTTCTCACCCACTTCCTGCACCTCACACTCTTTGCTGGACTTCTTTCACCTCTTAAAGTATACGTATTTTTCCTTTATCCTAAGTGAACCTGTACAAAAATAGGATTGAATCAGAGGGTGTCTCAATACAAGCCCTACTCATGTGGTATGAACCTACCTAAGGCTATATGCTTGATAATGACAAGTATTTTATTTACTCAATGACAAAATCAAGCAACTGCTCTACTCAACTATTTCTTCAACAGTTCCACTCAAAATCTCTTCAACTGCAAAGGAAGATGTAGCTTTTTCTGAACACAAAGTACCCACGCTACATCTAAGAAGCAGGTCTCTTCCATTACAAGAAAGTGAAGATGACTTCCAGCCAAATTCAGGCAATTGTATGAAGCAGATAAGTGAATAGAAATGACAGTTAATATTAATGCTTGGTGATAAAATCAACAAGTAATATTTTATTAAATAGTAACTCTATACAAGGCACCATTAAATACTCTGCAAGGATATGTGTGGGTCAAGCATCCTGAAATTAATCTGAAGAATAATATCAATGCGTGAACAATTAATAACATTTCTGTTTAAAACAGCAGAAGGCTTGACTCGGGGCAGCATAAAGTACGCCTGCCAACTCGGACAATCCAAGTTCAGAGAAGACACATCAGTTCACCTCGAGATGTCAGCAAATGTTTTACATAAAAGATGGGGTTTGATAGAAGATTGATGAGGACTGTCTAGGTAGAACAGCGGGTGGCGGGGGAGCAGAGTTAGCAAGTAAGAGGTGAGGGAAGGAGGTGATGTGGCAAAAACACAGAGATGACCAAGCAGAAACCAAAGTACCAGAGAACTTGAGTACACCAGAGTGGCTAGAATAGGAATTCCAATCTGAGTAAATGCAAGAGTAAGGCTCACAATTGAAGGAGGATATCGAAAGTCGATTTGTGGGCTGCCTGTGGCTGGGGGTGCAGGAGAATGGGGAGACTGTTAATAAATATGAGGTTTCTTGTTACGGTGCTGAAAATTCTCAGTTCGGAATATGGTTGCACAACTTAGTCAATTTTACAAAAACCATTGTGCTGAACATTTTAAATGAGTAAAATTTTTTATCATTATATCTTTTTTATTTTTACATTAAGTCATTAAAAAGGGGAAGAGACATGACTGGGTTTGGTGAGATTTGTTTTAGGAATGTGTGTCTATTGGCATTTAGGAAGATGTAGTTGAGGGAAAGGAGAAATGTTATCATTTCTTTTTTTAAAAAAAATTATTTCCATAGGTTTTTAAGGAACAGGTGGTATTTGGTTACATGAGTAAGCTCTTTAGTGGTGATTCGTGAGATTTTGGTGCATCCATCATCCATGCAGTATACACTGTACCCTACTTGTAGTCTTTATCCCTCACCCTCTTCCCACCCTTTCTCCTGAGTCCCCAAAGTCAATTGTTTCATTTTTATTCCTTTGCATCCTCATAGCTTAGTTCCCACTTATGAGTGAGAACATACAATGTTTGGTTTCCCATTCCTGAGTTACTTTTCTTAGAATAATAGTCTCCAATCCCATCCAGGTTGTGGCAAATGCCATTAATTCATTCCTTTTTATGGCTGAGTAGTATTCCATCATATACACATACCACAGTTTCTTTATCCACTCATTGATTGATGGACTTTTGGGTTGGTTCCACATTTTTGCAATTGTGAATTGTGCTGCTATAAACATGCGTGTGCAATTATCTTTTCCGTATAATGACTTCTTTTCTTCTGGGTGGGTACCCAGTAGCGGGATTGCTGGATCAAATGGTAGTTCTACTTTTAGTTCTTTAAGGAATCTCCACACCGTTTTCCATAGTGGTTGTGCTAGTTTACATTCCCACCAGCAATGTAGAAATGTTCGCTTTTCACCACATCCACGCCAACATCTATCATTTTTTGATTTTTTCTTTATGGCCACTTTTGTGGGAGTAAGGTGGTATTGCACTGTGATTTTGATTTGCATTAAATGGGTAAATTTTATCATATATGAATTTTATATCAATAAAGCTGTTAAACAGGAGAGAGGGCCTCGACTATATATATATTTCTAGAAATATATATTTCTAAATTTAAAATATATAGATAATATATTTAGAATATTCTCTAGAATATATAATTATATAATTATAATTATATAAGATTATATATTACATATTATAACTATATTATATGTAATTATATAATAGAATATATAATTATTATAGAATGTAATAAATAGCTTGGCATATGCCCAAGCATACCTGGCCATAATTGTCCCAACTGTCCCCCCTTCACAGAGCACACTCTTTTCTTCTCTTTCTCCAGGTTCTTACCAATCCCCAGAGTATGACAGACTTCGTCAGCAGTCCTCATGGCTTTGGGAACAGTAAATTATACCAGTCACATATAACATCTTCATACTGGAGAAATGACACTGGGTTCACAATCTGAATCTCAATATACTAATGTCTTTTAATCCATGGATTTTTTTCATCAAGTTAAAAATATCTGCCCCTAAACTCACCCATTGTGTTGATACATCAATGGCTTAAAGTAGCTAGTGATTGGTGAATCTCAGAACATATTCAAATCTTCCATCCAGTTTTATTCCCTACATCATGGAGAATAAAAATGACAAAATAATAACTACTCTGTTATTGGCAAGCGCTAAACACTTTCTATAGAGTCTCCTCTTTGAATCCTCACCACAATACCATGATGAAGGTTTAATGACCCCATCATGCAGATTAAAAAACTGAGGCTCAGAAAAGTGTAGTAATTTTCACCACCACTGGGAGGTAGTGAAATCAGTGTTCAAAAGGGTCTCACTCAAAAGCCAATAACAAAGGCTCAAAAGAGAGAAAAAGTGTTCTGCATAAATACAAATATGAAATGAAATTTGAACACAGAAAAAAAGGTAGTTTTATATCTGAATCATTTCTTAGAAGTGTTTGAATGCTGTTAAGTCTGAATATGAACCTCTAATTGCCTTTGAATCCATGATCCTATTCTCATAATCAAACTCCTCATAAATACCACAGTTTTACCTTGGAAGAATGTATCTTTTATATTCACCTTAATTTTGAAAGTTTCTTAAATTCTCCACATATAATGCATTATAAATTACTATTAATCTGTCTATTTGCTAAAATTCTTAAATGATTTATGAGATAAAAATCTTAATACAAATGATTTAGCACTTTTGTAAAATAAACTGGTAGAAATTTTAAGATAGGTCAAAATAATTAAAGTTTTAAATGCACTCAAAAGAAAAGGTAAATTGTATGCTAAAATTCTAAAATGACTTAAGTATGCCTAATCTATTGTTGCTCCACTACACTTACTTTCTAAAGTTGACAATGGCCAATAATTTCTTCTTTTTGTAATAAATTTTCCCTAGTGCATATATGATTTTTGTCTATCTTCATAATAAATTTTCCCTAGTGCATATATGATAGTTGTCTATCTTCATCTACAGAAGATACTGAGCTTCCTAACCTCTTGCTAAACAAAACAAATATAACTTCTGCAGGTCTACAGATTCATTTGCCAATAATTTGTTTATGCAATGATAATGCAGTGAAGTTATCCATGTTTAAGTGTAAAACAATGAAAGACATAAATTTTTATTTTTACTGGAAATGAGAGTGTTCCACTGTTCTGAACAATCCATTAACTACTATACCTAAACAAAGTCTTTATATTGTTATGTTTCTCATTTCATGACTTTTTATAGCTAACATGTTTTCAGCCAAAAATAATGTGATTAGAAAAGAGTTCAATAAAAATATGTGGCAATGCAATAAGTATAGAAGTTAATGAATTTCTCTATGACTAGAAAACAATTATTGATTACCTATTTTTGGAAAGCTTTAAATCAATTTTCATGTCATTTACTATAAAAAGTTTCTGGAAAAAAACTCAAGAGGAGTTAGATAAAAGGTTTTGAAACTAATAAGATATTGATTTTTCTAACTTTGTATGCTAATTTGTGGATTTAATAGCCCCTAATTTAATTAGACTAATGCCTTTTTGTGTCAATGAGGCTTGTAGAGAAAGGCTGCCTGGCAAACTGTCTGAATTTCTGAATTGGTATATCTCCAAAGAGAGAGAAAACACTTCTAGCTTGGGAACCTCAGTTAATAGCGCAACCTAAATAGCTATGAATTTGGAAGATCTGTGTGGTTTTACACTTATTTCTTAGTAATCTGCCACTCTGGGTCAGTAGAATACATTAGGAACTGAATAAAATTTTCAGTTAGGTTCAATATCAATTAGATTAATACAATTAAGCATTAGAATATGAAAAGAGAATATAGTAGACTTAACATCTGTGATAATACTGAAGGATGGGGGGACAGGGAACAGAGAGAAAGGGACAGAGAAGAAGAGATTGATTATTAAAAAGATAGCGATGCAATTAAAATCTATCAATAATAAAAAAAAGCCAGTTGGAGTCTCTTCACAAACTAAGAATTTTCTTTTGTTGTTTTTTTGTTTTTGAGACAGAGTCTCCCTCTGTCACCCAGGTTGGAGTGCAGTGGTGTGATTTCGGCTCACTGCAACCTCTGCCTCCTGGGTTCAAGCCATTCTCCTGCCTAAGGCTCCTGAGTAACTGGGACTACAGGCGCCAGCTACCATGCCCAGCTAATTATTGTATTCTTTTTTAGTAGAGGCAGGGTTTCACCATGTTGGCCAGATTGCTCTTGAACTCCTGACCTCAGGTGATCTGCCCACCTGGGCCTCCCAAAGCGCTAGGATTACAGGTGTGAGCCACCACGCCCGGCTAAACTAAGAATTTTCTGACAACCACTAGATAGTAATCATAATAGATCTGAAGTTATCTTTTATTTTCCAAGTCCAAACAACTTGAAAATGTATTACAGAAAAACGAAACAGTCAATGTTGAACAGGAAGGAAGGAAGGAAGGAAGGAAGGAAGGAAGGAAGGAAGGAAGGAAGGAAGGAAGGAATGGCGGGCAAAATATATAATCTACAAATGCAGAAGTCACTCCTGGAATCAAGTCTGATATTAAGACATTCCTCCAGTAACAGAAGCTGGACTTCCAAAACCGCCTTTCTTTTAACCACTGTGAAAGCCACCCATGCTTTATCTGCACCAAGTCGACCCTACTGCCTCTGGTGCCTTCCAAGCTTTTCTGGAACATTACCTCCTCCTGGTGGCCTGAAAGGGAAGCTATTGAGCCCCTTTCATCCTTCCTTACCACCTGATTTCTCCCCCAACTCTACAAATTCACACTGAACAGCTGACCTTGAACAACACAGGTTTAACTGCACAGGTCCGCTTATATGTGGATTTTCTTCTGTGTCTGCCACCCCTGAGACAGCAAGGCCAGCCCCTCCTCTTCCTCCTCCTCAGCCTACTTAACATGAAGAGGATGAGGATGAAGACCTTTAAGATGATCCACTTCCACTTAATGTATAATAAATATATTTTCTCTTCCTTGTGATTTTCTCAATAATGTTTTCTTTTCTCTAGCTTACTTAATTGTAAGAATATGGTATATAAAATATAATATACAAAATAGGTTAATCAACTGTTTATGTTATCAGTAGAGCTTCCTGTCAACCATAGCCTATTAGTTAAGTTTCAAAACAGTCAAAAGTTATAAGCAGATTTTTGACTTCGCAGGGGCCAGTGCCCCAAACCCCCACAGTGTTCAAGGGTGAACTGTATTTTCACTGTTTCCATATCTTCCTGCCATGACTCAAATAATTTCAACTCAGGGATTAATTTGCAGATTAATTTGCACATCTATCCTTTTTTCATTCTATCTCTTTCAATTTTTAGTAAAATTTCCTTAGGAAAATAATTTTCTTCTTCTTATCTTTCCTCTTTCCATCTCACTCTTTGATTTCTACAATGAGCTAAAAATTGACTGTTGAGTTTAGGTTTGAATTTCAGGTAAATTATCAATAATTAGTGTGTTACTTTGAGAAACAAGACTTTGGAAAATTATACCAAAGAGGCTTAAAGAAAGATATAATAATATCAAGAAAAAGGAAAGCCACCAATGTACTTGAAATAAGTATCAGAACCAGTCCTATCTATGTTAAATATAATTTTTTAAATGTTAGGTCCAGTAAATCTGCATTAAAGGTAATTGAAATAATATCAGAACTATTACTTTCTACATTAAATGATTTGCAAAATGCCTAAAATGTTATTTGAAATATCTAAAATTGTTTTCTCCATCTATTAAAACCTCTGAACTAAATGTGCCAATATACTATAAGTGTTATATATTAAAAGCTAGTCCTGGTTTACTTTTACTGCCTCTTGGTTTGCACAATACAGTCTACTTTTTTCATTGTTAATGTAGAATGTATCATGGACTGTTATATGGATTATATGGATCTTTATTGGCTAGTGTTTGACTAAACACTTTTCGTGACATCTATTAGGAGGTAAAGCTCTGCATATTTTATACAACAGAGAATCACAGGGACATGGGGAGCAAAAAGTCAACTTCCCACAGCACCAAGCAGACCAATAGCGGCTGTGTTTGCTGAGAATACACCCTCCCAGCATGAGGGAAAGATCAGGAAAACACAATATAACTAGCATTAGCCCAAACATGGAGCATGAACCTCCACCATCACCTTGACAAGAGGCAGTCTCATGAAGAGAAAAGAGCACTGGTTTGGAACCAAACAAACTTAAACTTTGATTCTTAATCCACCTTGTAAGTAGCAATTTAACCTTGACCAGATTACTATATTCCCTGAGCAATAATTTCCTCAATTGTAAAATTCGGCTAGTGAGGTTTGCATTCTAGGGCTGTACTAACACATGCATGTATGTGTGCATGTATATATAGCTGCACATACACACATGTATATACATATTTCCCTTCGACCTACTTGTCATTGATCTGACCTTTACAACCTTCTACTTTGGGGCTACATTTGGGGCCACTTTGGGGCTTCAATCTCTTCATTCAGTCCCATGAGGCTGTTAAAAATTGTGGCAAACATATCCAGTCTTAAATATTTATGGCCTCGTGACTAGAAGAAAAATGGCTTTTTCTAACCAGAACAATCAGGAAAAAAAGTTCTGGGAAAGCACTATTATTGGCCCAGACTGAGATAAATAGTCATTGTTAGACAATGACTGCTCTGGGGAATGTAGTACTATATTGAACCAGCCTGAGACAGGACTAAAGGGGCAGACGTCTCTTAGGCCTGTGTTATATCGATTATAAATATATAATCAATAATATAATAATTGATTATTTCCTATTTGTCTTAAGCTGAGACCTGTGCCCCTTTAGTCCTGGCTCAGGCCGATTCTTTAAAATATCTGTGGTATTTTTTCTCTCTGAGCAGACACAAAGACTGGCTTACACAAAGACCATGTCAGCATCTTGGACTCTTTACTCTTTAGAGCTGATATACTTTAACATCTCTCTAAAGTCACAAATCATTATTCATTCTTCAGCTACATCCATCAGCCTGGATGCTGGCAGTCATTTTCTAGCTGGGTACCACTTTCAGATTCATCTTCCCAGCACTATACTTTCACATTACTTCTAGATTCAAGAACCAATCATGGTTTTGTATGGCCTGTCATAGAGATCAAACCTCTGCCATTTAGTCTTAAAGCTTCTTCAGTGGCTGGCCCTCCCTTATCCAGCCAACTTTATCTGCTACTATTCCTTCGCATGAACCATTCTTCTGGGATACTTAACAGTCTCTGATCATGCCACAGTTATTCTCCTCTAGGCCTCTGATTGTGCTAATTTTATTGCCTAAAATGCTCTACTCTCTCTGTTCCAAATCCCAATAATTCATTATAGCCTAATGCTCCAATTCTGTCCTATTTTTATATGCAACTCATACTGATCTCTCCCTTCCTTGAATTCTTACAGCATTCATGTGGAATCATTTATATAGTAATTGATTATTTCCTATTTGTTCTGCCATTTCTCCATTTTGGTTATAAGAACTTGCAGAGCAGAGATGTGCTTTTGTGTCTTCCTCACAGTGCAGGTCATAAAACACACATAACCACAAACTTGATTTTCATGCCCTTTGCAGGCCAACAACCACCTTCTTCCATACCCTAAAGAGTTAATCTTAGAATTAAAAACAAACAGGATTTCTCTGTGATTAAGCTCATCTGTCTTATTTCTCTGTAGCTGTCATGAAAATGTTATGTTTCTAATTCAACGTTTATGTCCAGTTCTGCTACTGCATAAAGGTCATCTTCATCTAGTCATGCGACACAGGAGTCAGAAACTGGAAATTCACACATGTTTACAACAGCTTCATTGCAAGCAACTACCCCACAGGGAACACCTGGTGCTCTGAGTCACAAATAGGCCAGCAGTCTGCAGTTGTGGACACCAGCACCTACCTCCTAAAACACCTGAAAACCTTACTCCTAAATCTTAAGTAGCTAGTTTAGCCTTACATCAAGCTGATAAGACAAAATACCACTTCCTCCTGCCTTAATTGAGCTGACATCAGTGGTTGTTATTTTGAGGAGTGATGAAAATTTCCTGAGTGGCTTCTAAAAGATGTTATTGCATTTTTGTTTTAACTTATGAATGCACAGAACCTAAAACCTACTAAGATGACATACAAAGACCTGACATTTTGAAGTAAATACATAAGACCAATGACTATATAGAAAAACAAGATGTACGTACTTTAATACTATTGATTGATTTATGTAGAAAGCTGCAGAAGTGGGAAGTCATAGCAAGTGGGGACAGGAAGGAAACAATCTCTGATTTAGAGTGATAAGTGTCTCAAAACTAAATTAAATAAACTAAAGCAACCATCTGTTTTACAAACTGAAATGATTAATTTTTAGTAAATCTTCTGATGGTGCACTATTTTTGGCAGAGTATTAATCTACAAGAAACAGAGCAAACGGGCAATCCCACACATTTCATAAAGGATAACTACATTTTCCAGTTATCCATCTGGGTCCTTTTCATTTCAGTAGTTTAATTAAAACTCAATGGTATTATCAATCTGTTACGTTTTTCATGTTGATGGCTATTACATTTACAGTACAGCAGGAGTACAAATTAAAGTGAGAAGATGATAAATCTCATCTTCAAATTTCATTTCTGTTTCTCTAGTAACTAATACTCTGGTAATATTTTTTAGCTCACTCATGTTTATAGAACTATTTTCATGATTTTTATGATTAAAATAAAGGGAAAAAAGGGAAGTGATTTTTCAATAGCTTTTATTCCTTTTTGCATATATTATGTTTTGTGACTCTTCTATCAACCCACTCTGCAGATATATTTCAGATGAGCTCCTAAAACTCTGTAATTATAATTTTCTTCTGTTAAATATTTGTTGTATTTTTTCTGTATAAATCTTTTAATGTTAGACTTCCTCAAATTAAAATAAGATGCATATCATTCAATTATGAATTATGGGTATTTAAATTTATATGTAAAATACAGTTATTTTTTGTATGAATCATTAACCAAAAGCAATTATTGCCTTTTATACCAAGAATTCACCTTCCAACCTAGGTCATTAGATATGCATCCTTTCAGGTATACCAGGATACAGTCACATCATCTTATTAACATAAAATTGTACATTGGATTACAATAATGTCAAACACAGGATGCAGTGGGTTAGGCTAAAAACAAACGCTATACAAATGCTTTCAAAATGCAGATGGTTCCCAACTTAGAATGGTTTGACTTACAATTTTTCAACTTTATGATGGTGCAAAAGCCATATGTGCTTAGTAGAAACCACACTTCAAGTAACCATACAACCATTCTGTTTTTCATTTTTAGTACAGCGTTCAGTGAATTATATGAGATATTCAACACTTTATTATAAGATACACTTTGTGTTAGATGATTTTGCCCAAAAGTAGGCTAATGTAAATGTTCTAAACATGTGCAAGGCTAGGCTAAGCTATGATGTTTGGTAGGTTAGGTGTGTTATAAGCATTTTCTACTTATGATATTTTCAAGATGGGCTTATCAGGATGTAACTCCATTGTAAGTCAAGGAGCATCTGTATTAAAAACTTCACAACTGTAAGCTAAGTTGTAAAAATATCAGATTGAGGCTGACTTTCAGAGAGGTATAAACTCCTATCTCCCTCTCCCACTTCTCTCCCTCCTGACTTCCAAACCTGGAGATGACATTCATGATAAGAATTGAAAGTGTCTTTATAAGGCAATCAAAGGGCTTTAACTTGCTGACCCTCCGTTAGGAAGCAGAAACAACTGTTGTGCAGTAACTAGTGTCAAAAATTGAGCTGTTGACAAAAAGTTCACTCCTGCCAAACTTCCTGCACTCCTAAGCACTAGCTGTGCCCTATCAATGTCTGTCATCAGTCAGTCCTCACTATCTACAGTCTACTTGTTTGAACCAAAGTAGACTTCATTCCCCAGACGCAACATTCACTTTGGTTCAAGCCAACTGTTCTCAGAAGGAAACACCTGTTCCTCAGAAATGCTAACTCAATGTCCTGCAGTTTGACAAAATTAAGCCTTTTGCTAGGTACATAGGTGACCTTATCTGTTCAACATTGAACAATGGTTCATCCCTGAAGCCAATTATTTCATAAGGATTCCACAACATTATCTAAATGTCAAAAGATGTAGGTTCTACTGGAGTGGCAGCAGAGGAAAAACCTCTTGTTAGTATTCCAGAAGTCAATTTGCCTGGAATTCAAACCATTTCTTAATATTCTTGCGTAATAATGAAAAGACAACTGCCCTGGAAGTCAGCATACCGGCTGCCCACCTGAGGCAGGTCCAGCTCACTCAGCAGGTAATGTTTTTAAAAGACTAAAACAAGTTAATTATGTAGAGATAAGGGAAAAACGGGAGGGAGAGAAAGAGAAGCAGGAAACAGTGGGAGGGAGAAGCAAAAAAAAAAAACTGGCAAGAAGAGAAATGCACTTTCCTAGAAGGATAAATAGTTCCATATTGCTGAAAATTGTATGTGATAGAAGACAGAATATATAGCTGAGGCATAAGACAAATCATAAGGTCTTTTTGGTGTACAAAAAAATCATATTTTATCCTAAAACTGGTAGAGAATTACTAAAGGATCTTAAGCACAAAAGTGTTAGAAACAAGTTTGTATTTTATAAGATAACTGAACCAATTCAGAAATTGGAGATGAGCCCATTTAAGAACAATAGAATAGAAATGCATTTGAAAAACAAGGAGAAATTATAGAACACTTGAGGGAAAGGGACTTAGTGAGTGATGGGCTGGGATGATGAACTGTCTATTAATACAGCCAGCTTGGCTGAGAAGATTCCACAGCAATTCACAGAAATATTGAGTAAAGTGGACAAAAGAGGTTCTCAGAACTGCTCATGAGCACTGTTTTTTGTGTTTTTTTTTTTCTTTTTCTTTTTCAGATAAGGTCTCGTTCTGTCATCCAGGCTGGAGTACAGTGGCATGATCATGGCTCACTGAAGCCTTGACCTCTCAAGCCCAGACCATCCTCCCACCTTAGCCTCCTGAGCAGCTGGGACCACATGCAAGCACCACCATGGCTGGATAATTTTTTGTATTTTTTGTAGAGACAGGGTTTTGCCACGTTGCCCAGACTGGTCTCAAAATCCTGGACTCAAGTAATTTGCCTGCCTCATCCTCCCAAAGTGCTGGGATGACAGGCAGAAGCCACTGCACTGGCCAATTTTTTTTAACTTTTTTTTTTAAGTTTAGGGGTACAACAGCAGGTTTGTTACATAGGTAAACTTATGTCATGGGGGTTTAGATGAAGAGGAAGGCCAGAAAAGGCAGGGAGTCAGAGCCAATATAAAAAAAAAGTAGAACTACTTCAGTTAATCAAGAAGGGATAGTACAGGATGGAGAATCCAGGGGAAAAGATGAGACCACAATCATAGGAGGAATCCATCTGCCCCAGACATGGGAGAAAGGAGGGAGGAATGCATATACAAGCAAATGCAGGTAGGAGTCTATGAAGGTGGTGGGATTTGGGGCCAAATTATTGTTGTTTGTTGTTTTCTTGGTGAAGTTGATCAAGAAGCTTTTTGCAGAGAGGAATGAGAGTGAGGGAATTGGAAGAAACTTTCAATATTCTGCCCAACATTTCTATATTATTATACAGTTGTGTACTTTTAGAGGAATTTCATCATATAATTTCCTTTACTAACAATATCAGTAAAATGTGTGTTTAGGAGGAAAGAGAAACATAGAAATTATGTCACTAAATTAATTTTAAAAATTGACTAACTAGTAAGAGAGACTAAAATAGCAATCAAAAACAGTTCAAAAAAGAAAAGCCCAGGATAAAATGGCTTCCCTAGAGAATTCTCTCAAATACTTAGAGAAAAATTAACACCAATCCCCTTAAACTCTTCCAAAGAATTGGAGGAAATACTTCCAAACTCATCCTATGAAGCCAGTATTACTCTGATCCCAAAATCACACGAAGGCACAGCAAGAAAAGAAAACTATAGACCAATATCCTTAATGAATATTGATGTAAAAATTCAGTACAAATTATTAGTAAACCAAATTCAACAGCACATTAAAAGAATTATACACCATGACCAAGTGGGATTTATACCAAGAATTCAAGGATGGCTCAGTGTATGAAAGTCAATCAATGTAATAGACCACATTAACAAAATGAAGGACAAAAATTTCATGATCATGTCAATTCATGCAGAACCAGCATTTGAAAAAATATAACATCCTTTCATGATAAAAACATTCAACAAACTAGGAATATAGTGTAAATGCCTCAACATAATAAAAGTCGCAGATAAAAAGTCCATGCCTATAACATACTCAATGGTGAAAAACTAAAAGCTTTTCTTCTAAGATAAGAAACAAGACCAGTATGTCCACTCTCACCACTGCTATCCAACATACTACTGGAAGTCCTAGCCAGAGCAAGAACAAGAAAAATGAATAGAAGACATGTAAATCGTAAAAGAGGAATAAAATTATTTCTGCTTGTAGATGACCTCATTGTGTGTGTGGAAAAGCCTAAAGATTTCACACACACACACAAAAACTCTTACAGCTAATATATGATTTTAACAAAGTTGCAGGATACAAAATCAACATGCAAAATTCAGTTGCATTTCTATTTACTAACAATGGTCAATTCAAAAATGAAATTAAGAAAACAATCCCAAATACTATGGCATCAAAAAGGATAAAAGACTTAGGAATAAACAACAAAGGAAGTAAAAGACTTGTACACCAAAAACTACAAACCATTGCTAAAAGAAATCAAGAAGAGACATAAATGGAAAGGCATGCCATGCTCATAGATGGAAATAAGATTGTTAAAATGATCACGCTTTCCCAAGTGACTTATCAATTCATTGCAATCCTTATGAAAACTCCAATGACACTTTGTGTAGAAATAGAAAACAAATCCTAAAATTCATGTAGAATTTCATGAGACCATGCACAGCCAAAATAATCTTGAAAAAAAATAAGGCCAAGGCCTCATACTTCCTGATTCCAAAACATACTACAAAGGTACAGTAATTAAAATAGCATAGCATTAGCATAAAAAACATATATATATATCCCCCAGTGGAACAGAGAACCAAGAAATAATGGCCAAATGATTTTTTACAAAGTTGCCAAGACTACCTAATGAAGAAAGGATAGTCCCTTCAACAAATAGGTCTGGGAAAACTGGATATCCACATGCAAAAGAATGAAGTTGGATCCTTATATCATACACCAAAAAGTAAGAATATAAGTAGATTTAAAATCTAAACAGCAAGGCAGGTGGATCACTTGAGGTCAGGAGTTCAAGACCAGCCTGGCCAACATGGTGAAACATCATCTCTACTAAAACACAAAAAGTAGCTGGGCATGGTGGCAGGCACCTGTAATCCCAGCTACTCAGAAGGCTGAGGCAGGAAAATCGCTTGAACCCATGAGGCAGAGGTTGCACCCTTGGTGACAGAGCAGGGCTCCATCTCAAAAAATAAAAATAAAAAATGAATAAAACCTAAACAGAAGAGTTAAAACTATAAAACTCCTAGAAGTAAACGTAAGGGGAAAGCTTTGTCACACTGGATTTGGCAATGATTTCTTGGATATGACACCTAAAGCACAGGGAACAAAAGCAAGAAAAGACAAATGAGATTACATTAAACTTAAAGACTTCCATGTTTCAAAGGATGCAATCAACAGAGTGAAAAAGTTACCTGCAGAATGAGAGAAAATATGTGCCAATCATATATCTGATAAGGAGTTAGTATCCAGAACATATAAGGAACTTCTATAACACGATAACAATAACAAAAAACTCTATTAAAAAATAGGTAAAGAACTTGAATTTACAGTTCTCCAAAAGAGACATATGAATAGCCAACAAACACAGGAAAACATAATCAAGGTCACTAATCATAAGAGTCACACAAGCCAAAACCAAAGAGATAACACCTCGCCCCCATTAGAATAACTTTTAAAAAACAAAGAGAAATAACAAGTATTAATGAAGATGGAGAGAAATTGGAACCCTTGTATGATTTTGGTTGAGATGTAAAATAGGGCAGGCATTAGGAAAAACAGTATGGAGGCCCCTCAAAAAGTTAAAAGCAGAATTACCATATGATCCAACAACCCCAGATATATTCTGGAAATATATCCACAAGAATTGAAGAAAAAGGATCTTGAAAAGGTATCTGCACACTCATGCACATTACAGCATTATTCACAATAGCCAAGAGTTGGAAGCAACCCAGATGTCTATCAATAGATGAATGAATTTTTAAAAAGAAATATATAAATAAAATGGAATATTATGCAGCCTTTAAAAAGAAGGAAATTCTGTTACATACTACTACAACATAGATGAAACTTGTGGAGAAATAAACCAGTCCAAAAAGGGCAAATCTTGTATGATTCCACTCATATGAAGTAGCTAAAGCGGTCAAAATCACAGAAACAGAAAGCAGATAGTTGGTTGCCAAGGGCTAGGTGGGGAGGTAGGAGGGGAATCTAGTGTTTAACGGGTATAATATTTCAGAGTTGCAAGATGAAAATGTTCTGGAGATCTGTTGCACAATGTGTATGTACTTAACACTACTGAACTGTACACTTAAAAATAGTTAAGATAGTAAATTAATGATACCTTTTGCCACAATAAAAAAAGACACTGGTAAAAAATTACAATTCACGTAACTACATATCCAAATTCACATAAACTCCATGAACAAATAGAGGAATGGCACTTGGGGGTCAAGAAAGAGTTAAAAGACATCAGTGGACTCTGACATGAGAATAGGAGGGTTAAATGTTTCGCTTTCCTGTTTTGATAGAAAAGTGGTATAGTTAGCTTGACTGCAACAGAGATTAGTCATGGAAAAGAGGTTTTTATTTTATTTTATGGGGTTTTATTTTAGAGAAATATATTATTCTGTCTAGGTTATCTACTTTAAAAGTTAAATGTAGCAAACAAGAGTTCATCAATCAAGTACAACAAATAGAATGTATGTCTCATATCTATATTCCCAGCTCCTTGGAGAAGCTGAAAATGAAAACATACAAAAATAGAGAAGCTTATTGCATTTTCTAAGTACAATTTCTGGTTGATAGACTGAAAAGATTACCAACTGGAAATTACATCATGGTTAGTTAATTACATGCTACCTCCAAAATAATGTGGTTTTATGAAACACACCTCCTTTTCTCTCTCCACCACCTTCAGAAAAATGGAAATGGCAAGCTTTCTGGCCAAGAGAAATTGATCAAGGGAAGGATATGCAGGACATGTTCCCATTGGAATCAGGTGCAGAGAGAAGGGTCCCAAATTGTAATATATAATTATATGGTGTGACATAATACTGTTCGACATAAATGCCCTCTGGTTGGAGAATGTAGCGACAGTGGCCATCCATACTGAGTTCCTATGTGGACCAGGCAGCCAACTGGGAATTCAGTTAAAGCTGATGCTAGGCAGTCACTCTGGACTTGTTTGCTCATATCCACCAGAGAAGGGCAGGTAGCAGAGAGCTAAGAGGACAGACAGTGAAGGGGAAATAAGAGAACAATGCAGAGAAAATTAGGGATTTTTATTCCCTTGAAAATGTTTACAAAAGCATACCTGAGATTAGATAGCAAAAACTAAGGAGAAATTAACACTAAAAGCACTGAAGGAATCCCAGGCTCTATCTTCTCCAACCTTTCTTTACAGCTTAGAAAGTTTCTAAGGAAATTAGCCACCTCTGTGCAAAATGATAACCAGTTAGAAAGATAGGATTCATCTGAGCTTCCACAATCTAGGGAGAGTGAATTTGGCCTGATTGTTCTTTTGACTGTAATGAAAACGACAGTACTCTGTTTCACAAATAGTTGCAAAAAACAGGGCCTTTATGAATTCTACCACTTAATGATTTTTCCATTAACATGCTAATTGATTCTATAATTAAAGAAAATGTTAACAATCTAAAACACCTTGAAAATCAAGAAAATGCAAAATTAAAATTGCCATTCATCCTTAAGGCAGTACTGTCAATAGTTAGTGACACCTGAAATGAATCTGAAACATTCTACCTTCTTTGTAATCAAACTGCATCTTCCACCTTCCTTAGCTTAGCACATCTTACATAGCCTATGCCTTCATCTTATTAAAAAAAAAAAACCCGCATATGATATTTATAGACACAGGCTTGTATGGTGGGTTGCAATGGTGTGTGTCTGTAGTCCCAGCTACTCAGGATGCTGAGGCAGGAGGATGGCTTGAGCATAGGAGTTTGGGACAGCATGAGCAACATAGCAGAAGGCCATTTATATCCAGAGATATATAGATATAACTAAGCAGAAGTAGGCTTACATATAAGCAGAATAAGGGGCCTGCCTATGTGGTTTTTTTTTTTTTTTTTTTGAGTGTCCAGATGATGGCAGTGATGGCCCATCTGGAGCGGCTGCTGTAAGGACACTGGCTGCAGCAGGGGAGGCACAGCCAGGCCTGCGCACTAGGCAGAGCTGGTGTGGGAGCCAGGAGCAGATGAGAGCCCCGCCTTCTACCAAGTTGGCAGTGCAGAAGGCCGCACTCCCGGGTGCTGATGCCGAGTTCAGCTCCAGACCCTGGCATCCCTGGGCTCTCAGGGGCCCAGGAAGCCCCCAACCCCTGCAGGCTTCAAAGGGCCTGCTCCCACTCCTTGGCCTCTCCCTCCTCCTGGCAACCATTCTGGGGCAGAGCAAAGCTGTGGCTGAGCCCAGGTACTGTCATAACCCAGCCAGGGCAGCACTGACGCATAAGCCCCCTGCCACTTCGGCTCCTTCTGGACTTTGGGTGCCAAGAAGCACAGGAGGCAGGCCAGGGGAGCTGAGGGCAGCTTGGTGCAGGCCTACAGGTGCCTCTCGGTGCAGACAGCCTGGGCACTGTGGATGGCATGTTAAAGGCAGACAGGGTCCTAGGTGGGAAGGGGTAGCTTACCAGTGAAACCCCTCCTTCAAGCCAGGAAAGGCTTGAGGTTTGGGGGCCAGGCTGCCAGTTCCAGGTGAAGTCCATGGCCTGGAGACAGAACTTCATTGAAGCCTTTTGGCCAATTGGACAGTACTTTTTCCAGGTCTGCCCATGGCCACCCATGGACCAATCAGCACCCACTTCCTTCTTTCTGAACACACAAAAACCCCAGACTCAACCAGTCTCACTCATTGAGATGACCTGCCTACAGAAAGGAGCTACCCATTACAGGTCTCTTCTCTGCCAAGAGCCGGACACTCACTGGGACGACTTGCCTGTGGAAAGGAACTACCGACTACAGGTCTCCTCCCTGCTGAGAGCTGGACACTCATCAGGACGACCTGCCTGTGGAAGGAAACTAGCCACTTTGGGTCTCCTGAGAACTATTCTGTCACTCAGTAAAGTTCCTCTCCACCTTACTTACCCTACAGTTGTCCACACACCTCATTCTTCCTGAACATGGGACAAGAACTTGGAACCTGCTGAATGGCAGGACTGAAAGAGCTGTAACATAAACAGGGCTGAAACACACCCCCACTTACTTGCCATGTGGCAGGTGACAAGAAGGAGAGAAGAGCTGCAGCCCTTTAGGAAGCCCAGACCTAGAGGTTCCCTGAGCCAGGGCTGTGACATCCTCTTTGGGGCTCTGCAATCCTGACATCTCCAAGCTTCCAGGCACCACCATGTTCCCTGCTGCCCACAGTGAAAGCAGCTTATGATATGTGCGGTCCACCTGCAGCCTCACAGAGCCGGTCCCTATGCCAGTGCCTAGAGCTGCCCGCCCTGCCACAGCCGGCATGCCCAGCTGTGCACAGTGGCTGGACCCCACACTCACTTGCTCACACACTCCTTGCCCCTCTGCACCTGGCTCACCCTTGGTAGGTGTGGGATCCAGGCCAGTAGTGTGAGCCATATGCAGCCTGCTGGGCCAAGCAGGTGGAACAAGCCCAGTAGGCCCAAGAAAAACTAGGAAAAAGGTGCCACTGGCCACAGAGGTTTCTGGCTGGAAAAGTGACACTCCAAATATCCTGTGACAGAGAGAAAAGTCCCCTGAACTTCAATTTTAATAATCCTGCCTGCCACAATCCTAGATTTAAGTACTTTGGGAAAGATGCTGTACATTTAGAATAAGCCTGTTAGAAAATAAACATTCTTATGAGAAGCAACTGGCATTATAAAGAGCCATTTACATGGTCTGATCTGGGTCATCAGAATGAAGCAAGCTGGTCTCCCAAAAAGCAGACTGCTGCAAGGTGAGGTATAGACAAGAAAGGGAAGGAAACACTACAAAAATATTGCCTGCTTGGGTTTTGCCTGAGGTTAGTACTAATTACCAAGAATATATTTTGGCAGAAGCAAAAATATACTCCGTGATATTACTGTTTTAGGCAACTATTTATTCTCTGGTTGTTTTATGAGATTGCCAACTGTAGTCAAGAGCTTTGAGAGAGTAAAAAGGTCTAAAGCTACTGAGTTGCCAATTATTTACCACTGCTCTCCTAAACTGCATGCATTTTTAAGGAACACATCATTTGGGAAATTGTTTCACTTTGGGGTTTGGGAAACACCAATTTAAGGAACTAGAACCAAGACCACTTGTTAAAGGAGTTCTAAATTGAGTGCATGACAAGGAGGATCTGAGGTATAAACACCTTCATGAAGAGCATACAAAGTCACCCCAGACCCATCACTCACGCATGCCCAGGACTTCCCAGTGTAGAGAAGCTGTTTATTTTATTAACCCAGGTCAGGAGAATGGTACGATATAGAGAGAGAAAGGAAAGATGTTGAATTAAAGAAACGAATGCCCTTTTAACTCCATTAATTGAGTCTAGGTATTTTTCTTAGATGAAGTTGCAAGTTTAAAGTTGTACTTCTGGAAAACACTGAAAAGGCCAGATTGCTTCCTGACATAGGAAAAGCCAGTTTGGTCTTGGCAACTCCAATTCAGATCTTCTGTCACGGAGAAGAATAACAAAGTTCTGGGTCCCTTCTGTCGTTATCCTTACCTCCAAGGAGTGAGAGTTACAAACCCTTTTAGCAGTGAGCCTATAACTATCAGACCTTTACCTTCAGGAATCTGTCATTTGCCACAGCCTACACCAACATCTTCATTACATGCATCAGGAAAAATAAGAAGGACAGGCTCAGGGAGCAGGTCTTATCCAGGCAAAGGGAAGAATAGATATAACGTAGCAACTATATTTGGCAAGGTGATTCAACAAGTGGAAAGGGGAGATGGATTGAGTTCTCCACTAGTTTTCCATTTCCAGCTCACTGAAACCAGGAGTGGAGAAATAAAAATGAAAGAGACCTGGCTTTCATTCTTTACTAAAATAGGATTATGTGATGGGAGATAATATAACGAAAGGTTCCTCCATCAGAAGTCAGATAACCTAAGTTCTAGTTCTAACACTGTAGCCTTCAACATGTCAATTTTGTTTCCAGACCCAATGCTCTTCAGGTACAAACTAAAAGGTTTGTATAATAATAATCTCTGTAATCCATTTCATGCCATTCCCCTGCCCCCACCAAAATCCACAACCAACTGTATTTACAATCAAATTAAATTTACAAATGAAAAAAATAAATATAACAAACTTTTCAGAGTCAGTGAAAATTAATGCAATTTACAGATTCAAATTTTCCTCAGATTACAACTAGTTACCACTGTTCTGGAACTGCAATTAGTGTTCTAGAATTGTCTTCCCCTAACCCTAAGCCAGTATATTTCAGCTAAAGGATGTTAAGCTTTTGGATACTATACTTGAGACTTTATGCCAAAGTAAAGAAATCGCTCAAGGCGCATTTGAATTTTTATGACTCTAATGATGTCAGTTCACAAGATGGACTATTTCCTTTGGAAAATAAAGAGTCCTCCAGGGTGACAGAACAGACGGTAGGCCAACTTTTACTTATGGCTCGGGTTACATAGACTCTGCACCTTAAATAATTTATATGATGTGATCATACACAGGCCTCATCTGTGGGAACAGACTGAAATGAAACCAAATATGTCCCAATCTGTATACTAATCACTACTCAATAACAGAGATGTGGTGGAGAGTCCATTAGGCCAGCCAGAGTCTGGAAGCTCATACTACTTAAGCACTGAGCAGATGCTCAATTCTGGTTAAAAGTTCCACCCCACCCCCAGCTGAGAGCTCAATACACATAAGCTGACTCACTGACTCAATTAGACAAGAGCTGGCTTTGTGAGTCCGCAGACTAAACCATGCAACGATCAGCCCCATCCATTCCTGCTAAAACAACCCAATAAAATCTGCTATTTTGTAAGCTAAATAATATATCTACAGATACTGCTACAGTATGAATATATTTCCATTTACTAACAGGAACTAGGGGACTAGGAACAAAGTGAGAAATGGTAATATCACTGTCCCAAACTGAAGATTTCATGCCAAATTAATAAGCTGGGGTGGGATGCGGGGAGGATAACTTAAACTGAAAAGTTTGAGATTGGAAAACTTCATAATTTGTAACAATCATATCATAGTCAAAAATGTTTCTGATGAAAGTTATTGATGATTTATCCAAACAAGCAGGCTCCTCTATGAGACTGATAAAACCAGTATCAATTTGAATGCTATTTTTCTAGGTATTTCTATAACCTTTCTTTTTATAGCCTCATAATAATGCTGTCTTTAACATAGGCTGAGTGGCTCTAATTGTGTATTTTAGAAATAGGATCCAGAGGTCTATTCAAAGAAGTTCAATGCCAAGACTAAAGAATGAAGCCATTGATTCATGGCAACCAGTATCAGGATTTGGGTCCTTTTCCACTGTAAACTACTAAGTGTTATCTGCCTCCTCCATCACTACCTATGAGTGTGGAGGTAAAGACAGGTGCTATGGCAACTTAGTCTTCACACTGATGAACTATCTGGATCAAAAAGGAGGCAAGGGAAGGTAAGAGACTCCAGAAAACTAAACCATCTGGAAGCTGAATGTCATACACAGGGAGAAGCAGCGGGGAAAATACATTTTCTATATCATGCACTTGGACTACAATAAAACGCTCCGTGGAATGGGTACAAATCCTAGAGATCCTAAACAACTTCAAAACTGAGTTCTACTGCTCACAAACTTTGTGACTTTGAGTGAATTTCTAAACTTAATGCTTGGCTCTTGCACTTGTGTTACAGGGCTAACTAAGCCTCCTTTGCATTGCTGGTGGAAGGAAATGAGTGAATGCACACTAACCGTCTGCCTGGCCTGGCAGGCACTCCAGGAATGCCATTATTTTTACCAGGTCTGCTTCATGAAGCCACCAAGTCCTTTCAAGTCCACAAGGAGCAATCTGAACCAGTAGACCGGAATATTCTCACTGCCCATCATGGCAGAGGTTAGTATATGCTCTTACAACCCAATTCCCCACAGACCACAGATAACCAACACATTCTCATGACTAATAAATGCACTGGAAAACTTTCAGCATTTTTTGTGTGTGTGGTAGCTAGTAGTGGATTAAAAAAAATAAAAACAAGAAACAAAAACAAAAACATCCATCATTGCCTGTACCTGTACTTCTTCCCTCTAGCAAAATTTAGACCAATTACTAGGGAAAGAAAGCAATCGTTAGGGAAAGCTGGTATAGTTCTTTATCTCCTTTTATGCCAGAAGGTGAGTGGAAAGTGATGAGTTATTATCTTTACAATTGTTTTAAAATGTACTTCAAGTATAGGCACTTAACATAAACTTACAGACCTGAAACTTATAGACCTGAAAATGTACTGTCAGGTTGAGAAGATATCTCCTTTTGTTGTTGTTGAATTTAATACCAGATCTTATTATAACCATCCAAAAACTGTCAAGGACTTACTGTACAAGGAACTAATTTAGGACTCAGGCTCTGGAATCAGAGTGGGTTTGAACCTTGGCACCTTGGCTCTGCCACTTACTTGCTGTGTAACCATGGGCCAGGTACTTTACCTCTCTGTGCTTCAGCCTAGAAAATGGAAATGCTAACAGCACCAACCTCTTAACAATCCATGTGAGGTAAAATAATATAAAACAATTGATAAAAAGTATTTGCAATACTACCTGACCATTAAGAAAAAGTAGCAAGTGTTAGCAATTATGCTTACTGAGTGAATCAAACAGGTCTAGAAAGAAATGTAATGAGTTGTTCAGAGTAGTTAAACTCTTGAGAATTTGAAATAGCATTTTCTAATAAAGTTCCTAAAAACTCTGTGATACTTATATTGCCTGCCACTATCACAGGAAAAACATCATATAACCATATTTACACCTGATAGAGGAGGTGCAGCAATTTATGATAAAGTCCTGTCTCCATCTCTGGACTGAGTACTCCGATTATTTCTACGCTCTGAAAAACTAACTGTTTCACTTTGCTTTGGAAAGGATTTTTTGTAAGTCCCTTAACTCATTTCAGAGCAAATGTGAATACTAAAATGTCTTGAAAAAGGCTAGTATCTCACTTCAATGCATGGATGTGGTTCCACTCCACTTAAAATCTTCCCCTAGAGATAAAACCATCTTCTGTTTGTGATGTTTCATGCCCCAAACAGTCCAACTCCCATCGAAGATAACCCAGAAGGCATGTTTGTGTTTTTTCAGACTAAAATGCAATTATTTTTAACTTGAATTTTTCTAGTCTAAAATGCCATCTTTAAAATTTCATTATATTTATCTTGCCTATCTCTTTATTGTTTTCAATAATGTTTCTGGTAATATAGCTCAAAATTATACAGTTATATGATGCCTATCATGTAATAGACACTGATCACAACATTTCACATAATTCATTTTAATTCTGTCTTATGATGCAGTGTATTAGTCCGTTTTCATGCTGCTGATAAAGATATACCCAAGACTGGGGAAAAAAAAGAAGTTTAATTGGACTTACAGTTACACATGGCTGGGAAGGCCTCAGAATTATGGTGGGGGGTGAAAGGCACTTTTTACATGGCTGTGGCAGGAGAAAATGAGGAAGAAGCAAAAGCAGAAACCCCTGATAAACCCATCAGATCTCATGAGACTTATTCACTATCACGAAAACAGCAGGGGAAAGACGGGCTCCCATGATTCAATTACCTCCCAACAGGTCTCTCCCACAAAATGTGGGAATTCTGGGAGATACAATGCAAGTTGAGATTTTGGTGGGGACACAGCCAAACCATGTCATTCCAACCCTGGTCCCTCCCAAATCTCATGTCCTCACATTTTAAAACCAATCATGCCTTCCCAACAGTCTGCCAAAGTATAAACTCATTTCAGCATTAACTCAAAAGGCCATAGTCTAATGTCTCATCTGAGACAAGTCACTTCTGCCTATGAGCCTGTAAAATCAAAAGCAAGCTAGCTAACTTCTAGATACAATGAGGGTACAGGTATTGGGTAAATACAGCTATTCCAAATGGGAGAAATTGGCCAAAACAAAGGGATTACAGGGCCCACGTATGTCCGAAATCCAGTGGGGCAGTTGAATTTTGAAGCTCCAAAATGATCTCCTTTGACTCCAGGTCTCACATCCAGGTTACGCTGATGCAAGAGGTGGGTTCCCATGGTCTTGGGCAGCTCCACCCCAGTGGCTTTAAAGGGTACAGCCTCCCTCCCGACTGCTTTCATGGGCTGGTGTTGAGTGTCTGTGGCTTTTCCAGATGCATGGTTCAAGCTGTCAGTGGATCTACAATTCATGGGTCTGGAGGATGGTGGCCCTCTTCTCACAGCTCCACTAGGCAGTACCCCACTAGGGACTCTGCATGGGGGCTCCAACCCCACATTTCCCTTCTGCACTGCCCTAGCAGAGGTTCTCCATGAGGGCCCTGCCCTTGCAGCAAAATTTGCCTGGGCATCCAGGTGTTTCCATACATCTCCTGAAATCTAGGCAGAGGTTTCCAAACCTTAATTCTTGACTTCTGAGTACCCACAGGCTTGATACCACATGGAAGTTGCCAAGGTTTGGGGCTTCCACCCTCTGAAGCCCCAGCCCAAGCTGTACATTGGCTCCCTTCAGCCATGGCTGGAGAGGCTGGGAAACAAGGCACAAAGTCCCTAGGCTGCATGCAGCATGGGGATCCTGGGCCTGGCCCATGAAACCACTTTTTCCTCCTGGGCCTCCAGGCCTGCAATGGGAGGGGCTGCCATGAAGGCCTCTGACATGGCCTGGAGACATTTTCCCCTTGGTCTTGGGGATTAACATTAGGCTCCTTGCTACTTACGTTAAGTTTCTGCAGCTGGCTTGAATTTCTCCCCAGAAAGTGAGTTTTTCTTTTCCATTGCATAGTCAGGTTGCAAATTTTCTGAACTTTTATGCTCTATTTCCCTTTTAACACTGAATGTCTTTAACAGTACCCAAGTCACCTCTTGAATGCTTTGTTCCTTACAAATTTCTTCCACCGGATGCCCTAAATCATCTCTGTCAAGTTCAAAGTTCACAAATCTCTAGGGCAGGGGCAAAATGCCGATAGTCTCTTTGCTAAAATGAAACAAGAGTCGCCTTTGCTCCAGTTCCCAAAAAGTTCCTCATTTCCATCTGAGACCACTTCAGCCTTCATTTTTGTTGTCCATATCACTATCAGCATTTGGCACAAAGCCATTCAACAAGTCTCTAGGAAGCTCCAAACTTTCCTACATTTTCCTATCTTCTGAGCCCTTCAAACTCTTCCAATCTCTGTCTGTTACTCAGTTCCAAAGTCGCTTCCACATTTTTGGGTATCTTTTCAGCAACGCCCCACTCTACTGGTACCAATTTACTGTATTAGTTCATTTTCATGCTGCTGGTAAAGACATATCTGAGACTGGGAAGAAAAAGAGGTTTAATTGGACTTACTGTTCCACATGACTGGGGAGGCCTCAGAATCATGGCAGGAGGTGAAAGGTACTTCTTACATGGCAGCACCAAGAGAAAATGAGGAAGAAGCAAAAGCAGAAACCCCTGATAAACCCATCAGATCTTGTGAGACTTATTCATTATCACAAGAATAGCAGGGGAAAAACTGGCCCCCATAATCCAATTACCTCCCACTGGGTCCCTCCTACAACACGTGGGAATTCTGGGAGATACAATTCAAGATGAGATTTGGCTGGGGGCACAGCTAAACCATAACAATTAATAATATTATTATGACCTATTTACAGGTGATAAAACCAAAGCAAATAGAGCTTGAATCAACTGCCCAGAGTAACACAGCAGGAAAGCACACATACCACTGTGTTAAACCCTTTAGTTTCTCCCTCCTTTTTTTGAGAGGGAGTCTCGCACACATACCACTGTGTTAAACCTTTTAAGTTCCTCTCTCCTTTTTTTTTTTTTTTTTTTTTTTTTTTGAGATGGAGTCTCGCTCTGTCACCCAGGCTGGAGTGCAGTGGCACTATCTCAACTCACTGCAACCTCCACCTCCCAGGTTCAAGCAATTTCCCTGCCTCAGCCTCATGACTAGCTGGGATTATGGGCGCCCACCAGCACACCCGGCTAATTTTTGTATTTTTAGTAGAGATGGGGTTTTGCCATGTGTGCCATGTTGCCCAGGCTGGTCTAGAACTCTTGACCTTAGGTGATCTGCCCACCTTGGCCTCCCAAAGTGCTGGGATTACATGAGCCACTGCACCTGGCCCCTCCTTTCTTCCTCCCTCTTTCCCTTCCTGCATTCCGCTATCCAACAGCCCATCAATCCATCAGTAATGCACAGACCTGCTATTCATCCATCCATCCATCTATCCATTTATCCATCTGTCCCTCCCCTCATCTAGCTATCAACCATGGAGTAGATGGAAAGGAAGAAGGAATTAAAGCATATGTCTAGAAATTTGGAATTTAACTAATTCAAATATATCCGTAGGATTTGGTGGCTGTAAAGCGCTCTCTTGTAGTAGTAGTAGCATGGCATGCATTATTAAAGAAACTGTGATTTGAATGAGTGTCAGTTTCTCAAAATGCAGAGACTAGCTCTATTCAAGAATCACAGCAGAGTAGAAGGTACACATACAATCTTGCTATACAGCAGGCATGGCACTAAGATATGAACATTACATCTATAAGGAAAGACATTATCAACAACTGTTTCCATTTTTTAGTATGAAGAAAGCTAGGTAGGAGTATGTCTAAGGTATCTTTCCTTCCTTAATGAAACTGCTATTGATTTTTCACGTTAGTGAATCATTGCCTTGAAGCAATTTCTTTTAGCTGCAGGTTCTCACATTTAATTTGGATGTATGCTTAAGGGAGAGTTTATCAATAAAATCTCCAGAGGAACGCCAAAAGGTTTTTATTAGAAAGAAACAGTGAAAGCAATTTTACCAATTTTGTTAAACACACAGATGATCAAAGAATTATTAATGAATGGCATTTAAAGAGCAATTTCAACATTAATATGGGTCATATCAACATAATCATCACTCCAAATGTTCTCAGTGGTTACAAACATTAAAGATTTCTAAGAGCAAAACATGAATTTTCCTGCCCTTACAGAAAATAGTAGTATGTGCCTTGGCCAAAAGCCAACCTTAAAGTTGATTTTGCTGACCAAAATTAATATTTCCCAAGTTATTTCAGCATCATCCCTTAGTATGTATTAGTTACCGAACAAAGCATGATCTTCATAATATCTTCATCATATCTCATTTGATCTTCATAATTCTATAATTAAGGTACCTTAAAGTCTGATTTTATACATAAAGGCTTAGTGAATTGTAAATATTACCCCAAATGATATAATTTGGGTACTAAAATAAATGATATAATTTGGGGTAATATTTACAAAATAACAAAACCAGCAAAGTAGTAGCAAAATTTATATCATTTAAAAATTATATCATTAAATCATATATCATTATAAAATCAAATATATCATTATATCGTTAAATTAATATCATTAAAAATTATATCATTTGGGGTAATATTTACAAAATAGCAAAACCAGCAAAGTAGTAGCAAAACCGGCATTCAAACTCATGTTTATGTGTTTCCAGAATCCACATTCATAACTCCTGAATTGTTCACGTATGCAAAGCACTTTGATTCTTCTCCACGTACTAAAAAGCCTTTGGATAAAGACATATTTTCATAACATTCACTAACACCTCAGGACCATCAATTTTTCGGCTACTTAAGTTATATCTGTACAAAGTCAATAATCCCAAAACCCATGTGCATGTTAGAAAACAACACATTTTTTAAATATAAAAACATTCTTGAGGTTCAACTTACTTATAATCTTGACTATATATTGGTATCATTAAATCTCACATGTAAATGACTAATCCCAAATGTGAGTGAACACAAGCCCCCATTCCTAAAAGCTCCACTACCCAGTATGCCACTACCATGGCCAAGACTCATTCTAGAACCATACATCCAGTTTTGTTTCTTAGCCCTTCCTCTCTGAACTCTTTTCATTCCCTCTTGGCTCCACTCCTGCTTGGCACCTTTTGCTAAAGAGCATGTTTTGTTTATACTCCACTCTAGTTGTCTGTAGTTCACCTTGCTTTCTCCCTCCTGGCAGAGTTACTCCATAGACTGAGGACACACTATTGGACTCTTCTTTCTCCATGAAACTGCTCCCAGATTGCTGAAACCTAAAGCACTATTCTTGAAAGGTGCTCAAGCCAGCAGAGATATTTCCCCACAGGCCCCAGAGGGGCCTCAAAGTTAATATATATCTGAAGACCTGATCCTGTTCGTTTGCCAACCACATTCCTAGGCTATTACACTCTCAGGATTCTCAGCATGCCCTCCCATTATGCCAGTAATCTGTGCTCACCCCTAAGGAAATAGTAAAGAAAACCAAACAGTAACAATAGCAAAACTAGAACAAAACAATCAATAACAACAACAGGAAAGAATGTAAGTAGTCTGGCCATATTACAAATATGGAAGCATCGTGTGGATTGTACTGATTTAGTAATTTCAAACATTGTTTAGGACATGCTCATAAGCCCTCGATTAACAACCTCATTCACTTTTCCCCTTATTTCCAATATGGTTTTGGACTACATTTTAGATACTGCTTGATTAGTATTCTGTGTTTCTTGGATAAATATAAGCTCAAATGGATTTTCCAAAGTCATTTGTGTATTTCATCATGCATTCATTCCTCTCTGCTCACTACGCATTTATTGAGCTCAAAACTCACCAAGACTCTGGAATCACAACTTTGCGGGAAGAAACTATTGCACAAAGATGTATAAGAAATGGCCTTGCCTTCAAAGGGTTTCTGTTCCAGGAGCACAAACAGTAGAGTATCAGTACTTTATCTTTGGATAAAGGAAAGTTATCTTGCTATTCCTCCCTGTTCCTTCTTTTTGTCTCATTTCCCACCCTCCACCCCTCATTTTTCCAAAATCTTCCCATGCCATCTTGCCATTTCAAGCATTTAGAACTGTACACCTCATTTCAGTCCTTGCCTTGGGTGTTATAAGCTGAAAGTGATGATTCTGGTGCATTTTCTAGGAGGCCCACCTTTTTTTTGAGACAAGGTCTTGCTCTGTTACCCAGGCTGGAGTGCAGTGGGGCAATCTTGGCTCACTGCAACCTCCACCTCCCAGGTTCAAGTGATTCTTGTACCTTAGCCTCCCTAGTAGCTGGGACTACAGGGACATGCCATCATGCCTGACTAACTTTTTTGTATTTTTAGTAGAGATTGGGTCTTGCCATGTTGGTCAGGCTGGTCTCGAACTCCTGACCTCAAGTGATTCTCCCACCTCGGCCTCCCAAAATGCTGGGATTACAGGTGTTAGCCACCGCGCCCAGACTAGGATAGGCCCACTTTTAATTAATCCTTCCTGTTGTTCCCATAAGTTTACTTGTTAAATGATGTTCTACTCTTATTTATTCAGAAAACATAATCCTCAGTAGCCATGCCTCAAAATGCCTTACTTCCTCCCCATAAAGAAAACTGGAATTCACTCAGCCTCGGCACTAGCTGGGTTGCTTTGACTCAATCCAGTTACCTAAGGTATTATGTCATTCATTCAAAATCACGTCCATCTTTCTGTGTTCATTCAGTAATTGTGTATTATTGGTAAATATGTGCAAACTCAATCCTAGATGGCTGATGTACAGACATATGGCTCCCCAGGGAAGATCATCTCCAAATTAGACTCCAGATTACCTGATGGATTTCAGTCATATCAAATCCCAGGTGGAAACTCAGTGTCCCAATTTGCAAAGCAGTTGCTTAGAAGCACAAGTCTATTATCAATTATATTCTAGTTCAAATTCCAATTTTGCTACTCATTTCACTACGTGACTTAGTTTCCTCAGATGTAATATATGGATGATAATCTCATAGTTTTCTTGTGTGTGAAGATTCAATGAAATAAAGCATGTAAAAGCAATCAGAAATCTAACAACTGGCCAATCAACATAAATATTATTATTGCTGCTATTTCTACCACATTATGTGAAAATTCTTAATATAATTTGACTTATTTATTATTAATTTTGTACATGGCACAATAACTTAATATAGTTCTAGAGATTTAAAATGAGCTCCTGGAAGCAAATTTTGGCAACCATATGCAACATGTGTCTACAAAACACATTAAAACTATTAAAAAAATGAAGTGTTTTAAATCAAGGCTGTCAAATTCTGTGAAAAGATTAAATGAAAAGTAAATCACTCAATTTTGAGAACTGTAAGATACCAAACCTTTAGGCAAATAAAAAAAACTTCAGATAAATGTTTTTTCATCTATTATAGCTGCCTATGCCAAATTTCCTCTATTAGTGTCACCACTATCACCTAAAATACTGCACTGAAAGCAACATCCTACTGCTTAATGTTGGTGACATTTATTTTCCAGCTTCAGAAGAAAAAACACAAACCTCTAAATTGAAATCTTTGTAGGTCAGCAACATACAGCAGTTACCTTTGCAAAAGGAGAAAAAGCCAATTTGTCAGTATCTGAGACCATAATTATTACTTCAGCTTCTCTTAACACAAAATAAAAATTCTCAGACTTTGTAGATTTTTAGTAATTTACTAAAATAGTTGATGGAACTGAATGGATGTTCACTTCTAGGTATAAATAATACTAACATAATAACAGTTTAATTGCTTAGGCATGAAATAAATGACTTCCTTCATGGTTCTTATTTATCATTTTATTACTTTGTTTTGAATTTTTTCTGTTGGCTATCAAATTCCTGTGATCCAATATAGGTAGAATGAAGTGTATCCACTTTCACAGATCTGATAAAATAAGTAAAAACTTTAAACTTTCACTTACATTTTTAAAACAATATTTCTACCTTTGTAATTGATTTAGAAAATAAATATTGGTGACTACTTAATTCTGTACAGAATTAAATTATATTTCTCTTTCTGCCCATTTTAATAAAAAATATATTCAAATGTTTTTGACAGTTCTTATTGAGAAAACTTGTATAAAAATGACACCTTGAGCCCAGGAGTGGTGGCTCACACTTGTAACCCCAGCATTTTGGGAGGCCAAGGTAGGTGGATCACCTGAGGTCAGGAGTTCGAGGCCAGCCTGGCAAACAAGGCGAAATCCCGTTTCTACTAAATATACAAAAATTAGCCAGGCATGGTGGCGAGTGCCTGTAATCCCAGCTGCTTGGGAGACTGAGGTAGGAGAATTGCTTGAACCCAGGAGGTGGAGGTTGCAGTGAGCCAAGATCACACCACTGCACTCCAGCTTGGGTGACAAAGTCAGACCCTCTAAAAAAAAAAAAAAAAAAAAAAAAAAAAACCTTGAAATGTAAGGAATCTATGAATATGTGACTATTGTAAATGAAAGTTTGCATAGCTTCATACTTTCTACAAAGTTTAAGAATAATTTTCACATTATTTTTATTTCTTTTATTTTCATTTTAAAACTAAACTAATATTGCCATAACTACTTGAGTGAAAATTTGATAGAAAAACTCAAAGGACCACTAAAAAGAAAGATCACTATTATTTGTCATACTTCTTCCTCTTCCATTCTTCATGCAGAGTCACCTGTCAATTCTTTATTTCCTAAACAGAAAACAGTGAAGGATTCTGGAAAAGTTACAGTAGAACTTCCCAGTCAAATATATCAATATACCAAATCACTATTTTGATGAATCCATACTCACTTTTTTGTTAACATCATCAACGAATTCAAGACTTATAAAAATGATCCTAAAAATCTCAGGTTTATTTGCTTGACTCTACTCCCCCTCTCCAATAAGTGCTTTCTTCTACTTGGCAAGTCCTGCAAGTACAAAAATAATAAACTCAGCTGTGCACTGCATCTTACCCTGTTCTCATTTTCTCTCAATAAATGGATATAGATGTATAGATGATATACAAACACATGTATATATTATACACAAACACACACAAATATACTTTATCTTTTTAGCCAATATTCAGAACTTGCTTTGGGTATTTAAAGTTAGGAAGCTCTCATAAAGAATATCTGTCTGCTGCTGAACACTGAGCGTTATCTGGAAGAATCAGATTCTCTTAAAACTTCACTCCACACAAGGGAAATTGAATGAAAGAGTGAATAAAAAATATTTTTAAAGGCCCCTATTAAGAAATGGAAGAAAATGAGAAAAGGGATCACAGTGAGCAGGGCAGAAGGTGTGAAAGGCAGAGAAGGCCAGGTTCAATGCATTGGAATGTTGAGACTGTGTTTCTCACTATTGAGGGGAAACCTGTCTGCACTCATAGAGCTGCCTAGGCAAACAAAATGTCACAGCTTGATTCTGCCTTTAGCTGTAAGTATTCCTCACCCGGTGTTCAAGATTCAGAGGCACATGCATGCCTCCCTCCCCTCCCTAATATAAGAGGCTCCAATGCTAGCCCCAACTGTCTTTTTCGATCTGACTGTCCCTGGAGTTCTGTTTTTGCAGGAGACCACATGCTCCCTCAATTTTACATTATCCATAATGATCATTTGTCTCAATGCCTAATGATGTACTTGTCTCAAATTGCTGGTTATCATTGGCATATTTGCCCACAACCAAAAGTGATAGACTATTCCTGATAGGCAGTATTGTATTAGATAGGAGAACATGCTACTGAAGCTTAGTGAAGAGAATAAGCACCAACATGATTAGGCAGGATGACTACAAACCTGACTGTTAATTTAGGACCAATGACATGGTCTTGCTAATACATTAACGGCATAATTCATGCAAAGCACTTAGCATAGTATTTAGTATACATAGCTATTATAGCTCTTTTCCATTGTTCAAAACAATATTTCTCACAAAACCTTTGTCTTCGTCTTCTCATAATGCTTTTGACATACCTCTATTAGCTTTTCTTTCAATAACTGTCTACATCTGTGCTGCCTCACCAACTAGATGGTAAACTCAGAGTGAAGAAAGAGGGAATCATCACTGTATCCTCAAGGCCTAGAACACAATAAGTACCATGGAAGATGCCTCATAAATGCCTGACAGCCAACTAAAGGAATGAAGGTAGAGTTGGGTAGGATTTCACTACTAAACGAAGTAGAATGATCATAAGAGTGCTCGATATATTATTTGGAAAGTTGGATTCTCATTTCACCTCTACCAGTGATTTCCTGCATTGTCTTAGCAACCCACATGCAGAAGGAGAGTAAGGTACACCTACATAGTTCATAAGGTTCCCATGAGGATCGCATTACACAGTAAGTGTGAAGGTGAAAGCCAAGGAAGTAGTGGATGAAAGAGTCACTTCCCCTCCCACAGATTCCAGTTGAAAAAGAAGAGGCTGTACCGCTCCAACATTGTATGAGTCTGTGGAATCCCCAGGCTAAAGGACACTAAAGTTCTCAGAAGAGCAAAAACAAAAGAATTACAACAAATGGAACATGCATTTGCTGAAAGCAAATAATTTTTTTTCTCTCTCTTTTTTTATTCTCAGATTTCTCTGTCTTCTTTATCCAACTTATTTCATTTCCTTCAGAATTATCTCCCAGTAAGACCCCAGGGCCAATCATTGAAGGTTCCTTGGGATCTCCAGATCACTCATTGCTTCTCTTCACCTGGGATGAACTGTCATAAGCTCAGCACCAGCTATCCCACCCCTGAGTGTTCTGACATGGAAGAAGATGGCCCCTGCCACAGGGCAGGGAACCTCTGCCCGGTTCCAAGCACTTTGTTTCCAATCCTGGTGAACATGGAGTTATTTTCATAGACGCTTAGCCCATAACAGAAGAGGGAACTTTTCAGCAGCCCTACCAGAACATGCCCCTGTCTCCTGTAGCACCAGCCCCAGAAGGATTTCTGAGTAGAAACCCTTCCAGTGGTTGGGGTGGTAAGTGACCCCTGTCACTGCACATTACCCTAACCCATTGAGCTCAGCCACTGCCTCTGCTTCTCTGCATCTGCCTCCATGTCTAGGATCAGGATGACTGGATGACTCATTTACTCAGACACTTTCCCACACTGCCCAGGCTTATCCCAGGGTGGGTTACCTCTGCCACTGCCAGGATACCTCAGGCATGTACCACCAGTCAATGTCACCACTTCCCCGTCTCCACATTTGCTGGGGTTGCCTAATATTCTCGCTACACACTGAATATTATTTAATTAAAGGAGAAACACATTTTCTTGCCCATAAAAGGCCTCCTCTTATTCTTCCCTCCTCCTTGAGGAACATTTGGGGACACAGCTGGGACTATGGGTTTTGTCATTGGCTTTAAGGTTTACAAAAATCATGCTGCCGGCCCAGCTCAGAAACAAACAAACACACACACACACACACACACACACACACACACACACACACACACACCTCACAGGAAGACTCTGCTGGGTACTGAGAACTCCTTTGAAAGTTCTATGCTTTCTGCCACCTATCCTGAGAGCCTCATGTAAGGTGGTGGCCCTGGCCACTGTGCTGGGAGTCCACGGAAATCTCATGTCTTATTTATTTCTAATTGGTAAAGGGTTTTCTTAACAAGTGTACCCAACCTCCCTGGAGGCACTAGCCTAGCTCTCTGGCCCTGTGATAATGAGCTAGAGGCTGGCATCCTTCCATCTGTGCAACTTAGAATCACTGATCCTTTGGGTTGAAGGGTGAGGTGTGGTGCTGGCCTGCCATGTGCCTCTGTCACCCAGGATAAAGGGCTGGGGTGAAGTAGGGTAAAAGACCTCCATCTTGTCCATACCCCTGCTCTGTGGCAGCATCACCTTTGAGGTGTACATGAGAAAAACATATGTTACAACACTTTATTCTCTTCCTTAATTAAAAAAAAAATTCTGAAAGCAAGCAAGCAAACAAACAACAGCAACAACAAAACAGAACCCTCAAAATTACCTGTTAAGTGTCAAGGAAAGATTGCCTTCAAAACCATGTTATCTCCTTATAACCTCTTTTTGCCTATTTACATCAGATCCTTGATCACCTTACTCCTTTTCCTCAGCTAGAAACTTGGTCTTCCTATGCTAGCAGTTCAACACTAGTGATGATTCTATCTCCTACGGAGCATTTAATATATGCCAGGCAACTGTGCTGTGTTTTCATATATTATCTAATTTCATATTTTTTTTAAAAAAAACACCTTTTTGGGGTAGCTGTCAATAACCTTATTCTATATAATCTGGCAAGGGCCATCGTAAATGCTACATTAACTTTCACCAAGTAAATGATGGGATAGAGCACTCAGTAGAACACTGAGGCACAGCAGGGAGGCACAACTGGGCCACACTCATACCCTAGTACGAACAGAGCTGGACACAAGCCAATTTCATCCAATCTCAAAATGCCTCTATGCTGGACCAGCTTGTAACACTGGTCATTCTTGGCATTGATTTTAAAATGAAGTTTCCTCCCATGTGCATATAATGGAGTGGCTGCTTCTTTTCACAGGTTCCAGAGCCGCTGACGTTGGGCCAGTCTCCCAGGTGCTTTTGTATCCAATGACAGTTCAGGAATCCTGGCCTTCTAACACATCACTGCAGACATTGCCACAATATTTTCTTCATCTGTCCTTTCTCCTGTGACTGAGAACCCTCTTCTGAATCATTGACTTTACCTCCTATTTTTCTCATGACTTTCTACTGTTTAGATTGTAAAATGTGGAATGTATACCACGAAGGTCCACCCTCCACTCCCTTATGGCAGGCTCTGGACCCCTATCCTCGGCGCATGTGGAAGAAGAAAGTGAACCACACTTAGAATGCAAAGGGGAGGACAGACTCAGAGGGCGCATGGCCCAGTTCCATCTCTGCTGCTCCAACCTGTCTTCCTGCCGTCATTTTTCTCACTTGTTAATGAAGAGGCCAGGTTTGCTGAGCTGAAGATCTCCTCCAGCTTGAAAACTCTATAAAAACATTGGCTTAAATATATGTTTCATAACGATCCAAACAATGACAATGACCTTTGAAACTATTAAAACATAAATTGTACTTTTCGCTAATCTCCGGTGTCAGTTCTGACATCAAAGTTCAGACTGCTAATTTAGTCATCCTAAACAAGACCCCTATATATCCGATAAATTCAGTATATCCTGCATGCATCCTTCCCTCTGTTTTCTCAGCTTTAGACCCTTTAATGATTCTAGAATTTCCATGATTTGACTTAAGTGTAGATTAAGTGGCACCATTAAATTCAAGCATCTGACGTTTAGAGGTGAAGATCTTCAGGGAAATGTACTACTTCTGGGCCAGCCCAGGGTATCGAATATCAGTGACATATACTCTACATCTGTCCACTAATTCATTCTGAACACTGCTTCAACATACCTTCAAATCTGATTTTGGGCCTTAGGTTCTGTAATAATTAAATCATTCTCTGGTCTGAAAGCTGGCTTGTCTATTTCAAAATCAATCAAGGGCAAACAACTCAGAGTCTAACAAAGATAAATAAGAGACGGTGAAGCCTACCTTTTAATGCATCGCTGGCTTTAATGCTGAATACAAGATGTTTTTCAAGGAAAAGTTTTTAAAAAGTATCCTTGCTTTGTAGAAATCCTGGTGAGAACACAGAATTCCTTTCTCATGTGCTATAAATAAAACTCCCTGGGGGGAATTTCTCCTTGTCAAAGTTCATTCTAACTGAAATGTCTTCAAAATATCAAAAGAACTTAAAGAGCTAATGTCACTTCCCCAATAATTTTTTAAAATTTAACCTAAGCAGTGAGGAGTGTTTAAATAGCTATAAAATTCTTCTCAAATTTCCCATTTCCATTCATCTCATTAGCATCCTTTAGTGACCTTATCGTCTACTTCAGAATTTAACAATTAGGAAGCACATGGGCTTTCTCAGATAATATTCTAGAGCTTTTAAAAAATTGGAAGTATTAAGGAAATAATATATTTTTAAAAGGTGAAAAGTTTTACGTCAATATAATGTACAGGGCAATTCTTCTTGGTTCTCCTTCGGCATGGGCCTTCACAGGCCATAGTCTACTGGTTCCATATTCGGATCATTAAATGGCAGCCCTCCGACTTGGAAACAGTAGCTATGTCTTGCTTTGCTTTGTAACTCTCACAGCACAGCATCTGACACATAATAAGTGCCCAAGCAATATTTACTGCATGATCAGAAACTTAAGATTTAAGGATAAAGGCAGGAAAAATAACCTAAGACATTTCAGATCAAAACTTTGTTTTTCTATTAAAACAATAAAAAAAAAAATCCAAGGAATAAGAAGGCTTTTCTGTTTTACACAAGCACTGAGTAAAACATTATGAAGATAGTTTTCCAAGTATCACACTTTTTTCTAATCTTCTACTCATACCTTACAATAGAGATTTGTATATAAGAGACACTTTCTGCATGGGGGGTAGATACATTTTGTTTATCTAAAAACATATACTCACCTACTCATTTGCAGACTCATTAGCAAAACTCATTGACTTCAAGCTCCATGCTAAAATCAGCTGTGCACCCTTATCTTTCTTTCATCAGAATTTGAGCCTATGATTTTTACAGATATTAACATTTTTCTCTTGAAATGTAAGTTTTGAATCACTTTAAAATTGTCATGAAATATTTGTTGTAAAGGTTACATAATGCATGAAAATGAAAGTGAGTGGTATGTAAAGACATTTGTGCAAAATAGTGCTCCCTGGAAATAAAAAATACCAAATAAACACAAGCTGAAAAAGCATTAGGTATAGGAAACAGATCCCTTTTTGGTCTTTTATAAAATGTGATAAAAGGCCCTTCTCAATAGCCACACAGCTACAATGTTGAAACTGTTTTTTTCAAACAAAAATACAAAGAGATTTTGTTGTGTGGTGTGTGTGTGTGTATGTGTGTGTAGTGTGATCTAAATTAAGCCATGGTTCAGAGATGACTTTGGTTCTATTGATCGATAACAACACATAACTCAAAGCCATCTCAAGGGTAAAGGAGCCAAAGGAAACTTTTTAGCTATCACAAGTAACTTACTACAAAGAGAAAGGCAGTAAGAACAAACACACATCCACACATGTACACAACAGGTATGAGCAAGGACCAATATTTTACAGACCAAGTGGGTTAGTAACATTGGTTTAGAGATCCTGGTCTCAGCATTAGTGGGGCACAAAGTAAGGGTATACACAATTCTCAGCTGCAAACATGTCAGATCATTCATGGTGTTCAGATCGGATTCTCTTTGAACATATGCCCTTTCAAGTGAAATTAATCAATCTCTTTATCACTCTCACTGCATCTGGAGCCATAATCATTACCCAACTGCTGAGAAAGAAATGAAACCACTAATCGCACAGGGAGTGGAGCTTAGTGTTCAGAGCAGGAAAGTTTTTATTAAGTTCTAATTTGAAAAGTGATTTTTCATGACCAGCCAAACAAGACATGCTATGAGCAGCAGGCTGCACTATTGAACCTGCCAGCTAAGCATCCACTGGCATATTAGCAACATGTTAAGAACTTTAGAACTTATACTTCATTTGAATTATGCAATTATTGATTTTTAAAATCAGCTTATAATACTCAATACTCTACATAAGTATTCTGGGTCGCACTATGAGAATCTATTTGATTCTCTGAACTCAAGCATCCAACACATGAATGCCCAGTTATGTATAATTCTGAAATTCATCCACCAGCAATTTTAGGAACCCCACTTACAACAACTGTAACATAAACCCATTAAAATGCAATGAACAAGATTTTCACCTACTTGTAACTTCCTTGTGAACTTTATGAAACCTCACACCATTGAGGGACCTAAATATAGCTGTGCTTCACTGGAAACTGAAGTACAAAACCGATTTGTGCGTTTACTGAAATATATTGTCCAATTGGCTTGCCTTATAAAATTGGACACATGTTCCCAGAAGAAAAGTTACAGTGTGAAAATACAATTTTAAAATCACATTTAAGAATGCAATAAATATTTATCATGCACCTTACAGTTGAATAAATGGTAGTTACTTAAGGTGTGTAATAATACACGATACAAATAAATATGAAAATGAAAAAATGATATTTAACCCCCAGGGGTTGGGATTTTAGAGCACTCGACATAGCCTACAAGGTGGATCTTAAAACAGAGTTTTTAAGAAACAGAAAAGTAGTATCTCTTTACTATTTGAACCAGGTCCTCTCGACAATATAAGCTAAAAGACACTGGCCAGTTCCTGATATCACTTAATAGTCTATTCATTTAACTAAGGGTATTTTTTATGGTTCCTTGGTACTTTAAAGGGTATTTGCTATATTATTTTCCTTTTTGCTGGAAAAATGGCTTTTTCCATGGTAAAAATCCAGGAGTGGCCTCTGGACATAAGGGGTAACAATGATCATTAAAAGTCCCAGTTCCCAGTCGGGCACAGTGGCTCACACCTGTAATCCCAGCACTTTGGGAGGCCGAGGTGGGCAGATCACGAGGTCAGGAGATCAAGAACAACCTGGCCAACATGGTGAAACCCTGTCTCTACCAAAACTACAAAACTTAGCTGGGCATGGTGGTGCACGCCTGTGGTCCCAGCTACTCAGGAGGCTGAGGCAGGAGAACTGCTTGAACCTGGGAGGCGGAGGTTGCAATGAGCCGAGATCATGCCACTGCACTCCAGCCTGGTGATGGGGGGAGACTCCATTTCAAAAAAAAAAAAAAAGTCTCAGTTCCCCACTGTTATATCCCAAGTGAGTTTTAACATACTGTGAGCTCTTTTGGCGGGGGGGCGGGGGGACAAGGGGAGCTAAATAGAATTTTCTAGACTTTCTGGATAGTAAATGTTGGAGTAAAACTTACTTGCAGTACTCTCTGCCTAGTAGAAGCTCACAGTATGGGGCTGGGCGCTGTGGCTCATGCCTGTAATCCCAGCACTTTGGAAGACGGAGGCGGGCAGATCACCTGAGGTCAGGAGTTCACTGCACTCAGTCTATATTTTTAAACAATCTATTGCATTTCTTTGTCTTAGAAGTCAAAACTCTAAAAGCAGAATTTAAAGAAAAACTCTATTCAAACTGAATAAAAAATACTTATGAATAAACTTAACAAAAGAAGGACAAGGCTTATACACTAAAATTTATAAAACATCACTGAAGGAAATTAAAGAGATGAGACATTCTATGTCCATGGATTGGAAGACTCAATATTGTTAATGAGAGGTGAAGCCAGCTAGATTTCCTGGGTTGAGTGGAGACTTGGAGAACTTTTCTGTCTAGCTAGAGGACTGTAAATGCACTGATCAGCGCTCTGTGTCTAAAAGATTGTAAACGCACCAATCAGCACTCTGTAAAAACGCACCAATCAGCACTCTGTGTTTAGCTAAAGGATTGTAAATGCACCAATCAGCACTCTGTAAAAACGCAAGCGCTCTGTGTCTAGCTACAGGTTTGTAAATGCACCAATCAGCACTCTGTGTCTAGCTAAAGGTTTGTAAACGCACCAATCAGCACTCTGTAAAAATGCACCAAACAGCGTTCTGTGTCTAGCTGAAGGTTTGTAAGCGCACCAATCAGCACTCTGTAAAAGCGCACCAATCAGCGCTCTGTGTCTAGCTAAAGGTTTGTAAATGCACCAATCAGCACTCTGTAAAAATGCACCAATCAGTGCTCTGTAAAATGGTCCAATCAGCAGGACATAGCCAGGGTCAAATAAGGGAATAAAAGCTGGCCACCTGAGCCCGCAGCGGCAACCTGCTTGGGTCCCCTTCCACACTGTGGAAGCTTTGTTCTTTCGCTCTTCACAATAAATCTTGCTACTGCTCACTCTTTGGGTCCACACTACCTTTATGAGTTGTAACACTCACCACGAGGGTCTGCGGCTTCACTCCTGAAGTCAGTGAGACCATGAACCCACTGGAAGGAACAAACAACTCCAGATGTGCCACCTTTAAGAGCTGTAACACTCACTGTGAAGGTCTGTGGCTTCACTCCTGAAGTCAGCGAGACCACGAGCCCACCAGAAGGAAGAAACTCCGGATACATCTGAACATCTGAAGGAACAAACTCTGGACACACTATCTTTAAGAACTGCAACACTCACCATGCAGGTCCGTGACTTCATTCTTGAAGTCAGCGAGACCAAGAACCCACCGGAAGGAACCAGTTACGGACACATTAAGAGAATGATTCTTTCTATAATGATCTCTAGGCAACACAGTGAGACCTTGTCTCTACAAATTTTTTTTTAATTAAAAATAAGTAGCCAGGCAGGGTGGTGCACACCTGTAGTCCTAGCTACTTGGGAGGCTGAGGTAGAAGGATTGCTTGAGCCTAGGAGATTGAGACTGCAGTGAACAGTAATTGCACCATGGCACTCCAGAGTGGGTGACATAGTGAGACCCTGTCTTAAAAAAATATATATATATATGTATATATGTATATAGTACTGGCATAAGGATTATGTATAGACTATAGATCAATGGAACAGAACAGACATTCCAGAAATAAACTCTAATATTTACATTTAATTGATTTTCAACAAAGATGCCAAGGCAATTCAATGAAGAATTTCCATAGTTTTTACAACAAATTATGCTAGCACAATTGAATAGCCACATGTAAAAAATTGAACTTAGACTTTTATTCATACCAAAGAAATTAATTTGAAATGAGTCACAGACTTAAATGTAAGAGTTAAAACTATAAAAATTTTAGAAGACGACATAGGAGAAAATCTTGAGACTCTGAACAGGGCAAAGATTTCTTAGATAAAAGACCAAAGTATAATCCATTAATTTTTTTAAATTGGAAAACTAGGCTTCATAAGAATACAAAACTTTTGCACTTCAAAAGACACCATTGAACTGAAAAGAAAAGCCACAAGCTGGGAGAAAATATTTGCAAAACTCACATCCAATAAAGGATTTGCATCCAGAATGTACAAAGGACTCTTGAAACTCACTAATAGGAAAACAGTTTTAAAAAATGCAAAAAAGATGTACATAAACATTTCACCAAAGAAAATATACAAGTGGCTAATACTTTCAAAGATATAGTGAAATGCAAATTAAAACCACAATGAGGAACTATTTCACACCCACTAAAATAACTACAATCAAAAAGACAATATCAAATATTAGCAAGAATGTGGGGAAACAGGGACTCTCATATATCACTGATGGCAATGTGAAATACTATAGTCAGGTTGGAAAATAGTTTTTCTTAAAAAGTTCAGCATGTATATTCCATACAAGACAACAACTCTGCTCCCAAGAGAAATGAAAGCATATGTCTATGCCAAAATTTGCATGTTATGCCCATAACAGCATTATCCATAGCAGCCAAAGAGTAGAAACAACACAAATGTGAATATTTTTAAATGTGTTATATCCATACAATGGAATACTATTCAGTAATACAAAAGAATGAAATAGTGATAGATGCTATAATATAGAGCAACCACAAAACATTATGTGATATGAAAGAAGCTGGTTTTAAAAGGCCAATATTGTATTATTCTATTTATATGAAATATCCAGAGAAGACAATTTATTGAGACGGAAAGTAGATTAGTGGTTGCCTGGGCTAGAGGCAGGACAGAGGCTAACTGTAAATGGGCATGCAGGATTTTATTGGGGTGATTAAAGTGATCTAAAATTAGATTGTGTTGATGTCTGCACAACTTAATAAATGTACTAAAAAGTTTGAATTATACATTTTAAATTGGTAAATATTATGTAATATAAATTATGCTTCAATAAAGTTGCTTAAAATAAATAGCCAATCTTTCAGGCTAACAATTACTAGTATTGTAATAGCATGGAATTCTGTAAAAAAAAAAAAAAAAAAAAAAAAAAGTCTCCACTTGGCATAAAACATTGGTTCATTTGGATCATCAACCACCCAAAATGGTAACCCATTTACATGGTATTAAAAAGTTGTATTTTTTTTTATTAATGAGATCCTCTGTGGAGAATGGCAACATCATAAGCAGTTCTAAGTTACAGTTTCAAAAGAAGAAAACCTAAGACCTTTTCATAAAGAAAATTCAAGTCATAAAAGGGCACTGGGCAAGTTTCAGTTCTATCACATATCTACACTCTTCAAACTCAGTTTCTTCAACTGTAAAATAAAATGGTATTCCTGTCCTGCCTGCAGCATCCCAGGGCTATTGTAAGGCCTATATAAGAGAAACAAAAGAGAAGGTGCCATAATATAATATTTTTTGAACTCATTACCAAATATAAAGATGCCACTTATTCCCACCTACACTCTGGCTTTTCCTCATGTTAAGTCTGAAATTGAAGAAGTCAATCATATGGACCCATCTAAGCTCAAACCCAGGTTTGTTCAAACATGCCACAGACTGTCAGTTCTAAGAAAGCTTTGAGACTACATTCTGCCTGGTAATTGCTTTGGATAGAATCCCAGAGCTCTTGCTTTGAAAACAATAGAGTTTTATGAATGGAAATATCAGAGGAAAATATTGGAGGCCCAATATTTGAAACAGCTAAAGTATATTAGGAATGTCACTAGAGACATGCAATAACATAAAAAAATTTAAATATTTTAGAAAATAAACTTTAACGTGCAGAAAAGGAATACCTAATGGCCACTTTAGAAAAATAACATTTATCATTAGATGCATGTGTATGTATCCAAACTACATTACGTTCTACGTGTCAGAAGGTGGAGGGCCAAAGAATAAGTCTCTTCAAGTAACACCTATTTACCAGAAATAAAAAGTAGCATTAGTTACATGCTTTATATGACTCAAGCACGTAATATGTACTTTGAGTATAGAAAACTTAGTTTCAGTATGTAACATAGAATATCAACTAGGTTTTATATCATGCTTCTCATTCATTCCCGTTTTTTGGATGAGAAGGTAGAGGCATAAGGTTAAGGAACTTGCTCAAGGTCACACACAGCATGGCTTAGGACCTAGACAGCCTGATTCCAGTGTCCATGCTCTGAACCATTCCACCAACCTGCCTTGTATGTAGTGTCAGCTCCTTTATCATGTACAGTCATCAGTATTTGAAAATGTTATAAAGTTGTACAAATAAAGCCAAGTAATTAAGCTGAAAACAGTTTCTAAAAAGATTAAAAGTGCAGCACTCTTTTGCAACATAGCACATATATTTAGCAATAGAAATCTTTGAGCAGCTGCATTCAATTAGAAAATTATTAACCCTGAGGGAAAAGCTACAAAAGGCAAATCCACATTTTATTCTTTTTGTAGTGAAGTGTATTCATGAATGAAATCCACCACTGGATGACAGAACTACTTATTTCCACAATAGCTTTTTATTTTACACTTTTGGGGGAAAATGATCAATGTAAGAGAGTAATAATATCATGGATTCTCTACATGATCTGTAATAGTTACTTGATTCCCATAGTAACTCTAAAAAGAAAGGAAACAAAAGCCTGAGATGGTTAATTTGTATTTCTACTTTTGCTAAGAAAATAAGCTTTAATAGTACCTATTATTAGAATAAGGTAATAAGTATGAGTGATGTTAAATGTACACCTTTTATTTCTCTAATTGAGTCTCAGATAACATCTGTGGCCCTAATATCTACAGCATATATGTCATCTGTGGCTATAGTGTTGGGAACTTTAGTGAAATATCAAAATAACTGCATAAATAGGGTAAATCCATAAGGTACACAGAAGAAGGTGGGCTTTTAAAAACTTTGATTCCAATAAAAATTGACTGTGGTTTATGGCATCTAAGGTCATGACCATAAAGGTGTTTACAAGGTAAGCTTTTAAGGTTCCTTTGTTACTCCAAAGTACTGTTGTTCAGTCTTTAGTTTATGATTCAATTCCACTCTGATATGTCTGACTTGTTTTGAACTCTGACCTTTGTTTGTATTTATATAGTGACCTGTATTTCCCAGTTAATAATAATTCAAACTTAAGTAAAATATCAAAACTCTGCCATGGCCGAAAAAGGTGCAGGGAGACATTTCCAGGTGCCAAAAAGAAATTTCTCCACCAATAATTTCACCACGAGGCAGAATATTTCCCATATCAAATTGTCAATCCAGTATCTCAATTCAACTCCCAATCATCTAAAGCCAATGAACATTTGAATTAGGTTTTTTGAAGTTTTAATCTGAAAAAGCTTTAGTGGCCAGTTATTATAGACAGATTTTCTAGCATATGTGCAAAGAGGATACCTGGGTCAATTATTGTAAAATTAACCCAGTTCAACATGCTATTATATTCCAGAACAAACAGACTGTGGTAGAAGTGGTAAAACGTAAATGAGAAGACTTCCCGTTAATGTGGAAGACATGACATAGGTATAATTTTCACTCCCTGCTAATACTCCACTGAAATAACAGTTAAAAGCATTAAATGATATAACTCAGTAAAGGTCAAAAAGAGAGAAAGGTCGAGAAGATATAGCAATGAATTCTGCAACATGAAGAGGCAGATAAATGTAGGAGCTCTAAGCGGCTTTGCAATGTAAAAGAAGCTGAATATTAGGGGCCTACAGAAGAGTATGAACCAACAACAAAAAGGCAATTTATACTTGCAGAACTCTGGGAAGGCTTGGGACCTAGACACTCTAAGAAGGGGCAAGGCTTGTGGCTTGAAATGAAGAATACTTTAAAATCCATACATGGAACTAATTAGCTCCCCAGATCCTTTCCTCTGTCCCTTCCTTAATCTCTGCAGGAAAACAGACAGCAAAATTCAACTTCTCAAGAGGACATTCTTGAGAAGAGTAGACAACGTGGAAGGCAATTTGAGGTATATCATTCAAAAGAGAGGATATACGTGAAATACTGGGGACTAAATGTTGAGCCATCTCCACCGAGACCCACTCCCTTGCCCTTTTTTCAGTAGTCCAGCGTAGGTAGTAGAAAAAATGTTCCTATTTGAGGAGACGCTGAATAGCTCCTATACTAAAAATTATGCATTTATTATGACTAAATCCAATTTCCCTTCTTACATAACAGCCCAGTCACAGACTCACCTTCCCTTGTGGCTAGGAGTGGCCAGGTAACTATCTTCTCACCAGTGAAATTTGTAAACAGAAGTGATGGGTCATGGCAGCTTTAAAACACATCTGTAAATTATTTGCCACTCCTCCCATCAAGAGATGATCTGGAAGCTCTCTCCTTGGAGACTTAATTGTAACTAACAGAAGGCAGAAAAAGTGACCATGCATGGCCCTCAGGCTAGTTAAGAACAAGCCAAGCAGTTCTTCTCTGTTTCTCTGTGGAAGCTTACTCTGAGAGCCTTCAGACACCTATGTAAGGATCCCGGCTGCCCTGAAGCTTCCATATGGCGAGACCACACAGAGAGAAAGGGATACCTGAAGAATTTCAGCTGTTCCAACCCCAGCTAGTTAAGTCCTCCCAGCCCAGGTGCCAGCTATGTGAGTGATGAAGCCCTCCAGATGACCCCAGCCCCTGAACCAGCTGATTACAATGGCACAAGAGAACGAACCCAAGTGAGAACACTTAGCAGGGCCTAATGACCCACTGATGTGTGAACAAAATTGGTGTGTTACTGTTTTAAATCACTATTTTGGGGTGAGCTATTACACAGCAATAGAGAATTGCAACATGGATGGAACTGCTGTGTCACTTGTTTGAAATCTGTTGTTCTGGACTTCAGCTCTTACCTCTTTTCATCAACTAGAACATGGAAATGCCTGTGACCCAGCTTGGATGGGCAGAGAATGATGATGTCTTTCCCGAATATGAAAGAAAGGTGCCTGGCTGAATGGACACAGGGAGCGGAGCCTCCAGTCTGGACCACTAACTACATGATTTCACATAAGAGAGGTCTGAGCTTCTATCTTTTTAAACCACTGTATTTGGGAGCATCTTTGTTACAGCTGCTTAGCCTCCACCTTAAAGAATAGACTTCCAGAGAAAAAACTCTGGGTATTGATAAATATAGATTATTTGAGGGACCCATACTCTAATAAAAAAGCCAGCTCTCCACACAAAAATATTTTGACAGTGAAGCCCAACAGCTGAGTCATGTACATGGAATGTTGAATCAGTTTTAGTGCCTCGCTTTTAATAATGTGAAACACTAAAGAGATAGCCAATAATTAATAGACATTAGAAGAAAGCTCACTATGTCAGGGGCCATGATCAAACACATAAATGAAGGAAACAGGAAAAAATGACTCAGAGGAAGCAGAGAATGAAAGGAAAAAGATTAAACTGTCCTTAATATCCTCTGAATGAAAAGTCACTACATCTATGAAACAAGATGAAATTTAAAAAAATCATAGAACAAGTAAAAGACCTTACAAATTAAAAAAAGGGATTGTAGAAATAAAAAAAGTTCAAAATAATAGTTAAAAGATGAAGTAGAAAAAAAATTTAGACATTAAAATAAATATACAAACAAAACACAAATATGGAAATTATCTAAAAATTGAAGATCAGTAAGAGAGGTCAAACCTTTGTCTAAGGAGTTTCAGAAGGAATTCACACAACAGAGAAGAGGAAATTGCATAAAAAAAAAATCTCAGAAGTGTAGGACATGGCCAGGCACGGTAGCTCACGCCTATAATCCCAGCACTTTGGGAGGCTGAGGCAGGTGGATCACCTGAGGTCAGGAGTTCGAGACCAGCCTGGCCAACATTGTGAAACCCTGTCTCTACTGAAAATACAAAAACTTAGCCTGGCATGTTGGTGGATGCCTGTAATCCCAGCTACTCAGGAGGCTGAGGCGGAAGAATCGCTTGAACCCAGGAGGTGGAGGTTGCAGTGAGCCGAGATCACACCATTGCACTCCAGCCTGGGCGACAGAGTGAGACTCCGTCTTAAAAAAAAAAAAAAAAGAAGAAGAAGAAGAAGAAGAAGAAAGAAGAAGAAGAAAGGAGAAGAAAGGAGAAGAAAGGAGAAGAAAGGAGAAGAAAGGAGAAGAAGAAGAAGAAGAAGAAGAAGAAGAAGAAGAAGAAGAAGAAGAAGAAGAGGAAGAGGAAGAGGAAGAGGAAGAGGAAGAGGAAGAAGAAGAAGAAGAAGAAGAAGAAGAAGAAGAAGAAGAAGAAGAAGAAGAAGAAGAAGAAGAAGAAGAAGGAGTAGGACATGGACATGAATGAGCAATGAGTACACCAATCGAAATATCCTACAAACATCTAGCACCATAAAGAAAACAGGCTTACCTCAAAGCATATAATCACGAAATTTCAGACTTCATGGATAAAAAAAGATGCCAGAGAAAGAATAACAAGCAAACAGGTAGCAATGTGCAAAAAGTCGGGATCAGAATGGCGTCAAATTTCTCAGTAATGGCACTGGGGACTATAATACAATAGGGCAAGACTTTCAAAATTCTGAAGGAAAAAATGCCTTTTAACCTTGAATGTCACACCCAAGCTATCAATCAAGTATATGACAAGCACAAAGACCCTTTCAGACATCAACGGATTTGAAAAATTACTTCCAGTACACCCTATTTTAGCAGTACTAGAGGATGCGTTTAGCAGTTCTGGAAAACACGACAATAAAGGCAAAGAAGAGAAACAGAACAGGAAACAAGGGATTCAAGATGATCGAGAGCAAAAGGATGTTCCACAGATGATGACTATGCAGGCTGTGCAGGGGGACAGGACTGTGGGAAAATCTCCCAAAGAAAAAAATATAATAGAGCACTTGGAACTGCGCTTGAATCTTTGAATAAATTAATGATGGGCATGTGACATATCAGATGGAGCCTTGGGGAAAAGCAGCAGTAGGTTCAAAGAAAACCAAGCAAAACAATAAAGAAGGAAATTTTTCATTTCCATGTAAAAGAAAAAGCTGAACAAGAAAGGATGCAGGTGCACAGCACACTGCTTGGCTCAGCAGCGGACACTACAAAGAGTATGGGCACTGTTTGTTGATTTAAATATTTTGATAGAACTATTCTGAATAACTGTAGTAAGGAGGAGAGGAGTAGATCTAGGAGACATAAATCCTTAACTAACATAACAGAGAGTCAATAGGAACTATCTAATATCTATCAACTAAGAAGTATCAATCATGAGCATATTACCTAGAAATATGAAGGTGAATATCAGAATAAACAGCAAAAAGAGCTGAAACTGTCTCTTTATGTAAATGAACTGGAAGGTGAGATATAACTATAATATCTTGTTATAAGATTTAGAATAATATTTAAATCTTTAACTATGTGAGCCTGTTTTTTAAAGATTGAGTTCAACCTCTTTTCCAGAGATGATCAGAAATGGTACTGGAATAAAGTGACATGGAAATACATTTTCACATTTACTGATTTATAAGTTTGACTTTAATTTATAGTCATTTTATATCCTCTCCTCAATATATACTACAAGCTCTAGAATAAGATGGGTCATATTTTCTCTTTCATCTCTTCTCAACTCCCCTAAATACATGTACACACACACAAGCACACACACACACACACACACACACCCCAAAAGACAGTGTCCCTTATTTTATTTAATGTGCTGGGGATATTTTTCATATTTTATTCTTATTATATAGGTTATGTATATTCTTGACACTTGGAGTATATTGGTGAATAAAACCAGCAAAATGCCCTGTCCTCAGGGAGCCTATATTTTAATACTACTTAGAAAAAATATAGCAGAGTAATTTATTTTATGCAATTTAGGTAAGATGGATGTTTTTCTGACCTATTGGAAACCTTGGAAAATTAGTGACTGTGGTCTATAAAAAAATTAGAATTTTTAGTGGTGAACTCCAGGCCATATGTCTATACTTTTGGATATTGCTGATTTAACACTCATGCCTCTTAGATAAACCAATATCCATGGAAGTAATTAAAATGATGTCAACATAAGTAAAATTTCCAGAAAAAAATTTCATGAACTTCTAGCACATATTTTAAAAAATAGCTCTCTCCTAAGAACATTTTATTTTCTCTAAAATTCCTAACCTTTAATATATAAATAGGTAATATACATAATGCAATTTTTTCCTTAAAGTACATTCAATGCTGAAAACACTATTATTTAAGCTATAACTAAATATTAATATATGTAAGATACTTTATTCCTTATGCAATGCAATTTTCATAGTCTCTTTTTTCCAAAAATATTAATTCCAATTTATATACTTAGTTCTTAGAAACAGGTCATTATCCTCACCCTTTTTATTCATTGAGCATGAGCTACTGAAATTAAAACTTTCCTAGAGTTTGGCATATATAAAGTTTTAGACCTAAAAAAGCCAGTGAAATAATTTTGACCATTTATTAATAAAGTGCACATATCTGTCAAATAATCCCCTCTTTTTTGTATGTCTAAGAGAAGTATACAGAAATTGTATAACATAAAAGCACAAGTAAATATTTTAAACCTGAAATTATTATACAACAATGATAGAAATAGTAGCTAACAGTTATTGAATAGCCACTATATATTAGGTATTTCAAAGTGTCTTACTTAATTCTCAAAGAGTCCTGTAAAGTGTTTATTATCAATATCCATTTTCAGATGGATAAATATGGCTCAGAGAGGTTAAACAACTTTTTCCCCTTAGACAACCAGGATTTGAACATTTGTTTACCTGTATTAGTATTAGTCTGTATTAGTGTTAGTATTATACTTGTATTAGTATGTTTTCATTTCTCAAAGGAATACCCAAGACTAGGTAATTTATAAAGAAAATGTTTAATTTGGCTCATGGTTCTACAGACTGTACAGGAAGCACAGTGCTAGCATCTGCTTCTGGTGAGACCTCAGGAAGCTTACAATCAGAGAGGAAGGCAAAGGGAGAGCCAGTGTGTCACATGGCAAGAGGGAGCAAGATGGGGGGTAGGTGCCATTCTCTTTTAAACAACCAGATCTCTCAGGAACTAATAAAGCAAGAACTCACTCACTACTGCCAGGATGGCACCAAGCCATTCTTCAGGGATCCCCCCTCATGATCCAAACACCTGCCACCTGACCCCACCTCCATCATTGGGGATTACATTGTAATGTGAGACTTAGATGGAACAAACATCCAAACTATATCAAGAGTAATCTCTTAGGATGACTGAAGGCTATTTTAAAAGCCTGTCACACACACACACACACACACACACACACAACAAATATGGAGTTTTCTTCTATTTCAGAACGTATTATTCAAAACATAATTTGTTTTCCAGACTTTTTATAAGCTCACTTGCAAAATATAGCTTGGGGTGATGAAAATGTTCTGAAATTAGATAGAGGTGATGATTCCACCACACTGTGATGTACTAATATCACTGAATTGTATACTTTGAAGTGGTTAAAATGGTAAAGTTTATGTTGTGTATATTTTGCCACAACAATTTTCTTTAACATCGTTTCAGTCCTAAAAGGAAATATATTAGAATTTTATCCTCTACCTATGCCAGATCACAAATTTCAAGCTAATCTCTTCATTTCTAGGACTACATATTTAAATCCTACCTCTTTGGTAGTAGCTCTCAAATTTATATCTCCAGCAGAAACCTCTCTCCTGAATTCAGACCCCATAACTTCCTAGTCGACACCTCCACAAGAATTTCTAACAGAATCAAAAGTGTAGCATGCCCAATTCTGAGTGCTTAATATTCCCTGTATACCAGCTCCTTCTCAGCCCATATTAAATGACAGCAACTCCACTCTTCCAGTTGTTCAGGGCAAAGTCAGTATCACCCATCCCACATCAATAAATCCTGATGGCTTTATCTTAACTCAGGGTTTCTCAACCTGGGCACTGTTGAGATTCTTTGGGCCTGATAATTCTTTATTGTAGAAGACTGCTCTGTGCATTTTAGAATGTTTATCAGCATCCCTGGATTTTACTCAACACACATCAGTAGCACCCCCAGTTTTGACAACCAGAAATGTCTCCAGGCATTGCCAAATGTCCCCAGCACGGCAAAATCACCCTTGGTTGATAACTGTGGCCTTAAATATAATATAGCCAAGATTCAACTCCTTCTCCGCACCTCCACTGCCATGGCCTTGGTTCAAGCTATCACCATGGCTCTTCCCTTTAATTCTGCAGTAGCCTCCTACCTCATCTCCTTGCCCTGCTCTTCTCAGCCAGCCACCCACAAGGATCCTCTTCAAATCTTATTGAAAAGAAAGTCAACAAGAAAGTCAGCTTATGTCACCACCCTCTCAAAACCCTCCCATGTCTTTCTATCTCACATAGAGTAAAAGACAAAATCTTATTCTGACCTATGAGGACATACCCCATGTGGACCCCGTTACCCGTCTCACCTGAGCTCCCATCACCCTCCCCATGTTCACTCTGCTCCTGCATGCTGGCCTCCCCACATGTCCTCAAGTATGCCTCCCACACTCCTGCCTAAGGTCCTTTGTCCTTCTTGTTCCCACCATCTGGGATGTTCTTCTTCACCTTGATATATCTACAGCTGGCTCCCTCACTTCCCTCAGGTCTTTACTCAGATTCACTTCCTCAGGCAGCTCATGGACAACCTCCTTAAGCTTTTAGTCTCCCTGCTCCCACTGCATATCCCTCCTCCTGGCCTCATTTTTCCTTCTTACCACTCGCCCTCATCTAGCATACTCTATTTAACTACTGATCATGTTTATTGCCCTCTTTATGAGGACCGAGGATTTGCCTATTTTATTCTCAATCAATTTATCTCATGTACTTGTAACAATGCTTGACACACAGTAAGGACTCAATAAGTATTACTAGAAATAAGTGAACCTCTTAGAACCAAAACTGAGGAATTTTTTAAGAGAGCACAATTTACTGTGGGATCAGAGACCATAATCTGTTCATCTCCACAAAGCAGGCAGGCATGAATAGTTTTATATTGAAACTTAAAACCGCAAACAACATTGTCCCTTATCTGATACTGTTGCTGACGTGATCCTTCTTTCTTGACACAGCTAACAGAGTGTCTGACACCAATATAGATTATAGGATCTCATCACAATAATGATAGGCATTTAACAGCCTTGACAGATCAATGACCTTGCAGCCTACAACTCAGCAGACTCTCCCTCAGTATGGAAATCCTAAAAAACATAATACACTCACTTATTATTCATCAATCCATTGTTTTTCCAAAGCCAGGACTCACTTAGAAATGCCTGTAATTTGGATGAGGTTGACTAACATCGGACCTACCGATTTGGGGTGTGGGGGTGGGGAACAATAGACACCAGCAAAAGAGTAAAGTGGTTGACACAGCAATCAAAACCCAGAGAATGGTTTCTAGGTTTCTACAATAAAGTACAGTTATCTGGGTCTCCATGGAAATCTGTTCAAATTCCAAATTACACTGGACCTGAGTTCTTGGATTTGATAACATACCCTAAAAATACAGCTAATTTCAACTGCAATACAGTGTTAAAAATCAAAATGAAATACACTAAACTCATCCGTAAATAGGTAACAGATTCTAAGATGTTGATGTTGTCTTCAAAGGTTATAAACTAGAATTTTTCTAGGGATATAACTCCTTAAATCAATTTATTATTGCTTACCTTTAAAATAATACTGCATTCATGTCAGCATTATTTATAATAGCAAAAAAACTAGAAACCACTGAAATGCCAAGCAATAGAGGAAGAGAAGATAAAGCAACAGGAAAACTAGATAAATTTATTAAATAAAAATGCTAAAGAATACTATGCAGTCATTAAAAGATGAGGTTGGCCTATGTGCATTAATATGTAATATTCATCAATATATCATTATATGATCAAAGATAGTTGCAGAAAGCAGTGCAGAGTATGATTCCACTTACATGAAATATGTGTGTATACATACATGCACATATGGAAGAATTAAATATTTTCAGGTGCACCATTCTCCATCCTGCTTCCTGCTCAAGATGTTTACCTGAATGGATATATCCATGGGCTCCCCTGCCTTGTGGTTTTTGGTTGAATTCATCCAATGGGAGGCCTGGCAGATATGAAAGCTGGAGGAAAGTGAGGTGGAGCCCTTCATTCCCCTGGCCTCCTTCCTATTTTGCTGCAGGTTGGCTGTATCCCTTTAAAAGCCACAGCATTTGTCAAGCACCTCTCCAGATTCTGGGAACCACTCTTTCTCCTGGCCCCTACATACCCAGAAGTTGTAGAGGCTCCCAACTGATACAGTTCAGGGTCACTGCACAATCCCTTGTTCCTGTCCTTACACACTGCTCACACTTGCCTACTTTTGTAAATGTCCTTCTATGAAACTCTTCTCAACTGCCGACTTCGCATGTGCTGTTTCTTTTTTAACAGAACCTAATTAATAACTATATGTGTATCTTCTGTGTGATTCATACACATAAACATGCATAAATGTGTACTTACATGTACAAGGAAATTTTCTGAAGGATACAAAAGAGATTGGAAAGGGATACATTGGAGCTTTTGTTCTTAATTTTGTACCTTTTAGATTTCTTTCACTTTTAAAATGTCAGTCATACATAAGTAATCTGCTTTGAAAGCAAAACCAAATAGGAAAAAATTATATTGTTACCTTTTTGATGGCACTGTAAGGAGGGAAAGAAGTAATGAATACCAGGAGAAGTGACAGTAGTGACTTATATGTTCATTTTAAACAATGTGTTATGTATGATGAAAAGGATCCTCACTTCTGAAACTTAAGTTTGACAGTTACCAAAAAAATTCATCCACTGTAGAGTTTGTTTTTACCATCTTGTTCCAATGACCTACTTTTAGAAAAGCACGCTTATTTTAAAACTTGCTTCAAAATAACCCCATTTTCTTAACACATCTCATTCGTTTTTCAAATTTGCCACTTTCCATTTTAACCATATATTTTTTAAAACTTTCGACAGTAGTCATAAAAATGTGCATATTTTGATTTGATCAAATGTTCATCTTTTGTGATTAAAACAAAATAACCCCATTCCCAGAAAGGAAATACTGACTTTCAGGACTATTTCCAAAGCTGCCTAAAACTACTCTGAGGGAAAAAAAAATGCAAATCAGTAATGAAGTATTGGAGCCCACAGTTAAATTAATTTATAGGGGCTTTAATGCAATTAAATTTCATCCAGACTGTATCTCTAATGGTGGCTGTGTTTTTTTTTTACTTAATAGACTTTAAAGCATAATTCACTTTCATTTTTGCAAAATTATTTAAATATTACAAACATCACTTTTATACATATTTCCATGGTGACACAATATATTTGAAGTCTATTTAATTTACAGATGATGGGGCCAAAATGAAAATTCTTTGAGGACCATAGATCTTCTATAACATCACATTTTCCAGTTCCAAGATATTAAGTATATAAGTTATCAGTATTTGAAAGAATGGAGTCTTGAGAAAGCAATAAATATTTTAAATGATCTGATTGTGAAACTTAAAGAAAATTAAAATCCAGAGCAAGGAAAAGCATCAGTAATACAAAGAGCTAAGATGTTTAGGGTTCATAATTTAAGTTAATAAATTATTAGGCTCTGAAATTAAATTTAACAGATCTTTTTCACAGCCAAATTAAGGAAATATTTAGAGATGAACATAAGTTATATTCCAGCCCCAAATTTCAACTCAAATTATTCATATACATAAAGGATAATGCATGAGGTAGCTAAGAATCTCAAAATACATTAACGTGACTTTGCAGTCACAACTAATGAGCAAAGCTGTCAGGATAATTTTTCATGCTCTCAAACCTAGACATAGAAGATCTATGCTGGAAAGCATTTAATAATAAATAGCTAACTAGTTTAAACCCTGAAAGAGACATGCAGAACTGGTCCAAAGCGTTCTTAGCTGAGAATATCAGCTAAATTCAGATGTCATTTTTGCTACAAATGTGCTGCACACTGGTGAAATATTTGACAAAGGAGAAGTAGATGTAACTATGGAAATCATAACTTTAATTGACAACAACATGAAAATTCAGAAGGATAACAAGCATCATGGATGGAGAAGACAATTATGCAGGAGTAAAAAATCAAATATGAGCTGCAGAATTTAAAAAAAAGAGTCTATTTTTCCTCTCTGGATATTTCCCACTACTTTAGAAAGAAGAAGAAGAAGGATGGAAAGAATATTCTTCCTGTTAATGAAAATAGGACAAAGGAACAGCCAGGACATTCCTACCTGGTTTCCAGATGAACTGATTATCCTTTTTGCCTTCCAAATGAGCTGCATGGGACAGCAAGAGAGAAAGCAATAGAAAGAGCTTCCTCATGCTCCTCCATACCCAGCAAGTGACTGTTAGGTTGCTCTTTGGAAACATGCTTCAGATTTTTCAGCCTCTTGACTTGCCTATTCCTAAAAGAGAAAAAGAAAAATCAGGTAAGTTTCTTCTGTAAAGAAAAGATAACAACTCATTTTGACTGCTAGAACCTTTATTATGATGGTATTGCAAGTTTTTCATTAGCATGAAGATAGTACATATAATATCAACCCTGTGGGAAAAGCTACAAAAAGCAAATCCACATTCTGTTTTTACCATGTTTTGTATTATTTTTTGTAGTGAAGTGTATTCATGAATGAAATCTACCACTGGATGATAAAACTACTTATTTCCCCAATTGCTTTTTATTTTATACTTTTGGTAAAAAAAGATCAATGTAACGTGATAATATTATCATGGATTCTCACAGGATCCAAAGTAGTTACTTGATTCCCATAGTAGCTCTAAAAAGAAAAGAAACAAAAGCCTGAGGTGGTTAACTCATGTTTATACTTTTGGTAAGAAAATAAGCTTTAATGGTACACATTATTAAAAGAAAGTAGTAAATATATGTTATGTTAAATGTTAAATGTATACCTTTTATTTCTCTGAAATAAAATCAGGTAAGTTTCTTCTGTACAAAAAATCAAGTAAGTTTCTTCTGTACAGAAATGATAAAAACTGACTTTGACTGCTAGAACGTTTATTATGATGGTATTGCAAATTTTCTATTGCCATGAAGATAGTCTTTATAATATTAACATTTGAAGGTCAGCAGTTAATTAGCCAAGTTTTCAATCCTCACCCACTGAAGGCCTCATCAATTCTATGGACTCCACAGTCTCTGTGTCGGTATATTTTATTCTTAAAAGCAGAGTTGGCAGATACCTTGTATATTCCCTCCCTTCTACTCAGACAAAGTCCATGAGGAGCTCATGATTTGGAGAAAGAGATATGCATACACAACAAGTCCAAAGCAGGGCAAGGGATGCTCTAACAGTAGTATTAAGAAAGTGGGATGGAAAGACTGAGGACAAGGCAACTAGTTCCTCTGTGCTGTGCAAAAAAGAGAGGAGAGCCTCACACAAGATAATATTTGAGAAGAGACTAGGGAAACATTAGGACTTGAAGGAGTTGGGAAGGGCATCTCAGGCAGAGAAAACAACAAGGCGTTGAAATGCGTTTTGTGTTTGGGGACTGGTGATTAGGCTGGTGGTTGCTGTGAAGGACACAAACAAGAGGGAGGAATGGACTAAGATGAGATTTAAAACATAGGTTGGGAGCCAAATTGTAAAGAGCTGTGAATGGCATATGAGGGATTTGGGCTTCATGCTGTAAGTAGTAACAAGAATCATAGAAGAGCAAATGATTTTTAAATAACTAGAATCAGTGTGCATAATGGATTACTAGTAGACAATGGTAGAGAAATTGAGGGCAGTTAGAAAATTAGTGAAACAGTAGTCCAGGCAAGTACTGGTGAATGAAAAGATCAAGGATCAGGAGAGACTTGAGAAGTCATAGAAATTGCTTCTGGATTTAAACGATCTGGTTAACAACTGGATGTGCTACATAAGAGGAAGATGATGAAAAAGGACAGAAAGACTGCAAACTTAGATGCCTGAACTGATGGGATCCCTTTACCAAAAACAGGAAACAGGAAGAGGGGCACATTTGAGAACATGCTTTACTTTAGAATAGAATAGATTAAGTCTGATGAGGCTACCAGATATCCATGTACAGTTTTCCAAAAGATAATAAGAAAACTGTAGTGGAGTGAAGGAGATCTAAAATAACTTACCGCAATATATGTATTATGAAAAATAAAAAGATATAGGTACTGGAGAGTAAAAAGATTGAACAGTAAAAAGGGGATCTGAAGGGTAGAAGTTATTGCCCCTAAATATATACCCACACAATTACTACAGGTGGGTGGCAAATCTGACTATGAGCTTCCTAGTGGCCAAGGAAAAGAAATAGCTTGTTATAATTTCTGTTCTTTTACATTTGCTGAGGAGTGCGTTACTTCCAACTATGTGGTCAATGTTGGAATAAGTGTGGTGTGGTGCTGAGAAGAATGTATATTCTGTTGATTTGAGGTGGAGAGTTCTGTAGATGTCTATTAGGTCTGCTTGGTGCAGAGCTGAGTTCAAGTCCTGGATATCCTTGTTAACTTTCTGTCTCGTTGATCTGTCTAATGTTGACAGTGGGGTGTTATAGTTTCCCATTATTATTGTGTAGGAGTCTAAGTCTCTTTGTAGGTTTCTAAGGGCTTGCTTTATGAATCTGGGTGCTCCTATATTGGGTGCATATAAATTTAGAATAGTTAGCTCTTCTTGTTGAATTGATCCCTTTACCATTATGTAATGGCCTTCTTTGTCTCTTTTGATCTTTGTTGGTTTAAAGTCTATTTTATCAGAGACTAGGATTGCAACCCCTGACTTTTTTTGTTTCCATTTGCTTGGTAGATCTTCCTTCATCCCTTTATTTTGAGCCTATGTGTGTCTCTGCACATGAAATGGGTTTCCTGAATACAGCACACTGATGGGTCTCCATTCAAAATTGCTTCAAAGAGAATAAAATACCTAGGAATCCAACTTACAAGGGATGTGAAGGACCTCTTCAAGGAGAACTACAAACCACTGCTCAACGAAATAAAAGAGGATACAAACAAATGGAAGAACATTCCATGCTCATGGGTAGGAAGAATCAATATCGTGAAAATGGCCATACTGCCCAAGGCAATTTACAGATTCAATGCCATCCCCATCAAGCTACCAATGACTTTCTTCACAGACTTGGAAAAAACTACTTTAACGTTCATGTGGAACCAAAAAAGAGCACACATTGCCAAGTCAATCCTAAGCCAAAAAAACAAAGCTGGAGGCATCACGCTACCTGACTTCAAACTATACTATAAGGCTACAGTAACCAAAACAGCATGGTACTGGTACCAAAACAGAGAAATAGACCAATGGAACAGAACAGAGCCCTCAGAAATAATGCCACACATCTACAACTATTTGATCTTTGACAAACCTGACAAAAACAAGAAATGGGGAAAGGATTCCCTATTTAATAAATGGTGCTGGGAAAACTGGCTAGCCATATGTAGAAAGCTGAAACTGGATCCCTTCCTTACACCTTATACAAAAATCAATTCAAGATGGATTAAAGATTTAAATGTTAGACCTAAAACCATAAAAACCCTAGAAGAAAACCCAGGCAATACCATTCAGGACATAGGCATGGGCAAGGACTTCATGTCTAAAACACCAAAAGTAATGGCAACAAAAGCCAAAATTGACAAATGGGATCTAATTAAACTAAAGAGCTGCTGCACCGCAAAAGAAACTACCACCAGAGCAAACAGGCAACCTACAGAATGGGAGAAAATTTTTGCAATCTACTCATCTGACAAAGGGCTAATATCCAGAATCTACAAAGAACTCAAACAAATTTACAAGAAAAAAACAAACAACCCCATTAACAAGTGGGCGAAGTCTATGAACAGACACTTCTCAAAAGAAGACATTTATGCAGCCAAGAGACATGAAAAAATGCTCATCATCACTGGCCATCAGAGAAATGCAAATCAAAACCACAATGAGATACCATCTCACACCAGTTAGAATGGCGATCATTAAAAAGTCAGGAAACAACAGGTGCTGGAGAGGATGTGGAGAAATAGGAACACTTTTACACTGTTGGTGGGACTGTAAACTAGTTCAACCATTGTGGAAGTCAGTGTGGCAATTCCTCAAGGATCTAGAACTAGAAATACCATTTGACCCAGCCATCCCATTACTGGATATATACCCAAAGGATTATAAGTCATGCTGCTATAAAGACACACGCACACGTATGTTTATTGTGGCACTATTTACAATAGCAAAGACTTGGAACCAACCCAAATGTCCATCAATGATAGCCTGGATTAAGAAAATGTGGCACATATACACCATGGAATACTATGCAGCCATAAAAAATAAGTTCATGTCCTTTGTAGGGACATGGATGAAGCTGGAAACCATCATTCTCAGCAAACTATTGCAAGGACAAAAAACCAAACACCGCATGTTCTCATTCATAGGTGGGAATTGAACAATGAGAATACTTGGACACAGGAAGGAGAACATCACACACTGGGACCTGTTGTGGGGTGGGGGAAAGTGGGAGGGATAGCATTAGGAGATATACCTAATGTAAATGACGAGTTAATGGGTGCAGCACACCATCATGGCACATGTATACATATGTAACAAACCTGCACATTGTGCACATGTACCCTAAAACTTAAAGTATAATTAAAAAAACAAGAAAAGAAATGGCTATTGCAGTCTATGATCCTCATGTGTATAGGATTAAATTATACCACCCTGCCCACAGTTTTTGCCTTCTTTTTTTTCCCCCCAGGAAAAGACATTGCCCTGCTCCCAAGCACTGTTGGGATTTATATCAGGAGTCCTTATAAATACAGGTGGTATGCTGGGCCATGTGCTGAACACATTACTTCATCAAATAAAACAGCAAGTTGTCTGTAGTGGAGTCTCGTGGCATTCCTAGAACACTCCAAGGGTACGGTAGCAAAGTACAAATCAGTAAAAATTATTCTACAAGGAGTCAAGCAATGAAGTTCCAGTACACAGCTCTCTGACAGCCTGCCTCAATCCAGGGATGAGAAGTAAAAAGCAACCAAAACTTTTCTTCAAATTTCTACACTGCATACCAATATTGAGAAGAACAAAAGTGGAGTGCTCCAGCTGAAAGATGGTAAAGCTCCGTTGCTTGAATGGTTTTTTTCTCCAAGAGTGGCCTGTTAGATGATTTCATGAAACTTTTGCGGCGTTACTAGACACAATTCTAAAACTTCTGGCCTAGAGAACTGAATTGGCCACATTTCCTTAGAGCAAACATCCAAGAATATGACTTGTCACAACTGCGCTTTTGCTAAAAATTAGGCAAAATGGCTACTAAATTATAGTTTATTCTAAGGCAATTACTAGCTTACATGGTATTTTTGTGTGAAGCTGAAAAAGGTAGTCCCCCTCCTCAAGTAAAAATATTTTTAAGTTAGTATACTATTACAAAACCTGAATTGTTCTGACCAAGAGTCCTTTTCTGGAACCCTAGTGGACAGCAGCCCAGGCTCTATGCACATACGGGCGCACTGGAACCCACCTGCACATGTGAAGATTCACAGACGCACACATCACCATCAGGGAGCATACTCTGCACGCTCCCTTCCTCTGCCTCTCCAGAAGAGGAGACAGTGCCACAGTCAGAACTGCAGCTACAGCAGAGCTGGAGAAGAGCCTCAGAGACCCCAGAGCGTGTTAGGAGACAGACTGCAGCCACAAACACATGTGTTTACCCATCAGTGCCTGCTCTGCTTAGTGTACAAGTTTCAGCTGTGGGTTCATACAGGCAGGAGCTCCCCATTCCAGCTAGAAGCCCTGGAATCTCAGCTTCTGCCCTGATGCTCCCAGGTAAGCTGGCATCTGTCTGTGATATGAATTGTGGCCCAATAGATGAGACATTTTTATGCACATACACACACATACACTAGATTATAGATATTTCACACTTATAATGTAAGTTCACATGCTTTAAGAAGCAACACAACAAAGAATGGACTGGAAATTATATCATGATATTTAAAGACTGCCTAAGTCTTTTGTCTCAATAGACATTCACTCCACTTCTACGGAATGGTGGACTGAAGCCAGGCTATTATATTCTCCAGACACATACACACCACACCACACAAATGGGTGGTTAATTCTGCATAATACAGATTTGATACAAAGATTTTAGTCTGGACATTTTTCAGAAGACATCATTGCCAATTATATATGCCATTGAGGCAGTTGAAATAAACCTAAATATTGCCCTCATAAAACAATATAGCTTCCTGGTGAATCCTACAAAGCAAATTAGTTTAAAAATATACCCCTGGGAAAGCAAATGAGTGGTCTTCTATATATAATGATAGATCAAAGTCAATGCCATGTCAGAGAGCTTTTGATAAAGATGATGACTGTGTTTGGCAGCGGTTGTTCCTAAGCTATTATTTCCAAAGTTAATAAAGTAATAGCTAGCAGGACCAGTTCTACACAGAGGCTACTTTTTTTCATGAAACAAAATCACCAGGGTATACAAGATGACTTTGTCCATTCTCACGGCCATTCAGCATATCTGAAAATATATTCAGATCACTACCATGAAAACTAAAGAGAAGGAGGGCCAAAAGCATATCTTCTCTACTCCAAATGGCTGTAGGTGGGAAGCTAAAAAGAGATTGAAAGGATTATGAGTTCAAATGAGATAGCACATGAGCCAGAATGACTGGCCAAGGAGTCATATGGAAAGATGTTGAATTTTGCATCTATCTTTGAATTTTAATTCCAAAGAAAGCCACATTAACATTGTCTTAGCACAGTTTGCTATAAGCCTTGGTTTTCTCTTAGGCTTCCTCAGCAGTCTAGAACACTGTATTAACTCTGCAAAGTGACCTAACTCCTTTAAGGTGCCTTCTATGATTACCCAAGCCAGGACCCAACAGCAGAAGATCCGGATAGAGTGGCTTGGAGAAACTACGGGGCTCCTGTGGTCCCCATAATCTGGCTATCACTAACAAGGCCTAGTGCCAATAAGAAACCAAAAACTGATCTTGACCAAAACAATCTGGAATACAGATCTTACACAATGATTAAAAGAATCTCAATTTTGGACTTTTACTCCTAAAAAATATGTGCTGCATGCTTTCTACTGAGCTGACGGAAAGTGCAGAATGGATTTCTTTCTTTCTTTATTTATTTTTTGACAGTCTCGCTCTGTCACTCAGGCTGGAGTGCAGTGGCACGATCTCGGCTCACTGTAGCCTCCTCCTCCCAGGTTCAAGCAATTCTCGTGTCTCAGCCTCCCGAGCAGCTGGGTCTACAGGTGCCCACCACCATGTCTGGCTAATTTTTGTATTTTTAGTAGAGACAGGGTTTCACCATTTTGGCCAGCCTGGTCTCAAACTCCTGGCCTCAGGTGATCAGCCTGCCATGGCCTCCCAATGTGCTGGGATCACAGACGTGAGCCACTGTGCCCAGCCCAGAATGGAGTTTGAACACAGGTGTGTCCTACTCCACTGAACCACGTTGCCTCTCTTCCCGAAATGCCTGGAATTCCCATTAAATTATTCCTTGGAAAGTATTGGGAGTCATTTTTGTATCTGTAACTTGGGAAGCTACACAAGAGTTCACCATAAACAAAATGAGAGGACAAGAAACAATTAGAGATTCCACTCCTCTGTTTGTAAAACACAAATGAAAAAAAAAATGCTATGACTATGATTACAAAAATACATTATGTGGGAGACATGTGCTACCCACGATGGCTTGAATAATTTATATCATGAAGGTCGTTGAGTTTCCAAATCTTCTTCTTTACTATATATCTTAGCATCCAAAATGTATTTGCAAGGTTAGCTCTAAACTGATGAATATTAAGAGAAATAAAAAACACAGTTTCTCCTTTTAGCCTCAGTTTTCTAATCAATGAAAGGCCATTGAGACTATAAAAAAAAGTGCCTCACACTTCATACGCATTTCATTTTCCCTTAAATGTATTCTTATCGTTGAAGCCCTTAAATATTTAAAAGGTGCAACATTTAAAAAATAAAATAAAGTAAAAATAGTTTCAATTTGCTTTCAGCCTAAAGAAACAGCAATGAGTGGGAGAAAAGGAAACTGTGATTATGCACATCTCCATAGCGCCATCTCATGGTAACTGTGCAGAGAAGATGGCTCAATAAAGATGGCCGATCAACGGGGCTATTGTCTGACTGCAATATTCTGCATCCCACTTTACCTTCCATAATGGCTTTACCATACGTTGCTGTATACAAGACAATGACCTAAACACTTCATTTAATGCTCACCACAGCCCTGCAAAGTAGTTATTCATATTATGCCCCACTTTAGAGATAAGAAAACTGAGGCATGGTCCATCAAGCAACAACCTGAAGTCCCAAAGATAGTCGGTTGTTTCCAAGTGACCTCAATGATCTCCCACTGAAGCAAGAGAGACTAGTGTTGTAAGTCAATATCAACACAAGCATTTTTTCATGTCTCTGATAATGTAGATCCTTTATAGCCTGATGTAGGTTCTCTTAGCATCTGTACAAGCCAATTTATATCAAATAATTTCACTTAATCGTCACAATGAGCAATTATTCCTATTTTTAGATGCAAAAGAGATTGATCCCTAAGGGTGTTAAATCAATATTCCAAGGCCATCTCAGCAAACAAGTGTCAAGCTGGGTCACAAAACAGTCCTGACGCCACAACCCATTCTGTTTACATCATGCCTTGTGAACCCTGGCAGTGCACGACCTTGGAGCCTGAGGTTCCTCATCCACAAAATGAGGAGGACAGTCATTGATAACCCTTAGGAATGAAGGATGCTACAGAAGCATGTATATAAAGTGTATAGATGAGTGCCTGACAGTGTACACTGACAGCTCACTAAAGGGTTGTCATTATTACTATTGTCATTGTTTTCTCAAAAGTCAGAACTCCACTCCAGCAATATTTAAGGAACAGTTTGAATGCAATCCTGCCCTGCAGCAAAATAGTGGAAGATGATTTTTCAACTTTCCAATCTTGTGACTTTGTGCCATATTTCTGAAGAGCTAAAAAGCACTCTGTACCAAGAACTCCATTAAAGATTCACACTGACCCTGCGAAGGAAAAAACAGGTATTATCATCTCTATTTTATGAGAGAACAACCTCCGGCCTTGCAATGACATGATGTTTAGTAACTTGTTCAGGCCTTTGAACCACCAGCCTCTTCCTCTCTGCACCTCACTCTGCAGACCTCAGCATGACACTCTGCAGGTAACTGAAGAATCCTAAACGGTGTGAAATGTAAGAATGTGGCATGGGAATGCATACCATAAAAGTATACAATCACATGTGTCTTTGGTTTGCTATATTATAATTGCAATAGCTTGGTGTCATGTAATGAAGTCACAGAAAATTTCGCAAAAAGTCCTCACAAATATGTTTCCTACCTCTTAACAAACTTTTGCCACTGGACATAACAGATAAAAAGAGGGATTGAAATAGGTTTTCTGAAACCTTCAAAAACATAATTTGGTATCCGGGTATCTGTGACAAACATTGCTATATTCTCCCTTTCTTCTTTTTTTTTTTTTTTTTTTTTTTTAGATGGAGTCTTGCTCTGTCACCCAGGCTGGAGTGCAGTGGCGCGATCTCGGCTCACTGCAAACTATCTCCCAGGTTGAAGCAATTTAGCAGTTATGCAACCCTATGGTAAATAGCTTTAAAATTCCCCCTACTTTATAAATCCAAGTAGCTGGGATTACAGGTGCCTGCCACCATGCCTGGCTTTTTTTTTTTTTTTTTTTTTTTTGTATTTTCAGTAAAGACAGAGTTTCATCATCTTGGCCAGGTAGATCTTGAACCCCTGACCTCATGATCCACCTGCCTTGGCCTCCCAATCTCCTTTTCTTCTAAAACTACTATTCTTTAAAGTGTCCACTTGTCAAGGAATGAAGGGAGAGAGAAGAGAGAGGAGAGAGAGAAAAGAAAGAAAGAAAAGAAAGAGAAAGAAGAAAGAAAAAGGAAGAAAGAAAGAAAGAAAAAGAAAGAGAAAGAAGAAAAGAAAAGGAAAAGAAAAGAAAAAGAGAAAAGAAAAGAAAAAATAAAAGATCACGTTCTCAGATTTTTATGTAGCTAGGGCTGCCATGTGACTCAGTTCTGGCCAAAGATTAGGAGGCAGAAGTATCAAGGGTATGGAGAGTTCCCTTATCCAATAAAAATATAAAGTCCCCCCCACCCCCCCGAAAAAAGTATGGTCTTTCGCCATTTATCTCTTTCCCATAGATCACAGAGGCAACACCTGGAGTCGCCAGAGCCTGCTTGAAGCCATGGGGATATGTGCCACCTACTAAGGAAGACAGAATGGAGAACAGAGGAAACCTGAGGCTCAGACACCATCACAGAGCTGCAGCCACTGTCTGAATTGTCAACTTCTGGACTTCCTGTTTTGTGAGCAAATAAACCACTTTGTTTTTAAGCCATGTTTTTGTGTGCCTTCTGCTACATGAGCTGTAAGTCCCACAGTATCTATGTCACTAAATACAGTAGGTCTATTTATAAACATCTATGTATGTTGATGTATGTTGTATGAGTGTGCCTCTAACATCCTGCTGAACGTGAACATAGGAGAAACCAATATGGGGAATAAAACAAACTCACCTTCATAGAAACAGGATTAATACATGAGAAGTAGAGTAATTGCATCTGTTGTCATTTTTCATGTGTCATTTCAGTGAAGAAAGGGGTGCTTCATTTATGATGGCAATTGCATAGAAGGAAGTTCTGTAAGTGGATTTGTTCTCACTGAGGGCTCTGACACAGCTTATACCAAGAAAAGTAGTAATTACTCTGATAAGCTGCCTCAGCTTCCCCAATGAGAATGAATCTGTTCATACAGAGTCCAAAGTAAGAACTTACTTATGCGGCTTCTTTCTACACAGTTGCCAGGCCCTACCTGATTCTGAAGGTATCATGGATACATTCTTATAATTTCAGAACTGCCTTGTCATCATTTCATGGAAAATCACCTTCTCTGATTACCTCATGGGATCATCTCTTTATCACCCCCTAACATTTCTGGTTGTTGCCCAAATGTTCCCTTACTCCCTCTTTCTTCATCACTTTCTTCCCTTGGGACAGAGACATCAAACTCTCCTCAATTTGTCTTATTTCTCTCAGGCTATTTATTTTCAGCCTCCATTTCTGGTATGTCTTTCTCATTTTAACCTCTAGATGGGTGTGGCTCTGACTCTGTCCTCAGACTCCTCTTCTCTAGCTTTGCTCACTCTCCAGGTGATCTGACTTAGTCCCATGGTGGAATAATAAACTCCACAATTCATTATTTCTACTTCTCTGTATCTATTCCCCTATCTTCAACCTGACTTCGCCCCTGAACTCACACCTTACCACTGAACATCTGCATTTGGATGGGCACACACATGTAACATACAAAATAAATGGAGCTTGATTACCCTACAGAGCCCACAGACCGGATCTCCCCGACAGTGTCACACTTCACCAGACCAGAAGCCCAGGAGTCATCCTGAAATCCTTCTTTGTCGCATCGAAAAATCAATCCATCTGCAAATCTAGTTGACAGCACCTACCTTTGCAATCTATCCAGTATCAAGCCACTCCCCTCCTAATGCAAGACACCAATTCTCCCCAGAGCTGCTAACAGCCTCCTGCCTGGCTTTTCTGCTTCCACCCTTGCTTTCCTTCTATGCATTCCTCACAGAAAATCCAGAGTAATCTTTAGGAAGGAAAAAATATACTTTCCTCTACAAAATCCTCTAGTGGCTTTCAATCACAGGATAAAATCTAAGACTCTGCTAGTTGAACTTTACCTCTTCTCCTTCCTCCTTTCTCACCAGTCTCCATTCACTCCTGTGCCCCAGACACACTGGCCTCTTTCTTGTTCCTCAAGCATGCACCTTCTTAACGTCCTTGCACTGCCATTCCTTCCTATTCACGTGACCTGCTTCCTCACTTCATTGTGCAGCAAAGGCCTTCCCAGACCCCCGTCTCTTCAGCACAACTGAGATGACTCTGTCCCTAGATGTTTAGTTTGTTGTTTGTTGGTAACACTTACAACAGCTCAATAACTGATAATTTAGTGTACTTAAAATTGGCATATTGGTTTATGTTCCTGTCCTCTAGTATTATCTAAGTACTTTATCTTGTTCAGTGTTATATGTCCAGTTCCTAGTATATTGCCTGGGAAACAGATATTCAACAAAGATTTGCTCAATGGATCCATGGACTATTGAGTCAACTTTTAAATAATTTTTTCGAGGAAGTTTTCTTAATCTTGGACCATAACTTCAGTGAAGAAGCTTTAGCATATGATGGGAGAAATATGGATAGAAAAATCCAACTACTGAAAAATTAGGCTATTTTAAAACATTTTGAGAAATTATTCATAAAATACCAACATTTGGAAGGTATGCATACATACAAACACACAGGTAATGATATCTTACCCAACACACAGAACTATCTGCTGCCACCTAAAATACAGGCACAAATGCTGACACTTTTTTTTTTTTTTTTTTGAGACGGAGTCTCGCTCTTTCGCCCAGCCCGGAGTGCAGTGGTGTGATCTCAGCTCACTGCAACATCTGCCTTCCAGTTTCAAGTGATTCTCCTGCCTCAGCCTCCTGAGTAGCTTGGATTACAGGCACGTGCCACCATGCCTGGCTAATTTTTGTATTTTTAGTATAGATGGAGTTTCACCATATTGGCCATGCCAGGCTCAAACTCCTGACCTCATGATCTTTCCGCCTTGGCCTCCCAAAGTGCTGGGATTACAGGCGTGAGCCACCGTGCCCAGCCGCTGACACTCATTTTTAAAAGAATCATATTTCCAAGTGTCTTAGATGAACAAATTATTGTTTACATTTTTAAAGCACAAAATGGCTCCCAAGCACAAAGCATTATGACTCTTGTGGGAAAGGAATGAAATTATGGAATCAAAGAAAACAAACTTCACTTAAAGAGAATGGTTTCTATAAGGTATGATTTTTTTACTTCTTATGGTAGGACCGTTTTACATTATTATTCAACAACGACTGTTATCGTTAATTAATACTGCTGTGCTTCAATAAAAGATGTTGTCAGGTTCTAAATCCTTGCATTTAAGGTGGAAAATCATTGATTAAAATGTGTATTTGGCATTTTCACTTTAATGGCTACTAAAATTTATTTAGTTTACAGACAAATGGAAATTATTTAAATTGAGAACAGCAGTAGGTTATCTCTTAAATAGCATTTAAATTAAGTTTTGCACAGGGAAAAGGTAAATTTTATAACTTTAGGAATGTCTCTTGGTTTGAGTCTCTGAATTATCTGTTTTGTGCTTAGTAAAGTTAATTCAGAAGTTACGCAACCCTACGGTAAATAGCTTTAAAATTCCACCTACTTTATAAATACATTACGAATATCCCACTCCACCACCCCTAAAGATCAGAACAGAAGAAGTTCTAAATTGCCTATACTTTAAATCTACTCAAGTGGAGAACTTTTTTTACAAATTATAAAAAAAGGAAGTTAAATCATTTAATAGAAATAATATCAAAAAACATAACCTAGTCACTAAAGAAAAAATAAAATCTATATAATCTGTTGTTTGGAGGAGTTTAGGTTAATTATAAAAAGAAAATACGTTCCATTTGAAAACCTTACCTTCTAGAAAAAGTAATAAAATTGACACAATTACCTTCTGTAGATATTTTAAGAAATAAAATAGATACCTGAGAAAGTCAGTCTGTAGTCCATTCTGCTTGAAGGTACAGGAAAGAATGTGATAACCTCTTTTCACCAAATTTACACACACACATACACACATATATGTGAATGTTGTCGAGAAAGAGAGATTTTATGTAGGCTGACATTTAACGGTTACTCTAAGGAGCTTTATAAGAATTCAAGATAACTGGAATGTGTGAACAAGAAAACATCCTCTTCTCAAATGCTGTTGAACTTTGAGATTAAAAAAATACTTAATTACTCATTAACATTTTCTGCGATGTAAGATTCTAAATATTTAATGTCAAAAGAATTATCCAGTTAAACTGTAAATATAGCTTTGCATTCTCTTGATTAATTATGCATCTATTGTTGCAAAGAAATTTATTGAAAAATGTATCTACAGTTGACATTAAAATAATAAGTTTATAAGCCTATAAAATTTTCTAGCAGTCTCTTCCATTATCTTTACAAGTTTTTATTTATTATGTCTAGGCATTGACCATTAGTAATTTGCCATTAGATTCAGGAGATTTGATAGAATTTACTTTTATCCTGTATCATCCCTCCTTGCACAAGAATGGAGTGTTATTTGAAAGAAAACATCCTAAATTAAGTTGAAATGCAAAAGGCATTTTTAAATTCTTTTTTCCCTGTATAAATTCCAAGAAAATTTGCAAGAACATGTTTGACCAGTGGAAAACAAATTATATTATTTCAACTTGCATCTTCAAGGATGTGTGTGTGTGTGTGTGTGTGCGCGCGCGTGTGTGTGTGTGGTGTGGTGTGTTTCTAGATGTTTTAAACAGACCAATAGAGCCTGAAGGCAATTGTCTTGAAGTATATTTCATTTACCACTTCCCATCTTAAAAACAGCCATTCATTCATTCAGTCCATATTATCTATCTCCAATTTCACAGAAACAGACAGAAATTAATAATACTAAATAAAAAGCCACTCTTTGTCTTTATTGCTATATCACACATATGTGTGTGTGTACACACAAATACTTTCTAAATAATAAAGTGGCCAAAACACAAAATCAAAAATTTCAAGGAGCAATTTCTCCCAGAGAAAGAAGTAAAGTTCACTGGGTATCCTGGCAATTTACCACTGGAAATTTTACATTTAGAAGTTTAATTACAAACTTAGATAAGTGGATTATAATGAAAGATATCTCTAGCAAGGGAGCCCAGACAGACGCATCATGAATGCATTAAAGAAAACACCAGAGAGAGAACTTTCCATCAGCAGAAAGATTTTAATTAAACAGCAATAGGATAGATCTCTTCTGTGAAATGATATTACTGTTACCCTCAGTTCATTAACTCTATTTACTATATAATATATTCTTTGAAACTATTTCACTATGGAAAGTATTTTAAACCTTTCATTCTCAGTTATAAGGGCAGAAAAGTGTGGGTAAGAAAAAGGGGAAGGTCCATTAAAGACATGTGGGAATGGAAAAGCATTTCTTGTTTGCATGCTTGTCCTTGGTGAACTGCACCTGAGGTAGCTCCACACTGCATGGAAACCCACGGGCTTCAAAAGAAGGCAAATGAGCCCACAAATGTCCATCAAAATGTCCACTGAATTAATGGTGGTCCGTTAGGGACAGCCAAGGTCATAGCCTGTCTGTGATTTTATTCTTGGCATGAATTAAATTATTTACTTGAGACACTAGCATGTTAAAGACATGTATTTTCAAAAGCTTCAACAATACTCCTGTGGACTCTGCAGCATCCAAACAAAAGTTTGTTCCTGGATGTTAGGGGACATAATTTTCTTCATCTTGTAGTCCTAGTTTGTAGTCTAGACCCACTGGGTGACAGTAGATGTTGAATAAATGAAGAAATGAATGAAGTGAATAGGTAAAGCAAGGTACATTCTATTCCAGTAGTAGATTATGATATAATACAATTAATGAAAAAAAAAGAACTGGGCTAGAAAAGCCAGCAACCTCAAACACATATGGAAAATTGATTACCAATTAGGCTCCTTCCAAAACGCTGCAAAATTCCATTTCTCACAGACTCTGCTAGAAACCCAGCTTTCTTCTATTCATCCCATCAACATTACACCTTTCATAACAAATACTTTCCAGACTGTTGCCAATTCCAAAACTGAAGTAAGAACCAACAGGTAGAATGTTGGAAAATCTCTAAGGTTTTAGGTAGGAACGCTTTTCTGCGTGTAACCATACGTTAAAAATTAAATACCAAACAAATGTTTTCATAAGTAAGCCTTACTGAATAATTAGGTACAATTCTTAAAGAAAATAAATGAGTTATATTTCCTAAACTAATAGTCTTGGAATGTCAGATGCCCTATAGTTTCTTCAAATAACCCCCACACCCCTCCACCTTTTTTCAGAGTTAAGAGTGAATTTCAGGAAGTTTTTAAAGGACCTTGGCCATTAAAAATAACATAGTTTAATATAGTGATTTTTTATTAAAGTTCAAAATATAGCTTCCTACAGACCTGATATTTTATTAACAGTAATACAGAACGTGACCTCTGTCAGCTAGGGAAAAAGAAGTAATACTCAGAAATTCAAAGAACATGAGAAGATGTCTGCGGGAATAAAGCCTGAGAAAGAAAAAAAATTCATAAACTTCTTAAAAGCATTAAAACAAAAATGACAATCTAAATACATTAGGACAAACACAAAGTCAGCTTATGAAGAACTAGGTAAATAAGAAGAATGAAATAGGCACTCTCACAAGTGCTTAAAAAAAGAAATCCCACTTTTTCCTGTGCTCAAAGCGACAATCACACCCACACCATAGGTGTTGACAATACTTTTGGGGAACCAGAGGCAATGCTCACCATCCAAGCTGATCAAATCATCCTCTCATGGAATTGTATATTTATGAGACAATAGGTAACACAATATGTCATCTTACAGGTCATTTGTCACTCTGTTCTGTGGCCACAGCTGCACCTTAACCCTCTACCTGCTTTAAAAATGCTTGTTATTGGTTGCAGGGTGGAAGTCCTGAATAAACTTAGGTGGGATGATGCACTCCAACACATCTTTGCCACTACTTAAAAACATACAGTAGAGAGATTATGATAGAGGATCAATGAACTTATGAGAAGAATACAGCTTTTAACTGGTAACGCCAGCTCCAGGGATGACATCTTCCTAACTGATGGTACTATCTTCCCTCAACAATTTTCAACACATGCTATTGTTTTTCTAAACCTTTCTCTTTCTAGACAAGCTTTTCTTGCATCTTCTAACTCACATGGACAAGAAGAAATGAATGTTGAAGTTAATGTTAAAACATAGAAGAGCATATTGATAGTACTGAGACAAACATTTGAAGGATCAAGGAATCAGAAGAATGTTGGAAGAGATCTCCATAGCTCAAAGTTTCTCTAATACCCTGTGCAGTAATTGAATATTTCCAATGACAGAAAATTAATCCAATGTCCCACCAAGCAGCCCAGTCCAAATATTAGGACATGGATCTCAAATTGAAATAGGTGCTCTCCTTTTTTAATCTAAAGCCTTTGATCTTAACTCTTCTGTTGGTAATTATAGCTAAAGTATGTCTCATCTTTCCCAATGCAATGAAGCTCCAAGCCTTGTCTCTTCTCAGCCAAACATGTCCAGCCCTCTCCACCATTCTCTATGAAGCATGGTTTCCCACATCCTTAGCCAAAATGGCCCCTTTCTCTGGACATGCCTCCAAGAGGCAAAGGGCAGTTCTCTAGGAAGGAGAGGGCTGTGATCCATGAGCAACCAGCATTCACAGTACCTGGCCAGGTAAAGGGGATTTGGACAGGGCAACAACTGCTCCAGAAATAATCCAGTACTGTAATAACCCAGTACAGAAATAATCCAAACTGTGCACAAAAGAATTCATATCAGAACTTATTATTAATTTTAATTAGACACATGGTAATATTGATTAGAAAGGCAGCAACCTAAGTGTCTATTATAATGAAATAATTTTGTCATGTCTTCTCCATGGAGTATTATGTAGCCATATTACTCAGCTATCAAGAGTATAAAAATAGGCCAGGCACGGTGGCTCACGCCTGTAATCCCAACACTTTGGGAGGCCAAGGTGGGCGGATAATGAGGTCAGGAGATCAAGACCATCCTGGCTAACATGGGGAAACCCCATCTCTACTAAAAGTACAAAAAACTAGCCGGGCATGGTGGCTGGAGCCTGTGGTCCCAGCTACTCGGGGGGCTGAAGCAGGAGAATGATGTGAACCTGGGAGGTGGAGCTTGCAGTGAGCTGAGATCGCACCACTGCACTCCAGCCTGGGCAACAGAGTGAGACTCTGTCTCAAAAAAAAAAAGAAAAGAAAATATAGAAAATGATAAAAAAGAAATATGATATGTTTAAAAAGTAACTCAATATTATAGCTGATGAAAATTATGAGCAAAAATACATACATTAAATTTTTGGAAGACATATACTAAAAATGTTCGTTGTATTTGCATGGTAGAAATATGAGAGATTTTATTCTTCTTTGTCCTCTTACTTTTCCAAGCTTCAACAAGAACATTTATTCAGGCTGTGTAATTCAGACTACTTGAATTTTGCAGATTTTTTTCAAAAAAGAAAATCCAGAGAACACACTGTGTGTACCCAACACCAAATGTGGCACAATTTGGAGCATATATTGAGCACTTAATAAGTATCTGCTGCCTGCTTGAGGAAGCCAACTCAGCAAGGCCACTTCACTGAACTGTGTGGATTTTGGCAATTTGTCAGTGAAACAATGTTTTTCCCAGGAAGGAAAATAATCTGCGGCAAAATAAACTGTAATGACTACTTTAAAAATAGTGTTGTTTCCCTATGTAGCCATTCCTCTCTAAGCAGCAAAGACAGGACATGCCTCTCCCTCCGTCATGCAGCACAAAGCTTATCTAAACACAGAGCCACCATCAACTTTTAATGGAAATGCCTGGAGCCAAGCAGGAAGCAGACCCTTGGGTTTCACGGTCCTGTAAATCACCAAGGCTCGTTGCTGGATAACTTTTACATCTTTTATCACGAAAAGTAAAATAAACGTAAATGATTTGTCCCTTGTAAGAGGTTAATATCAGTTTGATTTGTTTTTGTTGAAGCTCAATAATGAAAGCTTACAGTCAAACACAGAAATATCTACTCCTCTCTGCACAGCTTTTCTACCTCTAATAGTTGTGGCTGGAACCCTCTTCCTAAGACCCTAAGCCAACCAAAATACATTGCAACATCTCCTTCTCTCAATATTCTCAGCTCCAATTGGCTTTCTATTCAGAGAAATGAGGCCAAATTCCATCACAATGATAGTCACTGCGACAGCCATCTTTCGGCTGATTTCATTCAGTAGTAGATTAATTTCTGGTGCAAAAGGACCTAATGAGATCAGGCGTGTTCCGGGTGGTATGGCTGTAGACTCTACTGCAAAAGGATCTGGATGGCCCCTTGGGCGCTGTGAAAAGCTGACACACCTAACTTCATGATATTACATCTCAGTATCACAGTGAACAGAATCTCAAGGTTCTGCTCCTCCTCCAGCACTGTATTTCATCTCAAAACTTGCCAACATCAAATAGTGACAAATGCAGAATGCAGAGACCAGGTGGAGTGCTGGGTTCCGGTGAAAACAAGGGGGACATACACACAGAATCACCTTTCAGGATGCTTACCAACTAATCGCCAATGGCTGGGCATACAATGAGTAAAGATTTAATTAACAAAGTAACCTGTGTAAGTGCCAATTTCCCATGACAGACCACGGGTATTCTAGGCACTATTAGAATGACTTCAAGAAGACTTTGAAAGATGAGGTGATTTTAGGCAAGGTTGGAGCATGGGGAAACACACAGAATATCAAACAAGGGAATATTGTGAACTAAAGTGCTGAGATTGGAGAGAAAGCGTAAGCAATAGGTTGAGTCCCCATGGTAAAGGATCTGAAACGTGAAAACTTCTGATTTCACTCTATAAGCAACGGATTTGGAAAATCAGGCCCATTAAGTTAGCAGTTAAGTCCCTGAAAGTAGAAAACAGGGCAAGCTCTCCAAGTGAGAGAATGTGATATAGAAAGAGGAGAAGGCTAAGGGCTAAGTTTTGTAGTCTGCTCATATTCAGGAGGAAGAAGTAGACATTGCTCATTCTGCCTCTTCTGAATAAAATGCTTTTTTCTACTTGATCGCTTTATGAACTTCTCCACAACACTCAAGGCCTAGCATAAAGGACGCTTCATCTGGAGGGTCTTCTCTAGCTCATCTGGGCAGTTATTCACTCCCCAGTTGATGATCCTAAATTATGTTGTACAATAATCATTTACACATTTCTTTCACCCATTCGACTGCGAGCTCCCCAGTGATCAACATCCTGCCTTATTATTTTTTTCATACTCATACCTTAGTGCCTGGCACAGAAACACACTTAATCAATGCTAACCAGGTGTTCAATGTTCAGCAAAGAAGAGAAAAGGTAACCTGGCAGGTAGAAGGGGACCCAAAATGGCAAGATTTTGTGAAGTAAAAGTTAATAATACCTGAAACTGATTTAGATGATAGGATCCTGGACATAGAGCTGATGCTGTTATGAGCAGCAACTCTCAGGGCCTGGAGGAGAAATTACTATACTTTGCAAGTGGGAAAGGTGGGGTCATGGGAGGCCACAGGACAGACTATGGCAGCCAGCTCCAAGATGGACTCTACTGATCCTCACCTCCTGGTATCCACACTTTGTACAGTCCCACCCCTAATGGGAAATTGTGAAAGTGATGGTGTGTGACTTCCTAGACTACTACATAAAATATATTGCAGCTTCTGTCTCACACTTTCTCGATCACTCACCATGGGGAACACCAGCTTCCATGTCATGAGGATATTCCAGCAATTCTATTAAGAGTCCACATGGCAAGGAACTGAGGTCTTCTGCCAACAACCAGCATTAACATTCCAGGCTTGTGGGTGAGTCCCTTTGGAAGCAGATCCTCCAGACTCAGTCAAGCCATCAGATGACTGCAGTCCCAGGTGATGCCCAAGCTGCAACCTCAAGAAAGATCCTGAGCCAGAACCACTCAGCTAAGTAGCTCTCAGGTTCCTGACCTACAGCAACTGTGTGAGATGCTAAATGTTTATCATTTTAAGCTACTACATTTTTAAGTAATTTGTTATACAATAATAAATGACCAATACATTTAGGTTCTTTCAATTTCTCTAGACCTCCTCCCCAAAAGAAAGAAGATAAAAAGGGAGAGTCAGTAACAGCAACTCTTACAGAGTAGACATTTGATTATTCTGCTGGTGGATTAAAGACTGCAAAGTGGAGCAAACCAGATTCATGGGAAAACAAAACTCAAGTCTTCACCCAGTCCTGGCATACTCTGTGACTCAGGGCAAGTCCTTGCATTCTTCTGAAACACTATTGCCTCCCATGTAGAATGAGAATATAATACCTAACTACATGTTTATTGTGGAGTTGTCTTAAGTGAGACAAAATATCTTAAGCACCCAACACGGAATCTCACACATGGTAGGTGTTCAATAAATATGAATGGAATGAGAATCTAAAGGCAGTTCAAAGAGAAACCAGATTTTAAAAGGCTAAGAAATAAGTGGGAGAAATCATTATAGAAGGCAAACCACTAAATAATGAGACCCTAAAATGAGACTTTTGCCTCACTTAATATTCCTATGCCAGGTCCTACCTTCCACATGTAACAAAATAGGTTCATCTCACTTATTCAGCAAATCTCACTCATGCTACCCAAATTGCCAGCCTTCTCCCCATATCCTCATTCAAGGTAAATTAATTTTCCAATACACATTCAGTGGGTACCTACTACATACCAAGTACTGTCCTTGTGCTAAGAATGCAGCAGTAAACAAAATGAAACAGATTAGAAGTGAGCTACGCAGCTATCTGCGAAACAGCGTTCTAGGCAAAACCAACAGTAAGTGCTGATGTCCTGAGGCACTGAAGCCAGTGAGGTTGTAGTGGAGAGAACAACATGAGAAATAGAATGATTCCAGGAGAGCATCAGAGTAGGCCCAGGGCCCTTACAGTCCACTGTAATGACTTTGGCTTTTACTATGAGTAATTTGGGGAGCTTCTGGAGTATTTTGAACAGAACAGTGACGTCATGTGACTTACATTTTAGCAGGATCTCTCGAGATGCTGTGTTAAGAATATATTTGGGAAACCAGGAGACTAGATATGATGCAGTTATGAGTGGCAGTGGAAATCATTATTCAGGCTCTAGAAATATTTTGAAGGTAGTGACAGCAAGATTTGCTGATGGATTAGATGTCAGTAAGAAAGAAGAATCAAGGATGACTCCAACATGTTAGACACAAGCAATTGAAAGAATAAAATTGCTACTAACAGATAGGGGAAGGCTGTGCAGTAAGAGGAACAGATTTAGAATAGGAAGAATATCAGGAGTTCAGTTCTGGATACTGAGACCAAAATGCTTATTATTCATCCAAGGAGAAATAGCACATAGGAAACTGTACACAAGCCTGGAGTTTAGAGGACAGCCTTGGGCTGGTGACATAAATTTGGGAGACATTAGCTAAAAACAGTGTGATATTGGATGAGGACAAGTTAGTGTGAGAATGGATAGAGAAGAAGACCAAGGCCTGCACCACCATCAACGCACTCCCTCTACTCGCATCGCTGTCTCCTTTGAGTTCTCTCATTCTACTGCCCTGGCCTCCTAAGATACCATCCTCAACTCCTCAAAAAAATCATGAATTCAGCTACTCGGGAGGCTGAGGCAGGAGAATGGCGTGAACCCGGGAGGCAGAGCTTGTAGTGCGCCGAGATCACGCCGCTGCACTCCAGCCTGGGCGACAGAGCGAGACTCCATCTCAAAAAAAAAAAAAAAAAAATCATGAATTGTTTTCTCGAATCTACTCCAATGTAAAACTGGGATCCACACTTAATTCCTCCAACACCAGTTTCTGGAATGATTTGGTTTCTCTTACTGTTCTCTCATCATCCACTGATACACAAAGGGAAAAGGGATGGTCAGTCCTGCGCTCATTCCATTGTAGTTCAGCTAATGTGTCTCAGGTCTTCCTTCCCTTCACTCCTGACACTTTCAGTGCTGGGCTGCTCTTTTGGGGCTATACTACTTCTCTTTTTAAAAAATGCCAAAGAACTTACAGTAATGCTGTTTCTGATGAACATAAAAACGCACTGTGGCCAAGTATGCTTGACCATTCAAACTGCCTTTTGGACACACAGAGAAGGGGCATACCTTGCACACACCAGCCACACCAACCTTCTAGTCACCCCCTTCATATCTCATCTTATTTGATCACTGCCACTCGCTCTTCCTTGGAACTCATCTCTAGGAACTTTGTAAATTCTTCTACTCTCTAAGTAGCCTGTTCCTTAACTCTTGGTTACTATAGTTATGATCTATTAGCACATCAGCACAGTGCTTGTTAAACTTGGTCAACTTTGAGTCTATCTTCTCTCCACCAGATTCAATTATTCGAGAAGAGAATTTTTAATTCTAGTTAAGTGGCTTTTAAAACAGATACATGCATAAAACTTACCTCCCTTATAAAAATATTCATAGACATGAAAAGGCCTCATTTCAGACACTTTAAAATTGGTAATGTTTGTTCCTTTTTAAAATGATAAAATGATGGTTCATCAAGATTAAGTGATTTGTCTAAAAGCATTGTTCATAGTGAAGATGTTCATAGTGAAGACTTATGACTCCTGGTTTAGTAAGCTGTTAACATCTCACAAGTACAGAAATAGTAAGTTGATTGGTAGCAGGTGCCAACAGTAAGACACTACTAATCCTAGAGGACATTAGTTCATTGATCTTTTCAGCTGAAACAATCTCATATTCCTTCCCACACGTGGGAAAGAAACAGGAACTGTCAGCCCAACCAGCATTTCCAGGAAGGTCATAAGAACCCAGAGTTCAAACTGTCTCTCTATTCCCGTAATTTGTCCTTCCCTGCTGTCACTCCCATTATGGTTCAATTAACAGTGGAAGCCGGGAGCAACTTGATGAACATCTGTCGCATCCGCCTGGAAATAATTCAATAAGGGCGCACCATGGGAAGATATTATGGGACGTCTGCTTAAGTTTTTTTCCATTTTCACACTGGGTGGTAAAAGCAATTCAGATAATGGGAGGGAAAAGAGTACCTGATCACCTGGAAATATTAGGTCAATTTCCCAGTGTAGCAATCCAACACATATTTGAAAGGAATATAAAAATAATAACAAATGGCTTGGACTTATGAAGCTACATGTTCACAGTGGCATCACTATTTTAGATCATATAAATAAAATATGGTATTGGCAGAAGCTACTGTCAAGTAAAGTATCACTATCTAAATAGTGTGTATTGTGTAAAAGAAGACATTTTTGATGTATTACCTAAGCATTTCACAGGATGCCCAAGGATGATCTGGAAATGGACAGAAATGCAAAGGACCATTAGCCTTATATTGTGTGGCATGAATAGACAATGGCAATAACAACTTAAGAGAGCTGAGAATAAACCACATGTCAGCATGTCTGCAATCCCCACATTGGATAGAACTATAGATTATTTTTACAATGGGCCTTATTTGTTGATTTTTTTCAAAGTAGACATTTTCAATCCCCAAAAGGAAGGATTCCAGAAACAGTGAAAATATGCTGCCCAAGACTAGAATGCTATTTATTTAATAATCATCGCTTTAAATGTATTTTTAATTAACATATCTAAATAACTAATCTCTGTTCACTTGCATCCTTAATTATTTTTCTCCAATGCTGTTTTCAATTATGCTTGTAAGACATCTGTTTGTAATGCTATTACCATCCAAAATAAAGAGTTTGGTTACTAGGCTTAGGAAGAAAGGCTACAGACTCTACAAACATTTCAAATAAAAAAAGAAGGCAGCCAGTGCATAAATATAATTGCCTTCCAGCAGTACAGTGGGTAGTAGACAGAGGAGAAAAACAACTATTCTCTACAGATGCTAGAACAGCAAGGAATGGGTTTAAACTGCTGATATAAGAACCAGAATTTAGTTTAAAAGAGGAAAAATGATAAATCGATGTTCAATAGTGACATGAACACTCTTTGTTCCTCAAATTATTTAAAAATGCAATTATTATGTGAGATTTTGTTGGAGTAGTCATGTATGAATTTAGCAACCCAGATCTGAACCTTCAAATCACTACTTCAGATACACATAATTCTGTCTTCACTTGATAGCCCTGGATTTAAGTAAGCTTAAATTCATTCGTGTGTGTGTGTTTGTGTGTGTGTGCATGTGGTGTGTTACATATAATGAATTATATAAATTAGCAAATTTTACATAGCTATAGAACCACATTATAGACATTGAATAAGATAGATCCAAATGTAAAATTAAACAAGGGAGAGAAAAGACGGGATGCCTAGGACTTGGTAAAAGAACATCTGCTTTAACACTTTGGCAGTTAGGGAATAAAAAGCACAAGTTGCTGCCACTTTCAGCCATTTACTGCTGCATCTGGTGGGAACGCAGGCATGTGGTTACCATGAGTGCACAGTCCCAGTGGGATCAGAGTGGTTCCAGCCCAAGCCTGAGTCCAGGGTGGCCATGCCCAGTGTCACATGGAGAGCCTGACCCTGGTGACCCAAGGACAGATCATTTTGTTTGTTGTTAAACATGTAAACTTGATCATATAACTTCATGAATTCATATTTCCAAATTGGTGGCAATTTCAAATCAATATAGCCAATTTAAGTTTTAATTTAATGCTTATATAGCAAATCATTTTTATAAAAGGTAAGTCATGTTCCTGATATTGTAGAAATGAAAACAGTCAAAATGAAAACCAATGAACTAAAATGAAATTTTCAAAACAGAATTACATCATATCAAGAAACCAATCTAGGTCTCTATTCTAAAGGAATAAAAATAAGAAAAGTAAAATTAACTAAACTTCAGAAAAGTTGTTTATGAAATCTTAGATCACTTTCTCTCTCATTCTCTTTCTCTCTTTGGGAGAAAATACTAAACTGAAGATTCAAGGAAAACAATTAACAGGAAGTCTGAACACTAGTCAAATATCCAGCTCATGGCTGGGTGTGGTGGCTCATGTCTGTAATCCTAGCACTTTGTGAGGCCAAGGTGGGCAGATCACCTGAGGTCAGTAGTTCAAGACCAGCCTGGCCAACATGGTGAAACCCCATCTCTACTAAAATATACAAAAGTTAGCCAGGCGTGGTGGCGGAATCCTGTAATCCCAGCTACTCAGGAGGCTGAGGCAGGGAGAATTGTTTGAACCCAGGAGGCAGAGGTTTTGGTGAGCTGAGATCTCGTGATTACACTCCAGCCTGGGTGACAGAGTGACTCTGTCTCAAAAAAAAAAAAAAAATCCAGCTCATTATAATGGAGTGATCTGTGTCTTCAAGAGCTAAGTAAATTGACCTAAGTTCAAGAGAGAATTTAGTAGTGACATTAAAAGTCATTTTAAAGAAAATTTGGAAAGAAGCATGACACTGAATGCAATACTAAGACCCTTTTGATGAAACATAACAAACAAGCACTGGCCTCAGCCTGTTAAAAAGGTGGTTGAGATGTGTTTTGGAAGACCCCTCAACCTTTCCTAACAGTCCCATCCTCCCAACTCTCTAAATGCCCAAGTTTATCTGATTCCCTCTTGCTAATGTGGGAATCATCCGTTCATCAACTCATTCAACAAGCCAGAGTCTACCATATGCCAGTGACTGTCCAAGAACAGAAGTGCCCTGCTCTTCACTGACATACAGGAAATTAAGAACTAAACAAATAATTACACAAAATTATTCCTGAAAGTGATAAATGCCACTAAGGAAATGAAAAAGTGTGGTGTAATAGAAAGTGCTTATGGGAGTATGAACGTAGGTGGTGGATAGGGAAAAACTTCCTTGAGAAGGTGACATTCAAGTTGAGACTTAAATGGTAAGAAGGAGCCAGCCATGTGAAGATCTGGGGAAAAGGAGGGGGGTAATCCAGGCAGAGGAAAGAGTTTGCAAAGGCCACAGGAGAGGGTGCACTTGGTGTCTTTGAGAGCAAAATGGTGATCCTTGGAGTTGGATCATAATCAATGAGGGAGGGAGTGATAAGAGAAGAATGAGGGAAGCCCGGGCGTGATGGCTCACGCCTGTAATCCCAGCACTTTGGGAGGCCCAGGCGGGCAGATCACCTGAGGTCAGGAGTTCGAGACCAGCTTGGCCAACATGGTGAAACCCCGTCTCTACTAAAAATACAAAAAATAAATAAATAAATAAATAAATAAATAAATAAATAATAAATAAATAATAGCCGGATGCGGTGGCACGCACCTGTAATCCCAGCTTCTCAGGAGGCTGAGGCTGGAGAATCACTTGAACCTGGGAGGTGGAGGCTGCAGTGAGCCAAGACTGTGCCACTGTGCTCTAGTCTGGGCCACAGAGTGAGACTCTGTCTCAAAAAAAAGAGAGAGAAGAAGAAGGGAAACAGGCAGGTGCCAGGTCATAGACGTCCTCTAAAGTCATGTTAAGTAGTTTGGATATTCTAAGGTAAAGGAAGCGATTTTAAGATTTTGTGGTGAGAGTAGGGTGGTGTGTGAATAGGGTAGAAAGGTGATATGATCTGATGTATACTGGAAAATCCATATATATATATACACTCAAATTTTAGTCAAGATGTACCCACTCTTCACTTCATACATGTAAATAATATTCAAGTCAAAAAAATGCATACATAAATATACAGAAAACCAAAGAGATATATCTCTATAAAGGAGACGCGAGTAAGGCTAAAGCCATAAGCATTCTCAGTTCCATGACTGGAAACAGGCAGAAGGAACCACAAATCCATCAGAGGCAGAAAGAAAACTAACAATGCTTACATATCACAGCAGACCACATTGAGACTAATTATTTGAAGCCAGTGCCTGGGAAAGGGCTTCTTATATTTTAAAGAGAAATTTAAAAAGAATAAAACCCCTTGCTGCCCATCACCTGGGGCAATGGCTTATAGGAAAACATGGGGGAGAGAGACGCTACAGATACTAGCAATCAAGATCTGAAACATGGTGCCCAATGATTCTGTGGTTGGATTTCCCACATCCCAAGTATCACCATGAGCTGGGAGCACAAAATGTCATCATAAAACCCTACACAGAGAGAGCTAAGTAAAGACAGAGGAAAAACACTGTTGAACTACTTCTCATTGAAAGTGATCTAGTTGCCTTTCCTTTCACACTTTCCGTTCCCAACTTATCTTTCTTTCTTATCCCTTTCCAGCCTTAGCAAAAAGAGTGTGCATAGAAGCAGGACAATGGAGGACAGTTAGTGCTGTGCTAAGGCCATGGTGCTGTGCACTTGAGAAAGGGATGGAACAGAGCTGGGGGCCATGGGAGGACATCACTAGAGACAGGCCTGATGGGGAAGGAGTGCGGGGTGGTTAGAAAGTTGTGTAGTTAAGGAAATGTGCCCACTTATGAAGCAAAGAAGTAAATCTATGAAAGATAATAAGAGCCATTTCTCACTCTCTAAGAAAAAATTTATAAACATGAATAAAAGATGAAAATGAATCCCAAAATTTTCAACTGGAGTTGAGAACATTGGTATAAATTCATAGAACAAAAATACATGCATATAGAAACAGATATGGATGTATGCACATATGTAAGTGTGTGTGAGAGTGTGTGTGTGTAAGTATGTGTCTGTGTGGTATTTTATTCCCCCCCAGCTGTTTCCTAAGAGGGCCTAGAAGCAATGACATTTCACTACCAATGTGCACACTGAGTAACCTGATCTGGTATTGAAATGCCATCCTCCAGGAATAAATAGCTAATTCTAGGCTGAGTTAATAAATATACAAAATGATAAGATGAGCCTAGAGCATCCTGTTGTGCCAGAAAGTAAGAAAACACTCAAAGATTGGGTGGGATGGAGATATGTTAAAAGAACACAAATCAGCTTGAAGAGGTACCTCTGGCCAAATCTAGGACAGTTTAGGCATCACACACACACAAACACAAAACTAATGAGAGTACATAATTATACCCTGTTGAATAAATAGGAATCCACGAGTCCATATAATTAAATAAATGATGAGATGGAAGGGAAAATTATTTCTCACAATAGAATGCTAATCTGCAAATGTAAAAAGAATGATAGAACTAGGTAATCACCATTTGGCAATTACAATAGTGGTAGTTAATTCAAGAAAGAGTCATCAATGAATGCCAAGTCTGATAAATGAAGGTTTGGCATAATACGGCAGTATCTCCCCACAAAATGTTACTCAAACACAAAGGTAAAGAGGTCATTTTAAAGGTAAAGTATGTAGAGGCACCATCTTGACCAGGTTATCAAGGTTAGCATCACCAGTATTGGATGGGTCAGCATTGTGTGCCTCCTGAGATTAAGCAACAAGAATAGCATAGAATCATTTCTATGGTATCCTGCCAAGAATGGATGGCTGGAGTTTGGTCATGGGGAAACACCAGACAGACCCACATTAAGGTTTATCCTACAAAATAAAGGCCTGTACTCTAAAACTCTTTAGGACATGAGAGATAAGAGAAATATGGAGGAACTGTTCCCATTTGAGAGAGACTACTGAGACCTGACGACTAAATGAAACACAAGATCCTGGATTCCATATGGACCACAAAGGAATAAGAGACATTGATAGGACAGATGGGGAAATTTGAGTGAGGTCAGCAGAATGGAAAACAGTATACCAGGGTTGATGTCCTGAACAGAGGGCTGTACAGTGGAATATAAGAGAGTGTCCTTGTTTCTGGGTGGGAAACAGTAGAGTATTCACAAACACACGCACATGAACACATACACACACATGCACATGCACACACACACATGCACACACACACACATGCAAAGTGGTGGGATGGGGAAATATATAAAATGTTAACAATTAGGGAAACTGAGTGATAGGAAGGCAGAAGTACTTTCAACCTTTCTGTAGATTTGAAGCAGTTTCAACATTTTTAAAATCATATACAATTTTTTTAATGGAAATGCCAAAACACATGAAGAAATTTAATGGTATGAAAGACAGCAAGTTCTGTTCTAAACAATCAGAACTTGAAATCACCAAAAATAAAATTAATTTTGTGTGACACTGCAAAAATAAAAATATTTAGAGTGCTCTTTTAGTTATAAAATGAAAATAGTTTTTAATACAAAGATAAATCATAAAGCAAAGACAGGCATAAGTTATATTAAAAGAAAACATATAAAAGAACAAAATCAAAACCACAGCAATTGTATTAGTTTTATATTGCTACCATAACAAATAATCACAAACTTAGCAGCTTAAAACAATACTCATCATCTAACAATTTTTGTAGGTCAAGTCTCAGTTTGGTGTGGCTCAACCAGTGCCTCTTCTCTGAGTCTCACAAGACCCTAAGGCATGGTGTTAGCAAGGCGGTGTTCCTCTCTGAGGGCTCTGTGGAATAATCTACTTCCATTCAGGTTGTTGACAGAATTCAGTTCCTTGTAGAAGGACTGAAATCCTCCCCTGTGGTTTTTTGGTTTTTTTGTTGTTTTGTTTTGTTTTGTTTTGTTTTGTTTTGTTTTGTTTTGTTTGCCAGCTTTCAGCCCAGGACTGCCTTACCTTCTAGAAACAAGTCTCTATTTCTTCCACATGTCCCTTTATAACTCAGAATCCTTTCCCTACTCAGAATCTCTCTGACTTCCTCACTTCGTTGTATCTCTTCTGCATTACTCTTCTGTCACATCTCTCCACTTTGAGCCAGAGAAAGTTCTCTGCCTTTAAGGGCTCATCTGATTAGATTGGGCCCATTTAAACAATCCAGGATCATCTATTTTAAGGACCTTATATAATCTTAATTAAATCTTCAAAGTCTCTTTTGCCATATAACTTATCAACAGGGAATAAGATATGAGTGTCTTTTTGGGGCCCTTATTCTGTTACTACAAATATATATATATATATAGTTGTGTATTGAATTATTGGCCTCAATTCTTCATCTTTCCCTGTGGTTAGATCCTTTGTCACTGATTTTGAAATTCCTCCCACAATGGCAGGATATTTCCACATCCTTTGAGGATATTTCCACATCCCTTGATTTGGAGCTTAGCCAATATGAATTACTTTGTCCTGTAGAAAAAGGCTGTAACGATACAAGACTAGGCCTTAAGAGACTTCAAGTATTTCTATTTGCCATCTTATATCTCCAAAGCCATCATGAGAAAAACATCCCTCTCTAGGCCCCGGTTCAAAAAACAGTAGAGGCAAATAGAACAAAGTCACCCCAGTTGAGTGCAGCCCAGATCAGCTAATTTCCAGCTGACCCACTGACATGTAAACAATAATAAAAAATAGTTTTAAGCTACTATTTGGATAGCAATTTCATTTGCAACAAGACCTAACAATACAATGACATAAATGTTAGCCTAAAAGTAGTCAAAGAAAACTTTAAATAAATCAGAAAGTATTACTGGAGAATTTACACAGAATCCAGGATACAAAGACAAAAAGCAAAAAATAATGGCAAGGTGCTGCTGTTAAGAGACATGGGGAGTGGAATGAAGAGCTATATACCATGCAAATGATAGCAGAAAGAAAGAATAAAGAAATGGTGGACAAGAATACTTATAGCAGATGAGAATAAAAGAATGGTATAAAAAGATAATTATAGAAATAAGAGATGAGACTTCGCCATAATTTAGGAAATATACGAATCCTCAAATGAAAAGAATATGTTAGGTATCAAGCAAGATCATTAAAGATAAATTCATATTTAGATATACAGAAAAACTGAAGAACACACCAATATATTTTTGAAAGACAAAATTTTCAGAAAGAAAAGTGAGATGACCAGAATAATAGAAAAATTACTCTGATGGCAGAGTATTCATCAGCAACAAAAAATCGTGCAGCAATATCTTCCAATAGCTGAAGAAAAATAAATTTAAATCTCTCATTTTATAACCAGCTAAATTATCACTCCTGGCTGAGTTCAAAATAATGATAGTTTAAGACATATAAACACTAGGGCTTTTAAAAATTATTAAAGGATATACTTCCAAAAGAAGAGAAGTAAAAATAAAGGGAAAATGTAGGACATAAGCAATAGTGAGCACAAAATATTCATGAAACTACATTATTAAATTAAAACTATAATTAAATATTAGCTATAAAATAATTATTTTTGCTTAAAAATAGGTAGAAACTATCCTGTATTCATTGCCAAGCAACAAATGGAAAAAAAGTCCCATATCATTAGTAATTAGGGAAATTAAAATTAAAGCCATACTCACATTTTTTTTTTACACTTTCAGCCTGAAAAAAAGTTTAAAATGCCTGCCATTTAGAAGTCTTGCAACAAGAAACTCTTACAAGCTGCTAATGGTAGAGTCACCAGAACAACCCTTTTTAAAAATTGACATCACTGAGGGAAGTTTGAAGATGTATATTTTCTTTATCCCTGAAATTACACTTGTTTTATATCATTTGCTTTACTTTTCTTTTAGGCAATATTAGAGAGGTCTTTCCAATGTGCTCAAAGAGAAAAATATACAAAAATGTTCACTGTTTCACTGTTTTCCATGGCATAATATTGAAATGACCTAAAAAACCATTCAGAAAAGAATGGATAAATAATTTTAATGTACTCATACAATGCAGCATTATACAGTTGTAAAAATTGATAAACTAACATTGTATTTATTGACATAGATAAATCTCAAAACACATAAGATTAAGTGAAGAAGCAAATTGCAGAATGATACATAAAGTATGAAACCATACTTTATGGCTTCATACCATAGAGGTATGTTTAAAAATGTCAAAAAATATATTTTATAAAAGCATATATATGCAGTGATAGAATTAAAATATATATTAGAGTTATTATAAACACCAAATAAAGGATACTGCTTAACTCAGCAGAGGTGGAAGGGAACAGTTTTAGGGCAAAAACATAAATGACTTCCAATGTAAAAGTAATGGTAGGATATTAAAAAACCTTTTGAAGCAAATATAAAAAAACTATTAAGATTTGATAAAGCTAGGTGGTTTATGCCTAGGTGTTATATTGTTTGTTTTACCTTTCTGTATGTCTCTAATATTCTGTAACAAAAATATCTAAACAATTTTTCTAAATATTATTCAGGTTATTTCTCTAGAGAATGAAATGCAATCTGGAAGGCTATTTGAGTGCATTAGCCCTCCCAGGGGTGGACATATTTGCAGAAGACAACCAGAGAGATCAAGGCTATATTTACTGCTATAATGCACTAATGGATATATATCAGACTCCCCACCCCCTGCATGTTTCACTAGGAGCTAGGATGGGGACAGGACATCCCTGTTCCCCTCAAATCTCTCTAGCAAGAAGATTTTCTGTTCTGCCCATCAGTAAGTCTGGCCATAGTTAGGCACAATTAGCAACTTTAATAGCATTTAAGATCAGGCCATCTCAAAGCTTAGAGAAGCAACATGGTGCCTTGGACAGAGTACAGGTTTAGATGGCAAAAAGACTAGCGTTCAAATACTCCTTCCCAAGTTATTTAGTAAGTCCTTTAATCTTCTCAATGCTTCAGAATTCTCATTCTCAAAATGAGTTTAGCATTACTTTACTGGCAGAGTATAGTGAGCAATAAACGAAACAACATATAAAAGCTATGGCACCTACTAGGCACTCAACATGTTAGTCTCTTAAACTTCCTTCAAACAACATTGATGTAAGCAAAGACAAAATGCATCAGAAACCAGATGTATCAGTGGTGGTAAGGGGATGTGTTTTACAATAAAGAAAATGCAAGTCTTTACAATGTAAGATATCAGATTGCATATGTATTTGAATAAGTCAGGTGACATTTCTCAGTATCAACCTCCTCATCTTGGAAATGGGAATTAAAAAATTTAACTTGCAGGGTTATTAGAATACTCAGAGATGCCATAAAGTGCTAGGCTCAAAAAGACATTCAATAAACAGTAGCTGCTATTGTTGCTGTCAAAATTATTATTGTCTAAAAACTGAGAGAGAAGGGAGTAAAAGAGGAAAAGAAATTGGGAATTTGTGATCACAGAGTGAGAAATTAATTATGAATTTTTAAAACACCAAAAGTCTTGTTCAATTTAACATGTCTCTAAACAAACTTTCAAGAGAATAAGAACATTTCATTCTCAATAAAACTTTGCATAACTAAAAACCCCTAGAGCTTTCTCAAAATGATTGACAGATTTACTTCTAGGCAAAAATTGGATTAAAAGATACAATAAATACTTAGGTTTTAAGTCTTCATTGCCCCTCACAAATATATTCAGGAAATCATAATAAAATCTAAAATTATGATTTTCAAATTAGAGCTATTTCTTGAAAAATTATTAGAATTTATATTACACACTTAATTTAGCATCTGTCTTTTTATCCTATGTTCTTTTGCTAGTTTTCAAATCTCCAAAACTGTATGTTATATCACTGGCTGTCAGAATGTGGTCTCTGGACCTGCAGCATCAACAGCACCTGGAAACTTGTTAGAAATGCAAATTATAGGGCCAGATCCCAGCCCTACTAATTCCCAAACCCCAAGAATGAAGCCCAACAATGTTTCACAAGCCTTCCAGGTGATTCTGATGCATGCTAGAGTTTTAAGATGCACTGGGCCGCCTAATAGTAAATTCACAGCTTCCAAATCTTGAGGAGACTAGCACAGTGTTATCTGTAGTGCTCTGACCACATTTGACAGAGAAGCACTGTACAATGTTGTACAGGAATTGTGCACTGTATGAGAAACCTGGATTAGAAGACCTCTAAGATCTCTTACATCTTTGATGCTACAAATAATGGTCTCTGTATTTGCAGAAAGTGCTTCAAAACAGATAGCAGATTCCATATGATGATCTTTTAAGTCCCTTCCACCCCCACAGTGAGAGACAACCCAGTATGGTGTGAGGGGAACCTTTAAATGCACACTGGAATCTTGGCAAATGTTTTCTCATAAGAAGGGAGGAATAAGGCTAAGCTGGGCTGCATGGTTTTAGAATTCCACACCCTGTGCTTCTGATATATTCATTCAAACTAAATAGAAGCCTGAAGTAGAGAAAGTATCCTGCCAATGTGTAAGGTAAACATTAAAGGCAAGAATCTCAAAAGACAAAGTTCTGCTTACATGCTTTTTGACCTGCTTTTGAAGGGTGGGATGTAGGTAGACTGCCTTGGTGGGCGCTGACAGAAAGACCCTGTCAAGCAAAGGGATTCTGTGTCCCTATAGAGAATCAGCCAGCAATCATATGCAGTCATACAACTCTTATCCAAGGTTGCCACAAAGAAGTATCTTAAAAGAAATAGATTCTGTCTATGAAAAAATCCAGATATATAGTCAGCTTTTTCTAAACTGGGCACTAAGGACTTTATCAGAAAGCCATGGGGCCCCTCCCAGGAATACCCATAATCTTTGCTCCATGAGACAGAAATCACCCCCAAACTTTCCAAAATATCCTTTCCCCTCTGAGCCTGTAATCCTATCCAAATAGAAAGAGGATTCCCGATTCTAAGAACTGCTTTCCAGAGTGTTCTAGATAAAACTAAAATCAAGTAATCCTTAATGCATATTCACTTCCATCATGGAAAGTCCACCACTCTGAGATCCTATTGACCAAATCTGATTTTCTCATTCTGCATTTATTCCCACTTCTCCCTGACTTTATTAGCAATACTGGCCCCTCGGCCAGTAACAGAGTCCTCTCTAAGTGGGGTAGAAGGCTTCCTTTCCGGACGTTTATTCCAAATCAAAGCAATTCCATTTACTATTTCCATCCAAATGAAGATGTGTTCACAAGGCATCTTCATTCCCACCTTTAATTCAGCTGTAAAAGTCTTCTAGATTGGAAAAAAAATAGAAAAATTATATTCAATGAAAGATTTTTCAAATGTTTCTCCTGTGGCCAGAACTAAGCTTTACATAAACTCTAAATAACCCATATGATTACACACAGACCCAGGAGAATATATAAAAGATGAAGTCTCAACTTTTCATCACTATTTTTATTATTGATATTTATTGCATATCAATAGAGTCCTAGGAAATAGAGTTGCTAGTAAATCCTAATGCTGTCCTAAAGGTAATATGGAAATCTGTGTATCGTAAAACCCATACAGTGCTTCAGTGGGTGATTTTCTTCTGCACCTACCAAGCTCTGGTCATATTCCTGCTGAATTCTACATTATACAAGTAAAAAAGTTATATCCTAGTAGGGCAATTTTCAATGTATAATTATAATAATGCCCATGTTGCCTGCACTCTGTATGAATTACTAAGTAAGGTTAAAATGGAATCACAGAGTGCTTTTCAATAAAATTAGGGCATCCATAAACGATTCTTATGTTAATTATTTAGTATTAGCTTCATACCTAAAGAAAATCAGGCAGGTACTGGGGTGTTGCTCCTGCTTCTCATAATATATAAATTTTATTATCAAATTACTGTAGCAGAAAGTGTTTTCATTTCTTTAATGAACAAAATGATCACATTTCCTAGTTATGACTCCTTTCCCACACAACACTAAGCATGAAAGGTAATCTTAAGAGTGGCTTCAAGACATCTGCTCAGTACCTGGTGTCTCCTTAGTTACCCAACCCAGGGTACGATAACCCAGGGTATGAGTGTGATAACCAAGGAGACAGAAGAGGCAGTGACTCAGGAACCCCAAACTCTCAAGCCAAATTGCTGTGGATGTTGCCATGGAAAATGCAACAAAGACCTCATTTTATCTGGAAGACTCCACACCCCACCCTTGATTCAACCCCTGGGGTTAAGCATCCATCATTAATACAAATAGAAAATCCCTTGCTCGTCTTGGGAAGTCTAAGGAGTCATCCCTCAGCCAAGATGAGGGACAGTGACAGGAAGATGACCGACTACCCCCTGTGCTCACCAGAGCCCCTCATCAGTCCATCCACACCATGGCCAGTCACGGGAATGATCCCAATACCCCTTTTGTATAAACAACATACTGTGGGAGCTATATCATATCTCAAGAAATCAGTGGAAACTTCTAATTTCAGTTTCCAAATGTTCAGGAATAAGTTGTGATGAGGAATGAGGAATAACCTCTCTCTTCAAGTTCATGCTTACAGACTACTTAAATCTAATCTAGAAGAAACAAACAAGCACATCTTGCCTTAGTATACTACCGCCACTCCTCTCCTAAACCAAAGTTCATAATAGGTTAGCACAACATTCCAGCCTGTAATTGCTTACATAACAGTGCCTTTCTGATGTTCTTCCTTTCTCATATGAAACCCCCAAAATGAAAAGAATTTATATTTAAACAATGACTTGTACCTGCCTCAGTTATGCTCTTATGATTAAATGTTTTATGGGGCAAAATAAATACATAAACAAACCAGGGTACAAAATCTTGTTAGAAAGCTTATTTAAAATCTGCACACCTCTTTCTGCCACACTGTGAAATATGTTTCCCCAGATGCTGCAAAGTTAAAAAGAAAAACTTCTTTTGCTTATCACGGCTTCTCATCCTTCCCTGAAGCAGAATTTAGTATCAAGGCCAGGTCCTAAATTCTTGCACTGCCTTTTGCACTAAGCATAATAATGCCCACTGTTACCCTTTGATTGAGCTCTTCATGTCTTCCAGAAGCCTCCCTTTACCGCTACGCTATTCATATCTTCCAATCCTTTCACCTCCTCCATAGGAATGTGCCCAGATGCTCCAATGCACAACAGTCTCTCCCTTTTCTGAGGCTTCACAACATCTCTAGAGAATTACAATCCTGTTGGCCCTCCCAGATCCAAAGCATGTTCTTTTCTCCCTCTGCCCTGGATCATGTCCAAGGTTTGAGTTAATAAGTCTCTCTCCAACTTCCAGTTATCTAGAAGCAGATGCAAATGGCGTTTGGAGCACAAGACATTTACTAGGTATCAACACATATGAAAGGAAGAAGGGTGAAGTGAGCAGAAAAAGAAAGTGAAGTGCAATTCAGGCTTGTTAAAGTGTTGGCAAACCTAGCTTAGAGCTTTGGAGAGAATATTGCTTATTAAGAGCTATACCACCTTGCACTCTGATGGCTAGGCCTTTACATGTTCTCCTACCTCTCCAGCTGTGGGCTGCCCTGAACTGGGCATGACCTCAGGCAAGCAAGCTCTCTGTAGCTAAGACAGATTGAAAGAGCTGACAGTTGGAGGCTGTCTAACCACACTGCTGCTTCCTTCCTGAAGGAGAGCTCATCTCCATCTCCACGTCTGCCTCAATAGTCATCACCTATGTGTGCTCAGATCCAATCTTAGCCCTTCTCCAAATTACCTTTCATGAGTTTCCAATTCCCTTGCTAGGCTTGGTCATCAGGAGACAATGAAAGGAGGTTGGAGAACAAAAGAAAAGGAGAAACCAGAAAACCGATCTCTCTGTCTCTCTCTCTCTCTCTCTCTCTCTCTCTCTCTGTTTTGGGTGGCCTCTCCTCCTTGGTGCCAGCTTTTGCTGAAAAATCTTGCCCTAGGTAGATACAGATGCAGCATCCAATATGCAGGACAGCTGTAATTCCAGCTTCCACCAAGTGGCCCCAGTTCCTAAGCTTTTGCAACACTTCTCCCTCCCTTGTTCCTCTGGATTTAGGAATGCTGGTAGCTTTCAGCTGTTGCCTCATAGTTACCACATTGTCCACTGATTGGCTTCTCCACTCTTCCAACACCTACGTTAACCCCTGTGTTAAATTCTCTCTATTTAGGTCTCTAGAATAATTTTGGTATACCTGACTGGATCCCGACTAATAAAACTTTATCAGAATCAAAACCACATGTACAGGCCCAACATCTGAAAAAGATCAAAATCACAAAGCTCTGCCTAAAGGGGGTTGGAAGAACATTGCTTTCAGTCTGAGAGAGGCCTCTGGCCTCTCAGAGTATAGTTTGAAATCCCTGTGGATGATTCTTAAGTGTGATGGTATACACTGCCCCCAGAGCTGGGTACAGTGAATAACTGTTGGATCATGGAATTATGTAAACTGGAATAAATCCATAGTGTTCAAAGGATTCTGTGTTCCTAGGAGAACAAGGAGTACCCCCAGAACCCCACCATATGACAACACATCAGAGAAGCAGCCACCCCAAAACTGTCAGGGCACTATATTTGGGACCCTTCTTTGCCTACTCAGTACAGAGAAACATCCTAACTAAAATATGTACCATTTACCTGCAAATCAGGTAACAAGTGACTGCACATGGATCAGCTGTAGATATCAGTAAAAGTAGATGCAAGCCACCAGTACCACACTGAGCTCACTGTTGGTTCTACACATGCCTGTCTCTTCCATCGGAGTGTGGCAATATCTCTGTCTTATTTATCAGATTCCACCCCTAAGAAAGTACAAGACATAAACTAGATTCTCATTCCTGTACTCTTCTCTTGAATGGTAAAAAAGTTTTATGTAATATTTTTTTCTCCATTTTAATGGCTTCCCTATGCATGTGGTGATGGTTATGATGCAGGAGAAAAGAACAATGGACATTCACGAATACGATTCCATTATGAGGGATAAGCATGTTAATATAAGTATCATCAGAGAGAAATTTACATAAGCCAGGATGCCTCTTGGGAAGTGTAAGAAATGTAATGTTTGAACAGACTTAATAAAATTCTAACTTTTCTCCCAATAGACACCAATAACTGTAACAATGGGACATTGCCTTACTTCCAATGAATGATTACCCTCGACAATAGAAGTATAAACAGTGCTCTTAAATCTGTTAAGTTTCACGAAAGAAAAAGCAATGCCGTATTTGGAAGCAAAGGAAGGAAGCAAAAAAAAAAAAAAAAAATGAAACCACTCGATACGAGTGAACAGTTATTTTGGTTATTTTGCTCAAATTCAAAATTACAATAACATTCTTCTGGAAAGGGAGACCATGCCAGTCAGTACCTGATTAGAGTACATTATTCAGAAGGGGCAAGGAAAGAACATTTATTGAACAATTAAAGTACATGAAAGACTGTGCTTCATGTTTTCACCTGCATATTCTTGTTCAATTCCTAAAACAAATCTGAGAAATAGATTCTCATCCCACTTCATAGAGAAAGAAACAGAGATCTATAAAGATTAAGTTATTTGCTCAAAGTCAGATAATGAAGTAATGGGTTCAGGAATCAAAGCCAAAGCAACCTAAGGTTGAATTCCCATAATTCTTCACCCCAACTGTTCTGTGATTTGGGTGAAATTATTGCTCCCTTAGTGAAAGTGTTTTATTATTTTCAAAAAAAGGTTCTTCTCAAAGAGGAGACAAGTTTACCTTGTGCTTTACTTCCAAATGTCAATTTTAGGAACATAGCTCAGTTTTTATTCTCCTAATAACCCTGAGATAGAAACTAGGGGTTTTATTATCCTGTTTTCCCTGAAATCACCTCACTGAATAACTTTTCTAATTATTGCTTTCTTGCTAAGATAATATCTGTTAAATGCATGCCTTATCTGTGAACTGATACTCATCAACTTATTAGAATTAACCTGTCTTTGACCCTCATAATGGGGCCAGATTGATATAGCTGAGATTAATGAATCAATTATTTTTGGACAAGGAACAAAGAACACAAACTGTTTCACACTGTTAGTACTTCTTTGGCTTCTCTACTTCCTGTGTAGCTTTTGACACCTATAAAATAACCCAGCGCAGTTCTTTTTTTCCAAGTTAACAATGAGAAATGCTAGTATTTTCCCAAGAACACAGAAATCATTCAGATGAAAAAGGAAGTGATAATGCAAGAGTGCAAGATGTTCTTTAAAAACAGTTGTCCTTAAATCCTTTCATTTGACAAATTCATGCTTCCACAGACGTAGCTGCCTCAGAGTGTCATGGAGACAAAGTTTGCTATCATGATAGTAGGTATGACATTCCATACACATCTGCTTGCATGAACTGATCCCTTCATTTCTTCAGAAAAAATAAGCATATTTTTATTTTCTTTGCAGAAGGTCAGGATACATACAGCTGCAATAATTAAGAAAAGTTTGGTTTTCTTTTCTTTAATTTTACAATTTACCTACCACCCATCTACTGACTTTTCCCAAATATGTGTCTCTAGCTCTGACTGCTAGTCTGAGATCCAGATTCGTAAGCAACCATCTAGAAGATACACCCAGCTGTGTATTCTTGTAGGTGTCTCAAACTCCTGCATCCCCACCAGGAAGTTCACCCAGCAAAATAAAGCCAAGAATCAGCTTTTTGTGTTATAATACGCTGAACAATAATTTCTCCTATTCCTGCTTTTAGGTATTTTTATCATTTCTTTTTCTTTTCCTCTTTTTTTTTTTTTTTTTTTGATGGAGTCTTGCTCTGTCACCAGGCTGGAGTGCAGTGGCGCAATCTCGGCTCACTGCAACCTCCACCTCCCAGGTTCAAGTGACTCTCCTGCCTCACCCTCCCGAGTAGCTGGGACTGTAGGTGCACACCACCATGTCCAGCTATTTTTTTTTGTATTTTTAGTGGAGATGGAGTTTCACCATGTTGGCCAGGATGGTCTCAATCTCTTGACATTGTGATCCGCCTGCCTCAGCCTCCCAAAGTGCTGGGATTACCGTCATGAGCCACTGCGCCCGGTCTTTTTTCATTTCCATAACAAATGTGCATTACCTTTAAAACTGAATATATTAAACATTAAGTGTAAACAAGTAAAATATATTTTTAAGCACACTACGGAGTCAGACAGATGGGTTCAAGTCTTAGTTCTGATATTTCCCACTGTAAAACTTTGGCCAAGGTATCTATATCCCCTTGGAGTTCCAGTTACTGGTATGTAAAATGGGGTTTGAAATTCTTACCTCATAGGGCTGTTAGAAGAATTGCCTAGGAGTAATGAATACAAAGGACTCAGCACACAGCAAGTGAACAATAAATGCTAGCCTCACTGATGATAGTATAGGAAGCTCTTCTTGATATTAAATATATTCCCTCTCCTTTGGTAGCACCACCAACTATCCAATCAAACCAAAAAATCTGGAATCATTCCATATTTTCCCCCTCATTTCCCACAGCCCTAATTTCTTGTTCTGTCACTCTACTTACTGCATGCCCCTTGACTTAATTTTTCTTTTTCCCCTATCATCTTTTTCCATTGGGTTTCCAGCAGGCTTATTCCCTTCCAATCACTTCTCCATATACCATCCAGAGCAAGTTCCCTGGAATATAACTTGGATCATACCCCTCCTGTGTTTCAAATTCTCCAGTGACCCCCATCTTTAGGATAAAGTTCAAGCTCTTTATCAAGACATTCAAAGCCTTTGTTGATCTGGACCTGTTTACTTTGACAGTCTTATATTCTGCCAATCCTTCGAACTTCCAATGCCCCAAACACAGAGGTGATTTTAGATAACACACCAGGTTTGCTTCAATGCCTTTGCTTGTGCTGCTCCTCTTCTGCCTGCCTAGCAAGCTGTTCTCCAACTTCCAACTCAGTGGGAACCCTGACATGCTCTGCAACTACCCAAGAGAACTGGCGATTTCTTTCTCAATATTCTTTTTTATTTATTTATTTTTGAGACAGAGTTTTGCTCTTGTCACCCAGGCTGGAGTGCAATGGCGCAATCTCAGCTCACTGCAACCTCCACCTCCAGGGTTCAAGTGATTCTCCTGCCTCAGCCTCCTGAGTAGCTGGGACTACAGGCATGCACCACCACTCCTGGCTAATTTTTGTATTTTTAGTAGACACAGGATTTCACCATGTTGGCCAGGCTGGTCTCAAATTCCTAACCTCAGGTGATCTGCCCGCCTCAGCCTCCCAAAGTGCTGGGATTACAGGTGTGAGCCACCACGCTCAGCCTCTTTTTTGATACTCTTTTGCATACTCAGTTATATGCTATCAATCTGCCTTGTACTTATTTTTCTATCTATTTCCTTTACTAAACTGGGTTTTAAGGCAAAAATCCATGTCATTCCAACTTAATATCCCCAGACAATGATACAATGTCAGGCATATAGCTGGTACTCAATAAATGCTTACTGAATGCATAAACTTGAAATTGTGTGTAAAAGATACCATTTTGAAGCTCATTGACTCAACTTAAGTACATGCCTTTGTCTATGACTAATTTCTTTGATTTAAAAAATCATGAATTAGCAAGACCAACATAAACAACAAGATCTAAATGACCATCAGGCAGCACCAAACCAGCAGAAAAAAAAGGAAGAAGAAAAAATAAAACATGTCAAGACAATAATGTGATCAATAGGTTAAAGAGAGGCATTGATCATTTTTTTGAAAGTTTTTTCCCTTTATACCCTCCATTGTGCAGGTCAAGTGTCTCCTAGGATGGAGAGGAGGGGCTCTGCCTAAAGGAAGAAGGTCAATGCCAGACTCTGAGTCTCAAAGACTAAAATTAATGAGTATATAGTGAAACAATAATATTAAAGGTCAGAATTTGTAGCTAAAGAAAAAGATTCTGAGATTTTATTATTATTACTACAAATTCCCTATTTCTATATCAAAACTAACCATGTTGAACTCTGATCACAGAGTTTTACTATAAGCCATAGTGTATTGAGGATGGAGGATAAGAAGTTCCTACCAGACAGGAAAAACAGTTCTTCCATTTCTCATTAGCAGAGGCTGGAGACAGAAAGGGAGAAACATGAGTTAGAAGGAGTATATTCCCAGCCAGGGGTGACCCTCAGGCAGTAGAAAGGAGGTAGGTGTGGTGCATACCCTCAAGTGTATGAGGAAACTCTAGTGTGAGGCATGCTTGATCTTTGCTCCTCAAAGCATAGTCTAGGAAAATCTGCAAGCTCCCTTGTCAATTCCTTTGTCCTATATGGCATGAGAACAACATGACAGTGTCTCAAGGGTAGTTTATACATAAATTACAAACATTTCTAGGTTAGTGGACTAAAGCATTCTCTCACTTGAACTATAAATGTCCAGCATGGTGAAGCTAAAGCACCTGAGAGGTCCTAATATCCTCCTTCACCATCCACGGCTTTCCAGGAGCTGAGAGAATGAAGAAAACTAAGGAAACCCATGCTCACAGAGCAAGGCAGCTGCACAAGTAGAGACTTCAGGCAGGAAATGATGATTTTATACTTGGGGAAAAAACATATTTTATCATTGAGTGCCAGTATGGTACCCAAAGCACATGCAAATCAGGTCTGAACACCTCTGCAAGTACAGTGCCAGACCCTCAGGGTCAGATCAAAATGGCCACCCCCAGTCAGATGCCAAGAAAGACCCAGAAGTCAGTGTGTCAGCCCCATAGGTTCCTCTTAACTCAATAACCTCATTTTGAAAGGGAGGATGGGGAAGGCAGAGGAACATAGAAAAGCTGAATATGTAAAAGCGAAAAATTAAATGACCAAAATATAACTTGTTTAACCAAGAAAGACTGGCATACCCTTAATTTGAAAGGTTATGTTCCCCCAAGCTCTAGTACCCAGTAGAGTGAGGCTTGCAATTAAGATGAAATCAGTTATAGAAACTACAGAAGCTACTTTTATTATACAGCTTCATTTGGAGTGGTTTAAATATTGACCTTACTACATATTTAAATGATGAAAGGGGAACTCTGCCCTTAGTATCCCTAAGCCCAAAATATGACTCATCTCATTTAAGAATAGCCAAGCAAACTCTCCCCTCCTCCTTCCCTCTATACCCAATTTATAATCCCAATCCAAGGAAGCAGATCTTAAGAAAAGCAGGGATCACATCCAGAGCATCAAACAAAAAAAACAAATGTGGTCACTTGTTAATCGATGATTTAATCACAAAAAATTAGTTTACACAACTCTTTAGGATCAAAGGCAATAATAACAGGTATCATACTTGAGCATTAATTCTAAACCAAGAGCTCTACATGTATGATTTTACTTATGCTTTATAAAAAACATACAGGTGTGATAATAGCATAGGAAAATGAGGTCAAGAGAATGAAGCAAATTGTCCAAAAATCACAAAGTTAGTAACTAGACAGCCAGAATGTAACTCAGGTCTGTCTCTTTCCAGGTCCTATGCCTGAACCCATTATGCATTTTGACTGCCTCTTAAATGAGATGCTCCTCCATTCTAAAAGGACCAGGATATTGTTGAATATTAATTGCAAGGTAGGAGGATATATAAAGAAATGACTTAAACCATCAAAGATGAAAATTAGAGGATGGGTAAGGATATCAAGGAAAAAAAGATGAATGTAATTCCATCATTGAGTCATTCATTCATCACCATATTCTAGATGCTGTTTCTAGAGACAGTGATGAATAACACACACAATGCCACGTCCAAATGGAGCTTCCACACTTGCCAAGGAGACAGACAATGAATAAACAAGTGAAATAACCAATATTACTTCAGGTAATGAGAAGTGCTATAAAATATTAAGCAGGAATAGAGAGTGGCAGAGTTGCTATTTTAGACAGAGCAGTCACTCTGAATGACATGAGGAAGGAAGCCTTGCAGCTATCTGGAGGAAGAGCACAGATTTGTGAATGAGGAGGGGGAATATGTCATGCATGTATCTGGGTGAGGAGAATTATAAGCAGAGGGAACAGAGGCCCTGAGATGGAAAGTTAGTTGGCCAGAAGGGAGGCTATGGCTAGAGCAGAGTGAATGAGGTAAGTGCAGAAGGAGAGTGGTAGAAAATAAATAAAGAGCCACAGGCAATGGCCAGACCCTGGCAGATCTTACAGGCCATAGTAAGGACTTGAGATTTAATTCCAAGTAGGAAGAAAAGCCCTTGGAAGACAGGGGATGACAAGAAGAGCTTTATATTTTTGATGATTCATGATGAATATAGAGGATCGAATACAGACCCGCCAGGTTAAGAGTGGACACAGAGAGATCTTTGGGAAAGATGAAGCCAATCCAACCTAGGAAGATAGCAGTGACCTGCTGGGATTAATCTGGAGATATATGTGGAATATATTTTGAAAGTATAGCTGACAGGACTTGCTAATGGGTTGAATATGAAATGAATGAGAAAGTTCAAGAATAATTCTCAGGTTTTTGGCCTGGCAACTGGGTAAAGATGGGGAAGATGGGGAAGACAAGAGAGGAGCTAGATCATGGAGGGGTGTGAGCAACAGAAATTAATACCCATCATTTTAGGTGTGTTAGTTTTGAGATGACTTTAGACATCCAAGGAGAGATATACACTAGATGGCAGACACAAAAGCCTGAAGCTCAGGAGTTACTGAGACTAGAAAGAAAAATATAAACATCTTTAGCATGTAGATGGCATTTACAGCCATAGGACTGGAAGAAATCACCTAAGAGGTGATATAGTTAGATAAGTGGAGTAGTCCAAGAATTGAGCCCTGGAGCACTCTAAAACTCAAAGGTCAACATAGCATGGGGATCTAGAAAGGTGATGGAGAAAGGACAGCCAGTGAGGTGCTAAGCTCCCTAGGAGGATGTTAGGTCGCAAGGTGGCTTTACCAATTAATACAATATATACAAAAAGTGAATGTACACACACTAATAAATCTCATCCCTGCTAGCCACAGGACTAGACAATATGAAATTAAAATACTGCATGCATATGGACCTCCTGACAGTGAAGATGAAAAAAGGCTCTCTCTTCTCAAGTATGGAAACAGCTGAGTATGGACCATCTGAAACAAAGAGACCAAATTAACACCCTCAGGTCCAGTTGTTCAATTTGTAGTTGGAGCTCAGCATTAGTGACATTTTCATGTGCGATTACATCCATAAGACGTTTGCATTGCAGCTCACATACACACTTTTTGAATAAATATGTGTTAAATAATACAATAATATTTCCAAAATGGCTTACACTGTTTTGACTAGCAGTTTTCTTTAGCTCTGAAATTAACTTCAAATTCTTTAATTTCATATTTGAAAACAGACAACAGCTGCATGTTCTTCCCACACGCAATGATCTCCTTTCTAATAATGCAGTCTGCTGTTTTCGGAAACAAAGATTAAAGAGTAGTCGCAAACTTCCTAAATAACTTTGATGAGACTAGTTTAATTTCTTCCCCGAAAGCAAAAATAAACAGACATTAATTCTCAGTCATTTTCTCTGTCTTTATGCAACTCAAACCCCTGTGTTCTTTCATCATTATCAGGGATAGATTCAGTCCTTTATCTAACAACTCAAATGTGTACCAGTTTCTCTTCTTGGGCCATGGAATTCAGGAAGTATGGCATATTTTCAGAAAGGACTAATATATATTAATCTTTCATTTCTCCACTTTGTGAGGAAACTGAAGTACAAGAGTTATTTTAGGTATTCTTTACAACATAGAATGAAGATGCTAAAACAAAGGGTTACTCCCCGCAAAGACGAAATATATAATTCAAAAGGTTTCCCACAGAGTGTAGAGGGAGTATGGGTATAAAAGTCAGCTTGCTGAAGAGTCTAATCTACTCCTGACATGCATGAGGCAAAAGATGTTACAATCAGAGCCTCCTCACAACTAAAAAATATAATGAATTCACATTCTATATCATGATACTTTGCATCATCAATATTGCTAATTTAAAAGTTTGTCAACACTCCATAACATCTCCTATGAGGCAAGCTAATGTTAATAACCTTATTTCAATAACTAAGAAAAAATGGCTTAGCAGTCATGAGAGAGTTACACCTGGACTCAATTAAAGAGCTCAAATATCATCCTACTTTTCACTCACTTTATGGTATGAAAACACAACAAATTTAGTCTTCTTTTTTCAATTTAAAGAGGTGTTCTTGTTATGTTTTGTTGTATGACCTGTCAGTTTTCTGTAACTTTAAAAGTCCGTTACTTAAAATATTAAGCTTTGTATAGAAATAGAGTCCTGATAATTAGAAGATGCCCCAGTATCAGAGTAGGTGTGATCAGAGTTGCGTGTTGGCTCTGGAGGCAAATCTAAGTCTCAGCTTTGGCTCCACTATTCAAAATAATATGGCTGCTATCAAGCCAATTCGTCTTTGTAAAATACACAGTAGGACCTCTCTCACTGGTTTTATGAGGGAAAAAAAGACAATGGGGACATTTGAACATTTACATCCAACCTTATTTCATTAATTATTTAAACCATTCTATTGTTACCTAAAATACAGAAGATAACATAGATTTATTAGTAGATTTATTAGTATCTATTTGGTATTTTCTAGAGGTCAATTGTCCATATAAAACTGAGTGGTAAGTAGCAGCTGTCCAAACAGTGCTAACTGTTGTGCTCTACTGCAATTACTACTATTGGAGTTGTATCATTAACCTCATAAAATCATCTTCTTTTAAAAAATCCTGGAGTCAAAGCATTTCACAATTTATAGAATGTATTTCCATCTACAATCACAGATACTAACACTATACCCCTAGTCCTAGACATTTCCAGCATAAAACTCTGACACCGAGATGCTGAGAACTCCACAAATATGTCACAGGGTCACAGTCAACCTACATGGCTTTCCTTGGGAAACAACAGTAGTAACAAAATAAGGAAGCAAAACTTAGATTTGTCCATTCACTTTTACCTAGATATATGGCATATTTTTAAGGCATTGTATCTACAACTGAGAAGACTCTACCACTAATTTTCTATTACAGCAACGTCTGTCAGCATTCAAAAGTCAACTCTCAGGTTGACAAAGAGCAGCAAAGGACCATAGCCACTGTGGCTGTGAGTGTGTTCTATGGCAGAAAGACTGTGCAAGAACAACCAACGGTGATATTTAAAACACTTCACCACCAACAGGATAGATGCTGACCAGGGGCTGGGTCCTCTCTGGCCTCTAGTGTACTAGACATTAACCTTTTAGCTCTTGGATTGTGAGAAGTTTCAGCAAGTCAGGGCAGTGTCATTTACCAAACAACATGGAAATATTTCAATATTTTGACATGATATATCATCATACTGCTGTGTACTAGCTACATATTAGTCACGGGAACAACTTCTCTAGCAGGAAAAGGTTCTGATAAGAGTTCTGGCTAAACTATTAAACTCTAAAATTCCAGGAATTAATCTCAAAAAAAATCTATGGGGATTTGGAGGCCATGCCATGCATTTTAGATGAGTGAAACTTTTAGTGAATATTTTTATTAATTAGTGAATTTTACAATTTTTATGAAGTGATTATCCACATCTCAAAAAACTTCCCTCATTGGATCAAACCTTTTTCATCTTCTTCCCCTCATCAAAGGCTGAGCAAGGAGACCTATGACATATGAGAAAGAAAGACGCTTAATGATGGTCTAAATTATTCTACTTGACCTTTTGCACTTTGCCTGAGTGAAAAACACCCCCTTCTATAAACTAGGCTCCAAATCAGTAGTTGTCAGAAATGTGACTTTGAATACACAAAAGTAAAATCACAAAGTAGGATATTTCTAACTATATTCATTACAAACCTCTTTGAATTATATGACCCACACTTGACCCTTCATAGTTCGCCCAGCAGAGATTAGCTCTAATTATTGCCTTAAATCTAAAAAGGAAAGAGATTGGTCATTAAAAGTACCAAACAGTTAATTGCAAAAAAAAAAAAAATAGAAAATAATCAAGATCTATGCATATAATTGCCCTCTCTCTCTCTCTTTTTTTTTTTTTTTTTTTTTTTGAGACGGAGTCTCGCTCTTTCGCCGAGGCCAGACTGCAGTGGCACTATCTCAGCTCCTGCGAGCTCCACCTCCCAGGTTAACACCATTCTCCTGCCTCAGCCTCCCGAGTAGCTGGGACTACAGGCACCCGCCACCATGCCCAGCTAATTTTTGGTATTTTTAGTAGAGACGGGGTTTCACCATGTTATCCAGGATGGTCTTGATCTCCTGACCTCGTGATCCGCCCACCTCGGCCTCCCAAAGTGCTGGCATTACAGACGTGAGCCACCACACCCAGCCAATTCCCCTCTCCTTTTAAACTTATTAGAGTATGAATTTCTACCAATATGATAATCACCCAACACAAATAAAGTCTATTAAGAGATCAGTAGAAGAGTGATGGTTTCATCAGGAAAATCCACAAATTGTTGTCTAGCTACCAATATTCTCAGGTGTAAAGCAAACGTAAGAGTGAGATAAAGTATAACTAGAGGATGAATACTGGCCAGGCTTCAAGAGTGGTAGAAGAAAGAATGCATCCCAAGTCGGCCACCTACTTGGTAACTTCAGGCAAGTTACTTTGAGATTCAGTGTCTTAACTATAAAATGGGGATATTGATACCATCTGGACCAGCATAGTTCTTGTTATATGCTATATGCAAAACAAATGATCTCTGTATTCTTTTAAGTTGTATTAATGACTGGAGACTGGGATAGCCAGTGGCAAAGTGATGAGGACCACTGGGGACAGCTCCATGTTGTGATGATTAATTTTATGTGTCAATTTCACTGGGAGATTGGGTGCCCAGTGTAGACATGATTTCTGAGTGTGTCTGGATAAAATTAGCATTTACATCAGTGAATTTAGTAAAGTAGATAGGCTTCTGCAATGTGGGTGGGCATCAACCTAACCATTAGGTCTTGAATAGAAGAAAAGGCAGAAGAAGGAATTTGTCCCTTCTGACTGAATGCATAAGCTGGGACATCAGTCTTCTCCTGTCCTCAGACTGAGACTTAAACCATCCACCCCCCTGGTTCTCAGGCCTTCAAACTCAGTTGGAACTACACCACCAGCTTTTCCAGCTCTCCAGCTTGCAGATGGCATATCATGGGACTTCTCATCCTCCATAACTGTGTGAGATATATGTATCTCACACAATTGTATATATGTGTGTGTGTATACACACACACACACACACACACACACAATAGGATGTATATCCTATTGATTCTGTTCTTTCTGGAAAACCCTAATAACCATCTCAACCAGTACTTATTATAGCCTACTGGGTATAAGGTACTATGGTCAAATTGCTAATACAAAATGCACAAGCATGGTTCCAGCCTCAACAGCCTTTAAATTCAGTTGAGGAAGCAAAACATTTATAATGAAATTAAGCTAATACATTTGCTAGGTGCCAAATGAGCAGGACAATTATTACAGGAGTTTCCTAAAAGCAAGATATCTCAGTATCCTGAGCAACATAGAAAAGGCCCATACAGAAGGACTGCGCTGGGCTTAAAGGAAGGATAAGCCTTATATAAGTGGGCTAGGAAAGAAAAGGAAGATTGTATACCTAGGCTCATTTGCCAAGACCAAGGAGTATATCCTCAAAGGATGATATTTGGTAGGGCCTTAAGTTTCTTTCGAAAGCATCTAAAACCATTCAACTCTAACACTGGGCATTTCTCTTTTGGGACACCAGCCTTTGGCACATCCACCAACAGGTGATGTCCATGTCTTTTTGCACAAGTCTATGTCACTAGGCAAAACATTGTAACAGTTATGTCTTTGCCATAGAGAAATGGCCTTGTTGTGCATTTTGGAGAATACCTCTTTACACAGTGCATCAAACACAATAGTGTGTACTTAAAGGTTAGCTATTCTACCAAAGACACAATGCCTCTGGGAGGCCCAAAAATCTGAAGCCAGATGATTAGGTTGGAACTCAAGCTCTGCTATTCAACAGCTATATGGGCTTTGCCTGATCATTTATCCTGTTTTCTCATTCATAAACCAAAATATAAATGCCTGCCTAGGATTAGGTTATATGGGTCAAATAAAGAGATGAAGGAGAATATTATACAAATATTAAGTACTAAATATGTATGTTATTTTTAATCTTTAACTGAGATCCATATTTGTCTTTAATGTAAAAATACTGTTAGGAAATATAATTTTGAGTTGTTTCTGATGAAAAGAGGATGAAAATCCCATTGGAAAATTGAATATGGCTAAAAAAAAAAAAAAAAAGATTCTACAGGCCGAGAACTCCAGACCACCAAACAAAGAAGGCAAACTAGGAAACAGGTGGCATAGTTCCAAAAGATTGAGAAGAAATGCCAAATCAGTTTATTGATAGCAATTACTAGTTGATTATCATTTTATGTATTTATAATTGATCCACATATGTCATTTTCTGCTAAGCAGTATGACTGCTTCCTTTTCTAAAAACAGTCCAAAAGGAATCAAGGGGGATTTATGGATCACTTATCCCAAGATCAAACTCCTAATTTTAAGGAATTTACAATCAAGGTGGAGTAAAATAATAGCACGCACTAAGCAAAAAGCAATTTCGACAGGGCATAACTAAATGCCAAATTGTATATGGAACTGAATTTAATGACAATGATACAGACAATGAAACATTTGAAAAATAGGCTGATACCCATTTGAAATAGCTAAGTAAAGGTGTTTAGAAGAGACAAGATGTTTTAGAAACTAAGATAAAATGGGAAACAAAAGTCTGAAAGGATAGAGAGAAGAAGAAAATACATTTACAATAAAATTCAGCATTGGAGAAAGAAAACATTACAGTATCCCCATGAAAATCTATTTCCAAATACTTTAAGGTTAATGAAACTTAGAACACCTTAACACACTATCTGTGTAGTAAACTGAATAATGAAGGCAGAAGAAAAGAACCCCCAAGAGGCAATAAAAATGAAATCTGAGTACTTGGAAAAACATAGGATCACTGGGGGCCTAACTTATTTGTTTGGTTAATTTTCTCATTTTATTCCTTTTCAATGGAAGAAAATGTTCATTATGGTATGCAGCTAATTTTCCATCTTTTGACTTAATGTACTAAAACAGTTTTACATAAAAAATTTCATTTGTCAAATGCCAAACATCTGCACCCTTGATTACGGATCTGCTACTGAGACTCTGATTTTTCAGGTACCATATGTCACAGTATTTCACTTCAATTTAATCTTTGTTTATGCACACTCAGGTATGTGTGTGTGTGTGTGTGTGCGCGCACAGGCATACAAAGAAAATGACATCTGGTACCTAGGAAAAGGAAAGGCATAGACGGGCTGGGAAAACAACACAACTAGATTTGTGTCTGAACATAAACTAAGCCACACACACTACCATTCGCAGTTACAGACTATAATACCCAGTGGGGCCACAACTTAGAGCTTGTATAATAAAAATATAAAAAAGATAAAAAGAGGCAAGAGGGAAAGGATATTTGTAAAGGCATGTTTTAATGTATAATTATTCTATAAATGAAGATTAAAGTAGTAAGACAGAAGGAAAATAGATGGAATGTATATGCTTCAAAGAAAAATAAATTCTAGATAATGGTTTTAGCCAAATATATAACCCATGCCTGCTCTTCCTGGCTTCACCCACAGACCCATATTTTCCCTCAGGATCTTCATGGCTTTCCCTGTCCCTATTAATTTTGATTCCCAGTATGTGCTCCTCATCTTATTAATGAGTGCTTAATCTTTCTTCTCCAAATTTAAATGAGACAACCTAGCAAAGAACAATGGGCCTGGAGTCAGGGGACCCAAGTTATGACCACAGATTTTCTTCTAATTAGTTACTCAGCCTGGTACAATTTACTGCACACCTGCCCCATGCAGTGCAAGAGTTTCTCCCATCTGGGGCTCAGTTTCCTAATCTGAAAGGTGAAGAGTTTAAGCCTGTCCTCTCCAAGGTTCCAGAAAGCTCCCACAGAGAAGAGGATGCAAATCAATGGTTCTACTCCCACCTCTCATCTATCCCCAACCTGTCCCATATCTGAGGTGGTTGAAGGAGAAAGCCAAGAAAAGAGATGCTATGTGCAAAACACTGTGGCTGAACTTCCACATATATAGGAACAAAGGTACACTGATCTTCAAGTCGTGGTTCAAAACCTACTATGTGCTCAAAAGCATTCTGGGCACTCTGGAGGACTTTTTTTTTTTTAAGAATTAGATATGCTCCTTCTCCTCACAGAAATTACAATCTGTCCTTACAGAACTTACCATGTAGTTAGAAGAAAACTCAAAAATACAGTAAGAAAGAGAACAAAGGAAGACTCATACGTAATAGAGTGGCCTTGGAAAGGGACAGTTCCATGCAGATGTAAATAACTAACAAAGAGTTCATAGAAGAAATAGGATTTTGCTAATTCAGCAATTAGTTACTGAGTGCATGCTCTGTGTCAGGTGCAAAAACAAACATAATTCTTCTTCTCATGAAGCTTACAGTTTAGCAGAAGACAGGCATTGACAGGAGAAGACCATGTTGCTATGTGAGAGATAAAAGGAGAAAAGAACCTAGTAAGAAAGCTCAGAGGGAGCTTCTATGAAGAAGTGACCCTCATACTAAAATCTAAAAACAAAACAGCACTAGCCAGGTGAAACAAACGAGGCAAGAATATTGCAGTCTGAGTATAGCATGTGCAAAGGCCCTGTGGCAATTATGTGCTTAGCAGGCCTGAGGAACTGAAAGAAGAACATGTGTCAAGAATGCAAAAAGCACGGAGCACAAGATGATGCTTAAGAGGAAAGCAAGACCAGGCATACAGGTCCTTGTAGGCCATGGTAGCAATTTTCATTTTGAAACAATAATATTGCCAGATGTACATATCTGGTAACTGTGTGGGGAAGAGAATAGAGAAAGACAGGAGCAGATATGGGGAGATATTTAAGAAACTACTTCACAGACCAGGTAAGAAATGATGACATGTTTGACTAGGATGGTGGCTGTGGGGAGGGAGAGAGTCAAGATGACCAAATTTGCTGATGTAACGGATATGGGTGTAGGAAAGAGACAGTTGTCAATGATAGTTCCTGGGTTTCTGATTTGTATAACAGAAGGAATGATAGTGCCATTAACTGAGAAAGAAACATAGAAAAGGCTACCCAGAGAAAGAGAGGATGATGAAATGCTCTAGAGAGGTTAAGATGGGGCTTTTGAGTTTAGAAACATGAAGATTATTCAAGACAGTAATTTCAGGTGGCATGTGGGGTCAGGTGGCAGATAAGAGTGGAATGAGGGCTGGAGAACAAAAATTAAGAGTAAAGTATACCCCAATCTTCACTCACCTGTCAGCATCTTCATGGCTCCTATGTTATCAACACAGGAGCCCATAGGTTATATCCCATGCTGATATAACAGACACAAACAAGACATACACAGGCACACACACACACACTCTTCAAATCACTTATTAGAAATTATCCCTGAATGAGCAAATAGGTAAGAAATGGGCTAAATTCAATTTTTATAGTCTGAAATGGTTCAAAGCACAAAATATGTTGCTTCTTTTATTCTCCTTAATATTTCTCTCTCTGTGTCTCTCTCAATCTCTCTCTCTCTCTCTCTCTCTCATTTCAGTGTAACTCTCTAAATATCTCATACCTTTCTACTGATAACCAATGGTTACATCTTTGTAAGCATTAACTCAAGAAATTTACCTGTATCTTCCTCTAAAGAAAGTGGACCAGGAAGACACACCCAAACCACTGAAGAGCTTCTGCCTTGGTTTTCAATCCAGAGCCTGAAGCTGGGAGGTTCTTTCTGCCCCTCATCACCCCATTTTCAACCTTCACTAAACTGCAGCAACACTGTGGCAGCAGAGGCAGGCCATCTGAGAGACACTGGGTTATTCTTTCCTCAAATAAGACACTGCTTTCATCCTCTGGTGTATAGATGAATTGTTGCCCTGGCCTAGAGAACTAAACTTAAATTTCTTTCTCCTTGATGCTTAAGACCATACAAACTTCTTGTTTTCTGTATATCCTAACAGCTCAGGACCAGCTATTCATCTTTTCAGATGCTGGTCCAAATAGGTCTGGACACCAGAATACCAAAAATGTGAGTTTTCTAAGTATTGTGGATATTGCATGTACTCTATATTATGCTATGTACTCCAAGTCAATGAAAGATCCGCAGAAAAATTGGGTCAGAAATCCTGCAAGAGTCTGGAGCTGACCTAACACTGCCAGAGAAACCAATAATTTTCATGATTGTCTTTTTGCTATGGTTACCATCAGGTCAAATCTGACCACTAATCACAGAAACTATAGTAACTATGTTAATCTGTGGCATATTTTCTTTTCCTGTGTTTGTTCTGGTTTTCTAATCCTAGGTTTCTATTTATCAGCACTGTACTGTTAGGTAAGAGAAGTCAGAAACTCTGTCTCAAAGAGATGGAGATGTAAGTATATAAATTAACCAGCTAATCACTAAGTCTACACAGACATAGAGATTATTATGCTCAATGCTATTGCTAAACCATGTCAGATCACTCCTTCTCCATCACTGGTCACATAGAGATGGAGACATCTTCTAGTGTTGGGAAGAGTAGCAGAGTGTGATTTGGGGACGACAAGGAAGCTCTTATTGTGAAGAAATTCCTTTTATTTTCTTACTGCGTCTGAAATTCATCGCCTCTCTTTTTGGTGGTTTTAATGATTATTAGAATGCAAAAAAAGCACATTTTGCCAGGCATCATGAATGAAGAATCTAACTTTAGCTCTTGCTAGGACAAAAGGCTCCCCATGCCTTCCAGAGGAGGAGAGATGGGACAATGTGACTTGGAGAAGAAGAGAGAAGAAAGAGCCTGAAGCCGGAAAACCCAGTCTGATCCTTTTCCCAGTGTTCCTTGGGCCAGTCCTCTTGCAGTTACTTAGTAATCAAAGAGCTCTGTAACAACAATCAACAAATGAACAAGAAATCAGAGGCTCAGCACGGAGCAGCACCCTTCAGGGAAAAGAGGATGAATCCGATTTACCTCCTTCAAGGTGCTTACAGTTTATTTGCTTACAGTTTATTTTGTGCAAATGTACAAAACAGATAAAAACTGCAAATGATAATAAATCCTCTCAATGCTAATCCTGGGAACCTGGCTTCTTATTAAACAGAGACTCCTTATTTCATATCTGCCATTTCCTGAAATTTATGTCATTAGAGTCCAATTCAATCATTATAACTATTTTATATTTTGGAAGGTCCACTTCAGAGTATATAATTTCATAACTAAAAGGATGAAACTAATTTATGTATAATGAGTCCTTTTTCAATCTGTCACGACATTGGGGAATCTGTGATAAGCAGAATAATGCCCCTCCCATAAGATGCCTACATCCGAATCCCCAGGGCCTGTGAATATGTTATCTTGCATTGCAAAAAGGACACTGCAGGTGCTGCGAAGCAAAAGGACTTGGAGATGGAGAGATTATTTTCATTTAATAATCATTAAGGTGGGCCCAATCTAGTCATATGTGTACTTAAAAGAGAAGAATCTAGCCAGACGTGAATGCTCACACCTGTAATCCCAGCACTTTGGGAAGCCAAGGTGGGTGGATCATTTGAGGTCAGGAGTTTGAGACCAGTCTGGCCAACATGGTGAAACCCCAGATCTAAAAAAAAAAAAAAAATTAGCCAGGCATGGCAGTGAGCACCTGTAGTCCCAGCTACTCGGGAGGCTGAGGCAGGAGAATGGCGTGAACCCAGGAGGTGGTTGCAGTGAGCCAAGATCGCGCCACTGCACTCCAGCCTGGGCGACAGAGCAAGACTCTGTCTAAAAAAAAGAAAGAGAGGAATCTCTCCTGGCTAGGTTAAAAAGATGAGAGAAAAGAAGAAAAACTGGAAGTATAGGAGGGACTGGACTGTTGCTGCAGGCTTTGAAGGTGGAGGAAGGGACCATAAGCCAAGGAACGCAAGCTGTCCCTAGAATATGAAAAGGGTAATCAGTACAGCTTTCAGAGCTTCTTGAAAGCTCCAGAAAGGAACACAGGTGTCCTCTCAATACCTTGATTTTGGTGCAGTGAGTGAGACCCATGCTGGACTTCTAATCTCCAGACCTATAAGATAATAAATTTGTTTTAATTACCATTAAATTACCATTAAATGTGTGGTAATTTGTTAAAGCAGCAGTAAAAGACTACCTTGTTTCCCTTTCTATTTTGTCAACTGTAAAATAGGATAATTTTCTTTTCATTGTTCTCTTAAATTGTTGCAAACATTAAAAGACAAATATTGAACAAAGATTCTTAAAGGAAAATAGTAAAAAGAAATCACATTCTAAAATTTTCTTCAATGTACCTCCTTTTACTATATTTGACAGGAGTCAATTAGAAAATAAACCAGAAACCTAATATATCTTAACAGTTTCATGGCATCCCCAGGTAATCAGAGGCAATCTTTCATATTGATCATAATACAAAACAAGTTGAGTTATAGAGACACATATCTTGTCAGTTCTTCGGCAAATGTAAAGCCTCCCTTAGAAAAATACAGTAATGAAATATTCTCAAAGTCAGTATGCAGACCTCCAACTGCTAGGCAAGTTAATAAGATGCATAGCTAGGGAGTTAGCATGCATCTCGAGCACTAGTTCTGCATAAGAAACACAGTTGATTCTGATCTCATCACCTTATCCATTTTTTACAGAAACATCTATCAGCAAAGAGAAGACACTCCATGTATTAAAAGTTTCCACATCCACCCTTAGCTATCAGAAACAGGACAGCAGGCCATGTGTTAGAGTTTGCAAACCTAATAAAATATTTCGCAAGTAACATATTTAATCAGTCAAACACTGATTATATTTGGTACACTCAAAATACTGAAGCTCAGCCACACAAAATGATTTGTCAACATTCCAGGAACAGCCCTTTAAAAAGATAACTTTGGGGTTTATATATTAGATGCATCCAAAACTGAGCTTCCTAGCTAACATATTAGAAAAAAAAGACCTTAATCTCAGATAATATTAAATAATCAAAGGGAGCTTATATATATATATCTGCTCAGTACAAAGTACATATATATGTACTTATATATAAGCACTTAGTACAAAGTACTAAACAGTTCTTTATATAATAATATATACTTGTATATATGTAATGAATGAGTATACATATCAAAAACAATATTTAGAAAATGTTTTTAAAAGCAGAGAAGTGACAAAGCATTGGTCTAAAGCAACTATCTACATTCAAATCTTGGCTACACTATGTACTGCCTTTGTACCTTTGGAAAAGTTTCTTTTTTATACTTCAGTTTCCTCATCTGTAAAATGGTGATAAATGAATATTGAGTTTAGTACATTGTTGTGAGGATTAATAAAGAGATAATGGATGCAAAATGTTTAGTACAATTCTGAGCCACAGCAGATACTCAATACATATTAGTAATTATTTTCATCAATTATGATCAAATGTTCAGGGTAGGAATCCAGTCCATGGACCACAGCTCATCATATATATCTTTGCTACACCTTGGTCAATTTCCTAATACCAACAGGGACAATTCAAAGGAAGAAACTTATCCAGATCTTCTTTGTTAATTTAGTTAAGAATTACAGAGAAATTCCTTTGGTATATACTGTTAGAAGCAACTACACGATAATACAATCTAAATCCCAAGAAAATGAGAAGAAAAATCAGGAAGATAATAAAAATGAACTTTAGAAAAGAAAGTGCTGCCCAAGTAATAAATTGGCTAAAATGAGATATTTCTGCAGAATTCAGAGCAAATGGGAATGTCATGAAAAGTAAAAGTTTTAAATATAAAGAAGTAAATGTATGGAGATAGAAGTTTAAACAATGAAAAAAAAAGTTAAAGGGTATTACTGGCAAAAGACACAGAAATACCTGACGAAGCAAAAAGAGAGACACGGGGAGAAAAGGTTAACCGATCATGTTAAGGAGTCCGTCTTGCGTCGTCAAAATGTCTATAAAAACAAGTATCATCTGCTTTCTGCTAACCAAAGCAAGCACCGTCTGTCACAAGAGAAAACAAAATGAAACTGACATTGAGAGATGAAGTACTAAACTGTTCTTTAGCAGCTGGATGTCTTCAAATCAGAACTTTAATGGCCCACATCGTAGAAGAATTGAGGAATTTCTGGACGTTAGTACTAAGAGCTCCTTTCTCCTTGGTTATTCATCATCTCCTTGCCTTTATCTTTGAGAAATCACCTTACACAAGGATATCCTACAAGATAATGCTCATCCTCCATATGATACACATCTCTTTCACGTTAAATAACCAACCAACTAACCAGAAAGCGTGTGCTGTGCCTATCATTGCTCTAGATATTACTTCAGTCATGAAAGAAGTATAAAACAGGTGCTTATTGATAATATTGTCTTGTAATTAAACTCCAAACTTCTTCAAGGAAAGCTCCCCATCAGTACACCACAAACTAAATTAGAATCACACATTTCCTTAGAATAAACAATTTCATTAATGTATAGGGCTAAATCTAGCCTACTTTCTAGGGAAGTCAGATATCAGAATTATCCTGGGGAGTTTTTAAAAATATTAGATTCTCTGCTCCATCCACAGAGTCATGATGAATGCAGGTAGGACTCTCCCTTTCAAACATGCTCCGTGGTGACACCAGGCAAAGGAAAGTGTATGCCCTGGGCCATCTTCCGCTAGCTCCTTCCATGGGACATTCCCTTCCTTATTTTATTAGATGAATTTATGCATATTTTAAACAGGGTATAAAAGCAAAATCTTGGAATTAATTACAGAAAGAGTCAAAACCCTGCTGTATAATGTAATAGCTGAATGACCTCTCTAAGTCTCCTTCCTTCATCTGTAAAATGGGGAAAATAATGACTGTTTCAAAAGTTTGCTCTGTTAATCTAAGGACTAAATGACCCTAAGCTCTAAGTGTTTAAGGTGCTTGACAGTGATTTCTCCTTCAGAGGACAATTAGTTGTTGCCAAGGTGATCACAACACCAGCAGCAGCAGGAGTCAGTCTCAATTCAGAACCACAATAACATCTAGAAGGAAAAGATGCCCCTTGGCTTTTGTATGTCAATACACAAACGGCCGAAGGGATTCTTTGCTGAAATTAAATCATCTAAAGTGGGTTTGGTGGAGGCCGGTCTGGATGGGGTCTCAGAGGCATAGTCCCTATAACTCTGAGCAATCAATTCACCAAGAGACCAAAAGCATTAGTCTCTACTTCATTCAGAGAACGTAAAAGGCAAGAAGACTGAACCTCCTCTTTATAACTCCCAAGTCATCGTACAATTATGCCCTAGTTACTTCATCCTTTCTAGTGTGAATATGGTTCTCTCCCTCTTCAGAGGGGCTTGAAATAAGGGTGGTGATCCTTGAGCCATGATCCAGGAGCCCCGCTATTTCATTATGTTCCTAGTTATTCATATCCTGATGTAATTTGTTGTGTTCTCTGTAGACAGCATACATTTATTGAAGTCTTACTAGGTCCTATGCATAGCACAAGCTCTGTGTTTCTAAAGTTTGCAACAGAGCAAGGAGATCCACAGTTAAAGTTGAGCTGCAGCACGCATCATTGGTAGAAGGTTTTAAAATGATGTGAAGGCTCCCATAGAAGCCCCTGAGTTTGGAGCTGGAGCAGAGCACACACATTGCCTATACTAAGAATTTCAAGGCAGGAGAAGCTCACAGTGAACACCAGCCTAACCGCGGAAGGAGACTTTGCAGAGCTCCTGGTCTTCTAACTCCAGCACCAGGCAGATAAGCCAGTGATACCCAAGAAAGGGACCTTCTCCACCAAGTCCAGCTGCTGTGCTTGTCAATAACAAAAAAGGACTTTTTCTCCACACCATCAGCCACTACCATGCCCTGTTCCAACTCAGCCACCAGTTGTTTAGGAAACTGGAGCAGGGAGGAGAGAGAGGGAAGGGGAAGGAAGCAGTTCATGCTAGCCAGTCCCTGCAGACACATTCCAGAGGAGTCAGGCCCAGGGAGTTCTGAACTATAACACAGGATGGAGTTTCCAGTTTCAAACTAATTATAAATGAATATCAAGTATGACAAAATTATCAGGAGGGACTGAGAAGCCACTAATTGGCAACTTTACATTTTCTTTCCTTCTTTCCCTCAGCTAGTACATTGGATATGGAAGCTTAACAAGTCGAGCTGATACAAATTACTGGGAAAAAAAATAGTCCATGTAAATACGTGACTCTGTAAAGACTGGCCAGTCATACCTACCACATTCGCTTTCTTTTTTTCTAATTTTCATTAAAAACATCAAACTCACAGAAAGGTTGCAAGAATATTCAATGAGATTGTCATTTTTATACACAAAAAAGTCCAAATATTAGTAATTTTATACGGTTCTACCTAATATTATTCTTGCAATTATCTGTAAGTTTGTATTTTAATGCAATGGATTCTCATTTACCCTTCACCTAAATTCTCTAATTGGTAGAATTTTGTAGCATTTGCTTTTTGATTCTTTCTTTCTCTCTCTGTCTCTGTCTCTCTCCCTCTCTCAAGTAGATACAGATACTGGTATATTTAGTGCTGAAATTTTTGAAAGCTGCAACATCATAATGTTTTACTTTCAAATACTTCATATGTATTTTGTAAGAACAAGGAAATTACCTTATATAATCATAGTATGATTATTAAATTCAGGAATTTGACATTGATATGCTACTGTTATCTAATATACAGTCCATATTCTAAGTCTTCCAGTTATCCCAATAATGACCTTCATAGCATTTTTTTCTAATCTAGGACCACACATTTCATTTGTTTACTGTCTCTTTTGTTCCCCTTAGTCCAGAAACTTCCTCAGCCTTTCTTTTTCATTTGTAGTATCAGTGTTCTTGAAGGATACCAGACAGTTATTTTGTTAACTAAACCTCATGTTGAATTTATCTGATGTATTCTCATGTTTCCTTGCATTTGTGGCAAAATAACACAGAAGTGATGCTATGTCCTCAGTGCCTTGCATCAGGAGGCAGGTGATATGGCTTTGTTTCACTGTTGGGAATGCTGAATTTGATCACTAGGTTCAGGGTATCCTCCAGGTTATTCCACTGAGTAAGTTATTATTTTCCCCTTGGAATTAGTAAATGATCTCTGGAGGAATTAGCTACCATTTTTATTTGTAGTTCAACCAATACTAATTGAGCACCCACCCTATCCAGCACCGTTTGAGGTGTTAGGGATATCACAGAAAATAAGAAACAAAAATGTCTTCCTTCTAGGATCCAGAAAAGGTGGAGAAATACTGGCCGTAAACAAATAATAAGGTATTTAGTATGCAAGAAGACAGCTGAAGAGAGTTTACAGAGGAATGCGTGTGCTTCTATTTTAAGTAGGGTGGTCAGGGAAGGCCTGCTTGAGGAGTTGACATTAGAGCAAAGACTTGAAGGGGTGAGGACCAGAATAGTGGGGAAGGGGAGAGCTTTCCAGACATTAGGCCTAGCAAATGCAAATGGCCTGAGGTGCCTAGTATGTTTAAGAAACACCAAAGAGCCAACTTAGCTGAAGCAGAGTGATCTAAGCAACGAGGAGAGTAGTAGGCTTCTTGGGATTCTTTCCCAAGAAGAAAACTCCCTACACTTCTAAAATGAAGAAAGAAGGGAGGGAGAGGAAATGCATTGGCCAATATAATTTTGACATCAATAGCAGAGCTCAGTTCAGCCTCAGCTGGACTGGGGGGGGCATAAGCAAGGTCCTCAGGAGCCTCTCTAGCTCTTGCCCCCAATTCCTTCCTCCAGGTGGTGGCTCAGATGGCCATCCCAAGTCCCATGTTTCATGGTACTCATTTAGTCTTCCCAGGGAGAGTGAGTGCCTTTTCCCCAGTACATTGAGGATAAGTCCAGAGAACAAGGTTATGGACATTACCTGGCTCCAGTCTTATTCCTGAGTAAATCCCTAAGGGATAAGGACTGAGGGAAAAAGAAGGGGGAGGGTGTTTGGATTGATAAAGTCTGGGTCACAAATCCACCTGGACAAACCCAATCCCAACCCAGTACACACTAATAGAGGGAGTAGGGGATGGGGGACAATTCTCCAAAGGTCCTAATTGTAAAGAAAGGAAGAAGATGTAATGAGCAGGAAAAAACAACAGATGTGCACTATTACTGCAGTTACATAATTATACTTTGTCTCCATAAAGAAATAATAATGATCTTGACTTTTAAAGACCCTGATAAATGACCATTTGACCATGGGCTTCTTTGTTTTTTTGCCTATTATATATTTTTTCAAGGACACTAGCTTGGATCCTTTCGTTCCCACTGTTGACACTGGAGGATCCAGATGAAATAAGCAAAACAAAGTATTAAGCACAGAGCCGCTCAGTTCGTTTTACATGACAAATATGGAGAATGCTTTGAAAGAGTAAAGGCAGTGGTTTTCATGTTCATTAAATCTGCTTTCACCCGAGCATAAATACCTAATGCTCCACTGAGATGCTAGGATATTGAGAACATAAAAGTCTGATAGCACCTAAAATGACAATTCTCCTTTATAACAGCATAATTTTATTAGAGTTATAAGCCACCAAATCCAGTCCCCTAAAAATCAACTTACTTGAAAGCCAATGGACACTGCTAAATGAAAAAAAAATTAGAAATGAGGAATCAGTGACATTTTATTATACCATTGGCCTTAACACTCATGTTAACCAATTTCACATAGAGGCTGAAGAACTAAATTAAAACATAAATTCTGTTTTAAGCTAAAAGAAGCAAGGGACTATAGTCAATTCCTAACCCATTCCAGGTTCTTTGGAGTGCTGAACATAATTCAGCACTCTTTTCTAAGAAAAATCATATTCTTTTATTTATTTATTTTTTATTATACTTTAAGTTTTAGGGTACATCTGCACATTGTGCAGGTTAGTTACATATGTATACATGTGCCATGCTGGTGCACTGCACCCACTAACTCGTCATCTAGCATTAGGTATATCTCCCAATGCTATCCCTCCCCACTCCCCCCACCCCACAACAGTCCCCAGAGTGTGATATTCCCCTTCCTGTGTCCATGTGATCTCATTGTTCAATTCCCACCTATGAGTGAGAATATGTGGTGTTTGGTTTTTTGTTCTTGCGATAGTTTACTGAGAATGATGATTTCCAATTTCATCCATGTCCCTACAAAGGACATGAACTCATCATTTTTTATGGCTGCATAGTATTCCATGGTGTATATGTGCCACATTTTCTTAATCCAGTCTATTATTGATGGACATTTGGGTTGGTTCCAAGTCTTTGCTATTGTGAATAATGCCGCAATAAACATACGTGTGCATGTGTCTTTATAGCAGCATGATTTATAGTCCTTTGGGTATATACCCAGTAATGGGATGGCTGGGTCAAATGGTATTTCCAGTTCTAGATCCCTGAGGAATCGCCACACTGATTTCCACAATGGTTGAACTAGTTTACAGTCCCAACAACAGTGTAAAAGTGTTCCTATTTCTCCACATCCTCTCCAGCACCTGTTGTTTCCTGACTTTTTAATGATTGCCATTCTAACTGGTGTGAGATGGTATCTCATTGTGGTTTTGATTTGCATTTCTCTGATGGCCAGTGATGATGAGCATTTTTTCATGTGTTTTTTGGCTGCATAAATGTCTTCTTTTGAGAAGTGTCTGTTCATGTCCTTTGCCCACTTTTTGATGGGGTTGTTTGTTTTTTTCTTGTAAATTTGTTTGAGCCGCATATCTACAACTATCTGATCTTTGACAAACCTGAGAAAAACAAGCAATGGGGAAAGGATTCCCTATTTAATAAATGGTGCTGGGAAAACTGGCTAGCCATATGTAGAAAGCTGAAACTGGATCCCTTCCTTACACCTTATACAAAAATCAATTCAAGATGGATTAAAGACTTAAACGTTAGACCTAAAACTATAAAAACCCTAGAAGAAAACCTAGGCATTACCATTCAGGACATAGGCATGGGCAAGGACTTCATGTCTAAAACACCAAAAGCAATGGCAACAAAAGACAAAATTGACAAATGGGATCTAATTAAACTAAAGAGCTTCTGCACAGCAAAAGAAACTACCATCAGAGTGAACAGGCAACCTACAAAATGGGAGAAAATTTTCGCAACCTACTCATCTGACAAAGGGCTAATATTCTTTTATTTTTTAAACAAATTTGACAAGTAACAGCAAACAAAACTGTAATATTTCCGTAAGTTCTACTCTTAAAGGGAAGCATTCAGAATGGTAGATAAATGCAGTTTTATTTATCTAAATTACATCCGGTCAGCATGTTACTGCTAGCATTGTTTTTCGGCTCAGGTAAGAATGAGCCGACAATAGAGGCTTCTACACATTGAGGAAAGTTGAAGATCTTCACTCCTAGAATCTACTCTAACCTTTCTGTTGCCTAAATGCAAATGGAGAGAATCAATTGCAATACTTTTAGAATTAATAAGAAAGTTCAGCAATATGTCCATATATAAAATTTACCAAAAATGACTGTTTTCTTAACACACCAGCAATACCCCATAGAAAACAATGGAATAAAGATTCTTATTCACCTAGCAAACAGATAATTCAATCTTCGTGTATAATATTCAAAAGATTATAAAACCTTTCTCAGCCATAAGGATATAGATATAAAAACAAACAAAAAAACAGGGCATTCAAGTGCATTCCCAGTGGAGATGCAAATATGTGCAGCCTTTATGGAGGACCATTGGCATTACATATTGTCTTACAAATATGTATATTCTTTCACTCAAGAAATCCTATGCAAAAATCTATCCTAAAGAAATTACCAGAAATGTAACCAAGGATGAAGTTTGTTTGTCCCAGTGTTATTCATAATAGCAAAATAAAACAAAAACTCAAAAACTTCAAGAACAGAGATATTGGGTAAATAAACTGTCTCATTCATGCAATGGAACCCTATGCAGCTATTAAAATCATAGTTTTCAAAAATATAAAAAAGCCTTAAAATAGCATTAAACAATATACTCTTAAAGCAGGATACCAGGTTGAAGAAGCAGAATATTCTCCACTTCATAAAATGTGTGCATGTAGTAGACATTTAACAATATCAAAGGATACCTTCCAGGCCTCTCAAATCCCCAGAATGTAAGGACTCCTTTACGTAATAGCTGACTGAATAAACTCTAAAAAGAATGGGGCAAACAAACACTTTCTTCATGTTCCAATAATACCAAACCAAATTCTGATGTCTGCTAAATGCAGTGGCTCATACCTATAATCCCAGCACTTGGAGGCCAAGGTGTGCAGATTGTCTGAGCTCAGGAGTTTGAGACTAGCCTGGGCAACATGGTGAAACCTCATCTCTACAAAACATACAAAAATTATCCAGGCTTGGTGACTGACACATGTGATCACAGCTACTCAGGAGACTGAGGCAGGAGGATCACTTGAGCCCAGGAGGCAGAGATTGCAGTGAGCTGAGATCACACCACTGCACTCCAGCCTGGGAGACAGAGTGAGACACTGTCTCAGAAAAAAAATAAAAATAAAAAATTCTGACATCCCTCGCCTGATGCTCTCTCCCAAGTGGAAGAAGATTCTCACTTTCAGCTGGGCCTCATCTCATCACTTTGGTCAAAATTTAACCTCTCTGTGTGTTTTTGACATATCCTGGATCTTCCAACTCAACTTATAACTTAATTTGTTTTCCAAACTTTGGCCATTTGCTTACTAAGTTCATGACATTTACCAACATTTATGTTGTCTGTTACTCTATTTCTTTCTTATATGAGCTTATGTTTTTATTTAAATATTTTAGTCTCACTCATGAAACCATGGGTTTAATGTTCTAATTATTTTTTTCTAATATAGGTTAAAATGAATACCTATCAAGGGGGAAAAAGCATCTAATAAGTTATCTCCTGCAATTACACCATTGTTTTTGATTCCAACAGGAAACACATGGGAATGCCAGCTTAATGGATGCTGATAGGTGATCTGGGTATAGTTTAACAGAGTCTATCAGGAGAAACAACATCTTATTAATCTAAATATTCTATAGCACCAAGAACCATGGAAGGCTGGATGAGAGGGATCTTTTGGAACTGACCCAAAATTGACCATCTTTTTGCCTGACTGACCTACTCAAGTCAATTCTTTTTCTAGATCAGGGACTCCTGTGCTTCTTCTCTCCAAAATACAGGCAGCAACAGCCATTTATTTAGATAATAAAATGTGCATTTAAAACAACAGAGTTACACTTCCCTTCTAAGTTCCTTTAGAACAAGAGTCGGCAAACTTATTGTAAACAGCCAGATAGTAAATATTTTTGAGTTCATGGAGCATACTATCTGTCACAACCACTCAGCTCTGTCATTATAGCTCAATAGTAGCCATAGACAGATAAATGAATGAATAGATAAATTAATGAGCATGGCTGCATTCCAATAAAACTTGACCACAAACACTAAAATTTGAATATGATGTTATTTTGCATGTCAAGAAATATTATTCTTTTAATTTATTTCCAACTATCTAGAAGTATAAAAAACATTCTCATCTTGAGACCCATACAAAAACAGGCAGTGAGCCAAACTGACCATAGTTTGCCAAACCCTATTTTAGACCACTAGGGTTGGCAATTTTATAGCTGCCATATAAGCTGATGGAAGACAAAGATCCAAGTGTTTGTAATATTCTTCCCTAAAGATTTCTTTGCATATATAAAAAATTATATACTAAGGCAATAAAACCACGTCTGTAATCCCAGCACTTTGGGAGGCTGAGGCGGGCAGATCACGAGGTCAGGAGATCAAAACCATTCTCGCTAACACGGTGAAACCCCGTCTCTACTAAAATTACAAAAAATTAGCCAGGCGTGGTGGCAGGCGCCTGTAGTCCCAGCTACTCAGGAGGCTGAGGCAGGAGAATGGCGTGAACCCCAGAGGCAGAGCTTGCAGTGAGCTGAGATCATGCCACTGCACTCGAGCCTGGGCAACAGAGCAAGACTCTGTCTCAAAAAATAATAATAATAATAAAATAAAAAGAAAAAAAACAAATCTTACTCCAAAACAATGTTTTTAAAGAGTTTTAAAAAGAATTGTAATTGGTGTCATTTAATTACGTATACATAATTACCAGCAAGCCCATTCCGAGGCTAATATAAGTGAGTGTATAACAGAGCTTTTACTTTTCCACTTATTCCCATTAAAACCCACTTTCATTTTACATGGGAATTTAGATATCTTCATCTAGGAACAAAGCAATTTATGCAGTTCATGTAATGATTATTCAATAATTACTCTAAAGGAACTCCAGCTGAGTTCAAAGATCAAGGCAAAATAGAAGTCAAAGTTCCCAACTGGTGGTTCTGGAGAGTGCATGCAACAGAACACAGGGGGATATTGGAAATCAGGAGAGCCTGAGTCAGAAAACCTGAGGTCATCAGTCCCTGCATAGCCACCAGGAAGCCAAAAGAACAAGTCACTGTGCTACTTTGCTGAGGCACAGTTCTTCATATAAAATGGGCATCACTTAACTCACAAAACTCTTATGAGAATAAAAGGAGAAAAGCGCTCTATAAACAGGAAAATAACACAAAAATTAATGAACTCTAAAAGAGAAATTTTGTAGAGTCACAAGCAGAGAAATAACTTGATCATCTCCATTAAGTAACACAACAAGCAACCTCACTTTGAAGAAAATAGTTATTTCACGCTGTGCTTCTGGAAGCAACAAAAAATCACTCTTAGAAATTGTATTGACTCGTAGAGTTCACTGGAAAAAAAAAATGATAGAATAGCACGTGAACTGAATCATGGCATTTTCATAAATATTATTTGTAATTCTGTAGTTGAAGTTCAAAGTTGTATGAGTTCAAACTTCAAATTAGGAGTTAAAAACCTTCAGCTGTCTCCAAACTAATATCAGTGTAAATACAGGCGAGCCATTTGTCAATTCTGTGTGTATACGTTTAAGTCATCTCGAAGAGCAGGCGCTCCATTTTTCCTTCTCTTGGGAAATGGGAAGTATCTATCATTAACTTTCCAGCCAACAGGAGCTTTGTAGTCATACTGTGGGGCTAATCCGAAGGGTTTAAACGCACAGCAGTGTCTGGTAAGTCACAGCAGAGCTGAGGTCAGGTTAAATGGCTTTAATTAAGAATAATAATAAAAAAAGAAAGACTGTTTGACACATAGGTCAATATTTTTCCTTCAAACTGATGTAGCCATGCTGGGAAAAAAATCATTGCATATTCATCAAAAAGAAGCAAAAAGTATGAGGACTCAGAAAGGATATTAATTAAACAGAAGAAAAGTAATTAAACAGAAGAAAAATGTGGTAAATAAGACATGCTTACTTTTATCCAATCCTTATTTTATCCTCTGAATCAATTGATTCAGTAATAGTTGGAAGAATTTCATTTAATTGCCGGCCAAATGTCAACTGGTATTGCTCATTTGTATCACCAGATGTATGTAAATAGATTCTTATTTGCCCAGTAATGACTACTTATATGAACTTGCAAAAATAATGCATTTTCAGAGCAAAGATTACTACCCAGTCTGAAAAACAATGGTATCCTGAATTAGATTTGCATGTGAATCCTAGTACTGTTATTTATTAGTAGTAATAAATCATTATTTCTAGCAGCCTAGAGTGTTCATAGTGGTGACAACAAAGTGAGGCAAGCCTGAGGCCGAATTCTGCTCTGCTGTCTACTTGTGTGTGACCTACTGCAAATTGCTTAAAGTTTCTCAACTTCAGTCTCTTCATCTAGGAAATGAACATACTGTGATGCCTACTTCTGTGAATTGCTTTGATGAGTAAATAGGACATTGTATATAAAGTATTTAGCATGGTGATGGCACACACAGACTTCTCAATAAATAGTAGTTCTTATTATTACTATTTTACAACTATTTTGCTCAGCTTCTGAATTTTAGCTTACAACTACCTCACTACAGTCTTATCAGAATCATGTAAGCTAGAGAATAAAAATGTGCTTTTATATTACAAAGAACCAAATACAATATCTTATTGTCAATTAGCAAGCTTCAGGTCAACTAAAGTACTGTGAATTTTTTATATTCTTTCTAGATAATTCAGTGGCTATGCCATTAAAATTTTTCATGACAATTACTATGCAAACAACATGGTAAGGTGTTGGCCAATTAAACAAGAAAAATACAATCGCCATTTCTAGGCAGAAATCACTAAGTGTGTTCAGAGTGTGATCCAGCAACCAGAATGAGTTTTCAAATTATTGATATTTTAAAAACAAAGCTGTACATTATTTAGAATGAATTAATCACTTAAACATAATTCACAAGATCCTAAGAAGTTTGAGAAATATTGCTCTAATCAAGTAATTTGCTGTCTATTGCACTTAATAATTCATTTTATGTTAGTTTAGACTGGAATTGGAACTAAACTCTTGACTGCAAAGCATAGTCTTAGAGGAATTTGTTCTTCAGATCACAGAACCCAAAATCCAATACCTACTGAGATCAGGTAGGTAACATCAATGAGTATGGAGGATGGTGGGAATTTGAAGAGCCGACACCCTTCCAAAGAGGACAACCATGACTGAGCACATGCTGATAGTCAACATGTGCAAAAGAGGCCCCTGTGCTGCCATGTAGAAACATTTCAGCAGAACCCAGAAATCATACGTCTTGTGTAAAATTTCCCGACGGTGAAATAATGGAAAATAATTCAAAAAGATTTTAAACACTGTTCAGATCAAGCAAATTATATCTAAAGTCTAGGTTCAACTACTGAAATGTTTTTCCCAAGACCAATCCTAGTGTATGACCATCATGCTTTTTCCAAAATAAAATGTATTAATCATAATGATAAGCTACTGGGCCAAAGGAGAGCTGAGGAAAAGAAATTTTCATGATAAATAAATAATTATTATACACTATGGAATTAATTTATTTAATCTAAAGAAGTAACCCATGGTCTATGATCTTGATAATAAACCATCCCAAGAAGGTGGAGGGCAGAGCATCAAAGCAAGAAGGGCATGAGTCCTCACCCTCATTTCTCTACTATTTCACATGACAATTACTTACCTCCCATGTGCTGTGAATTTATTCTAAGGCCTGAGGGTTGAAAAATGAGAAAAATGCTACTCCCTACATCTATCTAGTGAGTTTGTAAAAATAAAATAAAATTCAAAGTCTTGACTACAAACAGGATAGGCATCTAGTCCAGAAGGGGGAAATCCCGGAGTCCAGGCCAGATCTGGGAGATTCAGCAGTGGGGAACGCAGTGGAAGAGGACACTAGAGGGCCCATTCCTGTGTAGAGCCTGGATTAATCCTTCTCAGGGGACCTGAGTTGTGAATGAGACTTTCCAGGACTCTCCGCCATCAAGGGCTCCCTTTGTTGCCAACTTCTGTCAAGTTGGGTTCCATTCACGCAACTTGTATTTAAAACCGTGTGTTGAGAGCTGGTTAATGCAGCACAGCTCTCAGCAGGATCTACCACCCCACATTCAGTGCAAGGGAACAAGTCAAGCATGATACCCCTATGAAGGAACTCAAAGAATCCATGCCAGGAGCACCACTGGCCCAAGGGTTACAACAATGTCATCACATTTTATTTCTTTACCTTTCAAGCAAGTTGGGTACTGTGCCAATGCCAGGTCCACAAGAAGCATGCCTTCAGGGAGCAGACTATGTTGACATGAAGTAAAAAGAGCATACAAACTAATTATACTATATAACGACTAAGGATGTAACACCTGAACTTTCATGTGCAGAGCCCATTGCACTAGCAGAAAACCCATGAGAGTGAATCAACCTTCGGTAAAGAAACCCATCATTGGCACCATCCAACAACCAGCTTGATTAAGACTTTCTCAGAGAAAGCACACCATTTCAGCACTGCAGAATGTATGATGTATCTTTTATAGTTTCACTTTTTGGACAAGACATTATCTTCAGACTGCAGTGGGGAGAGGGAGATGAACTACCAGATGCAGTTTGGGGACTGGCATAGAGAGCTATGACTCTCTTTTTACACTTAGTGACCACTTTTATAGTCGTATAGAGACATTTTAAAGGAAGTTTCACTTCTATCTGCTCATGGAGAGGAGCCTAAAACAAATGACCTAGGTCTGTTTTCCATCTCCTCTGGCAAAAGCAATTTCTTTGAAAGACTACTCTCTGGAAAATGCAAAGTTCAGCTTAGCTCCTCTGTGGCTGCACTACTTTCCAGGAAAAGCTTTCATGGGCCATGAACTCAGGCAGCAGCACGTGACAGCACAAGTGAAAACTGAAAGGGAAAGGTTTTTGTCACACTTGCCTTCTCTATGCGTTAACTACCCGGAGTCTCCTACCACTTCTCACCCAGAGCACAGCCAGCATACCCCCTACCTTTACATGAATTATAAAAAGGCACCCCTTACCTTTTGAGAGTAGGAACTGCAAAAAGGGTGCTGCCTGCTCTGGGCTGATGAATCACAAAATGAATGGCTTAGCAAGTGGTAGGTGGCTAGATTGCCAGCCCATCATGCCTATTCTGTGAGTACCTTGGGCAGTGCACAAACTATGCAATGGTGTTGGCTGGCACTTTTTTCATTATTGTCATCTCCACCACCCAAGTCCAAGCTCCAGAATCTTTCACCCAGACTGCAGCAGTAGGCACCAAGCTGGTCTCTGTGCTTTCCCCCTTGCTTCCACAGAGAATTCTCTATGCAAGAGCCTTAAAAATTTTAAGACAAATCATGCCATTCCCAAGCTAAGAATCCTCGTAAGACTTTTAGTCTCATTCAGAATAAAAACCGGCCAGAGTGTCTAACTTTGTTGTTCCTCTGTGATCCATGGACCAGCAGTGGAACTATCACCCAGAAAATTATTAGAAAGGCAGGGTCTCAGGTCCTGCCCAGACCTAATGAATCAGAGTCTACGTTGTAATAAGATTCCAAGGTGATGTCATGGCACATTAAATTTGGTTGAAGTCTACCAACTTCAACAAGACCAAGCTCCTATCCTGTCTACAACCCCATGTCCTACCATCTTCACTTAGCTCTAGCCTCTGGGCTCCTCACTCCTCCTCAAATGTGGCAAGCATTGTGCTTTCAGGCATCTGCTCTGAGTCTTCTCTTTGCCCCTAATGTTCATCCCTTAGGACATCTGACTGGCTCATCCCTTCACCACTTCCAGATTCCTGCTCACTGTCTTCTAAGGGGGCCCTGACGACCCCTACTCTCCCCTGCCAACTCGTGTTCTCCAGATTCCTAGACCCTGCCTTGATTTGATCATGACATTTATCATTACTTTATAAAGTTCATTACATTATATTATATGTTTATATGAAAAATTCCTCTCCCTTACAAATAAAAGCTCTATAACTGCAAGGACTTTGTCATTTATTTATTTCACTGCTTGATCCCCAAGGCCCAGCACATAGAAGGTATTCAATAACTATTTGATGAACAAGTGAGTAACTGAAACTAGTGCTTCTAATAAACAGTGGCTTAAGCAAGTATCCAAACTTGTGCAAGGTTTTTATAGACCTTAAAAAGATAACTTAGGCACTTCTGACTCCTAAAAGAAAATTAGCCATAATTGGCAAGTAACCTGGCAAAACTCCAGCATAAGGGGACAGATCTGTAAAAGACCAGACGACCTCAGGTAGCTTTAACTGTGGCCAGAAGATACAGAATAGTTTAAACCTAAAAATTACATGTGTTTAAATTTAGATATTCCTAAGGATGAAAGGAATCGGCAATAGCAAGTGCTAATGAGGATGTGGAGTAACAAGAACTCTCATTCATTGCCAGTGGGAATGCAAAATGGTATAGCCACTTTGAAAGTCACACATCTAAGCATTTAGCCAACTGATTGAAAACATATGTCCCACAAAAATCTGCACACCATAGTGTCTTTATAAATAATCATCAAAACCTAGAAGCAACCAAGATGTCCTTCAATAGGTGATGGACATAAACCTTCAATAAACACACTGTAATGCATCTATTCAACAGGTGATACCAGAAAGCCATGAAAAGAAACAAGCTATTAATAAGTGCAACAGGAAAGCATATAAACCAGGAAGGAATGGGCAAAGGAATCTAACTCAATTACAAATGTATGACATAACCTCACTGGAGGGAGTAAGGAAAAAGAGATGTTGGCCTAAGTAACTTTGGAAATGACTGGAAACTGTAAGACTTAAAAACAAAAAGATCTGCACATAAGCACTATACCACATTAGTGAAGTTGTTCCTCATGGAGGTGCACATTGATAATTCTGAAAGTGCTGTGCTTGAGTATTTGGATTGAACAAGTAAGTAAATGGAAGGCTTCTCACTATTGGAGTGGGAGATGGCAGCAAAGCAAAGGGAGAAGAATAAAACACAAGGTAACAGATCAGATTTGGAGCTATCAGTAGGAAGTCCTATTTAGCTTAATATAGATAGTGTATACACACATGTATGTCCTAGCTCTTATCCACTAAGAGGGTCCAGAAGCAATGAAATCACAGTAACAAAGAGCATATCCAGTTCCCAGATTTCAGTTTTTACTACTGTTCAACAAAAGGAACCAGAGTTTCTTGGAGAAATGGCTGGTTCTAGGACAGGAAATATACAAGATTAGCTAGAAACATTTTGTGGCCAGGTGTGGTGGCTCACGCCTGTAATCCCAGCACTTTGAGAGGCCGAGGCGGGTGGATCATAAGGTCAGGAGATTGAGACCATCCTGGCTAACACGGTGAAACCCCATCTCTACTAAAAATACAAAAAATTAGCCAGGCCTGGTGGCGGGCGCCTGTAGTCCCAGCTACTTGGGAGGCTGAGGCAGGAGAATGGCGTGAACCCGGGAGGCAGAGCTTGCAGCGAGCCAAGATTGTGCCACTGCACTCCAGCCTGGGCGATGAGCAAGACTCCGTCTCAAAAAAAAAAAAAAAACGAAACATTTTGTAGTGCTAGGAAGTAAGGAAATTCTCAAAAACAAAATGATAAGGGTATGTCAAAGGAATGCAGAAGCCAACTCAAAGAACACCCAATGGCCAAAGATGGAATAATGTCTGCAAAAAATAAATAACATACTATTGGATAATAACCCAAAGTATAAGATATTCATGAGTCCATGCTGATATGAATAAATATTTGAATAAATAAATAAATGAAGGGAAGAAAATATCTCCTGCACAGAAAAATTCCAAATAAGTTACATAAATATTCCTCTCCTCAAGGAGATGGAGTGTAACTTTTTCACCTCTTAAGTTTGGGCTCTACTTAGTGACTTGTCCAAAAGGCACCATATAGAAGAGGGGGAAATAAAAAAGTAACTGTGCAATGAAGAAGCCTCCCAGCACTACCCTAGCCAGCTGTCAAATGTAAAAGGTTAACATCAATAGTGATGACTCAAACTGACAATAAACGCCCTTGATATGTTGTGTTGGGAAGAGCACTTCACCTCAGTGGTCTTCCCCCCAAAAACCCCAGTCTAATCATGAGAAAAATATGAGTAAAGCCCAAATAAAGAGCATTCTACAAAATCCCTGACTATGAACTCTTCAAAACTGCCAAGGTCCTCAAAAACAAAGACAATCTGAGCAACTATCACCATCCAGAGAAGCCTAAGGAGGCATGAAGACTAAATGTAATGTGGTATCCAGGGTGGGACCCTGGAACAGAGAAAGGACACTAGAAAACAACCAATGAAGTAAAAATGAAGCGCAGAAAGTAGCTAATAATAATAGGAAACTATTTGTTCAATAGTTAGCAGATTCGTCTTCTGTCAAATGTGCCATAGTTGATGTAAGATGTTACAACAGGGGAAACCGGGCACTGGGTATATGGGAACTCTTTGTACTATCTTCGCATCTCTCCTGTGACTGTAAAACTATTCTAAAATTAAAAGTTTATTTAAAAAAAGAAAACATGGCTGAATATAATATGTTTTTCACTCTTCTTGCTAAGTTGTGTCATATCCCATTATCATTTATTAAGTATCCTAAATGTACACATACTCTTCTTGATAGATTTCATGGATTATCATACTTACTCTCAGAACAGCCTGAGGAGCTGAGTGTTTTTCTCACATTTTACAGACAGAGAAATATAGATTATATAAAGGGCCTGGGGCCATGCAGCTAGGAGTTGGGAAGGTGGAATTCAAACCTGTGTTTGCTGACTCCAGAGCCCGCACTGTCCAATACGCCTTTCTGAATCCCAGGATATAATTCCTAAAATGTCTAAAATGTCATGGGCTGAAAAAGATAAAAAAATTTTATCCACAATCCTGAAAAAGTAGTAGCCTTGGCACTGTGATCTCCAAGAGAACAAGAGTCAACTTTGGCAATGCTGTGGCCAAGTTATATTTGGACTCATTTATTAGCAGCCTGAATTTCCCTGAGGGACTCCCACCCTCTAAGTGGGCACCAGCACTGAGTGACAACAGCAGTGTAAGGTCCCTGCAGAAACACATGGCATATTCTAAATAGGTAATATGAAGAGAGTTCATTAAAGGTTTTACTTACAAAGGTGTTGGCTGGAAGTGGAGAAGCCACAAGGAATAGTGCAGCACCCTTGAGCTAGCAACAGGAGAGCTGTTACTACCCCCTAACCTGAAGGGACCAGAGGACAGAGCAGTTGCTGGAAGCTGAGAAAATGAACAAGGTGAGGAAAGACAAGAGGAGCTACAGACTCTGCAAGGACAAAACCATGGGAATTAAAGGCTCCAACTTTTACTTTTCTCCCAGCCCCTCCCCTACTAGCCAAACCCAATCAGCAGATCAGCAGCCAATGGGCAAAGGAGCCTGAAGATGCAGCCAATACGGTTCTGCTTCCTGGAGCTCACAGCGGGATAAATGAGAGGGGAGAGAGAACCGAACTGGATGGGCAAACAACAGCTCTTCAACACACAAGAGAAAATGGCTAGCTGTCCCACCTACACATAGCTAACACTGACTCTCACTGTGCTGGGCTTAGAAGGTCCATTCTCATGGCCACCACTTTGGAATTTTAGGCTGTATCCATTTAGATTCATGAAACAGATCATCTCTCCCCTCCTATTGGTGGGGATGCAAAAATGCTGTTTAATTGTGCTATATATTTCCCTCTAGTTCTAATTCACATGAACACAGACAGATTGAACTGTGGACACTAATTTATCTAACTGCCGCAAACACAGGTGGCTACTCCAACAGAAGTTTTATCGGTTGAAGGGGGCTGAAAAGAGAGAATGCCTGTTAATTCATCAATTCCTGACCAAACCCAGTCAGAAGCAAATAGGTAAAGGAGCCTGAAGATGCAGTCTATATGGTTCTGCAATAAAAATAAGAACTGTATGGAATCACTTATACTTTCAGCATTTTTTCTAGGGTGAAGAAAGAAAGAGCAGCTATGCCCTGGGTCTTTGAAGGTTTTTAGCTCAGTATAACAGCCTGCTATGTGAACATCATTCAATTCTAACTTAAATTTGTTTCGCCATCACCCCAGAAAGGGACCTGTGTTGCCCAACTCCAAGATCATTTCCACTGAATGACTGTAGGGACACCATTTCCCTAGAATAAAAAATGAATATAGAATGGGCTGACCTGCTGGCCCTGACTCCAAGGCCTGAAGAAAGTTGCATTTATCACTCTCTGGCAGCAGCATGACACCTCATCCTTAATAATTAAGCAAGCTTTTTTACTTAAGGAGATTTTTGAAGTACCCAAATGGAAAAAGTAACTTCAAGAAAAGAAATGCAAATATCTGAGGAGGTCCAGGTTATCTGTAGGAAGGAGGATCCATACTCTCCTCTTCAAAACAACCAATACAACCTAAAGCTCTCAAACAATTCACAGGATCCAAACACTCCAGCTGACTACCTTACAAAACACCATAATATTATGGAAACACCCCAAGCTAAACTTTGATATTCATATTGGTCTTTATGGCCTTAAATTTAATAAAGAAATCACTCTGTTTTCTCCAGCATTAACATCTTTAAGAATAAACCTCAAATGTAAAACACACAAGGGTAAGGGTGTGTGTGTGTGTGTGTGTGTGTGTGTGTGTGTGTTATGTGTGTGTGTATGTGAGTTCCAGTACATTCACTTAATGCATTGGTGCTAAAGAATGAAGCCACAAACCAACATTAAGTTTCAACCTCTATATAGACACATTAATTCATTATACCTTCACAAATAATTATATACGGAAGATCTTTGCACATGAGGAAGCTGAACATAGAAAGGTAATTACATTGCTGAAGATCACACAGCTATACATGACCAAGGCAGTATTCACAGAGCATGCACTTTCCAATGCACCACATTACCTTCAGAGGCCATATCATATCCAGCTTTGTACAGGAGTATTTTCATGTGAATTTTATATGTCAACTTGACTGGACTAAGAGATGCCAGATACCTGGTAAGACATTATTTCTGGGTGTATCTGTGATGGTGTTTCCAAGAGACATTACCATTTGAATTGATGAACTAAGTAAAGTAGATGGGCTTCACCATTGTCACTGGGCCTCGTCCAGTCCATTGAGGGCCTCGATAGAACAAAAAGGCAGAGGAAGGGTGAATTTCCTCACACCTTGAGCTGAGACATCCATCTTCTCTTGCCCTCCCACACTGGCACTCCTGGTTCTTGGGTGTTTGAGCTCAGACTGGGCCTTACATAATCATTGTCTACTGATGCTCAGACTTTGGACTTGAAGTGCATTTCACCATTGGCTTTCCATGTTCTTCAGCGTGAAGATGGCAAATTGTCAGACTTCTCAGCTCCATAATCATGTGAGCCAATTCCTATAATAAATCTCTTCTTACATATCTGTCTTGCTCTATATATAACCTATTGGTTCTGTTTTTCTGAAGAACCTTGATTAATACAAATATATAATCTAATTTAAAAATTCTCTATTAAACTGCCAGGTAAAAATTTTCTCTGCATATTCTACAAAACAGCCACAGTAGACATTTAACTTTCATAATCCCTAATGTCCTCTACACATAGTTCCACGTAAAAATTAATTTTAGTGCAGACAGATATTTAGCTTTAAAATTTGACATGTTCCCTCTTTCCTGATAATAAGAATTTTGCAACCAATCATAATATGCTTCCTGGACTTGACTGCCAGGAAGGTCAGCATCAAATTTAAGATTCAATCACAATAGTTATATTGGGGTTCTGGTAGTACATTCACTTCTTCCATCTTTTCATGATGTTTAGTGTTCATTACATTAATTTTCTGTTTGCTTATTGAAAATTTGGACAGAACAAATAAACAGTCTTATATATATGTGCATGTGTGTGTGTGTGGGTGTATTTATATTCCAGGAAATATGACTTGATCCATAATATATCTAAATTCATGAAATAGGAATCTATAATATCAAGGATGTTACTAGGTAGTTTATCAAATGATTTTATGAGCAAGCATCTTTTCCTTGATCTACACCATGGCTTATAATTTTTATGAGCTTAGATTCACTCTTTGAAAAATAATAATGTTGACTCTGTTGTTAGATATTAGCTCTGATGTAGGCAAAATGTTTCGTAGCATACCCATCATGAGGTGATAATAAAGATCTAAATAATGGTGTTAATAATTCATTTGGTTATATAGTAAGTGTCTCTGTAAGTGAAGAGGGAGGTCTCACATTTCTAAACCATTCTGTTGCAGTTCAGCAGGTGAATTAAATATTTAATGGGTTGCTTAATATTTCATTGTAGACAAATCATAGTAGGCTTTGCCCACTCATGGATGCAAAAGCAGTGATCAAATACTACATATATATATATATATATATATATATATATATATATATATATAAACTTAATTCATAAATTATTTTTAAAGGCATTATAATCAATAGTACACATGCAGGGATACCTGAAGGACCATAACACCAGGTTATCACAAAGCTGTACAGCATTTCAATTGTTGAATATTTTGTTATCCTCTCAGGAGGGCCAACTTGGGGAGAAGCACACACTTTTTATTCCTGCTGTGTACATTTCTGAAATCAAGAGAAGCTATCTTTATTGCTCATGTTATAAAGGAATTCAGGTCTTTGGCCAAAATATGCTGGCTCCCTCTCTACAGTGTAGCTTTCCTCTTTGCCTTCACTGTACACATATTGCAAAAATATATTTGGAAATAAAAGGAAGTGAATTCTCCAAGGATCCACGGGATTATATTGTCTCTGCTATTCTCACTTTCTTTCCCACATGGTACATTTCTGTCAGCTTTGAAAATTTCTCCTGATGGTAATTGGCAGTTTACCCCATTAACGTTCCCCTTATATTTAAAGTGTTTTCCTCATTACCAGCTATTTCTTATTCTGTCCCTAATAATGGGGGACAGAATAATACATCCCTATCCAACTTACAATGATTCAGGGAGGTTTACCAGGAATTGCTTATTAAACAATTATTAACTGTTCGGAAACCACACATGCATTTGTGTTATTGTAACAGCCACTCATTTCAATACAAGCAGCTCACTAAATATGCATAAGCCATTTCCCCACAATAACAGTTTAACCACCATGTCTATATTATGCAATCAGAATGAAATAATGCTCTGGTTTAAGATGCTATCATTTCCTTCCCTGAAGTCTCCTCTTAGTTCTAGCACTCCAGATCACAGCATGTGCTGAAAATTACTGCCTTCGTTTTAGCCATTCACAGCTGCACAATTACACCCTGCCCTCAGACACAATTCCACTGGCTTGCCAATTGCATTACAATACTATTCAAACCATCCTCCTCGCTTTCAAAATGTCGTCTTATACTTGTTACAGCCTCTTTAATGGGCCCTTCCTTTGCTCCACCGCCATTTTTCTTCTAATACAGATGCTAACCAGAGAATATCAAAACAGCAGAAGAGGAAGAACAAACTGTTTGAACCTTATTTAAAAAGGTAGTCATGACTACATCGGACTGAGGCCAAAATAAGCCTTTCTGAGAAGCTTTGGGATAAAGCAGCCTAGCCCTATCATTTTGCTTTCTTGACATAAGGTTGCATTCTGGAAGCCTACCCAATGCTGTCTCAAATGATTCTAGATACAACCAAGTCTACAGAATGGAAGTTGAACTTTGGAGGTCTATTCCAGAAGGTGCCTACCCAATGCTACCTCAAATGATTCTAGATAAAGTCTACAGAATGGAAACTGAACTTTGGTGGTCCTCCGTTTTCCTCATCTGTGAAGTGAGAAATTTTAACAGAAAAACATTTCAAGATTTATTTTAGTCTAAAATTATTTGTGTCCCTGATTCCCCAGTGTTCACAGCCAATTATGCTGCAAGTTACATCATTTGTCGGAGTAAATATCTCTGTCTTCCAGGTGATCAATTATTTGTGAAGGCAAAGATATGCAAACCATCAAGACTTAGGACTATTCCTACAATGGACGTACACACAGTGGGTAAAGAGGGACAAAGGAAAAAAAAACTCCAGGTCTACCTGGCAAAGTCATGAAAGTCTTCATGAATAAGGTGACTCTGGGTGTGTTGTAAAGGAAGTTAAGAGTTAAGAGTTTACTTGGTAAGCTCATTCCAGGGAACTGCATAGGCAATAAAAAAAGAAAGTAAGTCTCTAAGATCTACAAAAGTGCTGTGTTATCTGAGATGCAAGAAACTTTAGGAGAAAAAAAATTGAGAAGTTAATCTCTCTCTCTCTCTCTCTCTCTCTCTCTGCCTTACCATTTTATCTCACAGTTTCTATAGAGGCTTGACCCATCATTCCAAATGCTAACATGGAAAACAAGAAAAAATTACGGAAGCCCATACAAATCTGCAGTTACTTGAAAAACGGCTCATCTTGCAAACATTTTATTTCTAAATACAACAATTTTAGTAGGTTTGATGCAAGTTGAACAATACATTAAACAGTTTCACCTAACTGTGTGATTAACAGATAAAAACACCCATTCTCTATTGGTTGCCCGTTTTAAGTTTTCTATCCACATTTGGAAGCCACAAGCTGGACTATGCTACAACTCTCTTTGTGGGGAAGATACTATGAAATATTCGCCTACTGATGGATACTTACTGTAAGCCACAGAGAGGTGAAATAAGCCTTGAGATGATGGAGATACAGTTCCAAGTCCAGATAGCCAAAGCCAAGAAGCCACACTACTTAATATGATGCTTAATCACCTCCCTAAAGGAGGAGGTAATCACAAAAAATAATTATTGAAAAAAATAGCAGAAACTGATGCAAATATAATGACTGTACAAAATTTGGTGGTCTGGGAGTTGAAAACTATTTAAAGTACATCCTCTGTAAATGATTATAGAATCTAATTAATGTGAAAAAAATTGAGGGTTCAGATACTAACCAATTAGCGTTTCTTTAAATTATAATATATACAATTGTTTTTTAATGAAATCAATTTTCTATAAAGCATCACATATCAGAATATTTCTTATTCCCCCTAGAGTGAACACATAGCTCAAAGGGAGCTCTATATATTTTTTAAGGTTTTCTTCTTTCAATTACTGTAGTACCAGGATATTGACATAGTTATTTCATGGGCACAATGATTCAGTCATGTCATGTTATTGAGGGCAGAAGTAAAACCAAAGTGACCCATCTTGGGATCTAGAACAATGGAGATGCCCTTGAATGTATAAGATATATTAAATAAGAATGGGCGTTTAAGAATAATTTATATGAGGTTATAGAATTCATGTTGATCCCATTGAAAAAGTGATATTCAAATCTCTGAAAGTTCTATTTCTTTCAAATTAACTCAGGTCCAGGAGAAGCACTTCACAGTGATAAAAAAAAATGTGTAAAATATACATAACTATGTTTTTGGATGTGTGTCTGTGTATTTCTGTCTGTGTGTATGTGTAGTCAAACATTCTTTGCAATTATAAATTGACTTCAAAAAATCAAATGTTAATTAGCTAGAAAGGAAGTAATGATGTGCAATATAGCTGACCCGAACTGACCTGAATTAAAGTATAGACATGCTTAGGATGCAGGTTAGTGGATTTGATGGTGAAGATGGATTACAAAAAAATGGAATCTATGAAAACTATTGAATATGTAAGCATTTTTGTCACCAAAAGAAAATATATAGGCTCTAATCAATGGTTCTTGCTGTTCAAAAGAATTTTTTTTATTTTGTGAAACTTAAATGTTAAAATCTTTTTTTTTCAATCTCCCAAAACATTTACAAAATACATTTTGTAAGAATCTAAGAAATTGGATTATTACAGTGGAGGGCAATAATGACATTGTGGTAAAATCCCATGGCCAGCCAACATCTTTTTTGCTATGTGAAATAAATCATTTTTCTTATTCAACTAACAAAGAAGTGTTACATAGCAAATCTAGATGAAAGATATTGTTGCTGGTTAGTAAAGGAGAATAGAAAAAGAAGTTCTTTCATCAGGAAAGGCAGCATTAATCCTGCAAAGGGAGACTTTAGATGACCCTAGAAAATCTATGGATTCACTTTGAAAGCAGCCATATGAAAGGCTAGCAGGGCAAGATGCCAAAAATTGGCAAGGGAATCTCTGGGCAAGGCCTAGAGGAAGTTAGGGAATGTGTGTAGACTACAAAACCAAAAAGAAAGCATTGCTAACTACTTCTATTGTCCTTTGGTCAATGTTTATGGGAATTTGAGTTTATGGGAATTTTCAAAGGAAATTGGTTGGGTAAACTGCAGACAAATGGTTTTTTTGTTTTAACTAAGTTCCACAGAGAAAGGTCACAATCAGTGTGGCTTCAGCCAGTGCTGATTTTGCAAGAGAGTAAAAATGTTTACTGGCCAGTTTGGAGGTGGTTGCTTTGTTTTGTTTTTAGCGCAGTGTTGATATCAGGTCAGTGGTCCCTGACCTGAGACAGTACCACCTCTGGAGGGAGTCGTTAACTAAAAGTAGAAACTACCATTTAGAAGACAGGGAAGCAGATAGGGGTACTAACCATTCTGGAATATGCAGAACAGTCTGACAGGTGAAGAACTGTCCCACTCAACATGCTTTAGTGACTCCTTTAAGGAATACTGAGATCTTTCCCTACCCATCATAATCGCTCCCTTCAAAATCCAATCTATGATGCCTAAAGCAATCTGTAACTCTATAATCATGCAAAGAAACCAAAGAACTGAACACAAAGTTTTCAAGGAATTGTTCCCAAGTGGCTAGGAACCAGTCAACCCTAGTCTATCATTAAAGTAAAGGCAGGCATATCCTAATGTATAAAATAGGGGTTGCTAACATGCAAGATTTGAGGTATCCAGACTCTGAACCCTGTTATTCTAATGAGAGTGGAAAAATAATCAAACTGAAAGAATCAGGTTTGAATAAAAGGTATAATTTTAGAGCTCAGCATAGTGTGGAAACCAACAGGCATCCTTGATTGTAAGGGCCCAAGAAATGCTCATCCAAGTAGGAAATGGTCATAAGAGAGAGCATGGGAAAGAAAAAATAAGTCTACTGGAATGCATAATTTTGCTAGATACTTGTCTAGAATTATAGTAGTGAGAAAGTGACTTGTCTCATATATAAATCACCTCCAAATAGAAGTCAGACATAACAAACAGCAGGACAGAAAATTCACCAGGCCACTTAGTACAGGTTTGCAACAAATCTCATATACAAGTTTTGATGTTAAATAACTGTAAGTATTTGCATATGGTAGAGAGTACTTGGCAATGTCATTTTCCTTCTAAGGTACTAATGCTCTGAAACAAGCATCACTTGGTACCAGGCTACATGCATTGTTTGAATCATAAGACTGAAGGAAAAAGAATAAAAAGAAAACCATGACTTGTCCCCCAGTGGTTCAGAAAAATGCAAACGCCAACACTCAATAAAAATGATTAAAATGTGCATGAAATTGTACTGCTTTCCATTTCACCAATCTCAAAAAGACCATGAACAACATTATGTATAATCAATGGCCTACCCATCTGCAACGCATGAACAAGCTCGTTTTAACTAAGCCCTACTCTATGGTCTTTCTGTGAAGTTCCATCTGCACTAGTAAGACTTCACTAGCCAGACATCTTCTTTGAGTTTATTCACTCAGATGGAGTTGCCTATGGAAAGACTTACGCCTTCTCCAATGGTTTTTAAGTCCATTCATTCAAAACATGGAAGGGTTATTTAATTTGTGTGGTTTAGTGACTCATGGCCTTCAGAGAGTGAGAGAAAGTGTTTATTTACATCTTTCCCTTGACTTGAGGGAAGAAGGGGATGATGGTTATCTAAACCAACCAGCAGAAACTTGAATAATTATGATAATTTCTCACCCACTCTCAATAACTTGTTCCAGCATTTGAAGGTCTGTGATATACAGGAGTGTCTCTCTATTGTCCTTGAAAAGTCCCCAAGTGAACAAAATTTGGTTTCTATAAAAAAAGTTCCAGACATTTCACTTATTCCTAATTATTATTTCTTTTCATGACAAAAACAAATGAGTCTTCAGTTTTTTTAGGTTGTGTGTGTGTGTGTGTGTGTGTGTGTGTGTGATCAAATATGATATCACTATCTTGGCCAGTAAAATTGGTAGTTATACCCTCCCAAGCTCTTCCAAACCTTATTTATGGCTTCTTCATATATGTCCCAGATATAGAAGCAGAGAAAGTTATGTTTATAATTTTAAATTACTATTAAAAAACACAAGTCTTTAAAATGGAAGCTTTTTAAGGAGAAAGATAAATTCATGACTTCAGCCTTCACAGAAATCATACTGTAACAGGCTTATAACTTCATAATGGGTCTTTTTCCAAACCTAAACAAATATTGACTTTAGAGGAACTCAAAACTCCCAGAATTGATAAGAAGCACAAAGGTTAAAATACTGGGGAATATTTCAGTTTTATAATTTAGAACTTAATCTCTGAAAATCTTGAATTAGATTTTATCACAACTGAATGACTCTCTACTGTCACCTACAGGTAGCACCCAACACTCATAATCCCCTCTGAAAAGGTTTTAAGTGGGGCCTTGGTAGAGCTAGTCTAGTTTTGAAAGAAAACTCCTCAGACCTGTGTGAATTAGATGGCTGCAGAGGCTACTGTTAAAATTCCACGGTCGCCAGCAAGTTTCCATGCGAGGTCAAAATTTACAAACCATCCCACGAAGAAATTACCAGATCATAGGAAAACAAGTGAAAGTGTCCTCAAAGACCAGTGGATGCCATTTCCCTGCTCAGGCCAGTGTCCCTGGCAATCAGCCTGCCATCCTCTATGCCAGTTTCTTTAACTTTTCTCCCTCATAAATAATATTTCCTGTCTTGTGTTTTTAGGATAGTTGTAGAGGTCATGGAAACCTGTAGAGGTCCTACGGAAACTACTTTTAAAAAGGGATACATTTCAAAATTCATACCTAAAAAAAAAAAATCAAAAAGCAGTAGGAGCAATAAAGTTTACATGAACTAACATTTCAGAGAGGACAGAACACTTTTTAGGTGAGATGAGGGTAAATGAGAGTAAGATATGATTATGTGTGTATGTAATATGCAAATGAGGCTGATAACCAAAGGGGAAAAAATAAAAGCAGACTCACATATGATCCAAGTATTAGAGTTAACATCCAAGGACTTAAAAAATGTATATGATAAAACTAATTCAAGATAAACTATAATAAGTATGCATGCTGAAATCTCTCCAGTAACCACTAAAATCATAAAATAATGCATAACTAAAAAGATTAGAAGAGAAAAATAGAATAATAAAATACTCATTTAATTCTCAAAAAGGCAAGAGAGAGGGGTTGGAGTGAGAGTAAGTAAAAAATGCAACAAATAGAAAATAAAGGCAAGATGGTAGACCTGAACTCATCTGTGCCATTAATTGTATTACATATAAATGGATGAATAGTCAAATTAAAAGACAAAAATTGTCAGAATAATAAAAATGACAATACCTAACTATTTGCTAGTGTAATAGGCAGGATAACGGCCCTCACAAAGATGTCCATGTCGTCATTCTCAAGACCTGTGGATATGATACCTCACACAGCAAAACGGACTTTGCAGATGTGATTAAGCTAAGGATCTTAAAACAGAAAGATTATTCTGGATTATCCAGATGGGCCCAACATAATCACAGGAGTCCTTCTGAGTCAAACAGGAATGCAAGAGAGTCAGCATCAGGTGGATGCAACGTAAGGAAGCCTCGAACAGCCCCTTTTAAGATGGAAGCAGCCATGAGCCAAGGAATGTGGAGAGCCTCTAGAAGATGAAAGGCAAGAACATGCATTCTCCCCTTGACACTCCAAAAGAAATACAGCCCTGCTGACACCTCGGTTTTAGCACACTGAGAGCCATTTTGGACTCCTAACCTCCAGAACTGTAAGAAAATTCATTTATGCTGTTGTTAAGTCAACGAGCTATGACAGTTTGTCGCATCAGCAATAGGAAATTAATACAGTTGGCTGTAAGAGAAATATCTTAAATATAAGTATATAGATAAATTAACGGTAGAGGATGGTAAAGGTATATCAAGCAGATGTTAACCACAAGAAAGCAGGTATGGCTATAGTAATGCTAGACAAAGTAGACTCTTGGACCAGAAGTTTTACTACACATAAATAGGAATATTTTATAAGTGTACAAGTGTCAATTTAACTGAAAGACATGGATATCCTAATTCTTTTTTAATCTGAGGGAAAAAAATAGAGAACTAGACAAATCCACTATCATCATTGGAGATTTTAACAACTCCTTCTCTCAAGAACTGAAAGAATGGCAGACAAAAATACTTAAGGATGTAGAAGATGTGAAGAACACAATTAGCTAAACTGTCCTAATCAAATATGTATAAAACGATACTCAACAACTGCAGAATCCACATTCCTCTCAAGGGCATATAAAACATTTCCAAAATAAAGCATGCATTTGGTCATAAAGCAAAACAATGAATCTCAAGGGATTGAATCATACAGATTATGCACTCTGCCCCCAGCGGAATTGATTTAGAAATAAAAAGCAGAAAGATAACTAGAAAAATCCACCAACTTTTTGAAAATTGAGTAATATACCTCTAAATAAGAAAATAGGAAAAAAAATGAAATTACAAAATGTTTGAAGTGAATGAAGATAAAAATATAATATATTAAAACTTATGGAATGCAACTAAGGCAATGCCTAATGGGAATTTTGGCTTTACATGTATATATTAGAAAAGTATAAAGGTAAAAGATCAATTATCTAAGCTTCTGCCTAGAGGAAAAATAAAAAAAATTTGAAATTTAAGAAAACATAAAAAGGAAATAAGAAAGGTAAGATAAAAATTAATGACACAGAAAGCAGATATACAGAATTCAATATAGTCAGACTTTCTTTGAAAAGATTTGCAAAATTTTTGTCTAGTCTCACATAGCAAAGCTGAACAAGAAAAAAAAAACAAAGCACACATATCAGGAATTAATGAGGGGCATCACCACACGGAAACAGATAATGAGAGAATATTATGAACAAATTTATAGCAATAAATCTGTCAAACTAGATGAAAGGGATACATTCACAAAAAAAACACAAATTACCAAAATGTATGAAAAACAATGAAAATTTGTATCTATAATTTAAAACCTTTCCACAAAAGCCCAGAAGGCTTTACAAATGAATGCCTCCCAACATTTAAGGAAGAAACAACACCAAGCTTAAACATACTCCCTTATGGAATAAAAAAAAAAGTAAAAATACTTTCCAATTTATGTTATGAGGCTAGGATAATCCTGACACTGAAACCTAAGAAGGATATTACAAGAAAATAAATTACACATCATTATTCCTCATAAACAAAGATACAAAAATTCTAACCAAAATATTAGTAAATGAAATGCAGCAATATATAAAGAGATGACACAACATGATCAAGAGGTATTTATTCCAGTGATGCAAGATAGGTTTAACAACCAAAAGTCAATCAACATGGCATAAGTAAGACAAAATCTGTGAGTTTTGGTGTATCAAAATTAAGTAACTTACTCTTCAAAGATGCCATTAAACAAAGCAAAAGATAACCCCACACACTGGGAAAAATATTTATGAACTACGTATATGATAAAGGACTTCCAACCCAATTTTTAGAATGGGCAAAAGTTGTGAATAAAGACTTTACAACAGGAGATACACCAATGGAAAATAAGCCATGAAAATATGCTCAACTTCATTAGTCATGTAGGCAATGCAAATTAAAACCAAGATGAGATACCTTACATAAACACAAGAATGGCTAAAATCAAAATGATGGACATTACCAAGTATTGGCAAGGTTGTAAGGAAACTGGAAACCCTATTCATTACTGGTAAGAATGCAAAATGCTACTGCTATTTTGGTAAAGAATTCAGCAGTTTCTTAAAAGTTAAACTTATATTAAAACACAGCAATTCCACTCATATATTATTTACTTAAAGAAAAAGAAAATATATGCCCACACAGAAAGACGTGTAGCCAAATGTTTATAGCAGCATTATTCATAGCAGCCAAAAACAGAAACAATTCAAATCACTTTCAAATGGTGAAATAATCAAACTGTGACATATCAAGACAAAGGAATACTACTCAGCAATACCAAGGAATTAACTACTGATAAATGCAATAACATGGATGAATTTTGAAAACATCCTGGTAAGAGAAAGAAGTCTGACACAAAACATTGTATTTGTATGATTCCATTTCTATAAAATTTTCAGGATAGGCAGTAGGAGATAGGAATACAGAGACAGGAAAAAGATCAATGGTTATTTGGGTTTGAAATGGGGATTTATAATAACAGAGGCTGATTAATGGGGAAAATAATCCCAGAGGAACTTTGGTTTAATAACCTTTATTTTTTAGAGCAGTTTTAGGTTCACAGTAGAATTAATACAGAGTGCTCACATCTCTCCCTGTCTCCCCATCAGCACAGCCTCCCCAGCATTCCACCCACAGTGGTACATTTGTCACAATCTATAAACTTGCATTGGCACGAGACCATCACCCAGAAGCCCATCGTTTACACCAGGGTTCACACTTGGAGTTATACATTTTATGAGTTTTGACAAATGTACGATGGCAGGTATCCACCATTATTGTTTCATACACAATAGTCACACTGCCCTAAGAATATTCTGTGCCCCATCTATTGATCTCTCTCTCCCTCCCCCAGAACTCCTGGCAACCACTGATCTTTTCACTGTTTCCATAGTTGTGCCTTTTCTAGGGTATCATATAGTTGGAATCATTCATTATGTTGCCTTTTCAGATTGGCCCCTTTCACTTACAATTTGCACTTAAGTTTCCTCACAGAGGAAATTTTAGGGGGTGATGGAAGTCTTCTAACCCTTGGATTGAATCCAGGAATTTCAATCCTAGATTGTGACATGCAAAAATGCACAACATCATTAGCCACCAGGAAAGTACAAATTAAAAGCACAATGAGATGCCACTTCATACCCAGTAGGATAAAAAAGACAGATAATAACAAAGGTTAGCAAGGAGGTGGAGAAATTGAAACCCTCATACACTGCTGGTCGGATTGTAAAATCATGCTTTGGAAAACAAGCTGATAATTCTTCAAAAGGTTAAACATAGAGTCACTATATGATCCAGAATTCCAATCCTAGGTATATACCCAAGAGAAATGAAAACATGTCCACACAAACACTACATAAATGTTCGTAGCAGCATTATTCATAACAGCCAAAAGAGCAGAAACATATAAATGTTCACCAACTGACAAATAAAACGTGGTGTATCCATACAATGGAATATTAGTAGACAATAAAAAGAAAGAAATACTGGTACATATTCATGAACACAGATGTACCTTGAAAACATGCCAAGTGAAATGAGTCAGTCACAGAAGATCATGCACTGTATAATTCTATTTATATTAAATGTCCAGAATTGGAAAATCTATAGGATCTATAGGAACAGAAAGTAGATTAGGGTTGCCTCGGATGGGGGGCGGGGGAGGGAGTGGAGTTGAGAGGAAAGGGAGAGTGATTGTGAATGGGCATGGGGTTTCCTTTTGGATGATGAAAATAGCTTAAAATTTATTGTAGTGATGGCTGCACCACTTCATATATATACTAAACACCATTGTATTGTACGTTTTAAATGGGTAAACTCTTTGGTATGCGAATTACATCTCAATAAAGTTGTAATTTTTTTTAAAAACCCTGTTTTTTTGATGTCATTAAAATAAAATTACCGGGTTGTGGAGATGGTTGCATAACTATTCCTTGCCAGGTTTCCTTGCCCAAGAGCACTGACTACTGGTATTAAAAAGTGTAGTTTTGTATTTTTGGAGGGGAGAAAACCTAGAAGTTGCTATATCTTTCTATTTTATCCTATTCATTTATTTCTGTAGGATCCTTAATTATTCCCTCTTTCTTCTTTCTTTCCAATTATCACCAACTCTCCAATGGAAGCTCCCCATGTCAAGTCACCCTTCTCCACCAGATGCAATGTCTTCTTGAGACAGCCATGTCATGTCCCACAAACATCCCAGTTATTTCCTTCCAGTGCCCCAGTAGCTGGCACACTGGTCTACAAAGTCTTAGACCTCCTCCTAAGGCCTCCAATGTCAGTGGTACTTTCCCTCTATTGAGTGAATATTTTCTGTTTCCATCAACTCCCGCTGTTTCCCCTCTCCTCTTTTCTCAGTTTCCTCTGCTACACTTGGGTGTTTCTCTATTTAGAGGTAATACACAGTTTGTAGCGTCCTTGGTCTCTAGGTTATGTTGTGATTTTATTTGCTCTTTTTGTTGATCTGTATTTTTTCTCTGGAAAACCTGGATACATTTGGATTAGACATCCTAAGTACCATTTTTACTACCCCCAATATGCTAACTATCATGGCAGAGATAAGTATAAATTACAGTCTTTGAATCTCCAAAAACTTTCATCTTTTTATGGAGAAAATATTTTAACACAGACAACAGGAAAATAAGATACAAGGCAGTATATAATTGAAAGCTCTATTACCTACAGAAATTGTAAATGTTGTAGAAATTTGCAATAAAAGTGGAGATCACTGTGACTTAAACTATTGATAAAACATTCATAAAGAAGGCAGGATTTTACTTCAACTTTGATGAACAAATGTGATTTTTTATAGAATTGAAATCTAGGTTTTTAATAATATCTAGTTCAGTAGAAGTGTCAGGGCACTATTTGAATATTTTAAGATATTAAATAAGGTGGTTTTTTTCTTCTATTTTCCACTCTTTTCTCTATTAACTCAGTGGGGTTTATTACCTGTGGTGAAACATAATTCATCAAAAGTGAGGACTGGTGAAGGCGAATCAAGTTTCAAAACCTGTTCTCTAAGGAAACCCAAGGCAAGTAGAATGTATAATAAACACACACACAAACACACACACACACACACACACAAACACACACACAAACCAGGAAAGATTCCCAAGCACTAGGAGACCACAGAGAGTTAGAAAGGGTAAGCTTACAATTTGGTAAGGCCCTGAGAACAAAGCTCCTTCCCCTCCCAGGCCATTAAAGATCCCTAATGGGTTTAAGAAATAAAAAAAGACAAAATCTGTCTACAGAGGGCTCCATCTTTTCTATCAATTAAAATTGAAGAGTCCTTTGCTCATGCAATGAGCTTGGTATAAAGTAACATATTTCCCATTTTCTAAACTAGCCCCTCCACAAAGAGTTTGTGGTATCCATTTTAACTTTGCTGTTGTTTAGATACAAAAACCAATCTTGGAAACAAAATCAGTTTTTGTAACATTTATTCATCTGTCCCTAATTCCCCATAAGAAAATTCATTACTCTCTCCTCTAGAGTACTCCCATAAATGTCACATATCAAGTTGTACATTACTTATTCTTAAAGTATCTATTTCCTTGATCAGGTTGCAAGCATCTTGAGAGCACACAGCAAATCTTTTTATCTTTGTATCATCAGCTTGGTACAGTGTCTGACACACAGGAGTTCCTTAGTGAACTAGACTGAAATTACTTACTGTACATTTCAAAATAGCTAGAAAAGAATAATTCGAATGTTCCTAGCATGCACAAAAGATAAATATTTAAGGTGGTAGATATGCCAATTACCCTGATTTCTTTGATCTTTACATATTATGTGAATGTATCATATTATCAGAGGTACCCTGAAAACATGTATATTTATTATGTATCAATAAAAGCTAAAAAATTAAAAATAAAAAAATAAAACTAAGTAGTGATCATCAGCTCTTTAGGATTGGGAAACTCACATTCACCTTTTTCATGTTAAAAAGACAATTACTTTTTGCTAAGGACAGAAACATAGAAAGAAATGGCCTGGAAGCAGTTTCAAAAACTATAAAAACTTAAAAAAACCAAACTGTTATAATTTTAATTATTCAATCCTTGCAATAATATCCCTTTAATTAGTGATTTTAAACATCCTTACATCTCCAAGAACCTAATTTTGTACTGAATATGGAAATCTAGAGGTCATTTCATTTAATAAACACGTACCTCCTAATCAACTGCATACTAATGAAATTAATCTAAAGGCTAAATTTCAATTATGAATTATAGACCCTCATCTCTGTTCCTTGATTACCCAAAGAACCTATATCCGGAAACTTCCAACACATAACAAAATGATCTGCTGAAAATAACAACTTTTTGAAGATCAACTTCATTTAACCAGATAAGGAGAAAAGAGACATGCCTCTAATTCTTAATTTTTATATAACACTCCTTATGCAAAATAATGATTTACAAACACCTAGTTGATAACTTGGCTTACTTAAGGCATGTCGCACAGGTTTAGATGCTTAAAATGGGCCATAAAACTTAAGGTTTGTAATTAAGGCACACACTTCAGCAGGAGTATTTATCCTGCTTTAGTTCTAAGAAATTAATTTGAAGTGAAGAGAGAATGGTTTCTCCTCTCAATTCATAGCTCTCACAGTTTATTCTAAGCATGTATTCTCCAAAGGAAAAAAAATCAAATATAAAAGAATATTTTTTTCCTGAGCTGAGTAAGACATACATCATCTGACATTTATACTTCAGTTGAAAATTAATTTGCATGACTATAAAACAAACAGATTGTGTTCTTTCACAATGGGGCACTGCAATTTGAATAACTACTTCATACAGCATATCTGGAAAAAATAATAACTTAAAAGTCCCAGCACACTTTCAGTTAATTGTTCCAACAGACCACTAGTATTAACCTCAGAGCAGAACCATACTCCAATTGGAAGAAGTCCTTTCTCATTCCTTCAATCAATTGTGATTTGTAGTGTATGCATAACTCTAGTAGCTTAAGGTCTCTCCCAGCGGGCACTTTAACCCCATTCTGGGTTAGCAGTTTACTTCACTGAATCACAAAACTGAAAGGAAAATCCAGATGCCTTCAAGTCAACTATGCGTAGCTGAACACAGGCTTGAAATTTCTTAACCTTACCCTCCAGTTGGCTTCAACACGATCCTGCCTTATACTCACATATCTCATTTCTCCTCTGCATCAGTCAGTTTTGGTTAAGCTGTGCTGCATTAAGAAACAAAGGAAAGTCTTACAGGCTTTCAACCATAGGTTTGTGTCTCACACAGGCTACACACTAATCACAGATCTGAGAGCCAGGTTGGAAAAGCAGCCTCTATCTGGGACATGGCAGCCTTAGGACAGAAGGAGAAAATAGCATTAGGGGAAACTACACAATGGCTCTTAAAAGTTCTGCTTGGAAAAAATCACTCATGATATCATCTCATATTTCACTGGATAAAGCAAATCACACGGCCAAGCTTTGTACAAGAGGCTCCTGGAACAAGGGATAGCAGTATATTTCTAATAATATAGTGAATAATAAGGTTAATACAATCTACCATACCCACTACAACCATAAATATTTATATTTGCCAAGAAAAACTTCATATTCCACTCCAAATCTCCAAGAGATTTTGAATCTTAACATCCAAAGGGACAAAAAGACCAGGGAAGTTGGTTCCTTTTGTAAACTTACATTGTAGGCACATTTTATAAAGCAACCTATTCCTAAAAATCAGTCCTTGAAATTCTATAAGAATCCAGTACCATCTAGTCCTTCCAGCGGCCTGAGAAATATTCACTGTGCCAGAGCAGAGGGTAACTTTCTCTTGGCAAACAGAAAAGAATAATTTACACCTAGAGAGCTAAAAAAGAGAGGGCTTATGAAAAAATTGTCAGAGCTCATAAAACTTGGGTACTTAATCAAAAGTATACTATACAGATATAAAGAAAAAAATATTCCAACTGAAAACTTTCCTTGAAAAAAAAAGAATCATCCAACTTCAATTTTTGAAGCTTCTTGGATTTCATTTGTAAGGTGCTCTGCATTTTCTGAATAATATTGGATTATGAATTCCATCATTTTCTAAATTTTGACTCTCCTCCTTACACTCATCCTGGAAACAAACTCAAAGTATCTTGTTAAAATTACCCTATGCTTTCTTCTGAATTTTAGGTTCAGTTCTTGATACTTCTGGCAACCTTGTGTGTCTTGGCCACCAACATATGCCTCACTCAAAGACTGCTAAAATCTGCCACCCCATTAACCCAGAGAAAGCTGATGTACCCCCTTTTTTTAAATATACTATGCCAATCTCCATCCCTACAACATACTTAAACATTCCTTTTGATTCAAAATAGCTTTCTGTATTTTAAATGGTGCTAAAATTATTAGGTGAATGACTGATAAGAAATCATCGACATTTATGTAATGCCAAAACAAGCCTACACACAGAAGAAAGTAATTTCTTGACAGAAGGGGAAACACGTAACTGCACAATGGAAATACCAGTGTCATCGTTTTAATCCAGCCATTATTTTTAGCATCACAGAGACCATGCGCATTCCGATATGGTGCAATCTGAATTATACAAAATGGCCAGTGAAGCCCAAAATGTTTGTTGATGAACATTTTAGATGAAACGTCTGATTAACTAAATAAATACAAGAGAAACAAGCCAAGCAAGCAACACATTGAAGAAGCAATCAGACGAATCCAGGAGGTGATATATTTCACAGGAAAACTGAACAGGTCTCTTCAACAAGCCAACATCATTAAAAAATAGGCAGCTCTTAGGTAAAAGAAACGTAAGAATCATAACAAGCAGAAACAATACATGGTCCTCTTTGGGATGCTGGACAGGAAAAGCAGCAGTGAAAGACATTTTGGTGACAACTGGGAAAATGTGAAATGTGAATATTCTTTGGTACTACAGGAGATGAAAATATATTTATAAATTCATATATACATATATGTATACCGACAGACAGATCAAAGTGAATATACACTAAAGTGTTAAAATAGTTATCTCTACATGATGAAATATGATGATTTTTTCCTTATTGTTGCTTGTCAGTATTGTCTAATTGTCTACACTGCATATGACTGCTTCTGTAATAACACAAGACTGTGTTTTAAGGGGTTAGCCTCAACATGATTATATGGACAATACTTTGAATTACAGCCTTGAGTTTGTTTTCTGATTTTATTTGATCCTTGTGTGTCAGTTAAACTTTTTTCTGTCTCTAAACTATAGCAGGGAAGGGAGACGTGGAGGGAAAAGAACTCATTTGTTTGACTGGTCACTGGGCTTGGTCCTTGACTTAATCTACTACATTTAATCTTCATAATAGCCATACAAACTGGATATTATCATCTCATTTTACATTTTATAAAACAGGCTCCCAGGAGTTACACAACGTGGTTTAAGACCATGTATTGGGTATCAAGTGAGGCATTCTCATCCAGCTTTACTGAATTTCTGAACTGGGGCTGTAAGGGCTTTCCCGGAAATCCCAAAGACCTCCACCTAATGAGTTGCTCATTGCCTCAAGGGGAAGTCTGTAAGAGAATCAGAAAACAGAAATCTCAAACTCTTTACTTTTGGGTTTGCCGATTGGTCTTGGATGTGTGTTTGAAACAGAGCAGACATGTTTAATGGAAAACAAGAGCTGGAAGCAGTTTGGGTTTCTATGAAAAGGAGTGGTGGAGAGCACTCAGACCCCGGGAGCCCTATCCTGCTTTCCTTCTGGGTCCTCCAAGATGGAAAGTGGCCCCTGCGCCCTCATCTCACTGTCCCCACACTGCTGTGGCCAAGGTGGCAGGGTAGTGACAGCAGCCAGGGGCCAGGCAGAGGGGCTACACTGCCTCACCAGCTCTAACCTGAGGGGGCAAGGGGAACAGCCAAACATCATCCTAGTGACAAGAAGGGCAAGGTTTTGACAGAGCAAGCAGCAGACCTGATGGATCTCCCAGTGCTAGAGGATGCAGTGTGAAGGGCAGTGTGGACTTAAGGACAACAGAGCACGTGGGCACTAGGATATGTTGCAGAGGCCAGTGAGTGGAAGGCTTGACAATACCCAGGAGCAGCAATGGTTTAACACCTCAGAGGATGCCAGCTCAGATCATGGCAGACTCCTGCGGGCCAGAAGCCCCTCCCACAACAAGTGCCACCAGGGGAGAAAGGTGGTAGTAATGTCCAGAATTGAATGATTAAAATATAGAGAGAGAGAGACATAATGAAGTTAACCTACAATTAGCTCAGATTACATTTTCTGCCATTAGGCTGAATGGCATTATGAAAATAGAGATTGTTTTGCCAGAGGAAAAACAACTAAGAAATTTCCTCATTTGCATGCATAAGTATGTGGCTTAAAAATATTGGTAGTAGCTAGTATAATAATTTATACCTGTTTAGAGAGCCAGTGGATGTCACTGTAACTTGCCTTGAAAATTGCACTTCACAGTGCTACTAACAGAGGAAAGGTTAACAAATATTTCATCATGATGACAATTTTATAGACTAAGGATAAAAAAGTATCTTGTATATAACACCTTTGAAGCTCAGAACTAAATATTATCAGATAGAAAACGATTCAAGGTTTTGGAAATTTAAGACACATTTATTAAAATTGAATTTCATTTTATTTTATAATCCTTCATGAAGGAATAAATTCATCAATAATTTAACAGCCTTCTATTTGCACATTTTAAATTTTCTTTAACATATTTTACAAAAACAAAACAAAGAATGGAGCCTACAAAATAAATATCATCTTTGCAATAATCTAAGCCCTTTAATGTCTTACAAAAAAAAAATCTGTGCCTAGCCATTTCTGTATCAGAGAGCATTGTTGTTCTAAATGATAGAAGGAATGAACCAAATAAAAGGCAGCCCAAGTAGAAAGAATGTTCTCCATCTTGCAGAGTCTGTGCTCAAAATTGTTATTTGTAAAAGCTCCATTTTGATTACTTTTGTTTTGCCCTGAAGAATACTTTAATATTCAGCTAGAAATATAATTTATGAATGACAATATTGCCTACAAACTGCAAGAAAAATAAGACAGGGTAAAGGTGAGTCGTATCATATTGCTACTGTGATTTGAAACTAAAGAGAGACCACTCTTTAAAAAAGTATTTCACATGGTGACTCATTGGGAAACAGAAGTTTCCTCACGACACACATTCTTAGAACACACCCTCGGGTTCACTGGATCTATGTGGCCTATGCTTCACACTTTTAACATAAATAATCCATTCACCAGTAAGTTCTCTCAAGGAAACTCTAATTAAAGTCCTAACTGCCATGCATTTCTCTTACGAAATTGATGAAGAAGACTCTCACAAACTGATTCACAGGCAGCATTGACACCACTGATTAACTAACTTGTTGAAAAGGAGGTGATGAAACAGTGGGTCCTCACCAGTCATTTGCCTCAGGGCTCTCTACCTTACTCTTCCTCTCCTCTGTGAGGAGGGGAGCTGATTCCTGCAAATTACAATTCCCACACTCCCCTTCCAACTAACTTCTGATTATGGTCTTCCAACTGGAGGGCCTGGCAGGAGATTGCGGGTGGGAGGCCAGGAGAAGCTCTTAGCTTTTATAGCCTCTCTACCTCCCTTAGGACAGCATTTTCAGCAGTGCTGTGACTCCTTCAGGGTTCCAGGTCTCTCTTGGTGGCTCCAGTTCTGGGCTCTGCTAATTTCACCTCCTTCATTGGTCTCTCCTTTCTGCTGTAGCTAAGCTCTGAATTGTTTCACCATCTTCTGTTTGTATTTCAATTGTCAGAAACATCTTTTGAATGAGTACCCATCTTAAATTCCCTTTGGTTCAACGAGAACCACGTGGCATGTACTCTGTTTCCCAGCTCAATTCTGCCTGATATGAGAACCACATAGATAATTCATGAAGAAACCATCCCAAGATTTTGCTAGCTAGGTAGAATAACACACTAAGCCATAGTCAGCCTTTAACCCTTTTGCTCACAAGGTATACGGCAGGTATAAGGGTCCTGAGAAAACAAGATGAGAATGGACAAAAAGACTCATTCATTCATTTTTCAAATGCCAGGCAGTGTGCTGGATGATGAGGTTACAAACATGAGCAAAAGCAAACACAGTCTTCACAGTGTCTAATATAATGAAGAAGATGAGCATGCATGGAAAATCACGCTACTCAGCGTAAGTTTGCAACAGCGTACAGTCAGTTCTGCCTGGATGTTTGCTCTGAAATGTGAAATTCATATATTAGGGAACAATTTGAGCATAATGTGATCTTCCTCTGTTGAATGTTGTCATTCCTCTATTTTGTTTTTTCTTTTTTTTAATTAACAGATAATATTGCATGTTTTTATCATGTACAACATGATGCTTTGAAGTATATATACACACTGTGGAATGGTTCTATCTAGCTAATTAACACATGCATTAACTCACATAGTTATAATTTTTGTATTAAGAGCATGTAACATGCACACTCCAAGTTTTTCAAGAATACAATATATCGACACTAACTATAGTCACCTTGCTGTATAATAGATCACTTGAAAATTATTCCTAACTTTAATTATGTATCCTTTGACCAACATCTCCCCAACCCCCCAACCACCCCAGCCTCAGGTAACCACCATTCTACTCTCTACTTCTAGAGCATAACATAATTTCATCTTTGCTACGCAGCAATTTCATCTGGCAGAAGCACCAGGTGAACAAGCAAAAATCTGCACCCAGCTGACCACAGCCAAGTGGTTCAATGAAGGGAATTTAAGATGGGTACTCATTCAAAGGGTGTTTTTGACAATTGAAATGCAAACAAGAGATGGTGAAACAATTCAGAGCTTAGTTACAGCTAAGAAGGAGGAAAGAGAGACCAATGAAGGAGGTGGAATTAGCAGAGCCCAGAACTGGAGCCACCAAGAGAGACCTAGAACCCTGAGGGAGTTACAGCAAGGTAGTAATACACAAACGCAGCAGAAGCGCACACCTCTTCTGGCGTTACAACTTCCGCACACATCGCAGGTAAACCCTTTCTACCACGTCGCAACTCACAAGCTGCAGATTTTCCAAAGCCTACTTCCACAAGTACATTTCAGATCTTTTCCAAGGTAAAATACATTTACTGAAGTATTTAGGCATTTCTTAACCACTTTACACATGCAAAAACATACCAGCATTTTGTATTAGCTTCCTATCTTTTATTTTACGTGTCACTATGGAAGTTTTTTAATGCTGTGCCCTACCCCTTTTTCCCACAAGCCCTGTGGATTTTCATTCTGTAATTTTTGCATAGCATGATGATTTTCAAAAATGTATATGTCACATGTTAATCAAACAGCTACACTTTGAAGGAAAGGGTAATGGTGTTATTTCTCCACATCTAGGAGAGCAGAGTAGCAAAGGGTAGCGAGAGCCATGGCCACGGAGACAGGAGGCAGGGCATAGACAGAAGGAATCAGAGGAACGCCAGGGTGAAGTAGCTGGAGGACAGAGGGAGAGACAGGAATGTGGTTGCGGAGAAGGCCAGAGAGCTGAAGTGGTAGACATGGGCTGCATGGAGAGCCTATGCCAGGCACAGGAAGAGGGGAGGGGCCATAGTAGAGTAGCAGGAGGGAGCTGGACATATAGACAAGTATCCAATAGAACTGGTAAGTAGGCGGCCAGGCACAGTGGCTCACACCTGTAATTCCAGCACTTTGGGAGGCCGAGAAGGGCAGATCATCTGAGGTCAGGAGTTCAAGACCAGCCTGGCCAACATGGTGAAACCGTGTCTCTAAAAAAATTTAAAAAAAAAAAAATTAGCCGGGCATGGTGGTGTGCACCTGTGGTCCCAGCTACTCAGGAGGCTGAGGCAGGAGAATCTCTTGAGCTCAGGAGGTGGAGGTTACAGTGAGCCGAGATCAGGCCATTGCATTCCAGCCTGGGTGACACAGTGACTCCATCTCAAAAAAAAAAAAAAAAATAGAACTGGTAAGTAGTCAAAATACAAGGCCCCATTTTCCCAGTGATAAAATACAAATTAATTTGTGTTGGGCCAGCTTGCACAACGCCCCACCACCCCACTCCCCAACACATACTTAATTTTTGATAATGTATATTAAATTGAAAACATCTACATATTAAAATTTGTTATTAACCCTGTTACACAGGCATATTTAAAATCACATTATAAGAAATCATATTGTGATTTTGAAATATTGCTTTCACACATTGCATGAAGCATTTTACACATACTCTTTATATGCTTCTTCACATTCTTCACAGGCATTGGAGGCATCGGTGTTGGCCTTCACTACGGCTATCCACCCCCTTCTAATTATTTTACTCTTTAATTATGGGTGGAAGTGTGGGCCTGTTTTACACCTCTCTGTAACTTTGAGGAGCAGTAACAAACTGCTGCCTGGATTGTTCAGTGAAGAGCATAAAAAACAAGAAATGCCTTTGTATTTAAATGCACATCTAAAGAGATCAGATTTTGGATAAAGAAACTAAAAGTTCTGTTTAAACACTCTGTTCAAAAATTAAGTTTTTGAAAGAGAGCCCTATATATGAAAGACTTTGTCAGGTGATTCTCACTACTCTATAGAATAATTTAGGGAGGGGGAAGTTCCGTACATACAGTGAAAATGAAAAGTCAACATTAGACACTAAAGAGAGGTGATCATTAGGGAAAACTTGAATCTGCTCTCCTTGCATAAAGGAAATCAAATTCAACGAGATGGGAGGACAGAGATAGAAAGAGAAAATACAAATACATGCACACGCACACAGAGCTATTATCTGAATGTTTGTGTCTCACCAACATTCATATGTTGAACTCCTAACCTCCAAGGTAACAGTATTTGGAGTTAGGCCTTTTTGGAGGTGCTTAGGCTATGAGGGCACATGCACTCATGAATGGATGGATGCTGCTGTAAAAGGGCTGTGAGAGTGGGTTCTCTCTTCTACTCTTCTGCCATATGAGGACGCAATGTTCCTCCCTCCCCAGAGAACACAGCAATGAGGCACCATTCTTGGAACCAAAGGAACTTGCCAATGCCTTGATCTCGCACTTCCCAGCCATCAGAACTGTGAGAGAGTAAATTATTTATGAATTACCCATAATTCATAAATTATAAATTATTGTTATAGCAGCACAAAACAGCCTAAGACAGACAGACACAAACACACATAGACACACACACCCCCCTCAAAAAATCACCTCATCTGTGGTGGACAGCCAGTTTACAGCCTTAGCTAATACATCCCTTCAACTCTGGCCTTTAAATTTTACTGATTCGGACCAGACTCTTTCTCTTCCACAAGTTCTGTCCATGGTATTCTGAATACAGGACCTTTCTCAGCAGGCTGGACCTCAACTCCTCCATAGGACTAACCCTATTTGCGTCAATAACCAGTTTGTTTACATTTTTTCATAGGCTTATTGTAGACCAAATGGGTCTGTGCACATGCATATCTATTCCTATTTAGAGCAAAATCCCATGTATCACATGTTGAAAACCCCAGAAAATTTAAATAAACAGAATTTATAGTGCCATTCCATGGTAACTGATTTTCTTAGTGTTTTTGGGAATACTCCAAGTTCCCTAAGGAACTTTAAATCATCAAAGCAAGATTAACCTATGTTCAATGAAGTTTCCAAGATTTTTTTTCTTACTCTAATATGATTCATTTAAGAAACACTTAAATTAGCTCCTAATGTATATGCAGTAATGTGCTCAGCATAATGGAGACAATTCCAAATGTAATACAAGGTGTGGGACCTTAAAGCAGTTACAATACTCATAAGAAAAGAAAGGCTACAACATAAATTAAGCTACAATATAACAATATTTACACTAATGCCACACACCAACAAAGACACTTGTCTTTCTACTCTAATGTGCCCTGAGAAATTGGGTCATAAATTGGACATATTTCCCAAAGGAAAAACTTTATAAATATTATAAGTTGTTTTCCTGATCAAGGACTTGACATTAAAAAAGAATACACACACACACACACACACACACACACACACACACACACACATATATATATATAGCCTTTTAACACGTGTCCCCAAAAAGGGATAATAATTATGGAGAAATGATACAAGAAGATCCAATGTACTCAAGTTTACACACTTCATAAAAATAAAACTCTAATATAAACTGTAATATATTATAAACTTAATGCCAGCTCTGATAAACACAAGTATATCATTAACCATAGTTTTGCTTGACTTGTTGGATTTTAAAGTGTACTTTTGGGATGATTTTGATGGCCTGAGTCTCTTTTAAAAATGAGCTGATGCATTCTTTTTCTACAGATAAATCTCTCTGCAGTGCCCAAATTCCTCCCTTACCTTAGAGCTGACTTATAGGCCCAGGGAAGGAATTTAGTAAATGTCTGTTCCTAGTGCTTATAGAGGTATCAGTGCATCTCTTCTCTTTTAAAAAGACTGACCTAACATTTCTTCATTTCATTCTCTTCTATCTCTTGAACTTCCTTAAGGTGACGGTTTCTGACCAGATTTTTTTAATGAGGAAAAAGTAAATATGGAATAAACCTACTGTGTGTAAACAGATATCTAAGAATTTCATTGGGAAACCCCAGCAGCAATTATTAGATCGGTAACAGAGGAGTTTTTAAAAGATGCATCAAAATATTTCTCATAGAACTTTGGAGCCCCTGGCTTGTCTTTTGTGTGAATTCCTGGGTAGGACATTGATGGATTCATGGTTAAAGGCTGTGGAAGGCAGGCTCTACCATGAGGTGGAGAGTGTGGGGGTAGATATTCACCTCATTCAGCTATGACTGGGTGAACATGATACAGAGGGGGGCAGAAGGGACACCAAAGCTTGAACTGAGTCACGGGAGGGAGACGTGTACAGGATTTCTTTTAGGGACAAGTGTAGCTGCCACTGATGATCTATTGAAGGAAACTATAGAAGCAAATGGTTGAAAACTAAGTATGAGACCTCAGAGTGTAAGATTTTGAATGCCAGTCTAGACCATGTGGATCTAATGACAGAATTTGAGCAGGAAAGCAAGGTGAAGAAAGCAAATTAATCTAGTGCCATGAGGAGGGTGAAAGCAAATGTAGAACTATGCAGACAGAGGGTTGTAGGTGTTCTTGGAAAGATTATTTCCATGATAATTCCATCAACCAGAATATTCTATAAGTATGCCCTTCATTCTCTCCACACTCTGGATCCATAAACATTTGGTGCTTATAAGGACATTTGTGTCTGACTGCATGTTCATCTTTATGCATTCCTTTAACACTCTGCCACTTTCAACTTTTTGGCTTCAAAGTCCTCTAGGAAGAGGATTATGTCTGTGTATTAGGCAACATCTCCCCTCATGCCCTGCAGAGTTAACAGGGTTTCTTCCATAAAGCATTGTGATATTTTCTACTAATAAATTCTAATTAATTTTCCCTTTTACCTGTGTCTTTCTCTGTTTCCAAAACCTAAAATTCCAATTTTAACTTTATTTGGTAGCTATTCTTTTTGGCCAAGTATCATATATGTCAAACTTTTTCATTTTATGTTTAGTCCAAAATTACTCGTTTTCCTTGTCTAAATCTTCAGTAGTTATTTTGGCAGCTTTAAAAGAGAGAATCAAAATGGCAGGATCATGGGAACTTTGCCAGTCCGTTCTTGGCTCCTCTCATATACTAAGATTCTTCTTTTAATCACCACAATAAATAGAGACTGGAAAATGTCTTTTGGATTTGACAACTGGGAAGTAATTCATTACTTTGGCCAGAACTATTTCAGCAGGACCAGTGAGGGCAGAATACAGACTGGTGATTTGAAGAGTGAGTGCAAAGTGGAGACCTTGAGCAAATTCTACTAGTTTCAGAAGCTAGAATTTGAAAGGAGGGCAAGAGATGAGGCAGTAACTGGAAACAGGGTCAGGAGTAGTTGCTTTGTATTAAATGGGAAAGTTTTGGGCTCTCATGTACTATACATGAACTTCTGACAGTACATTATGAGTAACCTTCAATTTCACTACATCACCCACCGTTTCATTTCTTTCCCATTCGTTTTTGGTCTTGTTCATAAAGCTTCTCTAAATCCAAGAGAATGCATAATCTGATTGTGTTATTCAGATCTCTCTCACCTTTGCAACTGGTGAAACCTCTGGAGCCCTATATTTCTTTCCTTCTACCCCTTGTAATTATCTCATTTGTTGGTTTGAACAAATGATATTTCTGAACACATGTCGAGTCCCAACAGCTGAGAATGGTTTTTCCCTTTCAGTTGAATCGTTTGCCTCCTCTTCTCTCCTCTTTTCCTGTCATTTCTCATCTTAGAATCATTTTCCTATCATTCAAATATCTGTATGTTTTCTTTCTGGTTGTATGTGTGTGTGTGTGCATACGTGTGTGAGCGCACAAGTGTGTGCATGGGCTTGCATGCACACATGAATGCTCTACCATATTTCCATCAGCCTAGTTCCCCTTCCTAAGTCTTCACAGCATAAATTATTTCATACTATTTTGAACCTCTCTTGGCTTTCAGTTTTTGGGGATGAATAACTACTTTGCTATTTCAGGTGCTTTTATCTTGTAGGCATTTGCTGAACATCAATGCTTGCCAACCTTGTTGCCAAATCAATGGATAATTCTGTCCCTGTGTACATTTTTCTGCCACACACTGACACATGCCAGGACAAAATTGTTTATCTTAGATTATAAGGATTTGAGTCTCTCTTTATTTAGACTGTGCTGTGAGCATCACAGGTTTTCAAAACACAGAGTTTAAGAATGTTATCAAGTTCTAGGTGGACCAGTAAACCAGAGATAAACCTTCTGCCTGCATTGGGAGGCCATGGGAGGGCATTGTTATTGCCATTTTTTGTTTTTGTTGAATCTTAACCCCTAGGTTCCTTAACCCCAGACTTCAAAACACCATGAAATAAGATGTTATTAAAGATTAAAGAAAATATAAATACTTTGCATTTAAGACCAGCATATATAACCCAGAATCCAAACAATGCTGGGAAAATTGTGACAGAAACAAATAGGTAGACAGGGAGCCCAATTCCTTTCTTCCCATGCTGAATCTACTCACCTATAAAACCCCACAGATTCAATAATTACCCGTGAAGCATCCTTCTTTGTTCTCCTAACTCCATAAAAACTCTGTGAAAATTCCTTAAGAGCATGGCCAGTTCTTGGATATCATTGTGCACCTTGACTGGGCCAACCATAGTACATATATTTCACACTACAGGCAACCAGTACATAAAGATTGGCTGAATTTGCCTTGAGGAACCCAGTAGGCTGAGAAGAATTATGTTAATCTGTCAAAGTATAATAAACTCCTTGCCTGGAAATTGCTGAAGAAATGTCTTCTTGATGATCTGATGCCCCCACGGGTAATCGCCACTGTTCTGTAACTGGCTCAAATAGTTAAACTAGCAATGCAGCATATTCTATGCACTTAATGGGATACTTAAAGGGGCTTCACCTCTGCAGCTTATATAGCATTTCTAATTTTTAGCTGATTCCTTTTGCTCACAAATATTAAATGGTCCTCCTGGTATTGCTTAACACTATATTCTTCAAGAGTTATTGGGAGCCCTATGCAGGCATACGTGAATACACTTTTATCCTGCTCCACTTCCCACCTCCCATATGCATACTTCCAAAGATCACTTAGTGTGACTGAATGATAAGGTTCTTTATCCCCTGAACAAAATAATTTTTTATATTGAATGACTGTATGATTAAGGGTACATCTGAATAGAATCCTGGCATGTTGAAAAAAGATGTCCACATCCTTTACTCCTTTCAGATGAAAACCTTTTTCTAGTGCCTTGACTTGTTACAAGTCACCAATGGAGTGAGCAGAGCTGATCCAGTCACAGGAGTAGAAAAGGATTGAGACCAGACTTTGTCTTCATTATTTGAATTGCAAATTTTATATAGATGGTCCCACTGTAAATATGGCTTGACAGCTATATTTTAATTCACATGTGTAAATTCAATTAATGTACCCCTTTCATTTAATTCAATACATACCTGTTGAGTACATACCCTGCAAGGTGGCAACGATCCAAAAATGAGTAAGATGCCTTCTGTGCTTTTATGGAGCTCATACTTACTAAGAGAGATAGACATATATAAATAAAGTGATCTGGCTTTGCCAAGTACAGAGAATGTGCATGTCATATCTCCATAGGTAGACTGTAAATTCCTAGAAACTGGAACTGGCATTTTACTCTTGCGTGTATCTACTCTATGTCACGGACACAGCAGGTGCACAATAAATACTCTTTGAATTTATTCATATAGCTTACAAACAAATGCATCTTGGACTTTACATTCGTTTGTCTTGCTATTTGAAAACTGCTTAGCTATAAAAAAATAAAAATAAAAGAAGTGCTTCACTGGGAATATATTATGTCCACAAGCATTATGTTTTTATTCCACCAACTCTGTAATCCAACGGAAACATCTAATAATCATGCACATACTCTTACACGATATAGCCTTAGAGTCTGTCTCCACAAGGTAGTTCTTCTTTATGAAGTTTAGAATTTTTCTAACAGACGTCTTGTTCTTAATATTCTTTTTAAAAGTAACTGAAGTAAGATTTAAGCTACCTGTGAAATATGCATCCCCCCACCAAAAGAGACTTGGAATTATTAAAATGTTTCACATTGTCATGTACAGCTGAATAGAGGTTGCACTCACAAAGGAAACACAGGACTTTTTTTATATGTTGCACACAATGAAAGGAATGTCACATTCTGTTTTTTCAATTGAAGCATGTCACAGCCCAGAGGGTCTGTTACTATCAGAAATTCAACTTGAGAAAAGACCTTCAGATCACTGAGAAGAATGCTACCTACCAGGGAATGAATCAAATCTACCAAAAAATTACTACCATTTGATCAGAAATATCACCTTGGTGGGCTGCATGTCATCTCCAATTACAGTCATTATAATAAAGATACAGTAAAAGAGGGATGAGAAATATGCATTAAATGTAAATCAGAAACACTGGTTACTTAAAATCTTAGTTAAAGGTTACTTTTAGGCTATGCCCATTTCATGTGTATTAGGCTACACATACACACTAACAAACTAATCAAAATAAAAAAAGAAACTGGGATTATTAGGCTGGAAACAAGAAGGGTGAGGTGATTTCATACTATGTATGAAGAGTTGTAAAGTAGAAGCAAGCCAGACATGCCCCCTCTTCCAAAATGAAAGGTATGTGGGATTCAGTTTTTAGTAGATGAGAGTAATGAGATAGAGAGAAATCTTCCTATCTGATGGGTTTTTAATTTGTGCTCTTGAAAGCAGTCATGGAAGTGGTTTCTTTTTTTTTTTTTAAATAGATTATCCATGCCGGTATCTAAAGAAAACATTAATAAACAAATGAATGGTCTTACATACACAAAGACTACTATGTACAGTTAAAAGGAAACCCTCTACTATGTAGTCTGGTATGTACCGTTAAAAGGAAACCCTCTTCTGTCAATAGGCAGGCAGTAGGGTAGAGTCGTTAATAGTACAGATTCTAGGCATGTTCAATATGGTGGCCACCAGCCACATGTGGCTACTGAGCACTTGAAACATGGCTAAACTAAAATGTATGTGCTTGTAAGTGTAAAATACAGACTGGGTTTTAAAGATGTAATACAGCGAAGATCTAAAGCATCACATTAATAACTTTCATAATCACTACATATTGAAATGGCAATATTTTGTATACATTGGGTTAATAAGACATATTATTAAAATTAATTTCAATGTTTTCTTCTTTAATGTGGCTACTAAAAAATACAAGGTTGCATACATGAATTGTATTTGTGGCTCTTGTTCAATTTCTAAGGACCTGTACTGCTCTAGAAGGAGAATGCCTGCATGCACCTCCCGACTTGGCGCAAATCACTCACTATTTCTATATTTGTAAAATAAAAATAATAATAATACAATCAACCTCATAAGTTTTTTGAGAGGATTTCATAAGTTAATCCACGTAGAGTAGCGTCTGGCACACAGTATATGTTCAATAAATCTCATCTACTAATATTCAATGTGCACATCCTCTTTGCAAAGCACCCTGACATGTAGTTACTCATACTCTGCTTGAATACTCCCAAAGACGGGCAACTCACATTTCCCTGAGACAGCCGATCACACTTTTAGACAGCGCTGAATGTGAAAAAGCTCATTCCTGGAATGAGTAAAAATCTCTTTACAACTTTGACTTTTCTGAGCTTCTTCCTATATGATTCTGCCAGAGGCAAAGACAGAAACTGGTCAGATTCCAACAGTATATTTGTTTAGAAATAGTTACAAGACATTAGTATTGGAAATGAGTTTATTATACACTTCCATGAAAGTTCATGTCAAGAAAACTCATACTGAGCCATCAAAATACTTTCAAGAAACAGATCTTCAGAACTGTGACTTCTTACACATGCTCAACTAAAGAACAGTTCTTCTCTTCTCAGTAAGTTGTCCTCTTTGACCAAGAACAATTTCCAGTTGGGATATACTTAGAGCAAAGACAACAGACAAGAGCACTCACCTCACCAAATCACAAGAGTGACCCAGGCACCCACCAGCAACCCCCACTCACATCGAACAACTCATTTTCCCTTTTTTGTATTCATTATGCTAATTTCAAAAACTAATGCTTTGCATAGTTGGCAGGACAGTTCTGTTCTAATGATAAGCCATTAATACAAAGAAATATGGTGTGGATTTCCTAAATATGTCTGTCTTTTCTGAATTTTCCAATGGTTCCTCAGGAAGCCAACACTTTTATAAGTGAATGTATCTAGTTCTTTATGATTTTGAGATGATATAATCTTCATGCACAAGGTCTGTGCAAAATCAAAATGCAGCCTTTTTCCATATTTCCAAATGATGCTTCTACCTCCAGGTAGAAGTAATTCAGCAATATTCTTCCTGTCAGTCATCTCCATTGACTATAGAGGCCTTGGCAGTAGGTAAGTGTGTGTGTTCTTGCATTTTGGATAAATTCCAGCAGCGGTAAAGACTGAACCTGCTGAGTAAAACCTCGGGCTTTGGATAGTCTGGTTTATCAGAAGCAGAATAGGCCTTGCAGTCCAACAATCTGGGATACACATCTAGGCTCTGTGGTTTACCAGTTGCATTCACCTTAGACAAGGTACCAGAGGTCCCTCAGATTGTTTCCTATTACAAAAAAAAAGGGACTAAATAACAGTACCTACTTTGCAACATTATTATGAGGATTAGACAAACAAATTCTAATGTACCTAGCTAGGTATGCAGCAATTCATAGGTAATTAACTAATAGTAATAATTACTAGTCACACTTGTTGCCTACCTGGATATTGGTAAGCCTTACCTTACAGATCCTCAAATGGCTGTTATTACCCAGGCCCCTACTCTCCATCACACTCCCCTCTTCAACATTTTCCAGAATTCTCAGTAGAGAGTGGTGCCCTTCACCATTTAAATCCTTTACTATCAGAACTCCACACATAGATGCTAATAAGAAAATAGATTCAATCAAACATGAAAATTAGAATTTACCACCTGAGTTGTTCAGACTGAGAGAGGGCTTTGTGAATTGGCATCATCAGTGAAAGCTCAGTGGAAGTATAATTGGAACTGGATTTTGACTAATAGATATAATTTGGATAACTGGGACCACAGGAGTAGGGAAAGCAACATTTTTGGCCACTTTAAATAAGTGTGAGTCTTGTGGGTGACTTTAAAGAGATAGGTCTAAAAGAAGAAGAAAGTGGATAATAGGAAATTAACGACAGGCAAGAGTTAAATTGATGTAGTATCTGGAATCCTATTTTTTCTGTTCAAGAAATAAGCATAATTTAAGTTACGTTTTTCAGGGACCATCTAGCAGTGCTGGAGTTTAGTTTTAGCTAGAAGAGATCCAGAAGAAAGCACCAAAAAATTTTACTCAAAGTCATTAACATCCCTTGCCTCTCTGTGATTGGCCAGAAGATATTCCAGTTCATAGAATGGGTCAAGTCAGATGAAATGAAAGCCCTACTAACAATATTTAATCACAAAAGTGAATGGAAGTCAATATGAAATAAATTGAGTTAATTCTGAAGACTAGAAACAGAGATTGAAAAAAAATAATTACTTTTTCCCCAAAAGAAAGAAGCCTTGTTGAACTACTCCCACATACATACATTTTAATTAAGTGGTCTGAGACAGCTGTGAGGTAGAAGAATTTACAGTTGTGGCAGATGACCTGGGTGAGAAATTTGGCTCTTCCTCTTAACAGGAAGGAAGGAACTTAATATCCTTATTTTATATTTTCTAAGAAAACAAATTAAATTGAAGTTAGAGTGGCTTTATATGAATTGATAACTCAGATGAAAGGGGTTTTGATACCTTTGGGCTCCTAGATAATATAAAGATAACAATATTTAAGTGTTTTAACAGCCAGAAATATTAGACACAGAGAAAATTAAAATGTAAACATTTGATGTTCAACTACTTGATAATGCCAATGATTGCATTCATTCTTGTCACGAGTACAAATATCAAGGGATAATATTTAAAATATTTACCAGTTGGTAGGTCTGGGGCATAAGCCAATCAGAACAGCCTTAGGTAATATCACTGGAGTGTGTCCCAAGGCCTCTTTGCCATACCAGGTGGGTGACACCCAGTGGCTCTCTCAAGAAGTGATCTAAGGGGAGTGGTCTGTAGGACCAGGATGATAGTGGGACCTTCAGAGGGCTCAGAGCAATACTCATTGACCTACTGGAGCACATGTATTTCAATATTTTTACAAGTATTTCAATATTTTACAAATAGTTCAATATTTTTACCAGTAAGGCTGTATTCATGTGCCCTGTCTAACTTGCCCTGAATAAGTCTAACGTAAGCACAAAAGGCAAAAATCAATAGAGGAGAGCCCAGAAGCAAACTCTGCAAGAAGAGATTACTGCAAGCCTTAGTCTTATTATAATTAAAATCTTTCATGTATGCATACTACATGGTATGCTTTTTAAAATAACCATCTGAAAGAACTCAAAATTAAAATATGCATTGCTACAAAGCTGCAGTCTAAGACTAAGGCAATCGTGCCTAACTGCCACGAAGTTCAGAGCCTTACTCAACATTGTGATTTTTCCAGAAGTAATGAGCTGTTCGCTAACATAACACTAGGACACAAATCAGCAGCCAGCCCTCATGCAGGCAAGTGGAACACGGCCATGAGTTTCTTCCAAGTCAAGGCATTGAAAAATCGTTTGTGCATTAGTTACTTAGGATTCTGTTTTTAGCTATGGCATGTTTAATTACAAGAGGCTCATAATTAAAATATGCCCAGAAAGGCAAAATCAAAAGCGAGCATCATGTCCCTTGCTGCAAAACACCTAAGTTCAACAATGATAGCCTTTTTTATTCATGCAGGAAACATTTTCACACTTTCACAGATCTCCACATCTAGGTCAATGTCTAACCTTTTCTAGTAGGTGGACCTCTTCTTTTTAACGTCAAAAAATTCTACTGATTTCCACATCACAGCAAAGAGTTGTGTTTTTAGAATCCATAAATTGCAAAAATACCTAGTAACCAAAAATTAATATGAATTTAGCGATGCTTTTATACATACTGTGTTTTAGTCATCACAACAGTATATACACACTTAAAGTAGTTCTTATAGATGCCAGATGACTTCATTGTTCAGCTTACAAACCACGCTTAGATTCAACTCCTGTTACCAAAAGCATGAGTCCCTACCAGCAGTGAAACTATTCTACAGCATCTCTAGAGTTAGTTTCAAAGTTTTACCAAAAGATACGGAGTAATTGGGTTTCACTAATATCTGATTTTCCCTTTCAAATGAAATGCTTGATGTGGTAGCAACAAAATGATCATACTAAATCACCGGTGGACTATAACCTGGCAAAATAACTACGTCTCTATATTTTGTATAACTAGCCCATACCAGGATTCATGGCTTAGAATGAAAGCATAAATGTAGGAATTCAGTGGCTGGGATTCCTATTTCCTTTTGTCAAGAGATACTTACAAGATGACCAAAAACTACCTAATCCTCCTTGGCTTCATTTCAAAAATAGCCACTGTTAGCTCTCAAGAATAACCACCCATGAACATCCTACTAAAACGTCCACAAAATAATCTCGGTAGATGGAGAAGTTTTAAAGGGTGGGAATAGAATGCTTATCATCTTGGAGCACAGGTGCCTGTGATTTTAGATCTGTTAAACTACAGACCCCACTAAAATTCACAATAGTAAATTTCTAGACTAGAAGTGGAGTTAAAAATCCCTCTACTTTCACAGGTTTAACGTGCTAATTATCACTTAGATATTAATCTTGTTAACAGCTCTAAATTAAGGACCTGTGTTATATTTAGGAAGCTGCCTGGTGTTAAAGTTAATGAAGCAGCTTCTTTTATAGTTATATACTGGGAAACATTTTCTTTTGAAAATATGAAGCACTTATGTGCAATCCATATTCAAAAATCCAACAGCATATCTAAGTAACTCATGTAGTTTTTGATAATACAATACCCAATAGTTATTCAAAGACCCAGCCTTTATGCTTTGTCTGTAGAGCATCTCTGAAGCCTTAATAGTGCTATTCTTTTTTTCCCATCAACTAATATAGTTGTCACTACTTAGAATTCTTTAATCTGTTTGTCTTAATCATGTATTTAATATATTGTATCATTTGTCATTTTCACAGTTAACTAAATAAGACCAGTCAAATATTCTTCATCATTCTATTCAAACTTTTGACATAATGTTATTACTTTAATGCCTAATCTTTGTAAAGTGTGCAGAACAGCAGAATTGAAGTTTTGGCAAGACTTTTTTTCTTTAAAGGAATCATACAACTCCAGTTTCAATTTGTGAAGTATAATTAAAGTGAGTTGACATGCTTTAGAATTGTTCTTGTTTGGACATTCTCCCTCCTTTAACTTAGAGCCTATCTTTTTATTCTGCTTTTTCGGTCTATCATTTAAGGACAACATTCTTTTTGCTGATATTAACAAAAGAGTTATTCCTTCAGAAATAGGATCTGTAGCAAGCAGACAAGGTCCTTCATAGCCCTTCTGATGAAGTACAATTTAGTACCATTTTCCTTTCATTCCTTCCCTACTTTCTCTCAAAAGGCACACTCAGCAGAGAACAGAAAGGTACCTCTCGTTACCAATTTGTTAATGTCAGTCTTCAAACAGTAGAGTCTGTATTTACATTGTTTATATGATCGGTAATTATTTTCTACCTGTCTAACAGTGTTCCTCTTTCTTAGCCTTTCAACTCTCTAACAATCAACAACTTTGATGGAAAACAATGGGCCAGAAGATTAAGAAATATTGTAAGATCATTTCTCAAGTATTGATTTAAATATTAAGGTTGACATAAAGTGAGCTCATCGTATTATGAACCCTCAAAACAGACTATCAAAGTCCACCAACAGTAGACAGCCCTTTCCTGGACCACGTATCTCCAAGCCCTTATCACAGATTAATCTAGAATATCCAAAACCCTGAATGGTTTGTAGGTGTTCAGGGCTGCTGGATCTGTCTGTGCTGATTTATACGAGACTATCCGATGTTTTTAAAGTCAACAATGACACCTACAATTTTTTCAGAAGTATCTGTGTATATTGTTACAGTGTCAGAAGAATTTTCTTCATAATTTTTTTCACTTAAATTTGCATGAAAAAGAGTTTCTAACCCTCAACTCTCAGCAGGTAGATGAAGAAAACACACACACACAAATACACACAACACACACACACACACACACACACTTCCCAGGGATAGAAAATAAAACAATTCCAGGGAATCTACCAGATTAGATCAACTACCCTCAGAAAACAGAGAACTGGCCACATTACTTTTCAAAAGAAGACTCCTATTATTAATGGCACTAAGGTTTAAAAACAGCAGTCTGTCAAAGTGAAGCCTCAAGACAGAAACTTTATAAACAGCTTTTAACCCACAAAGACACGAGCTTTCACTCACCACTGAGTAAGACTTCTTGATTTGGTTAGTAACACCCTAAGTGGCTTTCAGGAAGCCTTCACCAACTGCTGAGTAGACAGTCAAGAGCACAAAAAGGCTTCCCTGGAGATTACCTCCTCCTAGTTACTCGAGAAACTCAGATTGCCCTGACACTGCCAGACAAATAACTGTATCCCTTTGACATCCAAAGATTACCTGTCAAAAGGAAACTCCAAACACACACGTTCACACGCACGCGCATGTATACACACACACACAAACACACACACACCCCACCACAGTCTGGTTGGCATGAGCCCTACCTGCATGGGTTACCATTTCCATGATAACAGAGCACTCACAGGTGTACCGCTGAGAAACACCAGGCAGACCGTCATTTAAAGAGCTCCAAGGAGTCTGAGGGTGGGAAACTGCCGGCTTTCAGCAGACCACCCTGGCAATGAACAGAGCGCCAAGGAACCCTGGTATCTTCCGTAGAATATGCCACGGTCCCATAATCTTAGTGGAACTTCACCTTGACTGTACAGTATTGAATCGCAATACCTCTTATGGGAAGCTCTGAGCTCAGACATTCCAAAAGAAAAAAGTACCACCTTCGCCAACGAAAGTTTTTTTCTTGTCTTTAAAAAGGGATAGAGTGAGAGAGCTTAACGCCCCCTCCTCAACATTCCCTCGTCCCCTGCAAAGTTTTCCAACTTCAAAATACGCGGTCACCAAAGAGCGGGGTTCATTTGCTTATTCAAATAACTTTAATACTATGGGACATGTAAGACAGCAAAGGGGACAGGTGCAGATGGGCGATGCAGTAGAAAATATGCCTGTCCCCCCCTCCCTGCCCCTCACTCTCAAGCCCCGTTCCCAGTTTCCTCTCCACAAACAGCAGGATATCACGTCCGAGCCCAGCTTGCCCCTAGCCACTCGCAGGGACAGGGGAAATGTAAACTGTTGCTACAGCCTCCTGACACTCCACCGATAAATCAGAGGAAGCTGCAAAACTTCTTGGCTTGCTCAGCTATCCTCCACTGGCACTGAACGCCTATGCACAGATTTCGCAGTCAGCGCTACGGGAAAGGAAACCCTCAGTCAACCTGTTTGCAAAGCCTGCAGAACAACTCCCGGCCTTTCGATTTTGGGCGCCGAGGCTCTCCGCGCAGGACGGGAAACCCCCGGTTTCCTTCATCAGTATCCCTCAAACCAAGCTGGAGGTGAAGGGAACAGAGCTCCTGCTGCCCGGGTCCCAAGGTTCGGTCCCGTTGCATGAGGTCGGTGCTCAGGTCGCCGCGTGGGGCGTCCCCGCCCGCCTAGAGGGTCTCCGCACACTGCGCCCCGGGCAGCCCACGCTTCCCGCAGCCCCAAGCCAGAGGCGTCCGAGAAGATCCGCTTCCAAGTTCCCGCGTCTGGCTGGGAGAAGGGGCGACGATGGCTGTCCGGCGAGGAAAGAGCAAAGTCTGCGCCGGCAGCGCGCCCCCTTCCCCGGCGCTGCCACCCCGCGCCCCAGTCGGCCGGCCAGGGGGCCCGGCATCCCCGACTCGGGGCTCCGCGTGCTTGCACTCACCCGTCTCGCCAGAGCCGCCGCCGTAACCTCTGGGAGCCGCTGAGCCCCGAGCTTCCCGAGCGCAAGAAAGATGGTGGTGTGTGTCGGAAGACCACCCATTCCAGCGTCTGGCAACCCGGCGGCGACTCTGGCTCCTCAGCACTGAAGGAGGAGGAGGAGGAAGAGAAGGAGGAGGAGGAAGAGAAGGAGGAGGAGGAGGAGGAGGAAGGAACGGCGCAGTCAGACGCCATCTGCTGTACACCTCTGCGCAGCCATTGGCTGCCTGGTGCGTCCGAGAGCCGCGGGGCGCGGGGCCGCGGGGAGCCACCTTGCGCCTCGCCTACCCCGGCAGCTGTTCCCCACCGCCCCCTCTTTCTCCCCCCTCTCCTCCGCCTCCTACCGCCTCTGCCGCGCACCCGCACGACCCTCGGCTCAGCCTGCTCCCCAAGGCGAGCGACCGCGGGCGCGCTGGCCTGGACCTCAGTTCCTCTGCTCCCCGCAACTGTTTGCCGCAACTTTGAAGCTTCGGGGTGCCGGTGCGGGCTGGGTAAGGGGACTCCCCAGCTGAGCTCAGCCCGGAGTACCCAAGCCACTGAGCCCAGGAGAGGGTCGAGCGCTTTGCGCCTCGGAGGTCCATGAAGTGATGGGGGAAGAGAGCAAGAAAGAGTGGGGGTGCCCTAGGCCCCTGTTGATAACGCGCCCCAACACGCACACATGCGCGACACTCCGACACACAGTAAAACACACACACCGAGCCATCCCGCAAGGTCCGGATGGTCTGGCGTTCCTCTGCAGTCCCCGGGCACGAGAGGGCTTCGGTGTTACTAGGAGAAAAGACAAAGAAAATCCTATCTGGGGAGTACCCCTAGCAGCATACGTGGGGGAGAGAGAAAGGGAAACATTGTGGTGACTCCGGGAAACGCCGGGAGCTGGGTGCATACCTGCCTGGACATCCCCCCTGTTGCGGGGCTCCCAGCGACTGTCAGCCCACGCCCACCAGAGCCTGGGAAAACCCCTAGCTCTGGGGCCTCTGTTTAAAGGATTTGCAGTCCCGGGGCGCGGGGACCGGAGTTGCGGGAAGGAGCGCCTTAGGCTCCTGGGTAGCTCATGCCGGAAGCAGCAAAGGAGGTGGAGAGTCCGAGTCAGCCCAGGTGAGGCAGGAGTGCAGACAGCGGAGAGCACGTGGGCAGTCGAGGAGCAGAGTCACAGCTCAGAAAGTCGTTTGCTTACTCTCTGACACTTGTTCCAAACCCTTCTGGTTTTTGACACCTTTGATCTAGGGAACTTCTTAAGCTTGTTCAGAGAGATGAAGTTGCTTCAAAAGGGAGAAGGGGCGGGGGGAAGCATGAGGACTACCTATTGCCAATTACAGGATATTTTGCCTGTCAAATCTCTTTAAATGTGTGAGCCCAGCGACAGCAGGGATTGTATCTTTTCTATTTTATCCAATGCCTGGCACACCATGGGTGCTTAAAATGAAGCAAAATAATAATGATAAAATTAAAGCTTGATGTCATAGAGCAAATTAGATTCAAGAGATAAATAGAGAAGCTAGGATCTGTCACAGATAAAAAGAAATCAAAAGAATGTAAGTGCCATTGTAAAGAAAGATGTGAATATATTGGTAAGGGGCTTCAACTCAGCTTGCTGTGGGATGATGGGTTCTGAAAGCAGGGAAGCCTTACTTAATATTTTAAACAGCAATCGCTATTCTCCCACTACAGTCACATTCTGGGTTATGCTTTTTTTTTTTCCTGACATCACTGTCTTAAAAATAAATCAGCTGCCAACCAGATCCCAGAATATTTTCTTAAATCCAAGACCATGATTTATTACTCTCAAGAGATAAAAGGCCAATCCTGTGACCCAGGGGAGAGAGAAACTGGTCCATTATGTTTTATTGTAATCTCAATATATACAGATCAATAGCCAATGAGTCTCATTTAAGTAACTTCAGGAACAACAGCCAAAGAAAAACATTTCTGTTTTCTTGAACTATTATACCCAGGCTTCCCAGGTTTCAGTTTTCCCAGAATCAATGCTGCATTTTCAGGCCACACCCCCTGCACACACACCCCCATATGGGAGAAAGACTTGTGTTTGCAATCTGTCTGGAAAAAAAGATATCAAGGATGACTTCTGAGTATGGCATGTATGGACATCTTAGTAGTTATTTGTCCCCCTCCCTCACCAGAGACAATGATACGTATATTTTCCTTTAGGCTGGCAATTTGCTTTCAACGTGCATTCTGATTTAATATGCCAGCCCATTCTCATTAACCCTTTGCTCTACGTCAGCAATCACTTACGATACCCAAGAATACTTTGATTCTTAAGACACAACTTTTCTCCTCTGAGGCATTGTTTGTGTTTGGTCTCCTGGTTTTTGAATCTAGGATATGAGATTATAGTCATATGGTAATTCTGTTGGGCTTCTTAAAATAAAAAAGGAGAATGAAATCTAAATTATTTTTGAAAAATAAAGAACCATGAATGTTAAACTTGTTACATTTGATTCCTTTAGAGAACAATCACTTTTCATTAAGGCACTGCTGACAACATATATTTCAGTATAGTCAAAGAGTATAAGATGTCTGAACTTTATCTGTGTGATTACATACAAATTTTGTAGACGGAGAATGCAAGCACAAGACTCATTCTAACTTTCTCTTTCCATTTCTAGCTCAAATTCCCAATTTATATTTTAAATGTATATTTTACTCATAATATGAGTTTCTTGCCAACATAGTTAGCTTTGGTTCTTAATAAAAACACTGCTCTCAAAATCTAGATTAGGTTAGAAACATTAAAAGGATAACCTAGGCAGGGAAAGGAATATTAGTAATGAAGACCGTAAGAGCAGGAACAGAAATTTTTAAAAATAAGTGAACAAAGAAAGGATTTGGAAGAAGGTAGGCTTGATTAAAAAAAAACAAAGGTGGCATCATTATGTGTAAGAAATAGTTGAATGTGCCAGGGTTGGAAAATAAGCTTGAGATTAGAAATTCCCATAATCCTGCACACACAGATGCCAAAGGCCCCAATCACCACCAGACTTCCAATGAGAATGAACAAAACAAAAATACAATGGCAGAAGAGAGGGGATAGAAGGAGAAAGTCTGTTGAGATTAGGTCTCCATTGGGAAGACCTAATGAGTCTTCCCATTAAGGAATCACGGAGAAAAGTAACCCTATGCTAGCCAAGTACAGGCAGAGTGTAAATTTACATTTTTGTTGTTGTCGTGTGTGTTTGCCACTGCTTTTTCTGAACATGATGTTCTCCATATAGTCTAACAAGCTTGGATGGGAAAGTGCTATGGAAATGAAATAAACAATCAGTGGCATTAAACAAGGAAGAGCTAAAGAAGGCACATAGATAAAGAAGCCCAATCTAAAACACAAGTGATAAATGCAAACATAAGCCAGTATCTTGGACTTGCCACCCAGGGAGTTGCTGCCCAGGTCTACAATGGCCCATCCACTGAAGCAGCGAATTGAGTCAAATATTCAGTCACTCTGGGGGACAAAATAGGAGGAAAGGGGGAAGAGAAAAAGAACCATGATTGTCTCATTTACACAATTCATTCAGGCCAGTTCCAGGTTGGAAGAGATTCTGTGGCAAATCTGAACATTTTTTCTGCCAAAAAAGAACATTTAATCCTGGCATATAAATGTAACTTTTGAGCTTGGTCCAGTAATTTGATTTTGATGTGTCAACATCTTAAAATACAATGTAAAGATAATGTATTGAAAAGTAGTGTAGTGGAACTCCACTGGCTTCTGGCCCAGTTCAGTCCCTCTGAGGCACCAATGCTTTCCCAGCAGACGCTCAACACTCACAAACGAAGTCCTGAACCATCAGCTTCAGTCATTCACTCAGCAACATATTTGATTAGTGTCTACTATGTGCCTGGCACTGCACTAGGTATTGGTTATTCAGTGATACAGAGTCCCTGCCCTCATGGCATTTATAGTCTAATGCAGTGACAATAAACAGGTATGCAAATGATCCTAAATATATAATATGAAAGAAAAGGAAAAGAGTCCTGCAATAAAAAAGGAATGCAATGGAGCAGGGGTAGAAAGGAAGGTCAGAACCAGGCAAGAGCTCTCAGAGGAAATGACATTTAGGCTGAGACCCAATCATGAATGAGAGGTAACATTTATGAAGATTTTTCTAGATATTAGGCAACAGGCTAAATGTTATATATATATATATATAATTTAATCCTCATAACTACCCCAAGATGTGGACACTATTTTCAACTCCATTTTACAGTGGAGGCATACAGAGTTTACGCAACTTATTCAAAGTCACACAGCTGATAAGTAGAAAAGCTAGGATTTGGCCAGGCAGTCTGGCACTAGTGTGTGCATTTTTAATCACCAAGATACACTGCATCTCATATAAGCAGGCATCAGCCAAGAAAGGGGAAGAAGAAGGATACATGGCCAAAGAGCCTATGGCTGGAAGAGGTTGGCACATGAAGAACCCATCGGGGGCCAAGGTAGCCGGAGATGAGTAAGCCTGGAAAAACTGCAGTGCAGTGGGATAGGAAAGGCAGGCAGGGGCAGAGGGGCAGGTGCTTGTGACCAATGGGTGGTTTTATCTCTTTGAACAATATCATCTAATTTAGACTTTAAAAAGATCACTTGATGCTGTGCCGCAACCAAGAAAATGGCAAGAGTGTAACAGGGATGCCAGTGTCCAGGGAAGAGATGGAAGTGGCTTAATGGAGAGAGAACCAGATGGTTTGATGAATATTTGGAAGGATCTTGGCTCTGTCTTCTTGTCATATAGCAGCATTGTGGAGAGGCTGGACAGTGATCAGCCCCATCCAGTCAGTTCTGGGACCCTTGCTTCTGATCCCTGTCCTAGAAGTCTGTACCACCCACTCTAATGCCCAGCATTATCTGGGTTCATTGTTTTGCTGCTCATCTCCAATAATATTGACTGACCAAGAGATCTATAGTACAATGATCCCTTCTTCCCCACTGCTATCTAACGTTACCAAACCAGAGCAAAGAAAGGAGAAGCAGTCATTCAATCCACACTAAACAAGCCGGCAACCTCCATATATCTAAGACACAACACCGACTAATGTGGAAATAATAAAACCCCTGGAGTGACAACTTGGATCACATTCATAATGACTTGGTTTGTAAAGACCAGGTGTTATGTAGATTGGAGCCTGTTATTATCCAAAGATTTGGCAACCTTAATCCTCTTCTGCTGGGCACAAAGCCACACGATACTCATAAGCCTAACTTTGATGAGATGGGCAAGAGGGCCCATGTCTTCTATTTCTCTGTCTTCTAAGGACACCAGCCTGACTGATGGACAGTAGGTCCCTTTATAGGATAGGAAGAATAGATAATATTGGAAAATGACTATTGTCAACAGATTGAAAGCTAGAGTGTTCATGAGTGAGGTATAAGGGGTGGAACAGATAAAAGAGCATCATTTTTTTTCATGTCTTAGTCATTTCAACTACAGGACCTAAGTATCTATAGGGAAAACCCCCAATACCTCTGATGTTTAAAAGAAAGCATATAAAATAAATCCCATAACTAAAGCTTTCTAGTATATTCTTAGATTCTGAATTATGCCATTTTCCTTGCTGCTACCTCATTGACTCTCCACATTTCTCTACATTATGCATTATCTTCCTGAAATACTCTGTCATATCACTTTGATTCCCAGGAACCCACTATTATCTTCATCTTGTCACTTTATGTGAGTCCCTTCAAAAATATCAGCTCCACAGAAAAGCTTTCTCTTACCTTCCCCTATAGAAAATATCTTCCTCCATCTCTCTATATCTCTTATCTGGTCTTCCTTTCCTTCACAGCCTTTATCACAATCTAAAATTTTGCTACATAGTTTTTCAATGATTATTATCTATCCTCTTATTAAGAATGTAAGCCCCATGAGGTCAGGAACTATACACACACAAACCCCCATACATACAACAGTGCCTGGCAAATGGCGGGGCCTCACTAAATGTTGAATGAATGGCATAAGTTAGTGTGTCCGGAATTGGTGGGTTCTTGGTCTCACTGACTTCAAGAATGAAGCCGCGGACCCTCGCGGTGAGTGTTACAGTTCTTAAAAGCGGTGGGTCCGGAGTTTGTTCCTTCTGATGTTCGGATGTGTTCAGAGTTTCTTCCTTCTGGTGGGTTCGTGGTCTCGCTGGCTCAGGAGTGAAGCTGCAGACCTTCCTGGTGAATGTTACAGCTCTTAAGGTGGCGCATCTGGAGTTGTTCATTCCTCCCGGTGGGTTCGTGGTCTTGCTGGCTTCAGGAGTGAAGCTGCAGACCTTCGTGGTGAGTGTTACAGCTCATAAAGGCAGTGTGGAGCCAAAGAGTGAACAGCAGCAAGATTTATTGCAAAGAGCCAAAGAACAAAACTCCCACAGTGTGGAAGGGGACCCCAACAGGTTGCCAGTGCTGGGTAGGGCAGCCTGCTTTTATTCTCTTATCTGGCCCCACCCACATCCTGCTGATTGGTCCATTTTACAGAGAGCCGATTGGTCCGTTTTGACAGGGTGTTGATTGGTGCGTTTACAATCCCTGAGCTAGAGACAAAAGTTATCCACGTCCCCATTAGATTAGCTAGATACAGAGTGTCCACACAAAGGTTCTCCAAGTTCCCACCAGAGTAGCTAGATACAGAGTGTGGATTGGTGCATTCACAAACCCTGAGCTAGACACAGGGTGCTAATTGGTGTGTTTACAAACGTTGAGCTAGAGACAGAGTGCCGATTGGTGTATTTACAATCCCTTAGCTAGACATAAAGATTCTCCAAGTCCCCACCAGACTCAGGAGCCCAGCTGGCTTCACCCAGTGGATCCCGCACAGGGGCCGCAGGTGGAGCTGCCTGCCAGTCCTGCACTGTCCGCTGGCACTCCTCAGCCCTTGGGTGGTCGATGGGACTGGGCACCATGGAGCAGGGGGCGGCGCTCATCGGGGAGGCTTAGGCCACGCAGGAGCCCAAGGTGGGGAGGCGGGGGAGGCTCAGGCATAGCGGGCTGCAGGTTCCCAGCGCTGCGCCGCGGGGAGGCAGCTAAGGCCCAGCGAGAAGTCAAGCACAGCAGCTGCTGGCCCAGGTGCTAAGCCCCTCACTGCCTGGGGAGGCGGGGCCGGCTGGCCGCTGGGAGTGCCGGCCCGCTGAGCCCACGCCCACTCGGAACTTGAGCTGGCCCGCAAGCACCGTGCACAGCCCCCGTTCCCGCCCATGCCTCTCCCTCCACACCTCCCCGCAAGCTGAGGGAGCCGGCTCCGGCCTTGGCCAGCCCAGAAAGGGGCTCCCACAGTGCAGTGGCGGGCTGAAGGGCTCCTCAAGCGTGGCCAGAGTGGGCACCAAGGCCGAGGCGGTGCTGAGAGCGAGGGCTGCGAGGGCTGCCAGCACGCTGTCACCTCTCATTAGCACCTCACTGACTTTTGGGATCCTTCCTAATCTGGCCCCACCTTACCTTCCCACTCATTCTGATTCCGGTCCTCTCCATCTCTCCCTCCTCAGTCTTGCAAATCTTACCTTCCCTCAAAGTCCCACTTCTTCTATGAAATTTTCCTGGATATTATTTCATTCTACATTTATCTATGTCTTCCCATTATCATACTCCTGTAATGCTCATTGTCTCTGCCATTCAGTTTTTCAATTAACTGTGTAGTATTTCCTACTGGTCTCTAATGGTTTCATAGTCATTAGCTAGTCCTTTCAACTGCATTGCTAGTTCCTTGAGGATAGAGGCTAAGATAGATATTTTCTTTTTTTTCCAATGGCACAACTTTTGGTACACAGCAGGCACTCCGTTAAATACTTGTCAATGGACTAGGATGTGTGAGGAATCTGAACCGAGGGTTAGACTTTTCTTAGTCATGTGATGTTAATAGAATCATTATCACCTTACGTTTCTAACAACCAGACCCTTATCACCTTATATTTGTGGGAGGTGCTCTTGCAGGTGCCATGGAAGACTATTTATTCATTGAACAAACACTGACTGAGAATTCGCTTTGTGGCAGACACCACTGTAGGCACTGGAGAGTGTCTTGGAGGAGATATTATCTGGGGAAACAGACACTTAAATTGCCATATACCAACCCTTAGAGGCATCCAGTGGATGCAGTGGAAACCCCAAGGAGAAGCATCTAACCTAGTCTGGAGTGAGGTCAGAAAAGCTTGATGTGTTGAATACATATGCCTCTGCCCAATTGTGAGCCAGGTTAAAAAAAAAATCCTCAGTTTTTGTGACCTGCTGGTTTGAAATAGTTTATTTATCAGTGTGACATTTTTAGTGTGTTGTGCTCCAGTCATGACTTAATTCTACGAAATCATAGCACAGGCTCTCTCTCACACCCATGTGTCTAGGGAAAACTCAATTGCTATTGCAGTGTCTATGCATGCTGCAAAATCCCTTCTGCATCAATACTCAGCACTTCAACACCAAGAATCCTGTTCTTATGACTCTTCTCTTAACTTTCTAAGCTTCACACAACACTTGCTTTCCTCTTCTGTTCAACTCCTGCATGCTGGGGCATATTAGGGCTCTAGACTGGTCTCCCCTTTTCTATCCATCTAGACTTTCTCCTTGAATGAATATGTCCATTCCCATCATTTTAGAAAGTATCCTTTTACTGGTAATGTCTTAATCCATTTCTTTGGCTGTAGTAGTCAGTACAGGCTAAGTTGTGCTACAGTAAAAATAATAATAATAATAATAATTTGCTCCCAAACCTTACTGGCTTGACACAGAAGATTTATGTGTGTCTCATCCTATATGACTAATACAGGTTATGAGAGGAAATGGTGACTCTGCTTCACATAACCCAGTCAGGGACCCAGGTTGAAAAGGGCTCTGCCATCTGGGACATTGCTGTTCTCTGTGGCAGCAGCAGGAGGGATCACTGCAAAACTCAAATTCCCTCTTCTACGTTTCAGCCCAAGTTGGCATAGCCCATTGTCCAGAACCAGTCATGTGACCCACCAAAATGAAGAGGGGATCAAAAAATATAGGAAAGCAAAGGAATAAGCAGTGAGTAGTACCTGTCTCTTCCACACTAGCGCTGTGCATACCTCCATGCTCCAATTCTGTATCCAAGTGCTTCCTTGACATCTTTTTTGACATCACACATGTACTTCAAATTGAACATTGATTCTGTTCACCTGCAAACTCCAGTAATTATCCTTCATGCTTTCTGTCATTCCACCTACATGGAAATAACCAGTTCTGTTAGATCTACTCCCAAAATAAATCCCACAGGCATCCACTTCTCTTCTTTTCTACTCCCACCACTCTGGTCAAAGCCACCATGATCTTTCCTAGTAGGTAATAGCAGTAGCTTCCTAATGGACTCCTGTTCTTACATGCCTGTCTTCATACAATCCATTTTCCACATAGCAGCCACAGTGATCTTTCCAAAGGGTATATTGGATAAAATCATTTTTCTGCTTAAAACCCTCCAATGATTTCCCAGTACACTTAGAATAAATTCCAAATTCTTTATTCAATCTGACCCCTATTTTTCTCTAAGAATTCATCTTCTACTTCTCTACTCTGTCACCATTGACAGATTGTCTTGTATGCCAATTTCAGTTCTGCCTCAGGGACTTTGTATCAACTCTGTGCTGTGCTTTGAACACTCACCCCCAGACCTGCATGCAGCTGCCTCTCTCTTATCATTCAGACCTCAGTGTTGATGTCAGTACCTTAGAGAGGCCTTTCCAAACACCTAAATAAAGTAGCCACTGTCATTCTGTATCACATCCCCCTACTTGTTTCTTTGCATAGTACTTGTCATTATGTAACATTTTGCTGTTGTGTATTTGTTTATCCACTGGAATATAAGCTCAATTAGAGCTGAACTTTGTCAGCCTGTTCATTCTTGTAGCCACCAGTGCCTAAAGAAACAGTGTCAGGCACAGAGTAGGTCCTTAAAAAACATGGACTGGGCGTGGGGAGGGGGCGGTGGCTCACACCTGTAATCCCAGCACTTTGGGAGGCCAAGGCGGGTGGATCATGAGGTCAGGAGATCGAGACCATCCTGGCTAACACGGTGAAACCACGTCTCTACTAAAAATACAAAAAAATTAGCTGGGCGTGGTGGCGGGCACCTGTAGTCCCGGCTACTTGAGGCTGAGGCAAGAGAATAGTGTGAACTCGGGAGGTGGAGATTGCAGTGAGCCGAGATCGCACCACTGCACTCCAGCCTGGGCGGCAGAGCAAGACTCTGTCTCAAAAAAAAAAAAAAAAAAAATCATGGACTGAAGAAATGCATTCACTGGTTTCCTTACGAATTCTGGTGCCCTTGTTCATTCTCACCTTTAAGTGTGAGCTTTGGGTTCCTTTCATATATCCTTTCAATACAAAAGACTCTTGCTGAAATCCATATTTGCAACTGATAGAGTCAAATCTAAAGAAATGAAACAGTGAAGTGATCATCCTGGTTGGTGATTTGCAGTCTTCTCCTTGCCAGTCAGAGGGAAAAAGTTAACTAAGAAGGCAGCAACTTGTCACGTCTAAAGGTTCTTTTGACCCTGGTGATTAAGATGATGTGCCTGATGTGGTGAACTTTTATATTATGTTGCCAGAGAACTGTGAAAACAGCCCTTTTGTCACACTGAGTTCTCAGTTTTGGTGATGGCTGTCACTGTTCTGGAAGGAGTGATTCGCCCAAGGTGCAGGGGAAGCAGTGACAGGATGGGAGACAGGACTGACCTAAGGGTTCATCTCCAAGTCCACTGAAATAAATAGAAAGTGCAGGTACCATGATACACAGTCACATCTTGATACCACAACATTATATCACTTGTATGCACCATTGGCCCAATTTCTAGAGTTCTCAAGGAAGGAAAGACTTCCATTCCTTAGCAGTCTGCTCTGCCTAGACCAAGGATGCTCAGAGCCCAAAAGGCAGTTTACCTCCTAGTGTCTGGTTCTGCCTGGCTTCTCAAAACTCTCAGGACAGGTAGCTGGAGACATATAAAGGAAGGCTTTCATGGTGCAATGACCTTTATCCAGCACTACTCTCCCTGCAAATGTTCTCACACCTTGCTTCTCAACTTACTCCTGATGCTATCATTGACTCTTTCATTTAGCTTCCTATTTATGGGCTTCTTTTATCTTTCTTACCAGGAGTGGCACTCAGCATGCTTCCCCTACTTGGACAATTGGCTTTCCATGTCAGCCATGATTTGGTCCATCTCTCAGGGGATATTGCTGTCAGCTCTTTGAGGACAACACCATACCCAGTCTAGTCTGATCTCTGTGTCCCTTTTTGTCAAAGCAGGCTTTCTTGCTAAGTTCACCCACTTTGAGTTGTAGCTTAGAGCTACAGCTTCCTCAACAAGTTAGTTATTCACCTTTCTTAAAAGTCTGTACATTTCCCAAAGAACATGTTCTATTATCTTGTAACCTTTAGAGTCAGTCAGGGGCAGGAGGGGCTCTGCTATATTTCCAGTTTAAATTTCTCAGGCTTTAATTTAATTAGAGCTCATACCAAAATGGCGATTTGGTCCTCATGAAAAAAATTCTTTTGATTTCATTCCTGTAAAGAGGACTTTTTCAATCTTTGAGGAACCTTATTGTAATGGTATTTGATCTATTCCTGATTATACAATTATTAGACTTTTGGTGATCTAACCAATGACATTTAAATGGCATTTATGTGCAAAACTTGAATTGTGGAATCACAAAACATTTGTCCTGAAAGGGACTTCAAAAAATATAGTCCAATGCCTGTATTTAAAAGATAAGGAAAGTTCAGCACCAGCTAGCTGAGGTGTCTTGTACAAGGTCACACAGACTGTCAAGAAATGAAGAGAAGAAAACATGTGAGATGGCCTTCTTACCATTCCACCTCTAGTTAAAGAAGAATGTTTAAAAAGATTAAAAAGGAAGAGAAGTGATTTCAGGCTCTTATTTTTTTTTAAAAAAACCAAAAAACAAAAACCTGACATCTTTTCATTGTATTTTATCACACTTCAAGTATAGGTATGTTGTTAATGCAGAAAAGTTCTTCAGAACATAAGAATGTTGGAAAACTATAATTTTGAAAAGAGGGGTTAATTCCCAGATGACTGGAGTGAAGGGGGCAGTAGGAGGAGAGGAGGCAAGTTCTTAAGAATACCAACCTAAATCATAGACCCTGGAACCAGTTTCTACTGACTCTAGTCTATCAGGAGCCTTTTGTAAGACAAAACTGGAAATGTTCAGCTGCACACAGATTGCTTTATTTAGCAGACAATCTCAAAAAAAAAAAAAAAAACCCAACATGTTCTCTTGTGATTTGAGGCTTGATGATCTAATTTTCTCTTTGTAGCTTTCCTTCACCAGCAACCACCTGCTCAATGGCCAGAAAAGACATGACCACTCTGTGAATGGTCCTTGGCCTTCCAGTCTTCCCACTCTGCATGCTCCTTGGGTGTGTCCATCTACTCCCATGCCTCCAATGTGAAGGACCCAAACTTGAGACCGATTTCTAACTGCCCAAGGTATATCTCCATGTTGATGTGGCACAGGCACTTCAAACTCAGCAAGCCTGTAACTAAATTCATGACCTATTCTCCAACCCCAAATCAGTCTCTGTAATGTATCAAGGTTAATAGTGTCACCAGGCACTCACTCAGTTGTCTAAGCTGAAGTCTCAGAAGCATCACTGACTCCTCCTTCTACCTCACTCACCACACTCAGCTGATCAATAGTCCCTCCTGCCTATCTCTTAGCTGCCTCTGGAATATGTTTTCTATATAGCATCTCATCATCATGTTCCCAAAGTCCAGATTCCATCACCTCTTGCCAAGACTATTTACAACAATCTTCTAAGGTAATAATTTTATCTTATTTTCCCTACCTTCTCCAAATCCAATATACTCTTGCTTAAAAGCCCATCTGTAGCTTACTACTGCCTAAATAATAAATTCAAAATTCTTTAACACGGAAAATAGATGACTTTAAATGTACTTACTTTAAATTTAGATACAGTGAGCCTAAATATGCCATCCTGTAACTTTTACCCATTAGTCATGGATCTGTTGCGAAGATCTGAATGGAATAAGAATCAACCTAAGCCTTCATTCACAAAGAGGAGTGTGTATTGTGGTTGAGAGAAAGGGTTCCAAAAGCAGTCAGACCTTGTTTAGGGCCTGACTCCACCACGAACTACTATCCTGAACCTGGAACAAGGTTCTCAACCTCTAGGACACTTATTTTCTTATCTGTAAAATGGGTGTGAAAAAAGTACATAAAGCTTCAGGCTGTGGTAGGAATTACATGAGATGATGTACAGTGAGCCTAACATCTAGAAGTGCCAACAAACAGTAGATATTATTTTTATTAATATCATTATTGTTAACATGACAGTTCTTTAGAATATTTTAGAATAATTACGAGAGGCCCCTATTATTCTCTTCTTCAGTATTTTTTTTTTTTTTTTTTGAGACAGGTTCTGGCTCTGTCACCCAGGCTGGAGTCTGGAGTGCAGTGGTGCAATCTTGGCTCACTGCAGCCTCTGCCTCCTGGGCTCAAGTGATCCTCCCACCCCAGCCTCCCAAGTAACTGGGACCAGAGGTGTGCATCACCACAACTGGCAAATTTTTGTATCTTTTTGTAGAGACAGGGTTTTGCCATCATGCTCAGGCTGGTCTTGAACTTTTGAGCTCAAGTAATCCACCTGCCTCAGTCTCTCAAAGTGCCGGGATTGCAAAGCTTGAGCCATGGCGCCCAGCCCACCCTACTTCTTACAATCAAAATCATATTGATTTGAGAATGGCTCTCCATCCTGGTTACCTCCTCTGAACCCTTAAGAAACTAATTATGATTTTACCACAAGACTTGAAGATAAAAAATGTACTCTCCTTTCTAACAGTTTAATGGTGATTAGTAAATACAAAGTCCTTTTTTTCCAAAGGTGTTTTCTCTTTTAGTCATTACAACTCTAAAGGAGTCAACTCCTTTTTACTTTAGTGTATCCTTCCACTTCCTAATTGGGGCTTTCAAGGAAATTTTATAGTAACTGCCTCAGACCACGAATTAGTCTCTCCTTTCTAAAAATGCACCTTTCAAGTTTTGGTTTGCGATTATTGGCAGGAAGTGAGGAAATGATTTACACTTCCTTTCTGTGGCTTCCTAGAGCAGTGCTACCAATCTGACATTTTTACCAGCTCTGTATTTACAGTGATTATAATAAGTGGGAAAAAAAAGTAGTTAGTAGAATAGCAGATTGGTCTTCCCTTGGTATGACAATGAAGACAGATAGCAAACATAGTATTCTATTAAACAAAAATAAGTGCTCAAAGAAGTCTAGATATTGTTGCTGGAGATATCTCCAAAATGTCAATAGGCAATGAAATTGGGCAATGTGCCCGTGATATCCAAGAAGAATCTGTTTATTTGTTTCTTATGTGAATTGCATAATTCTCCAACCTGAAGTACCAGGGAATTTCCATTTAACACATTTAGAATGTTGTTAGTATCACTGAGAGTGTGAATACTGAAAACATTTTAAAATAAAATTACTGCGTAAAGTTTGATGGAGCTGGCATCATGGATAAGAGCTCTGAAGTCTAAATCCTTAGACCTAATGTCTGCTCTATCACTTACTAGCCTTGTGACCTTGAACAAGATACTAAATCTTTCTGGACTTCCATTTACTCAACCATAAAATGAGGCAGGGTGGGGTGGTAAATATGAACATATTGTTTTGGAATGAGGATCAAGTGAACCATAATGCGTAAAACGTGTCTAACATCATGTCCAGCACACAGTAAGCACTCAACAACTATTGGCTGTACATGAATATGGTTAGACAACAAGTAAGACTGCTATGACTCTCATTTCATTTTTGCTAGGACATCTGATGGCAAATTCAATCAACATTTCAAATTTTATTTATCATCCTTTGTTTTTGATTTACATAAAACCAAATACCGGTGGACTTTTTCCACTGAAATGACCAGCTGTTCTATCACCATGTAAAAATGCTCTAAGTGTAACTACAGTAATCACATTTTGCTTTCTTGTTCCATAGCTAAGCTGTCTCACAGACACCTGTAAACTCTAAAGAGCCCTTATTCCTAAAGTTCCATGCAAGGTCAGTGGCAGTATATGATTATGGAAAAATAATTCAAGTATTATAATGATAGGATTCTTCAAAGTAAACTCTTTGCTATCCTTGCAAAAGTGCTGACAATGAAAGGAAAGATTCTTCCTAAAAATTTCACTAAGCAGATAGGTGGCATTAATTAGAATCACTGAATACAGGATAACTGAATATAGAATCATGACTAACTAAATCAAGTCATATCCCTATGAGCCTGGAAAATATGATTCTATTTATTGCAACCAGAATGGACATCGGTAGTGTGCTTTGAGAGAAGTGCCAAGTGGCGAGTTAGCACTCAGCAGGATTTATTCAGTTATGTCTGGGGAAGGGAGTATTTGAGCCTGCCAGGTTCTGGGTTACTGGAAGGGCTAATCACTACCAAGGCAGGCATGAGCTGGCCCAGAGAGGCTTGGTGACTTGTCACAGACTTGTGTAGAGGTCACAGATTTGTTAGAGGCATATCTGAGACTAAAATCCAGCCAACTTGAAGGCACAGTTCTATTAACACTGCCATATTTCCTCCCTGAGGTCTTTGTGTATCAGACCAACCTACAGGCCAGACACCCAAAGTTTGAAACTCCACATCTACCAAGTTAGTTTCACCCTTATCTTCTAGTCACTAGTTTGAGTCTCCCTGGGCCTTCACTGGGTGACTTCAATCTCAATGTAGCAGGAATTCACGGTATATTTTTACACCTACTTCTTCCATTGAAAAAGCAAAAATTAATTAAGTACATAACAAAACATTATACCCTGACACGTCATAGAAATTACTAATGCCCAATCTTAGAAGAAGGTTTGGGGACTGCAAGACTATTATCCAAATCTCAGAACTTAGATTTGATGAAGATTAGATGAGTTGTTTTTTTGTTAGGAATTGCATACATAGGCATGCTTTATCTTCCTCCCCCACACCCCCCTACTGTTATATGAGGTTCAAGTGGAATTAATTAGGTGTCAGATACTGGATAGTAATTAACTAAATCAAATCAATACAAAATGCCAAAATGTATTTTTAATGAGCTGTTTTTCTGTTCTTAGTCTGGATAAGTAAATAAACTACATTGTATTAATCCAAGAATATGTAATATTTATTCTCTTTTGATTGATCAAAGTATGTTTGCAGACAGTAAGTTAGTATTCTTTAATGAAAAGGCTAGTACAGAGTGAAATGTTGATAATATTTGCTAACATTTATTGATTTCCAGGTGCTCACATGCATATAGTTGTAAGCACTTCATGGATATTTAATCATTTAATCCTCCCAGCAAACCTATGAATATCCAAAGTAGATATTATTATTCCCATTTTATGTAGAAGGAAATTGAGGCACAGAAAAGCAAATTGCTCAAGGCTACACATCTAGTAAGTTGGTGAGCTATAATTTGAATCCAGGTATTCCAATCCAGAGCCCTTAGTAATAACCTTCATGCCAGCGGTTCTCAACCAGGAGTGGTTTTACCCCCCAAAAGACATTTAGTAATGTCTGAACACAGTTTTGATTGTCACAACTAGGAGAGGAGAATACTACTGGCATTTAGTGAGTAGAAGCCAGGATATTGCTAAACACACTATAATGCATAGAACAGCCCCATACATCAAAGAATTCCAGTGCAGAGGTTCAAAACCTCTGCTCTATATTTTACTGCCTCTGGGATCAGTTATACCCTAGCTACAAAAAATGTGGTATGTATACCAGCAGCATTGCATCACCTAGGAGCTTCTCAGAGAGGCCCACCCAGACCTACCCAATTAGAATCTGCATTTTAATAAGATCCCTAGATGATTCATCTGCACATTAAAGTTAGATAGGCAGTGAGTTAGACTATTAATTCTACCATCTTGTGATATGTCTGCAATAAGACAAATCTCATACATCAGTCTAGTCCCCATGCACAGGCACAGAGACCGAATGTCAGGAAGTTGTTTTAGTGGGGTACGAATTAGGGAGGGAGGGGGAAGGATCCATCCATGATGTAAAAATAGGGACTGGAGTTTTCTTCAGCGGACAGTCACTTGAAGTAGCAGATACAGTCAGAAGGCAATCACTACCTGGGTCTAAGAAACAGGGACAAAAAAAACCACTCAAATTCTAACTCTGTCCTCAGGACTAAGAGTAGAAGACATGGGGAAGGCCAGAGGCCAGGTAAGTACAGACATGGAATAGAGGGGAAAGGAACTAACACAACTGGGCTGTGAGAGCAGGGCTGGAGGTGGTGAGAGAGGGTAATTGTCGCAAACATAGAAATCAGCCAGAACAGCAAAGCTCCTTGGATCTGAGTGCCAGCTGTGTGCAGCAGCCACTGGCCTAGTTTAAAGGCACAGATACAGAGAAGGTCCGCCCACCCTATGAGATGTGCATGTATTTCCCCTAAATGAAACTTCTAGGGTGCCATTTTAACAGTCAATAAGGCAGTAAAAGCACCACCAAAATTACAAAACTCCAACAATAGCTTTTAAGGAAAACAGGCCTGTCCTTTTAAGAAGCACACATTCAGCAGCTTATGAAGAAGGGATGAAAGAACAGTTCCTGCTCTCAACTGGCCCTTGGAGTTGACCACAAAGTGCTTTAGAACCAACCCTCTGATGCATAAGCCATCACACAATTTTGCGTTTGCAGATTTAAGACAATACTTTCATCAAAACATGCCTCCTCCCAGACAGGCTTTCAAAGCAATAAGCAAAATAACAATCTTTTGTGAGCTTTACAAAATGTTAACTGGGAAACCCTACTGTTTTTAATTGTGCCTGAATAAATGCAGACCAGGATCTCCGGGTACAAATAAAGTGGTTTATCTCTCCTCTCTGCCTCCAAATCAGTTTTGCACTGATAGGTGGCCATTCCCAAAGGCAAAGGTGACATGCGGCAAGATTGAGGCAAATCATGGAGCCCAACCACTGTGAAAACCATTTCACAGTAAACTGATAACTTAAGAATACTATTGTTGTGGCTATCCAGATAATTTTCCTTTCAATCATTCTCTATTTCTAAATCACCACCCTGTCACATTAAAATCGTAGGATTGGGGAGCTGAATTGGATCTTAGCGTCCTCGAACATGGGAAGAGGAGGTACAAGAGAATCAGCAAAGGAGCCTTTTAAAAGTGCATATTGCTTGGGCCCCATCCTGAGCCCACCCCACTCCAGGAATCTTAATTCAGCAGGTATTTGGTGCATCCAAGGAATCTGTGCTTTTAATAAACCCCTTGGATTATTCTGATGTTTGGCAGGTTTGGGGAATACTGTCAGGTTCAACTCTCTCATTTTGCAGGTGACGAAACTGAGAACCAGGTAGGTAATTCGCAGGACTGCCAAAGCTAGCATCCTGACCTCCACGCTTAATTTATTTTGATTACTCAATCCTATCATTTTTTCACTTGATCAACAATACCATATAATGTGTAATAGTAGAATATACTATTCCAGAGTACAAGCCACCAAATGCATAATAATCCAAAATTCAGAGCTAGTATCTCCTCTATTTTCTCCACTCCCCATTGCTGTTCATTCTATCCCATGTAAAAATGCATTAGTCTCCCTGATGTTCCTAACCACCAGCCTCCTGGCCTTCACGGGGGAGGATGGAAAGCTTCTCAAGAAACATGTCAGCAATGACATTCCATAATTATCTTTTTTTCCTTTTAACCTTTTATAGCTTTGTTGTTCTTGACCTCTCAAGTAGTCTCCAGTTACATCCCCAAAAGAAAAATGACATCATTATAACTCAGGGACATGGATGTGTTGCCTCAGCAGGGCTATTGGCTGGTCAACCAATGTCAACTGGTGTAATGGCCTTTTTACCCACATATGTACACGCTTTTTAAGAGGAAGTTGATTTTAAGAACATATCTACTCTTTGCTTTGGTTTCCCTTATTGAATTCTTGATTTTCTAAGAACTCATGTGACTAATTTATTCAGAAAACACATAGCATTAAGAAAGAAAAAATGTAACCATTAAGATAGTGGTAAAGTTTTGTTTGGGTTATTTTGAGGGATAAAAGATACCAAAAAATCTCAAAAAGGTTAATTTATCTTTAGGAAAAGACCTGTTCCCATTCATGAAAATATATCCAAATCCTGGTTGAGTTATTGTAACTTGCTATTCTGCTCTGAGGTACAAATGTACTTTTACTTTGTCTATTTCTTTTTAGGCATTAAGACAAAAAATAAGTATATAAGAGCAGGTAATCCTAACAGCCATGGCTTTCTGGCATGGTGTGCCTGCTGTTTAATCCAGGAAATATATACTCTGTTTTTGTGTCTTAATAACCACATTACTGTCCTTAGTATTATCAAGTTAGCAAATGTGTTTCCATAAAAGATCCCAAATCATATTATATTTTGTCTTCTCCATCTATCAAAATCGTATCAGCTTTAGGGCTCACACAGTATCGTGCCACCTCTGAGAAACACTTCAGAATGATCCAGATTCCACTCTTCCTACACATCTAGCATCACATGCGGTCTATGTCTCAACTCCTTAAAGTGTGGTCCTCATACCAGAAGCAGCAGCATCACCTGAAAGCATTTAGAAATGCAGAATCTCAGCACCACTCCAGACTACTGTATTAGAATTTACATTTTAGTAAGATTCCCAAGGGATTTGTATGCACGTTAAAGCCTGAGAAGCACTGCTGTATACCGTATGACACTTCATTAGAGTTGGCTTCAAACCTTTTGTCTCCTCCAATTCAATTCTTACACCTTACAAGGAGCAACTTTTGTGTTCTCTCAGCATTTGGTATTATGGGAAGTCTAGAGTAGAGTTTAAGAGGGTAATTGTGTAAGAAACTGTTGGTTATCTGTCCACCAACTATTTCTCTTTATATCTTGTTAATAGTAATTGCATAGCTTTGAATCAGGAGGTATGTCCAGATGCCTACCCCATCTCCAGCCCCATCTAACCCAGGGGACAAGTCAGGACTGGTCAGTGCTAATCATGGTGATGCCACTTGTCTTCCCAGTGTGTCTGGGGAGCAGGGACATAAGCATGGGACACAAGCCCAACCAAGTTACCAATGAGGGAGACAGGTGGCTCCTGGGAAGGACTTCTGAACAATTACAAGAGATATTAGGCTACAAAACCTCATTTTCTGACTATGGACATTTAGTAATGAAGATACAACCCCTAAAACTAAACAGACCATCTTGTGACTTGTGAAGGGAGTTAGCCCAGGAAGCATATTCAGAACTTTCGAGTGGAAAGTTGGAAGGACCTGGACCTCCTTGGGCGTGATTGTGCCATTGAAATTGCCGAACTTGTGCCTGCTTTACCTCCAGACTTCTTGCTATGTGACATGTAAATCACATTATTAAGCTATTTGAGTTGGATTTTCATCACTTAAAGCAGGAAGTCTATTAACTAATAAAACTGTTGACTGAAATATCAGCCAATAATTGATGGTGTGCATTCACACTTTACTTTTACCATCTCATGCAATTATTATGTCACTTCTATGAGGAAGCCACTGTTGTCCCCATTTTACTGATGTAGAAACTATAGTTCAGAGAGATCGAGTAACATATCCAAGATTTAGTACTTAAAGCAAGGTCTCCCCAGTGTGAAAGCACAGGCATCTTTTTTCATTCTCCTTCTATGATTTGACTGGTTAATAGCCAAAATAATTTGCTTACACTGTTTCATTGAATCTGATAAGAGTGGTCTTTAGGAGGATTATGCTGTAGCTCAGAATAGGGAGGAGAGCCCTTTTATAGGTTTTCTTGAGAGTGGTTTATTATTTGCTTTACTGATGACACTGCAAGAACAGATGCAAGAGTTATTGAAAATGGGAATAGTCTCATCCTGCAAAGCTCTATTCCCAAAGAATCCTGCAGCATGCCAAGCAGGCTTGAGATGAATAAAATAACGAAGCTCCTGTTTGCAGAACTATTCATTGTTAAGAGATGTTGTGTTATAAAATTAATGAATCTTTCTAAGAGAGTTGATAACAGTGAACCAGTAGCCAATTCCTGACACGTACACATGGATCTGAAGGGAGATGAAACCTCTAAAAGTAGTGCCAGAGGAAAACATAATACTGTACTTCTTTTAATCTACAAGTTCACTTTGAAAGTCTGTAGCTCAGCTTTAAAATTTGCCCAATTTAAAACAGCATCTACATTCATTTGTTCAGATGTTTTGTCTGAAAGAGGAGATAAAAAATATTAAAACACGCGGAAGTTTCCAAAAACACTACTTAAATATTTTATTTGCCATCCCCACGTGATGGACTGGTAGAGACATAGCCCTTGAAATAAGGCCAACAGTTCGCTCAGGCTGGACTCCAAAATTATAGGAGATAAAAGGTTTTTTTGACCAATCTTTATCTCCCAAGGGAGTGTAATTCTTATTCTTAGAAATGTCATTTCCCAGGTGTTTACAGATATGTAACAAGCAGCAATGCTTCCGAAATAAAAGGAGAACATGAGCTTAGACACAATTAGCAACATTAAAGGCAAGAAGCTGGCTTTCCACCAAAATAGGGCCATGTTCTCACACAAACTAAATATCTCCAGACATTGGTCTTGCACTCTCCATGTGTGGGCTATGCTTGGAAGGTCATCCATGTAGACAGAATGCTTAACCTAGCTGCTAATTAGGTCATTTAGTCAATACAGTGGAAAATTCAGTCCCAGTGAATATGTAATGCATGTAAACAGTCTGTCTTTTTTCATTTTGACCTTAAAAATCTCTCAAATCTATTGTTGGAAGTGACCAATTATTTCAGTTGAAAGAATTGAACTCATAATTCTGTGCAGACACAGGCACTGCTGATTAACTCCGGAAATGGCATTAATTCACTCAGCATTTTATCCAAAATATTCCAGTTTATCATCTTAAAACAAGGACTCTGACTCATTATTGTGAGAATCAGAAACTGTTTCTCATTCTCAAGCCAATAGAACAACAACAAAAGACTTATTTCAGTATTTCATCTCCTGCTTTAATTTCTGAGTTCTGCACTGACATTCTAGTAATTAGGAGGAAGACAAAAGATGTCTGAGAATAGACAAAACCTAACTGCTAAAGTTAAACATGTTCTACCAGTTTGCCATTAACACAATCACAGAATTTAAATTTTTTCTCTTCCTAATTAAGAGTTAATTTAAACCCAACTTTTTTGATAGCTCAATCCTTCATATTAGTCAAAGAAAACCTATGATATGATTGATGAATTTTATATATTTTTGGAAAAGAATCTCCAAAATATCAAGTAATTTTATCATGGAAGATTTAAAAAACTATAGGCATTTAGAGAAAATTAGAATCCTGAACCTACAATCAGTTTTAAACAGAAAAGCAACTTAATAATTAATAAACTGAAAAAATACTGATAGACATTTTGATTAAAATGAATATATACAATTTTATTTTTAAATTAGGCATAAACAAATGCCATTAAAGTGAGACATGTTATATTTAACACCCACATACATATATCTTCATTAAGACTAAAGTAATGGAAAAGGTGAGTGAGGGAAAGGAAGGATGAAGAGAAGTGGGTTAAAGTATACAAACAGGAGGAATACATTCAGTGTCTGATAGCAGAGTGGGATAGCTATAGTTAACAAAAATATATTGTACTCAGATGATGGACACTTTAAATATCCTACCATGATCACTATACACTATATACACGTAACAAAATTTCACACGTACTCCATAAAGTTGTACTAATAAAAATTAATTAAGTAGTTAATTCCTTAATTAATGATATATAAAACATGAAATAATTCAAGAATTAGATATCTAAATATCTGAAATCCCAGTTCCCTTTTGCTTTGTAGAGTTTATATCATTTAAAAAAAAACCTTAAATTATGACATGACCTTGGAAAAAGAGATGAAAATTTTCACTCACTATTTTCAGCCAATGAGCTCTTAAATTCTCACTAAATAATAAAAGCCTGTCACTTTAAAATACTTCACTAAGTAATAAAGGACCATAAATTTTTCATTATTTAGATTACATATACTGCCTGCTCAGTAGTGTGTACATATGTTCCTCTACTTAGGATGAGGTTACATCCCAATGAACCCATCAGAAGCTGAAAATATTTTAAGTTGAAAACATTGCAAGTCAAGTGCATTTAATACTCCTAACCTGACAAACATCATAGCTTAGCCCAGCGTACATGCTCAGAACATTTACATTAGCCTACAGTTGGGCAAAATCATCTAATGCAAGGCCTATTTTACAATCAAGTGTTAAATATCTCATGTAATTTACTGAATACTGTACTGAAAGTGAAAAGCAGAATGTCTCTCCAACAGTGCCCAGCATCACAGGAGAATATTGTACCACATATAACTAGCCCAGAAAAAGACCAAGATTCAAAAGCAGACATAGTTTCTACCAACTGTGTCTCACTTTTGCACAATGGTAAAGTCAAAAAATCATTAAGCGAGCCATCATATGAGTCAGGGACGGTCTATAATTACACATTTGAATATATATTTTTTTAATGTTCAGCATACTTATTAAAGTGAATTTCACTCTTTTTAGAAGATGTTTAAAACAGACCTGAATGACAGTTGAGTCTCAAATTTTTCCTCATTGTGAATGTTGCTTTCAATGCCCAAAGCTTCTGCCAGCACACTCACAGTATTTATAGAAATATAGACGTTCTTTATAGAGGCTTACCAGGAAACCTGTAAAAGCTAATATTACACTGGCTATTCTTACAGGTGAATAAGGGTTTTCTTCTGGAGAGGACAAAAAGTTGTTATAAATGTGAATTCTAATAGCTATGGGGGTAGGAGAATAGAAGGCATCTCTCTCTCTCTCTAAAATCATTTTCCACCAGTTCAGAACACTTAAACAATCTTTTGGTCCAAAAAAATTGTAAGGAGTGCTCTATTCTGAACACAATTGCAATTCAAGACATCTATATTTCATTTTCCTTCTCTAGTTAAAGATTTGCTGACCAATCTAAATCCAAAACGTTCTGTTCTTGGAGTTCTGCTTTAAGAGAATGGTTTACACAATATTCGAGAGTAGGAAGAGACAGCAAAAATGATCTACTCCTACAATTTTTATTACATTTCAAGGTTGGGAACCTTCTGTGTTCTTTTTATTTCCCTAAACCCCAACAGCTGATGTGATATGAGAACAGAGTTCAAAGGATGTGCAGCAGAAGCAATTAAAACAGGCCTACTATCACCAGCAGATCCTTGAATTCTCACTTGAAATTTAGTTATCAATGCATTAGATATTTTACATGTGTTTGTCATCTTCCCAAGTTTGTGAGCAATGTGACTGCCTGGGTTTGTTTTTCTTGGATGTCCTCCAGCCTATTTGACACCTCTGTGCAACACTGCATATTCTCTTGACCCCACCCCTTGCATTTGGCTGCAACTTAACAATGCCAACGCCATGCCCCAAACTCAAGCTAAAGCCCCAGTCACGTGCCTCTTTCTTCTTGCCCATCACTGCCTGGGAGTCGCTGAATAAATACTTCCCTTTTAAGACAATTTTGAGACATATTTCATAAGAGTCTCCAGAAGTCTCTGACAAGAGTGAACACATCATCTGTAGCTGCAGCCAACTTGGTAAACTTTATTTGTTCTCCTTTATTTATTTATTTCTTCTATTTTCTCAGCCCCTACTCCTACTCTCGGAGGTCATTTCTCAAATCACCCAGAACTCTGCATTCTGACTCCAGCTCTGCTTTGACAAGGACCTAGCCCAAGACATCTAGAATATAATAATCATAACCATGGTTACCTCTGGATGTAAGCCTGCCATAGGCTAGTTACTTTATTCAGAAAACAGCCATAAAAAATGATGAGTTCATGTCCTTTGTAGGGACATGGATGAAATTGGAAATCATCATTCTCAGTAAACTATCGCAAGAACAAAAAACCAAACACCGCATGTTCTCACTCATAGGTGGGAATTGAACAATGAGATCACATGGACACATGAAGGGGAATATCACACTCTGGGGACTGTGGTGGGGTGGGGGGAGCGGGGAGGGATAGCATTGGGAGATATACCTAAGGCTAGATGACGAGTTAGTGGGTGCAGCGCACCAGCATGGCACATGTATACATACGTAACTAACCTGCACAATGTGCACATGTACCCTAAAACTTAAAGTATAATTAAAAAAAAAAAGAAAAAAAAAGAAAAGAAAACAGATCTTCCTAAATAAGAAAACTGACGCTGAGTGATGTAGTAATGATGTAACTAGGATTCGAACCCAGATCTGCTAGAAACGTCAGCATTGCCTTCCATGCAGTACTGTTCAGAACTGTAGGCATCATAAACTTGACATTAACAAGGCTTTACATTTCAAAGTGCTTTCAGGTTGTCTGGGGTACTTCTTAATACTGACAAGAATAGCCACTATTTATTAAAGGCTTCTTATAGGCCAGGTTCTGGGAGTATGTGTGATTTCATTTCATCTTTTCAACAAACCTATGCAGTAAGTCAGACACTATTTCCCCAGTTGTGTGGGTGATGTATCTCATCCTACCACAGTGTCTGCCAAATGAACAGCTCAGTATTTCTTTACTGAATTAAATTAAATTGGAATAAATTTTGGAAACCATGGATCTGCTCCATTTTCCTCCTTCCTTTCAGAAAAAAATGAAGAGGGCTTCATACTCACAAATTTCCTGAAAATTTCCACTTTGTTCTTTGGTAACATATTCTAAAGCCTCAAAAGAACAAAGAGAAACATATTTTCAAAGCAAGGATAGTAGTATCTTCAAAGGAGGAAAAAAAATGTTGCATTCACTCGAGGAGATTAGTATTGTGGAATTATGGAGGTGTAGGGAACCTCGGGAGGTTATCTGCCTTATAACTTTGCCTCCAGGCAGAACTACAACAAAGCTATCATGAACACATTTCTGCCTGTGTCTACAGGTCAAATCTTATTATAACCCATGATAATTCAGATCTCCAAATGATGAAAAGATCCCTCTGATCCAGCAATTGGCCAGTTTATTTCAAGCAGTGTTTGATAAGGCAGAATTCCAGCAAGAAACATCTTAGTGAGCCAGAAAATGCAAAGTCAAACAAGAAGAGAATTTCAAAAAGCTATGTAAAGACCAAAGACTCCGGGAGAGTGGATTTGCATCGATGTGCTCTTTCTATTTTTTGAAACTGAAAACCCAGAACCCTAAGAGGAATTAGAGAGCAAAGACATTACATTCTGGAAGCATAAAACTTCATTACACTAATAAAGTAAGTACCTATTTCTTATAGGTCAGGAGTGAATGATCATCATTACATGTACTTCTTTATTGGATTAATAAACATGATCTTGTTCAATAGCCCTTGGGCAAATGTACAATAAAATATGAACAAGAAGAGGAAGAGAAGGATAATATCTCTGAGCACCTTCTAACCCAACAAGTGAGTTTTTATGCACACTTTTTTCCATTAAAAAATGCAAAGATCATTTATGAAATAAGATGATAACAGCAGGTCCTAAAGTGCATGCATCCGAACTCAATTATAATCCAGCTCATTATTAGATGTTTTTTGCACACAGCATAGGTCAAGGCATCTCCTCTGAGACATCTCAACTATATTCAGCAAAGCACAGTGTCATGTTTTCTCACAGTATCAGGTTTATTACAACAGTAGTCAAATATCTTCGTTTACTAAAATGAATGAAAATAACAAAACATTATTAATTAGCTAAATAATGAATTAATTAAAGCTATCTTCAAAACAACTGCTGTGTTGTCCTTTGAAGATAAAGAAGCTGATTTTTGTGGAGAGCCAGCTATCTAATGGTAGTAGAAATTAGCTTTTTGACAATGAATTAGCATAAAAATAGAGCATTAATTTCCTCCTTGTCCCTTATGCCTGTGTCCCACTGGCACTCCCAAGGCCACTTCCCTGTTGCTAAGACCACAGCACTGGTGTGTCCATGCCATATATTTTTTGTGTCCATAGTCTCTGCCCTTTCTGTTTGCAGCCATCCCTACTTGAACGACAGACCAAATTAATTCCCAGTACAGGTAGGAACAGGCTGCAGGGCTGTCCTGGCTATCGGAAACCCCTAGCGTATGTGTCTTCAGGATAACTAAGCAAAGTTGTTGTTTTACATATTTTATTTGGTCCTCTTCTTAAAAGATATGTGTTTCTGCCTTGTTAATCTGGAAGAATATATGGAATATATATATATATATGTGTGTGTTAGTTAGGTAAGCAATACTAGCTGTTATAACAAACAAATCCCAGAGACTTACTACAAAAGGCTTCTTTGTCATTGATGTCCCATCTACTGCTCAAGTACAGGTAAGTTGCTAGACTCCTGTCTTGTGCCGTGCTGCTGTCAGCTCCCCTAGGAAAGGGAAAGAGAGGGGAGAAGCGATGCAGCAGCTCAGCTTCATAAAGCCCTGAGGCAGAAGTGGTACTTGTCACTTTCATTCTCATTCCAGGTTGTGACTGGCACAGCCAGAGGGGCAGACTTAGATGCAAGGAGGATTGGGAAATTCAGTCCTTTACTGGACCCATTTTCCAGCTAAAATTCCACAATGTGGATGCTGCAAATAGATTTCAGTAAGCATTTAAACAACTCTCCTGCATTGTTCCTTTTCCCTGTAGAGCACACCCCTAAAAAGCCTTTCCTTCTACTTGTCTGTTGGCTGGGGTTTTGTAGGTGAAATTTGCTATATGGCTGAAGTGCAAGATATTTGATGAAAGACTAATCACTCCCCTTTATAAACTTGCTTTACTCTTAGCCAAATTTGCATCTCAAGTTCTTATCCACTTGTGTAACATTTTTAGTAGGTATCTAAATGGCTACTCGTTTTCCTGCTTCTGGATCCCTATCTATAATATACCAAATTATTAATATTGGCATTTGACAAATAAAGTTGGTTATGCAAACGTGGGGTTTTATATACAAACCTACCCTATCTCTAATAAGCTGTGTGGCTTTTTCCCCAAGTCTGTTACAGACTCTAAGATTGAGGCAATGTTCCTTGGGTTAAATACATGCAGACTCTGTCAGTGAAAAGAGAAATTCTGGTAAGCTCTTTAACTTATTTAGTTAACAAATAATTATTGAGCACCTAGGAAGTACAAGGTAGTGTGCTAGACTCTGGAACTCCTGAGCTATATAAAATGCCCAGAGAATTTATAGGCAACATAAAGTGATATAACCCTCCCTAGATTTTCCTTCACCTTCCTCTTTTCTCCTAAAAATAAATAAATAAATAAAAATAAAAATAAATTTCCTAAATACTTACAGTATTTAGAAACCAAGTCCAGTAGAGGGCAGCACACACACACACACACACACACACACACACACACACACACACACACTCACTCACTCACCTCCACTAGCATCCCTGCACCACCAGTAAATCTAGCTAAGTAGAAGAATAAAGTGGAAGTTCTTTGCACAGTATCCAGCACATGGTAGGTATGCAATTGATTCTTTAAAAAATAGACAGAGTGGCAGGGGAGCAAACATTTACAAACACGTAGATGCGCCTTAAAGGAAATTAGCATTCTGAAAAATAACAAAGAACAACCTAATTTATTCCTCGTGTCTTAGTAATTGTTTCAAAAACACAGTGAACACAGAATGCAGTAAAAAATCCACTTATAGTGAAGATGCTCTATAATTCAGCTCTATTATCATATTACTATGTTCGATTTGTTTTCACTGAACTCTGATACAGCTGTGAAAATAAGAAAATCAAGTGTAACATTTTTCCATCAGTGAAAATAGAGATAGATGGAGCCTAATTATTAAAAGTGTCATGTACCTTAGTCACCCAGGTGCTTAGATAAATTGTCCAGCTCTCCAGCACATTTTAACCATAAAAGAGAGTAAGAGATAAGCTCTAACTCATTAACGCTGTATGAAATTGTTCAGTTTATTAATAAAAGACTACAATAACCGAGGCTTGTGGGTTTATAAGGGAGATTTATAACTAGCATTTGCAGGAAAAAAATGTGTACATTTGCTGTTAATAAGTTGAAAGCAAAAGTTTTTCTCCTTGCAATAAGCATATATACACAGGTCGTGCATTGTGTTGTAATTATGGTCTTTAAACCAGAGAACTGCTAAATTAGCACATCTAATGAAATCAATACATTCTGGGGTGCAAAGAACATTTGTGAGGTCTGCAAGGAGAACTATTTAGCATGGCATGGCCGCCCTCTGATTCCACAGAGTGCTGATTCATCACCTTTACATAGATGCCAAATGATTGGACATCTATTACTGAAAGAGTAATTAAGGTACAATATTAACAAGTTTGCTCATTTCTACTTCAACAACAAGAAAACAAATTATCTTTTACTTGAGGGTAGCAAAGTTTTGCTGGTAATATTAATCGTAGAAATAGTTTCTTCCCTCCTTTTTTCTAGGAAAAAATTCTTTTCTAGGTGAATACAATTGAGGTGAATAAAGATGAAACTGGCCAAAAAAAGAGAAGAATAAGGCTTTTCCATAGCCCTGGGTCACATAAGATATTTTATCCTTCCTTCCACTAAGGTTGCAGCCCATCAGATTTTCATTCTGACATTTGGGTTTTTTAATACTGTATTGGGTGTCGGAGTAAACGTCTGTCATGCTTTCAGATCCATTTTGAAAAGAAAAATCAATACTTTAAAAGAGTATGTGTCAAAGTGCCCCTACCCTTTTCCACTTTGAACTTTCTCAAGCTTTAAAAAGTTTTATTCAATTTCTTGTTTCTAAAATTTAAGTGCGGCTTTTTTCCTATCTCATCAGTTCTTGAAAATGAAAAAAAAAATCCAATCTAACTTTGTTGATAAAGGAGAGAAAAAATGGGTTCTCATAGCTGGTTCTCTTGGGTAATGACAATATCCCAAGGGGTAATTCTTGCAAATATATGCATTTTGCAAGAAGGTACCATCTGCAAGGTAGCAGCTTAGGGGAAGTCCAAGTTCAGCCAGGAGGATCACATTAGCAACTAAACTTCTTTCTAGCATAGAAGAGAGAAAATAACTAAGAAGTGCTGCACCAACAGCAATTTTACTTAACAGGCTTTTTAAAAATGTGCAACCTATTGACTTTGATTTCATGGAAGGACTTTAAATAATGCATTTTCTCCAAAATAATTCAAGAAAAGGGTAGATTCGCATTGGCTTCTGAGTTTGAAATGTTCTATTTGTGTTAGAAGTTTGGGCAAGTTTAATTTGTTGCCTTTACTGAGATGTACGAATTCTGTATTTTCCACCTTTTCTCCACAGTTTTAAATTGGTTAACTCTAAAGAGCTTCATATTAATTATTCTCAAGTTTCATGATTTCTCATTGGAAGCACAGATAAATTCTGCAGAGTCATTTACCCACCCCCATACTTCTAGATAGCAATAATGGATGCCTGAGTAGCATTTTACAGTATACAAAGTACTTTGTTGTATGATAGCTCACTAAAGGCACAGAAGTACTGTGATGTAGGCAATGTTATCTCTATTGAACACTGAACTGTATGACACATTAACCAAAAACAAATAGGTGATGGCTGAGCTATTCATTAGGCAGGTAATTATAAGCCTCCTTGTGCTTTTACTTGGCTGCTTTGTATGTGTCTAATGGTTTTCTCTCTCCAATTAGCTTGTAAAAGCTTCAAAGATCATGCCATATAAATAATATATGCACAATGCTGAATAAACAATAAATGTTCAATGAATTACTTGAGAGAATGAATGAACAGAGAATGACTCATTAGAGAAGAAGCCTTTACAATTTACCCCAATAACACTAAACCCAGGGCTTTTGAAAGTTAAGAAATGTGGCTCCACATTGAGGCTGCATCCCTGCCTATCCAATTTCGGGCCTTGATCAGTTTCATAATATGAACTAGGAATTGCTGATCACAGCTGACATCTTTTATCTCGGTGGGGCTCCTCTCCTACAACCTCAAAATACCTGATAGGCCATTTTCCCACCTTTATAAAGCCCTTCTTGCCTGAACTTTATGATCTTTCCTTCCTCTGAATTTTTACTTAATTGTAATTCAGTTAGCACTCAATCATTCCCCAACCCTTTGAAAAAAAAAATTTTTATATTCTCATCTTGGTCAAGACAATGAGATTTTGTAGACTGTTGTAGACAATTTTCTATTTCTTTTGGATCAGCCAGAGTATTTGGCATAGTAGCAGAGTCACATAATAGGCACTTGTCAAATATTTTTATAGATAATGGTTTTACTAGTTCATTTGATAAATGTTGTCAAACACTGACTCTGCCAGAGCCTGTTATGAGTATAGAGATACAGCAGGAAACAATACAAAGTCATTTGCCTTCATGGAGCTTACATTCTAATGGTGGGAGACAGTCATCAACAAATAAGGCAAAGAACGATTATGACAAATGGTGAGAAGTGTTATAGGGGAAATTAAGCAGAGACATACATAGCCATATATATATTTATATATTTTGTATTTATATATTATATATAATTTATTATATATAATATAAATAATATATCATATATAATTTATTATATATTACTTATATATAATAAATTATATATACTATATAATATACAGTATATATAATATATAATATATATTTATGTTATATGTAATACATTACATATAATTTATAACATATATAAATTATATATATAATTAAAAAGTGATTCAGAGCAATGGGATTGGGAATAGTCACTGTTTTAAGCAGATTAGACAGGAAAGGCCTTGTTGACAACATGATAGTTGTAGAGATCTGAAGGAAGTAGAGATGTAAAGCATGCAGATATCTCCTAGAAGAGTATTCTGGGTTGAGAGAGCAAATGCAAAGACCTGGAGGCTAGGTGATAGTTAGCACATCTAAAGAATATCAAGATTAGATTGTAGGGAGGCAAGACTACAAGTAGAAAGACCAGTTAGGAGACTACTGCCATTGTCCAGATAGTAACAGTGGAGATGGTGAGAAGTGTCTGGATTCTGGATATATTTTGAAGCTGGAACTGATAGGATTTGCTTATGAATCAAACATGGAGTGGAGGAGACAAACAAGGAGTCAAGGGAGATGCTGAGTTTTAGGTTTGAGTGACTAGAAGGTTAGAATTGCCTTTTGCTAATCTGGGGAAAATTGTGGAAGAAGTTAGGTTCAAGGAAGGAAACCACTACTGAAATTTTGTTCATGTTTCATTTTCCATGTCAATTAAACATAAGAGTTATTAGGTATCCAACTGTTGTTGAATATAGAGGTCCAGGCAATAAATACAAACATAAGAGACAGTAGTATATAATGCTATTTTAAGTCTTGAAGACTGGATGAGATCATTTAGGGGATAAGTGTAGCTAGACAAGAGATGAGAAAAGACTGAGCTTTGGGGCAATACTTATCTAAATGTCAGAGAGAGAGATTAGAAAACAACAAGTGAGGCTAGGAAGGGAGGTAAAAAAGCTAAAGAAGATGGCTTTATTGAAAGCTTATAAAAGAAAGTGTTTAAAGAGGCAAAAAGTGATCAGCTGGGTCATATCCTCCTGATACACGGGGCAAGAAGAGAATTTAAGATTGGATCTAGCAACATGGAGGTCATTGGTGACCTTGACAAAGGTAAATTTCCTGGAGTGGTGAGGAAAGAAGCCTGGTTAAAATGGATTCAAGAGATAAAGGGAGGAGCAGGATTCAAGAGATAAAGGGAAGAGTAGGATTGAAGATAAGCAGAAGAAAATGTTGGGAAATTGGTATGTTTTAATAAACTTTTTTGCGAATAACAGAAAAATAGAATTCTCTCTCTCTCTGTCTCTGTGTGTGTGTGTGTGTGTGTGCGTGCGTGCGTGTGTGTGTGTGTTGTGTAATATGCAGTCAAGGAGGATTTTTTTAAATATGGGAAGTATTATCACTTTAATGTTCTGATTGGAATGATCCAGTACAGCAGGAAAAATGGATGATCCAGAATAAAGTTTCCATACTATCCGCTAGCTAGAGAATGTGCTGTGTTTAGCCGTGTATGTAAATAGGGCAGATGACCTGGCTTTGTGCTTTAAACGATGTTCTGCAGCTATTTAGTCTCACTTTGGTACTAAAGTTTTGTTACTGGTTTCTATTTGTTTGGTATCACTGATGAATTCAATATATTCCCTTTCCACTCTTTTCATCTCTTTTGTGCTTCCATATTTTGTTGTACTGTCTATAAGTATCACTTTTTATAAAGAGGAGAATCACAGTAGAAAATGCGGACATAAGTTTCATAAGTCTGTTGTTTGAGCTGGCCTCACAGACTGGTGAGTGGTATCAATATGGACAAATTTTGCTGTGTGTCACCAATAAAACCAGGTGAGATTTTCCTTTCTTCAGATTGTATTTTTGTCTTGAGATCCCAGCTTGGATCAAGAAGGAGTGTTATTTTTTATTCTCTGCTTGCTAGGGCATGGATTGTTTGATCCACATTAGAACGAAGGCAACCATTGGGTTAGGTGCCTGAGACATCGAGCACACAGCATTACTTTCCTTCCAACTGCTGCCAGCTCTCATGGGGTTGGGCAAAGAAAGTCCTCCTTCGTAAATACACTCTCATTATATTTCTAATTCTTGCACCTACCTTTCTAAATGGCATGACTTGACTATGGATGATTTGCCACTCTGGGAAACATTTGAGTTGGACAAAATCGTTTATTTGGGAAGTATTTAGAAAAAAAATTGAATGAGATTATTTAGTCCCAATTGGCAGCAATATTTTTTGTGCAGGATGGAGAAGCCGCCAAATGAAATTCTGATTCAAAAATTGCTTCACTAAAAGATGCTTTGGTTAGAACTAATGAGCAATTTGACCAACTTAAGTAGCAGCAAATTAGACTCATTTTCCTAGTAATATCTTCTCCTCATTCTTCAGTTGCCTCCCTATGTCCAGCTATTTCTCTCCCTGGCCCTTTTATTCTTTTTCCTTCCACACTTCCGTCAACACTTCTACTGTCTTTTCTCCTTGTCCAGACATGCAGCTTTTTCCCAGTGACTCTCCTAAGACCCAAAATGCCATTTGCCTACAAAGCTCCATCATTCCATGAGCCAAATATGCAGGCAATGAACTTAAACTGACCCAATCTGAATTAAGGGCAATAATTAAGGATGTCTCTAAACCCAGAGAAGATCAGAAACTATTCATATAATAATTCAGAATTATTTGGAGTGCATATGACTCAAGGTCATCTAATCTTTTTCAAATTATACATGTGTTGGTTGGAACCTCAGAGACCAAATCATGAATGGCAAAAGCTGGTTGCATTGACACAGAAAGGGGCCTACAGGATCTCTCTTTTCACAATATTAAGAAAATGTGGCACATATACACCATGGAATACTATGCAGCCATAAAAAATGATGAGTTCATGTCCTTTGTAGGGACATGGATGAAGCTGGAAACCATCATTCTGAGCAAACTGTCTCAAAGACAGAAAACCAAACACTGCATGTTCTCACTCATAGGCAGGAATTGAACAATGAGAACACTTGGATACAGGGTGGGGAACATCACACACTGGGGCCTGTCGTGGGGTGGGGGGAGGGGGAGGGATAGCATTAGGAGATATACCTAATGTAAATGACGAGTTAATGGGTGCAGCACAACAACATGGCACATGTATACATATGTAACAAACCTGCACGTTGTGCACATGTACCCTAGAACTTAAAGTATAATAATAATTTTTCAAAACCTTAAGGTAAAAAAAGTGTCCCAAATGCCACACCTAAAATGCTTCCAATAAAAATTGATTGGACCATAATTCAGTCATGCAAAGAAAGAAAAGATGAAACTATAGAATATTTTCAAGATACGCTAGAAAATACTCTCCAACAACACTTGGAAATTAAAAAGGGTTATGATGTAACAGCAGCCTTTTTATCTCACTTTGTCATTGGAGTTAAACCTGATATTGGAGACCTAATTAAAAAAGTAGAAAGTAGAATAGGAAATAGCCCTTTTACCAGAATTACAGCTCCAGGCAGTACATTTAGAAAGAGTTTTAGAACAAAAACCAGATGAATTCCAAATAAATTTATGGGCCTTCAGATCAAATAACAGATCAAACTTCAAACTGATCACCTATTGACAAAGACATTTGTAGATATTGTAAACAGAAGGGACAATGATTAAAAAAAAAAGAAGGTCCTATCTGCAAAATAAAAACCAAGATGATGAAAAATCAGAAAAGTCATACCAGTGAATGTTCTGATGTTTCGGGTGCTCTGAGGAAGACAAAAGTGCCCAATGTCTTGCCTTAGCCTTAAACACTCAAGATAAATTAACTATAAATATAGATGGTCAACCTCATGAATTCCTGGTGGATTTGATGGTTACTCTTTCTACATAGAACCTTGTCACTTTTTCTTAGCTTCTTCCTTAGAGTAAATATATCACATAGCTGGTTGGAATTTCAAATAGCCCATGGATTTTCCTATATTCTAGTCCTTAATAGTAACCCCTGGATTCTTATCTGAAACAAATCCTTTCTGCTCTATGATACTTACTCTTGCAAATTTAATAGAACCTAGCTTCAATGTAGTGACTCACTGCTTTTCTCAGTGTGCTTCTAGACCAGAACAGTTAATAATCTTTTTGCCTTCACCTTGAGAAGACAACAATACAGCTGCACAGGCGTGCTCAGAGGTTCCCTGAAGCCCCCTCTTATTCTTCCAAGCTTTTCAGTGAAGACTTAAAGATCTCAATTTCCCTTGCCATTCAGTTATGATACAATATGTGGATGATCTTTGCTCATCTTTGTTGAGTAAACAAGGAAGGCTTCACAAAGAATTCAGTTTTCTTGCCCCCAGCCTTAGAAAAAAAAGGGCCATACGTTTTTTCCAAAACACAGTCCATTATTTATGGCATGACCTGTCCAAGGAGGGAAAAACATCCTCTCCTAATAGACTAAAAAATATCCTAACTTATCCCAGACCCTTTACAAAATGACAATCAAATTTCTCAGTTTAAGTGGATATTGCAGTTAATGAGTGCCAAAATTTTCTGAGATTGTGGCATCTCTATAGGAATTGACCAAGTCCTCGGAAAGAGACTCCCTTCTCTGGAAGCCCAAGCATAAATACACCTTCTGGAACCCAGAACATGGTCTTCAACAGCCTCCTTCCCTTAGCAACCCTAACCACAAAAAGCTCCTTTCTCTTTGAACATAAGTGTTCTGGAACAAACCCTTGGGTGTGAAACCTAACATCATGGGAACCATTAAAAACCCATTGATTGCTATAACCTCACCCTTGACCCTGTTGCCAAGGTTCACCACCCTTGTCTTAGGGCAATGGAAGATTATGGCTCCTCATACAGTACAGACATTTCAACTGATGGAGAACACGCAACATTTTTCAGCCAGCCAATTAACCTCTTATTAGATTCCATTATTCTCTTCTTCTCACATTATTATTCACTTCAGCCACACCCAGAATCTTCTGACGACCTTACGTCACAGAGAAGTTTTCTGCCCTCACTCCACAGGATTCCACTGAGAATCTTACGCTAACATTATTTGCTGACAGAAAACTGAAACTGGAGTTTATCAAGTGAGATATGGCATTCTTAACTTAAGCTCTCCTTTAGAATATGGTCCTCTACCTGAGATAATAATAATCCCAGGTGGCAGAACTTTTTACACTTACTAAGAGCTAATCAAGTAGCCTAAGAACAGAGAGTCAACATGCATATAAACAGCAGGTATGCTTTTGGAGTAGTACATGGCTTTAGGATGCTTTGGAAATAAAGGCTGTTTCTCACCTCCATTTGGAACTTCCATAAAAAATGAGCAAGTTAAGCACTTTTAGATGCATTCCACTTTCTGGAGAAGTGACTATCACAGTGACTGCAACTCATGCAAAAAGAGATCACGTGGAAGCTAAAGAAAATGCTCTAGGTCATTCCAGCTTTCTTTTGATCGGTGTTAGTGTGATGTACCTTTTTCCAATCTTTTACCTGTATTTGTATTTTGTATTTATACAACATTATTTTTTAAAAGCAGCATAGGAGTGAAGATGGCAGAATAGAAGCAGCTAGTGTGCACCACTCTCAGGGAAAGGAAACAAACCCGTGAGTAAACACTGAACCTGCAAGACAATCATCTAAGAAATCATGCCAAGATCCATTAAAGGAGTGAGGGCAGACAAAGAACAGAGAAGAGGGAAGCTGGACAGCTGCCCATCTGGGACAGGCATGGAGTCAGGAAAAGCTCCCCAACACAGGGAAAGGGTGAGTGAGGGACATCCCCTGGGGAATCCACATTTCCTACAGGGAACTGTGCAATTCTGGGAATGAGAGAACCTCCTGATCCCCCAGGCCTCCAGAGTGATACAGAGAACTGCCTGGATTTTTTGCAGAAGCAACACTCAAGTCCATAGGGAATTCCACAGGCTTTGAACCTTGGAGCAGCCCAGCACCAACTGCTATGCCCTGATAGAGGCTGCAGTCACGGTGCTGAGGAACCGTCATATTGGTCCACTCCCCATTACCATACAAGGCTCGGTGCCAGCTTCCAGCCCAGTGGCCCTGCTTCAGCCAGAAGTCTGTGGCACAGGCACTGCTCCATGTCCCCCCAGGAAGCTCCTGAATAGCAGAGCAGGCAACTCAACCCACCCCAAATGCTCCTGGCTGGATGAGACACATCTGCTGGGGCTTCCAGTGCAGCAGACCTGCTTGTGCCTGAACTCTGGGGGCAAACACAGTTCCATGGTCCCCTGGGAAGCACTGAGAGGCACATTGGTGACTTCGCACGTCCCTACTGCTCCTAGCCAGCTAAGACTCACCAGCTTGGGCAGCACCCAAACAAAGGGGAGCCCTCACTCTCAGAACACTGAAAAGGTTGAGACCCTTGGGTTCACAGGCCTGCAGGAGAGCAGGACATCCATTCCTCCACAGAGTTGACCTGAGAAGTGTACAGCTTATCTGTCATCCATGAACCCTGCCTGGGGGAGCCCCGTGGACCAGCACACCTAACAGAGGAAATGCGGGTATGCAGCCAATGATCAGAGAGGTCTCCTCTAAGGCCCAGGAGCAGACCAGGAGAGGAGGTCATCTTTCTTCCTCCACCACAGAATACAACTGCCAACTGTGCCAAAATACAAAAGAGCTGTGTGGCTGAGTAATAGCCTATTTGCCTGCCACCACTCTTCAGCACCACCTAATGAATTGCACCCCAAAATACAACACCAAAAATTTTTTCCAGTATATAGAGCCTATGAAACATAATACAAAAATTCAGCCGCAAATAAAGATTCTTCTGTACAGAGTCTTAGCCCTCTGAAAACAAAGTCAACTGACTATACTCAACTTACATCACAGTTAAAGAAATACCAGCCCTCACACATGAGAAAGAATCAGCACAAGAACTCTGGCAACTCAAAAAGCCAGTGTGTTCCCCTTACCTTACTAATGAGCACATTAGTCCCCCAGAAATGGTTCTTAACCAGATTGAGATGATTGAGTCTGGATGACCATGAAGCTCATTGAGATCCAAGACAAAGTTGAAACCCAATCCAAGGAATCCAGTCAAATGACCCAGAAGCTGAAGTATGAAATAGCCATTTTAAGAAAGAACCAAATTGAATTTCTGGAACTGTAGAATTCACTTCAAGAATTTTATAATACAATCAATAACATTAACAACAGAATAGATCAGGCTGAGAAAAGAATCTCAGAGCCTGAACTCTGGTTATTTGAATCAACAGAGTCAGACAAAAATTAAAAATAAATAAATAAACAAAACCTCCAAGAAATATGGGATTATGTAAAGAGACCAAATCTACAATTCATTGGCATTCCTAAAAGAGAAAGAGAGAGTAAGCAACTTGGAAAACATATTTGGGGACCTAGTCCATGAAAATTTCCCCCATCTTGCTAGAGAGGAGAAGATACAAATTCAAGAATTACAGAGAACCCCTGTGAGATACTACCAAAGGTGACCACCCTGAGGCACATAGTCAGATTCACTAATGTCAATGAAAAAAAAATCACAAAGGCAGCTAGAAAGGTCAGGCCACCTAAAAAGGGAGCCCCATCAGACTAGAAGCAGACCTCTCAGCAGAAACCTTACAAGCCAGAGAGATTGGGGATTGTAAGGTTTTTGTCAGCATTCTTTGCAAAACAGAAATTCTGACCAAGAATCTCATGTCTTGCCAAACTAAACTTTATAAGTAGGGGAGAAATAAAATCCTTCTCAGAGAAGCAAGCACTAAAGAAATTTGGTACCACCAGATCAGCCTTATAAGAAGTCCTTAAGGGAGTGCTAAACATGGAAACAAAAGATCGAAACCTGCTACCATAAAAATATACTCAAGCACATTGCCCACAGAAAATATAAAGCAATTACACAATCACATCTACAGAACAAATAGCCAACAGTTTGATGACAGAATTAAAATCCCAGATATCAATACTAACCTCAAATGTAACTGATCTAAACAGCCCATTTAAAAGGCATAAATTGGAAAGCTGGATTAAAAAAAATAAGACCCAACTGTCTGCTCTCTTTAAGAGATGTATTTCACATGTAATGACACCCACAGATTCAAAGTAAAGAGTTGGAGAAAGATCTGCTATGCAAACAAATAATGGAAAAGATGAAGAGTCACTATTTTTTTTTTTTAACAGAGTCTTGCTCTGTTGCCCAGGCTGGAGTGCAATAGTGTGATCTTGGCTTACTGCAACCTCTGCCTCCCAGGTTCAAGTGAGTCTCCTGCCTCAGCCTCCCGAGTAGCTGGGATTACAGGCACACGCCAACATGCCTGGCTAATTTCGAATTTTTAGTAGAGACAGGTTTCACCCTGTTGGCCAGGCTGGTCTCGAACTCCTGACCTCAGGTGATACACCTGCCTCGGCCTCCCAAAGTGTTGGGATCACAGGTGTGAGTCACCCCGCCCAGCCCAGCCCAGGAGTCACTATTCTTACATAAAATAAAACAAACATTAAACAAATAACAATCAGGAGGGACAAAAAAGGGCATTACATAATGATAAAGGTTCAATTCAAAAAGAAGATTCAACAACCGTAAATATATATGCATACAATACTGGAGCCCCCAGATTCATAAAACAAGTTATTGACCTACAAAAAGGTTTAGACAGTCATACAATAGTAGTGGGGGCTTCAACACCCCCATGACAGGTTAGGAAGATCATTGAGGCAGAAAACTAACAAAGAAACTCTGGACTTAAACTCAACACTTAACCAGTTGGACCTAATAGACATCTACAGAATATTCCACCAACAACCACAAAATATACATTCTTCTCATCTGCAAACAGAACATATTCTAAGATCAACTACATGTTCAGCCATGACACAAGTCTCCATAAATTAAAAAAAATCTAAATTATACAACCACAATGCAATGAAAATAAAAGTCAATACCGAGATAATCTCTCAAAACTATACAAAACATGGAAGGTAAACAACTTGCTTCTGAATAACTCTTGGGTGAACAATAAAATTAAGGCAGAAATCGAAAACATCTTTGAAATAAGTGAAAATAGAGACACAACTTACCTAAATCTTTGGGATACAGGTAAAGCAGTGTTAAGAGGAAAGTTTATAGTATTAAATATTTTCATCAAGGGGTTAGAAACATCTCAAATTAATGATGTAACATCACACATAGTGGAACTAGAAAAAAAGAACAATACAATCCCAAGGCTAGTTGAAGAAAAGAAATAACTAAAATCAGAGAAGAACTGAACAAAATTGAGACCCAAAAGTCCATACGAAAGATCAATGAAACCAAGAGCTTGTTCTTTGAAATAATAAACAAGAGTGATACACTTCTAGCTAGATTAATAAAGAAAAAAAGAAAAAATCCAAATAAGTGCAATCAGAAATGACAAAGATGACATTACAACTGGTCCCACAGAAATACCAAAGCTCCTGAGAGACTATTATGAACACCTCTATGTACACAAATTTAAAAATCTAGAGAAAATCAATACTTTTTTGGAAACACAACCTCCCAAGATTGAACCAGGAAGAAAGTGAAAAGCTGAGCAGACCAATAACAAGTTCAGAAGTTGAATCAGTAATTTAAAAAACCTACCAACAAAAAAGGCCCAGATCAGATGGATTCACAGCTGAGTTCTACCAGATGCACAAAGAAGAACTGATACCAATCCTAGTGAAACTACTTCAAAAAATTGAGGAGGAGTGGCTTCTTCCTAATTCTATGAGGCCAATATCATCCCGATACCAAAATCTGGTGTGCATGTGCACTCACCCCTCCCCACACACAAACTTCAGGCCAATATCCCTAGTGAACATGGATGCAAAAATCCTCAACAAAATACTAGCAAACCAAATCCAGCAGCACAAAAGTTGATTCACAAAAAGTTAATTCACTATGATCAAGTACCCTTTATTTCTAGAATGTAAGGTTGATTCAACATACACAAATCAATACATGTGATTCACCAGATAAACAGAATAAAAATCAAAGAGTATATGATCATCTCAACAGACACAGAAAAAGCCTTTGATAAAATCCAACATCCATTTATGATAAAAACCCTCAAGAAACTAGGCATTGAAGGAATATACCTCAAAATAGTAACAGCCATCAATGACAAAACCACAGCCAACGTTATACTGAATGGGCAAAATCTGGAACCATTCCCCTTGAGAACCGGAACAAGACAGGGATGCCCACTTCCACCACTCCTATTCAAAATTGCACTGGAGCTCCTGACCAAAGCAATCAGGCAAGAGAAGGAAATAAAAGGCATCCAAATAGGAAAAGAAGTCAAACTATCTCTCTTTGTTGTTGATATGATTCTATGCATAGCCCTGAAGACTCCACTGAAAGACTCCTGGAACTGATAAATTTAGAAATGTTTCAGGATAGAACATCAATGTACAAAAATCAATAGCATTGCTATACCCCAATACCATTCTACCTGAGAACCAAATCAAGAACACAATCACATTTTCAGTAGCCACAAAAAAAATACCTAGAAATTCATCTAAGTAAGAAGGTGAAAGATTTCTGCAAGGGGAATTACAAAACACTGCCAAAAAAAAAAAAATCAGAGATGACACAAAAAATGGGAACATATTCCATGCTCATAGATTGGAAGAATCAATATTGTTGAAATGACAATACTGCACAAACAATTTACAGAATCAATGCTATCCCTATTAAAATACCAACATCATTTTTAACAGAATAGAAAAATATATTCTAAAATTCATTCGGAACCAAAAAAGAGCCCAAATAGCCAAAGCAATCCTAACCAAAAAGAACAAAGCCAGAGGTATCACATTGCCTGTCTCCAAACTATACTGTAAGGAAATAGTAACCAAAATAGCATGGTCCTTGTTCAAAACAGACACACATACCAAAGGAACAGAATGGTGAACCTAGAAATAAAACTGCACACCTACAACCATGTGATCTTTGACAAAATTGACAAAAAAATAAGCAGTGGGGAAATTCAATAAATGATGTTGAGATCACTGGTTAGCCATATGCAGAAAAATGAAACTGGACCCTTATCTATCATGATATACAAAAATTATCTCAAGGTAGATTAAAAATTTAAGCCTAAGACCTCAAAGTTTACAAATTCTAGAAGAAATCCTAGGAAATACCCTTCTCATCATTGGCTTTGTTAAAGGATTTATGGCTAAGTCCCAAAAGCAATTGCAGCAAAAACAAAAATTGACAAGTGAAATTTAATTAAACTAAAGAGCTTCTTCATAGTAAAAGAAACTACCAACAGAATAAACAGCCTAGAGAATGGGAGAAACATTTGCAAATTATGCATCTGACAGAAATCTAATATCCAGAATCTACAAAGAACTTAAATCAACAAGCAAAAAAGAAATAATGCAATTTAAAAAATGGGTAAAGGACATGAACAGACACTTCCCAAAATATCATGAGAAAAATTGCTGAACATCACTAATTATCAGAGAAATGCAAATCAAAACCACAATGAGATATCATCTCACACCAGTCAGGATGGTGATTATTAAAAAGTCAAAAAATAACAAATGCTGGCACTACTGCAGAGAAAAGGAAATGCTTACACACTATTGGTAGAAATGAAAACTAGTTCAGCCGCTGTAGAAAGCAGTTTGGAGTTTTCTCAAAGAACTTAAAGCGGAACTACTATTTGACCCAGCAATCCTATTACTGGGTACACATATCCAAAAGAAAACAAATAATTCTACCAAAAATGACATAGGCATTCACATGTTTGTCGCAGCACTACTCACAATAGCAAAGACACAGAATCAACCTAGGTGCCCATCCATAGTGGACTGAATAAAGAAAACATGGTACATGTACACCATGGAATACTATGCAGCTATCATAAGGAATGAAGTGATGTCATTTGCAGCAACTTGGATGGAGCTGGAGGCCATCATCCTAAGCAAATTAACACAGGAACAGAAAACCAAACACTCATATTCTAACTTATAAGTGGGAGCTAAATATTGAATACACATAGAAATAAAAATAGGAAAAATGGACACTGGGGACTACTAGGAATAAAGGGAAGGAAAGAGGCACGGGCTGAAAAAGCACCCCTTGGGTTATATGCTCACTGTCTGGGTGATGGGACACTTTTACCACAAACCTCAGCATCACGCAGTGTGCTCACATAACAAACCTGCACATGTATCCTTTAATCTATAACAAAAGTTGAAATTATTAAAAAAAAAAAAGGAAAATCTTCTAGATTATTATGACAAACAAGCAGCCTTAACCTAGGTGATTCTATTTCCAAGCCGTCAAAGGATAAGTCTCTGAAATGATTCAAAGAAGTTCTTTAAAATATCTATGTTTATCCTCTGATTTTAAAAAGAATGGTAGCCAGGCATGGTGGCAGGCGCCTGTAATCCCAGCTACTAAGGAGGCTGAGGCAGGAGAATCGCTTGAACCCAGGAGGCAGAGCTTGCAGGAACCGAGATCACACCACTGCACTCCAGCCTGGGGGACAGAGTGAGATTCCGTCTCAAAATAAATAAATAAATAAAATTTAAAATAAAAGAAAAAGAAAAAGAATGGAAAAGAATCTGGTAATCCGGTTGTACCCTTCGCTCAAATAGTCTCTGGCTCTTGTAAGACAGCTGCTTGGTGGCATTGGATGATTTCCAATAGCTATTACCTAAATTTCTCCATGAAGCTACTCATCATGGTACAGAAAAAAATGCTTAGCATCTCAATTAAGTATTGCTGGGGAAACTTTAAAAAGGTTATTTTCAGGTCCTGTGTTACTTGTCAACTATAGAAACCTGGAAAAAGTATAAAAATGAGGCATGGCCAGAAATCAAAGCTTCAAAGGCCTTTTGAACCCTCTCAGATGGATTACCCTCTAGGAGATTTGAATATATTTTAGCTATTGTATGTTTACTTTCAGGATGGGTAAAATATTTCCTTGCCAAAAAAACTACAGCTTACAGTCACTAAAAAGCAGCTCGATTTTGTGATTCCAACCTGGAGCAGACCAACTTTGCTACCAAGTGGCTGAGGATTACATTTTATGGTAATTATGAAAGAATTCTGTGATGCACTATTACTCAAAAATTACACTTTTCTTACCACCCAAAATCTTATGAAATGTTTGGAAATACCAATAACATCCTTAAATTAAAATTCATAAAACTTTCAGAAATATTTGAGCTTGGCCCAAGATACTCCCACTAGCCCTTATGGCCATACAATCCACTCCCCGAGGATGAATCAATTGTCACCTTATGAACTGGCTAGCTGGAAGGTTCATGCATTTTGAAATTTTTACTTTGTAAAATTTTTTTGTAGACATGGGGTCTCACTATGTGTTGCCCAGGCTGATCTCAAACTTATGGCCTCAAGCAATCCTCTCACCTAGGACTCCCAAAGTGTTTTGCCACTGTCTGTAATTCAAAGCCATTCTTCATGTATCCCAAATTGTAGCCTCTGCCTTCCATCTTACTGGCTGCTGGATGTGTCAATGATCACCAGATCCCCGTGATAGAAACCTCTGGGAAATTCCAATCTCACCAAACTAGACTATAGGGAATTACAGCTAATGACATTTCCACTTGCACTGACATGGATAAATGACCTTAAACAAATCAATCTGTGGCTTCGCTAGTGTCCCCTCTCCCAGAAAAGTATAACCAATTACTACAATCTACTGATCAGACTCTAGGTAATTCTAAATTTGAATTCAGCAACCTTTCTAGGGTGATGGGCCAAATAATTGCCACTTATAAGAGACCAGTAGAGATCTAAATGCATAACCCAACTAATGTAAGTTGGTTATATCCCTGTTTCATGAACAACTCATTTATTCCTGGTGGCCCTACAGGATACTACTTACTTTGCGGCCAGATCGCTTTGCCTTGTTTACCTCAGACTAACAACTCATGTACTTTAGGAATAGTATTCTGACGCTTATCTGAACATAGAGATCCCAATTCTATAAATCTTCATGGCTGGAAATTCCAACACAGATCAGAGCTTCAAAATGAGGTGCACCCTTGATTATTTAGGCACTCTAGGAAAATTACTATCTCATACTTTTTTAAAAATTTCAATAGCTTTGGGGCCACAAGTGGTTTTTGGTTACATGGATGAATTATAAAGTGCTGAATTATGACATTTTAGTACACTCATCACCTGAGTAGTATACATTGTACCCAATATGTAGTTTTATTTATCCCACACTCGCCTCTGACCTTCCACTTTCTGAGTGGCTAAAGTCCATTTTATTACTCTGTATGTCTTTGCATACTCATAGCTTAGCTTCCACTTATACATGAGAACATAATGGTATCTGGTTTTCTGAGTTATGTCACTTAAAATAACGGCCTCCAGCTTCACCCAAGTTGTTGCAAAAGACATTATTTCATCTTTTCTATGGCTGCATAGTATTTCATGGTGTGTGTATATTCCACATTTTATTTATCCACTCATTGGTCAATGGGCACTTAGATTAGTTCCATATCTTTGCAACTGTCAATTGTACTGTAATAAACATACATGTGTATGTGTCTTTTTCATCTAATGACTTCTTTTCCTTTATCTACTGGTAGATAGCCAGTAGTGGGATTGCTGGATTGGATGGTAGATCTACTTTTAATTCTTTAATGAATCTCCATACTATTTTCCATAGAGGTTATACTAATTTACATTCCCACTAGCAATGTATAAGTGTTTCCTTTTCCTTGCATCCACGTCAACATCTATTGCTTTTTTGGTGTTTAATAATGACCATTCTTGCAGGAGTAATGTGGTATCTCGTTGTGGTTTTAATTTGCATGTCCCTGATGATTAGTGATGTGGAGCATTTTTCATATGTTTGTTGACATTCCTTTGAGAAGTATCTGTTCATGTCATTGGCCCACTTTTTGATGGGATTATTTGTTTTTTTCTTACTGATTTGAGTCCCTTGTAGATTCTGGATAGTCCTTTGTCAGATGTGTAGTTTGCTGATATTTTCTCCTATTCTGTGGGTTGTCTGTTTACTCTGATGATAATTTTTTGTTGTGCAAAAGATTTTTAGTTTAATTAGGTTCCATTTATTTTTGTTTTTGTTGTATTTGTTTTTGGAGTTTTAGTCATGAATTCTTTGCCTAGGCCAATGTCCACAAGAGATTTTCCAAGGTTATCCTCTAGAATTGTTATGGTTTCAGGTCTTAGATTTAAGTCTTTGATTCATCTTGAGTTGATTTTTGTAGAAGGTGAGAGATGTAGATCCAGTTTTAACCTTCTGCATGTTGCTAGCCAGTTTGTCCAGCACCATTTATTTAATAGGGTTTCCTTTTCCCCATTTATGTTTTTGTATGCTTTGTCAAAGATCATTTGGTTGTAAGTATTTGTCTTTATTTCTAGGTTCTCTACTGTATCATTCTTTTGGCAAACAATCACAGCAGTGTCTCCATTAGTGGGCACTATGCAAATGAAATAGGCTACAATAAACATATCACTAACTCTGACTGCATTAGTCCACTCTTGCACTGCTATAAAGAAATGCCTAAGACTGGGTAATTTATAAAGAAAAGATGTTTAATTGACTCATGGTTCTGCAGGCTGTACAGGAAGCATAGCAGTTTCTGCTTCTGGGGTAGTCTCAGGAAACTTACAATCATGGTGAAAAGTGAAGGGAAAGCAGGCATGCCCTACATGGCTGGAGCAGGAGCAAGAGATAAATTGGGGAAGTGGTACACACTTTTAAACCACCAGATTTCATAAGAACTCACTATTGCAATGACAGCACCAAGGAAGATGGTGTTAAACCATGACAAACTGCCCCTGTGATCCAATCACCTCCCTCCAGCCCCTATCTCAAACCTTGGGGATCACAATTCAACATGAGATTTGGGTGGGGACACATATCCAATATGTCAACATACTACTGGCAGAAAGCATTAATAATACCACCTCTGCCCTAGATGTGTAGAGATTAGTCTAAACTCATTGGCAGAGTTAGTGATGGGCAACTGCATTGCTCTAGATTTCTTATCTAGACAGTGTCTGTTCCATTGCTAATGCTTCTTGAAGTATTTGGATTGATGAAACAGATTAGGTAAAACAGCCTACACTTTATAGCCTATTGGATTTGTTCTCTTGGCCTGGGTTGGGCAGTTGGACTTCCTGATTCCAAAATATCTTAAAGAGATTATTAATTTTCTTGTTTTTGTTAGAGTATGATGCTGTACCATTGCATTCAGAATCTTAAATGCTTTTGCACAGTTGCCCTCTCATGAGATAATTGCCTTGGTACAATAACAACAAAAAGGCAAGAAAACCTCACAATACTAAACATCTAAACAATCCTCAAGAGTTGAAAATCTGAATCTTTAGTTTTCCATGAATTGTTCAACCCTTCACAAGAGAGAGAATGAGCACAGAGGGGATGAATAGACTGAATATTCCAATAGATGATGGCCAGACTATATACGACAGTATAATTCTGACCCACAACTTTTGTAGCAATCAGTTTAGAAAGCCAAACCACATCTGTGCAGCAATCAGCCCCTACTGGTCAGGACTTGGTCATTGACTGCTGGCTTCTTTACTTCTTGCTCCTTCTTCCAATATAAAACCAACCAGAGAGAGCCACATATGTTCCCCAAACCTATTACAAAAGATTCCCCACTTCTCTTTTGCTCATCTCTAGCTTCCCTATGCCAGCAACTTATGATCAAAGCATATTGAGACCATCGCTCTTTTTCACCATAAGGCTCTTCCGTCCTTCTTCTTGCCTTTGAGTCTCTGCCAATAAAGCATGATGGTGGCTGACTCCCTTGCTATAGCAAGCGCTGGGTAAATAGCCTCTATTTGTCCTTATTTGGGTGAATATTTTCTTATTTAACCACAATGAAGAGAGGAGAGGTAAAACCTTGGCTAAACCCTCAGTAAAGCAGTCATGATCTGATTCAGAGGGTTATTAGAAATCACGGATATTATAAAGTTGTTTCCCAGAATCTAAGATCCCTCAAAACAAATTTTGTACTTTCCAAGATGTCTGTGTTCAGATTCTTTTAAAAATCCCTACTCCATAATATTGTACATTCTAATTTTTTTAAAAGTCCATCATCCAGTCGTCTTCAGCAATACGCAAGTTAGTAAATAGTATCCCTGTAAGCAATGCCCCATTGAAAATGATGGTTTGTTTAATTGGTAGCTATTATGACATTAGAGCCTGAGATTACATGAAGATTAGGTTTTTAGGGCCTAGAAAGGTAATAAATCAGATTTCATTTGTGACTAGAGTCTAATTTACAGTTTATATGCTTTTACATTACTACTTGGCATATTAAGAGGAGGATAATGCAGACAAGGAGGTAAACCATACACATTGCTAAACATTTAAATATTTGCCTTGCAGAATCTACTAAACTACTAAGCTTGGGGGACATAAGCAATAAATATGCAGGTTTTTAAAGAAAAAATGCTGTTGCTGGGAGATGTGTTTCTATAGTGTTTTGGACGTGTTTAGAAAATACTGTTACTCAGTTATTTCTACAACTGAAGTGTAACTTGATGCTCTTTGTCTCACAAAAGGAAAAATGCAGTACTAATTTTAATGTTTCCATTTTAGGCAAGTGTATTTTCAATGTAGGCACCCTTAGAATATTTCTGATGACAAGTTGTATCTCTTTTTTATTTTCATTTTTCAATGTTTATTTTTAGATTCAGGAGTACATGTACAGGTTTGTTACCTAGGTATGTTACGTGATGCTGAGGTTTGGGGTACAAATGATCCCATTGCCCAGGTATTGGGCATAATACCTAACAGTTTTTTAACCCTCCCCTCCTCATCCTCCTCACTCTAGTAGTCACCAGTGTCTGTTGTTGCCACTTTTATGTCCATGAGTACCAGATATTTAGCTCCCACTTATAGGTGAGAACATGAGGTATTTTGTTTTCTGATCTTGCCTCAATTTGCTTAGGATAATGGCCTCTGGCTGCATCCATGTTGCTACAAACAACATGATTTCATTCATCTTTATGGCCGTGTAGTATTCTATGATGTACACATACCATAGTCTTTATCCAATCCACTGTTGATGAACACCTAGGTTGATTCCATGTCTTTGCTATTATGAATAGTGCTGCGATGAACATATGTGTGCGTGTGTCTTTTTGACAGAATGGTTTGTTTTCTTTTAGATATATATCCAATAATCGGATTGCTAGGTTGAATGGTAGTTCTGTTCTAAGTTATTTGAGAAAACTTCAAACTGCTTTCCACAGTGGCTGAAATATTTCACCTTCCCACCAACAGTGTATAAGCATTCCCTTTTCTTTGCAGCCTCACCAACATCTGTTGTTTTTTGACTTTTTAATAATTGCCATTTTGACTGGTGTGAGATGATAGGTTTTTTTTGTTTTGTTTTGTTTTGTTTTGTTTTGTTTTGTTTTGTTTTGTTTTGTTTTGCTGAGCGGAAGCTCTTTAGTTTAATTAGGTCCCACTTGTCAATTTTTGTCTTTGTTACTATTGCTTTTGAGGACTTTGTCATAAATTTTTTCCCAAGGCCCATGTCCAGAATCATGTTTCCTAGGTTTTCTTCTAGGATTCCTGTAACTAGAGATCTTACATTTAAATATTTAATCTGTCTTGGGTTAATGTGAGTTAACTTTGCATAAGGTAAAAGGTAGGGGGTCCAGTTTTATTCTTCTGCATATGGCTAACCAGCTATCCCAACACTATTTATTGAATAGGGGGTCCTTTCCCCATTACTTATTTTTGTCACCTTTGTCAAAGATCAGATGGTTATAGGTGTGCAAGCTTATTTCTGGTTCTTTTTTGTGTTCCATTTGTCTACATGTCTGTTTTTGTACCAGTACCATGATATTGTTTACTGTAGCCTTATTGCGTAATTTGAACTTGGGCAATGTGATGCCTCTAGCTTTGCTCTTTTTGCTTAGGATGACTTTGGCAATTCAGGCTCCTTTTTTTGTTTTCATATAAATTTTAGAATAGATTTTTCCAATTCTGTAAAAAAAATGTTGGTAGTTTGATAGGAATACTGTCAAATCTATAGATTTCTTCAGGCAGTATGGCCATTTTTAGTTTTATTTCCTGATGGACAGAAGGAAGAATATGCTGCAATTACTTAGGGCTTAGAAGTCAAGCAGCCATCAACAGGGATGCTCTCAAAAAAGAAGGCTGCAGAGACAGGCTTACTCATCTAGGAAATGGTTGGGATGATCTATACTTGGTCAATGACATATGCATTTGAAATAACCATTAAAATGTAGAATTTTTATTAGCCATTTCTTTCAAAATATAGCTTGTAAAACTGCTAGAACCTGTAGGGATACTGGAGAGCAACACGGTAATTAAAGTCCTCTCAAACTGCAGCTATAAACATTAAGGGCTTTGGCAGAATCAATATTGAGAGTCACAAAAATCTCCTGTTAGACCTTTGATCTCCTAGTAACTGGAAGGATACAAGGTTCAATTCACCTGAAAGTTTCACAAGGCTGAATTCTACATTAGGAAACTCAGTAGAAATGATTTGGGGATTCCCCTCACTATTACTTCTATTTGACAATAAAACTGCTGATGTCAGCCTAGTCTCAAAATTTTGCTCTGTGCACCTTTATTCTAGGGCATTGGATTCCTCCAAGGCATATTTGGGCATTTTTCTTACCCATCATTGAGTGGCTCAGGTATTGTTGGGTGGCATTTGTCTTCCCTAAGTCGACTAATCCATGCCTTTAGTGAAATCAAATAGACTATTCCCATTAGCTCTTCAGAATAATGATTACACTTCAGATAATTTTCACATAGAATAGGTCACCAGCTTTTAAAGCGTGAGCAAATGGCCACCTACAGTATGAGAAAATGGAGGTTTAGGAGATCTCACACCAGACCTACTGAGTCAGACTCTCTGGGAATGGGATCATATACTTTGTATTTTAACAAGTTCTCCATGTGAATCTTATACATAAATTTCAGAATCATTGCCTGCAATCCTCAAACCACTGTTGGACAGAGGAGAACAAGGCAACTGTCTTACTTGTTTTTAGCAACAAAGAAACATTTGTTGACTAAATGAACGAGTGAATCATTAAATAATAGAAATTATTTGAAATATAAGGCAAATAAGTATCAAAGGTTACTTTTATACTTTATATCTTTTCTATTTTATGTCTTATGATCCATGTAGTTTTGTATCAGACCTGCCTGCCGTGCCTGTTAGAAATTAAGATGCCCTAGTCCCATTTCAGACCTGCACACCTTGTTCCTACAATAACGGGGCTTTGTGCAGCACACTGGACAGCAGCCACTTTTCACTATCCACAAAACACAGCTATGAAAATAATGATGGCAATCAAATAAATGTGATTTAATTTATTATCACAAAAACCTGAAGTAGAAAGTTCTGTTACCCATATCTTACATAGGGAGAAATGGAGGGCAAATAAGATAAATCATTTTCTTACTACCAAGTAAGAAGTTTCATTAGCTTAATTCATATCACCAATACACAGTGTTTCTACCACTATGGAAAAGAAAGCCAACACACACAGAGTACATTCATCCCCAAATCTTAAATGTTGAGCTCAAAGGGAGACATTATGCAAACTTGTCATGCCATATAGTTATTTCTAGCAAATCAAATCAACAAGTATTTAGAGATGGTCTTCCAAGTAAATTAAAAGTTAAATGGCAATTCCAGAGCCAGATATCAAGTGTCAAAGCAAGACAACAAGCTTCAAGGCAATGCCCCATTCTCAAATGAATGTCCAAAAGAAAAAAAAAAAAAAAGAAAGAAGGAAACCAATTATGAATCCAGTGGAAAACTAGATTATGGTTGCAGTGAACTGAGAGGGTATCTAGGAAAGGAATTCAAGCTGGATTTTGGAGGGAGACAAGATTGAGTAGTTTGGGGTGGAGTAAAGCAAAATGATTTATCTCTGGAAGTATTCTATCAGAAACATATTAAATACACTGTCACAAGTATGTTGCACCTGCATGCAGTCATCATCTCTAGCTATATGTAGGGACTCTTCTTTGAGAGAGAAAATGCAGTTAATTTGTGATCTGCATGAGAGGCAGTGAGCAAAAAAGAAAGTGCTCCTCAAAAGCATTTGATTCCCTGGAGCCTGGACTTTTTTGATATTTGAATCAATAAATTTCCTTTTATGATTAAAGAGGCCCGAGTAGGGTTCTTGTGTTTTTGTTGTTGTTGTTTTAGAGTCAAAAATTATTCTAGCCAGTAAAACAATAATACAGAATAAAAAATATACACTGTCATTAAGAAGCTTATAGTTGCCCTGGCCAGAACTTCCAACACTATGTTGAATAGGAGTGGTGAGAGAGGGCATCCCTGTCTTGTGCCAGTTTTCAAAGGGAATGCTTCCAGTTTTTGCCCATTCAGTATGATATTGGCTGTGGGTTTTTCATAGATAGCTCTTATGATTTTGAGATACGTCCCATCAATACCTAATTTATTGAGAGTTTTTAGCATGAAGGGTTGTTGAATTTTGTCAAAGGCCTTTTCTGCATCTATTGAGATAATCATGAAGTTCTGGCCAGGGCAATTCGGCAGGAGAAGGAAATAAAGGGTATTCAATTAGGAAAAGAGGAAGTCAAATTGTCCCTGTTTGCAGGTGACATGATTATATATCTAGAAAACCCCATTGTCTCAGCCCAAAATCTCCTTAAGCTGATAAGCAACTTCAGCAAAGTCTCAGGATACAAAATCAATGTACAAAAATCACAAGCATTCTTATACACCAATAACAGACAAACAGAGAGCCATATCATGAGTGAACTCCCATTCACAATTGCTTCAAAGAGAATAAAATACCTAGGAATCCAACTTACAAGGGATGTGAAGGACCTCTTCAAGGAGAACTACAAACCACTGCTCAATGAAATAAAAGAGGATACAAACAAATGGAAGAACATTCCATGCTCATGGGTAGGAAGAATCAATATCGTGAAAATGGCCATACTGCCCAAGGTAATTTATAGATTCAATGCCATCCTGTCAAGCTACCAATGACTTTCTTCACAGAATTGGAAAAAACTACTTTAAAGTTCATATGGAACCAAAAAAGAGCCTGCATTGCCAAGTCAATCCTAAGCCAAAAGAACAAACCTGGAGGCATCACGCTACCTGACTTCAAACTATACTACAAGGCTACAGTAACCAAAACAGCATGGTACTGGTACCAAAACAGAGATATAGATCAATGGAACAGAACAGAGCCCTCAGAAATAATGCCACATATCTACAACCATCTGATCTTTGACAAACTTGACAAAAACAAGCAAAGGGGAAAGGATTCCCTATTTAATAAATGGTGCTGGGAAAACTGGCTGGCCATATGTAGAAAGTTGAAAGTGGATCCCTTCCTTACACCTTATACAAAAATTAATTCAAGATGGATTAAAGACTTACATGTTAGACCTAAAACCATAAAAACACTAGAAGAAAACCTAAGCAATACCATTCAGGACATAGGCATGGGCAAGGACTTCATGTCTAAAACACCAAAAGCAATGGCAACCAAAGCCAACATTGATAAATGGGATCTAACTAAACTAAAGAGCTGCTGCACAGCAAAAGAAACTACCATCAGAGTGAACAGGCAACCTATAAAATGGGAGAAAATTTTTGCAACCTACTCATCTGACAAAGGGCTAATATCCAGAATCTACAATGAACTCAAACAAATTTACAAGAAAAAAACAAACAACCCCATCAAAAAGTGGGCGAAGGATATGAACAGACACTTCTCAAAAGAAGACATTTATGCAGCCAAAACACACATGAAAAAAATGCTCATCATCACTGGCCATCAGAGAAATGCAAATCAAAACCACAATGAGATACCACCTCACACCAGTTAGAATGGCGATCATTGAAAAGTCAGGAAACAACAGGTGCTGGAGAGGATGTGGAGAAATAGAAACACTTTTACACTGTTGGTGGGACTGTAAACTAGTTCAACCATTGTGGAAGTCAGTGTGGCGATTCCTCAGGGATCTAGAACTAGAAATACCATTTGACCCAGCCATCCCATTACTGGGTATATACCCAAAGGATTACAAAACATGCTGTTATAAACACACATACTCACGTATGTTTATTGTGGCACTATTCACAATAGCAAAGACTTGGAGCCAACCCAAATGTCCAACAATGATAGACTGGATTAAGAAAATGTGGCACATATACACCATGGAATACTATACAGCCATAAAAATGAAGAGTTCATGTCCTTTGTAGGGACATGGATGAAACTGGAAATCATCATTCTCAGCAAACTATCGCAAGGACAGAAAACCAAACACTGCATGTTCTCACTCATAGGTGGGAATTGAACAATGAGAACACATGGACACAGGAAGGGGAACATCACACTCTGGGGACTGTTGTGGGGTGGGGGGAGGGGGGAGGGATAGCATTAGGAGATATACCTAATGCTAAATGACATGTTAATGGGTGCAGCACACCAACATGGCACATGTATACATATGTAACAAATCTGCACGTTGTGCACATGTACCCTAAAACTTAAAGTATAATAATAATAAAATAAAATAAAATAAAAAGGAGCTTATAGTTAGTCAAACAATAATAGGAATAATAATAATGGAGAGTGATAAATTCCACACTAAATGCAGGCACAACACACTAGCCTAGCACAGAAAAGTACCACCTTATTCCTTACCTAGAGTTATGATGCAAACTTCTGCCACTGAAATCTATTAGTAGGGATTTATTAGCCTTTATCTTCTCTAACTAATCTTTTTCCTCTATTATATACAGAAATAAAGGTTTAAATCAATCGGTGTAGCCTATCTTCTAAATGCATAGCAAATAAACATAGCGAATGTGTACAGAAACCACCAAAAAGATTTATACATATCTTCCTTTATTTTCCTGATTTATTAATGAAGTCACAATTACAAGGAATTTTAAGTAAGGCTGTTCTTGGCTAGGGAAAATTCCTCAAACTCAACATCAAAAAGCACTATTTATACCTCCCAAGATTCTTTATTCTCTAGTTAAATAGAAAATGCCCAATTCAACGATGTTCTTAGCTTTAGAGATCTTCTGAAGTCAGAAATAGTCACTAAAAATTGTTAGGATTTGTTTTTAGTCATGAGGATTTACTTAAGAACAGGGGTGGTGCAAAAGGAGGAAAGAAGAACTTGAGAAGAGACAACTTTCATGTATAATCAATCATGTATGTGTTATGTTAACTACAGTAATGGGTAGAAGGGCAATCATTTGTCCTGTTAAAGTTAGGGTGACTCCAAGTCAGAACCAATATTAGCCAATGGCAGAACAAAAGGCAAATTTTATAGGATTTTTGAAGAGAAGGAACACAAAGGTTATACAGACATCAACATAATTCAAAGGAAGGTAAAAGTCCCAGCTCCAAGAAACTACAAGACAATTGGTGTGAGCTCATTTGTCACAAGCAGTAAAGGATGCTAGCAGGTAGAAAGAGGGTGAACTTCAGAAATACATGGGTAATTCAGACTGTAAAATTTGAGCAAAAATCATAGAATAAATTGAGTTCTATTCCATAGACTAGATGAAACATGCTGCTATGAAGAGAAAAGAAGAGGGAAAATAACTTCCTAAGATTCATTTCTTTCTTTTAATTACCAAAACAAAATCTATTTAGAGATAGAATCTCTTTCTGCTGCCCAAGCTAGAGTTCAGTGGCACAGCCATAGCTCACTGTAGCCTCAAACTCCTGGGCTCAAGTGATCCTCCCACACCAGCCTCCTGAGTAGCTAGAACTAAAGATGTGTGCCATCATGTTTGGCTATTTTTTTTTTTAGAGAGAGAGACAGGATCTTGCTATGTTGTCCAGGCTTGTCTCGAACTCCTGGCAATCTTCCTGCCTTGGCATCCCAAAGCACGGGAATTACAGACATGAGCCATTGCACCTGGCCTAAGGTTATTTTCTATTTGTTAATTTACATGATTTTATGAAGACTGAAAACTTTTGGTGAACCTGAATTTAAGCAAAGCCAGCCCTAATTGATGCAAGAGAGTAGTACCAACCTCTTACAGCCAAAAGGTTTCCTGTACTCTTTTTTTTTTTTTTTTTTTTCAGATGGAGTCTCACTCTATCACCAGACTGGAGTGCAATGGCATGATCTCAGCTCACTACAACCTCTGCCTCCTGGGTTCAAACGATTCCCCTGCCTCAGCCTCCCAAGTAGCTGGGACTACAGGCACGTGCCACCACACCTGGCTAATTTTTTGCATTTTCGTAGAGACAGGGTTTCACCATGTTGGCCAGGATGGTCTCAATCTCCTGACCTCATGATCCGCCCGCCTTGGCCTCCCAAAGTGCTGGGATTACAGGCATGAGCCACCAAACCCAGCCCTTCCTGGACTCTTAAGCAGGCTCTGTAAACAGAACTCTAATACTAAAACTCTTCCTCCAGAGGGAAAGAGGTAGTAGGGGAGAGTAAAACACTTCTATTCATAGTGTATATCTTCCTTGTTTCTAAAAGGGAGCTTAGGGGTAACTTAAAAGTATATAGTAAAATCATTAAGGTACTGGTGCTCTGTCATCTCTATTTCTCTGACACACCTTGCTCATAGCTCTGCCCATGGTAGAAGTAGGAGTAATACATATCTAACGAATACAGATGGATTAATTAATATTCAGCAGAATAAACAAAGCTAAGATGCAATCACTGGCATTTTCTACTAAAAAACTAAATACCTGGCCCCTTGCAACCAACCTATCTAGGAGAATCTCAGAACTTAGTAAAATGCTTGCTTCACAGTAGATCCTCTAAATAACTGACATTTCAATGAACAAATGAATGCAGTGGATTCAAATGGCAGGATTGATTCTTTCATCCTGATTCTCATAAACCCCCAAATCACTAATGCAGCATTAAGTGCAGTTAGATATTAATTGAGGCAGAGTGGCCAGCTTCTCTCTGCCCTGGCGTCATAGTTTCGATAATCATGGATATATTTAGGATGTCGCAGTCAGAAAATTGTTCTTCTCCAAGGAAAAATTTCCCAATTATCAAAGGAAGTGTCTTCAGGTCCCCCAAATGAGTTCACAAAGACATAGATGTTGACCTTAAGGAAGGGATTTTTTTTCTACTTTCTCTTATTCAAATGCTGTGCCTAAGTTTGCAACTTCATGGTTTATTTGCAGAAGAGCTTCTGCACGCAGGCATACTGCCTGTCTAGAGAACACGCCATGAGCCCTGCTTCGGAAGACCGCACACCATTTAACCAAAGGATTTAAATCCATGGTCATATGTTTATCTCTCTCCACTTCATTACACTTGATGGAAAAGAGAAAGCACAGAATATTTTCCAAGCAACTGGCTTCTGGCTTTTTGTTTTTCAAGTGGCCTTTTAAGTGTGGAATGCCATGGATAAGGTTCGGCAACCACCTTCTCAGGGATGGGAAAGGTATACTTACGAATGGGATGTAGTTTAGTCCAATTTATATAGTTTATCTGAAAATATTTTTTCAAAGCAGGTGATGAAGCAAGGTGACACTTCAAAGTTTCCTGTCAGTCTTAAGAAAATATAAAACTCACGTAAATTAGTGTGCTTAGGCCACTCTGATCCTGATATCCTTATTTGTTTATCATAAGTGTGCCACAATGTCACCCTCCACTGCACCACCATCCCAGAGAGGTTACCTCCTCAAACTGCCTATTAAGCAAGAAAAGAAATAATTTCTTCCTTTGTATGTGGTGTGGTGACAAGAATCTCCCAAAAGAGTGAAGCTTGAAATTCAATTAGAGATACCTAAAGTCAAGGAAAGTCTTGTTTGAGTGTATTTCTCCACAATTCTACTGTCCTTTATTAGAACAGCATTTCTGGACCACATTTGTGTGTTGATATGATGAAACCTCCTGAGTCTGTCCCAGAAACAAACATGTAGACAAGTAATGTATATATTTCAGGTGGTCCACAGGATCCCCCTAAGCCCATTCATGGAATTCCTAGGGAATACTTGGGTTCCAGGTTAAAACTTCTTGCTCCAAAATTTGCTTCTTTTCCCTGTGTGTCCTGCATTGGTCAGAGTAGGAGAAATATCTCATTATTTTGAAAAAAAAAAAAAAAGGAAAGAAGAATCAGGAACTCTTGGGCAACCTTTAAAATGACACACACACACACACAAAAACCTGTAACTTCTAAATACCTGAACCTAACTTTTGATTCCTAATTGAGGCTCCAGAGTTTTCAAAGACAATGAGTACATGATGCATTCTTTCATTCATCAAGTACTTACTGAGTACCTCCCAAATGCCAGGTGCAGTAGTAGTCATTAAAGTTAGAAATGAAAGGTGTTCTTTTGATTTATAAGGAGCATATAAAATATAGACAAGTAATGCATCATAATACAGAATTATAAGTGCTGATATGGAGGTTAAGGTGAGTGTTATATGGTAATACAAAAGATCGAAGGGTGTGAGGGGCTGGAGAGCAACAAGAAAGTCTCCATGCAGAAAATACTCCCTGAGCCGAGTCATGAACAAATAGCAAGCCAAGGGAAAAAGGAGGCTTGAGCAGCCTGCACAATGGTATGAAGGTCAGAAAGAGTGTGATGCTTTCAGAGAATGGCAAACAATGATATGTCTAGAGCCTAAGAAGTGGTAAAAAGGAAAGTTGAAAGAGTAGGCAGAGGCTATTTCTTGAAGGGCCTTGTGGAGCATGCCAAGCAGCTTGGATTTTATTGAAGGAAAAGTAGAGCAACTGAAGGAGTTTAAGATGAGGAGTGCTGTCCAGCGAGCATTTTAGAAAGGTCACGAGCAGATGCAAAAAAAAATTAATTGCTGAATTGCCAGAGTTCTAAGATTTCATAGAAGAGGTGTCAGTCATTCCAACTCTAGATTATTCCAAAACAAATAACCCTTAGAGCATTTAGACACTCATGTTGCCCAAAGATCCTTAGATTTATTTGGATGAGCCGTTTTTTTCTTCGCTATCCAAGTCCTTCCAAGTGCAGAACATAAATAATGACCACATTCCCAATAAAGATGAAAAGGAATATCTGAAATACAGTGAATTAGATTTCTACCACAAAGTTAGTGGCTTAAAACAATACGAATCCATTATTTTATAGTAGGTTAGAAGTTTGACTCAGGTCTCATTCAGCTATAACCAATGTGTTAGCAGAGCTGCATGCCATTCTGGAGTCTTTAAAGAAGAAGATATTTCCTTGCCTTTTCTAACTTCTAGATGACACTCAAATTCCTTGGCTCATGGCTCCCTTCCTCCATCTTCAAAGTCAGCAAGTGAAGTCTCTCTCCCACTCTTATTCCATAGTAACATCACTCTCTGACCACAGCTGGGAAAGGTTCTCCACTTTTAAACACTTGTGTGGTTAAACTGTGCACATCTGGATAACCCAAGATAGTCTCCCTCTCTCAAGTTCTATACCCTTAATCATATCTGCAATGTGAATTAACAGTTTCATGATTCAGAGGATTAGGACATGAGCATTTTGGGGTGGCAGGCAGGAAGGGGCGTTATTCTATCTCCCACAAAGAGATTTGGCAATTTCTTCTGCTTTCACTAGTACTACTTGACCAGTAAAAGACAATTCGGCAACAAAATGTCACATAATTTCTTCTATTCTGGGGTGTCTCCAACTCACTTAAAGCATTTGACAAGATGCATAATTATGTCTAAACAAATTCCTTATTTTAGAAACACCAACTGGCTTCAATCCTCAGTTGAGGAGTGTGTTAAGGCCTTGAATGTGTTCTCAGTATCATCAAGCATTGCATAGAAAGAGAAATCAGTAAAAGAGTCAGTCCTGCCATATCGGGCCAACAGTGCAAGTTAGCATGAGAATTTGGGGCAATTGGAAGCTTAGGAACAAGGCAAGGTCTGACAGAGAACTTTGAAGAATCATCTGAGTAATAGGATTCCCTTGAGCCTAAAACAAGATATAAGAATGAAAATAACATTAGAGCACCAGAAATCAGTAAAGTGCAAATATCCATGCACTTAAAAGTGTTTAAGATAATCGAATTAGCCTTGTCAACAAGAATTCCCCATCTACCTCTTATGTCTCAAAGGCAAAGTTAATGCATGTTTGTATTTTACAAAGCAACCAGCCTATTGTCAATACCAAACCAATACACTGTAATAGTTTAAGATTAGTAAGTCTTCCAGTGCCTGGAAAGAAGTTTAGATTTCATATAAAGACCGAGAGTCCTCTGTCCTCTTTGGCCTTTTATTGTTTTAGAATGCTCCATATTTTCCAATACAAGCTCACCTGCTTCACAGGACATTGCCTTTTCAACATTCATTTTTTGGAGAAAGTAGCCAAGCACATATATTAAATGTTAAGCCTTGATAACTTGACTATATTCAATATATGATTCCAAAGCACTCAATGAGTCTGATCATATTTGAAATTCATCATTAGTTCAACCTTAATTTTGTTTTTAATACTTTAAGTTCTTGGATACATGTGCAGAACATGCAGGTTTGTTACATAGGTATACACGTGCCATAGTGGTTTGCTGCACCCATCAACCCATCATCTACATTAGGTATTTCTCCTACTGCTATCCCTCTCCTAGGTCCCCACCCCCCGAAAGCCCTGATGTGTGATGTTCCCCTCCCTGTGTCCATGTGTTCTCATTGTTCAACTCCCACTTATGAGTGAGAACATGCAGTGTTTGGTTTTCTGTTCCTCGGTTAGTTTGCTGAGAATGATGGTTTCCAGCTTCATCCATGTCCCTGCAAAGGACACGAACTCATCCTTTTTTATGGCTGCATAGTATGCCATGGTGTATATGTGTCACATTTTCCAATTTAAAAAAAAATGTGCTTTGTTGTCTTGAAATCGAGGCTGTGTTTTATGATAAATGGAAGACATTCTGCTTTGAGAAATGAGATGCCTAGAGACATAATGAAGTTACCATCATGTGAGATGTTTTGGCATATGGTTGTGTACTGAGGTGCTCAGAGGGGCAGAGGGGAGTCACACACTGAGTGGAAGAAGAAGGTAGCTTATTTTCCAAACCTGAGATATGATGATTTAATCATGTGTAAGTTTGTAATGGTTAAAATGGTTCTAGATATGGTTGACCTGCACTAGAAGGAAAGACACCCCAGAAATGTCACTTGAAGGCTCTGCTCCAGATCAAGTAGACCTGCATGGAGACATAATATGCAGTTCTACATACAAAGTGAACAGTTCTGGGGTGTGATCCCTCAGGAAAGTAGGGGTTTGAGGCATTCTAGGAAGCCAGAGAGGATTTGTCTCGGCTGAGAGTAGCAGGGGAAGACTCAAAGAAAAGGCCATGGGCAAATTAACGTGGTGAGCTTAGAAATAGTAAAACAACCCTGGAGGAAGAGTCTGGAGAAATAAGCAGAGAATGTCGGAGGGGACAGTGAAGGTCTTCTAGTTTAACCCTGTGCATGAATCCTTAAGAGAGAGTCAGAATAGTCAGGAAACTAAATGAAAGTTTGTGGAGTCTGGACTCTGATCTGCAGGCAATGACAACTGGAAAACAGGCACTGGATGGGAACAGAGGATATAACCTGAAGCCACCTTGGGCAGGAGTTTGCTAAAGCAGATAGAGAAAAGAGAGGACTGTGTGCTCAGCAAATGATAACTAGAGAAAATATTGGACATGGCCATTTACTTCAATGGTTTGTCATTTCTTTTGCTTATTTCCTTTTATGTTCTGCCCAGAAATGTTGTTTTTGAAAAAAATCCAGTCTCACTTACCTATACTGAGTGGAAAAAGAAACAAAGTGTGTTTGCATACACACGTTTGTACATGTGGTCTGGGCGTGTCTGGTCCAGGTGAACACTCATGCCCATGAACAGAGGCCCTGGGGCAGAGGATGAGGGGCCAGGTGGATGGGATAAAATAAGAAGGGGAGTTCCCCAGAGACTCATTATTTTCAAACTATTACACTTCCAAACACTTTTTCAGGTAATATCTTGGTATGACAGTACTGAGGAGTAGGATTAAAACCTATGAAAGGAAGCAGAATAAAGTGACAGTCTGATCAGAATGTTTAATACACATAAGAGCTGTGTAGAAAGGAGGATTGTCAAAAGATAACATGTTTCAGCTTTTATATCCAGTCCCCATCATTGGTCCTGACCACAGTCCCATTCGAGAGTAATGGCAGTAACTATTATGCTTCCAGGGACCTGGGACACTTCCAGGAGTACCAGCATCTGCTGGGAGGTGGACCATAGATATTTTATTTGCTCATTACTATGAGTAACAATGTTTGAACATATGTCCCATGTTTATATTGGTATAAAAATATATATCAATGTTTGAACATATATTTACAAGTTATAATAAAACATACCCATATAAATTATAAAACTCAGAAATCTTTAAATGATAACATATAATAGGATATACTTTTAAACATTTCTATTGTGTACAGTATATGTGCATTTGTCTAAACACATTACACGTATTAACCATTTAATGCTCATGTCAGCCCTCAAAGGTGGTACTATTATTAAGGACCCATTTTACAGATGGGGAAACTGAGGCATACTATATGCTATAGTTTTGATGTTTGTGTTTCTCCAAAATTCATGTTGAAATTTAATCTCAATTGTGGAATAAAGAGGTAGGTCCTATGGGGAGGTGATTAACTTGTGATGGTTCTGCCCTTTTGAATGGGCTTCAGAGAGCTGTCTGGCCCTTTTGCTCCTTCTGCCATATGAGACAGAGTGTTTATCCCTTTTACATCCCTTCTGCCTTATTAGGAAGCAGCAAGAGGCATCATCTGAAAAACAGAGAGCACGCCTTTACCAGATACCAAATCTGCTAACACCTTGATCTTGGACTACTCATTCTCCAGGATTGTGAGAAACAAATGTCCATTATTTATAAATCATCCACTTTAAGGTATTTTGTTATAGAAGCATGAATGGACTAAGGCAGAAATTGGTACCAAAAAGTGGTGTTGCTAAAAATATGGAAATGTCTTTGAAACTGGGAAATAGGTAGAGACTGGACTGTAAAGGGCTCAGAAGAAGAGGAGAGATGTAGGGAGAGCCTCAATCTTCTTAGGGATTACTTAAATGGTTGTGATCAGAATGTGGGTAGAAATGTGGACAGTAAAGATCATTCTGATGTGGTCTTAGATGAAAATAAGAGACATGTTACTGGAAACTGGAGGAAAGGACATTCTTGTTATAAATAGGAAAAGAGCTTGCCTGAATTGTGTTTGTGTCCTAGTGATTTGTGGAAGGCAGAGCTGAAGAGAAAGGAATTAGGATATTTGGCAGAATAAATCTCTAAGTAAGGTGTTGAGGGTGCAGCATGGCTTCTTTGACTGCTTACAGTAAAATGCAGGGAGAGAGAAACAAGTTAAAGACCGAATTTATCATCAAAAGGAAAGCAGAACTTAAACAGTTGGAAAATTCTCAGTCTATTAAAAAAAAAAGAGAGAGAGAAAATGTGTTCAGGAACGAATACCAAGAATGTGCCCAAGAGACTGTTTGATAAGATTAATATGGACAGAAGGAAGCTAGGTGCTATGCATCAAGACAATGAAAGAATGACTCCAAAACCATTTCAAAACCTGTCAGGTACTGCCACTCCCATCTCAGAGTGCCAGGGCCTTGAGAGCAGAATGTTGTCAAAAGAGGGGATTTAGGTACACATATGACCTCAGTACTCATTGGCATGGGCTGCCTCAAGTCTCTGCTTCACAAATTCTGGTGCAGCTCTTCTCAGTCATCCCAAATTGACTCCAGTGGGCTCAAGTATGGTGCAGGCTACAGTGGCCAGCCCTCCAGTAGGCATAAGTGGTAAACCTTGGTGATGTTCATATGGCGCCATCTCCACCAAGGTGCAGAGAGCATGAGTTGTGGGGTCATGGCTGCTTCCATCTAGATTTCAAAGGATGCTCCAAAGAGCACAGGTTCAGGGCAACCACAGAGATCCCCGACTAGAGCAATGTCCAGTAAGTCAGGGAAGCAGAGCCATTCCCAAGACTTCAGAGCTGTAGAGCTACCAATGTGCAACTTCACCTGAGAGAGCTGCAAGCAGGAGATTCCAACTTGTGAGAGCTGCTGTGTGGGCTGTGCCCAGAAAAGCCATAAGGGCAGGACTTCCCAGGACTTTGGGGGCCCAATCTCTTGCCCCGTGTCTCTGGCAGGTGGAATAGAGAGTCAAAGGAGCTTATTCTGGAGTCTTAAAATGTAATGTTTTCCCATTTGGATTTTGGAGTTACTTGGGACAACTTACCCCGTTCTTTCTTCCTATTTTCTTTCTTCTTTTTGGAATGGGAAGGTCTATCTTATGCCTATTTCACTACTGTATTTTTTTAAATTATACTTTAAGTTCTGGGTTACATGAGCAGAATGTGCAGTTTTGTTGCATAGGTATACATGTGCCCTAGTGGTTTGCTGCAGCCATCAACCTGTCACCTACATTAGGTATTTCTCCTAATGTTATCCCTCCCCTAGCTCCCCATCCCCCGACAGGCCCCAGTGTGTGATGTTCCCCTCCCTGTGTCCATGTATTCTCATTGTTCAACTCTCATTTATGAGTGAGAACATGCAGTGTTTGGTTTTCTGATCTTGTGATAGTTTTCTGAGAATGATGGTTTCCAGCTTCATTTTCCATGTCCCTGCAAAGGACATGAAGTCATCCTTTTTTATGGCTGCAGAGTATTCCATGGTGCATATGTGCCACATTTTCTTAATCCAGTCTATCATTGATGGATATTTGGGTTGATTCCAAGTCTTTGCTATTGTGAATAGTGCTGCAATAAACATACCTGTGCATGTGTCTTTATCATAGAATGATTTATAATCCTTTGTGTATATGCCCAGTAATGGGACTGCTGGGTCAAATGCTATTTCCAGTTCTAGATCCTTGAGGAATTGCCACACTGTCTTCCACAATGGTTGAATTAATTTACACTCCCACCAACAGTGTAAAAGTGTTCCTAGTTTTCCACATCCTCTCCAGCATCTGTTGTTTCCTGACTTTTTAATGATCTCCATTCTAACTGGCATGAGATGGTATCTCACTGTGGTTTTGATTTGCATTTCTCTAATAACCAGTGATGATGAGCATTTTTTTCATATGTCTGTTGGCTGCATAAATGTCTTCTTTTGAGAAGTGTCTGTTCATGTCCTTTGCCCATTTTTGTTGGGGTTTTTTTTTCTTGTAAATTTTAATTATACTTTAAGTTCTAGAGTACATGTGCACAATGTGCAAGTTTGTTACATAGGTATACATGTGCCATGTTGGTTTGCTGCATTTTGAGAGCACATAACTTGTTTCCTTTCAAAGGCTTATGGCTAGAGTAACAATTTGCCTTAGAATTAATTGTGCTTTGAGTCCCATTCATATCTGGTTCAGATGAGACTTTGGACTTACACATTAAAGTTGATGCTGGAATGAATTAGGACTTTGGGGGCTATTGGGATAGAATGATTATATTTTGTAACTGGGAAGAACATGAATGTTAGGGATCCAGAGAAGAATGCTATGGCTTTCACGTTTGTGTCCCTCCAAAATTCATTTGAAACTTAATCCCCAATGTAATAGTATTAGGAGGTGTGGCCTTTAGGAGGTGATTAGGTCATGAGGGCTCTGCTTGATCCTGGACTTTCAAGCCTCCAGAACTGTAACTTAATAACTTTCTGTTGTTATAGATTACCCAGTCTTACAGTAATTGTGAAATGGCAGCAAGAACAGATGAACGCAGTACAGATAAGTAACTCACACAAGGTCACACAGCTGGTAGCACCAGAGCTTGGATTCAAACCCAGTAGTCTGGCTGTAGCAACTAAGTCCTAACTCTGCATTACAGTCTCCTGCCTCTATAATTGCTCTTCTGCCATGCTGATATTAGTTAATTTTTCAAAGCATGATGTGCACTTTGGGAGAGGTTAATCATTAATGATAGCGGCTGTAAATCCATATTTCAAATAGTCTTCTTACTAATCATATCTGATTAGATTGTCATTGTTTCCTACCACTTAATGAAGGTGATCAGGAGCTTTGAATGAGTAGGACAAGTGCCAGCATGGCCATTTTCTTTTGCTCCTTTGTGGATATTCTTTTGGCATTATCATGGCATTATCACATCTTCTTGGAAATAATTTGTTTAAGATTCTTACCCATTTTGGGAGAGGTAGTTCAGTTAAACAAGATCATTGGCCCTTAAATCTATTTACCCAGGCAACACACACCTAACTACTTCACAGTAAGTTGAACTCAAGTCAACTCCCACTCCCACTCAACTCCTCAGGATTCTGCAGGATTTGTCCAGAACATTACCATACAGGTTCAGTGTGTGCACCAGTTCCAATCAACAACAAAGCTTAAGAACTTTCATTTGTTAAAATAAATATAAATAAAAGTTCTAAAATTTTCCCATACTGGCCGGGCACGGTGGCTCACGCCTGTAATCCCAGCACTTTGGGAGGCAGAGGCAGGAAGATCACGAGGTCAGGAGATCGAGACCATCCTGGCTAACACAGTGAAATCTCGTCTCTATTAAAAATACAAAAAATTAGCCGGGCATGGCGGCATGCGCCTGTACTCTCAACTAATCAGGAGGCTGAGGCAGGAGAATGGCGTGAACCCGGGAGGCGGAGGTTGCAATGAGCCGAGATCGCACCACTGCACTCCAGCCTGGGCGACAGAGTGAGACTCTGCCTCAAAAAATAAATAAATAAATAAATAAATAATAAATAAAATTTTCCCATACCATAAAGGATTGTTCCAAAAGGATACATGCCCTACTTCGAAGACCACTCCCCAGAGTATTTTTTTGAAGTAGGATCCTCAGATCATCTACACCAGAATCAACAGGTTTATTATAAAAATCTGTATTCCTGAGCCCAAATCCATATTTATTTAATGGGAATCTTGGTATAAGGCCCAAGGAGTATGCATTTTAAATAAGTTCTTCAGGTAATCCTTATACATCTCAATGTTGATAGCCACTGCTTTAGGGGCTGCTTGGTCCCTGATACAACAAATCTCCCAAGGTTACAGGAGCTCTTAATTACTGGTGGTAATTAATTGATGTGTCAACATGAATGGGTCACTGGGTGCCCAGATGAAATGTTGTATTTGGTTGCCTTTGTGAGCATATTCCTGCAGGAGGTTAGCATTTGAATTGGTAAACTCAGTGAAGTAGATTGCCCTCTCCAGTTTTGTTGAGCATCATTCAATCTGTTGAAAGCCTAAATAGAACAAAAGGCAGAGGAAGTAGGAATTTGTCTCTTTTATCCTGCCTCACTGCTTGAGCTGGAATATCTCATTTCAACTTCCCTGACCCCAAGACTAGGATTTACATTATCACCTCTTTGAATTCTCAGCCCTTTCGACGTGAACCTCACTACCCTACCAGCTTCCCAGGGTCTCCAGCTTGCTGATAACAGATTGTGCAACTTCGCAGCCTCCATAGTTGTGTAGGCCAATAAACCAATTCCTCAGAATAAATATGTGGGATGCATGTGTGTGTGTGCATGTGTGTATTCTGTTTCTCTGGAGAATTGACTGGTTTGGTTTTATTTCGCTAGAGAACCTTGAATAATGTAAACCCCAATGCTTCAGATAATACTTGACTATCAGGTTAAAGAACCAAGTGCAGTGACTGATTCTCCTCCTATAGAAAGGACACATTTGAATAATGCCTTTCAATTACTCAGATATATTTTGTTTCTTCAGTTTAATTACAAACAGTCTAGAAAATAAATGTCTTTGCCTTTATATAATATCTATAGTTTCTAATCAGCAAATAGCTTTTATCTCACATGATGTCTGGTTAATTCACAGTGACGACAGGAGTGCTCTGTAAACAGACCCTGAGACTGGATTGGGACGAAGTCATCAATCTGTGATGCATTATCAATATCTGCACGCAAACAACGTGGAGAGGTGGCAATTCAATGGGCATTTGGCAACACAAATGAGCCATCTTAACAGTATATTCTCAAAATTAATAAATATGAAAGATATCCCAAACATTGCATATATGAGCAAATCATCTCTTACTTAGGGAACTATCTGCTTTTTTCAGATTATCCCTGTCTTGTTAAGTCACTTTTAAAATGAGAAAATAGCCACTTAAAAGGGATATTTCTGCCATGCCTTTTATGCCCATTACATATGTGAAGCCTTGAAGTCAGGAGAAGATTGGAAGCTGTTGGAGGCAGACCTTGGACAGCCCCCACCACACTAGTAATGGGAAACCATAAAATTACAATTTTAAAAAAGAAGGCCAGTGTAGCTATTTTAATATGAGACCACAGCTTGGAGCAATCTAGGGTAGTGTTAAACATCCCCATCTAACACAGCAACTCTGCATGCATAGTAAAGATGACCCTGCATCATGAAAGCTTGATACGAGTAATCTTTAAGTGTACATAAAATACTGAGAACCTCTAATTCTGGATCATCTTGGTATAGGATAAGGGAGATGCTACATGGCTGATGGAATGGTGTGTTTTTAATTGTGACATCTGGAATTGTTACACCACCTCCATAGAGCACTGTCAACCCTGATCTAATGGGAAACCATGTAGGGAAACAGGCACACACACCAGCTAGGGCTGCAACCTTGTGGAGGGCTTAATCTCAGCCCCAGAGGGTGTAGCAGATAAGATAACAGTTAACACATCATGTGCATGTATCGTGGGGTAGTGAGGTTCACATCGAAAGGGCTTAGAATGCTAAGATGGGTCAAATCTATTGGACACATTTCAGGTTTTATTACCTTAGGCCTCTCTGCAGCACTTATTGGTTGCTCCCTCATTATATGAAATCTGCTCTTTTGGCTTCCACAACAATGTGCTTACCTGGTTCTCTTCATAATTCCTTGATGATTCCTACTCTATCTTCTTTACTCATTCTTTTTCTCCATCCTCCCTTTGAAAGATGGTCTTCCTCATTGTTCTATATGCAGTATACTGCTCTCCTCCTCTTGTCTCTCTCCCCTGGATAATCTAATATGTCCGCGCTTGTGGTTTTAACCACCACCTAGATATTCATGACTCCCTACTTCTTATCTTCAGGCCAAATCTTCTCTCCTAAGCCTCAGACACAAATCCAACTCTCTGTAGGGTATGCCGACCTAGATATCCACAGGCACCTCAAACCAGCCAAGCCCAAACTGTGTACATCAGCATCTTACCCTCTACATGCAAAACAACATCCATGCCAAAGTCCAGGGTAGAAATCTCAGAGGCATCCTAAATTTTTCCCAACTCTTCAATGTTTCAAATTCTCATCTTCCTTGCTTGTCAATATAATTAACACTTCCCTAGCTCAGTCCTTTGTTAACTTTAACTTGGATGTCAGTAATAGCTTCCCAACAGTAGCCCAGCCTCTAGTCTAGTTTAAAAGATCCTCCAGGATCTACCATCTAACAGTCACTTCACTCTTACCTTTCACCTACCTCTGCCTCTCAGCACTACTAACTAACCTGTTTACAATTTTTCTATGCCTTGAATCCTCTGTATCTGGAATGCCTGACACCACTCTACATTGCTCAGTTCTAGTCTTTAAAACTTAGCTAAGGGGTCACTTCCTACAGCAGGTCTTCCCTGAGACCAGTCTACCTCCCACTCTAGACTAAGCCTCTGTTCTCCATAACGCCATGTTGCTAAGTCACCACTTCTATTATTGTTTGAACCACAGTGTGTTATGATTATCTGTTGACTCTCGAGGGTCAAGATGCTGCCTTATCCATGCTGGTCCTTACTGTCTAGCAAAGTGATTGGCAAATGGGAAGAAGCCACTGTATAAGTGTTTGACAACTGGATAGAGAAATGATCAGATAGGAGAATCGGAACAGAATTTTAAAATTTCAATTATGTAGAAGGTTTATTGGATTTTCTTCTCAGCTAAGCCACAAATTGAACTGAAGGAACAAAAGAATATTCAAATAATTAATTTTGAGATTATTTATATTAATGTTATGGATTCAAGAAAGCAAAAACACTCAACTTAAAACTCTTAGGAAGAGAAGAATTTATCATTATTATCATTGCCATTATTATTGGAAAAGCTCATAAAAGAGCAGGGACCTACACAACTCTCCTTTCCTACAGAAAGAAAATTGAAAAAAAAATCATTTCCTTTTAGATATTATGTGTTTCATTTCTTCCTGCTAGTGAGTATTTATGGTTGAGTTATAAAAATCTGGAAACAGAAAACTTGGAAGTGCTGATCCAGCTTTCATGGGCTCCCTTTGAGTTCTATAATTACCATACAATCAGTGCTCTAACCGGGCTGACAAAGAAGAGTTCCTCTCTCCGTCACGCCTTGTCTGCTTCCAGAGAAAACAAGTGAAGCCACGAGAGAGGATCCTTCAGCAGCTCTCCACTGCTCTGCGTGCTAGCCAAGGTACCAGCATCCAGGGAAGATCCTCAGAGGTCTCTAAAGACACAAGTGCAATTCCTCAAATTAGAGTTGTTTTTTCCTGGAGCTGGCATTGCATGGTAGGGCCATAATGGAGAATACAACTTTCTTAAGGAAAGAAAATCAATTAATCAATGCAGAGTTGGAGCTGGCATTGCATGGTAGGGCCATAATGGAGAATACAACTTTCTTAAGGAAAGAAAATCAATTAATCAATGCAGAGAAGTTCAAGAAGGAGCTTTTAAAATTGATCCATTTATTTTTTGCATATATATACACTCACATACTGCAAACTCATGTTGCTTGGGAACCCAGACAGTAGGCTACCACTTAAGGGCCAAAGCAAAATAGAAGAGTAAGAAGGAAAATCAAAAATTTTGTTCAACATTAGTCATGTTTTGTCTGAGAAAGACAAGCTAGCTAGTATTTTTACCGCTGGAGCAAAGAGAAGCTTGTCACCACCCAGCACTTTGAGCTCCATATAGAAAGTCTGCAAAGTTCTTAAGCCCGAGCATAGAATAATTCCATGCTTGCTTTCCATATCCTGGTACTGTGCTGAGGGCTCCTTTGTTACACCCAACAGGCAGCTTTCTAGCACTGCCCATGTGTTTGTGTTGTGCTCTCTAACGGAGCTTGTCTGCACGTCAGCACAGACATTATCAGAAGCCCCAAGGGGTGAATGTGGTATCCAGCCAGGAAGGCAAGGGTTGGGCAGGTCAGGAAACCAGGCAGTAGGGATTGGTAGCCCTCCCTGCTCTAGCTGCTGACTGCAACCAACTGTGGGCACTGGCTTTTGCAAAATCAAACGCTATGCAGACCTGGCGTTGGGTTTTAAAGCAATGTTCTAAAACATGGAGCTAGTTGTCACAGTCAATTGAATCTAGTCCTTTCTGCTGGCACTGTTAGCTGAAGGGATTGGAATTTGAAAGCAGTATTTTGTTCATGAGGAGGTAAACTGTTCTTGCAACAAGAACAGTCAATAAACAAGTAATCACCATTAAATTTGTATGGATTTCTATTATTATTAAAAAAATCATGTCTGCACTGCATGACCCTTTGGAAATTGGAGAAATCTTTCACTTGCCCAACTCCAGAATATATCTGGTTGCATCAATCACACCATCTGTCCTGCCTTCCATATATAAAGGAAGAAGGCTGCCTTCAGATAATCATTGGCTAGACAGTGCCTCACAGGAAAATGTGCATTGCTAAGAGGATATCTATTGTCTCATCTTAACAGTAAGAAACTTAATTTCCAAAAACAAGTCATAATCTAACCAAAGAGACACTTCACTTTCTGTTTTGTTTGGGTTGTGGCTGACAGAGAAGGCTGGACATGAAACACCCTCATAACATTCTCAGGCATATCTGTTTTGTTGTTAATGGGATTTGAAGAGAGACAGTTTTAACCCTATGTGTTATCTGAAGTCTTGAAAGGCATCTTTAATAATTAGAATACTCATTACCTGCCCCCTCCAGAGGTTTCCATTTTAATTTTCACTTGCCTTTTGTGTTAGACAGAAAAAAAAAGATGAAGTGACAGACAGATCAGAATAACGCTCTCTTCATGAAAAGCTTCTGTCTGCCACAACAATGGCACCCCCTTAAATATCTGTTGCCTTGCCCCCTAAACACACAATGTTATTAAAATTTGTTCATATTTGTATTCAAAACATTTGCCTCCAAAAATTAGACTAAGTTACTTTAAACCTGCCTCTCTGCTCACTGCCTCTTATAAATCAACCACAGATACTGAGTTTCTACTTTGGGTCAGACATGCTCACATAGCTGAAGTCATCCTGGTACATAGTTTAGTACCTTTAATATAGAAGTTGGAAATTGCCAAATACATGATTTTCACCATGGCCAGATGTATGTATGTAATATTGTCCACATTTTGATTATGAGTAAAGTTCCCCATCATTGCTAGCTTTAATTTCATCACAATCCATTAAGTTCCTACCTGTGTTATACATTGTGATGATTAATATTGAGTGTCAACTTGATTGGATTGAAGGATGCAAAGTATTGTTCCTAGGTGTGTCTGTGAGGGTGTTGCCAAAGGAGTTTAACATTTGAGTGAGTGGATTGGGAGAGACAGACCCACCCTCAATCAGCTGCCAGTGTGGCTAGAATAAAGCAGGCAAAAGAAAGTTGAATGAGCAGACTTGCTGAGTCTTCTGCTCTTCATCTTTCTCTCGTGCTGGATGCTTCCTGCCCTTGAACTCAGACTCCAAGTTCTTCAGCTTTGGGGCTCTCAGGCTTACACCAGTGGTTTGCCAGGGTCTCTTGGGCCTTTGGCCACAGATTGAAGGCTGCACTGTCAGCTTCCCTACTTTTGAGGTTTTGGGACTCGGACCGGCTTCCTTTCTCCTCAGCTTGCAGACAGCCTATTGTGGGACTTCACCTTGTGATCCTGTGAGTCAATACTCCTTAATAAATGCCCCTACTTATAAACATTTATCTTATTAATTCTGTTCCCCTAAAGAACTCTGACTAATACACACATTTTATCAGGTTCGTAAAGTATATGTGATCTCTACTGTCTAAAGTATAGGGTTATATGTGAAGAGTGAGAGATGGCAATTGGAACAGAGCCTGGAGTTTCACATGTAAACATGAATTTTTGTTACCTGTAATGTCAAGGACAAATTCCTCAGCTTCCCATAACTAGTCTCAACCTACTAATTGAGCTTGATATTCCCAATAATATCTAACATGGTTCCTACAGACCAGCTTCTTCCCGATTCCCCACATATCCTGTAGATTTCTGGAGTTTATTTATATATGGAATCTTCAGTATTCATCTGTAACATATGGCTTCTTTCACTTACCATTATGTTTGTGAAATCCATGCATATTCTTGTTTATAGCTATAGTTTGCTTTCATTGCTATATAATATGCCATTGTATGAATGCATTAACATTTATTCATTCTACTATTGGGAAATCTGGGCTATTTCTAGTTTGGGGCCATTGTACTCATGTCCTCTTCCATATGTCTTTGGCACATACATGTACACATTTTACTGGGTATTGCAGCATCTGTTATATTCATATCCTCTTGGAGTCTGTTCCATCTATATCCTCTTGGAGTCTGCAATTTCCTTGTACTGTAGCCCAACTTCCAACTGCCCACATTTATGATTCTATACTTGAAGGATCTTTCACCACTGAAGTCCTCTGTGCTTATATACTAAGCAGGACAGAAGTGCCAGGAAATTTTCAACCCTGGAATAATTAATGATAGGATTGCCCCTTGGGTGAGATGAGTCTAATGTGCTTCCAATGTTCCGTAGTAGAAAGCTCTTGTTGCTCCCATAGGTATGTTTCTTGATAAGGTGCTCTTCATTGGCTTCCCTCCTACCCATGTCTTGCTGCCCCATCCCTCTACTGGTATTACTGGGGTCATCTCTCAGAAAAACTACTTACATTTAAACCCTTGTCTCATGGCCTGCTTCTGGGCAAACCCAAAGCAAAACAACAATTTTCCCCTCTATTCACTGCTCTTTAAATGTTTACCCTACAGATTATGACATATTTAACTTATTAATGTTTAATGTAAATTAATAGATGTACAACATCTCGGACAATTTGAAGACATTTTGGTTCCATCTACCCCTTCCTCCTTTTGGACTTTTACTGACATACTTTAAATATAATTTAAGCCCAGCAAAATATTGTTTTACTTGTTTCATACAGGACATATTCACTTAGATTTGCCCACATATTTACTCTTTCCATTGTTCTTTACTTCTTCCTGCATTTCCATCCTCCTATCTGGGATCATGTTCCTTTTATTTGAAAAAGATTTGTCATTCTTTATCTCAGTGTAGGTCTACTGGTAAAAAAAAAAAAAAAAAAAAAAAAAAAAAAAAAAAACTCTCTGTTTTGGTTTGCCTGAAATTATGTTTACTTTAGTTGCTTTTTGAGAATATTTGCACTGGGTATAGAACTCTAAGTTGGCAGTGATTTTTCCCCCCAGCATGTTAAAGCTGTCAATTATAGTCTTCTGGCTTCCATTGTTTCTGTATGATATTCTTACTTCTTCTGAAGCTCATTTTTTTCTATTGTTTTTAAGATCTCTTGCTTGCCTTCAACAGTTTTACTGTTGTAGATGCGCTTAGGCTTGGGAGTCTTGTATTTATCCTGCTTTGGGTTTGAAGCAGTTCTTAGATCTTGTAGCTTGATGTCTTATAAGTATTAGAAAAATCTTAGCAATGGCTCATCAAATATTGCTTTTCACCCATTCTCTCTCTCCTAGCCTTATGAACTTCAATGACACAAACATTAGGCCTTTACAAAATACCCTATAAATCTTTTACGCTCTTTTCTATATTTTATTTCTATGTTTCAGTCTACATTTTTTTCTTGCTCTGTTTCCCAGGTTCTGGAGTGTAGTGGCGCAATCATAGGCCGGGCTCAAACAATCCTCCCACCTCAGCCTCCTAAGTAGCTGGGATTACAGGTGTGACGCACCACACCCAACCCAGTCTACTGTTTTTAAACATTTAAATTGTGCCTAATCTGCTGATAAACCCATCTATTAGTTTCTTAACATTAGCTACAATATTTTTCAATTTTGAAATTTCCATGTGACACTATTTCATCATTTTCACACTGTGCTAAAATTCTCCATTTTGTTAATTTTTTGGACACAGTAACTTGTGTTTGATAACTAGAATATGAGGGTTTTTTATGTGTGAATTTCTATAAACTTTTATCCTCTTGGTTAGTTTCTGTATATTGTTTGCCTAGTTTTGTTTTTGTTCTGTTTATTTAAACACCAACCATCACCTTAAGGCTGTGAATGATTTTATATTCCTCCAAAGTGGACTCCCTTTTGCTTGTGGCAGACAATTAGAGTAGGAACAGATCTTTCTTTAACCCAAAATTGAGATGATTTAAATGGAGTTTTAATCTCTGTGAGAGTTGGTCTATTTCCAGTTTGTTCTCATTCCTTCAATGTAGCTTTTAAGGGTCTCAGCTAAAAGCCTCAAATACTTATGAGGGACTTCCACCCTTGGCAGATGCTGGACTTCATTGTTTCCTCAGCCCCGTGATCACCAAAACCCCTCTCAGCTGCTACATTACAATTGGCTAATATCTTTTTTTTTAAAGAATGCTCATAACATCTGTATTCATGACAGCCACAATGTAGAAAAAATTCAAAGTTTATCAATAAGAGAATGTGGTATATTCATACAATGAAATACGAGTCCACAATAAACATGGAAGAACTAATACATGCAACAACTTCAAGAAATCCCATAAATGCTATGTATACCAAAGAAACCTAACACAAAAGAGTAAATCCTGAATGGTTCCATTTATCTCAAGTTCTAGAACAGAAAAAACTAAACCATGGTGATAGAAACTGTATCAGTAGTTCCTTGGGAGGCAGGGTTTTCACTGGGAATGGCATGAGAAAACTTTTTGGGAGATGTATCTTTTTTTTTTGTTCTATCCTCTTATTTTTTTTTTCTTTTTTTCTTTTTTACTTTTAAGCTTTAATTTTTTTATTTCACTAGGTTTTTGGGGAACCAGTGGTGTTTGGTTACATGAGTAAGTTCTTCAGTGGTGATTTCTGAGATTTTGGTACACCCATCACCCAAGCAGTGTACCCTGTACCTAATGTGTAGTCTTTTATCCCTTGCCACCCCACTCTTTCCCCTAAGTCCCCAGAGTCCAACGTATCATTCTTATGCCTTTGCGTCTTCAGAGCTTAGATCTCACATATGAGTGAGAACGTACAATGTTTGGCTTTCCATTCCCGAGTTACTTCACTTAGAATGATAGTCTTCAATTCCATCCAGGTTGCTGCGAATGCCATTAATTCATTCCTTCTTATGGCTGAGTAGTATTCCATGGTATTTATATACCACATTTCCTTTATCCACTCATTGATTGATGGGCATTTGGGCTGGTTCCATATTTTTGCAATTGCAAATTGTGTTCCTGTAAACGTGTGTGCAAGTATCTTTTTGGTAATAATGACTTATTTCCCTCTGTGCAGGTACCTAGTAGTGGGATTTCTAGATCAAATGGTCGATCTACTTTTAGTTCTTTAAGGAATCTCCACACTGTTTTCCATAGTGGTTGTACTAGTTTACATTCCCATCAACAGTGTAAAAGTGTTTTTCCCTTTTCACCGCATCCATAGCAACATCTGTTATTTTTTGATTGTTTGATTATGGCCATTCTTGCAGGAGTGAGGTGGTATTGCATTGTAGTTTTGATTTGCATTTCCCGGATAATTAGTGATGTTGAGCATTTTTCCATATGCTTGTCTGCCATTTGTATATCTTCTTTTGAGAATTGTCTATTCATGTCCTTAGCCCACTTTTTGATTAGATTGTTTATTTTTTCCTTGCTGATTTGTTTATGTTCCTTGTAGATTCCAGATATTAGTCCTTTGTCAGATATATAGATTGTGAAGATCTTCTCTGACTCTATGGGTTGTCTGTTAACTCTGCTGATTATTTCTTTTGCTGTGCAGAAGCTTTTTAGTTTGGTTAAGTCCCATCTACTTTGTTTTTGTTGCATTTGCTTTTGTGTTCTTGGTCATGAAGTCTTTGTCTAAGCCAATGTCTAGAAGATTTTTTCTGATGTTATCTTCTAGAATCTTTATAGTTTCAGTTCTTAGATTTAAGTCTTTGTTCCAGCTTGAGTTGATTTTTGTATAAGGTGAGAGATGAGGAGCCAGTTCCATTCTTCTATATGTGGCTTGCCAATTATCCCAGCAACATTTGTTGAATAGGGTTTCTCCACTTTATGTTTTTGTTTGCTTTGTTGAAGACAAGTTTGCCGCATTTGGCTTTATTTCTGGGTTCTCTATTCTGTCCATTGATTTATGTGCCTATTCTTATACCAGTACCATGCTGTTTTGGGGACTATGGCTTTATAGTATAGTTTGAAGTTGGGTAATGTGATGCCTCCAGATTTGTTCTTTTTGCTTAGTCTTGCTTTGGCTATGCAGGCTCTTTTTTGGTTCTATATGAATTTTAGGATTTTTTTTAGTTCTGTGAAGAATGATGGTAGTATTTTGATGGGAATTACATTGAATTTGTAGATTGCTTCTGGCAGTATGGTCATTTTCACAATATTGATTCCATCCATCCATGAGCATGGGATGTGTTTCTATTTGTTTGTGTCATCTATGATTTCTTTCAGCAGTGTTTTGTAGTTTTTCTTGTGGAGGTCTTTCACATCCTTGGTTTGGTATATTTCTAAGCATTTTATTTTATTTTTGCAGCTCTTGTGAAAGGGATTGAGTTCTTGATTTGATTCTCAACTTGGTTGCTGTTGGTGTATAGCACAGCTACTGATTTGTGTACATTAATTTTGTATCCTGAAACATTGCTGAATTCATTTACCAGTTCTAGGAGCTTTTTGGATGATTCTTTAGGGTTCTCTAGCCATACAATCATATCATCAGCAAACAGCGACAGTTTGACTTCCTCTTTACAAATTTGGATGCCCTTTATTTCCTTCTCTTGTCTGATTGCTCTGGCTAGGAGTTCCAGTACTATGTTGAGTAGAAGTTTTAAAAGTAGGTATCCTTGTCTTAATCCTGTTCTTAGGGGGAATGCTTTCGATTTTTCCCCATTCAATATAATGTTGGCTGTGGGCTTGTTGTAGATGCATTTTATTATCTTAAGGTATGTCCCTTCTATGCCGATTTTGTTGAGGGTTTTAATCATAAAGAGATGCTGGATTTTGTCAAATGCTTTTCTGCATCTATTGAGATGATCATGTGATTTTTGTTTTTAATTCTGTTTATGTGGTGTATCACATTTATCAACTTATGGATGTTAAACCATCCCTGCATCCCTGGCATAAAACCCACTTGATCATGGTGGATTATCTTTTTGACATACTGTTGGATTCAGTTCACTAGCATTTTTTTAAGCATTTTTGCATCTATGTTCATCAGGGATATGGTCTGTAGTTTTCTTTTCTTGTTATGTCCTTCCCTGGTTTTGGTATTAGGGTGATACTGGCTTCACAAAATGATTTAGGGAGGATTTACTCTTTCTCTATCTTTTGAAATAGTGTCAATAGAATTGGTACCAGTTCTTCTTTGAATGTCTGATAGAATTCAGCTGTGAATCCATCTGGTCCTGGATTTTTTTTTCTTTTTTTGGCAATTTTTTTTACCATTTCAATCTCAATCCTTGCGATTTGCCTGTTCAGAGATTCTATATCTTTCTGGTTTAATCTAGGAGGGTTGTATATTTCCAAGAATTTATCCATCTTCTCTAGGCTTTCTAGTTTATGCGTATAAAAGTGTTCACAGTGGACCTGAATAATCTTTTGTATTTCTGTGGTATCAGTTGTAATACCTCCCATTTTGTTTCTAATTGAGCTTATTTGGATCTTCTGTCTTCTTTTCTTGGTTAATCCCACTAATAGTCTATCAATTGTATTTATCTTTTCAAAGAACGAGCTTTTGGTTTTATCTTTTCAAAGAACGAGCTTTTGGTTTTATCTTTTCAAAGAACGAGCTTTTGGTTTTATCTTTTCAAAGAACGAGCTTTTGGTTTTATCTTTTGTGTTTTTTGTTTGTTTCAATTTCATTTAGTTCTTCTCTGACCTTTGTTATTTATTTTTTGCTGGGTTCAGGCTTAAATTGTTTTTGTTTCTCCAGTTCTGTAATGTGTGACTTCAGATTGTCTATTTGTGCTCTTTCAGACTTTTTGATGTAGGCATTTAATGCTACGAACTTTCCTCTTAGCACTGCTTTTGCTGTATCCCAGAGGTTTTGATAGGTTTTGTCACTATTACTGTTCAGTTCAAAGAAATTTTTAATTTCCATCTTGATTTCATTGTTGAGCCAATGATCACTCAAGAGCAAGTTATTTAATTTCCATGTATTTGCATGGTTTTGAGGGTTCCTTTTGGAGTTGATTTCCAATTTTATTCCACTGTGGTCTGAATAGTACTTGATATAATTTTGATTTTCTTAATTTTACTGAGATTTGTTTTGTGGCCTATCATATAATCTATCTTGAAGAATATTCCACATGCTGATGAATAAAATGTATATTCTGTAGTTGTTGGGTAGAATGTTCTATACATATCTGTTAAGTCCATTTCTTGTAGTGTATAGTTTAAGTCCATTATTTCTTTGTTGATGTTCTGTCTTGATAACCTATCTGGCACTATCAGTGGAGTATTAAACTCCCCCTCTATTATTGTGTTGCCCTCTCATTTCTTAGGTCTGGTAGTAATTGTTTTATAAGATTAAGAGCTCCAGTGTTAGGTACCTATATATTTAGAATTGTGATATTTTCCTGTTGGACTAGTCCTTTTATCACTATATACTGTCCCTGTTAGTCTTTTTAATGCTGTTGCCTTAAAGTTTCTTTTGTCTGATATAAGAATAGCTACTCCTGCTCACTTTTGGGGTCCATTTGCATGGAATATCTTTTTCCAACCCAGTCCTTATGCATTAGGTGAATCTCTTGAGGACAGCAGAAATTTGGTTGAATTTCTTATCCATTCTGCCATTCTGTATCTTTTTTTTTTCTTTTTTTTTTTTTTGAGACAGAGTTTCATTCTTGTTGCCGAGGCTGGAGTGCAATGCCATAATCTCTGTTCACTGTAACCTCCATCTCCTGGGTTCAAGTGATTCTCCTGCCTGAGCGTCCCAAGGAACTGAGATTACAGGCATCCGCCACCACACCCAGCTAATTTTTGTATTTTAGTAGAGATGGGGTTTCACCATGTTGGTGAGGCTGGTCTTGAAACTCCTGACCTCAGGTGATCCACCCACCTCGGCCTCCTAAAGTGCCAGGGTTACAGGCATGAGCCACCGCGCCTGGCCCATTCTGTATCTTTCAAGTGGAGCATTTAGAATACTTACATTTAATGTTAGTAGGGAGACATGAGACACTATTCTATTCATCATGCTATCTGTTGCCTGAGTATCTGGTGTGGGCTTTTGTTTTGTTTTGCATTGTGTTATCATTATATAGGTCTTGTGAGATTTATGCTTTAAGGATATTCTATTTTGATGTATTTCAAGAATATATTTCAAGATTTAGAGCTTCTTTTAGCAGTTCTTGTAGTCCTGGCTTGGTAGTGGTGAATTCTCTCAGCATTTGTCTGGAAAAAAAACTGTATCTTTCCTTTATTTATGAAGCTTAGTTTTGCTGGATATGAAATTTCTGGATGATTTGTTTTGTTAAAGGAAGCTAAAAATAAGATCCCAATTCCTTCTAACTTGTAGGGATTCTTCTGAGAAATCTGCTGTTAATATGATAGGTTTTCCTTTACAGGTTACCTGATGCTTTTGCCTCATAGCTCTTAAGATTCTTTCCTTCATCTTGACTTTAGATAACCTGATGACTACATGCCTAGGCAACGATCTTTTTGCAATGGATTTCCCAGGTGTTCTTTGAGTTTCTTGTGTTTGGATGTCTAGATCTCTAGCAAGCTGGGGAAGTTTTCCTTGATTATTTTCTACTTTTAGATTTCTCTTCTTTCTTATGAACACCAATTAATCTTAGGTTTGAACATTTAACATAGTCCCAAACTTCTTGAAGGCTTTGTTCATTTTTTAAAATTCTTTTTTCTTTGTCTTTGACAGATTGGGTAATTCAAAAGCCTTGTCTTCAAGCTCTGAAGTTCTTTCTTCGGCTTCTTTGATTCTATTGCTCAGACTTTCCAGTGTATTTTGCATTTCTCTAAGTATGTCCTTGATTTCCAGAAGTTGTGATTGTTTTTTATTTATGCTATTTCACTGAAGAATCTTCCTTTCATATCCTGTATCATGTTTCTTATTTCTTTAAGTTGGACTTCACCTTTCTCTGGTGCCTCCTTGATTAGCTTAATAATCAACCTTTTGAATTCTTTTTCTGGTAATTCAGAGATTTCGTCTTCGTTTGGATTCATTGCTGGTGAGCTGCTATGATATTTTGGGTGTGTTAAAGAACCTTGGTTTGTAATATTATGAAAATTGTTTTTCTAGTTCATTCTCACTTGGGTAGACTATGTCAGAAGGAAGATCTGGGACTCAAGGGCTGCTGTTCAGAGCCTTTTGTCCTACAGAGTGCTACTTTAATGTGGTGTTCTCCCCCTTCCCCTAGGAATGGGGCTTCCTGAGAGCCAAACTGTAGCAATTGTTTTTGCTCTTCTGGGTCTAGCCACCCAGCGGAGCTACCAGGCCCTGGGCTGGTACTGGGGAGTATCTGCAAAGAGTCCTGTGATGTGATCTGTCTTCAGGTCGTGCAGTTGTGGATACCAGCACCTGCTTTGGTGGAGGTAGCAGGGGAGTGAAGTGGACTCTGTGAGGGTCCTTGGTCGTGTTTTGTTTAGTGTGCTGGTTTTGTTGGTTGGCCTCCAGTCAGGGGGTGGTGCTTCCAAGAGTGCATCAACTGCAATTCTATAGGGAGGATGCAAACTTTCCCTAGGGACACCTGGTTAAGTATTCAGGTTTCTCAGTGGGCAGGGCCATAGAACTCCCAAGACATTATGACCTTTGTATTTGGCTTCCAGGGTGGGTAGAGAAAGACCACCAGGTTGGGGCAGGGATAAGGAGTGTCTGAGCTCAGCCTTTTCTTGGGCAGGGCTTGCTATGGCTGCTGTGGGGAATAGGGGTGTGGTTCCCAGTACAATGGAGTTATATTCTCATGGGAATTATGGCTGCCTCTGTTGAGTCATACAGGTCACCAGGAAAGTGGGGGAAAGCTGGCAGTCACAGGCCTCACCCCTGTTCCCATGCAGCCCACAGTCCTAAAGGCTGGTCTCACTCTCACTGTGCCCCTCCAACAGCACGTAGTCTATTTCCAGGCAGCTGGTGACCAGGGCTGAGAACTTGCCCCAGACCAAAAGCTTCCCCACTGAGAAAGTAAGCAGACATGGTTTTTCAGTGTCTCAGAGAGCCTGCAGTGGTGATCCAGTTCCTTCAAAGGGTCTGTGGATACTCTCGGCTTTCCTGATATATTCCCGTGGTAGTTCTTGGAGCAAAAGTTCACGATGTGAGTCTCCACATGTTGCTCTGTCTGAGCAGAAGCTGCAAGCTAGTCCTAAGTCTTGCTTCTGGCAGATGTATCTTCATTAAGATAGAGGTTACATGGAGGTACAGATTTGTCAAAACCTCATCAAGCTGTACTCTTAACATTTATGCATTTTGTCATATAAAAATTATATCTCAATGAAGTTTATAAAGTTAAAAATAAAGTAAGCACACAATTCATTATGCTGAGAATTATCAGAAAAAAAACTTAGAGACACTAAAATTGGTTATTTTGTGAATGAAATTGGAGAAATATCAGATATTTTGCATTTAAAGATTTTTATTTTATTTTTTATTTTTTTAAGTTCCAGGGTGCATGTGCAGGATGTGCAGGTTAAATAGGTAAATGTGTGTCATGGTGGTTTGCCACACCTATCAACCCATCACCTAGATATTAAGCCCAGCATGCATTAGCTATTTTTCCTTATGTTGTCCCTTTCTGCCCCCCCAATAGGCCCCAGTGTGTGTTGTTCCCCTCCCTGTGTCCATGTGTTCTCATTGGTCAGTTCCCAGTTATAAGAACATGTGGAGTTTGTTTTTCTGTTCCTGCACTAGTTTGCTGAAGATAATGGATTCCAGCTCCATTCGTGTCTCTGCAAAGAACATGATCTCATTCCTTTTCATGACTGCATAGTATTCTATAGTGTATGTGTACCACTACCACATTTTCTTTATCCAGCCTATCACTGATGGGCATTTCCATTGATTCCATGTCTTTGCTATTGTGAATAGTGCTGCAATGAACATACACATGCATGAATCTTTATAACAGAATGATTTATATTCCTTTGTGTATATACCCAGTAATGAGATGGCTGGATCAAATGGTATTTCTGGTTCTAGATCTTTGAGGAGTAGCCACACTGTTTTCCACAATGGTTGAACTTATTTACATTCCCATCAACGGTGTAAAAGCATTCCTATTTCTCTGCAACCTTATTGGCATCTGTTGTTTCTTGACTTTTTAATAATCACCATTCTGATTGTCATGGGATAGTATCTCATTGAGGTTTTGATTTGCTTTTCTCTAATGATCAGCGATGTTGAGCTTTTTTTCATATATTTGTTGGCCGCATAAATGTTTTTTTCTGAGACGTGTCTGTTCATATCCTTTGCGAACTTTTTAATAAGATTGATTGTTTTTTCTTTCTTGTAAATTTGTTTAAGTCCTTTGCAGACTCTGGATATTAGACCTTTGCCAGATGGATAAATTGCAAACATTTTCTCCCATCCTATAGGTTGTCTGTTCACTCTGATAGTAGTTTCTTTTGCTGTGCAGAAGCTCTTCAGTTTAATTAGATTCCATTTGCCATTTTTTACTTTTGTTGCAATTGCTTTTGGCATCTTCATCATGAAATCTTTGCCCATGCCTATGTTCTGAATAGTATTGCCTAGATTTTCTTATAGGATTTTTATAGTTTTGAGTATTACATGTAAGTCTTTAATCCATCTTGAGTTAATTTTTGTATAAGGTGTAAGAAAGTGGTCAAGTTTCAATTTTCTGCATATGGATAGCCAGTTCTCCCAGCACTATTTATTGCATAGGGAATCCTTTCCCCATTGCTTGTTTTTGTCAGGTTTGTCAAAGATCAGATGGTTGTTGATGTGCGGTCTTATTTCTGAGTTCTCTATTTTGTTCTGTTGGTCTGTGTGTCTGCTGTTGTACCAGTTCATGCTGTTTCAGTTACTGTAGCCTTGTAGTATACTTTGAATTCGGGTAGCATGATGCCTATAGCTTTGTTCTTTTTGCTTAGTATTGTCTTGTCTATACAGGCTCTTTTTTGGTTCCATATGAATTTTTTAAAAGGTTTTTTTCTGATTCTGTGAAGAATGTCAATGGTAGTTTAATGGGAATAGCATTGAATCTATAAATTACTTTGGGCAGTATGACCATTTTCACAATATTCATTCTTCCTATCCATGAGCATGGAATATTTTTCCATTTGTTTCTGTCCTCTCTGATTTCCTTGAGTAGTGGTTTATAGTTCTCCTTGAGGAGGTCCTTCACTTCCCTTGTTAGCTGTATTTCTAGGTATTTTATTCTCTTTGTAGCAATTACAAATAGGAGTACATTTGTGATTTGGCCCTCCGCTTATCTGTTGTGTATAGGAATGCTTGTGATTTTTGCACATTGGTTTTGCATCCTGAGATAAGTTGCTTATCAGCTTAAGAAGCTTTTGGGCTGAGATGATGGGGTTTTCTAAATATAAGAAGATCATTTCATCTGCAAATAAAGACGATTTGACTTCCTCTCTTCTTATTTGAGTACCCTTTATTTCTTTCACTTGCCTGATTGCCCTGGCCAGAACTTCTAATACTATGTTGAATAGGAGTGATGGGAGAATGCATCCTTGTCTTGTGCCAGTTTTCAAGAGAAATGCTTCCAGCTTTTGCCCATTCAGTATGATATTAGCTGTGAGTTTGTCATAAATGGCTCTTATTATTTTGAGGTATGTTCCTTCAATACCTAGTTTATTAAGAGTTTTTAACATGAAGGGATGTTGAATTATATTGAAGGCCTTTTCTGCATCTATCAGTTAGTCACGTGGTTTTTGTCTTCAGTTCTTTTTATGTGATGAATTACATTTATTGATTTGCATATGTTGAACCAACCTTGCATCCTGGGGATGAAGCCAACTTGATTGTGGTGGATAAACTTTTTGATGTGCTGCTGTATTCAGTTTGCCAGTATTTTATTGAGGATTTTTGGATCAATGTTCATCAGGAATATTGCCCTGAAGTTTTCTCTTTTTTGTTGTATCACTGCCAGGTTTTGGTATCGGGATGATTCTGGCCTCATAAAATGAGTTAGGGAGGAATCCCTCCTTTTCAATTGTTTGGAATATTTTCAGAATAAATGGTAACAGCTCCCCTTCGTACCTCTGGTAGAATTCAGCTGTAAATCAGTCTGGGTCCGGGGTTTGGTGGTGGTGGTGGTGGGTAGGCTGTTGAGAATTGGCTAATATCTTGGTTGATGAAGCAGTGTCAAATGTTATGCTTGCATCTCTGAGCTTTCCTTTTGTATAGGACCCTAAAGTCCTTGCTGCTTAGGAGCTCTCCAATGCCTTTAAACAATAGTTCTTAAATCCACTTTTCTGGCATTGTTGGTGGGAGAGTTGTTCTGATGACAGCTAGTCTGGCAGAGCCCAAACAATTAATTCATTTCTACCCACAAAAAGTCAAGCTCAAGTATTACCTACTCCAAAAGTCTTCTGTTTACTCTGGTCCCTAGAGTAAACAGAGTTCCAATCTGTGAACATTAAGGGCATTTTTAGTTATACTTCATGTATTTTAGTATACAGTTCCATTCTTCTTAAATTTGCCTCACTAGTCTCTTGAGTAACAGATTTATATTGAATCATATATGTGTAGAATTATGTCACTATAATAATATGCGATATAATAAACCTATAAACATGTAGGTAGTAAATGATACTTATTATTGTAATTATATAATCTATAGAAGTGTAAGTTGATATCCCAGCACACCTCTAAACACTCCAAAAGCCCAGAATCTAGCACTTATATTGCCTTATATTCATTGGCGGAAAATTTGGAGAGCGAAAAGAAATATAGAAGTAGCCTCACTTGTTACCCTTATTTACCTGACAGAAGTCATTCAATATAAGCAGTGTCCAACATAGTGCCTCTCCATAGTACCTATTCAGTCAATAATAGTTCCCCATCCATTCCCTTTCTTAAGAGAAAAAACATCTCTCTCACTCTCTCCACTTCTCTTAGATATAGAAACAAAAATTATAGGATCTACAGTTATTTTCACTACGTAGCATATGCCCATCAAGTGCAATGAGAGAGTGAAGAATGTTGAATATTCTCCAACAGCTCTACTGCCTGGAGAATGTGCAATTAGTGTATCCTTTCCAATTCAGTTTAGGGAATTATGTAATTTTAGGTAAATAACAAGGGAGACAACTTAGCCTAGTGGCTAAAAACATAGTCTTTGTGTGCCTGGCTTATTTTACTTAGCATAATACCCTCTATGTTTATTCATGTTGTTGCAAATAACAGAATTCCTTTCTTTTTTTAAGGCTGAATAGTATTCTACTGTGTATATACGCCACATTTTAAAATACATTCATCAACCGATGGACACTTAGGTTGATTCCATATGTTAGATATTGTGAATAATACTGCAATGAACATGACAGGGCATATGTCTTTTCGGGATACTGGTGTCAATTTATAAATTTATATATATATATATATATATAAATGGGTATTATATATGTATATTATATATAATATGTATTTGATATATATGTATATTATATATAATATGTATTTGATATGTATGTATATTATATATATAATATGTATTTGATATATATGTATATTATATATAATATGTATTTGATATATATGTATATTATATATATAATATGTATTTGATATATATGTATATTATATATATAGAAGTGGCATTGCTATATCTATATGGCAATTCTATTTGTTGTCAATTAAAAATAAAAATTAAACATTAAAAAATCAGAGTCTTTGGAGCAGACCCAGTTGCATTCACATTCCAGATCCACAAATTATTGATTATGTTGCTTTGGGAAAGTCACTTAATATCTCTAAACTCCATTTTCCTCATACGTAAAGTAAAGCATAACAGTACTACCTTATTGGGTTGTTGGGAGGATTGAGGAGATAAGTTACATGGAATGCTTGGAATAGGGTGTATATTATGCACATTCAATTAATGTTACATATCAGAGTAGAGTTTATATGTTTATATCCTACTGCTCTTCAATGGGCATGCTCTCAGTATAACATGATATTCCACAGATGTTTAATTTTATGTCCTTATTCAAGAGCACTTGGATAGGGAACAACATGCTGAAGAATTTGCTATGGATTGCTTGTCCTGACTTTACCACAATTCACCCAACAGGACGTGCAAATAAAGTCACATTAAAGACAAACTGCCTCATTTCTGTGGTTCTTTCTTCCACCTACTTACACAGCTGCATCCTTCTGCATCCTCTTCTTCAGAGGGCAATTCAATCCCCTGGAGAGAGTTGCTTTAGATAGAGCTCCATAGATTCAGTTTCTCTCATGGAACAAAACTAGTGTCTGGTTTAGGGGGAAATATCTACACACAGGAGACTTAACTGAAGCTATCCAAGAGAAATGGAAGTAGCAAGAAGAAAGCTGATGCATAGGGAAAGGGCAAGGAAGAAAACTAGTATGTATCAAGTGCCTCCTCTATCCTAGTCCTCCCTCTTCAGAGAGTACCTAGAAAGAAACTTCGAATCTAGTCAAACCAACAAATAACCCCGCTGTACCCAATCCCTAGAGGCCCTGCCAGAAATTCATCAGCCATTAGTCCAATCTGGTTTAAGGTTCATCTGGCTCCATTATGTTGGTTAACACATTCGTTTCCCTCTGACCAAACGTAATTGCTTTCTTCAGGCTTCACCTAGCACCAAGCTTTCAAATTCCCTTTCCTTATGTGGAAAAAAAGAAAAGGGGCTCATCAGGATGGTTTTTATGGAAGTCTCTACCTGCCCCTGAGGGAGGAAACACAGAATTGAAATAGTTAGGCAGAGTGCTGTGCTCTGCCATTGCCTCAGGTTACCATACTGCTCAAGAGACAAAGGTGAGCTAGAGCCCTTTTCTTTCCCATAACACTGACAGATCAGTCTTCCTATTATGGAATGAGAGACTATGAATAAAAATGGCTTAACTGCAGTATAAAGAGGAAAAAAAGTTCAAGCAGATAATATGGGCAATTCTGCTATAATATGGCCAAGATGCAGACCTTCTCCACCCCATGGAGACAGAGCCTTGGACTCTCCCAAGGGAACTGATGAACGGCAGTTTCTTCCAGAATCCGGATCAGAGGCAGGGCATGACATTGTCTTTTCACCAAAAGCAGACTCCTAGTTAGGGACAATCTGGAGAGTGTTTGGTGAGATCCCTCATGTAGTTAGGGAGTCTGACAAAAAGAAAAAGAAAATCACTCTTTTCCTATTTTTCTTGGCTGAGTTTCCTTTTATTTTATTCTCTTTGTGAACCTGGCCCCCAGGATTCCAATAGCAAAATGTTTTAGAACAAACTACTTTAGAAACATCTTCATACTTTAGGGCATTGTTGTAAGCCAAGATAAAACATGAGAAATATGTTTCATTTTTACAAAAGCCTTAAAATGGACTTTGTAAATAAAACTTCTCTCCATATTTTCCATTCATGAACGTTAAACCCTTCAGCAAGGCTGACACTTGCTAAGGAGGTAAACATTCTGCCATAGCTTTTCTGTGTCTTACAAATTGGTTCAGTAGTTCTTCCAGTAGCAAAGGCATTAGAAAAGACTTACTAACCGGTGATCAGAGGCTGCCTAAGGCCACCTAAATTTCTCTGTCTGTATCAGCAATATCATGAAACAGTCATATTTGGACTTATCCTGTGAAGGCACATTTGTCAGCTGCAACAGTCCATTTGCGTCTCAAGAAGGCATTCAGTAATCCTACTGCATATGACTTTATATCCAGTCCAACCAAAGTGGAGATTATATGGTTAGTTTTATGACACTGTATCAAATAAAACAATGTAATCTTTAGTAACTGTATTAGATACTTTGGCATAAGATATGATCTAAAGTATATGTGTATACATGTTTAACATATGATAGTATATTGCATACACAATTCTCAGAATGGATAATTTAAACTGTATCTATATAAACATATACATATACACCCCTGCACACATTTCCTTAGATAGCTTCCTTCTGTGCTATACAGAGATAGCATAGACTATCTCTGTAAGGACACATGAGAAACATGGAAACATGAGATATATGAGAAATAGCAGAAGCACCTTACTCGCCAGCAATGAGTGGGGCATTATGAATGTCCTAGAAGAGTTCACAGACAAGTAGAGGATTGAGAGGCTCAAATGTAGAAAATAAAATGCAACATGATGGGTGGTATAACAGGCATGAATGTAGGGTTATGTGTTCTCATTTGAGTAGCTAAGCCCACCACTATGTTTATTTGCTGCAAAATAAATTCCTATTTCTATGCTGTAGGTAAAGTGTTTATTTGCCGAAATATTTCACTCGTTGGCAAGAAAAAAACACTGATAACCCCCACAGTGGCATGAAGCTCTGCAGGTGGTTTCAGGAGCCTAAATCTGAGAACTCTTAAGAGGGCCTCAATTTGTAATCAGAAAAGCCAAAGTTTGAATTTGAATTCAGTTACTTTCTTGGTGGGCAAATTGCCTGATGTCTAGGAACCTCAGTTCTCTAATCTGAACAATGGGAATAAAACTACTTGCAATATGTGTGTAGTGGGGAGGGGGGTGGGGTGAGGAGAATGTGTGTTGTTACTATGCTAGCATGTAAAAGGAGCTCAACAAATGGTGGTTGTTATGATGCTATTTATTAATAATAGCCATGGAGGATGATAAATACTTGAGAGTGGTCTTTAACTCACCATGAAGGGAAGGGAAAAGATAAGCTCATAAAGAATAAATGCAAACCAGAACAAACAGCTAAATATCTGCTACAGTTAAAAGCATAAATGTGCCTCCTCTTGGTTTATGAGGTCCATGATTATCTCTGTCTGCTGGGATATTCAGATAAACACACTATATTAGAGAGCAGGACTGTTCTATGGAAATCAATCAATAAAATAAAGAATCCAGAAATGACGGCAGCCTGATGATTGCTTTATTTGATCTGTTTATCTATTCATCTCTATGCCATCTGTCAGAGCCGCATCTGAGGGTAGGCTCCAGGGCCTTTACTCAGCTCAGGAGAGTCAAGGCTTATGGGTGGAAGAACCAGGCCAGCCTCAGGCACTATGGAGCAGCACATACAGGTGACTGCAGGTCAGTCTGAATGATGCAGGGTTAGATTCATGCTTCTTCTTCCTCTCTGTCTCACATGGCCATAGCAGCTAGTCTGGGGCAAGGGACAAAACCCAGAACAGAACCAACCCCTCCACAGTAGATCTAGACCTTCCTTATTAAGAAATGGGTCAAAACAAAATCATCAGGAATGAGGGGCCAGGCGGGGCTCTATTAGGTTGGCAGGAGCAAGACCACGGCCAGGGACTCCTACACTGGGAGTCAAGCTTATGCTGAGGGCAGGAAAGGCAAGTGCTTGCTCATCAAGTTACAGACAGGGACATGGGGGACTAAAGATGCAAGAGGCTGCCAGGGAAGTTAGGCCAATGGAGGTTTGCTGCCAAAGGCTGCCTATCATGGGGCTCGTCAGGATTTCACTTGGTAGCCCTTCTCAAGAGAAGTCCGTGTTCATCCTAAAGGAGACTGGTCTCCTGTGGAATGGGAGAGGAAAGTACAACAGTCTGGTCCTGCCGAGGCAATGGTCATGTCATCACTGAGCATCCAGGTTGATGCCTTAATGGCAAAGGAAGGTTTGGAGACACTTGTATTAAAGTCAAATAAAATCACAACTTCTAACAATGGTCTAAAAGATCCTTTTGACTTTCTTTAACTTCATTTCATGCCAATTTCCACTTTCCTCACCCTCCACCAGCCATACTTTCTGTCTCTGGATTGAACCATGCTCATCCCCATCCCAGGGCCTTACCTTTGCTGTTCACTCTTCCTCTGACTGTGACTGGCTCACTCATCACTCAGCCTCAGCTCAGGGTCAGCTCTTTAGAGAAGCCCTCCAGGAGCACTCCATCTACTGGAACTCTATTGCCTTTTATCACACCCTGTAATATTTTGTTTAAAGCCAAATGGAATATATTGGGTAAAAGGATCTGAGGCAAATAGGCCTTTAGTGTGAGGTTTTTATGTTTGTGTTTATATTTATTATTGCATGGAGTTAGGACATGTTTACTGTTTCCATAGATGTAGGTGCCAGAGGCTAGAATTTTCTGCAGTGTGCTTATTTCTGTCTACCCGCCTTGCCTTTGGGATTCCCTAGAGAATCCTTCTGAAATAGAATCTGGGCCTTACAGGGCTTTCTGTTGTAATCCGTCGTAACACAGGAGCCCTGCTAATGTGGTGGTAGGGTGTGGGGAGAGGCGAAGCATTCTGTAAATCTATGATTAGCTCACAGTCTTATAGTCAGCCTGTACCCCTGGGCTGTGATCTTCACAAGTGCTTCTCAGCTTTTGTCCTCCCTCAGGGGAAACAGAAAGGGTAGAGGAGTGTCTTTCCAGACCCTTCTGTGCTTATTTTAAACAAGTCAAATGCAGAACTCAAATCTCGCTTTCTCAAAAACCCCACATACATAATACCTGCCCCCCTCACTGCACATATCCACTCGGTTTTCTGCCACTTCTGGACAGCATGGCCAGGCCTTGTGTTTCTTCATATGTTGCCTCTTGAACATATGAAAGCAAGATACTAATAAGCATTTGGACTTATAATAATATTTTTATAATAACCTGGAGCAGATATATAGCTATATTTTCCTCCTTGGCTCCTGTCTGCAGTCTGTCTGGGCTTTTATCAATCTCAAATACTACTCCCAATGTATCTCCTCACTCATCACTGCTGTTTGTCCATTGAGTATCTGCTATGTGTAAATCCCTGTACATACATTAATACTCCCCTCACAACATCTCATTGAGACAGAGTGAGAATTATCTTTTTAATTCACAATTTACTAATACTAACACAGGTCTAAGAGATTAAATAAGTTGTTGACGGTCACACAGATATTACATGGCAGAAAGATAATGCAAAATCAGATTGCTGGGACCAAAACCTGTATGATTTCCAGTGGAACTCCTTATACAAACTCTTCTCGAATACCCTATACCTTCCTGCTCTATGCACAATGCTCAAAGAGTTTTCAATTTACAAAAAAAAAAAAAAAAAGTCCTATTAACGGGATTCCAAGTGGTGGACTCAGCCGGCAGCAACAGCCTCATGCTGCACAAGAGTCATCATTCAGATGGGGTTTGTTGTTCAGAGAGGCTGAGAGATTGAGATCTAGAAAAACAGGTCAAGAAACTAGGGAAAATTCTAGAATGTTCTGAGTGAAGCTACAGCTTAGGGATGTGTAAATTTTGCCCCCACATTGGCTAGGAGCAGTGGTTCTCAACTGGGGGCACTTTTGCCCCTCAGGGACACTTGGAAATGTCTGGAAACATTTTTGTTGTCACACTGAGGAAAGGGCTATTTCTAGGGGCATGCAGTAGGTAGAAGCCAGGGATGCTGCTAAACATCCTATAAAGCACAGGACAACCCCCTTTCCAACAAAGGATTATTCAGCTCAAATCATCAGTAGTGCCAAGTTGAGAAACCCTGGCCTAAAGGGAAGGAAGCTTTAACACTCCTGCTTGGAAGCAGCCCCAATCACCCCTGTGGTTGGAACTCTGGACATTGAAAGGGCCATGGCCTTCTTCCTGCATTGGATGGTGTATTAGTCCGTTTTCATGCTGTTGATAAAGGCATACCAGACACTGGGCAATTTACAAAAGAAAGAGGTTTAATGGACTTACAGTTCCACATGGCTGGGGAGGCCTCACAAGCATGGCAGAAGGCAAAGAGGAGCAAGTCACATCTTACGTGCATGGTGGCAGGCAGAGAGCTTGTGCAGGGCAACTCCCATTTTAAAAACCATCAGATCTCATGAGACTCAATCACTATCACGAGAACAGCAGGGGAAAGACCTGTCTCCATGATTCAACCACTTCCCACCAGGTTCCTCCCTCGACATGTGGAATTGTGGGAGTTACAATTCAAGATGAGATTTGGGTGGGGACACAGCCAAACCATGTCAGATGGTGACCTCCTTTGTTTTGGGGTCTAAGCATTCAAGTTAAGGGGAGGCATCCAGGCCTTCCCTGGCACTTGTGCAGCCTTGAGGAATGGGGTAGGGCAGTGTCTCTTATAGGGCCATTCCTGGGATTTCAAGATCATGCCTGACATCTGATGTCTCTCATTGGGGTTCCACAGAACATGTGACCTTAGAATCTAAAGCCCTCTTCTGTCATTTCTGCTACTCCCAACTTCCCCCCCTCCCTTCTCCATGCCCCATGACTTCTCTTCATTCTGTGCTCACCAGACTGTTCAAAACTCTCTGGCCCATGCTTCTGCCTTTGTCTGCTATCACACATCCTTCCCAGCATGTGCCAGATCACACCCTCTGCTCCCTTCATGGTCACTTTAGGACTTACCTTAACTTAGGAAGAGAGGCAGTGAGAAAAGGACCTTCTTCAGTCATAGAACTTCTCAAATGCCTGAATGACACTTTCTCATGCCACTGTCCCCACAGCAGTCATTTCATCTGTGCAATGTTGGGTTCGGGACACAGATTGGAGCCAGGGCCCATAAGAATTCATTGCAGGAACCAGTTCTATTTGGAGAACTTCCTAAAAACACTTTCTTCATGTAAGGCATCAGAATTGTTTTTAAATCTCTCATTTCACTCATGGTCCCAACTCCAGGATCCAAACAATAGCAGAGAAGGATACTATTGTTAAATAAATTAGTGGAAAATAACACATGATGAGCCATGTGTCATTGAGAGTATATTTTATGATGCTGTATTTATTAAATACATTCTGAGTAAATGAAACCTTTTAACCTTGAAGATATGTGGAAAAACAATGCCCTTCACTTGGCAATTGTTAGGGGAGAATTTACCCTGTGAATGATACGACTTTATATCAAAAAATAAACTAAGATTTCAAAATCCCAGAGAACAGAGCCTTAAATAATGTGTTGAGACGGTAACTTAAAAGATATCTGGAGCCTATGAAAACCCAGAGTCAGAAATTATATATCTCTTTTTCTTCCTCATAAAACATACTCTACGATAGAATATTTCACCTTTCATCTAAAAAAATCTCTCTTCTCCTTGCCTCTACCTCATAAATAACAGTAGTGAAGGAGAAAAATTAAGTTGGTACCCACATTGTCTGAGATGTGTTTCAGAGGACAATTACTTTCCAGAGCAGTTTTCAGATCAAAATGGTATCATGTTTTCTCATGAATTAGGTCAAGGAGGCTTGTGTCACAACTCAAATAATGTTGTAAGACAAAATGTCGTTCCCTGACACATGCAGCTCTGTAAGCTGATCTTAAACTTTTGAAATACTGGAAGCAGATAAAACATTATTACATCAAGGATAGTTAGCTACTCAGATAACAAGGAATGGCGATGGGGGAGGCACATCTTTATGTGCTAAATGATGCTCAGAATCACATAGTGCTTCATGGGCATTCCATCCACTTCACAGCCCTTTGTGAGCTGGCTGAGGCAGGCAGTTAATCCACATGGATATGACATGGTGGGGGGCGGCTGGGGACCAGGTGGAAAAGGCCACACATCCTGTGAAGATAAAATGTGTTCTAAGGGAAATTGGTGAAATTAAACTCAATTAACATTGACCAAATACCTTCTACATGGCAGACACAGAATATATGTAAGGATCTCACTACCACATAGGGGAGAGAGACAGGCAAGCTAATATTCACTATTCAGTCTCACAAGCTATAGGCTGAGTTTGCACGCAACAGAAAGTGAGATTCTCAAGTGAGGGGTAGAGATGGTTGAGATGATTCACCAAGAAGGTCATCCTTGAAGTAGAGTTTGGAAGACTGAACGGGAGTTTTCAGCTAAGCAAGATGGAAGGGATACTCTAGGAAAAGAGAACATTTATTTACTCAAATGACACAATGTATTTGTAGGAGGGGTCATAGGAAAATGTACACTCAGATTGGAAAAATGCCTAAGGGTGAGAGCCAAGGGATCCTCAGAGGTCAGTTGAATAAGCAGATTTACCCAGGAGAAAAGGATCATCAAGGGAAAGTTGTGTGACTGTACCTAGAGAAAGTCAGCACATGTAGGAAGCGGCATCTGGGCTAAGACTGGGCCTGACTGTATGGTCTGAGCTTCATGAAGAGAGAGTGCTACAGAAGTAGGTTGCGGGACCAAAGTATATGAGTTTTGAAGCATGGTGCATAAGCAGTATGAATGACATCAAATAGTGACACCAAAGAGAGGAAAAAAATCTCTGCAAAACACGGCACCCCTTTGGGATTGAGAAAGTTAGTTCATTATGAAAAGGGCAGTTAGAAGAACACTAGTAGAACCTGAGGTGTTCAGCAGGAGATGGCAGATTCCCAGTGCACATGGAAATACCCAGCAGATGCCTAGCAGGAAACAGTGGAAGCTAGGCCAACATGTAGTGCCCAGAGGATATTGACAGAAGAGCAGAAGCAGTATGGTGCAAAGTAAACCTGCTTGGGTTTACTTTGTAACTTCAAAGTATGATTAAGGCCTTCTAGGGCTCTACAGATTCTTCATGCATGATTGTGAACATGATCCAGTGGCATCAGAGACATCATCAATGGCTCTGATTGGAATCTTCAGGCTAGTGAAGACTAGGGCGATTGGAGTTATATATTTATTAAAGAATAAAATTGAGCAATGTGACATGAGCTTGGCTCTTGGGTAGCAAGAAGATTGGAAAAATAGTAGTTCATGTAATATAGAAACAAAACATCTGGTTAAACTTTTTCATATGGTGAACTAGGAGGCAGGTATTCCTCCTAGTCTACTGCTTAGTCTACTGCTCTAAGAGAAGAGGTTGAAAAACAGCACTAGTGAGTTGTGTTGGTTGATTTGGAATTGTCTGACCTGCAAGCAAAAATGAAATGATAGAAAGAGGGCAAATATATGAGACTTTGCATGTTTGAAAATTTGACTATTTCAAGACCCCAAAGCTAAGAAATTGGAATTTTAAAAATTAAAAGAGTTCTGAGTGACATTTGAAACCTCTTTCAGTTGATTAAAGTGACTCAATGCAAAGATTATATTAAGATACACCTATTCCATCCATAGTTTCAAATAGTCTTAACATAGCTAAGTTTCGTCATTAGGTTGAAACAGAAAGAGGCATGGAGGAGAAAATGCAATGAAATAAATCAGTGTTGAGTGTTAGTCTAATCCTCCAGTATACTTACAGGCATCTGGAACTGACTAGAAGAAAATCAATCAGAAGACTACCAAGTTTCAAAGAAATTTCATTGCTAAACAAAAGCTTTGACTATTCCAATAGTACAATACCCTCTGGGTCCTCTAGTTTGTAAGCAGGAAGAAGGATGGAAATGTTATGCATTCCCCAGGGAGGGCACGCTCTCCAACAGCTTCCTCAGAGGTGGCCAAGGAAGACATGCAAAAGGAAGAAGAAGGAAAAAAAGAAAAAACTCTCAGAGGACAGAGCCAGGGGCAAAGAAGAATAACAAACTAGGGAGCTACCCCCAGAGAGCATTATCAGGACCCAAATAAGAAAATTCACTCATTGTCAAGGTAAGGGGCCTTCAAAATGCTTGCCATTCCATAACTGCTAAGGACCAGTAACTGAGTTGTGTCTGGCATCCTTCCTTTTCAGGATCCTGTCCTGAGGTTATCCCATCTGTGCTCTATCACTACACACTGGATGTGGGGTAGGAAGGATAACTTGTCCTTTTAGTATACAATTTGCTAAGCCAAGAGAAGGAATATCCACAACTGATGGAGAGACTACACATCACTCAGAAATTGTGGACTTTGAGCTGGATACACTGACTCGATAGGACTTTGGGTCAGCCTTTGTTGGGAGGAGGAATGAATTGTACTGTGTGTGGGAATACGAGAGCAATGCCTGGACTCCAAGGTGCCCACATAATGGGAAAAGAATATGGGTAAAAGCTTTGTGTTCCCACCCAGATTTCATCTTGAATTGTAATTCCCAGGTGTCGAGGGAGAAACCTGGTGGGAAGTGATTGGATTATGAGGGCGGTTCCCCCATGCTGTTCTCGTGATAGTGAGTTCTCACAAGATCTGATGGTTTTATAAGTGTTCAAAAGTTCTTCTTCACTCTTCTCTCTCCTGCCGCCATGTGAGAAGGTCCAAGCTTGCTTCCCTTTCACCTTCCACCATGATTGTAAGTTTCCTGAGGCCTCCCAGCCATGTGGAACTAGGAATCAATTAAACCTTCTTTCTTTACAAATTACCCAGTCTCAGGTATTTTTTACAGCAGTGTGAGAATGGACTAATACAACAGGACAGGATAGAAAGAGACTAGATCCCAGAATAACCACTCCAAGGAAGGCCACCTAGAAAATATATTCAGAAATACCCACACTGGATGATGAGAAATAATCTCCATCAACTTAAGTCACTGTGACTTTGTTGTTGTTGTTGTTGTTGGTACAGCAGTTGGTGTGAATGAGCTTAATACAACCAGCATAGGTTGGTGCAGAGAGGTAAAAAATATCACACTGTGGTGAGGAAGCTAAAATAGTTCGATACTATTGAAACATACGATGAACAGAGAGAAGTGGCAGGAGGAGAGGTTGAAAAGGTAGACAAAATAGAGAAGTGTTTCTCAAGGTGTGACTCATGAGCTGCCTGTATCAGAATCACTTGGGAGTCTAATTAAAGATGCAGAGGCTCCACCCCTGGCTGACAGAATCAGACTCTCTTAAGAAGGAAATCATAAAGACACATTTTTAATAAGAACCCAAGTGTGATTCAAATGCACACCGTAAGTTGAGAACTACCTAGTTGGATGGTGACGGACCTTGTGTATCATTTTAAAATTTCTTTCTTATGCAGTCAATTGTCTGGTGAAAGCTAATTTAGAGGGCAGAAATATGATCATATCTCAGTAGGGGTAAGCTCCTTGAGGGCAAAGGCTTGGTTGGTTTGGGTCACTTCTGTATCCTTAGTGCCTTAGAAAGTATCCAGAGTTATGTAGGTACTCAGTAAATAGTTTTTGAATAAACGAGTCAAATCTGAGTTTTAAAATTAGAATTGACAAGGAAGAGTGGATAATGAATTAGAAGGGAAGATAATGGCTGCTGAGTGACCTCTTAGGAAGCTATTAAAATTGTTCAGGTGTGAGATGATGTATGTTTAAGTTAAGGCAATGGCAGTAAGAATAGAAGAGAGGATGGTTTTGAAATTGATTTAGAAGGATAAACTTGTGTGAGTTAGTGAATGATTCAAGTAAGTGGGTGGGAGAAAGAGAAGAGTCTAAGACTCTGAATTTTTTTCTTGTCTGAAGAAATTAATGATGGTGATATTAACATCAGTAGTCAAATGAGTTTTCAGGAGAAGATGATGCTTTCAGTGTTGTCTATCTTGAGTATGAGATTTTGATAAAACATATTTGATACACAGTTGTCTGTATGTTTCAAAAGCATGTGCAAAAGAACTGGGCTATAGATGTAGATTTGGGAGTCTTCCATTCATTTCATTTATTGATACATTCAATAAACAAACATGTACTGAATGTTTACCTCATTAGACACTTGCCTAGGGGTTAGACACAAAAAGATGCTTTTAAAAGTCTTAGAGTTTCATGAAAGGACTGGAGTAGTAATCACCCTGAAAAAGATATGCCCATGGAGGCCACAGAGGGGCACCCAACCCAACTGGGAGGTTGAGAGAAAGTTTTATGGTGGAGGCCTTAAGAGAAACTGCACTCTAAGTAGAAGCATCCCCATGGACAGAAGTCAGTTGCAGCAAATTCAGGGAGGTAGAAGCCAAATTGCAATGGATTGAGGAGTGAATGGAAGATTAGGAAGCAAAGGCAGTGAATTTAAGACAACTGTTTTATGAAATTTTGAGGAGAAAGGACAAAGAAAAGAAATAGGTCAGTAGCTAGAGGGAGCATTAAAGAGGTCCAAAAATTCCATTTAGAAAAAGACAGACTCGAACATTTTTTTTTTTTTTGGAAGAAGGAGCAGGAAAGTTTGAAGTTATAAGAGAGAGAGGAGAAAATTGGTGAAGCAAAATCACAGAGGAGACAGGACAGGATGGGGTAAGTTCAGGGTGATAGAATGAGCTGTGGATAGGAGATGAAAGGCCTCTTCCACTGCTCGTGTTGGGAGGGAGTGCACAGATGGAGATTCTGTCTGGACGTGGGAGGGGGGACTGGAAAGCAAGAGCTGCAGGATGCATGTGTGGCAAGCACTGTGAGAGGTTTTGGAGATGGAGGACTACACAAGCCAGCAGGGAGTATGTTCCTTGGTTTTAAATGAGAAGAGGAAAATGAGAAAGAAAAAGCTGTTATGTTTAAAGAGAAGCTAAAACCAATCAATACAACGTGCCAGGAAACATTCATTTTGCCTGAGGATAATTTTCATTTTTATAAAGATATATTTGTTCCCAAATTATGAGAACTCTATAGCATCCCAGTAGGCTCTTAGGTATCTATCTTTGCAACTCTGTGCCTAGGAGAGTGCCTGACCCATGACCGGCACTAAAAAAAAAAAAAAAAAAAGCTGCTGTATGATTCCTGGGCCCAGTCAATACCTCTAGAACATCTTTATCTGTTCCTAACAGCTATGAATTTTTATTATAATGAAACAAATATTCTAATTAATTCTAATTACTAACAATTAAAAGTAATAGCCAACCACATCAGTAAAATACCTTCTCCTAAGGGCCCTGGACCAACGAAAGTGACAAGCGTTACATTCAGAAGGCCTGAACATGGTTCCATACAGTTGGGGTAGAATTCATGACACCACTTCTGGTTGCTCAGTGTGCTTTGTAGGCCTCTTTATATTCAGACAAGATTATTTTGGATTTAGAGTAAGATTTAAATAATCTCCTAAAACAACATATGTTCAACTCATAACTGTTACCAAACATATGCTCAGAATGGATAAGCCAGGAGCTGTGATTTATGCAAGAAGAGAAGGCAGTATGCGTGTCTATCTTATTCCGTTCTCAGATTCCCTGCAGAGCCAATATGAAAATAGTCATGGAAATTTCATTATTTCATTCTTCAGATGAACCTGAAGAATGAAACAGGAATGGAATTGGATCGAGGATGTTACATTCCCACCATACCCACCACCAGCGGCGTCATGTCATCTTCAGCAGCAGCAGCAACTTTGAAAAGATCTGCAGCCTCTGCACAGAGCAAGGCGCTGTACCAGTGATCACAGGCACAGGCCATGCACTTGGGAAGCTTACCACGGTCCAGTGACACGGTTGGAGGAAGAAAGAACATTAACTCATGACTAGATGTGGCTGTCTCCCCAGCCATGTGACCTGAGCCAATTCATAATTCAGGCCAGTGGTTCTCTATCCTCACTACATGTTAGAATCACTTGAGAAACTTTCAAAAATCGAGTTATATAAACCCCTACCCCCGGTCAACTGTATCAGAATCTAAAAGGAAGGATATGTTAGGGGATCCAGGCATCCGGGTTTTTTAAAGGTTCTTGTATGCTTTTTTATTAAATTTTTGTTTTGAGATACAGATTCACATGCAGCTGTGCAAAATGATACAGAGAGATCATGCGTATGCTTTGCATCATTTCTCCTGATGGGAACATATTGCAAAAGGATAGTACAATATCAGAACAGAATACCAGCATTGATACCATAAAATACCGAACAGTCTGATCACCACAAGGGTCCCTCATGTTACTCTTAACCTCACGCACCTGCTTTCCACGGCCACCTCCTTAGTAACCCCTGGTAAACACTAACCTGTTCCCCATTTCTATAATTTTGTCACTTTGAGAATAGGTTATAAATGGAACCACACAGTATGTGATCTTAGGGATTAGCTTTTTTTTCACTCAGTCTAATACCCTTGAGATCCAACCGTATGGTTGTGTTTATCAATATTTTGTTCCTTTTTATGGCTGAGTAGTGTTCCATAGCTTGTTTAACTGTCCACTTGTTAAAGGATGTGTTGTTTCCTATTTTAGGCTATTTTAATAAAATGGCTGTGAACATTTGTACATAGGTTTGTGTGTGAAAATCAATGTGATTTCTTTGAGATAAATTCCCAAGTGTACATTTGCCCGGTCTTAAGATAGTTGGCATATTTTATTTAATAAGAAACTGCAAAACTGTTTCTCAGAATGGCCATACCATTTTACATTCCCATTAGCAATGTAGGAATGATTCAGTTTCTCTGCATCCTTCTCAGCATTTGTTGCTGTCACTGATTTTCTTTTAGCTATTCTGTATTTCTCACTGTAGTTTAAATTTGCATTTACCTGATGGCTAATGATGCTGGACATATTTTCCTACGCTTTTTTGCCATTTGCATATCCTCTTCAGTGCTTTACCCATTTTCTAATTGGATCATATGGTTTCTTAATGTTCACTTTAGAGGGTATTTTATACATACATATATGTATGTATGTATTTATAAAATATATAAAAAAATTTATATATGTTCCAGAGACTAGGCCTTTGTCATATACATGGTTTATAATTTTTTTCTCTCAGTTTGTAGATTATCTTTTCATCCGCTTAAAAAAGTCTTTCACAGAGCAAAAGTTTTAAATTTTGATGAGGTCTGATTTATCAGTTTTCCTTTTATGGATTATATTATTGGTTTTCTTTAGTTACTCCTAAGGGTAGGTGTGCTAGCAAGAAATTCTCTTAGTTTTGCTTCTTTTGCAAATGTCTTTATTTCCCCTTTATTTGGGGAGGACATTTTCACTAGATACAGAATTCAGAGCTGACAATTCTTTTCTTTTAATACCTGAAAAATGTTACACCGCTTCCTTCTCGGCCTTCATGTTTTTAGAGTAGAAATACTCTATCTACTGAAATAGGTGGTATCAGCAGGGTATCATTTCTCTCTGGCTGCCCTCAAGATGTGTTAGTTTTCAGAAGTATAATTACACTGTCTTAACAGGGATTTGTTTGGGTTTATCCTACTTCGGATTCATTCAGCTTGTTGAATATATAGGTTTACATGTTTTTGCCGTATTTTAGGAGTTTTCAGCCAACATTTTTTTGAATGTCTTTTCAGTCCATTGTCTCTCTCCTCTTTTTCTGGAACTTTGATGAGACAAATGTTACTCTTTTGGTTTTGTCCCATGTGTCCCTGAGACTGTTCATCTTTATTTTCAGGCTATTTTCTCTCTGTTGTTTATATTTGGTAAATTCTATTTATCTTTCCTCAAGTTTGTGGAGTTTCTCCTCTGTCATCTCCACTCTACTACGCAGTTCATTCAGCAAGGCTTTTATTTCAGTTACCGTATTTTTTCAATTCTATGATTTCCATTTAATTCCTTTTTATAAGTTATATTTCTTTGCTGAGATTGTCTAGTTTTTCCCTTTGTTTCAAGAGAATTTGTAATTGCTTATTGGAGACTGTGTAATGTGGAATGTATTTCTTCCTGTGGATAGAGGTCAAAACGTTTAAAAACACTGAGAAATGCAGAGACTAAAAATGCAGGCAGTACAGATGTCTTAAATTTAGAATAGCTAGAACTTCTTATCACCATAATAATGTATAGGACCCAGAATATGTCCCCAGCTCTAATTGGAGATATTTGTTCCAGAAATCACCTCATCTGTGAGGTTCTCCCTGACCTCTCTGCCCAGAGAGATTTCATCCCGACCTCTTCTGAACTACATTTTGGTTGTCTTGGTTGCACTTGTTACTCTGTAATGTATCTGTTTATGTGTCTGTTTTTTCTAATAGACTGAGGTTACAGAGTGAGTTGTATTCATGTATGTGTCTAATCCAATAACAGAAACATAGTATTCACTAAATTGATCATTCAAAGATAAATAAGTCATCAGTAGATGAATCATCAATAGATGCAAATCTAGCACGTGAAACTTTAGTGAGAAACAGGATATTTACATAGTGTACAGTGGTTATATTAGAGAATGCTCTTTTTAGGAAATATACACCAGAGTATTTGAAGGAGGGAGGGAGACAGAAAATGTAACTCTTCTGTACGTCTAAAATTATTTCAAAGTTTAGAGTTTAGAAGGTGAATTAATAAAGACAAACGTTATTAACAAGTAGAGAAAGTAATGGTCTTATGGCTAGTTGGTCATAGAGACAACTCGACTGCATTTATGTAATTCATACAGAGACTGCTTAGGTGTTTTTGTTCTAAGACCACAAGGCAGGAACAAAGTGCAGACCTGCTCTATCCACAAAACTTCAAAAATAGGAGGCCTTGACAATGGCTGTGTGCATCACCAGTCCATCTCATTAGCTGAACCAAAGGGTCACTTCACAGTTACAACTTGGTTGGTGACCAGGACATCCAGTTAAAAGGCACAGTAGCTCATGCCTATAATCCCAGCACTTTGAGAGGCCAAGGCAGGAAGACAGCTTGAACCCAGGAGTTTGAGACCAGCCTGGGCACAAAGAGAGTCCCATCTCTATAAAAAATTTTTTAAAAACTAGCCAGGCATGGTGGCATGTGCCTGTAGTCCCAGCCACTTCAGGAGGCTGAGGCAGGAAGATCTCTTGAGCCCAGGAGTTCAAAGCTGCAGTGAGCTATGATTGCACTACTGCACTACAGCCTGGGTGACAGAGCAAGACCCTGTCTCCAATCAATCAATCAATCAATCAATCAATGGTCTAAATGGTCAGAATCCTCATGGCTATGGGAAAGCAGCAGCTGCCTGCCTTTTACCTACCTTGCCCCTGTTCAGGCACATAGTTAGCACTGTGTCAGCCACAGGTTTCGCATCTTGACTTTATTTCTCCAGAGTAAAAAATCCCCACCAACAAGCTCATTTAGAAAGAATTCCCTTGCAAACTTTCTATGCAAGTTTATGGGCATATGCTTTATTATTTCTTTAAAATTGTACAAAGGCTAGGCTCAGTTTGCTGTTCTGTATTATTATATTTGCAGTATCATAATAGCACCAAACTGCTAGGCTGAGAGTTCTGATTCAAATGACCAGTTGCTCCATACACCAGTCAGTTGAACCAACTTGGTTTCTATTCAGTGATTTTACCAGGTGTCTGACCAAATTGCATAAATCAAGTGTTGTTTCAACACAGAGCAAACCTAACTATCCAATGCCATGATCTCCTCTTGGCCCAGGATGACTGCAAAAAGACATCCCTAGGACAGTGGGAACAGAAGACCGTTTGGTAATTGTATCCCCTTTGTGAAGCAGAGTGACTTATACCTGCACAACTCCTGGTTGGCCCCAATACCCAGGGGTTGATGGGGAAATAGGTGAGAGGAGAAGGTGGTGTTGGGTCCTTCATAGACTGAAGGTTAAGGAAGGGATGCCTCAGACTAGATGTAGAACCCAAGCCCCTGTTTTCTGCTACAATGTTGAAAACATGCCTTTTCACCTACTTACAAGGCTTTTAATTCTCTGCCTTTCTTTTCCATGTCCCTGGGCACTTCGTGGTCTCAGGAGAATTCAGGGTCAAACATGATCATTTACAACAATTCCCACAATAAAATGCTATGGGATGATGATGCCAAACTCCAACTTTAATTTCTCTTGTAAACTATTATATTTCCTGAAAACAAAGATACACTCAAGGAAAAGACAAAGGGATATAAGGAAGGGAACCAGAGTGGGAATTAGGAGGCTCCCAGGCTCCAACCCCAGCTGAGTTATAATTCATAGTGAGCTGAGTGACTTCAAGCAAAACCCATAACTTTTGCATTCTTAGCTACAAAATGAGAGTTTAGATTCAATGATCTCTAAGATCACTACTATGCCTAAAACAGTGCTTCTAAGTAAACAATTCCCCTTTGCAAAAATAACCCCCTCAGCTAACTGGATAGGCCAAATGGACCCCGGTCTCCCATAGACACTTTATAGTTAAGGTTAAGGTTACTTTTAGGGACCTTTTATATCTAGATTTCAGGACCTAATCCTGAACGTAATATATGTGCATGTGTGTGCATGTGTATAGACAGAAAAATAGTTTGGATACTTGGATAGATAGTCACGTATATACATTTATAAATATGTACACACATATTTTATATATATACTATATAATATATACGAAATATTCTATATATACACTATATGTGTGTGTGTGTATTTTTAAGTACCTAATCACATACTACTTCACAAACGAGGAATCACTCCTCATTAGTAAAAGAGGCCAATTTTAAAACATGACAAAGGTCACATTTACACAAAATATATAGGACATCACCATAAGTGCATTGACAAGAACTGGAGTCAGGCCACAGAACAAGCAAAAAATATCCAGAATGGGAGGACAGGAAACTTCAAAGAAGACATCCTCAAAGGCATCGGCATGCAGACCACACCTGCCGGTGCATATCAAATGAGAGCTCAGACACACAAGGTGGTGCTAATGTGGATAAAATATGGATAAGAAGAGACAAGATACCAGCTAAATGAAGAAAATTGAGACATTGGAAAAATGAAACACAGCCCTTCGAGCCAAGTGGCCAACATCAATATCCAATTCAGAGAAGTCTGGAAAGGTCACGTGCAGACTACCAAACAGAGCAGAAACTCTGAATGATTTCAAGAGTCATACTTCCTGTGCACCTGTAGACAGACAGGGATGCAGAGCCCTGCTGGAGAGCCTGCCAGTGGGGAGGGTAGACTGAGTGCAAGGCTGCAAGCAAAAGACCCAAGTTCCGGCTGGACGCAGTGGCTCATGCCTGTAATCCCAGCACTTTGGAAGGCCAAGGTGGGTGGATCACTTGAGGTCAGGAGTTTGAAACCAGCCTGACCAACATGGCAAGACCCTGTCTCTACTGAAAATACAAAACAATCAGCCAGACATGGTGGTGGGTGCCTGTAATCTCAGCTACTTGGGAGGCTGAGGCAGGAGAACTGCTTGAACCTGGGAGGTGGAGGTTGCAGTGAGCAAAGATCACACCACTACACTCCAGCCTGGGCAACAGAGCAAGACTCCATCTCAAAAAAAAAAAAAAAAAAAAAAAGACTCAGGTCCCAGACACAAGTCAACCACTACCTAGGAAGTGTGTTATGTAACTTTTTGTTTGTATCTTTTTTCAGGAAATCAAGGCACAATCAGCTCTTCTTCCCTCACAGCATGATTGGAAGAGTGAAACAAGAGAATGTGAAACCCCTTTAGAGAAATGTATCATCCACTCTGTATACAGATGTAAATGATTATTATTTTTATTGAATCATTAGAATCAGGTCAGAATGCATTATTCAGGGAGGATCCCGGGATGTGGGCAGCTCTCTCATTTGGGAGGAGTTCTGGAGGGAAGCATCTTATATGTAGGACCAGAATCCCCAGTGAGCAAGTGTGATTACCACTTCCAAGTGTAAAAGCATCCTCATCCCCTTAACCTCCATGTCCCTCCTGACACAAGGAAGCAAGGTCTTCTTACCACCTACGGCTCCCTCTGATTCTGACTTCTAAAGGACAGTGATTATCCTCTTTTTATACAAACCCCACTGATCAAATCCCTCAGGATTTCCCCACAGATACCCTCTGCCATTTTGCCATGGCCCCTCTGTTCTTCTGTCCTTATGCTGCCTCTGATATTTCCCTGTTCATTTATCCTCATGCTAAATGATTTCCATCTTGTACCTGCCACCGCTCTGGTCTAGGTGTCTATAGTGTCACTCTGGGCTGACAACACCAACTTCCTAACTTCTCTCTGCTTTCAGTCTCTAATATTTCTACCTTAGATTAAGCCCATTTTTTCTAACATTCTGCTTTTATTACATCATCCATTTCTACTTTTATTACATCATCCATTTCTACCTTTATTACATCATCCATTTCTACATTTTTGAATTACAAAAGTCACATGCTTTTCATAATATTTTCTGTCAATTCAAAAATATATAAAGAGAAAAAAATCCCATAAGACTGATCTTACTCTCACCCTCAGGGTAAGCTAAGGGCATAACTCAAGAAGGTAATTTTGCACATTCCAAGCTAAATGAGTCCTGGTTGTAGCTTTCCACTGAATGCTTACAAAGGCAGAACATATGGAGGAGTAATGATCTTGTATTTCCTTTAGACCTGTGGCTTCCAAAGCCTACCCTTCAGGGGCAGTAGAGTCACACACAGGTACTTCAGGGACCAAAGAGGGGCTGAGGGACTTTAGGGGTCTCTTGCCCCCTTCAATTAGCACACCTCCACTTTTCTCTATTTCCTGTTCTGCCTTGCCAGGTAAGATATCATTAGAAGAAAAAACCTGTTGCAAAAAATAATAATTTGAAAACCATTCCTTACAGGCTATCTTCCCTAAGTATCTCTTCTCTCAGACTGAATTCTGATAGGGGTTAGAGAGTTGACAATTTGAGGTTATTCTCTCTGACAAGTGTCTGGAAAGCAGATGGTCTATGTTATTGATTGAGCAAAGATTGATACGTTTTATGTACAAGGCAAAGAAGTGGTTGGTTTGATATTTTGTTAAAAAGTCTTCAAAACTATACTGTAAGATTCCTGCGGGGAAGGATGGTGTCTTACATGCCCATGCATGCCCTACAATCATCCAAAACTGTGTCTTGAAGATATTGAGGAGGTCCTCACACTCACTTTGATCTGTATTGGACCCATTTCAGCCATCAATTTCCCTCCTGGGCTTATGAAGTGCTTGATCTGTGTTTTGAGGGCCATTAATGTCTGAAGCAGGGCCACATGTTCTAACTTGCCTCATCTTATACATTTCCCAGAAGAATACCTGGTAAGATTTGAAATATTTGCAGACTCCTCCCCTCATCCTTCTTTCTCCTGGCTCTCAAGTTACCCCTACCTGAGGTGTTTTTTTCCAGACCGGCTCTGCTGTGACAGCACACTCCAGCTTGGTCAGAGGACCAGCTCAATAAAGGGTTTCAGCCCCCACAGAATTGCCTTCCTTTACGCTCACTCTACACTGAGGAGCAATATAAAAGAGTTCTCCATTTTCCCTAACTTTTATCAAAACTTAGCCATTCTGTGTTCCAGGTCCATATTTTATTCCAGCTGATCTAACAAACTGTTAAGAGTTAACAAGTCCAGGGAAGTCTATAGCTTAGGCTGAATCTTTGTGCCGCTACTGCATAACACACAGTCTTATTCTGACAGAGGCTGATAATAACTAGCAAACACAAGTGGTAAGAGGTGGTATTTTAAGACTGCAAGAGTCTTCAAATCAAAATAAATAGGTGACATGTGCCTAGGTCTTATTACATGGGTATATGAAAATAACTTACATGCCTTACCCCTCCATGACAGTCAGAAGAAATCAAAGAATCTTCCTTCCCATGGCCACAGCCAGGACACTCTAGACTTGGCCCCATTTACTGAATAGAGTGAGGGCCTCCTGTATGCACAGAGATGTTCTTCAAACAACATGAAGCCATTTTTTTCACACAAATAATTGTTGAGTATCTGCTCTTCATTAGGCCTGTGCTAAATACTAGGTGACAATGATGAATAGGACAAATTCCCTGCCCTCATGGGCATATAATCTAGTAAGAGAGACAGACATTAAAAAGGCAATTACAATAAAGTATATTAGGAGCTATTATAGGGAAGGAACAGGAAGTTCACAGCCCACATCCCAGGGTTAGAATACCTGCACCAGGGGTTTATTGCACCTTTTCTCCCTCTGTGGTCAACCACATTGACTCTTCCCCCTCCATACCAGTATCTTATTTCATGGAAAAAAGACTTGAGTTTCATCACTATAGACACTGCTGATATATGCCTTCTGTGTGCTGAAGACAGTCCATAGGAAAAGGATTTTTGAATACCAAGGGCCCAATTAATATTTGTTGACTTTAATGATGGAAATTGTAAAAAAAAAAAAAAAAAAAAGAGTCTAAAGTATATGAAACTTCAGTGACATTCTCAGTGAGCTTTAATTCTCACCAAAACTGGGAATCTCACATCCAGAATCATGCGAAGATGCTCCACCCACAAATTAAACTACACAAGGAAGTTTGTTTTGCTTTTTCTTATCAAGACCCTCTTTTCTCCATTCATCAAAATTTTGTTCCAAGCCCTCAGCCTCCCCCTTTACAATCTAAACTTCGTAGAGTCAGATTTGCATCTAGCACACCAGGGAGACCAGCTCAAGTCCCCATATAGGACACACTGGACATGGACCTTGGATGATTGAAATGAGGAGGGAATCCTCTCTTCATTTGTTTGCAGATGATCCATTTTAGGCTAGGGAGAACTCTTCTTGGAATGCCTTCAGCCTATTGAGGGCCAAGTAGGAAACTGTGGTATAACCCAAAAAGGAAACAGCTAGGAGGCCACTGAAGGGATGATTCTACTCTAGGTTTTAGGTGTTAAGGATCACAGGGGAAGAAACTCAAGGTCACAAACGGTTCAGTTCACATAACCAGAGCAGAAGTGCAGCTAGGACCTGGTGTAGAAACTGGAGAGAAATGAGTTATTCGTCTGAAGTGGTTTCTCTTGTGTCTTTTTTAGTACTTCAAGGGAGCTGGATGACTTGAGACTTTGGGATTCTGGACGTCAGTGTCCTTTGAGGAAGTGACCAACAAACTAGGGGGAGGAAGTGAAGACAGGAGCGAAGAATATGGGGGTGAAGGCGGCGGTGGGCATAAAGAGGTGTTGTTAGTGTCTCTGGGTTCAGGTTACAGCTCCCTTGCCCAGGGAGGGGGCAGATGACAGCCCCTTGTTTTAGCCTCAGGTACTTACTACCCTACCGTTTGTGATTTCCCCACATCCTGCCTACTTCTTTAGAGATAATCTCTTTATTAAACTCTCCTCAAGTTACCCACTTTGAGTAAGCTATGTCCTGCCTTTGACATAGCTTGACATGTAATTTAAGAAAATTCATAGATGAGTTGAAGGGGTTTGACAAAGATATTAGAGAAGAAAGGGACATCAAGTTGTGGGAAGAACATAAGCAAAGGCATGAAGAGAAACTAGGAGGCATTAGAAAGAAGGGTGGAGCCGGATGACTAAAGGCCTTCTATTTCATGCTAAGAAATTTTTTACTTGGCCCTATAGCCACTAAAGTGCAAAGCACAATCAGTGTTACAAATCTGGGATGGAAGTATGAGAACAAAAGCAGGAAATCCTACAGGGTCCTACAGAAGTCCAGATGAGAAATGTTTTGAAATATGTTGTAGAAATTGTGTTTTCTTTCTCAATTAAGGGTCTTCATCTATATACACAGTTCACTAAAAGGCATATGAAAGAGAGAGGTATCAAACAAAAAAAAAGTTAAGGAGATGGAAATAACAGTGAAAATTAGGTCAAGAGATTAAAGACAACTAGAAATGTGTGCTAGCTCCCAGATTTCTCACTAGGGAAGATAATTGTACCATTAAGACTGAGGATCTAAGAGCAGGAAGAGATTTAAGGAAGAAAATAGATAGTTCTGTGTTCTCCTTTGGCCAGTAGATAGAAGGAGGGACAAAAAATACAACCAGCCTAGAAACAATACACATCATTTAAAATTTAAGAGCATGCTTTGGTTATGCAGATTCAGCTTAAGGAAGTGATCCATCCTTCAGCCAGGCAAGACCATCAGAAAAGAAGTGTGGTTCTTATGGTCAGCTCAGAGGTCCTTCACACAGCCTGGCTCCTCTGAAAGTATCCATGTGCACTTCCTCTCTGTTCCTGGTGCTTCCAATATGAATTCTGTGCATATCTGTGTGAAGCGGCCTTTTAAAGTAAAGACTGTCAACTGTGAGACTGTGGGGACAGTAATAGCAAAATATGAGGGAAAAATGTTTTCATTTTCCGTCTGAAAATTGTAGTTTCACTTGTAAGATGTGACACATTTAATTTTAATGAATTGGGAATCGAAGTGTGTTTTTAATCAATTTCTCAGTATGATAGTATGTTGAGAGACAGGCAAGTGACTAAAGGGCAGAAGAAATGAAGAAGGTGATTGTGAGAATTGTTACTCCCATTCTCTAGCCCCCTCCAGCAAAGGAAGTGGTTATATTTGGAAATCCTAAGTTATCTCAAATATTTTCCATCCTGTTTCTTCCAGAAGAACAAAGCTCTGAATAGCTAAGAGTTTGGATTTGATATGCAATTTCTTGGCCAGAAGGTTGTCTCAGAAGCAAAGTAATGGACCAAGTCTAGACTCGACTGTTGGAGACAAGCCAGTGGTCTATAAACAGCAGTACACACACAGCTGAACACCAGCTCGCCAGTTCCCAGAATAGGAGGGGATTCTCCAGTTTGATGCTTTCATTAGGCATGTGATTCTTTCCAAACTTAGATTAGGAACTGGGGAGACTCCAAACAATAAATTTCATGGCCAAATCAAAGAAACAACAAAAGGGATGAAAGACATGGCATATTTTCATCCCATATTCATTATTCTATACCTGAGTCCTTTTTTTTGGAATGTGAAATGATTTTTTAAAAATTTTTTTAAGTTCCGGATACATGTGCAGGTTTGTTACATAGGTATACGTGTGCCATGGTGGTTTGCTGCCTCTATCATCCCTCACCTAGGTTTTAAGCCCCACATGCATTAGCTATTTGTCCTGATGCTCTCCCTCCCGTCACAACCCCAGTGTGGCCCCGCCAGACACTGACAGGCCCCGGTATGTGTTATTCCCCTCCCTGTGTCCATGTGTTCTCATTGTTTAACTCCCACTTATGAGTGAGAACATGCGGTGTTTGGTTTTCTGTTCCTGTTATACCTGAGTTCTTTAACCCTTTTACTCTCCCTCATCACTTACACTCCTGATAATCCAACGCCTAATCACACCTCAAAACCCAACTTAGTAGTTAGAAACCATGTAAACCATTTCCTTCATAAACCTCCTAAATCCAAACTCAGTCTCCCCCTAACCACCTCTGGAATTTGTCACCATATCTGCCCCTGTTATTCCCTTCATCACACAGAATAGAATCTACCATTTGTATGTCTGTCTTCTCTACTAGACTTTGTTTTTCTTGAGGCAGACCATATGTCGTATTCATCATTGTCCTAGTGCCTGGCCCAGGTCTGGCACTTAATAGATGTCCAGGGAGTGTGTACAGTGAGTTGAATGTAGGCACACTGAGTGCTTACAATTGGCCAGACCCTGTGCTAGAGGATCAGACACCAATGGGCAAAGGAGAAAACTTGGTTATGTTATGACAGGCAATTTCTAAGCACTCTATATACATTCACTTATTTTACCCTCATGGGAAGCATACACAAGAGATAAAATTAAGATTTCCATTTACAAAGGAGAAAATTGAGGCATAGATTTGGAACTAGGAAGTCTGCATCCAAAGTCCATCCCTTTAACCTCTATGCCTTGCTGTTCTCAGTAAAACCAACTTCATTTGTAAAGTACATTCCTTTGGCAAAGGTTTCCCATACATTTTTCTCTTGTAGTCAACCTTATTCTATAGCTGGTGACATGCTGTAATATAATAGTCTTAGTCTTCTTCTGGACTCCCGAACACTCATTTAGTCAAAGGATTATTTTCCTCTGGAGTCCGTCTTGTGGCCCGGTCTCCTAACAGGCCTCCAGGGCTGACCCATCTTGTTGGGAAAGCTAGGTGCAGGAAAACACACAAAACTCTGCTATGCAAAACTACTCCTATGGTGAAGCCCCTGGAAAACATTTGTCTAAATCCCCAACACTCACTTGGCCTCCTCCTGAGAGCTGGAAAGTACACACCACTCCTTGGCCAGTGTGTTTCTGTTTAGCTATACTGACAACATTGCCATTAAGGACAGGAGATTGTAATGTGTGGCATGAAAAGCCAGTGTGCTCTAATTCAAATCTGAATCAAAAAACATCACAGCAAGGAAAACACTCATCTTGGAACATCTATATTAATGAATTTAATCACATTTATCCTGCCCTGTCAGATGTGTGATTCAATATGCAAATTAAATATTTAGATAACAGTCTGTGAAGATTACTATGTTTGCTTAATAAATTAGTATTTTCTAAAACATTATGAAAAAGGAATATTATAAAAAGAATGCTGTGTAATCAACCTATCAGGCATAACCTATCTTTAATAGTCACCAGTTTCCACAAAAGGCAAGAAAAGCCTGCATGAGTTTCAGTTTTAACATCAAAATTAGATTTCTGAGGATTAACCTATCTTCTCATATTTAATGAATATTGACATGTAGCCACTGTCTGTTTTCAGCTTCAAAATCAAGGTTGGTGCCAAAACAGTAATAAAACCAGCAGAAAACAATGAGTGAAAGACAGGATGAAAGTTGATGTAATCTCTCCCTTTCTGAGCAAGGACTTGTGCTTTTGTAAACTTTTTAATGAATATGAATCCCAATGATCAGACTGACCTTCTCCAGATGGTTCCTGAAGTAGGGGGGAGATCTCTCCGCCGACTCCAGCAGTGGTTCCAGAGATACACAAACAGGATCAGCTTAGCCCCAGCCAGGCCTGTGACAGTGCTGACAGCTGGATAATCCCCCAAATGACAGTTCTTACAGAATATTTTGGTTCGATACTAGCACCTTCCCCCAGCACTCTGAGAACAATTGGCTCCCTCCTTGCTAATAACCATCACTGTTATTACTCAGCCCTTGTCATTTATCAACTAGATGGCTGCAAGCCCTACAAAATGTGTTTTCCTGTATCTGATTCCATACCTCTGGGTCATTCTCCTAGGTATGTCTAGAATGATCTTTCTGAAGCATGAATCTGGCCATGTAAGTTTCCCATTATACTTCCTTCAGAGGCTCCCCTGTTTCAAGAAGGACTGCCAAACTTTGCGATTTGACCAAAGCTCCAGAAAATCTCACCTCTCCAGAGACATTTTTTGTGCTTTCCAAATACTCTTAGCTCCAAGTAATTTGCTTACATTTTTCCACTAGTTTTTGCTCATGGTGTTTTCTTTATCTAAAATGTTCTTTTTCATACCCCTTGTGTCCTTCCTCTCAAGATGGTCAAAGATTATACTTACCTTAGCAAACTCAGTTCAAACATTTCCTGGGCTGCATCCTTCAGATTGGATAGGAGACATTCCTGTATCTCTCTCCTTAGTTCCTTATTGCCTTGTGCATACTTTGACTAAAACATTTATGCTACTCTGTTTATTCAGTTAGTCAACTAACACTTACTGAGCAATTGACAACTAAAGGCTAGACTCTGTACTCATGGCACATGTTCTCTCAATGAACAAGAGTCCCTGTCTCAAGAAGCTTCTAGTGAGACAGACAGGCAAATACACAACCATTGCAACACCCCTTGATAAGTGCTATGCTGAAAACTTCAGAAAGCTATGGAAGGAATAGGAGAGCCAACTAGCCCAGATTTTGTGGGGAGGGAAGAGGTAAGTCAGGAAAAATTTCATGGTGCAGGAACTCAAGATGAGAAGAACGTATAGGAATGGTTTAAATAAAAGGAATGGAAAAGAAGTTGAAACAACCAAGAAAAAGACTTAGGGGTGAAAGCAGAAGAAAACCAGGGCTAACAAAATAGACTTGGGAGGAAAAATGAAGGGCTCTACTTTAGACTTATTTTGGCTGGGATGTCTGTGATACTTAGGTAACTGGTACTTGAATACAGCCTCTCCACCATTCTTTCTACTCTCTTTTTCTGGAACTTGAGTGCAAACTCAAAGAAGCATTCTAGGTTAGTGATATAACCCTAACCTAGAAATCATCAGCATAAATATGGTACTTAAATGCACACAAGCTGATAAAATGAGCTAGGAGAGAAAAAACTGGTGTAGGGCCAGTCATGATGTATGATCTTCTTTGCACATTGCTGGATTTATTTTGGAACTTTTTGGTGAGGACTTTCATATATACGTTCATGAATGAGATTAGCTTGCAATTTTCTTATTTGTACTGTCCTGGTTTGGTGTTTGATTCAAGGTGTACAGTTTTTCTACCAATTCTGGAAATTTTTTCATCTGCTATTACTTTGAATATTGCCTCTCCACCATTCTCTCTAGTCTCTCATTTTGGAACTTCAATTAGACAGATGCAGAATCTTTAAATATCATCTTCTGTGTCTCTTAACCCCTTTCATATCTTCTATCCCTTTGCCTCTCTAAACTTCACTCAGGCTAATTGCTTCAGATCTATTTTCTGGAAGATTAATTCTCTCTTCATTTGTGTCCAATCTGCTGTTTAGTCTGTAAATATGGTTTTTTAATTTCAATTTTATTCTTTTAATTTCTAAGTATTCTGTTTGTTTCCTTTTTCCCAAATCTTCCTGGTCATATGTTTTGACGCTTTTTCATCCTTCTCAGCTTTCTTTAAATATATAAAACATACGTTGGTATCAGATTATTATAATATTTGCATTCTTTGTGGGTCTGACTCTATAGCTTTTTCTTTCTATTGACGCTTACTCATGATGGATTTTTTTTCTTGTATATTTGGTGATTTTTAACTAAAAGTTCTAATTCCTTTAAACTTTTTTACAGAAATTTTGGAACCTGAATCGTAAGTGTGTTTTTTCATAGAGGTTTGCCTTTGTTTCTGCCAAGCTCTTGTGGCCACTGTCAAGCCAGAGGCTCATGATGTCTGATGAGTTTGTGTGCTTTGTGTCTTGCTTTTCATTTTAATAACACAGTTGGTATGAATTCTGCCCTTAAAGCTGAAAGGCAGGCACATGAGATAGGAATTCTTAGTGGAGCTTGCTTTCTTTTTATTTTTACTCCATGCTGAAACAAGGCAGAGAAGGCAATTCTCCTTCAGTAAGGCAGATTATGTTCTAGTTCACCTACCAAACATGTTGTCCTTTGAGAACTGTAGCTTCATGCAAGAGTTTCTAATCCAACTTCCCAACCTGTTAAGGCTCCAAGCTTTATCACCTGCACACTGTGCATCCTCACAGTGTCTGAAAACCCAGGATCTTGGATACCAGAGCTCGGAGCTTTTAATACGCACGGGGAAGTGTAGTCTGCATGTAGGTGCCTTTGAAGATGTGACGTTTTCCTTGAAGCACATGCCCTCAGGACAATCACCAGCCATAATGCTTACTTACCCCTGTAGAATAATGTATTCTTGTCATTTAGACTTTAATTGTTTCCCTTACTTCACTGTGAGCTCAACCATGCTTTACAAATATATATTGAAGTATTTTATCCAGCATTTTTATCTGCTCTATACCTAGAGGGGTTTATCTGCCCATCTAGTATCATACTGCTGGAGATGAAATCCATTTCTTTATAATCTAACTTTTATAACACATTTCTGTACTATCCATCAGTCTGCCCTTGCAGTTCATTTGAATTGAGCAGGCCATTTCTCCATTTGCAAAGACTGTGAAGTGTCTCAAAGGAGCACAAGCTTTTCCCGGACCGCTTAAGAGGGCTGTAGAGAGCTGGTCTCATGCCTCTCGGCCCCTCCCCACCAATTGGGCTGGCACTCTAACGCCAATGTGTCTGCATGACACTGCTGCTCCTCCCCGTCATGCCAACCCCTCCCCTGGCAGAGCTCCACTTGACTGGGGTATGTGCTTGGTATTCCAAAACAGCAGTAAAGCCAACCAATTGCAGTATTTTCAAAGATTAATTATCACTCTCTTCTAAAAAGTCAATTTTCTTTAAACTAGGGGTGCAAATGAGAAAACAAACGAAAAATGGATTTCCAGAAGAACCACATTTTCTGCTATTCAGCAGGAATCATCCCCTCCCTGATTAAAATATTGGGATTGCTTCGTATCTTGTTAATCTCCAGTGAAGGGGCAATGTCATTTAAAATTAGCAAAAATCCTGTGATATGGGAGCAAACCTAGAGCAAGGCACTTATAAATGTTAATTTACTAAATAGATTTTTATCAGGTCAGTTTGGGTTGGCAATAGAGTAGCCAGCCACTTTATATGAGGTGACTTGAAAGAGGACAGGAGGATCTGTACTTCCTCTTGCTAATCCTCCCAGTAACAAGTCATTAGGGCATAAAATTCCACCGTCATTTTGGATGAAGCCTCTCTCTCTTTCTCTTTCTCTCTCTCAAATTAGTTTATCTATCTTTCTCCAACTCCCCTTCTATGGAGAGCAGATTACACAAAATCAAGGGGAAATGGGTGGTTAACTAAAGGCACACTGGGACTTTGGTTTCAAGCAGTGGGAAATGAAGGTATTCAAAAATCTGCAGAATATGAAATAAAGGAGGCTACCCAACTGTGGGCCTCTGTCCTGGAAGTAGGGAGAAGATAGCAGTTCAGATCTCATTATCCAAGAGGAATAATAAACTTGGACTTGAACAAGGCGTGTGCCCACATGAATGAGGATCTGATCTATGAGGTGAGACACAACAATGGGAATCTTCCTGTGGTGGATCACATGGAGGCAGAAAAAAAGCAGTTGTCCACACAGCTTGGAAGAGAATGCCAGCCCAGTGCATACAGCACATGTCACCAGAGGACAAGGACTAAGCAGAATGTCAGGGTCCCTGCAAGTCTGGGGTCCAGGCCAATACAGCTTCTTTGCCTGTCTTGGTTGAGGTGGAGCCACAAATTCCTAGGGATACTCCTCTAGGTACCACACCTTCCTGACCTCAGCTGAGAAAGCTGGAAATGGCAGAACCAGACCAAGAGTTTATAAGGCAGAGAGACTTGGGAATTAACAGAAAGGAGAGTACCAAGAGGGAAGAGGCAGGCACAGAAAGGTAGCGTCCAACACATTCCACCTACTTTTTGATTTTCCCACTGACCTCTCCCACCTTCATACTTTTACTTCAGAGTTTATTGGTCATGGGCCATAAGAGCTGTTTGCTGCCCATTTATTGTTGGTATAGTGTAGGCGTCTGACCCCAACTCACCTCCTTTTATGTGCGGCTGATAGTGCTGTCAGAAATCTAGAAAATAATAAGGTCCAGGGGTCTTTTGTGACTATCACACACAGCCCAAGGGGCTGGAACAAGGCACCAAGCAGGAAGGGATAGGCTCAGAGCCAGATCACCTTTAAACCTCTGCCCAGTGGTGCATTCCCCAAAATTTCAGATCAATCCACACTGGTGCTTTTCTTTGCCAGCTCAGCAATTCCTTCTGAAATTTTATTCAGTGGGTCTGTGCTCCCTCTTTAACAGAGTTTACATTTCTTTCTTACAAGGAATTACAAAAAGGTATGAAAGAATCAGAAAAAGGTATGATTTATGTTTAATTTTTAAAAATTAGATATCTTGATTTATCTCCAGCTTGAGAACAATTTAGAAATTGTTCATCTTCAGGAAAACTCCCTTGGATAAAGCATTTGCTTCAGTCATTCACTGGATATTAATAAGAAGCTTTGTGAATAAGCCCAGTTTGCACCAGCATTGAGAATACAGATGTTCTCTTTTGGGTTTCATTTATCCCTTCTTGAGCACTACTATATGTGAGGCACTAGGCTACATGCATTATCTTTATTATCTAATTGAAACCTCAACAACAACTTAATGCAGTGAGGACAGTATTAACTCTCAGTTAATATATGTGGTATCTGGAATCCAGAGAGGTTATATTGCTTGCCTAAGGTCAACTAGATCAGCTCCAGGATTCATGGTGGGAAAGAAAGACCTCTGTCCAGATCCTGGCAATCTACTGTAGGAAAACACACCCCCATATCAATATGTACAACAAAGGGCCATAGGTCTCTTAAAAAAACTACTTGCACCAAGTAGAGCAGGACACAGAGGTGTAAGTGGTCAGTTCCAAGAGACTGGAGTCTAAAGGCATCAGAGAGTTGACTTGAATGGAGTGGTAAGTTGGTGTTTACGTCACTGGGTGGCAAACGTGTGAGTGTCAGTGGTGGTGGCCTGCAGGGAGTGGGATGTGGTTTGAGAGTCATGTTGAGGGAAGAGGTAAGACAGAAGGGGAAATTTAGTCAACCCTTTAACCTTGTATTCTAACGTGATTCTACATAAGAGGACAAAGTTTTGCCATTCATACCATGTGATACTGTTCTCTAATATTTTCTTTTATGTATGTTTTGTATTCACAACCAGATGACTACTAGGACTGCTGATTGACAATAGTTCCTAGCATAGTTCTGGGTTTGTAGCAGACACTACAAAATAGTTGTTAGCTTCTTGTTGAAGAGCTAGAAGCCCAGGGTGCTAGTGATGAATTAATTAGGAAAAGACTTCCAGAAAAGCAACGTCTCCTGTGTTCAGAAGGACAATCCCATTTCTGACACTTTGATCTTCCCAAAGACATCCAAAAAGCCTCCATCATTTTCATTATTGAGAGGAAGAGAAAAGAAAACAAAAACCCTTCCTTATAACACCTCAACATTGAGCAATCCTGCCTTCTTTCCCCTTTGTTCCAACCACACCAGGATTTGTGTGTCACTTCTCAGTTCAAGAAGTCACTGATGATCAAAGGACAATGGTGTATCCCATTTAGGACTCAGCAGACCAGCAGACAAAGACACGAAGAATCAAGGTCACAACAGGTGCTGCCTAACATTAACCAGAGAAACCAGAGCATCACTAGGCTCCTATCAGCTGGAGTTGTGGTAGTAGCAGCTTGTCTTTTTTTTTCCTCATTATTCTTTTTTTTTTAATGAACTGTTTCTCTATACTCCCTCCTGCCTCCTTCCTTTCACTCCTGTTCTATGAACCTTGTCAAGAACAAATAGAGAGTGATAGTAAAAGCAGCAGGAGGACATTCTAAAAATAAAGACAAATACCACGGGTTGTTAGGAAGTAGCCTGTGTTTGTCATGGTCCATTAATATGTGTTGTTATTTCTCCCCATCTTTTTATTTAGGAATAAAAAAAATTGCCAGATATAGCTTCCAAGAGTTTTACCAGATGGAACTCCGTGACCAACTTGGGGATTTGGAGAGTGTACAAAAAGACTGGCAAAAATCCATAGTGGGGAGGGAAGGACTGCCTTCCACAGAATGGAGTGGGTTAAGAGGGCTGCCAAGTGGGGGAGTTTTTAAAAAGGATTTAGCAGCAAGCATGCTGGACAAGAAAATAGAAATCAGGGAGCTCTGAAGATAGGACGAAGAGTTGGGAGATGTGAGTTGCTAAACTGGATAACAGAAGTAGAGAGTCTACATGAAAGCCGAGACAAAGAGCTAAAGAAATCTGGCATTAGGTTGGTACAAAAGTAATTGCGGATTTTGTCATTACTTTCAATGGCAAAAACCACAATTACTTTTGCACCAGCCTCATAGGAGAGAACTCAGGGAGAGGTTGTGAGGTCTGGGAAGCAGGTGAAATCCACCCTTTTTGTGGACCTTGACCAAGGAGCAGACCTTGCAAAGTTGTAGCAGGTGAAATAGCCCATGTTTATAAAACTCGTCTTTTGACACCAGAGTAACCAGGATAGACCCTCAGCTTTACTTAAATACTAGATTTTTCTATTGAAATGTCTTGACTTTGGCTTGAAAGATCAAGCTTATGATCTGGCATAAGAGAGTAATATGAGGTAGAACTACTTACCATGTTGTGGAATCTTAGAGTTCATGTCCCCTAAACACAAGAACCCAACATGCACAGGTTGGAGAAGACCTGCTGATGAGCTGGCTTTGGGTTAGGTTGCCATCCTCTAAAACAGATCCTGATCTGGGCAACTAAGACTTCATGCCTCTCCCCTTCTGAAATGAGTGACTTTGTCTTCTCAGGTTAATGATCTTCCATGGTGCATACTGGCACTTTTTGATTGGGAAAGTACCAGATGGAAAGTGGATGTTCTCCTTCTACGTGGTGTGCTCAGAAGTCCTGACCTAAACCAGTTTAACAGCCTCCTTTCAAAGACTCAGACCATATTTTACTTAGCTATCACACTTCAACATATGGATAAAAAAGCCAACATTTTAAATTGTGAGACTACACTTTTAGAATGAGAAATAATCTTGTCCAGTATTTCCCTAACTGACTTCCATAAGCATTCATGTAAGTGTGGCTAACTCTTTATTCTATACATGTTTCATGGAGAGTCACAGTGCATATTAGCCATTAAAGACTCTAAGAAGTTCTGCTAAAATGAAAGCTGTTGAAGTCTGTTTAGTCTAAGTATTCTCCAAATACAATTGTCCACCATTTTTATTGGTATAAATGTTTGGGAGACATGACTATAGCAGAAAGCCCCCTCCCTTCCTTCCTTCCTTGCATAGTTCTGGGTTTGTAGAAGACACACAAAATAGTTGTTGGCTTCTTGACATTTTAGACCAGATAATCCATCCCTCCCTCCCTCCCTTCCTTCCTCTCCTCCTCCCTTCCTCCCTTCCTTCCTTCCTGGAGCTATCTCCTGACTGCTGATCCTGAGTTCTTTCAATCTTATCCTAATGATGTTAACTAGTGACTTATACAACAGATATGAGGTGACAATAAGCTGATTCAGGGCCTTCTCACCACCAAAGGCCATGCCCTAGGGGACCTGTCAGGCTATGAAGCTGCCTCTAGCAGAGGAGTTCTCTAGGCAGAATGTTGGCAGCTTAGAGGCTTGGGAGTATTAGTATTGCCTGAGACAGAGGGCTAGAAGAAATAACATAGCCTCAGACATACCTTCATAAACTGTCCCTGAAGACCCAAGAAGTGGGGGACAGTAGTGATGAATCCAGGTGGCAGGCAATACTCAGCAGACTGGCTGGCAGGTGATTGTCAGCCAGACAATCTGTCCACTCACAGAGGTCTCTGCCACTAAGCTAGGGTGGTAGGTGAGGCACCTAGATAGGAGGGCTGAAATGGGTAGAGCAGGCTCCACCAGGAGGGAGTTTGGGTCAGGCTTATCCTAGAGAAACACAGAGAATTAGGCAGAATAACTGATCAGAACTCAGAGATACAGATCATGAAAAAGACCAAGGATAAAGCCCAGGCCTAGCCCATCAGATGATGGGAAAAGGGTCATCCCTAGAAGCACTGAGTCCCAGGACCAATTGGCAAAAAGGAGACTTAGTTACAATAGTCAAAGAGCCCCTGAGTCCTGAGGCTGGAAAGGAGAATATTCTGATCATGGGCATCAGACTGCTCTGCTATTTACTGTCTCAAGGAACATGAGGCAGAGCCAAGAGACAGCACCTCATAGCCCCATAGGCATTGCGGATGAACAAATCAGTGCTCCCAGTGGGCCCACCTTAATTCATTTCCAATAGATTTTGGAGCTTCTATGGTCAAGGGACAAAGTGATTGCCACTTCTAAGTACTCTCCATTCCTTCTCATTCATTCATTCAGCCAATAAATAATTATTGATCATGATAACATGTGCTATGCACTATGCTTGGGGATAAAATGGTTTTATGATCTAGTGGAATAACCAGACATTGATTGAATGGCTTACAGAATCACACAAAAACTGCAGTGGTGTCATATACTATGAAAGGGAGGTAGGTATTCAGTATTTTGAGTGTCTATATTAGAAGGATTTGACCTAGTCAGGGAAGGGGAGAGGGTGCTCAGCTTACAGCTGGGAGAATGTAGCATGCATAAGGGTATAACACCTGGGAGGTGGAACTGGAGGGCTGAGGGAGAGAGAGAACGTGGTACAAGAGGGGTCTGGGAAGATCAGCAGACATCAGACTGCACAGTAACTTGAGTTCTCTTTGAGAAATTTTATCATCATACTATGAGCAATAGGAAGCCAGTGAGTGTTTTGAGCAAAGAGGTAGCATGTCTACATTTATGTGTGTGCATGTGTTGACTTTTTATTATAGAAAATTTCAAACACACAAAGGAGAGAGAATAGTGATGTTAACCCCCTTTGTACTCATCACTCAGCTTCAATGGTAATCAGTATTTGCCTATCTTGTTTGATATTTCTTCTGCCCATTATCTGGAATATTTTAAAGTAAATTCAAAACATCACACTATTTCATCTAGAAATGTTTCAGTATGCATATCCAACTGATAAAGACATTTTCTTTCAGATTTGTATTTTGAGATAATCACCCTGGCTACACTCTTTATATGGTTTGGCTCTGTGTCCCCACTCAAATCTCATCTTGAATTGTACTCCCATAATTCACACATGTTGTGGGAGATAACAGTCATGGGGGCGGTTCCCCCATACTGTTCTCATGGTAGTGAATAAGTCTCTAGAGAGTTGATGGTTTGATAAGGGGAAACCTGTTTCTCTTGGCTCTCATTCTCTCTCTTGCTGCTGCCATGTGAGACATGCCTTTCACCTTCTGCCATGATTGTGAGGCCGCCCCAGCCACATGGAACTGTAAGTCCAAAAAACCTTTTTATTTTGTAAATTGTCCAGTCTTAGGTATGTCTTTATTAACAACATGAAAACAGACTAATACAACTCCGAAGAAAGGATGTGACAGGACCCAAAGTAGATGTGGGTAAATTTGTTCATTTAGGCAAGAGGGGAAGTTAACTTGGACATTGATAGTGATATCAGTGATGGAGATAACTGGGTGAGTCCCAGAAACATTTATGAGGTAAAACCGACAGGACTTGGTGATAGATTAGGCTGAGAGTTGGGGTGTGGGAGGTGTCTAGGTTGACAGCACATTCCTAGATAGATAAATGATGATGCCACTCAATGAGAAAAGAAGTCCTGGTAGGGACCACTCCTGGGGAGGAAGATTATGAATTAGAGTTTGGACATGCTGAGTATGAGCGACCTCAGCAATGTGCACAATATGTTGTCTAATAAGCTGCAGGTAGAGGACAAGTCTTGGTTAAAGATGCACATGTATGACATGTATGAGTTACCATCAAGAAAATGTTAATTGAGTAAAATCGTTTTTTTTTTTTACTCTGAAACTAACCAGAGGCAACAAAACAAAACAAGACAAACAAACAAACAAAAACGGAGAAAGCCCAGGACTAAGGAACTCTACATTTAATGGCAAGGTAGAGAAAAATATTCTTGGGAAAAGAATAAAAAAAGAGTAACTACAGAGGTAGGAGAAAAATTCAGAAACCCAAAAACTCCAGGGAAAAAGTCCTAAGAAGCCTTCCCACCTCCTGAGGGAATGCCCAGCTGAGCATAGGGGGCATTTGACAGCTATTGACCCTATTGTTTAACCCCAGGAATGAACTACACTGGTACTTTGATGGTGCGTGGTTGTCCCCAACTCCATTCAGTCATTGTCACACACATTACACTCATAGTCCCATAATCATTCCTGAATCCTCAGTACCTAATGCAGTACCTGGCACACAGGAGCTTCTTGTTGAATGTATGCTGAGCTATACTAAAAACACACAGAGAACTGAAACAGCTCCACCTTCAAAAGAAGAGAATTCTCAACCTCATTCAGGGACGTCACACTGGCCTTTGCTGTGTAAATCTTCAGGCTTCTGAGCCACCTGTGGGATCCTGCACCACCCCATGTGCCTTGAGCACAGGGCAAGCAGAGAAAAATTAAATACAACTGACATTTGGATTATTTGCACCACTGCCCCCTCCATTAACACAGAGAGAAAGTTAACTGAATTCCTGTTATTAAAATTTGCTTTGCCAGAAGTATTGTTAATGGCATTTTTAATCAGTATTAGCCTGCAGGTTGCATCAGTGGTGTTCATCAGCTTCCTTCACTGGCTCAGGCCTATGTGACTGACTCCTGTCATTATCGTCAGATGAGAGGAAATACACAAATGAATCTGAAAGGATGGGAGTTACTCTTCAGCAAAAAATTCATAGCAGTGCCATAATTCACTGTGGTGACACCAGCAACAGAACAAAGCAAATCAGGCTTGCTGAGCTCCAGATAAGAGGAGAAAAGCAAAAGTGTTTTATTCAGATGCAAAAGTCCTGGAATATTATGGCCAGGCATGGTGGCTCAAGTCTGTAATCCCAGTACTTTGGGAGGTCGAAGCGGGTGGTTCACCTGAGGTCTGGAGTTTGAGATCAGCCTGGCCAACATGGTGAAACCTTGTCTCTACTAAAAATACAAAAATTAGCTGGGCCTGGTGGTGCATGCCTGTAATCCCAGCTACTAGGGAGGCTGAGGCAGGAGAATTGCTTGTACCCCAGAGGCGGAGGTTGCAGTGAGCCAAGATTGCACCACTGCACTCCAGCCTGGGTGACACAGTGAGACTCCATCTCAAAAAAAAAAAGAAAAAACAAGTTATGGAGTATTATAATGGATGAAATACAGACAGAATAAATAAGAAATCTTAGATTAAGGAAGGAAGCTGACCTGTCCATTCAAATCTACCTTTGGGGCTTTACAGGTATTTACTAGGTATTTCAGAATGCTCAATTCTAGTTTGCATGCCCAGACAGAGGGCAGGGGCAGATATGTTGGCACCAGAATGGTGGTAAATGAAGAATCATTTATGTTTGGCTTTGGGAAAGATTTGGACCCACGAATTTGCATTGGCATCTAAGAGTTCACAAATAATCATGCAGCCTAATTAAGAAGATGGAACACTGGCAGCTTCCTGTTCCGCACCTCTCCACTGCATGCTAAGGACAGGGCCTCCTTTCTCAGGCCGATGAAAAGCACTCACCTGGCCGGGTGCGGTGGCGCACGCCTGTAATCCCAGCACTTTGGGAAGCCGAGGCGGGTGGATTACCTTAGGTCAAGAGTTTGCGAACAGCCCGACTAACATGGTGAAATCCCGTCTCTACTAAATACAAAAAAATTAGCCAGGCATGGTGGCGCGTGCCTGTAATCTGATCTATTTGGGAAGCTGAGACAGGAGAATCGCTTGTACCTGGGAGGCAGAGGTTGCAGTGAGCCCAGATAGCGCTATTACACTCCAGCCTGGGAAACAAGAGCGAAACTCAGTCTCAAAAAAAAGAAAAGAGAGAAGCATTCACCTTTGTTTAGGAACACTTCTCACCTTATGACTTCTACCCAGCTCATCCTTTCCACTCCCTGGAACAGGATAGGTGTGCTATGATGTTAGCATTTAACAGCTTCGGTGTTTTTTTTGTTTTTTTTTTTTTTTTTAATGTCAGGGTTGAGTCTGGTAGCAAACTCTTTCAGCAACGAAATAAACCAGATCCCTCATTCAAACCTCTGTTTTAGGACAAAGTGCATTCCACTGTGCTGTTTTCCCTACAGCAATCACCATACTATATATAAGGGGTTGTTGGCCTGAATATCTTTTTAAGTGAGAGAAGACGCCATGTATGTTTAACTCTAAATTCCTAGATCTCAATATAGCCCCTGGCTCAGAGTTGGGGCTCAATAAACGTTTTTGAATAAATGAGACAGACAAAAATCCTCACTTCAATGATTTTATTTTTCACTTCATTTGGGACATGTTCATAAATTATATCTGTGAGAGTCCATAAAACTTCTCTTTCTGTCCTCTCAATTCACAGAAGAGAAAATGGAAGGCAACAGGGATTATTATGTAAACGAATCTGGTGGGTTTTTAGTATGTTAGCGGTGGCTGTTTTACTGGTGCATCACATCAAACTTTTTATTTTTATTTCAATAATTTCAGGGTAACAGGTAGTATTTTGTTGCATGGAAAAGTTATTTAGTGGTGATTTCCAAGATTTTGGTGCACCCAAACAATGTACACAATGTACCCAGTGTGTAGTCTTCTATCAACATTTTTTGTTGTTTCTCATTTGCCATCAGTAGTTCCTAACAGGTAATGCCCATAGGATAGCAAAACAAGGAGAGTATTTACAGTTCTGCCAGGGGAGACCCTCAGAATTCCAGGCCCTGAGACTTTTCTATTAGAGATACTTGAAGGTCTCAACAGATCATGAAAGGTTAATTGATTTGTCAACACCACTAGTTAGTAGCAGAAACAGCTCCTAGTTAGTAGCAGAGATAAGAACACCCAAGGCAGATCCCTACTTTCATATCACCTTCCTCTCAAACTGGAGGAATTTATATCCTGATTTAGTGCCTTCCCATTTTCAAAGCCTCTCTGGAGCCTATGACCCAGGAATCTGGAAGGAAACTTGCACTGACTCATTCACCTACAAGAATGTGCCACTGAATCTCTCTTTTAGTCCTATAATAAAAATTTCTGCCTGAGGCAGCTGCCATTTATAGCACAACTGCTTGTGTGCACCTCAGACCTCATCACCTCATATTCCCCCAGGATGTCTAGATTGAGATTTTCTGCCTTTCTGTCTGGCTGATGTGCTTGAATTCTTGAATCTCATTCCTGTTGTCCTCTACTTTTTGCCAATTGCTATAATTATGTTATTTCAAGCAGAGCTAGTTTGCTTCCCAGCACACCATTGGGGGAGGGGGGGTGTCATCTCAGTGACACACTGATGCCCAGCAACTAAGAATTTTTAGACTTTGGTTCCAAATGCTAGTAATGATCTCTCTCAAGTCTGCTCACAGAGTCCAGTTCTAGTTTTCATCCAATAAATGGAAATTCCACCAGCATTTGCTCTACCTTCTAATTGAAATCTTGAAGTATGAAACAGCCAGAGGAATGATTTGGGCCTAACTGGAATAATGTGAGACAAGGTTGACCAACAGTCTCTGCCCAGAAAGCAACCTACCCCCGTTCACTGAGGGGATTGTTTCTTTCTTTACTGTGCTTAGCAACTCCTGTCATAAGAGACAACTTATTCTGAGCAGACATCTTCCTCTTCTTGGAGGTGTCAGGGACTGTCAGATTGTGTAAAGATTTGGGGGCTTTGGAATTCAGCTAGGATCTGTCTAAAGGTGATTCTTATACTGGAGTTACATGAATCACTGCTCCAGAGACAGCCAAGTCCCAAAGTAAACTCAGGATAAAGAGTGTCTATAAATTCAGAACACCCAAGGGACGGGCAGAACTCTGCAGATTTGACTCTACTAACATTGCAGTATGATGCAGTGAGCCTGGCTTTTAATTATTCCAATAAAAGATTGATTCTTTGTTTGCAGTACATTCTGCTACTGTGTAAAAATAGCTCTTTAGTCAAAAAATCCTAACGTGGTTAATGTAGCTGGACTTGATTTCAGGGACTCCTTGGTGAGTTAGTGACAAAGGCTGTAGTACTAGATTAATGAGGCCAGGTCAGGTGATCAATTCCCTTGTCCTATTCCATGTTCAAAGATGATGCCTTTTAACTTTCCTGCAAGTACATGCCAAGGCCACAAGGGAGGATGGGTACAGGAAGGAAAAAGAAGGGGATTTGAAGTAGTAAGTTTATCAGAGATAACAGGATAAACAACTCAAAGCATATGCAGAAGTCTCCTCTGACATTGCTGTAAAGAAGCTTACTTCAAAAGGATGTTACTTCTTTACACCTTGTCTCTCCCTTTTCCCATATATTTAAGAAATTCATGTACACAATCCACCAGATGCTTATATGGAGCACTTTAAAAATGAGAACACACTCATTCATTCATTCAACAAATATTTATTGATCATCTGCTGTGTTCTAAGCACTACCCTAGGCTCTGGAAATACAGAGATGAACCTGAAATTCAGAGATGCCCTCATGAAGTTTTCATTCTACTGGGAAGATATGTGTAAACACATCCATAAGTAACTTCACATAGTGAAAAGTATAAACAATAAAATAAGACTATGGGATAGAGAGTAACTGGTGTCAGTTAAGGAAAGTGTCTCAACTTTAGCTTTGAAGGTGAGGGCAGAGCTCTGAGGAGGTAATGTTAGCTAGACCTGGACCATGAGAAACAAGTATCCCCCAAAGATCAGGGGAGATAATTCAAAATAGGGACAAAGACCTGAAACAGGGTCAAGTTCGTGTGTTCAGGAGACATAAAGCCAGCATGGCTAGAGCCTAGTGGAAGAAGAGGAACATGGTGGGACATGAGGTAGGAGGAGGCTGAGGCTAAATCAGGTAGGACCTGAAGACCATGGCAAGGAGTTTGCTTTCTATTCCAATTGCAAGATGAAACCACTGGAGAGTGGTGGTAGCCAGTGATGGCTGCCAATGATCCTGCCTCCTGGTATTCACACCCTTGTATTACACCTTTCCACATCAGATCAGAATTTGTCTGCAGGAACATCAGCATATGGAAGAAGTGATCATATGTGATGTCTAGATCACAATTTCTCATCCACAACACCATTGACATTTTGGACCAGATAATTATTTGTTGTGCAAGGCTGTTGTAGGGGCCAAGGAAAAATGTCCCCTTCACACCCAATGAAGGTTCACTGAAAATCACTGAAGAGGCAGATTAATAGGAGAAAAGGTATATAAATTTATTTAATCATAGTTTTAAATGACATGGAAGCCTTCAGAATAAAGACCCAAATACACAGGAAATTGTTCATTTTTATGCTTAGTTTCAACAAATTATGGACAGTCATATAGAAATATAATTGGACAAAAAGAGTATGAGATAATGCTAATAGACTGAGTGGGGAAACGCAGCAAGGCCTGTCTGTCCAGACTCTTGGCCTGCCTGTGAAACATTCCTTTCTTCTGGGTATGGGGCAGGACTGTCTCTGGAATGGGGGTCTATGACCTACAATCAAACAAGGTAGGTCAGATCATTTCTTTGTGGCCAGCTTTTACACAGAAATGTGGGAGGAAAGATGGAGTATATTTTTAGCTTCTATGGATGGCTTTGAGGAAAAGGGCTTCTGGTTTCTATGACCTGCCTTGGGAAAGAATGATTCTAATTTCTATGGCTAACCTTGGCAGAGAATGAGAGGCCAGAAACAGAGGGGTAAGAGAAGCTCAGAGAAAACCTTTTGCTCTGAGACTGCTTTGGCAGCCTTCACTTTGGGGTATCATTTTCTGAGCCTCAAAACTGCACTGTCTTCCACATTATAGAATATTCAGCAGAATCTCTGGCCTCTACCAGTTAGAGGGGAGTATGTACTCCTTCCTGCAGTTGTGATAACCAAAAATATTTCTTTAAACCAGGTCATATGCTGCCACAGGGTATGGAGGAAAATCCCCCCTGGTTGGGAATAGCTGAGTTAGATCATAAAATTCATGGTGGCTACTGCCTTGTTTTCTCTCCAATCACTCAGGCTGGGGGAAGCCAGATGCCATGTTGGGATGACACTGAAGTAGCCTCATTGAGAGGCCCATATGGCAAAGAACTGAAGCCTCCTATTAACAGCCATGGGAGTGTACCACCGTGGAAGCAGATCCTTCAGCCCCAGTCAAGCCTTCAGATGACTGCAACCCCAGCCAACATCTTGACTGTAATCCCATGAGATACCCTGAGCCAGCACCTCCCAGCTAAGCCTCTCCTGAATGCCAATTGTTAGATGATAAACTCCTGTTGTTTTAAGCTAATTTTGTGGATAATTTGTTAGGCAACAATAGATAATTTCAGAACAAGCATGATTTCATGCAATTTATACCTTAGGGTCTTTCTGGCTGCTGTGTGGAAAATAGACTACAGGGGAGACTGAATTCTGATGAACAAGCTATTGTCATAATCTGAGCAAGAGATTATGGTGGCACAAACAATGGTTTGCAATGGTTAGGGTCACTACTAATTCTTATAGCATGACTGTGAAAATTAGAAGGAGGCACCTAGTCTTCGAGGAATTTTAATGATATCTGTTAGAAGATTATTATGATATTCTGGATTTTTGAGAAGAGAAAACATTTAGACCATCTGCTGGAAGTTTTGTATTACAAAAATACAAATCTGGCCGGGCATGGTGGCTGTAATCGCAGCACTTTGGGAGGCTGAGGTGAGTGGATCACTTGAGGTCAGGAGTTTGAGACCAGCCTGGCCAACATGCTGAAACCCCATCTCTACTAAAAGTACAAAAATTAGCCAGGCATGATGGTGTGCGCCTGTAGTCCCAGTTCCTTGGGAGGCTGAGGCAGGAGAATCGCTTGAGCCCTGGAGGTGGAGGTTGTAGTAAGCCGAGATCACGCCACTGCACTCCAGCCTGGGCGACAGAAGGATACTCTGTCAAAAAAAAAAAAAAAAAAAAACTATGGTGTCTATCATTAGTGGGAACTCTGTTATGCAGTGCACAACCTGCACGATCATATATGGAGATCCTGGCAGTGATTATATTGAGACTTCTCTGACTGGAGACAATTTTGGATATATTTTGGATTGGGTGTTGAGTATGAGGAAAAGACATCTGTTGGGTTATGGCTTGAATAATTTGGTCATTGAGGGTCCTGTTTACTGAAACCAGGAAGACAGAGGGAGGATACAGTGGCAAGGGGGTGGGAAAGGAGGCTGTATGTGAAGGAAAAGCAATAGTTCTTTTTGGCTATGTTAAGTTTGAGATGCCTAACAAATATCCAAATTAGATGTCAAGTAGGGAGTTGAATTTATGAGACTGGAGCTCAGGATAGAAGTCAGGGCTAGAAAAACACATTTGGGAGTTATCAGCACATAGGTATCTTTTAAAATCACAGAACCAGACAGGATTATCTAGAAAGAATATGTCAACAAGAAAGAGAAGATGCCCAAAGGCTGAGTAAACTGTGAAGTGCTCCAACATGTAAACGTTGTAGAAAGGGGAGGAACCACAAAAGGAAAAGAAGAAGGCTTCATCAAGTGAAAGTAGAAAAGATAAAAGGAGAGGGTGGTGGCCTGAGAATGTAGACCATACAGAATTTCAAAAGCATGGAGCAATCAATGGAGACATCATTAGATCTGGGCATGTGCACTGATCAAGGAGAGCAATGCTTTGTATGTATCAAACACTAATTCTTACCAATTAATGAGTGAACAAAAATGAGCAAACATCCAGGTTGTGTTTTCTATGTGCCAGACACTGTTACAAGTTCTTTACATATATTAGCTCAGTTAATCCTCACCATGACGCTATAAGGCAGGAACTATAATTCCTATTTCCAGATGAAGGAACTGAGGCCCAGAGAGGTTCATTGCTAGAATGTAGTAGAGCAAGGATATGGACCCAGTGATCTGGCTTCAGAGCCAATGCTCTTAACCTCTATGCTGCGCGGCTCATAAATGAATGAATGAGATACTTGTAATTATTTTAGAACTTTGCATGTGGCTTCGGAATACATTGAATTATTGTTTGAGTTCAAAATTTTATTCTGCCCTATCTGATTTTAAATGCATTTGCTTTACCTGAGCTCACTCCATCTAGGTGGAATAATGAAGTCAACCAGGAAGAGATGGGGCAATGTGAGAAATCAAGCCTTTCATTAAAACAGGACCGTGCGCGATGCGTAAAAGCAATATCACTGTGCTAGCAACCAAGTAGACCATATCTCACTGACAGTGTCAAAGGTTAGGCCCATTTGTTTTCAATTTTAATAGAAGAATCCATTTGCAGAGGATTCTCTGCAAATTCTAATTCTCATTTCTGACTTTCCCCCAGCTCGACTGTTTAGTTCCTTTCCTTCTGTGGACATCTTTTATGCATTATCCCACATGCTCTCAGCCCAATGTTTTAGCTCCTGCTTTTGCTGTAGCACCCAGTGCAGCTGCACACAGGTATAAGCTGACAGCACCTTGCCTCAGTTACACCCCGTAGCTCTTGATTTCTGCCCAGGGCTGCTATGCATCACCATGGAGGGAGCCTGTGGAAGCCCTGTCAGCTACACTAGCATATGTCCAAACCTGGAACTGTGAGGGATCTAACACCCCATTAGGGTTCTTAGACCAATGGGGGGCAGTGGCTGGTGGACAAACACTCCCCTCTTCAGTGTGTCTGGTGGATGCCTCTAAGGAGCCTGCTACCCAGTTCTGCTAGGAGAACTGGCCAATCAAGCTCTGGTTGCCTGCAGCAATGCCCTCAATAACATACCCTTGGGTTGGCTTTGTCTCCTTTCCTATTTCACTTCCCAGACCCTCAATTCTGTTCCTCAGAGTCTCTTCCCAAAACAAATGATAGGAACCAAGCCCTCGCCTCAGGCTCTGTTTTTTTTTTTTTTTGGGTGGGCCACATTAAGACTATCTTAGTCACAATGTCAGTGGATTAACGAGACAGGCTGCGGTGGAATCTTTCCTGAGAGATTCATAATCACCACCTACAGCCTGCAGAATTTAGGAACAGGACTGGGCTGCAGCCCTGGTTCCACTGTTTGCCTACTAAGTAACCTTAGACAAAACACATTAACTTCTCTGTGACTTTCTCATCTATAAAATGTGAAAAACAAGAGCATCATCCTCCAAGGATGTTGAGAGATAATGGATATGGTAATAAAGTGACAGATATGTGTAGAGTTGGTAAATAGAAACTACACAAATGGTGTGTATATATGTGTGTGTGTGTGTGTGTGTGTGTGCATTCTTTCTAACAAGTCATCTCCAAGCCGTAAGAAAATTATTCCAAAGTGCATTTATACAATATAGTAACCACTAGCTACATATGGCTATGTAAATTTTTATGAAATAAAATTAAATAGAATTAAAAATTCAATTCCTTAATCACACTAACCACATCTCATGTGCTCAATAGCCACATGAAGCTAGCAGCCACTGCATCACCAGATGGCACAGATATAGAACATTTCTATCATCACAGAAGGTTTGCTCGGACAATATTGTTATTCAAGTGTATTATAGCCTGATGCCAAGAAAGATAAGGTTATCGTGGGGGGAAGATGTCATGTCTTGAACTCTCTAAGGCTGTGTCCATTAAACAGATATCCAGGAATTTTTCTTCCTGCAGCTTTCCATTCAACTAGGAGTCCAGGCCCATCTGGATAGGGCATGATCCCCAGAGCCAGGATTTCTGGGCCTCTACCAGCACTGGTTTCAGAGCACATGCCCCTGGGTAAGGTAGGCACTACAGCTCTGAGCAACAGAATGCTGCCCTCTCCCCTGCTGGTTGGCATGATAAAAACTGGGCACCATGAAAAAGGAAGCAAGTCCAGCCATTCTCGAGAGCCACAGCCAACTACCAAGTGCTCCTGCAGGAATGTCACCAACTCACTGGCCACACTACCCTCCTTATGGAAATCTCAACTAAGGACTATATCTTCTACATGCATGACACATGCCTGAAAAGACACACATGGGAAGACATGTCACAGGTAGCACATAGGGATGGAAGGTCCTCTATCTCCCACCCCCATGCCGTTACTGCCTGAGCTTTGAAAGGACAGTTGGGGTGATTTTCCACTATGGGTGCTGTAGATGCCCTCAGCCTTCTACTGACCTACCCATAAAGCTGACAGGCCAAGGCAGCATAGGTCCTGGCAGAGATGGGCTGTGGGAGATTGTGAAGTGGAAAGTTTGTCTTCCAGACCTCACTTAGTGCCCATGAAATGCTCTCATGTAAACCTGGCAGGGCCCAGTCTGGATGCACTCAAAATATTATTGCACCTGTTTTTCTGACCTGACCTTTTCCATCGTCAAAATTTATCTATGTGTCTGAGTAATACATGCTAATGTGAAAAATGGGTAAATACATTATCCCATGAGATCTAGAGTTTACTTAAATATTCCTGAAATGCAAACTCCTAACTCGATATACTTCCCCAAAGGGAAATATATTTGTTGAACTGAAAGTAATGAATCCCATCAGCAAAGCCTCTCATTTTTATAGCCACCTTCACCTCCTGTCATACACACTCATGCACAAAGAGTAATGATTATGGAGCTTGGAAAAATCAAAACCAGCATCTGTGAGGTTCATGTAAAGTTTGTTGACTTTTGTCTCAACCTGCTTCTTAGTAGGGCTGATCCCAGCACCCAGGGAACCCAGGGCACCTGACACCCTCCCTAGAAAGGAGAATGGAGCTGTACTTGGCAAACACTAAGAATCTTCCTTCTCCCTTTTCTCATTATGTCTCACATTGCCACACTTTTGGCCCTTGGCACTTCATGTTGTGCTAGGCTCTTCTTCCACCAGCCTTTGGTAGCTCTGTCGGACCAGCTTACTTCTCACTTCCTGGCTCTGGAAAATGTTCCCAGCATTCGTTCCTTAATTAACATCTCTCTTGACTTGCCAAGACCTAAAACCAGGGCTCCAAATATAACCTTGAAAAAGTGGCACATCAAACAGAGGCAGAATCTAATAGGTGAGGCAGAGTTAGATCTTAGAATGTCTCTCACATTACACCAATACAAACAACCTGTTGCAGAATTTAGACATTAAAAATTTCGGCCTTAGCCAAGTGCAGTGGTGAGTGCCTGTGGTCCCAGCTACTCTGGAGGCTGAGGCAGGAGGATTGCTTCAGCCCGGGAGTTTGAGACTGTAGTGCACTATGATATATGTAGTGTGCACCTGTGAATAGCCACTGTGCTCCAGCCTGGATGATACAGTGAGCCCCCATCTCTAAAAATATTTGGGGGGGTGTATTTTGAAGTCAGAGTGTCTGGGTTCAAAGGATAGCTGTGCTACATAACTGTGGAATGCCACATGAGTTACTTAACTTCTTTACACCTCACTTCCTCAACAGTGAAATGTGACCATAATATCATCCCCATGATAGAATTTTAGAGAACTAAAAATGAGATAAAGTATAAAAAGCACTTAGCATAGTGTCTTTACCATAGTTAGTGATTAATTAAGGATAGCTATCATTAGTAGTATTATTACTTTTTCAATATATTCATCATCATTATGCAGTTAATAATTATCAGAGCTCTCTGAAATTGTTTTGAGTTAGCAGTCAAAAGGGACAAAAGCAAGAAAGCCAAGACCTGTGCCACTCAAAGAAGAAATTTTGCCCTCTTGATCCTCTTGAGCCTCCCAGCTACCAAAACACAATTGTTACCCAGAGAAATGATTAGACTTTACGTGCCTGTTTATTTTGCCACATTTCCCACCCCCTTCCTATTTGTGTCTTGACTTCTCCTCGAAAATAAATAGACATTTATTTAATCAGCTAGTCAAGGGAAATGTTCCTTTGTTACTCTCACCGAATTGAGGAGTATAAAGAATCCTGTCATTTATAAAACCGGGTGAAATGGCGCATTTTCCCTTAATTTTCATCACATGCTTAAGTGATATTTCATGAACACAGAAAAAAAAAGAAACAGAAGGATGATTCACTATTTTCTTCAAACAGATTTTTGCAGTGACATTTTTCAACAAGGTAAGAATTATTTCTCAAGGAAAAAAAATTCTTATCTTCACAAACAAACAAAAGACAGAAAAAACCCACAAAAGTGACATTTTCTTTTCCCTAGAGAACATCTTTCTTCCTACGAGACCTGCCTTTCACCTCGGCAGTCAGCTCCAGGTGTTAATGGAAAATGCTTTGGTGTCTCTAACTCCTGAAAACTATGAATCATTTCCAATCCCTGCAGAAATGAAAATTAACATCCTGAGTTTATGATGTTGGCATTCATCTACAAAAGCCAGGCCTCACATTTGAATATAAATATTTCTGGACAAAAAGCAAGGCATGAAGAAAAGAATCCCAAACTTCTCACATGCTATTTATCTCTGCACCTCCTCCTCAGCCTTTAAAAACAGACACACACAGCAATTTAAGACCCTTTGTACTGGTCCAAAAAACAACTGGCACCACAGCAATCAAACACTGAACAAAGTAATTTGCTCCAACGAATCCCTTTCAAATGGCTTGCTGGAGCAATTCACAGGTGTAGCCTTTGTCCTTCCATTTTAATAGCTGTGGCAGAGGTATGTAGGCCATAAATAATTATTTGAGGGTGACTGACGAAGGAGAGATAAAGGGAGGAGTCATTCCAAGTAAAGATTTCATACCACTTCAACATCAGTGGCCACCAAATGAAAATGAATCTGCTTTGGCCTTGGTGGGCAGAGAGTGGACATCCCATTCTTCGCCTGGTGCTAAGGACACCAACATTTTTTCAGCCTACTGAGTGTGAAAGAGGCAAAAACCATGATAAAGACAAACACTTCTATTTACTCTCAGATTATACAGTTACAAGCCTGGAATTCTACTGCAGGGAGTGATTTCAGGGACAGCCTGCCCAGATTTGCTCCCTGACATCGTTTAAAATTACAAAATCTCTAGCATCTTCTGCCGCCTCCTTCATTGACAGTTTAACAAGAAGGCCAGTGGCTAACTAGCCTTAAAGGCTTCATTTGTCTTGCCCCTTAAAATAATTAGTGATATTTTCAGGGAAGCTAATGCCTCTTCTCTGAGAGAAAGACCAATACTGGCAGACGGTGGTTATTGGAGAAATCAACGTGGGCATGTTTTTTGCACAATCTGGTCAATTATATAGTCTTACAATTAATCTAACCTTGTGAAGAGCAAGTGATTCATCTAAAACTAGGATTGCCAGATAAACTACAGGACACCCAGTTAAATTGAATCTCAGAGAACCAATAAATATTTTATAGTATGTTTCATGCCATATTTGGGGTATACATATACTAACACACATCTGATGTTTATCTGAAATTCAAATCTAACTTGGTGCTCTGTATTTTTATTTATTTGCTAAATTTAGAAACCTTATTTTGACACCCCCGCCCCCCCGTGTAATTGTGGGTAAGTAGATGAACCTCTCTGCATGTGTTCTCTTAGCTGTGATATGGAGATCATTTCTATCCATCTGCTCACTAAAGTTAAAATAAGGAAGCAATGATCCAATGTCTCAAAGGTGCTTCGGTAAATTGTAAAGTTCTGAATGCGTAGATATGTAAAGCATTTAGAAGCATGTCTTGCATATAGTAAGTGCTTTATATGTGTTTGCTAAATAAACAATTGCATACATACAGAACACACACATATACATATATATACACACAGAAATCTCCACTGTACAATCTCATTTACTTCTTAGCATGTTCACTGTGCTCAGTTAGATAATTACAGGGTAAGGAAGATGTTAAAGGAACTAAGAGGAAGGTTTCCTAACCCAGATGGGAAGGTCAGGGAAAGTTTTTCAGAAGAAGAAAAAGATGTGAGATATTTATTCATGCCACATTAATTTACAGCAATTTTTCTCACTCACATGCACAGATGCATACTGCACAAACTATGTCATGGACTTTCTTTCACAGGTTCTGAGACATGATCATTTAGAGAATGACAGCCCCTCATTCATGCCACTGTAGATAGTTATATTTTCTCAGCATATATTTTCTCTCATAAATGAATAGTATGGAGGACAGGGAAGGAGAGAGAAAGAGCCACAAAAACCTCTTGGAAGCTCTATAAATCAGCTTGACTGAGGCTGTCATTTTCAAAAAAGCTGGATTAACTTTTTGATTTGTTTAGGTTTTGGTTGCATAAAGCCTATTTTTCATGCAAAAGACTTGAACTTTTCAATTTTCAATTTATATTGTCTTTGATAAAGCCCAAATGCTCGCTTTTATCTCCCAAAGAAAAAAATTATTAATAAAAATTTCAATCAAAATCTATTTATATAACTATTGTCATTTTTAGCAGGGCTTCAGGCTTCATTACAGATACCAGAAATGCATTTCAAAGTGTGACCTGAGATGTGTGAAATTCAAACACATGGAAATTCAAGCACTAACAACATTACTAATGGCCTTAATGAAGACAGAACATAAAAAGAGAGGTTGGGAGTAGAGAAAGAAAAAGAAAATAAAAGAAAAAGATTAGATTAGACAATGTTTGTACAGATAATCAATCAAGAAACATTTACTGAGAACCTATGTACCCTGAATGCTGGACCTTCCAACCTATATAAAAGATGGCTCCTGTTAGGCATAGTGGACCACACCTATAATGGCAGCACTTTGGGAAGCTGAGGTCAAGAGTTCAATACCAGACTGGACAACATTGCAAGATTCCTATCTCTACAAAAATAAAAAATTAGCTGGGTGAGGTGGCACATGACTGTAGTCCCAGCTACTCAAAAGGCTATGTGGAGAGCATTGCTTGAGCCCAGAAGTTTGAGGTTACAGTGAGCTATGATCATGCCACTGCATTCCTGCCTGGGCAACAGAGAAAGATCCTGTCTCAAAAAAAAACTTAAAAAATAAAAATAAAGAGAGATGGCTCTTGTCCTCAAGAAGTTTGCAGTTCCATATAGGAGACAGACAAGTCGATGGGTAATTATGATATAGTAACAGAAACTTAAACCATAGACTGTGGAGGCACATAGGATAGAGTATTGAAGGACTTTACAGAAGGTCAAGGGATTTCACAGAGCCCATTTAATTAGGTGCAATCCCAAGAGGTCTAGAAGGGGCTTCAAGCAGAGACAGATTTTATAAAGCTTATCCTGCTTATAGTATGAAATCTGGACCCGCCAGAAGGGAGGCAAGAAGAAGATGCCAGTTAGAAGGCTGTCTAGTGGTGAATATGTTAATATCCTCTTTCCCAAGCACAGCCCTTTTTGCTTTGCTACAAGGTAAAGCTTAAGTTTCCAGATAGGTTAACCCAACTTCCTTTGATTTGTCCTGTCACTTTTCTGCACTCAGTGACCCTCAACTGATATCCAGCAGTATTTGTCATTTAAATTCTTCTCTCAGAATGTAATTTCCTTCGCTTCAACATCAACAATCACTCTAGAAAATTTGCTTCACTTTGCAAAGATAAATGGCATAAAAAACATCAAAACAAACAAAAAACGGGAGTAATTCAAAGCTGAACTCTGTTCCCCTGGGAAACAAGGAGGCTTAGCACAAAGAACACAGAACAGGGGTGCAAAATCAAGAGGTTTGGATTCAAGTACAGGTTTGCTGCTCAGGAGCTATGCAGCTGAGATGAGCCTCTCTCACCATTAACAGCTCTCCTATCTGACTCACATAAACGTGAGATAAAATGTGCTCAAGCATTTTGGATTCCTCAAATTATGTGATTCTAAGATAAGAAACTAAAATTCATTAAAGCCTACTCTATCATGTACTATACTAAGCACTTTATGAGTTTTATGTCATTTGATCTTACAAGCCTTCTTCTGTAATGTACATTATTGTACTCACTGTGCACATGAGAAAACTGAAACCCATAGATTCTGACCATTTTAGTCAATATCACGATATGAAGTGGAAGAGTCATGATCAGAATCCAGCTCCAGCTGACCTGAAAACCACTGTGTTTTCAATAACTTTTTAAAATAATATTCTAAACATATATGATTAGTGTAGATATCTTGGAAATACATAATCAATATAAAGAATCATACTGTGCTGTCTTACATGGGTACCCAGAATTGTGAGAGTAGGCTGGTTTTTATTTTCTTTATGTCTAGACATAAAGACATTTTATATAGTTTTTTATTGTATGCAAATATTCTTTTATACTTGACATCTAATTTTCATACAGCTTTAAACTATGATCAGTTTACTAAATATCCTTATGAGCATTTTCTCTATTAAAATTCTTCATAAATGTTTTATGACTGCATCATATTTGTGAAACTTCTCCTCTGTTATTAGATATTTAAGGTATATTTTCATGAGGTTTTATTTTTCAATGTAAATAACACTGTGTCAAACATCTTTTGGATTGATTTTCAGATGATGATTTACAAAGAGTATAAAATATTATCTGTGCCCTGTTATATATTACCAAGATGCTTTGCCATTAAAAAAAGTTTGAGCAATTCGCCCCTTCATAAGCACTCTATCAAAGTGTCTCTTACATGCAGTCTTGCTGACAACATATTTTTAAATCTTTAAACATTATTGTCAATAGTATCTTTTTTTATTTTCTATTGTCTTTGATTCTTAAAGAGGTTGAACATGTTTTTATGTGTATTAGTTTGATTTCCTCTTTGATGAATGCGTTTTCCACTTTTCTATTGGAGATCTCATTGTTTTACATATCAATGTGTATGGCCTCCTTATACATTATTATCTTCAACCTGTTGTCTTTCATGTTTGTCAGTTGATGTCTGTTATAAAACACTCCCAGTATAAGAATCTCTCCTTCTGTTTTTCCCCCCACAGAACATAAATGTTATTATGTGAATGTGACAAGCAGGAAGCTGTGGCTTGAAAAACTAGTACAAAAGATTTAGATAAAAAAATCAGTCAATGTTAATGATCACTCAGTTGGCCTGTACCATGGCGACCAGAGGCTACAATGCAGGTGATTCAGTTTGGTCATTAAGGTTTCCAGGAATCTCCTGTGAGTAAGTATCCCTGGCCCCGAGACAATCACACTACCTATGGGCTTTAATGACTACAAGCAGTTTACAAGCAAGAGGTTGAATACCTTTACAGCAGGGACCTGAATATCTAGCTTACTGCCTCCCACCACTACTGACTGGCCACAGCTGACGTGATGACTGAAATTTCTATTTCACTTGTGCAATAGAATCCATTTACTTGTTCTGACTTTCATGTCTCTAACAGCCTTAGCCTTTCTCTTACTATCAGTTGAGACACAACCTGAACGTCATTCATTCTTTTACTCATCCATTCATTCAAACAGATATTTATTGAACATAGTTATTTGTTGGCACTGTGCTTGGCACTAAAGATAGAATAGTAAATAAAAATGAACACAGTCCCTGGTTTCCTGGATTCTGGTGAGTCCCACCGAGAGAGGTGGCTAGAGCAGTGTCCTGTGGAAGTCCAGCAGAAATAAATTAAAGAGGTAGACCTGAGTGGACCATACAAGGCCTTGAACAATAAGAAGCCACTGAAATGTTGTAACCAGATTTGGGCTTTGGAAACATTTTTCTGGATGTTTGAATAGGAAAAAAGTTAGGGAATGGGACCAGTGTAACATCTGGAGCCTATTGCTACAGTTCAGGAAACGCAATGAGATTACCTTCTACTAGGCTAGACATAGAGATTGAGTTGGAGTTAGAGACCTTTTTCCTCAATGGTTTCTATTTCTTCATTTTCTCCTTTCTTCCTCCTATTCATCTGCATTGTGTTGAACAAGGTCCCTGACATCATAACTGTATGTCTCAATAGTGAAAATGTACTCAAAAATAGGAAAGGTGGGACTCAGCATAAATACTTTTGGCTGCCACCTAAAGGTCTAATGGTAAGAAGCCAGGTATTCAATGCCTTAAAGCCATAGAATTTCCACTTCTTTTCCTAGAACTGGCCTTTCTACTCCCTCCTTATTTGTAAGACAAGGCTATGAAAGCAAATCTTTCCTTCAGATAAAAAATAATATCATATTGGGAACTTATGCTGTCATTCTAAATCTCTTTGGAGCCTTTTAAAATGTAATTTTCAATTTAAAATAGGTGTTTGTTGAGTGTCTTCTACATGCCTGGTACTTTTCCAAGAGCTGGGAATATAGTGACAAACAAGACAGGCAAGATTTACACCCTGATAGAACTTACACTCTAGTGGGGGAGACAGCCATGTATGTACCATGAACAAATAAATAAATGAATAGAAATTTATATTTATCATTTCAGATAATGGTAAGTGTTTTTGAAGAGCTTAGATAGACAATTGGATAAAACAATGGTGGGTACTTCTGGCATAAATGCATACACAAACACTGGCAACACCATCCGCTGCCACTCCACTACAGCCGCTGGTGCAAACATATGCATGGAGGCCAGCAGTCTTGTATGTGCCAGCACTCTGCCCCCATCACTACCAGCATGAGTGCAAACGTGAACACCACAACCACCCCAACCCCACCTGTGCCATGCCCCAGCACAAGTGCATACAGGAACACTGCAGCCCTGCTCTTGCCAGTACCCCTCTAGCCAATGCATGTGTACCCTGCCATGCTGCCACAGCTGCTGGAACATGTAAGCAAACATGAATCCCACTGCCACTAACTGGACAAACTGCTTTGGCTGGCACCACCTGTCAGAGTGCTGTGATCAACAGACCAGGAACACCTTGGCCCCACCAGTGTTGCAGGTTCCTTACCTTGAGGAGCCAGAGAACAAAGCCGGGGGTCTGGTACCAGCCCCCCAGAGTGACAGCATGCAGATCAGGAGTGCTGAGCTGAGCTACAGCCCCCTACGATCTTTCAGAAAAAAAGCCCCATTGACTGAACCCACCTTATACTCCAAGCCCCCAAGGACATCAAACACAAAAGCAAAAAAATCCATTCAAAGGGTAGCAACTTAAAAGATTGAAGGAATATCAGCCTACACAGATGAGAAAGAACCAGCACAACAACTCTGGCAATGCAAAACCCAGAGTGTCTTCTTACCTCACAGTGACCACACTAGTTCCCCAGCAATGGTTCCTAAGCAGGCCGCAATGTCTGAAATGAAGAAATAGAATTCAGAATATGTATAAAAACGAAGATCATTGACATTGAGGAAAAAGCCAAAAACCAATCCACAGAATCTAAAGAATACAATAAAATGATACAGGAGATAAAAGATGAAATGGTAAATTTAAGAAAGAACCAAACATCTAACAGAGCTGAAAAACTCACTTCAAGACTTTCATAATACAATCACAAATATTAACAGAATAATCAACCAAGCTGAGGAAATAATCTCAGAGCTCAAAGACTGGTTCTCCAAAATAGTCAGGCAAAAATAAAGAAAAAACAATAGAGAAGAATAAACAAAACCTCTGAGAACTATGGGATTATGTAAAGAGACCAAGTCTATGACTCACTGGCATTCCTAAAAGACAGGGAAAGAAAGCAAGCAACTTGGAAAACGTATTTGAGGATATCATCCACTAATATTTCCTCAACCTTGCTAGAGAGTACAACATTTAAATTCAGGAAATGCAGAGCATCCTTATGAGATATTACACAAGATAATAGTCCACAAGACACATAATCATCAGATTGTTCAAGGTCAAATGAAAGAAAAAATGTTAAAGGCAGCTAGAGAGAAGAAGCAAGTCACCTGCAAAAAGAACCCCATCAGGCTAACAGTGGACCTTTCAGCAGAAACCCTATAAGCCAGAAGAGATTGGAGGTCTATATTCAGTATTCTTAAAGAAAAGAGATTCCAATGAAGAATTTCATATCCAGCCAAACTAAGCTTCATAAGCAAAGGAGAAATAAGATTCTTTTCCGACAAGCAAATACTAAAGAAATTTATTACTATCAGATTTGCCTTCGAAGAAGTCCTTAAGGGAGTGCTAAATATGGGAAGGAAAGACTGTAATCAGCTACCACAAAAACACACTTAAGTACCTAGACCACTGACTCTATAAAGCAACTACACAATCAAGTCTACACAATAACAAGCTAAAAACATGACAGAATCAAATTCATACATATCAATATTAACTTTGAATGTAAATGGGCTAAATGCCTCATTTAAGAGGAACAGAGTGTCAAGCTGGATAAAGGAGCAAGACCTAACCATATACTGTCTTCAAGAGACCCATCTCACATGCAATCACACCTACAGGCTCAAAGTAAAGGGATGGAGAAAAATCTACCAAGCAAATGGAAACAGAAAAAAGCAAGGATTGCTATTCTAACTTCAGACAAAGCCGACTTTAAACCAACAATGATCAAAAAAGATAAGGGCATTACATAATGGCAACAAGTTCAATTCAACAAGAAGACCTAACTATCCTAAATATACATGCACCCAACACAGGAGATCCAGATTCATAAAGCAAGTTCTTAGAGACCTATGAAGAGACAGCCACACAGTAATAGTGGGAGGCTTTTCACAGAATTAGAAAAAAATTGTTTTAAAATTAATATGAAACTGAAAAGGAGCTCAAATAGCCATGACAATCCTAAGCAAAAAGAACAAAGCTGAAGGCATCACATTACCCTTACGAGGCTAGTGTAACCAAAACAGCATGGTACTGGTACAAAAATGGATACATAGACCAAGGGAATAGAAGAGAGAGCCCAGAAATAATGCTGCACACCTACAACCATCTGATCTCTGACAGAGTTGTCACAAACAAACAATGGGGAAAGGATTCCCTATTCAATAAATGGTGCTAGGATAACTGGCTAGCCATATGCAGACTTTTTTTTCTTTTTCGTTTTTAAACTTTTATTTTAAGTTCAGAAGTACATGTGCAGGTTTGTTATATAACTCTCATGTGATGGGGGTTTGTTGTACAGATAATTTCGTCACCCAGGTCCTAAGCCTAGTACCCAATAGTTATTTTTTCAGATCCTCTTCCTCCTCCCACTCTCCACCCCCAAAAAGGCCCCATTGTCTGTTGTTCCCTTCTTTGTGTCCATGCGTTCCCATCATTTAGCTCTTACTTATAAGTGAGAACATGCAGTATTTGGTTTTCTATTCTGCCATAAGCAGAAAATTGAAAATGAATCCCTTCCTTACACCATATACAAAAATCAATTCAATATGGATTAAAGACTTAAATGTAAAACCTAAAACTATAAAAATCTTGGAATATAACCAAGGAAATACCATTCTAGATATAGGTCTTGGCAAAGATTTCATGACAAAGACACCAAAAGCAATTGCAACAAAAACAAAAATTGACAAATGGGACTTAATTAAACTAAAGAGCTTCTACACAGCAAAAGAAACCATCAACAGAGTAAACAGACAACCTACAGAATCGGAGAAAATATTTGCACACTATGCATCCAACAAAGGTCTAACATCCAGAATCTTTAAGGAACTTCAGCAAATTAATAAGCAATAAATGAACAACCCCATTACAAAGTGGGCAAAGGACATGAATAGACACTTTTCAAAAGAAGACATACACTCAGGCAACCAGCATATGAGAAGGTGCTCAACATCTCTAATCATTAGAGAAATGCAAATCAAAACCACAATGAGACACAATATCATACCAGTCAGAATGGCTATTATAAATCATCAAAAAATAACATGCTGGTGAGGTTGCAGAAAGAAGGGAATACTTATACACTGTGGTGGGAATGTAAATTAGCTCAGCCACTGTGGAAAGCAATTTGGAGATTTCCCAAAAAACTTAGAACTACCATTTGACTCAGCAATCCCATTATCGGGTATATACCCAAAATAATGTAAATTGTTCTACCAAAGACACACCCACACATATGTTCATCACAGCACTATTCCCAATAGCAAAGACATGGAATCAACCTATATTCCCATCAACAGTAGACTGGTAAAAGAAAATATGGTACATGCAATACTATGCAGCCGTAAAAATGAGATCATGTCCTCTGCAACAATGGATCAAGCTGAAGGCCATTATTCTAAGCAAACTAATGCAGGAACAGAAAACCAAATACTGCATGTTCTCACTTATAAATGGGAGCTAAACACTGAGTACACATGGACACAAAGAAGAGAACAACAGACACTAGGCCCTACTTGAGGGTGAAGAGTGAGAGGAGGGAGAGGATCAAAAAACTACCTATCAGGTACTATGATTATTACCTGGGTGACAAAATAATCTGTACACCAACCCCATGACACACGGTTTGCCTATGTAACAAACCTGCACATGTGCCCCTGAACCTAAAATAGAGTTAAATAAAATAAAATCATAGTGGGGGACTATTTTAGATAAAGATGTCAGAGGAAGCCTCTTGAGGGGAAGGGGACATTTGAGCTGGGCCATAGACCTTGAGAGGGAAGAAGCCAGAAAAAGAACTTGGAAAAGAGAATTCAAAAAAGAGGAGGAGAAAGTGCAAGAGCTTTGTTAACAGTTGTAACAAACAGCCCCTAATGTCAATAGCATAACACAATGTGAGTATATGTCTCACCTGGACTGAAGCGCAGTTCATTGCAGGCCTCAGGAGTGTAGGGAGGGATGTCTTGCTCCTCAGGATCAATCAGAGACTGAGACTCCTTCCACAATGTGGATTCATCATCTTTAAGTCCTCATCCTCCTCTGCATTCAAGTAGTAAATAAAGAAAGAGGGAGAAGGAACTTAAGCTTGACAGTTTTATGGACCGGACCTGGAAATAATGTGTGTCATTTCTGCTCAGACTCTATTGGCTACAACTTAAATACTCACCTGTGAGGGGAGCAAGGAAATGTGTGTGGCTGGGAGTAACAGACAAACAGTTTAGTGAGCAACTAACTAGCCATCGTTTGCCACAGTCTCCAAGATTGAAATAATCTCAGTGTGTGCAGAGGTCATGAAAAGAGAATGGATTCTATTGTAATTGGCAACAAGATGGTGATTATATATGATTCACACTTGGAAAAGATTACTCTAGCTGCTGCATGGAGAAAATACTGGAGAGGTATAGAAAATGGTAGCAAAAACTGCTTAAGAAATGTCTGCACTGGTTCCAGGTACAGAGCCGCATTAAGGCTTTAACAGTGGAGATGGTGAGAAGTGGTCAGATTCAGAATATGTTGTGAAGGTGTCACTGACACAACTTGCTCATACATTGAATGTGAGGTATGAAGAAATCAAGGATTACCTTCGTTTTAAGTCTGAGCCCAATGGAAGATTGTGAAATTTTCTTTTATGGGATGTAGAGTGAAGAAGCTCAAAGGCTGATGGATTTGGCAAAGGAAATATGAAGTTGCTCTTACTATAACCATTATTTTCAATAAAGAGTAAGATATTCATCATCTGAGAGAGGCTTGTATAGATGGGGCAGGTGTATGTACAGTGAGGAAAAGGGGCTGTCCTGGGGAACTGTAGGACTGTCTGGCAGAGTACAGTGCATATTTCAGATGTGTAGTTATAAAGTGGGACCCATCTACCTTGTTTGGGTATTTTCTCCAGCAGTGCTTAGCTGCTGGAGTACAGGCATTGAATAGGAGTTAGATTTCACCAGATAAGGGTTTAATCAGATGAGTTTAATGGAGGCAGTAATCAAGGAAGGATGGGTGTTGTGTAATAAGGAATTTGGCCTTATCAAAAGAGAGGTCGGGCCTTTGTCCCGGCTCCTGGGAGGTAACCTCTACTGACATTTCCTTTGTGATAGGAAAATCTTTGTTATTGATGGTGAGCTCCTGAGACCACACCTGATTGTTTATGCAAACAAGATAACTCAGGGCTGGACTGGCCACAGCTGATAGCCTTAGAGTAGGGGCTGGTCACTCCAGAAAAGACAACCATAGTGTAACTGCGTGGGCAAACAATCAACCAATCATGCTTATGTAGTGAAGCTCCAACAGAAACTCTAAACACTGAAGCTTCCATGAGCTTCTGGAGTTGGCAATACTTCGTGCATATTGTCACATATCAACGTAGGGAAAGTAGCATGTCCTGAGCTTTGCATTCAGAATCCTCCTAGACTGTACTCTATACATGTCTTCCCTTGGCTGATTTTAATATATCCTTTCCCTATTATAAACATAGGCATGAGTGCAATAGCTTTCAGTGATTTCTGAGTCTTTCTAGCAAATTATCAAACTTGAGAATAGTTTTGGGCATCTCTATTATCAGTTGAATTGTGTACCCCCAAAACTTTATATGTTGAAGTTGGAACTGGCTCCCAGTATTTCAGAATGTAACCTTATTTGGAAACATGGTTATCACAGATGTGATCAGTTGAGGTGAGGTCACACTAGAGTAGGGTGTGACCATCTTGATCTCTAATCCAAGATGACTGGTATCTTCATAAAAATGGGAAATTTGGACACAGACACAGGTAAACATCGTATGAAGATGAAGCCAGAGATTTGGGTGACACTTCTGCAAGTCAAGGATGCCAAAATTGCAAGCAAACCACTAAAAGCTCAGGCAGAGGCATGAAGAGATTCTTCCTCACAGCCCTCAGAAGGAACCAAGCCTGCCAAGACCTTGATATTAGACTTCTAACCTCCAGAATCATAAAAAATAGATTTCTATTGTTTAACTACTCAGTCTGTGGTACTTTGTTACAGCAGCACTAGGAAACTAATATACCCTCAAACTTGCAGTTGGTGTCAATAGTTTTGGGCTGACATAGCAGTCTGGTGGATTGTGCCCTTAGCCTCACAGTTTGGCCAACTGCAGTAGGTGTGTAAGCTGAATATAGAGGATATCGTGACACACAGATGAACAGTGACAAAATAGTAAGGGCAATAGATTGAAGGCCTCAGAGTGGTTAAATAATTATTCTACTTGGAATGCTTTAAAGGAAGTGAGATGGAAAGGACGGGTTGGTGATCAGAGGATAAGGTACTTGCAACAGATATTTCGGAACTGGTGCAATTATTGGTGATTACAAATTCTAACATAAGACCAGGGGAAGGGTACCTGAAGTAGAGTGGAGGGAAAAACATTTGCGGTAAGGAGGTAAAGGAACCAAGAGGCCAAGATGTTTAATGTGATCATGTACATAGATGCCCAAGTTCCCAACAATGGCAGGAGTAGTAGGGAGGAAGGGAGAGGCCTGGAACTACAGGGACCAACTCTGCTGTCAATAGGCAAAACCCAGAAGGAAGGGCATTGGGTAGTAACATTTGACAACACAAGCTTTAGTGGAATTTTAGCATTGATTGAAGGAGGAGTGAAAATAACTTGAGAGTATCAATGGGGAGGGGTCAAGGAAGACACCCACCCATCTCCAAGTCTTAGTACAGGGAAAGCCCTGACTGCACTAAATTACAAATTGACTCAACTGAGCACACACCCTGTAGAATAGGGATAACCAAAATGCTATGTTTAAAAAGTCCCTCTCTGCCCAAAACATAAAGCCTATTCTAGACATGAGATGGGGAAATAACAGCACATTCTATATAGCTAGAAAATAGAAGAGCTTGAAGTTGAAATCTGTTCTCTGTGGCTCCAGATACAAAACCCCCTCTTAGTTCCTTTAGGCTGCCATAATAAAATTCTTTAGACTGGGTAGTTTATAAGCAACAGAAATTTATTACTCACAGTTCTGGAGGCTGGGAAATCCGAGATCAAGAAGCCAATAGAATCGGTGTCTGGTGAAGGTTGGTTCCTCTTCATAAATAGCACCTTCTACATGCCTCTTCACATGGTGAAAGGAGCTAGGGTACTTGCTTTGGTCTCTTTTATAAGGGCACTAGTCCCTTTCATGAAGGTGGAGCCCTCAAGATTTAATCACCTCCCAAAAGTTCCCACCTCTTAATACTATCACATTGTGTGTTAGGTTTTAACATGGATTTTGGAGGGACACCAACATTCAGACTATTGCAACATCTTTATGAACAGAAATACCTCCTACCCTTCCTTGGGAAGAATTATAGTCCCCTGTCCCATTGACATCAGACTTTAGCCAATAAGATATGAACATGAGTTATGTGTATCACTTCCCAGCAGGTTTTACTGATCCGGTGTGTGATCACCGTGTTCTCTTTTCCCCCTGCCGCAAGACCAGCCATGGTCCTGATAGAGATAGCTCCATCAGTCTGAGTTCCTAAGTCAGCCAATCTGGAGCAAAGACTCAGACAATAGCAAATGACAATCAGTATGAATATAAAATAGCATAAATGTTGGTTGCTGAAAGCCATAGAGGCTTTGGAGTCATTTGTTACTGCTGAAGAACATAGTTTATACTAACTGATACAGGGAAGAATCAAAGATTCCTTGATGTTTCAGGATAGGGTACCCAGGTAGATGGAAGTACATTCCCAGACCAGCAAATATGGCAGGAGAAAATGGTTTTGTTTTAGCCCTTCTTGGCCCCTTCCCATGTCACCTTGTCATCCCTGTAATTGTGTTTCTCTCAGACTCCATTCAGCCTGGACTTCTAACTTGATCCACAGCTTAATCATTCTGTGAATGAGATTTGCAGTGATAATTCTCCATGCTGGGAACAGCCACAGGATTTTTCCCCCTTACATTCCACCCAGAGGCAGCCCTCCAACTTTCCTTCAGTGGAGAGAGAGGAAGAGGAGGAATATGGAACTCTATATAGGCCCAAAGACCACAGGAGGATGTCTTAATGCTCTCCAGCGTAACTTTCACAGTGTCCACATAACAAAAAGGGTCTTTCTAGTAATTCAACAATGCAAAATGAATATTCCAATCACCTGGAACAAGTCTTTTTAAGATGTGTATTGTTTAGACTACAAGTTCTTAACAACGTTGTAGTTTTTTGTATTATATCTTATTATTAATAGTTTATTGGTGCTCAACATCCATAAAAATAATGTGAACAGAACAATGCCTCATTTCATCTAGAGTTATATCCTCTTTTTAAGTTTTTCCCAGCAACTGTTTTCCTATATCCTACAGGCAAGAGTTTACTGAGATTACAGCCCTGAAGATAGAGTTCTTACACATTGTAACATCACCTTACATCCTTCCTGGAGTCCAAGGGATAGCAGCTCCTTCATTACATGTACCCACAAAAGTCAGGGAGGAGACACCTGGTAGTCACCAGGCTATTTGTTCCATCTTTGCCTTGTCAGGCTCCCTTTACTTTGTTTATCAAATGCCTGCTAGGGGAGTTGAACGTCCAAGCACAAGTTGCATTTGCTAACACTAGTTTATTCTTTCCTCTCACAAGTGGAGCAGAGGCAGGTGGCCTCCAGTCTTCAATATCATCACCCCATCTGATCAATCCATCATCCGCAGAGCTACAAGAGAGATTTTTCTGAAATGCAAATCAGATCACATCTCTCTCCTTCTTAAAATCTTTTAGAAGATCTCTGTTAAGGAGAAAATAAAGTATCAACTCTTTAGCTCTTGTACAAAGTCCCTTCCCATGTCTCCCTCGGATACTTTTCCAGATGCTGCTTACTTCGGGTATACTTAAGGCCTTTTCTACCAGGAAAACTCTTTGTATCTTTCACATCTGAGCCCCAGAGTCACCTCCTCTGGAATCTATTTCTGCATGCCAGACCCCAACTCATCCTTTATTCCATCCCTAACCAGGATGGAATAAAGTGCTTCCTTGTCCTGTGAAACACTGACTGTGACTCTATTACTGCACCATAGTTATAGTGTCACTATTTGCTTAAAAGGTGTTTTCTCCATCCCATTTTTATATTCATAAGAAACGGAATTGTCTTTTCCTTCTCCGATGGTAGTGCCCAACATATGAACAGACTTCATTTCTGTCCTACAGGCATTTATCATGCTGAGTTTGGAGTCAAAGTTAAGAGACGCAGCCCTTGCTGCACAGGAGCCAGCAGAATTGTAGGGCAAACAAGCACAGTCACAAATAATTGTATTACAGGTTGGGAGCACAGTTTGTTGAGACTATTTCTTTTTTTTGTTTTCCTTTTGTATCAGCCCCTTTTACAGTGATAATAATAGTTAATGTTACTTAATCAGAGCTTGGGTTCTTAAACCAGATGGCATGGCTACAAATCCCCCTCACTGATGATTAGCTCTGTTGCTTTGGGTAAGTTGTTTTTTGGGTAAGTTGTATTTTCAGTAAGTTGTTTAACCACTCCAAAACCTGAATTCCCCATCTGTAAACACAGGAATAAGGGTGATGTTTACTTCGTGGGGCTGTAAGAAGAGGAGGAATGAATGAGTGAATACACAAAGAGTGTAGAACAATGATTGGCATGTATTAAGCACGCAATGAACATCAGTGGTTAGCATTTTCCGCTGTCAACATTTATTAACTCAATAAAATGGCAGTCGCTGTACCATCTGCTTTGCACACCCTGGCTCCCTGAATTCTTGCAGCTCTGCTGCAGTGGTGCTCCACAGTATTCCTGCTGTGCAGTGAAGAAAAGCAAGGAAGCACAGCTCATGGTTTCAGAGGGAAGGTTTGAGAATCTGACATACCACCCATGGGACCATTATTTAAACCTCAGTTTCCTTATAATAGAATTGATTTTATAGGGCTGTTTGGATATTACACAAGACGTGAAAAGCTTAACATAGTGCCTGTCACATATTAAGCACTCCATAGATGTGTTAGAGGATGTTATTGTTGTTGTTATAATTCAGATATGATTATTACTAAGACGGTAAGTCCCCAGTGACATTGGAGCCCAGGAATGAGCCATGGTCCAGATGGCTCGAGGCTAAGGTTCCAGCCCCTGCTCTGTCCTCTCACCCCAGACCAGCCAGCCAAGCCCAGGAGCAGACGCAGAATGGGGTTACACATGCTGAGGCCTGCAGACAGTGGGGCTGTGAGAGAGCAAAACAGAAATCCAACACAGTGTTGAGCCTTGCCTCTCCCCTTCACAATGTTCTGACTAATTAAGATCCAACACCTTTCCCTCTTGGTCCCACTTCATTTTCACAGGTCGACTTCACAGAAGTCAGTATCAATGTTTCCAATTATTTTTCCTCTATGAAAATAAAAAGTCAAAAAAAAAACACTGCCAAAAATATTTCTCATTGTGTGTTTAGTTTGATTTGCCTAAATATTTTTTCCCCAGAAATTAGAAAAATTGAAGCAGATCAGCAGCTGCTTCTTGGGCATGGACAATACTGGATGTCAGCTTCTTCTCTAGAATTGCTGTCTCTACCCTGATGATACTCTTTCCAGAAGTTCCCTGAAAGAGAAAGTGGTAAGTGGGGCTAAAAACTCCAAGGAAATGGCTGAATGCATTGGCTTACATTTGTAATCCCAGCACTTTTGGAGGCTGAGGTGGGTGGATCACCTGAGCTCGGAAGTTCAAGACCAGCCTGGGCAACATTGCGAAACCCCATCTCTACAAAAAATGCAAAAATTAGCCGGGCATGGTAGCATGCATCTGTAGGCCCAGCTACTTAGGAGGGTGAGGCAGGGGAATTGCTTGAGCCCAGGAGGAGGAGGTTGCAGTGAGCTGAGATCATGCCATTGTACTCCAGTCTAGATGACAGAGCAAGACCTTGTCTCAAAAAAAAGAAAAAAGAAACTCCAAGGAAATGAGGTAGGATGGCATGTATACCCTGAGAACAGCTGGCTCCCCACACATGTCCTTAACAAGGGTTTTCAAAGTCTTTTCACAGATCTATTTTTAAAGGTTGCTCTCCTCACCCAGCTATGTCCCTGACCTTACCACTTCAGAATGTTAGCATTCTTTTTTTTTCTTTTTTGTAAATGTTTGCTATTTATATGTTTCTGATGATGGGTTTCTGCTAAGGCACAAACTTGTTGCCTCTGCTGGTCCTCTCTGTGACAGCACAGGCCTTGGTGAGATGGCAGAAGTGCAATCTTGGCAGCCTAAGGGAAGCTCTGGGCTTTGGAGAAAAGGCCTGGAACCTCCACCTTCTTAGCTCAGCCTTTCCCACCCCAGCAGGAGCTGCTGGAGCATTTTGTGGCATTAGTCTCTGCCTTTGCCCTCCCCCATCTCTCTTGCTGGGCCCTCCTCTCCATTTTCCCTTCCCTGAAGGCTATCTGCAAAACTGCTTCCTAGGAGGCGGCCTCCTCCATCTAGAGGTGTCACAACCTTGTCATTATACCAAGAAGACTAGATAGTGGTCTTTAAATTTTGCTTTTTATTGCTAGCATACTCCCTAAAAGACTTTTTTAAAAGTCTTTATATCCTCTCATAAATTTTTAAGCTTACACCTAGAATGTTTATCATGTGTTTAATAGTTTAAAAGCATGTGACAGGCCAGGCACAGTGGCTCATGCCTGTAATCCCAGCACTTTGGGAGGCTCAGGCGGGAGAATCACTTGAACCCAGGAGGCGGAAGTTGCCGTGAGCTGAGATCATGCCACTGCACTCCAGCCTGGGTGACCGCGAGACTCTGTCTCAACAACAACAACAAAAAGCATGTGACTTCCAGGCTGCATGTTGAATGTGTGCTCTAAATATATCTTCATTAAAACCTTGGAGCTGCAGATGTCACTCATTTAATTTGTAGAAAATGTCTTCCATATAACCCAATGAGCAAGATGGTCTCCATTTTCAAACCAAGCAGCAAATCAAGGTTGCTGACAAAAACATGATTTTATTTCTGAAAATTCAACCCATCTTAATAAGTGTCTCTATGACAAACATCTCATTTCTGAATTTTACATTTAAGGTAGATGAGATAGATTCATCTATCAATCAGTAGACCAGTGGATTAATCAAAGGAAGGAAGGTGTTGGCCACGATTCTGTAGCCAGCTCCCGTTAGTACTTCTTAAACTCTCTTTCCCAAAATTATTTCTCAGGAGTTGTACATTCTCAAATTTTCTCTCATTTTGGTGCTCTAGTTTTTGGGGTTTTTTTTGTTTTGTTTTGTTTTGTTTTGTTTACACCTTGGAGAAAGGAACAATAGTAAAATTCAGTATGGGTTAAAGCTTTTCTTTTAAACAGTGGACAAGGGCAACTGAGGCTATTGAACTCCAGCGTGGGGGACAGAGTGAGACTCCATCTCAAAAAAAAACAAAACAACAACAACAACAAAAACCTCATTTCAAAATTCATTGAAGATTTGAATGTAAAACCCAAACCTATAAAATCTATTTATGCTTTACCATATAAGACAGGGGAAGAAATTTTTTTTTTTTTTTTTTGCTTTAAGTTCCAGGATACATGTGCAGAACATGCAGGCGTGTTACATAGGTATACGTGTGCCATGGTGGTTTGCTGCACCTATTGACCCCTCCTCTAAGTTCCCTCCCCCCACCCCCCATCCCCCAACAGGTCCTGGTGTGTGTTGTTCTTCTCCCTGTGTCCATGTGACCAATACTTTATTTATTCAAATTTTATCCACCCTTTAGGACCCAGATTTCCCATATTTGTCTCAATATCAGTCTTTCCTCCCTCATCTCAAAGTATTCTTTTTTTCCTCCGAACTAGGCATTTACTTAAAGGTGCAACTCAAGTGCCTCCAGGAGTCAGGCATGTAGCAGAAATGGGTAATTAGGAAAACAAGAGAGAACGTGTCTTCCCTAAAGGTATTCCAATACAATTAAAACAAGGAAAAAGAAAAAATACGCTATGCCAGACAAATAGAGCGGTGGTCTGCTAGGCGGTGACCTTTCTAAAATCCACAAGAAATTCATTGATTCTCCTGGTGTTTTAAATTATTATTTTGAGGTTTCACTTTATCTTTGCATCCCCTGGTACAGAGTAGAAATAAAATAAACAGTAATGAATAAAATGTTTTTTTGTGTGGGTTTTTTTTTTTTTTTGAGATGGAGTCTTGTTGTCACCCAGGCTGGAGTCCAGTGGCGCGATCTCCGCTCACTGCAAGCTCCTCCTCCCAGGTTCATGCCATTCTCCTGCCTCAGCCTCCCGAGTAGCTGGGACTACAGGTGCCCACCACCACGCCCGGCTAATTTTTTGTATTTTTAGTAAAGATGGGGCTTCACCATGTTAGCCAGGATGGTCTCGATCTCCTGACCTCATGATCCACCCGCCTCGGCCTAAAATATGTTCTTTAATGTGGTTTCCTGCTTATCTCTCCAGCAAGAATATAAGCTCCCTGCAGGCAAGGACTACACTACACTAATATACTACGTAGATTGTGATACAGTGTTTTCATAAATTTTTGATACAATATACTGTGAGATCTTAGATGCAAATGGAAGGTACACTACAAATTATTTTTATAATTAGTATAGCATAGCATAGTGTATTTGGTTAGTATGCTTAAGTTTATTTCTCCTTAAAACAACCCATGTCATAGTAAAGAAATGCTCAGTCCTAATTATGCAGTTATCCTCCATAAGTGTTATTGTTCCCCGCTCTGGGTGAGTTGGGGTGGAGGATGGGCCAGGCAAGCTGAAAGGGCTCTTCTCTGGTTGGCATGAACTCTCTGTGTCAGCAAGTTCTTTAGAAAGTTGCTAGGTTTTAGCTGACATGGCCTAGGCCTCCATCCTGGCTTAGGAGCAAGTGGCAACAGATTATTCTTCTTTAAATAAAAATCCAGTGTCAACCCTTGTGAATGAGCTCCAATTGCTACTACACCTAGGTTGGACAAAGAAGCTTCTTTTATGGAGATTTTGGGAGTTGACCCTGTCTTAGCGCTTTTACCTGTTTCAATTTCATTCAGTCATGAGCAATTAAATTCATTCATTTTGAGGCTTTAATAATTCCTGTCAGTACACAATACAACCGTCACCATAAAACAACTTAAAAAAAAATCAATCAATCCTATTAACAGCCTCCAGAAGCAGCCTAAGGGCAGTTTTCTTCAGAGGCATGTCTACCCTCAACAAGATTTTTCTAGCACTGCTCCATAATTTTATTATTTCAAAAAGCTTATTAATCTAGCAAAGAATAAAAAATTTCAATAGCAAAGTTGCTTCGACCTTGGGAGAAAGTGTTGCATAGTATTATTAGAACCTCAAAGCAGGCTCTATTCAGAGAATGTCTGTTTGCCACCCCTACTACTTCATTCACTCGCATCTTTGACTTAAACCATTGTCCTGACACTTGGGGCCTGAGACACGCACTCTCATAGCAACTGGAAGCATAGTCACTGTCTTCATCATCACACCCTTCCTCTATTGGTATGTGTGTATTACACTGGACCAGGGCTTGAAATCCAAAGAGATTCAAGGGACCTGACTACATACAGACCCCTGATACGAAGTCAAGTTCCATTCTTGCTGCTGATGTGCTGAGCTGTTACTCAGAGCTCACATTTAAATGTGGCCCTCCTGTTCTCCCACTGTAGCCTGCATTCTTGATCTCTTTTCCCCCAGAACCACTATTCGGGTCCAAGAATCTTTTCCACCCATCTCTGGTTTTTGTTCCTGTTTGTAATATCTGCTCCTTCCTTTCCTAAGCTATCATTCAGGATTTCTTTTAGAACCTACTGATTTTGTAGCATGAGTCAATCCCTTGCTTCTATTGCTCTATGCTCCCAAGACGGAGATAGCTTTTATTTCTTCCTGGGCCTCCATGTATTTGCTATCCATACTATTCCTACTGCCTGGAACACACTGACCCACCATCTCTGAAGACTGGATTTTGGGAGTAGAAGACATAGGTGAATCTGGACTCTAAAAAGTTTTCCTGACTACTTCTCTCCATTCCCCAGATATAGTAAGCTAATCCTTCTTTGTGTGTCCAGACTATTCTTCAATCCTTCCCTTGATCTTATCATTGGCTTTCCTTTAACTTCCCTCTTCCTCACCAGACTGTGAGCTAGTTGAGAGTAGTATTCATTATTTATCTTTATGTCTCAGGCCTCTTGTTTTTTGATTGTTTGTTTTTGAGACAGGGTTTCACTCTGTTGCCCAGGATGGAGTGCAATGGCATGATTACGGCTCACTGCAGCCTTGATCTTCTGGGCTCAAGTGATCCTCCCACCTTATCCTCCTGAGTAGCTGGGGCTACAGGCATGAGCTACCACACCTGTTTAATTTGTATTATTTTTAGTAGAGATGAGGTCTTGCTCTATTGCCCAGGCTGATCTCAGACTCTTGAGCTCAAGGAATCCTCCCATCTCAGCCTCCCAAAGTGCTGAGATTACAAATGCGAGCCATCATGCATGGCTGAGGCCCGTTGTTTAATGAAGAAATGAATGAATGAATAAATTTCAGTGTATTTAAGAAAAGAGTTTCTGACTTTTTTGACCAATATTTTATCCTAACAGCTGATTTCTCTGAAATTTACCAAATAGTTTGAAAATCTTCCTGAAAAACCAAACGAATGAAAATATAAAACACAATTGATAAATGATTACAAATAATCACTTGCTTTTAATTAAAAGTCATTTTAGTTGGAAACTTCCTAATGCAGAATTTTACCTCTCCCACCCATCTTTTAAAGCTGAACAAAGCATTGCATTTCTAGGGCTAGGGATGTGACAGGCTGTGAATCTGCAAAGGATACTACCTTTAGGGGATTTCAATTACTGGTGAGAAATCATTTGCTCTTTAAAGTCAGTACCAACAACACAAAAAGATGCTCATAAATTTTAAGAGTCCGACCAACCAGCAACCGATCCACAGTGAAATTTAGGCAATGGAGTCCAGGGAAAAGGGAAGAAAGATAAATCTATTTACTTTTCAAATAAAGGAAGATTTTACCTCATTTGAAGATAATCTAGACTTTGGATCATATTTGGAAGACATTATCCATGGCCCTTCTGTGGCAAAAGTGCCCCCAGAAAGTTACAGACTTGAGTTGTAGGCAACCTAATTAATGAGAATGGTCTCTAACTGCAACCCGAAAGCATGAATAATGCCTATCTACTTACTTCACAGTTTATGGTAATGAGATTAATAAGCTACTTCCCTGGAATACTAGAGAGAGTCAGAAGCAACAATATATCCTCTACTGTGAGCCACCTTACATTTGTGTCATGGACTGAGGTTTAAATGGGAAGAGTGGAAGTCTAAGGATTTGAGAAGCTCTTTTCATAACTAGTAAAGTCCATCAAATCATCCAAAGATACACAGACAAATCTGCCATTGTAAAGAGATTCAGTTCTGTTAAAGAATCTACACTACATTTCAAATACGTCCTGTAATAGAAACAGAGGGTAGAAGGCAGATAGGAGGCAGTCCTTCCCACCAAGGAGCTCATAGTCTAGAAGGCAAGACAAGCTTTTAATAATTATAAACAATAAATTAGTAACACTTTAAATTTAGAATATTTCCAGTAAGAGGTAAATAAGGCAGATAATTTATTGAGAGAAGGAAGTAATCATCTGTCCAAAACATCATGGAAAGCCTTACATGGGAGATGATAAAGAATAGATTTTCCATGGTGTATATGTGCCACATTTTCTTAATCCAGTCTATCATTGTTGGACATTTGGGTTGGTTCCAAGTCTTTGCTATTGTGAATAATGCCACAATAAACATACGTGTGCATGTGTCTTTATAGCAGCATGATTTATAGTCCTTTGGGTATATACCCAGTAATGGGATGGCTGGGTCAAATGGTATTTCCAGTTCTAGATCCCTGAGGAATCTCCACACTGACTTCCACAATGGTTGAACTAGGTTACAGTCCCACCAACGTGTAAAAGTGTTCCTATTTCTCCACATCCTCTCCAGCGCCTGTTGTTTCCTGACTTTTTAATGATTGCCATTCTAACTGGTGTGAGATGGTGTCTCATTAAAATGATGAGTTCATGTCCTTTGTAGGGACATGGATGAAATTGGAAATCATCATTCTCAGTAAACTATCGCAAGAACAAAAAACCAAACACCGCATATTCTCACTCATAGGTGGGAACTGAACAATGAGATCACATGGACACAGGAAGGGGAATATCACACTCTGGGGACTGTTGTGGGGTGGGGGGAGGGGGGAGGGATAGCATCGGGAGATATACCTAATGCTAGATGACGAGTTAGTGGGTGCAGCGCACCAGCATGGCACATGTATATATATGTAACTAACCTGCACAATGTGCACATGTACCCTAAAACTTACAGTATAATAATAAAAAAAAAAGAATAGATTTTGCAGGATGAATAGGAGTTTTCAAAGTGAAAAGGTAAGAGGGCATTCCTGACAGGATGGCATCATGTGCAAAGGCAGAGAGTCTTGAATACAGTGTGCTCATCAAACTGCAAGAAGACTGGAAGTTCAGGACAAAGATACATAGAAACTTCAGGTTCCCTTACATTTGGGTATCTACATTTGAACACATGGAATGTATAAATGCTTGATTCTGTAGCTCTTAGGCTTTATGAAAATGAGGAGAGGGGTCACCCATGAAATTAAGATTCTCAGATTGTTTCTAAAAAGTCTTTGAGAGCTTGTTGCTGCGACTGTACTGCCAACCCCTTGAATTAGTGACCATTTCTGAGGAGAGGGTTTCAGAATCAGAATAAAGTAAGGGAGAGGTTGGAGAAGGGACAAAGACCTATGATTCAGCAGAACAGGAACAATAACTGGTCAGGTGACCCTTCAGAGATAAGCCCATGGAGTAGGTCTATAAAAAGAATGTTTTGGCTGGGTGCTGTGGCTCACACCTGTAATCCCAACACTTTGGGAGCTCAAAGTGGGAGGATCACTTGAGCACAGGAGATTGAGATCAGCCTGGGCAACATAGTGAGGGCCTGTCTCTATAAAAAAAATCAAAAAATTAGCTCAACATGGTGGCACACTCCTGTAGTCCCAGCTACCTGGGAGGCTGAGGTGGGAAGATCGCTTGAGCCCGGGAGGTTGAGGCTGCAACAAGCTGGGATCCCATCACTGCACTCCAGCCTGGGCAACACTCTGTCTCAATCAATCAATCAATAAAAGAATGTTTCTAAGTCAGGCTGCTGAACAGAAGCAGGAGCAGTTCCAGATCTTCTTACACTCCATGGGTTCTCTGTGCAGGTGGGCTGTGTACACTGTACTAAAAGCTTTATTTTAACAATTTTCTTTGGCTATTGCATTGTTGCTATAAAGACATGTGCATTGTACATCACTCGGAGCACATAATCACAGAGCACTGCAATGTAAGCAGCGAATAAGCAATTTTCCATTATCTTCTTGGTGACAGATAAATGTGAGATTTGTATGCAAAAGCAGAGACTACAAGATGACCCTGCGACAGGGACTATATCATGCATGCATATGTATATTCAAACACACCCCCACAGGTAACTATGTGGGGTGCCTACAAACATACTCATTCTTTTTCACCAGATAGAATTATTTTTACTATCATCTTTACCAGGTACTTAAAAGGTTTTATGCCTGAAATTGGCAGCAAAGCAAATCCACATCCATCACTATCTCCCCTTTTCAAATAGACTTGAGTTTAATAAATAAAGGATAGTGAAAATTGCTCCCACCAATCCAGGATTTAGGATTGTATACTCTAAATCACTTGATTCAGTTCTTCTAAAAGTTTTTTTACTATCTATAAATTCAGCCAGTCATCTGGATAGTGAATCTTTCCTTAGTAAAATTACAAAATGCATGCTATACTTCTAATTAATTGCCTCTTATTCTTGTTAGTCACTGAACTCAATTTCTGCCTCATGAGGTTTTCCCAGAGTTGGCTAGATTGTTATTGGATCCCAGGATTGTACTTTCAAGGGAATTAGGTTGACAAGAAGGTGCAGTTTATTTTTCATGAAGTAGAAAACAGTAATGGAAAACCTTACTAAATAAGAAGGTATATTTCAAAGAAGAAGAATGACCTTAGCCTTTGCAAAACAGTTTTCTAAAGTCATGCTTGTTTTCAGAAAACTTATTTAGTCAAAAAAATCCGGACCAGCCCACTGTGCTTCCTGCTTCTATAGGCTTCTAGTTTGCACCAGCTACTAATTTACCCGACCTCAGAAGACTAGGTGACAATCAATTAATTATTGATGATTGCCATAAATGCATATTTCCACTTAAAAAAAACCTACAAGATAAAATAAAAATCGGAAAAAAGCTAACTTTATCTCAAGCTACCTGTTTGATTTTAGTTAGGTTAATCTGAATATTTGGGGAGTTTCAGGTTGTTTTATATAAACACACACACAGGCCATTGCTGAGATTTGTTGCTCTTATTTAGAGATCGTTGGCACCAAGGTTTAAGTGAGTAGATTGATAACTGAGACTCTCTATATAAGCAAAGAAAGCCAACCAACAAGTGGTTAGATCAACCTCAGTGACATCTATAAAATCCTCCAGAAAAATAAAAAAGCTTCCAATTGCCTTCAGACAGGTTCTGAAACATCAGCCTGCTTCATGAATGATATGGTTTGGCTGTGTCCCCAGCCAAATCTCATCTTGAATTGTGGCTCCCATGATTTCCATGTGTCATAGGAGGGTCCCAGTGGAAGCTAATTGAATCTTGGGGGGCAGGTCTTTCCCATGCTGTTCTTGTGATGGTAAATAAGTCTCACGAGATCTGATGGTTTTATAAAAGGGAGTTCCTCTTCACAAGCTGTCTTGCCTGCCACCATGTAAGACATGACTTAAACACCTTTCCTTTATAAATTACCCAGTCTCAGGTATGTCTTTATTAGCAGCATGAGAACAGAGTAAAACAGTAAATTGGTACGAGTAGAGTGGGGTGCTGCTGTAAAGATACCTGAAAATGTGTAAGTGACTTTGCAACTGGGTAACAGGCAGAGGTTGGAACAGTTTGGAGAGCTCAGAAGAAGACAGGAAAATGTGGGAAAGTTTGGAACTTCCCAGAGACTGAGAGGGCTCAGAAGACAGGCAGATGTAGGAAAGTCAGGAATTTCCTAGAGATGTTGAATGGCTGTGACCAAAATGCTGATAGTGATATGTACAATAAAGTCCAGGGTGCGGTGGTCTCAGAAGGAGATGAGAAACTTCCTGGGAACTGGAGGAAAGGTGACTCTTGTTATGCTTCAGCAAAGAGACTGGGGGCATTTTGCCCCTGCCATAAAGATCTGTGGAACTTTCAACTTGAGAGAGATGATTTCTGGTATCTGGTGGAAGAAATTTCTAAGTAGAAAAGCATTCAAGAGGTGACATGGGTACTGTTAAAAGCATTCAGTTTTATGTATTCACAAAGATTTGGTTTGAATTTGGAACTTACGTTTAAAAGGGAAGCAGAGCATAAAAGTTTGGAAAATTTGTAGCTTATGTGACAAAAAAGGAAAACCCATCTTCCAAGGAGAAATTCAAGGATACTGTTCTCCAAATACTGCAGATCTGTGCTCTGACTGCTGATTGCTGCTTCTGATCACAGAGGGGCAAAGAGGTAGGCACTACTTATTGCACCTCACTTAACTATTGCAGGGCCCTTTCCTCTAGCTGAAATGAATTCCAGAAAATGTAAAGGTCCAGCATCCATTTTTTTCCCTTTTCATTTTTCTTTTTTTTTTAAGTTACTCAGTTTTATTGCAAAAATATTTACTTGGGTAATGCTGTCTAAGGTTATTACAGAAATGCCTTCATTGAATTATTAATAAACATCAAACCTTTTTTTCTTTTTATATTTATTTATTTTTTACTTTTTTTATTATACTTTAAGTTCTAGGGTACAGGTTCACAACGTGCAGGTTTGTTACATATGTATACATGTGCCACGTTGGTGTGCTGAACCCAGTAACTCATCATTTACATTAGGTATATCTCCTAATGCTTTCCCTCCCCCCTCCCCCCACCCCACAACAGGCCCCAGTGTGTGATGTTCCCCTTCCTGTGTCCAAGTGTTCTCATTGTTCAATTCCCACCTATGAGTGAGAACATGCGGTGTTTGGTTTTTTGTCCTTGCGATAGTTTGCTGAGAATTATGGTTTCCAGCTTCATCCATGTCCCTACGAAGGACATGAACTCATCCTTTTTTATGGCTGCATAGTATTCCATGGTATATATGTGCCATATTTTCTTAATCCAGTCTATCATTGATGGACATTTGGGTTGGTTTCAAGTATTTGCTGTTGTGAATAGTGCCACAGTAAACATACATGTGCATATGCCTTTATAGCACCATGATTTATAATCCTGTGGGTATATACCCAGTAATGGGATGGCTGGGTCAAATGGTATTTGTAGTTCTAGATCCTTGAGGAATCGCCACACTGTCTTCCACAATGGTTGTACTAGTTTACAGTCCCACCAACAGTGTAAAAGTGTTCCTATTTCTCCACATCCTCTCCAGCATCTGTTGTTTCCTGACTTTTTAATGATCGCCATTCTAACTGGTGTGAGATGGTATCTCATTGTAGTTTTGATTTGCATTTCTCTAATGGCCAGGGATGATGAGCATTTTTTCATGTGTCTGTTGGCTGCATAAATGTCCTCTTTTGAGAAGTGTCTGTTCATATCCTTCGTCTACTTTTTGATGGGGTTCTTTGTCTTTTTCTTGTGAATTTGAGTTCTCTGTACACTCTAGATATTAGCCATTTGTCAGATGAGTAGATTGCAAAAATTTTCTCCCATTCTGTAGGTTGCCTGTTCACTCTGATGGTAGTTTCTTTTGCTGTGCAGAAGCTCTTTAGTTTAATTAGATCCCATTTGTCAATTTTGGCTTTTGTTGCCATTGCTTTTTGTGTTTTAGACATGAAGTCCTTGCCCATGCCTATGTCCTGAAAGGTATTGCCTAGGTTTTCTTCTAGGGTTTTTATGGTTTTTACATCTAACATTTAAGTCTTTAACACATCTTGAATTGATTTTTGTATAAGGTGTAAGGAAGGGATCCAGTTTCAGCTTTCTACATGTGGCTAGCCAGTTTTCCCAGCACCATTTATTAAATAGAGAATCCTTTCCCCATTTCTTGTTTTTGTCAGGTTTGTCAAAAATCAGATGGTTGTAGATGTGTGGTATTATTTCTGAGGGCTTTGTTCTGTGCCATTGGTCTGTATCTCTGTTTTGGTACCAGTACCATGCTGTTTTGGTTACTGCAGCCTTGTAGTATAGTTTGAAGTCAGGTAGCGTGATGCCTCCAGCTTTGTTCTTTTAGCTTAGGATTGTCATGGCAATGCGGGCTCTTTTTTGGTTCCATATGAACTTTAAAGTAGTTTTTTTCCAATTCTGTGAAGAAAGTCATTGGTAGCTTGATGGGGATGGCATTGAATCTATAAACTACCTTGGGCAGTATGCCCATTTTCACAATATTGATTCTTCCTACCCATGAGCATGGAATGTTCTTCCATTTGTTTGTATCATCTTTTATTTCATTGAGTAGTGGTTTGTAGTTCTCCTTGAAGAGGTCCTTCACATCCCTTGTAAGTTGGATTCCTAGGTATTTTATTCTCTTTGAAGCAATTGTGAATGAGAGTTCATTCATGATTTGGCTCTCTGTTTGCCTGTTATTGCTGTATAGGAATGCCTGTGATTTCTGCACATTGATTTTGTATCCTGAGACTTTGCTGAAGTTGCTTATCAGCTTAAGGAGATTTTGGGCTGAGACGATGGGGTTTTCTAGATATACAATCACGTCATCTGCAAACAGGGACAATTTGACTTCCTGTTTTCCTAATTGAATACCCTTTATTTCCTTCTCCTGCCTGATTGCCCTGGCCAGAACTTCCAACACTATGTTGAATAGGAGTGGTGAAAGAGGGCATCCCTGTGTTGTGCCAGTTTTCATAGGGAATGCTTCCAGCTTTTGCCCATTTGGTATGATATTGGCTATGGGTTTGTCATAGATAGCTCTTATTATTTTGAGGTAAGTCCCATCAATACCTAATTTATTGAGAGTTTTTAGCATGAAGGGTTGTTGAATTTTGTCAAAGGCGTTTTCTGCATCTACTGAGATAGTCATGTGGTTTTTGTCTTTGGTCCTGTTTATGTGCTGGATTACGTTTATTGATTTGCATGTGTTGAACCAGCCTTGCATCCCAGGGATGAAGCCCACTTGATCATGGTGGATAAGCTTTTTGATGTGCTGCTGGATTCAGTTTGCCAGTATCTTACTGAGGATTTGTGCATCGATGTTCATCAGGGATATTGGTCTAAAATTCTCTTTTTTTTATTGTGTCTCTGCCAGGCTTTGGTATCAGGATGAGGATGCCCTCATAAAATGAGGCATTTATTGATTGGAAAGGTTTCCAAAAGAATGGTACCAGCTCCTCCTTGTACCTCTGGTAGAATTCGGCTGTGAATCTGTCTGGTCCTGGACTTTTTTTCGCTGGTAAGCTATTAATTATTGCCTCAATTTCAGAGCCTGTTATTGGTCTATTCAGGGATTCATCTTCCTCCTGGTTTAGTCTTGGGAGGGTGTATGTGTCCAGGAATTTATCCATTTCTTCTAGATTTTCTAGTTTATTTGTGTAGAGGTGTTTATAGTATTCTCTGATGGTACTTTGTATTTCTGTGGGATCGGCGGTGATATCCCCTTTATCATTTTTTATTGCATCTATTTGATTCTTCTCTCTTTTCTTCTTTATTCGTCTTGCTAGCAGTCTATCAATTTTGTTGATCTTTTCAAAAAAGCAGCTCCTGGATTCATTGATTTTTTGAAGGGTTTTTTGGGTCTCTATCTCCTTCTGTTCTGCTCTGATCTTAGTTATTTCTTGCCTTCTGCTAGCTTTTGAATGTGTTTGCTCTTGCTTCTCTAGTTCTTTTAATTGTGATGTTAGGGTGTCAATTTTAGATCTTTCCTGTTTTCTCTTGTGGGCATTTAGTGCTATAAATTTCCCTCTACACACTGCTTTAAATGTGTCCCAGAGATTCTGGTATATTGTGCCTTTGTTCTCACTGGTTTCAAAGAACATCTTTATTTCTGCCTTCATTTCGTTATTTACCCAGTAGTCATTCAGGAGCAGGTTGTTCAGTTTCCATGTAGTTGAGTGGTTTTGAGTGAGTTTCTTACTCCTGAGTTATAGTTTGATTGCACTGTGGTCTGAGAGAGAGTTTGTTATAATTTCTGTTCTTTTACATTTGATGAGGAGTGCTTTACTTCCAACTATGTGGTCAGTTTTGGAATAAGTGCGATGTGGTGCTGAGAAGAATGTATATTCTGATTTGGGGTGGAGAGTTCTGTAGATGTCTATTAGGTCTGCTTGGTGCAGAGCTGTATTCAATTCCTGGATATCCTTGTTAACTTTCTGTCTTGTTGATCTGTCTAATGTTGACTGTGGGATATTAAACTCTCCCATTATTATTGTGTGGGAGTCTAAGTCTCTTTGTAGGGCTCTAAGGACTTGCTTTATGAATCTGGGTGCTCCTGTATTGGGTGCATATATATTTAGGATAGTTAGCTCTTCTTGTTGAATTGATCCCTTTACCATTATGTAATGGCCTTCTTTGCCTCTTCTGATCTTTGTTGGTTTAAAGTCTGTTTTATCAGAGACTAGGATTGCAACCCCTGCATTTGTTTTCCATTTGCTTGGTAGATTTTCCTCCATCCCTTTATTTTGAGCCTATCTGTGTCTCTGCATGTGAGATGAGTCTCCTGAATACAGCACACTGATGGGTCTTGACTCTTTATCCAATTTGCCAGTCTGTCTTTTAATTGGAGCATTTCACCCATTTACATTTAAGGTTAATATTGTTATGTGTGAATTTGATCCTGTCATTATGATGTTAGCTGGTTATTTTGCTCATTAGTTGATGCAGTTTCTTCCTAGCATTGACGGTCTTTACAATTTGGCATGTTTTTGCCTTGGCTGGTATCAGTTGTTCCTTTCCATGTTTAGTGCTTCCTTCAAGAGCTCTTTTAGGGCAGGCCTGGTGGTGACAAAATCTCTCCACATTTGCTTGTCTGTAAATGATTTTATTTCTCCTTCACTTGTGAAGCTTAGTTTGGCTGGATATGAAATTCTGGGTTGAAAATTCTTTTCTTGAAGAATGTTGAATATTGGCCCCCACTCTCTTCTGGCTTGTAGAGTTTCTGCCGAGAGATCAGCTGTTAGTCTGACGGGCTTCTCTTTGTGGGTAACCCAACCTTTCTCTCTGGCTGCCCTTAACATTTTTTGCTTCATTTCAACTTTGGTGAATCTGACAATTATGTGTCTGGGAGTTGCTCTTCTCGAGGAGTATCTTTGTGGCATTCTCTGTATTTCATGAATTTGAATGTTGGCCTGCCTTGCTAGGTTGGGGAAGTTCTCCTGGATAATATCCTGAAGAGTGTATTCCACCTTGGTTCCATTCTCCCTGTCACTTTCAGGTATGCCAATCAGACGTAGATTTGGTCTTTCCCTATAGTCCCATATTTCTTGGAGGCTTCATTTGTTTCTTTTTACTCTTTTTTCTCTAAACTTCTCTTCTCACTTCATTTCATTCATTTGATCTTCAATCACTGACACCCTTTCTTCCAGTTGATCAAATCGGCTACTGAAGCTTGTGCATTTGTCACGTAGTTCTCATGCCATGGTTTTCAGCTCCATCAGGTCCTTTAAGGACTTCTCTACACTGGTTATTCTAGTTAGCCATTCGTCTAATCTTTTTTCAAGGTTTTTAGCTTCTTTGTGATGGGTTTGGACTTCCTCCTTTAGCTCAGAGAAGTTTGTCATCTGAAGCCTTCTTCTCTCAACTTGTCAAAGTCATTCTCCATCCAGCTTTGTTCTGTTGCTGGTGAGGAGCTGTGTTCCTTTGGAGGCGGAGAGGTGCTCTGATTTTTAGAATTTTCAACTTTTCTGCTCTGTTTTTTCCCCATCTTTTTGGTTTTACCTACCTTTGGTCTTTGATGATGGTGACGTACAGATGGGGTTTTGGTGTAGATGTCCTTTTCTGTTTGTTATTTTTCCTTCTAACAGTCAGGACCCTCAGCTGCAGGTCTGTTGGAGTTTGCCGGAGGTCCACTCCAGACCCTGTTTGCCTGGGTATCAGCAGCAGAGGCTGCAGAACAGTGAATACTGCTGAACAGCAAATGTTGCTGCCTGATAGTTCCTCTGGAAGCTTCATCTCAGAGGGGTACCCGGCCATGTGAGGTGTCAGTCTACCCCTACTGGGGGGTGCCTCTCATTTAGGGTACTCAGGGGTCAGAGACCCACTTGAGGAGGCAGTCTGTCCGTTCTCAGATCTCAAACACCATGCTGGGAGAACCACTACTGTCTTCAAAGCTGTCAGACAGGGACATTTAAGTCTGCAGAGGTTTCTGCTGCCTTTTGTTTGGCTATGCCCTGCCCCAAGAGGTGGAGTCTACAGAGGCAGGCAGGCCTCCTTGAGCTGCAGTGGGCTCCACCCAGTTTGAGCTTCCTGACTGCTTTGTTTACCTACTCAAGCCTCAGCAATGGCGGGCGCCCCTCCCCCAGCCTCTCTGCCACCTTGCAGTCCGATCTCAGACTGCTGTGCTAGCAATGAGCAAGGCTCTGTGCGCGTGGGACCCTCTGAGCCAGGCATGGGATATAATCTCCTGGTATGCCATTTGCTAAGAACGTTGGAAAAGCGCAGTATTAGGGTGGGAGTGACCCAATTTTCCAGGTGCCATCTCTCACCCCTTCCCTTGGCTAGGAAAGGGGATTCCCTGACCCCTTGCACTTCCCAGGTGAAGCAGTGTCTCGCCCTGCTTCGGCTCACGCTCAGTGGACTGCACCCACTGTCCGACAAGCCCCAGTGAGATGAACCCAGTACCTAAGTTGGAAATGCAGAAATCACCCATCTTCTGCATCACTCACACTGAGAGCTGTAGACTGGAGCTGTTCCTATTCGGCCATCTTGGAACCACCTCCTTATTTTTCTTTTTTCTTCTTTTGGGAGGCAGATATTAAAGACTAGGATTTTTTAAAGCAGCCACATACACAAGGGGAATTAGAAAGTCACCATGCATGCTTAGGGAAAGGTATAGCTTCAGAAAAGACCAAGAAAACTTTATGTTTATATCTGTATGTTTCTTGGCATAGAGATAGCAGATAACAATAAAAACAAACAAACAAAAACAACAGAAAACCCTGAGGAAGAGGAAGAATCTAATTTCCAGAGTTACCACATTATAAGGTGTAAATGTCCAGTTTTCAACAAAGCAATGGACATAAAAACAGAATAGTAATATCTACTCAAGATTTTTTTGAAAAATAAACAGAAACAGTCCCTGAAAAAGATTCAATGGCAGATTTATTACACAAAAACTTTAAAACAACAATCTTAAAGACATTCAAATAACAAAAAAAAAAATGGAAAATGTGACAAAAATGTATAAACAAAATGGGAATATCAATATAGAAAACTTTAAAATAATTCAAAAGAAATTCTGGGACAGAAAATTATAATAACTGAAATGAAAAATTCACTAGAGTGATCCAAAGGTAGATATGAGGATGCAAAAGAAAGAATCAATGAACTTGAAGATAGGACAATAGGAGTTATTAACTCTGAGGAACAGAAAGAAAAAAAAAGATTGAAGAGAAAGGAGTCACGAGACACCATCAAGAGGACTAACATACGTGTGATAAAAATTCTAGAAAGAGAAAAGAGAAATAAAGTGAGTATGTAAAGAGAAATAAAGTGAGTATGTAAAGATATAATGGCCAAAAACTTCCCACTTTTGATGAAACACATGAATATAAATATCCAAGATGCTCAGTGGAATGAAATCTTGGAGTAGGATTAACTCCAAGACACCCAGATCTAGATACATTATTATCAAATTGTCAAAAGTGAAAGACAAAGAGAATCTTGAAAGCAGCAAAAGAGAAGCAATTTGTCACATACAGGGGACGATCAATAAGATTATCAGGAGATTTCACATCAGAAACCTTGAAGGCCAGAAGGTAGTGGGCTGAGATATTCAAAGTGGTAAAAGAAAAAAAAGAAAAACCTGTCAACCAAGAATTCTATATCTAGCAAAACTGCCCTTCAAAAGTGAGGAAGAAATGAAGATATCCCCGGATAAACAAAAGCTAAGGGGGTTCATCACCTCACCTCTAGATCTGGCCTGAAATAAGTGTTAAAGGGAGTCCTTTAGGTTGAAATAAAAGGACACTAGACAATAACTTGAAGCAATATAAGGAAATAAAGATATCAGTAAAGGTAAATAAATGAGTAATTATAAAATCCAGTATTATTGTAATAATGATTCATAACTCCGCCTTTTTATTTTCTACATAAGACACTAATACATTTTCAAAGCAATTATTAAAATATAAAAATTTAAACATTAAAAAATTTATAAAGCAGTTATTACTCTACAAGCTAGTAATATTGTAACTCCACATTTTGTTTTCTACATAATTTAAGAGATGAGTGCATTTTTATTTTTTTTGAGATGGAGTCTCGCTCTGTCACTTAGGCTGGAGTGCAGTGGCATGATCTCAGCTCACTGCAACCTCTGCCTCCCAGGTTCAAGCAATTCTCCTACCTCAGCCTCCTAAGTAGCTGAGATTACAGGTGTGTGCCACCACACCTGGCTAATTTTTGTTTTAGTAGAGATGGGGTTTCACCATGTTGGTCAGGCTGGTCTCGAACTTCTTACCTTGTAATCTGCCCGCCTCACCCTTCCAAAGTGCTGGGATTATACATGTGAGCCACCGTGCCCAGACTAGTGCATTTTTAAAAATTACAGGTTGATTATTCCTTATCTGAAATGCTTGAAACTAAAAGTGTTTCAGATCTCAGGTTTTGGAATATTTGCTTTATACTTACCAGTTCTCAAATCTAAAAATTTGATATCCACAATGCTCCAATGAGCATTTCCTTTGCACATCATGTCATCACTCAAAAAATTTCAAAGTTTTGAGTGTTTTAGATTTTGAATTTTCAGATTTGGAATGCTAAATTTGTATTAGTTTATGTCTTTGAACAAACAATTAGACATTGTAATTTTTGGACAGAAACTAAAAAGAGTAAGGATAGAGAAGTAAAATAACAAAGTTTCTGTATGTTATTGAAGTTAAACAGGTATAAATTCAAATTAGAGTGTTATAACTTTAAGATGTTAAATGTAATTCTCATAATACCCACAAAAGAAAAACTACAGACTATGCACAAAGGGCAATGAGATAGGAGCTAAAATGTTTCACTACAAAAAATCAACACAAAAGAAGTAATGCAAGAAATGAGGAAGAAAAATAATTATAAGACATGTAGAAAACAAATAGCAAAATGACAGAAGATCCCCCTTATCAGTCAGCCTTAAAACCTGAAAATAGAAAGAAATTTTGACATATGCTATGACAAGTATGAACCTTGAAGACATTATGCTAAGTGAAATAAGCCATTCACAAGAAGACAAATACCGTATGACCCAACTTATATGAGGTACTCAGAGGAGTCATACTCATAGAGACAGAAAGGAGAATGGAGTTGTCAAGGGCTGGAGCGAGAAGGGAATGGAGAGTTACTGTTTAATGTGTACGGAGTTTCAGTTTTACAAGATGAAAAGAGTTATAGAGATAAACGGGGACTGAAGGCTGCACAACAACATGAATGTACTTAATACCACTGAACTGTGCACTTGAAAATGGTTAAGATGGTAAATATCATCTGTGTACTTTACCAGAATAAATTTTTTTAAAAAAAGAAGAGAGACTCAATGCTCTGGGGAAAAAAAAATGTACCATTCCAAAAGAGCTGGATGTTGGATAAATTACTACACAGAAAGTTAAAAACATTGCTGAGATCACAAACAGGGAGCTAAGGAAATTCCCAGTGGCAAAAACAAACAAACACAAAAACAAACAACAATACAAGGGAGGTAAATAAAGTCAGGGTGATTAACAATCCAATGTCTTTATCAATAATCCAGCAATTTGGAATTAATGGTGGGCCACGAAGGAAACTGGAAACTAAGGTTTCCCAAATTTGAAGTGGAATCTAAGGACCTGAGATGTCCTCCTTTCACAATACAGAGAGAGAGAGAGAGAGAGAGAGAGAGAGAGCCCGCCTTGAAAGAGAGATGACAAGGAAATCTGCCCATCTGTGTCACAACTCTGCTAGAACCTTTGTAAACAAGTGTTATGGACTGAATGTATCCCACCCAAGTTGGTATACTGAAGCCCTAACCCCCTAACATCACATGATATTTCCTCCTGCAAGCCAGGAGGAGAACCTTCAGCAGAAATCCAATAAGTGGCACCTTCATATTGAACTTCCTAGCCTGCAGAACTATGAGAAAATTAATTTCTGCTGTTTAAGCCACTCATTTTGTTATTTTTTTAATAGCAGCCCTAGCTGACTAATGCAACATGTAATTACAGGCCTTATTTACATATTTCTTTATATGTATGAAATACTAATCATATTGATTTTATTCTGTAAATGTTGGTGATATATGTTTTGGACAAGAGAGTAGTAAAGACTAGACTATTCCATAATAAGAACTTCTCATTCCCTTCTACCAGTCAATCAACTGAGTTCTTATTTCAGTAATGTTGAAGGAGGTTTAGAGAGTATAATTCTTCAAAAGCAAAGAGCTTATTGAAATATAATACACACACGCACACACACACACACATACATATGTTCAAATTCAACTGCTTATCTAGCTTTTCCATACCTCAATTTCCTTGTCTAAACATATCATTTTCTTTAGGTCATTGTAAGAAATCAACAACAAAACATATGTCTTGGAAATTATAAAGTATAACACAAGCTTAAGGAGATTTTTTTAACAAGAGTAAAGATGCAGCAAAGAATTTTTATGGGTTCAACTTTTTGGCTGCCCATTTGCTAGCTTTTTGACCTTAGGGAAGTTTTTAATAGCTCTGAATCTCTTTTTGTTCATCTAGAAAACAGAAATAATAATATCTACCTCAAAGGGTTGTTGTAAAGACTAAACAAGATGAAGTATATAAAGAATCTAGCTGTTTTCATCATGAATTGTTTTCTTGAACATAGTAAAAAATTAGTCAGACTTTCTTAGACAGAAAAAGGGAATTTATTTTAATGATCAGTCACTTCACGTAACCCCAAGGCCTGTGTATGCAGTACCAAAGTACTTTCAGGAACCAAGACAGTGCTTCAGGCAGTTCCTTCTCTGGAGCTGCACGGGCTCCCACTTCTGCCCGTTTCTGCTCCTGGACTTCATTCTTTCCTATCCCGGACCCTGCAGGTGGGTGAAGATGCCCTTTCTCCCACACACCACAAAATGTCCTTCAAGAATTAGTAGTCATTATCCATTCACAGTCACAATTCCAAATTCTGATAGTAAATTCAAATTGGGTAAGGTTTCCATCACTGGTCCAGCCAGCAATCGCCAGAGATGGAGGGACACAAAGTGCACACATGGCCACTCTGGTATCCTTGTAGCACTTCATGTTGCTTAGGTGCTCAATAAATGAATTTTATAGCTATTACTACCCAAAATGCCAGGATAAATAAATACTGTCCAGTTCATCCTATAACCTTGCCTTCTCATGCATGTGAGATTTATATCCCAAAGATAATTACAGGAAATCCCAGGGAAATGAGTTGTTTATCATGTTCTGCAATACATTATTGAATTCCAAGAAGTTATTCCTTAGGATGGAATCAGAAGACCAGGATTGTTCAAATAAATTGCAAATTCAAACTCATCCAAAACCTCTTCAGCCACCAGACCTGCAGCAAATGCAGTTGTTGAATGGGAGGTGAATTTGCCTCACCAGGATCCCTGGAAGGAATAGGCAGTCAGTGAGAGGTTGTCAATATGGCATGTCTTCATGCTATTTGTTGAAAGGTTTTCTTTGATAAACTACTTATTTACAGGAGCACACTGTGGAGAAAAATCTTTATAGATGCTGTTGGGCTGCTTAAACAAGAGTGAATAAACTCAGCGGGAAAGGCTTGCAACACGAGTTCAATGTTTTCTGGTATCCCTTGGAACAGTCAGAACTTGTGGTCCTGGTGTCACCCGTCCAGAGAACACCATCTGCTCATTCCAGATATCAATGTCAGAAATCAAGACTTTTTCAAGACTCACATGGCACCTGTCCCAGATCAGCTCCTAAGAGCTGCAGCTTCACAGCCAGATGTGCAATGTATACATGGTGAACGTGTTGTGGAAACAGCGTAGGGTTTTTTTGTTTTAACTCAAGTAAATATTGTTTTGAATCTTGACTCTATCACTTACAAGTTTGTGTAATGTTGGACAAATTACTTCATCTTTTAGAGGCTCCATGTCTTTATTTGTAAAATGTAGAGCATAGAATTTTCCCGTGGATGGGTAGTTGTAAGGATTAAACAAATCGATGGACATTCAGCTACTCGAACAAAAACAATTTACATATCTTTAGAAAACTGGAAGGTAACACAAATAAGTAAAGCACAGTAGATATAAAGCAATAGAAATGATGAAAATTGTGTTTTGGATTGGCAATCAAATTCTATTTTTAAAAATTGTTTCTGAGGACAAAATCTCATTCAAGCTCTAAGTTTGTGAACTGCTCCCTGGCATCTAATAAATGTTAGTTTCTTGCCCTCTCTCTCTCTGCTGCTTCTCTTTCATGCTGATAGTGTGGTCTCCTTTTTAAAAAATAAATAAATGCCAGTTATTCTTAATGGGGTGAATTCTGAAAACCTCTGTGGGGATTTTTTATGCTACTGGCAGTTAGCAGGCAGAGAGATAAAGGGTGGTGGCCCACATAATGAATAATCCTACCATTAATGAGGGTGAAATATTGCTTACAATTATCTGAGCCTAGAACAAAAGCCTGTTTTACATAGAGACACAGGTATTTCTGCACCATTTTGTTGTATACACTGAATTTCCAGGAGCATAATTACTAGGGAAATTGAGGGTAGAATGCGTTTTGCTTTTTCTGGAACATCACCAGCAGTCCTTCATCATTTTAGAAAATCATATAAATAAAAATGATGTCACTTGGGTATTTGAGTTCCCAATAGCAAATACAGGGAGGATTTTACATTCAGTGTGATTCTTTATGAAAGTGTAAGCACTTGACAACTTCATTATGTCTTCTAATATTGCCCTGCCCAAGCATTTGCATTTTGAAATACATACTCATTTATTATTAATTACTTACCTCTTTTTTTGTTTATTATAGATAAGACATTATACTAATTTTTAATGAATATGACTAGGTAGATTTTATTACCTACGACATTTATTTTAAGGTGGTGAAGGAGGCATTACAAACTATTTTTATGAAAAAAAGAGGTGTTAAAGTTGTTAGGGTAAGAAAATCTCTGAGGTAGATTTGGGCTTCAGAACAAACTCAAGGAAATTGTCTTCAATGCCAAATGGGTCAGTCTCAAAGTGATAAACTGTTCTGCAAAAACAGGAAAGTACAAACCTACCTTGTTTTATTGTGCCTCAATTTATTGTGTTTTGCAGATATTTCATTTTTTACAAATTGAAAGTCTGTGCAACCCTGCATCAAGCAAGTTGATTGTTGTCATTTTTTCAACAGCATTTGCTCTCTTTATATCTCCATGTCATAATTTGATAATTCTCACAATGTTTTAAATTCTTATCACTATTATTATACCTCTTATGGTGATCTGTGATCAGTGATCTTTGATGTTACTGTTGTAATTGTTTTGGATCGCCACAAACCATGCCTATATGAGATGGTGAACTTAAATTGATAAATGTGTGTGTTCTGACTGCTGCACTGACTGGCCATTCCTTTGGTCTTTCTCCATCTCTCTCTCTGTCTCTCTCTCTCTCTCTTTCTCTCTCTGTCTCTCTCCCCTTTGGGCCTCTATTCCCTGAGACATAACAATATTAAAATTAGGCCAATTAATAACTCTACAATGTCTTCTTAATTGTTCAAGTAAAAGGAAGAGTTGCATGTCTCTCACTTTAAGTCAAAAACTAGAAATGATTAAGCTTAATGAGGGAGGCTTGTAGAAAACTGAGATAGGCCAAAAGCTAAGCCTCTTGGTTAAGCTTAATGAGGGAGGCTTGTAGAAAACTGAGACAGGCCAAAAGCTAAGCCTCTTGCATCAGATAGCCAAGTTGTGAATGCAAAGGAAAGTTCTTGAAGGAAATTGAAAGTGTTACTCCAGTGAACACATGAATGACAAAAAAAGTGAAACAGCTTTATTGCTGAAATGGATATAGTTTTAGTACTATGAATAGAAAAATCAAACCAGAAACAACATTCCCTAAGGCAAAGTCTAATCCAGAGCAAGACCCTAACTTTCTTCAATTCTGTGAAAGCTGATAGAGGTGAGGACGAAGAAGCTGCAGAAGAAAAGTTTGAAGGTAGCAGAGCTTGGTTTATTAGGGTCAAGGAAAGACACCATCTCCATAACATAAAAGCGCAAGGAGAAGCAGTAAGTGCAGATGGAGAAGCTGCAGTAAGTTACCACAGGATCTAGCTAAGATCATTGAAGACAGCGGCTACACCAAACAATATATTTTCAACGTAGACTGAGCAGCCTTATATCAGAAGAAGTGGTCATCTAGGGCTTTCGTAGCTAGAGAGGAGCAGTCAATACCTAGCTTCAAAGCATCAAAGGACAGGCTGACTCTCTTGTAAGCAGTTAATGCAGCTTGTGACTTTAAGCTAAAACCAATGCTTATTAACCATTCAAAAATTGAAGGGCCCTTAAGAATTATGCTAAATCTACTCTTTCTGTGCTCTGTATATGAAATAACCAAGCCTGGATGACAGCACATCTGTTTACAGTATGGTTTACTGAATATTTTAAGCCTGCTGTTGAGACCTACTGGTCAGAGAAAAGGATTTCTTTCAAAATTAGGACCTGGTCAGCCAAGAGCTCTGACAGAGATGTACAAGAGGATTTAAATTGTTTTCATGCCTGCTAACACAATATCCATTCTGCAGCCCATGAATCAAGGAATAATTTCTACTTTTAAGTGTTACATTTAAGAAATACATTCTATAAGCCCAGAGTTGTCATATACAGTGATTCCTCAGATGGATCTGGGAAAAATAAATTGTAAACATCTGGAAAGGACTCACCATTCTAGACGTCATTAATGACATACATGATTTATGTGAGGAGGTCAAAATACCAACATTAATAGAAGTTTGGAAGAAGTTCATTCCAACCCTTATGGATGACTTTGAGGGCTTCAAGACTTCAGTGGAGAAAGTAACTGCAGATGTTACAGAAAGAGAAATATAATTAGAAGTGGAGCCTGAAGATGTGACTGAATTGCTGCCATCTCATGATAAAATTTAAACGGATGAAGAGTTGCTTTGTATGGATGAGCAAAGAAAGTGGTGTCTTGAAATGAAATCTACTCCCAGTGAAGATGCTCCAAACATTGTTGAAATGACAACAAAGGACTTATAATATTATATAAATTTAGTTGATAAAGTAGCAGCAGGTTTTGAGAGGACTGACTCCAATTTTGACAACTTTATTAAATGCTATCAAACGGCATCTCATGCTACAAGGAAATCTGTCATGAAAGGAACACACAAACTTCATTGTTGTCTTATTTTAAGAAACTGCCACAGCCACCCCAACCTTCAGCAACTACCACCCTGATCAGTCAGCAGCCATCAACCTCAAAGCAAGACCCTCCACCAGCAGAAAGGTTATAACTCACTGAAGGCTCAGATGATCACTAGCATTTTGTAAACAATAAAGTATCTTTAATTGAGGCAATTAAGGTATATACATTGTTTTTTAGACATAACGCTATTGCACACTTAATAGAATACAGTATAGGCTGGGAACAGTGGCTCACGCATGTAATCCCAGCACTTTGGAAGGCTGAGGTGAGTGGGTCACCTGAGATCAGGAGTTTGAGACCAGCCTGGCCAACATGGTGAAATCCCGCCTCTACAAAACAACAACAAAAAAAAGCCAAGAGTTGTGGCGGGTACCTCCCAGCCTCCCAGCTACTTGGGAGGCTGAGGCAGGAGAATCGCTTGAACTCGGGGAGGTAGAGGTTGCAGTGAGTTGAGATAGCGCCACTGCACTCCAGCCTGGGTGACTCTGTCTCAAAAAAAAAAAAAAATAGAATACAGTATAGTATAAATATAACTTTATATGTACTGGGAAACCGAAAAATCCGTGTGACTCATGTTATTGTGATATTTGCTTTATTGTAGTGGTCTGGAGCTGAACCTTCAACGTCTCTGAGGTAGATCTTTAAAGGTAATCATTTATGTAGTAATAATAATAGAGACAAGACAAAAGTATTAAAAGATCATTGAATGTTATTGGAAAGAGTCACCAATGCAAGAAAAGGCAGATAAAAATCACACCGCTCCCGACAGAGCACAGCTTCAAGTCATTAAGGTGAGGGATTTGTCAATTTTCTGACTATTTGCTCCTTCACCAAGTCTGTCCTACAACGTTAATGTTATTTTAATGTCACTCCTCTTCTATAAATTTTGCAGGATAAAATCTTATTTAGTTATCACCTTTCAAACTAACTGCTGTAATTAAAGAAAATCACATATTTAATTAAAGAAATCTGCTTATTCACCACAAGTGGAGCAAACTCTGCTGCCTGTGTAATACCCGTGTTTAATGCAAAAGTTTCACGTAATGATTTTGTAAAATAACCTTTTGAAACTGGGTTTTAAATGCAAAGGAACATCTCACAATGGTACAACATATTAAAGAAAAGCTGCTTCAAGCATGTTTTCTATAAGCAAATTTAAGTGAACTCCTAACTTGTAAATGGCAAGAAAAAAGTTTGATCAATCCAGCAGTTATTAGTGCTGCAGAATCAGATTGACTTGTTCACTGAATTGATCACACTTTTGGCAGGGCTGATGATGGATTTGTCTGTGACAGCAGACTCCTATCCTCCTAGCACCTCTGTCACACTGTCAGGTGGGTGACAGCAACTGGCTGAGTGTGGTCCAGGTTTTTCAAGGCTCCTTAAGACTGCTTCAAAATGAGCTGAGCCTCTGTTAAAATGCTGATTCTTGGACCCACTACAAACAGGCTGTATCTGACTTTTTGGATTGGGGCCCAAGAAACTGCATTTTAATAAGCTTTCTAAATGTTTCTCATGCACCTATACGTAGAAAATTTCTAGTGCAATAACTGGCTAGGGTCCCTGTCCCCAGGACCTCATTATGACTTTTATGGGTGACTTTTGTGAACGACCTTGGCATTCTGGCTTTCGTGGGCCCCTTCCTTCATAAAAATATTAAAAAGTATATTTTATGACTCTGTCAGTATAAAGACTAATATATTAACATCACATATTACAACATTTTATTTGACCTAAAAGTTCCCTTTTCTTCTCATTTTAAGAGGAATTAGGCCGGGCACGGTGGCTCATGCTTGTAATCCCAGCACTTTGGGAGGCCGAGGCGGGCGGATCACAAGGTCAGGAGATCGAGACCACGGTGAAACCCCGTCTCTACTAAAAATACAAAAAATTAGCCGGGCGTGGTGGCAGGCACCTGTAGTCCCAAGCTACTCGGAGAGGCTGAGGCAGGAGAATGGCGTGAACCCGGGAGGCGGAGCTTGCAGTGAGCCGAGATCGCGCCACTGCACTCCAGCCAGGGTGACAGAGCGAGACTCCGTCTCAAAAAAAAAAAAAAAAAAAAAAAAAAAGAGGAATTAAAACACTTTGTGGGCCCATAAAAGTATTGTAGGCCTCATGGATACATCAGCCCTGCCTATCCCTATATCCTTTTATTCCCAATAGTCTGGGGCTACTTTAACTTCACCTCTGGGAAAATCCTTTAACAAGATGCTGCAACCTACACTGGTTTTGTGTGGATGATTTAAAAAAAATAAGAATCCAAGTGCATTAGGGAGAAGGCTTGGTAAGGAAGATATTAGAGTCTCCTAGAAAACTTCTAAACTATAATATGCATTCTCTTCCCTGAAACACAATGGTTGAGTTGGGCTGAGAGTATATATGGTTTGCAAAACACCTCAGGCTGACTCTGCAGCTCCTGGTCCCTGCTTAGAAGGCTCAGCACCAGCATCCTGTTACTAATCAAGCCCTATCTATATTTTCATTAATAATTATCTGCCAGTCATTGTGCTAAGTGCTTCACATGCTACATTTCATTTGATCTTCATTACAATAACACCCCCACTTAAGAGATGTGAACACTAAAATACAGAGAGACCAATTGCCCAGTCAGGTAGCTAGGAAAAGGTCGAACCAAGATTCGAACTTGAATTCCCTGATGCCAGAGCATTCATTCTTACCACTTGCTATCTGATGCCCTACAGCTGTGCTCTGTTCCTTCAACCTATTAACTGAATTCCTGTTGTGCTTCCTCATGCCTAAGTTTCTGCCTTGATAACCCACTCAGAAGTCCCCAAGCAGAAGCCTGTCTTTCACTTCACCTTCTGGTCCACAGACCCAGATCTCCACACATTGCCAGCTCCAAACTGCCTATCACCTTGCTCCACTCACCTGCCAGTACAACCACCTCTTGCTGAATCTCCCTGATGCCATACATCTGACTAGGTTTTTATTCAATTTATCATTCATTTTATCAATTTATCCATTTATTTTATTCAATTTATCATTCTATTCATTCATTCAACTGACATTCAATATGTCTCTTTATACCCGCCATCTGCTGGGCACTAGTATGTGACAACTTGGCCCTGCTCCAAGATGCTAAAGCTTGCTGAAGGGAAAGTGTATAGGGTGCAATATAGCATGTGAAGAGTCTTTAAAGGGGTGGGTGCCCAGTTCCATGAGGACACAAGGGACGATATAATCATCCCTGATCCTGACGCCTGTGTTCTGCTGACTTCTGGCCTCTCTGTCTCCTGCCCTCAATCAAAGCCCCACGCAGTGGACTGCTGATCCCCTGACCTGGGGCCTCTTCAGGTCTGTCTCTGCCACTATTTACCAAGCTCCATACATGGGGAGTCCTGGAATGGTCGGCCCCAGAACATGTGGATACATCTTAAGAGATTACCTCACTCATTAGTGATCCTGCCTAGAAAGAGTGATCTTGTCAAATCTTATTTCATTATTTACACTGGCATGTCGCTGTAACACTCCAAAGCAGAAATTAGCAAAGTATAAATTCTTTCCTCAAAAGGATTTATTTAGTGAAGTACCAAAAGATCTCATTATTAAAGTGGTCTCACTGTTAAGCCAGTCCCATACCACAGACCCCACAAACAGCAGAATAAATAGCTTCCCCTGGATATTTTGAAGTCCATTTACTTACTTAAGGTAGAATCAATATTTCATGTTAATATCATATAAAGAAAAATGTCTTCATAAAAATCTCTTCCTGTTGGGGCACCCACAACATTTCTGGACTCTCTTTTCCCAGAATGTATTACTTTTATCCTGCTTGTTATAGAGTTGGAATTTACAGGTTTCATTGCTCCACCATGAGTCCCTTCAGGACAAGGATGCCCCTTCTGAAAAGGATGATGTCCAGAGAGGACAAAATAATGCTTCTCACTCATTTTAGTGTTTCCCACAGCCCAGTGCCTGGCACAGGAAACATTCTACAAGTCAAAGATTTTGCCCACATACATGGATTTTATAGCTCACACGTTGTTTTAAAAAATTTTAGAACTATATATATTAAAAACTCTCACAGAAGTCTCTTTCTTTAAAAAAAAAAAATCAAAGCCAGCAACACTGGGTCTGAGCTCCCATCTACCTATAATCAGTGCACGCAGATAGTGCCCCTTTTAGAATGTTTTTGATAGGCTATCTCCCTCTTGCCTGCTTAACCCACTCCTGGGACCAGCCTGTCCTGGAGGCACTTATGTCTGTGGCCCCTGCAACCTGTGCTTTTTGGAATGAATTCTTCCTACGCCTTGTTCTCCTCTGCCAAACCAGACCCCAAAGCAAAAGACTATCTCAAAGCAATAGAGATAAATGAGCAAGATTGAATTGGAACACAGGAGACAGAAATGGGATGTGATAATGGAGCACAGGTGGATATTCAGACTACAACAGAATCATCCAAGGTGAGAGACTGGAGTCTTTATTCACCAGCTTCCTTTTCTCACTGTTTAATGGTTATCCCCCAGGAACATTGCTTCCCCTGCACTTTCTTGAGTTGCATCAGCGTGGCAAGCTCCCAGGGCTTTGGAGAAGACGCTGGGGCTGAAAGCATGTCCTTCTTGGGTCACTGTTACTGGGAGCTGTCCACTCGTGTTAGTGCTGAAATCAGATGTGGGCTGGGAGATGTGACAAAGGTGCCAGAAATGTCTGCTTATTCTAAAAAGAACTTATGGTGGCCTACAAATGTTTATGCATTAACATGCATTTTAACAAATATCTATACATAATGAGGAGTCAACAGATGCCATTTAATCCTATACACTTCTTAGATGTGGAACTCAAAGCCTTTGAATTTGGAAAGAGTCAACAGGAAGAGCAAAGCACAGTAAAGAACAAATTTGACTGAAAGGCAAAAATAAACTAGTTTTTCAGTAGGAGCACAACTATTTCTGGCACTGATATCAGACAGAAGTTTCTCCTATGGATCCTCAGAGAGGACAAGGGGATGCAATGAATTACATCATTGTCAAAATCTTTATTGTAAAATTTGGTGTGCGTTTTATCTTGCTGTTTCTTATGTTTGAATACAGGCAAATGGATTCCCACAAAGCATGATTAGTAAAAGAAAAGCTAAGGTAGGGTGGGGAAAAGGATATAAATAAGATGCAGTTGTGATTGGTGGTTCTCTGATGGTCCCATTAATAGATGGCCACTTTTAGATACTAGAGGAACGTGCCAACTACTTTCAGAATTAGTCTAACTTTGAATCTGTTTCTTATCCTCTTTTTCTTTTGTCAGCTGCTTCTCATTCTCATTAATTTTTTTCTTTAGACAGTATAAAGAGTAAAATAAAATTCAACAATGAAAACTCAGAGATTGTTAATCAACTGCTAATATAGGATAAAAAATGTATTATCTTTATCTTCAAATTTGCTACCCATTAGCTGTGTGACTATAGCCAAATCATTTAAACTTTCAAAGGTGAGGGACAGAGAGAAGTTGGGGGTGGCTTGCATGTTTTTAGCTTGGTTCAAGCAAGTAAAGAATGGTACTACTACATGATCTAGAAAAAATTAGAGTAGGTTTGGGGGTAAGGAAGATGATTTTGGTTTTAGAAACGCCCAGCTGGGGTGCTCATGGGTTTGGGTGGAGATGTCTCACAGGCAGTTGAAGATATGATCTTGGATCTCAAAGTAGATATGAGGCTTCAGGTACAGATTTAGGAATCATCATTTCATAGAAAGTAGTTGAATCTGGGAGCACAGATGATGATTCAAGAAGATGGATTGAAGAAGAGTAGTGGACTGAAGGAAGGACCTGGAGTCTCTGAGTGGGTAGGTAGAGAAAGAGAAACCCAGAAAAAGTGATGAGAATAAAGCAAAGAAATTCAAGGAGAACCAGGATTGCAGGGTCACCAGGAGCAAGGCAGTAAAGACTTTCAGAAAACAGGGACCTATTAAAGGTGTCAAATGCAGCTGAAAAAAAAGACTAAGAAGAATCTGGTGGAATCAAGCTCCCCTTTCTTTTAGCAATGAGCTTGATAATGCACCCTTATACTGACTTTCCTCTTTCCCTAAGTCACTCTCAAAGTTCTTTCCCTCACTCCTCTTCCTAGGATCATCTCTCAAATAAATCACCTGCCCCCAAGGCCTAGTCTCAAGGCTCTGCTTTCAGAAGAACCCAAACCAAAATGGTGTGGGAGGAGGAAGTAGGCAAATTAACAAATTGCTTGATGTTCATTAATTGTTTCACAAGAGAGAATTCTACCCAGCTTCCTGACTCTGAGTTCCTTGTCTGAGAAAAGTGAATACCCATAAAGTGATCCCCATGCCTACCAGACACACACACCACCCTCCTCCCAGATAATAATGTCTAGACCTTTGGGCAAATAGCAGCTAAAATTTGATATTTGACCAAACACAGTACTGATATGCCATGGATATCCCAAATCCACTTTTAATATTTCAGGCATCAGATGTAGGTGAGCCCTTTGCTAGACATATTGCCTCCTTTGGATCCTTGTAGAAACCAGAGGAGTGGAGCTCTGAGGAATAGGACAGGCAGTGCCAGGGAATCGCTCCCATCCAGTAACTACCCAATATGTGGTCAGTATGTACTGCTGCATGGAGTAAACAGACATCACAGGAAAGGTTTCAGAGGCCACAGGGAGACATTTGACCACCCATCATTTGTCCTAGAGGATACTGAGGATTTTGGAGAGTTCTGGGGTCTTAGAGCATAAAACATTCCACTTTACTTGCTTTGGGAGTGTTTCATATTGCCTTTTGTGTCTCACATGTAGCAGGCATTCAATCAAAGTTTGGTGAACTAATTGAACGAGATGCTTATTGCTCCTTCCCTTGCAACTCAGTCTTGTTTAATGGTGATGACAGTGGTAGCAGTGGTGATGACTGCCATTTATTAAATGCTTGCTCTCCAATCCCCTCACCTGACAATTAAGAAAAAAAAGCCCAGATAGATTAAGAGTCCTGCCCAAGGTAAACACCTGGCTATTAACAATGTTGGAACTTTTTCTCCCAAACCAATATTTGTTCCATTATTATTTGCTGCTTCTACTTGCTGATGTGCAGATGAGACTTTAAAACTAGGGATTTCCATAATGCATGTCATTTTTAAGAGACTATATATGAAGACTAAAAATTATCCTATCTCCCATAAAGTAAGATGGACAATTCTCCCTGGACACTCTGAATTCACACACTGTAAAATAATATCACAATCCATGGGCCACAGTCATCAGTCCTTGAGGTAGAACCTAGGGGAGAAGGGAGCTAATGACCCTCAGCATTACTGAGGGTGGTGGCTCATGCCTGTAATCCCATGACTTTGGGAGGCCAAGGAGAGTGGATCATTTGAGTCTAGCGGTTTGAGACCAGCCTGGGCAACATGACAAAACTCCGTTTCTATTTAAAAAAAATAAGACCCTCCGCCAGCCACCTCTACAATCTCTAGGGGTAAATATGCTTGTCTATTTGCCTCAATATTCCTTACAAGTAGAATTACTATTTTCCATTTTGCCATGGCATAATAACATTGGAAAGAACTATCTTAACATTGGTTTATTGGACATTCTGAACAGTCCCAGTGGAGTTCAAGCATGAAGAAGTTTTATTTTTCTCCCCAGCCACTGCCTTCTCCCTGATCTGACAAATCAACTCTTGATGACAGTTCAGTTTGAACAGATCCAGTAGATTTTCAGGCAGTTTCAGATATATAAGAATAAGTCCCATTCTAGATTCCCTTTTTGGTTTTGAAAAGTACAGGCCAGTGCAAATCAAAACTTGAATCTCACATGCAATTCAATGCTTCCCACTGGCCTCTTCCTTAGGCTCAACCCTTGGTTCAAGACCAGAAGTGGGGAAGAGGATATGGCCTGTTTTTTTCCTCTTCCTCCATTCCTTCTCTCTTCCTTTTCTGTCTTTCACTGGGGAGGAGGGAAGGGAAGTAGAGGATAGGAAACAAGCATTTCACTTAACTGTACTCATTGTTTTGGTTCACTATGGGCTGGCCACCAATGTACCCAGTAGGTAGAGCTGTATCATTGCTAGCTTTCTTGTGGGTTGCAGGAGTAAGTTCTTGGAGAGCCCCTTAACTGTTCCTTCACATGGTGATACACTCTGGCTGACCTCTAAAATACCTCCCTCTAGCACTCATTCCTATCCCAGACGGCATGTCCATAATATGTTATCCTGGTCCCATAGTCTGGCAGGGTACAGTAAGAAGAACTAATTCAGTGCTTTCTGCAATAAGCACTTGGCCCACAGAAAACTCAATCATCCCTGCTGAGTCAAATGCAGTGTGCAGGCTGCCCCATGACTGCCCTCTCTTCTCATCTTGCCTTCAGGCTACTCCAGGCCACTTCTAGACTTCAGGGTTCTCCAGGTAATCAGGAGACATGGTTTGGTTCTCACATGCCCCCAAACTCCCAAGACAGATGTGAAGAGGCAGAAGCCTTTCTCATCATACCCTACTCTGCTCCAAATGTGGGTCCAAGCAGAGACATGGATTCTGCTGCTCCACAGACACCAGCTCAAAGGGGAGGAAGGGACTAATCTTCCCTTATTGCAGGCACCCACCAATCTCCACAAACAATGCTCTCAACTGGCTTGGAAGAAAATACCTCAGGATAATAGAGGGCAAAATCTCCCCTAGATCTACAACCCACAGCTCACATTCTTTCCAATCCCAAGGCTTTTTTTTTTAAATATAGGCTGGTGGAGGAGGTGCTAGAGTCTCTGTAGTTTTCCACGTTGTCTTCATGTGTTGTGGACCATGTCCACTGTCCTTTTTAGAATATGATGTTATTTATTCCCTGCTATTCTCAACGTTGAAGCTTTATATAAAATTCTGACATGAAGATAATGCCTTCTTCAAATTCTGTTAACAGAAAATTTATATTTTAAGATCTATAAAAGGGAACATGCCCTAAAGAGAATGTTACTCTTTAGATAAAACCTAAAAGTAAAAATAAATAAATAAGTCAGGTAAACTAGACAGAAAACATTCTCTACCAAACATATCCCAGGTGCTTTAAAAGCTGACTGGGAAAACATACACTAGAGATGCACAAGCCCTCCTAGAAGAGTGGGCCTGCTGAGTCGAATTCACCAGCACAGCTTTCCTCTGTCTTCCTTCCCCAATTACCAGACACCCATAGATACCACATCTCAGCCCCCAATATTTCATTCAAGGGCTGCAGGATGGGATAATCCATTTTGAACACTTTTCTGCAGCTCAAAGTTCGCAACTTTCAATACACTTTCCATAGTTCTCTTATTTATCCTCTGTCCCCAAGCCTCAGTCCAACTTCATCGGTCTGTTCGATCCAGACATCTACCCCTCGGGACCTTCCCACCATGGGACCCCCTCCACAATCTCTATAAGATATGTGGTCCTCAATTTTCTCTCCACATCAGCTCTAAAATTAAAGTTCAGGAAAAGCAAAAAGGAGCTATCAGACTTAGTAGCCAACAAAGCAGCTTTTGCCTGAAATACTCTGGGTCAAAAAGAAGAAAATGGCAACGAAAATCAACCAACAAAATGTCACGTCTCCAAATATCCACAGATTCATATGACTGTAGCACACAGTTTAGCACTTGCCGCTGATCTTGTGAAACAATTTTAAAAGCTGGTTGTTTTCACTGAATCTGAATGCTCACTTATTTATCTATTCTTATCTTCATAGTGCTCTTGGTGCTAACACCTGGAAAGAAAAGGTGAAGCAAACTGTTTTGTGGTCTTATTTTGTACCTAGAACTGCATCAGGCATTTTGCATGCACTGTCACAGGGACTGAGGAGGAAGATTTATCTTTTTTTTTCTTTTTTTTTTTTTTTTTTTTGCCCCTTCCCAGCTTACAGCTGTTTTCATCTTACAAGTATTTTAGGTATTTCATACTAATGCTCAGGCCTCATCAGAAACGCAATGCCATCTTTAATTTTTTGGTTGTTGAACCTGGTGCCAGGAGCAAGTCAAGAGGGTGGCTACAAATCATGCTTTATTTATGCAGAGGAATAAAAATACACTCGTGTGAGTGAAGGGTGAGATGCAGCACAAGGCAGTGCATTTTTACAAGGCAAACGGAAGCCTTGATTTACTTCCCATTCCCTAAAACTTTATGGCTTCCTCATCAAAAGAGACAGGTTGCTTTCTATCTCTTAGATGGTAAATATGGTTAATGTGCTGAGCAGTGTTGCACCCACTCTCGGGCGCTTTATTAGGAACAAGAGTTATTTAGTGACTCTTCCTTTGTCGCAGAGATGAGTCCCTGAGATATCATTGAGAGCCCTAGAAATAATGCTCAGCCCAATACACCATTGCCTGGGGGTCCTCCTGGATAACAACAGTTGAAGGAAGAGGCATGCAGGGTGTTCCTCATTTCCAGAATCCTCCTTCACTCTGGAAGTTGAATATTCTCAAGGACTTCAATGGTAGAGAGGTAATTATTCATTTTAGCTTATTAATATCTTCTGAGTTCACAGTGGGGCACACGAGCAGTAGTAAAAAGAAGAGGGATGTGGTTTTTGCCCTTCCTAAAAGTATGGTCATGGGCAACTAATTACCTTATTAGAAATGCTCAGGTCAACTTAAGTTGGGGTTTAGAATAAGGTGGGCCTGGGGACACACAAAGCAATCAGAGTTCTAGGGATCCCATGCTCTAGCGTCATGCTCTCTAGCAGAAATAGAATGTGTACCACATAGCGGTTTTAAGTTTTCTAGTAGCCACATTTTTAAAAAGTAAAAAGTAGGTAAACTAATTTTAATAACATTTTTATGCTGTATATTACCATATTTATTAACATGTAGTCAATACAAAAAAAATCTTTTAGATATTTTACCTTTTTTTTTCATGCTAAGTATTCAAAATTTGCTATGTATTATATGCAACAGATGCATGTAGCTAACAACTACTGTATTGGACATGCAGTTCTGCTCAAGCTTTAATATGCATAGGAATCATCTGAGGAGCTTGTTCAAATGCAGATTCTAATTCCATAAGCCAGGGTAGAGCCTGAGAGTCTGGATTTCTAAGAAGCTTTCAAGTGATGGCAATGTTGATGGTCCATGGACTCTACTTTGAGCAGCAAGAAACTAGGATCCCCTTCAGTGGTGTGCTGGCACTGGCTCCTGACAGCCAACTATGTCATCTCCCAAATCTACATTCACTGTTGCCAGGTTGGTAGCTTGGAATCAGCCATGGTGAAAGTATTTACACAATAGAAATTGGTGTCACATTAGGACATGACTTTTCTGGAGAGCCAGTTGCTAAACATTTACTGACACACCCCTGCTCATGGTCCAGTGGGTAATCCCACAGTCTGTGGCTCTTCTCTGAGTAATGGGATCATGAGTAACCCTTCTCTTTCTTCTTTGCCTTCTGTTGCTGCTTCTGCTTCCACGCCTCCTTCTCCTTCTGCTGTGATTTGAATATTTGTCCCCTCTAATCTCATGTTGAAACTTGATCCCCATTGTGGCAGTATTGAGGTGGGGCCTTTAAGAGGAGATTGGGTTATGGGGGTTCTGACCTCATAAATGGGTCAATCCATTCATGGATAAATTGGTAGATAGCTGAATGGCTTATCATTGGAATGGGACCAGTGGCCTTATAAGAAGAGAGACCTGAGCTAGCACACACAGCCCCCTCACATGGGCCACCTCAGTACTCTGCAGGGTCCCCACCAGCAGGAAAGCCTTCACCAGATATGGCCCTTTGACTCTGACTTCTCAGCCTCCATAACCGTAAGAAATTCCTTTTCTTTATAAATTACCCAGTTTCAGGTATTCTGTTAAAGCAACAAAAAACAGACTAAAATATCTTCTCTTGTTTTCTTTTGTTTCTTCTTATCTGCAATAATTACTTATATAATAATTAACATGTACAATTCATGTAATTATTTTTAAAACATATTTTTCAAAACTAAAAAGTATACAGTGCCGAGAGATGTCTAGTAGTTGTTATGCTATGAATTAGCTTTGTAATCTGAACAAGTCTTGGAGTCTGGCACTCACTTTCCCCACCTATACAATGGGCATAAGCACATTTGCCCTACCTGCTTCAGGTACATGTTTGAAGAATAAAGTGAGATGATACATATTTGAATTTCAATGTGACACAAAGCCAAGGAAAACACTGAAAGTGACTAGCTACTTCAATCACCAACATCTCCATTGTTCTGGTATGGCCAGATTCTCTTTTAGGTTAGAGCTATTATCACGGGCAGAGATGTCTTCAATTCTGGGAAGGGGTATGTTGGGGAGTGGGGACAGTTATCTTGCAATCAATTTGCCAAACTCAGATGCTTGACTAAATCCTAGCTATCCCTGATGGTTAAGAAAGCCTCATTGGCCAAAACAATATTGAAAAAAAGGACAAAGCTGGGGGATACAAACTTCCTGATTTCAAAACTTACTACAAGGCTATACCGATCAAAATAATGTGATGCTGGCATAAGCATATATACATTTGTACCTATGTGTGTGTGCATATATCTCTGAACTCTCTCATACATATACATATGTGTGTGTATATATGGAATACACACACAATATATATGGAATACACACACATATGTATATATGTATATGAGAGAGTTCAGAAATAAACTAACATGTCTATGGTCAACTGATTTTTGACAAGAAGGACAAGACTGTTCAATGGAGAAAGAATAGTCTTCCAATAAATGGTGCAGGAAAAAATAGCCACATGCAAAAAAAAAAAATGGATTTGGGCACCTACCTCACATTACATACAGAAATTAACTCAAAATAAATCAAAGACCTAAATATAAGAGCTAAAATTATAAAACTCTTAGAAGAAAAGAGAGATGTAAGTCTACGTGATATTAGATTAAGCAATAGTTTCTGAAATATGTCACAAAAAGCATAAGCAAACAAAAAAACTAGATAAATTCGACTTTGTAAAAATTAAGAAATTTTGTGCATCAAAAGACATTGTCAAAAAAGTTTAAAAACCCACGGAATGGGAGAAAATGTTTGCAAATCATATATCTGATAAGAGATTAAGATCCAGAATATATAAGAACTCCTGCAACTAAAAACAATTCAAAAATGGGCAAAGGATTTAAATAGACATTCCTTCAAAGAAGATATTCAAATGGCCAATAAGCACATGAAAAGCTGCTTAATATCACTAATCCTTTAGGAAATGCACAACAAAACCACAAGTAGATACTTCAGATCCTCTAGGACAGCTATTTAAAAAATAAATAAATAAAAACAGAAAATAACAAATGTGGGCAGAGAAGTGGAGAAAATGAAGTTTGAGCCCTTCTGCGTTGCTGGTGAGAATGTAAAATGGTGCACACACTGTGGAAAATTGTTTAGCACTTCTTCAAAAAATTAAACACAGAGTTATCCAGCAATTCTACTCCTAGGCATATACCCAAGAGGATACTTGTACATAAATATTCACAAAAAACTTGTACATGAATGTTCATAGTAGCATTACTTATAAATAACCACAAATTGGGAACAACCCAAATGTTCATGAACTGATGAATGGATAAATAAAATGTGCTTTATCCATAAAACAGAATATTACTCAGCACTAAAAACAGAATGAATCACTTGCTCACAATACAGTTGGATAAATCTTGAAAACACTATGATAATTGAAAGAAGCAAGCTACAAAAGGCCACATATTATATGATCCTATTTATATAAAATGTCCAGAATAGGCAAGTCCACAGAGAAAGAAAATACATTCACTGTTGACAGGGCCTGGAGGGAATGAGGAGTGACTGCTTAATGTGTTCAGGCCTTCTTTTTGGAGTAATAATAATTGCAATGATCGTAACCTTTAATCCACTCAACAAATAAGACCACCCATGAGCTAGTTGTTGTGCTGCATGCTCAGGATAAAATGTCAAGGACAGTACTATCTATACAGTCTCTGCTCTCAGGGATCTTACTATTTAGTCTGCACATCCACGTACCTAAGCTTCATCATCAGCCCAGCCTGCTATTGTGACTCAATTAACGTTACACTCTACCATGACCAGAGTTGTACTGGCCCAAGATGTTGGTTGAGGTTGCTACTGACACTTAAATATTTTTACATGTGAATGTATGTCTATATTTATACACTATATTTTATACTGTGTTAGTTTGCTAAGACAACAGAAATTTACTGTCTCATAGTTCTGCAGGCTAGATGACCAAGGTGCCAGCAGGGCCATGCTCCCTCTGAAGGTATAGGGAAGGCTCTGCTTTAGGTCTTGCTCCTAGCTTCTGGTAGTTCTTAGGCTTGGGCAGCATACCTTCAATCTTCACACCATGTTATCCGTGTGTGTGTGTGTGTGTGTGTGTGTGTGTGTGTGTGTACACGTTTCTCCTTTTTATAAGGACACCAGTCATATTGGATTACGGCCCACCCTACTCCAGTATCACCTAATCTTAACCAATTGCATATGCAATGACCCTATTTCCAAATAAGGTCACTGGGGAGGTACTAAGGATTAAGACTTCAGCATGTGAATTTTGGAGAGACACAATTCAACCCATAAGACACACAAATGTGCACATACGCGGGTACGGTGTTTACAAAACTGACCTTAATATTATCTCTAAGAGATCAAAAAGGCAATTTATTTTTGTTCCTGTGCTGCAGAAAAGACGGCTGAGGCTCATAGAAGTTAAGGGATTAGGGGACTCCAAGGTCTTGAGGCTCCTAGTGGGACGCACTTTGTCCTCTGTTGGGGCAGTATGTCTCTTCTTGTGGGATCACTTCTGCTGTTGCAGTCTCCAACAAGCAGTCAAATTCCTGAGGGTTTTGACCTTGGCCAACCCAGGTGTCAAGCTGGTGGGCAGTCCCTGAAGCATTTCTTAGGCTGTGCTGACAGCATCCTGGCAGCAGAGTTGGCACTGGGATAAATGCCTGTTCCAACACATGGCATTCCTCTCAGACTGCTTTCTCCAGCAGCTGAGAGCTGTTGGCAGCTGTGGGTGCAGAGAGCCAGCGAATTGAGTCCATAGAAACTGTGGTACAACACATTTCCTACTGAAAGGACAAGCTTCCCATCAATCCAATTCCACTTAAAGCTCGCTAGTTATCACATGTTTCTGTGTCTTCAAAATCTTCATCAGCTCCAAATTTAATTTATTGGAAGCAGCATCTGAAAATCTGATATAACCTAGTCTTCATGCTAGATTAGAGGACAAAATCTTTCTCTAATCTATTCCCAGGACAAAATTATTATCTTTAAAACATTGCCTTAAAAGAATAAGGCTGTTGTCTTCAAACACTTGGGGAGGTAATTAGCTCTGCAAAAACTCAAATAAATGCATAGCACATAAGTGTCCCCTCCCAAAAATAGGTCATAGAAACATGGATATCCAGACAAATTAGCTGAAAACCCAAAGCAGAAAAAGAAGATTTCTACCCAAGCCACCCACTCAGAGGTGGTAGCATAGACATGCTGGAAAGGGAGGAAGGGGCCGGAAGTGCTGCCCCTGCCTTGGGACCAACTGTGGAGACTTGGCTAAGTTCCTTCCTCTCCCTGAGCCTCAATTTCCCCAGTTGCAAAGTGAAACAGTAGGATTCAAAGATCTCCAATGTCCCTTCTGGTTCTAACATTTTGCCTGGAAAGAAACCAGGTAATAAATTCGCAACAAACTCTCTAAATGAACAGCAGATTCCAAACAGGCACATAACTTCCATGCTGCTGAAAGCCACCAAGTTCCAGTAAACACCTCCTCCCACAGAGCTACCTTAGGCACTGTAAAGTCCTGAAGATCAAAGATCCAAGACTCTGAGGCATCACACAGTACTGACTCTGATTCTCCTGAGAACATGTAAGCCAGCAGCCCCCAACACCCAGGCTATGTAAGCAGTGTCAGATATGGAGACAATACAGACTATAGGAGCACGAGCTCTCTCTCAGAGAGGATGGGGATTTGGAGGAGAGGCAAACATTGCTATAGACAAAGTGCATCAAAGCACAATGTTCACCACCAAAAAGTTACACAAGCATCTCACAGTTCAAAGAACTGAACCCTAGAAAAGTGAAGATCACATTCAATAATAAATATCTACACTAGAGATTGCAGACTGGCCACTGTTGGGCCAGATTTGGGCAGGAGATCTGTTTTGTTTCATCTGCACATGTTTTCCTAAAGAATTAATTCATTTTCATCCGTGAAAAGTTGGGAGAACTTTTTACATAAAAATATGGATTTTCTGCTTCTCTTGAAAATTAAGTTATTTGCTAACACAGGTCCTACATTCTTACCTGGCCACCACCATTTGGGGCTGAAGAGCACCTACCTGAACCCATGATAAATGGAACAGGGCTCCCCAGTGCTACACAGGCCCTGCCATCAGTTTCACTGGCCTGTGGTCATTCTGAGGGCTCACCCAGGAATAAAGTGAATGAAGCCCAATCACAGCAGTATTGTATTTAGAAAGATACAGCCTGAGTTTTGTCTTTGCAAAACATTCATCTTCCTAAATGATAACCATGGACCAAGGGCAGCCCCCATTGAAATAATCAATTTGACAGCAAAAAAAGATACTGGGAGTAAGTTGCATGATCACTAGGAAAGGAACTATTGAATTAAAAGTGGCAGATCCATACTGTGGAATGTAATACAGCTATTGAAAAAAAATCAGATCAGTGGCTCTCAAACAGGGAAAATTTTTGTCCCCCCAAGGAACATTTGGCAATGTCTGTAAACATTTTTGGTTGCCACAACCAGGGGTGATGTGTGACTGTATGCTAATAAGTAGAACAGAGGTTCTCAACCCCCAGGCTGTGGCCTGGTCAATGGCCTGTTAGCAGCTGGGCCACACAGCAGGTGAGCAGCTGGTGAGCTAAACCACCTGAGGTATGCCTCCTGTCAGATCAGCTGCAGCATTAGATTCTCATAGGAGCATGAACCCTATTGTGAACTGTGCATGTGAGGGATCCAGGTTGCATGTTCCTTATGAGAATCTAATGCCCTGTGATCTGAGGTGAAATAGTTTCATCCTGAAACTATCCCCTCCCCCATCCACATCTGTGGAAAAACTGTCTTCCGCGAAACCAGTCCCTGGTGCCAAAAAGGTTGGGGACTGCTGAAGTACAGGACAGCAGTGGTACTGCTAAACATTTTACAATGCACAGAACAGCCCCTGTAGACAACACACAGGATGGCCCCAGGGACAGCCCCTGTGCACTGTAAAATAATGAAGGAATTATCCTACCCAAAGAGCCTATAGTGCTGAGGTTAACCATGAGTTAGATCCATACTGGTTAACATGAAGAAATTTCCAAAATGTTAACTGAGAAAAGCAAGATGTAGAGCAGTGCATATACACCACTTTTAATATGACACACACAGAAAAACTATGCCTATGAATCTGATAAACAGTTATAATTTACATGAAATTAGATATTTCTAGATCCACATGCATAAAAAGTTGTATGAAAGAACAGATCACCAAATGTTAATGCGAGTAATCCCAGAATGTTGGCATTCCAGATGATTTCTCCTTTTCTCCTTATACTTCTTGGTATTGTACAAGTATTTTTAAAATGAGTATGTATTATTTACAGAATCAGAAAAAATAGTATAGATGTTTTTTCATTGTGAAAATAATCGCTAGGTAATTCTTATACATAACCTTCAAAGCTAGATTTACCAGCCACCTCACCAAATCTTACTCCTGTGTCATTAACAAAGACAACTGTAATTGGCATCTGCCTCTTCTCCCTTCTCCTACCTGACCTTGAAAGGGCTTTTCTCACCAAGGCCCAGAAAAAGGACATGTCTTTCTCAGCAAGAGGAGTCCAGATGGCTAATCAGCTAAACAGCCAGCACCTGACAGTCAGGTGGCAATCAATAACTGACCATCTTACAAGACCACAGCTCCTCCCTCCTCTTCTGGTCAATACGTTTCCCCTGAGTAAAAAGAACTCCCAGGGAAATAGGACGGCAAGGAGACATGGGTCCTACCCCTAACAAGCTTACACACTATTTAACAGATATGCAAAACACACAGCAGAACTTGATGAAGTTCAAGAGCTCTCAGCCCAGCTCTGCCTGGCATCAGATCAGCCTCCCTGTCTTTATATCATGCCAACCACTTTGTGGTCCAAAGGGTAGGGCTTTCTGCAGTGTCAGAGACTCCAAAAAGCTGGAATTCAGTTAGAATGCATTTGTATCTGCTGGAGCAGACACCAGTACAGGGCCAAAGGCTCCTCCTGCAATCAGCTCTCAGCTTCCCTTTCCTGGGCATCACAGCATCAGCATCAATGGGTTGAGTAGAAAGTGGCATCAAGCTCTGTGACCCACCTCCCATCCCCTTATGCACGTCTTATTAGTAGGTGCTAAAAGCAGAATCAGTCTAACCTTAAATTGAGTGGGTTTGTGGGTATTTGTATATAGTTATATGAATGTGTAAAACTAATTTGTGTGTAAACACAGGTAAGAGTTATGACTATGCACATCAATGGGCAAAGGTTTTAGGACATGTGAGAGGGGGATCAGTGTAAGAATGTATATATATTACTCAGTTAAACTTCAAGCTGGAGAAGTCAGCCAATGTGCATAAAAATAAAAATGAGCTTCTGAATCATGCTTTGTACCAGGAATGCTAGATGCTCTTCAAGCATGTCTTCAACCTTCACAACAAATCTGTAGAGAAGGTATTTAATAGATAAGGAAACTGAAGCTCAAAAAATTTAAATATATCATCTAGGTTCACCCAGCTATTATGTGTCAGAGCTGAGGTTCAAACCCATGCTTATTTACATTCAACATTGTTTCCACTACACCATGCTTTCTTCATGTTTACTCCGCATAAGGTATTTCAAGCAAAGGGCAGCATACAAAGTCAGTCAGAAGAGTTACAATCAAAAGCTGGTGTTTTCTGGAATTTATGCCTGTGCCAAATACTTGTCTGCCTTTTGATAAAAATAAACAATTGATTATATGTTATTATGTAGGTAAGATGTAATATTCAAAGCTGAATATCCAAAGTATCAATATTGGGAGATTCACTTGAGTGAAACTAGAGGGTTTTACGGTTATGAGTTTGGCCAGCAGTTCCACTTTTCCTAAAGTATGATGAAATAGCCAATAACATTGGGGCAAATAATAGAAAAACCCAAGGAAGGTTATCATCAATTTCATATATCCAGTTCACACAGGGATTGTTAATTCTACTTATTGAAGTAAAAAAGTGGTGCTTATTATGATTGAGACTTCATGTGAATTTTCTGTAATGGGCAGATAAACATCAAATTAAAATGCCCCAAACAAATACAATGGGCATGTGAATCTCAGTTGGTTTCTCTTAGACCAGCTTCTCATTAAATAGAAACGGGTCTCCTAGGAGCCTCCAGGTCAGGCTGTCTTGCTTGGGTTGTGACGACTGTTTTGCTAACTCCATAAACAGTATTTCTCATCAGTGTTTGTACTTTTTAAAAATGTATTCTCTGTTTGGTGAATATTCTCTATGCAGTTCCTCCTCAAAAAACAAAAAGAATAATTGAATACTAAACCCTCCTACTGATAATCTATATTGCTCCAAAGATAAAGTCTATCTTCCGAGGGCTTTTTTTTTTTTTTTTTTTTTTGCAGTTTTATTTAAGAAATCAGTGTTTGGTTTTATTTGGTTTTGACTTAGTCTTAAAGTAGTACTATAATAGTGAATGTGCTTTTCAACCCACCTGTCCCTTCCTCAGAGAAATCCTGATTTTCTCTCTAGGATGTCTAAACACCCAGGTTGACAACCACAGTCTTAATATTTCATTAACTCCAGAAATAGAAGAAAGTGTCTAATTTCAGCAGGATTGGTGTATTCTCCCTCATTCTTGGTGGAAAGAAAAGTGCTTGAGATAGAGAAGCTGGGACGGGAGCAGAAGGAGGCTGTACACCTCCCCTCAGAGGAGCAGTCCCTCTATAGAAGACCAAAAGCGGGCAGAGAATATTCAAACTTGCCCCTGTTTGCCAAGGAGACTGAGTAAATGTCCAGCTCAGCATGAAAGTGATAAAGCCCAAGTGGAGTCCACAGACTGCTCATCCTCATTCTGTCTCCATGCTAGAGAAGCAGGCCAGGTCTTCATTTATGAGAGAAGGGATTTATGAGAGATCGACCAAAAAAAAAGATAGAGAGAAATGATGACAAGTGTGAGAAGACTGACTTATGAAGGGATAAGACGATAGAAGAGGAGAGGGAGGAAAAAAGAAGAGCAACCAATGGAGCCACCCAAGAAGTTTAGATCTTAGAGAACAGGAAGGATCACAATGACTCTTCTTGCATTAGTAACAATAACTACCATTTATCAGGCCCTTGCCATGTGAGACAGGGATGAATGGATGGATGAATATATAAATAGGTATGCAGCTATGCATATATGTACATAGATGTCATGTAGTTTAATTCCAGTTAACTTAATCCTTATTTAGGAAGAGTCACTAAATAACTCTTGTTCCTAACAAAGTGCCTGAGAGTGGGTGCAACACTGCTCAGCACATTAACCATATTTACCGTCTAAGAGATAGAAAGCAACCTGTCTCGTTTGATGAGGAAGCCATAAAGTTTTAGGGAATGGGAAGTAAATCAACGCTCACTGTAACTTCCGCCTCCTGGTTTCCAGCGATTCTCCTGCCTCAGCCTTCCAAGTAGCTGGGATTACAGGCACCTGCCACCACGCCCAGCTAATTTCTGTATTTTTAGTAGAGACAGGGTTTCACCATGTTGGCCAGGCTGGTCCCAAACTCCTGAAATCAGGTGACTCACCTACCTTGGCCTCCCAAAGTGCTGGAATTACAGGCGTAAGCCACTGCGCCCAACCCAAAAAAGATATTTCAATACCCATTGTCCCCCTGCAGAATCTGAAATTCTCATAGCTAATGACTTCTCCAAGGTAGCAGAACCAGAATTTAAACACAGTTTATCTGGCTCCAAATCCTATGCTGTTGATTACTATATCAAGAATATGTACACTTAGTTGCATATTTTCTTGTTTAAATTTGTCATCTTGAAATATGACACTGTTCCAATGATGTTACCATTCATGAAAATCCCCTAGGGACCCACTTTTGAAATTTCCATTCTAGCCTTGAGTACATTCTTTTTTTTATTTTATTTTATATGAGCACTCATTTATTTAAATCAATTGGAATAAAATTTCTTAAGGGATTTTTTTTATTATTATACTTTAAGTTTTAGGGTACATGTGCACAATGTGCAGGTTAGTTACATATGTATACATGTGCCATGCTGGTGCACTGCACCCACTGACTCGTCATCTAGCATTAGGTATATCTCCCAATGCTATCCCTCCCCCCTCCCCCCACCCCACAACAGTCCCCAGAGTGTGATGTTCCCCTTCCTGTGTCCATATGTTCTCATTGTTCAATTCCCACCTAGAGTACATTCTTGATTATCTTCAATAATGACAGAGCCTTGTGCTTTCAGAGCGGAGCTTACTTAGGGGACAGCCAGAAGTCACACAGAGCAAAACCGGTAAACACTGTAGGTGACACTGTTGGGTGATAATCATGTAAGGTTTAAGAGAAAACAGCATGATTATTTTATGTGTTTTATTGACTGTCTCAGAGAAATTCCCAAAGGAGAATTGCTATCAGATTCTGAGCAAATGTCCCATTGCTGCAATAAAAAGGAACCTAAGATTGTGCCTTCAAACTTCAACATTGAACTGGTATAGTTAAAATACTATGCTTGTGGCAATAAAGTCACACTTTATTCATCCTTCAAGGCAAATCAATTTGAAGTTGTTTTAACTACTGCTGAATGGAACATTCTATAAAAAGAAATAAAAAAACTGAGTGAAAACCTAATAGTCTTTGATGTTAATTCTGTTAGGTCACCTGGTGCCCTAACTTCTTGCTGAAAAGTCCAAAGAGAAATGATAATGACCTTGGGACATTATTGCCCTTAATTTGAAAACTTCTGATCATTGTGAGCACCATTATGGATGATAAGACATTTGGGACAGAATGTTCAGCCCACCTCCTGTGCTTAGACTGACTGACCTCTGACAATCTAACAGGGTTTTCTCTAATACATTTGAAGAATGGCATCATATTTGGGCTGGAGAGGTTCTTGTGCTGTTTATGGTCCATGTAGCAGGTGCTCTCCTCAAAATGGTTACTGTTTTTCTCAAAAGCTGCCAATTTTCATTACAGCAGTGAACTGGAGGAGGGCTGAAATGTCAGAGGAAAAGAAAATTACTGGGCAGCCCCCTTTTTCTCCCATTAGAATTTCAGCAAAGCAAGTGAGGCAAGGGCAGACAAGATAATGAAGGGGTTGCACAGGCATTTATTTCACTTTTATTTTTCCTTTGAGAAAGTGTTAATAAAATTAGCAGCGTTCCAATAACAGCAAGGATTATAAAAGATACATTTATCAACAATGTACAATTTTCCTACTGGAATGTATAATAAAACTTTTCAAATGCAAATCTCCTATCAATGAACGTACAAAGGGGCAAGATAAAAAGGAGGAAAATGACATGAAGCTAATTCTCTGTCATCTCTGAAAACTAGATGGATTAACATTGTTTAAAGTTAACTGATAAATCTCCCAAAACTTAATTTTAAACTTTCATTCAGTTTTCTCTCTGTCATGGCTTTAGCCAAAGCTTCTTACAAAAATATCATGCTAATTCCGCTGATTTTCAGGGATTGGGTCAAAATCAGCAATGCCTTCTCATTGCCTACCATACAAAGCCAAAAATCCTCTTATATCAGGTATTTTCCAACAATCAAAGCCCTTTGTAATCCAGTCCACACTGTCTCCCAAAGTCGCTTCTCCTGTTTGTTCATAGCACATCCCAGCTGAAAAAAAAATGATCCCTTGAAGGTCTATGATGCTCTCCTCTCTATCTTATTTATGTCTAACTCTTCTTCATCCTCCAAAGTCTTTACAACTAAGATGCAACCTCTCCTCAGCCTATGCATTAGGAAAAGCCTAATGCTTTTTCCTTCTAGGTTTCACCCACCTCCTACCCTTCTCACATAGTGTAGACCACCAAATCAGAACCTGATAACAAACCACCTTGGATCGATCACAACTTTTTCATGGATAGCACTTTCTAAGAAGAACAGCAAGTTTTCATTAAGCAGGGACTGCACTGGGCACAAACATGTGATCAGCATTTGTTGATAGAATGATGGATTCTGTAGTCAAATTCCTCCTTCTGAGGAGGAACAAACAAATCACAAGACAGGAAGGAAGCAAGGAAGGAAGGAAGGAAGGAAGACTAGAAACTCCATAAACTGGAAAATCAATGTTTAAAGTACTAAGAGTTTACTAGATATATAAGAAAAAATACAGATAACCAATGTACTTTATATTAAAAATGTTTTTGAAAAGTGTGACAGTTTGTTAAAGGTTGATTCAGCAAGTCTTAATTTAAAGGGTACTTCCAGAAAAAGCAAATATAAAAACATAAAATATTTCCCCAAATCAAATACTAAAACTGTAAATATGCTAAAGAATTTCTCCCCAAAATCATTCTAAACTCAAAAGAGTAAACTAAAGTCATTATTGAGACATTCAGACATGCTGATGATGTTGCTCGCCCCTGCTGCTAATCAATGAAAACACTGAAGTCTTCCAGGAACATCATGAGCACCGTTTTCACACAACCTTTGAAGTCTCCATCTGTCTTTCTACAGGCAAAAGCTGCATGTGCCTTTCATGACAAACCCACGGAGATGTTGCCTTTGGCAAGAATGATGCCAAAGTTTCTACCAAACCAAAATAATAATTCCTTGAAAATGCCAAGTAGCAGGTTAGAAAGTTGAACTGGTGCTAATCTGGAGATGCCAAAATCCATGATATTTTGTGTAATGAAACAGTGTCCATCTTGCTGAAGTAAACCCCACGAGTGCAGCACCGTTTCTCACCTCGTCACATTCACGGCAGCAAAGTTTCATAAACACAAGGGCTGAGATTCAGCCCACAGCAAGTCCCCAAGAGTGATTCTATAACTGTAACATGTGGCATGTCAGCCAACTTTTTCATCTTTTACTTAGAACTTTCTACTCAGCAATATTTCTGAGAGCAACTCCGACTTGGGGTGGTTATAAATTTCAACATGTTACCAAGACATGCTTTTAGAAGATTAAGTACCAAAATAATACATGATGCATGTCTCTAACCCATTCCCATCCCACAAAATATCCTTGAAAGCATGTATGTATTTGTATGAAAGGTCATAGAAATAGAGAAGACACAGGCTCTGAAAAATACTGAAAACAAGAAAAAAGAGAAAAAAAGTAGCACAGCATGGGAGATGACTACATTTCTATTTCCATCTGAACACAAATGACCGCAAAAGAATTGGCACAGGATGACAAATTAAAATCAAACTTACTCACCCAGGATGCAGATGTCACACCTAAGTTAAAAAAAAAATCTGGAGACCAATTGTACTTCAGTTAGGGAGTCAAATTAGCATTGATCAGAACTACCTTCATATCACTATGACTAGATAATGCCTCCACCGTCCATTTTGCTTTGTCAATTGGCCTCTTACACATGCAAAATACATTTATAGAAGGATGATCAATCATTTCTAAGATTCCTCTTGTGTGCAACAACTATTTACTGAGCAATTGATATATTTCAGGTCTTGTGAATGAGACAGACCCTATCCCTGCCCTCAGGGAGCCTATAACCCAACAAGCATAAAACCATCAATTAGAAGTGAGATTTGTGCTACTATAAAGTGCAGTATTTTATAAGGGCTTAAAGAAAGATATTCCAATGTAGACAACGCGATCGGGAAAGACTCCACTGAGGTAATTAAATCCAAGCTGAATTTTAAATGGAGTATGAATTGGCTAACTGAAGGGGGGTGGGGATGAGAAAATGTTTCCAGCAGAAATAACTACATCTGCCAAGAAAAAAGGCAGGAAAGTACGGACTGTGGGGCAAATGGGGGCAAGATCAGGAGCAAGGACACTGAAGTGCTCTTGCAGTAAACCAGGAGAGAGAGTAATAGCTTGCACTAGGTGGATGGGAAGAAGAAAACAGATTCAAGCAATATTTAGGACGCAGAAACCATTGGTCTCTGTCATGGACTGGATGTGGAGAATAAGGGAGAGAGAGGAGCCAAGGTAGACTCAGAGGTTACTGGTTTGAGAATCTATGTTGGTGTCAGGGCCACATACCAGGAAATTTCAGGGCTGAGGGCTGGGTGAATAGAGGTTACAATACTGAACATCAGATTTAATGTCCTGAAAACAGGACATGTTTTTAGTTCACTTAGACCTAGAAATGAGTTCACAAAGAAATTTAGAAACTTCTCCATTGATCATAGACCTACATAGTTTTAGACCAGTAAGGAATTATGCAGATTTTCAAAGTGAAATGGCAAGTCTATGGGAAGTGGCCACCCAGAATTTGAAGGTAGAATATTAGTTCTAACAATTTAACTGTTACTAGAATCATTAATATTTCTAGAAACAAGTGATTTATCCACTTACGTTCTGGGCACATGTTCCAAAGTTCTGTTAAAAATAGATTTCACACTGAATGCGAGTATTCTTGAGCAAACAAATCCATCAGTTGCTACAGAATTTATGTTAAGAGTTCAGAAACCAGAATTCTTCTTGTGGGAATGCCAGGGGTCTTTTGAATTTCTTCATTGAACAGGGACCCCTGGAGTTTTTATTGATTGGACAAGATCAAGCAGAAAGCTTTCATTTACCCCAACTGTCTACTTCCCTTGTCATATTCCTTAAAAGATAATTCACTTAATTATTTTAGCCCTGATAAGAAGTGTGTGGTAATAACATTTTTTAAATTGCCTATTCTTAAACAATTCTTTCACAGAAGAATAATCAATTCCTGAAGCCCCTGGATCACACCTCACCTTCAGCTACAGCCTTTGCTCAGCACATGACTTTTTCTTTTCTTTTTAACGTCACAGGTTTCAACTCCAAAGAGCACTGCCAAATCTCTCTCTTCTCTATCATAATCTCCTCTTACTGCTTTGAATGAACATTTCCTCCTGGGGCCTATTATAAATAACACAAGAGAGCAGCTGGGAAAGAGAAATGGGCACTTTACAGGTGATTTGGAAATGCAGAGAAACACAAAAATTCTGGGCAGAGAGAGATGCAGGCACAGAAGTGAGGTTAGGAAATATAGGACAGGGCTCACTATATATGGCCTTAATGTCCCTGTGACACATAATTTCTGGTAACAGAGTTTAATAAATCCAGACCAAATTGATAGAGGTGCGACTCTCAACAGTGCCTTGGCCCAAAGGCCCCTCACCTGTGGGGTAAGGATGGGGAGGGGGTTGTGCTGCATTGCAACGTTGCAGCAAATATTTATGCACAGCAAAAGCCCAGGAAAATTCTATTTAATGGAATAAACAAAAGGATATTCCACCGTTACAAGCCGACCTGTTTATGTGCCTGAAATTAGTTCTTTGGAGGCAGCCCGCTCTCTTCTGCCAATATTCTGGGACTCCTATGGAAACAATATTTTTTTCTCTCTGCTATTAAGCACTCAGTTTTCAGAGGCAAGCAGAAGGGATATTGAGGTAATTTTTAAAATGCTCTTCATAAAGAGATTTAATTAACAACTATTAGCCCACAAGTCAGTTATTTAACAACTAAACTGTCACTCAGCCCAGTAAAGACCAAGGATGCCTGATTTCAGTCAATGCGTAAGTGTTACATTGGCCAAAAAGGTTAAGGAGAGAAAGCTCTACTGTGCTTTGCCACAATTTTTGTCCATGTGACACACCTCTTCTTAGTCTGGGGTTAATGATGCTAATATAGAGACTGCGGTCCATTACACCGCAGTCTTCAATTACATTGAAGCCTTCATCTCAAATGAGAAATTACTCAGGAAGCTAGAACAGAGGAAGTTGTCACTTGGTTTGTGTTCATCTGGGGGATTTAGAATCAAACTCTAAGTCTTGATTCTGGTGACAGAATCCTTGCCAAGCCTCCTTTGATAGCCTGTCCAGTGTCACAGGTCCTATGGCACCAAGGCCCTGCTTTTCCATTATCATTGACCTCACCTACCCCTTTCTGCTCCAGTGACTGGCATCTTGTCTGTTGTCTACCCGATAGTTGATGGAAATATGCAATAGACACAGTTAGAGAACATATTCATTAGACAGCTATTTATTGAATACCTTCTACGTGCAGATTCTGTTGTGGGCACTGTGAATATATCTAGAAAAAGTTACGGACTTGTATGCTCATGGGGAAAACAGATAACAAACAGATGTAAAGTACATTTCACGGCAAATAGGGAAATTTATTAAAATGGCACAAAAAGGAAGCAACAAAACAGACACCCATATGGAAATATGATCCCCAAGTCCCCACAGGAATGTGCAGCCACTGGTGATACTGCCCATGATGGGAGAGGGTACAAGAAAGTGTAAAGTGGCTTCCTTTTTCATCAACATGGCTGTCCAGAGTGTCTATAGGCTTTAGCTGCAAGCCTACATCCTCAACAGGTGCAAAAGGAACTACTTGTGTGGATTATGGGACAAAAGAAATAAAAATCAGTTTTCCTGGCCTAATATTCCTCAGCAGACCCTAGCCTTAGGCCTGATTGGAATTCCCCCTAAGTCAGGGGAATTTCCTAATGCCTTTTTCATGATCACCTTCAAGAGAAATGCAGGAAGAGGAAAGCAGATGGCACTCTGTGAAGACATTTTTCACTGAATATTGCAATGACTATTTCATACTAGAAGTAACATTACTCTCATTAGGTTAGATCTTCAGTTTTAGATTTGGTTTCAAAGATACAAGGAATCAGAGAAAATGTAGATGAATCAATGAGACCCAGATAGAAATAGGTTTTGATTTCTAGTATTGGTTAAATGCTTTCCTAAATAAGATAAATTAGCAAACACAATAATGAGATAGCCATTCTTCTGTCTTAAGAGAAAATAAGCTATGGAAAGAGTTTATTATTGTATCTGAGAAGGGGTGGACCACTCATAGTTTAAGGACAGGTGTCATGGATAAACTCATCATAGAGGAAGCTTATTGAAGACCTCAACATGGTGACAGTAGTTAACAATACGGTACTGTAGATTTGAAATTTGCTAAGAGGGTACATCCTAATAAGAAAGTATATCACCAAAAAAGGTACTATGAAGATATGTTAATTAGCTTAATTGTGGTAAACATTTCACAATGTATAACAAAACATCATGTTGTACACCTTAAAACATATAATTTTTAATAATACCTCAATAAAGGTGAAAAAAATTAAAAAGAATGCCTCTGGATATTTGGCTGAAGAGATATTTCGAAGTTACAGAAGATGCACTTGTAAGGGCTTTCCAATAACCAAATTGCCATATGACCCAGCAGCCTCCATTTCCTCTACAGAACACAGGTCTGATGCCTGTGGCACCATCCAGGCATGTGACTATGAGGCCGCTTTGAGAAGCCCTCACATCTACCAAGAGCATGTTGAATATTTCTTAGCTTGTTGTTAACAGTTTTACATGCTGTTGAAATTATATAGCTAAATATTATCTAAGCAGATAAAATGTGAGTGAAAAAAGAGATTTAATTATATGATAATTAAATACTTTGGAAAGATTCCCAAGTGTGTTTAATTAGGTGAGGGTAAAAGATTTGTAAAAGACTGGGGAAATGACCATACATATCTAGAAGGGTTCTACAGTCAAACTGCTTTACAAAGGTATAGGTTTTCCTTGCATCTCAAGAGATAGAAACTGAGTGTTGTAGGCAATGTGTATGCAAGAGTATTGAATCCTCCCAAATCCGCCCCCATCCCATGAAAAAAGACCTTGACTTTATATCAAAAGGTTGGAAAAGGGGTATGCATTCACAGAATTTTATACTCAAATCAAATGGTGAGCTACGTGTGCACAATTTATTCAAATTCTTCTTTTTAATCAATCTTTAAAACAACTACCAGTCCTGTCACATTAGATAAGAAGGCTCTTATCCACCCACTCATACCTTACTCCCCAGAGCTCACCTGAGAAATTACTCAGGAAGCTAGAACAGAGGAAGTTGTCCACCGGTTTGTGACAGAAAATGTAACAAAGAGGCCAGTGCTAGAGTTTCTCTTGGTTTCTGTTGGTTTTCATTTTTAATCTTTAAAAAAATATATATGCCATGTGCTTTTGAAGTTTCTGGGTCTATGTAAAATATTTATAGAAACACAGCACATAATTAAAATCAATAGCAACAAATAGGAATCATAAATTACCTGCCAAGCTGAGCAATTCACCTTCAGCAGGTCACTACACAGATTCAACACAGCCAAGCTCTCAAACAGTCAGTTAAGCAAACAGCGTGTGTAGGATCCGGAACCATGGTTCTGGTGTGATACACAGAGGAGATTAGACATGGTCCCTTTCTCTGCAGAGCTTACAGTTCAATAATCAAACTGGGGCCATCAGGTTGCATTTAGTTTTCTGTAATGACAGCAAATCAGGATTAAGGTGAAGAGGAAGGAGGAAACGAGCCAATTTTGTGCTTCCCTCCTTCAGTAATTCCATATTCACTGCCAAATGGATGTTGGAAAGTAGAGATCATGAGGGTGGAAATATTTTGTAGACTATCACTGTAGAAGGGTTTTTCTTAGATTCATAAAATGTTAAAACAGGAATGGGGATCTTAGAATCCTGTCTCACTGCCTTGTTTTACAGATATGGAGACCAAAACACAAAGTCATTAAGTGAGGTAACCCTGCTTATTAGGAGCAGGGTTAGGAGCAGAAGTCAGATATATCCTACCTCTCTTTCTAGAATGCCGCACAGCACTGCTCTCCCTCTTTTTGGCTAACATTATTTAGCATGCTTCTTTTTTTACTTCATTTCATTACTCCAAAACTATCCAGAACACACTTTGATCAGAACCCCTAAAAGCTCATTTCTAAACAAAGTCAAAATTCCCAGATAAGTTCATTTAAAAATTGCAACTGGTTGAAGAAAAGTTTAACAAATTGAAGAAAATGTCAGCTTTGACAAAAATTTCATGCCAATTGTTTGGTTTCATATAGACAAAAGACTTACAGTTCTGAAAGAATTGCTGACTGAGCTATCTATCTTCAGAATGCACACACCCCATTTGCCTGGACAGAAGAATTACTCAGGTTTCTTTCACTCAGCATATACTCCCTCCCCTCAAAAAAAAAGTAAACCTCACTTATTACAAGAACTTGTTGTTACTTTTTGTAATGCTGGTGTCTGATTACTTCAGTGTAGCAACTATTTTGTTAATGCCTACGGTTGCCAATCCAAGGCACTATGTGAATACCCACCGAGTACCAGTTTAGTGTTGTGACATCAAGAAAAGGATCTCACACCTCATGAAGCTTGCAATCCAGTCCTAGAAACTGTACCCAAATCACAAACACAGATTGGATGGTGACAAGGGATACAATGGAGGTAAGAATGACCTGGAAGCACAGAGAAAAAGAGAGATATGGGGGGAAATTTCATAGACAAGATTATATTTGAGCTGGCCTTGAAAATGGGAGAAGATACTACCATAGAGATCAACCACCATGACTTTTTTTCTCTGCTCTTTACCCCCTGCACATCTCCTAACCCCTTGAAACTTGCATTCCATTCCTCACCTCTAAATTAGAACTGTTCTCAACAAATTCTCCAGTGACCTCCTAGTTGCCTGATTCAATTGTCATTTTTAGTCTTGACCCCAAATTATCTCTTTGGAAACCCTGTTGTTGATCTTGACCTTCTTGAAATTCTTCTCTGGTTTTCATCATCTGCTCTCTCCTGCTTCCCTCTCTCTGGAAGCTCCCTCTCAATCTCCTGGTCCTTGGTAACATCTCGCTCATTTTTTTTTTTTGGCACAATACAGTCTACCTAGATAATTTTACCACCTCCACAACTCCAATCCCTTACGTTGACACTGAAAACATGCAGATTTAAATTTCTAGTTTCCTATCTCTTTTTAATTAACAAATCATAGTTGTATAAATTTATAGGCTAAAATGTGATGTTTTGATACATGTCTACAATGTGGCATGATTACATCAAGCTAGTTAACTTATGTGTCTCCTCGTTTACCTTTCATTTTTATGATGTGACTTTTGAAATTTGCCCTCTTAGTTATCTTGAAATTTATAATACATTATTATTGACTATAGTCACCCTGCTGTGCAGCAGATCTCAAAACATATTCCTCTGATCTAGCTGAAACTTTGTACCCTTCGATCAACAACTCCCTTTGCCCTCCTTGCCCCTGGTAACCATTGTTCTACTCTTCACTTCTATGAGTTCAACTGTATTAGATTCTACATATAAGTGAGATCATGCTGTATTTGTCTTTCTATGCCTGGCTTATTTCACTTAACATAATGTTCTCCAGATTCATCCATGTTGTAAAAAAAAAAAAAATGACAGAATTTCCCCCTTTTTAAGGCTAAATAGCATTCCATTGTGTACAACGTATGTAAATGCATGTAATGTGTGTAAAATGTATAACATTTTCTTTATAGATTCATCCACTGATGGACACTTAGGTTGCTTCCATACCTTGGTAAATAACGCTGCAATAAACAGGGGAGTAGAGATATCCCTTCAACATATTGATTTCAGTTCCTTTGGATATATATCCAGAAGTGGGATTACTAAGTCATATAGTAATTCTCTTTTTAGCTTTGTGTGGAACCTCCATACCATTTTTCATTATGGTTGTACTGATTTACATTCCTACCAACAATGTATGGTCCCCTTTTCTCTGAATCCTGTCCGACATTTATTATCTTTCATTTTATTTAATAAAAGATATTCTAACAGGTGTGAGGTGATCTCTTATTGTGATTTTCATTAGAATTTCCTTAATGATTTCTGATGATGAGCCCTTTTCATGTACTGGTTGTCCATTTGTATGTTTTCTTTTGAGAAATGTCTGTTCAGGTCCTTTGCCCATTTTTTTAATTGGGTTGTTTTATTATTATTGAATTGTTTGAGTTCCTTATCTATTTTAGATATTAACCCCTTGTTGGATGTATGATTTCCAAGTATTTTCTCTCATTCTGTGGGACCTATCACTTTCTCAAACTCATATTTCCAACTATTCACTGAACTGACAATGTGGGTAGCCTATAAATGCCTGGAACTCAGCATGTCTAAAGCCTAATGCATCATCTTTCTCCCTAAACTTCCTCCTCCTCTTTTGTTCCTTCTTTCTACTTAAAACTCTAACGCATACTCTTTATGCTTTTTTATATTCTACTCCCTGTGCCAGGAATTCTCTTCTGCATATTAACTACCAAGAAAAGTTCATCCTTAAATGATTAACACATGTTTACCCTCTTTTGTAACAGCATAGGGGGCAATGTAGTGCTCTGGAAAAATAACAGATTCAACTTTGAATCCTGATTCCAGCATTTATTATGCAGTCATTTGACCTTGACCCCATTGAGCTTACCTTGCCTTGGCTGTAAAATATCTACCTCAGAGGGTCATAAGCTTCCACTGAGATGATATATATGGAAAGCCTAGTGCAAAAACTGGCACCTAGCAGGTCCTTCATGAATATTCATCGTCTTCCCCTCCCTCCCTACTCTGGGCTGCCAGAGCATGTGTACCTGTTTGCTGCAGCCCTGGCTATGTGGTGTTCTCATTCTAATCCACTAGACGATGAGCTCTTCGATGAAAAAGCCTATAACCCAGCACCGCCAAATGTAGTCAGTACATGCTTATTAAACTGCAGTATGATTGGATATAGCTCAGCACTCCATTCTAGGACTCAGGATCTTCAGCCAATGTCCCTGGGGAAATGATGTTCCATTAAGAGAAAGAATGAAATCAAGGATGAACTCCTCTTAGGAACAATGTAAAGAATTCAATGCAGGGCATGTTAACTTTTAAGGAGCAGAAAGAAGACATCCAAGCAGGAAGTTGTGGCTGTGCCTGGGTGGAGTGGGGCACACATTCAAGGAAAAGGGGAAGGAACAAGAAACATCAGCAAAGGAAGGGGGTAGGGGAGCAACATGAGAAGACAACGACAGAGAAATGGAAAAAGGAAAGAATTTCATTAAGAAAGCAGAGGGTCGGTGGTGCTGAATAAAAAAGACAGGTTCCTAGAATTAGAACAGTAAACAGGCTCTGGGGTTCTGGTCAAGGAAAAGAAAATAGTTTCGATAGAAGCAAGAAGGAAGAAATAGATTTGATAGAAGCAAGAAGACAAAACAGATTGCAAGGGGTTAAGAAGTGCGTAGGTGACAAACTGAGGGAAAATCTCCAAGGTAACTAAATAATGGTCTAGCATTTGTATGTGTTCAAATGTGTGGCGTTTTCAATTCCTAAAGTATGATGCAAGAGCCCACGTTTACTGCCTCCCAGTTGTCCCTAGTCTACCATGCCATGCCACATGCAAGTGTCTTTTTGTGTCCTCTTACTCTCCCCACCCCCACCCCATCACAGCTACAGGACTCTTATCTACACATCGGCCGGCAGTCTCACTTGATGAGAATCTGATGGATTCCTGCCTCGCATCGTTGACAATTTCATCACTCAGAAGACTGAAGAAGCCACCACAGGAGCAGCTTTACCTCAATTAATTTTAATCAACAGCCTGGCTTGAATGATGGAGTGGAAGTGATAGGAACTTTGGGGGGAAAGTGATGAAATTGTCTTGTAATAGTCAAGAAAAAGAAAGCTGGTCATGGTCAGAAATAATTCAAGCAGTTTAGAAAAGTAGATTTTTATGTTCGACTCTCCACCCTCCAGCCCCAAGGCATGGAGTTCCTAAATAGAAAACAATGGATCCTGAACCTAGCTCTATTACATATTTTTAAAATTAATTACTTGGGTAGACTCAGGCGTAATAAAGTTAGGATGGCACAAAACAGGAGGAGAATCCCTCAGCACTGGATTGGGACCTCTTGATCACTCAACAGGCTATCAGGATGAACTGAAACTAATGAGATTAATTTTAATTAGAAAAATATAAAGATCTGTCCTAAGATTAAAAAAAAAGAACAGAAGAAATACAGTATGGAATAGGACAAAGACATTAAATAAATATAGGCTTTAAAAAAGTTATGAAGGAATGTTAAAATTGTTAAAGATAAGTACTTAAAAACCGGAAACAATCTATAACCTCAAACAGAAGAAAACAGAATAGGAACTTAAAAACAGAAAACAGGAAAGGTGAATAAAAGTACAAAGTACATGGCATAAGTAAGTCCAATTATATTAGGTTTTCAACAAATACAAATAAGCTCACCTATTCACATTCAGATTATCAAATAAGATTTTAAAAAATCAAGCTATATACTATATATGAGACACCCCTAAAACAAAATAATACTGAAAATAGAAAATAAAGGCAAAAGATATTCAAGAAATACCTTAGCAAAAATATTCTAATATGGCAACATTTTTATAAGACAAAATAGACTTTAAGGTGAAAAGCATTATTAGGAACAAATAGGGCCACTATACATTAATCAAAGAAACTACTGGAGGAACAGATAAAAATCATCAAATTGCCTGCAGAAATGTGAGATGGAAGAGACTTGCTTTAATAGCAGTTCATGTGAAAATGATGGTGTTTTGCTTTCAGAAGTTTCCTAATGGCCAGGGAGTTAACATGGTCACCTCCAAAAGTCACTGCAATCTTTGCTAACACTAACAGTGTGCAGAACAGTGCAAGTTAAGACCCACTTTCTCTGCACTGTCAAAATTTATCTGGAATGGAAGCTGAGATAGACATTGTCATACTGGAGAATTTCCAGCAGAGGTTGACCAGGATGAGAAAGCATTACCTAAGAAACAGTTGAAGGAGAGGAGATATCAGGAGAGGAGATATACAGGGAAAGTATAGAGATACATGTCAACTAAAAGTGGGCACAGTAGCAAGTGATGGAGCCAAGACTTAAACAGAGCAGATCTCACTGCAGACAGACTCCAACCATTCTGATCTACTCCATCCCGCATTGCCTCTCTATAAAAATACTGGAAGAAAATATAAGAAATAGTTTTTATAATATGATAGTGAAAAAGACTTTCCTAACCATAACATGAAGATCACCGCTATAAATAAAAAAGAGGACTTTTTTAAAAAGGTAAATTTTTGAAAGTTTGCATAGAGAAAGATACAATAAGCAAAGATTAAAAAATAAACAACAGAGTGACAACAACAAATGCTGGTGAGGATGCAGAGAAACTACAGTACTCATACCGAAATGGCCAGAATGGAAAATGGAAAATAGTTTGGCAATTTTTATAAACTCAACCTCCAATAGCCATACAACCACCCACTAATTGCATTCTTGGGCATTTATGCTGGAGAAATTTAGACTTATGCTCACACAAAAACCTGCAAATAAGTGTTTATAGCAGCTATAATAGCCAAAAACTGGATACAGCCCAGATGTCCTTCAGTGAATAAATGCTTAAACAATTTAACAAATTGTAGTATATCCACAGGACATCATCCATGTTGTATGTATCAATAGTTTGAAAAAAGTCAATCCCCAAAGGTTACTTAATATATTTTTCTGTTTACATACTAAGTAGCCTTTGATTACTTCCTGTGATTCCATTTTTGAAATGACAAAATTTTAGAAATGGAGAAAAGATTAGTGGTTCCTGGAGTTGGTAAGGGGTTGGGAGGATGTGGAAGCGAGGTGGGTGCAGTTTTAAAAGGGCAACATGGCCGGGCGCCATGGCTCATGCCTGTAATCCCAGCACTTGGGAGGCCGAGGTGGGCGGATCACTAAGTCAGGAAATCGAGACCATCCTGGCTAACACGGTGAAACCTCGTCTCTACTAAAAAAATACAAAAAAATTAGCCGGGCGTGGTGGCGGGCGCCTGTAGTCCCAGCTACTTGGGAAGCTGAGGCAGGAGAATGGCGTGAACCTGGGAGGTGCAGCTTGCAGTGAGCCGAGATCGCACCACTGCACTCCAGCCTGGGCGACAGAGCGAGACTCTGTCTCAAAAAAAAAAAAAAAAAAAAAAGGCAACATGAGGGATCCTTGTGTTAATGAAACTGTTCAGTATCTTGACTATGGTGGTGGACACATGGACCTATACATTTGATAAAAATATATAGAACTATCAAAAAAGACATATGATTACAAATTTTGGCCAGGTTGTAGAAAAACTGGAACCCTCAAACATTGCTAGTAAGAATGTAAAACGGTGCTATCACTCTGGAAAACAGTTTAAAAGTTATTTAATGTTAACATGGAGTTACCATATGATGAACAATGGCACTCATAGGTATATATAGAAGTGAAATGAAAACATATGTCCACACAAAAACTTGCACATCAAGTTTCCACAGTTTTTATAGCAGCATATCTATAATACTACCAAAGTGAAAACAATTCAAATGTCATCATCCGATGAATGGATAAAGTGTCCATACCATAAAATATTATCTACAATAAAGAAGAATGAGGTACTGATACATGCTACAACATGAACCTTGAAAACATTATACTAAGGGAAAGAAGCCAATTGCAAAAGACCACATATTATATCATTCTGTTTATATGAAGTGTCCACAATACACAAATCCTTAGAGAAAGAAAGTAGATTACTGGTTGCCTAGGGCTAGAGGGAGAGATAGAGAGTGACTGCTAAGGGTAGAGTTTCCCTCTGAGGTAATGAAAACATTCTAGAGTTAGATAGTAGTGAAAGCTGGATAATTTTGTGAATATACTAAAAACCATTGAACTCTGAATTAGTGAATTTTATATTTTGTGAATTATATCACAGTAAAAATGTGAATAAATTGTATATAACTAAATACACACACACACACACACACACACACACACACGCGTACAAGTAAAACCAAGGAATTCTGAATAGGATAAGTGAATTGTATCAATGTCAGCATCTCAGTTGTAATACCATATGACTATCTTGTAAAATATTACTGTTGTGAGGAACTATGTAAAATGTATACAATATTTCTCTATATTATTCCTTACAACTGCATGTGAATCTAAAGAAGCCACTGCAAAAAATTCACATTCACCATATGTAAAGCCCACACACTCGCCCACCAGTGCCAGAGAAACAATACTACCTTCTGCTTCTTTCTGCCATCCATTCATTTATGAGCAGCAGAGTCTAAATTAGATGCCTGCTGGCAAAGGATTCTGGGAAATGGTGTCCTAGGCTTCCAGAATCTCTGATATAGGAGATCATAGAAGGGAAGAGGGATGAATGCCAATGTATTATATATAAAAATATTTATACCTAAAATACATATTTGAATTTACATATACAAGAATATAAATTTATATACACTTATACAGCAATTCACATACTATTCAAATTTATAAATACGTATACATACATATATATGTATTTGTGTGTATATTCTAAACTCATGGCATAATGTTTAAATCTGTGTCTGAAATTGCATATACAATACCTTAGTCCGTGTTTCTCCCCCACTCCCAAAGTAACATCTGCAACAAACTTTGATGTGTGGGTCATTTATTCGGGATGATGATTCCAGGAAGCAAGGGAGGAATAGGAGGACTGAACAGAGGAGGAGAGAGAGAAAATCGAAAGATGTATCACACCATTGATGACTATTGGGAGAAACTGATTGTTCCATCTCTTTCTGAGAAGCCCAAGGAACAGAAGGTCACTTATCTTTGGTCAAAGGTTTAGATTGCACATGTTGAGCAGATCCCTTAGACACATCACACTGACACCATTAGGTCAGAGAAGCAAGAGGTACAATGGTCTTGCCCAAGGTGAGGTGCTGTTGGCTGACGCCTGTGGGAGACTGGTGGAAGCTTTCATAATATGGGGTGATGATGAGAGGGTTTGAAGCCATGCACAAGAGGTATCTGAATACAGGATGATCCCAATTACATGAATTACATTATTGGACAGACAAAAAGTCTGAAAGGAAATTTAGCAATATGTTAGTGGTGGGTTATAGAATTATAGATAATTTTTGCTTCTTTTTTAATATGTTCTTATACTTTGAAGTTTTGCACAATAAGTATATATTGTTTCTGTAGTCACAAAATGCAACCAAAATTACATTTAAGGAGCTACGCCCTATGGTTTAAGGATGAAAGTTGATACGAAGACCACAGGATTTGGATATAGGATTCTTCTACTGGATGGGAAAAGGGACCAAATGACCTCTCAGATCACAGGCTAGGATTCTATGAAAATCAATTTGGCAGAAATGCCCAGAGGAGTACCAGGCACAAAATAGGCCCTTGACTCACATTTGTCAAAGGAATGAATGTATGTACTGCAGCAGCACAGATAGAGTTGGAAAACTTTCTGCTAGAAGCCCACAGGGTCTTAGAGAAAACAAACAAAAAAAAGAAACTCAAAAAGATAAAGTTACCATAGATAAAGTTACCATATGACCCAACAATTCTACTCCTAGGTATATCCTCAAGAGAAATGAGAACATATATCCACACAAAATCTTGCACACCCACAACAGCACTATTCACAAAAGCTAAATATGGAAACAATCCAAATGTCCATCAACTGATGAATAGATTAACAAATTGTGGTATATCTAAATAATGGAATGTTATTCAACCATAAAAAAGTGACATAGTGATCCATGCCACAACTGGACAAACTTTGAAAATATCCTAAGTAAAAGAAGCTAGATGCAAAAGTCAACATACTGCACAATTCTATTTATGTGAAATGTCCAGAAGAGATAAATCCATAAAGGAAAAATAAACAGATTAGTGGATGCCAAGGCCTGCCGAGAGGAAAGAATATGGAGTGCTTACTTTGTAGATAATGAAGTTTCTTTGTGAGTAATGAAAAGTTTGGGGCATTAAATAGTGATGGTTGCACAACATTGTAAATATACTAAAAATCACTGAATTGTCCACTTTTAAATGGTGAATTTTGTGTTATTTGAATTTTATTCCAATCAAAAATGATAGTAAACAGTTTAAGGGAACATATAATGTGTGGCAAATAATGGTATTAGAGTCTAGGGTAGAGCGAGAGAGATCATATAGGTATGGGGTCATCAGGATGGCTGCACGGAGTGGGTAGGAGTTTGGGACTTTGAAGAAGCGGGATAATAGACATTCCAAAAGATGCTCAATAAGTGCTTGTGGAACTGAATTCAGCTATAAGCACTGCAGGAAGAGGTATCCACTAAGGCATTAAAACAGCAAGGGGCAGGATGAGTCCTGTAGATAGTCATCCTCATGGATATAGAAGATTTTAACAGTGGAAGAAGGGTGGCAGATAAGGCAGAAGAAAAAAAATCATCATTCATGTAAACATTTTTAGAACAAAAAATCTGGCCCAGATTAATGTTTTCTCCAATTTCAACTGTTTTTTTTTTCACTTCTAATTATAGAAATAATATAAAAGAAGGCATTCTGGTATAATGGCTTAAAGGTTCTGCACCAGTCGGACAGCCAGGCTGCAGAAAACATAACCCCAGAGTTTCAGTGACTTACAACAGCAACAGTTGATTTTTCATGCCCTCCGCATGCCTGCTATGGGTGGGCTGTATCTGTACTCTATGTCTTCTTCACTCTGGGACTAAGGTTACCTGGGCAGCCTCCACCTGGAATTGTCATCACAGCGGAGAACAAGGCAAACTGTGTACCGATCTTCAAGCTTCTGTTCAGAAAAGACATCCCTTCCACTCTCCTCTCACTAGTCAAAGTTGGCCACGGACCCACACCCAAAGTCAACAAAACAGGGAAGGGGCATTAAACATGGGTAACTGGAAAAACTATTTACCACAGGCTCCAACCCTGTCCCTGCGACTTAATGGCTTTTAGTAAAGTTGCTTATATTCTCTGAGCCTCAAAATCTTCATCTATTAAATGGGGATGATTACTCCCATGCTATGAAATTATGATGAGGATTAAATGAGATCATGTCAGTAAAATACTTGGTGCAATGCCAGGCACATAGTAGTTATTCAATAAAATAAACTGCTCCAACAGATGATAAGCTCCCCGCAGGCAAGCACTTTTTACCCATTGTTTACCCTAGCACAGCACCTAGCTCACTGTAAATATTTCAATAGATGCTTAGTAGAAGAGTGAATAAAGGAATATGACTGTATGCTCATTTTTGTAAAACTGGAGTACACAAGAAAGTATTTAGAAAAAAATAAACTTACTATTTTTAATTAATGGCCAATGAAGGGGAAGTAGGCCCTCCTCTTCCTTATCACTGATGAGCAAGTTATAGCTCCTTTTTAATTCACAGCCTTTCTTGCCCCAGCTCACATCTGATGCAGAAATCAAGGCTGAAATGTGCAGACTGTGGATGTCTTTTGGAGAATTGAGCACTGTCTGAAGAATGTTTCTAGCTCAGCAGAGGTCTGGCAATAAACTATCCTTATGGATCTCGGTGTCCAGATGGGGTGCTGGATTGCGTGGGAGTCCCCAGAAGGTGAAGACAAGAGACAGGAAATAGAAATTACTGCCTGGCCTGAGGCCTTTCCTGGGATGGGGTCTCCAAAGAATAGAACCTTCTGCCAGAGTTCCGTCTGCTTTAATAATCTTTGCCAGGGTTCCACATACTATCATCAATTCAGGATAACAGTGAGATTATTTTTGAGATTTAAAAAAGTTTTATTTAAAAGCCCATAATTTTAATTTATACCAGTAGATATGAGAAAGAGAAAATGCAAATAAAAATCACAACTAAATCTCACCTTAACTAAATGCAAAACCACATCTACTTATTTTTTGTAGTCTTCTTTCAAATGTATGAATTATACAGTAAATTTATAATGTAAAAATTTTTATTACTTGTAGACCTTCTGATTGGCATGGTCCATTATTACAACTGTTTACTACAGGTAAGATAATGTGCCCACCAGGCACACACACATGCCCAAGTGCTCACACATACTCACACATACTCATTACCCATGTTACATGTATGAGACGAAACATAATGGCTGTCTAAGAAATAGAAAGCTTTGTTCTTTGCAGACTAACTGGTAGAAGCCATAGGGAAACATTTTTCAGTTAAATGGGAGGGAGACTTTTCAAACAGATGGTCTTTAAAGCCCCTTAACCCTGAGATGTGATGATATTGGTAATAGCCTGATTTAACTTGAGGAGCCCACCTGGCAATTCTTCCATTTTATTCAGGGTTCTTTCTGTTCTCTGTGGGTCTGACAACAAATGCTTATGGACACCTATGCTCTGCTGTCACTCTGTGAAGATTTATGAGGGACACTTGGGCCGGGACCATAGCCCCTCCCTCTGAGGGGTTTGGCTTCTACCTGGGCAGCTGATGGACAGCCATGGGAAGCCCAGTGAGGCGGCCCACAATGACACACAGCTCACAGCATCACAAGGAGCGGGGAGGTTACTTCCAAGGAAGTGCCACAGATGATTAATGCTGTGGAAATTCAGTAGAGACATGGATGAATATACCAAAATTCACTGTGGCTGCTTCCTAACAAATTTAGATTAAATATGCTATCAGGAAAACAGTTTTCCAGTTCCCTCAGACAGAAGTTTCAGAAAAATCTCTACCCCACTCTCAAGTCCCCAACTCCACCCCATACCAACACCTCATACACATACACAGGTGTGTGCAAGCACACACACACGTGCACGCACACACACATATTATCACTGTGCAGGGAAGGCTTTTCAAAGGATGGCTCCTGCATGGTGAATCCATACCACCTTTGTGTTTCTCTTCACTTTTGTCCCCTTTGGTCTGATCACCTGTTCATTGCTCAAAGCCAAATGCTTCCTTAGAGAGCTTTAGAATGTACTTGGACAGTCAAACACTGCATCTGATCCTCTTGTAGAATACAGGCAAGATATGAGAGAGATTTAGAGGGTTTCTTCCCAGTTTAAAAATATGTATTCTATATAACTCATAATCCTTTACAAATAGAAAATCAGTAATACAATACACCAAATCTATGCCAACTCAATTGGAAGAATAAACAAGTTCAACAAAGTCCTTTAGATGCAATTTATTTGGGGCTTACTGCAACATTTTTTGTTATATTGTAGATCTTGTAAATTCCAGTAAGTCTATCTGAAATTGCAAACATATTAATATTTCAAGGAGAAATTATGAACTGAGTATTTCTGTTTGTTCATATTTATAAAATGCAACAATGGACACATCTTTAAAATCAACGGCTGCATCAACCTTGTCCCTGAAGTAGAAGGGAGTGGGTTTATAGAGGGGAAGAGCTAATACTAAAGCCATGGCTGGGGATAGTGGCTCATGACTGTAATCCCAGCACTCTGGGAGGCCAAGGCGGGTGGATCACTTGAGGTCGGGAGATTGAGACCAGCCCGGCCAACATGGTGAAACTCCGTCTCTACCAAAAATACAAAAATTAGCCAGGCATGGTAGGTGCCTGTAATCCCAGCTACTTAGGAGGCTGAGGCAGGAGAATTGCTTGAACCCAGGAGGCAGAGGTTGCAGTGAGCCAAGATCGTGCCATTGCACTCCAGCCTGGGCCACAGAGTGAGACTCTGTCTCAAAGAAAATAAGAAGTAAATAAATAAATAGCCAATGAACTAAGCATTTTCTCTCCTGTTGAAAGGCTGAAGATGTTCTTCCAACTTTTCATAGGTAGTCAAACAGTGAACATGATTCCTTCAGAGAAAGGACCCAAGCTGCCTACAAGCTCCAGTTTGGCATCCCCTCCCAAAGTAAGCATTTGGTAATTCTCCTTTAATGTATTCAGTACTACATAAAAACCTGCCATAAATTCATTAATTTGTTTCTGAAGCTCTTCATATGTCTGTCTAAAATTATCTCTTTGAGAGAGTTTTGAATACGGAGGATTCTGAACACATGGAAGACATACAATTGCTCTTTCAATATTTTAAAGGAAAAAGTAGACTTATCACACCTGACGTCAAAAGGTAGACATTAGGGTAATAACATTTGGCTTAACTGACAGCAGGTCTTTGAACAGCCAGTGAAGCCCAGTAGTGGCAGAAGCTGTCTTAGGGAGTAGTGACCTAAGTGTTCAAACTCAGGCCCAGCAAATGCCCAGCAAGGATCATCTAGGAGCCTGGCCTGCAGGCTTTGCAGGCCTCTTGCACACCTGAGAGTCCCTTCTATGAGATCCCAGAATTGCTTTATCAAGGAAGAGGGACTGGAGCTGGGTTGTGACCATCGAGGAGTAGGTAGGAATGAATGGACAAAATTCCTGGGACAAAGGCATGAGAAAGAGCATAGCAGTCAAGTCCATCTAGAGTATGGAGGGACTCAGCCTTGTATCTAAATGAGAGGCTTCAGAGAGGTGGTGACTAAGAGATAAAAGGGAGATATTAGTTTGGGATTCAGTTTTAGATAACCTTGAATGCTGTGAGAAAAATAATGAATTTTGTCTTCAGGGCACTTGGTTACAAACTAGTAGCCAACTTACGCTTTATTACTTAAAGTGCCCAGTGTTTCAAGAGGCATTTGGTCCCCACATAAGCAGTTTAGAGCGTAGTGTCTTCAACAGACTTCACATATTTATATTACCTGCCTGCCACTGTTACTGCTGCTACAGTTGATGATAAATCACTGAAGATGTTAACGTGGGAAAGTGGAATGAGCCAAATCTTGGGGAAGTCAGTGCAGTAATGTGCAGCTAAGGTTTGAGGGCAAGAGAGTCCAGAAGGTTTTTCCACTGCAATAGTCCAGGCACGAAACACTTAGGACTAAACCTGAAAACTGATAGTGGGAGAGGAAACATAAATATAGATGAAAGACAGGTCTGCAGGAAGAGGTGGCCAGACAAGAGGAACACCCAAAGGGGGAATGTCTGTACTACATTCCAGTCTCCTTTCAGCCAAGACAAGCTGTGTGACTTTGGGCAAGTTACCTAACAGCTCTAGCTTTATTTTCCTAAGATACATAATGGGGATAAAATTATCTATTCTGCCGTATTGTTTTAAGAATTTGCAATAGTTTATATAAATCTACATAAAAGTTCCTAGCACAAGGCCTGCCATACAGAGAGCATTCATAAAAGATTTAAATTTTTGTATGCTTGTTAAAATTGTATAATTTTGTGTATGTGTAGGGTGCATTAACTGATTGAAAGTAGGGTAAGTCAAAGATTTCTAATTATTTCCAGTAAAAATTTGAGAGGTATATTTGAGGAAAAAACAAGTAGTTAAATTTTAAATGTTTTAGGCTGAAAAATAATGCCTTACAGGATATATCCAAGTAAGATTTTCTAGCTGGAAATTGACAATATGTGTATGCAGATGGGAAAAAATGGGATGAAGCTTCAGATTAACTAGGGAGGTTTAGGCTGCAAGTAACCAAATACTCAAATTCAACTGGCTTAAATGATAAAGAAAATGTATTAGCTCCCATAATGGAAATTCAGTCTGGTATTACTTACTTCAAAGGCTCTCTAGTGGCCTCAGGGATCCAGGCCCTTACCATCTTCCCCTCAGCAACCTAAACATATCGGCTTATCCCCAGGCCTGCTGCCTTCTTAGTTACAGCATGGCTGCAAGCATTTCAGAAGTCTCGTCAAGGCATGACAAAGAAGAAGAAACATTTACCAGACACCCCTCAGTATATTTCCCCTCTCTTCTACTTGGCTAGATTTGGGATAAATTCTCCTCCTTAAATCAGTCATTGTCAAGAAGAACTGGACTCCTAAGTTTGGCTTAAATTAATCCAGATTTACCACCTGGGCCAAGAGAAGTGGACGCTCAAGAGGAAGAATGAGAATGGCTGCTGGGTAGGGCATTCCACCACCTTGCACCTCTGGCTGAGTCTTGGGGTCCAAGGCCATGGCTCTTGATGAGCTGTTCTCACTGTCACACAACTCCTGCTGAAGACAGCTTTCTTCTAGCTGCTGGCCCTTCCACCTGCTGTCTAGAACGTGGGTTTCCAAGTCCTTCCAGGTGAGACAGCTGACCCTCAGCTCCTCCAGGCACCCAGATTGAAGTCATTGTCTGAACTAATTCATGAACTAATTTAATGGAGCAAGGTAATAAGTGGTAGCAGTTTCTCACTTCCTTACCACCAACTGCAGCAAACCCTGCTCTGGCAAAGTTTCTGTAAAAATCGAGATGAATTAGATTAGTGTTGAGGACTCCCTGACTCCCCCCACAGAGGCACACAGCAGGTAGGAGACTGGATTGGCTGGTGACTGGAAGATAGTGGCAAAAAGTGGCTAGCAGATGGTGGAAAGTTGTCTGGTTGCCAAGAGGAGAGTAAAGCCTAGTACTAGAAGACCATAAGCACTTTGTCTTATTGATACACATGACAAACTCACTTTCAATCAAGCAAACCATTCTTCCTCTTTCCCAAGGTCTTGCTTATTGATTGACTGGAGGTCGTATCTGAGCCTTGGAAAACAAAGCTGGCCACCTGCAGTTCTCTGGATGGGGCAAAGGGGAAAAGGCCAGGTTAACTAGGGCCTCTCACCTCATTTTCACTGAACAGGAAACTCATAATAAGCCAATCTAAAAATGTCCGCAGGAAGCAAGCATTAACTCACCTCCCTGTGTCTTGCAAGGTCTAAATCTAAGTCATCCTGGAATGATAACATTCTCTTATATCTTTCATGAAAATGCCACAAAATGTCTCTGGAAACCCTTGGTAACAAACACACTACAAGGGAGACAATTTGTTTTAAAAGTTTAGCCTACTGGCCCTGAAACTTTTTACAAGTGTGTTCCCCAGGGACATTTTTCATAATTCTCTGCCCTGGGTTGAGCCCACATTTTAAAAGCATTACAAACAGTTTTTCCAGCAATTATTAACTTCCTCTCCCATCATATATTATGAATAGTTACATTTAATTGCATTTGCAGTAAAAATCACCAATAGCCATAGCATAATTCCCATTTTTAAATTTTCCACATTTTTAAAACTTTAATTGAAGTATTAACGTAACATACTACAGAAAGCACGCATACCAAAAAATGTATTGCTCAATTCGTCCTCACAAACCAAACATACCCACATAACCAGCACCCAGATCAAGAAACAGACCATCATCAGCACCTTGGATTACCAGCACCCTCAACTTCCCTGTCACTCACTAAACACTATGCTCCCATAAGGATAAGCCCATCCTGATTTCCAACAGTATAGTGTAGGTTTCCCGGTCTTGGGACTTTGTGTAAATTATTCTTACAGTATATATTCTTTGTGTCTAGCTATTTGCACTCAGCATCAGCTAAGATCCATGTTACACATAGCTAAAGATCATTCATTCTCAGTGCTTAGTTCATATTCTACTATATAAATATACTACATCTATCAGTTCTACTGTTGATGGGCATTTGGGTAATTTCCCTGTGTTGTCTATTTCCAAGTGCACTACTTTGAACATTTTGAACATATCTCTTGGGGAATATATGTAAGAATTTCTGTACCTAGTATCCATAGCTAGTAGAGGAATTGCTGGGCCCTGGGATACATGCATATTTGGCTTTAGTAGATAGATTCTGCCAATCTGCTGAAGTGGCTTCATTAGACATTTTTGAAATGTGGAAAATAGCTTATGTACCCAACGATTGCCTTTGTGGATCCCTGAGAAGTGTATGGACACCAGTCAAGAACTTCTTCTTAAAGGAACCTATTGTCTTGTTCTGTCCCCAATGAAAATAGGTAAGATTTACTATTCCTCGTAAAATGCACTTCAGTTATTTTGGAACTATGATGAAATCCACTGTGGTGTAAATTTTATGTGTCAACTTGACTGGGCTAAGGGATACCCACATGGCTGATGCAACACATCTGGGTGTGTCTGTGAGGGTATTTCTGGAAGAGAATAGTGCTTGAATTCATAGACTGAGTGAAAAAGATCTACCCAGTGTGGGCAGATTGTGTGCCCACCAATGTGGGCAGCTGTCATCTAATCCATTTAGGGGACTCAGATAGGAAAAAAATCAGAGGAAAGGTGAGCCCTCCCTCTCCCTTCTTGAGCTGGGACATCCATCTTCTCCTGCTTCAGATGTCAGATCTCCTGGGTTTGGGGCCTTTAGTCTCAGAATGGAAATCACACCAGTAGCTCCTGGTCCTCAGGCGTTTGGACCCACACTGAATTACATCACTGACTTTTCTGGTTCTCCAGCTTGCAGATGGCAGATCATGGGACCTCTTGGCTTCCATAAACATGTGAGGCAGCTCCTATAATGAATCTCCATATAAAAACTTACAATCATGGCAGATGGTGAAGGGGAAGCAAGGCATGTCTTACATGGCAGCAGGAGAGAGAGCATGAAGTGGGAAGTGCCACACACTTGCAAACAATTAGATCTCATGAGAACTCACCATCACAAGAACAGCAAAGGGGAAGTCTCCCCCATGATTTAATCACACCCCACCAGGCCCCTCTTCCAACACATGGGGATTACAATTTGAGAAGAGATTTGAGTGGAGACACAGTCTATAGATAGATATAGATATATAGATATAGATAGATATACCCTATTGGTTCTGTTTCTCTAGAGAACCCTAATACATCCTCTCTCACCCTGTTACCCCTGGGCTATAAAATCTTTCCTCCCATGTAATGCCCAGATGAGAGCTTTATGCTGAGCTTTACCTGAGGCCTTTTTGTGGGATGAAGATGCTGAGTCTCAGAGTGTTATGTGGTCACAGGTAGTGGATGCCACATGGTGCCTCCAGAACCATGTCCCCTGTAATACACAACCCGTCTTCAGTATCAGGTAGGAAGGAAGTCAGAGAGGCGCTGGGAAGGCACACGCTCTGGAGGCAGACAGGCCTGGGTGTGCACACTGATTTGGCCACTCTCTAGTGTGAACCTGATGTACACCTGGGACACGTGACCAACAAGGACATTCATCTGGCTGCATGAGGTTATGATTAACATTGCTTTTCTAAACCCAGTGCCTTATTGGTGTTGGTTGAAAGAGGCAATTAGAATAAAATCTAAATTTCTTACTTTGCCCATAAGGCGCCACCTGAGCAGACTTTCTGCTGACCTCAGCTCCTTCCACTCGATCCTTTGCTCACATTGCTCCAGGCGCACAGCTCTTCCCCCAAACACAACTAGGGCAAGTTTCAGGGCGTTTGTGCTGCTCTTCCATTGGCACTAGTTGCTCTTTTCCTAGATCTTCATGGGCTGCTTCTTCCTCATGATTCAGGTCTCAGCTTCAATGTCACCTCCTTGGAATTAATGTCCTTTCCTAACAAGCCCTAAGACAGCCCTCCACCACCTTCTCTATCTCATTAACCTATTTAATGTTCTTTATGGTATATATCATGTGTCCATTGCCTTCCCATAACCAGAATGAAAGAGCCACAAGAAAAATGACCATGTTAATTATTCATTGCTATATCCCCAGCATCTAGAATAGTCCCTGCCACATAGTAGGTGGCCAATAAATGTTGGAGGAATGAATAATCGAGGTCTCAGTGAAGGAGTGTGCTGGTCCAGATTCAGCTGCCACTGATTGCCTTTGAGGCCGGGGGAGGGGAGGGGGCGGGGGCGGGGGCAGGTCCCACTTAGCATAGTTCAATATTCTCCCTTTCTTGAGCCCAGGGTGAGCATTTTTGCTGGCCCTAAAGAGACTCACCCATCTGACGATCTGGCATTTCTATTACCTCATTTCAACAAATCAATGTCGTGAACTTTCTATTCCAGACAAACTTGCATTAATGATTTGCAGTGAACCACCAATACACCAAGAAGACCGTTTAACTTGTCAAAAACAAGAATTGTCAGCTGCTGGAAATGCAAGCCTGACACTTGCAGGCTCTGTAAGGCTGAGATTCCATCCCTCCCAGTTCTTGGAGCCAAGACGAGATCAATGGGGAAGCTGCCCAGCAGGACAGACCTCACATGTCACAGGACACCACTTCTGCCAAGCTTGGCAAAGCCAAGGAGCCATGGTCTGCTAATTGTGCCACGTGGCCATAGGCTGGCAGCCTTTAGTGACTTCCGTAGCTTTGCCAGGAAGAAGAGAGGCCTTTATTTGTTGGAAATTCTCTGATGTTAAAATAATATGTCACAGTGGTTTTTTCCTTTCCTGGAAAATATGAATTTCACAAGTATCAACTAACATGTTTTTGCTTTGCTTACTTCGGTGCTGGTCGATATGTGTAAGAGTTCCAGATTCAATGCAAAATAACAAGATGAAGATGTGGGAAGATGTTGAGAAGCTACAAATGTTCTTCATACTGGACACTTCAATACACAGGTTCCATCTGACAGAAAATCAACCAAGATGATATAATCAAGTATCACAGACCAGAGATTTAAGTTGGCCTTGCCCAGGCCCTTTAAGTTTATACAAAAATAGGGCTCTAATATCCTCTCATTATTCACAGCTTTGATCCTAAACCACCTACTCCAACCTATCCGTGAACCAGAGTCTAAACCTCCCCTAACTCCACAGGTTTCTGGTGAGACTTTTCCATCAGAACATAACCTTGCCTCCCCTCTTGAGTAAGCTTGGATTCTCCCTTTAACTCCACTGTCATAAACTCTCCCCAGTTATGCATGTCTCTAATACCTAACAATCCCTCTGTGTTCACCTCAGTCCCAGGGTAGGACCCCAAACAGACCAGGAGTTATCTGTGCCCACACTCCCATTCTAAACCAAACGGTTAAGTGCATGATATGGGTCACTGTAATGGTGAGGCCAGACTGCATGTAGTGATGACCATGGGGAACCAAGAAACACTAGGCTGAGATGTTTGCTCAGGGTCTGCATTAGTTTGCTAAGGCTGCCATAACAAAGTACCAGTAGAACTTTCCTCAGGGTTCTGGAAGCTAGAAGTCTGGAATCAAGCTGTCCTTAGGATTGGTTCCTTCTGAGGCCTCCCTCCTTGTCTGCAGATGGCCACCTTCTCCCTGTATCCTCACACGCTCTTTCTTCTGTGTGTGTCTGTGTCCTAACCTCTTCCTCTTATAAGAACACCAGTCACATTGTATTAGGAGCCACCCTAATGACCTCATTTTAATGTGATCACCTCTTTAATGAGTCTATATTCAAACACAGTTATATTTTGAGGTACTGGGGGGTTAGGTCCCCAACATATGAATTTTTCAGGATGACAGAAACTCATAGAGACTGTACTACATGACTAGGATCTGTGTTGGCTTCTACTTCCAAGACTCCCAATGGAATAGATGGAAAGCTGGCCCTGTAGGAGGAACAGCACAGGTATCAAGAGAGAAGTCTAGGTGGGGAAAGCTTCACCTCTAGCAGATTTTCAGTGTGGGTGGGCAGCTCAGTTCCTTTTAAAGAAGGAGTTGGAGGGCACCAGAGCCAAAAGGAAAACCAGGTCAAACTTGTGGTCAGCTGGTAGGAGATCAGGCCAAGTAGAGAGCAAAGAGTGTTAAAGCCAAGGAAACAAAAATGTGGAAGCCAGGATGGGAGCCTGGGATTGGCGTGCAAGCCACTGCAATTAGCATAGTTACATTGATGTCCTCTTTGGAGTCCTGGGCTGCCCCTTAAAGTGGCAGTGGCCTTGCAATAGCCCTTTAGAGACCTCTAGGACATAAAACCCTTCATTATATCCACTATCCATGATCATGGCTTATGCTGTGATCATTGTATGATGTTCACTCAGTGGCCTGCAAGAGCTAGATGAGAGGCTGTAAAAGAAAATGGTACACATCCCACAGATAAGGATTTTTTTTTAATGTGAACTCTTTGCCAACGTTTTTACATTGGGAAATTGCACATAAAAATCCATATTTACAATTTCTTTTAAGAAATGTAAAGATCTGACAAAACTAAGACTGCAGTCTAGCATGGCAACATTCAGCCAAAGCTAAGTAACAGCCTCCTCCTTGGTGAGGCCACAGGCTCTGGCTCACTGTAGCCCACATTGCCTGACTCTTCATTTATGCTCCTGCCTAGCCCAGCAGGAATTCTAGTTTGAGACCTCTGAGCTCAGCACATAGCACATGAAACAGTGGGTACCCAGTGTGATGGTGATAGGGTTTGGCTGTGTCTTCACCCAAATCTCATCTCAAATTGTAATCCCCATGTGTTGGAGGAGGGGCCTGGTGGGATGTGATTGAATCATGGGGACAGACTTCCCCTTTGCTGTTCTTGTGATAGTGAGTTCTCATGAGAACTAATTGTTTGCAAGAGTGTGGCACTTCCCACTTCGTACTGACTCTCCTGCTGCCATGTAAGACATGCCTTGCTTCCCCTTCACCTTCTGCCATGATTGTAAGTTTCCTGAGGCCTCCCCTGCCATAGGGAACTGTGAGTCAATTAAACCTCATTCCCTTATAAATTACCCAGTTTCGGTAAGTTCTTTATAACAGGGTGAAAACAGACTAATACAGGTGGGATCCGGGATAACATTAATCATGGTGGTGGTGGCTGATATGATTGTTGTCCTCATTGCTGTTATTGAGGGTTTGTTGTTGGAGATTCTATGTGGTATAAAGTCCATTTCAGACAGACAAGATAGACACAGATCTTCATTGCAGAAGCTTTAAACCAATGGGTGGATCAACATAGGTTGATTTTATAAGACACTGCAAAATTCAAAGTGACAATGATTGATGAGGTATAGGAACAGAGACTCCATAAAGAGAGTGGGAGATCATAAATTAGAGTTCCATTCTTCACTGTCACAAAGGGAATGAAAGATTCAGCCTAGAGCGTCAGATATGAGATGGGCAGCCAGCCTGCTTCCTGGTTTTAGTTGTAAAGTCCTGAAATGTCCATGAAAAGAAGAACCCCTGACTCCAAAGCTTGACCCAGGATGCCCCTAGGAGGGGCAGTTTTGAGCATTTAGTATGTGAGAGACATTGAAGGAGGTGCTTCACCTACACCGGTTCATTGGGAGAAGTAAATAACGTAGACTTCAAGCATAGGGTCATTAGGTTGGCTGATTAGGTTCAATTACTGGCTCCATGCCTTATAAACAGTGTGAATTTGAATATATAACATCCTTAAAATTTCCTTTTCCCAACCTATAAAATGGAAATTAATAGTATCTACCATATCATTTTTAGGAGGATTAAATTTAAGGGTTTTGCATGGTAGTTGGCTTATAGTAAATACACAATAAATAGCCATTGTCATTATTATTAGTAGTAGTAAAGCCTCCTTTTATCAAGTGAAGAAACTGAAGACCATAAAGGCTAAGCCACTTGCCCATGATTTTCAGGTAATATGTAATAGAATCAGTATTAAAACTCAGGTATACCTACATAAGAGTATCAGTGATTCTGGCACCTTCTTTCCAATAATATCTCAGGGCTGTATGGACAAACTACAGAGATCCTAAATGAGAAAGAGAGAGAGTTTGGATACTGACTTCAAAGTACAGCATTGAATTATTGTTGGTTTCTGAAACTTTCTTTTTTCTAAATCCCACTGTTCTAGCCACCATTGAGGCCATTTTCCATGCACATGTTAAGCCTAGTTCTCTGTGGAAAGACAATGTCATCCATGCCAGGCACAAGTCCTGCTTAATAAAGAATGGCAGGGCAGGGTCATCAGCAAAGCTGCCTGGATCTTGGCCAGTCCTCCCACATGGAAGGCGAGCTCACTGTCACTCAACCCCACTGCCCTGGACGTTCTCCAGGAATGAGTGACAGGCCCTGCCATGTGAGCAGGCAAAGGCATGGGGGCAGTGGAGATAAAATTGGGAGAGAGAAGAAACACATCAGGGATGAGCAAAAGCCAAACAGATGGTATGGCCTCTCTGTGGGCGCTGCAGGAGATACAGCAGCAAGCTGAGTTCATGTGCCAGGAAGGGGCAAAGAAGTTGAGTCCCAAAGACGCTAGGCTTGGCAAAGAACAACAGCCAGAAAATGAAGGACAGCATTATGAAGGACTACTGAAGAATTACACCCCAGAAGCATGAGGGGCTTGGCTGGGGTTGGTGGGGGAGAAATGGGATTCTGTAGGGCAGAGGTGGAAGAGCCAGGAACACAGAGCAGGCAGCAGTTGAGAGGAGCGACCAAAAGACTACCGAGGTCTATAAGTCCAGAAACAGGAGATCATTAACACAGGGACGGTGGACAGACTTAGGAAGTCTAAGTGCAATAACACCAAGGGTATTCTGATGTCACAAGGGTAAGGGACCAGTGGGCTTTCTGTTGGAAGCAGTCACCATCCCACTGCTCAGAGATAGCCATTGTTGATGGGCATGGGCACATATATATAAGCGTGCATATATGGACATATACATATACCCGTACGCATTCTCAAATATTAAGAATGAAATGATACCAAATTTATGTCATTCAGTATGTTTTTACTCAACTGGATCAGGAAGCGTCTGTCCATGTCTGTGAATGTGCTGCAACAAGATTACATTAGTGGTGTGACACATTCCATCATGTATATAAACCACAATCTACTTCACCACTCCCCTACTGGAAGGCAGGTACAGTAGGGTAGTCACAATTTTTTCACTGTTACAAGCAATTCTTGTCATCTATTTCCTTAGGACTCAGTCCTGAACATAGGATTGGTGAATCAAAAGGCATGGGCATTTTAAAATCTTTTTACTACTTTGAGAAAAAGTGAAAGTGCACCAATTTACTCTCTCACTAGCAGTTTGAAAGAGCAGTTTTCTCTATGCTTCCCAACTCTGGGTATTATTATGATTTTGCCAATTTGCTAAGTAAAGAATGCCATGTCATTTTCCTATCTGCATTCTTCTACTTACTAAAGAGATTGAACACTTGTAAGTGCATTCACAACCCCTAAGCATAAGATTGGTCCCTGGCAGAAGAGACAGCACAGAAGAGAGCAGGTGAGATGGGCTATTGGCTGCTCAGATCCAGCCTCAGACTGTGTCTTAATATAGGTCCCAAGGGCTGCACCTCAGCTTTGCAGATGTAAAACCTGTCTTCTTCTGTTCACCCAAGTGTTCTCTAGCTCTGAGAACAGAAGTTTGCTAAGAAAATTCACAAGAGATGGGTTGCTACACCAGGATGCTAATTTACCAACTCACAGGTGAAGAAGTATAATCTTTACAACAATGGGAATATTCGTGACCAATGCCTAGGATACTCCCTTCTAGAAAACAAATAAGGAATCAGAAGGTTGCTTGGTGACTATAAATGTAACCCTAGAGACGTAGAAAAGCAGTGAGAGAGGTTCCTAGAGCCCAGAACACATTTGTAGACAGAGCTGGGGTCCACAGCCACTGAAGGATCCATTCTCTGGCTCTTCTTGTCTTGAGGACAATTGCTCTCACCAAGCCAAGCCAAGCCAAAGGCCTGCTCCCTTCACACATGTGGCCAGGAGAGGGGTCTATGGTCATGGATGAGCCGCATGATCAAAAAATATCAGTCTCTGCTCTAATCTACAAAATTAATCAGTCCCACAGGCCCACGGGCATAATGCCAATAGCCTCAGGTTTCATTAGCACCATGCTGGGCCAGTAAATCTCTCTCTCTCCACCCCACCCCACCCCATCTCTCCCTCTCTCACACACACACACACACACACACACATACACACACGTGTGTGTGCTTTATTTCCTTGTTTCCTTATACAGTAGTAAAAATGTTTTCTATTTTGCTTTAGTTCTTTAAAAAATAAATAAATGAAATAAATGCATTTTATGTCCCCAAGACTTGTACCACCCACTGGCTCTCATACTGGGATGTGTGTGCCCGGGAGGGTTTGCCAGGTTTGCTGAGGGATGGTGGGTGCCCAAAGATTAAAATGGCTCATTTATCTAAATGTTACAAAATTTAAAACATTTTAAAAGTAGAGAAAATACATAATATGTAGCAGAATACAAAATGCATGATTTCCTCATAGCAAAAATGATTTTTGGAAAAAAAAAAAACACTCAGAGAAATTCCAAGTTCCCTGCAGTGTCCAGTGTAACCTCTACCCAGCTCACCCTCCCACCTCAGCTCCCACCTGAGGGAGGGGTATGCATTTGGTGGAAAAGTTTAAGAAGCATATATAATCCATTTGGGTAAGGGTTGAGAGCAAAGGCTAGACTTGGCTTTGAAAACACTGCCACCATTTATTAGTCAAGTGTCTTTGCGTGAGTGATTCAATACCTCTAAGCCTCAATTTCCTCATTTGCTGAATGAGATAATAAAATAAGTGATAGAATGTTTGATAGTCATGAGAGTCTATAAAATTTGCAAAATTGATTTGTAAAAATTTATCTATCACCAATCTCAGCTTAGCGCTTGAGCCTTCATTTCTGCTGACAGTGGAAAACTTTTAACCCTTCAGTATGAGGTAACTTGGTCCTTTCTAATTTAAGACTTTCTTTGGGGGTAGTCACTTAAATTCAGGGTTCACCCCTCAAACTTCCCCATCCCTGAAAGGCAAGCAGTTCCAAGGGGATTCTTTCATAAGATCAGGGTATTAGGGTGGAGGTAGTATCTGTCTGCTCAGCTCCCATGGTAGGAGTCCACATCTGTTCTGGTCCCCATGCGGGAAGGGTCCATGCCAGCCATAGCCAAGACCAAACCCAGCAGTGGGAATAGCCCTCCCTGTTCTATATCTGGGTTGATCTAGTGTTGGTGCTGCCTGCTGTTATGCCTCTTCCTGGGTGGTGTACAGCCTTCTCTGGCAGCATTCAGCTGCCTCCTGGCCTCTCAGTATACAGACCCTCAAAGGGCAACGAAGGGTCCCTGTGGCTGTCACCAGAGACACATGCCCCATCAGGGTGTCCTGCTTCTTGGTGTGCACCCTGTTACTCACTCAGGCATCTTCCAGGGCAGCATGCTGGCACCCATTCCCAAGCTAATGCTCACACTCTCGCCACTTGAGGGGCTGGAATGGTGGTGGGAAAGTTTGGTGGTAGATGTTTTTGTGAAGCCTCCTGGATAACCTCTCAAGGGTAGAAACAGCTAGAACTCAGGACAACTCTGCCATTCATGAAGCAACGTCCTTGTTTATCCCTTGCTGCTGTATCTCCGTTACAAACCTCTAATTCCGAGGAACGTGGACAAAGGACCCTGTAGGTCTCTTTGAGCTGTTGCACATTTTGTTAAACAAAAGTCTTTATATGTTCCAAGTCCATAAAGAGAGCAGTAAACAAAATTAAATAGAAGTCCTGGTGATAAAAAATGAAACAGCTACTGAAAAAAAAAAGCAGTGGAGAACACTTACAAACTTGAAACATATACAAATCATGACTTGATATGACACTTATCTCTTAAGTATCATGAGAATAAACTAATGTTGAGCTCCTGGAGAATATAAGTGATATATAAGTGCTAAACAATTTACATGTGCTGAGCCACTTAGGATGCTTATTGAAATACCATGCAATACTGATATTCCAGAAGATTAATCTTCCCCCAAAGCAAATGACTTCCAAAGTGGCCTGACAAATGACAAAGAAATAGCAGTTTTATGAATCTGATGCTGATGTTCTGTGCAACAACAGAACAAATACTGAAAGAGAAAAAATCTATCACTATCTTGAGGACAGTATTAAGGTGCATGGGTAGCCACACCTGGCTTCCCAATATCAACAGAACAGCTTTCATGAAAGGGACAGCACATGAAGAAATGAGTTGGCCCTTTCAGCAAACCTTTTGTGAACACAAATGCTGGCACTATGCTAGGTGTTGGGAATACAGAGATAAAATATGATCCCTGCCCTGAGGTCATTCATCTCCACCTGATGTCTCTCCTGTACCCTCTATTTTGACAGCCTGCACCATCCTTGGAACTCTGCTGGTCTCCTTAGCCTCAACAACCTGGCAATCATCTCAGACTCCTCCATCTCCCTCAATGCAAAATCTAATTAGTTACCAAGACCCAGGATCACTGCTCTAATCCCCCATTGGTTGAGAGTAATCCCTGGACTGATAACTCCCCTGCACTTTCAGGCTGCACTTGCTGGAGGTGAGCTACTTGTTTAGGCATTGGAGAAGGCCCTGAGGCCTAGAAGCAGAGAGTAAGGAGGGTCTAAAAGCATCTTTACATCTGCAGCTGAAATCACAGGTATACCCAGGGATGTGGCACGGAGCACCCAAGCATCCACACCACCAACTATCAATCAAAGAGGACCATAGAGCAGAAAGATTATAAAATGAACCATAAAAGGAGAGATAGTGTGGATAAGGGACTAGAGAGGAATGGAGGGACAAAGAGCAAGAAAGATGGTAGGCACAGGACAGGAAGGAGATGGGAAAAGGAAAGGCAGGCATCCAGAAGTCAAGTGAGAGGGAGCAGCTAAGATCCCATGAAAGTGTGTCCTTTTTCAGGACTTGGGACAGCTCTTCTCCTTGCAATGACTTTGTTCAATGCAGCCTTGATGCAGAGAGAATAAGATAAAATTCTCTCTACCTGCTCAAGGAACAGGGTGAAGAGCAAAGAGCAGATTTTTGGACAAAGGGAACATCTTTAAAAGGAGACATGGAAACAACAGTGGATAGAGCCACTTAGTGAAATATGGTTAGGAGCTCTTAGAGGCCTCCTCACATTCATCTGAGCAAGCTTTGCAAACAATGGAGGTGGGAGTCAGGAGGGTATTGTAAAACTTAACTGGAAAAAAATAGGAAAAAAAATGACACTGAGTTTCACCCCAAAATACACTCATATTCCAAACTGAGGGATCTGAGAACTTTACATTTGAAATTTGCAACTTCAAGGAAGGAGAAACAAGGGCAATTATCTGGTCCATGTGTCCTACAATGACTAGCAATCTTCACTGCTGGCAAAATGTGCTTCCTGTACTTATCTGAGATTCCTGATACAATGTGATTTGGGGGAAAGAGCAGAGGATGAGGCTTGGGAGAGAGCTAGCACCCAGACAGCCTCTCTCCTCCAAAAGTACCTTTCTTCCCAGCTCACTGATGCCTGCAACTCCATGGAGTTTTTATTTGGTAGAAGGAATGAAATGCCCAGATTATCAAGTACCTCCGTGTGCCAGCTCTGTGCCAGAGGATTTACATACATTACCTCATTTAATATTCATGATGCTCTCTGACATACACATGTTTAACCCCCATTTTACAGATAAGAAAATTAAAGCTGGGAGTGGTGAAGAAACACTCCCAAGTTCACACAGCTAATAAGAGGCAGACTCAAGCTATACCCCCAAAGCCTCCAGTCTTTCCTTTAAACCATGTGCCTTCCTCAGCCTTGACACTTTCTCTCTTGACAACAATGCAATCACCCAAAAAGAACCACACACTTTTAGATATCACTAACTTCGCTCAATCATTCAAAGCACCTCTCCAAAGCACTTTGTTGGAGTCACTCAATTGCCAAGGATTTGTGGAGTCCTACTATGTGCTGGGCATTATGCTAGGCACTAGGGATACCTCAGTGTGTCTCAGTGACAGAAAGAGACACAAGGCAATTAAATAAAAGAATTACAAATTGCAAATTGTGGAATGTGCTGTGAAGGCAATCAACAGGAGGCTGGAACAGAGCACACTAGGAGAAGGGTGGGCTGCACTAGAAGACAACGTTCAAAACAAGATCTGGAGAGCCAGAGAAGCAGCCACGGCAGCTGGGAGAAAAGGCTCCCAAGCAGCAGGAACAACCAAGAAAAGATTCCAGACATGAAACCAGTGTGAAGAAGGCTCACCAGACTGGAGAATGGGGAGTGAGGGGAAGAAGCAAGTGCCAGGATGCTTGAGAAATAGGCAGGGGCAGGGCCAGAGACTGTGGGCCTTTGTAGGCCCTTTTGGGGACCCTGGGCATTATGCTATATGGAATGGAAAATCATGATGAATTTCATCAAGGTGAGGATGTAATTCGATTGTTATCTTAAAATATTTCTCTGTCTGCACATGGTAAGTGGACTGTCAGAAGTCATGGGTAGAGACAGAAAGAACAGTTAGAGAGCTCCTGCACATTCCAAGAGAGAGATGAAGACAGCCTGGATTCGAGTGGTGGCAGAGAGGTGGAGGGAAGTTGCTGGTTCTGAGGTCCTTGGAGACTGAACCACAAGGACTTGCTAATAGATTAGCTATGGGAAGAGAACAAGAATTAGACTGCTAGGTTTCTGCTTCAGAAATTAGATGGATAGTGGAGCCAGATACTGAGATGATTTGATAAGGGAAGAAAAGGAAACGATAATTTTTATTTTGAACCGGTAGTTTCTGAAATCCAACTTGCTCTGAGACCTCTGAGCAGAAGTGTCTAGTAAAAATTAGGCTATGTGAGTCTAGGATCCAGAGAAGATTTCAGCTCAGAAAATATCTATTTTAGAGTTTGGAGAGTGAGTAAAAGGGGAGGAAAAGTCCAAGGAAAAAGCTGACATTTAGAGATCTAGTGGAGGAAAAATGCAGCAAAGAAAACCGGGAAGGAATAGCCAGTGAGGTCTGAGATGAACCAGGAGAGAGCCATGTTATGGGAGCAAGGAGAGAGACTGCCTCGAGGTTGTTCTAAGGTTGCGAAGAGGTGAAGGAAGATGCGAGAGTCAAATGATGAATAAGATAGAATTCTCGTTCCAGGAGAGTTCACAGACTGATGAGAAAGGCCGATATGATTGATGAAGGAATAAAAAGCTAGTGTAACATTTATTGAGCACTTACTATGTGACAGGAACTGAGCTAAATGATGTACGTGCATTATCTTCAAAGCCCCGGGTGAAGAAGGAATCATTATTATCCTCATTTTACAGATAATGCTCGAAGAGAATTAGAGGCTCACCAATGTTCCCAGAGCCCAGAAAGTGTGGTATGGTGCACTGGGATTTAAAGATAGGCAACAGGACCCCCAAGGTGCCCTCCTAACCACAAAGATATCTGCCTCCAGATGGGGACACACACATATGGCCCACTTTGTTGCTACTCTCCTTGGCTTTCTCCTGCTCTCTTGTGAGTCCTTTTTCAGGACCTGGGACAGCTCTTTTCCTTGCAATGACTTTGTTCAACGCAGTGTTGATACAGAGGCAGGCCCGGCATGGGGGCTGTCAGTGCACTGAGCTTTCATGTTTCCCTCACATGAACATCCCCTCACAGCTACAAAGCCAACCTTGCCAGGATACTAAACCTTTGCCCAAGATCCTCTCAGGTGCCCCAACCCTAAGACCTGGCCCATGTGTGTTTAATCTTCATTTTAAACCAGAGATCAATCAGATCAGTCTCAGGCACTGTGGGCGTGGTTTGACATGGCAGGGTCATTGGAACAGCAAAGGGGGTAATCATTGCTGATAAAATGGAGAAAATGGAAGAAAAAGCTATTTTAGCTTAAATGGTTTCCTATAAAACAGTTTTGAAGGTAAAAGGTACTATCTTCTTGTCGGTGTCAACATTTCTCTTGCTGGGTAAGTGAAATTATGTTTCTGTCAATGACTAAATCTCTCCAAGGGGGAGGTGACATTTTGTTTGGTTTCTGGAGAGGAATGATTGAGTCTGATGAAACAGTAACTATATGGATGTATAAAGGACATTTGCATAGAACACAAGTGAACATCACTAGATTTCTAAACTAGATGCTTTAGAAAGCATCCACTGCCTGCAGTGAGTGTATGCCCAGAACTCTTAAGCCTTGCAGACACTGATTTTGTTCAATTGCCTCAATGAATATTTTTCACTGAATTTTTGCCAGTTGTTTGGGTGATAGATACAGCCAGAGACTGATGCTGCTTTCTTTCACCTATTGTCCAAATTCATCTGATTTTCAGCAACCAGTATCCAAACAGATGACTTTGGCCTCTCCCCCACACCCTCTGGCAGTTCCACATTGCTGAGCCAGTCCCTGCTATGGTCCTATCACCTGTTCATCTGAGACTCGTTGTCTCACAAAACCTGGGCCTACATCACAAATCGATATTCAAGCCTCCTGACCTGAGGGTGCCAGGCATTGGGGTTTCCAGCTTCACTTCCTCTCCGTGTGACTGATAACTGGCCAACTGAGCCCACAATGGTTAATGTCCCCAGCTCTCAGTGGAAATCTACAAGACCTACAGCTGCAAAGGAACAAAAGGAATTGCTTTAAAGGGTTAAAAGCTATTCACTTCTGTGGGGCAGAGCCAAGGCCCCTTTTTCTCATAGCTGCTGAACTGAACTTTGCTGCTGTGTGGCATCTAACATGAGCAAGTACCCAGAAAACCAGAAATCAGTTGTGAGAAATGGAAGCAGAAGCACAGCTTGTAGGCCACATATAAGCATGTTTGGGTGTAGCCGAAGCGGTATTCATGAAGATATTAAGGGGCATCTGTGTTCCACCTTATGGTACAGATCTGGGTGCTGTCTTTATATCTTGTCACAGCTAATTCTTCTCAAATCAATGGTTGATCTAAGTCATAAACACCTTTTGGAAAGTTGTGCATGTGAAGCTTGGCAAGCCAAAATTACAAGTATACAAGAAGCAGAGAAAAGGTAAGAGAAAAAAGTGAAGGACCATTCAGAAGGAAGAATTGAACAATTTTCATGGGTCCCTCTAAGGAACATAAGCAAATGGGACTTTTATCCCTAAATAGTCATACAAACAAAAAGTAGGAATTAAAGTTTTTAAAAAGTTTTTCTAAATTATGCCATTACATAGGACATCACATTTTCTTCCATTTCTTCTATACTCTTCCTTCTCCCCCCTCAAATAAATCAAATTTACAATTTAAGATGTGGCTGATTATAATAGTCTACACAATTTTATAATTCATCAAGATCAAATTTACAATATAAGACATGGCTGATTATAATATTCTACACAATTTTGTAATTCATCAAGAAAAAAATGCTACTAATTAAACCCTGATACACACACCTTGGTTTCAGAGATGTTAAAAGTTTTCATCATAAAATCTATGAACTGCCACACACACACATCACATCATATCACATCCATCAATGAATTTCTCTAGTTAGACTATAAAAACTGTCATCAATAACCAATTTTCCAAGCAGGCTAAATTTGTGCCACCCCTCAAAAGGAGGAGTGGGGAGTTTGAAGTTTATTTTATGGCATATATTTGCTGCCTGAAGACAACTCAGAACACTACTGACAGATAATGGACTGCATTTCATATTTGAGAAATGTGTCTTATTTTTAAAACTGAAAGCAGAGAAACTCATTAGATTTGCTTTCACCATTGCTTCAGGATGGCAGGGCAATTTCCATCATACCTGCTTCTCTTTGTTTTCTTCATTTTCCATTCTCCTCTTTTCTTTACATTCATCTGTATTCTCTTTTTCTATTTTACTTAAAATCTCATGTAGTTGTCTCGATGGATCATTAATGTGAGCTGCCTTAAAGGTACTTAATAACTTATTGTACAGGTTTATTACGCTTGATAGGAAGTAATTTTATTGAAGCTTCTTTTGTCTCCTCATTTACAAGTAATCTTGTGTCTCCATGCTGTAACGCTGTCCCTAAGAAAGTAGTATCTTTAGCATTATGTGTGTTTGTTATAACCAGGGAGATCATAATGGGGATTCATGAGGCTGAAAAGCAGGTACAGTGACTCCATCTAAAAACAGCCCCGTGCCGAACCATAATGAAGATGACATATTTATCTGGCATAATGTTCTCCACACCTAATAGTGGCTGTTTGGTCTTCAAGACTAAGGATTTGTTTAGAACAGCCTACTCACTGCATTAACCATTTGTTAAAGCCTTAACTACATCACTCATACAAAAAGTTGATGCCAATTCATTAAAATTTAATTATTTATCAAGTTGATATTGCATTAAGTGCCTAAAATTTTCACTACCACTCTGGAAAGGAATAAGGATAGGTCAATAACTGAGACATAGCGCCCAGCCTCAAGTTTAGCAGAAAAGGGAAATATATTAGAAAGAAACATGCCCCCAACAATCCTCGGTTAAATTGGCACTGGCCCTCCTGCACTTGGCCATCTGACCAACCATTACCACCACCTTCTCAGAACCCTTGCTCCCCTCACCTGAGATAGCCAAAGCCTGTGTCTACAGCATTCTCATCTTCTAATCTTATAGACACCTTTAAAACATATTCTTAAGAAAGAAAAATAAAAGCATCGATAAGAGGCATAGCCGATTCTATAACGTATGTCCTCTGCTTCATTTCTCTGAGACCTAAAAATAAAAACTAGAACTTGTTTCAATTAGACTTTAACCATGTGTTATGCAGGTTTTCAAACAACATACAAAATAGAAAAAATAGAATATGAACCCTCAGGTGCTTATCCCCAGCTGCAATAATTATGGACAATCCTGCTATTTTGTTTTTGTTTGCGACTGAGTCTCATCCTTTCGCCCAGACTGGAGTACAGTGCCATAATGTCTGTTCACTGCAACCTCTGCCTCCTGGGCTCAAGTGATTCTCCTGCCTCAACCTCTCGAGTAGCTGAGATTACAGGTGCCCACAAGTCCCGGCTAATTTTTGTATTTTTAGTAGAGACGGGATTTCACTATGTTGGCCAGGCTGGTCTCGAACTCCTGACCTCAAGTGATCTGCCCGCCTTGGCCTCCCAAAGTGCTGGGATTACAGGTGTTAGCTACCATGCCTGTCTAGTCCTGCTATTTTTATTTCATCTCTACACCACCTTTTTTGTTATTGTGTTTCAAAGCCAATCCTAGAACTCTTATTATTTTACCTATAAATATATCAGCAAGTATCTTTAAGTAATTGGAACTTTTTTCTTTTTAACATCACTACAATATTGTTACCTACTAAAATAGAAACTTCTTACTATCATCTAATAACTTGCCTTAATCTTCCATTATCATCTCAAAAATATATTTTTATAGTTAATTGGTTCAAATCAGGATCCAAAGTCCACACATAGCATTTGTTTTGTTAGCCTTTTAAGTCTCTATTTATCCAAAACGGATTTCTCTCCCATTCTTCCCTATGCCCTTTATTATTTGAATAGTCATTTATTCAGTGGCTGAATGCATCCTTGGAGTGCCATCCAATATGCTTCCCTTTCCTCTGCATCCCATATAACTGGTAGTTGGATCTAGAAACTTAACTATATCTAGGTTCAGTATTTTTAGCCACAAGATGACATAGCTAATGCTGTGACTTCCTATTGAATCACATCAGAAGGCATAGAATGTCTGACTGTCTAACTTTTAGAGATAATCAGTGATAGGTTCAGATGATGCCAGCCTAGTCCATTCATTAAAAATCTCTCACATGACCTTTCACCCAGTGTTTTTGGTGGCCACTGACAATCATTGCCTATAGCTACTGTTTCATTAGGGATATTATTTTGATTAATCACTCCTCTCATGTTACAAGTATACCACAGAGTGACACAATTTACCCTCAAATTGGTTTCACTAAGTCAGAAAAAAAAGCTAACGTTCAAAACATTTTTAAAAGCACAAGTAACACTTCAGAAAGTTATTCCAAAAAAATAAAAGTGGCAGCTTTCAACCTATAGCTTCCCCACCTCCTTTAAGAATAAGAAAACTGTTATAATAATACCTAAAAATTTCACACACTCCTACTTGATAGTACTTGTCCTTTTAATATCTATTGATTAGAAAAATGTAAATGATGAAAAGTTTCTATAAATTCAGTGACCCTCTAAATAGCTTTATATTATGTAAATCATAACAGTACTCTACACACACTTGAGATAGAGCTAAGCATGTATCAGGGATAAAAGAAAATGTTTTAAATTATATGGCATTCAATCTTTCCTCCTTCTCTCTGACATCCCCAAACCACGGCCCCTCCAGAGAGCAAGGACTCTAACCTACTGGTCCAGGCCTGTGCTCTCCTCTGGCAAATTCCTAGTCAGGACTAAGCAGCGGGCGGCAGAGCTGACTCAGTCCAAAGAAGTGAGAGAGGCTGAGTTGATGCACACAATAATAAGCCGGTCAGCAGAGGCTGGTGGAGAGAGATCATCTCCAGGCAAGGTGTCAGAGAAAGCCTGTGGGAATTTACAGAGAGCGAAGAGAAAGATTTTCCGACCAAATATGCTTGCCACCCACCCCACATCTACCCTTCGGCATTTTCAAAAGAGACTGCCAAGTCCTGAAATTCCTATCCCCGTTATTCTGGATGCTAGGATTTTACATGACTTATACACATAGGTCTAGCATAGTGTTGATTTGACCTATAATGTTTCCTTACAGATCTCCTACAGCAACTCTAGGCAGCCTCCTTTCCTTCTCCCACCCCACTGGGATCTACAGTCTAGCAACTGCTCACTATGGTTATCTGGTACTTTTGGTTCCTAACACCTCACCTAGAGGCACCATCATCATCACTGTCCCACAATAACATTGCATATTCTCCATTAAGGAACTCACCTACATAAATCCAGAAGGTGAACAAGTATGTGCCCCCATGCACGGGTACCTTTTACAGTAGAGTTTGCTCCCGATGACCAACCAGACAGCCCAGGGCACCATCAGTCCTAGTGGCCATCAAGGTAAGGAAACCCACAGGCCTGCACCCTGAAGCAATGCAAGGAGAAGCACAGTGAGAAGGGAGGAGAGACGTCATTTTACCCAAACACCGGAGGAGTAATAAGGGGCAAGTCCTCCTGCCTCTCCACTTCTAATCACATAAAGCTGCCAGCTGGAGAATTACTGTCCCACTAAGGCGAAACAAAAACAAAAACAAAACACAACAAAACAAAAAAACATAGTGCAACTGCCTGAGTAGGCTAGTGCTCACAGATATTAGGATGATTGGGCCAGAGACCTAAACTTTGACGTTTGGAGCATGCATCCTTAGAGACCCCAAACGCAACCCTCTTTCCTTGTCAACAGGCTGGTTGATATTTCTGCTGTTATTCTTCACTCGGCTGAAGACGTTTTATTCAAGAATTCATGAAGTGAAAGTTTCAAAATTTTGAAGGAAGGAAGCAATTTGTTGCATGCAGAGCTGGCCTTACAGAGATGCTGAGAAGATGGGGTGCTGCTTCAACCTATCAATCAAGAAGAATTTGCAAAACATCTTGGATGAGTCAGTTCCCTGGAAACAGCTCAGAGGAGGGGTGCAGACAGTCGGCCTGAGGAGAATGGTGAGGCTGTCAGCCACACAGGGCCCAATCCTTTACTTCAATTTTTCTTATAGAACTCTTTTCCAAATATTCAGAAATCAGAAGGGACAGCTTTCAAAGGCTAAGAAAACTCCCCTCTTCAAGTCCCTGGCCCAAAATTCCTCTTAACCATTCTTTTAGAATTGCTCAGCAGGAACTTACTCCTGAAATGCAAATCAAAGGGAAAAAAAAAAAAATATCGTGTTGACACTGATTCCAGCCTTGAGAAATAAATCTTGACAAGAATATCCACATAGCATGTCTCCTAAAGAACCACTGTGTCTGCCCCTCTCCTCCCTCCAGTGGAACTGAACAGTAATGAAGTCAGGTTCAACATTCATTCATTCAACAGACATTTATTGAACACCATTGTGTGCTAAGGGGTACAGAGAGGAATGGGACAGAGTGCCAATCCACAATTTCCTGATGTAACTAGGGAGACAGATAACTATGCCACTAACCTCGGCGTCACATGGTGGAATGAGGCTATAGGGAGTGAGTCTATCTTGAGATGGGTACAACATACTAATTCTTCAGTGGATGCTGAGAGAAAGCTATGCAAGGGGTGTGGCTTTGGAGTCACGCTTTTTCTCTTGTTTTTTTGAAGCTGCAGGCTATGGCCCTGAGATAAGAAGAGGCAAGGTTCCACTTAACCCCAACCCAAGAAATTTCATTTCTCAGACTTCTGAGTTTTCTGTGGCCAAAGCTCTCACCCAAGAATGGCAGTCACCTGAGGAGAACAATTTCTGTAGAAAAAGGAGAGAACTGATCTAAAGCTGAGAACTCCTCCCCCCGGAGGGGGTGGTTGTACAGGAAGAAAGAAAAGGTAAATTTTAACAACTACCTACTCCAGATGGGCAAGGGCCAGCAAAAATGAGGGCAAGTCCAGGCCCTATTTTTTTCATTAAAATTTTTTTGAGATAACTATAGATTCACATTCAGTTGTAAGAAATAATACAGAAAGATCCCTTGTATACTTTTCTCAGTTTCCCCCAATGGTAACATTTTGCAAAACTCTACTGTACTATCACAACCAGGATATAGACATTCATACAATGTACCAATCTTTTTCAGATTTCCCAGTTCATTTGTACTCATTTGTATGCAGATTAAGTTCTATACAATTTTACCACCTGTGTAGGTTCACATGTCCACAATCATAGTAATTAACAGTTCAGTTCCAACACCAAGAATCCCTGGCATTGCCCTTTTATGATCTCACCCATCTCCCTCTCACCACCCCTTCCACTTTGTCGCTAACCTCTGGCAACCACTAAACCTGTCTACCATTTCTAACATTTGTCATTTCTAAATGTTGTATAAGTGGAGTAATAGAGTAACTTCTCAGGATTGGCTGTGTTTTCTCAGAAGACTTTCCTAGCTATTTGTCCAAGTTGCTGTGTATATCAATAGTTTATTGGTGTATTGATAGTTCTTTTTTATTGCTGAGCAGTATTCTATGCTACGGATGTGTCATAGTTTAACTCCTTACTATTGAAGGGCATCTGTTTCCAGTTTCAACTATCATGAATAAGGCTGCTATAAACATATTCATGTACAGGTTTTTAAATGCCCAGGGATATGGAATTTAGAGACCACATTCTCAGACAGGCCGTATTTTTAAATGGTCACTAAGCATTGAACTGACTCCACACAGATGAGCTGTGAATGCACTCCCATCCCTCAGGTGCTGAGCTATCTGTCAAGATGGCTTCACAGATCCATCCCCACGTGGCCTCCGGTCAGCACTACAACTGCCTTGGGAGCCCCTCAGAAGAACTAGCAGGAAGGAACACCAGGTATCCCACATTGCTTAGTGGAATTTGAAGCTATCCCAAGTCCATGTTTTCCCTCAGCTTTTCCAACCATAATGTGCACAAGAAAGCACTTGCGGAGTTGAGTAAATGCAGGTTCCTGGGCCCCACCCCAGAAACACTGATTTAGTCAGTCCAGAGTGAGCCTAGGAACTTGCATTTATGACAAACAAAGCAGACTCCCTTTCTGTTATTCACACTTTGGTATAACTCCCAGATGGGACCTGTGGCTCGCTTCTAACCAATAGAATATGGCAAAGGTGATAGAGTATCCCTCCTGTGATTAGGTTATGGTATGTAAGACTCCATTTACTAGAAGACCCTTGCTCAAGAGGTCCTCCTTGCTGGTTTGATGAACTAAAAGGCCATGCTGGAAAAGCCCATGTGTCAGGAACTACAGGTGGCCTCTAGGAACTGCAGGCAGTCTTTGGTAGCTGAGGCAGCCTCCCGCATTCAGCTAGCAAAAAGTCATGACCCTCACTGGACAATCCCAAGGATGCGAATTCTGTCAGCAACCTGAGAGAACTTGGAAGTGGATCTTTCCACAGCCTAACGATTAGAAGAGAATGCAGGCCAGGCAGCCTCTCATCAGTCACAGCCTTGTAAGGAACTAAGCAGAGGACCCCCCTGAGCTGCGCCCAGGCTCCTCATCCACGAACACTGCAATAACAGATGTGTGTTGTTTAAAGCTGCTAAGTTTGTGGAAATTTATTACACAGCAACATGAAATAAAGACACCAGGTGACTCAAATTTCCACAGCAACAGGTAATTAACCCTCTAGGTGACAGGCAGATGAGCAGACCTTACCTTAGACACCTTGAGAACCACTGACCTAAATCAAGGTGAGTATGAGCCTCAAGTGGCCTCCAGGACCAACCTGCCCTGAACCAAACCTTAGAAGGTTTTTGACATTAAAGACCTATTTGTCCTTTAGGGGGTCCTTCAGTTCTTCAGGAGTATTTTCGAATTTGAAATAACAACCGTCTCATGTCCTCCAGCCTGCCATCTTACTCTCCTCCTCAGAGGTCTCCCAGGGCAATAAATTTGGAGAACAAACAACAGATAATTTGTAGTTGTTTGTGCCCTTTTACCACTCTTTGAGATAGTGGGGAGTTCTGGGAAAATCTTTGGGGCCTTAAATGCCTCAGCTTAGTCTTCTAATATCTGATTGATCACAGAATAAGCTTTTAAATGACAAAAAAACTGGCACGTACATATACAGTTATGTGTACATAAACAAAAAATACGTATTTGTTTTGGTGTCTGTCTCCCCCTACACACACACACACACACACACACACACACACACACACACACACACAGAGGATGGCAAGCACCGTAACACAAGGGCAGTGGTTTTTTCTTTGGTGTTCACTGCTGTACTAGAGCCTAGAACATTGCTTGACTCATATTTGTAGAAGGAAAGGAAAAAAGGGAGGAAGGGAGGAAGGGAGGGAGGGAGGGAAGAAAGGAAGAAAGAGAAGAAAGGAAGGAAGAGAAGAAAGGAATAGAAAAGAGAGGGAAGATAATGAGATACTGTGATGGTCTCCCATTCACACCATTCCCTCAGGACCCAGCTGATGACAGAGCTAATCAATGAATTTGTACTCAGACATTCATGGGTGATCATGGTTTCACACCTTTACACCTCAAAGAAGTAACCAGTAGAAAGATTCCAGGGCTGCAATCTGGTGATTTAATCAGGGAAGTGTTTGAAAACAAAACACATTCCAAAGGTAGTTGTCCATTCCATCCCCTTTCAGGAATAGCAGCCTTCTTAACTGCATATTTATCTGTCATAAAATACCCCCGATGCCTTCAACTGCTGGTAATTTGCAGCCAATTGAAGACAGCAGGCATATTTTTAGAAACTCTTGTGGTGACATACCACTGTTCATCTATGAGACTCCTTCTTATGATAATCCACTTCCTGTCAAACAGTGCAGCCACACACCAGGATGGCCCATTGGGGAAGGGTCTCATTAGTGCACAATAGCCTTAATGGGCCAATCTTTAAACAGACTGCCCAGTATGGAAGCTGATTAATAGAACCAAGTCTGAGAGGGAAGTTTTTCTTTAACTCTCCATTTCCTTTTTTGGCTGAAGACAAATCTGTGATGTGATTTTTAACGTGGCTTTTTGCAGCTCCAGATTTCTTTAGCAGTTAAACCAGTTTCGTAGCAATATTTTTCCTCCTTCATCACCACTTCCAAAGCACTGAGGATCTAATTCATTCAAATCTATCTGCAGACCTATCTGATGAGCTTCCTGCACTATTTATCCTCGAGTAAATTAGGAAAACCATTACCAGCTTGCCTCGCGTTTCTTGGCAAGTCTAACCATTGAGCACACGGATGTCATGTTTAATCAGATAATTTACACAGAATTGGCATTTCTAATTCATACTTCACATTAAGAAAAGGAGGAAGAGAGAAAAATTTCTTAAGTTTCTGGTTTTTAATTTGGAACCCGGTTTGCCACCATCAGCTCTCTTCACTTTGGGAGGGGGAAAGAATAAAGGGAAGATGCTGGAACACACACAAACCCAGCTCTGCCTGGCATGCGGTGCCCATGTGTGCACATGCGTGGGAGAAGAGTGAAGAGTCTGTCTCGCACTGTACACCTTCCCTGCAGCATGCTGCTCCACCGAGCTCCCACAAAAGGCCCTAGGTTCCAAATGAAGAGATGAGACAGCAGTGTTAAGGTTGCCTGTCTGTCATCTAGATTTTGGAGTATGCTCTCTGACTCCCTGGCTCTGTGTATTAACCAACAAATAATAAAGCTCATTATGTTTAAGGGACTGAACAAGGTTGTATTAGAGTTCTCCAGGGAAACAGAACCAATAGGATACACTTATATATGTGTGTGTGTATATTTATAAATATGATATACTTATAAATCTCATATATGTCATATATATGTAGAAAGAGAGAAAAATTTACTATAAAGAATTGGCCCACATAATTATAAAGACTGACAACTGCCAAGATCTGCAGGGTGAGTCAGCAAGCTGGAGACCCCAGCGAGTCAATGGTTTATATCCTAGTCCAAAGGCCAGTACTCCAGGCCCAGGAAGAGATGTTTTGGTTTGAGTCCAAAGGCAGGAAAAAAGCCGACATCCCAGTTTGAAGGTTGTCAAACAGGAAGAATTCTTTGACATGGTGCAGGGTCATTCTTTTTGTTCTATTCAGGCCTTCAACTGATGGAGGAGGCCACCACATTAGGGACGGCAATCTGCTTTACTCAATTGACTGATTTAAATGTTAATCATCCAAACAGCCTCACAGATACACAGAAAATAATATTTAACTAAATGTCTAGGAATCCCATAACCCAGCCAAATTGGCATATAAAATGAACCACCACAGAGATGAATGTGGAGATTTAGAAGGCCACCAGGTGGGGAGAAGGGAGCCACCATGTGTCATACTCAGTACTAGGCACTGACACACATAATCTCCTTCAATTCTCCCAAGATAAAGCATAATCTCTCCATTTTGCCCAGGCAGAAACTGAGGCTCAGAGGAGTCAAGTAATTTGCCCAGGGTCACACAGCTCATTGTGGACCCAGGTCAATCTGAGCCCAAAGCCTATCTTCTCTCTGCTCTATCACAAATTTACCCCTGGTCCACTGATAATTAACTACAGCTTTCTCCCCACATTTTCATTCTTTATGCTTCCTCCTCTATTCACAAATGCTCAAGGCTTTTCTCCCTCTTTTTTTAATACCACAGAATTAAAGCTACCCTCTTCCCAGATAATTTCCAAAAGATTTTATATTTTACATTACTGTTAAGTTCATCAATCAAGTTGGACAGATTTGTAAGGAAAGGGATGACTTATCAGCATTTAACATAATCCCCCCACTCAGTATAGCTTCGGTATCAAATGTAAGATATGAATCTTCACACCAGATGCTGAGAAACAAGTACAGTAAGTTCTCACTGACCATCATATGTAGGTTCTTGGAAACTGCAACTTTAAGTGAAACAATGTTTAAAGAAACCAATTTTCCCATAGGCTAATTAATATTAAACAAGAGTTAAGTTCCTACAGCATATTTCTGGTCACAAAAACACCACCCAACTTCCAAAGACCAAAACACTTCTCATATTAAACAATGAAATAAATGGGAACTATATATACTTAAAGATAGATTAATAAAAACAGGTAAGATAATTATTGACCCATTTATTCCAGTTCAGAGTTATGGATGGTTGGAGCCTATCCCAGCAGCTCAGGATGTCAGGCAGAAACCAGCCCTGGGCAGGACAGTGTTCCATCCCAAGACGCACTCACACACACCCACACTCAATCATGCCAGTATCATGTAGCTTGGGGATGCACAGCTTTGCGATGTGAGAGGAAACTGGAGTCCCCAGAGAAAACCCATGCAGACATGGGGAAAGCATGCCAACTCCACACAGACAGTGACTCCGCCTAGAATTGATCTTTTTTCTCCTCAATGTTATAACAAAATGACATTGAACCAAACGACATTATTTAAGGACTTGTTGTATGTGGCCCCTAAGAACAGATTTTAGTGACACAAACTCTTAAGAAAATAATCTTTATTTCTTCAATAGGGGTCATTCCTTGAAATTGGACAGATAAATAAATGAACTAACAAATTAATAAGTAAATAAATGAGGCTTCATTGTAATGATGACCATATAGAAAGCTTGATGTGTTCTTTCTTTGCTATTACAGATCAAACTCTCCAGTGCTTTGAGGTGTCTTTTGCTCTCCTATGCATTAGCCCATAAGAGCAATGACATTTGTTGATTACACCCATTTGGTTTTTAGAGGCCAAGGTGGATTTGTATTCACCTTTCCTATTAGCCTAGCAATACCTCTCTGTATTTTTTGCAGTAGATTTTCTGAGCAGCAATAGGTTCTAATCAATCTTCCTGGCTTCATTTCTCAGAATCTCACCATCTCCTCAAGGAACATTTCAAACCTGATTTATCATCATTACCAGACCCTAAATATTCACCAGATTCTATATTATTTATTACACCTAGTTAATTTCCCTGTTCTGGCCTTATGGGTCGAATCACAAAGCATCTGAAAGATTATCCCCGTAATATGTCATGAAGACTCCACTATAATGCAGAGTCACATTTAGAAAGAAGTATTTCACCCCCCACAGAATAGCTCTGAACAGAAGCTGAGCCCCTCCACTTCTCTGAAAGACTCCGCTCCCCCTGTCTGGACACTGGCTCCCGTGCAGTCCCTGAACTACACGTGTGCAGTCACAGGTGGCAGAAACTTCACCCACCTCCCTCCAGCTGGAAAAACCCTCATCTCTGCTACTGTATGCAAGAGCATGGGAAGATGCTGAGTAGGAGAAAGTGATTCCAGGCTCTGTCCTGTGTGGGGAGGAAGTGTTCTAAGGTTATACTTGAGGTGAGAGGTGGACACAGTCACAGAGCTACCTTTCTGAGACAAAAAGACTCCCCCAGTTTGACTCGTCCTAGAGAACAAAGATCCACCAGTGGTGACCCTCAGAAGGGGGCATGTGCAGCCCAGCTTCCCTCATGCCTCCCAACAGGCTAGCTGTGAATCTGCCATCCACACTGCCCAGCTTCCTCCCCTTTCCCCCAAGTGAGGGAAATTTGGCTCCATCAGAAATAACCCAAAGTTGTGTTCCCCCATGGCATGAAGTAATGGTGGAAGGGATTTTGTTTGAATTCTCATTTAGGAAACTTTCTGTAGCTCACCCAAGGTTCTGGGTTCTAAGACCTTTCCAAGTCCTGACTGTCCCCAGGAAAGTGCTCTTGGGCTTGTGTGAGGGAAATAGGAGCAGGCCTGTCCACATCTAAAGCCCCAAGAGACCAAAGATGTATTCTGTATTGCCCCAGTTGACAGAATTAGGATCAATAAGAGAAGTTGTTGGCCAAGGGGTTTCTTCCCAATGCAAGAAAGAGCTTCCTGCAGCAGAGTCCATTCCTGCAGCAGAAAAGTCCATCCTGTGGAACAGCTACCAGAGGTTAAACAACAAATGTCAGGGATGGTGTGAGAGGTGTCTGAGAGACAAATCAGACACCTGCTAAGACCTCTTCCAACTCTAAGATGGTGCGACTTCAAGGAGACATTCGCCTTAAACTCACAGAGCCACAGCATTCTGTACCTAAAACATATTTCTCAGTTCATCTTGTCTAGAGGTTGCAAATTAGCAACCCCAAGCTGAATTCAGCCCAGGAAAAAAATGTCATTTTGTTCACAGAGTGTTGGTCTACATAGAGTTTATTGTTTCACCCAATATTTAACAACTAATACATTTCACATAAAAATCTGGATTTTCTGGCTTCTCTTTAAAAGAAAAATCAGATGTGGCCACATAAGGGTTGTGTTCAGTTTCAGTGGAATTCCCCCTATGAATGAGCTGTGCTCTGCCACAGACCCCACCATTCCCTATAGCCCTTAGTCTCATATTAAAGCTGGGGTTTTGTTGCCTGTTTCATTGTTGTGTTTCCTTCCCAGGCCTTTTTATTCACATGTATTTTCCATATGGTCCCTGTGGGCATGTATGTTTGCCACTGCTGGTCTAGTGAAAACACTAAGACTGGGCTAAAGCCCAGAAAAGCTATGTGACTTGTTCAAGATCACATGGCTAACCAGTGCAAAACAAGGAACAGAACCCAGATTTCCATGTATTTCAGCACTCCTCCCACTTGGCCACACTGCCAGCCTTGAGGATACTTATTTCTCCTGACTGATTTCACTGTTTACATTCAGATTGTGCAAACTGCTCCTCTGTGTGTTCATTTAATGTATCTCAGAGACAAGGGTATAAAGCTCCACGACACAGCTGGACAAAGATTTTTTTGGATATGACCACAAAAGCACAGGCAACAAAAGCAAAAATAGACAAATGGAATTACATCAAACTAAAAACCTTCTACACAGCAAAGGAAATAATCAACAGAGAGAAGAGACAACCTACAGAATGGGAGAGAATATTTGCAAACCACCCATCTGATAAGGGAATAATAATCAAAATATATAAAGGCACTCAAACAACTCAACAGTAAGAAAACAAATAACCTGATTTTAAAATGGGCAAAGGACCTGAGTAGACATTTCTGAAAAGAAGATATACAAGTGGTCAATAGGTATACGAAAAAATGTTTAATATCACTAATCACCAGGAAAATGCAAATTAAAACCATAATGAACTATTACCTCACACCTGTTAGAATGGCTATTGTTAAAAAGACAAAAGATAACAAGTGTTGGGAAGTATGTAGGGAGGAGGGAACATTTATATGCTGATGCCATTAGTGGGAATGTAAATTAATACAGCCATTATGGAAAATGGTATGAAGATTTCTCAGAATAATTAAAAATAGAACTACCATATGATCCAGCAAGCCCACTAGTGGGTATATATCCTAAGGATATGACATCAGTATGTTAAAGAGATATCTGTATTCCCATGTTTATTGTAGCACTATTCACATTAGCCAAGCTATGGAACCAACCAGTGTCCATCAATGGACAAATAGACACTGGTTGGACAAAGACAAAGACGATGTGGTATATATACACAATAAGATACTATTCAGCCTTTAAAAACAAAGGAAATTCTGTCATTTGGAATAGTACTGCATGATATCACTTACGTGGAATATAAAAGAGTTAAACTCAAGGAAACAGTAAAGTGGAGGTTACCAGAGGCTGGGGGTTGGGAGGATTGGAGAGATGTTGGTCAAAGACACAAAATTTTGTTATACAAGACAAATAAATTCAAGAGATCTATCATACATCATGACTACGGTTAATAACAATATGTTGTGTATGTACTTGAAAATTGCTAAGAGAGTACATAAGTGTTCTCAACACAAAAAATAAACACGTGAAGTAATGCATATATTAAATAGTTTAATTTAGCCTTTCCATGATGTATACATATATATCAAAACAGCACGTTGTACATCATAAACACATAAATTATACTTGTCAATTGAAAAATAAAAATATATATCTTAAAGATCAAATTTTGACATTTCCCCTTCAAAAATAATTATAATATCAAAAAAAAAAATCCTCACCTTTCCAGGTGACTTCCCAAACAATAGCACTCAAAGACCAGTCTTTTGTGTGTCCAACGAAAGACTAACTTCATGAACACATAAGATTTCAGTCTTCCTTGCAAAATCAGGAATAGGCCAAAACCCTATTATTTCAGACTTGGCATTGATAGTCCAAATCATTAGTGCAAACAAGATTTCTGGGGAAAGGTTAAAGTAGTTGGCAGAACACACTAGTATTAAGCCACCATAAACACTTTGAAAGCAAAGAATTAAATGCAAATAATTGATAAGCTCATAATTAATCAGTCTTATCTATAAATATTAGGGGTTTTACAAGATATCCCTCTATAATCTAATTTGGGTTACTGCCTGCATTTGAAAGTGATGCTGCACATCTCTTAAAATCTTCTGTAATCAGACCTTCCACTGGCTTAAGCTGCCTATGCTCCCAATTAGGATTTGTTAGGACTGAGTAAACCAAAGGAAAGACAGGATAGGGACTTCTTAAAACTTTTATTTGGTGTGGGAGATCACTCTAGGCAAGGCCTAGGTTTACTTGCTTTGCCTACGTGTTTTGCCCTGGCCATCAACGGAGATGTAACTTGAATTAACTTGCTATGACATCCCTATACATAGGAGGGAGTTGGTGTTGAGTAGGTCAGGTGAAATGTAGGCTCACCTTTCAGATGAGACTAACTTAAAGGGCAAGTTACAAATGAAGATTGCCTAATCACTGTGGCCATAGACACTGAGCTGTCAGACTAGAATATCTTAGCTGTCCATTAAGCCTAACACTCAGGTAGACACATAAAAGACTTAGCAGGCACTGTTGGATGCCTATCCAGGAACCATTCTTCCTTCTTCCTCCTTATGAAAACCCACATTGTGGTTAAATATTCAGGATTGATAATCAGCTAATTCACAACAGACTTACTGGTTGTTTCAGGCTAGTGTTCATTCTGATTGGTCATGTCCATACTGTACTAGATGTGACATATTTAGAATTTTGCTTCTCTTCACACTAGTCTATGTACCAGTACTGACTACAGAAATGAGTCCTAATTAGCATCAGCCTATCACAATAATCCTATCCTTTTTTCCCCTGATTGGTTTAGGAACTCTGGCTTGAGCCAGTTAGTACAGAGCACTCCCCTTGTTTATTGCTATTGGTCCAGGATTGGACTTACAAACAAACTGGCCCAATCAGACTGAAGAAAAGGAATATTTGGTCCATGAGTGAGGGAGAGATTTTTCTTTCACTCACATAGACTGAAGCAACCTCTTGTCCCAGCTGTTTGCTAATAGCAGTCCTCTTGAAATCCTGAGGGCAGCCCCCTTTAGGACAAAGCCCACATTTGCATAAGGCCTATGGGGGAATTCAAAGACTGGCAGAGAAACAAAGCCATAGTCCAGGGGATTAAGGTACTGTGCCTGGAAGCTTCCCTAACTCCTTTCTTCCATTACAAGGAAAAGTAAATTTCCTCATTGTTTAAACTACTTTAAGTGGGATTTCTGTTCCTTACAGTCAAACACATCTTTTATTTGCACAAGCCAATATATTCAAAGTAGGTTAGAGGGGCTTCCTGGGTGAAGCCAGTGTCTTAACCCAGCCCCATTCAGAATTTTTAATCAGAGAAGATAGAGCAATTGTTTTGGAGCTGAAAAGAAAGCTCAAAGTTTTTAAAGTACCCGCACACTTGTAATTGGGTGAGGGAGGGAAGTTAGCCAAATGAGGAAAACAGGGCTCTGGAATGAGACAGCCTTGGGTCCTTCTCAGCTCTACCCCTTAATAATTCTGTGACCACACAAAAGTGTCAATATCTGTAAATTACGGGATGAATACCATATCTTACAGCATTGTTCTGAGAATTCAATGAAGTGCAATATGCAAAAGAAGCGCAGTATGCAAAATATCTAGTGCACAAAATAGAAGCCCAATAAATTAAAGACAATTTTCCTTTTCCTTTTCCAACCTAATCTTTCAAGTCTTTCCAGATTCCCTGACCTAAGTTCTAGAGACTTTAATTGCTCCAGCTTCTGTTTCACCCCTTTCCTTTCCTTTTCTTCCTTCCAATTTCACGTTTGTAACTGTCTATCCCAGTTATGTTTTGTGTGGTTAGGTGGATGTTTTACATTGATTCCATTTACTGGTATTTCCCATGTGGCAGGTACTATCGTGACATTTAATCCTCACAACTACCATCACCCACTGAAGAACGTGATATACTCATTTTACAGTTGGTGAAATGAGGCTCAGAGAAGGGAAGTAAACTCGTCTATGATTTTTTTAAAAAGATGAGCTATGGAGCATGAAATTCCAGGCCAATATAACTCCAAAGACTATGGTCTTAGCTACTTCATTATGCTAACCACCCATTAAAATCTGTCTACTTTCACCTGTGTCCAGCTTTATATTCTGCATGTGTTGCCTCCAATGCCTGCCTCCATCATCCCCATGCCTCAACATGCACATAGGATCTCCTTTCTAAGGTCCCATTTTATATATATATATACACGCACACACACACATACACATAACATGCACATAGGAGATATATATATATAATACATATATCTCTCCTGTGATTGTATGTGTGCGTGTGTGTGTATCTGTATGTCTCTTCCTGTGAGCTGACAGTTCTTGAAAAAATGGAGCCCTTGTTTTCTAAAGGAGGGTAGGTAATGCAAGAACTGGATAATCACCTTTTCTAAGCATCACTGACAACACACAATTTGGTTGCTGTTGTTCAAGCCTTCTTGAGGCCTTGGATATACAAAGAGCTGCAAGACATTGTTCTTGCCCTCAAGAGACCCAAAACTAGGTGCAAAAATATAATGTCTGCAGAGAAAGCAATATGACATGGCATATCTTTTTTTCCCAGAGAGACATGCCAAACACAAATGCCACAGGAAGTCAAAGAAAGGCCGTCAAGAGCTGGAACGGGATGAACAGAGGTGGAGCAGGCACTGCAGACCCATGGGGATGAAGCAGGACCTTAGAATCTGGATCCTATTTGCATGTTGTGGGGTGGGGACAATGGAGGCAGGCATTGGAGGCAACACTCGAAGAATGTAAAGCTGGACACTGGTGGGAGTAGTAAGGACAGATTTTAATCAGTAATATATTATTCCAATAGGAAAAAGTACAGCATGAATTGAACACAACTTCAATTTGTACAGAGGTGACTGGGAGTTTTGAAGGGAGCAGGAAGGAATAGGGAGGAGTTCGAGCAGGGACTCAACAGAGTCAGGGAAGTTAAAAATTACAAAAAGGGGGAAGGGGAGCTAAGTCCATGTGAAACCCATCTGGGTGTGCTAACTGGCACTACCAGAATTAGTCTCCTAGCCTCCCACAGAGGCTGGGAGACAGGGGCCATATCTTTGGGTGTCAGCTAGAACAAATATAAATTCTTTTGGCAGCCCTGAGTTTTTTAAAGGGGAATAGGGTCATCTTAGGGATGCAGCCTTGACCTGTCAGAAACTCTTAGTGTCTGTCAAGTCTTTATAGACAAAGATTGAGGCCGGGTTGAGAAGGAGGCTCAGAGGAGCCTGGCTAGAGTTCGATCAAAGAGGGAGTCTTCTCAGTGGGCCGCTCTAGCCAGCTGGCTAGCATTGACACAGTGAGCAACAAGGAAAAGCAGGAGGTTGAATTGATAACAAGAGGTAGAACCCCAGACTAGTGATTTTGAACTCTCTCTTAGAGGAAAAGTAAGAAACATTCCCAATTTGCACAGGACTGAGGAGTTTCCTAGGGAGTGAGACACGCAGCACTAAAACAAGGAAAGCCCAGACAAAGAGGGACCAGGTGACCACCACTCCACTTGGATCAACTCACACCTGGGAAAGGTAACCGAGCAGGAAGGCAGTGTGTGTAAGAACTGATGGTTTCAGGTGATTCCTCCAGCTATGAGGCACTAAAAGCTACCAGCTTCATTTGCTGGCCATTTGGCCAGTCAGGTCACATGATACACCACTGTGCCTTGGTGCTGGTTCTGGGCACTGTGGTGGATGTTCCAAAGTCTCTGAGCTGAGATGGGCTCACCTCCTTTGCTTTGGAACCCCAAACATACAACATTGTGTTACATGAATTGTTCCAGAACGTAAGCCCCGCTTGCTGCTAGAGCTGCATTTACAGATTTAGGAATTTGATTCCTAAGGCAGAAGGATGGGGTTGGAATTCCATTTCAACCAGCCACTGGTCGTGTGACTCTGTGCCTGGTACCTAACTACTTTAAACCACAGTCTCCTCATCTGCCAAATAGAGATTAACACACCATCTAGCTCACATGGTTACTAGAAGAATTAGGTGAGATTATACATGAGAACTGCTTAATAGGGTCCCCAGAATGTGTTAAACAGTCAGTAACTGCGATTATAATTGTAGGGGTGGCCAGGCATGGTGGCTTACACCTGTAATCCCAGCACTTTGGGAGGCTGAGGCGGGCGAATCACCTGAGGTCAGGAGTTCAAGACCAGCCTGGCCAACATGGTGAAACCCCATCTCTACTAAAAATACAAAAATTAGCCGGGCATGGTGGCGGGTGCCTGTAATTCCAGCTACCTGGGAGGCAGAGGCAGGAGAATTGCTTGAACCCAGGAGGTGGAGGTTGCAGTGAGCCGAGATCACGCCACTACCCTCCAGCCTGGGCAACAAGAGCAAAACTCTGTCTTAAAAAATAATAATAATAATTACAGGGGTAGTTTTTATTGTTAGGCATGGAAAAGAAGCATAGTGTTTAAAAGTCAATATCCTGAAACATTACCTCTGGGTTAGATTTTCAGGTGAAATAAACAAACGTAAAGAATCTGTCCCACAAATAAAAGTTGACCCTGGGTCCCTTAGACTTATGTAATGGCTGCTCAGACACTTCTGGAAAACAAAGTAGATGACTGAAAAGTGCTTGTATTGCCCCTGGGTGCCATCCATCAGCAAGAGAAGCCTAACCCCAGATTTTATTTTCTATGTTAAGAGAAGGCCAAAAGAAGGGGAAGCAAAACCAATTAATGAAAATGTAATTGACTTCAGAAATTCATGAACACAGAGCGTCATTCTTTTACTCTTCAAGGAAAGCCTTATCTGCATCAAGTGTGGTTAATAACACCAAGCTAAAACACTTATTTATTTATGTTAAAAATATGCTCTTCTTTTAAAGCCTCAGGAACAAAGTCTAATCAAGTCACTGCATAAAATACTGACACTGGATTATTGCTGCAGCAATGAGCACAATCCCAGTAGCAATACGGTGAGACCTGCTGAGGACCCCTCAGTCTAAAGGGGATTTCAAAAAGGGGCAATGTGAGCATCTGGCTCAGGACTTTTAAAATGCAGGAGCATGTCCAGACCTCACAGTCCAGCCATTAGTGTCTGGCCACACAGGTGCCTGCCACAACCTGGGGCACTCAGCCTCCACCTACCCCACCCCTTCCTCCTGGACTCAGACACCCTAAATCCCAGCTTTGCCACTAAGAAGGTTGAGTGACACACCTGACCTCTCTGAAGTCTCAGTTTTCTCAGTTGTAAAATGGGGAAGACAATATTGACCATTACCCAATCAAAGATTGTTTGAAGATTAAGAGAAAATGCATGCACAGTCCTTAGTTCAGTGCCTGGCACACAGTGAACACCCAATAGCTTTTTCTCTCTGTTCTTTGAGTCCCCATGACTCTTACAGACTGCCACCTCATGCTCTTTCCTAGAACATTATGGTCTGGGTTTAGCAATTTTGTCTCGCTCCACCAGGATACATCTTTTCAACCTAACAACAGGATAAATTATTTAAAGCCAGAGATTGTTACTTAATAAACACATAGCATGTTTGTGCCAATCGTGGCTCTAAAACTTTACAAGCATTAACTTGTTAAATCCTCATAACAACTCTATGAGGTTGTTACTATTAGGATTTCTGTTTTACAAATGAGGAAACTGAGGCATAGATAAATGTAATAACAGATAAATGTAATAACAAGGTGGCAGCTCATCAGCTTCCATGTTGAGATTTGAACTTAAAATGGCTGGCTCCAAGATCATGCTCTTAACCACCAGACACTCTGTGTTTTAGACTTCTGTGCCCCGCAGTGCCCATCACATGGATGGCCCTCAACAAAGACTCTTCAACAGACAAACGACTTAGTCAACAAGTATCACTTTGCAGATAAGGAAACTGAAACACAGTGAGGTCACACAGCGTCTCCAAGGTTAGAAAGACAATTGGGGAGCAGACAGTAGCCTAAAGTGTCATATCTCTAGTGGCTTGCACTTTCTTTCATGCCATCCTGATGATATTCTGAAGGAAGAGCCACCCACTGGTGGAAGGAGAGAACATGGACCTCTGTCTATGATCCCAAACCTGGACCAGGTGAAGGCCACACTTCTTTTATCCCATGACCTCAGCCACCATGTCCCAAATGGGGTCTTTACACTTTGGGTCAACAACGACTCCTCATTGTTTTATTTATTTTCGGAAATACCTAGAGTTGGGCATGTACATGACAGCCAGCTGACTGAGTGCACAGGCATCTGGCAGCCCAGGCTAGCAAGGTAGAAGGTTAGTGCAGATGCCCTATGGGCTATGGGCTACTGCTTGGGTCAGGCCATAACTGACTTCTAATAAGTACCCCAAGCAGATGAGATTTTCCAAGCCACATCTTGCTTCTGAAGTGCTGCAACATATTCAGAAAACTATATGCTCTAAACTCAGTAGACTAAATCCCTGATTTTCACCCTTTGCATTCTATTGATGTCTTACCATGTGCTGCTAGGGAAGCTCACTGTTCTGTGAACCTTGTCACAATCTTGGGAGCCAGTTTCCAGGGTTCAGATCTTAGCTCCAGAACTTTGTAGCTGTGGGGCACTGCCCAAGTTCTTTAACTTCTTTGTGCCTCATTTTTACCGCATTTGAAGGGCAAATAATTATAGTACCTACCTCAAATGCTGTTTTGAGGATTAAATGAGTTTATGTGTATGTGTATATATGTATACGACATGTATACATATATACACATGCACAAATTTATATGCGTATATACTAAACATATGTATACACACACAAATACACACACATATATATATATATACACACACACATATATGACTATATATGTGTTATGGGTTGAATTATGTTCCCCCAAAATTCATATATTAACATTCTAAACCCCAGTACCTCAGAAGGTAACTTTATTTGGAGATAAGATCTTTGCAGAGGTTATCAAGTTAAAATGAAGTGATTAGCATGGGCCCTAATTCAATATACTTGGTGTCCTTATAAGAAGAGAAAATCTGGACACAGATACGTACAGAGGGAAGACAATGTGAAGACACAGGGAGAAGATAGCCATCCACAAACCAAGGAGAGAAGCCTAGAACAGATCCTTTCACCACGGCCCTCACAAGGAACCAAACCTGCCAACACCTTGATCTCAGACTTCCAGCCTCCAGAACTGTGAGAAAGTAAGTTTTTGTTGTTAAACCCACCAGGTGTGTGGTATTCTGTTGCATATTACAGCAGCCCTAGCAAATGAATATACATTAAGTCCTCTCTTAAGATCATCCATAGGTTTTGGCAACTGCAACTTTACCAATTTTACCACAAGCTAATTGATATAAATGAGTTAAGTTCCTACAGCATATTTCCAGGAATGAAAACATCACCAAACTTCCTAATGAAGACCAAAACACTTCTAATATTAAACATTGAAATAAATGGGAGCTGTACAGACATTTAAGAAAGATTGGTAAAAATAAGTAAGATAATTATTTATCCTCTTATTCCAGCTCAGGGTCAAGGGTGGCTGGAGCCTATCCCAGCAGCTCAGGGTGCCAGGCAGGAAGCAACCCTGGACAGGACACAGTTCCATCGCAGGGTGCACCCTCACACACCCACATTCACTCATGCTGGGACAATGCAGACACACCAATTCACCCCATGTGCACAGCTCGGGGATATGAGAAGAAATTGGAGTCCCCAGAGAAAACTCACACAGACATGGGGTGAACGTGCTGACTCCACACAGGTAGTGGCCCAGCAGGAATTGATTCTTTTTTCTCATCGACGTTATGATGAAACAATGTTGAGCAAAATGACATTATTTGAGGTCCTACCGTTACATAAAGTTTGTCCCCAACTTACAATGATTTGACTTAAGATTTTTTCAACTTTACAAGGAGGATGTAACCCATCGTAAGTTGAGGAGCATCTGGAAGTGAATGGTTCAACTTAATTTTTAAAGCTATCGGTTTTATCAGGGCATTAAATGCATCTTGACTTGTGATATTTTTGACTTATGATGGGTTTATCAGGACATGGCCCCACTGTGGAGTAAAGAGCATCTACGTTTGTGTGTGTGTAGGTGTGTGGATGTAAGTGTGTGTGTAGAGACAGAGAGTGAGAGAAGGTGTCCACCATTCAAGAAAGTGTCCAGCACATGTAAGGAATAGAAGTAAACTGTTAGCTAGTAATAACAGTAACTATGTTACTAACCAGAAAGTGTGTTGTTTTACATTGCACCTTTTGAAAAATTCCAACCCTGTGGATAGAAAACCACATCAGAGGAACAGTATGACTGCTACAGTCCACATGTCCATCACTCAAGTGCCAGGCCAGCCAGGCTCATCTCTTCAGATCTAGATCCAACTGAGAGAGCTGCATGATGACAAGTGACAACGTAGAGTTTCTCTACAGCTTGTTTTAAGTCCTCAGTGCTTTTTTATGATGCTTATAAGTAAACATGAGTCCATATAATCACTTCTTTAACCTTGAAACAAACATCCCCTACTGTTTCTCCTTTTGTCTTCCAAATGAGTTTAATGGAAACACATTCTGCTATATCAAGGCAAGCCACACATAAAAAGTTACATTTCATAGCTACTTGTCTGTGAGACTTCTGTGAGTATCATGCAATCAAGTCACAAGGCAGAAGGTTGGGCCCTGAGGCTGATGTAAGATTGCAACTGCCCTCCATAACCCCAGATTCCATATTTTTGTGTTCACCAAAAGTCTCATTTCCCCTCACTGGCTGTTTACAATAAGTAAATAATCAACCTGAACTCTTGATACTACATAGATTGATACTAGTACAGAATCCTGATTCTTATCTGTCTCCTGAATTAAGGTTATGTTTGAAAGATTATGTTTGAAAAAGAAGGGGATTGTGATGGTTAATTTTATGTGTCAACTTGACTGGGCCACAAGGTGCTCTGATATTTGGTTAAACATGATTCTAGATGTGTCTGTGAGGGTGTTTTGGATGAGCTTATCATTTGAATTGGTAGACTGAGTAAAGCAGATTGCCCTCCCAGCTGGGCAGGCCTCATCCAATCTGTTGAAGGCCTGAATAGAATGAAAAGGCTGAGTAAGAAAGAATCTGCTCTCTCTGCATAACTGTCTTTGAGCTGGGACATCAGAAGGCAGAAGCCTTCGGACTAAGATTCAGACTAAAACATACACCTTCAGCTCTCCTGCTTCTCAGTCTTTGAATTTGGAGTGGAACCACACCATCATTTCTCCTGGGTCTCCAGCTTGCTGCTGCAGGTCTTGGAATTTCTCAGACTCCACAATCACATGAGCCAATCTCTTATAATCAATCTAATTTTATCTCTAACTCTATCTAAATATAAATATCTATTTAAAGATAGATAGGGAGACCAAAAGAGATTTATTATAAGGAATGATGTATCCTTATATTTGTGTATGTGTGTGTATGTGTGTGTGTGTGTGTACACCAATAGGATAGATTAGATAGATTAGACAGATAGATTAAATAGATAGATTTGATAGGTATAGACAGATTACATTAGATAGATAAATAGACCCATAGGTTAGATTAGATAGATTTGGTAGATAGACAGATGTGATAGATAGATAGATAGATAGATAGATAGATAGATAGATAGATAGATAGATAGATTCTGTTTCTCTTGAGAACCCTGACTAATGTAAGTTCTGTTCTGCTACTTTGGGAGAAACCACCTTTTGAATTTCATTCAAATAAATTTTGTCTCATCTAATCACCGTTGCTATGCTCCTTCCCTTCTGATTAATGAAAATGCCTCCCTCTCATTTGGCAGCTGGGAAGCTCAGACAAAAGGTTCTGCTCCCCAACCACAATAGCATCGCCCCTTACAGCTGGCCTCCTTGCTTTCTCTTCATTCTCAGGCTACACGATAGGTTATGAACCTGATTTACTAATCTCATTGTACATACCAAATTCTCTTTGGGAAAGTGAGAGCGTAGTCAATAAATAATTTTGGTGAACCTCTAGATCCAAATTTCATTGGCCTCTACCTTCGGTCAGGTATTTTTTATGAAGGAAACTAGTGGACAACATTTGGCTTGTCTTTTCCTACTCTCTTTCCGTTCCATCTATAGGTTTTTCCTCTATACTAGAACTGAATAATGTGAAAAGTTATGATTTGAAAATGTCCCACCACCTTACAGCATCTGAAGCATCACCATGTTCTCTTACAATTATTTTTAACTGTAGGCTCAACAGGCAGATATACTGGCTTATCTCCTCCTGCCCAGGTTCCTTCAGCAATTACTGTTAAAGCAAAGAATTACAAAAATCATGCATCTTTAATGAAAGACACAGGAATAGAAATATTATCTAGCTCAGATGGTTCCCAGTTTGACCCTCTCATGAGCCTGTCCTGCCAGTAATTCTAGGGGGAGTAGAAAGAGCTTTGCACTGGGCAGTCAAGATCCTGGGGTTCCAGTCCTGAACCTGCATTTAAGCACCTACATGACCTTGGGAAGTCAGTTATTCTTTGCAGCCACAGCTTATCATCTGTAAAATACAAAAAAATGTGGAACACAGCATGATTAAGGCAGTTTAGCATAGTGATCAGGGTGTGGTCTCTGGGCCAGCCAAGGTGACCTTGGATAACTTAATTGTGTCCCTCAGTTTCCTTATCTGTGAAATGGAGACAATAACAGACTTCCCTCAAAGACTCCTCATGAGAGTTAACAGAAGGTACATGGAAAGTGCCAGGACAGTGCCTGGCCCAGAGTAAAGCCCTTTCTATATGTAACCTATTATGATGATCTTCAAAGTGCCTTTCAATTGTAAAATTATTCAACTCTATGACTCTGATACCTCCTCCCAAATTTTTAGTATCCTGGGATTTCTCTATTGGGATGGAAAGTGAACACAGAAGAAAGTAATGAAATTGAAGAATCATCTTTGTCTCCCTGTATCAATAGATTAATAGAAAGTTTAAAGTAACATAAAATTTTTAGGTATAAAAGAGATAAAATACCCAATAAAATAAGCAATTTCACATAACAGCTTTAAGAGAATTAGAGAAAAGACAGAAAAGATGTTTTGTCTCTTAAAAGAAGGAAACAACATTCCCTGAGGACCCAGTAGCTGTTGGGTACACTACAACCTCATGATATCGCCATGAGGCAGTCCTTGCTGCCCCCATTTTACAGATGAGGAAACTGAGGCTCAAGGAGGCAAATGACAGTCACTGGGTTATATGGCTCTTCGAAGTCAGATTCAGATTCTACCCAGGCCTGACTGCAAAGCCTGTGCTTTTTCCACACCACAAGGCTGGCTCCAGACCACAGCCATTCCTCAGCCGGGGTGGTAGTGGTCAGGGAGAAGTTGGTTTTTCTAAAAGAAATTATTATTTAAACACACTAATAGAGTTTTTCTTTCATTTATTTATTTTGTTTATTTGCGAGACAGATAGAGTCTCACTCTGTTGCCCAGGCTGGAGTCCAGTGGTGTAATCATGGCTCATGGCAGTCTCAATTTCCTGGTCTCAGGTGATTCTCCCACCTCAGCCTCTGTAGTAGCTGGGACTACAAGCACGACCCACAACACCCACCTAGTTTTTGGATTTTTTGTAGAGGAGGGGTTTCACCATTTTGCCCAGGCTGATCTTGAACTCTGGGCTCAAGCAATCCACCCTCCTTGACCTCCCAACATGCTGGGATTACAGATGTGAGCCACCAAACCCAGCTAGAATTTTCTCTGTAAGAGAACTCTTACATAAGTTTTGCTATGAAGTAAAAAGCAAGATATTCTACAAAATATTATATCATTTTCTAACTTCTTAATATCAGTAACAGTATCTTAATAAAAGTAGAAACAGTTGTCAAATTGAGGATTGAGGTGGAATAGAAAATAGGAATGGAATGGAACAGTATTTGAAATCAGATGACATGGGTTTCAACCCTAGTTTTGATATTTACCAGCAGAATATAGTCACTACCTCAAATCTGAATAAAGGTAATTGCTGGACATTCCTCATGAACCTATGAGGATACAGTAGAGGATAAGAAAGCCTCCAGTCTCTGCAATGGTACTTCTAATTATTTGGTTTCATCTTAACAAAGGGTTTCTAAAGTGTCTTACAGATCTATTGTATAACATGATGACTACAGTTAATAACAACGTATTTTATACTTGAATATTGCCAAAAGAGATTTTCACATGTTCTCACCAAAAAAATAAAAAATAATTTAAAAAATAATAAAATGTCTTACAAGTTCAAATACTCTGATGCAATCTGAGTTTGCATTCTTTCTAGACTCCTCCAAGACCAGGCACAACTGTGAATTCACTCCTTCTCCCTTATTTGGGCCTTGACGCCCAAAGACCCAGCACCTTTAAGAACTGACTGCAGGTATGTCTCTGGCAACCAGGAAGCTCCTTCGTATTTTGCATCTTGTACACCTGGCACTAATGATATACAGATCAGGTATTCGGTCAATGTTGCTGAATTAATGCATCAATCTCTGAATTCCACCTATCTGTACCTGGGTACAGAATGAGCTACATAACTTATGGGGCCTGGTGCAAAATGCAAATTTGAGACCCCTTGTTCAAAAAGCAGGAAAAAGTAATACTGAATGATACAGTTTGGCTGTGTCCCCACCCAACTCTCATCTTGAATTATAGCTCCCATAGTCCCCTGTGTTGTGGGAGGGACCCAATGGGAGGTAATTAAATCATGGAAGTGGGTTTTCCCATGCTGTTCTCAAGATAGTGAATAAGTCTCATGAGATCTGATGGTTTTATAAAGGGTAGTTTCCCTGCACACGCCCTCGTCTGCTGCCATGTAAGATGTGGTTTTGCTCCTCATTCGCCTTCCACCATGATTATGAGGCCTCCCCAGCCATGTGAAACTGTGAGTCCATTAAACCTCTTTCTCTTTATAAATCACCCAGTCTCAGATATTTCTTCATAGCATTATGAACATGGACAAATACACTAAAGGTACTAAAATATAAATCTTTTTTCTTTGTTCTAAAGTCTCTCTCTTGACTTGTCATGATATCTTTTATTTGCTATTTAATGTCATTCTAAGTAAAAAAAAAAAAAAGTTAAATATTGAAATTATTAGTAAGATTTTATTGTTCATCTTTATATTGTATAATGTTAGTTTTAAATGAAACTTTAAGAGTGAGACAACACAAGTCATGTGCCCATGAAGTTGGCCCAGCCTGGGTACAGTCCTAACAAATTAAGGAATACATGGCAAAATTCAAGTATCTCCTGGCATGAACTCACACAACAGTAGAAAGCAAAGTCGAAGAAATCTGCATGTGATAGGCAGAGGGCATTGCAGAATAGCTTTCTTCAATTTGTAATAACACTGAGAAAAACTTTCAATTAACTGATTGCAAACCAAATTTATTCCCATGAAGATGAAGTCCTTCAACAGTATATAAAATGCTCACACAAATAAGTTTCTATCTTCTTTGGGGGAGAAAATAGGAGAGAGAATAGAGAAAAATAAGCTATTGATATAAAGAATTACGAATGGAGAAAATTACTGGGTTTAATTTACTCATATTACATTCTACCTCCGCGCATGCAAGAGGCTGGCAAGTTATTATATCATAATTATGGACTCCCCTAGCAGCTTGAGTCTCAATGGTTCCTATTGTTCCAGGCCTTTAGCAAGCCCATAAGTGCCAAGATTGCATCACACAGAAAAAGAGCAGGAGCTAATTGCATTGCATATTTATACTTCCACAATTCCTGCCATTACCCACATAATTCCCAGTGGGTTCTAATTAGCTCAATCAGGGCTGGGGGAATAAAAATTCAAGCAATTTCAAATAAATATGGGGTTTGCTACCACCACAGAATTTGGCAAAATGCTAACCTTACAACTACAACTTAAAACTATGATTTATCTCTCACTTCTAAAAACAGTGGATAGCTGTTTTGTTATGCTTAGATTTAGCCTAATACAATAGCTTTTTAAATATTACAAAACTATATGGTTTGCATTTTGGTGTTTTTCTGTAATTAGAGGGGAAAAATCCATTTTGAATATCATTTTTGTTGGGCTCTTAAGCGATACCTCTGATGACATGCGATAACTTCTCTGCTCTTTCCTCCCTCATTTTATAATCTGCATTAACCAGAAGTCTTACCTTTCAATCCTATGCAACCTATAATGAACAGTGCTTAGGAAAATGATTTTCCTGAAGGGCCATACTCCGGGAAGATGAGCTTAATTGCTCTAGTCATCATCGGTGGTTTAAAATTTAGAGAAATAATCTTTTTTTTCAAGTGAAAGCAACTAACATTTCTCTTAACATAAACAAGAGAGCTGTCACGGAGTCTCTCTTTCTCCCCATCACCTCATTATTAATTCATCTGGCTTCAGGATCTCAGTTCTAATCAGGGAGTTGGCTCCTGCAGCTTCACTTACAATCAGCTCAATGCCAAAACGGCCTCATGCAATCACCCTTCTCAAATCTACAGATGACTCCTAGTGAAGAAAATTATTTGAAAGGAAACGGGTATGCTAAGACCCAGTGTGCAATCTCTAGTGGCTGGAGTTTGGAGGCTCACACCAGCTTTCCTCTTCTCAGATGTCCAGCCTTGATCCAGGGGAAGGTCAAGGAAAGTAGAAAGAAGGGAAACTCAAAGAGACTTCCAGAGAGTATCTGAGGCAACAGCCTAGACCAAAGGCCAAGCCTGGCCACCCAAGGACTGAATGCAATCCACAGACACGTTACTTTCCCTCTCCCTTCCTCTTACTGGTACATAGCATAGTGTTTTATGAGTGGCTAACATTTAAATATTAGAAGCATTTACGTAAAACTCCAGGGTGCCAGCTTCTTCTGAAAGTGAAGTAAAGGAGGCCTGTATTCTGGCATGTTAAAAATTGGTCAATTCTGAATGGAGGTGACCGTATTTCAACAAAACAAAGAATCTTCATCACTATGGTCCCACCCCACCAGGCTTGCTCACCCTTTTACCTGCCTACCTCCTGTAGACATTGGCGTCTTTCCTCTGAAGCCTATACCCAGTATTCTCTAAGTAAGCCCCTTCTCCAAGTTTCTTCAGATGGTGGTTAGGCTAGTCCAAAATACCAGAGGGGTAAGCAGTCCAAAAAAAAAAAGAGGAAAAGGAGTAAAACAGAAGCTTTTCTGAAAACAATTTACACTTAGAAACCTAACTAAAGGATGAGACATCATCGTCTCCTCATGTAACCTGCATTTTCTGGGCACCCACCATGTGCCTGGCATGGTTTGCAGAGCAGAAGAGACAGCAGTGACAAGACCAGACCCCCTTTCCTCACCAAACTTTCTTCCTCTGTGACACAGGCAATCATCAACTAAAAACTAAATATATATTACATCTGGTAAACAATAAGTGCTGAGAGACTGAATATACAAATGGACAGTGGCCAGACTGTGTATAAAAATAGAACCAGTCCAGGAAGACAATCTACTATATATCTAAAGTTATCAATTCAGGAAGTCAGACTACTATCTGTAGCAACCAGTCCCGGAAGCCAAACAACAGCCCAGGTAATGATCAGCCCCAAATGGCAAGGCCGGGATTAATCACTGACTGTCCTTAATTTTTGTTCCTGCTCCCAACTCAGGACAAACCAGAGGAAGTCAAATATGCGTCCCTCACCAATCACATAGGATGCTGTGCTTCTAGTGAGCTGCCTATGGCTTTTCCACACCAACAGCCTCCAGTCAGGGTGCCCCTGAGAACTTCCCTTTTCTCCACTTTCAAGCTTTCTCACCCCTCTGCCTGCCCGCGAGTCTCGGCCCAACAGAAGTGATGGTGGCTGCTGCCTTGCTATAGCAAGCTCTGAGTAAGCAGCCTTTGCTTATTCTCATTTGGGTGGTCTTTGTTGATTTCTGTGGGGTTTTGAAAGTAAATAAAGCAGATTAGAGGAACAGAATGGTAAATGGATGGGAAGTTTGGGAAGGTGGTGGTGTTGGAGTCAAGTCCTGAAAAGGGAGAAGGAGGGAGTGGAGGATAGAGTAGGAGGGAGGGAGGGAGGGAATTAGAGAGGGAGGAGGGAATTAGAGAGGGAAGGAGAGAAGGAGGGAGGGAGGGAGGGAAAGAAGCAGGGCAGGAGGGAACCATGTGACTCTGGTGGAAAAGCATTCCAAGCAGAGGGAATAGCAACACAAAGCCTGGAATGGGCAATAAGCTGGCATCTTCCAGAATTAACAAGGAGAAGAAAGGAGGGAAAGAGTTCTGGGGGAGGGGATCGGAGAGGCAGCCACCAGCCAGATGGCAGGTGGCATGGGGCTTGTCAGCCACAGGAAGGACTCGGAACCTCCTCAGACGCTGTTAGTTGTGAGCAGGGCATATCCACACTCCACCTGCTGTGTGAAGAACAGGGGTCATGGGGGGAGACTGAGACTAGGTGGGAGGCCACGGCAATGATCCACATGGAAGATCCTGGCAACCCCGACTAGTGTGGAATAATGAGGGTGGTAAGAGGTGGCCAGACTTGGGATGTAGATATTGGACTTGCTAAAGTGTTGAATGTGAGGTGAGAAAGAAGGTGAGAAACCAAGGATGGCTCCTACTCTCCTCCTCTCCTGTTCTCCAGCCAATATGAGTGACCCCTCCACACCCCCACACTCTCACTACCATTCCTCTTTAAAGTTCCTTGCCCAGCAGTACAAACAGAGATCAAAGAAAGCAGCCAATAGTGAAGGAAGCCAAGCATGTGGCAAGTTTCTGTGGAAGAAAGGACAGAGTAGTAACAACCAAGCCAGAGTGGCTTTTGCACAGAAAGACCTAAAGGTCTAAAATGCACCACCCCAGTCAGGAAACCCCAGGCCCCTCGGTGCACCTTCCTTCAGAGGGCCCAAGCTTCTTTTGTTTTCTCAGTCAGCTTCACCACCCTTTTCTGGTGGTGCCATCACTTGTAGCCAATATTGTCAGTGCTCACACCCTCCAACCCCCTTACCATGTCTGTGCAAGCCTGCTTGATCCAGACTAGAGGGGCCTGGGAGTGACTGCACCTTCCCACCCCCATCCATCCCTCTTCTCTGCACTCCCCTACCCACAAACAGCAGCCCTGGACCTACAGCTGACAGGTGTGGGGTATAAATACCCCAGCTTTCTCATTCCTGACTAGGATGGTTTTGAGGTGTGTGTTTTGCACCATTTTCCAAAGTGTCTCCTGTGGAACCAGCCTGTCAGTACCCTTCCTATCTCACTCTCTCCTCACCTAGCAGCACCCATGATCCTCCCATCAAAAGCTTCCCCTTTAATTCTTGGCTCAGGGTCCGATCCTAAACTCAGATCACCTATGATATATTTTTTAAAATTTCACGCCTATAATCCCAGCACTTTGGGAGGCCGAGGCGAGCAGAACACCTGAGGTCCAGGAGTTCGAGACCAGCCTGACCAACATGGCAAAACCATGTCTCTACTAAAAATACAAAAATTAGCCAGGTGAGGTGGTGCACGCCTGTAATCCCAGCTACTCGGGCAGCTGACGTAGGAGAATCGCTTGAACCTAGGAGGTGAAGGTTTCAGTGAGCCGAGATCACACCACTGCACTCCAGCCTGGGAGACAGAGTGAGACTCCATCTCAAAAAAAATTTTCTTAATTGTTTTTTAGACAGTGTCCATGTGATGCAAAATTTTAAAAAAAGATCTTGTCCAGACCTTGGTTACTAGACAATACCATTGTCCCCTAAAGGGATCAGGCTTCTTGGAGGAAAGGCTGACTCCAGGGTGTGGCAGGGAAGGTATGAGACAATCATGGAACATCTTACTGTACCAAAAAGTAAGGATCTGCTCAAGAACAATAGGGACATATTAAAGGGACATGACAGCCAGCTTTAAGGAATTCTTACTGGCTAAATTTGGGACGATTCAAACAACAAAAAGAAGTAACAGTAATGGGCCATAACTTATCAAATAAAAAAAGAATCTAGGAGTCTATACAGATACTAAAGATATTAAATAAGTAAACACAAAAGAAGGAAAAATGTTTCCTTTTAATAGAATGCTGACTAATAAATATAGAGGGAATGATAGATTAGTAAAACTCTATTTTACAACCATCAAAGCACAAATTGAGGCAAAAAAGTCATTAATGAATGCTAAATCTAGGAAGGAAAATTTAATAAGGAATAGGATATTTATTTGGTCTCAAAATCTCTCCCCACAAATTACTAATTTATAAAAGAAAAAAATGGTAACTATACAGTAGAAAAAATGGACAAAACAAAGACCATTTCCTTAGACATGCCTAATGATTCCCACTTCTTCCTTCCTGAGGAGGAAACGGAAAATAAAATCAGAACCTCACTGACTATCTCACGTATACCTTCGTTATATATGCTGTGCTTACGTTATGCACTAGTTACATAGACACGGGGGTAGCACATTTCTAATACTCCTTTGACAGTTTTCATACACTTAGGTTTTGTTAGAGAACCACACCACATCTGGTGAGCCCTTACGCAATCATTCTTCAAAACCATCAGTGTTCAGTGTCAAGATACAAAAAGACTGAGTGGTTGAAATTGAGCGAGCTAACCCTTTACTGATGAGTTGTAATGAGGCCAATGGTCCTCAAGGGAGCTACCATCACGTTCAGTCCTGGATAAATATGCATTCTACTCCTTTTGTGCAGCTTACACCACCTTCCCTTCCTGTTTTATCTACATATTCAAACATCACATGGCAGCATAATTGTATTTCTCTTCCTTCCCCTCCAAAAGGTTGAGGCTTTTTCGTTTTTTTTTTTAACCAATTCTTTCAGGTTCATCATTTAAGATTTAAAAAGTTTCATACCTTTTTTAACAGCATGTAATGGGCTGAATGATGAGCCCAAAAAAGATATGTCCACATCCTAATCCCTGCAATGTGTGAATGTCACCTTACTTGGAAGTCTTTTGTAGATGTATCTCAGCTGAGGATTTAGAGATAAAAAGATTATCCTGGATTATCCCTGTAAACCCTAAACAACATCACAAGTATCCTTATAAAAGACAGGCAGGGGGTATTAGACACCTCTACAGAGAAAAAGATGACATGAAGATGGAGCAGAGAGAAGCAGACACAAGCCAAGGAACGTGGACAGCCACCAGGAGCTGGAAGAGGCCAGGAACGGGTTCTCCCCTAAAGCCTCCCACAGGAGTGTGATGCTGGGCACCCTGTGATTGCAGACTTCCTATCTCCAGGACCATAAAAGAATAAGTTTCTGTCATTTCTGACATTGCCACCAACCTTATGGCAATTTGTTATAGCAGCCACAGGAAACTAATACACAGCAGAACCTGTCTTTCAAATGAAATCTTACACAGATCCCCCCACCAATATGTAAAAGGAGAACTATTGTGGTCAAGTGGGAGTGTGAAGCAGCAGCCTCCCATCCCTTCCCTTGCAAGTCATCTCTCCTCTCCCACCCTCTCCCTTCCCATTGATGGGGAACACTGAAGGCAAACTCCCCATCCATGTGGGAGCACCAAAGCTGCTCCATGAAACAGTCTGAAAACCAGTCTTCCAAAAATCCTCATCATAGTCATTATTCCAATGCTTTAATTCCCTGGACATTCATCCCATGCATCCAGTTTTTCTCTCCTTGCTTTTCTATTTAACTAACCCTTGCCTTGTGTGTGTGCCTTTTGTAAAAGGGGCATGCAGGTTGCACAGCTGGCTCTCAGTCTCTAAGCCACACCCCCCAGGAACTCTCTGCTGTTAACGACAGTTCATTCTGGTTTCTCTCCTGTTTAAAACTTGTAGTTTGGTGTCACCCTCTCTTCTTCAGCATCCCATTTTGATCCCAACTCCACCCCTCAGGGTTTGTTCTTGGCCTCCTCCAAAACCTTTCTTTTGACTTCTTTTGATGTTTTTCAGTCTCAGACTCATGACTTGACCCTGGCTTGTAGTTTCATCTTGTGCACACCCTGAAGCTCTCTGATCCATCCTGCGTTTCCTGGCACCCTGCTCCAGGCCACACATTTCTTCCCCATGAAGTCAGCAGGGGTATCCTGCCATCCCTTGCAGGCTTTCTAAAGCCAGTAGAATTATTTCTTCAAGCACTGTCCAGAGTTGGTGTGCATATTTCAATGTCATTGATAAGCCATGATTCACACCCAAGACGGAAAGGTAAAATCACTTGCCTTATTAAAACTTAGTGAGTAGGACCTGGACAAATACAAGAACCAAAGCACCTCTCATTCATGCATTTTTTTAGTTGGCTCCTGCCCTCAGTATTCCTCTTTTCAGAGACCTCCCAGGATTCAAGTAAAACTTGGGGGTAGGTGGGGATGGACGGAAAGGGTAAAATAGAAGTGAGGGCAAGAATTAGAACTGTCTATCAAATAACCAACTTTGTCATGCAATTTGTGTTCCTGTTAGGTCATAATTTGAAGGCTGCCTACACATTTTTCTCAGCATTTTTATTGTTCAATTTTAAATGGCATTGACATAGCAGCTGCCCATGCAAACTCTCCCAACTTCTCACAAAATACAGAGGCTGCTCAGCTTTCATTAATTTGCCTTCCAAACAGTCTGTACATTCCAAACACTACATATTATCACTCCAAACCTCTCTGTGTATGCTAAATTCTGATTGTCATGCAACTGCCTAGAAATAATCAATTCAAGCTATCACATAGTGGTGTTACCTGCGGTTCCATTGTTTACTTCAGTCTAGAAATGTTTATGCAATTGTTTTTATGTTTATTGTATTGTCAAATTGTTTTATAAAAATGAGTCAAAAACAGAAAAATGAAAGTGCTGATACCAGGGATAAGAAGTATAGGTCATATAAACTTAACAATTGAGACAAAGATGAAAATCACTTAAGCAGCCTGAAGACAGAGAATCTTTCACCTTAATCAGATTCTCACTGGACTCAGACAGGTCAATTGCATGTTCAATTAATTGTGAAGGAACAGAACACAATTAAAGAACATGTACCAAATGTTGGCAATAAATCATAAATGATTGTGTTTAAAAAACGGAGGTGTAATTAGTGGTTTCATCACCTTTTTAGCTTTCTAGGAATGGAACTCCTACCTCTTTTATATCAAATAAGTCTATTGTCTGGCTTTCCACATTCAACCCTTGTACAAACTTTCAAGAATATACGAAAGGAAAGAACAGCTTGTACTTATGACAACTGACGTCTAAACTTGCATCAACCTAACACCATGTATCCAAAATGAATTTACTTATACTATAAAGCAAGTAGAACTTGAATGAGAACATCTGACCATGGGCTTCTCCACAGGACAGAGACCACATGAACAAAAATACAATGACAAAGAGCCTAAAAATAACTACCTACGTAAAAGGTTACTTAAGGCTGTGGCATTTGTCAAAGCAAAAGTCTGGAAACCCAAATGTCTCTCCATAGAGGGCTGTTAAGTAGCCTATGATACACCATAGGGAACCATGTAACCATATAGCAGAATCAAGATCTCTATGAATAAATATGGAGTAATATATATTCTATAATGCATTGTTAAGCAAAAAAAAATCAAAGTATAAAATGTTATTAGAGCTCAGCATGTTTTTGTAAGAAAAATGGGGGAATGAGTATACAAAGACACACACACAATTTTGCTTATTTTTTAAAGAAACATAAATATTGACTAATGGTTGTCTACAGAGAGTGGTGATTATAAGGATTATAAGGTGGAAAAGAAAGGAATAGAAACTTCTCTAAAATATATTTTTGTATATAATTTTGATTTTTGAACCATGTATAATATATATATTTTACATATTTAAAAATTAAATTAAAAATAAGCATAAATTTTCCATAGAAAATATGAGGTCTTGTTTCCTTGCCAAAGAAACAGCACTGGATGCCAGCAGATAAAAACCATCTACCATCCCCTAGGTGGATTTCAGAGAGAGATAATGGAATGGAATACTCACCTTCTCAGCAGTAGATGCCATGAGCACTGGTCCTGATGCTAGTGCTCACAAGCCTATGTAAAATCACTCAACCTCTCTTTCTTCTCATCTGTCAAATAGAGGTAATGTTTACCTTATATGAAAAAGGAGTAAATAATTTAAAAGATTTTATGTAAAAATAGGCCTTAAAATCACACACAATTGGAAACAAATGAGTCTAATTGCATATAAAATTGGTAATCACACAGAGAAAATCAGTATTTAAAATTTCTTTGAATACAAAACTATGACTGTACCTTCTTAGGGGTATATATTCTAAAAGTAAAAAATAGCAAATAAACCTTAAACTTAGTTGTTTTACTATTAACATTAATATTAGAATTTTAGTTTTTAAAACTATTTTACAATTACTATTTCAAAGGAGGAGGTTTTAGGCCAAGAATTGTATACCCAGCAAACTTGTTTCCCAAGGCAAAGTTGCAACAGGCTACCAAACATTCCATTGTGGAAAAAGAAGTCACTAACAATGTACTCTAGGAACCAAAAGAAGAATCACATTTAAGAGCTCAAAAATGTGTCAGTTATGGGATAAAATCACTTCCCTTACTCTGTTTGGGCCACAAACTTAATGTCTGTTGGATTCCATGTCCTCAGATGGATTTCACATCCCAGGGGAAGCTTGGCCCAACAGTGCTACTCTTGGCTGCTTTTTCTCCCTTATCAATTCCAGAAAACATCCATTCTTGAATTCTGTTCTCTATCCCAGAGTTCAAATAAAAGCTTTTGCCATGTTTGAGTGCCACTTAAAATGACCTATATTACTCTATTCCGGCACTTGCTCTAATAATAGCTAAACTCTTTACATGGTTAAGATGCTGTGCTGGGAGAATCACTAAAATATTTTTCTTTTTTCTTCCATAAAAGTAGAGCTACATAGAGCAATATAATAAGCATTTTCATTGCCAAAGAGCTCAAGTAATGATTTTCTGCAACTTTAAAATTCATATTGAATGGCCTAAGTCTCAGAGTTGTCTTTTTTTAATTGGTGAAAACCAAATAAAAACTAGTCTATGGAAAATATCATCTCCTCCAAACCCTATCCCATCCTCCACCTCACAGTTACAAATGTCCCTGCATTTACTATATTTTAAACTTTGAAACAAATACATTTTTAAATGCATAGAAAAAACTATATGATGATACATTAAAATAGAACAACAGCATTTATCTCCGGATGGTGACATTCTATGTAATTATTTTTTCTTTATACTTTTACATTTTTCAAGTTTTCTGCAAAGCACATGGATCACAAGAACAAAAATAGATGTTTAACTCAGTATATGTAATTTTGTATATAGAATATGATCATAACTATGTTTTTAATCGGCAAAAAAAATCAACAGATAAACTTAATCCAGTTACTTTTTCCTGAGTGGTAAGAAAAAGATGATGATTACTTGTTCTCTTTTTTCTCTCTGCTTTTCTATATTTTCCAAGTTTTCTGTGATGAATGTATATTATTTTTATAATGCTTAGGGTATTTTTGTGGTTGTTTTCATGGTGGGGCAAATAACAAGTCAAAATCAGTCACTAATCAGTTGAGTAACAATGAGTAACAACCAGACTAGTTGTTACTCTTTGGAAATGAGGTCAGGGGATAGGAAAGAAGGAAACATCAAGCCACTTTCATTCTCAGACACACTGACCTTCCACACCTACTCCAGCCACAAAATGAGCAACAAACAGAAGTCCTTATTTGATTGATCCTACCAACCTACCCTTCTCATCCCCAAATTTTCCACCGTGCCATGAAATCGGCACAGCCCAAACACCCACATGAACATTCTTTCTGCCTGACATGTGCATTGAAGAGCTGCATGTTTATTTGCAAATAAAGATGCAGTTGCTCTGTAAAGCCCAGAATTAAGTGCCCTAAACAGATTTTGAGTTTACAGGACTCTTTCTAACTGCATTACTTTTTCCCTAATAAAGTTTCCCCCTTGCTGCCACAGTAGAGAAAAAACATTTTATGACTCGCCTTTAAAAATGATATAGTGGGAAGCTAATAGCACAACAAGAAATTTGATTCCCCTGATGGAAAAAACAGCCCTAGCAGACATTACTCTGTAGCAACTAATAGCCTGTAAGTACAAATATCTCTGTTTTTTAAAGCATCTGAGGGTAAATGCCTGCTGTGCATTTTGTAAAAAATTGACGAGTTTTCTTTTGCTATTGTGTTAGCCTGGGTGAGCTAAAAGGAAGAGAAGTGGCTGCTCTACCATGGGCTTCAGAACTATTTTTAATAATATGTGTTGCTTCTGCACTACATGATGACAAGGAACATGCAGGGGTGGGTGCTATTACAAGTCCTCACCCTTCCAGTGTTTATACTAGCATTGCACTCGTGATCATTTTTCTTCTGGCTTTGCTGTGAGCAGAATAAGACTTTTTGTTGTTTTATTTTCCCTAATCTCCTTCACTGTGGTATCCAATATTTCTTGGGGCCCTTTGGTGCACTTTGGACCAATGTCTTCAAGAAACTCATCTATGATGCTTTACTAATCTCATTCTTGGATCGTCATTTTCTCAGTCTCTCCCCTAGTCCACACTCCAAATGTGAGAGACAGCTTTTCTCATAGCGGAAAAAAACCTGGGCCTTGGAGCCAGACAGACTTTGATTCTAATCCCAACTCAGCTACTTACTAGAGTTTATGAGTTAGAGCGGGTAACTGAGTATCTCTAAAATTCAACTTCGTCACTTGAGAGGTGGATTAATGGCACATCACAAGACTGCCACAAAGAAAACGGATACCCTATATAAGGTTCAGTAGCAGACCTATTGAAAGGTAGCTGTTACTCCAATCAATCACACCATTAACGTTTATCCTCACTGACCTCACCTGTCAATGTCCTGCCTTGTAAGATATTGCTAAAGGTTTTTTTTTTTTTTTGAGATGGAGTCTCGCTCTGTCGCCCAGGCTGGAGTGCAATGGCGCTATCTAGGCTCACTGCAAGCTCCGCCTCCTGGGTTCAAGCCATTCTCCTGCCTCAGCCTCCAGAGTAGCTGGGACTACAGGCACCCGCCACCACGTCCGGCTAATTTTTTTTTTTTTGTATTTTTAGTAGAGACGGGGTTTCGCCGTGTTAGCCAGGATGGTCTCGATCTCCTGACCTCGTGATCCGCCGGCCTTGGCCTCCCAGCGTGCTGGGATTACGGGCGTGAGCCACCGCACCCGGCCTGCTAAGGGCTTTTCTTACTGCCTTGTTATCTCACTGCTTGGATGAGTTTTGTGTCGTTCTGGGCTCTAGATATGTTCTTTTGTGCTTCCTCTTTTTTTCTTAAAACTCTTAAATATCTTTGGTCTCAATACCAGTCTTTCTCATTCCCCACTGTTAAACATTCTCTTGCAAAAAGTTTTTTCCTCTTTTTTTTCCTGCATTGACTCATGCTTTTATTCAGCAAACATGACTGAGTGCATGGGACTTCCCAGACCTGTGTGTTCCCTGAACCAAACGCCACATGTTCTCAATCATGGGTGGGAGTTGAACGGCGGGGGCACATGGACACAGGGCGGGGAGCATCATGCAGGGGGGCCTGTCGGGGGATGGGGGCCTGGGGGAGTGATAGCATTGGGAGAAATACCTAATGTAAATGAAGAGTTGTTGGGTGCAGCAGGCCAGCATGGCACATGTATACCTGTGTGGCAAACCTCCACGTTGTGCACATGTACCCTAGAACTTAAAGTAAAAAAAAAAAAAAAAAAAAAAAAAAAAAAAAAAAAAAAAGAATCAAGAGCCTACAAATTATATATACGCTGGTATATAGAACTTGGTATATAATAGTACTGAAAAAATTACCATTTATTAAATAAAATTGGAATAATAGGATATTTCAGTGGGAAATAGAGAAAGTAAAGTTTATCTTACATGCAAAAATATGTTAGTCTTTGTAATAAAATGAATGCCGATTCAAAAATAAAAATATTTATTTAAAAATAAATTTTCAGAATCAACAAAAAATGAGCTCTAATTGTGTAATCCTCCAATTTAATAAAGTGTCAATTAAATAGTGCCTTAAAATGATGTCATAATTGGGAAATTTATGAAACACTCCAGTTTTATTAAAATGTACTACAAAATCACTATTGTAATTAAAACAGTTAGCTTACCTTAGAACTGCAATGGAGGTCAAACTAGTAACATATTTATAATGCTAAAATAAATGCATAATCTTTGGTAGTTCATTTTGTAATTTGGGAGCTAAAAATCCTTCCCAAAGGGAAGAATTTTTTTTTTTTTGACCTCTAACCTTTCAATTTTTTTTTAATTTTACTTTTGATTCTGGGATACATGTGCAGAATGTGCAGGTTTGTTGCATAGGTGTGCATGTGCCATAGTGGTTTGCTGTACCTATCAACCTGTCATCTAGGTTTTAGGCCCTGCATACATTGGGTGTTTGTCCTAGTGCTTTCCCTCCCTTTGCCCCCCACCCCTCAACAGGCCCTGGTGTGTGTTGTTCCCCTCCCTGTGTCCATGTGTTCCCGTTGTTCAGCTCCCACTTACGAGTGAGAGCATGTGGTGTTTGGTTTTCTGTTCCTGTGTTAGTTTGCTGAGAATGATGGCTTTCAGCTTCATCTATGTCCCTTCAAAGGACATGATCTCATTCTTTTTATGGCTGCATAGTATTCCATAGTGTATACGTGCTACGTTTTTTTAATCCAGTCTATCGTTGATGGGCATTTGGGTTGATTCCCAGTCTTTCCTGTTGTGACTAGTGCTGCAATAAAAAAAGGAGCTTCTGCTCAGCAAAAGAAACTAGCATCAGAGTAAACAGGCAACCTACAGAATGGGAGAAAATTTTTGCAATCTACTCATCTGACAAAGTTCTAATATCCAGAATCTACAAGGAACTTAAACAAATTTACAAGAAAAAAACAAACAACCCCATCAAAAAGTGGGTGAGGGATGTGAACAGACACTTCTCAAAAAAAGATATTTATGCAGACAACAAACATATTAAAAAAAAAAGCTCATCATCACTGATCATCAGAGAAATGCAAACAAAACCACAATGAGATACCATCTCACGCTAGTCAGAATGATGATTATTAAAAAGTCAGGAAACAATACATCCTGGTGAGGCTGTGGAGAAATGGGAACCCTTTTACACTGTTGGTGGGAGTATAAATTAGTTCAACCATTGTGGAAGACAGTGTGGTGATTCCTCAAAGATCTAGAACCAGAAATACCATTTGGCCCAGCCATCCCATTACTGGGTATATACCCAGAGGATTATAAATCATTCTAGTATAAACACACATGACTCTCCATCACTTTTATCTTCTCTTTGATCATACCTTGTGTATCGAATTCAGTTAATTTGTATTATTTTATATTTATTTACACTGTCATCATCAAGAGAGATATGTAACATCCAAAAAAAAAAGGAAAGTGAAGCACCTGCCTGGCTGCCCAGAGCTCGCAGTCTAGAGAGAGAAAGATGAGCACACCCATGACTATGCCAGAAGTGAGGCTGAACATTTTGTAAGAGATTTTTACTTTGTGAGATCAAATAGTCACAAGACAGTACACTCAATATGACCTGCATAAAGCCTGAAGCCATGCTAAAGCAGAAAATGCCTCAAAACTATCTGATATTTCCAGGTTAATAATAAAAAGAGGAGGTGGTGAAGAAAATATAGTATGACTTCACTTATATGAAATACCTAGAATAGCCAAATTCAGAGCCACAGAAAGTAGATTAGAGGTCGCCAGAGGCTAAGAGGCAGGGGAGAATGCAGAGTCATTGCTTCACAGTTATCGAGTTTTGGTTTAGGGTAATAAAAAAAGTTTCTGAAACAGTGCTGATGGTTGCACAACACTGTGAATTTAATTAATGGTATGGAATTGTACACTTTAAAATGCCTAAAAGCACAGATTTTATGTTATATATATTTTACAACAATGAAAAAAAAACACACAAGGAGGTGAAATCAAAATACAGAGTTAAGGACAGCAAAATATTCCTTCCCACCACATCCCAGACCCGCCTGACTACCCATGGTTCCATATACACACCTTTCAGAGTAATTTAGTCAGTTCGTGTTTTCTGAAAGCTCACTGTGTGTCAGGTACCATGTTGAGGGCTGAAAGAAGAATAAAAAACATTTCATGTCCGTGCTCAGACCAGATCCACAGCTCAAAGTGCCACTGGCCTGTATGTCTTGCTCAAATGCCACCTCCTTCAAGAAGCTTCTAAGATGAACAGGTAGAAATGAATTGCTGTCTCTTCTGTGCCCCCGTAGCTTTTGTTGCCCCAATATGTAAGCCCTCATTATAATCCCCCTTGTGTTCTGCCCTTTGTATGTCAGTCTCTGCCCTATGCCATGCCTGCCTGACTCCAGCTCTACCAAACTCCTTCAAGTCTATAGTCAATCTCTTCAACCTCGTGCCCATCCCTTTACATGCTGCATAGGCACAGTAAGCACTCAGTGCTTGGCTTCTGCTATCTGGAGAGCAACATTTTCAGAGCCTGCCAGCAGCCCAATAGCAGGCCCCTCCCATTCAGTTATTAATCACTTAATCCTCTCATCCTTCCTCATGGCACTGCCTTCATAAGCTGCTTCTTAACCAGTAGTGAAAAGAGAAAAGGTGACTATTTTTCCTTTGTAAATTAGCCTTAACATCAGGAGTGCTAGGATGTACTCAGCACGGGTCTCCTATTCCCGGCTGATAAAAGGAATACACCTATGAGTGTTCAATGCACAATAAGTATTTTAATTCCTGATGAAACCAATCATTATCAATCAAAGAAATAATGTTGGCAAGATTAAGAAGAGCAGAAAGGGGAAATATTCAACTGCACAAACAAAAAGAATGTTTATAATAAATAATCAGCAGTCCTAGAAAGCTGATTCCTCCTTCATTGAGCTCTAACCAAAACACTTATACATGTGAAGACAGAAGAACCTGGATGCGTTTATATTTATATTTTAATGTACAAGCCTTTTGTGAGGACAAAACACAGCATAGTTTTGAACCTGTAGTAATAAGAGCTACCTTTTATTAGGTACTTACTACATGTCAGATACTATTATAGTTGACATATATTAGCTTATTGAACCCTCACAACAATCTAGGGAAGACATAAATACTGTCACCCTGAAGACACCAGCACCCAGAGAAGGTAAGTCCCTTGTCCAAGGGTCATACAGCTGGGAAGTGACATAGGAATTAAACAGGTTTTCTGATTCCAAAGTTAATGTTGTATTCAGTACCCTAAATCAACTCTTTGCTGGTCCCTATTACTTTCTGCTTTTGCCTGTCTTTTTACTTTTGCCAAACACCCAGGGGGTTCATCTTTGATCACTGCCTTTATTTACTCCCTATACAAAATGAATCTGCCTCCAACATACATCCTGAATTTTGACTACGTCTCTCCTCCTCCAGTGCGCAAATTCTGGTCCAAGCCATCATCATATCTGGCCTGGATCCCAGCATGGCCTGCCAACTTACTTACTTACTCTGCTTCCATTCTTACTCCCAACATCCTTTTTTTCCATGTGCCAACCAGAGTGATCTTTTTAAAGGATGAATCTGATCTTACCACTCCTCTGACTAAAACTTCCAAAGTTTCCCATTGACTTTAGAGTAAAAATCCTAGCTCTCACCATGACCCACAAAGCCAGCCAGTATCAGAGCTCCCTCTCTGACCTCATCTACTAGTCTCCCCTCCCCTGTATCCCCAGTCCCCTCCACTGTCTTTCTCCCTGCCCCTTCCAAACATGCAATTTTGGCTCACTTGCCTAGAATACTTCTCCTGCAAGCCTACTTTACTTCCTTTGGTCATCTCCGAGGAACTTTTCCCATCCTTTCTAGCTAAAGTGCCAGCTCCCTCCCTGCCACTTCTCCTAGTCATTTTCTGTCCTGTATCACATTTCATTTTCTTCCTAGTACCTTGGTATTCATTGGGGTTTTCCAGGGAAACCGAACAAATATGAGATACATATATTTGAGGGTTTGTTATGGGAATTGGCTTACACTATTATGGAGGCCAAGATGTCCCGCGCTCTGCCATCTGCAAGTTGGAGAACCAGGAAAGCTGGTGGTGTCATTCAGTCTAAGCCCAAAGCGTGAGAACCAGGGGCACCACTGGTGTAAGCCCCCAGAGTCCAAAGGCCTAAGAATAAAGATCTCTGATGCCTGAGATCAGGAGAAGATAAGTGTCCCAGCACAAGGAGAGAAGGAGACAACTTGTTCTTCTTCCACTTTTTGTTCCATCAGGGTGCTCAGTAGTTGGATGATGCCCATCCACATTGGTAAGAGCCATCTGCTTTACTCTGTCTATCCATTTAAATCATAGACTATTCCAGAAACACCTTCTCAGACACACCTAGAAATAATTACCAGCTACATGGGCACCCTTAGCCCAAACTGACACATAAAATTAATCATTACAGGAGAGACGGATCAAGAGGGCTGACTAGATGAAGGTAGTGTATGCCTTCTCCATAGAGAAGAGCTAGAATAGTAAGCAGAAACTCAGATTTTGAACAGATCATGTAGGAGAGAATGTTGGGATTCACCAGAGAAGAGATGGAAAGCACAGAAGTAAGTAAGAGGGTTCAAGGCAGCTCGCCCAGCCAGGAACCAACTGAAAACCAAGGAAGGCTTCTGGATGCAGGAAAACAGTAAAAGAGAAACCCCCAGGGTTCCAAAATGGGCTTTTACAATCTTGGCTACCAAAGAAACCTTCAACCCATTAGGCTTTGGGCCTGACATACGGAGCTGCCTGAAGTTTGCACAGAGATGTTGCTCCAGAATGGGAACCCAGACAAAATCCCACAGGCATCTGAGCCTGGAGAAGGCTCAGCTGGCAGCCATTTTGAGAGCCTTGATACTGGGGATCTACAGACATGGCTGCTGCCACTGTGCTGCCCCAAGGATGGGGAGGGGAGACAAGACCCTCCCACATGCCCCTGGGAGGGTCCCTGCCACCCTTCTGCGGGCTGATGTTGAGAATGAGACAGGAGCAGACCATACTCCCCATAGCTTCTTACCCACACTGCTTGCCTGGAAGGAACCCCACCTTCTCTGTTTCTAGGCCCAGGGCACCATTTTCTGAGTTTAACACTGGGCTGTGTCCTACCCTCAGCCCGAGGTTGGGCTAACACAGCTGCAGCAACCACCCAGCCAAGGAGAAACAGGGAAACCAGGCTATCCTATGCATATCATATCTAAGGTGAGACCCATTACTCTGCAATAGGCTGCTGTTTAGACTGAGATGTGAACAGGCTGCACTCCTCACAGTTTCCTGTCCACACTACTTCCCTGAGAGGTGCCTTGCCCTCTCTGGTCCCAGGACCAAGATGCCATTTTGACAGTTTAACATTGGGCTGCAACACACCTTCAGACTGAGATTGATCTGACATGGATGCAGCTGCCACCCACCCAAGGAACAACAGGGAAACCAGGCTATTCTATACACATCTAGGACAATATCCATGGCTCTGCAATGGGTTGCTGTTGATATTGAGTCACAAATGAACCACAGTCCCCACAGCTTCTGGCCGATGCTATGCTGCCTGCCTAGGAGGAGTCACATCCTCCCTGGTCACAGGCCCCATGCACCATTTGTGAGTGTAATGCTGGGTTACATCCTACCTGTGGGCCAAGTTTGACCTGACATGGTTGTGGCTGCCTCCCTGTAGAGGAGAGACAGGGAAGCCAGGCTCTCCTATGCATACCTAGGACAATACCCAATGCCCTGTTGTGGGCTGCTGTGAAACTGACACTCATGCTGACAGCACTCCCCACAGCTTCTTGCCCATGCTGCTCGCCTGAGAGGGACCCCGCCCTCTCTGACCACAAGCCCACAGCTGGCACCATTTTGAGAGTTTAACACTGGGCTATGCCCCACATTCAGGCCAACTTTGAGATGATGTGACTGCAGCCACCACCCAGCTTGTGGAGGAACAGGGGACAACCAATGCTCCTAAGCACACTTAGGACAATACCAACCACCCTGCTATGGGTAGCTATGGGATTGGAGATTATACCACCCAATCCATCACAACTTCCAGTAACATCAACACAGTGTGCTTGGGTCCCATTGGGTTGCTCCACTACCACTACTGCCATTACCCACACAATACTAGCTGCCCAGGGACCTGAGGATGCACCCCCACACTAGGCCCATCTCTCCTACCACTACCTTCTAAGCAAACCACCTGGAGCTGCTCAAGAATCAGTGCTCCAGGACCTACTAATACCAAGCCAATATCAGCTGCTGTGGGGTCTAGACACAAGCACACCCACCCAACTTCTGCCACTACTGGGGCCCAAAGACTGGCTCAGTTGGTGTCTAAGTCCCCAGGTAAACTTCATCACAACCTCAACTAACAAGTATACCCTAAGTCACTGAGAAAATCACAGAGACCACTGACGAGGGTAATGTCAAAGAGGTAATACAAAGATCACATTGCCTCAGACACTCAAAATCAAAGACAAAATATCTTAATCAACAACACATATACTTAATTAGGAAAAAATTCACCCATACAAAAGCAATTTCAAAAAATTGCAATAAGCAAGTGCTACATCAGATGTGCAGAAATCAACAGAAAGACACAAGAAACATGAAAAAGCAGGGAAATATGACACCACCAAAGGACCACAATTTTCCAGCAGTAGACCTCGATCAAAAAGAATTCCTTGCATGCCAAATAAAAAACTCAAAATATTGATTTTAATGAAGCTTAATGAGATTCAAGAGAAATCTCAAAACAAATATGAAGAAATCAGAAAATAAATCCAGCATATGTATGAGAAATGTATCTAGGAGATAAGACATGTTTTTAAAGACACCAAGAGGAAATTCTGGAAGTAAAAAATTCATTGAAGGAAATGCAAAATACATTGATAAACTTCAATAACAGACAAGGCCAAGCAGGAGAAAGGATCTCAGAACTTGAAGAGAGGTATTTTGAAATAATCCAGTCAGACAAAAATAAAAGCAAAAGAACTGAAAAGAATTTTAAAAACCTGTGAAATGTTTGAGACTACATAAAGTAACTGAACATACAATTACTAGTATTTCTGAGGGGGAAGAGAGAATATTCAGAATGTCTAAAGTCAAAGTGAAAGGAAGAATTTTAAAATTAGCAAGAGAAAAGTGTCTAGTCACCTACAAAGGAAACCCCATCAGACTAACAGTGAACTTTTCAGCAGAAATCTTACAAGCAAGTAGAGAATGAGGTGGAATTTTCAAAGTGCTGAAAGAAAAAACTGTTAGCAAAAAATTTTGTAGCTTGTCAGAATAAGCTTCATAAACAAAGGAGAAATAAAGTTCTTCCCAGACAAGCAAATGCTAAGGGAATTAGTCACCATTAGACTGTTCCTAGAGGAAATGCTCAAAGCAGTCTTAAACATGGAAACAAAAAGTTGACATTCACCCTCATGAAAACCCGGAATTATAAAACTCACAGTTTATATAAAACAATGACACAAAGGGGAAAGAGGAAGGAAACCAATGGCAACAACACAGAATTTCATCAAACCACAAAAACAAAAAGACACTGAAAAAGAAAGAAACAATTTATAAAGCAACTTGAAAAAAATCAATATGATGACAGGAACAAAGCTTTACATATCAATATTAACCTTGAGTATAAATAGATTAAGTGCTCCACTTAAAATATACAGATGGGCAGAATGGATTAAAAAACATGATCCAACTATATGTTGCATACAAGAAATTCAACTTACCCTTAAAGACATGTATAGACTGAAAGTAAAGGAATGGAGAAAGATACTTCACATGGACAGAAACCAAAAGTGAGCAGATAAGACAAACTTTAAATCAAAGTCAGATACCTATATGAGGTAAGACAGACTTTTAATTAAAAAAAGAAAAAAAAAGACAAACAAGGTCATTATATAATGATAAAGGATGCAATTCAATAAAAGGATGTAACAAAACCTAAATATATATGCACCCAACATTGGAGCACCCAAATTGGAGCACACAAAATAAATATTACTAGACCTAAAAAAAGAAGATAGACAGCTGTGTAATAATAGTGTGTGATGAGGGGTTAACATTCCACTCACAACACTAGACAGATCATTGACACAGAAAATGAACAAAGAAACATTGGACTTAAATTGGACTTTTAGACCAAATGGACTTAACAGACATTTACAGAACATTCTACACAATAACTGCAGGGTATACATTCTTTTCATCCACACATGGAACACATGAGTAGTGATTGTATCAGCAATAAAAAATCTTCCAATTTAAAGAAAAAAAAAAGGCTCTGGACCAGACAGATTCACAGCCAAATTCTACCAAATATACAAAGAACTAATACCAATCCTCCTGAAACTATTTCAAAAAAAATCAAGAAGGAGGGAATTCCCCCTAACTTATTCTATGAGACCAATATCACCCTGATGCCAAAACCAGACAAGGACACACACACACACACACACACACACACACACAACAGACTAATATCTCTGATGAACATACACATAAAATACTCAAAAAAATACTAGCAAATTGAATCCAACAGCACATCAAAAAGATAATACACCATAATCAGGTAGAATTATCCTGAGGATGCAAGGATGACTCAACATATGCAAATCAGTAAACACAATACATCACATGAACAGAATTAAGGACAAAAACCATAAGATAATCCCAATAGATGCAGAAAAAGTATTTGATAAAATTCAGTATCTCTTCACAATAAAAATTCTCAACAATCTAGGCATAGAAGGGATATACCTCAACATAATAAAGGCCATATATGACAAACCAACAGTCAACGTCATACTTAATGGGAAAAAGTTGACAACAGTTACTCCAAAAACTGGAATAAGACAAAAATGCCCACTTTAAACACTCTTATTTCACGTAGTATGGAAGTCCTCACCACAGCAATCAAGCAAGGGAAAAAAATAAAAGGCATCCAAATTGGAAAAGAAGAGATCAAATTATTCTTGTCAAATTATAACTTGTATACATATACATACATACACCATCACTATATAAACTACTATATATATATCACTATAACATAAATCTTTTAAAAAGTGAAATATATATGTATATACTGTAAATATAGTGATATATATACACATAGTATATATGCGCATATACACACAGTATATATGCGCATATACACACAGTATATATGCGCATATACACACATAGTATATATGTATATATATCACTACATATTACAGTATATACAGTATATACATATCATTATACTATATATATATATATATAGTGTGTGTGTATATATATATATACCACAAATGCTACTGAGCCATAAAAAAAGATAAAATCACATCTTTTACACATCTTTTACAGCAACATGGATGGAACTGGAGGCCATTATCTTCAGTAAATTAACTCAGGAACAGAAAGTCAAATACTACATGTTCTCATTTGTAAGTGGGAGCTAAACAATAGGTACACCTGGACATACAGAATAGAATCATAGACATTGGAGGCTACAAAATGTGGGAGGGTGGGAATGGAGTGAGAGTTGAAAAATTATCTATTGGATATAGTGTTCACTATTTGGGTGGTAGGTACACTAAAAGCCCAGACTTCACTACTATGCAATATATGCATACAAGAAACCTACCCTTGTACCCCTAAATATATAAAATATATATACAAATTTTAAAAAACCATCACACTTTTAACTAAATTTTATCATTTATTTATTTAGATACTCATTGTTGTCTACCCATCTTCACCCTTTAACTAGAACATAAACTTCATGAAGGCAGATACTGTATGTCCAGTACTTGGAAGACTGGCTAGTATACACCAGATGTTCAGTGATTACTGATTCAATTAATGTGAGTGGTTCCCTCTATATATCCTTCCATCCCATCTGCACCTAACTCCTACTTGATCCTCTAAACCTAGCTGAGAGATCACCTTTTCTGAAAACACCCTTCCCAGAGGAATTTCAGCTACATTTCCCTCCCCTCTGCACCCTCTGCTCTATTCTATCAGAACATTTCTCAAACTCCACTGTAAATGTCCACCTCCCATACTGGATCATTACCTCCTCTGTCTTTTATCTCTATATCCCTATTCTCTAATATAGTCTGACTACTCAACAGCTACTTGACATATGTTTGTAAAATAATAAACAAATGAATCATTTAAAAATTGGTTTTATGGAGGTAAAAATGTTTGTGTGGGAATACTTCTTGAAGTGCTTTTCGAAGACACTACACTAAAAAATCTAAACATTCAAAAAAATTATGCTTAATGTCTTAAAGTTTACACTGAGAACAGCAGTCAAGTTGAAAGTCTTCAGTTGGAGGGAGGGAATGCTATAATCGTGAGTAATAATACATAGGAAATAATTAGTAAATCCTGGTTGGTTAATTGACAGGGTGAGATGAATAAGGCCTTCCCAGACATAAATGTCTCAGGCACCAGCCACTGCAGGCAGCCAAGGTCATGGTGAAGCCTCATAAAGCCTTTCCCAAAACAGAGCACAGAGCACACTTTTCAAAAAAGCCTGGATAGCTAAAATTCCCTAGATGTTCTGTCTCTATTTGCACAGCATGTGTAAACCAACAAATTCTAAATCCTTGCATACCCTCTCTCTAAACCCATGGCAATAGTCTCTCTCTTGAGAGCAGTCTTTGTCCATATTAACCCACCTTTCAGGCTACACCCATACCCCACTCTTCTGATTTGGGGCTTTGTTTTTTTAAGATGTGTCTGAAGATATCTCGTCTCACCAATGTATGGTTGCTTTTTCTAGCTTGTCTTAAAAAGCTCTAGGGATACATCACTGCTGACCCTACGCCACCTATATGACAACAGTCTGGAATTTTTTTTTTTATTATACTTTAAGTTCTAGGGTACATGTGCACAACGTGCAGGTTTGTTACATAGGTATACATGTGCCATGTTGGTTTGCTGCACCCGTTAACTCATCATTACATTAGGTATTTCTCCTAATGCTATCCCTCCTCCAGCCCCCCACCCCACAACAAGCCCCAGTGTGTGATACTCCCCGACCTGTGTCCAAGTGTTCTCATTGTTCAGATCCCACCTATGAGTGAGAACATGCGGTGTTTGGTTTTCTGTGCTTCTGATAGTTTGCTCAGAATGATGGTTTCCAGCTCCATCCATGTCCCTGCAAAGGACATCAACTCATTCTTTTTTATAGCTGCATAGTATTCCATGGTGTATATGTGCCACATTTTCTTAGTCCAGTCTATCATTGATGGATATATGGGTTGGTCCCAAGTCTTTGCTATTGTGAATAGTGCCACAAAAAACATACGTGTGCATGTGTCTTTATAGTATAATGATTTATAATCCTTTGGGTGTATACCCAGTAATGGGATCACTGGGTCAAATGGTATTTCTAGTTCTAGATCCTTGAGGAATCACCACACTGTCTTCCACAATGGTTGAACTAGTTTACACTCCCACCAACAGTGTAAAAGCATTCCTATTTCTCCACATCCTCTTCAGCATCTGTTGTTTCCTGACTGTTTAATGATCGCCATTCTAACTGGTGTCAGATGGTATCTCGTTGTGGTTTTGATTTGCATTTCTCTGATGGCCAGTGATGAGCATTTTTTCATATGTCTGTTGCCTGCATAAATGTCTTCTTTTCAGAAATATCTGTTCACATCCTTTGCCCACTTTTTGATTGGGTTTTTTTGTCTTGTAAATTTGTTTAAGTTCTTTGTAGATTCTGGATATTAGCCATTTGTCAGATAGATGGATTGCAAAATTTTTCTCCCGTTCTGTAGGTTGCCTGTTCACTCTGATGGTAGTTTCTTTTGCTGTGCAGAAGCTCTTTAGTTTAATTAGATCCCATTTGTCTATTTTGGCTTTTGTTGCCATTGCTTTTGGTGTTTTAGTCATGAAATCCGTGCCCATGCCTGTGTCCTGAATGGTATTGCCTAGGTTTTCTTCTAGGGTTTTGATGGTTTTAGGTTTAAGTCCTTAATCCATCTTGAATTAATTTTTGTGTAAGGTGTAAGGAAGGGATCCAGTTTCAGCTTTCTACATATGGCTAGCTAGTTTTCCCAGCACCATTTATTAAACAGGGAATCCTTTCCTCATTTCTTCTTTTTGTCAGGTTTGTCAAAGATCAGATGGTTGTAGATGTGTGGTGTTATTTCTGAGTCTTCTGTTCTGTTCCATTGGTCTACATATTTGTTTTGGTACCAGTACCATGCTGTTTTGGTTACTGTAGCCTTGTAGTATAGTTTGAAGTCAGGTAGTGTGATGCCTCCAGCTTTGTTCTTTTGGCTTAGGATTGTCTTGGCAATGCGGGCTCTTTTTTTGGCTCCATGTGAATTTTAAAGTAGTTTTTTCCAATTCTGTGAAGAAAGTCATTGGTAGTTTGATGGGGATGGCATTGAATCTATAAATTACCATGGGCAGTATGGCCATTTTCACAATATTGATTCTTCCTATCCATGAGCATGGAATGTTCTTCTATTTGTTTGTGTCCTCCTTTATTTCATTGAGCAGTGGTTTGTAGTTCTCCTTGAAGAGGTCCTTCACATCCCTTGTAAGTTGGATTCCTAGGTATTTTATTCTTTTTGTAGCAATTGTGAATGGGAGTTCACTCATGATTTGGCTCTCTGTTTGTCTGTTATTGGTGTATAGGAATGCTTGTGATTTTTTGCACATTGATTTTGTATCCTGAGACTGCTGAAGTTGCTTACCAGCTTAAGGAGATTTTGGGCTGAGATGATGGGGTTTTCTAGATATATAATCATGTCATCTGCAAACAGGGACAATTTGACTTCCTCTTTTCCTAATTGAATACCCTTTATTTCTTTCTTTTGCCTGATTGCCCTGGCCAGAACTTCCAATACTATGTTGAATAGAAGTGGTGAGAGAGGGCATCCCTGTCTTGTGCCAGTTTTCAAAGGGAATGCTTCCAGTTTTTGCCCATTCAGTATGATACTGGCTGTGGGTTTGCCATAGATAGCTCTTATTATTTTGAGATACATCCCATCAATACCCAATTTATTGAGATTTTTAGCATGAAGAGCTGTTGAATTTTGTCAAAGGCCTTTTCTGCATCTATTGAGATAATCATGTGGTTTTTGTCGTTGGTTCTGTTTATTTGATGGATTACGTTCATTGATTTGCATATGTTGAACTACCCTTGCATCCCAGGGATGAAGCCAACTTGATCGTGGTGGATAAGCTTTTTGATGTGCTGCTGGATTCAGTTTGCCAGTATTTTATTGAGGATTTTTGCATCGATGTTCATCAGGGATATTGGCCTAAAATGTGTCTCTGCCAGGCTTTGGTATCAGGATGAGGCTGACCTCAAAAATGTGTTAGGGAGGATGCCCTCTTTTCCTATTGATTGGAATAGTTTCAGAAGGAATGGTACCAGCTCCTCTTTATACCTCTGGAAGAATTCGGCTGTGAATCCATCCGGTCCTGGCCTTTTTTTGGTTGGTAGGCTGTTGATTATTGCCTCAATTTCAGAGCCTGTTATTGGTCTATTCAGAGATTCCACTTCTTCCTCGTTTAGTCTTGGGAGGGTGTATGTGTCCAGGAACGTACCATTTCTTCTACATTTTCTAGTTTATTTGCGTAGAGGTGCTTATAGTATTCTCTGATGGTAGTTTGTATTTCTGTGGGATTGGTGGTGATCTCCCCTTTATCATTTTTTATTGCATCTATTTGATTCTTCTCTCTTTTCTTCTTTATTAGTCATGCTAGCGGTCTATCAATTTTGTTGATCTTTTCAAAAAACCAGACCCCGGATTCATCAATTTTTTGAAGGGTTTTTTGTGTCTCTGTCTCCTTCAGTTCTGCTCTGATCTTAGTTATTTCTTGCCTTCTGCTAGTTTTTGAATGTGTTTGCTCTTGCTTCTCTAGTTCTTTTAATTGAGATGTTAGGGTGTCAATTTTAAATCTTTCCTGCTTTCTCTTGTGGGCATTTAGTGCTATAAATTTCCCTCACACACTGCCTTAAATGTGTCCCAGAGATCCTGGTACGTTGTGTCTTTGTTCTCATTGGTTTCAAAGAATATCTTTATTTCTGCCTTCATTTTGTTATTTACCCAGTAGTCATTCAGGAGCAGGTTGTTCAGTTTCCATGTAGTTGAGTGGTTTTGAGTGAGTTTCTTAATCCTGAGTTCTAATTTGATTGCACTGAAGTCTGAGAGACAGTTTGTTGTGATTTCTGTTCCTTTACATTTGCTGAGGAGTGCTTTACTTCCAACTATGTGGTGAATTTTGAAATAAGTGCGCTGTGGTGCTGAGAATGTATATTCTGTTGATTTGGGGTGGAGAGCTCTGTAGATGTCTATTAGGTCCAGTTGGTGCAGAGGTGAATTCAAGTCCTGGATATCCTTGTTAACCTTCTGTCTCCTTGTCTGTCTAATATTGACAGCAGGGTGTTAAAGCCTCCCATTATTATTGTGTAGGAGTCTAAGTCTTTTTGTAGGTATCTAAGGACTTGCTTTATGAATCTGGGTGCTCCTGTATTGTTGCATATATATTTAGCATAGTTAGCTCTTCTTGTTTAATTAATCCCTTTACCATTATGTAATGGCCTTCTTTGTCTCTTCTGATCTTTGTTGGTTTAAAGTCTGTTTTATCAGAGACTAGGATTACAACACCTGCCTTTTTTTGTTTTCCATTTGCTTGGTAGATCTTCCTCCATCCCTTTATTTTGAGCCTATGTGCGTCTCTGCACATGAGATGGGTCTCCTGAATACAGTACACTAATGGGTCTTGACTCTTTATCCAATTTGCCAGTCTGTGTATTTTAATTGAAGCATTTAGCCCATTTACATTTAAGGTTAATATTGTTATATGTGAATTTGATCCTGTCTTTATGATGCTAGCTGGTTATTTTGACCATTAGTTGATACAGTTTCTTCCTAGCATCAATGGTCTTTACAATTTGGCATGTTTTTGCCTTGGCTGGTACCAGTTGTCCTTTCCATGTTTAGTGCTTCCCTCAGGAGCTCTTGTAAGGCAGGCCTCGTGGTGACAAAATCCCTCAGCATTTGCTTGTCTGTAAAGGATTTTATTTCTCCTTCACTTATGAAGCTTAGTTTGGCTGGATATGAAATTCTGGGTTGAAAATTCTTCTCTTTAAGAATGTTGAATATTGGCCCCCACTCTTTTCTGGCTTGTAGAGTTTCTGCCAAGAGATCTGCTGTTAGTCTGATGGGCTACCCTTTGTGGGTAACCGGACCTTTCTCCCTGGCTGTCCTTAACAATTTTTCCTTCATTTCAACCTTGGTGAATCTCACAATTATGTGTCTTGAGGTTGCTCTTCTCAAGGAGTATCTTTGTGGTGTTCTCTGTATTTCCTGAATTTGAATGTTGGCCTGCCTCACTAGGTTGGGGAAGTTCTCCTGGATAATCTCCTGAAGAGTGTTTTCCAACTTGGTTCCATTCTTCCTGTCACTTTCAGGTACACCAATCAAACATAGGTTTGTCTTTTCACATAGTCCCACATTTCTTGGAGGCTTTGGTCATTTCTTTTTACTCTTTTTTCTCCAAACTTCTCTTCTTGCTTTATTTCATTAATTTGATCTTCAATCACTGATGCCCTCTCTTTCACTTGATCAAATCGGCTACTGAAGCTTGTGCATGCGTCTCACAGTTCTCGTGCCATGGTTTTCAGCTCCATCAGGTCATTTAAGGTCTTCTCTACACTGTTTATTCTAGTTAGCCATTTGTCTAATCTCTTTTCAAGGTTTTTAGCTTCCTTGCAATGGGTTCGAACATCCTCCTTTAGCTTGGACAAGTTTGTTATTACTGACCTTCTGAAGCCTACCTCTGCCAACTCATCAAAATCATTATCCATTGAGCTTTGTTCCGTTGCTAGCAAGGAGCTGGAATCCTCTGGAGGAGAAAAGGTGCTCTGGTTTTCAGAATTTTCAGCTTTTCTGCTCTGGTTTCTCTCCATCTTTGTGGTTTTATCTACCTTTGGTCTTTGATGTTGGTGATCTACAGAAGGGGTTTTGGTGTGGATGTCCTTTTTGTTGATGTTGATGCTATTCCTTTCTGTTTGTTAGTTTTCCTTCTAACAGTCAGGTCCCTCAGCTGCAGGTCTGTTGGAGTTTGCTGGAGGTCCACTCCAGACCCTGTTTGCCTGGGTATCAGCAGCAGAGGCTGCAGAACAGCAAATATTGCAGAACAGCAAATATTGCTGCCTGATCCTTCCTCTGGAAGCTTCATCCCAGAGGGGCACCCACCTGTATGAGGTATCAGTCAGCCCTTACTGGGAGGTGTCTCCTAGCTAGGCTACACGGGGTCAGAGACCCACTTGAGGAGGCAATCTGTTCGTTCTCCAAGCTCAAATGCCGTGCTGGGAGAACCACTGCTCTCTTCAGAGCCGTCAGACAGGGACATTTAAGCCTGCAGAAGTTTCTGCTGCCTTTTGTTCAGCTATGCCCTGCCCCCAGAGCTGGAGTCAACAGAGGCAGCAGGTCTTGCTGAGCTGCAGTGGGCTCCGCCCAGTTTGAGCTTCCCCAGCTGCTTTGTTTACCTATTCAAGCCTCAGCAATGGCAGACGCCCCTCCCCCTGCCAGGCTGCCACCTTGCAGGTCGATCTCAGACTGCTGTGCTAGCAGTGAGCAAGGCTCCATGGGTGTGGAACCCACCACTGAGCCAGGTGCTGCATATAATCTCCTGGTATACCGTTTGCTAAGACAGGACAACAGTCTGGAATTTTTATTTTGTCATTTATTAAATCCCAGTGTTCTCCAGCAAAGATGGATTATTTCCTCTTGCTATCTAACCCTTACCCTTTCCTGCATCTTTATTTGAGTTGTTGATAGAATTTTTCCCCCTTGATCAATTGTGATTTGTTTGTGCAATGGCATGCAGTAAATAACCCTTGTCTCCAGGATTGTACTGGCTACGTCCCTAAATTGCATTCTCAGAAGAAATTGCCTCATTTCTCTGAGTTGAATCCATTTAGTCAATCTGGGGGTCAAAAGGCTGGCAGGTTGGGATTTATGAAAGTTCCTACCTACAGTTTAATAGTAAATTCCTCTAAGACATCTACCAGACACTACAAAGGTGGATTCTATTTTGCTCGCCCTTCTTGCTACAGATGTTGATGAAACAAGTTATTTCTTTGCCAATGCCGAAACCCAGTATATCTCGCTTTTATCAGTTTAAAACTAGGTTGCTTGGGGTGGGGAGATGTTTTTGATTTTGTTAAGATTTTTTTGTTGTTGTTCAATTTTGCAGGTTAATATTTGCTTGTTGTTGAAAAAAAGAAATGAAAAAAAGGCCTTATTGATGGCTTTTTACAGTCTCAGCTCCTATGCCAAAAATCAGCCACCTAGACATCACTCCTCATAATTCTGTCACCAAACATTATCTCATGCCCCTCCATGTCAAGATCTCCTATTCTGCAAGGGAAGTAACAGAAAAGGAGGAATCACAATGTCCTGAGTTTTCCTCAGTGTCAGGACTCTAGAATCTCTCTACAATACTGGTAAGAAGTGAGCAGAATTGAGGAGGAGGTGCTTCTAGCCTGAACATTATCCTGTGGGATTTTATTACAGAAAAGCCTAAAAGACCTTATCTAATGTGGTCTCACAATGTAGACTATGCCATGTCATGATCCTGAAGCTCTGAAATTGATCTTTTAGAAGCACAATAAATCCATATACAGATTTTCCTCAACTTATGATGTGGTTACAACCCAAAAAACTCATCATAAGTTGCAAATGCATTTAATACCCCTAACCTGCCAAACGTTATACCTTAGCCTAGCTTCCCTTAAACATGCTCAAAACACGTGAGCCTACAGTTGGGCAAAATCATCTAACACAAAGCCCACTTTATAATGAACTGTTAGATATCTTATGTAATTTGTTGAATACTGTACTGAAGTATGTTTCTACTGAATGCATATTGTCTTCACATCATCATAAAGTCAAAAAAATCATAAGTCAAACCATTATAAGTTGGGGCTGTCTGTACTCAACTGCTCTTTTGGGGAGGCTGAGAGGAAAAAAGGTATCATCAACATGAATGATATTTGGAACATTCTGAACAACATTTCTAACTAGTGAAAAAATATTCTTGTACCCCAAGGTTACTTGAGTCATTTGATTTATAGTCATTGGTATCCAACTTAAGGTTTTAGCTTGATTTGTATAGAGTAGTGATAATTCTCTTTAACATCGGGAGAAAGGGAAGAAAGTTAACATCAAGAATTTGCCAAGTAAAATTTGCCAAGGCTCAATTTAACTCAATAAACATTTACTGATCACCTAACTATGATCAGGTGTTATACAGGATGGTCTAGATATAGAAATGCATAAGACAGTCTTGCTCTCAAGGGGTTCACAATCCATGGAGAGAAATAGACACATAAGGACTTAAATACAACTTGGAGGTGAAATAATAGATATATACACAGGATAATACAGAAACTTGTGAAAGGACATCCAACCCAAGGAAAGGGTCTTGATGGAGCATAAGAATTATAATCATTATTAAATTCCCTGCTCCTTATAAATTCATACCCAAAAAGACCACAGTAGTTTATGCCTCATCAAATTATTAAAAAATGATTTTATATGAGCCTTTGAATCATCAAAGCAGAAAAATTTGTGTGTGTGTGTGTGTGTGTGTGTGTGCGTGTGCATGTGCGCACATGCATACTTGGTAAATGTAAGCTTAGATAACAGATACTTTACTGTACATTTAAAGCATAAGTTGACAGAATTAATCAAATAAGCATTACAACCTGCAATTGTGTAATATATTAGTATTCTCACATATTTAGAGATAATCATCAATCTGCCCACACAGGCAAGAATCCATAGTGAAATGCACTCATAGATGATGTTAGTTCTGCCTCCTTCATTTCAGAACATTTGCCTTTTAGGAGAAAGAGTATTATGCTCTAGTCTTAGTGAAATGTTTGGTTTAAGTTCTAGCTTTTCTCATTGTTTAATCTCACTTCTTAAGGGAAAGGAAAATAACAATAGTTGAGCACCTACTGTGTGCCAAATGTAGCTATTTTACCTATACATCAATTTATTTTTACTGCAACTCCACAATGAAGGTATTGATCCTAGCCCCTGTACCCACTATAGTATACACATTTTACGGGTAAGGAAATATAGATTTGGGGAGGTTAGGCACTTGCCACAGGTGCACAGTTAGGTCTGATTTATTCTAAACATGTATATCCTGTTTTCCCAAGCATATAAAAGATTCTCCAGTGCGAGGTGTGTGCCTTCTATTTCACCTGTATCTCTCCACAGTACATCCCAGAAACAATAGTACCAGTCAAAAGTAGCTACATTGGGTTTCCTCTATCTCAATTTTGTTAGAAATAATAACTCCTTAATCCCCACCTCCAGCCCCTGTCAACCAGCATTCCACTTCCTACCTCTATGAATTTGCCTACTATAGGTCCATCATGTAAGTGGAATCATTCAGTATTTGTCCTTTGGTGCCTGGCTTATTTCACTTAGCATAATGACGTCCTTAAAGCTCACCCATCTTATAGCATGTGTCAGAATTTCCTTCCTTCTCAAGGCTGACTGATATTCCATTTTATGTATATACCACATTTTGTTTATCTATTCATTCATTCGTGAACATATGGGTTGCTCCCAACTTTTATGAATACTGCTATAAACACGGGTGTACAAATTAAATTAATGTTCGTACAGATGATTGAAGGCTCAAGGATCAAATGACTCAAGTAACCCCCAAATAACAGCTAGGGAGAAGACAGAGGAATTCAAGGTAGTGAGGTAGCATATTAAATTCTGAGAGATGAAGTCCCCTCAACTGAAACATTGAGGATAGAATAAAGAAAAGTAGAAACCCAGTGTAAATGCACTCAGGGGACTACTAGTTCAAGCAGAGAAGGAAAGCGAGAATCCCAATCCAGCCAAGAGAAGTATAATAGAGGAAGCCCTGATAATACCAGGACTAGGTGTAGGGGCTGTGCACACCCAAACCCCAGTGAGAAGAAGATGTGATCCATACCAAAGTAGGCAGACTACGAAGCTGAGGTCTGAGCTCTCTGCAGATAAAAACTGACTCTGTATAGATCCCTCTTTGTTTGAGGTGAGAAAGCAGAAGGGTAAGAAATGGTATTTATGAACAATTACTACAGAACCAGAAAAAGTAACACATGGAGAAAAACTAAACACCTCTGAAGATGATTTTCTACTGCTATGATCTGAACATCCCCCAAAATTCATGTGTTGAAACTTAATTGCCAATACGACAGTATTAAGAGGTGGGACATTTAAGGGGCAATTAAGTCATGAGAATGAAGACCCCATGAATGGGATTAACGACCTTATGAAAGGGCTGGAGTGAACTAGCTAGGCCCTTTTTTGCTTTTCTGTCCCTTCTGCCATGTGAGGACACAGTGCTCCCCTCATCTGGAGGATCCAGCAACAAGGTGACATCTTGGAAGCAGAGAGAGAGCCCTGACCAGACACTGAATCTGCTGGCATCTTGATCTTGGACATCAAGTATCTAGAACTCTTTCTGTTACTTACAAATTACCCAGTCTGGGATATTTTGTTACAGCAGCACAAACGAAGGCAACTACTAAAACTAGAAGAAAACTATTAAAATTGTCATTCTAATTAGAATGTCTAGAGACATAGCCTTTGTGGAACAGAACAAAAAGCCATAAGAAGAAAGATTGAGATGTAAGAATGACAGAATGAGATGAAAATGATAACTTGAGGAAAGGTGGCAAGGACACTATAATGCAATAAGAGGATTTAAACCCACAACAGAGGCAATAAATAACAGAAGCACATTGTATAAAACCAAATCAGTGACTAAGAGAACAAACCAAGAATTATAACAGCTTATGGGAGAGAAACCAGAATAACTGAAAAACAAGAAATATCAAAAACTTAATAAAGGCTGGGCCCAGTGGCTTATGCGTGTGATCCCAGTGTTTTAGGAGGCTGAAGCAGAATCACTTGAGGCCAGCCGTTCCAAACCAGCCTGGACAACATAGTCAGACCTCATCTGAAATAAAAATTATCCAGATGTGGTGGTGCCCACCTGTAGTCCTAACTATTCAGGAGGCTGAGGTCAGAGGATCACTTCACTTGAGCCCATTTCAAGGCTGCAGCAAGCTATGATTGTGCCACTGCACACCAGCCTGGATGACAGAGCAAGACTCTGTTTCAAAAAATAAAAAAGAAAAAAGAAGACATTCCTAAAAAATGGAAACTGAGATTTCAAATTGAAATAATTTATTAATTAATTTATCTACTTGCTATTAATGAGTGCCTACAGCATGCCAAGTTTTGCAGGTGAACACAATTGCATTCCAGGGAAAGTAACTTTAAGAAAGACCCACACCTCATTTTTACATGCTAAAATGTTTGAACGGTTAAATGAGGTTAAAAAATCTTACATATATTGGGTGCCATGTTCTCTATCTGGGTGACAGGATCATTGGAAGCCCAAAACCTCAGCATCATGCAATATATCTTTGTAATAAACCTGCACATGTACTACATGAATCTAAAATAAAAATGGAAATTTAAAAATAAATTAATTAAATTAAATTAAATCTAACATATTTCTTAGCAGAAACAAAGGGTGAAGGGGTACGGCCTGGAAGGAAAACATCTGGCTGGCCTCAAATTCTCTACTGAAATAGGCTATGGAGAGACATGTCCTGAATTTTGAGAGTAATTTTGAGCTAAGAATTTTATACACAACTAAGAATTTTTGCTGATATGAAAACAACAGAAAGACATTCTTAGATACATAGGGTTCTAAAATAGAACCCCCACAAAATTAAAAAATTTGAAGAGATACTCCAGCCAACTGTAAAATTGAATGAGTAAATCTCCTCTCTTCATCAAAATCTTAGGCTGAATGCAAGTTTTTGCTCCTAGTCCTAAAACAGATCGTAGTGGCAGTAAGAAAAAGAATATATTCCTCCAAGTCCTAAGCCTTGGAGGGAGGGATACCAATAGACCAAAGGTCCTAATTAGTTTCTGAAAGATGGAAGAAGTCAAATTGGATGAACTCGCAGAAATGCCACTGCCTGATGCATCCACTAAGGAAGGCTGCAAGGAGCAGGGAGCCTTTCCTCTTGGATGAACTCTTCCAAGTCAGCAGCAATCCAGAACAGAAGTAAGATGAGGGACAGGAATTCAGGAATTGAAGTCACTGATTGAAGAACTGTACAGATGGCATTTGTTCATAGGCTGAAGTCACAGAAATACTCTCTGAAGAAACTAAGCAATCCAAATTGTGCAGGCTGAGGCTCTTGTGTAGGGGCTGGCAGCCCAGAGGTGAGACCATCAGGGGTCGAAGGAAGGGGTCTGCCTGCTTTCAGATTCCTATTTGTATCCTAATATGAAGACTTCTAATAGATGAGACCTAACCACATAAACAGATGCATTCTCAGCTCTCATTCAGTTCTGTACTGACTGAGGAAGTCTACCCAACTACCCATTAAGCAACAATCTTTCTATCATAAATATAAATACATAACCAAGGATTACTAGACATTTGGGAAAAAACAGACAGACCATAAGACAAACTAGTATAAAAATTAACCTGAAGGACGTATTAATGTAAGGAAATGTTTTAAAGGATTAAAAATGTATAATTAGGCCAAGCGTAGAAGACACATGCCTGTAATCCCGGCACTTCGGGAGGACTGCTTAAGGCCAGGAGTTTGAGGCCAGCCTGTGCAACACAATGAGATCCCATCTCTAAAAAAAAATTTAAAAATTAGTTGGGCATGGTGTTGCACACCTATAGTTACAGCTACTTGGGAAGCTGGGGTGGAAGGATCCCTCGAGCCCAGGAGTTGATAGTGAGCTATGATCTCACCACTACACCAGAGACCCTGTCTGAAAAAAAAAAAAACACGTATAATTAACATTAGAGAATATATTGTTCCAGATGATAAGATTATACTTCTGAAAATGGGATAATATAAGAATAGAATTAATGGAATTTAAAAATATGATAGTTGAAATATTCAGTAAAATGACTGGACAAAAACATTTAAAAAATACTGTATTGAAAAGTGAAAAGTCAAAGCTTAGAAAAAAGAAAAGAGAACATAAAAGAGGATCAATTCAATCAAAAGGGCCATATACATCCAGTGGAAGTTCTGGAAAGGAACTTCCACTAGAAGTTTGAGAATATGGAAGTCACAAAAAAATCACAGAAATAATTGAAGATGATTTTCCAAAATGCAAATAATCACAGCTGATATGGTTTGGTTGTGTTCCCACCCAAATCTCATCTTCAATTGTAATCCTAATTATAATCCCCATGTGTTGGAGAAGGGACCTCATGGGAGGTGATTAGATCATGGGGGCAGTCCCCCCATGCTGTTTTTGTGACAGTGAGTGAGTTCACAGGCGATCTGATGGTTTTATAAGGGGCTTTTCCCCCTTCACTCTGCATTTCTCCTTGCTGCCAACCATGTGAAGAAGGATGTGTTTGCTTCCCCTTCTGCCATGATTGTAAGTTTACTGAGGCCTCCCCAGGCCTGCAGAACTGTGAGTCAATTAAACCTCTTTCCCTTATAAATTACCCAGTCTTGGGTATGACTTTATTAGCAGCATGAGAACGGACTAATACAACAGCTTACCTAATACTTAAGAATGCTAAATCTAAAAACAAGATCTAGAATTAGGGGAAAAAGAAGTTACCTGCGATGAATACATTAAAATTTAAAAATTGACCATTTATTATTGCGATTTGGAATACTAGAAAACAATGAAACAATGCTTTCAAAGTTCAAAAGAAAAAATGATTTTGAATGTAGGAGTCTATACTGAGCCAAACTATCAATCAAGTGCAAGAGTAAAATAAAAGACATTTTCAGACAAGCATTAACTCAAAAAGTTTACCTTCTATAAACATTTTCTGAAAAAATTGAGACTATACCCCACTAAAACAAAGTAGAGAAAAAAATAATTATTACAGAAAAAGATACAGGATTCTAGAAACAGTATGATCAATTAAAAATACAATTTTTTAAAACCCCAGGCTGATAGCTGTGGAGCAGGCCCATAAAGACATTTGGTATCTCAATAAGTGGTTTGCTTTAAAAAGCTGAATGAGCTTAGGAATATGGTGAAGAAAGCATATGTTCTTTCAGGCAACAAGAAACAAAAAAGGAAGGCAATCAAACTTTCAGTAAAGCAATGCATATTCCTAGACCATTATATTCCAAATAGGAAGAAAAAAAAAGGCATGATTTTGAAAAAAATTCTGGTTGACCTTGAAGCTTGGAGTATCTTCCTCTGTATGGCCCAAGTTTAGTGATATATTACACAGTATTTTCTAAGGGTCTAATAACACCCACTAGTTCTATAGTAAATATTATAATGCTGCTCAATATTAATTTTACTCAATTGAAATGTAACATAATGCACACATTATAAACCTTATCAATAAAAATGTATTGGTATGGTTGGCCAGCTGAGAAGTAGAGGAAGGAGATAGAGTAGAAAGGGTTAAGGCACTAAATTTCTCATCTTACAAAGTATAGATTTAAAAATTTAATAAATCACAATAAGGAGAAAAGAAGTACTGGATTTTTTTTAAAAAGGCAATGTAAGTGAATTACATCCTCCTTTTAGTAAGATGTCAATCATTTAGTACAGTTTAGGTCAAAAAATTGAGAAATTGAGGTAAATACTTATTTAGATTTATGTGTTCAGGGTGCTAACAGAACTGGGTTAGGGGATGGTATGGCTTGGATGTTTGACCCCTACAAATCTCATGTGGAAATGTAATATACAGGGTTGGAGGTGGGGTCCAATGGGAGGTGGATCCTGAAGGCAAATCCCTCGTGAATGACTTAGTGCCATCTCCTTGGTGATGAGTTCTCACTCAGTTAGTTCATGCAAGATCTAGTTATTTACAAGTATGTAGCACCTCTCCCCTCTCTCTTGCTTCCACTCTTGCTATGTGATATGCCTGCTCCTGCTTCACCTTTCACCATAAGTAAAAGCTCCCTGAGGCCTCCCCAGAAGCCAAGCAGATGCCAGTGCCATGCTTGCACAGGCTGCAGAACTGTGAATCAATTAAACCTCTTTACTTATAAATTTCCTAGTCTCGGATATTTCTTTATAGCAACACAAAAACGGGCTAACACAGAAAGTTGGTACCAAGGAATAGGGCATTGCTATAAAGACACCTGAAAATGTGGGACCACCTTTGAAATTGGGTAACAGGCAGAGGTTGGAAGAGTTTGGAGGGCTCAGAAGAAGACAAGAAGGTCCAGAAGAAGACAAGAAGGTCCAGGCATGATGGCTCATGCCTGTAATCCCAGCTCTTTAGGAGGCCAAGGTGGGTGGATCACCTGACGTCAAGAGTTCAAGACCAGCCTGGCCAACACTGTGAAACCCCATCTCTATTAAAAATACAAAAATTAGCCAGGCATAGTGGCAGGCGCCTGTAATCTCAGCTATTCGGGAGTCTGAGGCATGAGAATCACTTGAATCCGGGCTGTGGAGTTTGCAGTGAGCCAACATCACGCCACAGCACTCCAGGCTGGGCAATAGAGCGAGACTCAGTCTCAAAAAATTGATAAGAAAAAGACAGGAAGATGAGTGAAAGTCTAGAACTTCTTATAGATTGGTCAAATTGTTGCGGCCAAAATGCTGATCAAGATGTGGACAGTGAAAATCAAGCTGATGGGGTCTCAGATGGAAATAAGAAACTTACTGGGAACTGGAACAAAGGTCACCCATGTATGCCCTAGCAAATAGTTTGGCTGCATTATGACCATGTCCTAGGGCTCTGTGGAAATTTGAACTTAAGAGTAATGGCCTTGGGTATCTGGTGGAAGAAATTTCTAAGCAGCAAAGCATTCAAGATGTTACCTAGCTGCTTCTAACAGCCTATGATCAGATGCAGGAGCAAAGGAATGACTTGAAGTTGAAACTTATATTTAAAAGAGAAACAGCATAAAAGTTTGGAAAATTTGCAGCCTGGCTGCAGAATTCAAGCAGGCTGCAGAGCAACCACTTGCAAGAGAGATTGTCATTACTAAAAGAGAGCCAAGTGCTAATATTCAAGACAGTGGGGAAAAGGCCTCCAAGGCATTTCAGAGATCTTTGAGGCAGCCCTTTCCATCACAGTTCAGAGGCCTAGGAGGAAACAATGATTTCAGGGGCCAGGTCCAGGGCTGTACTGCCCTGCACAGCCTTGTGATACTGCTATCCACATCCTAGCCACTTCAGCTCCAGCCATGGCTCAAAGAGCCCCAGGTACAGCTCCAGCTGCTGCTGTAGAGAGTGCAGTCTCCCATAAGTTTTGATGGCTTCCAGTAGTGTTAAGCCTGCAGGCACACAATATGCAAGAGTGAAGGAGGCTTGGCACCTCCTCAGATTCTAAAGGATGTATGAGAAAGCCTGGGTACCCAGGCAGAAGACTGCCGCAGGGGCACAGCCCCCACAGAGAAACTACTAGGGTAGTGCTGAAAGGAAATGTGAGGTTGGAGGCCTACACAGAGTCCCCACTGGAACACTGCCTAGTGGAGCTGTGGGAAAGGAGCCACTGCCCTTCAGACCCCAGAATGGTAGAGCCACTGGCAGTTTGCATCCTGAGCCTGGAAAAGGCACAGACACTCAACTTCAACCCATGAGAACTGCTACATGGGCTGCACCTGCAAAGCTACAGAGGTGGAGCTGTCCAAGGCCTTGGGATCCCACCCCTTGGACCAGTGTGCCCTGGATGCAGGACACAAATTCAAGGAATATTTTGGAGCTTTAAGATTGAATGACCACCTCACTGGATTCCAGATTTGCATGGGGCCTATACCCCTTTCTTTTGACCAGGTTCTCCCTTTTGGAATGGAATTGTTTACTCAGTGCCTATGCCACCATTGTATCTTGGGAGTAAATAACTTATTTTGATTTTACAGGCTCATAGGTGGAAGGAGGTGAGTCTCAGTTGGAACTTTTGGACTTTGGCTTGATGCTGGAATGAGTTAGGACTTCAGGGGACTATTGAGAAGGGATGATTATACTTTGCAATGAGATTTGTGGGGTCAGGGACAAAATGATGTGGTTTGAATATATGTCCCCTCCAAATCTTATGTTGAAATGTGAATCCCAGTGTTGTAGGTGGGGCCTGGTGTGAGATAATTGGATCATGGGGGTGGACCTCTCACGAATGGCTTAGCATCATCCCCTTGGTGATCAGTGAGTTCTCACTCTCTTAGTTCATGGGAGAGCTGGTTGTTTAAAAGTATGTGGCCCTTCCCCTCTCTCTCTCTTGCTCTCACTCTCATCATGTGATGAATCTGCTTCTGCTTTACCTCCAGCCATGAGTAAAAGTTTCTGAGGCCTCCCTAGAAGCCAAGCAGATGCCAGGAGCATGCTTGCCCAGCCTGCAGAACTGTGAACCAATTAAACCTCTTTTTTTAAATGAATTACCCAGTCTCAGGTGTTTCTTTGGTTTTGTTTTTGAGACAGGATCTCACTCTGTTGCCTGGGCTAGAGTGCAGTGGCATGGTCATAGCTCACTGCAGCCTTAGAAGACCTGGGCTCAATTGATCTTTCCACCTCAGCCTCCCAAGTAGCTGAGACTACAGGCATGCACTACTGCACCCAGCTAGTTTTTTATTTTTTTGTAGAGACAGGGCCTTGCTATGTTCCCCAGGATGCTCTTGAACTCTTAACCTCAAGTGATCCTCCTACCTCAGCCTCCCAAAATGCTGGGATTACAGTTGTGAGCCACTGCACCTGGCTTGATATTTCTTTATAGTGACACAAAAAAACAGACTAACACAGGGAGAGTGCTGTGCTAATATTTTAATTTGCATATACATCTACTATAATAACAATAATATAACAGGAACTGCACATTTACCACTCTACTGGCCCAAGACGCAATTGCCCACTGGTTCTATCCAGTCCCCGCTTAGCCCCATCTTTATTAAGGGCAAGCTTTCTCTTCAGACCATCATCTCAGCCCACCAGGGGTTATCTTTTCCCCAGTCTCTATCTCCAAGTTATGATTGGGACAGGGAAAAAGGCTGAATGGGCTCTCCATAGCCCTGACAAGTGTCACTTCAACCCAGACACTCATGGCTAACAGGCTGACCACTGGCTGTTGGTGACAGCAATAAGCAGGACAGCTGAGTGACCTACACATGATTCTCTGATACTCTCCCCAGAAAGTCCCTGTCATCATTCCCAGCCACCAGCCCAACCCAGAGGGTTTCCAACTCTTTCCTCCCTACTCCCTCCTTCAAAGGTGCCTCTCCTTCCCCAATTCAGACTGATGTAGCTTATGGAAACAGGAAAATTCATTTTGCAAGCCTGCTTTCAAACTTTGTATCTGACTCTTTCATCTAACACTTTTACAAGCAGCTTCCTTAGCTGCTGTTTCTGAAGTGCAAGCCCACAGATCAGAGTGCTGGGAATGGGAAAAACCCTCAGGACCTGCATCAGAGACATTAATGAGTCTAGTGAGGAAGAGAGACACACAGATATAATCCAACTGTGACACGAACAACAAAAAAACAAGAATTGCAACACTGTGCAGATTTTAAATTCAAGAATTCTCATACCAGGTGTGGTGGCTCATACCTGTAATCCTAATACTTTGGGAGGCTGAGGTAGGAGGATCACTTGAGCTCAGGAGTTTAAGAGCAGACTGGGCAACATAGTGAGACCTTGTCTTTATAAAAAAATTTTACAAAGCAGTCCAGCATGGTGTCTTGTGCATGTAGTCCCACCTACTTGGAAGGCTGAGGTTGGAGGATCGCTTAAGCCTGGGAGGTCAAGGCGGCAGTCAGTTGCAGTCACGCCACTACCGCCCAGTCTGGGCAATAGAGGCAGACCCTATCTCAAAAAAAAAAAAAAGAAAAGAAAAAAGAAAGAAAAATGCTTCTACCCTACCATATTAGCTGTAAGCATAGAAAAACACTTAATGTCTCTAGGAACCTGACATGTATCTCTATCTATATATCTATCTCACTATAGATATGAAATTATTATTTTAGGAGAGTATAAGATTCATAAGCTTTGAGTTAAAGTGGGAGTGACTTTGTACCCTTCCTAAACAAATGCTAAGATTAAATTCTTCTGGTACTGTGGATAACGAAGTCCATTTTAAAAGTATATTGAAGCCTTCCTGTATTTTCCTCTCTCTTCCCCTTTTCCCCCTTCCCATTCTGACCTGAAGAATTCACTCCAAATGCCCCAGATGGGGGAGAAATTTGCAAAGCCCCAGAGTGAAGTGTTGTAGCCTTCCCAGGGTGCAGAGAGCATTCCCATGAGTGTGTGAGGGTGTGAGGAGGGGAAAGAGCAGAGAATAGCTGGATGCTTTGTAGAGCCCAGGTGCAGTGAGGAAGGGGAAGGTGAAGGAGAAGGGGTGGCGGCCCAGCCCAGCCTGTGATTCTGGAGACTCAGTGGGGCCAGGAGGGTGGCGGTGCAGAGAATCAGAGCCCTAGCTGCATGAAGAGGTAGGTCTTGTGTATATGTGAGGGGCAGCCCAGCCCGTACCGTCAGAGTCTGAGCAGGGTAAGAATGATATCTATGTAGGAAAGAGGTCCAGTGTGGGGTGTCAGAGCCCAAGTGGAGTGAAGAGAACAGCCAGGCAGAGGGCCAGAGCATCAGAAGATGCACAAGTGGGATGTGAGACATCTGTGCAGGCCAGAGCAGTGGCAGATGCAGCACAGTGTCAGAACCCAGCAGGAAGAGAGGAGGGTGTCTATGCAGAGTGGAGCAGCCATGGTGAGGGGAGACTGGTGTAGACTGGGAGGCTGATCAAATATATAACACAGTAAAGAGATTAGGAATCATCTCTCTCACCATCACAGCAGGAAGCTGCAAATACAGAAACAGAGAAAACTAGAATAAACTCTGTGGTATTAGACTGGAATTGGAGATAGCAGTGTGAACTCATCGTCTTTAATATGTATAGCTGGATATTGAAGCAAATACAGATGTAAGTGTGTTTGCGTGTACATACACATATATATAGTCTCTAGCTCTGTCCACTGAGTGGGTCTGGAAGCAGTAACACCCCAGTAGCAATGAGAACATCTAGCGCCCAGATCTTGATTTCTAAATATCATCTGCCACTAAAACAAAACAAAAGAAACAAAATGAAACTACGGCTCCTTAGGAAACAGCCGAGTCTAGGGGAGAAAACATAACATGATCCTGGAATATCTTTTTGCACCAGAAAGCAAGGGAGGGCTCAGCAAATGAGGACATGTGAAAAGGACAGAGAAGCAAGTTTGAAAGGGCTTCCACTACCCCAATCTGAGACAGTGTGATCATAGTGATAATGATAGTAATGGATTGCAACCCATTTAATAAAACAGAAATCCATGAGTCCCATGCCCAAATAAATAAATGAATGGATGGACAGACAAATAAATAAATAAATGGAAGGTTTAATAAGGAGTATATTTACATAATCTCAACATTTCTCACCACAAAATACTTATTAATTACAGAATGAAAATGTCAGCTGCACAGTGGAGAAGCCTGATGGGCTTCACCTTCATCAAGTTACCAAAGTAAACATCATGAGAAATGAGACATGAAATTGAAATCATGCACCACCTGATGGGATATAATGAGAAGATCTCAGCTTCACATTCATGATATTTCTGCCAGAAGTGCATCACCTGAATCTGATCATGAGGAAACATGAGACAAAGGCAAATTGAGGGACACGCTGCAAAATCACTGTTCTGTCACCTTCAAAGATGTCAAGGTTATGAAAACCTAGAAAAGATTAAAGAACAGTTTCAAACTAAAGGGTTTTGAAGGGACATAACAAATGCAATGGGAAGCTCCGACTGTCATCCTTTTGCTATGAAGGACGTGAAAATTGGGGAAATTGGCAGAATGCAAATGCATTGTGAGAAGTAGAGGTAGTAATGCATTGGTATTAATTTCCTGATTTTGATGGTTCTATTGAGATAATATGGGACACTCTACAAAATACCTGGGGTGTAATCCTGAGTGTTCATTAGGATCACCTAGAGGACTTGTTAAGATGCAGATTGCTGGACCCTATATCAGAGTTTCTGATTCAGGAAGTCTGCAGTGAGACCCAAAAATGTGTATCTCTGAAAAGTTATCAGGGGACACCAATGCTGTTGATTCAGAGACTATTTAGAGACACTGATGAAGGAGAATATTTGTATTTATTTTTAAAAAAGCATACTGCCTTCAGGAGCCATAGGCTGTTGTTCAGCAACTTATTCTCAAGTGGTTTAGAAAGAGATAAGTTATTTGTAATGTACTTGGAAGTTTTGTTTAATTTTGAAATTGTTTCAATAAACAAACAACCTCACTGATTCCAAAGCCTCCAAATCAGAATTTAGGAGAACTGGACAGCAAGGCTGTTGTGAGTGAGCACTGCCAAGTATGCCCTTTCTTAACAGGTATAGCAAAGTGAAGTAAATGAGATAGGATGGGAGCCATTTAAGATACCTAAGAGAACACAACATTTTCAGGTTGTTAAACATTCATTGACAACTGATATGCCAAATGCAAACACTCCGTCTCTAAACACTAAAGTAGGTGTCCTCTATGAAGCACCACTTTGAGTTTTCAGTGGCCATTTCTCTTCATGTCTCCACGTTTCCCCTTTTCCATTTTGCTGCTGCCTCTAGTTCTAAATTATAAGATTAAGAAATACATTCCAATGAAAGGGCTGACACTCTTCCTAAAAATCATTTGATACTATGGTAAGGGGCTGGCAAGAAAATCAAATCCAACCATTCTTTAATCTCCTACCTTTCCAAAAGGTGTGCTGATTCCTCTGCTTATCATTCATGTGAACTTATCCCACTTACCTAACTTCTCTGTGTCTCAGTTACCTCATTTGTAAAATGGGCATAAAAATAGGACCTATACTCACTGGAGTGTAATGAGGATCAAATAAATGTAATGGAGACTTACAATGTCTAACATATTGCAAGACTTTAATAAATGTTATATGCTATTGTTGTTTCATTTTGTCAAAATGAAATGTTCTTTGGACTTGAGAGTTGTCATCCCAGCACCCACCATACTCCCCTTACCACTTGATATTTGAAGCTAAAGACCTCTGGGTAGAAATTCAGCAAATTTGCATAGAAACTAAGGAGTTCCCAGGAGAGAAGATACCAAGATGCTGAACAATGTTTCTCTCGAGGTTCAATATTTTTAGAATATCTTTAATGGTTCTAATGGCTCCAACTCAGGTTAGAGAGGCAGGAAATTGTGGTGGTAGGAAGTTGGTACTCTGAATATACATGCTAGAGTTTGAATCCAGTTTCTACCATTTTCTGTCTGACCTTGAGTAAGTTACTTAGCCTCTGTGTGCCTCAATTTAGTTTCCCCCTTTGTAAAATAGGGAAAATGGTAATAGTATCTACTTCATGGGGCTGTTGGGAAGACAAACAAGACAATTTATACCAAGCAGTTGACATAGTGCTTGACATATAATAAATACTTAGTAAAATGTGATTGCTATTGCATTATCATGAAACCACCATTGCAAAATTATTAATATAACTGAGACAGTGAAAGAGATCTGACCTAACCAACTCCATCTTGCTTCTAACCTCCAAGCTGTGGCTTGTTCATTCCTGGGCATAGGCCAAACTAACTTTGGGAGGAACTTAGTTTGTAGTTTATAGTTTAAAACAAAGACTGTAATGGCCCTTTACCAAAACAAACCCCTTCTTCCCTGGTGACTAGACTGCCTTTGTAGGACTAACAAATTAGCCAAAAGATTAGAAATTATGCTTTAGGAGTCATGCAGCTGGAGGCTACAAGATTCTGACCCTCCCCAAATTGCTCCTGGGGATAATGTCACTATTTGTAAAACCTAAAACCAGTGCTTGAGATATTTTGCAGACCCTGCGCTTGATGGTTCAGGAGCCACCACCCAGAAAAACTGGCTCATCTGATCTTCTGGCCCCCACCCAGGAATTGACTCAGTGCTAGAAGACAGCATCAACTCCCTATGATTTCATCTCCAACCCAACCAATCAGCACTCCTGCTCATTGGCTAACCCCCTTCACCCACCAAATTACCCTTAAAAAATCTGATCATTGAATGCTTGGGGAGGCTGATTTGAGTAATAATAAAACTCCAGTCTCCTGCACAGGCAGCTCTGCATGAATTACTCTTTCTCTATTGCAATTCTTATCTTGATAAGTTAGCTCTCTCTAAGCAGTGGGCAAGGTGAACCCATTGCATGGTTACAATCAGTGGGCAAAAAAGAGCAACCAATGTCCTCTGGGGTAGTCATGAATGTTGTTTGACACATATTTCTGTCTAATTTCTGGGCATAAGGTGTGGCCACGTGACTAGCTATAGTCAATGACATGATGTTGCTTCTGTAGGAGAGGGAAAAAACTTTTTCTCTGTTCTCTTAAATTCTGTGCCTGGGGCCTGGAAATTAAACTGACAAAAGACAGACTAACAAGAGAAACATTTCATTTTTTATGCACACAAGAGCTTTACAGAAAAGAAATAAAGGCTTGTGAGCTTATATACCATGTTAACAAAGGGCAGTAAATTGTAAAAGAGTGACGAGAGAGGAAAAAGGGTCTGGGCTTCTAGGGGTTATAAATTGTGTGAAGATAAATATATGGAAGAAACTAATGGAAGATAAGGTTATGTTAGTAATGTTGGTTATGCAGAGTCATTGGTGAGTCTCCAGTGATAAGAGTTGGTAAATCTCTGGTGATTAAGAGTTGTTCTCCTCTTCCTGGTACGGGAGAGAGGAGGGGGGACACCTTCACAAAGGAAAATGTATGCCCTGCTTTCAGGAAGAAAGGTAGAGGAGAGAGGGTTCCTCCTCTGTCTGTTGTTTCTTAATTGCCTTCAGATCAAAGTAATTCTTAGGCCAAAGTAGCCGTTTGGGGGTGGCATATTCAGATCTCCTTCACCTCTAAGCTGAAACATTTAGTTACCAGTGCAAGTCCCTCCAGAACTCTTTTCCCCTGGCACAATGACCAATGTAAGCCGAAAATAAAATCCTGAGTCCCCCAACTGACTGAACGGACCATCTCTGGACCAAGAGAAACCTGAAAGGCTGAATTCCTGCCCATGACAAAAAGGGAAGTCAGACACACCTCAGTATACCCCCTCCTTTTGGAGTTTGGCACAACTGACCAGCATTAAGGTTAAAATAGAGATCCTAAGACTGACAAAACAGACTCCTCATAGCAATAAAATATACCATATTTCAACCTGACTCTGGTATAGCATCACATGATAGCAAGCCTTGAAAACAATAAAAATATTTTATCCCCAAATATATTTATTTAACATATTTTGAAGTAGCCCTGCAAAGCCATCTCTTGTGGGAGAAATTTGCAACTATGGGGAATCTCGTTCTTTTTCTAGGTCTTTTCTGGATCCAGGAGGGATTTAACTAAGAGTCTGACACCTCATAAGGTCCGAAGAGAGATATTTACCATCTATTCTCTCTGGAAGTCTGCTACTTAGGGGCTTTGTCTACATAACAAGAACCTTGACTTCCACACCCCCCCTTATCTTAACTCAAGCATTTCTTTCTACTGATTTCAACCCTTTAGACAATCTTAACTCTTTAAATCAATTGACAACCAAAAATCCTTTAAATCTACCTATGACCTGTAAGTCCTACCCTGCTTCGAGATGTTTCACCTTTCTGGGCCAAACCTATATATACCTTACATGTATTGATTTATGTCATTGCCTGTAACTTCTGTCTCCCTAATATGTATAAAACCAAGATGTAACCTGACAACCACAGACACATTTTCTCAGGAAGTCTTGAGATTGTACCCCAAGCCATGATCACTCATAATGGCTCAGAATAAACCTCATTAAATAGTTTATAGAGTTTGGCTTTTTGCACCTATATCAGCAACTTTCTAGGTGGTGGCTACTCAGTCAGCTTGGGACCCTGAGTAATTCCAGTAAAAGCAGAGCTACTCCTGTGACCTGCAAAGGGCACACAGTGTGAACAAGTACAAGAAACAAACCTTCGTTATTTTAAGGCACAGAAATTTGGAAGTTGTTTGTTACCACAGCATAACCTACCCTATCTTGACTGATTGACTACAACTACCACCACCCACAGCCAAGGGAAAGCTCACCTGCAAGAGGAAGAAATCAGTGTCATTGACTTGGGCTGGGGTTAGAGGTTGCTTTTTCTGATCATAGTGTGTGGCTGACACTGAATACCCTCTTCTTAATCAATAGACATTTTATTAGTTAACTCATTATCCCAAAGCTTGGTGGCCCATATGCATAGATCACCACAGAATACTATCAATACTGAAAGCTATATCTCCCACCACTCCTGCCTCCTGTGCCCACCTCTCCTTCTCTACTGAATGTACTCTAGCAGATGAGGATAATACAAAATGTCAGGTGTAAATCAAGTTGCTGTTAAAAAAATACAAAAGAAAAGCTTACTGTGTCCTAATGTTTACAAAAACACATGGATAAAGACCACTGTCAAAAACAGGTACCCACAAACCTGTGGGCAGAGAGCATGAGCCATGCCTGCATCCTGGGTTGGTGGGGAAAACCAGCACTTCAATATACTGTGCCCCAAAGGCTTCCTTATTTCTTCATCTGCCCATCTTCCCACTGATGTTTCAATTGCTTATTTCATGCGGCTCCCCAAAGATGTTTTCAACACAGTCTTAACAACCATCACGTCAATACATTTTAAAAGTAATTGTAAGAAAGGGGCCGCTAGAGAATGTGCTGTCCACGCTCTCCAGCTACCCCTTTAGCTACATTCCAGCCTCCAAACATTGTCCCAGAAAACCTTTGCATCTAAGTGGGCAAGGCCAACAAGGGACCTAATTTAATATCCCAGAATTCTGGAACCAGAAAGAGATGCTGAACTCCAAAAAATGCCAAGCAAGAAGCTGCATCAAAATGATTTAATATTAACAAAGCTGATACCACTCCACCCCAAGGGAAAAGATGGCTACTTAGCATTTCATCCTCTCCTCAATTCCATGCACAAGCAATTGCTTCAGGAAAAACAGACCCAGGAATCTCTGGCATATTCTACTTCCAGATAGCCTGCCACCCCCACAGGCAGTGTTTCCAATCAGGGTGTGAGTGAATGGAGATGATAAAGTTCTTCCCTAGAGATAAAGAGGCTCCATTTGCAGAGAAATGGAACAGGGTGAGAACGGAATGGTAAGAATCGGCAGTTTGTTCCCCAGGCAGGGTTAACAAAAATCAGTTAAAGCCACCATTTCAAGGTTAAGGCAGGAGACAAACAGGCATGATGCTATAAATACAGTGTCCCTTTGGGCACCGAGGGATGGATCATAGCAAGCCCAGGGCTAAATGAGATATGGTGGGTGCCCATCGCTCTGGGGCCTGATGGATTGACAGGCAGACAAATATGAAATGCAAGCCTCTCAGCCAGGCCCTGCCTGGGTGAAATCTCATTAAAGCACACATCAAAGATTGCACCACAGGGGCAGAAAGTAAAATGCAGAGCCGCAGCCAGCCTGGGGGGTAAGAAAGGAAGGCCACAACCTGATAAAGAAGCTCAGAGAGGTAGCATTAGTCAGGAACCATGCCTAGCTGCCCACTTGCCTTCAATAACAGCAGACTCGCCCCAGGGCCATCCTGCTTCACCACTTTGGGAGGTCTGCATAAATTAATGTCTCAGTATAACAAGAACCACCTCGCTCACTGTGTGCCATCCACCATGCCAAGTGCTTGGGGTGTATTTTCTCATTTCACTATCCCAGGGGCCCGATAAGGCAGGTCTCACCAATCCCACTTCACAGATGCAAAACACGGAGATCAGGACAGTTTAGTCACATGTTCAAGATCACATAGTTGGTAAAGCCAGGGTTTGAACTCAGATATTTCCAACTCCAAAGCTTATGCTTTTATCCCTAATACTGCTGTTCTCAGCTCTTGCAGCATCCCAAAGAACCTGGGTCCTCCTAGCCATCACTCTTTATGGTATCTAGGCAGGAACAGCACACAGGCTGCTGCTCCCCTCCTGTGCTCATTAGTCAGGAGTTCATGGCCATGCATCCTGCTGGGCTCAGCCTCCACTGCAGAACCCTGCTGAGAGCCATGCTTGTAAGCAGCTGCTGCCAGCCCATCTGAGGGCTGCATGAGCAAACATAATGGACACACTTGGTTAGCAGTGAGTGAAGTGGAAGTAGAGGCCAGCAAATGCGATTTTTCTCATAGTGGGGAAGAGAGTATCTCTGAGAAAAAGATACTCCTAACCCCTTTTGCTATGTGTGTCCCTCTCTCCATTCCCACAGCCGTCAGCCTGGCTCATGGGCTCTTTGTCTCCCTGGACCACGCTGTGGCCATGTAAGTCCTAGCATAAATCCAAGCACACTTCTCTCCAGCTCATCCTTCAGGGGGTCCCCAGTGCTCCAGGGGGAAGGGAATCCTCCTTAGCTAGAAACCTCCACCCAGGAAAGGCCCTTGGCTGCCTTGGCCACCTGGAGAAGGCCCTCTCCGCTTACAAGATTCAGCAAGATTCAGCTCAAGGATATGGACAGACATACACCAAGTTATTGATATTGATGACCTCCCAAATTAAGATTAGAAGAGGCTAGAGGGCAATTGTCAACACTGCAATTATTCAGCTCTGTATTGTTTAAATATTTATCATGGTTTAAAAAGTCATGACAGAATCAAAAAGTAAAACACATATAAAGGTGGAAAAATGATACACATTCCCAGATACCTCCCCACTCCCCACCTGGGTGTATAAGACTCAGCATCCAGAATTTTTGACTGCACTTTTGCTGCCCCGGTTAGATTTCTCACTCCTTGAAAGCAAGAACTCTTTTTCACATCATCGAATCTGTAGCACAACTGTCACTTATTAAAACCATTTGTTTTCTTAGAATCACGTTAACCACGTGGCTGATGTCCTGGCTCATGATAGTTAGGAGCCTGTGAAAGGGACTACCCAAAGCCACCACAAAATCCTCCAAAATAGAGCTAGTAACCTAAACAAGAAAGATCAGACCACTGTGATCTGTGAAACTGTACAGGACACATGATCCATTTCTTCAATAAACAGCACAGAGGAGAAAAATTTCTTAAAAGAGACTTAAGAACTTTAACAACCAAATTCAGCGTGTGCATATTTTTCAGATCTTAAACCAACTCCAAAGAGACATTTGAGACAATTGGGGGAATTTGAACAATGATGGGGTATTGGAGGGTGTGAAGAATCATTGTTAATTTTTTTAGGTGTGATAAATAGTGATTATGCTTTAAAAAAAATTTAAAAAGTCTATATTGACATCTGTAATTCCAGCACTTTGGGAGGCCAAGGCAGGCAGATCACTTGAGGTCAGGAGTTCAAGACCAGCCCGGCCAACATGGTGAAGCCCCATCTCTACTAAAAACACAAAAATTAGCTGGGCATGGTGGCACGTGCCTGTAATTCCAGCTACTCAGGAGGCCGAGGCAGGAGAACCACTTGAACCTAAGGCGGAGGTTGCAGTGAGCTGAGGTTGCGCCACTGCACTCCAGCCTGGGCAACAGAGACAGAGTAAAAAAAAAAAAAAAAAACCACAGTCTATATTGGATATGGGTAAAATCATGTCTAAAAATTGCTTTAAAATACTCCAGCATTTAAAAAAAAAAGAGTACCAGGATAAGCAGATGAAACAAGATTAGGAAAATGTGTTGCTAATTGCTGAAGCTGGATGAGCAGTTATGGGGTCTTGATTCTGCTGTCTTTTTATGTCTTTTGAAAGATTTTCATAGTGAAAAGTTTTAAAAGTAAACTTAAATGAGCTTCTAATTTAACAGTGTGTGTGTGTGTGTGTGTGTACACACACACAGAGACACATATAGTCCATGAACTGTCTGCCTCAGAATTACCTGGTATGCTTGTTAAAATGCAGATTCTCCAGGTCTCTCTGACACCCCCACCCACTCCCAGGCTCTAATACACCCGTGGTTCTGGTAGGAGGATTCCACTAAGAATATCCATAAAGCCTACTTGCCAGGAGCAGGCTCAGTATACACCCAGTGCTCCGTGTTATCACTGACACTTCCCTTTACCCTCAAGAGTGTCCCAGTCCAGACAACATTGTAGCTAGTCAGCCAAGTCAGAGTGAGCCATGCCGTTTCATGTTCTCCTCTCTTGCTGCCCCCACCTGCATCTGCTGAACCCCACTTACCTACCAAAGCCCAGCTCAAGCACAGCCCCCAAGACCTTCTCTAATGACTCCAAGTGAGATCATTCTTCCACCCTTTAAACCACTGACCTGCAGCCTGAGAGCACATAGTGCTATCCTCTAACATACCTGCCTGGATGGCCATCCCATGCTTGCATGTCACTAGCCAGGGAACTCTTTAAAGGCAAGGACCAAGCCAGGTGCATTGGCTCACCCCTGTAATCCTAGCACTTTGGGAGGCCAAGGAGGGTGGATCACCTGGGGTCAGGAGTTCAAGACCACCCTGGACAACATGGCAAAGCCTTGTCTCTACTAAAAATACAAAAATTAGCCAGGCATGGTGGCAGGTGTCTATAATCCCAGCTACTTGGGAGGCTGAGGCAGGAGAATTGCTTGAACCGGGGTTGTGGGTGGGTGGGAGGGCGGTGGAGGTGTGGAGGTTGCAATGAGCCAAGATCATGCCACTGCACCCCAGCCTGGGTAAAAAAGTGAAACTCCGTCTTAAAAAAAAAAAAAAAAAAAAAAGGACCATGCTTTATGTACCTCCTTCTCCCCAATGCCTGGCACAGAATGGATGTTTAGGAAAATGTTTATCCAGTGAATTATTAAGCAAAGGAATTAATAAATAAATGAGAGTCATTGTGCTGGGCATCTCATAGAAACGTCTATGTTTATTTAAATTCTTTTTTTTTTTTTTTTTTTTGAGATGGAGTTTCGCTTTTGTCACCCAGGCTGAAGTACAGTGGCATGATCTCGGCTCACTGCAACCTCTGCCTCCCGGATTCAAGCAATTCTCCTGCCTCAGCCTCCCAAGTAGCTGGGATTACAGGCGCCCGCCACCATGCCTGACTAATTTTTGTATTTTTGGTAGAGACGGGGTGTTACCATGTTGGTCAGGCTGTTCTCGAACTCCTGACTTCAGGTGATCTGCCTGCCTTGGCCTCCCAAAGTGCTGGGATTACAGGGCTGAGCCACTGCAGCCAGCTAAATTCTTATATATCATCATGATTAGTGGCCCCAACCTTTGTGGCACCAGGGACCAGTTTCATGGAAGACAGTTTTTCCATGGTCTGGGGTTGAGGGTGATGGTTGAGGATGATTCAAGCACATTGCATTTATTGTGCACTTTATTTCTATTACATTGTAATATATAATGAAATAATTATACAACTCACCATAATGTAGTCAGTAAGAGCCCTGAGCTTTTCCTCCATCTAGATGGTCTCATCTAGGGGTGATGGGAGACAGTGACAGATCATCAGGCGTTAGATTCTTATAAGGAGCATGCAACCTAGATCCTTCACATGCACAGTTCACAATAAGGTTTATGCTCCTATGAGAATCTGATGCCGTTGCTGATCTGAAAAGAGGTGGAGCTCAGGCGCTAAGGTGAGCAATGGGGAGTGGCTGTAAATACAGATGAACTTTCTTTCACTCACCTGCTGCTCACCTCCTGCTGTATGGCCTAGTTCCTAATGGGCCACAGACCTGTACCTGTTCATGGCCCAGGCGCTGGGGACCTCCAGTCATGATGAAATGTTAGGCTGTCTTAATTTAAAATTTCTGGTGTAAAATCTGGGCAAAACATTGGGGAAATTTGATACATTATTGGGCAGAAAGAGATTAGAATTCCAAAAATCATGTGTACACTAATTGTAACTATAAAAACATATCTTTATATTATTATTTTCATAAGAACAAAAACCAAAAGGTAACATGCAAAAAAAAAAAAAAAAAAAAGTAGTAGGGATCTAGAAGGCTGCAGTTCTGCTTTCCAAATATTCTTTTTTTGTTTGTGTTCTTTAATAAGGAAGAAGAAGAAAGAGAAGGACAAAATGGAGATTCCAGACTGTTCTGGTCTGGTCATAGCTAACCCGCATGACTAATTCTAGCACCACAGATCCCTGCCAAGGCCTCCATCCACCAGCCCAATGTGGAAAGTCTCCATTTCCTGTTGGGGTGGGAGGGCATGGCGGGAAATGGAAATGTGTTCGTTTTCCACATAGCACACAGGGCTTGATCAAGTCTAGCAAGACCTGCCACCCCGAAGACAGGGAAGTCTTAATAAATGTACATGTTCTGCTCTCCCTATGCAGGCGAGTGCACACCAGGTATTTAAAAGAACAAAGAGCTTAAACAGTCACTTTGTTTCGACTGAACTGGAGCATTCGGGGCTTTCTATTCATCCTGCAAGGAGCCTGCTCAAGTATTAACAGATATCAATCTAGTAAATTGTGCAGCAAGCACCATTATTTTCTTCTCAATCTATTTTACCTGCCACATTTCCCAGGGGCAGATTGGAAAATATGTGGTAATTATATATTGATATAGTGTGGGAACAGGTTATATGCAGACCTTTTGTACCTAGCTTCCTTATTAACCAGCTAAAATGTGCTCTGTGGGATCCTTCTTTGCTCTTTAAGAAATCTCCTGAGCTGAGCTCTTATTTTGCTGTTTATGATTTTCTCCTAAACTGTGAGCTTTACAAGGACCTCACATGAACCACACCAAGATGGGACTTTGAGGAACAGCCCTGGTGTCCTCCTTGCTGGGCAAGGATTCAATCCAAAGCCAGCCTCCAGCTTCAGTGAACAGGTGACTTCCACACAAAGATACAAGAACAGCTTCACCAGGCTGGCTGCCTGCTTCCTGCACCACCTAATTAAGGAAGAGTTAGTCAGCATGAAAAGTACTTATTAGGAAACAGTACACCGGATCATACTTGTGGGCTTTCAGAAGAAATAAATTACTTTTTTTTTTTTAAGGAACATAGCAACAAGTTTCACGGTAGGCTTTCCTCACCAACACTAATGATAATAGCACCCAGTGAAGAAGCTACAGGAGATGGTGAATGGCCACCTCTGGGAACTTTAATGGCCTTTACTTGGATGATTCTCTAGAATGTTTAAGCAGAAGGAAGGAGAGGCAGCTAGCCTCATGTCAAAGACGTTCATGGTGAGGGGCAAGGAGGAGAGCAAGTGGTGAGCCATGAGCACTTTGGGCCTGCTCCCCGGGATCGAGTGATCTCTGTGAATCTCAGCGCTAAGAAAAAGTGCAGAAGTCACGTAACCCATGTACCAAGGCAAGGGCCTGCTAGCCTGTTCCAAGGTTGTCCTGTCACTCAGCATTTCCTGTGGGCATGATGACGCCAAATCCCAGCTGGGGCCAACTCTTCCCAGCTTCCCTGACCTCAGGGCCACCCATCAAAGGTGGCAAACGACAGGTCACTGAATAGGGTGTCACCTGACCTGTGCTCTCCCAGGAGCTCTGACGCTCCACTAGCAAGCTGGCCTTCTGCCGGGCTTCTGTCTTTGTGCCCTTTCTAATCGGAAAATGAGAAGGGAGGGACACAGTGCGAGATCATTTAGGTCCCATCCAGCTGTAACCAGGGACCGCATACAGGAAAACCCACTGAAATCAGCTGCCTCTTGCTAGCCTAGTCTCATCTGTCTATATGGCTCTCTTGTCAAAAGATATCCCGAGGAGGCTGAGCTGAATGACTGCGCAGGGAGTAGAGCTGACTTCTGTCAGGTAGATCTGAAAAGGGCACAAAGGAAAGGAAACTTGCACGTGGACGTGGGACTCTGCCAACTAAAAATTCAAGTCCAGAATTCATCATCTAACTTACTAAATACAACCTTTTCCAACACCACCCCATGCCCCCCTCAAAAAATAAAAACCAACCAGTATAACTGTAGCAATAAAGTAATTAGGGAAGCACACTCTCTTTAAAATGAAACCACCAATACTGTAACTTCCAGCTAAATTTAATTACCATCTAATTTCCTTTACAATAGATGACCTAGTTTTTGGACAATATTCTCAGAAAAGAGATTATATGTGGGTGTAAAAATCTGCCCTATCTTGGGAAAGCAGAGAGACCATTTACTGGCCTCGCCGAATCCATCCAGATATAAATATGTGCAAGGCGAATGGATAAGATGCAGCCCCGCTGAAGGAACACACTCTGTTCTTACACAAAGGCTAAAACAGCAAGTGGTCCAACGATTATGCCTCTAACAAAAAGCAATTCCACAGACACCCAAGAGCTATTTGTCAGACTTGCCGACTGACTTCCAGAGGCCAGCCCTGAACATCTTGTAGGAAGAGCCAGGCTGTGCCTCTGCTCGTCACCTCCTGCATGTGCAGACCCCACCCAGGCACCCCAATTCCCAGGTTCCAGGACAAGGCACTGGCACAGAGTAGCCCCACATAATGGGATCTGCAGAGGCCTCTCACGCCTCAGAAAGTCCCCTACCTGGCAGGAAAGCAGGGATGCATGCCCAAGGATGCATCTGTCTCACCCTCCCTTCTCACCAAACTTGTCCTGAGCTCAGCACAGTGAATGGTGATATGTGAATGACAATGAATGGTGAGATGCTCAGTGAATGAGTAACAAAGCGAAACTGGAGCATCCCAATCCCAGGCAGCCAGAACAACCCTGAGGACACTATCAGCTGCCCCTCCATTTATTATTTCCCATAATTAAATGTTGGAGAGAAATGAACATCCTGCCCTTAAGGAGTTCAGAGCCTAGATGGGAAATAAATATGTAAACAAATAATTGCAGAAGCATAGTAAGTTCTATGGCAGGAGAGTCCAGGGTGTTATAGGGGTACTAAGTAGGAGGGAGAGGAGTCAGAGAAGGGGAGTCAGGGTGGCTCCCCAGAGCCCAGCGCCTCGATGCCCAGATCTAGGTGCACAGGGGTGGGGAGGGATGGGAGAGACAGAACACTGCAGGCAAAGATATCCACAAGTGCAAAAGCTGCAGACAGAGAGGGATGGCAGCGTGAGAAGCAAAGGGTTCCGTGGCCTGGGTGTGGGAGAGATAAGAAGAGGTAGACCAGGCTGCTGTGAAGCCAGTGTTGGTAGGTGCAGGCAATGGTATTGATACCTGATCTGGTGGCTTTGGAGGGACATTGAGAGCTTTTAGGCAGGCCAGTGACAAGTTCAGTTTTGTGTTTAAGAATGATGGCACTGAAATGACATGATGTCTGGGTATTGCAAAATATAAAAACATGTTACTCAAGCAAAATATAAAAACCAAAAGGGAGACTGATTTTTTTTAAATGATGAACTGTTGATAATGAAGACAAGTGATGAGTATGTGAGGGTTCATGATATTATTCACTCTATTTTTGTGTAAGTTTAAACTTTTCATAGTAGATATATTTTTAATCACATGAATTATTAAAAAAATAAGATCTGAAGAAGTCCTATTAAATTCATACTTTTTTTTCAATGTTAAATATCCTAATTTAGCAGCCAAAAACTAATGGGAGAGTATTTGGGTATTTTTTCCACATTTAAAAAATATCACTGTGCTGCAGGATGGAGACTAAATTGGGAGAAAGAAAAGAGAAAACAGGAGCCATTAAGGGGCCTCAGTAGGGCTGCAGGTGAGGAATGGCGGTGCCTATACTAACCCAGTGGCAGAGCAGATGAAGGGACGGAGCTAAAATGCTCAGAAGGTGAAACGGCCAGAACTCAGTGACTGACTCAACATGAATGAATCGTGCATTCAATCACTCTCTCCGCAAAGATTTAGGGCCACCTGCTTTGCCAGGGACTGTGGAAGAATAAAAACGCAGGACCAAGAGGCAAGACATCAGCACAGCTCTCTGTGACAGTAACAAGATGAAATAAGCTAAAAGGATAAAAACAGTTTTGCAGAGGAGTAAAAAGTAAAAAGCTATAAGTAAACATTAGCTTAAAACATGCTGGAATGAAAACCAATAAAATCAAAAAATGCTGGAAAATAAATTTGATGAGTTGAACAGTGTACTTAAAATGTTAGAACTGTAAGAGAGCCAAGATAAAATAAACACTAAGATCACATCATAAAAGATAAATAATACAATAAAAACTACAGATAAAAAGGCAAAAGTAAATAATATTAGCTAATGGAACATATTAAAAAGATTAAATAGTGAAATAAAATCATTTAGGATGCATAAATTTTGCTAGAAACACATTCTAACCAAAGGGTAATACTGGACATACAGGCTGCAATACAGAAACCAGCACAGAGGTGAGCAGCCCGGGCCATCTGATCAATCTCACCACCCATCATCACTGTGGAGCTCTCTGAGCCCAGCCTGTACTTGCAAGTCCCCAAATCTACCACAATTTCCTTAAAGGACACTGCCTGGGGGAACTGGGGATTATACCACACGAGCCACAGAAAACCCTCATAAAAATCCTCTTTGGATATCTGTTCCTCTCCTCAAAGCTTCCCACCCACAGCACCTGCCAAAAATCTCTCCTTCTCTCGTCCTCCCTCTCCGCTATACTATTCACTCCCATGCACACTAGCCTCTCTGCTCCAGCACCCTTGCTTCTGATGAGAGAACCTCCTGGCCTCACCTCTTAGGGAAGGACAGCTCAATGTGAGCCTCTGAATTCTCATCTTGCCAGAAAGTGCCCCCTAGAATGGAATGGATGAAATTCTCTACTTCATTACACATACATGTGGCAAGATTCCCTCAACACTGGGTTCTTGGAGGAACAAGTACTACCACTCTTCCTAATGTGTCTCAGGGCCTATCCCTGAGCCCAGCACACAGTTCATGCCCAGTTAACACCTGTTGTAGGTTAAAAAAAGAAAGAAAGAAAGAAAAAAGAATCTGTAAACTTCAAGCTGGGTAGGGCTCAAATATCTAACAAACTGAATCCCACAGCAGAGGGTCCCACCTTCCAACTGATTTCTAATCAGAGCCCCCCAGGGCTCTTACCTATCACATGGGCACCTTCAGCTCCTCCCAGAAGGCACATAAGGTAACAGCAGAGATGCCCTTACTCAAGGTCCACAGCAACAATGAAAGGAAGTAAATAACAATGCTGCTGTGCGACCTCAAGGTGAGAGGGCTTCCAGGCAGTGATCAAGGAGGGCTTAATGGAGGAGGGGGAATTGAGCAGAAGACTTGGAAAATGGTTAGGCTGTGTGGATAGAGGAAGAACATGTCAGGATTCCTGGGAATGAACAGGATATGAGCTCACATGCAGAGAGACCACTTCAGCCCTCTACCCCAAAGGCAGCCCCTTGCTCCAGGTTTCTGGCAGAAAGCCAGCCAGAGTCCTGCAGGCAGCATTCTGTCCAAGGTGGAGGAAGTTCCCCAAACTGAACAGTAGAAACTTTGCAGGAGCTGCTGAACTGCCATAAGGCAGGGCCACTAATCTTCTGGCCAAATCACACCTTCCTTTATGATGCAGAAATCCACTCCTGGGCTTTCAGCACACCCTCCAACACGAGGCTATGCAGACAGCTGCTGCATTTGCATTTGGACAACCATAAGTATAAGAAGCCATCACACTCTATTCCCTGAAAGAACACAGTAATTCCAGTTGCCTCTTCCATAAGGCACTTCCCGTGACGTTTAAATAGACAACGACAGTTTGCAGCACTATCCTCCTTAGCAAGGATTTGCCTAACCTCTTGCATGAGCTGGTTTTCAGTTCTCATGGCCATTTGGATTACGTAAATCATTACACATACTTATTACCACCAGGACAATTGCTGGCTTTTTATTTTTTCAATTCCAGGGAGAGTGGGAACCTTCTTGGTCTGAGCTTTAGAGAGGCCTTGGGGGGGGGGGGGGTATCTTATTTCGTTCAGGCTGCTATAATAGAATACCAAAAGAATGGGTGTGCCAGGCACGGTGGCTCATGCCTGTAATCCCAGCACTTTGAGAGGCCAAGGCGAGTGGTTCACAAGCTCAGGAGATCGAGACCATCCTGGCTAGCATGGTGAAACCCCGTCTCTGCTAAAAATATAAAAAATTAGCCAGGCATGGTGGCGGGTGCCTGTACTCCCAGCTACTCAGGAGGCTGAGGCAGGAAAATGGCATGAACCCAGGAGGCAGAGCTTGCAGTGACCCGAGATTGCGCCACTGCACTCCAGTCTGGGCAAAAGAGCAAGAGTCCGTCTCAAAAAAAAAAAAAAAGAAGAATGGGTGCCTTCTGAGTAACATTTATTTCTTACTGTTCTAGAGGCTGAGAAGTCTAAGATCAAGGCACCAACAGATTCAGTGTCTGGTGAAAGACCATGTCCTGGTTTCTGGATGACTGTCTTCTCGTTGTGTCCCCATGTGGTGGACAAGGGAACACTTTTGGGTCTCTTTTATAAAAGCAGTCATTTCATTCATGAGGGCTCTGCACTTATGACCTAAACACCTCCCAAAAGCCTCGCCACTTAACACCTTCCCCTTGAGGATTAGGTTTCAACACATGTGTTTGGGGGGACACAAGCATTCCATCTTTAGCAGGGGTTCTTCATCTCTACCGCCTTGCATTCCTCTGGAAGAAGATGCTACACTGAAATTCTGTTTGCTCCAACCGAAATGCCAATATCACAGATATCTGATAGCAAAGTGAGTATGGAACAGCTTCCAATACAGAATTTTCAGGAAATGGTTGAGAACCAGTTTTGTAACTCTTGAGCTCCTTACTCAGTGGCCTTTATTTGCTTTGGAAATATAAAATTTTGAGAGTGGAGGAAGGGGAAATGTGTGAAGCAATTGCTTTGAAGAGAACTATCATGATGCTGGGAGTCCCACCCTAACCCTTCCATGCAGAGGAAGCAGGACTTGCTTTCTGGAGAAGGTGCTTCTGTTGATCCATTCAAAGACCATGAAGAGCATCCCTGTAGTGAGGGAACACTGTGCTCTGGACAGAAAACTGAGCAGGCAGCCGCTGCATTTGGCATGTGGCAGCTGGAAAGAGCACACAGCTGGGCTTGGTCTGAACCTCTAGGGTTTACTGGGACAGGATGCAGACCCTGAGGGAAAGCTAGCCTGGAGCCATTTTAAATCCTGCCCAAAGGCTGCCCAGGAGCATGTGGAGAGTGTGAGATGCTGTGTGGAGGAATGTCAGATAACAGGGATGCGGGCAGCATGGCGGGAAGGAATTGCACAGCCTGTATCAAGGTAGTGTCAGTGGGTTTCCCAGGTAGAAGGATTTCCAGCAAACTCCAGGTCAGGAGTTCAAGACCAGCCTAGCCAACATGGTGAAACCCCGTCTCTACTAAAAACACAAAAATTAGCTGGGTGTGGTGGCACACGCCGGTAGTCCCAGCTACTTGGGAGGCTGAGGCAGGAGAATCGCTTGAACCAGGGAGGCAGAGGTTGCAGTGAGCCGAGATCAAGCTACTGCACTCCAGCCTGGTGACACAGCGAGACTCTGTCTCAATCAATCAATCAATCAATCAATAAAATAACTTCTCGAAGTTGATGCAGCTACAATGGCTAGAACTGCAGCCCCCGATCTTCACATCCGTGGGAGTGAGAGTCAGCTCAAAATATCTGCCAGGCCTGGGAGTGCGACACAGATGGCAGTTCAGCAAGGAGATTTGCTGTCCCTCCTTCCCTTCCTCCCTCCCCATCTTCCTCCCCCAGTGACTGGGAACAGCAGTTATCCGGTACAGAGAGAAGAGCAGACAAAGCAAGAAGGACATGGCTCTGCTCTTACAAAGGGTCAGCCACAGTGGGGGTCCAGCCACAGGAGGCACAACATCTCATGCTAATTATATTCAGAGATTTGATTATTGTTGAGGTCTGGAGATTCTATTTTCTGAACTGTGTTTGCAATTAGTATAACTATTGGTTTGCTGCCTAAGAGTGAGCAGAAAAGCCACAGACCTGCCCAAATTTTTATCATAGGCAAGAGAAATTTACTCCCCACCCCAGCCTACCTGGTGAAATTTAAAAAGGCAATGAGAAATAACAATGAAGTTATATTTGGTTATATCCCCAAAGTCAAGTTTGTTTGACATGCAATAAAAACCATGATTCACTATTGCTATCAACACAGTTCAAAAGTAATTCTTTAAAGCTTTTTTAAAATGTCATACATCTTTTGACCCACAAATTCATGTCTAGGGCCAGGTGCAGTGGCTCATGCCTATAATCTCAGCACTTTGGAAGGCCAAGATGGGTGGATCACTTGAGGTCAGGAGTTCAAAACCAGTCTGGCCAACATGGTGAAACCCCTCTCTACTAAAAATACGAAAATCAGCCAGGCCTGGTGGCAGGCACCTGTAATTTCAGCTACTTGGGAGGCTGAGGTAGGAGAATCGCTTGAACCCATGAGGCGGAGGTTGCAGTGAGCCGAGGTGGTGCCACTGCACTCCAGCCAGGACAACAGTGAGACTCCATCTCAAAAAAAAAAAAAAAAAAAAGAATCATGTCTAGAATTTATCCTCTGATAATTCTACAATCCAGACTACACAAAAATATTTAGCAAGAAGGGTATTAAATGCAGCATTGTCCATGTGGCAGATATTATAGTTCAATATAGCCAGCACCAATTTCAGGCCTCTTGTCTGCTGTACAGTAAAGGTATAAAAGCTAAATGTTCATTTCACAGCCTCACTTGCAGCTAAGACTGGTCCTATGACAGAGTTCTGACCAATGAAAGACAGACAAGTCTGCAGATGCTGTCTTTCTGCCTTCTTCTTGAAGTTGATGCAGCTACAATGGCTAGAACTGCAGCCCCCATCTTCAGTTCTTGAGCAAATGGCAAGGGAACTGCAGAGAATTCAGCACTGACGTGATGAGCCACTAAACCTGCCAACTCTCACTCTCTTCAGATCTCTTGTTAGATGAGAATTAACTTCTATTTGCTTAAGACACTGTAGTTGGTTTTTCTGTCACTTGAAGCCAAATGCAACCCATGGTTGCACATGCACATTCGCAGGCACACACTCACACATACATCACACAGACACACACATACATGCTGTGTAAGAAAGGGTGTGGGGGGATATACCAAAATGTATAGTGCTGAAATTATATGTCATTTTTGTATTCTTCTTTTTTCCTATTGGTATTTTGTAAATTATCTAAAGTGAACATGTATTGTTTTCACAGAAATAAAGTTATAAAAACCATTTTTTGACAGTGAGGCCCTGCCTGTGCTCACTAAAATGTAGACATAGTTCTTGGTCCCCAGAGAGCTTTGTTCTATGTTCTTTGCTCTAGACTGGTTCAGCATACACCTGCTCTAAACCATGGCTATGAAATAGAACCAGGTGAGACTACTTAAAATGTTACTAAGAAAAGCTGAGATGAGCCAGGCGCGGTGGCTCATGCCTGTGATCTCCACACTTTGGGAAGCCGAGGTGGGAGGATCACAAGGTCAAGAGATGGAGACCAGCCTGGCCAACATGGTGAAACCCCGTCTCTAGTAAAAATACAAAAATTAGCTGGGCGTGGTGGCACACACTGGTAGTCCCAGCTACTCAGGAGGCTGAGGCAGGAGAATCGCTTGAACGAGGGAGGCGGAGGTTGTAGTGAGCCGAAAACGAACCACTGCACTCCAGCCTGACGACACAGCAAGACTCCGTCTAAATAAATAAATAAAAGCTGAGATGAAATGATAAGGGCAAGGTTCATCAGAGATAAAGGGCCACATATTTATCATACCTTAGGTGAAAGGTGCAAGGCCTTGGAATTAACAAGTGTTATGGCAGAAAGGAGAGACAAATTAAGGATGGCGGAGCCTTTGGGCTGCAGTGACTCAACAGCAGTTGACAGAACTAGGGAGCTGGGGAGGGGAGCCAGTTCTGAGGTGGGCAGAACTCAGGAGCTCAGTTTCGAACATGCTGTGCTTAAGGTGGATGGTGGGGCCTCCCAGGGGAGAAATGGAGTTGTCTGACAATAGTCCCTTCACCCAGTAAACCCTCACTGAGCAACGAATACATGTGCAGAATTATGCTAATCATGAGGCTACACATAAAGACAAATAAAAGATGACAATTGATGTACTCAACAGCTTGCAGTCTAGAAAGAAAGAGAAAATGTGAACACCAATTGTACAGCAGTATGTAAAGAAGAGCTACAATTTACAGTAAGGAAGCACAGTTTATACTGACTAGATACCAAGATTTCACAACGATGGTGGACCTTGAACTGAAGCCTGTTGGGTAACACAGTATTTCGAGAGGCAAGGAAGGCAGGGAAGAGATTGACAGGTTAAAGAAATCACATGATCCAAGGCACGAAGATGCAAAATGCTGTGCATGCTCCAACTGACGACAGCATAGAGTTTGTGAAGAGGTGTGGTGGAAGATGGAGATGGGGCCAGCTGGGGAATGATGCAACCTCCAAGCCAAGGAATCCAAACTGTAGCCAGTAGGAAGCCACTGATAAGACTCCAACAGGGTAGAAGCATGACTATAACTGTCGTTGAGAAAGATAACCCCAGTTGTGGAAGGTGAACCTAACAGACAAGCTATTAGAGGCAGAGAAACCAGTTATAAAGCCATTGTAATCATCCAGGCAAGAGACAAGAAAACAAACTTGGAGTGTTCAACAGAAGAGAAAGGCGAAATTGGGAAGACACAGAATGATAGGAGCTTGTGGCTCACTGTGGGGAGAGGAGGGATTTTAGAGTGAAAAAGAAAGATGAGTAGAAAATGCTTAGGGTGTCTAGCCTGAGAGCCTGAGAGAGTGAAGCAGTTCCACTAATAAAATTTTTGCATACTTAATCCTGTCTTAGTGTCTGCTTCCAGAAGTCCTGGACTAACACAGGCTTTTTGGAAGAAGGGCCTACACATTAGCTCAATTCCTGGTATCCAACAGATGTTCAATAAATGAATAAATACAGAAATGAGGGAATCAACCAATGAATAAAGTTCCAATAAAGACTTTCAAGACAATAAAAAAAAAAACACAGAAATCACAAAAGAAAACTTCTCTTCCTAATCTTGCTTCTAGAATCAACCCACCTACTTCCCCTGATTTATCTAAATCCTTCATTTTTCAACCAGTTCCTCTGGCAAAAAAACTGACACAGCCTTTGCAACCCCACGTAGTGCTTCACTGATACTCCCCTGTTCATTACTCAGTGCCCTGAAAAGCCCTTCACTAACAAATTAGTCTACCAGTGCCCCTGAAAGAAGCCCCTGTTGTTAGATTGGCAGACGGATGGTTTTTCCTACTTGACAGACGGACCAAGTTCACACACCACAAGTCAGTCCAGGCATCTGTTGTGTTAAAGCCTCCGGAGGACCATGAGACTTTCTCCTATGTACTTAACCAACTATTTCAGCACCTTTGTCTTATTTCAGAAGCCAAGCTGAATCTTCCACAGCAAGGAGTTGCAGGTTTGGTGGATTTATGCTCAGCATGTCAAGGCCCAGAAACTCATTATGTCACAGAAAATCATTTGTTCAGTAAAATCACAAAAGCATAAACAAAAAAAGAAACCAATGAGCCACATGGCAAGAAAGTATATAAAACAGCAGGAATCACACACACTCCAATACCATTAGGAAAATAGGAGGTGATTACAAGCGAAAAAAAACAAATGGCTTTAATGCACTCCTGTGGAATGGTTGCAGTTCTTCCCTGAGCTGTTGTTTATGAAAATAAATTTACTGATTTCTGGCAAGCTAGGCTATATATATATATGTATATATATATACACATATATATACACATATATATATACATATATACGTGTATATATATGTGTATATATATGTGTGTATATATGTGTATATATATGTGTGTATATATATGTGTATATATGTGTGTATATATATATGTGTGTGTATATATATATGTGTGTGTATATATATATGTGTGTGTGTATATATATATATGTGTGTGTGTATATATATATATGATTTAATTAATATAGTCTAAACAGGCCCATCTAAACATCTAAAATACGATGCTTAGACTATCATTTTAATCAAGTCCAGGCCATTGCTTCAATCACTATATGGCCTGGGAAGTTTCATGAGAAAAAAGCTACTCCATACACAACGCTGTACCATTCTGCTGGCCAAGGCCAGTCTTCCTACCAAGCCCACATGGGCCATACACAATTGTCAGTGGACAATTTTCCCGACTTGGAAAATCAATACAAAAACTTTCATGCTTTAAATATGGTTAATCGTTATGCATCAAAACCACTTCTTAATTTATGCCATGTCATGACTGAGTTGTGTCCCTCTCAAAATTCATATGTTGAAGTCCTAACCCCCCAGTACCTCAGAATATGACTGTATTTAGAGCTAGGGTCTTTAAAGAGGTAATTAAGTGAAAATGGTCACTAGGGTGAGCCCTAATTCAATATGACTGGTGTCCTTATAAGAGAAAACTTGGGCACAGACATGAACAAAGGGAAGACCATGTGAAGACATAAGGAGAAGATGGCCTTCTACAAGCCAAGGAGAGAGGCCTCAGAAGATACCAATCCTGCTGACACCTTGATCTTGGACTTCAACCCTCCAGGACTGTAATACAATACATGTCTGTTGCTTAAGCTACAGCCTGTAGTACTTTGTTATTTCAGCCATGGCAACCTAATACATGCCACATTTCCTATTAGTAACTTTGCAATTCCAATAGAATACAAGCCCAGGAGCACAGGGATTTTTGTAGGATTGGATTACTGCGGTCTTCCCAGCATGTAAAATAATGCCTGGGACAGAATTGACACTTGTAATGGTTAATTTTAGGTGTCAACTCAACTGGATTAAGATATATCTAGATAACTGGTAAAGTATTATTTCTGGGCATGACAATGAGGGTGTTTCCTGAGAAGACTGCATATAAGTTGGTAGACTGAGTACAGAAGATCCACCCTCAACATGGTGGGCACCATCCAATTGGCTGGGGGCCTGGATAGAAGAAGAAGGCAGAGAAAAGGTGAATTTGTGCTCTCGCTCTCTCTCTCTCTCTCTCTCCCTGCCCTCCTGCCCACACCCACCCCCACCCCTGCTCAGGGCTGGGACACCCTTCTTTCTCCTGTCCTTTGACATCAGAACTTTAGGTCATCCAGCCTTTAGACTCCAGGACTTGCAACGGCAGCAATTTTCCCACCCCCCTACCCCCACTCCAGGTTCACAAACCTTTGGCCTTATACTGAGAGTTAAACTATTGGCTTCCCAGGTTCTGAGGCTTTGGAACTTGGACTGAGTCATGTCACCAGCTTCCTCAAGTCTCCAGCTTGCAGAAAGCCTATCATGGAACTTCTGAGTCTCCATAATCACATGAGCTAATTCCCCTAATAAATTCCTTCTCATATATATTATATACATGGCATATATATATATTATATACAGCATATATATATTACATATGGTATATATATATTACATATGGCATACATATATTACATATGATATATTACATATGGCATATATATATTACATATGGCATATATATTATATATGCCATATATATTATATATGGCACATATATAATATATATGGCACATATATATTATATATGGCACATATATATTATATATGGTGTATATATATATTATATATGGCGTATATATATATTATATATGGTCACTAGGGTAAGCCCTAATTCATATGTATATGCCATATGGCATATAAATTCTATTGGTTCTGTCTCTCTGGCTCTCCCTGACACAACACTCAATAAATATCTGTTGACAAAATGAGAAACTTGAAGCTTTGCTAATAAGATTGGCAACAAGGCAAAAACGTCCCCCCTCACCACTGCTTTTCAATATTATTCTGAAAGTCCTAGCTGATGCAATAAGACAATAAATGGAAATGAAAGGCATATAGAATAAGAAAGAAGAAATAAAATGTTGTTGTATGCAGATGACATAATTTTCTATGTACAAAAATCTGAAAGAATTGACAAAAAACCTCCTGAAATTAATAAGCAATTATGGCAAGGTTGCACAATACAAGGTTAATATACAAAGGTTAATCACTTTCCTATATCCCATCAATGAACAAGTGGAATTAAAAACAATACATTTATATTAGCACACGAAAATATGAAATACTTAGGTACAAATCTAGCAAAATATATACAAGATCTATATGAGGAAAACTACAAAACTCTGATGAAGACATCAAAGAAGAACTAAGTAAATGGAGTTATTCCATGTTCATGGATAGAAAGCCTCAATATCGTCAAAATATCAATTATTTTCAACTGATCTATAGATTCAAGGCAATCTCAATCAAAATCTCAGCAGACTATTTTGAAGATATTAACAATTCCACAATTCCACAATTGTGCTTGGTATTTACCCAAACGAGTTAAAACTTATGCTCATACAAAAACCTGCACATAGATGTGTATAACAGTTTTATTCATAATTGCCAAAACCTGGAAGCAACCAAGATGTCCTTCAGTGGGGGAATGGATACACAGTGGTATACCTAGACAATGAAATATTATTTGGTACTAATTCTAAAGTTTATACAAAAAGACAAAAGATCCAAAATAGTCAAAATAATACTGAAGAAGATCAAAGTTGGAGGAATGACATTACTCAGCTTCAAGAATTACAGTACTAAAAGTAAACTAAAACAAGTCAACTTGATGACCAAAGCTACAGTAATCAAAACAGTGTGGTATGGGCCTAAAAAAAAAAAAAATACAAATAGATAAATGGAACAGGATAGAGAGCTCAGAAATAGACCTACATAAATATAGTCACTGGTTTATGGCAAAATGAAAGGCAACACATGGAGAAAAGATAATATTTTCAACAAATGGTTATAGAAAAACTGACACCCGCATAAAAAAAAAAAAGAATTTAGACACAGACGTTACAACCTTCACAAAAACTAACTCGAATAGATCAAAGACCTAATATAAAATGCAAAACTGTAAAACTCTCAGAAGATGACATAGATGAAAATCGAGATGACCTGGGTTTGGCAAAGACTTTTTAGATACAACATCAAAGGAACAATCCATGAAAGAAAGGGCTGATAAGCTGGATTTCAGTAAAATTCAAATTTTCTGCTCTATGAAAGTCACCATCAAGACAGTAAGAAGAGCCACAGACTGCAAGAAAATATTTGTCAAATATGTGTCTCTTAAAGGACTAATATCCAAAATATACAAAGAACTCTTAAAACTCAACAATAAGAAAACAAAACAACCTAATTTTTTAAATGGCCCGAAGACCTAACCAGATACCTCACCAAAGAAGATATACAGATTGCAGATAAGCATACGAAAAGATGTACCCATCATTTGTTATCAGGGAAATGTAAACTAAGACAATAATAAAATACCTCAACACACCTATTAGAATGGCCTAAATCCAAAACACTGAGAACACCAAATGCTGGCAAGGATATGAAGCAACAGAAACTCTCATTCATTACTAGGTGGGAATGCAAAATAGTAGTCACTTTGGAAGACAGTTTAGCAGTTTCTTACAAAACTAAATATACCCTTAACATAAAATTCTGCAGTTGTGCTTAGTATTTACCCAAAGGAGTTGAAACTTATGCTCATACAAAAACCTGTACCTAGATGTGTATAACAGTTTTATTCATAATTGCCAAAACCTGGAAGCAACCAAGATGTCCTTCAATGGGGGAATGGATACACAGTGGTATATCTAGACAATGAAATATTATTTGGTACTAAAATGAAATGGTTTATCAAGCCTTGAAAAGAATAGAGGGAACTTTTATGCATATTAACACTCAGTGAAAGAAGCCAGTCTTAAAAGGCTGCATACTGAATCATTCCAACTATATGACGTTCTGGAAAAGATAAAACTATGGAGACAGTAGAAAAGACCAGTGGTTGTCAGGAATTAAAGGGAGAAGCAGGAATGAATAAGCAGAACACAGAGTATTTTTAGGGCAGAAAAATTTTATGTATGATTCCATAATGGTGGATACCTGTCATTATAAATTCGTCCAAACTCATAAAATGTACAACACCAGGAGTGAGTCTTAAGGTGAATTATTGACTTTGTGTGATAATGATTTGTCAATGTCAGTTCATCAGTTGTAACATATGTGCCACTCTGGTAGGGAATGTTGACAATGGGGGAGGCATGTATGGGGCAGGGGGTATATGGAAAATCTCTAACTTCTGCTCAATTTTGCTGTGAACCTAAAATAGCTCTACAAAATAGTATATTAAAAAAAATAAAAGAATTGAGACTTACATACCATCCATCTAAAATATTAGTTCTGAACTCCTTTTCCTCTCCAATTCCACTCAAGTCAAATCCTGGTTATATTGTTGAAAAAATGGTTTAGAGAATCCAAACCACCAATCACTGCAATGGGCTGTATTCATTTCTGCCCAGCAAATATACAGTCCAGTCAGATGTGTTCTCTAAATCTGCTTCATCTTGGATACAAGAGGCATGAACCGTCAGTGCGGAAATCCCTAAGATTATTTATGGAAGTGGGACCTACTGCTATTTCTGTTCCCATCTCCAGAAGGTTTAAGTCAGATACCTTCTGGAACAGTCTAAATGTGGAGGCAGGAAGAGGGGTGGAAAAGATAAAAGACCTTTGGATTAAAAGTGAGGAATTGGCCAGGCGCGGTAGCTCATGCCTGTAATCCCAGCACTTTGGGAGGCCAAGGCGGGTGGATCACCTGAGGTCAGGAGTTCAAGACCAGCCTGGCCAACATGGCGAAACCCTGTCTCTACTAAAAATACAAAAAAGTTAGCCAGGCGTGGTGGCGCACGCCTGTAGTCCCAGCCACTCGGGAGGCTGAGGCGGAAGAATCACTTGAACCCAGAAGGCCAAGGTTGCGGTGAGCTGAGATGGCACCACTGCACTCCAGCCTGGGCACAGAGTGAGACTCAGTCTCAAAAAAAAAAGTGAGGAGTTCTGGGCCATTGATGAAAAACCACTTAACATTTCCAGGCCTTGATTTCTCATTTGTAAAATTAGAATAATATTTTCCTTACATCCTTTACAAGATTATAATGAGAAAAAGAAGGAGAAAACGGAATAAAAATTGCTAATGAAAGCACAAAGTTCTAAGAATATTTAAATAACACTAACTCTAATTAAATCAGAGTACACAGTCCATATTTAGGCATAGGAAAAAAGAAAGACTAGAAGGAAATACACCCAGTCAATTATCTCTGGCAGATAATGGTCGTTATCTCTAAATGGTAACATATGGGTGATTTTCATTTCCTCATTTCTTCCTTCCATATTTTTTGAATTGTTAAATAATAAACATAGTAGGGTGTTAAGCAGAAAAAATAGTCTAAAAGAAAAACATGTGGGTCAGTGAGATCCCACTTTCTCCTTTGGTTACATTGGTTGCCTTCTGGACATTTTATTGCTCTGTTTGTAAGTGTTACACTTAGAAGCTGGGTAAAATAAATAAAAGAAGGTCAGCTTCATACCAATCAATTTCTGTTGCATGTTAGCACTCCTTTGAAAGGATTTGATAGAAAGAGGCGGCTGAAGCCTCGTGGCTGGAATAAGGCTTAGACGGCATGTTTGCATTTCAACCATTCAGGCTGCCCCCACTCCCTGCTACTACAATTTAACTCTGCCATGTTGTTTCACCTCATTTGGGAACCACATATGAAGTTGTCGTGAAAATTACTTAATAGAAAAAATGTTCATAGATTCTCAGGTAAAGAGGTACAATGTAGAAGTTCCAGAGGTAAAGAGGTATGATGTAGAAGTGTTGTGCATATGTGATTTATAAAGTGGTATTGCATACCCAGACTCAATACATCAGCAATGGATTGGCTGCTGACCATAATGGTAACAAAAACATATACTTTTATGGGAACAAAACATATACTTCTATCACTGAACTAAATACTTCTTGAGTCCCTACAACGTGCTAAACAGAATGATGACAAAGACAGACTCAATCCCCTGGCACCTAACACAGTGTCTGAATATATAGAGGCTCCCAATCAACGATTGCTGAATGACTGTACGAGCCCCTTGTGCCTGAATGACTGTCCTCACAAATGTGGGCGGGACTGTCCCTGAAGAGACTGGAACCCCCAGTCACCCTAAGGAAAAGAGGCAGGTTATCAGGGGTGAGCTAGTTGTATGTCCCTTTCACCAACACCACTACCCCCCAAATAAGGGGGAAACTTTATCCCTTCAGAATCAAATTAAAATCAAAGATAAAGTAGAGGAATAAATGTCTCAAAAGCTAAACTGAGCATCACAGGCAGAATATTAGATGATCCTAAGGAATACTGTTCATTTTGTGGAGGGGGGAGTGATAATGTTGTTTTACACTTTTTAAAAAGTTTTTATATATTGAAGCATGTAAGAATGAAATAACATGAAGCCTAGTATTGTTTCTGAAGAATCTGGGAAGGAGGGTGGGCAGTGGCAAAATTAGGGATCTAGGACACAAAAGCTGTGGGATCAGCGAGACTGGCCACATGTTGGTTATGAGGGAGGCTGAGTGATAGGAGCAGGCAGGAATGCCAGTGGTTCCTACATTTGTCTGTGCATCAAAACCAGCCAGGGAGTGTCAAAGACACTGATACCTGTGTTCCACCCACAGAGACAGTGATTTACATGGTCTGGGAAAGCGACTCTGCTTTGGAATTTTTAAAAGATCCCCAAGTGATTCTAATATGCAGGAAACACTATTCTCTATACTTCTGAGTTTCAGTAAATTGCAGAACAAAAATGTCTTTTAATGTAACGGGGACAAAAGGGTAGTTAAGTAATAAGAGGAGGGTCAAGGGGCAGCCCCTGCCTCCCGCGTTGTCTGAGGATGAAGGGCTCGCTTGTCTCCCCTCTAAGTCCTTTGGTCCCAGCCTCCTCTGTCAGCAGCTGTCTCCCCATCTCTTGGTTTCTGACTCGGGGTACAGTCCACATTCAATGGCACAACCACATCAACCCACTGTCCTCTACAAATGGCACCACCCTCAAGCCCATAGAAGGACCCCTTGATTGTAGCTATTCCCCCTGACACTTCCAGTGAGCCTGGACTCCACAATGAAGCAATCTTTCCTCCCTCCCTCTTCTACTTTACCACCCTCACCCCATTCTCACTCCTCTCTTTCTTTTGTGACAGTGAATTATCCACTTTTGCCTCCCACTAGGAAGGTGAGACCAGGGCTTCCTAGCAGCCTCATGATTGAGTTTAATCATCCTTGGATGGAAGGATGTTTTTTTACCAACTCATTTCCAGCAGGACCTGCAAATCCCTCTCACCTGGTTTTCCAAAGACTCCCACAGGCAGACCCATCTTATGGGATAATGCTTTATTTTAACCAGAATGTCTCAATAATAGGTTCCATGTTCTCAGCTGTGCTCATGGTGAGGCTGTGATTTTCCTTCATGAAAATGCTATTATTACAGAACTACAGGGTCTCCATCCTCCCAAAAACAGTCTTCTATTATTCATGGGGAAATGGTGCTTTGGAGAGGGATTTGCATGTGGTTCTCTCAAGTGAGCCAAGCATGGCTGACAAAAAATGCCCTACAAACTGTAACTTCAGCAAGCCTCCCTGACATTCACCAAACACCTAGCTGTGTGGCCAGAAGTTCACTGCAAAGGTGAAAAGACCCCTGAAGTGAAAGAGAAGACCCAGTAAATGGAATCCTGACTACACCTATGGCTCCTTTATTCTTCTAAGCCACCTGTGAGGCCATCTGGGCCCTCAAGAAGTGAAGGGAAACAACAGGTATTAAGGACCCACTGTGTGCAGCTGCTCCGCACAGAAGCAAGGACTAAAAGTCAACAAGGGAAGCAGGTAGAGTTGGGTGTGCAATAGGGTGTGGTGGGGACTGCAGTCTATACACTGTAGAAAGGCAACCACTACATAGTTTCAGACCATTGTTTGATGTGGAAATACTGATTCGGTGTAGCCATGTCTATTTTTTTCCAGGGAAGCTGAGGACCTGGAATTTCAAGAGAAATCTCTCCATTATTTAAAATCATGGTAAATAATTCTATTTATGATGGCAAATAGTGTACACTCCAAACCCCCTGGTCTCCAATCTGCTACCTTGGCTTGATCTATGTTTCTCTCCGCTCCTTCCCTGAACATCCACACCCGCTAATTCTGCCTGCCTTCGTCCTGCTGCCTCCCCTGCCAGTCCCCAGCCCGGGGCACCCCATGCAGACCCCTGTCTCTCTTGCTGAACTGAAAACACCCCTCAGCATATCTGCCTGGGAGGCATCACCATGCCTGATTGCCTTAGCATCCTCAGAACCTTCTTGTGCCTGGCACACAGGTGGTGAAGTTGTGTGTGCTAAAAGAGGGAACAGACGAACTGCATTTCCTTTACTCCTCACCCCACCCCAGGATTCTCATCCCCATCGCACAGAGGAGTGAACTCAGGTTCAGCCAGGATGAGGTACCAGTCTCAAATCCCACAGCTGGTGGGAGGCTGAGCTGGAGGTGCAGCCCGTGCCCGTCTAACCCCAAGCCTCTGCTCTTTGGGCTGCCTCCTCGTGTCTTCAGGAGCCCTAAACCACGTGCAAGCATTTTGTACCTACAGGAAACCACTGTCCTAGCTTGAGGTAGGAACAAACAGCATATTAAAAGCATATAAAAATTCCCCCTCCACTTTTCATCCTAACGTGTCACCAGGCCACTCGCTGACTCATTTACTGTTATGGACTGCATCCCCTTGCTGGGTCAAAGCCTGAAGTGGGTGAGCAAGTCCATATATTTTAAATGCCCATAAAATATCCAACAGCAAGTGCATGTTAACTGGAGTCCTCGGCCCTCCACTGAGGAGTTTTCAAACCACACAAAACATCTATTCTGCCTTTGACCTTTTAGTATTTAAAACTATCACCAAAACATTGCCCTCCAAAAACAACAACAAACAAACAACAACAACAAAAAAAACAGAACAGCTTGTTCACATTATCCCTGAACACTCGTGCACACGCTGGAGGTCCTGCGTGCCTCTGAGATGCTCTTATGGCCTCCAGGGCGTACGTGGGAGTCGGCTTAAACCCTTCTCTGAGAACAGACACACCCCTGCTCCCAGGAAACTGACCTGCCGGCTTCAGCTCTAGCCCAGGTACCAGCCCCCAAATCATAAGAAAGCAAAAGCGCGGGGTCCCTCAACACCCCGTCTGCGATCTGCCGGGACGCTTCCGGCCGCGGGCTGCGCACGCCCTTGGCTGCGCAAATCCAAGTGCCTGGCCTGCCACCTTGTGGACACCAGGAGTAAAACCGCCGGTGGGCTGGCTCCAGTGCCCTCTGCCCACCTTATCTCTGTGCGCCTGAAAGAAAGGCGGCGAGAGGCGCGAATGCAGGTGAGAAGCGGATTCGTTCGGCAAAATTAGCTCGTGAGGAGGATTTGGGGAGCATTTTTTCTCCGCATAATTCAGACTTTTTATGTCAGGGGTGATGCAAGTTTTAAATGCCCCAAATCCAAACCAGACTCACCTTTAACTTTGGGGTTAACGCTAGTGTTAACTAAGAGTTTTTTTCCTTTTTCTTTGAGAGGGAGTTTTCGCTCTTGTCGCCTAGGCTGGAGTGCAATGGCGCGATCTTGGCTCATTTCAACCTCCATTTCCTGGGTTCAAGCAATTTTCCTGCCTCAGCCTCCCGACTAGCTGGGATTACAGGCACAAGCCACCACGCCCGGCTACTTTTTGTATTTTTAATAGAGACGGGGTTTCACCATGTTGGCCAGGCTGAACTCTGACCTAAAGTGGTCGGTCTCCTGACCTCAAGTGATCCGCCCACCTCGGCCTCCCAAAGTGCTGGGATCACAGGCGTGAGCCACCGCGCCCGGCCAAGAGTTTCTTAAACTTTAAGCAGTGTCAGGATCTCCCAGGGAGGTTTTGAAAATGTCAATGCCCCACTCACTCCAATCTATTTACTCAGAATCTAGGTGCCGCATCGTTATTTTTTTAACTTAATCTACCTTTATTGTAATTTTTAAAAATAACATACTTACCATCTTAACTATTTTCAAGCATACAGTTCAGTAGCGTTAAGTATATTCACATCATCAAGAAAATACTTTTCTTCCTGCAAAACTGAAACTCTGTATTTTAAACAACTCCTCCCCTTCCACCTTCTCCAGGCCCCTAGTTACCACCATTCCACTTTCTGTTTCTATGAATTTGACTGTTCTAGGTACCTCATATAATCATACGATATTGTCTTTATGTGACTGGCTTATTTCACTTAGCATAATGTCCTCAAAGCTTATCCATGTTGTAGCATGAGACAGGATTTCCTCCCTTTTTATGGTTGAACAATAGTTATCTGTGTTACATACCACAGTTTGTTTATTCATCTGTCAATGGACACTTGGGTTATTTCTGCCTCTCAGCTTTTTTTTTTTTTCCTATGAATGTGGATGTGTAAATATCTCTTTGAGGTCCTGCTTCAATTCTTTTGAATATATACCTAGAAGCGGGATTGCTGGATTGTCTGGTAATTCTATTTGGTACCTTTAGCTTTAACAGGCCCCAGGGTGATTCTGATACACAGAACCACGGGTGTAGCCCACTCCTTCACAACTCAGGTGGGGAATCCAGGGTCCAGATGATGTATGAGGATGCATTTGTGAGGTTTTGCTCCATCACTGCCTGCCTAATGAATAAACTTTGGGTTCTATGTAGTTCCAATTACTCAACCTGCTAATAGCCTAGAGGAGACAGACAACAAATCAGCAAACAAAATAATTTCAAAGAGTGTTTAGTGCTATAACAAAAGCAAGCCAGAACACAGTAACCATATGATAACAAGGCTAACCTGATTCCCATTTACAGCTCAGCAAAATGAGGCACAGAGCAGTTAAGGGCTAGCTGAATATGACACAGCCTGCCTATGGTGGAGCCTAGAATGGAAGCCAGCCAATAGAGCCCGCTTAGGGCAGGCAACGTCTCAACTGAGACCAGAATGGCAAGGAGGAGTCAGCCAAACAACGGTTCTGGGGCAGAGCATTCCCTGGCACCACACGCGAAGAGGTTGCAGAAACCGAAAGAAGACCAAAGTGGCTGCAGCAGCAGGGAAGTCAGAGGGAAAAAGGAGAGCACATGGGAAGGCAACAGGTCATGAAAGATCTCATTAGAGCGGGTGCCGTGGCTCATGCCTGTAATCCCAGCACTTTGGGATGCCAAGGCCTCCCAAATCACAAGGTCAGGTGATGGAGACTATCCTGGCTAACATGGTGAAACCCCATCTCTACTAAAAATTCAAAAAATTAGCAGGGCATGGTGGCATGTGCCTATAATCCCAGATAGGAGGCTGAGGCAGGAGAATCGCTTGAACCTGAGAGGCAGAGGTTGCAGTAAACCAAGATCATGCCACTGCACTCCAGCCTGGGTAACAGAGCGAGACTCCCTCTCAAAAAAATAAAAAAGATATTGGCCAGAATGAGGAGACTGGGTTTTATTCTGCTGTCTCTGGGAAGCCAGTGGAGCATTTTCAGCAGGGTAGAGACTTCAGCCTTTGCTTTCCTGTCAATACCCATCCCCAGTGATGCATTTGAGACATGGCTGCAACAAGAAACTGAGGTCTGGTGGGGACCCTAAGAGTCTAAGTTTCCAAGTTTTTGCATTCCTTGACATATTTCACTAATATTTCACGACAACCTAGACTTTCTGAGGCTAGACAATCACATTCATTTCTCTACTCATGAGCCTCTTCACACTGAGGCCCGCTCTCCTCAGCAGCCAGCACTTAACTGACGACCTACAGCCACCTTAGCCACAGACTCTGTAATTCGCTTTTACCTCCCCACCCCACCCTCATACCCTGTGGCCCTGGGGACAGCCCTTGATCTTTCTGGAGCCCTGGTTTCCCAACACAGAGGAACAAGACTATTTGCCCCTACTTAGGGAGATCCATGAAGACCTGTAATTGTTGAAGACAGGTTCATGAGTGTGAATTAGAAACTGCAGCCAGTTAAAGGAAGAAAAAGAGGCAACTGAGGAAATAGATGTGTTAGTATTTTTACCATGAAATATCACTTACATCTACATCAACTGGAGAAGATTAAAAGAATTATTTCGCATGAAGCATTTGCCCTCCTCAAAGGCACTGCTATTATCAGGTCTGTAAGAAACTGCTCATCCCTGAAGCCTTCATGTAACAATCTTTGCCTTTTATCCTGACCAATTCACCTCATCACAGAAAGCGCCAAATCTGCTATACTGAATCCTGTTTAATGGTGGGAGGCACTCAGTAGTGTCACTTCCCAACCATGCTCTGATTTCCTTGTAGGGAATCACCTTGGCCCTCACTGTGTGCAGTCTTCGTGGGACAATAAAACCACGTGCCTGCCCTCCCAGAGTGGAAGCTGGAGGGGCTCCACGAGGCTCCTTCTGCTCTGTCCTTCCTCTCGCCAGCTTGATACAGGGCAGTCCTGTGACCTTGGCTCAGCCAATAGAATACTCGCTTCCCTGAGATGTTGAATCTTGACAGTGACACAAGGACAGACAAGAAATTAGGATCCATTGATTCCTGTGGAGCCCTGGAGAGAACAATGAGCAGAGCCCACTATAAGATGTTCTGGAACAATCTGGTGCCCACCTGCTCCAAGTTCCTCAGCCATCACTTCCATTATTTGACCCTGTAAACCTTCTTAAAAAGTTCATTAGTCCTTTTTTTGCTAAAGGTTGCCAAACTTTCTGTTACTTGCAACTAAGAAACTCGACTGGATACAATGAACATTCAGGGATCACAGTTAGGTATCAGTAAGCACCCACTATCTGTTAAAAATTAACATTCACCTGCTACCCAAAAATACAGTGGCAAAAAAAAAAAGGAGGCATCATTTTTCGCTCACACAGAAGAAATCCAAAAGTGCATTGTCCAGGGCTGGCGTGGTGCCCTATGGTGTTAGCGATGACCCAGGCTTCTTCTCACTTTCTGCTCCACCATCTTCCACTCAGATTCCATCCATGAGGTCTCCTCACCATCCCAGGACTGTCACTGGGACTTGTTATCCTAGCCATGTTCCAGGCAGGGAGAAGGGAGACGGGGAAAGGAATGGGTCTCCTGCCAGCCAGGTGAATCCCCTTGAAGGAATTTTGCTGGAAGTGACTTCCACTCACACCTCATTGACCACCCCAACCTCAAGGAAAGCTAACAAATATGTTTGTTTTTTTAAGCAGGGCATCTTGAAAAATTCAAAGAGATTTTAAATGTTCTCACCACAAAAAGATAAGTATGTGAGACAATACATATGTTAATTAGCTTGATTTAGCCATTCCATGATGGACACGTATTTCAAAACCCATTCTACATGATAAATATATGCAATTTTTATTTTTCAATTAAAAACAAATTAAAATCTTTAAAATTAGAAATTTTAAAATTAAAAACTAAATAAAAGTTGGAAGAATTGCCATACTCAAATATACAGGGATCTTATCCTAAAAAAACAAGAGAGCATGGATACTGGGTAGGCAACTGGCAATCTCTTTCACACACTGCTTTCTGGACAACTGCTAAGGAAAGGTATTCTGAGGACCATCACCCATCTTTCATCTTAGTTTCCCCTCAACCTTTCTTGGTCGATCCTGTCTAAAAAGATTCCCTAGTCAAAACTCTGGTTTTGAGGAAAATGACAGGAAATTTTCCATTTCCGTGGACCTCACTTGGAATCATCGTTCCACTAGGTCTTTATTGAATGACTTTGAAGACGACACTTAATTCTTCCAAACCTTAGTTGCCCAAAATGTAAAGTCTGTCTCAGTCAAGGACTGACCCAGGCAACAACCTGCAGTCCCTTCGAGGTTAAAGATGATGTAAAATTAGCATTTCTAATAGTCGGAATGTTCAACTACCTTGCAATGAGCAGCAAAGTAAAAGGGATATACAGGTCATGAAGTGGACAGAGCTTTCACAATTCTTCTCAGCCTTTGACCCCAGGAAGGGTTTGACTTGTGCCTTGAGTTCAGATAGAAATGTGTCTCCTTGGATTTCCTTGGAAGTTAAAGAGAAAAAGCTACTGTGACCCAAGGGGTAAACTCACCTAAGGGAGCTGGCGGGGAGGGAGTTAATTTCATCTTTATGGCCAAAATATTTCTAAGTCCCTCTTGGAAGACAATTCTCCATGTGTCTGACTGCCTTTGCTGGAGACTATCTTTCCCAGGATGTTTGTATAGAGAGCAGCCTTGGAAGACAGAAATTGTGCCTCCCTCCAGAGCAAAGAGCAAGGTTGTTTATTGCCCACGTCATAAAGATGGCATCTGCCTCTGGAGTTAAGCCCAGCCATGCTTATTCCCTGTTAGAAAAGATTTGGATTCCCTGAACTCAGGGTACCTCTGTAACACAACTCACTGCACACACAGGCATTACCTGGCCTTCTCCACATTGCCCTGATACAAATGTTGATATTCTGGTTACTGCTAATGTGGAATATAGTAAAGTTATTTGTCTCTGACCCAGGAGTCCACCAGCATCCATTAAACTGTGGCAGGTTAACTTGTCGGCTGGCAAGTGGGGTAAAATCCCAGACCAGTCACAGTCTTAATGTCCCTTTCTTCCTTGTCACCGCCCCCTGTCCCTGACCTACCTCCCAGATGTAAACACTGGCTTAGCACCCAATCAATCCTCGGAAATATATTTTTAACACTTGCAGTTAAATTATAGAAATCTCGAAGTAATTATCTGTGTATTTTAAAGAACTCCCCAGATGCTGAAATATTTCTTCCAGGCACTTAGTCCCTTGCTATGCCCAAATCCTTGGCATGACATGGTTAAAGAATACTTGCCATATCCATGGACCTTTCTCATGGGACACCCACATAAGGCACAAATAGGAGACTGTGTGTCAACCGAAGACTCCAGAAGAGATCTAAGAGTAATGGAAGATGTGTATTTATCTCCCACTTTCATCTTCCCACATTATCTGTCCAAACAGTCGATAGTTGATTTTTTTTTTCCAAGAACTGGAAAGTTAAAGGAATGGGACTGTAAATAATAGGCTAAGCTGATGGTGGGTGAAATGGTCCAGGCTGTTTGACTTTTCAATATTAAAAACCTTCGGTCACCCCAAATACACACAAAGAATGATCAGATAGAAAATAATCTTCTCTTGTTCATACCCAACAATCTGTTGTCATCTGCCAGGGCTACAGCAGAAATCAAACACTGAACAGTAATAAAAAATGATAGCAATCGCCTCTGCTGATTCCATTCATTTCTGACCCATCTGTGCCCCAGGTACATCGGAAATTCAGCCCTCAGAGAGCACGTGTGTGTGCGTTTCAGCTGCCAAACTCTAGCCTGGCCCTTCTCTCCCTTATTAGAGGAGTCCAAAGCCAAAGCCAACTTTTTCAGATTCTATTCTAAGAGAAATAATAAAAGACTAATTCCATAAGCACATTCCCATTGGCAAACAGCTTCCCGCTTTCCCTAAGAGAAGGGCTTTGCCCTACCATCACCAAATGTCAGAGCTGAATAGAAACTTGGAAATCTCCTTGCTCAAGCCCATGTTTTCATATGAAGAAGGTGAGGCTCAGAGTGGGCTACTGGCTCATCTAGAGCACACAGCAGCATCTGTCACCCCAGCCATCACTCTTTCTACAGCTGCCCTACTGCCCTAACTTCCCACTGCCTCACGGTCTTAGCACTTGCTGTTCCCTCTGGAATGCTCTTCCCATAACTGCATGACAGTTCCTTCACCTCTTCCAAATCTTGATTTAAATTTTATGGTGAGCCTTTCCCTGCCCTTCCCTATTTTATTTTTGAGACAGAATCTCGCTCTGTCACCCAGGCTGGAGTACAGTGGCACAATGTCAGCTCACTGCAACCTCTGCCTCCTGGGTTCAAGGGATTCTCATGCCTCAGCCTCCCAAGGTTCCCAAGGAACCATGCCCAGCTAATTTTTGTATTTTTAGTAGAGACGGGGTTTTTTCACCATGTTGGCCAGGCTGGTCTCAAACTCCTGACCTCAAGTGATCCACCCACCTCGGTCCCCAAAATGCTGAGATTACAGGCATGAGCCACTGTGCCCGGCCTGCCCTTCCTATTTTAAAATTGCCCCCTATGCACACTTGCTATCTTCTTCTCTGCTTTATTTTCTCAATAGATCAACTTCTAACATATTGTATAATTTGCTTATTTATTGTCTGTCTTTCCACATTAGAATTAAGCTCTATGTGGACAGGGATTTTTGCAAGGATGGCTAGCCATCTTCGGTGTTCAATTAATGTTTACTGGGGAAATTAATAAACTGCCTCCATAAGCCTTCATCTAGAGGTCACAAAACCAAATTCCTACAGGGAATGCACAGGAAAACTCAAGGGTGACATGAGTTCTATGGCAAACTAGAGAGCTAATGCCACCATCTAAAGAAGACAGCCACTACTTAGCCCAGCCAATCATTGCCATGTGACATGTTGCTTTAATTTCTATTAAAAATAAACCTGAAGCCAGGCACGGTGGCTCACGCCTGTAATCCCAGCACTTTGGGAGGCTGAGACGGGTGGGTCACGAGGTCAGGAGATCGAGACCATCCTGGCTAATATGGTGAAACCCCGTCTCTACTAAAAATACAAAAAATTAGCCAGGCATGGTGGTGGGCACCTGTAGTCCCAGCTACTCCGGAGGCTGAGGCAGGAGAACGTCGTGAACCCGGGAGGCGGAGCTTGCAGTGAGCCGAGATTATGCCACTGCACTCCAGCCTGGGCGACAGAGAGAGACTCCATTTCAAATAAATAAATAAACAAACAAACAAACAAACCTGAAATTGGCATTTTGGGAAGAACAGTGAAATCCATTCATTTTTATGTATGAGAAAAAGTGTTTAAATTGGATAATGAGCACTTCATGCCATTCAAACCGAGCAAAGTGTTTAAACAATACAGCTTTATGAGCTCTCTGTGACCCAAACTACCCAAAAATGGCTAAAATGGAGAAGACGGGGAGGAGACACATCAAAAGAGTTTCCCCTCTTCTCCTGTGTGACTCTGCAAAGCTGAGATTTAGGAACAGATTGCTCGGGTTTTACCTAGCCTAGAAAGCTAAGCAATTAATTGATGAGCTGATTCAGGAAGGTTCAGAACAGATTATTGCATACCAGCAGTTTCCCAAATATGATAGAAAGTCTCGCTCTCAGAGGAAGGAAACGCAAGCGGTTCCGCAGTATGTATTTGGTGAGATCCACTCTACCCTCGCACGACATTGGCAAAGTTTCAATCAAATGGTTTGGGGTTTTTTTGTTTTTGATTTTACAATTGCTGAATAATCCCCCTTCTTTTACTTATTTCAACTTATTTCCATATTCTTCAACTCAGAACTGAAATGCAATAGACTTTTCTAATATCAAATATGAATATACATGATTAAAATCTTTAATTGATAAATATAAATTGTATATATTTATCATATATGGCATGATGGTTTGAATTGATCAAATGTTAATGGTTTGCTAGGCCATTTCCCAAGAAAATAGAAGAGTCAGAAGCTTTGCCTAAAAAGACAAAGTGCATTTTTTGGTTACCAGGGAAGAATTAGCCAGATCAGCCTGGAGCTCCCCCACCATCCTCCAGGCTGTGTGGAAGCTTCTCAAGTGGATGAAGGGATCCAAGGGCTTCCCAGGCCGGCCAGAGCTGAGTCAGCAGGCCACAGCCCAGGACACCCAGGACCAGCGGGGACATTGACTGGTGCCCATTCCCCAACTTCATCCTCAATCCAGACTCCAGCACAGTAGTTCGCTAGTCCAGCAGGCTTCATCCGGGACAAGTGCATCCCAGGGGAACTAGACACCTCACCAAGGATCTGCAGCCATGGATAATGTTAGGGAAATCAAATTCCAGATTTCCCACGAACATCCCCACTCTCCCTAACACAGACCCTCCTGTGGCCTCCTCGATGGTAGAGGCTTCTTGCTGGTCTGCGGGTACCCCCTCCCATTCCCTACTTCCACCGACCCCTGGGCTCGCTTTACAATAAATGCCTATCCTCCCACCCTGCCTGTCTCTTGCCACGGGGCTTTATCCAAGGGTCATGGGTCCAGGTATTTCCAGACCAGGGGAAAATGGGAATGTCAGTGTCTCAGCCAGGCACTCGTTGAGGCTGCTTGTCTTTCTTGGTGTTAAACATATTCTGTTAAAGACAAATTGTGGGGTTAAAGACAAGGTATTTCAGTCATGTTTGAAAGTTCTGAATTCAAATACTCAGAACTTCGACTTTGTGTCCTCTTATCTAGCCCCAACTTGCATCAGATAAATTAGGGCTGCAGAGACCTGAGCAAAGCCAAAAAAGTGGCCCAGGCCTTACTTCACCAGGGCTACAAGCACCAAGTGAGGCTCCACGTCCCACTTAGCTGTTTCTTTGTGAGAGTCAGAACCAGAAGCAAGAGGGTCATCACAGAGATATACACTTGAATTGGACCCAGAAGTCAGAAGCTTTCCGGCACTAAACAGCTAACTTTGGCTGATGGGTTTGACATGGTAAATATTTTCCATAAATTAAAAGCTTCAATTCCACAGTTTGTAAGTACATTTAAAGTTTTTGCATTTGAGAAAAATATTGTGTTAGCAAAGATATTTTGCAATGACTGATATTTTTATTTTCTCAATCACTTACCAATATATCAGGTTAAAGATGCCTTTAAATGAAAAATTAAGTCTAATAATAATTTAATGTGGATTGACACTTGCCAGCAAAGTTTTTAAAAATTAAGAGAGTGAATAAGTATGACAACTAGATAACAAATCTTTTGCAGTGTGGGTTATTTTCAATTCATTGCTTTTAATAAAACTGAAGAAGGACCTGAGTTGTCAAATGATAGATTATTAAAATTATTAAAATAATTTTTGTGATATAGCACTGTGTGATTGTTATATAACCATGAAGTAATTTAAAATGCATATACACAAATAATAAACCCCTTCTATTACTATTTATTTTGTAATGGATACCATGATTTTATTACAAAATAAATAGTACATATGAATTTTTATTTCTATAAAAACAGAATACAATTGATGCTGCACCCTATCTCTTTCAAGCAATAAGTAATATTCATCGATAAATACAGTAACTATTTGTTAAATCATGTCATTTAGGAGATACATTTCCAAAACATTTTTTACATTTTATGACTAATATCAAAACTGTAATCTTGCTGTGCTAATAGTATACTCATAGTGCATCTGTGTACGATTATAAAAATAACCCATTTGAAAATAATTTTAATAGCGTTTAGTGATCACAGCATATAAAAAAGAATTCAATTTTAATCAATGCTTTTTTTATTTAGAAGAACATGCTAGGATGATCAATAAAAAACTTTCAAGCATAAAGAATTATATAGTAGGATAAGATTTTGTGGAGTCAGCGGGATATGTAAATTCAAGGAAAGAAAGTAAAGGTGTAAAATGTTCAAATGCTAAAGAAGAACTTACTTATGTATTTATAAATGGATAGTGATGGGCATCAAAGCCTTCTGGTATTTAGATTTCATTGGCTGAATTTAAAAGCATAACGTAAGAAATTTATTTTTAAAGGTCAATATTTAAGCTATGTCAGAGGTTACATGCTTTGCATCATGTTCATTTTTTAGATGTGATAAAGATACTTATTGTCTTAGGATAAGAGAATATCCTTATTCATAGGAAATGCATGCTAAAGTGTTAGGAATCAATGTCAGAATGTCTGCAACTGACTTTCAAATGTTCTATCACATGGAAAAAAAAACAACAGAGAGATAGGGCAATGATACAAAATGTTAACAATTGTTGGCTACAGATGAAGGGTATATGAGTAGTCATTGCACTATTCTTTCAACTTTTCTGTAGACTTGATATTTGTATTATGAAAGTTGAAGGGAGAGAAATTATATCTTTTGAAAACTTAAAAACTTACTATAAAAACTTTGTGTCAACTTTGAGATAGGCAAGAGATTTGTAGATTTTAAAATATTTTGGGAGTATTCAAGCAAATCATTTGAAAACCACTGAGTTAACCAGGCTAGACCCTGCTTTCTAAACTTTTCTCCCTGATGTACCAGCCGCCCATGATTTTCTTCCATAGTCATAGTATTGACTGGACTATGATGAATGTAATGTTTTTATTCAATTCACTCCTTTTTTAACTTGAAAGTTAATTTTGAAGAAAAATATTGTATCATTAGCACCCATAGAAAATTGTTATGACAATTACTTGTCATAAAGAGAAGATAAGCATCAATCAATAAATTGAAAAGAGGATATTTTCAATTGCTGGCTAGATTCTGTCATTTACATAATAAATCTAAGCCTGAAACCTTCTCTCTCTGATTTAAGAAAAGATAGGATTCTGCATGGGCCCACAGAGGCAACCTCTGGGGTCCTGAGCTGGGTGCCACATATGGCACCATGCCACTTCTGTGCCACCTTGCCAGCCAGGCAAACCATTCCCATCTAGACATGGGGCACCCATCAGTCCCCAGGAATCTCCTTCAAATAAGACTGAACTGTATCTCCTGTATCTTCAAAATCATAACAGTAATATTCACTATTACTATTGCAACTATAAGGAACACATAGTATACACTTTGACAATATAATTATTCCTTATAGAGAAACCCTGTAATATACATTATTCGTATTTTATGTTTGAGGAAAGTGAAGATCAGAGAAGTTACTTGCCCCATGTCACACAGCTAGTAGATGGCAGACCCAGAATTCAATCCCACATTTGCCTGAGCTGCTAGAACATCTCTGCTCACCAGAAGGCTTGCTAAAGAGGAGCACCTTGCTCAAAGTCATTCAAGGTCCCAGGATGTTAAAATGGGACACAGTGTGCATCTCACTACATCTTTGAGGGAAAGAGTGGCATAGAGGCTTGAACAGGGCCCTGGAGTCAGAAGGACCAAGTTCAAGTTCTAACTTTGGTAATGGATTCTGACTCACATAACCACCCTAGACCTGTTTCCTTATGCATAAAAAGGGATGAATATTGACTAGATTAGGGGTCTCTAGTTTTGATCATGAACTCCATCCGTTTTTTTAAAAGAGCACATATTGCCAGTATCTATGCTTTTATTTATCCATATATTTATAAGCCATAAATATGCACTTTAAGAAACATTGCATATATTATTAAAAAGCAGAAAAATAAAATATTTAAAAGGATGAGATAAAGGTGATATAGCAATATGAAATATCCTGTCGATTGTGATGGCTGGATACTATCATCAGCTAATACCTCAAGGCACAATATGAACTGGGGCAAGATTGACTTATCCTGATAACATTAGATGACAATCTATAGATCAAATATCTTGATAGTTTCAAGACATCTTTGGCTGACTTATCTGGTTTAATAGAATTGTATTCGTGGCCCTTCGTTTCATTTACTTTATACTAACATTTTCTTCCCCGACTTTTATCTGTAACGTTGTACATCCTGTAGAGATCTTTGTCCTAGAGAATCCCAAAGGTTTCTTCCATCTTAAAAATATGTAATGACCCTATGAACATCTCTTCCCCAGAAGTCACTTCCAAAATGACTAAGAAATCAGATGCTGTGCATCAGTATTAAATGGAACCATATAAGAATTTTGAGAGGGCAGAAAGGGGAGACATCAAAAGCACACTTGAATCTATTATCATATTTATTTGTATCTTAATAGCACTTCTACAAGGAAAATATATAGAACAGTATCATCCATACTGTGTTGAAAGAAACTGACAGCCTTATCAGTAATCATTATAATTATTAAAATTTACCATTTACCATGTGGAAAGCAGGAGAGTATACTGGTTAATGGTACGAAGTTTGGAGCCAGACTTCCCAGTACAAATCCCAGCTCTGCCATTTACTAGCTTTATAACTTGGAATTACTTCATCTTTTTGTCCCTTAGCTTCCTCATCTATGAAATCCGTAATAAGAGTACTACCTCATAGTGTTATTTTGCAAATAAATATATGTGAAGTTCTTAAAACAGTGCCTGGCACATAATAAGAGCTATGTAAGGGTTAGTTACTGTTGCCATGACGATGATGATGACGACAATGATGATTATTGCAATCCTCTGAGCTTCCGAAATGAACTAACACTATGCCGAACATTTTGCTTACCTTACCTTTTTTCATCATCTCTAAATAACAGTGGTTAAGAGAGAGAAATCAAACAGAGTGACTTTGAATGTATGCCTTGCCACTTGCTAGCTAGGTCACCCTGGACGAGTCATTTAACATTTCCAAGCTGGGGTTTCCTCAGAGCCCTGTCAGACAATCCATGTAATCCATTTAGTGTAGCACCTGGTGTAGAGTCAATGCTCAATTAATGCAAGCTCTTATAATTCATGACCCAATGAAATAAGTACGCTTACATCCATTTTGCCAACGTAACTGTTAAGTCACTTACTGATCTAGAATCTCATAGCTGATGTGTATTTGAACCTGGCCTAAACATCAAGTCAGTTATCTGTAACTAGTGCTCTGGTCAGCCCAGTATATGCTGAAAATTTCCAGCCTCTTAGATAATTTTGTCATTCAGTCAACTTCAGATCTCTCACATTTTCATGAACACCATGCCAGTCATTGATTGACAGGGGTTTCTCAGAGTAGCAGAAGTTATAAGTATCAAGTCTTTCACCAGAGCAATGGAAGTCACACTGTCTTTCTTAAAAGTAAAGTGCTGGCCTGCCTTGGCACTGTGGGAAAACAAAATCTTAAATTTCAGTTGAATGGAGGGACTCTCGAACTGCTTCTCGACCCAGCCCTGAAGTTGACTAATGTGTGGCTTTGGCCAAACAGATGATCTGGTCTCCAAGGCCCCTTTGAGTTCCTAAAATTCTACAGTTTCATGAATTTACCATCCAGGTGGGGATATAAGACCAAGATACATAATAAGGCAATTATAGAACAGCTTAAAGCAGTTTGCGATCCAGGGAAAAAGGCTTTATGGAGGTTAGGATGGCCTTTAATTGATGGTTTCAATAGTAATTTCTAAAATGCTATTTTAGAGTCATGAGAATATCCTAAGGCTGTTTTAAAAGCACAGATTTCTGGGCCCCATCCCTGACTAAATCACAATCTCCAGAGAATCTGTATTCTTTAAAAGCTGCTATGATTCTTGAGCTGCAGCGTGTTTGGAAGGCAATGTATTAATCAATGGACTCTACCTCTAGTCACTTAGATGTAATTAGGATGGTGGTTCAGGGAACAATATTTTTTAAAAGCTCTTCAGGTGGTTCTATTGTACACAGAGTTGAAAACCACTGGGTTAGATCACTGAATGGTTGGAAATTTTTCTTTAAAAAAAGAATCAGAGCCGGGGGCACAATGGCTCACACCCATAATCCCAGCACTTTGGGAAGAGGCCAAGGCGGGCAGATCGCTTGAGCCCTGGAGTGCAAGACCAGCCTGGGCAAGATGGCCAACCCGTTTCCATAAAAAAAAAAAAAAAATACAAAAAATTAGCCAGGTATGGTGGCACAGGCCTGTAGTCCCAGCTACTTAGGGGGCTGAGGTGGAAGGTTAGCTTGAGCCCAGGAGACTGAGGCTGCAGTGAGCCGTGATTGCACCAGTGAACTCCAGCCTGGGTGACAGAGTGAGACTGTCTCAAAAAACAAAAAGGATCAGATATTTGTACACCCATGTTCACAGCAGAATTCACAATACTCGAAATGTGAAAGCAACCCAAGCGTTCATCAATGGGTGAAAGGAAAAATGAAACGTGGTATATACAGACAAAAGAATATTATCCAGCCTTAAAAAGAACAGAAATTCTGACACATGCCACAACGTGAGTGAACCTTGAGGACATTATGCTAAGTGAAATAAGCCAGTCACAAGAAGACAAATACTGTATGATTCCACTTATATGAAATACCTAGATTGGTCAATCTCAGAAACAGAAAGTAGAATGGTGGTTACCAGGACCTGGGGAGACAGAGACATGGCGAGGTGTTGTTGACTGGGTACGGAGTCTCAGTTCTGCAAGATGAAAAGAGTTCTGGAGACTGATTGCATAACAATGTGAATATACTTAACACTACTAAAGTGCATACATGGTTATGACAGTAGATTAATGTTCTATGTGTTTTATCACAGTTTAAGTTTTTTTTTTAAGACAGGGATGGTAGACATCTCATAGCACACCTCACCCCCACCAAACATTGCTCATTGATAACTGCATGCTTCCACACAGAGCCCAGATCCTCACACTCCCTGACACTGGAGAGAACAGTGTGAGAAAAGATGGGGAGAAAGTGAGGTGAGGAAAGTTATGAGAATTTGTGTTTGGGAGAGGGCATGAGGGAGTGAGAGTAAGGAAAAATGAAGGAGATTGTCCTCCAAAGATGCTAGGGAGGAAAAAAGGCCCAACAGACAAAGCCCCCTCAAACACAGTGTGCACAATTGAGTCTTCAAAATACTGCCCAGTGAGCAGAAGGCCAGTGCTCCCATGCTGGAACCGCATTCACCTATCATTTACTAGGGCACCAATTGGCCACAAAGGCAGCAAGGTCTATGGGCAAGAGCTAGAGCAAATACACAGAGACCCAAGTTCAAAACCTCTGCCTCTGTCCCTGGGCCACTTGGGCCACTGGTCCCTCCACCCCTCCATCCTCAGATCCCCCCTCCGGGCTGCTGCAGGCACGATTCTGGTCACACAGAGGCTCATCAGTCCCTGCTGTGTGGCAGACCAGTAGAGGCCCAGGGAGGGCGAGATGCACCACAAGGCTGAGCGCTGTCTGAGCTGTGAACCACTTCATAAAGGGCGAGGCATCCACCGGACATGGCTAGGCGAGGCTTCCACCTTCAAGGGGCTTTTTGAAAAGAAGATGAACCAACACCTTTAAATGAGTCACACCCTCTCCAGGTGTTCTCTCCCCTTCTCGGCTCACAGTTCCTTTTGTCTTTTAAAACCAGATGAGACAAATGTGGTATTATTCTCTTCAATAATTGGGTTCCCCTTCCCAAACTAGCAAAGCCAAAAATCTATGAGGAAGAAAGCATGTGGTTCAAATTGAGAGCGTGGGGGGAGTGTAACTGCTTAGAGGCGGTTGGGTTGCTCCCAAAATAATCATTACTACAAAGGCAAATCAGTGCTTGAAGATTTGCTCCCTGCTTTTGCACTAATTAGTGTGCAAGGGGGAGCGGGGGGATGAGACACAAACAGCAGCCACCAGCTGCGAAGATTTGTTATGTTAATTAATAACGTGATTAGACAGGAAAACCACAGGCAGGTCTGATCTGTCCCTGGGTGCCCAGACTGGTCCTGAAAGACCCAGGGAATGGGAGAGGAAGAGTCACTGTCTCCCCTTGGGCTGTCCTCCTGCCCCCACACCAGGGCTCAGCACTGGAGCCCAAAGAGAGACAAGGAGCCCTCACATCTTTTCAAGTGGGCACCAAGAAGCAACACCCATTCCCAATCCCAACACCTGCTTGAGTTCCCTGGAAACAAAATTGCCTGGAGAGGATTCTCTCACCGCCACAATCATTTTGCTAGCTCAAGCCACCACCAGAAAGCTTTCCCTTGGTGTCATGCTGTATTTTATGTTGCCTTTAAGTGTAGGTTTCTAAGAGAGGATAAACAGGTTAGTGAGCAGAACACCAAGGGGAAATATGGAGCAGAGTTGAGAGTCAGTGATAAAGAATAACGGAGCTCTATTATTAGTGAAGTCACTCTGCTTTTAAAAGGGGCTTGCACGTCTGGGCAGCCATTAAGTGCACTCAAAAACAGCTTGATGTGCTTGCTTTAAACCTGTTCATTTTTTTCTTCAACCACAGAAGCTGTTGTGCCAATATACCCGCTTCTTGAGGTTGTGAAGGCAATTTGTCTGCTTGCTGCCTTCCCTCGTGTCTGGGGGTAGCTGCAGCAGGCTGGCAAATGCTATGACACCAAGTCCCCATGCAGTGCCGGGGGCTAGAGCCCCTATAGTTGCCTCCCTTGTTCCCTGGAAATTGTCCTTTCAAATGCAGGCAGCTCCACTAGACGCTGGGGGACGTGCCATTGGAATCATGGGATTTTCTAGTGGGAAGGCAACTATGAAGCAGCAGATGATCTGGCAGACCCCCTTCGGAGGTGATGGAATGACAGAGTGGAGCAGTGATGGCACAGAGGCACAGATGAACAGAAGCAGAGCCGGACAGGAGCTCAGGGCTCCCACACCTGCCCCTGCACACTCTCTCAGCCATGTGCTGAGGGAGTCTGATTCTGCTCCCGTCCTTGTGACTTGCTTGGGAATCTCCATGTGTGCCCGTGGTTGGCTTCAGCAACCTTGGAGAGAACGATCCAGGGCTGGAAATAATTTCTTCATTGGGTTCACATTGCTTGAGGCTCTGCCCTCCACCAGAGATGAAGCTAAGTTCTGGGGACACAGAAGAGGGAACTCATAGTCTAGTGGGAACAGCAATCCACAAACCAAGAATCCCCCTATGATTGCCATGGCAAAAGAGGTGGACACTGGGGCCCTGGAAAGGAAGCAGTAGGCTGCTGTCTGAGCTGGAAAAGCCTCCCTGGAGGAGGTGATGTTTGTGCTAAGCCACAAACCCCTTCTCTGAGCAATAACCTATTCCCTGGTCTTCCTGGGCTGAGGGCACTAATCCCACTCAGGATTTCAGCACCTTCATACTCGCCCTTTGGTTGCTTGGGACCCAAAGCTCTGCCCTCCCGGGAAAGCCTTCTCATCCTTTCTCATCTTCTTCAAAATGTGCTTCCTGTTTTACTGGAAAACATTCTAAGACTAGATGGCGATGGTTGTACAACTCAATAAATGTACTCAAAATCATTGAATTGTACACTTGAGTGAACTGCACACTGTGTAAATGATACCTCAATAAAGCTGTTTTTAAAAACTTCCAAACATTTTTTATGTTGTAGCATACAAAAAAAAAAAGATAGCATTGGTATCATACCCTGGGTAAGCTAAAGGAAATTTAGAGTTTGGTGAAAAAAAAAAAAAAAAAAAAAAGATCATTATACTTTATATCATTATAAGAAAAGTAAAATGTAAAAGTTTCAGAAAGGTATTAAATTTTGAATTTATATAAAATTTCCAAATAAAATATTTTCAAATATTGAAGTGGATAAACTTGAATTTGTGTCCGTGAACATACTTTGTACAACCTCTCTGCAAGGTATAAGGTGCTCATTCTCTTGGGGGACACAGGTTGGAAATGGTTCCACGTAATCTTTGAACAACACTTCTTCATGGCTATCCCTTTAAATTCTTGGTGGTCTCCCTCAACAAGACACTTTACTCACACAAGGAGGTAATACAAATTTTTAAATCATTTTTATAACCTTCAAAAATCTACACTGAAATTACAATGAAATAATTCAATAACTCTTTTCTTTCATTGACAAATAAGGAATATTGACATTTTTGTGATCATGTAAACAGATTTCAAATTCAATCAAATTTCTCATCCCAAGTACTTCAACATAATGATAACATGTACATTTGCAAAATGTACATGAATTATTAGGATAGTCAGCCTACACAGAGCTGGCTTAGATGCCACTGAAAGGTATAGAAGCTACAAAAATACTTATCCAGGGCATGTGAAGACACTTGGAGTTAATGCCCACCAGGATACACTAAGCAGCCCACGCCTTGCACAACCTACCCTGCTCTCTGGACACCTGCAACGCTGGCTCCTCCAGCCACTTTCTAGGCCCTCATCCTCAGTGGGCAGTGGTGGTCCTACAGCCGCCTTCCTATGTGGATGTCCAGGAAATAGGGCAAGTGGTGGATGGGTTCAGAGCAGGACTGTGGGGCATGTCCGTGGACCCCACTCCATTCAGATGCCCTGAGAGACACCTGAGACCCCATCTATCACCCCAAGGGATGAGGAGATCCTGATCTTGGGGGCATAGGCTGAGCTGATGCCTGAGAACACCTCCTATGTTTGAACTCCCAGAAAACCTACCAGCATTTGCTAAGTCTTCAGCCACCCTGAGACAATAGTCACTTTGAGGGCTTGCAGGGAACTCCCTGGAGAGGGAATGTGCTGCTAGTGAGAGGAAAAGGGGGTTAAAAACACAAACTTGGAAAAATCTGTATTTAAGAAGTGGGTGGACAAGTACCAGCTTGGGGAGAAAATAGAAGGGGAGGAAAACCAAATGCTGAGCGATCACAGAAATCAAAGGCAGGAAGCAGTTGACCAAAAGAGGGAGTAAAGTCTTAGGAGGAGGAGAAGTGAGGCTGTGGGAAGTTGGTGGAACAGCGGGCATCTCAGAAGACAGAGGCTCAGGAAAGAGGTGTAAAGTGGGGAGTTGGGGGTGCAGCCTGGTAACCTCGAAAGTCACATGGCAAATGGAAGCATGGCTTTCTCATTTATTGGCTCAAGGGAAGGAGCTTATGAAGGGCACAGCTGCTGGTGTGGGGGAAAAGGGAGACTCAAGGACCTGGGAGGCATGAGTCAGGGATGCATAAAGAAAGGTCTTCCTAGGAAGGAAAGCATTGCTGTGCCTCTGACTTGGGAGAAAATGTTTTCCTGATGACAAAGAGGAGACTCAAGGAGCCAACAGCCACCATCTAATCAATTGGTGCAACAGATGGAGACAGCTGGTCCATGGCAATGTTCCTTCATTATTCATGTGCCAGCATTTTCTGGACAGCTGCTATGTGCCAGGCCCAGAGACAACTGAGACATGGGTCTTTTCCATTAGGAGATCAGAGTAAAGGGAAAGAAGTGAAGTATCAGATCATCACAGACCCAGGAGGAATGATGGGGAGATTACAGAAAGCAGCCGAAAGTCATGGAAGGAGCACCCACTTAGAGGGCTAAGGCAGGCTGCCCCAAGGAGGCAGAATCCTAGCCAAGACTTAAGGAGTTAAACAGGAGGGGAAATGTTCCAGGTAACTGCCCAGGGGCAAAATAGAGCATGGTCATTTGGGAAGTGAAAAGTTCAGTTTGGATGGAGGGTGGATGGCAAAATGTAGAAAGGTGAAAGGCGATGGCTCAAGAGATGAGGCAGGAGCCCTGTCATGAGGAAGCTTGCTGCCTGAGGGGTTGTGTTCTGCCTATGGCTCTTCCCAGACTTTGTAATAAAGAGGGTAAGCTAAAGGATAAAGTATTTCTCTGTCCTTCTTGACTCTTAGGACATAGAGATCCATAATCTACAGAGAAAAATAATGAGGTATTGGGACTTTCAGATGAAAAGGTGTTTAGAGCAGCTGGACAAAGTGCTCCCAGAGATGAAAGCATTTACAGACAGCGTTAATTGTATTTAGTAGTTAGTTGTCCTTGTTCTTATCTTTCTTTGGAAAGGATTATACAGAAAGCATATAAGCCATAACTACTTTTCTTTAAACACCATTTTGGTGTCTTATTTCTCTGCTCAAGAATCTTCTGTAGCTCCCCAGTGCCTTCACCATCAAATCGGAGCTTCCCTGTTTGTTAGGATTCTCCATTTTTTTTTCCTAATGCAGACCTCCCCATCAGCTATCTCAACATCAACACATGTATTAATTGCCTTAAAAGACGAAGACCCTGCACTATGAATTTACATGTTGTTGTTTGAGGGAGTTTCATAGCCTAAGAAAGCAAAAAAGTGTTGGAAGAGTGGGACTGCCTCAGGAGTTCAGAGAAGAGAGTACCATGAGGTGCCCTACACCCCATCCATCCCTGACTCTGTGCCTTTAGACAAGGCTTGAGGATTGTGGCTGATAAAGGAAGTGACATCAATGAAATAAGGAAGAATACCTAATCATGAAAATGGAGAGTCTGTAAAGCATCATTGTAAAGAGCATGAGCCCAGAAGCCACATATCAAGTGACCTTTAGCAATTTGGGTAACCCCTGAGCCTGTTTCCCATCCATAATAAATCTGATGATCATATCTACCTTGTAGGGTTATTATGGAAAGTAAGTTAAATAAGACACTATATGCAAAGCACTCAACACGACGCCTAGCAGATAGCTGTCAATCAACAGTAGCTATTAATATTAATTATATTCATAAAGACCATTGTGAAAAAGGGTAGAGGCATGGTAATTAGATGTCTGTCTTGGGGATGTATTGCCTGGGCTTGTAGCCCCTGCTCTTCTACCTAGCAGCTGTATGGCCTTAAGCAAGTCGCATAAACCTCTCTGTTCCTCATTTTCTTTATCCATAAAATGGGAATCATAGTATCTACCCCATATGTCACTGTAAGAATATTAGTGTGGCACCAGCACTGAGTCTAAAAGGAGAAGGAAACTAAAGTCTAGAACAAGGTGAGAAAGAGAAAAGCTGTGCACCTCTCTCTAGGCTTAAATAGCTGCTGCCTGCCCTGAGTTCTCAGTGATGTCCGCGTGTAAATAGACAGACAGTGGAAGAGAATACAAATCCCAGAAGTAGATCCAAATACATATGGAACATTATGACATCCTCTCAAATCAGCAGAGAAAAATGGACTGTTCAATAAATGAGGTTGGGACCATCGGGTGGCCATCTGGAAGAGCTGGCTCTGCCTTCGTCCTCTCCAATGGGGAGGAGTGAACCTAGCAGAGAGGAACAGGAATGCGCCAGAGTCGTTTGCTCTCCATGCTTTGTCATCTTTGAAGTAGCACCTATTCAAAAGTATTACCCACTCTAAAAAGTCAAAGAAAAAAAGATAGATAAATAGTTCTCCAGAAGTGATGAAAGATGGATTGTCTGGGAGAAGGGCCAGGAATCCCAGGAGGAGGTTGGCTTCTCTAGCGAGTACATGCACCCTTCTTCCAAGAGGCTACAAAACACATGCACAGCTAGGGACAACAGTGCAGAAGCTGGAAAAGGGCTCTAGGGGACCATGCGGTCCCTCTTGCCTATCATTGTACTTTGGGCCAAAACTTGAATGCAAATTCAAGCATTACTTGGGAAGGGAATACGGTGTATGTGCCTACTTTTCTAGATCGGCAGAGATGGGAGCTACTGAAAGAGAAGGACCCTGGTCAGGGAGGTTTGAGGAGGTACTGGACACAGGATCTGGGGATGCCACTAAAGCTGTCAGAGCCATATGAAGCCAGAACAGTGGCAGGGCAGAGGGAGCTGATGGGATCTCAGAAAGGAGCCCTAAGCATTCCTTGAGAGAGGGCAGGGAAAGGAGATGTGTTTCCCCAAGTTCATTCTTTTGCTAGGACTCGTATTTAAGGAGCCTGGTCTTCCAAAGATGCTGGAGGCTGCATGTCATGGCCTCAGAAAAAGCTCTCAGCTCCCCTTGTCCTCAGCAGTGATTTAAGTTCAATTGTACAACTAGCATCAGTTGACAACACTCTCCAGATCTGAAAGACAAGCCTGGCCCTTCACTCCCACTGAGTCTACCCAGGGGAATTATCCATCCTATGGCCCCCTTCCTAAGTGTGCTTCTGACAAGCCTTCTCCCAATTGTCCCAGCCTTTGATTTGTATTTATATCTCCTACTCACACCACATCCTAAGAGAATTCAACTCAAGTGTAACCCTGAATGGGTTACAGGTTATAAGCAAAAAAAAAAAAAGTGCAAAATCAATGCAGCCCATAAACTCTCATTCCCTTGCCTCTTCGCACAGCTCTAGAGATAAGAGTCTAACTCAATTGATGCAGAATTCACTGCTGAGGAATTTTTTTTATTAACTTTTCTCCTGATTATAAAAGGAGAACTCTATTTCTTGCCCTTCTAGGTCTTACCCTGTAGATTAGACACAATGACAGCATCCTCACAGAAAAATCTGGAAATACGGAATAAAATATAAGAAAAAGAATTCAGACACCAATTATCCTACCACCCAAGATAACAATATTATTGTATTGGAGTGTGAATTTCTAGTCCTTTCAATAAAGCATGGTTGATACAATTTAAATGATATTATATATTGAGTATACTGTTAATATGATAATATCAATATCAAATTATATTTTGTATCACTTGCCAATGGACTTAAATTCTGTATAATTTTTGGTGGTTACATATTATTCCATCCTAAGGATATGCTGATATGCTGAAATTTATTTGACCAATCCTATAACAGATGCTTTTCAAGGTCAATTTTTTTCTAATATAAATAATGGTATAATAATAACATTTTGCCTGAAGCCTGACTCACCTATTAGATCACTACCCTAGGATTAATTCTCAAAATTTAAGAATGCAAGGCCAAAGAGTAGGAGCATTTTTAAGGTGATGTGTAATATCACACTGACCTCAAGAAAAGTTTCACCCATTAAACTCCCCCAACCCACTATAGAACTTTTGCTCTCTATATCAAACTTTGAACCACTTCCCAGATGAGCCATAGCATTCAAGGCTGGAAGAAAGGTGGTATCCTATGAGAGTGTCCCCACAAGATTAATCCATCTGTCCGGAGAAGCAAATCCGAAATCCAGCCAGGGCCAAGGAATACTGTAGGCATGTGCTTTTTGAGCAACACTTCCATTAACCCTGTTTCTGGTACCACCTGTCTAGGAATCCACGTTAGGGGCTTCCCCCTCCCCCGACACTAAATACTTGGTATATTTTCCAACATCAATTCTGTTTCTCTGACACCAACTGGGTATCCAACAATCCAATTCAATTATAACACTATCAGAATTAGCATAGACCCCACAGGTTAAGGGCTCAGTCCCACAAGACTGCCCCACTTCGAATGCCACTCACAAGTCCAAGGTTGCCAGTTGCACTTCTGATGGAACAACTATAAATTTAGGAGATCCCACAACATCCACCTTAGGTTCAATAATTCACTAGAACAACTCCAAGAACTCAGGAAATCTCCTTGCTATTACTCATTTATTACATAACCCAAGATTCACAGGGAGGGTATGGAGAGTAGCGGCACAGAGCTTCCCTGCCCTCTCTGGGTACACCACCCTCCCAGCACTTCAGTGCATTCACCAACCCCACAGTTCCTTAAACCCCGTCATTTATGGGTTTTTATGAAGGTTTCATTATGTAGGATGATTAATGAAATCACTGACCTTTGGTGATTGAGCTCAATCTCCAGCCCTCCTCTGGAGGTCAGGGTGGGGCTGAAAGTTCCACCCCGTAATCATGGCTTTGTCCCTCTAGTAATCAACCCCTGTACTGAAGTTATCTACAATAGGGATTGATCACTGGAGGTTGACTCAGCCACCAGTCATTCATAAGCATACAAAAGAACCAGTTCTGGCCGGGCACGGTGGCTCATGCCTGTAATCCCAGCACTTTCGGAGGCTGAGGTGGGCAGATCACTTGAGGTCAGGAGTTCAAGACCAGCCTGGCCAATAGCAGCAAAACCCTGTCTCTACTAAAAATACAAAAAAGGTAGCTAGGCATGGTGGCAAGCACCTGTAATCTCAGCTACTAAGGAGGCTGAGGCAGGTGGCACGACTGCACTCCAGCCTGGATGACAGAGAGAGACACTGTTGCAAAAAAGAAAAAAAAAAAAATAGTCAATTCCAAGAGTCATGGGAGCTCTGTGCCAGAAACCAGAGACAAAGACCAAATGTTTATGTTTTATACCACGTTGCCCCTTCCCCATTTTGTTTTGTGGTGGATATGGAGCACTACCCACTCCCAGCTCCAAGGGTCAAGCTTAAGAGCCAGATCCAGGCCTGGCACAGTGGCTCATGCCTCTAATCCCAGCACCTTGGGAGGCCGAGGCAGGCACATCACCTGAGGTCAGGAGTTCGACACCAGCCTGGCCAACATGGCAAAACCCCGTCTCTACTGAAAATATAAAAATTAGCTAGGTATGGTGATGCCCACCTGTAATCCCAGCTACTTAGGAGGCTGAGGTGGGAAAATTGCTTGAACCCAGGAGGCGCAGGTTGCAGTGACCCAAGATCACACCACTGCACTCCAGCCTGGGCAAAAGAGCAAGATTCCATCTCAAAAAACAAAAAATAAAACAAAACAAAAAAAAAAAAAACTGGGTATATACCCAAAGGACTAAATACCATGCTGTTATAAAGACACATGCACATGTATGTTTATTGTGGCACTCTTCACAATAGCAAAGACTTGGAACCAACCCGAATGTCCAACAATGATAGACTGGATTAAGAAAATGTGGCACATATACACCATGGAATACTATGCAGCCATAAAAAATGATGAGTTCATGTCCTTTGTAGGGACATGGATGAAGCTGGAAACTATCATTCTCAGCAAACTATCACAAGGACAAAAAACCAAACACCGCATGTTCTCACTTATAGGTGGGAATTGAACAATGAGAACACATGGACACAGGAAGGGGAACATCACACACTGGGAACTGTTGTGGGGTGGGGGGAGAGGGGAGGGATAGCATTAGGAGATATACCTAATGCTAAATGATGAGTTAATGGGTGCAACACACCAACATGACACAGGTATACATATGTAACAAACCTGCATGTTGTGCACATGTACCCTAAAACTTAAAGTATAATAATAACAATAAAAATAAAAAAATAAAAAAAACAGATCCAGGCCAATCAGTGCATCAAATCTCCAGTCTAGGAGATTTGGCTACAGAGATTGGTCCAGGGTTGAACATACGACATGATCAGACCCAACGAGTCACGATGAGACTTTAGAATAAGGAATTTTCATGCTTTTCCATGAGAGATGAAGCTGAAAAAATGCAAGATCTACACCTGCTATAGGCATCTCTTACTACCACAGGGAAGAGCCTAAGAATGAATCATGATGAAAGAGAAGAACCTAGTGATGGTGAATCAAAAAGAACATAAGTCCTGATCAAGCATCTACATCAAACCTTCCCAGGCTTTTCAGTCACATGAGAACCCCCATGTTGCTGTGGCTGGTTTTGGTAACATTTTCAGTTGTGGAAATCTAAAGAGCTTTAACAGCACAACGTATCTGTAAATGCTGATAATCTTGGAAGGAAGGGGATCTGGTTCAGAAGCAGGACACATGAGTAAGGTCAGAGCCAGGGCTCACACCAGCGGTGGGGCCAATGGGATGGGAGCCAGGCAAACACACCTGGGGGCACCTGACATGCTAGAGGTGTGCCAGGCCCTTCTTATCACAGACACCGGGGCAGGCTGAGCAAAGGCGGGGAGATCTGTCGGCTTGTTTGCAAGCCCTTGAAACCACTGGGTCTGGGCTTCAAGACAATTAGGGAATCTGGGCAGAAAGGCAGGAGTAAGGTTCCAAGCAAGAGTGTGGACAGGTGCTGAATGTGTGGCACAAGGTTAGGATTTGGGCACAGAGAATACAACAGGAGCCTGGGGCTTCTGCACCCTAGGAATGCAGCCCGAATCAGTGTGGCACTGACAGTAATTTTTTTTCCTTACCTTCATCCTCTCTGAAATCCCAGAGTCTACGGGAAGACTGAACCTCCTGTGGTATGAATTAAATACATTCATCTATGACGAGTGGAGCAAGTTGGGTGGGTGAGAAGATCAACCAACACTAGTCACAGGAGTCCCCTAAAGCTAGGCTGAGAGCTCCTTGAGGATAAAAGCCACATCTTGTTCAGGGCAGTCACTAGCCCCACAAGGAAAGGCAGGAGGAGCAGGACATGTGCCCATTCTGCAGACACGGCTTTCAGCCCAGGAAGAGAAAGGATCACAAGCACAGCATGGGTAGCAGGAGACACCGGACTTCAAAGGACCCAAGGCAGGGGCCGTTGGTTCTTCCGCCCTCCGGGCCCTCTATAAGTACAGGAGCATAAAGCTCACAGGTGAGTCTGATGCCACAGAGCATCTTGTTATCACTTAAAGCAAAACACTGGTCAGGGCCAATGGTTCTCAAACTTAAGTGTAAACCAGAATCACCTGAAGGACTTACTAAAACAGATTGCTCAGCTCTACCCCCTAGCATTTCTGATTCCAGCAAGCGTGAGGAGGGTCCTAAGAACCTGCATTTCTAACAGATTTCCAGGTGTAGCCAATGCTGCTAATCTGGAAACCACATTTGAGAGCCATACCCTAGGCACGTGTTTCTCAACCCTGACTGTACGTTAGAGTCACTGGGGATTCTGATTTAATTAACTGAGGAGGGGCCCAGACATGGATATATTTTTAACATCCCCCAGGTGAGTCTAATATAGAGCTAGGCTTTTAAAAATAACTTGTTTAGGGCCAGGTGTGGCAGCTCATGCCTGTAATCTCAGCACTTTGAGAGGCTGAGGCGGGTGAATCATTTGAGATCAGAAGTTTGAGACCAGTCTGGCCAACATGGCAAAACCCCATCTCTACTAAAAATACAAAAATTAGCCAGGCATGATGGCACATGCCTGTAATCCCAGCTATTTGGGATGCTGAGGCAGGAGAATCACTTGAAACCAGGAGGCAGATGTTCCATTAAGCCAAGATCATGCCACTACGCCCTAGCCTGGGCAACAAGAATGAGACACTGTCTCAACAAAATAAATAAAATAAAATAAAAAATAACTTATCTAGGTGCCAAACCAATTAGATGGGTAAAGAATAGCCTTCAACAAGTATTGCTGGGACAACTGGATATCCACATGTGAAAGAATGAAGTTAGACCCCTTCCTCACATCATATACAAAATTAGCTCAAAATGGATCATAGACCTAAATGTAAAAACTACACATATAAGTTACACCAAACGTAAAAACTATACCATATAGCTATTATTTAAAAAATGAAGTACTGATACATGCTACAACATGAATGAACTTTGAAAATAGTATATAAGTGAAAGAAGTCAGTCACAAAAGGCCACATTGTATGATTCTGTTTATATGAAATATCCAGAATAGGCAAATCTATAAAGACAGAAAGTAGACCAGTGACTGCCCAGGGCTGGTTGGAGGAGAGCGACGGGGAGTGATTGCTAGTGGGTAGGGGTTTTTTGGCGGCGGGGGGGTTGGGGGGGTGATAAAAATGTTCTAAGCTTAGATTGCGGTGATGGTTGCACAACTCTGTGAAGATACTAAATACAATTGAACTCTACACTTTAAACAGGTGAATTGTGTGGTATTTGAATTTATCTCAATAAAATCATTTTTAAATGTTCTAGGTCTTTTGGAAAAATACTATTAGTGATGTTTTATAGGACAAAGACCCTGCCATATTTTTTTATTTCATTCACCCCCAATACCCTGAGAAATGTGAGACAGGGAATTGTGCTTAGACTGTACATAACGGAGGAATACAGTCATTATTCATATGGACTAGCTGCCTGCAGACTGACCCAGAATTACAGAGCCATTTGACTGACAAGGAAACTGAAACATGGAAAAATTGAGACTTCCCCTATCACAGGACCAACCAATGGCAGAAGCAGCCTGGTATGGAGTGCTTCCTCCTCTTCCTGTTCCTCCACTTTAGCCATGATCTCTTCTTCCCAGAAATGACAAGGTTTATCTGCCACATAGAAGCTAAGGAAGAACAATTGCATATTGATCTTCAAAAATACGCTGTCAAAATAGACAGATGACATACACATTGAAACACCCTACCTTCCTGTATGCGTTGTTTCCAGGAATGGATGCTCTATGAAGGCTTGAGCCATTGCCCACCCAGGGTCACACCCAGGCTAACATCTAGGCTGAGCTAGTGTGCAATGACTCTGGATTATAATAATCATATATTTCACCTCCCCAACCCAAACCCAAAAGACACCCACTCTAGAAACACATCTGAGAAACCCTGGAGCAATGCTTCTCAACCTGTAACAGAAATCTTGTTAAAATCGATGTTCTGGTACAGTAGGTGTGGAGTGGGGCCTGAGATTCTGCATTTCTAACACATGCAGGTGACATCCATCCTGCTGGTCTGGGAACCACATTTTGAGTAGCAAGGCCCTCTGACTGATGAAGGTGGTTTGCAAATCACACTTGAGAAACACCATTCTAAAGTCTCACTGGCATAGAATTTTCTATTGTAGTCAATCCATACCCAGGGTTTTTGTCATGGCTTATTAACATTCCATGGAAAATGTTAGTTGATACAATATTTCACTCATTAAGATTGTACTCCCTTCAAGCCGCTCCCCTTAAGCACAGCTAGTCACAAAGCAGAATCAGCATCAGCTGGGAGCTTGCTGGAAAGGCACATTCTCAGGCTATGCCCAGACCTATTGCATCAGAAACAATTAGTTTACGTTTGAACAAGCCCTACAGGTGATTCTGGTGCTCAATAACATTTGAAAACCACTATCTTAGGGTAACAGACAGTGTCTGAATGTGGCCTCCCAGACTCTCTACCCTCAACCCCCCTGTACTTTCTGTTCCTCCAGTGTGCTTTGAGGACTTCCTAACTGCTGTTCTTTTTACCTGGTAAGGCAAAGCAGAATTTTTTTTTTTTTTTTCAGTAAGAAAAGCTGCTTTTCTGAGCAGGCACAGCACATTATCTTAGTTCCATAACTTGAGGAGGCCCACAGTGCCTGGGCCCTTTGAGGCACTGGCTTCTACTTCCTCCCCATGTGAGCCCTGGGGACCCAACACTGTCCCAGGCAGAAGAGGAGTGTCAAGGCCTCTCAGGGAGGATGGAGAGCTAAGCTCTGCTTGCTTCCTCACCTTCAAGAGCCAATGCTTTTAGAAGTTCTCCTACAATCTGCTTTGGGGTAAAGTCAGTTAGCGGGAGAGAGAGCCCAGGCAAAGTTAAACTCATGCAGTGTGGAGGAGAAGGTTGACCTGGTGACCTAGACCCCAAGCCCATCACCGTGGCACACCGTGCTTGGGGACTGAGGGCCGAGCACACATGTGTCTTGCATTGGTACTTTGGGGCAGCGAGTCTCCATTGTTATGTCCTTGGCACCCAGCACAGTGCTGGTACAAAAAGGAATACAGTCATTATCCTTGTGGACTAGCTGCCTGCAGACTGACCCAGAATTACAGAGCCAGCATCTTCATTTGACTGACAAGGAAACTGAAACACGGAAAAATTGAGTGACTTCCCCTGTCACAGGGCCAACCAATAGCAGAAGCAGCCTAGAACCCGGACCTTCACACTCCAGGGCCTTCATCCCCACACTCCACACCCAGACAAACTCCTCAAGGCTAGCCTTCAGTGCTTTTCTGTCAGAGTCAAGATACACCTGGGATAATGGTGCAGGGTCTGAACTTTTTAAAATTAATATTAAATTTTGGCGTGGAGAAAGGGGGTCACTGAAACAAGTTAGTTATTTCAACCCAAATTTATTTTTAATCACCCTGGGTCTTTATAAACTCCCACTCCCAGTACTAAAAATGTTGCTAATAGAATTGCGCTGGCATTGGACTAGAGATGGAAGACTAGTCCATAGTCCAATTTCCTGAACTAGAGTCAAGTGTGAAGAGCTAGTCAAAATGAAACATGGGATCAGGGCTTATTTCCCTCAGCAGTTCCTCATTAGTGAGAAGGGGTGTGGCTGACAATCTTCATGGCTGGGCATTGTTTTGGAGGTTTTACACTGGAGAAAAATGTTATTTGACACAAGGTCAAACATGCATAGGAAGAAAAAAAAAAACTTTTCCTAATAAAAAAAACCTTGAATAAGTATAAATATTGATTGACTCCAGACAAGTGCCTGGAAATAAAATGATTTTCTAAAATTACCAGAATGCATTATTTATTGCACATGTCACTGAGGTAGGAGAATAGTATATTAGGAAATCCAGAGAGTTATCGAATTTTTAAAAAGGGACAGGTTGAGACTCAGTTGAGTATTGCTGACAAAGGCTTCCGAATTCCTCTCTGAAGGTTATGAGGACAGCCTCTCTATGGAGAGACACCACACCCAGTTGTAATGACAACATGCAGAAGGACTCAGAGGTCACTGACAGTCAGGAAATCTACTCCAAAACAGAAAGAGCACGCCTTCCAAAAAAAATAATAATAATGTCATTAGCAATTATTGTAAACCAAAAATAAAATTCTAAGCAAGCCCCCTGCCCCAACCCCACAGTCATCTGAATAGACTCCTTCCTCTTGGCCTGGGCACTCAAGTTAACCTGAAAGACTGGTTCACTGGTTCAGGCCATGATGGGAAGGGAGAGTCAGACATGCCTCATTATGCCCTCCTCCCTTTTGGAATTCAGGAAAAGCCGACCAGCATTAAACATCAACACAGACCTTAAGTCTTATAAGAAACATTTATAATCTTTTCTCTCTGAAGCCTGCTACCTGGAGGCTTCATTTGCATGATACAACTTTGGTCTCCACAATCCCTTATAATCCAGACATTCCTTTCTACTGATAAGAACTTTTTCAATTAATTGCCAAAAGCAAATTTTTAAATCTACCTATAACCTGGAAGCATCCCCCCCGACCTTGTCCTGCCTTTCTGGACTGAACCAATGCATATCTTAAATGTATTTGATTGATGTATCATGTCTTCCTTAAATTTGTAAAACCAAGCTGCCCCCTGACCACCTTGGGCACATGTTCTTGGAGTCCCCTGAGGGCTGTGTCATGGGCCATGGTAACTCACATTTGGCTCAGAATAAATACCTTCAAATATTTTACAGGGTTTGACTCTTTTTGTCGACATTATTGTTCTATTAAACAATCTTACAGTATTTTTCCAACTTTTTAAACTATAAAACTTTTATATTCATTATCAATTTGCCCTCACAACAAACCTATAAAGCATACGGACCACATGATGTGCCAATTTTCTTTATGGAGTACCTACCATGTGCCAGGCAAACAGGGACATGACAATATAGAACAAGACAGACGTGTTCCCTGCCTGTATGGAGCCGAAAGTCTTGTAGGAAGTCAGATGTTTAATGGGAGTTCCATATGAAGACAACTTTTGTTTTTTGTATCCATCATTCAACAATCACTTATTAAAAGCCTGCTTCATCGTATATGCTTGCCAGGCACTGAGACCCAAAGATAACAGAGACACAGCCTTACCTATAGAAACTTCCTGTCCCTGCCTATAGGAACTTCCTGCCTAGTCAGGAAGAGACTCCAAACAAGAAAACAGTGCTGGGGCAGGGGAAGCAGGGAGGAGGGGATAGGGCAGGAGCACAGATAATTTCATTGAAAAGGAGCTATTTGAGCTGAATATGAAAATAATTTGTGGGACTTTTGCTTTTAGGAGGAAAAATGTCTTCTGGGCAGAAGAGAGAAATGCATGTTATGCTCAGGTGTGAAGGAAATTTGGGGGTTTGGGCAGCCCTGGAAAGGCTGTGAAAAGAAGGGGTGCTGAAGGTGCGGCCACAGGGGCCAGCTGGTGCAGGGGGTAGAATTCCCATTCTACAGAGGTGAAACATCATCTGGGCAGGTGTCTCACCAAGGCATTCATATAATCAACTTTCACTTTAGAAAAAAGAATCCTGTTTCCAAAGTGGAGTATGGATTTAAGAGGGTGGTCACAGAAGTGAGGCCAGTTAGGAGTTAAAATCTACAATAGGATCATTCAACAAAGTATTTTTGTAAAAATAACTACACAGGGAAGTGAAAGGATTAATAAATCTAGGGTGATAAAACTGTACACTAAGCATACTATTTGTTATTTCATGTAATGTGCCCAGCATCTTTACTAGGAAGGTCTTAGTATTCCCATGTTATAAATTAGAAGACTGGGGCACAAAGAACTCAGGAAAATTTCCCAAGGCCACATGTCTAGTAAGGAACAGCAATCTGAACTCAAAGTCACCCGGCCCATCACCATACATTGCACGGAGTAGACACTCAGTAAGGGTCTGTCATGGCTAGGTGGGCAAGTGTTAGTTGCCAAGTGAGGAGTGAATATTGGGGGTTCTAAGGAGAAAGCTGTTGGAGTGGTTCTCAACCAGTGGGCATTTCACCTTCCAATCCCTGGAAGTGTCATCCAGCCTCCCTGTCTCCTGATGGAGAAACCTGAGGAACAAATACATAAACAGCAGTCTCTGGGAACATCCACCAAAACCTCGTTTACTGAACAAAGGGTAAGGGAAATGGTTGAGAATCAGGCCACGGGGACAGAGCCTGTGGATTCTGGTTGGGTCCTCTCTTTCCACCCACTCTGTCTGCTCAGCAGGACCATACATCACTTTTCCCCCAGACTGTTAATTAGAGAGACACCCGCCACCCCAACACAACACGGTAATTATGAAAACAGAGTGCTGTGCACAACATAACATGGAAATGAAGTGACATGCATCCAATTAATTAAACTTTCACAGCTCCAATCAGTCTTAATTAGAGAAGCTATCCTTTTCACTCTTCTCTTGATCAATACATGAGCTTTGCAATGCATATACATATTTTTAATCAATTAGCAAACAGAAAAAAAGAATGAGAGTCTATTGCTGAGGGTTCCATTAATTCTTCCACAAGCCATACCTGTGTGCACCGTCCATTTTTATTTTCAGAATTTACAAGGAACGCTGGATTTGAGACCCTGCAGCTTGTTTCCAAGTTTAAAAGAAAAAAAAAGAGAGCTGGGAAATGGCAGCCCCATTGTTTCCTCTTATTATTCTTGTTTATAGACCTAGATAATGCTTTGCACACTCCAGAAATTAAGAAAAGCTCATAGAACAGTGTCAGCCCAAAAGTTGTGTTTCTTCACATCATCAGTATACCACCTGTATACCTTTGACCAAAGAACAGCTCTTCCTGTCTGGGAAGGGCATCCTTCTTGACAGAGCATTCAGCTTTTGGAGGGCTGTCCACAGCTCAATGAAGACCAGATGAAGGAGACGCTAGCCCTTCGGATCAGCCAGCAATTGATGGGGTCACACATACAGCAGGCCAGATCAGCCTCATATAAGATATCGTCAGCACCACCCATCTGATGCTTCAAATAGGCTGCAGTGTGCTGTGTTCCTGGTCTATCTCCAGGTGAATTTTTAAATCTCAGCATCAGGCAAGTGAGAAAGTCGTAAGAATGGAATAAACAACACTTTAGTAACCAGGGGAGTCAAAAAGAACAGAAGAAATGAGGTGCAGAATGGGTTGGGCAGCTCAGGAAGCTGAAGCACAGACTGAGACATACAAATAAGGGTATTTTATGTTATAACCACTGTCTGCACATTAAAAGCACTAATCTGGGTAGTAATGAAAGCAAAACAAACCCCGTAGATAACCCCTGCACAAGATGCAAATAAGGAACTAAAGAGCACAGGCTGGCAAAGGTTGAAACCCCCACCTTTGACAGACATAGCTAATGGATCACAGCACCCTTTCCCACCAATTCGACATGACTTGGGACATTATATCAGTTAGTTTGACTTCAGCTGCACACAACAGAAACCTCGACTCAAATTGGGTTAAACAACATGGAAATGCACTGTCTCGCGTAACAGGAATTTAGGAAGGTCAGAAGAAGAGCGAACTTTAGGGTTAGTTGATTTGGGGGCTAAATTAAGTCATCAAGGACCTGGTTTCTCTCCATCTGTCTCTTGTTTCATCCTCAAAATTGGCTTCATCTTTAACCTGATTGAAAGATGGCTACAGCAGAAATCATATCCAGGAAGACAAGGTCCAGAGAGATAATCTTTCTCTACCTGTAGGAGAAAACTGAACTTTCCCAGAAACCACCAGCAGGCTTCTCCTGACATCTCAGTGTTCAAAGTCAGGTTGTTGCCCTTTCCTCAGTTAGCCACTGGCCCAGGGAAGGAGATGATAGACTCATCCATCTGGGCTGGAATGGATGTGAGGAATAACCATAGTGTGTCCCCTATAAAAACCTAATTCTTTATAACATTGTGGCACCCACTACCAACTACTGATCAAATTGGAACCAGAGAGAAAATGTTCTTGGCCTTCCTTGGACTGGAGAAAGAATCAACAGTGGGGACACTAGTAAGCATGGCTTAGTAAGGATGAGGGAGTGACAGAGGAAAAGGGGATATCATTTTGATTGGAGAAGGATTTGAGAATGAGTTCTTGGGGTTGAGGAAAAGCCTAGTGCCCCTTATCCCCAGAGATCTGGCATAGCCTACCTAAACTTATAAAGCAAAAGTCTTCAGTGGATGTGATACACGTACAGGGAGCTATTGTTCCATATCATGGAAGAGAAATTAGGTTACTGTGTACACTTCAGGAAAGGAGTCTAAATCAGTTGTCATCTTAAAAAGAAAGGTGAAATAGGAATCATAGATCCAGAATCCAAGATCTCAGAGAAAAACACAAGCATCATTCATGAAAAAGACATCCCAGGGTTGTGGTACCTAAAGGAGAAACATGTGCCAATCTCCTTCTGGCAAAGACCATCATTTTTCTTAGAGGCAATCTTAAAGACCCTTCTCTCTTGGTTTAAGGTAGGAAGGAAGAACCCAATAACCCCCACTCCAAAAGAAATTCTTACTCTCCCATCTCTCTCCAACTCTTCCCTTCTCTCACTTATCACCTGGAGGTGGTGATGGGCTAGATTCCATGGGGATGTTCTTTTAGCAGGTCCTGCATGTAGAGAGTTTGGTGCCTCTGTTTAGAATGTGAGGATATCTGTCGCTGCCACCTATTGTTTTCAACTTTGCAGCTTCCAGTGATGGCTGTGGGGCAGGGTGGGGGGGGGGGGGGGGCGCATATTCAACATTCTAATTCAATCATCATCAAAGACTAAAGGAAAGGAGAGAGAAGAGAGGTGAGGTTAGGTGAACATAGTATAAATGAGTTAAATCCTCATTTTTCATAGTGGGAGTTAAAAATATTATCTAACATTCATAAACCAAGAAATAGAATAGAACATATTATAAAGAGATAACCACCAAAAGAATTAAATCATAAACAGATCAAAGCAGGGGCTAGGGAGGGGTATTGACAAGGCAAGAGACTGCAGCTTCCCATCACAAGCTCTTCTGGACTACCTCCATTACTTTAATAAACACGTAAAATATCTGAGAAGATAAATATCTGTTCACTCTTGTATTCCCACTGTCTGACATGTAGTAGGTGCTCAATATTTATTTATTCATTCATTCTTTCTGAGAATGAGTCTCGCTCTGTCACCAGGCTAGAGTGAAGTGGTGCAATCTCAGCTCACTGCAACCTCCGCCTCCAGGTTCAAGCGATTCTCCTGCCTCAGCCTCCCAAGTAGCTGGGATTACAGGTGCCTGCCACCATCAATACTTTTTTGTTTTGTTTTGTTTTGTTTTGAGACAGAGTTTTGCTCTTGTTGCCCAGGCTGGAGTGCAATGGCGCGATCTCGGCTCACCGAAACCTCCACCTCCCAGGTTCAAGCGATTCTCCTGCCTCAGCCTTCCCAAGTAGCTGGGATTATAGGCATGCACCACCAAGCCCGTTTAATTTTGTATTTTTAGTAGAGATGAGGTTTCTCTGTGTGGGTCAGGCTGGTCTCGAACTCCCAACCTCAGGTCATCTGCCCACCTCGGCCTCCCAAAGTGCTGGGATTATAGGCGTGAGCCACCGCTCCCAGCATCAATACTTATTTGTTAAATGAACCAATGATATGTTCCAAATAAGAGCAATGGTTTGGCAAGTGCCCAGCTATGTAGGTGACAAATCTGTGCTTCACCCCTTAGAGCTGAACCCCCGGGCTTTCTTAGATGAGTTGGTGTCAGATCACCTGTACATTCAGCCCTGGTCTCTCTTTCTGGACCTAGTCTCTTACAAACCTAGAGGAGCAATTTTGAATGCTCTGTCGACTTGAAATTTTGACATCAGAAAAACAACTTTGCTTGCTGATCAAGTCACACAATTTTACAGTTCTCCATCAAATAAGTCCCATGACTTACTCTGGGTGTAGACCAGATACCCAGCTGAATGGCAGCATTCAGAACTCTCAACATGAGTAATCTACACACGGGGAGATCTTTATGGGAGAGTCAAAGGTAGCTGTGTCATTTGGAGCAGTCTAGCAACTTTACCTAGTGGCCTAATGCCTAGACATAATCAAGTATCTAGGACAAGTTATGCATATGCCAACTTGGTCAATGTAACCTGCCCAAGTCCCCCACCCATTCATGGACATTGACTAAGAAATGGGCATTGACCAAGGAACATTTTCAATAAGTTATTTTCCTGAGGATTTATGGGGAAAATTCTCGATGGTGACAGAATGTTCCTCAAAAGAGCAATCGAGGCCGGGTGTAGTGGCTCACACCTGTAATCCCAGCACTTTGGGAGGCCAAGGCAGGAGAATCACTTGAGCAATGGGAAAACTCCCTTGAGGATCAGTATGCTCCTGACAGGTCATGTTCTTAAGTTTCCCATTGATGGTTTCAGGAGATCTTTAAGTTATAAACAAGTATGCTAACATGTTGATTTGCAGTATCTATTGGGCAGGAGCTATCTGAGCATTAAAATATAAAAAATCAGGCTGGGCCAAATGCAGTAGCTCACACCTGTAATCCCAGCACTTTGGGAGGCCAAGGTGGTCAGATCACTTGAGGCCAGGAGTTCCAGACCAGATTGGCCAACATGGCAAAACCCCAACTCTACCAAAAATACAAAAAGTAGCCAGATGTAGTGCCACACGCCTGTAGTCACAGCTACTCGGGAGGCTGAGGCATGAGAATGGCTTGAACCCGGGAGGTGGAGGTTGCAGTGAGCCGAGATTGCGCCACTGCACTCCAGCCTGGGCAACATAGTGAGAATCTGTCAGAAAGAAAGAAAGGGACAAAGATTGAATTGGTTACAAAAGTTGTTTGCGATGATGTGATGACTACTGACATTGGGTTTGCATGTTTTAGTTAAAAGTGTGTACTATGCAATTTACTTAAATGTTCAAAATACGTGGATTGGATTAGTTGCAAAAAAAAAAAAAGTGAAAAATGTTGGTCTGATTGATTCCCTCTAGGGTGTCCTCCAAACACGAGGTCACCATCTGTCCATGAGATTCACTCCTGCTTCACTGCCCCAAATGAGTCACTAGCCCTGAGAAAAATAGGCCTATTGGCAGAGCTTTACAGGCTATCTATGAAGAAAAATACACTGTACGCTCTGCTTCAAGTAAGGTGGTGCCAGATTCTGCATCCTTTGGGGCCCAGGAACTGCCTGAGCATGTTTTTGCTGCAGAGAGACTCCACCATAAAAAATACTTCTATTCCTTCTTCCCTGTCCTTCTCCCCAGCTCACTCAAAGTTGCACAAAGGATATAGGGGTGGTGGTAGCAGACCTTATGTGAGGGTAATGCACTATTGGCCACTATACATTCTTTGCCATAACCAAAGAATGATTTTGAGGGAATCACTAGGTGAAAAAGAATATAGTAGCTAAAGCACATGCATGCAGCAAAACCCTCCCACCACAGGCTCAACCTATGATCCATCCAGTATTCATTGCTTTAAACTTCTGCTGCAGTAATCACAGGCCTGCTCCTGTTATTTGCAAAATGGGGGGTGCCAGAGACTCCATTTTCTAACCTGGTATTTTGCATCATGGCATAGACAAATGATCAGGCCAAAAGGATCCTATAGGTAAGCAAGGATGTCCAGGCAAAGGCTAGGAAAGTCCGTCCTGCTGAATTTCCAGTGGAGCCATCTCCAGCTGGCTTTGAGTATCTCAAGTCAGCTTTTGTCAAAGATAAATAAATCCAGACAGACAGCATTGAGGTGTTGTTGTTTGTACAGACCTCCCTTCATTTTTACTACAGTTAAGGTATCATGCAGTACTGCCATAAAATTGAGCAGAGGACAGCTCCAGTCATGGGCTCAGAGATCACAACCCTTTTTCACACAGAGACTTGTGCTAACAGCCACTGCAACATCTGTGTATTGGTCAGTAGCAAAGGCATCCCTCCTGGGGTGAGAAGACAACAGGTTATTTGAATTATCTCCTTTCTAGTCTTCCTCTTTCCATTTATACTTCCTGAAGGCTCACAGAACCACAAAGAGGAGACCCCACTAATGGTTTGGGGGTACCACAATTGCTGCTGTTTCCACAGTATACCACAGATTCAACTTCAAAGAAAGAATACCCCTTGCTGGTTAATGTTAGCTAAGTGGAGGAAGCAAAGGAGGAAGAGAGACAGTTGTATAAGACAGAGAGCCCTCATGCTAGTTTAGTTACTCGTTTGTCACAGTGATTTACACTGGGGCTATTCTTGCTTCATTTTCACTCCAATAATGAGCCATTTATGAAAGACTACATGGTACTTGCCTGTTTTATTGCTACAGAGCCCAGCAAGATCCTCAGAATGTTTTCTCAGCAAGCAGAAGATATCCCTCTACATCTTGGGACATGAAAACAGTTCTTGTAGATGTTCCTGAGATTTATAGGTTTGGCTCAGAGGCAGAGACTCTGGCAATGAGCTGTAGTGGGTCTGCCTCACCAGCAGAGAGTGCCCTGTTGTCACTTTTCTCTCCTATTCTCAGGGCTAGGTTGGATGTCGCTCTAGAGCTTGGGCAGAACCAAGAGTCAAGGACGGTACACAAATGGGTTTTTTGTTTTTGGTTTTTAAAGAATGCCTCCTAGCATGATGTCAGACTTGCACCATACATAATTATTTTGCTTTGGGCAATGTCCTTTGACCCAAACTATTGTCAATCCTAACCAAAGAGTAATTTTCTGAATGTTGTGCTTTCATTATTATGACAGCTGCTCATGTTTGCAAACCACTTATTTCAAAACAACACATCATTCAGATCTCCATGATTACAGATGCAGGGACAAGGAGAGAGAAGTGACTCTCTCACTAGCCCATCAGGGCTCCTAGTTCTGACAAGATGGTCATAGCTATGGGCTTCCCATTCCAAAGGCCCACTCCCACCAGCATTCCCTCCGCTCATCTAATTCCAGTCTTCCCAATCATCTTCTTCCAATGGGAGGATAATGGTGACAAATACTCCAGGTCACAGAGCTTTCACCTATGTTAATGGAATGAAGAGGTTGGGTCATTCCTGTGGCCAAAATCTTAATTTAAAGCTGGGGTGGCTGTAGCTCAGATGGTCTATAGCCATGCCTCTGAATTTTATCTGTGTGTAAGACTTACTGGTTCATCAGAACAGATGCTGTCCAAACCTCTTGTCGCAGCCACCACTTTCTTCTTTCACCTCTCTCCAAAGTCTCCCATATCACACTGCCATCCATTTGGTTAGTAGTTTTCATGCACAATCCTTTCCATTTTTCATCACACTTTCACTGCATGATCTCATTAGAATCTCATAATGCAAACTCAAGGTAAGTAGAGAAGGTGTTAATGAGCTTTTCCACTTACCCCAGGCAATAGTTACTCTGTTCTGTGTTCCCATATGTTGCATATTCCTTTATTATAGACATTTTTGCTATAGTGTAGTTATTCCTTTACCAAGTTCTACCACTGTGTGTTTCCTTAAGGCAAGAGTACAGATCTATCTTAACAGGCTTATTGCAGCACCCACCCCCGCCCCCCGCCAAAGCTTTGCAAAGTCCTTGAGATATAGTAAGTATTGAATAAATGTTTGTTGATTTGAATTACTATACCCATTTGACAGATAAGATAATCAAGTCATACAGAGGAGCTAAATAATACAGATGCTACAGCTACTGCTTGAAATGAGTAATGGAAGAACAGGGGATAGTACATGTATGGGCCAACTCGAGGAATAAACAATCAAAGAGAAAACATCTATTGCATTCTGACTCTGGAACAAATGCCCTGAAGAGATATAAAGATAAAATAACAAGACATGATCATAGTCTGAGACTCTCGTCCAGTGACTGGTGGGCCCCTTTAACTACTCTGTATCTCAGTTTTAACTCATTCAAGTGAGCAGGCTGAAGGATAAGATCTATTATGGCTCATTTGCATAGGCTCCTCAGTATTCTGGTTGAGGAAATGCTACGTATCATCTATTTGCACAGATGGACTATAGACATGCCAGCATACGTATGGCCATGGGATTAACAAAACATGCCACATGGGCAAATAGAATCAGGTTGAAAGAGCAGTCCAGACCACCCTGAAAAAAAAAAAAAAAGGCCTAAAGGAAGAGAGAACTTGGAGAACTGAAGAGTGAAGCAGGCTTTATAAGAAGTGAGGCCAGGGCTGTGGCTAAAGTTGAAATTTATACAGGCAAGAATGACTGACGGGGTGGAAATGAATGGAGGGGGTACACAAAGTGTGTGTATTTAGAGGACAGTAATATCAGGAAGCAGGGCAACTACTTTTCCAGTGGTCTATGCCTGGATGTGAAGGGAGGTGTTTGAGGAAAAAAGAAAGCCTGTCTCCACTTCAGTCCAGTGTTATTTCATCTCTCATCTGAACTCCATTCCTGTTTCATTTATCTTGCTGGTCTCCCAATCTAAATTAGGTTTTGCCCCATTGTACAGTCTCACAGCATTCTGAACTTTAACGTCACAGCAAAAATCTTAATTATACATGCAAGTAAGCTGTTCTTTCTCTATTGCCTCTGTCTCCTGCAGGACTGAAAGGTCTTTGAGAGCAAGACCTGCAACTGTTTTATTCACTGCTGAATCCCTTGCACCTAGCATATAGTAGGTGTGCAGTAAATGTCCAGTGAACTACTACATGAAAATCAGGAATATATGAAAAACATGTCTGTCTGATGGCAGGGCCGCCTTCCAGGGCACAGTTGCTCTGGCTGCCTGGGCAGCTTAACTCAAAGTCAAGTGAGGTCGTCAGTGACAGGTGCAACCACCACCCAGGCCGAAACTTTGGAGTTTGAGTGTCACGGAGAGTGAGAATGTCCTATTTCTGTTTGAGAAACACCACCACCAAGTTTCGTCAGCAGACCCTGCCTTTGACGCTGCACCACATCCCCTCCCCATTTCCTCTCAGTCAAAACGGAAGATGCTTTTCTTTCCAAACAAACTTCTCTTGAGCTTCAGGGCCCTCCCAGACCTCCCTAAACCCACCAATCCCAGCACCCTGCCTCCTACTCAGTCCTGCAATGAGTGACTTTGTCTGTACTCATTCAGATCCATACACACCCTGTGGTCGGCTGTGTTTGTTTCTGTTTTTAAAGGGCTGAAGCAACTGAGTCTCAGAAAGAGCAGGTGACTTCTTGAAGGTCACACAGCTAAAAGCCCCGTCAAGGGCATCCAGAGCATAAAGCTTTGTCATGACGCTAGTTGCTATTTAAGTGCTTGCTAGACTCTGCTAAGTGCTTCCTCACATGACCCCTGCCGATCCTCACACCAGCCCTGTGAGATGAGTATATTATGAAGCCCAGTTTATCAGAAGGCCTAAGTCACGAATTAGTTGGATAACCAGCTCAGGGTCACTCTGCTTGAAGTCACAGATCTGATTCTAACTCGGGACCGAAGCTGACCACATAGCCTCAACTCTCCCCTACATACTCATCACATGGCTGCTGGATGATTTTTCTCTGCTTCAGATTCTCACTTATTCCACTGGACGCTCCTTGAGCAATGGAGTCACATGGTGGGACAGGTGGCCCCTGGTCACTGAAAGGCATTCCACCCAGAGGGACCCAACTTCAGGAAGTAACAACCTCTAGCACCCCCACACCTGCCTCCCTACTTTTCTCCACGCCCCTTCTTTCTTGCTCTCCCATCCACTGCAGGCCCCCACCAGGCCTTTCCTCCCTGAACCCAAACTCTCCTCCTCCCAATTATCTTCACACCAAACTCAGCTGGTTTTCTAGGGGGATGCACCTGACAAGCACATTGACTGTGACTAGCACAGCACCTACCCCAAATATGGGGCATCCCTTTACAATTCAAGCACATCTTATTTCAGCCAAATCTACAGGGACCATTTCTGTCAATTCTGTAGTAAAAATTTTATAGCCCGGGGAGTTTCTCCACCAGGGGCACATGTACTTGCATTTTAACACAGAAAAACCTTAGGAGGGAGAAGAAGGCCCCAAACATGAAGGCTGTAAATATGGATGTTCACCTCTTAACCTCTCCTGGCCCCAGCCCTCTGAAGCTGGAGACTTAAGAATAGCTGCTATAGGGGGCCAGACATGATAGCTCAAACCTGTAATCCCAGCACTTTGGGAGGCCAAGGTGGGAGGGGATTACTTGATGTCGGGAGTTTGAGACCAGCCTGACCAACATGGAGAAACCCTGTCTCTACTAAAAATGCAAAAATTAGCTAGGCATGGTGGCGCATGCCTGTAATCCCAGCTATTCAGGAGGCTGAGGCAGGAGAATCGCTTGAACCTGAGAAGCAGAGGTTGTGGTGAGCCAAGATCATGCCATTGCACTCCAATCTGGGCAACAAGAACGAAACTCCATCTCAAAAAAGAAAGAAAGAAAGAAAAGCTGCTATATATCAAGCATCTACTCTGTGCCTTGCCGGCCATTTTTACTTGACCCCTAAAACCACTCCATGCAGTAGGTTGCATTGTCCCAGATTTACAGGTTTTAAAAAATGAGATCCAGGCTGGGCACAGTGGCTCACGCCTGTAATCCCAGCACTTTGGGGGGCCGAGGCAGGTGGATCACTTGAGGCCAGGAGTTCGAGACCAGCCTGGGAAACATGGCAAAACCTCATTTTTACCAAAAAAATATGAAAATTAGCCAGGCGTGGTGGTGTGCATCTTTGTCCCAGCAACTTGGGAGGCTGAGGTGGGAGGATTACTGGAGCCCGGAAAGTCAAGGCTGCAGTGAGCTGTGATCGCACCACTCACTCTAGCCTGGGTGACAAAGCGAGACCCTGTCTCAAAAAACTAAATACATAATAAAAACGAGAGCCAGAGAATAAATAACTTCCTGACTCCAAAGCTTTGCGTATTTGCCACTACAATTGGCTGCCTCCCTGATTCTCTTGGTGAGACTTAAGATTTTGCAAAGCAAAACCCAGCTCTTACCTTCCCACCCGATGCAGGCTAGAGGTTCGATCAGGGAGCCATTTATATTCAGCAGATAGTAGAGCCTGCGTACGATGTACAAGCAAACATTTGTATTCTAATCTGTGATTAGAGTTCTACTTCCAGCTCTGGAGTTCTTACTATATAATTGTGCCCACAAATCCAGTTTGATTTGCTGTTCTGCTTATTTATTCTTTGCATTGGAATTGTTTAGAGTCATTGGACTAACCAAAATTTTTAAATGGCAAATTAAACAAGAGGTGAATGTGCTAGCGTTGGAGCCATATTGATCCAATAGAACACGAAACAGGTCTTTTAATGTATGGATGAAATCTCCAAAGCTATTGACAATTTTCTGCCATGCTTTTTAATCATCACATGCTTGCTCTGGCTTTTGAATTGCCTAACCTTTGGGTGGTAAAATCACAGCATGTTATTTTAATCTCTTTATAATGGACTAGAGTTCACTTCAAATAAACATGTCTCCCTGTGCCCTTGGTAGGAGGCAGGCAGGGTTGAGAGGCAGGGAGTGTTGAGAAGCAGGCTCGTAGCCACATGGATTCCCCAAAAAGCCTGAACTGCACTCTCCATCTGAAAACCACATGGGCTTCTGGGCCTGCTGCTCTTATCTCTAACACTGGGTTCCCAAAACACAGTCCCTGGAGCAGCAGCAGCAGCATCACCTGAGAAACTGTTAGAAACGCAAATTCCCAGTCCCTTACTCAGACCAACCCCCATGTCATGCCATACAGTGGCTTACCAATAGTATTCACACAATAAATATGTATGGCTTACTGAGTTCCTAACACAGGAAAAGGGAACAGAACAGCAATGAGTATAATGGAGCACAGAATGGACCTTGGATGTCTTCGCTTCACATTTGCCTGGGGTTGGCTTCTATTCCCCAAGACAGGGGTTCTCTAACTTGAATGTGCATCCGAATCATCTTAAAACACATATTTCTGGGCTTCACCTCCAGAGTTTCTGACTCAGCAGGTCTAGCTGGGAGCCAAGAATGTGCATTTTAACAAGTTTCCAGGTGATGCTGATGCTGCTGGCACACCTCACTTAGAAAGCCACTGCCCCAGAGGCAGGAGTCACCTGTCTCCAATTTCTGCCTCTTTTTCTGGCCTTGGATACTATACATATTTTTAAGGCCTTCCCTCTCCAAACTTCTCAAAACTTGGCTCAAAAGATTATCTAAAGGCTGGTCCAAAAATTACTAAAACCAGAAGAAGAATGGATGTATTCTCTTTAAAGAAACAGACAGGACTCTGTCTTAATAAGAGAGCAGTTACTTATTCAAGAGCTAGGAAAGGAGGGATGGCACTGTTGTTAGGGATTCATGGTCAATTTTTTTCTTCCATGCAGGTAGAGAACATGGGTTCTTGATGTCTGGTTTCTTTTTGTAAGGTTGCTCCAAGGTCCCTGGTAGGCTTTAGGGTTTGCCCAGCCACAAGATGGCAGTACTCAGCCAGCATTCACATGAAATGCAATACTGGCCCCCAGACTCCTCTTGCTCTTCAGATGATACCCAGAGCAGTGAACTGATGCATTTGATGCAACCAAAATAGGCTCATTTTCCTCCTGGGAAACCTGGCATTGAAGAAATTCTCCATCTAGTAAACTCAGACCCGGGAACAATGACCCTAAACAAGATTACATGCATGCCATTTAGTGTCTAAAGACAGAGCCGTTTCCCACACTCAAATGAGGAAACAAGAGGCTAACTGGTCATATGGTACCAACAAGACAATGAGGCAGAATAATAAATCTGTGGGCCTCCCCAAATATCTGTGAATATGTGGCCATCTCAGTTACAAGGCAACTAATGGTGACCTAAAAATAGATATCCATTGAAAGATGCATTAAAAATGTTATATCCTAAGCAAAGTGGAAAGTTGCCTCAAAATATATTCTCTGATGGTTAGTCAAAACACGTTGTATTATAAATAAATAGCAAGCATCATTTTCCCATGTCAAACGTGGCGACTCATGGTTTGTGAGCTACAATAGTACTTACTAGCAATAAGCATCTGTGAAATGAAGGGGCTCCCAACACATCCAGAATGTATGGTGGCACAATGAGAATTCAGAAAATGCCATTCTCCCCTCTCTGCTCAATCTCCCACCGCTGTCATCTTTACTACAGGCTTGATCTGAATTTAAATACATAAGATTTGGGCTCCACCCACATACTTTCCACCCAAGTATCTCAGAAACTGATACTCATGATTCCCGCAATTCCAATGAAACTGTGGTTTTGTGCTGAGATTATCTGAATAATTGCTTCCATTTTTCTTGGCCTTATAGACAGAACCCCTAAATTTTGTAAGACCCTTTTCTTCATCTACTGTTCACTAGACCAGTTGTTTCCACGCTCAGCTGATCAACAGAATCACCCACGGTCTTATTTTGGTTTTTAAAGTACAGATGCCATATCACCTTCCACCTACTGATTTTAAAATTTTGGAAAGGAGGTGGCAGAGCTAGAAAGTGGTGTTGGTTTCTAGCATATGTGTAGGAATAGTAACCCAACTGAGGGGGTTCCAATGAGGTTTAGAAACAGCTGCACTAGGCAACACTGCTTTTCAGACCTCAGAGCACTTTCTCACCATATTCAGAATGTCCCATGGGAGCAGTAGGAGGGAAATCTTAAAACTCTCCAGGCTCTTCTTTACAGAGAAGGGATAGCAAGAGACGTGCCCACAGTCCGAGAGACTCATACAGGCAGATTCAAACTTAAGTCCTCTATTACTAGTTCATCCTGTTCTAGCCTTTAGAATTTTCTCACTTTCAGCAGGGCCCAGTGGCTCTCATGCCTGTAATCCCAATGTTTTGGGAGGCTCAGCCAGGAAGATGGCTTGAGGCCAAGAGTTCAAGACCAGCACCCGCTTAGGCAACATAGCAAGACCCTGCCATTTAAAAAAAAAATTTTGCCAGATGTAGTAGTGCACACCTGTAGTCCTAGCTACTCAGAAGGCTGAGGCAGGAGGATTGCTTGAGCCCAGGAGGTTGATGCTGTAGCGAGCTATGATCACGCCACTGCACTCCAGCCTGATAGCAGAGCAAAGATCTCATCTCTAAAACAATAATAAAAAGCATTTTCTCATTTTCTGTGGGCCTTGTAAATCACATTTACCAGACATAGGATTGCATGGCAGACAAAGGCCAATATTCCTGTCTGTCGCTGTGCACTACTCCAGTCAGATAGATCCTCACCAAGGCCTTGTAATCCATCCCAGAGTCCTGGCAAAGCAGCCGGGAAAGGAAATGAGTGAAAACAAAGACATATGAGCAAAGGGTCAAGTTGCCAGAACTCTTTGAACGGAAGAATCAAAGACTCAGGGAGGAGTTAATCACGTCTCGGAGGGCACTGGGGGCTGTTGGGGCAGCAAGGCCCTGAGGCAGCTGGTGGGGACCAGCACTCACGCCCACACAGAACATCTGTTCACACCCATGGAAGTGCAGCGAGCTTTTGTTTTTATTAACTGAAAGAGGAGGAAGGCATTTGGTTGGGGTGGAGTTGGTAAAAGTGAGTAAATTGCAAGGTTTGTATTGGCACCTCCCCACAACCAGACCTGGGGTTTGAGTCTCTGTGTGGAAGGGTGGTTGTCAGACTTCGGAGATGTGGCTTTCATGAGAAGCTTTTACAAATGTTTTAGGGAAGCAGAGCTGCTCCTAGATCCAGGTGGCACAAAGGTGAGCAGGAAACCTGAATTAGTCAGGGTTCAGGGAAGAGGAACCACTGTGAGTGATATAAAATAAGAGATTTATTATATTGGGGGAGGTGAGAGACCCTTCTGTGCAGCCTGGTCCCTCTGTGTCTAGTGTTGACCTTGAAGTTGCTGTAGGTCAGCTGGATTGGCAGTCACAAAGCAAAGCTGGTTGTCGACAAGAGCAAGGACAAACTGAAGCCCACAAGGATGAAGTGGGACCTGCATCTATCACCTCCAGCCTCAATGCGATGCCCTGGCTGAGCTGCAGGATGCCAGCCCCTTCACCACAAAGCTGCACACACACCTGGCCAAGGACTCAAAGAAGCAGGAGATTGGTGAGAGTCACCCCAGCGAGACAGCTGATCAGTGACAAACATGGGCAGGCTGCCATGGCACCTACACTGATCAGCAGTGAAAAAACACTATTGCTGCTTTACTCCCGCATTACAGATCTCACGCAAAATATCTCTCGTGAGCAATGCTATCCTGGACCTATAGAGAAAAGGGAATTCTCCAAAGGGTAATTCTCACTTAGCTAGCCTAACACAATGCAGATCTGTGACAAGATTGTCTCCATGTTCTGGTACCTGAAACTGGAAGCTTTGGGCCCACCCAGCATTTCATGCATCTTGGCATGAACTCTGGAGTACTCCCAGCGGGCACTTTGAACAGGAAAATCATTGCAGCTCTGTCAATCAGCTTCCTGAGTAGTAGATAGCAAAAAGTATGAGCTGAGAAGGAAGAACAGAACATGGCAGACTGTTTCCAGAACATATGAGGCCCCATTCAGGGATTTTGCCAAATAACTAGGGCATACTTTGGGCAGGAGGGCACTTAGAGAGTGGTACCATTGTAATTTGTACATAAATGGAGTTCTGATCTCATTTTGTATGCAGGGCTGGGCATGCCTGGACAAGTTGGTGACACAAGTAAGTGACATATAATGAGAATTTCATAAACCCAGAGATGGAAAGAGATCTGAGACAGTCATTTCCTGCCTCTCCCCTCTTCTCTCTTCTCCTTTCCTCTTCTCTTCTCTCCTGCTCATAAGCATCCTATGTTTCCATCATACCAAGCCACTGGCAGGTCTCTGAACACACCACACTCTGACATGCTTGGACCTTGGCATTTGTTATAGCCCCAACATGGAGAGGCCTCCACCCCTCCTGCCCTTCCTCACTCCTTTTTCCTTGAATAACCTGCGTTCAAATTTCAAATCTCAGATCCGTCCTCCCCTCTCCCTGACCCCTGGTTAGTTTGAGTCAAGAGATACTCGCAGGTACTGTCTACTGATGGCAGTCTGAACATGCCTTTTCTAATGTGCTATCACCCTATTTTTAAGTAGCCTTCTTGAAGTATCATTGGACTGCAGTAAACTGCATATACTTTAACTGAACAATTTGTAAGTTTTCACATAGGTATACACCCATGAAACCATCACTACAATCAAGATAGTAAACAATCCATCCCCTCTGAAAGTTTCTGTATGACTCTTTGTAATGCTTCCCCTCACCTCCCTCAACGACATCCCCATACGACATCTCATCTGCTTTCCCTCATTCTAGATTAGGTTGCAATTTCTAGATTTGTATTTAATGAAATCATGTAGCATGTACTCTTTTTTTTGGTCTGTCTTCTTTCATATTCAGCATAATTATTTTGACATTCATCCATCTGTCTGTGTGTCAATAGTTCATTTCTTTTTTACTGTCGAGTGGGGTATTCTGGTATATGGATGGACCCCATTTGGTTTATTCATTCACCTGTTGGTAGACATTTGGGCTGTTTCCAGTTTGCAGCTATTACATATAAAGCATCTATGAATATTCATGTACAAGTCTCTTTGTGGTTATATATTTCCTTTCCTCTTGGGCACATATCTAGGAGTGAAGTGGGTGGATATATGATAGGAGTGTGCTTAATTTTTTAAGAAACTGCCAAACTATTTTACCAAGTGATTGTTCCATTTTACATTGCCACCAACAATGCATGAGGGCTGCAGTCCACATCCTAGCCAACCCTTGATATGATCGATCTTTTTAATTTTAGCCACTCAAATAGATCGGTGGTGATATTTTATTGTGGTTTTAAGTTGCATTTTCCTAATGATGAATGTTGAACATCTTTTCAATGTGCTTATTAGCCATCTATATATCTTCTTTGCTGAAATGACTCTTCAAATCTTTTGCCTATTTTTTAATTGGGTATTTGTTTTTTGAGTGTTCTTTATAGATTTTTGACACAAGTCCTTTATGAGATATGTAGCTTACAAATATTTTCTCCCAGTCCGTGGGTTGTCTTTTTATTCTTTTGGCAGTGTATTTTAAAGAATAAAAGTTTTTAATTGTGATGAAGTTCAATTCCTCAACATTCTCTTTTACAGATTGTTATCATTCTTAATTCTCTAGTGGCTTCTACACACCTCGTCTGTGAGCCCCTCCAGGGTAAAGACCACAAGATTCCTCCATCTCTGTATTCCCAACACCATGGCTTAGCACTTAGAAGACACTGAAATTATAGTTCTTCTGGCTGCATTATTGCTCCTGGCTACCATGGGAAGGCCACAAAGAAATCTCCACATGGGGCCTGAACCTCCTGGCATTGCTGTGTAATAATTGTTCCTTTATATGGGAATAGAGGGTTTTAATCAATGTCACCATTTTTCTTAAGCAAGGAACACCTACTAAGGCCTCTGCATATTTCCCCATAATATATCTCTGTATTTGCACAGAGGGAGAATGAATAACATAGAAAAATCCTCCCCTGGAGGCACTCCATTTGGAAATTCTGCTTGTTTTTTCTTTTGATCAGGGAGAGCCCATTGTTTCTGGAATAAGCAAAGAAAAATCTTATAACAGGGTCTCCCCATAAGCAGAAATCAAAGAGGACTTCTCCAGGAAACAAATCCAAGTAAATTTCACCATGGGCCTGCTATTTTTTGCCCCAGGAAAGGGGTTTTAAGAAGGTGATAGGCCGGGCGCAGTGGCTCATGCCTGTAATCCCAGCACTTTGGGAGGCCGAGGTGGGTGAATCACCTGAAGTCAGGAGTTCAAGACCAGCCTGGCCAACATGGTGAAGCTGCATCTCTACTAAAATTACAAAAATAGCCAGGCATGGTGGCAGGCGCCTGTAATCCCAGCTACTCAGGAGGCTGAGGCAGGAGAGTCTCTTGAACCCAGGAGGCAGAGGTTGCACTGAACCTAGACCATGCCATGGCACTCCAGCCTGGGTGACAAGAGCGAAACTCTGTCTCCAAAAAAAAAGAAGAACATAAGATGTCTCTTCCATATATGAGAACCACAGCTCAGTTTCCCTCCAGTGGCCCCCCTATAGGCTGCTAGCCCCCACCAGGGTCTTCTACCCAGCACCAACCCAGGAACAATTCTGGCTCATTCTGGCTGACAGCAATGAAGCACCTATCTAAATACTGTTGAGATGTTGAATTCAGTAGAAAATGAACAGTCAAAACGTTTTGACAGGTGTTTGCCTTGTGATGTCCTGAAACATTCATCTTTCACAATTAAAAGACTCTAAGGATGAATTCCAGTTCCTGAAATATGGAACACTGAGATGAAGACCAATGACAACTGTGAAAGTTCTTTCTCCCAAAACCAAGAATTCTTCACAAAATATAACTTTAAAAATATTTTAAATATATGATTAGGCTCACAATAAAAATAAAGTAGAAATTTCCAGGTGCCAAAGAGAAGCATAAAACCAGAGTGGCAACTTAGGAGCTGATAATATAGTTACCAGAAGGGAAATAATACGACGACTTGGTTTTTAAAAGTATAAGAGACAAGATATTGGGCCAATGCAAGGAGGAGAGTTGGAATTGAGAACCCTCAAACTGGAACTCTCAAAAATTGATACCCTCTCAGAAAAGACAGACTGGAACAAAATCTGTCAGCACAGATAAACAAGGAGTCTTATCTGTCTGTGCCTGTGTTCTAGATGAGCAAAAATGTCTCCCTTGGGAATTAGAAACCCCCAAATGACCTGGGGTTCAAATTTACTCACCTTTTCTAGGAATTCTTCATTGAGAGATTAGCATAAAAATTTTTTCTAGGCCAGTGATAATTCTGATCAGCTGGAAAAAGCAAAACCATTAATGCCAAAAGAAATTCATGGAAGAAAAATGTTAACCTCACAATTAAAAATTTCAAAATCCACAAGGAGAAATCTACCATAGACAAAAGGTAGAATACACTATAAATGCAAGATTAGACTCTCAACAACTTGAGGTAATAGAATTACAAACTGAAACTTGGTAATAGTTAAAATAATTAAATAGCTAATAAATAAAAAGAAAGCTGTAGGAAAATACAATAACAGACAGCCTGTAGAAATTTTGAAGACCATGATTAACACAGTTGATCTAATAGATATATCAAAATCCCTGTACCTAAGAATTAGAGAATACATAGTATTACAATTCAGTCAACTTAACAAATGTCAAACAACAAATATCACATAGCCATGCTTTCTGATCATAATACAATAAAAATTAAAATATTCTACAAAAAAGGCAACCCTCCAAACTCCCATGTGTTTGGAAATAATTTATGAGTCAATAAATTTTAATGATTAGAAAATAATTTGCATTGAAAGGAAATAAAAATAGCATATGTCAAACTTCAGGTAATAGAGCATAGGCATCACTTAGAGGAAATTGTATAGAATGCATATATAACTGAAGAAAGTCCAAGAATTAGTGAGCTAACTATCCAACTCAAAAAGTTGAGAAAAGAGGAACAAAGTAAACCCCCCACCCATCAAAAAATGAATAAATGAAATTATAAAGATGAGTAGAGAAATAAATAATAAAAGAGAAAAGAGAAACAGAAAAAGTCAACAAAACCAAAAGCATTTGTTTGGAAAAAAGCTAAGTAAATTTCACAAACTTCTGACAAAGATTAAGATCGATTTAAAAATTACACACACACAAACCACCACCAATGAAGAAATATAAGAACCTAATTTCAAATGCAGCGGAGATTTTCAGAAATTATAAGAAAATACTATGAATAACAATTATGAACATTTGAACACTTAGATTGAAGGTACAATATTCCAGAAAAGGTATAATATTCTAGAAAAATATGTTATCAAAACTGTCCAAGAATATGTATGAAATTTAGATAGGTCTATTATTAAAGGAAGTAAAACAGTACTTTAAAATATATTCACATACAAGCAGAGAGGCTCACGTGCACACACATGCACAAATATACTCATCAAAAAACCCAAACAAATTATTCCATGGGTATATTCTAACAAACATAAAAAATACATATTTTCAATCTCATTCAAATTGCTTCAAAGAAGAGAAAAAGAGAATGTTCCCTACTCATTTTATGAGAGCAGTATGTCCTTGATGTCAAAACCAGACAGGATGGTATAAAAATCGAAAACCATAGGCCAATCTCACAAACACAGGAACACATAAAAACTTCATAAACTATTCACAAAATAAGCTAAGCAATGTACCAAAAAATCCCGACTGTAGGTTTTATCCTAGAAAGGTTTATTGCTAGGAAATCTATTCATATAATCTGTACAATAAATTTTTTTAAAAAAAAACATATAGAAGTAAAGAAAAGCATTTGATGAAATTAAACTCTCATTCTTGAGTTTTTCTTCTTTCCAGCTTTACTGAGGTATAATTCACAAATAAAATTGTATATCTTTAAGTAGTACATTATGATGTTTTGATATAAGTAAACATTGTGAAATGATCACCACAATCAAGTTAACATATCCATCACTTCACATAGTTACCATTTTTTATAAATAGTGAAAACACTTAAGATCTCTCAGCAAATTTTAAGTATATAATATAGTATTAACCATAGTCATCATGCTACACCTTAGATCCCCAGAATTTTATCATATAACTGAAAGTTTGTATCTTTTGACAGACATCTCCCCATTTCTTTCTCCCCTCTCCCTACTCCCTGACAACCACCAGTCTGTTTCTATGAGTTCAACTTTTTTAGATTCCACATATAAGTGTAATCATGCAGTATCTGCCTTTGTCTGACTTATTTCAGTTAGAATAAAGCCGTCAAGCTCATGCACATTGCCGCATATGGAAGAATTTCCCTCTTTAAGGCTGAACAATACTGCATTGTACATGTACCGTATCTCTTTATTTAGATTGTTTCTGTGTCTTGGTTACTGTAACTAATGAACATAGGAGTACAGGTATCTCTTCAAGAGGTCTTATTTTGTTTCCTTTGGATATATACCCAAAAGCGGAATTGCTAGATTATATGGTAGTTCTATTTTTAATTTTTTGAGGAACCTCCATACCATTTTCCATAATGGCTGAATCAATTTGGATGCCCATCAACAGTGCACAAGGGGTTCCCTTTCTCCCCATCCTCACCAACACTTCTCTCTTATCTTTTTGGTAACAGCCATCTTAGACGGTGTGAGGTGATATCTCTTTGTGGTTTTGATTTGCATTTCCCTGATGGTTAGTGATGGTGAGCACCTTTCCAGATACCTGCCAGTCATTTGTATGTCTTCTTTGGAAATATGTTTATTTAGGTCTTTTGTTGAGTTTTTAATTGGATTTTTTTGTTTCCTTGCTATTGAGTTGTGTGGGCTTCTTACATATTTAGTATGTTAATCTCTTTCCAGATATACGGTTTGCATTTATTTTCTATTATATAAGTTACCTTTCATTTTGTTGGTTTTTGTTTTTTGTGTTGTTCATTGGTTTGTTGCTATCCAGACACTTTAGTTTTCTGTAGTTGCACTTGTTTATTTTCATTTTTGTTGCCTGTGCTTTTAGTGCTATATTCAAAAAATCTTTGCCAAGCCCAAGCCCAATGTCAATGAGCTTTTTTCCTGTTTTCTTCTAGGAGTTTTACTAAGTATTACATTTAATGTGTAATTCATTCTGAGTTAATTTATGTAAGTGGTATAAGATAGAGGTCCAGCTTCATTCTTTTGCATGTGGATATCCAGCTTTCCCAATACCACTTATTGAAGAGACTGCCCTTTCCCTATCATATTATTAGCACCCTCGTCAAATGTTAGACTATATATGTTTGAGTTTATTTCTGGCCTCTCTGTTCTGTTCCATTAGCCTCTGTGTCTGTTTTTATGCCACTGCCATACTGCTTTGATTACTATTGTTTTATAATTTAGCTTGAGATCAGGAAGTGTAATGCCTCTAGCTTTGTTCTTCTCTTTGTTGTTCTTAAATAGCTTTGGCTATTTAAGGTCTTTTGTAGTTCTTTACAAATTTTAGGATTTTTTTGTTTCTGTGGAAGATGTTACTGGAGTTTTTATAGAGATTGTATTGAATCTATAAATCACTTTAGATAGTCTAGTATGGACATTTTAACAATATTAATTCTTCTAATTGATGAACATAGGATATCTTTCATTTGTGGTTTTTTTCCTATTTCTTTCATCAATGTCATATAGTTTCTAATGTACAGATCTTTCACTGACTTGGTTAAATTTAATCCTAAGTATTTTATTAGTTTTTATGCTATTATAAGTGGGATTGTTTGTTTTCTTAATTTCTTACTCAGATCATTGTTAGTGTATAAAAATGCTACTGGTTTTTTATATGTTGATTTTGTAACCTACAAATTTACTGATTTATTAGTTCTTTTAGGGTTAATATATTTATAAGATTATATCAGCAAACAGGCACTTTTACTTTCTTTCTGATTTGAATTTCTTTTTATCTTTTTCTTGCCTAATTGCTCTGACTAGGGCTTGCACTACTATGTTGAATATAAATGATGAGAGGAAGAACCTTTTGGTTCCTGATCTTTGAAGACTTTTCAGCTTTTCACCTTTTAATATATTAGCTGGAAGCTTGTCATGTATGGCCTTTGTTATGTCGAAGTACATTCTTTCTATACCCAATTTACAGAGCATTTATGTCATGAAAGGGTGTTGAATGCTTTTTCTGCATCTATTGAGAGGATCATATGATTTTATCATTCATTCTATTAATGTGATATATCACATTTATTGATTTATATGTGTTGCAACATCCTTGCATCTCAGGAATAAATTCTACTTGCATGGTATTATCCCTTTAATATACAGTTGAATTTGATTTGCTAATATTTTGAAGATTTTTACATCCTTTATTAAGGATGTTGGCCTGTAATTTTCTTGTGTCCTTGTTTGGCTTTTGTATCAAGGTAATACTGGTCTCATAGAATGAGTTTAGAGGTGTGCCCTCCACTTCAATTTTTTGGAAGAGTTTAATAAGGGTTGGCATTAATTCTTAAGTGTTTGATAGAATTTGTCCATGAAGCCATCTGGTCCTGGACTTTTTTTTGTTGACAGATTTATTACTGATTCAATATCCTTGTTATTGGTGTCTATATTTTTTATTTTTCATGATTTAGTCTTGGTAGATTGTTTCTAGGAATTTATCTATTTTTCTAGATTATCCAATTTGTTGGTACTGTTAATAGACCCTTTGTATTATTGTGATATCAGTTGTACTACCTTCTTTTGCATTTACGATTTGAGACTCCTTTTTCATGGTTAGTCTAGCTAAACGTTTGTCAATTTCTTTATCGTAAAAAAACACCAATTCTTGGTTTCATTTTTTTAATTGTTTTCTAGTTCCTATTTCACTTATTTCTGTTCTGATCTTTATTATTTCTGTCTTTCTGCCAACTTTGGGCTTAGTTTGTTCTTTTTCTAGTTCCTGAGATATCAAGTTAGGTTGTTTATTTTAGATCTTTTCTTCATGTAGACATTTATTGCTATAAACAGTCCCCTTAGAACTGCTTTAGCTGCATCTCATGATATTTGGTATGTTCTGTTTTCATTTTACTTTATCTCAAGATTTTTTAAAAATTTCCCCTTTGATTATTTGACCCATTGTTTGTTCAGGAGTGTGTTGTTCAATTTCTATGTATTTGTGAATTTTCCAGCTTTCCTTCTGTTGTCAATTTATATTTTCATACCATTATGGTTGAAAAATATACTTTACATACTTCTTGAATTTTTAAGTCTTGTTCAGTAACCTAACATTCTGCAGAATGTTCCATATGTGCTTGAGAAGATGGTCTATTCTGCTGCTGTTGCTGACATGTTATGTATATGTCTGGTGTGTCTATTTGGTCTACAGTGTTGTTCAAGTCTTCTGTTTGCTTATTGACTTTCTGTCTGGATGACTTATCTATTGATGAGTATTAAAGTCTTCTGCTATTACTGTATTGCTGCTTGTTTCTCCTTTCAGTTCTGTTAATATTTCCTTTGATATTTAGTTGCTAACAGCCATTTCTGTTAGGGGAACTAGAGCCAGGGACCTCCTATTTCACCATCTTACTAACGTCACTTCCAGAAAAAAAAAAACTGTTAATAGAAAGAACAGATCACACCTGTAATCCCAGCACTTTGGGAGGCTGAGGCAGGTGGATCATGAGATCAGGAGATAGAGACCATTCTGGCTAACAAGGTGAAACCCCGTCTCTACTAAAAATACAAAAAATTAGCCGAGTGTGGTGGCAGGGGCCTGTAGTCCCAGTTACTCAGGAGGCTGAGGCAGGAGAATGGCATGAGCCCGGGAGGCGGAGCTTGCAGTGAGCCAGGATCATGCCACTGCACTCCAACAGAGCGACTCCGTCTCAAAAAAAAAAAAAAAAAAAAATAGATTTATTTTTAACCAGATGAAGAATATCAAAAACAAACAAGGCCGGATATGGTGGATCACACCTGTAATCCCAGCACTATGGGAGGCCGAATCAGGAGTCAGGTGGATCACAAGGTCAGGAGTTTGAGGCCAGCCTGGCCAATATAGTGAAACCCCATCTCTACTAAAAATATAAAAATTAGCCAGGTATGGTGGTGCATGCCTATAGTCCCAGCTACTTGGGAGGCTGAGGCAGGAGAATTGCTTGAACCCAGGAGGCAGAGGTTACAGTGAGCTGAGATTGCACCACCACACTCCAGCCTGGGAGATAGAGTGAGACTCCATCTCAAACAAACAGAACAGCAAACTTAACCATTAATGGTGAGAACATAGTTTTGTTCTTTAAAATAAGAAAAAATATATAGATGCCAGCTATCATTACAGCTTGTACTGTCAATGTTAGTCAATGCAGAAAGACAAGAAGACATTTTAAGATTTAAGAATTGAAAGAGAAAAAGGTCAGAATCCCCATATATGCTAATCAACACAAAAAAGTCAGAAACATCTAAAGACAAACTGATAGAAGTCCTGAGAAAATTTAGTAGAGTTGCTGGTATACAAAGTTAATAATGTCCTTATATATTAACAACAATAACAGAACATGTGGTTTTGAAAAAGATACATGTAACAATCGCAACAAAAAATATAGAGAACATAGAAATACATCTAACAAGTGATGTGAAAGTCTTTATAGACAAAATAATTTTTAACTAACTGAAGAGTGTATTTAATGAATCTAAATAGATAATGTATCATTTATTATTTGGGATATGAATTTCACTGAGTATAATAGAGACCTATATTATAGTGGTTTGTTTAAACTATTAGTCTCTTTCTCTCTCATGTAACAATTTGGTGGTAGGTCTTCCAGAGATGGTACTAAAATGCGAAACCAACAATATTTACGTTTGTAGACATTTGCAGAAATCAACTTTCTCAAATTACACACTCAGGTTCCATTATAAATCCCAATGAATTTTTGTGTGAGATAAGTCCATTCATAAATTTCATATGAGAGAGTGAAGGATCAGGAGTAGCCAAGACCAATTTGAAGAAGTAAAAGGAAGGAACCATCTACTATATGTCAAAACATACAATGAGACAAAGGATTTAAATAGCCGTTTCTCCAAAGAAGGTATGCAAATGAACAATAAGCACGTGAAAAGACACCCAACATCATTAGTCAGGAGGGAATACAAGTCAAAATCGCAATGCAATATGACTTTACATCCACTAGAATAACTATAATAAAAAACACAGACAAGTATTGGTAAGGATGTAGAGAAAGTAGAACCCTCATATATTACTGGTAGGCCACCTTGAAAAATAATTTGATGTTTTCTCAAAATGCTGAACATAGAGTTGCCATTTGATCCAGTAATTGTACTCCTAGGTATATATCCTAAAGAAATAAAAACATATGTTTACACTAATACTGGTACAGAAATGTACATACTGGCTGGCTTATTCATAATAGCCAAAAAGTGGAGACAATCCAAATGCCCATCAATGATGAATGGATAAAATTTGGCATCTATCTATACAACGGAATATGATTTAGTCATAAAATAGAATGTAGTATTGATATAATCTACAACATGGATGAAACTTGAAAAATGCTAAGAGGCCAAACACAAAAGAGCATATATTGTACGGTTCCATTTATATGAAATGACTAGAACTGGCAAATATATAGAGACAGAAAGTAGATTAATGGTTGCCAGAAGCTAGGGGGAGGCGGAAGGAGGACTGACTGTATGGGTACAGGGTTTCTTTGGGGAGTGATAAAAATGTGCTGCAATTAAATAGTGATGATGGTTGTACAACTCTGCAAATACACCAAATTTTATACTCTAATGGAGTGAATTTTATGGTATGCAAATTATATCTCAATTTAAAATTAATTGAAAAACTTATGAGGTTACAGTAATTAAATCCACGTGGTATTGTTGTAGGAATAGACAATTAGACCAATAGAACTGAATTCAGAGCATAAAAAAAGACCTACGTATACAAAGACCTGACACGGAATAGAGGTGATATTATAAATCAGTAGAGAAAGAATGAACTATTGAAATCATAGAAAAAAAATTGTTTCTCCTGCACAACTTTACAAATATGGATTCGATTTTATTTATTTATTTATTAGAGACAGGGTCTCACTCTGTTGCCCAAGCAGGATTGCAGTGGTACAATCATAGATCACTTTAGCCTCCAATTCCTGGCATCGAGCAATCCTCTACAAGTATTTATTCTAAATGGGTTAAAGACCTCAATATGAGAAGCAAAACTGTGAAACCGCTTTAAAATACAAGATGGGAAAATATTTTTGAATTTGGGATAGAAAAGCATTTTCAAATCACAAACAGAAGAAAATGTATGATTAATTTGAAAATACAAAATTAAACATACATACACAAGCAGAAAAAACAGAAAAGCTTGCATGAGAATAACATATCAAGGTCAAGTACATGGTCATATTGGAGGAAGGAAGGAAAAAAAAAGAAAGGGACAGTAGGTTGGTAAGCATCGATGTATTTTTCTCTTTTTAAAAGAAATCTAAAATGAATTTGGCAAAATAATAACCATTATCTAAATTTTGCAATGGATATATAGGCATTATATTATTTCCTCTAATCTGTATTCTTGAAGTGTTTCACGAATAAGAACTCTTAATATGTTAAAACACACGTGGCCTAGAAAGGTGAGGAATCCCCTAACGTACCCCACCACACTCCTGGGGTCTGTTTTTTGTGTAAGGCATAGAGGTTTTAATTACCTTCTTGATGCCATACAGCAAACTTGTCACGAAAACATGGCTAAACCTCCGTTTCCCTCTACCCCAGTCGACTGCTCTTTCTGGCAACAGCACATGTCTGCCATTCTGGGCAAGCATTCAAGTTATTTCCACTCTAAAGTGTTATGTGGATTTACTAAACCAACAAGAAGTCTGGAGAGACACTTAAATCACTGTCTTTGCAAATTAGTATTTTCTGCTGGTACTGAACTTATTCCAACATAAAATCAATGAGGGGAAGGGGAAGAAGAGAGTGAAAATGAAGTACTTTTATCCTCTGAAGTGCAACATATATATTCCTGCACTCTGTGGAGCTGTTTCTCTGCTTCCCTGTTCACTTAGGGAGACCGAGACACCCAGGCAAAGGCACCCACCGATAGCGGCTAAGTCAAGAAAGGGGTGAAGGGCAGTCGGAGAGGCTCCCATATAACTTCATCAAGAAGTCTGCCAAGAAGTGCAGTCCCAAAAGAGTGAGAGAAACCAGCTTGCTGGACTTTTCTTCCCTAGTCACAGGACATGATGGGGGCAGTTCTGGGTACTCTGAGGTTAAGAGCACAAAGTGCTCTTACAAAGCTGGTTCTGAAGGGAACACACAGCACTTCCTAAGGCAGCGCCTCTTAACCTCAACCGCAGTTTACAATTAGGGAAACTAACAAAAAAATGCAGACAACCAAGCCCCACCCCCAGAGATTCAGTTGCAATTGATTTGCAGCAGGTCATTGGTATTATCTAAAAGCATACCAGGTAATTCAAGTGCACAGCCTCTCCCCTAAGATAGAGTCTCACTCTGTCGCACAGCCTAGAGTGCAGTGGCACAATCTCAGCTCACTGCAACCTCCACCTCCCGGGTTCAAGCGATTCTCCTGCCTCAGTCTCTCAAGTAGCTGGGATTACAGGCATGCGCCACCATACCAGGCTAATATTTGTATTTTTAGTAGAGACAGGGTTTCACCATGTTGGCCGGGCTGATCTTAAACTCCTGACCTCAGGTGATCCGCACGCCTCAGCCTCCCAAAGTGCTGAGATTACAGGCATGAGCCACCGCACCCGGCCTCAGGAGGACTTTTAAGAGAAATGGATTCCTGGAGCTGACCATAAATTGAGTGAAATCAGTTAAGCCCCAGCTCTAAACTCAGCTCTGCCACTTATTGCATGACCTTAATTTGGCTCAACTTCAGTTTCCTTACCTGAACCACGGGGACAATAATACCTACCCTGCAGTGATAGTGGTAATTGAGATGATATATGCAAAAGAGCTCCTGGCACAAGGTTATTAACAGTCATCTCTACCCAAGATTGGTTCATCTGTGGTCAAGTACATCTTTGTGGTCATGATTCAGAACCAAAGAGAAGCCAGCACCTTACATGACTCATTTACTTTCACCCCCATTTGTAGAGGAAGGTGTTCACCCACAGCACCCACCTGGTTCTTTCTGGATCTAACACTGGTCTTTGGCTTGAATGGCAAGTCTTACAGCAGTTAACTCTCAGTTATTCACAGGAATGGAAGAGAATTATGGGAAGGTAACCAAGAGATTCCCTATCTGGGATGTGAAGTGTATCACAGGCAGTGGTAAGCAGAATAATGGACTCCTCTAAAGATGTCCATGACCTACTCCCCAGAATCTGTGAACATGTCAGTTTACATGGCAAAGAAGAATTAAAGTTGTAGATGGAGTTGAGTTTGCTAATTAGATGACCTTGACATAGGAGATTATCCTGGATTTGGAGTAGTCCCAGTGGAATCACAGGGTCTTTTTCAGTGGAAGAGGGATGCAGAAGAGAGAAACCTGGAGAGATGATGGTATAAGAAGGACTCAAGCCGCTGTTGCTGGTAGAAGCAACAGGAAGAAATGGCTGGGAGCAAGGAATGTGGATGGCCCTAAGAAACTAGAAAAGGCATGGAAATAGGTTCTCTCCTAGAGCCTGAAGAAAGAATGCATCCCTGCTAGCTCAAACCCTGTGTCCTCCATCTGACCTCCAGCATTGTAAGATAATACATTTGTGTTGCTTTAAGCCACTAAGTTTGTGATAACTTGGTACAGCAGCCATAGAGAACTAATAGGCCAAACACTTGTGTAACCAGGTTTCCAGGCCCTCTCCATAGTGCCCCTGACTAAATTAGGTGGCTGTGTGGTAACTCAGGAGCCTGCAGGCAGGGAAGAAAATGACCTCAACAAGCAGTGCTTGAGAACAAAATACAAGTCCTGAGGTTCATTCATTCATTCACTCAAGCACCATCGCTGAGCATCTTCTTTGTCCTGAGCAGTGGATACCAGCTGAGTAAACCATGGTCTCAGGCTTCAAGGACCTCTCCACCTGGAAGCAGGAGGCAGAGACAAACAGGGCATTAGGAGTGCTGCAATCTATGTCCAGTGTCAGGAAGTGATGTTCCAGCTGAATTTGGCAATGCGAACAGGTATTTGTGGAGCCAACTAAATTGCAGGAAAGCAGAGCAGTGTGAGCCACTGCAAGGGCTCTTGTGAAGACATCACTCATAAACCACCCACACTGCCTGAAATCAATGGGTGAGACTCATCCTCTGCATACTCTCCCCGAGAACACATGTCACATCCTCCACTGGATCCACCACAGGCTCTGGGAGCACGGGAACCCTGGCTCATGCCTCTCTCACACACCAATAGCATAGACTCTCTGACATGTAGTAGGTGCTCATTTAAAAAGTTGTTGAGGGAAGGAATGGATGGAGAGAGAGAAGGAAGAAGGGAAGGTGAGACATCAAATTCCAAAACTCCCTCATTTCTCACCCTCACTCCAGGAGTGCCCCAAAAATGCAGCCCTGGAAATTCTCCTTCCTGACCTACCATATCCCTCAGGCTTCTCTCAGCCCTCCCTCCAGGCTTTGCCAGATGCTGCCCAGGACCTAGCACCAATAAGAGAAATGAAGATGCCTGTGCCCTCTCTAGAACCCTTCCACAATCTGTGGAAGAAAAAAGAGGAAGACAGGGTTCATACTATATGTCTATATTCTAACAGGCTAGAGAGTAGGCCTTACTTCCAAGCCAGAAGAAAGTCATATTCATTCTCTAAAGGAGAAAGAATGTTTCTTCTTCCACAACTGTGGTGCTATGGATGGTTTAGAGCAGGGGTTTTCAAACCCCAGGCCACAGACCGGTACCGGTTCGTGACCTGTTAGGAACCGGGCCACACAGGAAGAGGTGAGTGGCCAGTGAGCAAGCACTACTGCCTGAGCCCTGCCTCCTGTCAGATCACAGGTGGCATTAGATTCTCATAGAGCGCAAAGCTGCACATGCGAGGGATCTAGGTTGTGCTTTCCTCATGAGAATCTAAGGCCTGCTGATCTGTCATTGTCTCCCATTACCCCTAGACAGGACCATCTAGTTGCAGGAAAACAAGCTTAGGGCTCCCACTGATTCTACCTGATGGTGAGTTGTATAATTATTTCATTTACACAGGCCAGGCGCAGTGGCTCACGCCTGCAATCCCAGCACTTTGGGAGGCCACGGCAGGCAGATCACTTGAGGTCAGGAGTTTGAGACCAGCCTGGCCAATGGGGTGAAACCCCGTCTCTACTAAAAATACAAAAATTCACTGGGCATAGTGGTGCATGCCTGTGGTCCCAGCTATGTGGGAGTCTGAAGTGGAAGAATTGCTTGAACCTGGGAAGCAGAGGTTGCAGTGAGTGGAGGTTGGTGCAATCTCGAGATTGGCTGCACTCCAGCCTGGGTGACAGAGAGAGACCCTGTCTCAAAAAAAAAGAAAGAAAAGAAAAAAAAAAAGAAAAGAAAAGAAAGCACAATAAATGTAATGCCCTTGAATCATCCTGAAACCATCCCCCCTCCCTGGGTCCATGGAAAAATTTTCTTCCATGAAACTGGTCCCTGGTGCCAAAAAGGTTAGGGACCACTAGTTTAGAGACCTGGGGCACCCACCTAGCAATCCCAATTTTTAAAAATAACATTCTGTGATATGAACAATTACCATCTCCTCACCTACTTAAAATGTGACTAAATGTCTTAAGAAATATTTCTTTATCAATTGGTAATATATAATCTAACCAATTTATTTTAAAAGCTTTAGACAGGTTCCTACTCTCTCACCCTCTTATAACTCAAAAATTACCATTCCTACATGTTCCTAGGTATAAATTCTAGAGCCTGCCAGAATTCTTACACTAGAAATAACTTTGAATATCAGCTGAAATTTGCTGCAAACATTCATGTTTGCATGCCAAGGTCACTAGTCAACCGATCTTAGATTTTCATATAAAAGACCCTCAAAGCGAACTCAGCAGATATCTCTACCAGCACAAAGCACTGGAAACACAACTTGCAAGAGTAAAGAGTTTAAAACCAAGGTTTAAAATAAAAAATGTATTCAACTTTACAGTAACAGCACCTAGGGCACATTACACCTGTATACATCACTCTCCACAGTATATCAGGAGGAGGTGGAGTTATAATAGCCTTACATGGTCTGAGGAAGAAACCTCAGCTATTTCACAATTTGCTGAGGCCCACCTGGGCAGAAACCACACTGATGTTTAAAAAAAAAAAATGGTGCATTATGCAAACCAAGATGGAAAAGATGAATCAAAGTAGGCTTTATTTGTAGGGCTGTTTGGGATATAATATTTCCTTCATAACTGAAAAATAGTCATGCTGCATGTCGGGGAGGAGTTACCAACAAAGCCAGCCTGATACCTCATACTTTCCATAAGGTACACATTCAAGCACAGAGCTTGATTCGTGGCTGTGAGGGTTATTTTCTCAGCTAGTCCATGCTCGCCTTTCTCACTCCACCTCTTAGCACTTGTCCAAAAGTCCTCAGCTTGCATTCTATGTGTTGGGTTGCTTATAGGTCCGGCACATATAAAGCTGATAGGCCCATTGCTAGGAATGCTTTTTCAGCTGTGCAAAGCTCTGTTGAGACCCACCAAGGCACTGCAGCCTTGGGCTGTTGGACTTGCTACTTGACTTTCAAAGCCATTCCCTCCCTTCCCAGGGAAGTTGCTTGTATACTTCACCCACCTCTGTCTGCAGAGCAAGCCTGGCAAGCTTCCCACCATCACTTTAAGGCCTTCAACCTTCAGCTCCTGCTCCACTTTTCCAGAATGGGTTGGAGCCCCTTGTCTGTGTTCCCTTTGTGCCCTACTTCTACCTTCTGTTGTCAACACTTGACAGAATCATATTGAGACTATACATTTGTATGTTGAATTTCAGCCCCATTTTATTTACCTCCTATCTTGGCTCCAACGTGTAAAACTATGACTAGTTTTGAATAGGTTCTCAATCATGTGTAGGTGAAGCCAATTTATGTCATTGTTGAAGCTCTCTGCCATCAAAGAAAAGTTTAGAAAGTAAAGTGAGGCCTGCAAGGGCCTGGGCAAACCCCAGCCAGACTGCCCACTGGGTGGGAACCCCCTCCCCCGAGGCCCACTGCTGCCATCCTCCACTCATGGTGAGCCATTGAGTTCTATCATAATAGCTGGTGGGGGAAGCCTGGCTTCATTGCAGCCTCACTTCCTGCTCTGCCTTTGCTCCTTTCTCAATGTTGAGAAAGGATGCCTGTTCTGATGGGAACATGCATCAGATTGGGAGTTACAGAGATTTGCTGTCCAGAGACTGACAGACAATGATGCTAAACAGGTCACAGCTCCTCTCTGCCCTCAGCTTATTCATTCTCAAAATGAGAGGACTGCCACTTCACACCCACTAAGATGGCTACAATAAAAAGACAGACAATAATAAGCATTGAGAGGATGTGGACGACGAACCCCCATATACTGCTGGTGAGAATGGAAAATGGTGCAGCCCCTTTGGAAAATAGTGGCAGTTTCTCAAAAAGTTAAACCTAGAGTCACCACAGGACCCAGAAATTCCACCCCTAGGTATATATCCAAGAAAAATGAAAAACGTCCAGATAGAAACTTCTGCACAAATGTTCATGGCAGCATTCCTTCTACTAGCCAAAAAGTGGAAACAATCCAATGTCCATCACCAGATGAATGGATAAACAAAATGTGGTAGGTCCTTACCATGGAATATCGTTTAGCTCAAAAAGGAATAAAGTTCTGAAACATGAATGAAACTTGACAACCTTATGCTCAGTGAAAGGAATGGGGAGTGACTATTTCATGGGGACAAAATCTTTTTTGGAAGTGAGGAAAATGTTTTGGAACTAGAGAGATGATGGCTGAGCAACATTCTGACTGTACTAAATGCCATTAAATTGCATGCTTTAAAATGGTTAGTTTTGGCTGGGCCCCATGGCTCACACCTATAATCCCAGCACTTTGGGAGACCCAGGCAGGTGGATCATTTGAGACAAGGAGTTCGAGACCAGCCTGGCCAACATGGTGAAACCCCATCTCTAGTAAAAAATACAAAAATTAGCCCAGTGTGATGGCACATACCTGTAATCCAAGCTACTTAGGAGGCTGAGGCATGAGAATCACTTGAACCTGGGAGGCTAAGTTTGCAGTTAGCCAAAATAGCACCACTGCACTCCAGCTTGGGGGACAGAGTGAGACTGTCTCAAAAAAAAAAAAAGGTTCAAGTGATTCTCCTGCCTCAGTCTCCTGAGAAGCAGGGACTACAGGCACATGCCACCATGCCCAGCTAATTTTTTATTTTTAGTAGAGATGAGGTTTCACCATGTTGGTTGGCCAGGCTAGTCTCAAACTCCTGACCTCAGGTGATCCGCCCACCTCAGCCTCCCAAAGGGCTGGAATTACAGGTGTGAGCCATAGCACCTGGCCAGGAGTATTTAGTTCTTAAACAAATCACAGCTGCAACAAACTCTGACTGTTGTGCCTTCATCCCTGAGCTTGGTTTTTGATAATAGTTGCTCTGGGCTTTCTAAAGTGGACATGTGGACAGCACCTGCCATGAGGCTCTGCAGATAATCTTGTAGAGGCAATAGCCCCTAAAATAAATTTCATAGATGATAAAGAGGAGCACAAATAGGATCAGAGAAATCTGCAGGCTGTCATGGGAAGCATTTTCTTTCCTTAGCCTGAGACAATTGCTGATCAATTTCACTTGGGAACTGACAGCTGATCACTTTCTGATCTCATTAGCAGTTCCAGGGTTTAAGTATGTTAGTGAGCCCGGGAGAGAAAGCAGATTGAGCTTCAAACAGCAAAGGGATGGGGGAAATGATTCTCACAGATTGGGCTCTTTCTGGAAAGGTTTGTGCAGATAAGTGAGCTCAAGATTTGCTTGAATAAAGGTTGGTAGGGGGTTTGTAAAAGGGTGCCCCTTTGGGAAGCAGGTTAAAGGAGGGAGGAACACCTTTAGACCTGATTACTTAACCAGAGAGGCTCCTTCTAGAACAACACCTGGGGCAACTTGGCTGCGGGAGGTTGACCTTTCCAAGTCTATGCCCAATTACCCAGTTAAACAGAGCCCCAGGCATCTCTCTGGATACATTTTATCATCTTTTGGCCGTGTACACTGTTTCCAGGAAAGCTGTCCCGTTGAAAAATTGCTGAGCCATGAGAGAAACCAGTGAAAGGTGCATATTTGTAAACAGAACCTCTAATATTCATTATTTTTCCCAGAAGGGGTAAGGCCAGCTCCACTGCCACTAATAAAAATGGCTTTGGCAGTTGTGGCTGTCATTCCAATGACAAATGTATTTTTCTTTGCTGCCCAGAGCGAGTCTCTTTACTCACCGAGAAGTGACAGAGGATCTTAATTGCTAAGCCCCACTGGAAAAAGAAGTGTGCTATCGATGCACGTATTTTAATAAGTGTCTGCGCCAGGAGGGGTTGTTCTAAATCGCTGGCTCCACTGCCTCTTCTCCAAGGAGAGTTCTCTGTCTCATCTGTTGGATGGAAAAAGGCCTCTGCCTTATTCCATCCTCCCTCCTCTTCTAACCCCGCTCCCTGTGGCCCACATCTCCCCACCCACTCCATGTCAGAGTGACTCAGATGAGGGAGCTTGATGTTGGGGAGGGACCACAGAGATCATCCAGTCAAGGATGGCAAATAGTTGCCACCTGTACCTCCTCCTCCTCCCTCTCCTGTGCCCAGGGCAGGCATCACTAATTGATCACACAGCTTGTTCTTTTTGAGTCTAAAAAAGACTTATGCAGCCTTAAATTATCTTTAGCTCAGCATTCCAGAAAGCCACCAACAGTTTGTACACCAGATGAACTTTTTCCCAATTTTAATTTTGTCTAACCATCTCATCTTTGTGTTCGTTTAAATACACTTCTTGTTCATTGGGTTAAAGACTACATATTGTACAGTTGCTCTTTATTTTCTTCTATTTTCCTCTGTCCACAAATCTCTTGCCTTTCAAAAGTAAAGCAACAGCTTTATTGAGAAAAGCCACACCACACAAAATTGACCCTTTTGAAGCATACAATTCTGGGGTGTTAGTGTATTCACAAGGTGTGCAACCTTCACCACTAATTCCAGACATTTTCATCCCTCCAGAAAGACACCCTGAGCCTCTTAGGAGTCACTCCTCACACCTGTCTTCTCCCAGCACCTGGCAGACACTAAGCTACTTTGTCTCTTTGTATTTGCCTAATTTGGATATTTCGTATACGTAGAATGATATGAGACATTCTGTGTCTTAAAAGTTCATGTTGTTTTCCTTCCCGATTTTAAAAGAAAGTAAGGCATTATTGTGGGCCCAAGTGTCATGGGCTCCAGACACTGCGCCTGCTAGAGAAGTCAGTCCTGGCTCCCAGGCAACCTCCCGCCTTCCCTGGAGCACATCCGACTCTGCCAGCCAACATATCCTGCCATTGCAGATTTTTTGACACCTCTCAGCACTGCAGGAGCCCCCAGAGTGCCCACGGGCCAGATTCTGAAAGTAGGGGATGCTGCCCTCTCCCTGTGTCATGCTAAGCCTGGCCTGGTTCCTGCAGCCCTGCTCATGACATTGACCCAGTAGATAGATGCAGCCTGTCTTCAAGCTGAGCCCACCCTCTAAGGCCCATAGCTTTGATCCTAGGCCAGGCTTGTTTGCCTGGCTTCTTTCTCATTTAGAACTGTTTCCTCCAGAGGGTTTCCTATTCAAAGAGGCTGTCCAGCATCAGGGCTGAATCCCAGGTGGGCCAGGCAAACACTACACCATGAGCAATCTCTTTTCTTTCACTGTTGCCCATGGACCACTTTGGGGGCAGCTCAGATCCCCGCTTGGACAGCAAGCACAGAGCACAGAAAGCCCCAATTTGTGCATTTGTCAATGTTCCTGGCTCCTCCTCCCCGGTCTGTTCCCAGAAAACTCCTTCTGTTCCCTGAGCCTGTCCAGCTGGAGGGGTGGGAAAGGAAGACCGTCTGTCAGACCCTCCAAAGGGACTTCCAGAAACTGGGGTGGGGAGACAGCCTTTGAGGAGAGGACCACACAACGGGGCCTCAGGGAATTTACAACTTCTGCACCTGATTAAGTGGCTGGTGGAGGCGGAAAGCAGGGCTGGGAGCCGGGGCCTAGGCTGGCAGGCTGTGAAGCACAGGACTGCTCCAAGGTATGTGAGTCAGCAGGAGGGGGTGCAGTGGGTGGGGGTCTGGACCATCATCCCTGTGTCCTGCCCATCTCCCTGACCTCTCTCCATGTCTGGAGTCCCTGAGCCCTTCCCTGAAGGTCTGCCACATACATGAGTCCATCTACCCACAAGCAGCTGTTGGGCTCCTTGTAGGAGCCCAGGATACCAGGCAAGAGCTTAAAGCAGTCTGTTGCTCATTCATTCATTCCCTCATTCATTCAAATATGTTTTCCCAAGTATGGCATGTACTCAGCGCTGTGATAGATGCTGAGAATGCAGAAATGAGCCAGGCCTGGCCCTCAAAGAGCTTATTGCAAAGAGGGGATGACAAATGGGAGAACTGTTAAATAAAGGGGACATGGTGAGTGCACCAAGGAAAAGGTATCACCTCTGCCTAGGAGCAGGGCCGGGTGGTAGAAGGATTCAGAGGGTGTATTAGTTTGCCCAGGCTGCCATAACAGAATACCACAGACTCGGTGGCTTAAACAACATAAATTTACTTTCTCAGACTTCTGGAGGTTTAGAAGTCCAAGGTCAAGGTGTCAGTAGGTTTGGTTTCTTCTGAGACCTCTCTCCTTGGTTTGCTGTCAGCCTCTTGCTGTGTTCTCACATAGCCTATCATCTGTCAGGCACATCCCTGATATCTCTGTGTGTCCAAATTTCCTCTTCCTAAAAGGACACCAGTCAGGTTGTATTAGAGCCCAACCTAACAGCATTATTTTAACTCTTTAAAGGCCCTATCTTAGTCCAATTATGCTGCTATGACAAAATATCTAAGAGAAATTTATAAAGAACAGAAATTTATTTGCTTACAGTTATGAAGGCTGGGAAGTCCAAGATCAAGGCCCTGGCACATTGCTTGTCTGGTAAGGATCCAGTATCGGCTTCCAAGATGGTAACTTGAATGCTGAGTCCTCCAGAGGAATGCTACTTCCTTACATGTCAGAAGAAGGACGGACAAAAAGGACCAGCTTTCTCTACCATGCCCTTTTATAATGGCACCTAATCCCATTCACGAGGAGAGAAGTCATCATGACCTAATTACCTCTTAAACACCCCCACCTGGCCTAATTATAGCTTAAGGCCCGCCCCCCCCCCACACCTGGCCTAATTACCTCTTAAAGACCCCATCTCTCAATATCATCACATTGACCATTAAGTTCCAACACCTACATTTTGGAGGAGACATAATTCAGCCCATAACAGAGAGGTTATCTTTGGGCTGTGCCTTGATAGCAGAGTTGATGGGCAGAACAGGGAATTATTCTTCATGCCAAGCCTAGCAGAGCAAAGACCCAGAAATATCCAATTCCTCCCTCCTTCAGGGAACAACAAGAGGTTTGCACAGGTGGAAAACAGGAAAGGGGTCCAGAAGGAAGTACCTCATGCCTTAGCAGAGGCCGTGTGCTTTCCTGGTGGCTATGGAAGGGAAGGTGGAGCGGGGTAAGAACTCAGGCTCTGAAGCTCCTCATGTGAAGGGCTGTTATATAGATAACAGAAGACAAGTTTAGTAGATACATAGTGTTTGTAATAAATACTTATAATCACATGTGGTTTTTTCCTATTTCTCATTTTATGTGCTTTTGTATGTCCTTTGGTGACTATATATATATATATATATTTTTAATGAAAAAATAAGCTTTAAAAGGTGGTCACGAGAAGGCAGATGCGGGAGAGGTCAGAGGGTGAGAAGATTCCCACTGTGTCTAATCATGGCGTATTGACCATGCTTAGCGCTCAGTCTGGTGTTGCATGGAAGGAAGAGAACTCTAAGGCAGGCTCTGTTTGCAGCAGAGTTCACAGCTCCTTCGGGAATGTTCCTTCAGAAGATGAGCCCAGCCAGTACGATGTTGGCAGGGACAATGTCATTACACGTGCTGCCCTCACTCCCTTAATTCCCGGAAGGCACGACACTCATGACACTGGTGGCTAAATCAAAGCTTGAGGGACAGAAATGACTTAGGAGACCTCCCAGAAAGTGGCTGAAGGCCCTGAAGAGTAAGAATTCTCACATAAGCTCTCTTGTAAGGGGTATAGGGGCTCATGTTTAGGTTTCCTTGAACCTGTAATGGAAAGAAAGTTTGGAAAATCTGGATGCTCCTCCAGTCTCTGAGATGGAAGAGGATGGAAATACGAGCTTCAGGCTGGAACAACAGTTCTCACACTGCCTTTTTTAGGCTCTGCAGTCAATGAATCTTTCGGAGCAATCAGTTTCTGCCTCTGTAAAATCAGGAGCAGGAGATCACTACATGCCCCCATCTGCCCTAGGATCAAACAAGGTCATTGAAGTGCACTTGCTTTGAAACCACAGCATCCTTAGCCATTTCCCAGAAGGGCAAAGCCACTGGGCTTCCAGACTGGGTTGAAAAATGTCTCTCCGCAGCTCCCATCCTGGGAGCACATTGAAAACATCTGATTGCTGGTGGGAAACGGTCACACGGGGGCTCTTCATGATGGGTCCCAGGTACCAGTATGTTGTCAATGCCCCCCAGGTGATTCTAATGTGCAGCCAGTGTTGTGAGCCACAGCTTATAGACCAATCTGTCTGATTAGGTTGTTTTACTCCTTCAAGCAAAACACAGGCCCTCTGTAGCTACGGTGGTAGAGAAAAATCTCACCTTTGAAAATGCTTTCTAAGCAGGTAGTCAAATTCTCCCACCTACTCAGTAACGGCTCTGGGTCTCAAAACTAGTGTGCACAAGGTTCGCCTGGGTTCCTTGTTAAAGAGGGGGAGTCCCGGGACCCTCTTCCAAAGAGATTCTGATTCAGTCTGCCTGAGAAGGGGCACAGACAATCTACTTCTGAGTAAAATGTCATGTGAAGAGAATGTACTGACCTCAAAAGAAAAAAAAAGAAAACACTTCATTTCCCTTCTTACTCTCATACTAACCCAATGGGTAACCTTGGGCTTAACTTCTGATAGAAATAATGACCACAATAGCTGTTGTTTGTTGAGGTACCTTAGGTACAGTATCTGGATCTTCCTAAGAGCTGTGAGGTGGTATTCTGGGTTTCGTTATGTGCCTTCCTCTGGTAATAGTCTCCTCGGTGTTAAGGAAGTGTCCTTTCTGTATTTCATGTGACTCTGGTGGAATTGCCAATCAAACTGCCCAGTAACACCCCTCTAGGGAGAGGAGAGGCCAGAGGAGGATGTGTTGACTCAATGCCAGCCAATGAGGTTCCTCCTCCGGGGGCTGGAGGCAGGTCAGGGCTTAGGGCGTTTGTAGTCTGCTCTCCCTGGGTAGAATCCCTGACCCAGTCCTTACAAAGATTCCGTTCTTCAGCTCTTTCTTCCATTTCATGAGCTTCCCAGTATCATTCCTGTAAATCTTTTTCTTGCTTAAGTTAACCAGAGTCCGTTTCACATATTAAAGAAACTAATGAAATACTTATTTTCAGATAAAGAAGCTGAAGATTAGAGGAATTAAATGACTAACCCAAGACGCTGCAGCCAGAAGATAGCAAAGTGGGACCCACAGCAGGACAGTTTGGTTTCTGAGTTTACAATCCTGTCATTACCTCACATCACCTTAAATCCTCCTGAGAGCTCAAAAAAAAAGGAGAAGGAGGGGTGGAGGGAGTGCACTTTTCAAATACATATATATCATTTGAAAAAGTATAAAGAGAAATTTAAAAGTTACTATTAACTCCCACACCCATACTTGTAGTCAGAGAACTGGGCTAATTATTAATTTAATTTTATCCATTTGTATCAAATGCCCCAAGTGTTTATCCAGCAAAATTATATATTATATTAGAACACATGACAGAGAAAAAGGGCACAAAAAAAGCAAACAGTGGTTAAAGTCGGGAAGATACCAAAGATAAACATTCCAGCAAAGTAATAATTAGGACCAGAATTCACCACCATCTTGGCTGAGTTTCTATTTTATCAGTTACTGACTTCTTAAATTCATGGATCCTAGATTACAATCCTGAAATCACAAAACAGAGGCTAGACTTGTAAGCAAAAATATGACCCAGTGTATTAGTCTGTTTTTGCGCTGCTGATAAAGACATACCCCAGACTGGGCAATTTACAAAAGAAAGAGGTTTAATTGGACTCGCAGTTCCATGTGGCTGAGGAGGCCTCACAATCATGGTGGAAAGTGAAAGGCACATCTCACATGGTGGCAGACAAGAGAAGAGAATGAAAACCAAGCAAAATGTGTTTCCCCATATCAAACCATCAGATCTTGTGAGACATATTCCCTACCATGAGAACAGTATGGAAGAAACCACCCCCATGATTCAATTATCTCTCACCAGGTTCCTCCCCCAACATGTGGGAATTATGGGAGTACAATTCAAGATGAGATTTGGGTGGGGACACAGGGCCAAACCATATCACCCAGTCATCTTTAGAGCAGTAAATCTTCCAGCTCTTGCTCCTGTCACAATTTCTTTCTCAGACTTCAACCATGCATTTGAGACTATGGGGGGTGGGGAGGGGAATGTATACTTGACCCCATATAACTTTGTTCTGCTGGTCACTGCAGTCCAAAGCCAAGGCCAAGTGGGTCTGTGTCACTGAACAGAAATTAATTTAGCAGAATTTACTTTAGAGACATACATAACCCCTATTTGTCAAGTGCTGAGTTTCTCAAACTGACCTCATTGGAAGAGTCCATGCAGTCTCCCCGTGTCTAGCATCTCCATTGCATACCCTACAACAAATGCCCCGAAACCACTGGTACCTGGCCACATCCTACACATGCCACCCCATAGCACTTCTGGGTCAGTACCAGCAGGCAGTTTATTAGCAAACAATTGACTCCACTGTAAAGAATGTACTCTAAAATATGATTATTTGAATATTTAGCCCCATGGCTATTTATGTCATAGCATTGCTTATAATAGAAAAAAAATGAAAACAATGTAAATATCTAAAAATGAAAGATTAAATACATGATGGCATAATAACTTTAAAAATCTTGTTAGAGAATAGTTAAACATTCATGAGAAAAAATGCTCATGGGAAATGTTCATGAGATACTGTTAAATGAAAAATGAAATAAAAAAATAATTATAGAACAGAATGTTCAATGTGATTCCATTTTGTAAATACTGTATATATAATAAATTCCCATATATATCTTTTTGAGGGGAAATTATACATATATAATATTTATGCATATATATGTATAGTATATACATATACTATTTCCCCAAAAAGAATAGGATATTCATGGAAAGGAGAGTTATCTCTGATAACAATTATAAATTATTTATATTTTACTTTCTTACTAGTCCATATCTCTTAAATTTTAAGAAGAAAGAATTTTTTTAAAGCAAACTATTGAATTGGCCACTGCATGGTCAAAGTAGTTAAGGTTGCAGCTCCCAGTCAGACTTCAGGGAGCTGCTAATGTCCCACAGGACTGGACATTTGGATCCTTAGCTACATGCTATCTGGGGAAACCGTTAGAACAACTCCAGATACTGAGTGTCACATACAAAGCAGTCAAGAAGAGTCCAAAGAGTCAAGTAAATCCAGAAGATTAGTGTCTGTAATCCCAGCTACTCAGGAGGATGAGGCACAAGAATCACTTGAATGTGGGAGGCAGAGGTTGCAGTGAGCCAAGATCACACCACTGCACTCCAGCTTGGGCTACAGAGTGAAACTCCATCCCCGCACCTCCCCAACCCCCAAAAAAAGGGGAAGGAAAGAAAAAAGTCAACAAATTACCATAGGTAAAAAAACAAAACAAAACTCAAATTTAATAGGTGATTTGTGAAGCTTTACCAACTTGCTTTTTAAAAGAACAGAGAAATAGTCTGAAGCAAATTAGAAGAGTTGGTTTGAAAAGGTCAAGTCTCAAGCCAGCCTTGGAAACCACTACCACCTTGGTAGCCTAAAGTGAGTCTGATAGAAATGAGGAATGCAACAATTACCTGCCTCCCTCAGGCTCCAAATCCGCTCTCAACTCTGCTAACAGGTAACATGAAGCAGGCATTATTTTGAAAGATGCAGAGAATGATGTTCCTCTCTAACAGTTTAAGGTGTAGAGATTACTTTGGGCACCATCTTGGTTTTGACCCAACCTCCCAAAGCATCCACAGAGAAAGCTCCTTTGTCTCGGACTTCCTGCCACCAAGACACAATGGATTAACGGGAATTTTCCACTCAGACCATCACAACCACCTTCCATTCTGCTAATGTAGTCAGCCAGTTCTGCAAATGCCCAATGTCTGTTCACTATAACAGCAAAAAGTTTCTGTGTTATGGTTAGAGTAAATTCACAATAAGCACTTCATACAAAAGGCAAATAGCTATGGAATATCTGTCTTGATGTCTTGTCAGAACATTGAAATATTTCTCCTTTTTAAGTCACTTTTCACAGATCTAAGATCTTGGATAATTTGGGGACATATTTATGTATTCTGTATATTATGTTTGTTATGCAACCCAAATAGACCCCTGGCTTGACCACACAACCTTGGAATCCTAAGGCACTCATTCCTTTCTGCACTTGTCCTCTGGAAGAGGGCAAAGGCCAGCTCCGCCTCTGTGTGTTGCTTTTTAACAGCCATCTTTACCCTTTTTTTCTTAAGGCAGAGCCCCCCTCTCACAACAGGGACTGGAAACAACACATGGCTACTTTCCCAGCCTCCTGTGCAGTAGGGTGGCCAAGTAATCTCACTTTAGTCAATGACACATAAGAAAAAGTTTACGAAGAAACTCCTAGGAAAAATTTTCTTCTCTTATAAATAGAGCCACATGAAAGTAGAACCTTCTTTCCCACCACCTTCCCATTCGGGGAACCCAAATATTGAAATACATATATTTTATATATATATAATATACATATTTTTTATATATTATATATATATTTTATATCTATTATATATATTTTTATATATAATATATAGAAATATATATTTCATATATGTGAAATATATATTTTATATATAATATATAGATATATATATTTCATATATATATTTTATATATAATATATAGATATATATATTTCATATATATATATGAAATATATATTTTATATATATTTCATATATACATTTCATATATATTTTATATATATTTTATATACATTTCATATATGAAACATATATTTTATATACATTTCATATATGAAACATATATTTTATATACGTTTCATATATGAAATGTATATTTTATACATGAAATATATATGAAATATATATGAATTATATATATGAAATATATATTTCATATGTATTATATATGAAATATATATTTTTTTATATTTATATATGAAATATATATATTATATATAAAATATATATTAATATATATTTTATATATATTATATATGAAATATATATTTATATATATTTATATCTATTTTATATATTATATATATGAAATATATATTATATATATAATATAAATGAAATATATATTATATATATTATGTATATGAAATATATAGTTTATATATATTATATATGAAATATATAGTTTATATATATTATATATGAAATATATGTTTTATATATATTATATATATTATATATATGAAATATATATTTTATTTATATTATATATATTATGTATATGAAATATATATTTTATATATATATTATATATGAAATATATATTTCATATATTTTTATGTATATAGAAATCTATATTTTATATATCTTTTATATATATAAAATCTATATTTTATATATCTTTTATATATATAAAATCTATATTTTATATATCTTTTATATATATAAAATCTATATTTTATATATATAGTATATTTTATATATGTGAAATATATATTTTATATATTTTATATATGAAATATATATTTTATATATTTCATATATATAATATATATTTTATATATTTTATATATAATATATATTTTATATATTTTTTATATATAATATATATTTTATATATCTTATATATGAAATACATATTTTATATATTTTATATATGAAATACATATTTTATATATTTTATATATGAAATATATATTTTATATATTTCATATATGAAATATATATTTTATATATGAAATATATGAAATATATATTTGATATATTTTATATATGAAATATATATTTTATATATTTTATATATATGAAATATATATTTTATATATGAAATATTTATATATATTTCATATATTAATATATTGAAATATATGTTAATATATATTCTATATATTAATATATAGAATATATATTGTATATATATTTTATATATAATATATATTGTATATATAGTATATATAATATATATTTATATATATTCTATATATTTCATATATATTTCTATATAGAAAATATATTTATATATATATTTTATATATAGAATATATATTCTATATAGAAATATATATTTAAATATATTTTATATATGAAATAAATATTTATATATATTATATATATGAATATATATTTATATATAATTTATATATATGAATATATATTATATATATTTTATATATATAATATATATTATATATATTTTATATATATAATATATATTATATATATTTTATATATAGAGAATATATATTCATATATATTTTATATATATGAATATATATTTATATATTTTTATATATATGAATATATATTTATATATATTTATATATAGAAATATGTATTGATATATATTTATATATAGAAATATGTATTTATATATATTTATATATAGAAATATGTATTTATATATATTTTATATATATTTCATATATATGTTATATATATTCTATATATATAGAATATATATTTTATATACATTCTATATATATAGAATATATATTTTATATACATTCTATATATATAGAATATATATTTTATATACATTCTATATATATAGAATATATATTTTATATACATTCTATATATATAGAATATATATTTTATATATATAGAATATATATTTTATATATAGAATATATGTTTTATATATATATTCTATATATATAGAATATATATAGAATATATATTCTATATATATTCTATATATATAGAATATATATTTTCTATATATAGAATATATATTTTATATATATTTTATATATATGAAATATATTTTTATATATATTTTATATACATAGAAATATATATTTCAATATATATTGAAATCCTGACCCCGAAATTGATGGTAATAGTAAATGGGAACTTTAGGAGGTGATTAGGCCATAAAGAGTCTTCATGAATGGGATTAGTGCCCTTGTAAGAGGCCTTAGCAAGGTCCCTTGCTCCTTCTGCCATGTGAGGATGCAGTGAGAAGACACCGTCTATGAACCGTAAAGTTGACCCTCACCAGATATAGAATCCACTGGTGTCTTGATATTGCACATTCCAGCCTCCAGAACTATCAGAGATAAATTTTTGTTGTTTATAAGCCACTCAGCCGATGGTATTTTGTTATAGTCATCCAAATGGAATAAAGGGCACTATCTAATTCTTCCTTTAAAAGAAAAAAAAAAGACAGGGTCTCTCTGTATCACCCAGACTGGAATGCAATGGTGCGATCATGGCTCACTGCAGTTTGAACTCCTGGGCTCAAGCAATCTTCCCACCTCAGCCTCCCAAGTCACTGGAACTACAGGCGTGTGCCACCACACCCGGCAATTTTTATTTTAATTTTTATAGAGATAGGGTCTCACTATGTTGCCCAGGCTGGTCTTAAACTCCTGGCCTCAAAGGACCCCCCCACCTCGGCCTCCCAAGGTGCTGGGATTACAGGCATAAGCCACCACACCCAGCCAGCACTATCCAATTCTATCCAGAGATTCCTAAATCCTCCCCAGACCTCAGCACCTCCCTTCCCTCCTTCAGATGCCTATCCATTATTCAAAGCATAAATAGATCCAAACAGTAAGTATTCCTTTTGAAATATTGCGCTAACTTCTGGGCCTCCCAGATATTAATGAATGAGTATTTGCTCAACTTTCTAAGAGTTTCCCTATGATTAAAGAAATGCCTAAAAGATAGGCAAGGTGTATCAGTGATCTTTTGCTGTGTGATAAACCACCCTTGAAATGGAGTGGTTTAAAATGACCATTATTTATTTGCTCGCAATTTTGGGGGTCAATAATTTGGACTGGGCTCAGCTGAGACAGCCCATCTCTTCTTCATATGGTGTCAGTCAGGCCGACTTTACATTTGCAATCTGTTGGCAGATCTCAGTTGGCAAGTCAGCTGGTGGCTGGATGGTCCCAGACAGCCTTGCTCATGAGTCTGACAGCTGGGCTGTCCATGAGAGCAACTTGCATCTCCTCTCTGGCCACTCCAGCAGGATAGCACAGCTTCCACCCATGGCAGCTGGGTTTCAAGAACGTGAGAATGGAGGCTGCAAAGTCCCTTGAAGCCTGAGCTCTGAAGTCACACATCACTTTCATCACACTCTATTGGTCAAAGCAAGTCACAAGCCTAGCCCAACTTCCATGAGTGTGGAAACAGCCTCCAGCCCTTCAGGAAAGGAGCTTCAAATAACGTGTGGCCAGGTTTAATTTACCACTCAATGTACTTGCAACTCTCCATAGTTAAAAATTGATAGCCAACGTAAATGCAATTCTCTAGCAGCAACAGCAACAAAACTTTCTATTGTACATACTGATCTTATAGGTACACGTATGTTAATTTATTTATGCAGGTGAAGATGTTGATGAGTTAGGTGAAGAGGGCAAGTATTTTTATTATTCTGCAATTTGAGGGATGAGACTACAGAACAAAATAAAAAGTTCTTGGAAAACAAATTTCCTTGTTTATTTCACAGAATATGTATTTCAAGATAAATTAGAATTATGATTCCATGTAAGCCCAGATTACCTTTTCAAAATGTTATAGTGGTTGTCACAATCATGGCTGCATCATTCAGTCTCCCAAGGAACTTTTGGGGAGCCTTTTATTTTTTGAGATGGAGTCTCACTCTGTCACCCAGGCTGGAGTGCGATGGCACAATCTCGGCTCACTGCAACCTCCGCCTCCTGGGTTCAAGCGATTCTCCTGCCTCAGCTTCCTGAGTAGCTGGGATTACAGGTGCCCACCACCATGCCCAACTAATTTTTTTTTTTGTTGTAGTTTTTTAGTAGAGACAGGGCTTTACCATGTTGGCCAGGCTGGTCTCAATCTCCTGACCTCAGGTAATCCACCTGCCTCGGCCTCTCAAAGTGCTGGGATTACAGGCATGAGCCACCACGCCCGGCCTGGGGAGCCTTTAAAAATACCAATACCCCAGCATCACCACAAGAGATTCTGGTGCAATTGGTTGGGGGTATAAAAACCACTTATTTGATGTATGTCTGGCTTTTTTGGTTCTCCCCATATTCTACAAAGAATGGACCCTCTCTGAATCCTAGATTTGGGTCACCAAAGTTTTCTGACTTTTCTGTTGAGTTCCAAGCACAGCTTGGGTTCTGAGTCAAAATTACATTCCCTATGGTCATCTAAACCCAGAGTTATTTACCCAGGCCCTGATAAACAATCCTTCTACAATCCTTCTAAATCCTCTGTTTAGAGGCTGCAAAATGGTGGTGCACGGGCTGGAAAGATCTGAGTTTTGTTTGGCCTGTTACACACTGGTGGCCCAGGCAATGCATTTTTAACAGGGAGTGGGGAGTTAGGTGCCCACATTTATAAGTCAGGAGGTCTTACCTTGAGATCAGGGTTGAGGCTTCTCTTGTAAGTGCTGAAGAACTCAGAGCACGCAGCAGGGCTAACAGTCTCCAGTCAGCCTGAAGCGGTCAGCAGCGTGCAGCAGTTTTCTCTCTGGCTCCTTAAGGTTGTCTGTCTCAAGCCTGTCAGCATTTGAGTTTACACCTGTGGTCTGGCTCAATCCCAGTTACCATTTTATACCTGAAGATTGTGAGGCCCAGGATCTGGGGTGGAGGGGGAGCTGTTGAGATCTCTAGGCTGCACCTGGCATCACACATGCATTGGTTCATTTGCTTTTCATGTCAACCCTGGGAGGGAAGGCTCTACTAGTTCCATGTTACAGATGATGGAACTGAGTCTCAGATTTAGGAACTTGCCCATAGTCACACACAGCTGATTAAAAAAAAAAAAAAAAAATTGAGCTGATATTTCAACTGAGGTCTTGTGAGCCTCCAGCCAGAGTTCTTTGTGCTCCTCTGGAGCGATTCTTGCCACTGGCCATGATGACTGCTCTTTCTTGCCTCTTAGCTCTCTTTTCCCCAGCACTCTTTTTACCTCTGCATTAGTGCATACCAGCATGTCCTGGCTCCTCTCTTATTGTCTGACCCTGTCCAGGAACTTACAGTTCCCGATGCGTCCCAAGGCCCATATTTCCATATCATACACCATATTACAGTCATAAAATAACTTGTTCTGCAGCAGGAAGGGGTCCAATTACAGCCCATGTAATTGGCAAAAGAGCGTCATTCATCACGGTGGCCTTGGGATTGGAGGTCATCAGAGCAATTCCATTTGTTGGACATTTTCCTGTTTGTTTCAGCCATGGTTTCATCACAGTCCTTTACAGGTCCCAGTGGACCTGCTGGGACATTTCACAAGTTATCAAATACATGCATTAAGGATTGTTAATAGCAGCCAAGCAGCAGAAACCATGATGTGAGAATAAAATGCAATGTACAAAATGAAATTTGGAGTGACCGAGTGGAAAAGAAGGGATTATTTTTCTGCAAGCCACCCAATAAGCACAGAGCTAGGGCCCAGTGGGGTCGCTATCTTGTATGGAGGAAATCTTCTACATTCTATAAACCTGATAAATAATGTGACAGGAGTCCCATCACCTCGCTCCTTGAACCAATCTGTCCACGTTGCACGTCGGTTTTCTCTGTGCTATTAAAGAGGCGGCTGGGTTTTCTAGGGAGCAAATTTACCCCTGTCAGTTTGGGGAGACAAATAAGTTGGCCCCGTCTTTACCATTTAAGGCATAATTTGATTTATGTTTGATTAGTCAATATGCTTCCCACTACAGTGGGTCATATGGAAACAATTTAATGGAAGTACAGAATTTTAGAATAGGCTAGAATAGGACAGAAGAGAATTTTCAAGGTGGAATATCTACTGCAGAGGTCTCATCCTGGGTACCCACCTGTCATCTGACTCACAGATATTTTTGTCTGACCTACACAAGGTCTTGGTGAAAATATGACTTGGTTACTAATATTTAAAAATCGGGTGATTTGGCCAGGTGCCATGGCTAAGGCCTGTAATTCCAGCACTTTGGGAGGCCAAGGCAGATGGATCACCTAAGGTCAGAAGTTCAAGACCAGCCTGGCCAACATGGTAAAACCACATCTCTACTAAAAATACAAAAAATTAGCTGGGCATGGTGGCGGGCACCTGTAATCCCAGCTACTTGGGAGGCTGAGACAGGAGAATCACTTGAACCCAAGAGGTGGAGGTTACAGTGAGCCGAGATTGTGCCACTGCACTCCAGCCTGGGCAACAAGAGTGAAACTCCATTTCCAAAAAAAAACAAAATGAAACAAAACAAAACAAAATCAGGTGATTTTACTTTATTTAAATTTTATTTTCTAGCTTTTCTTTAAAAACATACTTTACAATCTGACAATACAGCCCAGATTCCCTGTGACAAGAGTTGGCCAGTGCTGAGGAGTTCTGCCCCATCAGACAAAGAAGAGCTTCTCTCTGCAGGTTGTCCCAGCTCCACCAACACCTACCGTCCCCGCAACACTCAGCCCAGGGGGCAGTTGCCCATTTCACTCATTTATATTTTACGCACACATAAAAAAATTCACATACCTAACGTCATACATTTAATTCAGTCAGCAGATATTTAATGGGGCATAGACTCTGTGCCAGACATTATTGAAGACACCAGGGATATAGCAGTGATCAAAATAAACCAAAATCCTGACCCCATGGAGTCTTCAGTCCAGTGAGAGACACAGACTGTAAGAAAAATCAGGAAAACCTATACAGGCCTACCTCACAGATATTGCAGGTTCAGTTCTAGACTACTGCAATAAAGCAAATATCATAATAAAGCAAGTCCCAGAAATTTTTTGGTTTCCCAGTGCATATAGAAGTTATGTTTACACTATCCTGTAGTCTATTAAGTATGCAATAGTATTATGTATAAAAATACAATGTGCATACCTTAATTTAAAATGTATTTATTTTATTTATTTATTTATTTTGAGATAGAGTCTTGCTCTGTCACCCAGGCTGGAGTGCAGTGGCACAATCTTGGCTCACTGTAACCTCCACCTACCAGGTTCAAGCCATTCTTTTGCCTCAGCCTCTTGAGTAGCTGGGATTATAGGCACCCACCACCATGCTCAGCTAATTTTTAAGTATTTTTAGTAGAGACAAGGGTTTAGCCATGTTGGCCAGGCTGGTCTTGAACTCCTGGCCTCAAGCAATCTGCCTGCCTCAGCCTCCCAAAGTGCTCCCACAATGCCTGACCAAAAAATACTTTATTGCTAAAAATGTTAACAATCACCTGAGCCTCCAGTGAGTTGCAATCCTTTCGATGGTGGAGGACCTTGACTGATCAGGGTGGTGGTTGCTGAAGGCAGGGGTGACTGTGGCAATTTCTGAAAATAATACAACAAAGTTTGCCACATCGATTGACTCTGCCTCTCACAAAAGATTTCTCTGTAGCATGCAATGCTGTTTGATAGCATTTTACTCATAGTAGAACTTCTTTCAAAATTGGAGTCAGTCCTCTCAAATCCTGTTACTGCTTTATCAACTAAGTATATCAATTAGAATATTTAACATTCTAAATCCTTTGTATTCATTTCAACAATATTCATAGAATCATCACCAGAAGTGGATTCCATCTCAAGAAATCACCTTCTTTGCTTTTGCAACTCGTCATCTGTTAGAGTTTTATCATGAGAATGCAACAAGTTAGTCACATCTTTAGATTCCACTTCTAATGCTAAATCTCTTGCTGTTTCCACCACATCTTCAGTTACTTCTTGCACTGAAGTCGTGAGCCCCTCAAAGTCATCCATGAAGGTTGGAATGAACATCTTCCAAATTCCTGTTAATGTTGATATTTTGACCTCTTCCCATGAATCATGAATATTCTTAATGGCATCTAGAATGGTGAATCCTTTCCAGAAGGTTTTTAATATACTTCACCCAGATCCATCAGAAGAATCATTATCTATGGCCGCTATACCCTTATGAATTGTATTTCTTAAATAATAAGACTTGAAAGTCAAAATTATTCCTTGACCCATGGGCTGCAGAATGGATATTGTGTTAATAGGCATGAAAATGACATTAATCTCCGCGTACATCTTCATCAGAGCTCTTGGATGACTAGATGCATTGTCAATGAGCAGTAATATTTTGAAAGGACTCTTTTTCTGAACAGTAGGTCTCAACAGTGGGCTTAAAATATTTACTAAACCATGCTGTAAACAGATGTGCTGTCATCCAGGTTTTGTTGTTCCCTTTATAGAGCATAGGCAGAGTATATTTAACATAATTCTTGTGTGTGTGTGTGACAAAATCCCACATTCCTTTATGATTAAAACCCTCAGCAAAATCGGCATAGAAGGGACATATCTCAAGGTGATGAAAAGCCATCTATGACAAACCCACAGCCAACATTATACTGAACAGAAAAAAGTTGAAAGCATTCCCCCTGAGAACTGGAACAAGACAAGGATGCCCACTTTCACCACTTCTATTCAACATAATACTGGAAGAGCAATCAAACAAGAGAAATAAACCAAGGGCATCCACATCGGTAAAGGTCTTTACTGTTGCTGTTTGCTGGTGATATATGATCATATACCTAGAAAACTCTAGAGACTCATCCAGAAAGCTCCCAGAACTGGTAAATGAATTTAGCAAAGTTTCAGGATACAAGATTAATGTACACAAATCAGTAGCCCTGCTATACACAAACAGCGACCAAGCTGAGAATCAAATCAAGAACTCAACCCCTCTTACAATAGCTGCAAAAAAAAAGAAAAAAAAAAAACTTAGGAATATACCTAACAAAGGAGGTGAAAGACCTCTACAGAGAAAACTACAAAACACTGCTGAAAGAAATCACAGATGACACAAACAAATGGAAACATCCCATGCCCATGGATGAGTGGAATCAATATTGTGAAAATGACCATACTGCCAAAAGCAATCTACAAATTCAATGCAATCCCTATCAAAATACCAGCACCATTCTTCACAGAACTAGAAAAAACAATCTTAAAATTTATATGGAATCAAAAAACAGCCGGCATAGCCAAAGCAAGACTAAGGAAAAAGAACAAGTCTGGAGGCATTACATTACCCAACTTCAAACTATACTAAAAGCCCATAGTCACCAAAACAGCATGGTACTGGTATAAAAACAGGCCCATAGACCAATGGAAGAGAATAGAGAACCCAGAAATAAAGCCAAGTACTTACAGTCAACTGATCTTCGACAAAGCAAACAAAAACTTAAAAGTGGGAAAAGGACACCCTATTCAACAAATGGTGCTAGGACAATTGGCAAGCCACAAGCAGAAGAATGAAACTGGATCCTCATCTCTCACCTTACACAAAAATTAACTCAAGATGAGTCAAAGATTTAGCATAATTCTTAAAAGCCCTAGGATTTTTGGAATGGTAAATCAGCACTAGATTCAACTTTAAGTCACCAGCTGCATTAACCCCTAAAAAGAGAGTGGGCCTGTCCTTTGAAGCTTTGAAGCCAGACATTGACTTCTCCTTTCTAGTTATGTAAGTCCTAGATGGCATCTTCTCCCAACACAAGGCTGTTTTGACTACATTGAAAATCTTTTTAGTGTAGCCACCTTCATTATTTGTCTTAGGTCTTCTAGATAACTTGCTGCAGCTTCTCCATCTGCACTTGCTGCTTCACCTTGCACTTTTATGTTATGGAGATGGTTTCTTTCCTTAAACTTCATGAACCAACCTCTGTTATCTTCAGACTTTTCTTATGCAGCTTCCTAACCTCTCTCAGCCTTGATAGAATTGGGGAGAGTTATGGTCTTGCTCTGGATTAGGCTTTGGCTTAAGAGAATGTTGTGGCTGGTTTGATCTTCTAACCAGACCACTCAAACTTTCTCCATATCACCAATGGAGCTGTTTTGCTTTCTTATCGTTCATGTGTTCATTGGAGTGGCACTTTTAATTTCCTTCAAGAACTTTTCCTTTGCATTCACAACTTGGCTAAGGGGCACAAAATGCCTAGCTTTCGGCCAGTCTTGGCTTTCTACATGCCTTCATCCCTAAAACTAATCATTTCTAGCTTCTGATTTATAGTGAAAGTTGTGTGACTCTGCCTGTCACCTGGACACTTAGAGAATATTGTAGAATTATTGATTGGCCAATTTTAATATTGTTGTTTCTGAGGAAATAGGAAGGCCCAAGGAGAGAGAGAGAGAGATGAGAGAATGGACAATCAGTGGAGCAGTCAGAACACACATGACACTTATGGGTTAAGTTCATCATCTTATATGAGCACAGTTCATGGTGTCCCAAAACAATTACAACAGTAACATCAAAGATCACTGATCACAGATCACCACAACAGATATAATAATAATGATAAAGTTTGAAATGTGAGAATTACCAAAATATGATACAGAGCCACAGCGTGAGCACATGCTGTTGGAAAAATGATGCTGATAGACTTGCTCCACTCAGAGTTGCCACAAACCTTCAGTTTGTAATAAACACAATATCTGTGAAGTGCAATAAAATGAATCACAATAAAACCAGGTGTGCCTACAGTACAACGAGTAGTAATAAGTACCATAGGGAAAACTAAGCAGGCAAAAGGGCAAGAGGGTACTGGAGAATTACAATTTTAAATAGGATGATGTGCAAGGTTTCACTAAGAAGATGAGTGGCATCTGAGCACAAGCCTTAAGGATGAGAGGGAGGGAGCCATAGGCATATCTAGGTGGAGAGCATTCCAGGCAGGACATGCAAAGGACATAGCATGTTAGGTCCAGGACTGGGACTTAAACAGGAGCCATAATCCAATTAGAGATGATGCCACTGGCCATAAACCCTAAGCAGAAGTTCCACGATATGCTTTTCCAGAACTCCTATCATCTGCCTTTTCATGGAAACCCAAAAAACTCTAAGTGAAAATCCAGATTTATGCCAAAGACAAAATGGAGAAGGACTATTCACTTAACTCAAGGCTTCACAATAGGATCCTTTTATTCAGGAAACTCCCCAGGCACATGTAAAATGGTTTTAGATTTAGAATTGTAACTCGCATGATTTTTCAGAAATCCATTTACCACACAAAGCAAGGAACCCCTACAGTGCTGATGCATTTAGTTTGATTTGGTCCTACTCCCTCACTGGTCCTCAGGTATCCCCCATACCTTCTTTGCAAGCTGCCCAGCTAAGGTTAGAAGCCTTGACCCTCAGGGGAGGCCAGCACCAAGTGACGAGGTGAACTCCACAGTGGTGGGCTGCTGCTGCAAGAGGCGCTGGGTGCTGACTCCCCTGGCTATGGTTTCATCTACTGTCTCAGCCACCCTGCCTGCCTCCCAACTCGTCCCAGCCCTCAGGGCTTCACTCAAAGCAGTGGGGCTGTTTCATTGGTTTTTATTAACATTTATTGTTTCTCAGATTCAAGAAAAATATCCAATTTGGAGGACTTAGAAAATCCGCAGAACAAAGAACTGTTTTTAAAACCTCCATAATTCTACCACTCAGAGAAAACCACTGGTGGCCACCCTGGCTGGCTGCTAATTACCGAAGTCACAGGAATTTAGATTGGCTGTCCCCTTTTGTGTCTCCAAAAAGCTTCTCTGCCATAATGCCATTCCCCTCAATATTGCTAGAAGCAAAGGCCTGGGTGTGGGCAGTTAGAGAGGTAGAAAGGATGGAAGTCAATTTAAATTGGCTGGTTCAATTCAAGTTGCAAATATCCATGTCTATAACCAGCTAGGGAGATGCCACACCTACAGACGGGGTGAGGGGGTGGCTATATCTGCAGGCTCATCTTCAGAAAACTGGCTATATGCAGATGCTAGGTCTCTCCTGGGAAGATTGCGAGAGGGGGCAGTTGCAGCATGGTGCAAGATAGGAAAAGGACCCATCTTCCTCTCTCCCAAGGCCTGGGCATGCCCCTCAGGAACCCAGCCCTATGGCAAGGAGTGACCTTAGCACCTAGGGCTGTAAGTCCTGCTAGTGCTGCTGGTACCGCTGAAAAGTAATGTAGCAGTAACAGTGGGGATGTGGATGAGGGGAGGTGTCTATGACAAGTACAGAGGCAGAATGTATCAGTCAGCCATCGCTGCAATATGCCATTCCAAAATAGAGTGGCGTGGACTAAAACAACAACCAATGAGTCTTACCTAGGTACCAGTAGGTTACCCATCAATTGGCTGATCTAGGTTAGGCTTAGCTAGGCCAGATTTCAAACTGCAGGCTGAACCCATGCCATCTCCATGTCTCTCTAAACCACTTTGGAGCTGTGGACTAGCTGGATTGTGTTCTTTTCATGGCAATAGCTGAAGCACAAGAGCACAGGCTCAATTCTGAAGCACATGTAAAGCTTTTGCTCACATCATATCTAATAACATCCAATTGGTCAAAGCAAGTTATGTGGCCAAGTCCAATCTCAGTGGGATGAGGCAATATTCTGCCTCTAGGAGGAGGAACTGCAAACCCACATGTCAATGGGAAACAGGGAGGGGTGAAGAATTGAGGACAAGGCACTCTACCACACTGATATGTCGAATTGTAATCCCCAATGTTGAAGGTGGAGCCTGGTGGGAGGTGGCCAGATCATGAGGGTGGTCCTTCATGAATGGGTTAGCAACATCCCTTTGCTGCTGTTCTCATGATAGTGAGTGAGTTATCACAAGATCTGGTTGTTTAAAAGTGTATAGCACTTTCCCCACCTCTCTCTTGCTCCTGCTCCCACCATGTGAGATGCCTTGCTCCCCCTTTGCCTTTGCCATGATTGTAAGTTTCCAGAGGCCTCCCCAAAAGCCAAGCAGATGCCACCATGTTTCCTGCACAGCCCGCAGAACTGTGCGCCAATCAAACCTCTTTTTGTTATAAATTACCCAGTCTCAGGTATTTCTTTACAGCAGTGCAAGGACATACTAATACACACACAGATGCTATGTAAACAGATATGGGCAACACTCGTATTCACAGTGATAAATAAGATTCCAGGGATTAGGATGTTGATACATCATTTTAGGGGGCCTTATTCATCAATATGAATATGAGTGTTACCTTATTTGGAAAAAGACTCTTTGCAGATGTAATGAAGGATCTTCAGATAAAGAGATTATCCTAGATTAGCCAGGTAGACCCTAAGTCTAATGATAAATGTCCTTATGAGAAAGAGGCAGTGGCAGATTACACCTACCGAAGAGGAAGAGGTAATGTCAAGACAGGCAGAGGTTAGAGCAATGCCACTGCAAGCCAAGGAATGCCTGGAGCCACCAGAAGCTAGAAGAGTCAGGGAACAAATTCTTCCCTAGAGCCTCTGGAGGGAACACATCTCTGCTGATACTTTAATCTTGGACTTGTGGCCTCCAGAGCTGAAAGAGGATACATTTCTGCTGTTTTAAGCCACCAAGTTTACAGAAATTTCTTATGTCAGTCACAGGAAACTAATATAATTGATAATAGTAATGGTATGTTAGTCCACCTGAAGATGCTAGAAATAGGCCCTCACTGGTCAACTATGAAGACTAATTGAAATAATTGAGAGATACTCATCATCTTTGCATACACTGAGTATAAGAATCTAGCAAAGACCTTCAGCTTGGACATGTAGGTACAGCACAGAGACTTAATCTACCAACAATCCCTTGCTGAGCTATTGGTCTGGAAAATTCCAGTTGCTTGAACTATTGGTCTGGAAAAATCCAGTTGCTTTTGTCCCTATAAATGGACAAAAATCCTGCCTATGGTATAATATTAAATCCGTATTGAGTGAATCTTGCATAGCAGGTAGTGTTCCAAACACCTAGGAGGACAGAGAGCTGGAACTCTGAGTATATAAGAGCCAGTAGCAGGAAGAGTGTGTTTTCTGCTTGCTAAAACATGCTAGTTCAGTGCTGTGGGACAGCATTTGATGGGAGTGAGCTAATGTTGGCTACTGTTACTTTGCAAAGAGAACTTAAGACTGGTGTGTGCTATGGTTTGAATGTGTCCCCTCCAAAATTCAGGTGACCCCAGGGCAACAATATTGGGAGGAAAAGCCTTTGGAAAGTAACTAATTATAGCTCTTCCCTCGTGAATGGAATTAGGTGCCCTTATAAAAGGACTTGACAGAGTTTGCTCCTCTTTGCCCTTCTTCCTCTGCCAGGTGAAGACACAGCACACCCCTCTGGAGGATGCGGCATTCAAGGTGTCAGTGTGGAGCAGAGGCCAGACCCTCATCAGACAATGAACCTGCCAGTGCCTTGGTCTTGGACTTCCCAGCCTCCAGAACTGCGAGAAATTTCTGTTCTTTATAAATTACCCAGTCTCAGGTATTCTGTTATAGCAACACAAAATGGATTAAGTGTGTGACCCAAGCAGCTTAGATGAGTTCTACAAATGCCCAAGGGTCTCAAGAATCCTGGAACACTGGGACACCCTGTCATCACTCACCCTGGTGAGCAAGCAGATGCCCACTGTCAAGGTCTCCATGGTCCCTTGAGTCAGGTGGCTGGGTTACTCTCTTCCCAAGTGGGAGTCTGATGGCCTTTGCTATTGCTGGGAACACAGGTGCCTGGAGTCTTCCTCCCTGGTTTGCTACCAGCCTTTCCCCTCTGAGTCTCCCCAGGGAGAAACTCACAGGTCCATACTGCTTTCAGCCAGCCCCCTCTGTTGCCTTTCAGGTCTCTAGAAGCTGTTGTCTCTCAGATTCCACCCTCCTCCCCCATCCTACGCTCCTCTCTCCCCTCTTCCTCCTGGACCCCAGCCACAATCTTGCCCAAGACATTATGCCAAGAGACTTCCACAAAAGCTGAGGGCAGAGCTGTCCTCTGTCAACCTCACCCATAGGAGAAAGCACAATCGTGTGGGCTAGCCCCCTTGGAGTGAGGAGAAGGGAAAAATTCTGGAAGAATATTTATACAATGAAGAAATTAAATTTTCCTGACACAGATGCAAAGTGCTCACACAGTGCTAGCTACACACTCCATGAGTCCTATTAACACCTGTCAACATCCATCAGGTCACACCGCCTATGAATGGTGTGTATGCATGGGCAACCACACATCTGTTTGGCTCAGTCAAACATCCTCAGAGCCTAGCAGAGTTCCTGGCACATGGTGGGCACTTAATAAACATTGTTCAAAAATAATTAGTTATTTCACAAATGAACATTCCAGAGTTTTCTAGCAACTTGTGCAAAGTTAAAGACATGATGAGATACAAGATCTACAATGTGGATAAAAACCAAACAGTTGCTAAAGAAAAATACAACTACTTCTTTTGCTGACACCAGAGTGAAACCTCCCACATTTATCTTCATAGACATATTTTTATTCTTTCTACTTTTCTGCATTTTCCAAAATGTCTATAATGAGCAGACCATAATTGTATTTGTTGAAAAATAACTGGACCTTCTAAAAACATAACTCCTTCCACATGCACCTTTCCCACTACTATTTTTCCTGTTAATTTTGGAGACAGAGTGAAGCCTAAGTTTCCCCATATTGTAGGCTCCTGCTTGGCCCAACTTGTTGGAACCTCATTTGTAGAAAGTGGAAGAAAGTAGATCTAAGAGGCTTCTAAGAGTAGTTAATTATTCTTTCTAATCCCTCCCAGAGCTCATGGGAAGCCTAAGTACTTCGATTCCTTTATTCATTCCCCCTAAGCTTCTGGGTAAGGGTAATTTTCCTGCTGTATATTTATATATCTCTCATAAATGAGAGATAAATGGAGTAAATGCCTGCAGTGGGGAGCAGTGAACGCCGTGAGTCTGCAGAGGAAGCAGTGAATCTGCACAGAAGGAGGACATTTGGGGCAGCATCTCATAAGCCTGCCCAGAGGATTGTATCCACTGGGCAATCCTACCCAGAGTTTGGACACACGCCCTTGAAACTGTGTCTCTAGAGGGAGTTCTTTCAGGGATGGGGGTTCTGGGGGTTGTCACCATTTCAATGACATGAGGGGGTTGGCAGTGAAAACCAGACCTAAGGCAACTGTGCCAGCACCTTCCACACCATGGAGGTCCTCAGAGGGCATCTGGAGGGCTACACTAGTGTGGGAGCTGTTCCTTTTCAGGAAGAAGAACGCAGAGTTGCCAAGCAACAGAGAGGGACCTGCCCACCTCAGCACCAACACGCCAATGCCCAGTATACCCCTTTGCAGCGTTCTACATTCTGCATTGCCCTTGTGAAGAAACAGGAGGAAGTAACTGACTCATCCATTGGCAGAAACATTTAGGTCACTACAAGAAAAATCTTCCTGACCCTGGCACAGTTGAGACACTCGAAGAGGCTTAGAGGATAGGTGGTACGTGAATCCCAGGAGGAGGTGGAGATGAGACTTGTTGCTTATTCTGACTGAGGGAACTGAGCCACAGATGAGCCACCTGAGTGACAGGTGGGGTTATCCAAGGTGAGGGGCTGCACTGGAGACTGGTTGACTGTAAAGACATTAGAAACCCTGAGTTCAGAGGAGAAGGCAAAGCCAAAGAATGTATCAAAAACTGCAAGAGCTTGGGAGGCCAAGGCGGGTGGATCACGAGGTCAGGTGTTTGAGACCAGCCTGGCCAACATGGTGAAACCCTATCTCTACTAAAAATACAAAAATTAGCCAGGCATGGTGGAAGGCACCTATAATACCAGCTACTCGGGAGGCTGAGGCAGGAGAATTGCTTGAACCCAGGAGGCGGAGGTTGCAATGAGCCGAGATCACGCCATTGCACTCCAGCCTGTGTGACAAGAGCAAAACTCCGTCTCAAATTCCCAGCTACTCAGGAGGCTGAGGCAGGAGAATGGCGTGAACCTGGGAGGCGGAGCTTGCAGTGAGCCGAAATCGCGCCACTGCACTCCAGTCTGGGTGACAGAGCAAGACTCCGTCTCGAAAAAAAAAAAAAAAAAAAGCGAGAGTACTGATTGTCAAAACACGAGAAAACAAATCAGAACATTTTCAACTTTGAAGATATGGGAGTCAGGCATGAGCACGTAAGTCTGAGGACAGAGTAAGAAGTGCTTGGAGGCCAGGTGTGATGACTCAAGCCTGTAATCCCAGCACTTTGGGAGGCCAAGGCGGGTGGATCACCTGAGGTTAGGAGTTCAAGACCAGCCTGGCTAACATGGCTCCCTCTCTACTAAAAATACAAAAATTAGCCAGGTGTGGTGGCCCACTCCCAGCTATTCGGGAAGCTGAGACAGGAGAATCGCTTGAACCCAGGAGGCGGAGGTTGCAGTGAACTGAGATCACGCCACTGCACTCCAGCCTGGGTGACAGCGAGACTTTGTCTCAAAAAAAAAAGAAGGAAAGAAGTGCTTGGAGCCAGAACCAGCAGCACAGCAGCAAACGAGGACGGAGTTTGAATGTAAATACGTCAAGGAATGAATGAACGAGAGTTGGTGTCATGGGCATGGTGCTGGAATGTGCCCTGCCACGTAGCTTTTGTGCTCCTACCAAAGGCTGATGGGGGATAAATGGGGGAAATTTCACTCTGGTGTCAGCCAAAAAAAATAGTTGTAGTTTTCTTAAGGAACTGTTTGGTTTTTATCCACAAATATTGTAGATCTTGTATCTAATCATGTCTCTAACTTTGCATGAAGACAGGGATTTATCCCAGCTTAAGGGCCAAGGGAAGAACTCGCATAGAAATAGCTCAGTGGTAGGGATGACTGGCTTTGTTGGGTGAGTATGTGGTGGTGTCCCTGTGGCTGGACATGACTGGTGTTTCGGAGCCTCGTCATATCCGCTAACAGGTCAAAATGCAGATCTTCGTGAAGACCCTTACCAGCAAGACCATTGCCCTTGAAGTGGAGCCCAGGGACACCATCGAAAATGTGAAGGCCAAGATCCAGGATAAGGAAGGCATTACCCCGGACCAGCAGAGGCTCATCTTTGCAGTCAAGCAGGTGGAAGATGACTGCACTCATTCTGACTATAACATCCAGAAAGAGTAGACCCTGCACCTGGTCCTGTGTCTGAGAGGTGGTATGCAGATCTTCGTGAAGACCCTGACTGGCAAGACCATCACCCTGGAAGTGGAGCCCAGTGACACCATGGAAAATGTGAAGGCCAAGATCCAGGATAAAGAAGGCACCCCCCCACCCCCAGCCCCGACCAGCAGAGGCTCATCTTTGCAGGCAAGCAGCTGGAAGATGGCCGCACTCTTTCTGACTACAACATCCAGAAAGAGTCAACCCTGCACCTGGTCCTGCACCTGAGGGGTGGCTGTTAATTCTCCAGTCTTGCATTCGCAGTGCCCAGTGATGGCATTACTCTGCCGTATAGCCATTTGCCCCAACTTAAGTTTAGAAATTACAAGTTTCAGTAATAGCTGAACCTGTTCAAAATGCTAATAAAGGTTTTGTTGCATGGTTAAAAAAGAAAAGGAAAGAAACAGCTCAGTGTTGCAGGAAAGGCCTGGATCATTATTTCAAAAACTCCATTTCTCAGACTGCTTGTCCTTGAATAAACAATATCTCAATAAAATAATGTAAGGAGAAATTGTATACTATGGCCCCATCTTGGAGCTCCATAATGCACTCCAGTTTACGAAAGGCTCTGAGAGGAGCTACACCAGAGAAACCTGCTGAACCAAACACTTCCCAAATGGGTGGGACCAGTGGATTTCCCTGCCCCACTTTTTAAAAATTTCCCCCGTAAAACACCAATGAATACCTTATAGGACATGAGCCCTCCTCTGAATACACGTTGAAGAAAGCTGACCTTGGTCAATCGCCCTGATCAAAGGTAACACCTAAAAGCGTTATATATATTCTCTCTCTCTCTTTCCTTCTTCACCTTCTCCCTCTTTCTTTTATTCAATCTCCCTCCCTCCTTTCTTCCTCTGTCTTTCCTGTCTTTTCTTCATCTGGAAATTTTCTTTCATTTCTCTCTTCTTCTCCCTCACCTTCTCGAGCAATGTGCTAAGACTGCAATGCACTGGGACTTCCAGGGGTCACCTGGAAACTCCTTGGGCCTAAGAGCCAAGGTTCCACCATAGCTGCAGCTGAACTGGTTTGCCCTCATCCCAGGAGCCATCCAGAGATTCCTATCTCAGCAATTTGCAAATGGTACTAAGGCCTCTGCACTGTTCTCAACAATGGCCCAATTAACTGCCAGTTGCATTTCAACAGCCGGAAGGTTAATTGGCTCACATGACAAGGATGGAGAGTAACCTGCACCCCATTAAATTGGTGTGCTCTCAGTACCATTCCACTGCGCTTTCTGCCCGTTTTCACATGTTCACGAAGCGTCCAAGAGACAAGTAAAAGACCCAGGCTTAAAGAAGAGGAATGGCTTCTCATTAGCGGTCCCATCTAGAAGCCTGCATTTTCTCCCTGTTCTCTGCCTCCCTCCCAGAGGCAAACGCAGGAAGTCATCACACCATTTCTGTGTGATGCTCTGCACTTTTGTCATTTAATGGATTCACATTGTTCTAATTTTTTGGTGTCTGGTCATCTGTGGAAATACTTGCTTTTTATTTCTGAAAAGCTTTGGCTGAGAGGTTTTTTGGTTTGTTCTTTTATAACACACACACACATTTATAGTCTCTAAGACTTCTCAGATAATTACTAGACCGCCGACTCTAACACACTGTTTCATCATATTCAAACTGACTGCCCGGATAGAAATCCATATTCTCTCTCTTATTAAGAACCGATTTCCCTTGAGTAATATCTGCCCTGCTATTTTACTCTAGGTAATATTGATCTTCCCACTCTCCTCCAAAGCGCCTTGCAGAGTGCCAATAATGTTGTAAAAGAAACCTTTTATTAATGAACTCCCCACAGCTTAATTTTGTTTAGATAAGTTAAAAAAAAAAAAAGACAGGAGAAAGGGTGCAACAGTTGACAAACTTTTATTTGCACCAAAAGTCTGGCCACCTGTGGAGTAGTTTATAGGGAGTCGGGGGTGTGGAGTGAGTGGGTGGCACTACTATAAACAAAGCTTCAACCAGCTGCCTGAGAGCTCTGAGTCACACAGAGCAAGCAGGATGTCCCACTAAGATACAGATTGTTTGATTACACCCAGAGACAACAGCACCAAGCCCAGCAGGGACTGACACATCAGGGCCAATCTCTTCACTCACTGTCCCAGCGATGCAGAGGGGCCCCCACCAAGAAAACCCAGGAAGCATTGAGAGTGGCTGTGGGCTGACGCGTCCTGTATGTTTGACGTAAACAGGAGTGTATTTTTTCCCAAGATCAGCCTCTATACAAAGAGATTAAATCAGTCCTATACAGAGGAACTGGTTTTCTCATGCCGACCCATGTTTGCGAATGCTGTCGAAAGTTCTTCAGAATGAAGCTAATCAAAGTGAAAGTGATGACAGGACAGATCGTATTCGAAATCCCAGTGACCTGACCACAGGAGGAGCCCCACCACCGAAACCCTGCAAGGAGGTCAGCAGCAAGACCAGGGCAGGTGCCTGGCAGAGGCCTCCGCATCTGCTGCAACCTGGGCCCTCCCAGCCTCAGCAAAAGGGACTTTGTGGCCACAGCTGCAGTTTATTTCACATTCTATAATGATAGCAACTAGGCAGAAGTGACTGTGGACTGAGCAGAACCATCTTCAAATTTGTTTTTATCCTGGCATAACAGATTTAAGTTAACCAGCTATTGATTAAGTAGAGAACATAAGATAGTTAAACCCACTCTGTGTTCTCCCTCAATATCTACCCCTTTAGTCTGTTATTATGCCAGAAATTCTCTCAACTGGGAACAATGTAATGTTATGATTTTTAAAGCCAATAACACTCTGGTTTACATTAGTTTACCTGAATGTTTGGTTGGATGGATGGATGGATAGATGGATGGGAGGATGGATGGATGTGTCAACCTATAATAAAATATTATAAAATAATCTAAAGAGTCAGAACCACCCATTTGTGAAAAACAAAATTTAAAAGCTGTTGGAATCCAAACTTTCTCTGTTTTTTGTTTGTTTGTTTGTTTGTTTGTTTGTTTGTTTTTGAGAAGGAGTTTCGCTCTTGTCACCCAGGATGGAGTGCAATGGCTTGATCTCGGCTCACTGCAACCTCCGCTTCCCAGGTTCAGGTGATTCTCCTGCCTCAGCCTCCCGAGTAGCTGGGATCATAGGCACCTGCCACCACGCCTGGCTAATTTTTTGTATTTTTAGTAGAAACGGAGATTCGCTATGTTGGTCAGGCTGACCTCAGGTGATCCACCTGCCTGAGCCTCCCAAAATGCTGGGATTACAGGCTTGAGCCACCATGCCCAGCCGGAACCCCAACTTTCAAAGAGTTTATTCAAGTGCAGTTTGAGGATGGCCTACCCGGAAACACCAATTCCAAAGAAATGGAGTCAGAGTTTAAAATACAGAAGTTAAGGTTTCATTTATATAGACAGAGACAGAGGAGTTTTTAGCAGGATTACAGCATTTTTCATAAAGTTGTCACATAGTTACAGCAACTTGATTGGTTATAGGCAGTTTCTTTTTGTAAAGGGTGCATTTGTCACCTTTTACAGAGGGTGTAATAGTCATGGGCTGTCTGTCATCTGGTCTAAGCAAAGCAACACAACACAGGGGAAGTTAGTCTGTAACAATGGTCATTAATTTAGAAGGCAGGAGGTTTTTGTCCTTGAGGTCATTTAATTGCCTCTAGCCATGATAGAGAACAAGAAAAATAAGAAAAATAGTTAATCTATAATCTGAGAAACAAAAATAGCAACTCTATGTGACTCAAATCACACTCACATCTCTCAAAGTGTTTTTTGGGTTCCAACAGCTTTTAAATTTTATTTCTCACAAATGGACGGTTGGATGGGTAGATGACAGGATAGATGGGTGGATAGAGGAATGAAGAATGAGAGAAGAGAAGGTAGGCTTAGACTCCAGAAAATGTAGAACAAGAAAGTAGAGCATGAGATCCTGCCAAACAGGACACATTTTGGAGGAATGCGGAGAATGGCTAAGAGATGAAAATCCGGGGAGTGGGGGACAAAAATGAATATCTTCTTCTCAGTTTTAAGGAAGTATCTTTTATAGTCAAGACTTTTGCTGCTTGTAGAGTCTTACACTATCAACTGTATCATTTCATTCAGCCATTCATTCAACTACTACACTAATTCCTTCCCTTCTCCAACTCATGGAATGTAAAGGAAAAGGACCCAGAGGGAATATTTTCTGGTTAAAGGTGTTTAGTAATTGAGCCTGTTAATAGAACTTTAGAGACCCCACTTTGTTCAGGGGTTGCTATGAGGCATAGTGGAAGCATACACCCTCAGCAGCTGGAAGACCTGAATTCTCTGAACCTATTGAGAGCCTTCAGCTCCTCTGACATACATGAATCCTCTTTTCCTGCTGTTCTTCTGAGTGCTTTACTCCACTCATTAATATGTCCGTAAAGATGAAGTGAAAAGAAAGAGGAAGTACGTTTCAAAACCCTATCATTTTGCAATGTTGACAGTGGAAAGATACAGTGAAAAGGTTAACAAGTTGGTTAGAATGGCATTGAGGGTCAAGTGAGGACTTCCTTTAGTGACCCCTGACCCTATGAGCAGATACAGGAGTTGGTGAGAAACACCATCCTGCAGATTCCACCTGGAGTCACCTCCTCCAGGGAAATTCCTGCATACTCCAGATTTTGCTGATCCTTTCCAAAATATGTGGGGTATGAACTATGAAAGTCAGCATTTAAGTTAGTCCCTGTCTATAGTTGTTTCTTGTGTGCTAACCGTTGCCTGCATATTCCATATCAACATTCCCATGGTGTCTGGAGGTTTTACACAATAAAAGATCCCTAATAAACACTTGTTAAACTGGCATGACCATGCAATTTTAGTGGCACTAAACTTCGACACAAGTCATTTTGGAAAATAATGAGCCTACTGGCAGAGAATAGCATGGTCCACCAATAGTCATTCTCCCCATCTCTAAAACAAAGCCCTGAATCTTAATTAGGCACATAGCCAAGCTACAGACAACATTTTATAGCCTTTCTGCAGCTTAATATGTTGCCATGTGACTAAATCTTGTAATGAAACGAGTAGAATATGTGCCACTTCCAGATCATATCCTACTAAGGAAGGTGTGAGTGTCCTCTTGCCATTTTGTTACCAGTTGAAGGTGTCCAAGTTCTTGGCATCTTGAACAAAGAATTGGACAAAATGCACAAAGCAAGAAAGAATGAAGCAACAAAAGCAGATTTATTGAAAACGAAAGTACACTCCACAGGGTGGGAGTGGTCTGATCATTAGGGGCTGAATTCTCTGGAATTCAGAGATTCTCTGGAATTCTCTGGAATTACAGAATTCTCTGGGGTTTAAATACCCTCTAGAGGTTTTCATTGGTTACTTGGTGTATGCCCTTTGTAAATGAAGTGGATGAAGTAAAGTTACAAACTCCTTTACTCAGTGTACACCCTATGTAAATGGAGAGGATATTTCCTGTCATAGCTGAGGTGTTTCCGTTTGATTTATTTCTAGAACTGCAACATGAATCGGCCTTATGCTCCCTGCCTCCAGACCCTATTCTTCTGAGCCGTTTTCCTTCCTTGTTGCCTGGGTCTTGACGAGACCTAAAGCAGCCATCCTAGACCGAAGGTGGAAGCTGGGTGCGGACAATGGCAGAGTCAACCCTCGGGCCCTGGACCACTTTGGTCTGTTGTGTGAAATAAAAGTGAACTTCCTTCTTTGTTAAGTCATTATACTATTTGCCAAGGGTGGGGGTGGAGGAGTGGGGAAGCACAACTAACTAACAACTAACCATAACTAACAACAAAAACAACAAAGAGCAAAAATTAACTTTTTGGGCCGGGTGCAGTGGCTCACGCCTGTAATCCCAGCACTTTGGGAGGCCGAGGTGGGTGGATCACGAGGTCAGGAGATGGAGACCATCTGGCTAACATGGTGAAACCCCGTCTCTCCTAAAAATACAAAAAATTAGCCAGGCATGGTAGCGGGCATCTGTAGTCCCAGCTACTCGGGAGGCTGAGGCAGGAGAATCGCTTGAACCCGGGAGGCGGAGGTTGCCATGAACGGTGAGCCAAGATTGCACCACTGCACTCCAGCCTGGGTGATAAAGCGACACTCCGTCTCAAAAAACAACAATAACCACAAAAATTAACATTTTGTTCCATTTTACTGTGATTTTTAACGTGAAAATTGATAGCATCCTAAATGCAGAACACTAGGGAAATTCATGCCATGTGTGTAAGCCATGCCCTCAGGCCTTACACTTCCTGACTTATCTGCATTTCTTTGCCTGAGGTCTTCCTCTATCCAAGTAATCAGCAGGCTGGAAAGGGGTGGGGACCAAAGCCTCCCCCAGGTCATCCTTCAAACAATGACACACAGAAGTGGTATATACAGAACACACCTGGGCAAACGTCTCCCCTCCCTGTTTCATTTTAGAGATCACAACACTGAGATGGTAATGACTTGCCCATGGCAGGAACTGGATCTAAAATTCGAGTTTCCTGCTTCTTGTTTTCCCTTTTTTCTACCACTTCAGTATGAGGTTGGGGATAAAGCAATGCTGGAAGCTTATAGGCTGTCCCAGAAAAAGGCTAAGACCCCAACAGGATCTCAAAGCTAAGAGTGACAGGAATACTAGAATAAAACCAGAGTTATATTCAGAGTGGAGAAATCCATCCACCAATTCTGCCGTAGCCCCATAAAGCTGTTGTTTCCACCAATCGCATTTAATTAACAGGTTCAGACCCCAGCTTCACTGTAAGTACTCTAATTCAAGTAAATGGACTCTGGGGAAAATTCTAGAAAAATCTGCTAGTGAAATTCAGCCTGGATATCCGGGAGTCCATCCTCTGGGAATAAAGTCAAAGGGGCGCTTGCCCTGGCTGGTCCCTCAGCATTAGCAGGTTCACACTGTGAGTCCCCCACAAGGAAAGAGAGCTTTCTCTGCTCCCAGCCAGGTCTAACTGTACATCAATTTGCCCTTCTCATGCCGCTTTCTTGTCACTGGGTGGCAAACACACTGTTAGGTTCCTCTTCTTTATCTCTTCTCCTCTGTTGTAATTTGTGGCTGGGTAAGGAAAGAGATCAGAGAAAAAGGAGCTCTCTTGTCTTGATTGGACCCCAGGTCTGTGAGCACAAATGGTGGGCTGGTGATAAGGTGGAGGCTGAACCCCAAGGGTGGAGACAAGCCAAACCCAAACACCAAGCCCCACAGCAGATGTCTGTCTCTCATCTCATTGTTCAAGCCCTGCTGTATTTATACTTCAAGATTTGGAGAACTGAACTCACCCATCGTATTTCTATCCTGCCCAAAAAGTCCACTTTATAGCATTAAGAAAACTGTCTAATCAGAGAAGAGAGACCCATTTAGGGAATTCAAGCTCAGTGCTTTATTTTAAGCAAGAAAGTAAATAAATACATCAAAGATCTCTCTTGTCTCCTTCACAGCAGAGTCAGAAGGAGACTTTCCTAACCAGCTAAATGTGTGTTTAACCTAAAGGTACCGAATTTAGGGAGTTGCACTTTGGGTTGTCCTCACTTCCTTTACAAGTTGCTTCCTTTTCGAAGAACACAGGAGGGACTCTGTGACCCAGTTTCATCTTCAGATGCCTCAACATCCAAGATATTAAGAGGTGGCAAAAAATAAAAGTGATGGATGAATACAGCATCACTGCACTCCAGCCTGGGCGACAGAGCAAAACTCCATCGCAAAAAAAAAAAAAAAAAAAAAAAAGGAATAAAGTTCTGATCCATGCTACGATATGGATAAACCATGAAAATATTACACAAAGTGAAAGAAACTAGACACATAAGGCCATTTGTTGTATAATGTGTTTACGTGATGTATCCAGAATCGTTAAATCTGTAGAGATGGAAAGTGGATTGGTGATTCCAGCGGCTGTAGGAGGGAGAAATGGGAGGGACTGCTTGATGGATATGGGATAACTTTTTGGGGTGACAAAAATGTTTTGGACCCAGATACAGATTGCCCAACACTATGAATGTACTAAATGTCACTGCCTTGTACACTTAAGGATGCGCCATCTCAAAAAAAAAAAAAAAAGAAGGCTTAGTTTTGGGCCAGGTGCAGTGGTTCATGCCTGTAATCCAGCACTTTGGGAGGCCAAGGTGGGCAGATCACAAGGTCAAAAGATTGAGACTATCCTGGCCAACATGGTGAAACCCCATCTCTACTAAAAATACAAAAATTAGCTGGGCATGGTGGCATGTGCCTGTATTCCCAGCTACTTGGGAGGCTGAGGCAGGAGAATCGCTTGAACTCAGGAAGCGGAGGTTGCAGTGAGCCGAGATAGCACCACTGCACTCCAGCAAGGCGACAGAGTGAGACGCGTCTCAAAAAAAAAAAAAAAAAAATGCTTAGTTGTGTGTCATGTAAATTGACCTCAGTTAAACAAAAAATTCAAGTGATGGCTGGGGGCAGTGGCTCATGTCTGTAACTCCAGTGCTTTGAGAGGCCGAGGCAAGTGGATCACTTGGGCACAGGAGTTCGAGACCAGCCTGGGTAACATGGTAAAGTTTAACCTTTACCATGAAAACGGGTTTTTGTTTTTGTTTTTTTTCTGCTGGGCACGGTGGCTCACGCCTGTAATCCCACCATTTTGGGAGGCCAAGCCGGGCGGATCACGAGGTCAGGAGATCGAGACCATCCTGGCTAATACAGTGAAACCCCGTCTCTACTAAAAATACGAAAAAAATTAGCTGGGCGTGGTGGCGGGCGCCTGTAGTCCCAGCTACTCGGGAGGCTGAGGCAGGAGAATGGCATGAACCGGGGAGGCGGAGCTTGCAGTGAGCCGAGATCACGCCACTGCACTCCCAGCTACTCGGGAGGCTGAGGCAGGAGAATGGCGTGAACCCGGGAGGCGGAGCTTGCAGTGAGCCGAGATCACGCCACTGCACTCCAGCCTGGGCGACAGAGCGAGACTCCATCTCAAAAAAAAAAAAAAGAAAGAAAGAAAGAAAGAAAACGGGGTTTTTGCCTATTAAACTTCCGCTCTGAACCTCACTCTTTGTATGTCTGCGTCCTAGTTTTCCATGGCCGTGAGACAACGAATCTCGGTCATTTACCCCAGACAGTGACTCGGCTTCAGAGCTAGACACTGTCTCAAAAAATAACAATAATAATGAAAAAATAAAAGTGACAAATCAGGCATCCACTTCTTTCCCCCCAGTCATGGATGCTTTCAAAATAATTCATGAAAATTTCCAAATTAACAGAACATGCCGCCAATGGAAAAGTGAGGCCTAGTCAAGCTTCTGAACAGGCCTGACCAGAAACCTCAGACAGGTTCAGAGCAGCCTCACTTTGAGGGAGCTGAGGATGGTTTGTCTGGGCTGTTTCAACTCTTGACCTAGACCTGAAACTGCCCTGAGACCTGAGATTGAGAGTGGAAGCCCTGATGTCTCTGAATCATTCTTTCCTGGCAAGGCGTTTTTTTCCAAAGCACTCACAGGGCCGGTTTGTGGGCAGCCCCAGCCCGTTACATCCACATGCTGACTTTTATTCTAGGGGTCAGTTTGATCCAAGATGGACAACAGGTGGGGAGGGAGTAAAGTCTGTGGGGGAAACACGGGTTGGGCCAGGTAATGCAGACTTTGCTTAAATTGCTTCTGGTCCTCAGAACTATTGTCCTAATAGGGCACCCAGCAAGTTCGTCCTTTCTGGATGCAACTGGATTTAGCGATCTGACAGCCCATCCCCCTTTCCCACTCTTCCCCGCCCAAGCTGGCCTTGGTTGGTCACAGCTGCTCTGTTTCCTCCGCGCACGCGCCTGTGTGAGGTGGGAAGTGTATGCTCAGGTCCCTAGCTGAGGGTCACCCACCTCCTCCACAGGCTACCCTGTGTCTTCACCTCTGATGGAATCATTATCTCCACAGCTCACCCCATGGGTTTTGCCAGCTCAAGACCATTCGTCTAACACCTGAAATTAGGATTTCCGGCTTTATAATGGAGCTGGGACTTTTAATCAGCTACCTCTCCGACCTGCCCAGTGGATTTCTTTGCCTCCTGCGGAGGCAAGGACCTGGGTCTTATAAAATAGTGTCACACTCTCGCTGTGCCCAGCACACAGCAGACCCGGAAAGGTCATTTGCTAAATAACTAAATGAGTGAAACTCAGAAATTGAGCTCATACAAAGGACTGGAAAAGGCACCCATGGTTAAAAAAAAAAAAAAATAGGGAGGCCCTGATCTATTAGGAAGGTTAAACAGAGAGCTGCTGTGCTGATAGATGCTAGAACAGAGGTTTGTGTCAAAGGCTTCAGGGGCACAGATGACAGAGCCAGTAACTCTGTGGGAGGGCCAGCCCTGCGGAGTGGAGGAAGGGGGAAGGAGCTGGAAACCACAGAGAAATCAACTGGGACTTGAAGGCTGAGGAGGCACTGGGGCTGAAAAGGTGCTGGGGCTGAGGAGCCGTTGGCATGGAGCAGAGGGATGTGGTATCTTCTTCAAGACAAATCAGGCATCATTTGGGGTTAGATTTTTCTTCCATTGAGTCCTTTGGGCAGCTGGCTTTTCACTTGTTTCCCTTTCTTCATTTTTTACTCTATTTTTTTTTTCCTTTGGAAAACACAAGCGACTTTCTCCTAGGGGTATTTTATTTTCTCCATGGTTTAAACATTTAGAGAAAAATAAAAGGAGAGAAAATGAAACGAGATTTTTTCCACGCATACTTTTTTTTAAATTGAGAGTAACATACAACCCATAAGATGCACATTAGTGGGGTGTGTGTGTGTGTTTTGTTTTTAATTTTCTATCCTGGTTTCAACTTAACAGATGAGTTCTTGGCTGGGTCCCGACAGGATACCTCCCGTGCCCTGCCTCAGGTGATCATGGCCCACCTTTTCACCCCAGCCGATGTCGAGGAACAGTTAAGTGCAGGAATAACCTGAAAACGTCTTGCTGCAGCTGTACCAGATATCTCTATTCCGCCATATGGGACGCCATGCATTTTTAAAACATGCACAAGCTTGGAAGCATGAGGAATTAGCACACCATGGAGCAACCCTTGACTAATAGAGAAAGGAAGAAAGTGGATACTTGGGTAAACACCCCTCTCTTGTGTCTCCCAAGCAGACCATCCTGAGGCACAGGCTGCACAGCTTTTCAGACGGACCCCATTGGGATCAAGCTCCAGTCTCCCAAAGGGATGATGGGCTCATGAACTTAATGACTGCCCTCTTGGATTAACTCCCACTCCTTGCCTATTATCCTCTCTCCCCTCAGTCCTTGGCACCTGTTCTTTGGAGTCACTTACTAAAATTAACTACCTGAATGCAGGCCCTTCTCTCAGGCTCACACTTTTGGGGAAAACCCAGGTTAAGACAAAGAATACCAGAAGTGGGCCTCAAAAGCAGACCCTTGAGATGGGATTTTGGAATTGGATCAGAGGGCAGTAAAGACTCCACTGCTAATAGTAAGGTGGTAATTAACTCTGGCATGCAATTGCATCATGATTACTAAAACTCTCACAGGTGGAACTTGGATGAAGCATGGGTGGTATGGGAAGCATTGGCTTATGTGGCAGTGGGAGCCCTTCAGTGGTAGGGGCAATGGTAATTTTTTTTTTTTTTTTTTTTTGAGACAGAGTTTCACACTTGTTGCTCAGGCTGGAGTGCAATGGCACGATCTCGGCTCACTGCAACCTCTGCCTCCCAGGTTCAAGAGATTCTCCTGCGTCAGCCTCCCAAAGTAGCTGGGATTACAGGCGCCTGCCACCTGTAATTTTTTGTAATTTTAGTAGAGACGGGTTTTCACCCTGTTGGCCAGGCTGGTCTTGAACTCCTGACCTCAGGTGGTCCACCCTCCTCAGCCTTCCAAAGTGCTGGGATTACAGGTGTGAGCCACCGAGCCCAGCCAGGCAATGGTAATTTTAAGAATTATGGAGTTATCCAGCTTTTGTTAAGGGCTTTAGACCCTTTGAAAAAAAGAGAAAAAAGAGGCTCAAGTTATCCAACTAACAACTTCGAGACATCCTATGAAAGTAAAAATGGCTCCTTCGCAGTGTTGAAGCTGGGAGATAATACTTGTCTCCTATAGCCAGAGAGCAGGCTGTGCTGAAATCCAGACCCTGAATTTGAAAAGAAGGGTAGCAGAGTCACACAGACTGAATGCACAGCTTCAATGTTTTCCTGTGCTGCAGTTAGAGTTCTAATACAGAAAGAATGGGATCTAGAGACCCAGGATGAGGATGTTTGGGTAGATGAGCCTGAGAACTTGGAACACTCTGAATCCTTTTAACCTTTAAACTAATAAGACATTCCCTTTCCCTGGCTGGAAAAAAACCAGCCTCCTCTCACCTGGAAACAAGGATAAGACCTCACCTGAGGCAGGTACTTTGTACCATGATGCTTATCTTCCTCCAGAACACCTTGCCTCTCCCTTCACTCCAAACCAAAAACTAGAGTCAGTTTAAGCACAACTCAAGTGAGGAAATATTGTCCCTGCCATGGGAGGAAACAACATACACAACCTCACACTACAAGAGCTCCCCATGTGTGCTGGCGGGGTCTGAGGGAGCACATGGGAGTGGATCTTGGAAGTTGAATGTAAGACTGAATAAGGAGGGATTCTACTGACATCAGAGCAATGTCCCATGGATCCAATTTGACACCCTGATGCAGTCACCTGGAACCAGTCCTAATACACTGCTGGGATGGCTCCTTGAAGTTTGGGCACAATGATGAGACTAAAATGCAAAGAGATGCACCAAACTGTCTTGCAGAATAAGAAGGAGAGCAATGGAAGGCTCAGAAAAGTGGAAATTTTCAAAGTGGATTTGTTATGTAAAATGGGAGAACCCACCACAGGACTGTGTTACCCCAAAGGGCCTAGAGGGCATACCTTTCACAAAGGCACTAAGTGAGGGGGCACCAGCCTGCACCGTTTTCACAGACCTTGTAAAGCCTGAGGGCCCTTGGCACTGTAGCCATAGCCTAGTGGGAAGATGGCCTTGTCTATAAAATGCTCTGAAGGCCTCTTTAAGGCAGGATCAAGGGAGACCATCTCTTGTGATTCTTAAGCTAATATCTTTAAAAAAAAAAGAATTTTCAAATGTCATAGAATTTACACATTAAAAACTTATATTCTCAGAACTTTCAACAAGTGAAAATGTAGCATGATTGTTGTTTTCTCCGTGTGTTGTAAACTTGAATGCCTTTAGAACTAAATAGAGGGCTCTCAGATGCAGAAGAGAGCATAGTCATCTACAGAGAAAAGAGAAGAAGCTTTTGAAGCAATGAATGCCATGACAATTTCAAAACTGGAACAAGCCAGCAACTTCACAAAGTATTTTATCAAGCCAAACCAAAATATCAGCCACCCCATGTAACACCAGGAAATGTTGTGAGGCATCTGACAGAGCACACAGCCTTTTGAAAATCTCATGTGCACCTGCCTTTCCTCTGACTCTCTCTGCCTAAAGAAAGTTTAGGGTCCTATACATCATCCTCTTGCTTGACAATGTCTGGGAGTTCATGAGTTCTTAATCCTCTGTCACTGGAACAGACTTAGAGCATCCCAATCAGTAGTTCTGGAATACAGCTGGTATAGAATGAATCATAGAATTTTAAGAAAATGTAAGGTTCTGGACCAAAACCCCGGAGATTCTGCCATGGTAGGTTTGAGGGCGTCTCCAAGCAATTTCAATGATCACACAGATTTCAGAACCAAGCCTCTCAATCCTTGACTGTAAAGCTGATTAATTTTATAAATCTATTAATTATTGTTATAAATTTATGTTACACGCACACACAATTTGCAGGAGGGAAAAGCCAATATATTCAGGATAGGGAATTAGAACAGTTTTTATCTCTCTCTGTCTGAGTTTCACCAAATTCAGAGCCTGAGACAGGGACTTGCACACAGGTAGTTTATGTTAGGAAGTGATCCCAGGAAACAGGCATGATTGACTAGGAAGAACAGAGCAGAGGGAAAGGGAAAGCCTATACTGGCATTCATTTTCAAGCTGATCATCTCTATGAATTCCTGAGGACCAGTCCCACTGGGGATTCTCTGAGGATCTGTATAAAATCTACCTTGGATATGTCCATCTGAAGAAAAGAATATAGGGGCATTTATCCACAGGGTTCTGTCATCCCTGGTCTAGGGTTGCCCCGAAGGGTAGTAATACCTTCAAATGTCCAGGTGTTTTTGTTTTTGTTTTGAGATGAAGTTTTGCTCTTGTTGCCCAGGCTGGAGTGCAATGGCATGATCTTGGCTCACCGCAACCTCCGCCTCCTGGGTTCAAGCGATTCTCCTGCCTCGGCCTCCTGAGTAGCTGGGATTACAGGCATGTGCCACCACACCCGGCTAATTTTGTATTTTTAGTAGAGACAGGGTTTCTCCATGTTGGTCAGGCTGGTCTTCAACTCCTGACCTCAGGTCATCCACCCACCTCGGCCTCCCAAAGTGCTGGGATTATAGGCGTGAGCCACTGCTGTCCAGGTTTTTTAATGTATCAGAATGGCTGGACATCTCCCATCACAGTAGCCGAGAAGTCCCATGGCAGAAAGCAAGAGAAGTGAGGAATGTTTGAAGAAAGGTGTTCTCAGAATATACCTGCATGAGCTGGTTGCTATAGCAATGTTGAAATTAAAAAGGTGGGCCAAGACTGGGTGCGGTAGCTCACACCTATAGTCCTGGCACTTTGGGAGGCCGAGGCAGGTGTGTCGCTTGAGCCCAGGAGTTTGAGAACAGCCTGGACAACATGGCACAATCCCGTCTCTATGAAAAAAAAAAAATACAAAATTTAGCCGGGCATTGTGGTACACACCTGTGGTTCCAGCTACTCCAGAGGCTGAGGTGGGAGGATTGCTTGAGTCTGGGAGGTGGAGGTTGCAGTGAACCATTATTGTGCCACTGCACTCCAGCCTGGGCAACAGAGTGAGACGCCTTCTGGAAAGGAAAGGAGAGGAAAGAGGAGAGAGGAGAGGAGAGGAGGGGAGGGGACCGGAGGGGAGGGGAGGGAAGGGGAGAGGAGGGGAGGGAAGGGGAGAGGAGGGGAGGGGAGGGAAGGGGAGAGGAGGGGAGGGAAGGGGAGAGGAGGGGAGGGAAGGGGAGAGGAGGGGAGGGAAGGGGAGAGGAGGGGAGGGAAGGGGAGAGGAGGGGAGGGAAGGGAAGGGGAGAGGAGGGGAGGGGAGGGGGAAGAAAAAAAACAAAAGAAAAGAAAAGAGAAAGAAGAGAAGGGAAAGGGAAGGAAGGGGAAGGGGAAGGGAAAGGGAAAGGGAAGGAAGGGGAAGGGAAAGGAGAGAAAAGGTGGTCCAACATGATATGAAGCAGGGCACATAAGCTGCCCAGTGCAGTCCACCCCTCACACTGCCCAGCTTTGCTCAACCCTATGTTAAGTCCAAACTATCACAGAATCTTCAAGGTGGTGGCCAGCTGAAACCTCTATCAAAACCTTCAAACCCAAGCTTCTGTGGTAGAGATCCTAGTTCCTGCTGATGCAGCTGATCCTAAAGCCATATCTGATATTTTTCATCTTCTTTCTGAATCACATGTTTTAGCTTTCCCTCCCCCTCAGCTAACACTATAGTGAACCCAGGCCATCATGCTCAAAGAATCTGAACCTTCAGTTTCTTTACTGATTTGGGGCTGTGCTTCTTGACCTTGTCCATTAACAGTTAATACCAGGCTTTGGAAGCTCCTAGAGACACCCAAGGAATTCCTTTAGTTCAAGATATATTCCTTCCTATCCTTGCTATGTGGCAGCAATTCTAGTTCTTCATGATCATCACCCTTGCCAATATGGTCCATCAGCATAAGATGCCTAAACTGATTGGGTAGCGGTCACAGCTTCAGATTTATAGAAATATAGATTACTAGTACCTTTACTGCATCCCCTGCAGGAAGTTCTTCAGTCCCTCTCACAAGAACCAGGGCTTCCAATCCAGCAGAGCTTAAGAGTTAAAGGACAAGGAGTAAGAATTTTACAAGCAGGTCACTAGGAGTGTACATTGGAGAACCAATACAACTTCTAACTCTTGGTTCCCAGACCTGCGTAGTCTAGCTTATAGGAACAAGAGACAGAACACAACAATAATACAACATTACCACTTGTTCAATGTCCTATGCATTTAAATCATATTTTATGACCTTAAAGAATTTTATAAATAGGGCCATTATAAACATCAGGCACTATGAACAGTGCTTCTCAAGACTCTGCAGAAATGCTAGAGACCACTGGAAAAAATCGTATTGATTCCATAACACAAAAATAAAATCACAAAATCAAAACAAATGTTTAATTCAATGTCTACAAATATAAAAAGTGACATGACACTAATTGTTAAATTTAATATTTAGAAAAATGTAACTGCATTTGAAAACAATTTGTAGGTTAGATTTTTCTCTCCAAAAGAATTTCTAAATTATACATGAATTATGGCCATGCACTTACAGCCAATTACAAATAAATAAGTTACAGGTAACAAAATAAGTTATAATTTTAAAATCCAATTACAAAAATTCATAAAGTTGTGTGTGTGCGTGTTTAACATGAAATGTGGGTAACTTGTAATATGTACAATTCAGAGTGGTAGTATTTCTGGGGGTAGCAGTTTGATTGATAAAATTCTATTTTTTTTTTTCTTTTTTTTTTTTTAATTTGAGACAGAGTTTAGCTCTTGTTGCCCAGGCTGGAGTACAATGGTGCAATCTGGGCTCACTGCAACCTCTGCCTCCCAGGTTCAACTGATTCTCCTGCCTCAGCCTCCTGAGTAGCTGGGATTACAGGCGTGTGCCACCAAACCTGGCTAATTTTTGTATTTTTAGTGGAGACAGGGTTTCACCATGTTGGCCAGGCTGGTGTCAAACTCCTGACCTCAGGTGATCCACTCACCTCGGCCTCCCAAAGTGCTGGGATTCCAGGCCTGAGCCACCATGCCCAGCCCATAAAATTCTTAAATAAGTCTTGTTTATATAAACCTTGATCTTACCATTTTTGTAATGATGTCATTAATTCTAATTTATACATATGTTGACTTAATATAAAAATATCTTTGAAAGTGTGTTAGACCCCTCAATATAAAATCAGAACATACCTGTTAATACATACTACTAGAATTTAAGTTTTTGATAGAAAGAAGATGTCATTAGTTCTAATTTATACATATGTTGACTTAATATAAAAATATATTTGAAAGCATCTTACGCTCATCAATATAAAATGAGAACATAGCTGTTAATACATATTATTAAAATTTAAGTTTTAGATAGAAGGAAGAAGGTGTTTAGTAGTACCATAGAGTGACTATAGTTAGCAATAATTTGTTGCATGTTTCAAAATAGCCAAAAGAGGGGAGTTAGAATGCTCCTAACACAAAGAAATAATAAATGTTTGAAGTGATGGATATCCCAATTACCCTGATTTGGTCATTACAGATCATATGTTTTGGTTCAAGACATTCTCCTTCCTATCCTTGCTGTGTGTCAGCAATTCTAGTTCTTCATGATAATCACTCCTGCCAATATGGTGCATCAGTATAAGAAGCCTTACGCAGATCAAAATATCACACGACTTCATACATAAGTATAATTATTATGTATCCATGATAATTAAAAACCAAAAAAACTGAAATAAGAATTTAAGTTTGTTATATTCTTATGTAAAATGGTTGAATAATATATTTCAGTTAATCTTTCTTAGGAAATGCAGTCTAATATTTATTAAATGAAAGTTCTATCAATGGCAAAATTGGCCCAGGAAGTTTTAACATTGCAGGGGGATAATACTGATTAGAAATTCAAGTCCCTGGACTTCAGTTCAACTGTGAACTATTAATCCAAAGAGGAACAATTGGTCTTGCCTTATATTATCATAAATTATCATCTTTTTCAGATCACTTCCTAGTTTTCCCAGGAGTAATAGCCAGTTGGGAGTATATTCATTTATAAAAGTATTATGAAAATCTAAAAGTTTAAAATGTAACAGGCCAACCTGGCTGACTTGTCAGAAATGAATGATGCTTTAAGGGCATAAATTGTAAAAAGCACATTGTGAAGATGTTGTCCCAAAGATCTGTTTACTAAAGTGCGTGGAAGGATAGCAGTGTTTTCTTTCGGACAGCTTTGACACCACTCCTAATGAGAGAAGAAACCAGTACTTTATTTTGTTTAACTGTGGAGGTCACAGTACAGACTCATCCATCAGACCAGCAGCTTCCTCCTCCTCCTTCCTAACTGAGAATGGACTCCAGGCTACACAGCAAAATTTCCCCTTTTCTTTCATTCCATGGAATTTCACAACAGAGTCTCCCTGGCAATGCAGAGGTGCTGTAGTCATTTTTACAAGCAAATCATCCAGAAAGACACCCACAGATGACACAGCACATCTTGGTGTGAAGATTGTGGAAAGGATGGTATTGTTTCAATACCCTCTTGATGGCTTTTACGCCAATAAATTTCCTGTCTCTGAATCTTCTATGCAAAATCTGACCTTCAATTGAGCTAACTAGTGCCAGCTCAAAGCGTTGTGGTTTTTCTTGAGTAATAAGCGCCATTTTTGAAAGTTGGGAAGAAAGACAAGAAGATTTATCATCTGGGGTTTATGGAAACTTTAAACGTGCATCTCTTGAGGTCTTCTCTAGGGACTAATAGTCTGATACGAGTAGCATCATTGCTTAACCTTTCTTAAACACCAAGTCAGATGTGTTGCTTCCCTGTTACCCATTGCTGTCTCCAAGAGATGTTCCGGCTTCGCGCTTACACTCCCCATCTTCATTGTCTGTCCTCACCTCTGCCCTCGCCACTCAGGGAATCTGTTTATGAACCAATCTGGCTAGTCTCTGAAAGTCACCATGCTGGCGACCCCGATCTCAGCTACCAGCAGCTCACTCTGTGGGCAAAAGAAGAGCAGCTTTTTTTTTTTTAAGTTAGTGAAACCAGCAAGGTTCAATAACTTCCTGGGAAAGCTGGGACTTGATGATAAATGAGAAATAAAAGCAAGTAAAGATTTCTTATCCAAGCTTCTCCTGCCTTAATTTTCAAAACTAGAATCTGTCCTCCTTCATTTTAGTACTAATTGCAGAAATCATTCCAAAATGTGACTGAACCCATTGGCAATGCCCAGTGAGCACGGCATCTCTTAGTGTGTGTTTTAAGAACTGAAAGATCCCACAGTGGATTTCCCCTCACATATAACTCTGCTGGATTTTAGAACCTAGAGCTTAACACACATTTAGAGAAAATATCTCATAAATCCTGGCAAAGCTTGCAAATAAAGGAGCATGTGTAATATGTAAGTATTTTGTCAGGGTTTACATTTCAGAAAGGGGGAGTCGCAAAGAAAGGAGGAGAGGGGGCAGAGACCCGAGGATCTCCTGGGTCCAGATTCCGACCTTCCAGGTTGCTGCTTTCAGCACTCTCTTGATGAAACCCAGCCACCCACACAGTCAGAACAGATTTGACGAAGGTTAACCAAGTGTCTTAGGGAACTTCTGTGGCCTGGTAACGGTTGCCTGAAAAAGTGTGCCTGAGGTTTTTCATACCCTGCCGGGAGAACTGCAGTCGGAACTTCTTGGGGAATGCACAGCAGTCCCCTGGGCTGCAGAGCCTTGGGGATTTCCAGGGTGGGGTGATGAATCAGTGATGCTCTTGGCGACATTCCTCCCCACCAAGGTTGTCAGGGACTCCTAAGTGTTCTCCTTCTGTCACGTAAGCAGAGCCCCAAAGCTGCAACTGTGCGGACACCTGTCCTTAGTTCTAGCACTCATTTCATTTCATTTTTTTTTTTTTTTTTTTTTTTTTTTTTTTTTTTTTTGAGATGGAGTCTCACTCTGTCGCCCAGGCTGGAGTGCAGTGGCGGGATCTCGGCTCACTGCAAGCTCCGCCTCCCGGGTTCACGCCATTCTCCTGCCTCAGCCTCCCAAGTAGCTGGGACTACAGGCGCCCGCCACTACGCCCGGCTAATTTTTTGTATTTTTAGTAGAGACGGGGTTTCACCGTTTTAGCCGGGATGGTCTCGATCTCCTGACCTCGTGATCCGCCCGCCTCGGCCTCCCAAAGTGCTGGGATTACAGGCGTGAGCCACCGCGCCCAGCCTCATTTCATTTTTATTCCCTGCAATAAGTTGAAACAAGAGGGGAAGAAGAAAAGGGAAAGCAGCTCTCAATAGAAGGTTTACCATTTAGCTGACTCTGACTCTGAACCTCAATGGCCTCATCTTTAAAATGGGATAGCAACCTATATCACTGGTTGCAAGAAGTACAAATATTAGTAAAAAGACTCTAAAAATGTAAAAAGCATAAAGCAAGTGGAAAAGGTCATCACAAGGTTCAGTTCTGACACCAACTAGTTGTGTGCTCGAATGGACAGTGAATATAATTGTCAAAGTCCCTTCCAAAAATTCCACGATCCTGTGAAAAGTCAAACAAAAGACACGGTGGCTCACACCTGTAATCCCAGCACTTTGGGAGGCCGAGATGAATGGATCACTTGAGGTCAGGAGTTCGAGACCAGCCTAGCCAACATGGTGAAACCCCATCTCTACTAAAAATAAAAAATTAGCCGAGCGTGGTGGTGCATGCCTGCAATCCCAGCTACTCGGGAGGCTGAGGCAGGAGAATCTCTTGAACCCGGGAGGTAGAGGTTGCAGTGAGCCGAGATTGCGCCACTGCACTGCAGCCTGGTGACAGAGCAGGACTCTGTCTCAAGAAAAAAAAAAAAAGTCAAACAGAAATTAAAAATCACCAAGTACTTTCTGTATGGCTAAGGTGGTGCTCAACTCAACAGTATCCTCTGTACCTAATCATCTGGAGTTAGTTCTTTTAGCTTCAATTTAAATAGTGTTGCCATCCCACATTTCTTCCCCCTTTCCCACTCTGGTAGTCTCAGAGCTACTTTAGAATTTTCCCTGCAAAGCATCCTGGCTCTGGAGAGGAAATGTGACTCTTTGGCTGAGGTTCAGGCAGCTCTGCTCCTTGCTCTTGAGTTTTAATTCCATGAACAAGTGAGGATTGAGTGGCCTACAATATGAACACTGCTGGGGGCTTAACAAACACGATGTGTATGACTTCAGACAGCCAGAATCTCCTTCCTTCTTGGCAGAGATAGACACAGCCAACCTCTCTTTTAGAGCATTTCTGTTAGACTAGACCCTCCCCATTAAAACCGTGCCCCAGATATCATCACCTCGACTCCAGAGAGCTGATGTAACTAGCTCTGTGGGAAAGAGATTTTCCAGCTTGAGTGTTAAGTAAATTTAAGTGAACCAAACTCAGATGTTTATCCAGTCAACCCCAAAAGCAGGGAAGCGGGTGGAGGTGGTCAAGTAGAGAAGGGACAAAGGCCCTGATGCTCCCAAGCTGCCGAGTTGGGCACTGTCCTAACACAAACTGTCCCTCCTACAAGTTGACCTTGTTTCCCTGGACACACTGGTGTGCCCGTCCCCATGCCTTTGCTCTTGCTGTGCCTTCCCTTCCAGAACTGCCTTCTCTCCTCCTTCCAGCCCTTTGATTGGCATACAACAAAGATTTCTTGAACACATTTTGGGGTTCAGCACTGGGCTAGGCATTATGGATCTAGAAAGATAAACATGACATGATCAATACTCCCAAGGCGCTTGGTCCCCAGTAAGGCAGATGGAATTCCAGCAGTAAATATCTAGTGATTACAGTGGGATGAGTGCCTGATGGAGTGGCTGAGAGAGTGTGAAGAAAGAAGAGATTCCTATGGCTGGAGGGAGTGAGAAGCTTCCTGGAGGAGGCAGCAATGGTGTCTTGAAGGAGGGTTTCAAGAGACTAGGATGGGCATGAGAAGAGGATGAGAGAACAACTGGCCTGACTGCGCCCGCAGGCCTGATTGGTCTGACAAGGGATCTGAAAGGACAGTGACAAGGAAGGAAACCAACCTTTGTTGAGCACCTACTATGTGTAAGCACATATATTTTCAGATATCTTTACCATTACCCTCAATAGGTTGAATTATTCCTATTTGTAGGCAGAAAAACAGAGCTTTAAAGAGATTGAGTGACTTGTTTTGGGTCCCAAAGGCTAGGATGTGGCAGGTCCAGGACTTTTCGCCTAGTCTTCCCAACTCCAAAGTCTGTTCACTTTCTCTACACTAAGCTGCTTTCCTGGATCTGAGGCTGGAAAAGGCCGATTATGGCCACATGCTAGAAAGCTAAAGAACTTGGATTCTTCCTTCCTCCTTGCCTAGTTAAATTCTTCTAGGACTGGTTCAAACCCTACCCTTCTCACTAGGCCTTTCCTGAATGTTCCAGGCCCTCTGTATTCCCAAATACTGTTGACAGAGTCCCACTGCCCTACAAAATCTTTACTGGATCATGTGAATCCATCATGAATCCCCAATAAAAATGCAAGTTCTTAAAGAAGAGGAACAGATCATGCCCCAGAATAAGCAATTATGGAATCAGTTCTCTCTTTTTGGAGAGGATATGGAGACCGGCAATGGCTGCGTTCTCCCCAGCACGGTCTGCCTGCACTCATGTTAGAAGGAGTGGGCACTCCCCAATTCCCCAAGGCCTATCAGCAGACACTGGCCTTCTCTGAAGTTTCTCTCTCTGCAAGGAGATCACAAGGAAACATGCACCACAAGAGCAGCCAATGCAACCTGCCACTGGAACACAACTGGACACACCTAGTCACTCACCCTGGAAATGCATTATGGAATTTCATGGAATGGAACCTAGAGAGCTGCACCTCCCTCCCAGCCTGGAAGGAGACACTGCCACAGGCAGCTCCAGCTCCCACGTGGGAAGACCTGCAGATGGTGCCAAGTCACAGCCTGGGAATTTATTCAGCTATCCCTGAATTTAGTGCCTAGATGGATGTGTCAAAGGGAGGAAGCAGCCTTACCTGCCCAGTGGTGTGGATTTGATGTCTCTGATCATTTCCAGGCGGTTTAACACTTCCACTCTTGTAATGGTTGATTTTCCAGGTCACAAATTTCATGGGTATACTTATTACTTATAGGATAACTATTGATCATTTAATTGCAAGGTAAATACCATAGAAAAGCATGGGAAAATCACATGGTAAACAATTATAGCCTAAGTACTGGTTATTTTGTAGTCTGCCTGGCTACCAGTCATTTATTTTCTAAGTAAAAATTTAGTCCTAGAAAATCTCTCATTGGTATATACAGGAATGCTCAAGAAGTGTCTCCTTTTTAATTCATAATTACATCAGCAGTATGTTACATATATCCTTATCTTGTTCTCCCTGAACTCTCACATGACCATTTTCTTTCCATGGTGCATTTCTTAAAGATGTAGTGAATGGAAGAAGGCCAGCTTTGGGACATGCAAACCTAGGAAAGAATAACCATCATATTACTTACAAGTGGTGCTACCTTGGGCAAGATGCTTACACTGTCTAAGCCTTAGTTTTTCACCTGTCAGACGGTATGAAAATACCTACTTTGTATGAACATTGTTAGCAATAAGACCATTTATATAATGCCTCTGGTACATAGTAATAATGACTGTAAGTATCTATATGGTGCTTAATCCATGCCAGTCATTGTTTTAAGCACTCTGTGGTGTGTATTATGTCAATCTTCACAACAGCCTCCATCAAAGAGCAACAATTATCATCCCCATTTCGTGGGTAGGAAACTGAGGCACAGAGAGGTTAAATAACTTGCCTGAGGCCAACAGCTAACAGGTGGTAGAACAGGGATTCAAACCCAGGAAGACAGGCTTCAGAGTCCATGCTCTTAACCGCTACACTAGCTTGTGCCTGTAGAGAGAGGGCACAAGCTATTTACACTTGGAAGGCACTGTGAGATGATGTGGATTCACTGGAGGAGTGAGAGGGTCAGATGTTGGATTTAGGGGCTGTGGTAGGCAGCCGTTAAGATGGTCCCCAAGGATCCCCACCTCCTGGTATTTATGCCCTTGTGTAGTCTCCTCCCCTTTAGTGTGCACTAGACCTGGTGAATTTAAAATTTGAATACAGCAAAAGTGATAGGCTATGTCTACTGAGGTTAGGTTGCGAGAAGATCGTGGTTTTCACCTTGTGCAGTCTGACTCACACACACTTGCTCACTCTGAGGAGAGCCACCTGCCATGTTGTGAGCGGCCCTGTGCAGAGGCCCACATGGCAGGGAACTGAGCTCTCTGGTGAACAGCCAGCAAAAGCCTGAGATTTGCCAACAGTCACTCCAGGGGGCTTGGAAGCAGATGCTCCCCAAGTCAAGCCTTGAGAGGATTGCCGCCAGCATTATTGACAGCACCAACCTCAGCCCAAAGTTTTAAATGCTAAGAAGCTGAGCGAATAAAGGGTTTTTCCAGCACTTTCAGAACCTTCATCAGCAAAATCGCTGAAGATAAATTTAATAAAGGAAAACAGAAAAGGAAGGAGATAGGTTTGTCTGTTTGTTGTTTTTGTTTTCTTAATAGGGACCACTCATTTCTCTGACAGCGTAGGTTAGTGAGTGAAGCTCTGTCTGCATCAGAAGGAATAAGACCTGGGTCCTGTCTCACCCCCACTCTGCTCCCTAACTCCTCCCTCAATAGCTGTATAGCATCTGTAAAGTCTGTGATAGGAGTCTCAGTTGTCCCATCTGTAAAAAGGGATAACACTTAGTCTGCCTTGGTAAACAAGGCCAGGTCATCTTTCAAGGATTCTTCTTGTTCTGAAAGGCACAGCTCTCTGTGACCTTATTCAGGCTGAGTATTGACAGCTCTATCACTGTGGTTTTCCAGCTTTTTGGTCTCAGGACCTCTTTACTCTTCTAGAAATTCTGAAGATCCGAAAGAGCTTTCATTTATAAAGTGAGTTTTATATCCATATATACACATATATATCAGTATTTTCTGTATTACACATATATATCAGTATTTTTCTGTATTAAAAACTAAAACAGAAATTGGCCGGGCACGGTGGCTCATGCCTGTAATCCCTGCACTTTGGGAGGCCAAGGTGGGTGGGTCACCTGAGATCAGGAGTTCGAGACCAGCCTGACCAACACGGAGAAACCCTGTCTCTACTAAAAATACAAAATTAGCTGGACGTAGTGGCGCATGCCTGTCATCCCAGCTACTCGGGAGGCTGAGGCAGGAGAATTGCTTGAACCAGGGAGGCAGAGGTTAGGGTGAGCAGAGATGGCGCCATTGCATTCCAGCCTGGGCAACAAGAGCAAAAAAACTGTCTCAAAAAAAAAAAAAGAAAGAAAACTAACAGAAATTTAAATATATGTATTTATATTCGTTTATTTAAAAATAAGCCTATTACATATTAACATAAAATATAATTTTATGATAAATAGCTACTGTTTAAAAAAAGAGTGAGAGGAAGGGCATTGTTTTGCCTTTTTGCAAATCTCTTTAATGTGGGGCTTAATAGAAAACAGCTCATTTCTCATATCCACTTCTGCACCCATTCTTTCACAATATCACATGCTACATAGCCACTGGAAACTCCTCAGTATGCTGGTGAGAGAATGAGAGAGAAAAGAGCTAATGTCTTAGTATTATTATGAAAATAGTTTTGACCTTACAGACCCCCTTAGAGGGTTTCTTGAATCCCCAGGGGTCTCTGGACCACACTTTGAAAACTGCTGCTCTGTTAATTCTTATTGGAAATGTTAACATTTCTTCTCAAACCTTCTGCCTACCCACCATCAAAAAAAAAAAAAAAAAGAACAAAATAGCACACATACACACACATACAAACACACATGGCAATTTCCACGCTCTATTTTACTACAGCCCCTCTCTGGGAAACTGCAAATCAAAATATTAACCCTGAGCAACCCTCTGCAGAAACACCACTCCTCAAAGCAGGGTGTCAGCCCATCCTCCCAAATGGTGGCTTCTAGCTTATCTATTCTGAACCCAATGAAAGTAACAAATGGCTTCTTGAGGGTTTGCATCTAGCTTCTCCAGCTGGATGAATAGCTGAGGAATTTCAAATGTTGCTTGCCTTTGAAGCCTTGGCTTCAAAAACAAATGCCTAAAGGAAATCAGCAATGAACAGGACTGCTTCAAAAGCAACAGCTAGCAACCCCCTGATCCAACAAAACCACAGAGACCCTCTAAAGTCCCGAGAGTCAGCCAATCGGGAAGCAGCCTAAACTGGGGGCAGGGGGCAACATCAGGCCAATTGGGGGTTTTCTAAGACAGCGTTTAACAAAAAGCTAAGTGGAAAAAGAAATCCCTAGATCTGTTCACACTACATAGGTGGGCTACGGGTTGGGAAGACTCCAGTTAAAGGGTTTTCATTGTAGTTCTGCCACCAGCTTGGTGTCACCAAAAGCAAGTGACTTATTCTGAAAATGACAAAGAGCACAAGATGAGCATTTAAGTTCCTTCCAGCTTTTTAATGCTATATTTCTTATCATTAATGCACATAGGTCTAAGGATATATTTCTGAACCAAAGATAGAGTACATTTCTTATCCCATTTATGCCTGAAATACCTAATAATTCTTTCATTTATTCAATAATTATCAAGACCACAGTTTGTGGCAGGTACTGTTCTAACACTGAGGATACAGCAGTGAACAAAATATTGAAAAATTCTTGCCCTCATGAAAGTTATATTCTAGTAGGAGAGTTAGACAAATAAAATACATCATGTATCAGTGGTTACAAGAGTTATAGAGAAACATAAAGCAGAGAAGAGCAATTGACTGCAGGGTTGAGCGTTGTTTGTACTTTTAAATAAGCTGATCGGTGTAGGCAAACCCATATGCCTGGGAATTTGAAATATTATATAGCTTTGCTTGAATTTGGCCATCCTAAAGTCAATCAGTATTCATTCTTTCAGTTAGTCAAGTTAATCAGTGAGTTAGCAAACACTTACTTGGAAGGTTGAAGCCATTACAAACTTAAGAGCTTGGGGAGGCAGCCCCGCTGGGTTGAGATCAGCTTTTATTAAAGAGACGGCAGGCCAGGCATGGTGGCTCACACCTGTAATCCCAGCACTTTGGGAGGCTGAGGCAGGTAGATCACAAGGTCAGGAGTTTGAGACCAGCCTGACCAACATGGTGAAACCCCGTCTCTACTAAAAATACAAAAATTAGCCGGACATGGTGGCACGCACCTGTAATCCCAGCTACTCAGGAGGCTGAGGCAGGAGAATCGCTCAAACCCAGGAGGTGGAGGTTACATGAGCCGAGATTGCGCCACTGCACTCCAGCCTGGGTGACAGAGGGAGACTCCATCTCAAAAAACAAACAAACAAACAAAATAACAACAAAAAAAAGACAGCATAGGGTGATGGTTTGCCATTGAAAATCTGAACCAGACTACCTGCGTTTGCATCCTACCTTCTAGCTAGGAGATCCCGGATAACTGACTGAACCTTTCCATTCCTCTGTTTCCCCATTTTCAAAGTGAGAATAATAAAAGTCCTTATTTGAAAGGTTATTGTAAGATACAAGCTTTCCTCATATTGGACACTGTGCATAAAACCATCCTCAAACAGTAGCCGTCAAAGCAGCAATCAGAAGAGAAGACCAGAAAGGAACTGTTTGCGGGCACAGGGAGACTTTTTAAGAGGACCCCCCAGACATAAATGGGATCCAGTAAGATTTGAGACTTATTTTATCTCATTTGGCTGGTTGAGTCTTGGGAAAATCAGATTATTCTACGCTTTTTCTTTTTTTAATTTTTATTTTCAGTGATGATCTCACTTAGTCACCCAGGCTAGAGTACAGTGGTGTCTGTCATAGCTCACTGCAGCCTCGACCTCCTGGACTTAAGCAATCCTTCTGCTTCAGCCTCCTGAGTAGCTGGGACTACAGGTGTGCACCACCAGACCTGTCTAATTTTTTTTTTTTTTTTTTTTTTTTTTTTAGAGATGGGTTTTTGCTATGTGGTCCAGGATGGTCTCAAACTCCTAGGCTCAAGTAATCTTCCTTCCTCAGCCTCCCCAAATCGCTGAGATTACCAGCGTGAGCCACCGTGCCCAGCTCTATACTTTTTCAGTAGATTCTGCAGGGCTTGTGAAACAGAGAAGTCAGCTCCCTCTGAAGACCTCCACTGCCCAATAGAGCTGGCTACAAAGGAGACCATTCCAAACAGGAGAAACTGATTGTACGAGAGAAGGAAGTGGTTTTCTATGAGATGAATGACTGATATACCTCTGCTTAACTGGAGTCCAGTCTTTGCCATCCACTCCTGCTCCCAGAATATTGCCACCAAATTATCTTAGCCTGTCCTCCCTCATTTGCATAAGAATCCTGCTCCATCTGTCAGAAGGAGTAATATTTGTTCATGCTAATCTGATTGCTCCTATCACTTGTATTAAAAAACATGGAGGTCACCACAAGCTTTGCTCTGACCTTTGATTTTTCAATATCGCATCTGGGGTAAGCACTTCCTTTTAATCTCTATAGACAATAGGCAAAATTTCACTGAGGCAACTGCCAACAGAGGCAGAGATCATAGAGCATGTGTCCATGACCCCAGGTTAGATGATTATAATAACGCTTTTTAGGCTTTTCTAATAAAGAATATGCTGAACAGGCTCCGACGTGTGTGTGCAAAAGTCTAATTGCTGTTAACATGTCACTCCTATCACGGAGAAGCAACAATGTACTGACGGCTTGTCAAATCCGGAATTGATTTTGAAATTGCTTTAATGAGGTGGTGAATAAGTTTTCAGGGGCCCGGCCATCTGAGAGGCCTCTGCGGCATCAGCCAAGATCACCTGCAGTTGCTTTGTTGATTGTTCATAAATGAGGACGAGATGCACAGAAGGTTGCTCTTTGGTTGCTGAGGATTTGCAAGCTCCGAGCTGGGATTTCTGTCGTCTCCACCTCTGAAGTCCCTTGCATTTTAGATTTAGATTTGTTTGTGTGTGTGTGCATTTTCCTTCCAGCTGCATTCCCCCAATAAACACCTCCAATTGAAAGGGCTGGGCTGGTTTTTCTCTGAAGCACAAAGAAAGATTACAAGTTCCATCTGGTTCCTCATCCAATACATGTGAGAGGCACTCTGTTAGCACCGTACCTCCCGGTTTTGTGCTTTGCCCTGCCAATCAAGATTGATTAATGGATAGACGAAGGCCTGGATACAGAATCATGCTTTTCTATCTGCATTACTGTTCACAGTAGAGGAGTTAAACAACTATCACTTAGCCTCCATGATTCCTGCAACCACTATTTGTTTCCCCTGAAGGAAGAGAAAAATTGATAAATGTTTTCCAAACTGTCAAAGGCAGGACCCCACAGCAATTCTCAAGATCCAGCCAACTGAACCCTCATGCTGGGAACATGGCTGGGTATGTGATGACATCACACTCAAGTGGGCTCTCACCAGGTACTTCCACCTTGCCAACCAGGTGGGGAAAGTACTAAAGTAACCTTCCAAATGTGTCCAAATCTAAAGCAACGAGTGCCGCCTAATTCCTGTGCAAGATGTGATTTTGGGTTCGTGATGAGGAAATGGTGTTTCCTCAGCCAAGAGAACTGAATAAGCTTTCCTGCTTCCTTGTCTTCCTTGTAAACAACACAGGCATTTTGACAATGAAGACAAATGTACTCCCAGCTTGCAGTAAAAATAAGAAAACTGCCAGTAACACTTCACAATTGTCGCTTTCATTACCTGCCTCCCCCACCCAAAACATTATTTCATTCAGAGCCAAGTTAGAGTGCCAAATTGCCCTATTTCCAAAGGATCTGAGCTTTTCAAAAAGCATCTGTGTGCATTATATTCCACAGGGCATCGTCTTATTTATATTGCCCCCATGTTTATGAATGCCTGACCAGCATCCCCATCAGGTACAGATGCTTTCAAGAAATTGAATGGTACAGGGTCCATACATCAATGTTACTATGATGTATTTTTCATGAAATCTGTAAATAAGGTCAATAGGATAGGGATATTTTGGATGACAGAATCTTTAATGGCTTTTGAGGAATGGCCTGTTTCCCTGTAAAAAGTCAATTTACTTTTTTTTTTTCTTTTTTGACTCTTGCTCATTAAGAAGTCTGATCTTGTGATGTTGGCACAGACAAAGGCCTCCACAGCATGTTGAAAAAAGGAGTAGTTACTTTTCTCCACACCAGTAATAAGAAATACAAGTTGCCTGCATGAAGGGATAGAGGATGACAGCTTTGGCGTTTCTGATATTTTGTCTTTTCTTATCACCTGAAACATCTCAAGCTGAAGGAACAGGTGACTTGGTCTTCAAAGAAGAGAATGACAAAAAAGGAAGAAGAAAATGCTCAGGGTCATGAATGCTAGGATTTAAAGTTCAGCAATGTTGTTTTATAACCTCAGTGAAATTATAAGGCAGGCCAGGCGTGGTGGCTCATGCTTGTAATCCCAGCACTTTGGGAAGCCAAGGCAGGCAGATCACAAGGTCAGGAGTTCAAGACCAGCCTGGGCAACATAGTGAAACCTCATCTCTATTAAATAATAATAATAATAATAAACTTAGCTGGGCGTGGTGGCACATGCCTGTAATCCCAGCTACTCGGGAGGCTGAGGCAGGAGAGTTGCTTGAAACTGGGAGGCAGAGATTGCAGTGAGCTGAGATCATGCCGCTGGACTCCAACCTGGGTGACAGAGCGAGACTCCGTCAAAAAGGAAGAAAGAAAGAAAGAAGGAAAGAAGGAAAGAAAAGAAATAAAGAAAGAAAGAAAGAAAGAAAGAAAGAAAGAAAGAAAGAGAAAGAAAGAAAGAAAAGAAAGAGAGAGAGAGAGAGAGAGAAAGAGAGAGAAAGAAAGAAAGAGAAAGAAATTAGAAAGCAACCTCAGCTTCTCCCAAGACCTCTGTCTGTCCTGGGCATCAACTGCACATCAGGATCTATCATGGTAAGAAATGTCTGATTGGGCCCTTTGTGCTGCTATCTGCTCCCCACTCGTCTCCGCCCCACTCCGGGCTGAACTGAGGAACCCAGCACAACTCCGAGGTCTTCTCACTCTGCTGAGGACCAAAAGCAAAGCTGAGTCACTGGGAAAGACAGATTCCAGAGACAAAGGGGACAGAAGTGAACCACAGCTCAGAATGAAGCTGAAAACTGCCAGCAGAACTGGGAAGGCTGTAGAAATCTGCTTCTAGGTCTTGGGTGTCATTTCGTTTTTCTGGGCCTTTATCTCCAAAGCTGTGAAACAGCAATAATGGTACCTCTGTGGAAGGTAATTTTGAAGAATGGGAATATTAGAGCTGCAAAGGGCTTAACCAAGGGTCAGTTCTCTGGAAGCAGTAAAGATTGGACTCATACTAGAGATCTAGACCTTGATCTTCTCACTGTTGCACATATATATGGATATATGTGTGTATATACACTTTACAGAGAGAAAGAATATGACTCAGGTACATCACTAAAAATAGAGGGATGGGTTTTAATGATAACAGTGACTTTAAAGCAACTAAAAGGAAAGGAAAATACCCTTCTACAGTAAATACATTATTTTCTTGTTATCCTTAGTATTAATATTAATAAAACAGTGTAGACAGTCTCTTCCAGATCAATGAGCATCCCCTCAGGCCTAAACACAACAGCGAAAATGAATCCTGAGTGACAGAGCCCAGAATTTCACTTGCTCCCGCCACCTGCTCTTGGGGGTCAACTGTACTGTAGTGTGTAATTACCACCCTCATCGCTGCCTCTTCACTTCCTCTCTCCCACTGTCTAATTGATGGCCCTGACACCAGTGTTGGATCACCCCTCTATGAACACGTTGGGCACAAACAACTTATCCATCCAACAGATGCTGCACACTCAGAAACCTATCCATGACTAGAACCAGAAGCTCAATGTTAGCTTATGTTTGCTCAGACTTGTGAAAAAATGATACAGAAAAGAACGAGATTACAGATCTACCCTAGGCAGAAAGAAAATTATCCACAGTCTTAGAATTCGGTCTTGGCTGCCACAATCTACCCTATTCATTAACGTATCCGCTGGCCCTCTTCCAGGTGAAGGATACCTGGGCTACAGTTTCTTGCCTTTCTTTTAAGTCTTACTCGCTTTCCTCTGAAATCACACACAGACAATGAAATTGTTGCCTTGGCAAATGCTGAAATGGTATAAGGAGTCCATATGGCAATGGACTGTTTACATCTGCCAACAGCTGCAAAGAGAGCACTAGGACTGACACAACAACATACAAATCACCAGCTTAAATCTGGGACTCTTTTCCTGGGTGCCATGACTCTTCAAAACCAGAACCAACCTTGCACCCAGGGGAATTTAGGGAAACTGATCTCTTGTTCATTTCTGAGTGGCTAGAGAATAAAACTCCTAGCTTACTCCCAGAAGTATGGCCCTTCTTTCCTCCCAAGCACCAAACCTCAACTCCCCTGGGAGACACAGATGCTCCATGAAGTGCCTGGTTTCCATTCCAGACCCTTCTCTGTTTCAGCCCATTATCGTGGCCCAGCTAAGATAAGGAAAAGACACTTCACCTTAAAAATGAGAGTGCATCACACCAAAGGCTCAGGTGACAAATGCGAAAACAAATAAATGGAACTACATCGAACTAAAAAAGTCTGCTTTTTAGCAAAAGGAAACAATCAACAAAAGGAAACAACAGCCTACGAATATAGGACAAATATTTCTATAATCCATATATCTCATAAGGGGTTAATATTAAAATTTTATAAAGAACTAATACAACTCGATAGTAGAGAAACAAATAACCTGATTTTTAAAATGGGCAAAGGACCTGAATAGAACATTTCCCCAAAGAAGACATAAAAATGGCCAACAGGTATGTGAAAAGGTGCCAAAAAAATGCAAATCAGTCCTGGTGTGGTGGCTCATACCTGTAATCCCAGCACTTTGGGAGGCTGAGGCAGGCAGATCACCTGAGGTCAGGAGTTCGAGACCAGCCTGGCCAACGTGGTGAAAACCCATCTCTACTAAAAATACAAAAATTAGCTGGGCATGGTGTTGCACGCCTGTAATCCCAGCTACTCGGGAGGCAGGAGTTATTTTCCTGAGGCAGGAGAATAACTTGAAACCAGGAGGCAGAGCTTATGGTGAGCCGAGATTGCACCACTGCACTCCAGCCTGGGCAACAGAGCAAGACTCCATCTCAAAAAAAAAAAAAAAGAAAAGAAAAATGCAAATTAAAACCACTATGAAATATCACCTCACACCCGTTAGGATGCTTATGATAAAAAAGTTAATAAATAACAAATATTGGCAAAGATGTACAGAAAATGGAACCTCTGTACATTGTTGATGAGATTGTATATTGGTGCAGCCATAATGGAAAACAGTATGGAGATTACTAAAGAAATTAAAAATAGAACTACCCTATGATCCAGCAATACCACTACCAGGTACAGATGTGAAGGAAATGAAATCACCACCTCATAAAGATATCTGCACTCCCATGTTCATTGCACCATGATTCACAATAACCAAGATATGGAAAAAACTGAAGTGTCCATCAACAGATGAATGGACAAAGCAAATGTGATATATATGCAACGGAATATTATTTGGTCTTTAAAAGGAGATTCTGTCAGTTGCCACAACATGGATGAATCTGGAGGATGTTATGCTAAGTGAAATAAGCCAGACACAGAAAAAAAACATTGCATAATCTCACATATATATGAAATCTTCAGGAGTTTCAGACCAGACTGGCCAATATGGTGAAACCCTGCCTCTACTAAAAGTACAAAAATTAGCTGGGCGTGATGTCGGGTGCCTGTAATCCCAGCTACTCAGGAGGCTGAAGCAAGAGAATAGCTTAAACCTGGGAGGTGGAGGTTTCAGTGAGCCGAGATCATGCCATTGCACTCCAGCCTGGGTGACAAGAGCAAAGCTCTATCTCAAAATAAATAAACAAATAAATAAAAATATTTTAAAAAGTGGTTAAGGGGTGGAAGGGAAGAAGAAGTGGGAGATGATGGTCAGAGGATACAAAATAGCAAACACGTAGGATCAGTAAGACTAGGGATTTAATGTACAACATGAGTATTGTAGGTAATAAAATTGTACTGTATTTGGGGTTCCTGCTGAATGAGTAAATTTTAGCTGCTCTTGTCACAGAAAATCAAAAACAAAAATGGATAACTATGTAAGATGATGGATATTCTAATTTCCTAACTATAGTAACCATTTCACTGTCTATATATGTATATCCTATAATATCATGTTATATACATTAAATATACACAATAAGATTAATTTTTTAATGAGAGGGCAGGTGTCTGGTCATTGGAAACTCTGTGAATACTGACATTAACCCCTCATTTTACCTATAAACCTAAAGCTCAAGAAACAAAACTGAACAACAGGTGCTATGTGCTAAGAGACAACTGAAAATGAGGGTTTCAAAGGCAAATGGGGCAGGCTAGATATTTTTCACAGCAAATCTATTTCTTTCTATCATTTTCTCTAGATTAAGGGTCAGCAAACTCAGGTCCACAGGCTCAATCTGGCCTATTACCTGTTTTTGTTAATAAAGTTTTATTGGAACACAGCCATGCCCATGTGTGTATTGTCTGTTGCTGTACTGACACTACAAAGGTAGAGTTTACCTGCCTTTGTGGTTCTAATTACCACAGAGAACATATGATCCATAAAGCCTAAAATATGCACTATCTGGCCATTTACCAAAAACGTATACATGTGACCCCTGCTCTTTTGGTTGTCCTCACATCACCCAATTATTGTTAGTGGTAGCATTCACCAGTTGGCCTGTTACTGGCTCTTTTGGTCTATGATGGAAAAGCTCACAAAATCCAACCAAAAATATACATATATAAGAAACTCGGCCGGGCGCGGTGGCTCACGCCTGTAATCCCAGCACTTTGGGAGGCCGAGGCGGGCGGATCACGAGGTCAGGAGATCGAGACCATCCCGGCTATAACGGTGAAACCCCGTCTCTACTAAAAATACAAAAAATTAGCCGGGCGTAGTGGCGGGCGCCTGTAGTCCCAGCTACTTGGGAGGCTGAGGCAGGAGAATGGCGTGAACCCGGGAGGCGGAGCTTGCAGTGAGCCGAGATCCCGCCACTGCACTCCAGCCTGGGCGACAGAGCGAGACTCCGTCTCAAAAAAAAAAAAAAAAAAAGAAACTCATGGCCACTAGATCCTGGTTATAAGTGGCTAAGAGTTAACAATTACATACAAGGAAATTAGTCCAGTAATTTTTATTTAAAAATGACAAGTCAGGAGTTGTATGGAGAAAATAAAGATAAAAGAACTCTGCTCTGTGGAATATAGATGAAAAAATCTTATTGAAAATTGTTGCACATCAGGCTCCACTATCCAAAGTCCATAGATATGAAAATGAAGGAAATCCCTTTAGGGATTTGCTCAAGAGAACCCAGATTTGCTTCACTTGATCAAATACCAACTATTAATTGATTCTTCACAAAGAAAACTTTTTTATAAGGAGTACATTGAAAAATGAGAACAAAGAAATGGGTATTTGTTTCTCTACGGACTATGTAATGTGAAATCCAGCATACTTCCCGACTCTGCCCCATGCCTGCGGGCCATTTTAGAAGTCACTGTTTAAACCTTCTCACTGAGTCTGACATGAAGTGAGATAAGGCCCTGGCAGGACTCTGACTGGTATGTTTTCTAAGAGATGCATAACTGGACTTTACGGCAAACGTACATGTCTAAGACTCCCTCAAACTCCAACCCAGGGCAGAATTTGACCCAGGTTCCTTTGACTTGACCAAGGAATTGAAAATTGACATGTATTTGGAGTGAAGCCAGGAAAGATCACTCCTGGGCTGACTCAGATTTTCTCAGTTATTGGGTCATACACCAAAGGAGTTGAGTGCCTAATATTGGGAGGCTAACTTGTTAGTTTGCACTGCAGTCTGGATGGCTGCATAGATGGCCCAGCCATCATGACCAAGCCTTATGGGTGGTGGGCAAATAACCTTCAACCTCCCTATACCAACCCCAGGCTAGAGTGGGGCAGACACAGTCAGGCAGCATACACTTCCCTATCCATAGGTACACAGAGATAGCCTATTTCTTGCAATTAAAGTACAAGTCACATCTGGAATTCAAGGGCAGAAGGAATCTCTCAAATAAGAAAAAGAAGACTGCTACAAATGGCGTCGTCTCTTGATTTAAAGCTCATCTCCTTTAGAATACAATGCCCCTTCTCTGTACATGTTGCACACTATTTTGTACTTAAATTGTGTCTTATTCATCCATGCATTCCCAGCATCTGACATAGTATATGGCAAGTAGGTGTTCAATAAATGTTTTTCCTGGCCGGGCATGGTGGCTCAAGCCTGTAACCCCAGCACTTTGGGAGGTCGAGGTGGGTGGATCATGAGGTCATGAGATCAAGACCATCCTGGCCAACATGGTGAAACCCATCTCCACTAAAAATACAAAAATTAGCTGGGTGTGGTGGTGCGCATCTGTAGTCCCAGCTACTTGGGAGACTGAGGCAGGAGAATTGCTTGAACTCGGGAAGCGGAAGTTGTAGTGAGCCAAGATCATGCCACTGCACTCCAGCCTGGTGATGGAGTAAGACTCCGTCTCAAAAAAAAAAAAAAAAAAAAAAAAGCATAAATGTTTTTCCATGTGTCTATTCAGATTCAATCAATAAATGTTTATTGAACACCTACTATATGACAAGTGCTTTGCTAAGTACAATAAAATAATAAAATAAAGCAATGAATGAGACACAATCTGTATGCTCAGCATGTTCCAAATCTAGAAGGAGAGCAAATAAACAGACAATTACCATACAGGGTGATTGTGTTTCAGTCAAGATTTCTAGAGTTGAGCATCTAACCCTGCCCTGGAGTGGGTGTGGGAGTACTTAAGTCAGGGCTGAGAATCCTTTTTCTCTCTGGAAATGTAGATAAATGCTGTCACACTGAAACTGGTGACCCTTATGGGGTACAATGAGGAGAGGAGTTTACTTTTTGACCATTAAATCCGTGATATTTATCAGCAATTATCATTCACTATAATGTGAGTTTGCTCTTCACAAACAGAGAAACTTAACAAAGGGCTGTTGAGCCTCCTCTCGATGTGCCAATATTCCCTACTTCTTGCCTTGCTTTAGGCATGCGGCAGTTAAAAACAACAAAAGAAAAAATCAATTAGTCAATAAGATAGAATCAGATCATAGAATGTTAGAGACTATAAAAGGGCATTTAAAATACTAGAGTCTGTTTGATGCCAGATGATGAGTTTGACCAGTTTCATTCTTCTGTTCAATTGATAAAGTGACTGATAGGTAATTTGGGCTTTGCCAGAAGGAAGAGTCACACAGGAAGTCTTGGCACGTGGGTAGTCGTTTGATAAATGTATTTAAAATGAATGCAGGCAAACACCTCAGGGTGTGTAGAGGAAAATGTAGGCCTCAAAATAGAGAAGCTCACATTGACCTTCTCATCAATCAACAGTTAATATCCAGCAGTGTTCTGGGAGGAGAGGAGAATGCAGAAGAAATGATAAGTGGTCTCTGATCCTAAAGAATATATAAAAGATATAAGCAGGCAGTTTGTGGAACAGGGAAGTCAAAAGTATATGAAGAGATGCTCAAACTCATCAATTATCAGGGAAAATGTAAATCAAAATATTAAACATTACTTCAAACCAAATAATGGAGAAATATTTTAAAACTGGACGAAATAGTGAGTGTTGGTTCAGACGTGGGATACAGGATCCTTTACGCATGGCAGGTGGGAATGAAAAGTAGTGTAGCCTTACTGTGAGTAATTTGGCACATCCTAGTCAAACTAGGTTTATATGTAACCTGTGCATCATCAATTCCAGTTCCGGTTATGCACATATCCCAAAGAAACCTTCACACAGATTCATTCATAAAGGGCCATGAATGAGGACATCCATTGCAACACTATTTGTAATGATGGCATGACATTGGAGGTAATCTGGGTACTCATCTCTTGGGGATTGGACAGAGAAAATATGGGAAGAAGGAGTACAAGCCATGGTGTACTACCACATTGGAAGCCACAGACTAGATGTCCACATAATAACATGGAAGGATACTGAAAGCATAGCAATAGCTGAAAAGAGTGAGAAAGAGAATGAGAGATAAAAAAGACAATGCTATTTAGGAAAATAAAAATGTTTGCTCATAAAATAAGGGCATAATTTTGTAATAAGACTTCACAAAAAATGATATTATTTAAACACATGAAAACAGTTGTCTCTGGAGGTAAGATGAGAAAAGGGATAAATACAGACTTTGGTATCTAAAAGTGGGATGTTGCTGTAACAAATATCTAAACATGTGGGACTAGCCTTGGAACCTAGCAGTAGGCAGAAATTGGGAGAAATTAGAGAAGCATGTTAGAGAATGCTTAATTATCTTGAACAGACTTAGTAGAAATCTTGACTTTGAGATCCCTGCTGGTGAGGGCTGAAAGAAAGTGAAGAGCATGCTATTCATGCTCTTCAAGTGAAGAAAGAAAGTTATAATGTAGTAGCAGAAAGTTTAGCAACACTGTTACCTGCAGTTATGTGGAAAGTAGAAAATATGCCTCATGAACTGAGTGGTCTAGTTATGGAGGGTTTCTAAAATGTTGAACGTGCCAGTGGGCCTCTTTTTCCTACATGCAGTAAGATGCATGAGAAGAGAAATAGATTGAAAGACTGTCATACCAAAAAGAAAAGCCAAAGCCAAGTTTTGAAATTCTTCAGCCTTTCCAGACAGCAAACAATGCTAAAATTAAGAAATGGCTTCCAAGCAAATATCAAATTGAGGGCACTGCTAGGAAAACATTGTCTAAATACACAAACATGGTCCAAAAATGTTTTGTTTTTTTTTTCTAAAGACTTATGTTTGGAGAAATATTGCCAACCTGGATTAAGAGGGACAAAATGAAGAGAGGCCTTTGAACCCCCAGAATTCTACTGGCAGGAGGCAGGCTGAATATGCAGTACCTTCCATGAGAAAGAAAAATGACCAAGAGAGCAGAAACAATGCCCCGAAGAGTGGAGCCAAGAGCCATGGGGAATTATTCTCAGGCCTTAAGATCTAATCAAGGAACTCCTAACATTTGCTTGCTGGGATTTCAGAATGTCTATGGGCCAGTGACACCCTTGTGCCTCCAATTTTCTCCCTTGTTGAACAGTAATGCCTTCCTGGCCCCCAGTTGTATGTTAGGTAATCTGGGGTGGGGAGGGCAGCCAGATAACTTCTATCTTGAGTTCCACAGGTCTGAAGATCAAGAGGATATGTATTTAAGGTACTATATTTGTGGAGACTCATCCCTACATGAACCTGATTTAGATGCAGTTCTGCAGTTTGAGCTGTTGTTGTAACTAGATGCACACGCAGGGGAGTTGTAAATCACTGGGGCCAGAGGGTGGACTGTGGTAGGCAGCCTCTTAGATAGCTCCTAATGATCCCTGCCCACTGATGTTCAGGTCAAAGAGTGAGAAAGAGAATGAGAGATATAAAAGGCAATGCTATTTAGGAAAATAAAAAATGTTTGCTCATAAAATAAGGGTGTAATTTTGTAATAAGACTTCACAAAAAAATGATATTCTTTAAACACATGAAAACAGTTGCCTCTGGAGGTAAGATGAGAAAAGGGATAAATACAGACTTTGTTATCTGAAAGTGGGATGTTGCTCTAATAAATACCTAACAAATACCATAAATATATTGTGTAATAACCTTCCCTTGAGTGTGGGTTGGACCCAGTGACTAGTTTCTAATAAACAGAACATGGTGAGAGTGTTGGGATGTCACTTCCAAGACTAGGTTATAAAAAGACTGTGACTTCCATCTTGAATCTCCACTCATTCACTCTAAGGAAAGCCAGCAACCATATTCTGAGCAGCCCTATGGAGAGACCCATGTGGCAAGGAACTGATGTCTCTAGCTGGTAACCAGTGAGGACCCTGAAGCTTGCAAACAGCCCATGAGTGAGCTTACAGGGGATTCTTTCGCAGTTGAGCCTCGAGATGACCACAGTTCTGGTGACATCTGCAGACTTATGAGAGTCCCCGGAACCAGGGGACCTGTCTAAGTTGTACTTAGATTTCAGACTCCAAGAAACTGAGATAATAAATGCTTGTCATTCTAAATTAATGAGCTTTGGGGGAGTTTTATTATGCAGCAGAAGATAACTAATACAGATTTTATCCCCTAATCCAGATTTGATTTCCTAAGGGAATAATAAAAGTTTTAATGTAGATTTTTTAAATATTAAGAAGTTTTCATCCTATTTATAATTACCAAATGAGTGATTTACATTGTAAAGAGCCCATTGCAATTTCATCAATTAAGTCATCTGCAGAAATTTTTGTCTGATTTTGTGCAAGAGTATCTCTATGATCTGAATGTTTATGTCACCTCAAAATTTATATGTTGAAATCCACTCCCCTAAAAGATGGTATTAAGAGGTAGGGCCTTTAGGAGTTGTTTGGGTCATAGGGCTGGAGCCTTCATGAATTGAATTAGCATCCTTATAAAAGAGGATCCAGAGAGACCCCTCATTCTTTCCACCATGTGAGGTCAGAGGGAGAAGATGGCTGTCAGTGTGGAAGTGGGCCCCCACCAGACACGATATTTGGGGGCACCTTCATCTTGGACTTCTCAGCCCTGCAAACTGAAAGAAATAAATATCTGTTGTTTATAAGCCACCCAGTCTATAGAGTTTTGTTACAGAAGTCTGAACAGACTAAAATGGGCATATATGGGGTGTGGAGATTTAAAAAAAAAGAGAGAGAGAGATAGAGGGTCAGGTGCAGTGCCTCATGTCTGTAAGCCCACCACTTTGGGAGGCCAAAGCAGGACTGCTTGAGGCCAGGAATTCAAGACCAGCTTGGGCAACACAGCAAGACCCTCATCTCTATAAAAAATAAAAATAAAAAAAGTTTCCAGGTGTAGTGGCAGATACCTGCAGTCCCAGCTACTCAGGAGACTGAGGTGGAAGGATCACTTGAGTCCAGGAGTTGAAGGCTGCAGTGAACCATGATCACACCACTGCACTCCAGCCTGAGTGACAGAGAGAGACCCTGTCTCAAAAAAATAAATAAATAAAAAGAAAAAGAGAGACAGAAAGTCACATCCCCTGGTTTCTAAGAGCAGATGTCCCTTGGGGAGGCACATGAAGCTGGATAGTGTGGGATAAACCAGACCACAATGATGGCAAGGACAGGGAGAATGGGAACACAGGTGGAGGAGTTCCTGAGGCCCCCCAGGGGGTCACTGAGAGTGTGCATTGGGCTCAAGACTCAGTGACAGAAAAAACACATCTAATCGGCTTGAGCTCAGCACAAAGGTCCAGGGCAACACTGGCTTCCAACATAGCAAGATTAGGAGAGTCAAGGACATTAGAGAGACTCTAGTTCTCTCTGTTCCTCAGCTCTGTTCTCTTGGGTTGGCTCCACTCTCAGGCAGACGGTAGTCAAGAGCTGAGCTGAGCTGAGCTGCCAGGTGTCCGAGTAGTCAATTAAGACAAGCGAAAAGGAAAGTAATGGCTAAGTCTTTATTTACTTACCATGATGGTCTGAGCAAGAGGCTAGACAGGAGGAAGCACCGGCTCCCCCACAGGTCCATACCCCTGGAGCAGCACCTGGCGAGGGTCAGGTGGATCCACAAAGACAGGGGACTTGTCTCACTGGAGCAATAGGCTCCTGCCCTTTCACGGATCTGGGCTGAGGTTCAGGTGTGGAAAAGTGCTGGGCGCTGAGTTCAAGGGGAGAAAAGTGTCTTCAAGATTCCCCCTTCTCCCAATGAGCAGGACTCAGGTGCCACACCTGGGAAGACCCCAAGCCAAATGGAGATGCTGGGGCTAGGAATACAGATACACGTTACAGCATGGTCGTTGATGGAAGCCCTTGAGTGCAACCTGCTTCAGAGACCCCCGGGTCCTGGCTGTGCACCAAGTGTGGCCAGGGATGGCAGCTTTTTCTGTGAAGCCTGCCAGGTAAAGCCTTTGAATTCACCTACAGTCAGGCCTGAAAGATCATAAGCAGGTTTTTGGCCAGGAGCCGAGTCCCCTCTCATCTTTTATGGTGGTGAGATGGCTATCAGTGGCTCCAGGCTTACATCTTATTCTTCTCAGAAACACCAGTAGGAAGGGAGTGTTCCATCTTAATAGTTCCAGCAGAAATTCTGAGACTCACTCCAGTCAGACTGACTTGGGTCTTGAACCCGTCCCTGAACCAATCACTGTGGCCAAGTGGACAGAATTAATGGATTGACCTGGATTGTGTCTACATGTCTGGATCTGGGGTTTGGGCAGGACCTCCCCAAGCTAGTTCTATGGAGAGTCGGAGAGGGGCACTGCTTGCCAGAAGTGGGAGTGGCTCCTAGGTAAACCCACAGATGCCCACTTTCCAGTACTTGAGTGACAATGAAAGGGTTTATTTATCTCTTTATTCATTCACTGAAGATTTACTGAACATCAACTGTGCACCAGGCATTGTTCTAGGCCCTGGAGAGACAGCAATGAATAAGTATTTCAAGCTTAAATTCTCCTGGGGGTGACAGACAATAAACATGATCCGTAGGTAAAATATATAGCCTGTTAGTGATAAGGGATAAAGGGGGAAATATACATATAATGGAAATTGATGGCCCTATAGGGATAAGGGAAAAAAATTAAAGCAAAAAAGGAGGAGAGGAGGTATGTGTATAGGGAGTAGGGGATCCAGAAAGGCCCTGCTGAAGTTCATCAGAGAATGAGCATCCCAGACATCTCAGGAAAGAGCATTCAAGGCTGATGGGATAGCAAATGCCAAGGCCTCGGGTGGGAGCATGCTTGGTGTGTTCAAGGAATAAAAAGTAAAAGTTGCCAGACATAACACTGGATACCCAGTGACATATGAATTTCAGATGAACAATAAATAACTTTTTTAGTATAAGTACATCCCGAATAGTGCATGGTCACATACTTCGGCAAAAAAAAAAAAAAAAAAAAAAAACTCCATGAAACATTTGAGACACATTTATACTAAAAAGTATTCATTATTTATCTGAAATTCAAATTTCACTGTGCATCTTATTTTTTTTATTTGGCTAAATCTGACAACTCTATCTAGGTCAGTGTGACTGAAGCAGAATGAAAGAGGAGGGATGTTATCCCCCAAAAGAAGATATTTTGACATCCTAATCCCCACTACCCCAGGAGGTGACCTTTTTGGAAATAGCTCATTGCAAATGTAAGTAGTCGTGGTCATACTGGAGTAAGGTGGGCCCCTAATCCAGGATGACTCGTGTCCTCATATGAAGATGACCATGTGCAGGTGCATGGGGAGAAGGCCAAGGGGACTGGAATGACTCAGCTACAAGCCTAGGAAGGGAAAGAGAGCCGGCAAACACCAGAAGTGAGAAAGAGGCTAGGAAGGATGTTTCCCTTCAAGTTTCAGAGGGAGCATGGCCCTGCTGACACCTTGATTTCACATTTCTAGCCCCTAGAACTGCAGGACAATGACTTTCTGTTGTTTAAACAACCTAGTCTGTGGTGCTTTGTTACAGCAGCCCCAGAAAACAAAACAGGGAAATAGCAGAAGATGAGGGCACAAAGCCAAGGAGGGTGATGGACAGATCGAGTAGAGCCTATAGGTAACATGACGCCTTTAATGTTTGATTTTTTGTTTTTTGTTTTGTTTTGTTTTGAGACAGGGTCTTGCTCTGTCACCCAAGCTGGAGTGCAATGGTACAATCTCAGCTCACTGCATCCTCTACCTCCTGGGCTCAAGCTATTCTCTCACCTCAGACTCCCAAGTAGCTGGTACCTATGGGACTACGGGCACATGCTACCACACCTGGCTAATTTTTTTTTTTTTTTTTTTTTTAGACAGGGTCTCACTAGGGTTGCTCAGGCTGCAGTGCAGTGGCACAATCTCAGCTCACTGCAACCTCAACCTAATTTTTGTATTTTTTGTAAAGATGGGGTTTTGCCATGTTGCCCAGCCTGGTCTTGAACTCTGGAGCTCAAGCAATCCTCCTGCCCTGGCCTCCCAAACTATTGGGATTACAGGTGTGAGCCACCGCGTTCAGCCACGTGATGTCTTGGCTTGTACTCTGAGTCAGCTAGAGAGTCATTGGAGAGTTTTGGGAAAGGAGTGGCTTGTGTAAAGAGATGAAAGAAACAATCCAGGATATCCAAGAAAGGAAGTGGCAGCTCCAGGAAATACACGCAGTTTAGTCCTGCAGGAGAGTTTAGTAAAGACACTAGGACCAAGGCTGGAAGGTGAATGGCAGCCACATCTCAAAGTGCCTTCTGGTAACTTTAAAAATAGGGATATACATCCCCCTGTAGGCCACTGGAAGCCAATGGAAAACTTCGAGCAGAGAGATGGAATCAAATATGCCCGCTGTTCACGGTCTTTGTTATTTGTCATGATAGAGGTGGGCGCCAAAGAGTTTAAGAATGACTGGACAGTGACAGAATTCCAAGTACCACTAGAGGGGAGGGAAAGGAGATAATTTTCATTAGATCAGAGGCCTTAGTCCAAGCCCCCCAACCCACACAATTGAGATAGCCACATTCCCACATACCCCTGAGGTAACTTGGAAAATACCTGGGGTTTCTCTGGAACATTAGAGAGTTTACCTGAGACTTCTGGTAGGCTGAGGGAGACAGATTCCTGTCTAAAGGGCAGGATCTGGAAGAGCAAGGAGGTGCTCTAAGAAAGACAGCAACAGACTTGACCCTGCAACTGTAAATCAAGAATCCAGGGACCCAGCTCACTGGCTGGAAAACTTCAGTGTTCAAAAGAAACTCAGGGAGTTTCTGAAAATGCAGATCCTGAGTCCCACCCCGGTTATCTTGATTAAGTAAATGTGGTCCAGGAACTACAGGTTGAGAAACTCTACCCTCCTGAGGGACTTGTGGATGTTCACACAGATAGTGATAAAGGCTATGGAGAAAGCTTAAAGTAGGCAAGGAGGAAGGAAATTGTAGTGAGGAGGGGCACCGTTGCCATTTTGGATAGGGTAGCCAGAGAGGGCCTCACTAACAAGGGGACATTATAGGCTGAAATTACATGTAAAATTTTGCATATATGTCACTTCATGAGAAAATACACACATAACTTTCAAGAGATTCTTAAACAGATTCTGAACCAAATTAAAACTAAGAACTACTGCAGATTAGTTAGCAGAAAATGGAGGGAAGTTCAGAATCTGTTTTCATTTTCAATATCCATAAATACTTTGACCTTAAACAGTGGTTTTCAACCTTGGCTTCACATTCAAATTACCTGGGGAGCTTTAAAAAAATACTGACGTCTGGATCTCATCTCCAGAAAATCTGATTTAATTGGTTTGGGAGCGTGGTCTGGGAATTGGGATGTTAAAAGCTTCCCAGAAGATTTTAATTGCAGGAAACCTAAGAAAAACCAATCTAGGGTTTCAGATGAGCCTCTCCTTGTGGTAGGAAGGCTGGGTGATTATGGCTGTTAACCTGCTAGCAAACTGAGACTCCAGAATGAGTGATGAACCCTAGGTCCCACAGATGGTGAGTAATTCAAGACTCAGTACCTGGTTCTTAGCTCCTAATTCAGTGTTCTGCCACTATCCCACCTTGGAACAGAGACCAGTGGGGTTTGATCAGGAACCAAAGGTGGGCACTTGGACTCCTGTGCTGGGAAGGGCAGGCCCAGGGGAACCCCTCATGGAAGGAGGCCCAGCATCTAGGAAGCACAGTAATGGAGGTGCTTGTCACTGGGGTGCTAAATGGGAGCGGGGCAGCTCAGAGGAAAGTGGGTGGAGAGCTGAAAAAGCCAGCTGCCCCCTAGCAGGCCAGTGAGAGAGGCCAGAACTCCAATGCCTCCTTACAGCAACCCAGTCAACCCTGGCCTCCCATCTGGCCAGATTCTAAACCAAACAACAACAACAAAAATCATCTGAGATAAATAACATTAATAGTTTCGTGACCTCAGAGAATCCAATGCCCTTCTTCATTCCTCAATACCAGCCAGGATTGCTGATGTATGGGGGAGATGGGTGGTAGGTACAATGGAAAGAAGTCACCATCCGAAAAGCAATGCTTTCATCAACTAGGTAAAAGCCTAAAACATCTTCAATCAGAACAAAGCTTTCCACTGTCCAAGCGGTAATGAGTAACAACTTCAAAAGCAAATGCCCCCGGGAGAGAGAAGACCTTAGATGAAAAGCTCAAGACCTCGATGTTTAAACTAATTTTTAAACAGAACCCTTTTCACAAAAAAATCTGTATATGTATGTTTGTACACGTCATACTATATCATATGTATGACATGTTATATTATACATATATGAATATTACATATACACTATATTATTGCCTATCACATGTGATAGACATAATATTTATAATGTTATATGCACATAGAACTATAAAATCAATGAAAGTAAACTTGCTGTGGACAAAGCAGGGGCTGGGTCTGGAAATTACCTGATGGGCTGGAGGCGATCCAGAATAAATGTTGTCTCTCTCCCCCCACCTGCCTGCCCATTTCTCCTTCCACCAAGCTGGCTTGCCCCTGAGCTGCCTCAGCAACCCCTAGGACAGCTTGAGAGAGCTGTAGGAAGGAACTCACTAATGCACTGGACATGCATTGAGAACCTACTATGTGCTTGACATTGTGCTAGACACTGGGACTGCATATGGGGGAATAACAGCTCCTTTATTCAAGGCCCTCATGATCTCCTGAGGGTCGTGGGAGGAAAAAGGATAATTAAGCAAAATGTGGTGGGAACTGAATAAGGGAACTTACCGAGCATTACAGAATATAGTAGGGCCCCTGAGGAAAGGCACCTTGGGTGGGGGAGGGTGGCTGGGAGGTGGGAGCTCTCAAGGAAGTCCTCCGAAGAAGACCCCGAAGGTCAGTTTCATTCCTGAGAGCCAATGTTCATAAGATGACTGGGGATTGGGGAGCAGAAGGGCTTTGGCAATTGGGAGATGTATAGGGCTGAGCCAGACAGAAGGAAAAGGCAGGGCATCAGGGGTGCTGGAGACCAGGGACATCAAGGACAAATCTCCCTACATCGGAGGCTTGCCCGGGCTGGCACTGGGCAGCCCCAGTGCCAGGACCCCAGGCTCTCCCAACAGCATGTAAAGAAGAGACCACAGGTCCCTCCAGACCCACAGCCCAAAAGGGCAGGTCTGGGGCCACCAAACTGGGGCTCGGGCGTGAAAAAACCTACCTTTGAAGTGAAAAGATCAAAATGGCTTTTGAGAAATCAGATCTCCTCAGCTGGATTTCAGCCCTGAGAGCTGGCTTTGTTGCAGCCAAGCAGTAAAAAGAGAGCAAAAGCACAATAAAGTTCTAAGGAAGGAGGGGGCCGCCCAGCACTGGCCTGGCCTCCGAGCAGACCCTCCTCCTGCAAACATTTGAGCAAAGCAATGCACAAGAGGAAAGAAAGAAAGCAACAAAGACCCTGAGCCAGGGGCAAGGAGGCCACCACCACAAGGAACACAGTCGGACTTCCCGCTGGAGGAGCAAACTCCCTCTGCAGGAATGATGGTGATAATTGCTCACCTGAGACACTGGGGACAAACAGGAGAAGGTGGCGTGTGGTGTCACCTTCAAAGCCGCCACTCCTCTTTCACAGTGTCCCCTTAAGAAAGAAAGCAAAAAGCACAGGCAATTTTAGTGGGTTTTGCTTTTTTTTTTTTCCCAAGGCTCTTGTCTACTGTCTCAAAAACTGTCTTTTCTCCTTTGCTCCTTCATCTTCCTCCTTCTTCCCTGGGACTCTCCCTTCTCCTTTGACACCATGACAAAGAAAAATGCCTGCATGGGCCTTGTTTTCCAGATTCAATCAAGGCTCAAAGCTTTTATCTTGTTCTTAATAGCACCTTGCACCGATAGAGCCCGGCAAGGCTTTGCGGGCCTTAATTATTTCCCCAAGATCGATGAGACCCCTCAGCCCCCTGGGCAGCAGCATCCCACGGCAGTTTTCCAGATGGATGAGCTGCGTCGAAAGCTGCAGAGCAGACAGGGATGCAGACAAGGTCCAGCACGCCCAGCAGAGCCTGCGGCCTGCGGGTTCCTCGGGCGGGTATCTCGGGCCAGCTGCCTTGGAGGCAGGTCTGGGCTGCCCTATTTCTCAGATACCCATCTCCATTTCCGCCCCCCAAAGGGGATTTTTCAGTGAGATTACAGGCTGATAAGGCCCTCCCAGTTCACAGGAGAGGAAACCTAGGCAAGGGGACTTCCTGGTGCCACAGCTCAAGTCTGTGACAAGAGACAAGAGCCAGGCGTGAGGATTCCCCTGCCTGCCTTCTTGCCCACTGGGTCCCATCTCCCCATTAGAAGGGAGCAGTAGGCTTTCCCAGGCCTCTCAGCATAGGCAGCTTCATTTATACCCAGCATGGGGAAGCCAAAGAGTGCCCTGAGAGAGGAAGAGAGGTGCTCATTTTCTGTTCCATCGCCTCCCTGTGCAGCCATCACACAGGAGGAAATCACACTTGCAGTAAGAGCTGGCTGACAAGCTTGTCATTCACACTAAAGAGCTAGCATCAAGCAGCTCAATGTGCCGGGCACCACCTGGAGCAATCTACAAGCTGCAGCCTATGACATCAATGCCCAAACCTGGGGGAGGGTGCAAAATGCTAAGAGACTAAGGGGATTAGGAGGTTGGGCCTCTGATATCTTACCTGATAAGAAAGTGCATTGAAGAGCAACGTAAATTGGTAATAACAGCTGCTAACTGTTACCAAGCTCTTCTCCTGTGTTTTCACAAGGTCTCTTTCATTTTACCTCGTAGCAGCCCACAAGGTATCTTGCTTATAATCATCCAGCCAGAAAGTGGTAGAGATGGGATTTGAACTCACACACTCTGGCACCAAAGCCCATGCTCCTAATTCCTTTACCAAGCTATTCAGCAAAGCTTTAGGCTTCCTGACAGGAGGCAGGAGGTCTTTAGGTAGAAGGCACAAGACACTGCCTAATTTCCTCACACTTCCAAAGATGTTTTCCAGCCTGGACAAGCGACACATATTTAGTTATACTGGGTGACCTTCCAGAAGGGACAGGCTATGTCTATGTGCTCCCTGATGGTGGGAACCATATTTGATTCTTTTTTGCATTCTCATCACCTAGTACAGTGCCTAGATCAAAGCAGATGCTTTAAAAGTGCTTGCCGACTCCTGGCTCAGCCCTATACAGACCGTGCAGCCAGAGGCAAGCTACTCGACGTCTCTAGATTCCAGTTCCCTAATCTGTAAAATAAGGACAATAACGCAGCCCTGCCAGTGTAGCTGCATGATTAGAAGCCATATGTGCAAAGCCCCTCCCACAATGCCTGGCACAGAGTAGATGCTCAATAAACAATGGCTGTCATAGCTGTCTTCAAAGCCAATATACTAAGGTGGGATTAGACAGACCCATGGTTCTTGTCTAAAAGCAGGATGGGGCAAGAAGGAGTAGCTCACAGTATTCCCATAGGAGTTTTCCAAGCAGCCTTCTCTAAAACTTCTCTTTTATTAATAGAACTTCAGAAGGCTCTGTGTCCCTCAGCATCTCAAGGAGGAAAGATTCTGGGGAATGTTTGCTGTACTAGACACTTTGATGGGTGCTGGGTGCTCCCTTTCTTTTTTCTCCCAACAAAACCCCAATGTCATGCAGGTGGCTACACTCCTCAGTAGGGCCTTGTGCTCCCAGGAACCCTGGCCCCAGTTCCAGAGGATGAGACATGGTTGATCTAAAACCATTGTGGTGATTCACACATCATATCAGGGATTAATTTAGGCATAGACCTAGGACATGCTTATGGCTAATGACAGAAAGTCGGTAAGAGACTTCTGGAAAGAATTTTTCTTGTGGACCAAAGATGCACGAGAGCAAACAGTCCCTTTTCTCCCCTTGGATGTGATCATGATGATGCACCACCTGGAGCTGTGACAGGCATTTTTCACCCATGAGGAAAGCTCATGCAAAGCCTAAACCAACACACTAAGTATGGCAGCAAAGAGAAGAAAGAGCTTCTTCCTTAATGGCAAGATGGAACCACTGAACTAACCACACCTGCAGCACTCCGCCTCTGGATTTCTTGCTATGTGAGATAATGCTGCTTGCCCTTCAAGCCAGTTAAGTCAGTGATTTCCATTGCTAGCAACCGAAAGGATTCTGAAAATCTTGCCATCTAAAAAGATAATCTCAGAGAGGAAATAATCCTTAAATTACTCCAAGAGAGAACAAAATATCCTGAGTTGAATGAGAACCCCTAGGCTAAGGCTCAAATACAGACATTTCCACAAGCACAGGGTGAAGCCAATCGCAATACACTTGGGTCCAAACAGGTGAATGCAGTCTTGGGAAGGAGCAGTCAGGCTTCTGATTTCAAAGCAATCCCGGCTTCTCAACCAGTGATCCCAGAAAGCTGAGGAGCAGCAGATCTGAGGAACCTGTGTTCAGACTGGAGCCACAGCCTGGCCCAGGGGTTCTGGTTTCCTCCAAACTGAGGGGCAGCCACATTCCACTCTTGGTGAGCAGATCACAAAGGCTGCTATGTGTTTTGCTAGAGAAACACACAGAGAACCAAGAGAGAGGTCTAAGCAAACACCTGCATGGCCACACCTTGCCAAACACCCCACAATGCACAAAATATCTTAACCTTCTGTACTTCCTGGGGTTCACTGCAGGAAAGGGGAAAAGAGGAACACACAGGGGGCATCAGACACCACTCAGTCAGCACAATATCTACTGCAAGGGTCCCAGGCACTGTTCTCGGTGCTGGCCAGAGATGAAGTGGTTGAAAGCTTGCCACTTCTGCCCTCAAGGGACTCTTGGAGTGGGTGGGTGGGTGTAGGCAGATGTATACAGCTCTAGTATACCTGAAAAGATCCTTACAAATGCCAGGCAGTAAATACTGACTGCCAAGAAGGCTCTACAGGAGCTGCGGGCATTAAGAGAATGGAGTTACCCCAGCTGCAGGATCAGAGGATCTGAGATGGGCATGTGGCTGTTCGATCCTTTTCCATTTTTTCCAGAAGAGCTATCAGATCTGAAATTCAAAGCTGGCTTCCCACCATCAGATCTCCATGGCTTCAGCATGGACAGCAGAAAAATCCAGTGGTTTATCACGGAATCCACTGCACCAGGCAGGGATATAGCAATTCTGGCCTTGGGGCCAAATCCAGCCTGAAGACTATTTTTCTACAGCCCAGTAGCTACAAATTGTTTTTACATTTCTACTGGGTTGTTTAAACAACAACACAAAGAATATGAGAGGGAGAAGTCCGGGCCCTGGAAAGCCTAAAATATTTACCATCTGGTCTTTTACAGAAAAAGTTTGCCAATGCTTGGCCTAGGGAGGCCACGATGGCCAGAAACATAGCCCTTATTTGTCAAGATTTCCTGGAGGCCCTTCTGGTAAAACCTGAATGCCTTTGGCTGCTAGAGGTTCATCTCGAAGGTCTTCTCCTGGTTGGTCCAGGTGCTCTGGGTGTGAGAGAGGCAAGTTCATGGGCTGAGGGGTTTGGGCTCCTCCTACTCCTCTGCGTTGGACCATGCCAGCCTGTTCCAGCCTGCTGGGGCTCCACATAGTAATGATTCACCTGGGAACAGGCATTCCAACACACTCCCAGCATCCGCCATCCCTAAGCGGCAGCCTTCAGGGAAGCTGTGGGAGGGTTAGCACAGCACAGAGCCCACTAAACACACATCTCCTTCTCCAAGTGGGCTGAGCAGGTAGGGAGGAGAAAGGGGACCAGATGCCTGGAGGTCTAGGTCCCCCTCAAGCTCTTCATGCCAAGGGAACTCCTGCTGGAAAGCTACAGTCCCCCTAGCCTTGTACTGATCTGGTTCTTTGGGCACCAGCTCCACCTGTCCTAGCAGGAAGCCCCATCAGAGCCCCATTTTGTGGCCAAGGCTAAGGACCCTTATTGCCCAGGAACAGAAGATACAAAGGGAGCCAACCCCTTTACAATGTCTTTTATATTCTGAATGTGATTCAATCTAAGTTTTTGAAGTCTTCCAGCTGGCCCATATTTCAAACAGCAACAGACAGAAGCAGTTATTGTATCAGCTCAGAGAAGACATTTTCATAACCAATGAAGCTCATTATAGTTGAATACCCGATTCCTGCCAATGCATAATTTAAATAATCACTTCAAAGCAATTTGTTATATAATTATTGAGTCTTACATAATTACGACCCCCTGAAGAAGCAGAAGCAATTTATTCGGGGGGAAGAGGCATTAGACTTGGCTGGCAAAGAGGCTTTCCATATAGCTCTGGACACCTGGCCACAGGCAATATTGGTGACAAGAAGGGAGGTGGCATGGCCCTGTTTGAGGAGTTTCTGGTTATTCTGCTTCTTTGGCTGGAGGGCTCCACTATCAACCTAAGCACATTGAGAGATATATTCATTTTTGGAAAAATGTTAGCCTTTGAGGGTAACAAATATTCAATAATAAAAATGAGTTTTATAGTGAAAAAATATGATACTCTTTGTAAAAAGAAATAAATATGGTTTCTCGATGTAGGCGGTGTCTGACATGAACCTCACTGAAGAGAACACCTTTTTCTTTTCTATTTTTTTATTTCCAACTTTTACTTTAAGTTCAGGGGTACATTTGCACGATGTGCAGGTTTGTTACATAGTTAAACGTGTGCCACGGATGGCGATTAGCTGCATAGATCATCCCATCACCTAAGTACTAAGCCTGGCATCCATTAGCTATTCTTCCTGATGCTTTCCCTCCTCCCACCCCCTATCCCCCGACAGGCCCCAGTATGTGTTGTTCCCTGCCATGTGTCCATGGAGAACACCTTTTTCTGGGGGTGGTGAGTGACAGAGGGCAGCGATAGTGGCCCTGAGTGCTTAGCTAAACCAAGGACCCAGCAAAAGGCTCTCGTGGCCTTAAACCGAGAGAAATCCAATTCTTAAAGATCCATATCGAATCAAAAAGATATGGTAGCACAGGAAAGATTCTGCTTTCCATCTGTTGAACCATCTATATTTGTCAAAAGAAAAGCTCAGATGTTCATAGGAGTCAGGGAGATAACACAAGGGAGGGAGGTGAACAGGTACAAGTCTGTAGAAAGTTCTGGGGACTTTGACAAGCTGGAGAACTCGTCTCTCTAAAGGAGGAAGCCACTCTTCAGCCCCAACCAATAGTCTCTTATTCAAGAATAAAGGGCCAATGTTGCCTGATCATCTAATTTTTAAATAGAATATAGAAATTTAGATTTTATGGGTAATATTCCAATTTTTCTATACTGACTCATCTGTATACAAACCACACTGCAGATATGGTTTGGCTGTGTTCCCACCCAAATCTCATTTTGAATTATAGCTCCCATAATTCCCAAGTGTTGTGGGACCTCGTGGGAGATAATTGAATCACAGGGGCAGTTTCCCCCATACTGTTCTCCTGGTAGGGAATAAGTCTCACAGGATCTGATGGTTTTATAAAGGGAAATCCCTTTCACTTGGCTCTCATTTCTGTCTTGGCTGCTGCCATGTAAGACATGCCTTTTGCCTTCCACCATGATTATGAGGCCTCCTCAGCCACGTGGAACTATGAGTCCATTAAACCTCTTTTCCTTTATAAATTACCCAGTCTCAGGTATGTCTTTATTAGCAGCATGAAAACAGACTAATACAACTGTACAGGCCAATCAAAATATGCCAGTGGGCCATTCATCTACAGCCTGTCTTGTCTCTCTAATCTCTGACAGTGTTCTTTGTCAAATGGGAGAGAAAAGACAGGGGACTGTCACAGGCTGGGTTGTCTGGAAGCAGATGCTGGGACAGAATATGAGGTAAGAATGTTTACTATGTATCCATACCTGTGGAAAGAAGCGGGCAGATGCAGGATCGGGCAGAGGGAGAAGGCAAATGTTGATGCAGGCCTGACAAAGCTCCTGCCAATCTGGCAGGAAGTTTCAGATCAAATATTGCCTGTCAGAGCTGTCCCAAGTGAGGCCAAAGTGGCCGGACTTTTATGACCCGTCTTGCTCAGTCATCTGACACAGGTTGTCCTGGAAAGATTTGACCGCAAGTGAGGCAGTTCTCAGCAGCTGAGGCCAACCCTGAAGCTCCTGATGCTGGAGGCTGTTTGATCCTTCTTTCTTGAAGGAAGATCTGGACACCTGGACAGAGCATCTCATGTCTACCATAGGTACACATAAATACACAGACACAGTATAACATGACTGGCCAGCCATGTCACAGAATCACAGGGTCCTTGGCCACCTTCTGAAGGTCATTGAGATGGCCTGGTCTGCAGGAAGGAAACCTGAACAGATGGCCAGGAGGCCTGGGGATGAATCCCAGGACTGACACTTGCTTCTCTGTTTTCTTGTCTTGAAAATATAGGAGGTGACCTCTTGTTTTCACCATTTCTGCAGTGATGATCAGATGCTGGGAATGTTCTTAGGAAAGTTATGAGCACTTCAGAAGAGTCTGTGAAGAACAGTTATACTCTTTTATGTTTTATACCACTTTATTGAGGTATGACTGACATATTAAAAACTATATATATTTAATGCATACAATTCAATGAGTTTGGGGATAAACACATACCCATGAAACCATCAAGGCCATGAACATATCCATCATGAACATATCCATCTCCCAAAGTCTCCTCCAATCCCTTTTATTTTTGTCCTTGGGTTTGGAAGGCGGTATTTATTTGTGGGTTTTTTTGTTTGTTTTCTGGTAAGAACATTTAACATAAGATCTACTTTTTCAAAAAATTTTAAGTATATAGTACAGTATTGTTAGCTATAAGCACTACGCTGTAGATTCAGTATAAGCAGAACTTATTTATCTTGCATAACTGAAACATAATACCCTTTAACCATCACCTCTGACCAACATGCTATTCTCTGCTTCTGTGAGTTTGAGTGTTTTAGATTCTACATTTAGTGAGATCATACAGTATTTGTCTTTCTGTTTCTGGTTTATTTCACTGAACATAATACTCTCCAAGTCTATCCATTTTGTTACAAATGATGGGATTTCCTTCTTTTATAAGGCTGAGCAATATTCCATTGTATGTACATACCACAATTTCTTTATCCCATTCACCCATCAACAGACAATTAAGTTGCTTCCAGATCTTGGCTATTATGAATAATGCTGTAGTGACCACAGGAATGCCAAAATCTCTTCTAGATCCTGATTTTAATTTTTTTTATATATACCTCTTGTTGTTTTAATAACAGCCATTCTAAGATACGAGGCAATGGTTCATTGTGGTTGTGACATTCATTTCCCTGATAATTAATGATGGTGAGCACATTGTCATATACCTGTTGGCCTTTTGTCTTCCTTGGAGAAATGTCTTTCAGAACATTTGCCCATTTTTAATTTAATTATTTGGTTTTTGTTATGTTTTTGCTATTCAGTTGCATAAATGCCTTCTATATTTTGGATAAAATCCCTTATCAGATATATGGTTTGCAAATATTTTCTCTCATTTCTTAATTTTGTTAATTGTTTCTTTGGCTGCACAGAAGTTTTTTAGTTTGATGTAGTACCACTTGTTCATTTTTGCTTTTGTTGTCTGTGTTTTTGGTATCAAAGCCAAAAAATCATTGCCAAGGATAATGTCAAAGAGCTTTTTCCTATGAGTTCTTCTGGGAGTTTTACAGTTTCAGGTCTTATATTTAAGTCTTTAATAAATTCTGGGTTGATTTTTGTGTAGGGTGCAAGATAACGACCCAACTTCCTTTATTTGCATGTGGATATCCAGTTTTCCCAACACCATTTGTTGAAGAGACTATCCTTTCTCCACTGTGTATTCTTGGCACCCTTATAGAAAATTAGGTGACCATATATGTGTGGGTTTATTTCTGGGCTCTTCATTCTATTTCATTAGTTTATGTGTCTGTTTTTATGCCAATATCATACTGCTTTGATTCCTATAATTTTGTAATATAATTTGAAATCAGGAAAGATACTTCTTTTAGCTTTTTTTCTTTCAAGATTGCTTTCAGGGTCATAGTTCCATATGAATTTTAAGATTGCTTTTTCTATTTCCATGAAAATGTCACTGGAAGTTTTATAGAGATTGCAATGAATCTATAGATTGCTTCGGGTAGTATGAACATTTTAGCAATATTAATTCTTCCAATCCATGAACATAGAATATGTTTTCATTTATTTGTGTCTAATTTCTTTTATCAATGTTGTATAATTTTCAGGGTAAAGATCTTTTGCTTCCTTGGTTAAATTTATGCTTAGGTATTTTATCTTTTTGATACTATTGTCAATGGAATTGCATTCTAAATTTTTTTTCAGATAGTTTATTGTTAGTACATAGAAACACAACTGATTTTTGCATGTTGATTTTGTATTCTACAACTTTACTGAATTCACGTATTAGTTCTAACAGTTTTCAAGTGGAATTGTAGAGTTTTCTATGGATAAAATGATGTCATCTACAAACAGGACAATTTAACTTCTTCCTTGCCGATTTAGGTGGCGTTATTTCTTTTTCTTGCCTGATTGCTCTGGCTAGGACTTCCACTACTCTACTGAATAGAAATGCTAAGAGTGGGCATCTTTGTCTTATTGCTAATCTTAGGGAAAAATCTTTCAGCTTTTCACCTTTGACTATGATATTAGCTGTGGGCTCATCATGTATGGCCTTTATTATTTATTTATTTTGAGATGGAGTTTTGCTCTTGCTGCCCAGGCTGGAGTGCAATGGCACAATCTCGGCTCATTGCAACCTCTGCCTCCTGGGTTCAAGCGATTCTCCTGCCTCAGCCTCCCAGGTAGCTGGGATTACAGGCATGCGCCACTACGCCCAGCTAATTTTTTGTATTTTTAGTAGAGATGGGATTTCTCCAAGTTGGTCAGGTTGGTCTCAAACTCCCGACCTCAGGTAATCTGCCCACCTCTGCCTCTCAAAGTGCTGGGACTACAGGTGTGAGCTACATCGCCCAGCATGTATGGCCTTTTTTATGTTGAGGTATATTTTTCCTATACTCAATTTGTTGAGGAATGTTGAATAAAGGAATGTTGAATCTTGCAAAATGCTTTTTCTGCATCTATGAAGGTGATCATGATTTTTATTCTTCATTCTGTTAATATGTTGGATTATATTTATTGATTTGTATATGTTGAGCCATCCTTGCCTCCCAGGGATAAATCCCACTTGATCACAAAGTATGGTCCTTTTAATATGCTACTGAATTCAGTTTGCTAGTATTTTGCTGAGGATTTTAACATCTATGTTCATCAGGGATGTTGGCCTATAATTTTTTTTTCTTGTTTTGTCCTTGTCTGGCTTAGGTATACCTCAGAATGCGTTTGGAAGTTCTCCTTCCTCTTCAATTTTTGTGTAAGAGTTGGAGAAGAATTGGCATTAACCCTTCTTTAAATGTTTGGTAGAACTTACCAGTGAAGCTATCTGATCCTGGGTTTTTCTTTGCTGGGACTTTATTTTATTTTATTTTATTTTATTTTTTGAGACAGTGTCTCACTCTGTCACCCAGGCTGGAGTGCAGTGGCACAATCTCAGCTCACTGCAACCTCCACCTCCCAGGTTCAAGTAATTCTCCTGCCTCAGCCTCCTGAGTAGCTGGGATTACAGGCTCATGCCACCACGCCCGGCTAATTTTTGTATTTTTACTAGAAACGGGGTTTCACTATGTTGGCCAGGCTGGTCTCAAACTCCCGACCTCAGGTGATCCACTTGCCTCGGCCTCCCAAAATGCTGGGATTACAGTCATGACCCACTGCTCCTGGCCTTTTTGGGATATTTTTAATTACAGATTCAATCTCCTTACTCACTACTGGTCTGTCCAGGTTTTCCTGTTTTTCATGATTTAGTCTTGGCATGTTATATATTTCTATAGTACAAAAAAAATGATTTATGCGCTACCATTATAGTACAATTTGAACATTTAAAATCTGAAAAGTCAAAATCCAAAATGATCCAAAACCTGAAACTTTTTGAGTGCCAACATGATGCTAAAAGCTTATGTGTTCATGGAAATTTATCTATTTCTTCTAGGTTATGCAATTTATGGGCATATTATTGTTCACAGTAGTTTCTTATAATCCTTGGTATTTCTGTGATATCAGTTGTAATACCCTCTTTTCCATTTATAATTTGATTTGAGTCCTCCCTCTTTTTTCACTTAGCCTCATTAACGGTTTATCAATTTTGTTTATCTTAAAAACAAAAACAATCAATTTTATTGATCTCGTCTATTTTTTCTAGTCTCTTTTATTTATTTCTGCTCTGATCTTTATTATGTACTGTCTTCTGCTAATTTTAGACTTAGTTTGTTCTTCTTTTTCCAGTTCTTGAGGTGTAAAGTTATGTTGTTCATTTGAAATCTTCCATTTTTCTTAGTGTAGGTGTTTATTGCCATAAGCTTTCCTCTTAGAACTGCTTTTGTGGCATCCAATAAGTTTTGGAGTGTGGTGTTTCATTTGTCCCTAGATATTTTCTTATTTTTATTTTGACTTCTTCTTGGACCCATTGGTTGTTCATGAGTATGTGTCTTGATATCTGTAACATTTTCAGCTTTCCTCCTGTTATTGATTTCTACTTTTATAACATTGTAATCAGAAAAGATATTTAATATATTTCAATATTCTTAAATTTTTAAAGACTTGTTTTGTAGCCAAACATATAATATGTCCTAGAAAATGCTCCATGTGTTCTTGAGAAGACTGTGTCTTCTGCTACTGTTGGGTGGAATACTCTATATATGTCTATCAGATTCATTTGGCCTATAATATTGTTCAATTCTGCTATTTCATTATTGATTTTCTGTCTGAAAAAATCTACCCATTGTTAGAAGTGGGTATCGAAGTTCCTTACCATTATTGTATTGCTGCCTAGTTCTCTCTTCTGTTTTGTTAATATTTGCTTTAAATATTTAGGCGCTCTGTTGTTAGGTGCATATATATTTACAAATATTATAACCTCTCGAAGAATTGGCCCCTTTATTATAATGTAATGACCTTATCTGTCTCTTGTGACAACTTTTTTACTCAAAGTCTATTTTGTCTGATAGAAGTATAGCCAGGCTTGCTCTCTTTTGGTTATGATTTGAAGGAAATATATTTTTCCATCCCTCCACTTTCAGCCTATGTATCCTTAAAGCTAAAGTGAGTCTCTCCTAGGCAACATTTAGTTGGATCTTGTTTTATAGTCAATTCAGTCACTCTACCTCTTTTGATTGGAAAATTTAATCCATTGGATTTAAAGTAATTATTGATAGGTAAGGACTTACTACTGCAATTTTGTTAATTATTTTCTGTTTTGTAGTTCTATTATGCCTTTCTTCCACTCTTGCTGTTTTGTTCTGTAGTTTGATTATTTTTTTAAATAGTGGCATGTTTTGATTCCTTTCTCTTTATCTTTTGCATATGTATGACAGGTTTTTGCTTTGTGATTACCATGAGGCTTACATAAAATACCTTATTGTCATAACAGTATAGATATTTTTTCAACTTTTATTTTAGGTTCAGGGGTATATGTGCAGGTTTGTTACATAGGTAAATTGCATGTCATAGGAGTTTGGTATACAGATTAATTTGCACCTAGGTAATAAGCATAGTACCCAATAGGCAGGTTTTTTTATCCCCTCCCTCCTCCTGCCCTCCAGCCACATGTAGGCTCTGGTGTCTATTGTTTCTTTCTTTGTGTCCATGTGTACTTAATGTTTAGTTCCCACTTATAAGTGAGAACATGCAGTATTTTGTTTTCTGTTCCTGTGTTAGTTCACTTAGGATAATCGCCTCTTGCTCCACCCATATTACTGCAAAGGACATGACCTCATTTTTTATGGCTGCATAGTATTCCATGGTGTATATGTACCACAGTTTCTTTATGCAGTCTGCCATTGATGGGCCTTTAGGTTGATTCCATGTCTTTGCTATTGTGAATAGTGCTGTGATGAATACACACAGCATGTATCTTTATGGTAGAACAATTTATATTTCTTTAGTTATATACCCAACCATGGGATTGCTGGGTTGAAGGTAGTTCTGTTTTAAGTTCTTTGAGAAATCTCCACACTGCTTTCCACAATGGCAGAATCAATTTACATTCCCACCAGCAGTGTATCAGTGGCATTGGGTAAATACAGCTGATTCAAATGGGAGAAATGGCAAAAACAAAGGGGCTACAGACCACATGCAAGTCCAAAATCCAGGGGAGCAGTCAAATCTTAAAGCCCCAAAATGATCTCCTTTGACTCCATGTCTTACATCCAGATCATGCTGATGTAAGAGGTGGGTTCCTGTGGTCTTGGGCCGCTCCACCCCTATAGCTTTACAGAAAGAAAAAATGTTAAGAGCAGACAGAGAGAACGGTCAGGTTACTCATGAAGGGAAGCCCATCAGACTAACAGTAGATCTCTCTGCAGAAACCCTACAAGTCAGAAGAGAGTGGGAGCCAATACTCAGCATTCCTAAAGAAAAGAATCTTCAACCCAGAATTTTATATCCAGCCAAACTAAGCTTCATAAGCGAAGGAGAAATAAAATCCTTTCCAGACAAGCAAATGCTGAGGGATTTTGTCACCACCAGGCCTGCCTTACAAAAGCTCCTGAAGGAAGCACTAAATATGGAAAGGAAAAACCAGTACCAGCCACTGAAAAGACAAACCAAAATGTAAAGACCATCAACAGTAGGAAGAAACTGCATCGACTAATGGGCAAAATAATCAGCTAGCATCATAATGACAGATTCAAATTCACACATAACAGTCTGCACATGTATCCCAGAACTTAAAGTATAATAAAAAATTAATAAATAAAACAAATAAATAAATAGATAATTTTTTTCTGAAATAAAAAAGAAAATAATGTCAGCAATTGAAAGAATTAGAGGAATAACCTCTAAAATCCCTTCTTGCACTAAACTTCCAGGATCTAACAAGTTATAGTCCAATTTCTTTAAGTCTTATTTCTCAATAAAATTATAAAAGCTAACATTTGGGCAGGCATGGTGGCTCATGCCTAGCACTTTGAGAGGCCGAGATGGGAGGATCGCTTGAGGCCAGGAGTTCAAGTCCAACCTGGTCAACATATTGAGACCCCATTTCTATTAAAAATAAATTTTAAGAAAAGCTAACATTTGATAGTAATAGAATTTGCTTGATTTCTCAGTTTTTCCCTCTGTATCAGTTATCTATTACTACATAAAAAACAATCCCAAAATGTGCTGGCTTAAAACAACCTTTACATTTTTTCCTATTCCTTTATGATTTTGGGGGCTAGAAATCTGGGCTGGGCTCTGGGGCAGTTTCTCTTCTAGTCCCACCTGGGGTCATTCATACAGCTGCAGTCATCTGCAAGCTTGACTAGGACTGGAAAACCTAATATGGCCCAAGATGCATGACTCCCATGTCTACAGGCTGATAGTGGCTGTCAGCTGGTGGGTCCAGGGGTCCTTAGCTGGGTGGCTCATCTTTGCTCCATGTGGCCTTATTCCATTTAATAAGCTAGATTAGGCTTTGTTACATAGCAGACTGTGGACTTCACATAGCAGCATTTTAAGAAGGCAACAGGGGAATCTATAAAGTCTCTCAAGAATTGGGCTCCAAAGTTGTACAACTTCCACTGAATTCTATGGGTAAAAGCAAATCATAGGACCATACAGACTCAAGGCGTAGGATGATATAATAGATATTACCTCTTGATGCAAGGAATAGCAAAGATCACTGAAACTGAACGTAAATTGTTTGCAGCTTATGCTGACATTATATTCTCACTTATCTCCACAGCCCATTGGTCACCAGTATCAACTACTTATTGAAAATCTGCCCTCACAGTGAAAACAAGATGTTCTAACTACAATCGCAGAATGTGATTAAGCATAGTAAAGACGTTTTTGGAAAACTGGCTTTCCCACACATGAAGTAAAGAAATAAAAATACAGTCCATTTCTTCACTTATACCACATCTCATTCAGTACCATCACGATGTCTACCAAAGCATTTCAGACAAAACACTAAGGCACTTTGCAACTCTGAAAGCAAAGTCCAAAAAGCTTTGACTACAATATTCCAAACTACTGTTGGCAGTTGAAAAAGGTAAGCTAAGAATGATGCATTAAAGAAAGGCCAGCTGGTAGTCATAGTTCCTGAACAATCTTAAATGTGTTTCAGGTAGGAAGGCCACGTAATTTTTCACAGTTATGCTGGAACATCACATTACAAGTAAGTCGCCTGCAGCCCTGTCATGGAGACTGTCTGATTATTGACCACATTCCCTAAGACCTTATCACTTTACAGTCACCCAGATATTTGAAAGCAGTAATCCAAGTAGTAAGTCATAGATCAGGTTGTTCAGCAGTACAGAGATCTGAAACAACACATAAATCAAAATTGACAGGTAATTAGCCAAGTTGCTTATACAGTAAAAAAATTTGCCATCAAATCTTCCAACTCAGAGGCTGACAGACACCTGATGCTCCTTGATAAGATAGAACCTCGCCCTGACACACAAGGCAATGGGTAGCAAAGGCACTCACATTATCATCTTTTCATATCATACTGAGCCAACCCTGGAAAAAAACATCAGACCCTTCCAGGGAAATCATGCCCAAAACACCTGCAGATTCCTCAGCCCCTTGAGAAGGTACTCAGAAGGAAAAAGGAGCTCAGATGCAGTTCAGATGAAATTTACCACTCCCTCAAAATCCACTCAAATCACCACTCAGATGACTTCTCTTTCTAGTATTCAGAATGTGTTCATTTCATTGTTTGAGGAGCACTTCCTTTGGGGGTTAAAATGAATTTTAAGGGTGACAGGCAAGATGGGCAAATAGGAACAGCTCCAGTCTGCAGCTCCCAGTGAGACCAATGCAGAAGGTGGGAAATTTCTGCATTTCCAACTAAGGTACCCGGTTCATCTCACTGGGACTGGTTAAACAGTGGGTGCAGCCAATGGAGGGTGAGCAGGAGCAGGGTGGGGGGTCACCTAACCTGGAAAGTGCAAGGGGTCAGGGAACTCCTTCCCCTAGCCAAGGGAAGTAGTGAGGGACTGTGCCATGAGAAACAGTGCATTCTGGACCAGATACTACACTTTTCCCATGGTCTTTGCAACCCACAGACCAGGAGATTCCCTCGGGTACCTATACCACAAGGGCCCTGGGTTTCAAGCACAAAACTGGGCAGCCGTTTGAGCAGACACCCAGCTTGCTGCAGGAATTTTTTTTCATACACCAGTGGTGCCTGGAATGCCAGCGAGACAGAACCATTCACTCCCCTGAGAAGGGGGCTGAAGTCAGGGAGCCAAGTGGATCCCACCCGCACAGAGCCCAGCAAGCTAAGATCAACTAGCTTGAAATTCTCACTGCCAGCACAGCAGTCTGAAGTCGACCTGGGACACTCAAGCTTGGTTGGGGGAGGGGTGTCCACCATTACTGAGGCTTGAGTAGGCAGTTTTCCCCTCACAGTGTAAACAAAGCCCCTGGGAAGTTCAGACTGGGTGGAGCCCACCGCAGCTGGGCAAAGCCGCTGCAGCCAGACTGCATCTCTAGATTCCTCCTCTCTGAAAGGAAGGGCATCTCTGAAAGAAAGGCAGCAGCCCCAATCAGGGGCTTTTATATAAAACTCCCATCTCCCTGAAACAGAGCACCTAGGGGAAGGGGTGGCTGTGGACACAGCTTCAGCCAACTTAAATGTACCTGCCTGCTGGCTCTGAAGAGAGCAGTGGATCTCCCAGCACAGCGCTCAAGCTCTGCTAAGGGATAGACTGCCTCCTCAAGTGGGTCCCTGACCACTGTGCCTCCTGACTGGGAGACACCTCCCAGCAGGGATCGACAGACACCTCATACAGGAGAGCTCCAGCTGGCATCTGGCAGGTGCCCCTCTGGGGTGAAGCTTCCAGAGGAAGAAACAGAAAGCAATCTTTGCTGTTCTGCAGCCTCTGCTGGTGATACCCAGGCAAACAGGGTCTGGAGTGGACCTCCAGTAAACTCCAGCAGACCTGCAGAAGAGGGGCCTGACTATTAGAAGGAAAACTAACAAAAAGAAAGGAATAGCATCAACATCAACAAAAAGGATGACCACACCAAAACCCCATTCGAAGGTCACCAACATCAAAGACAAAAGGTAGATAAATCCACGAAGATGAGGAAAAACCAGCACAAAAAGGCTGAAAAATCCAAAAACCAGATCCTCCTCCAAAGGATCACAACTCCTCGCCAGAAAGGGAACAAAACTGGATGGAGAATGAGTTTGATGAATTGACAGAAGTAGGCTTCAAAAGGTGGGTAATAACAAACTCCTCTGAGCTAAAGGGCAATGTTCTAACCCAATGCAGGGAAGCTAAGAACTTTGAAAAAAGGTTAGAGGAATTGCTAACTAGAATAAACAGTTTAGAGAAGAACATAAATGATCTGATGGAGCTGAAAAACACAGCACAAGAACTTTGTGAACATACACAAGTATCAAAAGCTAAATTGATCAAGCAGAAGAAAGGATATTAGAGATTGAAGATCAACCTAATGAAATAAAGCATGAAGACAAGATTAGAGAAAAAAGAATGAAAAGGAATGAACAAAGCCTCCAAGAAATATGGGACTATGTGAAAAGACCAAACCTATGTTTTATTGGTGCACCTGAAAGTCCTGGGGAGAATGGAAGCAAGTTGGAAAACACTCTTCAGGATATTATCCAGGAGAATTTCCCCAACCTAGCAAGACAGACCAACATTCAAATTCAGGAAATACAGAGAGCACCACAGAGATGCTCCTCAAGAAGGGCAACCCCAAGACACATATTGTCAGATTCACCAAGGTTGAAATGAAGGACAGAATGTTAAGGGAAGTTAGAGAGGAAAGTCGGGTTATCCACAAAGGGAAGCCCATCAGACTAGCAGTGGATCTCTCTGCAGAAACCCTACAAGCCAGAAGAGAGTGGGGGCCAATACTCAACATTCTTAAAGAAAAGAATTTTCAATCCAGAATTTCATATCCAGCCAAACTATGCTTCATAAGTGAAGGAGAAATAAAATCCTTTACAGACAAGCAAATGCTGAGGGATTTTGTCACCACCAGGTCTGCCTTACAAGAGCTCCTGAAGGAAGCACTAAATATGGAAAGGAAAAGCTAGTACCAGTCACTGCAAAAACATACCAAATTCTAAAGACCATAGACACTATGAAGAAACTGCATCGACTAACATGTAAAATAACCAGCTAGCATCATAATGACAGGATCAAATTCACACATAACACTATTAACCTTAAGTGTAAATGGGCTAAATGCCCCAATTAAAAGACACAGACTGGCAAATTGGATAAAGAGTCAAGACCCATCAGTGTGCTGTATTCAGGAGACCCATCTCACGTGCAAAGGCACACATAGGCTCAAAATAAAGGGATGGAGGAATACTTGCCAAGCAATTGGAAAGAAACAAAAAAAGCAGGGGTTGCAATCCTAGTCTCTGATAAACACACTTTAAACCAACAAAGATTAAAAAAAAAAAAAAGACAAAGAAGGGCATTACATAATGGTAAAGGGATCAATGAAAGAAGAAGAGCTAACTATCCTAAATATATATGCACCCAATACAGGAGCACCCAGATTCATAAAGCAAGTTCTTAGAGACCTACAAAGAGACTTACACTCCCACACAATAATAGTGGGAGACTTTAAGACCCCACTGTCACTATTAGACAGATTAATGAGACAGAAAATTAACAAAGATATTCAGGACTTGAACTCAGCTCTGGACCAAGCAGAACTAATAGACATCTACAGAACTCTCCACCCCAAATCAACAGAATATACATTCTTCTCAGCACCACATCACACATATTCTTAAACTGACCACATAATTGGAAGAAAAACACTCCTCAGCAAATGCAAAAGAATGGAAATCATAACAAACAGTCTCTCAGACCACAGTGCAATCAAATTAGAACTCAGGATTCAGAAACTCGCTCAGCCAGGCATGGTGGCTCACGCCTATAATCTCAGCACTTTGGGAGGCTGAGGTGGGCAAATCATGAGGTCAGGAGTTCGAGACCAGCCTGACCAACATGGTGAAACCCCATCTCTACTAAAAATACAAAAATTAGTTGGGCATGGTGGTGCATGCCTGTAATCCCAGCTACTCAGAAGGCTGAGGCAGAAGACTCACTTGAACCCGGGAGGCAGAGTTTGCAGTGACCCGAGATCATGCCACTGCACTCCAGCCTGGGCAACAGAGCAAACTCAGTCTCAAAAAAAAAAAAAAAAAAGAAAGAGAAAAAGAAGAAAAAAAAGAAACTCACCCAAAACTGCACAACTACATAGCAACTGAACAACCTGCTGAATGACCACTGGGTAAATAATGAAAGTTCTTTGGAACCAATGAGAACAAAGATACAATGTACCAGAATCTCTGGGACACAGCTAAAGCAGTGTTTAGAGGGAAATTTATAGTACTAACTGCCCGCAGGAGAAAGCAGGAAAGACCTAAAATCAACATGCTAACGTCACAATTAAAAGAACTAAAGAAGCAAGAGCAAACAAATTCAAAAGCTAGCAGAAGACAAGAAATAACTAAGATCAGAGCAGAACTGAAGGAGACAGAGACATGAAAAACCCTTCAAAAAAATCAATGAATCCAGCAGCTGACTGTTTTTAAAAGATTAACAAAATACATAGACTGCTAGCCAGACTAATAAAGAAGAAAACAGAGAAGAATCAAATAGACACAATAAAAAATGATACAGGGGAGATCACCACTGGTCCCACAGAAGTAAAAACTACCACCAGAGAATATTATAAACACCTCTATGCAAATAAAATGGAAAATCTAGAAGAAATGGATAAATTCCTGGACACATACACCCTACCAAGACTAAACCAGGAAGAAGTCAAATCCCTGAATAGACCAATAATAATTTCTGAAATTGAGGCAGTAATTAATAGTCTACCAACGAAAAAAAGCCCAGGACCAGACAGATTCACAGCCGAATTCTACCAGAGGTACAAACAGGAGCTGGTACCATTCCTTCTGAAACTATTCCAAACAACAGAAAAAGAAGGACTCCTCCCTAATTCATTTTATGAGGCCAGCATCATCCTGATACCAAAACGTGGCAGAGACACAGCACAAAAATAAAATTTCAGGCCAATAACCCTGACGAACATCGATGCGAAAATCCTCAATAAAATACTGGCAAACTGAATCCAGCAGCACATCAAAAAGCTTACCCACCACGATCAAGTCAGCTTCATACCTGGGATGCAAGGCTGGTTCAATATATGAAAATCAATAAACGTAATCCATCACATAAACAGAACCAATGACAAAAACCACATGATTATCTCAATAGATGCAGAAAAGGCCTTCAATACAATTCAACACACCTTCAGGCTAAAAACACTCAATAAACTAGGTATTGATGGAATGTATCTCAAAATAATAAGTGCTATTTATGACAAACTTACAGCCAATATCATACTAAATGGGCAAAAGCTGAAAGCATTCCCTTTGAAAACCAGCACAAGAAAAGGATGCCCTCTTTCACCACTCCTATTCAACATAGTATTGGAAGTTCTGGCCAGGGCAATCAGGCAAGAAAAAGAAACAAAAGGGTATTCAGATAGGAAGAGAGGAAGTCAAATTATCTCTGTTTGCAGATGACATAATTGTATATTTAGAAAACCCCATCATCTCATCCCCAAATCTCCTTAAGCTGATAAGCAACTTCAGCAAAGTCTCAGGATACAAAATCAATGTGCAAAAATCACAAGCATTCCTATACACCAATAACAGACAAACAGAGAGCCAAATCATGACTGAACTCCCATTCACAATTGCTACAAAGAGAATAAAATACCTAGGAATCCGACTTACAAGGGATGTAAAGGACCTCTTCAAGGAGAACTACAAACCACTGCTCAAGGAAATAAGAAAGGACACAAACAAATGGAAAAACATTCCATGCTCATGAATAGGAAGAATTAATATCATGAAAATGGCCATACCACCCAAAGTAATTTATAGATTCCATGCTATTCCCATCAAGCTACCATTGACTTTCTTCGCAGAATTAGAAAAAACTACTTTAAATTTCATGTGGAACCAAAAAAGAGCCCGTATAGCCAAGACAATCCTAGCAAAAAGAACAAAGCTGGAGGCATCACGCTACCTGACTTGAAACTACACTACAAGGCCACAGTAACCAAAACAGCATGATACTGGTACCAAAACAGATATACAGACTGATGGAACAGAACAGAGGCCTCAGAAATAACACCACACATCTACAACCATTTGATCTCCGGCAAACCTGACAAAAACAAGCAATGGGGAAAGGATTCCCTATTTAATAAATGGTGCTGGGAAAACTGGTTAGCCACGTGCAGAAAACTGAAACTGGACTCCTTCCTTACACCTTATACAAAAACTAACTTAAGATGGACTAAATACTTAAATGTAAGACCTTAAACCATAGAAACCCTAGAAGAAAACCTAGGCAATACCATTCAGGACATAGGCATGGGCAAAGACTTCAAGACTAAAACACTAAAAACAATGGCAACAAAAGCCAAAATTGACAAATGGGATCTAATTAAACTAAAGAGCTTCTGCACAGCAAAAGAAACTATCATCAGAGTGAACACGCAACCTACAGAATGGGAAAAAAAAATTCGCAATCTATCCATCTGACAAAGGGCTAATATCCAGAATCTACCAGGAACTTAAACAAATTTACAAGAAAAAACAAACAACCCCATCAAAAATTGGGCAAAGGATATGAACAGACACTTCTCAAAAGAAGACATTTATGTGGCAAACAAACATGAAAAAAAGCCATCATCACTGGTCATTAGAGAAATGCAAACCAAAACCACAATGAGATACCATCTCACGCCAGTTAGAATGGCGATCATTAAAAAAGCCAGGAAAGAGGCCAGGCACGGAGGCTCACGCCACTAATCCCATCACTTTGGGAGGCCAAGATGGGCGGATCACGAGGTCAGGAGATTGAGACCATCCTGGCTAACACAGTGAAACCCCGTCTCTACTAAAAATACAAAAAAGTTTAGCCGGGCGTGGTTGGGGGCGCCTGTAGTCCCAGGTACTCGGGAGGCTGAGGCAGGAGAATGGCGTGAACCCGGGAGGTGGAGCTTGCAGTGAGCCAAGATCACGCCATTGCACTCTAGCCTGGGCGACTGAGCAAGATTCCATCTCAAAAAAGAAAAATCCAGGAAACAATACGTTCTGGAGAGGATGTGGAGAAATAGAAACATTTTCACACTGTTGATGGCAGTGTAAATTAGTTCAAACATTGTGGAAGACAGCGTAGCGATTCCTTAAGGATCTAGAACTAGAAATACCATTTGACCCAGCCATCCCATTACTGGGTATATACCCAAAGGATCATAAATCATTATACCATAAAGACACATGCACACGTATGTTTATTGCAGTACTATTCACAATAGCAAAGACTTGGAACCAACCCAAATGCCCATCAATGATAGAATGGATAAAGAAAACGTGGCACACATACACCATGCGATACTATGCAACCATAAAAAAGGATGAGTTCATGTCCTTTGCAGGGACCTGGATGAAGCTGGAAACCATCATTCTCAGCAAACTAACACAAAAACAGAAAACCAAACACCACATGTTCTCACTCATAAGTAGGAGTTGAACAATGAGAACACATGGACACAGGGAGGAAACATCACACACTGGGGCCTGTCGTGGGGTGGGGGCCTAGGGGAGGGATAGCATTAAGAGAAATACCTGGCCAGGTACAGTGACTCATGCCTGTAATTCTAGCACTTTGGGAGTCTGAGGCAAGCAGATCACAAGGTCAAGAGTACGAGACCATCCTGGCCAACATGGTGAAACCCTGTCTGTACTAAAAATACAAAAATTAGCCAGGCGTGGTGGCACGTGCCTGAATTGCAAGCTACTCGGGAGGCTGAGGCAGGAGAATCGCTTGAACCCGGGAGACAGAGGTTACAGTGAGCCGAGATCATGCCACTGCACTTCCAGCCTGGTGACAGAGCGAGACTGTCTCAAAAAAAAAGGAAATACCTAATGTAGATGATGGATTGATGGGTGCAGCAAACCACCATGGCACGTGTATACCTATGTAACAAACCTGTATGTTCTGCCCATGTATCCCAGAATTTAAAGTATAGTTAAAAAATGAATTTTAAAAACAGCTCCTGCCTTCAAGGAAGGAGAAGAAGGGTGTGACAGACAGTGAGTAGAAATTGTGACAGTGAGTCACACAGCAAGCAGACAGTGACATTCTCACATAGATTTTCTTGTTTAACATAACACTCCTATGATACGGGTATTATTATCCCTATTTTAAAGATTGGGGAATTGAGGCTTCAGTTAGTAATCAACAGAGCCAAGATTCAAATTCAGGGAAGAGCCGAAGGAAAGAAGCAGGGCTGGGAGAGAAGGTGAAACTCAAGTGAAACACTGTAAGTAAAGCACTTTCTAGCAATACAAGACTTTGCAAACAGCTATGATTGTAATGTCAGTGAGCATGAGGCAGAGATATGACAATCAAGTGAAGAATACCCAGCTGCCTGCTGAAAATAAAAAACCTAGGGAAACGTTAGTAGTTCATGAGAGAGTCAAAATTTTAAAAGGGCCTCAGGATGGATGCTGGGTGAACTCAGGATAACTGGAAGGAAAAACAAATCAAAAGGAGAACCAGGAGTATTTACTAGCCCCAAAGCCAACAGTGTCAAGCAAAAAAGAGTCAAATGCAGCCAGAGGGTGGAAGAGAAGGAGGCCCAGAAAAGAGTCACTGGATTTTGGAAATTGGGAGGCCACTGGAAACCATCAAAAGAGATGGAGGGTAGGTGACAGAGATGTAGGTTAGAGAGAATGTGGGCAGTGAGGCAGTAAGGACATCAGTGTAGAATCCCCATTCAGAAAGCTTCCCCAGGAAGGAATAAAGGAAATCAAATGCAATGATAGTTTAGGAGATAGGAAGATCAAAAGAAGGAATGAGCTCTTAATATCCAGGAGAGAAGGCAATGTAGAGGTTGAGTACCATTCTCAACTTCTTCACCTGCATGACTTTGGGACTGTTTGTGTAAAGAGAAATTTCTGTCATTGCTGCTGTACCTAATTAGAAAACATCTCCTCATTTTTCATCCTACCAAACTCTATTAATTCTTCCTGTTCAGTATCCCTTGGATTTACCTTCCCTTTTCTGCCATACTCTCTGAGAGCAGGCTTGTCTCATGGACCTCTGTGCCATCCTTCTTGCTCACTTTCCAAGCTTCCCACCCCTTCCCACAACTTGAATCTGAACCAGATTAACCTGTCATAAAATCTAGTTTGCAAACATGAAAAGCACTGTACGGTGAAAGCACCCCAATATGCATTGGTTCAAGTCAGAAACCTTCAAAAATGCAAGAAGTTTCATCAGGAGCCTCCATTCCCCAAAGCCAGCCTTTCCTTAAACCCCTCCAAATACACCTTGACAGTCTGAAGACTGTCCTCAGCCTTCGCTGCACGTTAGACTCATCAGGGAAGCTCTAAAAATGCTGAGGCCCAAGCTCGTTCCAGAGATTCTTTAATTAGGTCTGCAGCGGGTCAAGGCAAGGGTATATTTTAAAAACTCCCTTGCCAATTATTTCCTGGTTCTCTTTACTGCTCTATGGGATACTCATAAACCCTGCTCTGAGCCTTTGCTCAGCAATGCTTTCCATGCCTGAGACATTTTCCTTCTTCCTTTCTATGAATCTGAATGCCACATTTCCCAAAGGCCTAATACAGTCTGACTTTTTTTAGGAAGTCTTTCCAGACCACCCCAGTCAGTAATTATCTTCCTCATCTCTAAGTTCTGATAACTCTTACAGATGGCACTGCAAAATTCAGCCCTTAATTCAATCAATATGTGCCTTCGAGGAGTTTATAGTCATGGTTTGGTATGGTTGGTATGTGATGCACACAAAGCAGAGACAGCTGCATGTAGAAGGGCAGGGGAGCATGGAGGCCCCAGTACAGCCAGGAGGCCCCTGGAGCTTCAGGCAGCAGGACATGGGTCTGGATCTGTAGTCAGAGGGGAGGTCAGGAAAGAGCTTGTACACCAGCAAAAGATTGGATCCTGTGGTTCTCAAACCCTTATTAGTCCTGGAGCTGTGTTTCAAGGAAATTCTGCAGAAGAACAGCAGGTGGGTTCCCTCCTCACCTCCCCACCTCCTAGATATCCCCTTGTGGGTGTCACACAACTAGGACTTTGAAACAGTTTGAAAACCATTGTCATAAGCCATTGAGCTTCTCAAAGGCAAAGACATAGGTTTTCTATAATTATTTTATGTGAACAAATCTCAACTCTCCAATAGATTTACAACTCTTAAAGGCAAGAAACCTGCCTCTTATGTTTTCGCATCCCCTAGAGCACCTTGTCATTCTGGTGATAGAGTATAATAAAGAGTTAAAACACAAGCTTGAGGAAAGGAGGCTACCCACAGTTGGGAATCATAGAAGACAGAATTTCCAAAGGGCTATTAATCGTTTCAAGATTGATTTAAACATCTAAGTGGTACATGAGGAATAGAAGTGAGGTGACTTCCAAGAACTTGGAAATGCAGTTAGTTGCTCTTGAAGATTTAGGTTGGCAAAACTCATGCACAATGGCTGAAGTTAGCTATTATACTAAATGAAAGAAAACCATAGCCTAAAAGAGTTTCTGTGAGTGTGTGCCCAAAGAATTTGGGAACAACTCAGATTCGTTTCAAGGTGACAGGATTGAAATGAAATTGGATTTAACCAATGGAGAACAAATCAGCTGTTTTGTATACGGCCTGGAGAAGTTCTGTAGAAACAGAGAGTGAGCACACAGAAAAAGTGAAAACGCAGGATCAGAGGTTGGCTGTGTTTACCCATGACTTCCAGGGGAAAGAGAGACAACTGGGTGGACAGAAGCCACAGCAGTAGGGGAGCGTACCCTCTGTGAGGGTCTAACCGAGACCTGCATCTGCCAAGGTTTATGGCTGCAAACTCAGCAACTGACTCTGGACTATTTCAAGAAAACAGTTGGGAATAGCGGGTAGGGGGATGCTCTGTTGGATGGAGTAGTATGGAAAACCACAGAGGATCAATACAGGGACTGGAAACCAGGTTCAGAATAGATGAAAACCTGAAGGTCTTTGTCACAGAAGCTATTGCTCAGCTTCACCTGGGTGCTCTCCCCAGCATAAATAAACTCCAACCATACTTCCAGCATTCAAGACACAAAGTTCTGGGAGAGAGTATGATGGGTTAAGCTGAGGTCACATGCCTACTTCTCAGAGGAAGGCTCTGTTAGGAGGAGCCTTCAACCTTTAACAGAGGAGGGTACATATTGCACCAACCAATCTCCCAAAGCCTGAACATGATGGGAGAGAGAAAGATCCCTAAAAGGGAACTGGGGTGCTCAGTGGGAAAAGTCACTGGGCAGTCAATATCCACAACACAGTCTGAGGAACTCCAGGGTTGTTCTCTGGCCTTTGTCCTGACCCTGTGCTCACCTGGCCACCTTTTCACTTCCAATCCACCGTCCCTGCACTGGGGCAGAGGCTTCTTCCCTGACAGCAGTTGTAAACCTTCCTTTCCAAAAGAAGGAAGATCCCTCACTGTAAGTTAGCAGGATTGTCAATCAGCTAGGACCATGTTTACCTCAAGGCAGAGCTCCTGAGTCAGGTCTTGAGATGCGTGAGGGTGAAAGCCAGCCTCTGACAGACAGCTGGCCTCACCCACGAGCTCCACCTGGCTGCAAGCCTCTCCACGCTGTGGCAGTGACAGGCCCCACACTGCCAGTCTGGATCCAGAAATCTGCCACGAGGTTGACTTTCTTTGGATATACTTTGTGAATTTCCACTTTCATCCATATGAAATTAAAAATCCACCTACAAATTTTTCATCACAAAATAAAGTGTGCCTTTTCCAATCATTCCTGGACCGTCTGTTGCTACTTGAGTGATTTGCCCATCGTGTAATGGAGACTGGTTCCCTGTTACATCACTAACCATAAGCTTGAGGAAGTCAGTCCTATAAATATGCTACTCAGGCACGAATAAACGGGTCAATGACAACAGGTGCTGAGACTTCAGAGTCAGATATACTAAGGCTGCCATGATAATATTTATCTTTTGGATCATATCTAGAGTGAAAGGCCTTTTAACAAACCCTTGATTCGGTTTCCTTATTTTTCAGATGAGGAAACTGAAGCCCAGAAAGGGGAAGTGACTTGCTCAAAATTATCTAGCTCATAAGTGGAAGAACTAAGAAAACCTGATCTCATCCATCCTTTCCATTACATCATTACACTGTCTTTAAAAATCAGAAATTTCATCAACTTTCCAAGTCTCTTAAAATTAGTGAGTGCTCTCATCACTGACCCTTTGTATCCAAACAGGAGATGCTGATGCTGCACTTGCTTCAATATGATACTCAGTGAAAAGCTAATAATTAGCAAACTCAAGAATTGTAGTGCCCTGATAATTCACATTTCTGGTAATCTACTGAAAAAAAAATGGGTGGGCAAGATCTTTTTTAGAAATACATTATTACAAACATTCCTAAGTTGTGTGTGTGTACACGTGTGTGTGTGTGCACGTGTGTGTCAAACAGAAAAAGTAATTTTCCACCGTAGTAAATATCATCAATGTCAGATGCAGCCTCTGAAGTGAGGGCCCTGTCAAATCACATTTCTGCTGCATCACCTTGAGCAAGTTCCTTAACTTATTTGAAGGTCAGTTTCCTCTTCTATGAAATAAATAACCTACCTCAACTTGTTGTTTTCATTAGATAATCCACAGAAAACATTTGGCACAGTGTTTGGCCAATAGCAAGCCCTTGAGTTTTTTAAGTTCTTAAGTTATATTAACATAATGAAACCTTTGGTGTTTGCTTTTTCACAAGGCCCTAAGAACACCTCCCTGATGTTTCAAGGCATAGCACTGGTTCTCAAACTTGGCTTGTTTCGAATCACCTGGGGAGTTTTAAAAAGTGCAGGTGCCAAGGATACACTCCTGAAGATTCTGGCTCAATTAGTTTAAGGTGTACTTGGGACTTTCCCCCATTGTATAAAGCTCCCAGGGGACCTTGTATGCAGTAAAGTTTGAGAACCAGTGATCTACAAAACTGAACCTATAACCAGAGAACAGGCAAGACAAGGACCATCAAGCATTCAAGCTTACAGTCACCGCAACATCACTCCATCTCCCTACCTCATTAAGATCACACTGAGAAAGAACCTGTAGCTGCAGGTTCTTCCCCTGTCCCAGAGATCTCGAGTCTTCTCTTTCCAAAATATTTCAGATAAAAGAGGCCAGGCACAGCAGCTCATGTCTGTAATCTCAGCACTTTGGGAAGCCAAGGCAGGAGGATCTCTTGAGGTCAGGAGTTTGAGACCAGCCTGAGCAACGTGATGACACCCTGTCTCTACTAAAAAATGTAAAAATTAGCTGAGCATGGTGGTGCATGCCTGTAGTCCCAGCTACTCAGCAGGCTGAAGTGGGAGGACGACTTGAGTCCAGGAGTTCAAGGTTACATGGAGCTATGGTCATGCCACTATGTTCTAGCCTGTGTGACAGAGCGAGACCCTGTCTCAAAGAAAAAAAAGAAAGAGACAGAGAGATTAGCCTAAAATTGAACTAACTCCAGACCTTACCTGGTAGGTGATTTTGGAGTGGGGGGAGGGAGGTGGAGGGCATGTCAAATCTTTTCCCATTTTCTCCTACAAGAAGAGTAGCTTGGAAGAAAAAAACCCAGTTCACCAAAAGTACAGAGATGACTGTCCTGGAAATCAAGGGAGTCATTGTTTTATTTGCAATATGGAGTAATGTGTTCTTATTTATTCCTATAATTTTTTTTTTCCTACCTGTTAGTGAGGCCTTGAGTTTGGCTGCATTTTAACAAGACACAAGAGAATCAGAGGAAGCTTTTGACTGGGGCTGGACTTTGTTTTCCAGGCTTGCTGGGATAAAGGGGAATCAGGCATGTGATCTCCTTTTCCAGCTAATTTCACAGAAGACCTGGAAGAGGAAGGCAGCCTGGAGAGTCCCTATGAGGGTACCCACTGGCCCAGATTTTACCCTTTTGCTGGCCTGGCCTGAAGGATCCCAGCATGCTGCCACCAGGCCACTGCAGCTGTTCACGTGCCCCTGTTTGGGGAAGTGAGGCCTGGGAAAGCAACGGCGCAGGGTTATAGTTTGTTCCACATCAACGGAATCTTGACCTGAGAGCTGGCTTCCTCCTCTCAGCATGCTGGTCCTGGCAAGTCCCATCACAAGCCAGCCTTCCCAAAGAGGAACGCCTTACGGTTGGCTCCAGCCCCTCAGCTTCCTCTTTCTTCCCTAGTTCCCTTGCAAGGATGACCCCAGGGCCCCTGGTTCCCAGCAGCTCCAAGATGGTGAGAATCTGAAGTATGGCAGAACAGAACTGGGACCAATGGCCTGAAGCCAGCAGGAGGCTGATTTCAACTCAAGTAAACAATAACTTCCCAAGAGTCCCATCTGGGGGCAGTCTCAGTAGTTAGAGATCCACATCAGGGCAGGTGTTTACACAGGGCCATAGAAGAGATTCTGAAACCAGATGAAGTTTGACCAGTTGTTCTCAAAGATCCTGTCCCCACCAGAAAGTACATGTCTATGAATCTTCAAGTTAGCATCAATTCCCCAAGACAGAAATAGGAGTAAGAAATCATTTTCTTACTGTTTCAAACTTGTAAATATGAAACATTTCAATCATACTGACATGTAGAGAAAATAATATACTAGATCTGTAGAAGCCCATCACCAGAATGAAACATGTTTTGCCATATTGGCCTTAGATTGATCTCCCTCTCTCTCTCTCTCTCTTAGATTGATCTCTCTCTCTCTTTCTTTCTATCCACCCCCACCTTCAAAGAAAAGTATCCAGATACAACTAAAGCTCTATTTCTTCATCCTTTCCCTCCTTCTCCAAAGGTTACTATTAACCTGAAGTTGGCTTGTATCATTCCCATGTGTGTTTTTATTTTTTAATAAATATAAATGTATTAATAAAAATTATATTGTTTACATTTTAATTTGAATTGCATCTATATATGTATATACGTATATGTAACACATACCTGTCCTTTTACAGCCAACTTTTTCATTCAGCATTGTTTTAAAGTTTATACATGTTGATAGAAATTGGGTCTAGTACGTTTCTATTAACTGCTACGAAGTCTATTATTCAATTCCATTACCACATTCCATAAACCACAGCTTGTGGGCTATGTAATCAGCACTCTTTCATGTGTGTACATATGTTGTGTGTACACATATACATATACATGTGTGTATATATGTGTATCTATATGTGTACATACAAACACAAATCTGTATACCTGTATGATGGTTTCTCCAGGCTGTTTATCCAGGAGAAGAATTGCTATTTCATAGCAGAAATGCATCTTTGACTTCAATAGATACTGCCAAATTGTTCTCCAAAGTGACTGTACCAATTTACACTCCCACCAGGGACTTCCCTTACGGCCACATCTCACCATCCCTGTTGTCATCACACTTAATTAATTTTTACTAATCTGGTAGATGTGAATGGTATTTCATTGTTTCAATTTGCATATCCCTTATCATGGTGAAGCAGTTATAGTTTTGAGCCAAAAACAGAGTCTAATCCCTCCCCAGCCCACACACACACACACTCAGTGGAGGCAGAAGGATGCATGGGGGTGGGAATGAGCCCAGATAGTGAGGTTCCAGAGACCCAGGGCTGGAGCAAGGATTTTGCACCTCGGGGTCAAGCACAGATTAAAGTCAGAACAGAAGGCTGACTTCCAAAAGGACAGACCAAGGAGTTGCCAATGAGAAGTGGCCAAGACCAGGAGTAATAGCAGCTTGGATAGAGGCAGAACCCTGAAATCGCAGAGGTAGACAAGAGCAAAACACACTGGAGTCAACGGGAAATGGTCCAAGTTATTTCCTAAATAACAAAGGCAGTTGTTTGCAGCTGGCAGCTGGAGAGAACAAGATTGAGGTTGGGGCAGCTGAGCCCAAAGGAAGGGAGAATAACAAGTGCCAATGTCCCAGAAGCCCAGCCTGCCACTGTCATTCCCTGGCCCGCCATTACTCTCCACTGTGGATCCTGAGTGCCCTAAGTAACTCTCCATAGGTTCTGCTAAACAAAGCCCCTCAGGTCAACAGGCCAACAAATATGGGCCACACTTTGGTCTGAGAGTTTGGGGTTTTCATTTCTTAAGAGCAAACAACAACCAAAGCACTGCAGTGGGTAAATGACTTATTTTTGGCAAACTGTTTCTCCTTCTGGTGGCTTCTTTTCAAAACATGTTTTGGAAACATTTAACAGTCTTTCCCATAGCACTGCTTCTCAGGGAAGTTAAACAAAGCCAAATTGACCGACTGACTTCAAGTCATGTGTGCTAAAATATGCCTCCCGTATTAAAGATATTGGAGCTTTCTGGGACTAACTCATTTCCTCGGGGGACACCAGAGGTGTGGGAATCCCATACATCTCCATGCCCTTTTACCAGGAAAAACTCTGAGAAGCAGAGGCATCTATCAATGTGTGTGACAGATATGGTCTTCTTAACGGGGACAGGAAACCACTCTAACCTCAATGGGTCCACAGTTTCAAAGCCAACTTTCCCTTTGGCTCCCTTTTCTAAGGACAATAGTCAAGGAAGTGTCTAGAGAGACAAGCATAAAAGTGTGTTATGGCATCTTGAGGGACTAAGAAACCAAGACCCTGAGATCTCCTTTCCCTGATCTGACACCATGCAAGTATAAAATAGGATGAAGCCGTCAGTTCAGAATAGACTGTATTTAATAAAACTCTAGAAACATAAACAAGTGTCTGGAATTATTCTGCAAACCCAAGCTGTGTGAGGGTCATTTCTCACTATTCTGACCTTTTTAAGATAAAATGTGACAAAGATATACTACATTTCTGATGACTCTTGAATAACAAGGTCACGCATGACAGTATTGGTCATTTCTAATTCCTCTTGGCATTGGAATCTATCATTGAATACCTTTATCTTTAAAGTAAGTTTTAGAGCCAGTTTATTCATGCATTTGCCCAACCCCCCAACACACACAATAACATCGTGTTTATATAAGAATATCGGTCATGTCCTCTGGGATACCCAAATGCCACAGAGCCATTTCATTCAAGATTCTCAGTCGAGCATCTGCTATGAGTTGATTAGAAGAGGCTACAAGTAGGTCAGGGTCAGAAGGGTGCAGCTCACAAAGCATCACAGATGGTTCAAATGAAGAACCTTTAATGAATGGATCCCTCATAGAGTTGTGGGCCAGGTTGAGGGAACAGAACAAGAATGGTGAGGCACCCGGGGACCAACCACCAGTGGGAAGTGACAGCCACACCAAGGCTGAAGGGACACCAGGAGGAAATAGTGTTACTGGAGCCCAGTTGAAGCTGGAGTCCTGAAGGATGGCTGCCAGTGGGAATTGAGGTGATGGAGGGGCGCAGCTAATGTCAGAGACCCAGAACAGAGAAATATGCCAATGTCTCTTTCCTCCCACCCTCAGATCTCCTGCTGGGTTCCCCCATTTGTTAAACCCAACTGGAAGCCAGCTGGCAAGGATGGCTGAGTGATGCAATCCTTAGGTGTCAGCCCCCACTGGCCACAGAGCAGGGTGGGGAAGAGAAAGAATAGATCAGGAGCTGGAAGGCACTGGGGGTGCCTAATGACTAGCAGGGTGGCTCATTTCCCATCCCACTGTGCTTCCCGTTTGAATCAGCTGCATCCCTCGGTCACAAGGCACACACAGCAAACTCAGCACAAATCCTTTCTTGATCTCTTGATCAATTAGCTCATAAATCCTCCTGATCCATGGTCAGTCTCCACATTTCTTAGGGGAAAGATAGTCTAATTCAGAGTCATTTAATTCAGGAGTTAATCAGGCCGGGCACGCCTGTAATCCCAGCTCTTTGGGAGGCCAAGGTGGGCAGATCACCCGAGGTCAGGAGTTCAAGACCAGCCTGGCCAACATGGTGAAACCCCATCTCTACTAAAAAATACAAAAATTAGCCGGACATGGTGGTGGGTGCCTGTAATCCCAGCTACTCCGGAGGCTGAGGCAGGGAGAATTGTTTGAACCCGGGAGGCGGAGGTTGCAGTGAGCCAAGATTGCGCCATTGAGTTCCAGCCCAGGCGACAGAGCAAGACTGTCTCAAAAACAAAAAAACAAACAAACAAAAAGAGTCAATCAAACAAGAGTTTCCCTTATAACTTGAATAAGGTCATATCCAATTAGGCAGGTGAGGACCCATACTAGGCTCAAGCAGCAAATTCCATTTCTCCAGACCAATTTGCTTCTGGTTTTCAGCAGACAGGAGGGGGCTCTCTGTTCATTTTCTGGAGAAATGGCCTCGGATAGGCACCAGGCAGTTACTTTGTGGGAATAATGATGGGAATAATGGCCAGCACTTAGCCCTTACCAAGTAGAGGCACTGTTCCACAGGTTTGGGGTATGTGTTGGTTGTTCCCCACTTGCTGAGGCACGAGATCAGAGGGTGAAATGGGGAGGTGGGGTACTGACTCTTCTGCTCCTCTGGCTGTGTTGGCAGTGGCTGCCTGCCTCTCCCTGTGCCCACAGCTCCCCAGCTAAGGGCCCCTCTCCCAGGGCTACACTTCTCCCTGAGTTTTGAGAAAGCACTCCTTCTGCTTGCCCCTTCAGATCTGGGATGATAACAGCTTCTCTTGCAGGTTTCTCCATCCCTTGTTGGTTCCCAAACCCTACCCACACCTCTGTAGATTGTCTTTTCATTAAACCTCTCCTCCATTATCCCTTTCAGTGTGTCATCTGCCTCTGGTGGTTCCCTGGCTGGTACAATGTACATAAACCAGGTTAATGACGCTGAAGATCCCTACTAGAGCCCCACATTCACAAGTGCACCGTGGGAACTGATGCTAGCAAGTATGATTCTGTTTCCTCCAGGGACATAGTGACAAGATCTGCCTTCAGCAAAGACACAGCATACTTCATCTTGCATTCTTTTTTCACAAAAGGAGTGGCAAACCCAGAAATAGGCTGAGTAATCACTATCTTGAGAGAGTATTTGGCATTCAGAGAAAAACACCAGCTTTGGGATCAGCCTTCCCCAGCTCTCCTACCTACATCTGGCTGATATCGGGCAAGTTACCACTCTGGGCCTCAATATCTTAGTCTGTTAAAGAGGACAAAAATATCTAGTCTACAGGGTTATTAAAAAGTAACAAATTTTAAATGCCTGGTCCAGAGTATGTCTTTAATAAATCTAAATTCTCTCCCCTTTTACTTTAAGGTTTCCATTGTTTTCTCTCGGGTCCTGGACTTGCCTTTGGGTCTCAGAATCCTCCTCCTGTTCTCCTCCTTAACATGAGTTGAGTTCACTTTACCCAACCATCTTGAATCCTTAAGTCCCAAGGGCTTCATTCTTAGACTGTAATGGGAGGATGGGTTTCTCAATGATTCTAGGTACCAGCGATTTTCCTTGTGATGTAACACACATGCACACACACACACACACACTTGAGCACACACATGGAAACCTGATCCAGGACAAGCTCATTCCCACTTATGACTCATGCTTCCATTCAGATAATAGCAACTGGTCTCCAGAGAATATTACAGGGGATAAAACGGCAGGGAGAACAAATGGATCAGAGTGAGAACACTTTTTGGAAATAATAGTCACTAAGGGCCCAGGGAGCTGATGCCTGGCTTGGCTAGAATTTAGTAGGTATTTCTTCCAAGGCAATTTTTAATTGGTGCTCAGTTCTTTGTGGCAAATTCAAGAGAGTTTCCAATTAGTTCAGTCATGACCATGGGGTGGAACCAGTCCGGGCTTCCTCTTCTAATGATTAGATCTGAAATGATGAAGCCTATGAAATTCCAATTTGGAGTTCTCCAACAAGCCATCGCCAGCCTTCATACTTTAGGAAAACATTTCAGGCAGTGGTTCTCAAATTTTCATTCACATCAGAATCACATTCCCAGAATCACAATCATATGCCCCATCCAATGATTTTATAATTGCCCTTGCATTTTTAAGAAGCTCCCCAGATGATCCTCATGAATATTAAAGACTGATAACAAATGATGCTAAGGGACTTAAAGAAGAGCTGTCCCATCCCCTCAGTGCACCTGCCAGATGAATTAGAGAAAGGCGATCTGTCACTGGTGAACACACCCACGCACGTTGCCACTGGCTGATGACTAAGGCAGCAGCAGGGATGAGCCAAGGGATATTTCTCTCTGGCTTTCAAAAGGAGCTTCTCTCTGACTTATTTCTTGCAAAAGATTTGGCAGACACATTCAATACGAACTTTCCACATAATAAAATTTCTCGTGGACAACTGATGAAGTGTGTTGCTTGGTAAGTGAAGAAAGCATAGAGTGTAGGCAGCAAACTGGGTCTCCATTTGGAGAGTGAGGGAGCAATTCTGGGTGAGGCAGAGAGTGAGCATATGGCAGAAGCACAGATGTTAGAGCTGGAAGACTCTGGGCTGCCTAAATTTATATTCTGCCTTCACAGTGTTGCCCTGCCTGCCTAGGTCTCCACACTTCCAGCACAGTGGCCACAAGCCACACGTGGCCATGAGCCCTTGAAATATGCCTGGGCCATATCAAGATGTGACATAAAACACACACCAGCTTTTGATGAGTTATTACCAGAAAAAGTCAATTAGGGCTGGGCGCAGTGGCTCATGCCTGTAATCTCAGCACTTTGGGAGGCCAAAGTGGGTGGTTCAGGAGTTCAAGACCAGCCTGGCCAACATGGTGAAACCCCATCTCTACTACAAACACAAAAATTAGCCGAGCATGATGGCGCCTGCCTGTAATCCCAGCTATTCAGGAGGCTGAGGCAGGAGAATCACTTGAACCCGGGAGGCGGAGGTTGCAGTGGGCCCTCAGAAAAAAAAAAAAAGTCAATCAATAAAATCTCTCAATAATTTTTCTAGTGATTACATGTAGAAATGGCATTTTTGATATACTAAGTTAAATAAAACATCTGTTATTAAAATCACTTTCAGCTACTTATTTTTTATTCCCTGTGACTCACAGAAAATTTTAAATCATGTATGTGGCTCCCATTTTGTCTCCCATTGTATTTCTAGTGGACAGTGTTGACCATACTAATATTTACCTGATTGTTTTTTCTTTAAATTTGACTTACCTTTTTTACCTAACTAAACTTAGTCTTATCCCAGGTACCAATAACCATGAAATCATAAGTTTGATGTGCCAGTTAAATTTTTTCTAATAAGCATTAAAATAAATATATAAAATAGCCTGTCCATCCACTACCTAAATTTGGTTTGTGTTTTGCCAGTGGTACCCAAAAGCGCATTTGGGGAAACACGCGTCTAGTCTAAGCCCTTTGACACCTAGGAAGAGGGAAAGAGAACATGGGGTCCGAGGCAGAGGCAGCCAGGGCTGTTTAGTTTAGTATCATCTGTGAGTTGCAGGGGGTTGGGATTACCTGGGGCTTCCAGCTGCGGGAACAGCCCCCCACACAAACAAGCTCCCAGTCACTCGCGGGCATGGACCATAGATTGCGTGACTCTCAGCACAGAGGGAGTGGCTTCTGGTCACACTCTCTGGGCTTCCACTCAGCCCTGGCATTTCATCACGTAGGCGCCGTTCTTAAAGGGCCAGTAAGAAGTGCAGCTTGCTTTTGAGTAATCGTGGAGGCAGGCCATGCCCTTCAATAACCCCTGTCTGCCCCGCTGCCTGTCAGACCACCACCGGCTTCCCTCTGCCTCTCCCTCCCCCACCCCCCACCAGCACTGCTTCTGGGTGGTAGTTGCCATTGCCACAGTTCAAGGCTCCTTTGGCTCACAGCCTGATATCGGGGGAGGAGTTTGGTTTTGTCCTTTGGCCACAGTCCTCCTGAGAGGCTGTGTGAGCCCCTTGCCTTGGCCAGGGGTAAGGATCCTCCCACGAAGATGAGAGGCCAAACCAACAGCCCTGTCCCACAACTTTTTGTAACCCCCTAACCCAGCAGGTGCTTGATCAGTGCAAGTGAGGAGCCAGCCAGGGCCGGGGTGGTAGCGGGGGGGGGTGGGGGGGGTGGCAGTAGGTTCCTACTGTTTCTGCCTAGATCTCCCCTCCAACCAGCAATGTTTCCTCCTGAGGAGGAGGAGGAGGAGGCTTGGGGCCAGTCCCAGCAGCCAGGACTCAACACAGGTGCAAAGTGAGAGAACTCTGGCTTTCCTCAGAGGAGCCTTCTAGAACATTTTGGGCCCTTTAAACTGGCCCCCGCAGGAGGTCCAAAACAGTCTCCTCACAGACATCAGGGCACGCCCAGCAGTGGTCCTGGGCAGCTCCCCGTTTTGTCAGTCTTGCTGTTGCTTCCCCAGCCTCCCTGGCGTTCTCATTCCTCAGAGCTCCCGTCTGCTCTCAGTCTTCTTCATGTCTCAGGCCTGCCCCGATGGCCACTTTCAGCTAACGTGATTTCAACCTTCACCCAATAACCAGATATAAGCTCCTCACAGCCCCAGCTGAGATATTCCCTGCCCCAGAGCGGACGGCGGGAAGCCCACCAGTCAGAGCAGCTCCCGCCTCCCTGACATGACAGAAGAATGCCCTGCCCAGAGCCCGGCCTGTCCCCTCAGAAGAGAACTTGAATGGCTGCACCCACACACAGGGCTGGCAGGGCTATCTAGTTCCTCAGGAACCCATCTGAAGACCAAAATGGGAATTTAGTGGGAGTCCTGGCCTTCAATCCCAGCTCGGCCTCTATTTACTCATCTTTAATATTTTTTTGTTTGTTTTTTTGTTTGTTTGTTTTTGTTTTTTTGAGACAGACATCTCACTCTGTCACCCAGGCTGGAGTGTAGTGGCCCCATCCGGACTCACTGCAACCTCCGCCTCCCAGGTTCAAGTGATTCTCCTGCCTCAGCCTCCTGAGTAGCTGGGACTACAGGCATGTGCTGCCACACCCAGCTAATTTTTGTATTGTTAGTAGAGATGGGGTTTCGCCATGTTGGCCAGGCTGGTCTCGAACTCCTGACCTCAAGTGATTCACCCACCTTGGCCTCCCAAAGTGCTGGGATTACAGGCATGAGCCACCATGCCTGCCCATTTATTCACCTTTAAATGGGCACTGGGATGTTGTGAGGTCACGTAGAGTTGAAGTGTGCAGCTTGAAATGCTAAGGAGATGAGGGAACACCAGCAAGGAATCCAAACTGTTTGTGCCTTACCTCCATGAAAATGATAACAATAGTGAATAACCCTGGAGCAGTTACAATATGCCGCCTGTTCTTAGCAATGTATCACCTCATACAATCTTCATCACAACCTGAGGGAAAAGATTCAGAGAGGTTAAGTCACTTGCCCAAGGTCACACAGCTTCTAGGCAGCAGAGCCAGTCTGTCCTTAACCTGAGTGCACTGCCTCCTTCCCTGTGCCTTGTAAGAGATGGCAGAAAGGGAGAGGGGGAACCAAGGAGAGGGAAGGAGGAAATATATTCAGTGCAGCTGCCCCAACGTCCCTCAAGGACAAGCACAAAGGGGTGGTGTGGACAAGCATAATGCAATTGGCCCAGGTGGCTTCCTCTCATTTGTCCCTCTTATCACCACAGTCCCACACTCAGCAGAGTCCCCTCAAGGTCATGCACCACACGCCTGTCCCCAGGGGTCTGTGACAGGCTTTCAGGGTCTGTGCGGTTGACAGCTTGAATTTGACAAGATCTGTGCTGAAAATGAAGCCCCTTAACTGACACAGAAAGCCACCCCCGGCCCTCCCTGGGGGCCCCCCGTGATGGATGGGCCTCTCTCTGAGGCCTCAGTGGGCCGGCTGGGGAGGACCGAGGTCCTCAGGGCCTCGCTGGAGCTGGCAGGAGGTCAACTGCTGTCTGAATGACTGCTCTGTGCCAGCCGCCTCTCTCTTCCTCAGCACAGGCCAAGGTCTGTCTTTGGCAAGCTCCACACGCCCCAGAGGGCTGGGCACACTCCTGCCCCGATGCTCCCCTTTCTCTCTGCAGGGACAGGCCATAGACCCCACTTCCAAACCCCATTTCTCCTCACAGCCCAGGGCCTGAAGGGAACCCGCTGGATGCAAAGCCGAGGTAACCTCTCATCCTATTGTGCCATTCCTTGTCCACCTCCTATAGACACAGACACACACACACTGTCACAAAACGACAAGATGGTATGCATGCCGCACCTAAAGGGAATCAGGGAATGAATTCATTCATTCACTGATTCATTTATTCAACAAATTTTTGCCTGGCACCTTCTAGATACCAGGCCCTGCTGTGGGCACAGGGGACATAACAGGGATGGAAATAGATGTGTCCCTGTCCTCAGGGAGCTGACTATCTGGTAGCAGTTTTGCATGCGGGAGCTCCTGGGAAGAAGAAAATGCTACAGGATTTTTAGAGGCCATGATCCCAAATGCAAAGGATAAGGCTGTGGCAGGGCAGCACTCCCCACTCGCAGCCTCTGTCTTGCTTTCTTGCCTTCTCAAGGTATTTGCTACTCAGCGAATTCCCTGACTACAGGTTCTCCAAACCAGTTGTGTTCAGAGTCTGGCTGTGAGTATCTTAAATATACAGATTCCTATAAACCTACTCCTAGAGATCCTTCTTCTGTAGGTCTCCAGTGGAGTCCAGGAAACTGTATTTGTAAAAACTTTCCTAGGTGACTCTGAGACATATGCAGGTGTGGGAAACCCTTACACTTAGCTCTGAGTTCCTTATTTGTTACACTTTTTTTTTGTCTTTTTTTTTCCTTTTTGTGGAGAACGGGGTCTTGCGACATTGCCCAGGCAGGTCTCAAACTCTTGGGCTCAAGCTATTCTCCCACCTCTGCCTTTCTAAAAGCTGGGATTACAGGCGTGAGCCACCGCGCCTGGCCCGAGTTCCTTATTTGTCTAGGTATCTGTAGGACCTAGATCAGTGTGGGAATGAATGAATGAATGAATGAACAGACAAATACATGTTTGAGGCATGTTTGGAAGCTTGCATGTGGCTGTGGTCAGCAGTAGAGGCTTAGAGGACTGGTAAAGCAGTGTGGCCCAGAGTTGCTGGGCTTACTAATACCACACGATGGGTACACAGGATGGGGGCAGGATGTGGGTCCCGAAGCCAGCAGGCCTGGGCCATCTTGCCAGTAGAGTCAGATGAGCTCAGTGTATGTGGAGTGCTGATGACTCAGAGGAAAGTGGAGTTCACAGTCCACAGCCATCTCGGAACATCTCAGAACGTCCCACAGCCCATCTGTGCCAGGTCACCCAGAGATGGAGGTGGACAGACAGTGTGGGATGGCCCTGCACCCTGAAACTCCCAGGCACTACCTTGCATTGTCAGTTTCTAATTTTACACACACTGGGGAGAGGTCTGCTGTGGGCCAGGCTGGCCACCAGCGCTGGGTAAGTAGGGACTGGCCTAGCCACAGGCCTCAAGGATGCCGAAGTCTGGTGGGGGAGACAAGCATGGAGAGAGACAGAGATGGCAGAGGCCAGGACAGGAAGCCTCTGGGCATCCTGGCTGAGGACAGGGTGGCACACCCAGAGGAGAGTGAATCGTGGAAATGCCGAAAGCTAAAGAGAAGGTAGGAACCCTAGGGCTGGGGTAAAAATGTATAGGGTTCAGTTGGAGAGTGATGTGGAAGGATTCCCACACTGAGATTTCAGTGCAGTTTCAACCACTTCCTAGCTATGTGACCTCAGACTTGACCTCCCAGAGCCGCAGTTTCCTATCCCATAAAATAAGAATGATAATAATTCCTACCTCTCAAGATTATTGTGTTGACAACACAAGAAATCAGGTGTGAGAACATGAGCACACAATACGTACTCAATAAAATGGAACAACAACAACCACTCACTGAGCCCTTTTCATACACTTCTCATATGTATAACACAACCTGAAGGAACTGTCTGTCCTTAGCCCCAGCTTTCAGATAAGGAAACAGAGAAGAGAAGGAGATAAATGGTGAAGCCAGAACATGAACCCAGGTCTGTCGCATGCCGGAGGCTTCACTGTAATACTAAGCCATAAGCAAATATATTTTTGAAAGAGAGGATGTTCAAAAATCATAGTATCTCTGATTATCATGATAATCAAAAGTAGCAGCTTATTGGAATTTCATTCAGGATTAGAAAAATTGGTCTGTATCCAGAGGATACTACTAATCTCTTCCTTGTATTGAGGACTTACTGGGTGCAAGGCACTGTACCAAGCACTGTTAGAACACCACACAAAACACCTTGGTTTATTATTTTATAGATATACCAAGAGGGACTTGAAAAGATTAAGTGCCTCCCTAAGGGCATTCGGTAAGTGAAAATGGCTAAGCCAAGATTTGGACGGAAGGCTCCTAGTCCTTGTTGCCTTGTTCCAGTCCAGTCCTGCTGTACTGCAGATTCCCACCAGAGATCACAGAGCAGAACATGCAAAAGGTAAGACTCCTGGGACACATGAGGTATTTCCCAGATGATATCCTCACTGGGACTGGTATCAGACTTGGTGGAGGTGAGAAGGAAGAAAAAGAAAGGGAACAGAGACAGAGTCCAACCCCAGGGTGAGCCGCTGTCCTTTCTACAGGCCACCAAGAAACTCCTGCTGCCCTGATTGACCTCTGTTAGAGCTTCAGGGACAGGGTGTAGGAAGACACCTTCCTACATGGAAGCAGCAATTAGAGGGACTCTAGAAATCTCATTTCACCGCAGGTGTCCATCCCTTTCTGGTGGCATTGATAACTTTGTGATGGCCCCATCTGCTTTGGATGGCTTCTCCATAAACTCCAGGCACGTCAGATTTCTTTTGTCTGTATGGGTGAAAGGCCATTTGTTGTTGTTTGCTGGTTGGCTGGTTTGGTTTCTTTTTTGAGATGGAGTCTTGCTCTGTCGCCCAGGCTGGAGTGGAGTGCAGTAGCATGATCTCAGCTCACTGCAAGCTCCACATCCCAGGTTCACACGATTCTCCTGCCTCAGCCTCCTGAGTAGCTGGGACTACAGGTGCCCGCCACCAAGCCTGACTAATTTTTTTTTTTTTTGTATTTTTAGTAGAGACAGGGTTTTACCGTGTTAGCCAGGATGGTCTCAATCTCCTGACCTCATGATCCACCCACCTCAGCCTCCCAAAGTGCTGGGATTACAGGTGTGAGCCACCGCGCCTGGCCAGTTTGGTTTCTTTTGTCAACTAAAAATGAAATGCAGGCCTTCTAAACTGACGCTGGATGTGGAAGCCCACTGACAGGTGGGTTCCTTCCCTCTCCCCATCTAAAACCTCCCATCCATCCATGATGCCTGTCCTTCCAACCTCATGAGGTGGCTTTGGAGAAGAAATGAGGTCATTTAAAGCATTACAACAAAACAAGGGAGTTTTTGTTTGGTTTGGGATTTGGTTGGTTTTTCCCTTGTTTTAAGTCATGACACTGAGCAGTATTGCCTCTCTTTCAATGGGTAAGGTAAGCACTTAATTCTGTAGTTCTAACTGAGGAATATGAAGGCCTGAGCTGGGATGTTGCTGAGCATGTGTGTCTCACATGTATGTGTGTGCACGTGCACACACACACACACTCTTACACAATTAGCCAGACAGACTTCCAACATGCCCCTCCATCATCACCCAGGTAAGACAAGTGAAGGGAGAATTCAGAGACAAGAGATTTTCCTTGCTCTTGTGACCCTATTGGCAGAAACACTGGAGGCCTAGACATTTCCACAGCTCCAGTGGTCCCACTGCTTGAGGTGAAAGTAGGAGAGAAGAGGAGAGGAGATTTGGCCTTCACCTCCCATGCCCCTGGGAAGTAGGGCAGTCAGAGGCAGCTCATCTGGAAACTGAGCCTTTGTGAAGTCCAGCTACAGCCTTGGAGATGCTGGTGGAACATACCCACAGCCATGCTCTGATTCTTCACAGCTGCCACAGCTAACCATTGCTTTTGCTCAGTGAAGACCTCACATGGAGAAGGAGCAGAATGTCAAGCCTCAAGTGTTTGTTTCTTTTTTTTTTTTTTTGAGACAGAGTCTCGCTCTGTCGCCCAGGCTGGAGTGCAGTGGAGCGATCTCAGCTCACTGCAACCTCTGCCTCCGGGGTTCACGCCATTCTCCTGTCTCAGCCTCCCGAGTAGCTGGGATTACAGGCACCCACCACCATGCCTGGCCAATTTTTGTATAGTAGAGATGGGGTTTCACCATGTTGGCCAAGCTGGTCTTAAAATCCTGACCTCAGGTGATCCGCCCACCTTGGCCTCCCAAAGTGCTCAGATTACAGGCGTGAGCTACCATGCCCAGCCTGTTTCGATGTTTTTTATAGATTCCCCCCGCCACACCCACAAGCTGCCATTGCCTTTAGGTAGGACAAATGTCCTCTCTTCTCACTTATCTTAGACAATTCCTTAAATCCATCCCTCTACTTTGACTAAAATATAAGCTAAGTCTGGAAAAGCTCAGGCCAGGAAGCTGTGTAAGTGATATCATAAATGTTCTACTCATGGATATAAATGTCTTAGGGCTTTGTCCCCTTCCAGCAAAAGTCAGGCCATTCTGTGGAAAGAAAGGTTAAATGAAGTGAAAATTAGTGACTAAAATGTTCCTCTTTCTTTAGTGAGAAAAAGCAAATCTGCATTTAGCAGCTTTTCTGCTGTCCCAACTCCAGGTATTTAACTGGAGCTAACCACTTTTGAAGTGAAGAGAAAAAGGGAGAGAAGTGAACCCAAGGATGGGAAAGGAGACAGGGCGAGACACCAGAAGGATGGCTGAGCCTGTTATGCCCAAAGCACCCTCATTCTAGAGCTGCATCTACGGGACTGGTAGTTCTCCTTAAGAGAGAGAGAACCACCGTTGAATTATTTGTAGGGACAGGGCAGAGATCACCCACTCCCACCACATCCACACAAGGGGGAGAAAGTCCCAATGTCTGAAAAACAAAAACTTATAAATAGGGAAGTGTCTGAGGCTAAGAAAACCAGCAGACACCTGACAATTTTCCTTACGCAAATCTCAACTAGTATACCAAAACAAGTGACTAAAGCTGGCATCACTTATGAAGAAGTTGACCTCTGTTTTCTACAGTCAGATGACTAGAGTCAGAGTCTTAAAAAACAGGAAGTGCCAGATGTAGTATCAAATGACCCAGACAGTGAAAAGTAAGGCAGAAAACTAAATTGGAAGACAGGAAGTCACAATCACACCACAAACAATACAGATATTTGTCTGAGATATGCTTGGCGGGGTGCCTTATCACGGCCAGAAAATGGAGGAGCACGGCCGAGATGTTTAGCAGAGGCCAGGCCACCAGCAAGGGCCAAACTGACACCCTCCTGGAAACCTCTTCTCTGCAGCTGAGAAAAACTTCAGGGCTTATATTGCTGGATGAAAGTGCCATTTGCAGGCTTAAGGCCAAATACCATTACTAAGCCCTGGGATTTAGCTCCTGAAAGAAAATCTCTGGCCCTCCCCCACCCCACCTCCTCCTTGCCCATCGTAAGAGTAGTGGCCCTCTAGTGTTTCTGGCAATGATTCCTCCTCCAGGTAACAGCATGTTCACCTTGCCCACCCCTCCCCTACTCTCAGTCTCCACTCAGCTGATTTGAGTTGGCCCATGATGCTGACAGCAAACCCCTGGTCATACTGACTGATTCAGGAGTTACCCTTTTGGAGCCCACAAACATGACTCCTGAGATTCTGCTGGAACTATTGGGAAATATAAGCTGTTCATCAACTGGAATTACTAATCTGGTAGCACAAAATCTTAACAGCTGCCAGAAGCTACCATGTGGACAGAACCTGCTGGGGAATTAAAACCAACACAAAGGAAAGCAGCACAATTAACACAGAGAAAAAAAAGAGACTTTGTCTTTAGGATTTGATTCCAAACTCCTGGATCCATCTTTACCTGAAGCTAGGCCACACTGCTGGATGTTTCAGCAGTGAGTCCAATCATCTCTTCTGATGGTTTCAGCTGGGAATCTGTTCAAAGAGTTATAATACAGTAAGCAAAGGGTCTAGTTTCTGGTCTTTATGAGGTATTCAGCAGGACCCTCTCTCCTCTTCATTTGTACTGATTGTCTGCAACTATATTCACCATGAGCCTTAAGCGAAACTTCTTTGTCTCTCTGAATCTTTTCTCCTCTGGGATAAAGAGGTTCAACCAGAACAGGACTCTAAGGTCCTATGCTGAAATGATGATTCCAGAACTTCGTGATATTCTCCTGAAATGTTTCAGATCCATTAAAGCTCAGAATACACTCAACTTTACATTCCAGTGAATGATTTCTATACCTTTTCTATATAGCCCAGAGGGTCAGTATTTGCCTGGACACTTTTTCAATATTACAGAAAACAAGTAAGAAAAATATAAGTTATCTGGAAAATATTGGTTGAGGAAAGTTCTTCAACTAAACATTACCTATGACTCTCTTCTCTAAAATCGAGGTGGCCAAAAGCCACAGGTATCGGAGATGTAAAAGTACTGCCCGTTTCTGCCACCCAAGATTTCTGTGGTCCCTGGGTAGGTGGTAGACTGCTAGTACCACAGACAATATGTGAAGGCACAGTCCTCAGGAAAATACAAGTTCCTTTAAAAAAATTTTTTTGAGACTGTGTCTTGCTCTGTCACCCAGGCTGGAGTGCAGTGGTGGGATCACAGCACTGCAACCTCAAAGTTCCTAAATTTAATTGTACACCTTTTTGATGAACTTTTTATTATCCAAAATTATTTAGGCTGTAAGTGACAAAAACACCAGCTCAAAATGGTTCAGACAAAAAAGCTTATTAATTTGGCTTGTGTAATTTTTTAAACGATCCACATTCAGGTACCCAGGTGCTCAAACACTGTCTTCAGGAACATGTCTCTCTCCCTCTGCCTCTTGGTTTTACTTTATTCTCTGGGCAAGCTCTTCTTATTTATTCATGTAGATAATCTACCAGCAGCTCCAACTTTATACCCTACCAAGTTAGCAGCCCCAGAGGAAAGCAAGCACCTCTTTGTCAATAGTTACATAAAAAACCCCAGAGCTAATACCCATCGGTCCAGCTTGACTTATATGTGTCCATCTCTGAAACAAGCACTATGATGCCAACTGGCCGGACCTAGGTCACACACATATGCCAGTACTCCAGAGGGTGGGGTCAGCTCTATCTGGCCCACACATTGGCTAAGGCTGAGGAAGGGATGCTGACCCCAAGGAAAACTAGAATGCTGCTTCTAAAGGAAGGGGAAATGGATGTGTGGCAGGGAAAAAACAAACACTGCACAGCTCTTGAGCCAAATACAAAAGGCCCAGCCTGGGGTGCAGTATGTTTCCTTCTAAATGGAGGCATCATTCTTTTCTCAAATGGGAGTAAAAAGCCCTATAGAGGGGTAGTGAAGAAGACACAGGAGGTCAGCTCCGTGGGCTGGAATTGAGGGTCAACACAGGCATTTGTCCCATGTGAAACAGCAACCAGTGCTTTGCAGGGCTGTGGAAAAGTTTCATTATTATGTATGAGAAGAACCTAGGAGGCATCTGATGTTGTCAAGGCTGTGCCCTGAGATGTGTTTGATGCCTTCCCTCTGCTCATTCAGGCCCCCATCTGCCTGGACCATTAGGCACTGCCACCATCATCTATGTGGTTAGACAGCACACATAGACCAGGGCCAGCCACTGCAGAGGTAACCGGCACTACCAGGCATCTCACAAGAGCATTGGCATTGAATGGCCTCTCTTTCTATCATGACCAGCTCAATTCCACTGATATTCCAGCTGGATCATGGCAAAGGCCTATTGACGAAAAACAATAGGGCTAGATCAAGGCTCTGGTGCACCTGAGTCACTGTGAGTCATATCCCCTGGAGGACCTTCTCAGCTCACCATTGTCATTAGTTAAAAAGACTCACGTAAGTCCGGCACACAGGAATGTCAAGTAGCAGCCAAGTTTGGGGGTGTTGTCCTTTGGCTTGGAAAATAATTCTCCACTAAGAAGTCCACTGATAATGGCACTCAAATGTCCCCCAAAGGTTGTTAATTTTAATTAGGGAGAATTTAAACTATAGCATCCGAAGGAATGACTAATATTTTAAAGAGTATGAGGTATTTGGTTTGCTTTGCCAGTCTTGTTTTAGCAATTTTGGTCATTCCTAATCTTCTGCAAGGACTTCCAAGGCTGAGTCTTAAGTCTGGCAAAGCAGAAACCACCCTGGTGCCTCCAAATTTTCCACCACCTTCTTCTTCACAGTATAAAATTGCCCAACCACCGTCACTCACGGACCCCTTTGTCCCCTTCTCTTCCCCTCCACCCCATAGAAGTTTGGCTGACAACCACGGTAAATGCTAATGGAAGAGATGTTGTAACTAAATGGCAGTGCATTTATATCTACATGTGTCTTCTGCAATATAAGATAAACAGACTAATCTTCCTCACCAAGCTTAGAGGGATAACGAACAAAAATTATAGTTGAGTAACCTGCCAACATAAATATTTCACAAAAGCTAAGCCACAGTAAATGGAGCCAAATTGTAGAATTGGAGTGGGACTTTCCAACAAAGATCTCCCTGAAGCATTCTCAAGTTCATTCTCTTAATAGAATAATTTCCAGTTATTTTGATATTTGGTTTTTCTAGATTTACTACCATTTTTACCATACTGATGAAATAAGTACTAATATTCATTTGCATAAAACAGCGATTTATTAGACACATGCAATGTGCCAGACATTATGCTAAACACTTTATATGGATTATCTCCTTTATCCTCAGAACAATTTTATGAGAAGGGGCTTCATTATCACCATTTTGCAGATAAGGAAATTGAGTCTCAAACAGGTGATACGATGTGGAGCCAGGAATCAAACACAAGCATCTCACCCATGGCCCATGTTCTTAACAGGGTTCATACCACATTTCCACATATGGGAAGAATCTGTGGCCCAGAGTGGTTACATTAGAGCACCTCCTCCCCTGAGAGCCACACAAGGGCCCATACCACCTTCCAGTTCATGGCTCCACCTTTGTCCTGCTCTCACAACCTTCCCAGACCTGGCCTATACCCACGTCTCCATCACTTTCCCATTCGCGGCTGCACATTTTCTTCTCTGTCCCCATCCATCACTCAGTTCCCCACCACCCCTAAATGAAATACACAAGCCAAACTTACTCCCACTGCTAGGCTTTTCTGCAAGCTGTTTCCTTCCCTGGAAGGCCTGCCTCCTCTTCGCCACCATTGGAGACCCTGGGTCAAGTCCCATCTCAAAACACCACCTTCTTACACAGCCCTCCTACCCTCTCTACCTCCTAGAAACTCATTTGAAGCTTAAATACTGCCTTCTGATATTGGTTAGCTTTGAATGCACACATATTATTAGCCCAACTAGCTTGCAAACTGCTAAACAGCATGAAACACACAGCCTGGCTCCTTTGAGTCACTTTCGCACCTAGCACAGGGCCTGGCTGCATCACTCAGCTCAGCCCCAAGGCAGTCAAGATAATTGAGTGCGTTCCAGCTGCAGGGGTATTTGGTATATATAAGACATCCCACATAACTGTTGGTTTGTGCTTGATTACCGTAACACAGCCCAAATCAATCCCTGAAAAGGGACAGGCCACAGTAGAACCAGTTCCCAGCTGTGACACCCACGTGGCCGCCCCTCACAACAGTGTGTCTGGGGCTTGTGGGAAAGCCCTAGGAATAGCCAGCTGTTCTTGCACATTGGAAGCTAAGGCAAGGATGCTACATTGGCCTTGGGGTGGAAACATGTACAGCATGCTTCTCAGATCCTCTCCGATCCTGAGTGTTCGAAAAAAATACCACTTACTGTTTTTGTTTTTATCATTCTCTAAGTAATACTATTTATGATTAAAAATAAAATAAAATAATGGGCCAAGTGCAGTGGCTCACACCTGTAATCCCAGCACTTTGGGAGGCCAAGGCGGGTGGATCACCTGAGGTCAGGAGTTCAGGACCAGCCTGGCCAACATGGTGACACCTCATCTCTACAAAAATACAAAAATTAGCTGGGCATGATAGTGGGTGCCTGTAATCCCAGCTACTCGGGAGGCTGAGGCGGGAGAATTGCTCGAACCTGGGAGGCAGGGGTTGCAGTGAGCCAAGATTGTGCCACTGCACTCTAGCCTCAGTGACAAGAGTGAGACTCTGTCTCAAATAATAATAATAATAATAATAACGGAAAATATGAAAAAGTATGAAGAATACATTTTTATTGTCATCTATTATCTCATCTTTTTGGTGTATTTCCTTCAGTTTGTTTTTTTATATCTGCCTGGCACTGTGCTAAACCATGGAGATTTTTTAAATGTGAAGACCCATCCCAGCCCTCAAGCCTCTTGCAGCCTAGGAGTGAAGCTTACAAGACAACAGTAAAAGATCATACAATATGAAGACTGAGGCAAGTACAATGGACTAGGCCATGGAGTATGGAACACACAGAGGGAGAAGTAAAGACAAAGACTGAGAATTCTGAAAGGGCTTGGCATTTGGTTTTCAACAGCACAGTTACTGAGATCCTGCTATGTGCCAGAATGGTGAGGAACTGATGAGATCCAGAGACAGGAACTGACTTGTTCAAGGTCACTCAGCTAGTTAGGACCTTGACAGTTATTTTTGCAATACTTACTGATCATCTATTCTGAAACCACAAGATCCTAAAGAAGATTTCATTTAAATGAATACACACAGCAAAAAAGTGGGTATATACACTTTTATTTATATAAAATATATATACTTATATATATTTATTTTTATTTTACACACTCACATACACAAAGATACCCTTTATCAGGCTCCATGTTGATGCATACAAAATGCACTTACTTTATTGAAAAGATTGAAACTACATGAATTTGGGGAACATCCTGGAAAATCTGGGACACATGGTTTGGTCACCATAATTATACTATGTGCTTTTTCTCAATCCAATAGGGATTTCTTAAAATAGCCTTGCATTCCAACAGGATATAAAACCCTGTTGAAGATGCCCCAATCTGGAATCAAAGAGTCAGACTGGCTAGAAACAGATCTGGTTCATTTCACCCTCCAACTAAAATAGGATGCAAAACTAAACAGTGTCGTTAGAGAGACAGAACTTCATTTCCCCCAAACAGTCCTTTTAACCTAGAAAGCAAGAGGCCCTGGGCCATTGGCAAGCAGAACAATTTCTTGCTATTTTGCATTTCCTTCCTCAGAACTATCTTTAATAGTTTGAGCCATGGAGGAGAAAGAGAACAAACTAAAATTAATTTTTAATTGAATAAAACAACAAAATAAAGCACAGGCAGAAGCTCCCTAAGCCCCAGAATTCTACGTGCTGTGAGTCCAGGGCTCAGTTCATACAGACAAAAGGAATGAGGAGATTCGAGCTCTGTTCTGCCTGATTAATCCAACATTGTTCAGCAAAGGTCTGTCCCAATGGTTAGAACAATGACTAGATGATAATCCAAAGCCCTCCGTGAGCAGTTAAAAATGAATTTGTCTGAAACGTTCTCAGTGTCTACTGAGCAACATCAAAGGAGCTCAGGGCACAGCCGACTTTATGGAGTAACAGGTTTAAAAACGAACATTTTTCAGCTTGCTAACTCTAAAAGCCCAATTTGTGTTCTCAGAATCCAGGAGAATAAATCACCCAAGCAAAGAAATAATAATACTGAAGACATATGATGCAATTCCAAAAAACCCATTGTATGCCAATTATTAAACCAGAATGCTGATCACATCCTTATCAAAGCTGTATGTCACCTTGTAGATCACAGGAAAACATGATCTACAAAATAGAATAAAAATCACACTGTGAACTTCATGAAAAACGACTAAAGGAACTCTCTTAGTTCAGCAAAAAAGTTCAGGCTGATCGCCATTTTTTGATGACCTTCTTGCATGGATAAACTCAAAAGCATTTTCTTTCTCCCTTTCTCTTAGCAAGAATAATTTTGTTAAGAAACCATTTACAACATCCTGATGAGCTGCACCTAGAAGATGACGTTCTGGCAACAGGAATTCCCAACACAGCAGAAGCTCCTTCCAAGCTCTGAGGCTGAGGAAGTGGGGAGTTTGGCTGGTTTTCAGCATCCATCCAACTCACCGATCCTCCCGTTTTGCTTCATTGTGTGTGCTGCTATCTTCCACACATCACTGGATCCAAACTTTCTTCTCCCCAGAGCCCTTTCATTTCATTCGCCTTTTCTATTACTCTCTGGGTCTGTTTACTTTCCTTCCCAAACTTTGTTAATTTCAGCAAATACATATATTAAGCACCTACTCTTGCAAGACACTACATCACTTTATTTCTCTTTGTAACACTCCAACATACCCATTTTCCTTCCTCAGAAACGCTATCTTCTAGATTCTTTAAAAATTCTGTGTGGATAGGAGGGGGATGATAAGTTCTTGTGAAATATTTCAGACTTACAAAAAAACTACAGAGTAATATAACAAAACATCTATGTACCTACAGCCCACGTTAAAGGATAAAACATTAATACAATTGGCATCTCTTGTGTACCCCCTCCCTGGTCACGTCTCCTCTCCATCTGCCCAAATATAACCACTAAAGTGAATTTGGTTTTTATTATTCCCATGCATTTTAAAACATTTGTACTCAGTATGTCTATATCCAGTCACAATTGGATACACAATATATAGTATGGTTTCACGTTTTCTTAAACTTGACATGCATGGTTTTTCTTTATACACACATTTTCTTTCTTCTGTTTGCTCTTTTGCTCAGCATTGTGCAGTTGAAAAGCCATCCATGTTAATACATGTAGCTCTTGTTTATTCCACTCTCATTACTGTCTATTATTCCATTAAGCAAGTTCACCCCCGTACATTTATCCAGTCTCTGCTTGATGGACATTTGAGTTAATTCCAATGTTTTTGTTATTACAAGCAGTGCCACTGTGAAAATTCTTGCATGAGGCTTCCTGCACACATTCCCAATATCCTCTTTAGCTTCACCTACATATTGAATACCAGAGGAGTTGCTATTCCTTAAGTTGTCAATGAAACTCCTTCTGACCCAGCTATATTTCCCCCCGCCTGAACTCTGGCCCTTTTCCATCTCATCCAAGCTACTTTGATCAGTGAGGCTGAAAAATTCCAATAGATACCACCCCCAGGCTCCCTGGTCTTCAGCTCTGACTCTCGTCAACATGCCATGGAGCCAGGGAAGTTGCATTCCCATTCTGTGAACGTCAGTGCAGAATCAAGTCATGGAGCCAGGGAAGTCGCATTCCCATTCTGCAAACCTCGGTGCAGAATCAACTCGTTGCTATTGGGTTTTATATGACACTTCTGACTCACTGTTTGTTCCCTGACACAAAGCAGGTGATGCTATCCTGAGAAATTAATTTGGATTTCCTTTACACTTTAAATTGTAAAACAAGAATGAGCATCTCAGCCTGGGTGGTCTGTTTCCTAGCTTATTTTTCCTAATCCCTTTCCCCGCAGTTGGCTGAAAGCACCATTATCCGCTCCTAGCAAGGTCTAGGATGTCATGTCCCAGATTTGCTCAGTTCATTTGGATTGCTTTATTTCCTTTACCATCTCTCTTGTCTGTGCTTCCAGATGTTATTAAATAATCTTCTAGATATGCCTTTAGGATTTGCTGCAAAGACACTTGAGATAAAGTATCTGTCAGAACCAACCTGGTAAGAATAAATGGGAAATATTTGGTATGAGAGTTGGGACCTTCCCTCCAGCAGTGATTATTCCAAGACAGGACAGTTTCCGACTGAAGACAGAGTCTCTTCCACAGTATCCTTTATCAAGACATTAAAATCTTCCTCCTAGTGCCTAGAAGTCAAATCTCCTTTTTATCATTTGCTTGAATACTGTTTTCTTAATGACTTTACAAGAAGGATACATGTGAAGAGTCTGAATAAAACGATGATAGAAATAAGGATATTTGAGAAATCAGAATATTGAGAAGGAATACTTGACTAATAGCGAAGTGCAATAAACTGTTAATAGCCATAATCATTGGCAATCCAGGCACAAAAGAGAACTGTTTTTTTTTAATGGAATGATTTTTTTTTAATTTCAATAGGTTTTGGGGGAACAAGTTGTATTTAGTTACACGGATAAGTTCCTTAGTGGTGATTTCTGAGATTTTGGTGAACCCATCACCTGAGCAGTGTACACTGTACCCAGTGTGTAGTCTTTTATCTCTCACCCCCTCCCACCATTTCCCTGAGTCCCCAAAGTCCATTGTATCATTCTTATGCCTTTGCATCCTCATAGCTCCCATTTATGAGTGAGAACATAAGATGTTTGGTTTTCCATTCCTGAGTTACTTCACTTAGAATAATGGTCTCCAATTCTGTGTGGGTTGTTGCAAATGCCATTATTTCATTCCTTTTTATGGCTGAGTAGTACTCCATGGTATATATATACCACAATTTCTTTAACCACTCGTTGATTGATGGGCATTTGGCTGGTTTCATATTTTTGCAATTGTAAATTGTGCTGCTATAAACATGTATGTGCAAGTATCTTTTTCATATGATGACTTCTTTTTCTCTGGATAGGCACCCAATAGTGGGATTGCTGGATCAAATGGTAGTTCTCCTTTTAGTTCTTTAAGGAATCTCCACACTGTTTGCATAGTGGTTGTGCTAGTTTACATTCTGATCAGCAGTGTAAAAGTGTTCTCTTTTCACCACATCTATACCAACATCTATTATTTTTTTGCTTTTTTGATTATGGCCATTCTTGCAGGAGTAAGGTGGTACGGAATTTTGGTTTTGATTTGCATTTCCCTGATCATTAGTAATGATGAGCATTTTTTCATGTTTGTTGGACATTTGTGTATCTTCTTTTGAGAATTGTCTATTCATGTCATTAGCCCACTTTTTGATGGGATTGTTTGGTTTTCTTCTTGCTGATTTGTTTGAGTTCCTTGTAGATTCTGGATATTAGTCTTTTGTCAGATGTCTAGGTTGTGAAGATTTATCCCACTCCATGGTTGCCTGTTTACTCTGCTGATTATTTCTTTTGCTGTGCAGAAGCTTTTTAGTTTAATTAAGTCCCATCTATTTATCTTTGTTTTTGTTGCATTTGCTTTTGAGTTTTTGGTCACGAAGTCCTTACCTACACCAATGAAAAGACAAGATTCTTTACCAAAAAATGGTATCAACCAAGACAACAAAAGGAACTACTAATAACAAAGAATACATGAAGAACACAACTGAAATATACATCCCCAGTGGACTTATATATTATAAAACTGGTGTTGGGAAGGAAGACAATACCTTCTAAAATTGCCACTTGGAAATCTAAATTGAGAATTTGTCACCAAAAGCATGTAGGGCAAGTCTTCCCCATTGAGTACATATTCCTTGATTTACACATGCACACACACACATACACATATGCTCACAAAGCATGAATGCACATATGCATGCACACAGTGTATGCCTGAAACTTGCAAGTACTTTAAATGTTTACAAGTGAAATAGTATGGAAACATTTCAGAGGTGCTTTGTCTTTGCCACTAGACCAATTATGCAATTATATTCTATTTAGTGAGCCTTCATTATAGTCTCACATTGTGCCAGTTACTTTTATGAGGATTTAATACACACCCAAACTGAGGCAAATTGCTTCATATGTATTATTTCATTTGCTCCTCACGCCTCCTCCTTTTTTTCATGAGGAAACTGTAGTTTCAACCAGTAAATAATCTACGGAAGTTTCCTCAGTGAATGAAGAGCAGAACTATGAACCCAAGGTTGTCTGTTGGACTCCAAAATCTAAGGACTCAAGCACTACCCTAACCTGGGTCCACACAAAAGACAACCATGATACTTAAAATCTTTTAGTCCTCGCAGTACCTTGAATATAGTAGGTGTGACGGATGAGTGGATGGAGGGATGGATGGATGGATAAATGGAAGGATGGATGGATGGACAAATGGACAGATTGGGGAGATGAAGAGTGTTTTTTCTCTCCATAATAATGGATGTATATAAACAAACATCCTTCTGGATATGGAGAGCCTCTATTACTATCTATAGTAGGTAGGTAGGTAGGTAAGTAGGTAGGTAGGTAGAAAATCAAAACACTTGATTTATCTGTTTCATGAATTTAATTTTCCCTTAGAGTTTCCTTTAACCTTTGCATCTCAATATACAGCACAGATGGAAGTATTTAGAAATGAGGTTTCCTAAATTGTGCCTTTATGCCCTGAGCTCATTTGAGGAACACATGAAAATAGCAAGTCTAGGGCCTAATCCCTACATGGATCTGGTGGTTTCACCAGCTCTTGCCATACCAAACCTTTCTGTGCAGCCAGCTGCCTCCCCTGAACAGGAGAGGCCTGGCCACAGCAACCTCCAGGAAAAAAAAGGTTGGGGGGATGTCTGCACACCCACATCTGCTATATAGCAACCCCCATGCCCCAAGCAGAGCCACAAAATCCTCTCCATATAAGGAGATCAGAATTTCTCAGGATGGCCAAACCTTGAGCATGAAATTAGGAAACCCAAGTAAGGAAGAAAAAACCTGCACATGAGCTGCATGAAGCACTGGCACCAGGGCTGACACCAGAGCCAGGGCAGTCCATGTCTGACCAGCCACAGGCCCTGCACAAGTGGGGCACTCCTACATAAACACTGATGGGACACTCTAGGAAGGTTTTTGCACACATTGTTTAATGAATCTTCATCTTGCTGACGTTCATATTGTGTTGATCCCATTCTGCAGATGAGGTAAGGTTTCCAAGAGGTCAGATGATTTACAGGACAGAGCCAAGAGTCAAGCCCGAGTCTGTCTGATTTCGAAGCTAGGATGCTTCCAAACACACTGAACTCCTAATGGTCCCTTCCTGTTCCTGACCCATCCATCTGTCACCCAGCTGCACAGTACAGCTCCCCAGGTGCACAGTAATGTGAGACTTAGTTAAATAACAGTAGTAAAGACCCATATAAAATGTTTACAGCTATATTAAGTTTTCCTCATTGCAGAGTGACTGGGTGCTTCCTGCATCTGATGAGCATTTGGCTTTAAGATGTAACCAAGACTGCTCAAAGTACACAAACACAGCCCACAGGAGAGTGGACACTGTGTCAAAGGTGGGGAAATGACCAGTGTGATCCATTTTGTGTGCAAGCTACGACGATGCTAGAGACTTTGGTCCAGTGGGTCTCCCTGAGATGAAAATAAGACCCTAGTGCAAAACAGTAAGCATGTTGATGCATGTTCCTGGGAACACAGCTTTCACCTATTTCCCAAAGAGGAGCTAGGACCCCCCAGAAGATGGGAAGCATCATCTCAGGGATTCCTTTTAATGACCAATTTTTTAGGTGTCATCCCAGGGCAGCTGTGGAAAAGGCTCAGTGTCAGCACCTGTTTGGCATTCAAAGCCAAACACAGGCTATATTCCAAACCTTCTGTGCTTTGTCTTCCAGGACAGGAAATGCAGATTAACATCCTAAACAGACCCCTCTCCAAGTTAAATTCAGGATTCTCCTGAATCCCTGTCCAATCTGCCTGCAGTACTTCACCATGAGCTACAGTGCTTGCAGAGCTGTACTGTGTTCATTACCAGGCACACACTTCACAGCTGATATCAAATTTCCACAGACAACAACTGTGAAAGCAGGCAGCTAACTGGCCCTTAGCTGTTAGCCAAAGAGCATAGATTCTCAAGAAAGAGAAGTCAAGGATGAAGCCACGGCAAGATTGACATTTGGAATCTAAATTTGACACTGCTGGAAAGGTCCAAAGCCCTCAAGCCCTTGTGCTCTGGAAGGCATTGTTTCACTAAAAAGGGGAAGGATGTCCCCAACAGGTCAAGCAAATGTTTTCGGGACACTGTGGGGTTCCCAGCCACAAACCGCGTGTCAAAACAGAGACCTCGAAGGTGTAGGCATCAGACAGAATTGACGTGAGGCCAAGGGAACAGGAAACAATAAGATAATAACCCTCACTGAAGCCTAGAAACCAAGACCAAACAAACGCACACCCAGGGTCCCTGGGATGTCACATCACAGGCCTCCTGCCAGGGAGTGCTGAGGGGGCACAGAGCTGCCCTCCCTTGCCATCTCTCTGAAGCCCCCACCTTGAATTCTATGCAAAAGCTGTGCTCCCCTACAGCTAGTCTGGAAGGGAAAGAACTTTCTTTAAACTACAGCTGAGGAAGTCAAGACTTCAAGAAGCAGTTTGAATAGCAGGGAGCTGGATAGAGAGCAGGCACAAGATCCAAAGTTTCCTCCACAAAGAATCAGTCAGGTCTGCAGTCTCACTTTTATATCTAATAGGAAATCTAAGGAGCAGAGGACATGGCCCCAGCAAAACATTATAATAAGAAAACCCATGATATACAATGTATGACTTCTTACCATAAACATGCATTACTTTTCTATTTCTTTAAAAGCCACTAAAAATATAAAAAATAAAAATTCAATGAAGTAGATATCATGGGTATTATTGTCACCACATTCTATGAGTAACTCCTGTACCCAAGATCACATAGTTAACTAGTGGAGAACTAGAACTCAGGCCTTCTAACGTTTAACTATTTCTTCAGTTCACCTCACCAGAGGCATCTAAAATAGCTGCCTGGTTCCAACTTTTTATAGGCGGTTTCGTAGCAGTAAAGGTGACTTTACAGGCCAAAGGAATGGTGACTCCCTTCAGATGTCAGCAAGGTGGGAGAAAGAGCCTGGATGACTGTCTTATTCAGCTGAGGCTTCCTGTATACTTTGCACACACAGATGACAGCCTCCCATGCCCTGGGCACTCCTCAAGGTTCTGGGAATGCAAAGGTGTTAAGAAATGGACCCCAGGCCAGGCGCAATGGCTCACGTCTATAATCCCAGCATTTTGGGAAGCCAAGGCGGGCGGATCACAAGGTCAGGACTTCGAGACCAGCCTGGCCAATGTGGTGAAACCCCATCGCTACTAAAAATACAAAAATTAGCCAGGAATGGTGGCACACACCTGTAGTCCCAGCTACTCGGGAGGCTGAGGCAGAAGAATCACTTGAACCCGGAAGGTGGAGGTTGCAGTGAGCTGAGATTAAGTCACTGCACTCCAGCCTGGGCAACAGGCGAGACTCCATCTCAAAAAAAAAAAAAAGAAAGAAAGAAAGAAATGGACCCCAGCTGCCTGAGTTCTCACAGAGCATGGTGGGGGGGCAGAGAAGTAAAGAGAATTCACAACACGGCATGAGAGTACTGAGATGGTAGTGGGTGCAGGATGCCACAGCAGCATTTACCGATGTTTATTGGGTCCCACATTAGGCCAGGCCCTGGGGATTCAGGGACAAATAGGAGGAGGTCCTTATCTTTGAGGATCCCTCTAGCCAGGGGAAGTAAATTAACTCAGCCTAATGGGATCAGCCAATAAGTGCTTTAGTGGACATTTGAATAGAACTCAGAGGATGGAGGAGAGGATTCTGAGCTGCAGGACACCTGGCACTCACTGTGCAACTAGCAAAGGCCCACATTCAGTGCTGCCCAAATGCACTGCCGTCTCTTCTGCCGCTGTGGTCCTCCACCCTTCCCTCTGATTGTTAGAATAACTGAGAAAGTTCAGGGGTTCGCTTCACTTCAAAGCGATTTTCCTCATTGTAGTTGTTCTTGCTGTTCTTGTGAAGCAATCCTTCAGCTCCCTGTTTGCCTTCTCCTTATCATTGTTTTCTCTGCCAGACCTGGTGGGGTCTTCAGAGAGAAATCCATTCGGGAATAACCCTCCTCCCAGAAAAGTCCATCAAAGGCAGCTCCTGTGGGTAAAAGGCTCCACAAGCGGAGGGCAGCTGTAGGAACCACACCAGATGCTCTCGTGGGTCAATAGGTCAAGCCCAACAAAAACTCGAGCTCATATTTCTGAACCTGAGGGCCTCAATAAACTTTAGAGGGCATTTTGAGTATTAAGGTGATACTTGTAAAAATAACTAGAAGTGTGGCATTTCTACTACGGTGTGAAAGCAAAGTAAAATTGGAAATGGCTGACGAATGGCTGTCATGGAGTCAAGCAAGAGAACTGAAAAACATGCTGGGAAAAGAAAACACTTGAAGAGTATTCTAAATTGATCCTCCAACACAAGGAGGCAGTTCAAGTGTAGAGGTTGGATATAAATCGAAAGGGAGCCTCAGTCCTCTGGAAGGAAGAAGGAAGCCTGAGAGTATTTGCAGGTCTCTCCATGGAGCAATAACACAGAAGCTAACAGTGAACGTTTTCTTTTTTTTTTTTGAGACAGAGTCTCGCTCTGTCACCCAGACTGGAGTGCAGTGGCACTATCTCGGCTCACTGCAACCTCTACCTCCTGGGTTCAAGTGATTCTCCTGCCTCAGCCTCCCGAGTACCTGGGACTACAGGTGTGTGCCACCACACCCAGCTAATTTTTGTATTTTAGTAGAGACGGGGATTCACCATGTTGGCCAGGCTGGTCTCAAACTCCTGACTTCAGGTGATCTGCCCGCCTTGGCCTCTCAAAGTGCTGGGATTACAGGCGTTAGCCACCGCACCCGGCCAGTGAATATTTTCAACAGCTTGCTTTCTTCTGCTAAGCACGGCGCCTTGCTAAATAAAGGTGGATCCTAGTAAGCATTGCTTAAATGAATATTGTAGTGTGATTATTTTCACTAGAATTATGTTTGCATTGCAAATGTTGGTGCATCTATTGATGTGGCCTATAGGCCTTCACATTATTTTTATAAAGGCAAATGAACTAAGGGGATGGCCCCACGTGTCTCAAGGCCTCAACCAACTACTCTTCTTCCTTTCTGTCCCTCTCTCAGCAGCAGGAAATTTGATCACTGAGCCTATAGCAAAGGCAACCAATCAATAGCTCAGAGTGGAAAAAGCCCATCTGGGAAAACTCATATAACTGACCCAGCAGAAGGGCGGTAATCAGAGTACGCCTCATGCCGTGTCCCTACTGGCCAAAAATACACAAATTTGGGAATACGTATAAGCAAAAAAACCTGGTAGATTACTATAGAAGAATTAAGATAAGGATCAGGAAAGGGAACAGTTTGATGGAAATCAAGAACCTTTGATTACTCATCTCCTGCAAGGACAATCTGAGAGAAAACACAGTGACATCATTAACCATCAATCATTTATTTTTGGTTCCAGGCCACTTCAATAAAGCAAATGATGCTAAAGCAAGCCATATGAATTTTTTGTTTCCTTGTGCATATAAAAGTTATGTTTACACTATACTGTAGTCTGTTAGGTATTCGATAGCATTATATCTAAAAATGGTACATATCTTAATTTAAAAATACTTCACTGCTAAAAAAATTCTGACAATCATCTGGGCTTTCAGCAAGTCACAATCCTTTTGCTGGTGGAAGGTCTTGCCTCAGTGTTTCTGGCTGCCGACTAATCAGGGCGGTGGTTGCTAAAGGTTGGGAGGGCTGTGGTGATTTCTTAAAATAAAACAACGGTAAAGTTTGCCACATTAATGGACTCTTTCTTTCATGAAAGTTTTCCTTGTAGCATGCATTCCTGTTTGATAGCATTTTACTACAATAGAACTTCTTTCAAAATTGGAGTCAATCCTCTCAAACCCTTCCACTGCCTTATCAGCTAAGTTTATATAATATTTTAAATTTTTTGTTGTCAGATCAACAGTATTCACAGCATATTCAGCAGGAATAGATTCCATCTCAAGAAACCACTTTCCATGCTCAACCATAAGAAGCAACTCCTCGTCTGTTCAAGTTTTATCATGAGATTGCAGGAATGCAGTCACATCTTCTGGCTCCACTTGTCATTCTAGTTCTCTTGCTATTTCCACCTAACCTGTGGCTACTTCCTCCACTAAAGTCTTGAGCCCTTCAAAGTCAACCATGAGAGTTGCAATCAATTTCTTTCAAATTCTTGTTCATGTTGATATTTTGACCTCCTCCCATGAATCATAAATGTGTTTAGTAGCATCTAGAATGTTGAATCCTTTCCAGAAAGAATTTTACTTAGACCATATCCATCAGAAGAATCACTATCTATGGCAGCTCTAGCCTTACAAATGTGTTTCTTAAATAATAAGACTTGAACATCAGAGTTATGCCTTGAACCCTGAGTTGCAGAATGGATGTGGTGTTAGCAGGAATGAAAACAACATTAGCCTCCTTGTACATCTCCATTAGAGCTCTTGGGTGACCAGGTGTATTGTCGATGAATATTTTGAAAGGAATATTTTTTTCTGAGCAGTCAGTCTCAACAGTGGGTTTAAAATATTTAGTAAACCCTGCTGTAAACAGGTGTGTTGTCATCCAAGCTTTGTTTTTCCATTTATAGAGTACAAGCAGAGTAGATTTAGCATAATTCTCAAAAAACCTCAGGATTTTGAAATTATAAATAAGCATTGGCTTAAATTTAAAGTCACCAGCTATATTAGCCCCTAACAAGATAGTCAACCTGTCCTTTGAAGCTTTGAAGCCAGGCATCGACTTCTTTCTAGCTTAGAAAGTCCTACATGTCATCTTCTCCCAATACAAACAAGGCTGTTTCATCTACATTGAAATTCTATTGTTTAGCTAGCCACCTTCATCATTTGTCTTAGTTAGGTCTTCTAGATAACTTTCTGCAGCTTCTCCATCAACACTGCTGCTTCACCTTGCATTTTCATGTCATAGAAATGGTTTCTTTCCATAAACATCAATGGACAAACCTCTGCTATCTTCAAACTTTTTTTTTCTGTAGCTTCCTCACCTCTCTCAGCTTTGATAAAATTGGAGAGAGTTAGGGCCTTCTTTTGGATTAAGCTTTGGCTTAAGGGAATGTTGTGGCTGGTTTGACCTTCTATCCAGACCACCCAAACTTTCTTCACATCAGCAATGGGGCCGTTTCGCTTTCATATCATTCATGTGTTCACTGGAGTAGCACTGTTAATTTCCTTCAAGAACTTCTCCTTTGCATTCACAACTTCTCTAATTGTTTAGTGCAAAAGCCTAACTTTCAGCCTATTTCGGCTTTCTGCATGCCTTCCTCCCTAATATTAATTATTTATAACTTTTGATTTAAAGTGAGCATCAAGTGACTTTGCCTTTCTTTCACTTGAATACCTAAAGGATATTGTAGAATTATTAATTGGCCTAATTTCAATATTGTTGTTTTTCAGGTAATAGGAAGGTCCAAGTAGAGGGAGAGAGATGAAGGAATGGCTGGTTGGTGGAGCAGTCAGAACACATACATTTACTGATTAAGTTCGTCAGCTTATGCAGGCACAGTTCAAGACAATTCCAATGGTAACATCAAAGATCACTGACCACAGATCATCATAACAGATATAATAATAATGAAACAGTTTGAAATACTGTGAAGATTACCAAACTGTGACACAGAGACTGCAGTGAGCACTTGTTGCTGGGAAAATCACACCAACAGACTTGTTTGATGCAGGACTGCACAGGCCTTCAATTTGTAAAAAACGCAATTGCTTCAAAGGGCAATAAAGCAAAGTGCCATAAAACAAGGTATGCCTGTAATTCACCTCTCTTTCTCCTCTTTCCTGGCCCCATCCTCCCCAAAAATATCACAACTGACTTTTTAAATCCTCTCAGCAAACTCTCCCAGCATCAACCTCACCTCTTTTTTTATGCCTTCAGGGATGTAGCCAAAGCTAAGGAATATGTCCTGTTCTGTGGAGAGCAGATGATCAATAGGTGGTTCCCAGCTAATGGAGTGACTGGAGCAAGGGTGAGCCCCCCCGTTCTCCAGCAGCTGTCAGAATTCACTACCAAAGTGCTGAACTGAAGACAGCCCAAGATAGCACAAAGAGTAATTTGGACAGTGGAGTGACCATTGTTCTCAGAAAGAGGACAAAGCTGGGGAAAATGGAACACATTAAAAAACATTTAGAAACACAGACAATTCAACTCTCTTTCGGGGGAAGCATGGGGAGAGACAGGAGGTATTTTACTAGGTCCTCTGATCTGGAGGAGCAGAGCTGTCCATATGTGTATATGTGCATTTTTCTAGAGTGAGTGCAGAGCTGTCATCAGACTCTCAAAATTCTCCCAGAACCTTCCTTCCCTCTCTATCCCAAAGAACCATTAAGAGACTGCCCAGGAAACTGGGTCAAATGTAAAACATCGCACAATGAAAGAATTCCAAAGTCGGACACCCAGGAAGTCTGCCGTCTGCCTTCAAACACAAGTGTGTGGGGATCTTTGGCTCTGTGGCTTCATTGAGCTCATGTATTGGCTCCCATTGAATGTCTTGTACTCTTTCTTGGCCAAACCTTTGTAGGTACAGTTTGAAAAATGCACTCCGATTTTCAAAGACCCCAGCCAAGGATCTCCCTCAACTAAAACCCTCTCTTCCCACCCCACATAAACACCTCAATCCCCTGAAGAAGGAGGCTTAACAGCTTCCAAGTTTGTGACTGGTTATTACTCCAATGGACAATTCACTGAGAACTGAAAAGTTTGAACTTTCAAAATTTGAATAATTTCAGTTGTGGCTATTCAAATAATAAAATGTTAATGTTTTTTTCTCACCACTTATTCACTGACTCATTGAGCACGAGTTTATTGATCCAGGCCCTGGGGATGTTCCATGAGTGACGTCATTCCTCTCCTCAGGAAGCTCATTGTCCAGGACTCAGTCTACCTTCAGTTACCCACAGTGACAATTTTCAAGCTTGCTACAGGATCTAAACTAAGAATCCACCAGATGACTGTCTATGACAGTTGTCCTACTCTTTGAAAGTGACTTTAAAACTTACTGGCCAATTCTATCGCGAGGATTCCGATGAGGACCACCCGGGGCTGCCGAGAGGCTTAAGTGAGAAGAGATAGGTGAACGGTCTTTGTAAGCTCCAAAGCACTTTATAAATGTAGTGTATTGTGACAATGACCTCCTTCTACCCAGTTCTTACAACTTACAGGTTTTTCTTTTTTTCTTTTTTTTTTCTTTTGGTGGTGTTATGGAAGAAAAGAAAATATCAGTAAGGCTATAAAGATAGACTTTGAAATTTTAAGGGCATTGCAAAACCTGGACTACTCCTTTTGCCACTGCCAGCACCACCAAGAAAAGGAAATATTTTCACACGGGGAGGAGGATACAGAATGAGAGGACAATTTAAAGCAGATAGCCCAGGAATATAGATATGGGTGGGCAGAGGTGCTGAAAGCCTGGAACATGAACAAACACTCCCCTAAATTTTAAAAGAAGAAGAAAATAGATGCTGCAAACAGACCTCAAAACAAACATTAACCTTGGGCAAGAATTGAGAACTGATTATAATAACAGCTGCTAATATATGAAGGCTTGTCATGTGCCAGATACCATGCTAAGCATTTTTCATGTATTAATTCACTTCCATTTGGTAAGAACTCAATGATAAGAAATTAGTTAATACACGTATAATTAGAACAGTGCCTGGCACATAGTAAGTACTCAACACTCTTGCAGGATTATCAACTCCATTTTATAAGTGTGGAAACTGAAGACAAAGAGACGAGTCAGTGTGTTTATATTCACACAATGAATTTCAGTGACAGACCCAAGCTGGCTGATCTTAAAATCTGGAGGAAAAACATCTTCAAGGACCTTTCTACATTTAAATTTTTATCATTCTTTGAATGACTAATTCAATTCAACACATAGAACCTACTTTAAGTAAAAGAGTCCAAGTTCCAGGAGAACTTGGAATTTTTAAGTACCCGCTTTGGGTAAAAGATTCCAAGTTCTAGGAGATAAGGGAACTGGGTTGTATCACTGCTATATCCACAGTCGATTAATTGCAGGCATTTGGAAGGATAAGAATTAAGTCATGATACTGCAGATGCTCACAAGCCAGTGGAAAGGTACCTGCTTAAAAACCTAATATCTGTCTGGTTGATATATGACTACAATAGAAGGATGTGCTGGGGGGATGAGAAACTGCAGATCAGGGAGAAACCTCTTGAGCTGCGTGTCCTTCGCTGTGAGTCAATGTTAGAAAGCTTTGAAGCATAACCAGGCAGGAAGGGACTGATGCCCTCTTGGCATAATAAGGCCAGTGTTATTAGTCTGCTATAAACAGGGTTAAGGTTATGTTAATAGAAAGAATATTAATTTCTCCTGATGACCAGATGGGGGTCTTTAGAAGGAAATTAGTCCCAGAGGTCATAAACTGTCTTTGAGTTCTTATACTTTGGGAGAAAGCCAACCCAGCCTGGAGTTAAAGCCCCACTGTGTGTTCCACCCCACCCCAAAAAAATCCTCTAGGCCAGATCTCACCCCTAAATGGTACCAGGGAGTGAGGTGCCCAGAAAGGGGATACAGTGCCCCACCCAGTCTGCCACCACCACTTCCATCTCATGCCACACTTGAACAAAGAAAGCTTTGGAAAAATCACATAAAACCCTTCAAAAAGAACTCCTTAAACCCTCCATTAATGTCCTAAGGGAGTGACCTTAGGGTGATTGTGTTGAGGTAGCAACATAACAGTCATTCAGAACTACCTTTTCCCAAAGCTGTTTATAGATTGCAATAGCCACATGACAGTTCTAACCTTTAAAACATATGTGGAAGGTTTTAGGCAGGGCTGCAAAGAAAGTTTCTAAAAGGGAGGAGAAGGCATTCTCAGCTGTCATGCACCCTTTTGCCTTTCAGTCTTCCATTATCCTCCTTCATGAAATCCAGAGATAGTGGCTGGAGGCATGGCAGCCCTTTCACAGCCACAAGGAAAATGTCAAGAGACTCATAGAACTCTCATCTTAAAATCCCTGAGTTACCAAATCAGTATCACAAACTGAATACCTAAGGATTTCTTCTTATATGATAAAGATGAATTCTTACTGTGTTTAAGCCATTGTTATTTGGGTTTTCATTCCCAAAACTGGACTCAAAACTCAAAGCAGTCATAGACTACTAAAGAGCAATGAGGTACAGTACAAAGAGCTAGGAGGTCAGACTCATACTGGAGCCCTAGTTCTTTAGGAGCTGTGTGACCTGAATCAATGAACTTCCTCTGTAAAGGGGAGTGTCTTACTGTGGGTGCTCCTAAAAGCCAAGTCTGAACAAGGACTTAGGTGGCAGCAGGTGATTTATTTGAAAGGTGATCCTATGAAGCCAGAGAAAGGTAGTGGACAAGGAAGGAGGGAAGATCAATAAAGAGTGTGCTATTGAGCTGGGTCTCACTGTGGGCAATTCTGATTCAAACCCCTGAGGGACCTTCAAAGAAAATTCCATAGAACCTTCCTACTGAAAATGTGGGCCATGGGCCAGCCTCAGCATTAGCTGGCAGCATGTTAGAAAAGCAGAATCTAGTCCCCATCCCAGACTTCCTGAACGATAATTTGCACGAGGAGATCCTGTGCACATTCAAGTTTGAGATGTCCTGGTATAGAATGCACCTCAGTGCTGGATGTTGGAAAGGCAGAAGGCTCTTGTCACTCATCAGTAGAGGAACCATTTGCTCTCTTGCATTTCCTGGCTGAACAGACTTCCACAGCTTAGGAGAAAACCCTAAAGGAGAGCTGGGAGACTCAGCAAGCACTTGAGGTGGGAACCCTTCATGAGGGGAAAAACTGATCACCCAGGCTGAGGAGATGAGGTGTGGAGCACTAGCAGCATCCACAACTGCGGGTAGTTAGAATACCTAGTTCATATGGACATTGGAGACATGAAATGAGATAGTGTATACAAGAGGAGAGTCGCCCAATAGTCTATTGCTGTTATAATCATAGCTACAACAACCAACCTCATTTGAAAAGACATCTTATGACTTCTATGATAAAAGCTAACCTAGTTCCTGTATCTCCAACTCCCTGAGATAAGGAGAAGCACAGTCCTTGACCTCAAGGAACTTATAACCTTGATAGGGAGATAAGGCTTGGGGACATGAAGCAATACAAGACTGGCGTCACACATTATGTAATAACACACTCACATCAGTACTAGCAAGAGTTCTTTTGTGTGCTTATTATATACTTGGCACTCTTCTAAGGGGTGTGTGTGTGTGCGTGCGTGTGTGTGTGTGTGTGTGTGTTTTAATTCATTTGATCCTTATAAGAACCCAATAAGGTAGGTTCTATTATTAGCACCATTTCACTGATGAGGAAACTGGGGCACCAACAGGTGAAGTGACCTGCCCAGAGGCTATACATTTAATCTCCACACACCACTAAAACTAGTATAGCTCCACATTGCCTGTCGCCCTTCCTGCAGTGAGCCTCTCACTGTGATTTTAGACATGTTCTCTTTTTCCATGCTTAACTCTCCTTCAAGGTAAGCAAGTCGCTTAATGCTGTCATCATTGTATAGACAGTGTGGGAACTGGAATTCAGTGAGATTACATTTCAGAGCAGAGCAATAGCCAGGGCTCCATTAAAGGCTTCAGAGGAACCAAAACCAGCTGAGCTCCTATTCACCCAGAGGTCAGGGAGGTGAGGTGGACAGTGCCTAGACCTGGAGTCAGGAATGCTGAGTCCTGAGCCAAGTGTGGCCACTAACTCAAGCCATTTAGCCATTTGAGTCTCATTGTTCTCAACTACGATCCAAAGGGGGTAGGATTAGCTCATACACTAGTGTTCCCTTTAAGCTCTAAATTCCGATGCTGGATGACTTGCTTAAGCTCTCTATTCATCTCTCAATCCTCCTGGGAAAATAGCTATAATGCAAAATCTGAAAGTAAAGAGAATTTTTCCAGTCTTATTTGCTATAATGTTTGTTCACCAAATATTTAAATATTGATCATTTAAGAAGTTGCAAAGTCAAAGACCCACATAATGATATCTGTAAATATTCTGTGGATGTCACCTCCCATCTAATGTCAAGGTGTACTGTACTTTCAAGATTATTTCCTAATTTTAGAAAGCATTTGCACTTGGACTAACCTGGCCTTCCACTTTATACTCTACGTGTCTAATTCATTTGCTCTCTGTGACCTGATGTAGCCCTCAGCACCCTTGCTCCTTCCACAATTGTACCATATAACTTCATCATTAATGCCACAATATGGACTCACCCCAGCAACTTCTTACCATGTGTGCCAGGTTACTTTCTTGCTGCAGCGATGCAGTCTTCCTACCAGTATGCAGTTTTTTAAATGGATCAAAGATCAGAGCCTATCTTATGAAAAGTCACCCTCCAGGCTCCAATTTTCCAGAAATCCATCATTTGAAAATACCGGTTGGACAACTTCAACACAAACAGAAAAATGCCATTCTGTAGGCTTCAGGAAAAACATTTGTGAAGGTGCCCTATCCAGTCAGTTCTCTCTTTGTCTGCCCACAATCCTCCTCCACCCTCAAGAGAAGGTCCTATGAATTGAGAGGAGGCTCAGGCCCTAAGAAAAAGCCCAGAAAGGGGGTGATGTGAATGGCACATTGTTCTATTCTGCCAGTTGCTCTGACTCAAGGACCACAGGTTAATTTCATAATATTCCCCTTCCACTCCTCTCTCTATTTTTCAAAGCAATTTAAAAGTCATCTTATAAGCATCTATCACTGTGAAGGATACAGCGTCCACTATCTGCAAAGAATTGTAGAGACACAAATAGCACGAACTCAGTTCCTGTCCCTCCAACTCCCTAAGATAAACACAGCACAGTCTCTGACCTCAAGGGACTTACAACCTTGATAGAGAGATAAGACTTGGGGACATGAGGCAATGCAAGACCAGTGCCACACATTATGTAATAACATACTCACATGAGTATTAGCAAATGTCCGTGCCTGGAATTTCCCCTGTTCTCTTCCCCTCTTCAGTGCCTTCAAAGCCTTCTCTTGAGTCAATGTTGTTATTTGTGCCTAGTTGAAAGACTGCTCTCTCCTGCACCTAGGCAGCAGAGACAAAGACCCTGACTTCTCTGAGCAGCCTGAAAAGTGACAAAGGGGAATTGGCACACTTGGAGTTGAGAAATTGGCAGAGAGGTGATAAGATAGCGTTTAAAGTCACAGATGTTGCTCTCAGCATTTATTGATTGTAATTCAAGAGAGGAAAAAGGAATAAAACTCTCCCCACACCGGAGGTCCTTTGGAATATGCACCAAACAGTGTCTAGGGAAAAACTGGCATGTTCTTGAAACACATGTTACTCCTCTCCCCTCCCACACCTGCAGCAGACATCACTAATCAATGACAGCACTCTTCGCTGCTGAGCACTGTGTGTCCTTAACACTGTTCTCAGCCCAGCACTCCAGGCAGCCACTGCAATTGACCAGAGTTGCCACAGGAGATGAAGCCTCTTCTATCCCAGCTAGTGAAAGGGAGTGAAGACACCTGGTGCTGCCCTCTGGGTCCCCTCACCTTCTCACAAACACATGTTCATCCACACCTCCTAGCCATTGCAGGTCAAGACACTGTACTTGAATGTTCTCCCTTCTGCTTTTCCAAAGCAGATTCATCCTTTCAGGTCTGGTTCAAATTTCATTTTTTCCAAGAAGCCTCTAGGGTACCCAAACCCAATCTTCCCTCACCCAATCTCTCTTTCCTTCCATTTCCCAGGGCTGCCTTCTGATACCACACAAGGGAGCTCTATCCTATGCCCTCTAGTTTTGTTTCCTTATTACTCTTTCTTCCTCTACTAGACTTTAAACCTCTGATGTCTTCCAAACTTTTTAAAAACTTTGTTCAAAAAAAAAAAACACCTAACACAGGACATCGGATACAGTAGAATATCTGGTAAAGAGGGGTTTTGTTTGTTTTAAATTTCAGTAATGGAATTGTTAACTTTGGGGGTGACTTTTAGTTTTGCTTTCTAGAAGCAGAGGCTGCCATTTGCTTTGGAGCCTCTCCCCTCTTTATTTGGGGAAGCTCATAGGCCTTTCAGTTCCATCAAAGGAAGATAAGTCCCCACTCATTGTCCCTGGAGGAAACTGTGAGGTCTTCTTATATTTGCATGTATGTGCCAAAGAGAGACATGTAAAGTGAGCTTCCAAGCCAGAATGTACACTTGAAAGCAGAAGAAAAATGGTTTTTCCTAGAGAGAAATGCATACTGGACTGTTAGCTCTCCCCATTCCCTACCTGTCATGGACTGAATATCTGTGTCCTCTCAAGATTCACAGGTTGACATTCTAACCACTGATTCGATGATATTAGAAAGTTTGTGGGGGTGATTAAGTCATAAGAGTGGAGCCCTTGTGACTAAGATTAGTACCCTTGAAAAAAGCCCCAGAGAGCTCTCTCTCACCCCTTCTACCAAGTGAGAACACAGAGAGATAACAGTTATCTATGAAGCAGGATGTGGGCCCTCACCTGACACCGAATCTGCCAACACCTTGATTTTGGACTTCCTAGCCTCCAGAACTGTGAGAAATAAATGCTTATTGTTTAAGCCACCCAGTCTACGGTATTTTAGTAACAGCAGCTCGAACAAACTAAAACATTACCCCCAATGGAGTTAATAAAAGTGAATACCTGGGACTCTGGGGAATGCGCTGAGGACCACTAGGCTGGGTCATGGAGCCCACCCTTAGTTAGACTTCTTTAGGGGAGGGAGAGGACTGTATCTGGGCTTGGAGAAAATGTGCAAGGAGTGGTTTTTCCTTGAGATATGGGGCCAGGGCAGGGATGGCAATGAGCAGAAGAGCTTGTGGCTGAGTCAGACAGTCTGGCTTTCAGCAGTGGCATCATGACAACCCTGATGGCAGGGGACAGCAGATCTGCAGCCAGATTGACCAGACTTTCTGACCACAGTAACCAGGCTGATGTCCTGGGTCAGAGTAGCAAGCCTAGGAGTCCCCAAGAACATCCTGGGAGAAGAATAGCCATAGGAAAATGGACTTCTCCATTCAATGAGGGGTCAGAGATACATGGGGTCAGAATCATGTTAATTGACTATTAAGATACAGAGAGAGAAAGCTGCTGCATGTGATCTCTTTCAAGTAGGTGACATACATCTGGGGTCCTACCTATTTGGACTCTATCTCTTCTTACTTCTCCCGCTTTCCTAAAGGGCTCAAGTTGAAAATCATAAATTCTAATCTAAATTCCTTGTTTTATGCCTAAAAGAACCAGAGCCCGGAGACATAGAGAAGATCATTCAAAAGCACATGCCAAGCTAAAGACAATACCAGGGACAGGACCTCATCTTCTGACTCTTGGTCCAGTTCTCCCTCCAACTCAGCAAACAGCCTTTGGATTCCACTTGGGAGTAAGTCTTCACTGAATGCCCACCATGTGCTCAGCCCTGTGCTGTGCTGAGTGAAACACACAGATGTGTAGGACTTAGTGCCTGTCCCCCAACCCACACCCAAGAATCTTACAGTCAGGTTGGGGAGATAAGGCAAGGGAACCCTGACTTCCTCATGCTGTGGGTGGTACTAGAAATCAATCTTCCTGCTTTAGATTTGTACCATTGTTATGTCTGAATATTTGTGATCCTCCCTCACAACCAAAACTCATCTGTCAAAAACTAATCATCCATGTGATGGTATTAGGAGATGGGGCTGTTAGGAGGTGATTAGATCAGATAATGGAATTAGCGCCCTTTTAAAAGAGGCCCCAGAGAGCTGCCTTGCTCCTTCTACCATGTGAAGGCACAGCAAAAAGGTACCATCTAAGAACCAAAAAGCCACCCTCACCACACACCAAATCTGCTGGCACTTTGATCTTGAACTTTCCAGCCTCCAGAACTGTAAGAAATAAACTTCTTCTATTTATAAGCCACCTAGTCTAAGCTATTTTGTCATAGCAGCCAAGCTGACTAAGAAAGCCTATCTATACTCATGAAAGAGTAATGCAGTTGGGGTATTATTACCATTGGCCTAGCTCAAGAGATTTCTAGCAACCTTTCCCTCTATCCCCAAGTAGGGTTGCCACGTAGAATGCATGCACTGTTGCATGGGGCATACTCATACAAAAAAAATGCATTATTTATTCCAAATTCAAATTTAACTGGGAATCCTGTATTTTTTATCCTAAATCTGGCAGGTCTACCCCCAAGTCAAGATGTTGAGGGAATTGTGCAACCACTGGCCTTATCTTGAGTTCAGCAGTATCCTAGGGTAAAAGACACAGAAGAAGTACATAGGTAATCAGTGGGGACTGAGCAAAACCTTGGAGCATGAATGGATGTCACTCTGGTCAGGCAATGATGGGCCAAGGTGCCAACTGTTGATGAAAGGAAAGCATCACCAGACACCTACTGCAAGCTCTGCTGGCAGAAACCTGGGCTCCTCTCAAGTGCCATTATCAGTTTCATTGTTGTGCCTGAACAACACTTCTCTTGCTGGTCTTTTGTCAGCTCCATTCTCCCAGCTTTACCCATACAGCAGACCCACCCTCTCCTTAGTAACTTCCCAGGCTTGGTTCCAGCTCTTGAGGCCACCCTGTGCTTCCCTCCTTCTCCCTCTCTGCACTCCCCTTGCCCACATTCTTACTGGCACTGAATAAATCCTTCTTTCTACCAAGGCACTTCCTTCCCTCTACCTCCTCCTCAAACCCTCTTCTCCTCTTATTCCCTCAACATAAACACGATGACCCATCTGACCGAGAGCTCAAGTAAAGTAAAAATCAGTTCCCACCTTCTGAGAAGCAGGAAGAACAGAAGCCTCACACCCTCCCTGGAGGTTAGGGGAAACATCTGTGCCTGCCCAGCAAGGAAAGGGAAGAAACACAAAGCATTTCACTTCTATATTAGTTTAAGTATAGAATAAGTGGCTACAAGAAGACCAAAATTGCAGAGTCTAAAACAAGACCTAAATTTCTCTCTTATACTTAATATCAGGAGGCAGATAGGCAGTCTAGAGCAGGTAGACAACTTGATTCCCTAAAGCCAACCCAGGACTCAAGTCCCTTCTTTTCTTCCATTATCCTACTGGCATGTGCCAGCCTATATTCTAGCCAGTAATAAAGGGAAGAGGGCAAAAAGGGGAAGGCCGAAAACATTCTTTTAATAAGGAACAATTGTGGACTTCTCTTCACAGGATGTCAATTCACATTCTTCTATCATCAGCCACATCTAGCTGCAAGAGAGGCTGAGAAATACAGATTCTAGCTGGGTAGCCGTGTGCCTTCTGCAAGTGGGGAAGAGAAATGTCTTATTAAAAATAAAGAAGGCACAATTATTATTCTCTGCCAAAATTAGAACAGTCTGAAAATTCAAATCTCACTGTAATGTACCAGCAATACACAACTATAAATGATGCAATAGAAGGATGAGTAGTACAAATGACATGGTATTAATATAAGGGCCCCAAGGAGAGAGGATTTGTTGTGAGGTTTATGATGGGGATAAAATTTCACCTGGGTCCTGGGAAGCCAATAATCACTAAACTTTCATTTCTTTGAAAGGTAATTTTTAACCAGAGTCCCCAATACCACTAAGGACATCTACTTATTACAACAAATTGTTAGAAAAAAAAACACTGGATCCTTGATAAGACTGAAGCACACACTCAAGACATTCATATCTCCAGTTACTTTGCAAACAACATATTAAACCTCAGGCCTCTCTCTCTTTCTGGTTTTACAAGTGTGTTGTAAGAAGTTAAGCAACTAAAACATCATAAGGAGATAAGAATTAAGTTTAATTTCCTCTCATAGCCCTCCACTCCTCCTGAACAAAGTCATTTCCTAATGTATTGCAAGACAACGTTAATCATCCCCACCCCATTAAATCTATTTGCTTTCATTACATGTTCCTAATCCAGTTGAGTATGGACAAAACATTGGATTTACTTCCCATGAATTTCACCTTTTATTTTAATAACTACTTCCTTTGCCTGTTTTCCCTGGCTTGCCTTTCATCTTCTCCTCCCTAATCCTTCAGCTTCCTCATGATCTGGGATACAGAAAGCTCAAAGAAGCTCTAACAATGCCCTTTCTTTATATCGGCCAGCTCCCATATCCACCCCCAGCTTGATCTACGCCCCACTGGTTCCGAGCATTAGTCTGATCTCAGGGTCAAGAGCATAAGAACTACAGCAAGATATTTTGCAGGCAAAGGTACTGGGCTATGGCAAGCTCCCTCATCCGCTCTGTAACAACATTTGAAGCAGGTGTAAAAAGTCACACCAAACCCGTCTCCCTTCGAAGCACAAGGTCAAAAGGATAAGAATCAAGGGGCTGGTGCAATCCTAGTCATTCTCCTTGTTCACTCCCTCTTGCTGCCAGGTCAGGAGGGTCCAGGGAGAAATTAGCCTCAGAATTATAGTCTGAGCACCTTGGCTTTCCCTAAAATGAATGCTTCAGAAATGCCCAGTAGGCAGATCATTAAAACCTTCTTAAGCATTGTTACGGGAAGGCCTCTGAGAGCCACAAATCTTGCCATAGAGGTACACTATTTATCCAGTCAGCATTTCCATAGCGAGCTGATGGCTGGTGAAGGATTTAACAAGGTGGCCCTCCAAGTCCCTTCACTTTACAAAGTGCCTTTTACAGGTGGGTAGGCTGACCTTGAGCAGGTTCATGTCTTTTCTCTGAACCTGTTTCCTCATCTGTGAAACAAAAGGATTTGATCAAAGCCTACAAGCCTGAGTTGTAAGGAGATGGTTTTAAGTACCCTGTTCCCTCTGTCTATTCCAAAGAGCCTGGATTCCACTCTGGAATGAAATGGTGGTTCTGCCTTGGGAAAACTGGCCCAAACTCAAATAGACTAACTGGTGACAGAAAGGCCATTTAGCCTGAATATTTAATTAGACATTGGGAGTAGACATCTCTCCGGTGTCTGCTGAGCTCGCCACAACCCCCTTTTCTTCCCAACACAGTTCACATGGTTGGGCTTCCAATAGCCCTTCTGGTGGTTAGACCAACTATGGACACCTGACCCACGGACAGCCAATCAGATTGCCTCCCTCAGGAACTGGGGTTGGCAGGTCAATTTCCCCCTAAAACTGAAATCCTAATGTGTTTGTGGGCTGCTCTGGGTTAAAATGGAAAATGCATACTCACTTTCCATTCATTCTTTCTAGTCTTTGAACTTTAAAATGTGAGGTGTTCATTCTCACAGAACCTCAATTGCCTACGTGTATCTGCCCAACAGAACTTACCATTTCTCCTCAAGGTAGGAATGGGGGTGAAAAAATACCAGTTGTGTAACCCCCATTTGGTACCAGAAGAGCTTCCTTGCTGGTTTTCCTGGCTTGGAGGCATGGTGTGGGAGCTTAGGCACATAGACCAGCCTAGAAGGTGAGCTTGAAGATAGCATTAAAGGTAACCACCTGAACTGATGATTCAGAGCTAGAAAGCCCGTACCATTTAATTAGCTCCCTTTGCACTGGCCTCAGTGGCATCTGAATAACATGATCTTGGCACTTACTGCAAGTTGTGAGGCTAATGAGGCTTATCTCTACAGCACTTATATGGACTTTGAAGGCCAGGGCAGTGCAGTGAGGAACAGAGGGGAGTTGTGGAAAGATTATGTAACAGGGCCTCTGGGCTATAAGGCTGCATGGTCAGCCCTATGGACCAAAGAAGAGACTGTTGATCTGCTGATAGGGTGATGACACCCCAGCTTTGCTTTTTATTAGCTGTTCTATTACCGGCAACCACAGCATCCATAGTTAAAATCTAATCTGAATGCTCCTTGAGAATCCTTGGGCGCAGAGGTTCAGAAGAGAGGCTGACAAGCCTTGTGTCTTGTGAACTACTCTGTCCCCACAGCAATGCCCAGACATCTGCGCCACAGCCTGCTCTGACTTCCCTTTTTCTGTGCTTCAAGCAGCCTTTTCCATTCTTTGCACTAAACAAAGTTTGCTATCACTCGCCTCCCTCGATGGTTTCAGGAGGAGAGCTGTTGGTATGTGTGCTCACTTGTGACCTGGTGCTCAAAGCAGTGAACTAGAGAAACAGCCTGGTGGGTGGAGTGTCTAAAAGGAAATCGGGACTCAAGATAAGGAGGAGCAGCCCACTGATGAGCTAGGTGCCCTTGGGCAAGTCCCTTAACTTCTCTGACTTTCTCTTAACTCCTCTGTAAAACAAGCAGAGAGGATAAGGTGATTTTCAAGACCCTATGACTACATGGTGTGATTTCCCTTGCTCCTTCCTCCTGCAATGCCTCCTGTGTCCTGAACAGTTCCTGTGAAAATTACTTCTAGGAAAGGTATTTGCCCCTCCAAAGCCTTTTCCAGATGCTGCTTGCCTGAAAGGGAGCAAGCTCTGATTGGGATTCACCCCACACTTTTTTCCTCTAACACCAGAAATGCTCATTTGTATTGATGACTTGAAGACTGGAAGCCTGTGTTGCTCTGGCGATAGACAGTTGAGTTTATTGGAAGTGAACACCAGGCTTTCAATTCACATCAGTCTGGGTCCTCGGATTTGCATGATTGCACATTCAGAGACAGGCACCTGCACTCGGGGCATCCTTGGCTGCCCACACGTTCCACTGAGCCAACCCCAGCTGCTACAAGCTGCCTGTTTAAACAAGGCCTGCTGGGAGTTGAGCAGGGCTGCTGAGGTGAAACAGTGTGTTAGTGGTTGAGGCTGTTCGCACAGAAGAGTCCCCTCTGTTGACCAAGCCTTTCTGGTAGCTCCTGGGACAGCTGCAAAGGGTGTGCGACCCTAAGGAGCCTCCTCCCTCGTGGGCTGGAGCATCTGCTAAGGCCTGTTCTTCATTCCTACTCAGCATCAGAGTGAGTCCTACCATGCTCAGCTCCTCCACTAGGGAAACCTCCCTGGACCTCAGTCCAAATTCAGAACCTCCTTCATGAAGATTTCATAGTAGCAGACAATCCATAGTTAATGTCAGGGTTTAAGTCCCAACGTTACATTGACTAGCTGTGTAACCCAACGGCTTTTGGAGCCTGTTTCCTCAATTGTAAATGAGGATAATAATATTGCCTACATGGTTGGGCTGCTGAGGATTAAATTAATTAATACATGTTAAACACTTAGAACAGGCCTGGGATGTGGAAAATGCTCACGAAATCTTAGTCATTATTTTGTCATTAATTTGGTTGAGAGAGGTCAGATGTAGAAAGCACCTGGAAAAAGACAATTTAAGTTCATCGTTGAAACGCAGTAATCTTATTTAAGTATCAAAATGTTCCTTGTAAGCAAGATGGAATTGTTTAACTGTGACACTGGGTACTATAAACTGCAAAGTAATCTCTCATGAAATTTTAGAGTTTGAAGATTAAAATGCACTACTTAGAATGCAGTCTGGGGAAAGGGTAGAAGAATGGGAAGAAGGTCTTCTCCTTTAACCAGGTCTGGTAGACCACCCCTCAAGCTTTCTAGTCTCCCTCCCCATGGAATGACTTGCCCCCTTGCTCAGCTCCAAGCAAGAAAACTGAAGAACCGGGAAGTGAAATGATTTTTTGCTGATCTGCGATTCAAGACCAGGTTCATCTGGATCAAAAATCCTTTGCTGATTCTGCCTCTCCATCCAGTCAAGCACTGTGCCAGGCAGACACTCTGGAGGAAACACAGATGTATGACACAGCCCCAAACCCAAGTGTCAGCACTCTGACAGGAGTGCCTAATATTACACAGAAGTTCCGGAATACAGTTGAGAAAACCTCTCAGCAATTGAGAGAGAAAGAGAAAATTAGATGATCAAAGCAAGAGATCCAATATCCAACAAACAGGAATTCTAGCAAAAAAGAGAGAGAATGAAAGAGAGGAAACCATTAAAGAAATTGAATAAAGTTCCTCAGACCTGAAGGACATGAGCTTCCTGAATGAAAAGGATCTGCTAAGGATATAGAACTGTAAGTGGCAGGGAATCCGTCATCATGAAATTGTATATAATCAGGGATGAAGAGAAGATTCTAAAGGCTTCCAGAGAAGGAAAATAAGATAAAAAGGATGAGGCCAGGATGGCACCAGAGTTCTCACCAGCAACACTGGAAACTCGAAGAAAATGGAGCAACACTCCCAAAGTTCTGAGTGAAAACTATTCCCCAGCTAGATTTTAATATCAAGACAAAGTCAATTGAGTGTGAAAGTTTAAAAAGTCATTTTCCAAAAAAAAAGTGAAGTTTTCAAAACATTTACTTCCCATGTACCCTTTTTCAGGAAGTAGTAGATGTGTTCCATCAAAATAAGGGAGTAACCCAGTGGTGTGCTGTAGCTGGCTCAGGCCAGCACCCAAGATTATCTCTTTTCAACTCTGAGTTTAGTGACATCACATTGGTCACTTAAAACCAGCCATGATGGGACTATTGATACCACAGAAATCAGCAAACACTACGAACTAGGGCTTCCCATCCCCCTCAACCCTCCCTGACCCCCAGGTGGTTGTTACATGTACCAGCACACCACTGGGATAAACCAAGAAAGAGAAAGATAAAGGATCTGCTATGGTCTGAATGTTTGTGTTTCTCCAAAATTCGTATGCTGAAACCCAGTCCCCCAGTGTGTTGTTATTAAGAGGTGGAGCCCTCATAAATGGGATTAGTGTCCTTATAAAAGAGGCCTGAGGAAGGTTTTTTGCCTCTTTTGCCCTTCTGCCATGTGAGAACACATAGAAGGTGCCATCCATGAGGAATGGGCCCCCATTAGACACCAAATCTGTTTGTGCCTTGATCTTGAACTTCCCAGCCCGCAGAACTGTGAGCAATAAATTCCTATTGCTTATAAATTACCCAGTCGAAAGTACTTTGTTACAGCAGCCTGAACTAACACAAGACCTTTAGGAGAAAAAGCCCAGTGAATTCCAAACATAATGATGAAGAGAAATCTCAATATACCTGAGAAGAAATCAGATAGAAATAAGGTTCCAGGGCCAGGCATGGTGGCTCATGCCTATAATTCCAGCACTTTGGGAGACCGAGGTGCGTGGGTTACTTGAGGCCAGGAGTTACAGACCAGCCTGGCCAACATGGCCAAACCCCGTCTCTACTAAAAATACAAAAAAAAAATAGCTGGGCATGGTGGCACGCGCCTGTAATCCCAGCTACTCGGGAGGCTGAGGCAAGAGAATCGCTTGAACCCAGGAAGCAGAGGTTGCAGTGAGCTGAGATTGCGCCATTGCACTCCAGCCTGGGTAACAGAGCAAGACTCTGTCTCAAAAAATTAAAAAATTAAAAATAAAAGAAATAAGGTTCCAGAAAAAAATGTCTTTCAAAAAGAAGCTAAGACTGATAAATTATCTGAGAGTTTCAACAATGTTGAGAGATCTTTTAAAACTCTGGTAAAGACTTTAGGGACATATTAGTCACAGATATCAATACCAAGAAAAAAAAGGGTAATTATTAACTACAGGGGAAATACAACATTCACAAAACAGAAGGAATTGTAACTGTAGTACATTATTTGGCTCTGCTATAAATAATGTTGATATAATCACAGTGAAAGGAATATTAATATTGATGTGACTAACACTACAATATAACTATCAAAATAATGCAATGAGGGAAACTGGGAGACATTAAAAGTAGTAGAATACTTTCTAAATCTAGGAAAACAATAAATAAAATATAATATAAAAAATTTGTAGCATAAGCATGTTATATAGAATTAAGAAAAGGCTGGGCATGGTGGTTCATGCCTGTAATCCTAGCACTTTGGGAGGCTGAGACAGCAGATCACTTGAGCTCAGGAGTTCAAGTCCAGCCTGGACAACATGGCGAAACACTGTCTCTACAAAAAATTCAAAAAAAGTATATATATATATCCAGGCATGGCGGCCTATGCCTGCAGTCCCAGCTACTTGGGGGGCTGAGGCAGGAGGATCACCTGAGTCTAGGAGGTCAATGCTGCAGTGAGCTGAGATCACACCACTGCGCTCCAGCCTGGGTGACAAAGCATGACACTGTCTCAAAAAAAAAAAAAAAAAAAAAGATCAGAGCAGAATGAATGAAATAAAGAAAATGATATAAAATATCAATGAAACAAAGAGTTTGTTTTTTGAAAGTTAAAACTGACAAATATCAGGCTCTGTTGAAGGGCCAGTGCTGCAACTGTGCACTTGTGCAACTCTTAACCCAGCCACATTTCTTCCAGACAGTGAAGAAAAGATAAAACATAACTGCCAATAAGTAATTGCTAAAACCTATGCCACTCAAGGGGATCTTTTAGAGGTTCCTTTGACTGATCCTGACCTCACCTGTGTAAAATTTAGCAATACTATAGACACAACCAACTCCCAATCCATCAGGTGGGTAACTCCTCCCACACGAATAGTCTGCCTACCCTTAGGAATATTTTTTGTCTGTGGTACCTCAGCTTATCGTTGTTTGAATGGCTCTTCAGAATCTGTGTGTTTCCTCTCATTCTTACTGTCCCCTATGACCATCTACACTGAACAAGATTTATACAATCATGTCATACCTAAGCCCCGCAACAAAAGAGTACCCATTCTTCCTTTTGTTATCGGAGCAGGAGTACTAGGTGGACTAATTGGCAGTATCACAACCTCTACTCAGTTCTACTACAAACTATCTCAAGAACTAAATGGTGACATGGAACGGGTCACCGAATCCCTGGTCACCTTGCAAGATCAACTTAACTCCCTAGCAGCAGTAGTCCTTCAAAATCGAAGAGCTTTAGACTTGCTAACCGCCAAAAGAGGGGGAACCTGTTTATTTTTAGGGGAAGAATGCTGTTATTATGTTAATCAATCTGGAATCATCACCGAGAAAGTTAAAGAAATTCGAGATAGAATACAACGTAGAGCAGAGGAGCTTCAAAACACGGGACCCTGGGGCCTCCTCAGCCAATGGATGCCCTGGATTCTCCCCTTCTTAGGACCTCTAGCAGCTATAATATTGCTACTCCTCTTTGGACCCTGTATCTTTAACCTCCTTGTTAAGTTTGTCTCTTCCAGAATCGAAGCTGTAAAACTACAAATGATTCTTCAAATGGAGCCCCAGATGCAGTCCATGACTAAGATCTACTGCAGACCCCTGGACCAGCCTGCTAGCCCATGCTTTGATGTTAAAGACATCGAAGGCACCCCTCCCGAGGAAATCTCAACTGCACAGCCCCTACTATGCCCCAATTTAGCAGGAAGCAGTTAGAGTGGTCATCGGCCAACCTCCCCAATAGCACTTAGGTTTTCCTGTTGAGAGGGGGTACTAAGAGGCAGGACTAGCTGGATTTCCTAGGCTGACTAAGAATCCCTAAGCCTAGCTGGGAAGGTGACCACATCCACCTTTAAACATGGGGCTTGCAATTTAGCTCACACCCAACCAATCAGAGAGCTCACTAAAATGCTAATTAGGCAAAAGGAGGAAGTAAAGAAATAGCCAATCATCTATTGCCTGAGAGCACAGCGGGAGGGACAATGATTGGGATATAAACCCAGGCATTCGAGCCGGCAATGGCTACCCTCTTTGAGTCCCCTCCCTTTGTATGGGAGCTGTTTTCACTCTATTTCACTCTATTAAATCTTGCAACTGCGAAAAAAAAAACAAAAAACCGCTGACAAACCTTTAGCCAGGCTAATGAAGAAAAAAAGAGAGAAGATCCAAATAAAATCAGAAATAAAAAAGGAGATATACAACTGATACTGCAGAAATTTAAAGGATCAACTATATCCCAATAAATCAGAAAATCTAGAAGAAATGGACAAATTCCTAAAACGTACAACCCACCAAGATTGAACCAGAAAGAAATCCAAAACTTGAACAGATGAATAACAAGTAATGAGATTGAAGCTGTACTAAAAAGTCACCCAGTAAAGAGAAGCCTTGGACCAGATGGCTTCACTGCTGAATTCTACCAAATATTTAAAGAAGAACTTATACCAATCCTACTCAAACTATTCTGAAAAATAGAGGAAGAGGGACTACCTTCAAACTCATTCTATGAGGCCAGTAATACCCTAATACCAAAACCAGACAAAGATACATTAAAAAAAAAAACAAAACAAAAAAAACTACAGGCCAATATCTCTGATGAATATTGGTGCAAATATTCTCAACAAAATACTAGCAAACTGAATTCAACAACATATTAAAAAGTTCATTCATTATTACCAAATGGGATTCATCCCTGGGATGCAAAAATGGTTCAACATCCACAAATCAATCAACATGATACATCATATCATCAGAATGAAGGACAAAAACCATATAGTCATTTCAATTGATGCTTAAAAAGCATTTAATAAAGCTCAACTCTCTTCATAATAAAAACCCTCTAAAAACTGGGTATAGAAGGAGCATGCCTCATCATAATAAAAGCCATATATGACAGACCACCAGCTAGTATCATACTGAATAGGGAAAAACTGAAAGCCTTTCCTCTAAGCTCTGGAAGATAACAGAGATGCCCACTTTCACCACTATTATTCGACATAATACTGAAAGTCCTAGCTAGAGAAATCAGATAAGAGAAAGCAAGAAAAGGCATCCAAATTGGAAAGGAAGGAGTCAAATTATCTTTGTTTCCAAATGATTTGAGCTTATGTTTGGAAAAACCTAAAGAATCCACCAAAAAACTATTAGAACTGATAAATTCAGTAAAGTTGCAGGATACAATATCAGCATATGAAAATCAGTAACATTTCTATATACCAATAGTGAACAATTTGAAAAAGAAATTAAAAAGTAATCAAACAACTCTATAGGAAATAATCTAATAATCTGATTTAAAAGTGGAGGAAAAATTTAATTAGAAATTTCTCAAGAAAAGACACACAAGCACGGCGTCAGAGGGATGGTGGCCTCAAGCAGCTACTGCAGCACTGGGGTGTCAGTTGTTGATCCGACCAAGAACACTTCAGTTCTGCTCTGCAAGGATATATAACAACTGATTGGTGTGTCCATTTAATACAAGAATATGGAAACTGAACAGCCAGAAGAAACCTTCCCTAACACTGAAACCAGTGGTGAATTTGGTAAACGCCCTGCAGAAGATATGGAAGAGGAACAAGCATTTAAAAGATCTAGAAACACTGATGAGATGGTTGAATTACCCATTCTGCTTCAGAGCAAGAATGCTGGAGCAGTGACTGGAAAAGGAGGCAAGAATATTAAGGCTCTCCATACAGACTACAACGCCAGCATTTCAGTTCTAGACAGCAGTGGCCCCCAGCATATATTGCATATCAGTGCTGATATCGAAACAATTGGAGAAATTCTGAAGAAAATCATCACTACCTTGGAAGAGGGCCCGCAGTTGCCATCACCCACTGCAACCAGCCAGCTCCCGCTCGAATCTGATGCTGTGGAATACTTAAATTACCAACAATATAAAGGAAGGGACTTTGACTGCGAGTTGAGGCTGTTGATTCATCAGAGTCTAGCAGGAGGAATTATTGGGGTCAAAGGTGCTAAAATCAAAGAACTGAGAAAACACACAAACAACCATCACGCTTTTCCAGGAATGTTGTCCTCATTTCACTGATAGAGTTGTTCTTATTGGAGGAAAACCCAATAGGGTTGTAGAGTGCATAAAGATCATCCTTGATCTTATTTCTGAGTCTCCCATCAAAGGACATGCACAGCCTTATGATCCCAATTTTTACGATGAAACCTATGATTATGGTGGTTTTACAATGGTGTTTGCTGACGACCGTGGACGCCCAGTGAGATTTCTGATGCAGGGAAGAGGTGGTTTTGACAAAATGTCTCCTGGTCGGGGTGGGCGTCCCATGCCTCCATCTAGAAGAGATTATGTTTATATGAGCCCTCGTCGAGGACCACCTCCCCCTCCTCCCGGATGAGGTGGCCAGAGTGGTAGCAGAGCTCGGAATGTTCCTCTTCCTCCACCAACCACCACCTAGGGGGGAGACCTCATGACCTATAACAGAAAAGGGAGACCTGGAAACCGTTACGACGGCGTGGTTGATTTCAGTGCTGATGAAACTTGGGGCTCTGCAATAGATACATGGAACGCATCAGAATGGCAGATGGCTTATGAACCACAGGGTGGCTCCAGATATGATTATTCCTATGCAGGGTGTCATGGCTCATATGGTGATCTTGGTGGACCTATTATTACTACACAAGTAACTATTCCCAGAGATTTGGCTGGATCTATTATTGGCAAAGGTGGTCAGTGGACTAAACAAATCTGTCATGAGTAGGGAGCTTTGATCAAAATTGATGAGCCTTTAGAAGGATCCGAAGATCGGATCATTACCATTACAGGAACACAGGACCAGATACAGAATGCACAGTATTTGCCGCAGAATAGTGTGAAGCAGTATTCTGGAAAGTTTTTCTAAGACTAGTGAAGAACTGAAGGAGTCCTGCATCTTTTTTTTTTTTCAATCTGCTTCTGTTTAAAAAGCTAACATTCCTCTGCTTCATAGGTGTTCTGCATTTAAGGTGTAGTGAAATCTTTGCTGTTCACCAGATGTAATGTTTTAGATCCTTACAAACAAGGTTGGAGGGGGGAAGGGCATGCAAAAAAAAACTAACATTGATATTTTGAAACAGCAGCAGAGTGAGCCAATTTTATTTTTTGTTATTGTTGGTGGTTTGAAGAAATTCCCCCCATGTAATTATTATGAACACCTTGCTTTGTGGTCACTGTAACATTTGGGGGGTGGGACAGGGAGGAAAAGTAACAATAGTCCACATGTCCCTGGCATCTGTTCAGAGCAGTGTGCAGAATGTAATGCTCTTTTGTAAGAAACATTTTATGATTTTTAAAATATTTAATTAACCCCAAAAAAGAAGACATACAAATGGCAAACAGGCATAAGAAAAGGTATGCAACATCACTGATCATCACAGAAATGCAAATCAAAACTACAATGAGATATCATCTCACTCCAGTTAAAATAGCTTTTATCCAAAAGACAGGCAATAACAAATGCTGGTGAGGATGTGGGGAAAGGGAACCTTCTTACACTGTTGTTGGGAATGTAAATTAGTAATCTCATTTGCAATAGCCATAAATAAAATTAAATACCTAAGTATTAACCAAAGAAGGGAAAGATCTTTATAAGGAAAACTGTAAAACACTGATGAAAGAAATGGAAGACAACATTTACAAAATAGAAATCTATTTCATGTTTATGGACTGGAAAAATCAATACTGTTAAAATGTCTATACTACCCAAAGCAATCTATAGATTCAATGCTATTCCTATCAAAATACCAATGACATTCTTCACAGAAATAGAAAAAATAATCCTAAAATTTATATGGAACCACAAAAAAACCAAAATACCCAAAGCTATCTTAAGCAAAAAGAAGAAAACTGAAGGAATCATATCACCTGACTTCAAATTATACCACAGAGCTATAGTAACCAAAACAGCGTGGTACTAGTATAAAAACACATAGACCAATGGAACAGAATAGACAACCCAGAAACAAACCCATGCACCTACAGTGAACTCATTTTCAAGAAAGGTGCCAAGAACAGACATTGGGGAAAAGACAGTATCATTGATAAATGGTGCTGGAAAAACTGGATATCCATATGCAGATGAATGGAGCTATACCCCTATCTCTTGCCAAATACAAACATCAAATCAAAATGGATAAAAGACTTAAAACTAAGACCTCAAACTATGAAACTACTAGAAGAAAACATTGGGGAAAATCTCCAGGACATTGGTCTGGGCAAAAAATTCTTGAGTAAGACCCTATAAGCAGAGGCAACCAAACCAAAAATGGACAAATGGGATGATATCAAGTTAAAAAGCTTCTGCACAGCAAAGGAAACAATCAACAAAGTGAAGAGACAACCCACAGAATGGGAGAAAATATTTGCAAACTACCCATCTGACAAGGGATTAAAAACCAGAATATATAAGGCACTCAAACAACTCTATAGGAAATAATCTAATAATCTGATTTAAAAATGGACAAAAGATTTAAATAGACATTTCTCAAAAGAAGACATACAAATAGCAAACAGGCATAAGAAAAGGTATGCAACATCACTCATCATCAGAGAAACACAAATCAAATCTACAATGAGATATCATCTCACTCCAGTTAAAATGGCTTTTATCCAGAAGACAGGCAATAACAAATGCTGGTGAGGATATGGAGAAAAGGAAACCTTCTTACACTGTTGGTGGGAATGTAAATTAGTACAACCACCATGAAAAACAGTTTGGAGGTTCCTCAAAAAACTAAAAATAAGCTACCATATGATCCAGCAATCCCACTGTTGAATATATACCCCCAAAAAGGAAATCAGTATATCAAAGAGATATCTGCACTCCCAAGTTTGTTTGAGCACTGTTTACAATAGCCAAGATTTGGAAGCAACCTAAGTGTCTGTCAACAGATAAATGGATGATATGGTTTGGCTGTGTCCCCACCCAAATCTCACCTTGAATTTTAATAATCCCCATGTGTCAAGGGTGGGGCCAGGTGGAGATAAGCGAATTATGGGGGCCGTTTCTCCCATACTGTTCTTGTGGTAGTAAATAAGTCTCATGAGAACCGATGGTTTTCTAAATGGGAGTTACCCTGCACAAGCTCTCTTTTGCCTGCTGCCATGTAAGATGTGTTTTGCTTCCCCTTCACTTTCTGCCATGACTTTGAGGCCTCTCCAGCCATATGGAACTATGAGTTAATTAAACCTCTTTCTTTTATAACTTACCCAGTCCTGGGTATGTCTTTATTAGCAGTGTGAGAGCAAACTAATGCAATGAATACAGAAAATGTGGTACTTATACACAACGGAGTACTATTCAGCCACAAAAAATGAATGAGATCCTGTCATTTGCAACAACATGGATGGAACTGGAGTTCATTACATTAAGTGGAATAAGCCAGGCACAGAAAGACAAACATCACATGTTCTCACTTATTTGGGGGAATCTAAAAATCAAAACAATTGAACTCATGGAGCTAGAGAGCAGAAGAAGGGTTACCAGAGGGAAGGTAGGAAGGAGAGGGGAAGGTGGGGATGGTTAATGGGTACCAAAAAAATAGAAAGAATGAATAAGGCCTAGAGTTTGCTAGCACAACAGGGCAACTATAGCCAATAATAATTTAATTGTACATTTAAAAATAACTTAAAAAGTATAATTGGATTGTTTGTAATACAAAGAATAAATACTTGAAGGGATGGATACCCCGTTTTCCATGATGTGATTATTACTCATTGCAGGCCTGTATCACAACATCTCATGTACCCCATACATACACCTACTATGCATCCACAAAAATTAAAATTAATTGTAGAAATTACAATGCACCTCTGGGAAATTATAGAGAATTGGGAAGTTGGCAAGGGTAAGGTGAGTAACCCCTTGTTCTAATCCTCACAGTACAGGCGGTCCCTGACTTATTGTGGTTCCACTTATGATGTTTCAGCTTCATGATGGTGCAAAATTGATACTTGTTCAGTATAAAACATATTTTGAGTACCTATACGATCATTCTATTTTACATTTTCAGTAGAGTATTCAATAAATTATATGAGATATTTGATGCTTTATTATAAAATAAGCTTTGTGTTAGATTATTTTGTCCAACGGCAGGCTAATATAAGCGTTCTGAGCACGTTTAAATTAGGCTGGGCTAAACTGTGATGTTCGGTAGGTTAGGTTTATTAAATGTATTTTTGACACAATATTTTCACTTATGATGGGTTTATCAGGACATTCAGGACATAACCCCATCATAAGTTGAGGAGCATCTGTACTATCTTATTCTTTAACTGTGTCCCTGATTATTTTTAACAAGCAAGGAGAGGAGCCAGCATGACATCAATGATCTCAGTTTCAGGCCTTGTGGCCTCCTGAGATGAAGAGCAAGACAAAGTGAGCTGGGGGAAGATGGAGAGCTCTAGACTTCCCTCTGTCACAGGCCTATGAAAGGAAAAGAGAACAATCAGAGAGGAAAGAAGAAATAGGACAGACAGGAGCAATAATCCATACTAGAGCTGGTCAGCCGAGACCTTCTAAGACTGAGTCAGCTTCTTTCTGAACTGTTCCCAAACAAGTCTGCTAGCTATAAAACTCAGAGTTCAGGGATAACAAGTATTATTGACAATAATGTAAAACACATGATGCAAAAGTGTCCCACCATAAGGGATGGCTTAAATAAAAATAGTATATCCAAATATAGAATCCTGGAAGACATTTAAAAGGATGTTTAGAGGGCTATTAAATAACATAGAAAGGCATTTAAAGTCTATTTAGTTTAAGGGAAGTAAAAGGGGAGAATCAAAACAGGAGAGTGTACAACAGCATACACAGCATGCCTTTTTGGTTTAAAATAATATATGCAAAATATTAAAACTATATACATATACATGTGCATAGAAAAAAGACTGGAAGAAAACAACTAATAAGTAATATTTATTTTAAATTGTCTATATTTTTAAAATCACCTACAATGAGCATATATTCCTTTCATAATAAGGATAAAACCATAAAGGTGCTGCTGTTTTTATTTTATTTTATTTTATTTTTAGACAGGGTCTCACTATGCCGCCCAGGCTGGAGTACAGTGACATGATCATGGCTCACGGCAGCTTCAACCTTCTGGGCTCAAAACAATCCTCCCACCTCAGCCTCTACAGGCAGGTACCATCATACCTGACTTTTTTTTTTTTTTTTTTTTTGAGAGAGGAGTCTCCCTGTTGCCCAGACTGGTCTCAGACACCTGGTCTCACGTGATCCTCCAACCTCAGCATCCCAAAGTGTTAGGGTTGCAGGCATGAGCCACTACACCCAGCCATACATTTTTAATTAATAAAATGAAAGGTACGATCTTAGGTGCATCCCCTCATCCTCATTCCTGCTTCTCAGTCCCATCCTGTCACCACTAAGGATAGAAGAGAAGGGCTACATGTCTCCAGTAAAAGATAAATAAGGTATAACAGTTAATTATCCCAGCCACTCCTGCTGCAGGATAAATTGTGTATCGCAGTTACCCTTACTCAATATAGTAATATACGAAATGTCTACCTGCATTTCAAATTTCATTGCAAGCATTTAAATTACAAAAGACTGACACATTGGAAGAATGTAACTATCATTTTTATTCAAGTTGGCCAGCCTCTACCAGAAGACCTTCAGTTGTCTTGATACCACATTTTTTTTAGTAACACTCCAAATTTGGCCATCCCCTTCTAAAGCTGTCAGACAACAAATAGACATCCAAATGCAACGTGTGTCATGTGTATCAAAATGCTGGTGTCTAAGTTAAACTGTAGCTCTTAATGTGGCTAACATCATGGCTAAGATCAAAAGGAGTACTCCCTCTCCATCAGCGTGAATATAAACTAGGACAAACATTTTGGGAAACGATTTGTAAATATGTATTTAAGCCTCAAAAACTGACTCAGAGATTCCTCTTCTGGGAACATAATCCAAGAAAACTATTGAAATGCAGAAGAAAAAAGACATTGCAGCATTATTTATAATGCAGATCGATCAGGTGAAGTGTTTAATCCCAAGGATGGGATATTACACAGCCATCAAAAAATATGTTTTCAAATAATTTTAATGACACAGCAAAATGGTTATGATACGATTGTTATGAAAAAAGGATACCCAATTGTATAATCTCAAATATTTAAACAAAATGCATAGAGTAAGTGCATAGTGGAACTTTCCCCTTGGCCCTCCAAAGTTTCACTGAAAAATCAACCTACAAAAGGCAGATTAATTGGAGAAAAGGCCTACGAGTTTATTTAATGTATAGACACAGGAACCTTCAGAATGAAGAAGCATAAATACAAGAGAAATTGTCCATTTTCATGCTTAGGTTCAACAAAGTATGGGCAGCCTTGTAGAAATATGATTGATTGAACAAAAAGGGTACGAGCTAACACTAATAGACTGAGCCAGGAAACCCAGCAAGGCCTGTGTGTCTAGATTCCTCTTGGCCTCACTGAGCAGTATGCCTTCCTTCTGGGTGTGGGGCAGGACCCTCTCTGGAATGGGGTCTTATGACCTCCACCAAACAAGGTAGGTCAGATAATTTATTTATGGCGAGTTTTTACACAGAAAGAAGTGGGGAAAGTTAGAGTAATATTTTTAAGTTTTATGTCTGGCTTTGAGGAAAAGGGGTTCTGGTTTCTATGACCCATGTTGGGGCAGAGGGATTCTAGTTCCTATGGCTAGCCTTGGGAGAGAGTAGGACTGAGGGACAGGAAGGCAGGAGAAGGTAAAGAAGAACTTTTGCTTCTGAGGCTCTTTCTGAGGCCTTCATTTTGGGGTATTGTTTTATGAGCCCCAGTATTGGCATATGTGATGGTTAACTTTAAGTGTCTACTTGACTGAATGAAGGAATGCCTAGAGAAGTGGTAAAGCATGCCTTCTGGGTGTATCTGTGGGGGGTCTTTCAAGAGGGGATTGGCCTGTGAGTTGGACTGCACGGGGAAGATCTGCCCTCAATGTGGGTGGGCCCCATCTAATCACCTGGGAACCTAGAGAGAACATAAAAGGCAGAGAAAGGGTCTTTCCTCTCTCTCCTGGAGCGGGGATGCTCTTTTTTTACCTGCCCTCAAGACATCAGAACTTCAAGTTCTCCAGCCTTTGGACTCCAGGACTTATACCAGTGGCCTTCCAGGTTGCCAGGCCTTTGTCCTCCGACTGCGAGTCACACCATCAGCTTCCCTGGTTCTGAGGCTTTCAGATTCAAACTGAACCGTGAGCCAGGTCTCCAAATTGCAGACAGCCTGTTGTGGGACGTCTCAGCCTCCATAATCTTGCGGGCCAATTCTTCTAATAAATCCTCTCTCATATATTTATATTTCTATCTAATTTATATTTATATCAATATATAGATATCTATCCCATTCATTTTGTCTCTTTGAAGAACTCTGACTAATACAGCATGGAAGATGAGAAATTCATCAAAACATTAATCAAAGTTATCTTTGAGTGGTAGAATTATGGATGACTTCCATTCTCTTACCTAGACTTTCTATCTTTTCTGAATTTTTGATACCTAAGAGGTGAAGTGACATTCCTTAGTTCGTAGAAACTAGCAAGTGCCAATGTTGTTTTAAATATATTCATTCAGAAGTGGGCTCATAAACTGATTCTCTAGAAACAAACAAAAAACATCTTAATGTATAACATTTGCTATTTCCATGGTATAAATACTTCCACTGTGACCAATTTCATGTGTTAAACAGGAGGCCTCTTGGAGATGGGCTGGAGCAGGGCAGGGGTGGCGAACACCAAGAGCAAAGGAGCCCCAAGGCAAAGGGAAGCTGAAGGAACTGGGAACGAGTTGCTCACTAAGCACATCACCCCTACCCCCAGGCTTCCCCTTCCACTCTTGTAATCCAGCTAAGAGTCACTTTTACCTGTAGCTGTGATAAAGAACACTGACAAGTGAGACTTTTCAGTCCTGAAGATAGATTCCAAAAAGTTGGATGGTACAGAAGCCAAACTAAGGACCATGTGGGTCAAAACCTATGATTATCAGGGGTCACCCAGAGAAAGTAGATAATTATCAAAAAGGCCCACCCCCATTGCTTCTGATTCCTAGTATGCCTGAGGCTGGGCTGGAGAATGTGCATTTATGACAAGCTCCCAGGTGATGCTTATGTGCTGGTCCACAGATTGCACTTTGAGAACCACTGACCTGGATGGTTCAAGTTACCAGCAACAAAGGAGGAGGATTCCAGTAGGCGAGTGAGTGCAGGGAGTCCAAATATAGATTCAAGGAAGGAAGACAGCTTCTGTTCCTTCTCAACACACAATTAATACAGTAGTTTTCAGTTCATGTCTTAATAATTCACAGGCCTCTAAGGCAGCAGTCCCCAACCTTTTTGGCACCAGGGACTGGTTTCATGGAAGACAATTTTTCCTTGGACCTGGGGAGGGGGGTTGGTTTGGAGATGATTCTCAAGTGCATTACATTTATTGTGCACTTGATTTCTATTGCCATTATATTATAATGTATAATGAAATAATTATACAACTCACCATAATGTAGAATCAGTGGAAGCCCTGAGCTTGTTTTCCTGCAACTAGACAGTCCCATCTGGGGGTAATGGGAGACAGTGACAGATCATCAGGCATTAGATTCTCATAAGGAGTGCACAACCTGGAACCCTCACATGCACAGTTCACAACAAGGTTTGTGCTCCTATGAGAATCTGATGCTGCCACTGATTTGACAGGGGGCCGGCCTCAGGCAGTAATGTGAGCCACGGGGAACAGCTGTAAATACAGATGAAGCTTTGCTCGCTCACCTGCCACTCACCTCCTGCTGTGTGGCCCAGTTCCTAACAGGCCATTACCCGTCCATAGCTCAGGGGTTGGGGACCCCTGCTCTAAGGTAATTTTATTTTTTATTAGACTGGACATATAGTTAGGAGTTACTGTACATTTCCAACAGCCTTCAGCTTAGCAAGAAAAATAATTTGATATTTTGAGAAATGTACATAGGTAGAATGTAGTTGAGCCTCCTAGAAATAACGAGATTATTGTCACAGTCAACATCAGCACATGCAGCCTCAGAGAGACCCAGTTGTCCCAGATCACTCAGTGAGGCAATGTGTGGGTCAGGTTGGGTTGTCTCCTATGTCCCTCCTCCCTCCTCCCCACTCCTCCCTCCACCTCTATCCTTTCCCCCACAGGTCCCCTCACCCCTACTGCCCTACCAGTCTCACTGACTTTAGAGAAGGGATTAAGCTTTAGATTTTTCCATGTTTTATGTCCTCTGGCATTCTGGAATCTCTGAACTTCTCATGGTAATGCTTTTCAATGCTTGAAATAAAATACCCAGGATTATAAAGGAAACCAACTACACTGAAAGACAGTTATCAAAATAGTATTAGAAAACAAAGTTTTGATATAAGGATGTGTAGCAATGACAGATATCACTATATATTAAAGTACTTATAACAAGACCTAGGGGCTGGCCCAGTAAGTGTCAGAACTTTGAAGTACTGAAGTCAATAATAGTTTGAGATATCTGTAATAATTTCAATGTGCTATGGAAATAGCTGTGGTTTTTGTTGGTGGCAACATTATGGGTTTGCTAATGTTACTGTGGCTTGTCATCTAACTTCATAATTAAAGGACATGCCAATTTTCAGTTAGAGATGTAATTATTTTTTCCTATTCAAGTTCATGTGCCCTTTGAATTCTCAACATGTACTCCTTGGGGGACAGAGGGTCCATGGACATCAGTTAAGTCAGATTCAACAAATCTAAAGAAATCTTCAGGACACTAAAATTTATATTTCCATCTTATTTCTCATATTCTTTTAAAAATATGGCTACATGATTCTTTGCTCTTTTTTTTTATTTTAAAACTTGGAATGAGTTATTCTTATTCAGTAATTACCCCAGGATCCACTACATGGAAGACAAAACACACTCATATTCCTGTCTCAACAGGACTTCCTAATGTCGTCAATCCAGCTTGCTTCCTAAATAATATAAAACATCATTGGCTAAAAAGAAGTTGCATTTTGACTCACAGGCCTATCTTTTCAGAATCGTAAACTCAGAAATCTTGCCTGCAGGGTGCTGGCCAAATCAGATCCAGCACTAGCTGCAAAACATTTTTGGCTACTTAGAACACATTTTATTTCATTCTTTAATGCATCTTCATTAATGCCCAAAGTTTTCCCCACCCCCAGAACAAAAACATCACCCAAAAAACTTTATTCTCTTTTGGGAAGCCAAATGCTAACGTTCTCTATCATAGTTGCAAAGGTAAGAAAAAATTAACAGTGTTTATTCTTTCCCCGTCCTCTGTAACTCCACATGAACACATTGAGGTAACTGGAAGTTAAATTTCTACTTTTTAATAGTCTTGGGCATCTCTGTGGAGCGTGCAATGCCTGGGCATTCATGTTTTGTTTTTTTCATTGCATTCCCCAAGCTCCTGCCCTTTCAAACATGTATGTAAATGAGGGGGCCCAACGAGCTATTAATGCAAATTTCTTTAAATAAGAATCCTGAAAACCAAAAGGCTGTTGGTGGTTTCAGAAAATATCTTGCAGGAAAATGCTGTGTCCATAGTGAACTGTCACTGCCTGACCCTGGGAAAATTAACTTGTGTGGAGGGAAAAACAAAGAGCAGCGGTTGGAGCAAGACACCTCTGTCAGTCTCTGAGCACAAAACTATAGCTAGGCTGCAGGGGAGGAAGATTTTGAAAGGGGGTTAGGAGGGGTGCTGATTCTTTTCCTTTCCATGGATTTGAGGATTATTTTTTAACAGAAAATGTCTCCAAACATTATGCTTAATAACATATGAATAAATGTGTGAAAGGGTCTTCCATGGAGAGATGAAATCCCTCCACCTATCATTGGAACCTGAGACCACTGTGCTAATATCACTAGAAAGCCCTGAAACCAAAGGTTTCACTGAATCAAAGTTTCACTGGGCTTGCCCCACATCCAAGCTCTCCCTGCCACCAGGAAGCTGGCTCCACAGTTTGGATGTCAGAGCCACTTCATCCCTAGGGCTTTTCCTGCAGGGTGGAGGGACAGGATTTTGTCATTACCTGGAATCTGTTGAGAATTTGCTTCTCCCTCAAAAAACAATGTATTTTCACATCAGCATATCCTTAGATTAAGAAAGAGATCTTCTGTAACCAAGACCTTGGGAATCCAAGAGAAGAGAAACTAGCACTGGGTGAAGCAGGTAGGCCTCCATAGCTTAACCTTGCAGTGCCTCTGTCTCATTTGGGAAAGGAAGGATAACATTAATAGTACCTGCCTCATGGGATGTTGCGAGTAGCTTTCAATGCAGGGTTGAGAAGTGTCTGGAAGAAGCCAGTGAATTTTATGATGTCTTTTAACCCAGCCCCAAACACCTGAAAACACATACCTTTATGGAAAATTATTAATTTTGTGAACATGTATCAGTTGCCTAAAAAGTATAGGACCTTGTCCATTAGGAGCACTTGGTCATTTTTCCAGAAACCACATTTCAAAACTTTTCAAAGTGGTAGAAAAGGAGCACAAATGCTTCTGGGAATTCTCCCTCTTGTCTGAAACCACAGGCAGCTGCCAGCCCGCAATCCCAACACTGCCACCCTAAAAGGGTCTTGGGGAACCCACCCCAACAACACTCTGGTTTGTGGATGAGATGCTGAAGACCGGCAACACCTACCTGTCCACGGTCACCCAGCAGAGCCCACTCCAGAGCTCAGTGACCCTCACCCCCAGCCCAGACCTCACCTTTAGCTTCACAGGGCCCTCAAAACTGTAAGGTGACCCTGATTCTCCACCCTCCCTTCCAAGTGCATTCCAGAGCTGCTGACAGTTGAAGATGCAGTGCAAACCTCTGAGTTGCCTTTGAATTTAGTCTCTTGAAGCCATCTGAACTCAGAAGCTAGAATTAGAAACTAGAAAGTCAGAGGTTTGAGGGAGAAATTTTCCCTGAGAATGGTCAGCCTGAATTTATTATTAAGGTCCCAGTAATTCTCTTTACCTCTCTCAATATATTTCACTGCTCCATTAATTTTAGTACTTTTGAAAGGTCTAAATGCAACCCTGGATCTCAATTCCAAGTAGCCCTTTAAGGAACAGCAACCCTGAGAAGGCAAGGTACTTATCTACAGTTGGCTTCGACCATATGTGAGGTACATGTTCACCGTCAGCCCAACCCAAAACCCAAACATCATCACACAGCTGCCAGCCTCTAAATTCACACACCAAAGTCCAGACAAATGCTTAGGGGCCCACCACATAAATTCATACTCTACACACTGGCCTCAAACACATACACACACCTGGCATGCTCTATACACACAAACCCTACATACACATATATGCACCATGATTGACCTAACTAAACATGTGCTAACACACACACACATGAATATTACGTGTGCACGCACATGCACACATACACACACATTCTCATTCTGTCTCTCTTGCTCTCTCTTACTTTGTTCCCTGCCTGATTGCTAATCCTCCAAGTCTTGGCTTTGTGACACTGAACTTCAACTCTCAGGCCTACTTCTGGTGCTGTGCATTTGGCATTTACTCTTGGATCCAACTTTGAACATGAGCTGACTCTATTGGTCTTTAACATAACTTGCTTTACTTCTCATGAGATCTGCAACCTGAATCTGCAACATCCATGCTCTAGCTCAGACCTCTGAGGAATCCAAATTCTGACACCTCCCATTTAATCAGAGATCCAACCCAACCAACCCAACCAGCCCAGTATGGGGCAGCCCCTCTTCTTCCACCACCACCTCGTTCCCAAAGCAGGAGGACAGGGTGAATTGATTAGGCAGCACAGCCCCAAAGGACATCAGAGCATAAAACGTACCTACTTGAGCCAGTTGCTCCATTCAGTTAGCCTGGAATTCCACATCTACAGGGTGGCTCTGAGTGATCTCGTCACAGGAATACACAGTCACTGCCTCACTTCACCCCTTAAAAGAAGCCATAAAGGCTGGGTGCGGTGGCTCACACCTGTAATCCCGGCACTTTGGGAGGCCAAGGTGGGCAAATCATGAGGTCAGGATTTTGAGACCAGCCTGACCAACATGGTGAAACCCCGTCTCTACTAAAAATACAAAAATTAGCCAGGCATGGTTGTGCATGCCTGTAGTCCCAGCTACTCTGGAGGCTGAGGCAGGAGAATCGCTTGAACCCCAGGAGGTGGAGGTTGCAGTGAACCAAGATTGCACCACTGCACTCCAGCCTGGGCGACAGAGCAAGACTCCATCTCAAAAAAAAAAGCCATAAGGAATTGACCCATCCTTGAATGTCTTGAGCTTATTTCAGACACTGGGAGTTTTTGTTTTTTGTCAGAGACCAGCTTGGCACCCTGACTTTCCCTTGGCATGTTCTACAGACAGTGTGGCAGCCATCCACAGCAGCCAAGAACAGCCTGGCACAATCCCTCCCAACCTCCCTGGCTGCAGCTGCCACCAGAACTACTGACCAGGCAGAGTGTGGCTGTGCTGGGCATGCCCTTAAGACACCCACTGCCCATCCATGTCTTGATTTTGTCCTTATTTCCCAACCACATGGTCTAGTTCAGGGCACTGCACATTATTGAGATCTCCAAGAATGTTACCAACTGAAGTTTGGCTACTTTTTCCTCTATTGTTTTCACACAGTTTTGTTCTTGAACCCAGACAAGGGGGAGGGTAGAGGCAGGGGGAGTGATCTTGGATCCCACACGGAGAACATTCATTTCCAGTGACGCCTCTGCTGCCCACTCTTAAACCCACTCCCAGAAGAAAACAGAGACTGGAGCCCAAGTTCTACAAAACAGCCATGGGCATTTCACATGCACACAAGTGACTCACCCTCCCCCACAGACTCCGCAGTCATCTTAATAGCCCATGACCTCATTTTAATTGAAACCCATCCATTGCTGCAATGAATGAAAATGGACTTGGGAAGAGCAGCCCAATACCATTCTCCTTTCTTGCTCCTGTCTCTGACCAGAAAGAGTTATTGATGCAGGGGAGCCACAGTGGATTAGTTAGCAGTTAGCCCCCAAGACAAGCGGCTGTCATCCCCAGACTGCCATAACCTCTAGCTGAAATGAAACCCAGGAGAGACTCAGGACTGGGTATATTGATGAATTGATACTTTGCCAAGTAATTAGAAAACAAACTTTAGTATCTGAGCTCAAACATAATGGTAATATTTTATTTTTGTTGACTGTTATATAGAATTGTACATGCAGCTATACATACATAAACATATAGATGAATTTTAATTGCCTGTGTTCTGCCTATTTACAAAAAGATTTGAAATGGCTGAAAGCTATATACAAGACAAAAGTATATTTTTATTTATTTTTATTTTTTATTTTTATTTTTTACTACTTTCAACTTTTATCTTAGATTCAGGGGTATATGTGCATGTTTATTAACTGGGTATGTTGCATGATGCTAAAGTTTGGGGTATGATTGATCCTGTCACCCAGATAATGACCATAGTACCCAAGAGTGAGTTTTTTAACCCTTCTCCTGATCCCTCCTTCCCACCTCTAGTAGTCCCTAGTGTCTATTGTTGCCATCTTTATGTCCATGAGTACTCAATGTTTAGCTCCCACTTATAAGTGAGAACATGCTTATTTGGATTTCTGTTCCTCTGATAATTTGCTTAGGATAATGGCCTCCAGCTGCATCCATATTCCTGCAAATGACATGACTTCATTCCTTTTTATGGCTGTATAGTATTCCATGGTGTATATGTATAAGAGTTTCTTTATCCAGCCCACTGCTGATGAGCACCTAGGTTGATTCCATGTCTTTGCTACTGTGAATAGTGCTGCAATGAACATACAAGATGTGTCTTTGGTTGAACAATTTATTTTCGAAATTATATTTTTTAAAAGAGTAATGAAACAATTCAAATGTCTATCCACTGCTAAATGGATATAGCCATCAAAGTGGAATATTATTCAGCCATAAAAATCTGTATAGTACTGATACATGTTACAACATGGATGAACCTTGAAAGCATTGTACTAAATGAAAGAAGCCAGACACAAATATGTGTATGATTCTGTTTATAATTGACTAATGGGATCTAATTAAACTAAAGAGCTTCTGCACAGCAAAAGAAACTAACATCAGAGTGAACAAGCAACTACAGAATGGGAGAAAATTTTTGCAATCTACCACCTGACAAAGGGCTAATATCCAGAATCTACAAGGAACTTAAACAAATTACAAGAAAAAAACAAACAATCCCATCAAAAAGTGGGCAAAGGATATGAACAGACATTTCTCAAAGAAGACATTTATGTGGCCAACAAATATATGAAAAACAGCTCATCATCACTGGGCATTAGAGAAATGTAAATCAAAACCACAGTGAGATACCATCTCATGCCAGTTAGAATGGCGATCATTAATAAGTCTGGAAACAACAGATGCTGGTGAGGCTGTGGAGAAATAGGAACACTTTTACACTATTGGTGGGAGTTTAAATTAGTTCAACCACTGTGGAAGACAGTATGGCAATTCCTCAAGGATCTAGAACCAGAAATACCATTTGACCCAGCAATCTCATTACTGGGTATATACACAAAGGATTAGAAATCATTCTACTATAAAGACACATGCACATGATGTTTATTGCAGCACTATTTACAATAGCAAAGACTTGGAACCAACCCAAATGTCCATCAATAATAGACTGGATAAAGAAAATGTGTCATATATACACCATGGAATACTATGCAGCCATAAAAAAGAATGAGTTCATGTCCTTTGCAGGGACATGGATGAAGCTGGAAACCATCATCCTCAGCAAACTAACACAGGAACGGAAAACCAAACACCACATGTTCTCACTCATAGTGGGAGTTGAACAATGAGAACACATGGACACAGGGAAGGGAACATCACACACCAAAACCTGTCAGGGGGTGGAACGCAAGGGGAGGGAGAGCATTAGAACAAACATCTAATGCACGTGGGGCTTAAAACCCAGATGGTTGATGGGTGCAGCAAACCATCATGGCACATATGCATATCTATGTAACAAACCTGCACATTCTGCACATGTATCCCAGAACTTAAAGTAAATAAAGTAAAAGTCCAGAATTGGCAAATCCATAGGGATAAATAGCTGTTACTGGTTGCTGAGGACTTGGTTGGGAGGGGAAATGGGGAATGACTGTTTAATTTTTAAAAGGTTTCTTTTTGGGGTGACAAAAATGTTCTAGAATCAGATACTAGTGGCACTTGCACAACATTGTGAATGTACTAAAAGCCACTGAATTGTACCCTTTAAAATGGTTTAAATGGTGAATTTAATGCTATATGAATTTTACCCCCAAAATAATTTTTAATAGTCATCAGGCATGACAGAGAAACAAAAGGCAAGACATTAATATGAAGCCTGGTAGAGGGGGGAGTAGTGATTATTACACAAGTGCAAACCACAGTTATAAGGAGTGGGCTGCACTGATTCAGCCATGATTCCCAGAAGAGAGAGCAGACCAAGAAATCCAATCAGTTAGGAGACCCCCATTTTCCACAAGATAAGAGCAAACCAGTTAGTGAGGAGAAGCACAGGTCTCCCAGAAGTGGGATACAAAGGACCCCGTTCTATGAATCTCTAAAGAGGAAGCTCTATTATGTGTGGGGCTGGATCTTCCCAACATCCTTCAGCAAACACAATAGCCAGTCTCACCCACATCTCTCAGTGCAGGCTGAAGGCAGAATGCCAAAGCACCGTTCACAACAGACATGCCCATTATCAAACATCCACATACTGTGGCATAGTTCCTTTGGATTGTCTTTCAAGCCAGTGCCCCGAAGGATCTTTTCACCTTTATCTTCCCTGTATTTTTAAATACATGTCTGTATTGTATGTATCTTTTCAGCCAGTTTGAATGCTGTATTAGTAGCGCTGAGTATGCTTATGAAAATGCAAATTTCAGGACCTTATGATAAACTAAATGTAGATTCAAAATCTTTAAGGGTAGTGTCCATGAATATGCAGGTTAATAAACTCTCCAGTTGATTTTTAAGGACACTAAAGTTTGAGTAGCCCACTCTAGTTCCTGAGGACCCTGAAGAAGGCCACACCACACAGCCAGCCAGAGCAAGCTGTGGTACATCTCCCTCCTCTTTCCCCCAACCCTTCTCTCCAGCCATCCGAGGTCTCCAGTTCCTGTTTAGAGGTAGAATCATTTTAGGGAAAACAGATGCATGTGGTCTCTTCCAAGATCACCTCTTGCCCCTTTCAGAGCCTCCTGCTTTGGGCCTGACACCCAAGGGGTCTCCAGAGCCCTACCCTCAGAGGCAGGAGGATGTTGATAGGCTCATCTACCCCAAAACATTAGGACTCCTTCTGAGTACTTTAACTGAGCAAGGAGGAGTCATCTCCTCACTCCCAGTCCAGCCCATCTACCCACAGAAGTAGCTGATTCTCAGTGCAAAGTCCAGCCTCTCTCTCCCCAGCTATGAGGTAAGCCTGGGTCTGTGTTCACCACTCTTTGCTGGACAGCTCCAGCCAGAGGACCCCAGGGCACCTTAAACCCAACAGACCCAAACTGACCTATATCCCTCCATTATCTTTAAAGGCAGAATGGAGTGAATCTCAAGACTTTGTCAGGTAGGCATTCCTTCTGTTCCTTCATTTAGTCTGTGCCAGTGCTTCTTAAAAATTAGGGCAAAGGCTTGTACATGCAAAATCATGTACAATTTACTGAGGGGACTTAAGATATCTATTAAGGGTAATTTTGGCTCAGTTGTCTACCACCAAACTAAAGAAACTAACATACAAGTGATGTAACACCTTCATACCTATTTCTGTTTGCAGCATTTACCACTCGTGAATGGGTTTTCCCACATTGCTAAATTCTGAATGCAAGCCAAGAGCCAATTTTTTTTCTGGGAATAATCTGGTCCTCTTATCTGCCTATTTTTATATGGGATGTCTTTTTCTTATTGGTTTATAGGTGCTTTTTACATATCATGCATATTGGCCAGTTAATTGGCATACATGGTACAATTATTTTCTCCTACTGTATTTTTTTTTTTTTGAGACGGAGTCTCGCTCTGTCACCAGGCTAGAGTACAGTGTCACGATCTCAGCCCACTGCAACCTCCACCTCCTGGGTTCAAGTGGTTCTCCTGCCTCAACCTCCCGAGTTGCTGGGACTACAGGCATGCACCACCATGCCCAGGTTTCACCATGTTGGCCAGGATGGTCTCAATCTCCTGACCTTGTGATCTGCCCACCTCGGCCTCTGAAAGTGCTGGGATTACAGGCATGAGCCACTGCGCCTGGCCTGATTAATTTTTAATGTTGCTTGTACCACCTTTCACTATACCAACAAACATTGTTGTTGTTTTCATTGTTGTTGTTAATGCTACAGACCATTCATGTGCTCCATTCGTGTGCTCCAACCTTCCAGAACAGTGTTTGGCATATAGAACATTCTCAGTAGACACTTGTGGATTGAAATAAATGAATAAGCAAATCTGTGCTGATGACAGGGACAGGAGACAGGGAAATTCTGGGCAAAAGAGAGTGGTTTTCTGGCGAGGGCCCCACCTTCAAGCCAAAAAGCCTAATACCAGGGCCCAAAGTGAGAACATACATCCCTATTTTCCCACTTGAATGTTGCCTTTTCCAAAACCCATGGCCCACCTCGCCCCTCATCCTGTGCCCATAAAAACCCCAGGCTCAGCCAGCAGAGAGGAGAAGCAGCTGGATGTTGGAAACTATGGTTGGACGTCAGAGAGAGGCAGCTTGACTTTAGAGAGACAGCTTGATGGTGTAGCTTTGAAGACAAGTCCGGCTGGGGATGGCCAGACTCCAAGGGAAGATTACCTTCCCACTTTGTTCCCTTTTCAGCTCCCCTTTCCACTGAGAGCCACTTTCATCAGCAATAAAATCCCCTGCATTTACCATCTCTTATTCGTTCGTGCAACCTCATTCCTCCTGGATACCAAACAAGAACTCGGGTGTCGTGAGTGTGGGTGCAAAAGGCTGTCACACTGACCCTCCACTGAGCTGTTAACACTTAAGCCATCTGTGGATGGCAGAGCTAAAAGGGCATTGTAACACTCCTTCTGGGGCTTCAGGGGTCACGGGCACCCATCCTAGATGCTGCTGCAGGGCCCACACGGAGTTTTGCTCCTACTGGCTCCCAAAAGCACTCGCCCAGACTCCTGCACCCACTCACCTGTGCTGCTCCTGCTAAAAGGGGTGAAACACAGTGGGACCAAGATAGTGGAGTCTACTTCTTCTGGCACCAAAGCAGCCAGCTTGTTCTAACACCCATGCACTCCAGTTCCTGCCCATGAAGGGGTCAGGGAAATATCCTGCTTCCCTGATGGGAGATGTGTAAATATCACTAGGGAAATTCTCATGTTTGGAGGTGAAAGTCTGGATGAGAAAGACCTTGCTGGTACAATACTTAAGGCTGCTTTGAGATTTTTATTCTCATGAGCTCATGGGCAGCTGCTGTCTACCTCCTCTTTTCACAAAGTCTCAGCCTCCAGGAAAGGTGCAGAGCAAAAAGATGCCCACTGTCTGGCACAACTGCAGTCTTTTCTTGCTGAACTACTTACCCATGGGTCCTTCAGCCACTAAGGAGCACAAATGAAATTGCTCAGGTGTCTTGGAAGTGGCAGCATGTCCTCCCTTCCTGCCACGATCTCAGAAACCTAAAGAATTTGGTTGAAACCACACAAACAACACACACTGCGACCTGAATTCTAAACTTACAAGCAATCGCTTTATTCTTTCCCCTCCTCTGGCCAGTCCTGTTTTTCTAACCTGACTGGAAGCTTACTAAGGGAAATAAAGCCCACTACCTTTACACACCCACACCATGCTTAGTTTCCAAGGACTGCTCCAAGGGTATAGCGCTAAGAGCACAGCATTCGGAGTTATGCAGACACACTTTCACACCCTGGCTCAGCTGCTCTAGAGCTATTTAATCCTGACGTAACCTGGCTTCACTGTGCCTTGGTTTCTTCATCTATAAACCCTATTTTAGAGGATGGTTGAGAGGATTAACTAAGTAAATACATGTCTAGTTCTTATGGTCCTGGCTAAGAAAAAAACCCTTGAGACTTTCAGATAATCTGAATACACACTTGTTGTCTTGAGTCTGATCTGAAGGGAAGCTTTCAGTGGTGGTGCAAGAGGATACTGTAAATTAAATCTTCCATTCTAAAAAGAGATATGGTAGCTGAACACATACCTATACCCTGAGGGCTAATTTGGCCATTGTCCTTTTTACTTGAAGAGGTTGTTGTCCTAGATCCTATTTCCTGAGGCTTATTTCAGACCAACTGGGAAAAAATAAATGATGTTAGGATTTAACCCAGGCTCAAACAGGAAGGCTGGCCAGACCCAGGGCCACCTGGGGAGTCAAGGGGGTGGGAGCTCTGGCTCAGTCAATAGCTGTTCTAGGCACTCAGATTCTAGAACATCCTGGGTGCTCCCTGCTGCAGGCCTGGACTCGGGTCCTGTAGTTGTTTTTTGCAGTTGTTTCAGCCATTCCCCTGGGCTCCTTACCCTCAAGGTTATGGGTAGAGAAAAATCCAGGCCAGATTTTACCAGAGCCTTTTTCTCTCCTGGGTCAGAACAGGATTTTCTCTCAGTTTGATCCATTTTTTCATTTAAAAGTTGATATTCAACTTAACACAACGAAATCTCACTCCCCAGAGAATTAGAAAAATAAGCCACCCAAATCCTATTCAATAGGGTAAATATTGGGATAAGATAAACATCTGAGCTGCCTTAAAAAGACCATTGTATTCAAGCAAACTGCCATTTCCTTACCTTAAGGAAGGCTCTGAATTCAGAAAGCCTGAAGCTCTGAGGAGAGGACCCAGCTATCGTAAAAGAAGGTTATTATTATAGTCACCTTTAGCCAGAGCCAACTAGTGACAAGTTCCAGTTGGTTTGCTCATCCATTTAGGAACCCTGCAGGGTTCAGATCTCTATCCCTATTTCACAAAGGCCCATCTCTCACCCCATTTTCACCAAGACTTTGTGGCTGCCTCCCTCCCATGCCCAATGGATGGACCAGATCAAACGATCTGACACCATCTTGGTTCAATTGCCTTGACTTGCACTGGGGCTCAGAAAATGATACCCCGAAGTATGGCGCTTGAGCATGCTAAGTACTTTGAACTGAAGGAAATTGGAAAGCTTCAGAAGCAAGGACTCTCTGACCTTCTCCTGCTCTCCTATCTCTTACCCCTCTTTATTTTCCCTGCCAAAGCAAGTCATAGAAATCAGAATTCCTCTTCCCTAAGGTGGCTCATAGAAACTAGAACCACTTTCCCCAAAAGCAAGCCATAAAAACCTAGAAAGGCCACCCTCTCCCTTCTCCCTTGAAGACCTTAATTTCAGAGGTTCCTGACTTATACCCCAGGGGAGGGACTGTTACAGAGAAAATCCAAGAAGAATCTGGACAGGCCCTGCTGGGTCTCCGGCTTCATGACCATTAGATCACACCCTTTTGTTCAATCACATTTCTATACAGCTGTCCATTTTTCATGAAACCTAAACATAAAAACAGAGATTTCCCTAGATTTTGGGGTCTGCATTTCTGAAGGCTCCCATGTCACATAACACGTGATTAAATACATTTGTTATGCTTTTCTTTGTTAGCCTAGCTTTTGTTATGGTGGTGACCCTTAAGATGGGTGAGAGATCATACCTTTCCCCCCTACGCTTTGCAGCATGACCTTAGGCTCAGGGTTCCTCCTTTAGCTTCATTCTCTCCATGTCTGTCTTTGTATTTGCCACCTTCTTTCTGGGATGATAAACTGGTCAACAGTAACAATGCTGGCTGCATTTCACTGAGTAACTTCCCACATGGTTCTAAACCCTTTGTATGTATTTATATTTTTTCTTTCTTTTTTTTTTTTTGAGATGGAGTCTTGCTCTGTCACCCAGGCTGGAGTGCAGTGGCACAATCTTGGCTCACTGCAACCTCCGCCTCCCAGATTCAAGCGATTCTCCCGCCTCAGCCTCCCGAGCAGCTGGGACTACAGGTGTGTGCCACCACACCCAGCTAATTTTTGTATTTTCAGTAGAGATGGCAGTTCACCATATTGGCCAGGCTGGTCTCAAACTCCTGACCTCGTGATCCCCCCACCTTGGCCTCCCAAAGTGCTGGGATTACAGGCGTGAGCCACCGCGCCCAACCTATATATAATTTAATCCTATAAATTTCTTACTATTAGGTTGGTGCAAAAGTAATTGCAGTTTTTGATATTTAAAAGTAATAGCAAAGACCACAACTACTTTTGCTCCAACCTAATATTATTAACCACATTTTTACAGAGGCATAGGAAGTCCAGTAACATACCAACTTTAAACCCTGTGTTTTTCATCAAAATTGAAGGCAGACAACAGATAGGAAGGGCCAGAGAGCAGTCTTGGCTTTTTTAAGCCCATGACTATATCCGTGAACCCTCCTGCTGATGTTTTCCCAAAGGGCCTGTCCAGCTGGTGTTGATCAGTCCTTTGCTTCAGACTGAAGGGTGAAAGTCTGGAACAAAGGACTTTGAAAGACTTGAGATGTTAAAAAGGCCATTTGATCTCAGAAAGTCACCAGAATTCCAGAAATTTCCTTAGGGTGCAAAGAGCTGCCAAAAAAGAAAGAGGAAAGGGAAAGGGAGGGGAGGGGAGGAAAAAGGAGGGAAGGGGAGGGGAGGAGAGGGAACAGGAAAGGGGAAAATGGAAAGGGGAAAGGAAAAAGGAAAGGAGAAAGGGACGGAGGGAAGGAGAGAGGAAGGGAGGAAGGAATGAAAGAAAAAGTCTTCTCTTGGTTCTGGATAACATGGAGGTACTTCATGAAACCACCTGGGTGTTCAGAAGCCCCAGCCAAAGGCATTGTCCCAAAGGGGCCACTGGGAAGTGGAGGCTTCTCTATGAAAAGTGCACTAAAGTACAGGCTAAGAAGGTGGAGAGAGAGGTCACAGTTTGGTATTCTCGTTTTAGGGGTTGGGTGGTAGGTTTTTTTGCACTAGTTGTTGGGTTTTTTAAAGTTTCTCCTGAAGCTTGTGTTTTCAGATGACTATCTTCTGAGCAGTCAAGCAAATGGACAAACACATTAAGGCAAAAACAAACATTTACATAGTCAGGGAAGTCGTTTCTCCCAAGTCCCCTAGTTCACAGGACCATATCCATTTAGGAATTAAAACAAGCTGACTTTTTTTTTTCTGAGGAGAGTGGATTCTTTCCAGAATTCCCATATCTAGAAAGCAGGAGAGAAACAAACTTTAATGACAGGGTCCTTTCTTCCCTTTCCACAAACGACCCAATTGTCATGAGTAATGCACTTTTTCTGTTTGCAGCCTCATCATGATCCAGCAAATGAACCCCAACAATTAGCCTCTTCATTTCCATCAGACCATGTCCTTGAACTCCAGAAAGCTGCTATGGGAGCCAACCATATATATATATTTTTTTTAATTAATCTAGCTGGGCTCTGGCCAGTCATTAAAACTAGGAGATTAATCATTCCTTCCTTCTTCTTTTAAACCCATACAACCCATGTAGACCGAAAATTACAGAAAGTTCAAGCTGATAGGCTTCTTAGGGATCATCTAGTACAGTGTTTTTGAATTGAACCATTAAGGGGTCAGAAAGTCAATATAATGAGTTATAACCAGCATTTTTTAAAAAAAGACAACACAGAGAATTTCATGTAGTACAAGTGAGTATGGCTTCATGAAACATGTTTCAATTATGTATATGGTTCTGAGAGTGGCAACATAAAATTGTGGGCACTTCTTACTATGGGTCCTGGTCCAAAAAGTTTGAAAATCCTACCTCCCTGGTCTTCCAGATGGGAAAAGTCAAGCCCCAAGAGAGGCAGTGACTTACCCAAGGTTCTGTTGCAAATCAGTCCTTCTCCACCCACTTCCTGGCATGCCAACACCCCTGGCTCCCTCCCATGTGTTAGCACACAAATCAGCATGCATCAGGTCCTGCCTGGTGTTGGGTCCATCAGCATTTAACTCCTTTCAGACAGCAGGCCCTCTAGAAGGCCCAATGATACCCCATCATTTTGTCACCCCACAGCACTGAGCACAGTGCAATGCACCTGGAGCAGATGTTGAATGTCCACCTGGTGAATTACTGAGGTGAGCAGAAGTGGTCTCAGGAGGAAGAAAAGGTAAAAAAAAAAAAAAAAAAAAAACCCAGAGTGAGAATGGGCTGCCATGTTTGTGAGCTCCCAAACGCTAATGGCAATGATAACAATCGTTCCAAAGACGGCCGTCTACCAGCTTTTTATGTTCCCCCAGGAGCTGGGCTGAGCTCTGTGTATGCAATGCTTCATTCAGTCCTCACAACAAGCTGGTGGAATGCTACTGCCCCAGGGCCTACTGAAGTTTAGAAACCAGGTCATTTAGCTAACCAGGATTCAATCCCAAGTGCTATGGTTTGGATGTGGTTTGTCCCCGGCAAAACTCATGTTGAAATGTATTTGCCAATGTGACAGTGTTGACAGATGGTGGGACCTTTCAAAGGCATTTGGGTCATGAGGGATCTGCCCTAATGAAGGAATTAATGCAGTCTCAAGGAGTGGGGGAATGAGCGGGTTCTTGCTCTCTCAGGAATAGATTTGTTACCACACAAGCAGGTTGATATAAAGCAAGGCTACTCTCCTGTTTGGTCTCTTTGCATACACCCATTTTCCTTTCCACTTTTTACCCATGAGGAACACAAGACCTTCACCAAATGGACTGCCCAGTCTTGAACATCCCAGCCTCTAGAATCATGAGCCAAATAAACTTCTTTTCTTTATAAATTACCAGTCTCGGGTATTCTGTGGCAACACAAAATGGTCTAAGACAGGAAATCCCAAGCAATCAGGCATCAGACTCCATGCTTTTAACCATTGCAACCCACACCTCCTCCTGACGAATCCCTCACAGAATGTTAACTGTTGCAACAATGATTAAGCACCTAATGAATCTGTTGAAAGAGTGAATGAGTAGATGAAGGCAGAAGGGACACACTCTGCCTTGCTAAGAAGCTGGAGGCTGAACAGAGTACTGCTATGGGAAGTCAGATCTAGCCTGGAAGAACAAGCTAGCACACGATAAACATTCTTCAAAATGGGGGCAGATGCTCCTGGAACAGACAGAATCCAAAGCATTCCCATCCTTCCTTCCTTCCTCCTATTGTCACCCTTTGTGCCTCCATTGCTGACAAAACCAAAGACTGCAGCCATGTCCTCAGTCTAGTGGCCTGGAGTATGGGTTTGTAACCTAGTAAAGTCTCATGAGGCTATCCCCTAAACCAACACCTTTCCAAAATTCCTGGTTTAAAAAAAAAAAAAAGGCTTAATGTGAGGTTGAGCTGGGGAAGAGAAAACTAACTCAGCTTTTCATCGGCTTAGACTCCTGGGGTTGTCAAAGGTGGAGTGTCAAATTAAAACATACTGCAAAAATAAAAAAAAAAAAACAGAAAGCCTGTCTCTGAGAGAGAGAATCTTTTCTTCTTATTCTTCACTGTCAAGGAGGCAAAGCTGGTTTGATTATTCTTTTTTACTCCCCTTGAGAAATTCTCAATATGATTGGCAAGAAATCAGGAATAACAAGATAAAGTGGTGATGTAAATGCCAGTGGAAACAGTAGATCCATTGTGATGACCTTGTCTAAGAAGTCTCAAAGTGGGAAGAAAAGCTGGGATCTGGGCTTTGATGCAGAGCCCTTGCATGTAAAATTTACAGTATCCTTCTTATCGGAAATGCTTAAATACTTTCCCTACAGGTATTTACAATCTGTCTCAACATTTGGCTGACTCCTGGCAATTTTCTGCTTTCATTCACATTAACTATTTAAAGGAAAACTCCAGGGCAGCATTTTGAGTAGCACATTGAATTAAAACAAAGGATAAATTACCAAAGAAACATTGAAGGGTCTGGAATGCAATCATCATCTAAGAAAAAAAAAATCATTATTCTTCACAAATACAAAACAATGGTAAGATATTGACAGGGACCTAGAAAGCTGAGAAAACTAGTCCAGGCAAAACTGCATTTGAAATCACAATACTCCTCTCTTTAAAACTCCCAAAGCTCTGACATTCCATTGTCCTGTCTCCATTCCAATTCAGAACCTCTTTAATAATCACAATAGACACAATCCTTCCTGTGTCTGGCTTAATCTCTCCAATTGCAGTTTAATTTGAGTTTCTCATATCTGTGCACAATAGAAAGAGAAACACTATTTACTTGCATCATAAAATTTCCCAAGGTTCTGGGATGCTTTCCTGGAAGAAATCTCAAGACTCCTGTTTTATATTGTGAATTTTATTCCCTATACCAATATCCATGTCTGTTTTCACATGAAAGCACTGTTTTCAGCTACCATCGAGTCAAACGGACACACTAGGAAAATACACTGCACTTATGTAGTCACTGAATGTATCCCTCAGCGCACTGGCCCATGTCTCCCATGAAGAAGCCCAGCTCTGGATGAAGTCTCTGTCCTTCTGAATGCTTTCAGCTGCAAGTAACAGAATATCTCATTTACATTAACCTAAACAGTGAAGAAAATGTGTTGCTGCACATCAAAAATTCTGGAGATGAGTGGTACAAGGTTTTTCAGTGTGTCAAAAATGATGCCAAGGACCAGGCACTTGGCAGCTTTCCATTCTGCCAACCTCCTTGTGCCATGCATCCTCCCACAGGAACAAGATGGTCACCGTGGTTTAGGCATTCTGTATCAATGCAATAACATCTGGTGGAAGAAATTGGATGCTTCCTTTCATGAACCACACTTCAAAGGGGGAAGAAAACCTTTCCCAAAGCCCCCAGGGAAACTCCCTTAAAATCCACTGGCCAGAACTGGATCATATACCATGCCTTGGTTGCAAGGGAGGCTAGAAAAATGGAAAATCTGATACTTCTAACTTCTAAAGTAAGAGGTGAACTCTGCCACCAAGAAGTAGATGGGATGGGGACCTCACAGCCTGCTGCTAGGCAGAAGACCAAAAGGATCTTCCACAAAGCCCCTCTGTCCCATAGGCTCAGTCCTTGTGACAGGGAGGAGGGAGAGCTAGATACAACCACTTCGAATGAGCAAGACTCTCAAGGGACCCAAGCAAGTAGCCCTAGGAACAGTGGCTTATTTTTGTAAAATTCTTCACCCTCTTTTTCCGTCTCTTCTCTTTTTTGTTGTTTTAAACAAATGCTATTGTGTATATTCGAGGTTATAGCATGATGTTATGGGACACATATAGACAGTAAAATGGCTGCTACAGTGAAGACATTTTACTTGTTACTTTTTTTGTGACAAGAGCAGCCAAAACCTACCTATTTAATAAAAATTCCTAACACAGGCCAGGCGCGGTGACTCACACCTGTAATCCCAGCACTTTGGGAGGCTGAGGTGGGTGGATCACCTGAGGTCAGGAACTCAAGACCAGCCTGGCCAACATGGTGAAACCCCCGTCTCTCCTAAAAATAAAAAATTAGCCAAGCATGGTGCTGTGCTACTTGGGAGGCTGAGACAGGAGACTCACTTGAACCCGGGAGGTGGAGTTTGCAGTGAGCCGAGATGGTGCCACTGCATCCAGCAAATCTCCATCTAAAAAAAAAAAAAAAAAATTTCCCTAACACAATACAATTTTATTAACATTAGCTCACTACTATCTCTACTACGTATCTGCTACTTTACATCCTTTGACTTGCACCTCCCCATTTCCTGTCTCCCTCTTTCAGTCCTTTCCTGCACACTACTTCTGTCTCCCCATCTCTGTTCTCTACCTGGCACTAGGACCATGAGGTACTCCTGGAACAACTAGGATCCCCTCTTCTACCATTGGATCAGGGCCCAGCTTCAATGGCACAGCCCTTGCTTCACATCAAGGTCACCAACTCAGATGCCTCCAGGTGCATATTTCTGTGCACACTTAGAAATATTTTCCTTCCATGGAGAGACCAAAACAGGATTCAAAAATAAACAACAAATGACACTTAACCTCAGTGTTGGGGACTGACAGGGAATGTAGCAAACTGAAAAGTCACTCTGCCTTCCAATAGGGAGAGTGAAGTTGCCCTCTAGAAATTCAGACACAGGAATGCCAGATAATCCTATTTTTCTTTTTTCTTTTGTTTTTTTTTTTTGAGATGGAGTTTCGCTCTTGTCGCCCAGGCTGGAGTGCCATGGTGTGATCTCTGCTCATTGCAAACTCCACCTCCAGGGTTCAAGTGATTCTCCTGCTCAGTCTCCCAAGTAGCTGGAATTACAGGCATGTGCCACCAGGTTTGACTAATTTTTTTATTTTTAGTAGAGACGGGGTTTCACCATGTTGGCCAGGCTGGTTTCAAACTCCTGACCTCAGGTGATCCACCAGCTTCAGCCTTCCAAAGTGCTGGGATTACAGGCGTGAGGCACCGTGCCTGGCCGGATAATCCTATTTTTCTACAGAAGTTAGAAATCTCGATTATTTTTTTCAAAAAAAATTTCAAATGTTGGCTCAGTTTTTTTTAATGTGTAAGTCAAATACAATATGCACCTCTCTGCTTCAAAATATCCCCCACTATGTCCCCATCAAAGCATATGCCTCTCCCTAGTGGACTTGCTAGGTCTAGCAGGGCCATCTCTTAATGTCATGGCTTTTCCTGATGACTGTCCCACACCATGACCTTGTTCTTCATCCTGGGATAATTTTAGTCCATATTATTATTTCTGGCCACCTAAGGACTCTCAAGACTTTGACATCCTTATTGACATCACATCAGGCCTCTTGACCCTATAGTCCCTGGATCATGGCCTCATTTCACATTAGTATTTCTGGTCTGCTTTCCTGCTAAGCAGCCACCCAGCCTGTCCTTCCTAATAGCATCTTTCCACTTTGTCACCATGGTGACAGCTCTTCACCATCACCAAGACCTCTCTAGACTTGACCCCTCTGCCTTCCCCGTGTGCAGCTATTGGCAATGCAGACAGCAGGAGCACTCTGTTCTCTGTACTCCTGTAACTACCCTCCTGGTTTAAAGTCCAGGCCCTAGTCCTGGACCCCCTTGCCTGGCTCTGTACTGTCTGGTCCTGATCCTGGACTGGAGACATTGTTGAACATCACTGGCACTGTGGACTTGGCCCACTATTAATTCATGGCTTCTCACTTCCACTGAGCCCTTGCCACCTCTTGCTACTACTACCATCCCACAGTGGCTCCTCCAAATATTGGATCCTCTCCTAATCCCCAGGCCACCCAGAGTCTGCCACTGTCAGTGAACAATGAGGCTGAAGATGCAAATGATGTGCAGAGGATTGCCTACTCACAGCCTGCATGTCCTGAGCGCTCTGCAGTGTCCCATTTAATCGGCTCTTCAAATAAGACATTATCATCCCCGTGTATAGATGTGGAAACTGACAGTCATTGGAAATACGTTAATTGCTCACCATCAAGTGGAAGTGTCTGAGGCAAGGAGTACATCAATGGTCACTGGTGCCAAAGCCTCACCTTTTCCTTCTTACCTGCTGAACTGGCTTGGCCAATCTCCTTCTCCCCTTTCTGGACTCTCTATCTCTGCCCCCCACCCCCATTCTTTCTGCCTTCCCCTGTATCTCAGAGGAAAATTGACTTCTTCCTGGGGCTAACAGCCACACTATGCCCATCATTGCTTCATCTGTTTTCCCCTCCCATGTTCTCTTGGTTCTTGATTCTTCCATTTCTACCTCTCTACTCAACACTTCCCTGAATCCCTTTCCACTGACTGTTTTCGCTCCACCCACGGTCAAGAACCGAGATCCCTGTGCTGGAAAACCTTCACATTCTTCTCTCTACTACCCACTTATGTTTCCTCTGCTTTCGTCATCATCTACTAGGTAGTCCCTAAACAGATTCAAGCTAAGGTGTGAATGGATGATATCCCTTCTAAAAACTACATTTGTTCTATGAAAGCCTTTGGAACTTTACCTACAGAAAGAACAAGTTTAGGAGAAGAAAAGTTCAGAAACAATGAATTTGAGTTGGGTGGTAACAGACTAAATGGATGGGGCCTTCACTTCTCTCGTATTATGGAGAAAGTAGGGGATCCCCGGCTGGATCTCACACACAAAGGACTCATTCCAATTTCTTCCCAGACATGCTGCAGATGTTGATCCTCACAACCCATTTGAGGCAGGTATTATGGGCCCTGCCTTGCAGTTTAGGAAACTAAGGTCCGGAGAGATTAAGAATCTTGCCCAGAGTCACACAGCGAAGTAGTAACATAAACTGCGATTTAAACAAGTCGCCTGATTCTACAGGCCCAATCTTTTCATAAAGTGACACAATGTCATTGGGAAGTTCAAGGTCCTATGACTGTAAGTGCTAAACCAGACCCACAAGACAAAGTACTAAAACCCACACTCACTGCTTCTGAGTTCTACAAGTAACCGCTAGCCCCCTGCCTCCCCACACTACCCTCAGAAGACAAATGGCTGACATTAAAGGGCATGGTGGAGCTCATGGTCTCCTTAGATTTCCATCTCATTCCCAGATACAAACTCTTCCAGGTAGTACCTCAACCTTTAATTACCAGAAGATGGAAAGACCCAGGAGTAGTGGCCCGAGAAGTCCATGGTTAGTATGAATCAATCTGGGAGAAGACAGAGGCCTTACAGGTTGTGCAGGCCATAAAGACCCATGTGAAATGTTTGTTCTGAGATATTATTAGGACATATTTTAACATGGACCTAGCTTCTTAAAAATCCTACCTGTCCAAGGGCTGACAAGGGACCCCAGGGTTCATTTAGCCCCTGTGCTGATTAGGATTATCTGGCACTAGTCCAAAATGCACTGAGGGACCTTTTTTTTAATGACCAGGTAGCAATTTAGCAGAACTTGCCTTTACAGAACCTGCAAAACACAGAAAGTCAAAAATGTTCTTAGCATCAGTACATATGTTTTCATACTAAAAGCAGAAGCAGATCAGACAAGGTGTTGGAGCAATGCTCCTATTGCAAGTCTTTACAGATAACATCTTCAGATAACACTAAGAAACCCAGGACGCAATCACTGAAATAATTGTTGCTACAAAGCTCCGGGGCTATTAAGAAAAGAAGAAGGAAGAAAAGACTCTCGGCTGTACCAGCAAACCTTCAAGGCTCGCCTGCTGCAGGGTCTTCCAGTGTGCAGATTCAGAGCTCATTGCACAATGAGCTTTGTGTGGAGCTCACTGTTAAACAGGGCAGCTACTCCAGCAAAGGAACCACTGTCGGAATTCCAGCCTCCAGTGAAAGGGTTATCAGCAGCTATTGTTTTAATGTTTCTCAATTTGCACTGTTTAGGGGAGGAAATGGTCCTCTCCTTTATGGCACCAATTCATTAAAACATATTGGCCTCTTTCCCCAGGATCCAGAATAATTTGCCATTTATGAAATGTCCTCTCTTCATACAATCTGTGCAAATACTAAGTTATACATTTGAAGTTCATGACCCCTTTATGTTCCCAGCTCTCCCTCTCCCACAATTTGCTGAGCTGTAGGGCAGGAAAAAACCCCTGTGAAGCGCTGTGCGGGAGGATCCAGGCATGCCTATCTTCCCCTCCCAAACAAACGGGGTCTCACTGTTAGAATTAAGAATGGCCCATCCTGCACCACCCCCTTCCCCCGCTTCCACAATCCTGCTCTTCTCTAACCCCTTATTAAGGAAACAATGAGGCAAATACACCAGGATATTCTGGGGCGGACAGTGATCTCTAGCAATAAATTACTTCCTCACTTAGTGGCTTTTATGGGTCAGGGAAACCATATGGCCCATGCAACTGACTGTAGGTCAAACCCAGCAAATACGATGTTCATACATCTCACCCTGATCACATCAAAAGATTGTGGGGGAGTGCCCAATACTAAAGTTTTTCAGCCCCCCACACCCCATGTGCATGCAGTTGACTCTCAGTGACCAAGCTTCCTCCCTTTCTTGCTAAGTTGTCATCTCTATTGTCCCCTCTTCTCAGCGCTTGGCTTGCCCTATCTGGTTCTCCCTCTGCCCAGCATCTTTCAGGCACAGCCTGCTGCAGGGAATATTCCTTTGGGATTTATTGCCCTGACTGAGGTACTTCTCCACGTCTTTATCTTGCCTTCTCCTCATCTTGGTGACAGGAATGACACAGCATATGTTTCCTCTAGCACACATTTACCAAATTGGGCAGGGAGAGCCTGGCCCAGTTTACTTAGCCCCCATTCCCACTCTTTCACTGTGGGGGTCTCAGGGCCACCCTTTTGTGACACAACTTTGACTAGGACATTGCTTCCCAGCCCGCTGCTACTTCGAGGGTTCTGAAGCTGTGCTTCTCAAACTGGGGTTACAGATCCTCAGTCAGCAGCAGCGAGAGGCAGGAGGGATCGGGAGGTGCATGAAGCCACAGGATAAACCAGCCACTTCCTAGGAAGTGTCAGTTGGAAGAAGAGGAATGAAAGAAATGTAACCAGTAGGTAAATTAAAACATCTTCGGCCAGGCACGGTGGCTCACGCCTGTAATCCCAGCACTTTGGGAAGCCAAGGCAGGCGGATCAACTGAGGTCAGGAGTTTGAGACCAGCCTGACCAACATGGTGAAACCCCATCTCTACTAAAAATACAAAATTAGCAGGACGTGGTGGCACATGCCTGTAATCTCAGCTACTCGGGAGGCTGAGGCAGGAGAATCGCTTGAACTCGGGAAGCTGAGGTTGCAGTGAGCCAAGATAGCCCCGTTGCACTACAGCCTGCGCAACAAGAGCAAAACTCCGTCTCAAAGGAAAACAAAAACAAAACAAAAAAATCTTCATGGTCAGGTGCAGTGGCTCACACCTGTGATCCTAGCACTTTGGGAGACCAAGGCAGGAGGATCCTTTTAGCCCAGGGATTTGAGAATAGCCTAAGCAACATAGCGAGACCTCATCTCTGCTAAAAATAAAAAGTAAAAAATGAAAATATTAACCAGGCATGGTGGTACACACCTGTAGTCCCAGCTACTGGGGCGGCTGGGGTGGGAAGATTGCTTGAGCCTGGGAGACAGAGGTTGCAGTGAGCCATGCACTCCAGCCTGCGTGACAGAGCAAGACCCTGTCTCAAAAAATAAATAAAATAAAAACATCTTTGTATTAAAATAGGTCTGAATTTACCATAGACTGGAATGCAAAAATTTGTGTAAGTTTACACAGACTTTTCATTTGTAGAAGGCCACACTAGGTCATTACTCTCCCCCGCAACTCCCACCTTCGAGATGAGTTTCCCTCTTTTGTTCCCAGAAGTACGTTGATGAAAAGTGTGAGTACTGGGCTAGGCACTGATTCTCCATGCTATTTACTAAGATAATAACTGTTATTACTATTTCCTCTGAGGTGATTTTTCTCAAGCAATGTTATTATCACATTTTGGGGGATGAATTAATAATAATAATTAGGCACCCACTATGTACCTTTTCAAGGAAGGGATTATTATTCCATTTTACATTTTATAGATGAGTAAATTAAGACCCAAGAAAAGTTAAGCAATTTCCCCCAAAGTCTTTAGTTAGTAAGTGGAAGAAGCAGAATATGAACCATTTCTATCTGACCCCCAAAACTACTTTTTGTTGCAGTAGGAAAAAAAACACACACACACACACACACACACACACACACACACACACACACACAGTCAAACTTAAAAAAAAAAAAAAAAAAAAAAGGAGTCTTGGATAGCCAAAAAGTAAACTGCAGTCTAGGTTGGGCATGGTGGCTCACACCTATAATCCCAGCATGTTGGGAAGCTGATACAGGAGAATTGCTTGAGCCCAGGAGGTCAAGGTTGCAGTGAACTATGATCACACCACTGCACTCTAGCCTGTGTGATGGAGAAAGATTCTGTCTCTAAAAAACATAAAAACTATAATCTACTATTTATTGGGCACCTACCATGCCCGTTATTATTACAAATTATTGTAAACACTTCATAGATCTCATTTAGTCACAACCACCTTGGGAAGAATGTACTCATATTATACCCACCTTACTGATAAGAAAACTAAGTCAGAGTTACATTTCACGAGGCAAGGAACCATATCTGTCTTGTTCGCTGTTTTATTGTTGCCTTGCCCTGGCATGTAGTAGGCAATAATTCGGCAAATCATTTGTATGTTATAGTCACATTATATCTAATTTAATATCAATAAGGCCAAAGTGGGATAGGTCAACCATAATGAATCTTGTTCATAATTTCACCCCTAGTATCTAGCATAGTTTTGGCACATAGTATACATTAGTTGAATAAACTTATATATATATAATATATATAAATATATTTGCATAGTATTTAATTCACTATTAATATATTTACTATGTGGTGTTAACCTGCTTAGTATTAGGTATACGTATAAGCTGATATATTACTCAGGACTCTGGGTTGCAAATGACAGAAATTAAGCTTAAACTAGCTCAAGATAAAAGAAACAAAGGATGAAAGAAGGAAAGAAGGAAGAAATTGGCGCACATAACTAGACAGTCCAGAGGTAGACTTCAAGTAGGGCTGTATCCCAGGGCTCCACCAATAACATCAAAATCAAGACCATTTAAATGAAGTTTTAAGTTCAACTTTTCTTTTTCTTTTTTTTTTTTTTTTTTTTTTTTTGAGACAGAGTGTCACTCTGTAGCCCAGGCTGGAGTGCAGTTTCACAATCTCAGCTCGCTGCAACCTCCGCCTCCTGGGTTCAAGGGATTCTTCTGTCTCAGCCTCCTGAGTAGCTGGGACTACAGGCACACCACCAGGCCCTGCTAATTTTTGTATTTTTTTTAGTAGAGACAGGGTTTCACCATATTGGCCAGGCTAGTCTCGATCTCCTGACCTCGTGATCTGCCCGCCTCAACCTCCCAAAGTGCTGGGATTACAGGCATCAGCCACCGCACCCGGCCCTCAACTTTTCTTTCATGGACTCTTAGGTAGTTGCAAGATGCTATAGGTTATCATCCTTACAGCTAATATAGAGAAAAGAGAGTGCCTCTTTCTGTTTAGTTCTTGCGCAGCTCCCAGGAAGAACTCAGATTATACCAGCTAGAGTCACATGTTCATCCCTGAACTAATCGCTGAGGCTAGGGGAATAGTGCTCTAATTAGAGGCTATTTGCCTTTCTTTGGAAAGGAGGTCAGTCACATTTCTTCCCAAACTACATGAAACTACACGGAATGGGCTCCCTCTCAAAAAAGCAGATTTGGTTATTAGATGAAGTGGGGAAGGGAAACTGTGTTGGGCAAAAGCTCTAGCTACCACAATTCCCTGGCAAGTAAAGGCTTCACTTTCCCTCATGAGTTCTGAGGCTCCAGGGCTGAAACTTCCAAGCCTGCAGATTCCTTCCCCCTAGTCTTTTTCTCCTTCAGCCAGTGCTGGGGCTCTGGGATGCAACCCTAAGGAGTAAAGCACTTTCCTTCCTGCAAGTTCCATTGTAGTCCCCGCCCATCCCCAGGCCCACCCCCACAGATGAGGATGAGCTCTTCCATTGGTGTGCAATGTGGCGTGTCATGCAATTGTGCAGCAGGAGAGGGGGACCCATCCTTCCAGCCTGAGGCCATGCCCTCCAACCCATGGACTCATCTCTCTCCCTCACACGGGCGCTCCATCCCCCCTATTCTCGCACTGGATGTGTGTGGCTTCCTACTCAGATGCCATTTTTCAGCTGTTTATAACAGGCCTTTCCCTGTCACATGCTTAGTGTAAATCTAAGTATGCTAAGTTCATCAATCATGGTTCCATAGTGGAAATGAGAGATGGACTCAATCCTCACTCATCATCATGAAATTGGTAATGTGTGCGGAGAAGTCAGGTCCATTTATGAGAGGCTATGATCTGTAACAGACTAAATGACGCATTTCCAGGTGCTCCTGCAGGGTGGACAGGGTGGGGGGATGGGCAGAGCCATTGAATCCAGGTCAGCACTGGGTCCTCTTCCCCACACGTGGATTCTGACAACCACAATAACACTGAGCACCTCAACTGCACAAATTTTAAGTCGGACAAAGAGGTCTCGATTTTACATTCAGTGATGTGAGACCCTCCAAAACTACTTCCAAATCTCTGATAAAGAACCTGGTACATTGCTTATCAGAGTTTACAGTCATGACCTAAAATGCTCAAAAGTTTGGTATAGTACATGCCATCCAGGGGCTGCAAACTGGTGGTCTCCTAGTTGAATACAATTCACAGACATACATGGTTGGGTTCTGGTAGTGCTTACAAATAAGGAAATTTCATCTTTAAAGAATCCAGAGTTCTCACTTATTTTGAAATGCAAAACATCTACCCATCCAGGGCTGCAGTCCAGCATAGCAACTCTGAGCTGAGGCTGAAGCCGAGGTTGTTCCCCTTAGGCAGGTGTAAACTCACCAGTTCTCCACAGTCCCCACCACTCCCTGTTGTCTTCCACTTACATTACCCACTGCCTCCTCACAGGCATTAGCATCTGCAACTCCTGACTGTCCAGGCCTTTCATTTCACAGAGGAATCAAAAAAGGTCCAAAGGGGTAGAAAGACTTGCCCTATTCATAATGATATTCTATCTGTTTGTTGTTTTTGGTTTAGGGGAAAGGGGCTTCATAATATGCTAATTTTCTTCTTTTTGAAAATTATTATAGAATAAATTATCATACAATAAAATTGACTTGGGTGGGTATATAGTTCTACAAATTTTAAAACATATATAGATTCAGGCAGTCATCACCACAATCAGGACACAGAACATCCAACACCAAAAAGGCTGTCCCTAGCTGCCCCTTTAGAGTCACTCCTTCCTGCCATCCCTAACCCCTGGCAACCACTGATCTGTTCTCCATCATGAGAGTTTCATCTTGCAAGCCTGTCCTAAAAATGGAGTCAAACCTTATGCAAACCTTTTAAGATGCGCTTCCTTCATTTGGCACAATGTCTTAGCTTCATTTGAGGTGTTGCGTATATCCATTACCCCTGTTTATTGCCGAGTGTTATTGTTCTGTATAGATGTATCATTTGTAAAGGAAGGAAGGAAGGAAGGAAGGAAGGGAGGGAGGTGCCCTCTAGCACTTGCCAATTTCTGTGGTGTAAATAGTCCTGTCATGATGGATTTCTTCATTTGAAGTTCAGAGGGATTTTTTTTTTCAGAGATGGAGCACTGGGGAGCCAGAGATGGCTCAAACTGGCTTGAGAGAGGTGATTGTTAAAGTTTCAGAAATTGTGCCAGCTGGTTTTTAAACACAGCTGGTTATTAAACACAGCCATTAATAAATTAAATAAAAGGCCATAAATACTCAAAAGTCCTCACTTGCTCATTGTTACTGCATTTTGCTATTGTCTAAACTTGTGAGGTTATTTGATCTGCTGTGTGTATGGGGGAAGTACTATATAAGGACATGCAAGTGCATATCTCTTCCCAGCTTCGAGTTCAGTGACCTCATGTTGGTGACAATAAATCCATCATGACAGGACCATTCACACTGCAGAAATCTGCAAGTGCTAGAGGGCCCCTCCCTCCCTGCCCCTCTCCCTCCCTCCCTCCCTCCCTCCCTCCCTTCCTTCCTTCCTTCCTTCCTTCCTTCCTTCTTTCTACCAGTCATCAAACATTTACTAGCATGCCACCAGTGGGGAAAGTTAGAGCCTAGGTCCTCCCAACAGAAGAGGCCCACCACTGTCCTCATTTGGGCCACTGCATCCCCCCAGCTTGTCTTTTGGATTCAGGTTGGGTCAAAGCGTGTCTCCTTTTTGGGAGAAAGTGGGTGGCTAGACAAAGTGAAAACCTGACATACTACACTTGACCTAAAAGCTGCCAGAAGCAGAATGGTGCAGTGGGAACTGCCCTGAGCTGGCACGAAAATCCCAGGGTATTGCTCTGCCTTCTCCACAGAGGCTGTCTCCCCACAGGGACATGGAGCATGATTTTTTTTTCCTTTCCCTCAACATAAACCCTAGGAAGCCCTCTGTGGAGGCCAAAGCAACTCCATCTTGGATGCTAATCCGCCATGTTAACTTCTGATTAACCCCAATTTGGGGAAGGCCTCTAAGATTTCCAGTTTATCTATTGTTCCTTGTGTAGGAGCGGTACTTCCCATAAGTCCTACCCCTAGGTCAAAACAAACTTGATGTTATGGTACGCACCATAAACCTATCCTTTAAGAAGTTGTCCTACGCATTCTTTCCCTATGATATTTGAGCCTTGGGTCTAGGGGGTAATGGCACAGAGATCCACTATCTTGTCTTGGCACCGCCACCAGAGACAACACATGGCTTCTGTTCCTAAGTCCCTATTAAATGTGTCTTTCTGAGAAACTGCATTTGTCTGCCTCTTTCTTCAGCCTCTCAGCTTCCTCAGACTTTAGGGGTAGGTTTCATAGGCCTGCCTACCACAGAGCACCCTCCTACTCAAGTCCCACTTCTCATGGCTGGCCTCCTCCATGAAAGGAGGGGACTAGGTGGAACCAGTGTCCAGATGGTGATCAGCAGAACTCTAGGTTCAAAGGCTCACCTCCAGGGATCACCAGGTAGAGAGAGCAGGGATGAGGGGAGGGGGCAGGAGGCTCTGGACCCCCCACCTCCTACTTCAACTAAAGCCACTTCACTTGTGTGCTTCACTTTAATGTTTTATAGATGAGAAATCAAGGTAAGATTTCCTTTGAAAAAAGGTTCCTGTTGCTAAAATAAAAACTTTCTGAACACCAGTGACTAATCCTGAAGAATCGTGCATCTGGAAGACAGCGAAAGCCTCCTGACGGCTCTCCCAGCTTCGGGTCCTGCCTGCTTCTTCCCACCTTGCCCTCTGTGGCTCCCATCCCCGGACACACAGCAGTCACAGCGTTAAAATGCAAATCAGATCATGGCACTTTCCTCCTCCGCACTCTTCAACAGCTTTCTGTAGCAGTCAGAATGAAATCTGAAGTCTTTAACATGTCCTATAAAGTTCTACAGGGCCTGGTCCCCGGCCCCTGTCTAACCTCATGGTCTCTCTGTCTGACCTCCATCTTCCCTCCACGCCAATCACAGCTGACCTCTGTTGTTCCTCACAGGCTCAAGCACATTCTCACCCATTCCTCTGAGTGTCCACATGGTTTGCTCCCTCAAAGATCTAGCCAAATGTCACCATTAGCAATCCCCCCACCCCCCACCAAAATCCTCCTATCAAAACTAGTATCTTTCTCGCTTGAGCCCAGAAGGTAGGGGCTTCAGTGAGCTATGATCACGCCACTGCACTCCAGCCTGGGTGACAGAGTGAGACCCCGTCTCTTAAAAGAAAAAAAAAAAAAAGAAAAAGAAAGAAAACTAATATCTTTCTCTATAACTCTCTCCCCCTTAACCTAAAATATGGGTGTTTCAAGCTTTAAAAACTAAGCCATATTCAACATGGATGAACCTGAATTTACATTAAGTGAAATGTTCAGGCACAGAAAGATAAATACTGCATGTTCTCACTCATATGCGGGAGCTTTTGAAAAATGAGCTCATAGAAATAGAGCTCTAATAATTGTGATTATTAGAGGCTGGGAAGGGTAGAGGGGAGAGAAGATAGGAAGAGGCTGGTTGAGGGATACAAAATTACAGCCAGATTGCAGGAATGAGTTCTAGCATTCTATACACTGCAGGATGACCATGACTAACGACAGTCTAGTGTACATTTTCAAATAACTAGAAGAGAGGATTTTAAATGTTCACAGCACAAAGAAATGATCAATGTTCCAGGTGATAGATATGCTATTTACCTTGATTTGATCATTACACATTATATACATGTATTGAAATATCACTCTGTATCCCACAAATATATACAATTATTACATGTCAACTAAAAAATAGAAGGAAAAAGAGCAATGTTCCAAATAGGAAAATATATTATTAAAATAAATGACGATATGGTGCTTTTTAGAAAGTAAGCTGTGTTCATTTTAGGAAATGTAGACAATTTTAGAAATTAAAATTTAAAAATGAAAATAATCTATTACCCCAAACCCAGAGATAAATGACTAACATTTTGCTATATTTCTTTCTTTTTTATTATTTTTTAATAAAATTTTTATTTTGTAGAGACAGGGTCTTGCTATGCTGCCCAGGCTGGTCTCCAATTTCTGGGCTCAGCAATTCCCCTGCCTCGGCCTCCCAAAGTGCTGGAATTACAGGCATGAGTCACTGCACCCAACCTATATTTCTTTCTGGTGTTTTCCTTTCTCTTGATTTTGGTCTTATTCTTTTTAAATGTTAATCATGCAGAGTTTACACAATCAACTATATCTACAAAGTTCATTATGAGTGGCAGCCATCTCCTACCCCTTCCATTTTTCCTATCCAGAGCCAATTATATTCAATGACTATTTTTTTTTTTAATTTTCATAGGTACATGGTAGGTATATCTCTATGGGGTACCTAAGATGTTTTGATAACAGGCACACAATGCATAATAATCTCATCATGGAAAATGGGGTATCCATCCCCTCAGGTATTTATCTTTTGTGTTATAAACAATTATACTCTTTTAGTTATTTTAAAATGTACAATTACATTAATATTGACTATAGTCCCCCCTGTTGTGCTATCATATATGAGGTCTTATTCATTCTTTCTTTTTCATTTTTTACCCATTAACTATCCCCACCTCCTCCCTATCCCCCTACTGCCCTTCTCAGCCTCTGGTAACCATCCTTCTACGCTCTATCCATGAGTTCAATTGTTTTGATTTTTAGATCCCACAAGTAAGTGAGAACATGTGATGTTTGTCTGTGCCTGGCTTATTTCACTTAGCTTAATGACCTCCAGTTCTATCCGTGTTGCTGAAAAGACAGGGTTTCATTCCTTTTATGGCTGAATAGTACTCTGTTGTGTATGTGTACCACATTTTCTTCATTCATTCATCTGTTGATGGACACTTAGGTTGCTTCCAAATCTTGGCAATTGTGAACAGTGCTCCAGTAAACATAGGTGTGTGGATATCTCCTGGATACACTGATTTTCTTTGTCTTGGGAATATACCCAGCAGTGGGATTACTGGCTCATATGGTAGCTCTATTTTTAGTTTTAGTTTTGTTTTGGTTTGGTTTGGGTTTTTGTTTCTGTTTTTTGTTTGTTTGTTTGTTTTTGAGACAGGGTCTTGCTCTGTTGCCCAGGCTGGAGTGCAATGGCATGATCTCGGCTCACTGTAACCACCACTTCCCAGGCTCAAGGGATCCTCCCACTTCAGCCTCTTGAACAGCTGGGACTTACAGATGCATGCCATCATGCCCAGCTAATTTTTTGTATTTTTTGTAGAGACAGAGGTTTCTCCATGTTGTCCAGGTTCATCTTGAACTCCTGGACTCAGCTGATCTGGCCACCTCGGCCTCCCAAAGTGCTGGGATTATAAGTGTGAGCCACCACGTCCAACCTATTTTTAGTTTTTTGAGGAACCTCCAATCTGTTCTCCATGGTGGTTGTAATTTACATTCCCACCAACACTGGACAAGGGTTCCCTTTTCTTCACATCCTCACCAGCATTTGTTATTGCCTGTCTTTTGGATAAAAGCCATTTTTTTTTTTTTGAGACGGGGTCTCGCTCTGTTGCCCAGGCCGGAGTGCAGTGGCGCAATCTCGTCTGGCTGCAAGCTCCACCTCCCGGGTTCACGCCATTCTCCTGCCTCAGCCTCCCGAGTAGCTGGGACTACAGGCGCCCACCACCACGCCTATCTAATTTTTTGTATTTTTAGTAGAGACGGGGTTTCACCGTGTTAGCCAGGATGGTCTCGATCTCCTAACCTTGTGATCTGCCCACCTCAGCCTCCCAAAGTGCTGGGATTACAGGCGTGAGCCACCGTGCCCGGCCTTTGGATAAAAGCCATTTTAACTGGGGTGAGATAACATCTCGTTATAGTTTTGATTTGCATTTCTCTGATGATCAATGATGTTGAGCACATTTTCATATGCCTGTTTGCCATTACATTCAATGACTTTAACTGATATTCTTGTTATTATTGCCTCCAAGTCTCTAAACAAGAGAAAAAAAGCAATAATGTTTAGGAATTATCTACTGATTTCTCAGTATGGAAACTAAGGGTTTTGATTCTTTCTTCTTTCTGCCCCATCACACATGCACACACTTTCCATTCCTCTGTCCTCCTCATATATAGTATTTTTGAATAAGTTAACATTCAGTGTAACATAATTATGCCTATGCAAATGCAATCAATGAACCATATAGAATTCCATTATTACTTTTCCTTTCCAATTATTTCTGTTTTGCTGGAGTTACTCATTTTACTGTTTCCTATTTGCTCAGAGTTAAATGTTCGTATCAGTAATGAAACCCAAATTTCACCATTTCCCCAAATCTTCTCAATAGATACCATACTTATTATATCCCCCATCATTTCAATTTCTTGCCGTGCTCTCCAAACTACACCTTCTGACATGGTGCAATCGAGAATGTTCACCCAATATGTCTGGTACATTGATGACACTCTGGAATCTCTCTTCACCATCATCCTAAGGCTATTCTGTTTCCTGACTCTAGTATATTTATTGTTCTTGGTTTACTCCAAGCATAAGCTCCAATAGCTTCCTGAGAAAGGCTGCATGGAAGACACATTTTTTGAGACATTGCACATCTGAAAATACTTTTCTTCTATGCTCACAGCTGATTTATAATTTGGCTGGAAGGAGAATCTTAGGCCTGAAAACGTTTTCCTTCAGAGTTTCAAAGGCATTACTCCATTGAATTTCTGCTCCCAAAGCTTCTATTGAGAACTGAAACCATTCTAATTAATGATCCTTTGTAAGTGGCATATTTCTGCCCTCTGCAAGGTTTTAAGCTCTTTCTTTAGTTCCATGTTCTGAAAGTACATTATGATATGAACATAGGACTATTTTCACCCATTGTGTAATTATGATGAGTACATGGTGCCTGCTTTTCAGTCTGGAAACTCATATTTTTCCTTTCTGGGAATTTTTCTTGAATTCTTTATTTGACTGTCCCCTTCTCTTTTGTTCTCTTTTCTCTTTCTGAAATCCTTATTATTTAGACCTCCTGGACTGTTCCTCTCATTTTCTCATCTTTTCTCTCCTACGTTTCCATCTCTTTGTCTTTTTCACTCTACGTTGGGGAAAGCTTCTTCAACTTTCCAATTCCTTTACTGAGTTTTTCACTTTTGCTGTTATATTTTTAATTTCCAACTGCTCCTTTTAGTTCTCTGAGTATTATTTTTTTAGCATCCAGTACTTATTTCATTGTTGCAATATCTCTTTTTTTATCTCTCTGGACATTTAATGATAATTTTCTCTCTCCCTCTTTAAATTTTCTTCTCTTTACATAATCTGTTTCTTCCAAGTTGCTTTTTTTTTCTGTATATTTGGTTTTCGTTTTGTCTTTCCTGTTAGAACCTTTGTGCAGATGTCTAGTAATCCTTGGCCATCTGCTCATCTGAGGAACAGGGAACTAAAATGCTGATTGGTGACTGGTAGCTCTGAATACCCAGGTGGGACTTCTTGAGTGAAGAGTTTCACTATATGACATGGTGGTCACACTGCCCCACTTGGTTGGAAAACCCCAATATTCTTATCTTTGGATATTTCTCTCTTGAGATGGTCAGACTCTTCAGAGAGACTTCTCCAGTCTCCTGCTGAAGGTTCCAGGCCTGGATGCCATCTTTCTTGGGGCATCCAGTCTGCATACACTCACTTAATCCCCTTGTTTGTGTTCAGTCCTCCATTCTCAGCTGGGCCTGATGCCATCTCCAAAGAATAAAGCTCCAGTCTCTGCAGGGGTGCAAGGAAATAAGAGACTGTCTGGAGAGCTGACTGCTTCTTCGACAAATTCTCAACTGATCGTCTTTATTTCCTGCTCCCTTCACACATACACACACACACACACACACACACTCCACTCCAGATTCACCTGATGCCACCAGTTCCTGTACTTTGGAATGTGATTAGTGTCAACCTGGTTTACACTAATCACCTTTCTCTTCTGCCCACTTAAGATGTAGTTTTCTCAAGTTTGCCTTCCTGCTCCCAACTTTGTTACTGTTGACTTCTCTCCCCTTTTCCTTATCCATGAGTATTGCCTTCAAAAAGTACCTTTAATGGCATTCTATGATGTGTCAAGTAGGAGCAAAAGCAGATGTGTGTTTTCACTCTGACATCTGTGTCCAGCAGTCCATATTCTATGTCTACTTAATGTCTGTCTTGCCCTTCTAGAATATGAGCTCCAGGAAGGCAGAGACTTGTATGTTTTGGTCACCTCCATATCCTCAGCACCTAGAAGAGTGCTCCCGGCACACAGTAGAGCTCAGTAGTTGTTGAAAAATAAATGAATAAATATCAGAAGGAAAGAAATTTCCTCCAGTCTACTTTTATTATGTGATTTATTTCATCTTCATTTTCCAAGTTCATTATGACTTTTTTTCTTTTGAGCTATGTCCCTTTCACCCAAAAGACCTCCCACTTCACTGTTTTCCAACCTTTATTTTTTCCTGGCAGCTTTTTCTTTTTCTTGGCCTGCTCTTAACTTTTCCTCTCTCTTTCTGCTACCTGGCATTGTCTTCAGTCTTGTTTTCCATGAGGGTGGTTGATTTTTCACCCAGTAAAGCACACCCTTACATTTGTAGGCGCTAGGGGAACACAAAAAGAGGAGACTTGGTCCCTAGATCCTCTGGAAAAATATAACTTAACTCTTTTATAAAAATCAAGATTTCTCTTTGGTTATGCAGTTTGTATCATCCCACTACTTTTGTTATGAAATCAGAAGATTTTATCTAAATAAATAATTTTGACTACAATTAAAGAAAAAAAATCAAGATTTCTATTGAAGGCTCTAAATCAAGCTAGGTGAAGAAAAAAAAAATGAAAAGGACAACCAAATTACCGGAGTGCCTGGAGCAGGTGGGGTAATAAGACGAGATCTGGGAAAAGGGAATTTGAGGGATTACTGGAAGGGAAAGAGAACTAAGCTTCCAGACAAAGAAAAGCCAAATTAATATAGTGCTCACATTCACCCTTATCCTTCCATGCCTGTTAGTAAAAACCAGGGCTAAAATGGAAAAGAAGAAAATTGTTCACTTTTTTCTTTCATTAAGAAAATATTTATTGAATTTTCTCGTATGTTCCAGCAGTAGGTGTGCAAATCAAATCTTTTCCAATGACAGAGCCTAGTGGGAGATTCAGACCATAAATCAGAAAACAAACAAAATAAATATTTACAAACAGTAGCAGGTGCTATGAGGGAAGGAAGTAGGATTCAGTAACAGAAAATAACGGAGGGGATTCTTTAGATGGGGGTGGGCAGTGATGGCTCCTCTGAGAAAATATGATAAATATATCTTTTTGGATGCATTCCCAATATTTATTTCCCACTTCTTCTGCCGAAAGTACTGTCTATCCTCTGGGAGTTAAACCCTCCCCAAAGCCCCCATGTTGTTTGGTCATGCACAATTCCATCATCAGCTCTCGGGGCGGGGGGAGTGTCCTGATTGGCTTAAGCAAATTTAGTGCCTCCCCCTGGAGTGTCCCGCTCCTAAAGGGACTGGTTTAGCTGTGGCATGTGATACAGTTTAGGCCAATGAGCTAGAATGAATCCCTGGACTTCAGCAGGAACTACCAGAAGGGTCTCTCTTTTTCTCTGGAGATTATGAGGTCCTTCAAGGCATAAATGAAGCCTGTCTTGAGGCCAGCACTATTTCAGGATTTGTTAGATATATGAGTCGGTAGATTTCCTTTATTATTTAGGGTATTTCAAGTGGGAGTTTCTCATTTGCCATCAAAACAAAATCATTGCAACCGCCAGAGGAATGGCTTTTTTTTTTTTTTAGACGGAGTCTCGCTCTGTTGCCCTGGCTGCGGTGCAGTGGCGCGATCTCCACTCTCTGCAAGCTCCGCCCCCCAGGTTCATGCCATTCTCCTGCCTCAGCCTCCCGAGTAGCTGGGACTACAGGCGCCCGCCACTAAACCCGGCTAATTTTTTGTATTTTTAGTAGAGGCAAGGTTTCACCGTGTTAGCCAGATGGTCTCGATATCCTGACCTCGTGATCCGCCAGCCTTGGCCTCCCAAAGTGCTGGGATTACAGGCGTGAGCCACTGTGCCCGGCCAGGAATGGCATTTAAGCTAAAGACTGAGAAAGCGCTAACCAGGACAGAAGAGGAAGTAGGAGTATTCCAGGCGCAGGAACCAGCCCTGAGAAAAGCCTGCGGGGAGAAAAATCCTAGTGTGTCAGGGAACTAAGAAGAGGCCCCTGTGTGGGAACCACAGCAAGCGAGAGAGAGCTGTGGCCAGATTGGCAGGCAGGGGCCAACGCATGCCTTGTGGGTCATGGGAAGGAATTTGGATGTTTGGATTTTATTCTAAGGAAATAGGAAGCCCCACTCAGGTTCGTGTTTCAGAATGATGTGGTTGCTGAGTGGAGAATGGATTGGATAGAGGTAAGAATGGAAGAGGGATAACACAAAGGGGGCTCTGTGGTTATCCAGACAAGAGAAGAAGAAAGTTGATTGAGCTACGGTAGGGGTAGTGAAACAGAACATAACAAGAAGCTGGAGAGTTTTGTGGCCATTTATTTGTTCTTTCATTTATTCAGCCACAGGTATGAAGACTTTAGGTACCATCATACAAAACTGAGAACCTAAAGATGAAAGTACACTTTCCCTATCCACAGGGAGATTTCTCTTTAGAGGAAAAGTGCCAGGCAAAAAAATATAACAAAACAAGAAGTGCTGTGATGGAAATAACGACAAGATGCAGTAGGGACGTGGAGAATGAACCACTATGTTGGCCTGGGAAAATCAGCTATGGCTTCTTACAAATAGAGACTTGGGGCCAGGCACGGTGGCTCACACCTGTAATCCCAGCAGTTTGGGAGGTCGAGGCGGGCGGATCACTTGAGGTCAGGAATTGAAGACCAGCCTGGCCAACATGGTGAAACCCCGTCTCTACTAAAAATACAAAAATTAGCCTGGTGTCGTGGCAAGAGCATGTAATCCCTTCTACGGGGGAGGCTGAAGCAGGAGAACCACCTGAACCTGGGAGGTGGAGGTTGCAGTGAGCCAAGATTGCGCCGCTGCACTCCAGCCTGGGCATCAGAGCGAGACCCCTTCTCAAACAGAAAGAAAGAAAGAAAAAGAAATAGAGACTTGGGTTTGTAAGAGTCTATCAGGTCAGCAAGAAGAGTATATGCTTGGCAGGGTGGAATGCCTCAGTAGAAAGACATAGAGGCTTAAAAGAGTTTGTGCTCAGGGGACAAGTAGTCAGATATTTCCAGAACTGCAGTTGGAAGGAAGGACCATGGCAGAAACATAGTCCTCACCAAGCATTCTCTGGCACTTCCCAGCCCTCTTGCAGTTAGATGGTAAACTCTGGCTGATAAAATTCTTTTCAGGATAAGCACAGAAGAGTTCATTCCCTACTTGAGCGCTATCTTCTTGTCTCTTCCTCCTCCATGGCAAGGAGGAAATCTAGTGAAAATGGAAAAATCGTGTGGCCAAAGCAGCCTGGATCTCTGAGTCACTACATAAAGAATAGTTCCTCTGGAAAGTCAGCCAGACTTGCAGTGGACTTTTTATAAATATGAAATAAATCTTTGTTGTGTTAGGGCACTGAGATTTTGGACCTGTTTGTTAATATTATCATAAACCAGCCTGGCTAATATACAGAGTGATGAAGATAGGACCAGACAGGAGGGCAGGAGTCAGAACACAAAAATGACTTGACTGTCACATGTCCAGGTAGAAGACTGAACTTTATCCTATAGGGATTTAAGAGTCACCAAAGAGTAGAGAAGAGAGTGACATTATCAGGCCATTCTGGCAGTAGTGGGAGGGAGGGAAAGAAGGAGAAATGGGAAGGAAGGAAGGAGAGAGGGAAGGAAGGAGGGAGGGAAGGAAGGAGAGGGAGGGAAAGGAGGAAGTTATGACTCCCTTAAACGCCTGTCTCCTTCACTCTTAACCACTATGGATTCAACCACTGTCAGCGACAAGAGGACCAGAAAGATAATCTGAAGTAGAAAGTTTACTGGAGTCGTGGCAAAATGGAAAAGCATTGGCCCATGAGTCAGAGAAGCCAGGAGGGCAGATCTCGTCCCTCTGACTTGGCGAAGTTCATTGTTATCTCTCTGGACTTCAGTTTCCTCATCTGTAAAATGAGATCATTAGATTTTAAAATCTCCGAGGTCTCTTTCTATTTTAATGTTCCTTAACTCTCAAAAAGGAAACAGAAGAACGAGGAGGGAAAGAAGTAGGTAAGGAGTCCAGGTAGGACCAACAAAGGGAAAAAAGGAAGAAGGGGAAGTGGAAAAGACCAGGGTGTGATTGCTCAAAATGAGATCCTTGAATGCTTAGGTTACCCCCAGCAATGCGTCAGTTCATCTAGGCTGACATTCATTTACATGGTGTGTATTTTGTCTCAGATAACATATGTCACTTTTCATTTACTGAATTTGTATCTTTAGTTGTTAATGTTGTGATTATCTCTAATTTACAAAAATGTATCAGTGGATCAAAAGTGATGATGATGAAAAGCGTAACGTAAATATTATAACTCAAGATGATAACATCTTACTGTAAAAAGAGAACAGGTTCAAGGACCAACAAAGAGCAGTGAAGCAGTATTTGCAGGGAGAAGTAAGAACATGACTGTGATGATCTTATACAAGCTAACAAAAATGTAAGACTGTGAGTCAAGAATAGGAAGTATGACCAGAAAACTCTGAAAATTGGGTTGTATCAGATGGTAATATGTTTGCCCCTAGACCTCCAGGGTGGCATATGTTATAAAAATGTTTTTCAATAACAGCAGGAAGCCACAAAAGTTTCAGTGTCATTTTCCAACAAAGTATAGTGACTTCTATGGTGACTTCTCTGATGGAACAATAAAGTTTTGCCAGAACAAGTGCAAGCATTACAAGCGCTTCCCAATACAAAATTGAAGAATTTTGTTGCTAGAAGTAATGGAAAACACAACACTACAGAGACATCGTAAAGTAAGTATATGCCATGCTATTGCCAAAGAGCTTGTGAAACCAGCTACAAAGGTAATGATAAATACTATGGAGAAGAATCAGAACTACCAACAAAATTTCTTTATCAAAGAACATTGGTAGATGTTGCATAATATCAATGGTATGCAATGTGGGAGAAAGGTAGTATTGTGTCTGTGCAGAGATTACCCTTTATATGTGGACAAAATTCAGTTCTGGTGGAGCACATATACGAAAGAGAAACAGTTGATGATTTTCCCCCTTAAGACTCTTTTTTTATATAAAAAAAGTTTCATTGAGATATAATTGAATGATATAAACCATACAATTCATCCACTTAAAGTACACAAGTCAATGTTTTTGGTATATTACATTATTGATTTTTTTAAATTGTGGTAAAATATAAAATATAAATAACATAATTTTCCATTTTAACCATTTTAAGCATACAATTCAGTGGCATTCATTATATTTCCAATGTTATGCAACCATCACCACTATCTTCTGCAAGACTCTTTAGTTTCTAAGATATTATTTACCTCATTATTTATCACTGAAAATCTATGCTCTAAGAGATGATTTTCGTCGGGTCAACACTTATCTCGTGAGCCATGATGTAAATTCGGAAAGTACATTGGCATCAGTTTTGGTGAAGTTCCAACTCTGTGTGCATTAAGGAAGTCATTCCCTGTGAATTGAAGAGGGCATATCTGAACACCAATAGATTCACTGCTTCCCTCAAAGAAATCACTTGGCTGTCGAAAACATGCCTTTTGGTTTGATTCCATTTTGAAGGCATTCCTTAGGAAGCAGTCTCTGAGGTGGAGATTAGTATATAAGATGTGTATTAGAGAATAGGCTCAGGATCAATACTTGTTAAAGGGAGAGAAAGGAAGCAAGATTGGGCAGGGGAGATGCAAGATTGAGAGAAGGCGAGCTGCGGTACATCCCAACAAAGTCCTCAGCCAATCTTCCAGGGAGCTATGGATCTAAGGAAAAGCTCCTCAAAGTTTAACTGAATAGAGGTGAGGGGACCAAACCTATATGCCCCATCATTGGTCAGCTATTGGATGTAGATTTTCCCTTGGTCAAGGAAGTTTATCAGTCAAGGCAATCCCCTAAAAGGACTGAGAGCCATCTTTCCAGCAGCATTCCCAGCAGCAAGAGGAATTTGTCCTTCAGTCCTAATGGAAGATCTGAAAGTGCATCACATATCCAGTCCAGTCTGCCCCTTGCATTGCTCATATTCCACTCCTCTAGGAGGATTCCCAGAGAAAACTTAGGAAAGGAAGGTTAATGAGATGGGTTAGTCCCTGTCACTATAGCTTATCTCCAGGCTGCAACTAATATTCATCATTTCCCACCTGTTACAACCCCTTCTAGATTCCCCCCACCCTCAGCCAGTTGTTCACACTGGCTTACCTGGTGGCATGACCCAGACCCTCATAGCAGTCTGAGTCCCTGATCACCATGCCCTTCTCAGGCCAGAGTAGCTGGACTTGTCCATCTACTGTCTGAGTTGGGCAAGGGGGTTCAAAGAGTTATCCAAGTGGATCGCCTGGGTGCCACATTCCTCCTTGCCCTCATTGTATAGAAGTAGGTAGAAGTAGCCCTACCTCTCTCTGATGATCAGAGTCAACTACCTGTGCCAAGATGGTGACTTCTCTTCTCGTCTGCTGATTTCTTGGCTCAAGGAACCCTGCAGTGTGAAGGCAGCAGTCATAGCTTATAGTACAATGGGACTCTTGCTTCATACCCTGGCAGAAGTATTCATGATCCCCTTTGGGAGCCAAGATCTCTCAATCATAAGTCCCAGAGTTCTGGGAATGAGAAGCACAAATTTATATGCTATTGTGCCCATGCACAACCCCTGTCTCCCTCCCAGCCTCCATCCCTACCACAATGGCTGCTTTATTCATGACCCACTGGAGCAGCACTGGGGCAGCTGATGACAGAGGCTGGCTGATATTAACTGGCCAAGTCATTTTGTCTACGTGGTTGTTTAGTGCCTCTGCCATGGTGGATGCTCTCTAGTAGGCTTTAACATGAAAACCAAAAATATTCCCCCTTCTTTCTTACTCCCATAATGTCCATCTACATGTGTCTACCCCAGCCTTTCTTGATCCTGATATTCCAGTCTTTCTCCTCCCAGGTCCCTGAACAGCCAGCCAAGCCATTCGCCACTGATGTTGAGCTAGTATATATTCTAACCTCTGAACCACCTCTTCTTCCACACAAAGGTGTACCACTCAAAGCCCTGCTCACTGGGAGCATATTCCTTCATTACATCCTTCAAGGCTGCCCCAAGAAGGGCTGTTGTGCAACCACCATGATTTTCAGCTTAAACACACATACCAAGTCAAGCCATTCACAAACGAAGCTCAGGGTTTTTTCCTCTTCCATCAGATGGTCATAAAGGATCCATTTGCAATCACAGAAGTGAGCTGAGGGAGGGACACTGATGCAGTCATAGTGGGTGACGTGGGGCTCTGGGTGCCCTGACTCTATAGCTGTTTTGTGCCCCCTGGTCCTATTCATGCTTAGCCCTGGATGAACCACTTTCATGTTATTATATACTGTTATTGGGCCTTCCCAACCATATGAACCTGGCAGAATTCAGCCCATTTGGGGCAATTCTTGGTGTGCCATGTATTAAGCACACAGTCTCTAGTAGAGCCCACAAGCTATTTTTCAAAAGGGATATAATTTTCACTACAGATGGCATTTCCTTGCTCTAGAAACCTATTGGTCTATACTATAATTCTCCTATTGGGTCCGCCATAAACTCTACAAGGCATCTTTTCCTACAACTGATACCTCCAATACTGTAGAGTCTTCCTGGTCATACAGTATAACCCAAACCTGTACCTGCTGCAGAGCCCTTTTCTGCTCTGGGCAACAGTCAAAACTGGCATCCTTCCATGTTACCAGCTACATGGACTAGATCAGCACTCCCAGATACCGAATATGCTGCTTCCACAACCAGAAGTAGCCTACCAAGGGTTGTGTATTGTGCTTCATTCTTTGTGGTGGAGGTACATGACGCACTCATTTGTCCTTTTACTTTTGAGGGAATATCCTGGCAGGTCCCAGAACAGTAGCCCCTAAATATGTTACGGATGTGATAGATCCCTGGATTTTGTAGGGTTTATCTTCCACCCTCTGGAGTATATGTGTCTTACCAAGGTATCCACAGTACTGAACACTTTTTGCTCATCGAATCTGATTAACATGATTTCATTGATATAATGGACCAAAGTGATATTCCTTGGGATGGCCAGTTAGTTCAGACTATCATATGACAGAGGACAGGGGAATTAACATAGCCCTGGGACAAAACTGAAAATGGATACTCTTTTCCTTTCCAAGTCAGAGCACTCTTTTCCAATAGGGTTGGATCCTTTTTTCCAATAGGGTTGGAAAGGAAAGCACTAGCCAGACCAGTGACCACATATCAGATATCTAAGGCCATGTTATTCTGCTAAAAAAAGAAGTTGCAATTGGGGCTACTATTTAGTTGAGTTTGCAGTGGTCTGCTATCATCTTTCAGGATCCATCTGCTGTCTTCAGGTGTCAGATTAGTGTATTAAATGTAGTTATGAGCCGGGCGTGGTGGCTCACGCCTGTAATCCCAGCACTTTGGGAGGCCGAGACAGGCAGATCATGAGGTCAAGAGATTGAGACCATCCTGACTAACACGGTGAAACCCCGTCTCTACTAAAAATACAAAAAATTAGCCGGGCGTGGTGGCAGGCACCTGTAGTCCCAGCTACTCAGGAGGCTGAGGCAGGAGAATGGCATGAACCTGGGAGGTGGAGCTGGCAGTGAGCCGAGACCGTGCCACTGCACTCCAGCCTGGGTGACAGAGCGAGACTCCATCTCAAAAATAATGTAGTTATGATGGAGACTCCTACCCTGCATCTTTAAGAGTGGTACTAATATCTGCCATTCCCCCAGCCCTAGAGTGCAATATTATTTTTGATTTGCTATCTTGCCAGTGGGCAGGATGGAAAGAAGCCACTTTGATGGCTTCCACTTGACCTTGCCCACTACTTTCGCTTGACCTCTTACCCCACGGGCCAATTTCCCCATTGTGGGGGTTGTACCAACTACCAAGTATATTTACTCCAGTTATACTTCCAGGAACCAGGGAAATGACCACCAGGTGGGTCCACAGATCCAATGAACCCACTGTGAACCAGAACTGAGCCAGGACTTTATTCATTACCTTACCTCCCTACACCCCCACTCTAAGAGGGGGCCTATGATGATGGTTTAAGTCTTCAGTGTCCTAAAGTCTCTCACACTGAGTCCAGCAGTTCTCAAAAATGTTTGGGTCTTCCCCTTCCCACAACATAAAGTATCAGAATATACAGTCATATATTCCTTTGGGGGAAGGACTGGGAGACTCATTTATAAACAGACTTACAATAGTGTCTCAGGATACTTCCTCCTGGGGACATGAACTCTACTTCAGTCAAAGGGTTCCTGGTCCAAAGACTAACTCAGGTCCAGAAACTGGGCAAGGGATCATGAATTTTATTGTGGCAACATCACTCAGTCTCCTGGTCATCCACCCATGATTTCTCTTGAGCAGTACTTTCATTGGCTGGCCACCTATATTGCCCTTAGGGACACTGAGTTCTATTAACTATCTTCATAACCATCTACAGGTCAGGCCCTCTTGGATGCCATTTGACCTCGTTGCTCATTACAATAGTTGTACCTACCTGGCTTCTGACAGGTAATGCTGCCACCTGGCCTCTTATGGTTTTGGGTTCCTATGATCCCCATTGTTATCTGTGAACTCAGTTCTGTAACAGCATCTCCCTATTGTCAGGCCGGGGATACAGGGGAGCCACACCAATGAGCTTCTTAGCAATGCTGGTGCACCCCTCTCCAGCACATTCCTTATTGGAGTGGTCAGTGATGCGTCTTCCTGGCCCTTCTGTAGAACATAGTCATCTTGAAGGTTTTTCACCCTTATGTAGTATATCCTCTCTCATGTGCTTACTTCACCAAGCCTCTTAATTCCTTCTTCCACCATCTGCCACAAAAATTTTGTCATTTGGCCTCAATTAGTATTGACCACCACATTTTCATGCTTCCAGGAGCCATCCTACCAATGTGTTTGTACCATTCCCTGGGAGTTCTTCCCAGAGTGTTAAACCCTATATTCCAGGAGAGAACTCCCATATCAATAACCTCTCTTTTATCAAATGTATGATCTGCCCTCGTCAGTCCCACATCCTCAGAATCCAGTCCTCTCCTGGGTCTTGCTGGTCCTGCAGTTCTTTGGGGAGCATAGCCCCTTCCCTCTCTGGGAAGGACCAGCATGTCCTCAGCTTATGTTATGATTTAGCCCTAATCATTGACCTAGTGGACAAAAGAAAGGAGAGGGGAGATCCTACCAGGAAGGAGCACATGTCCTGCAGGGAGAAACCTCGATATCATCTTTAAGCTAAAAGGGAACACCATTCTTGATAGGGAGATATAGGCCACTTCTTCAGGTTCAGAAGGTTCAGGTGAATCTCAGGATTCAAGATTTTTGGATGCATTAACCCAGATGTCCCTATCCTGTATCTAAAAGGCTATTCTTTCCCAACTAAGGCCATAACTTTGTAATAGTAGACCAGCCTCAGTTGAGACTTTAGCCTTCCTTAGAGCTCGGCAACTCTTCTACTTAAATCCTGAGCCTGATCCTTGGCTCTTTCTCCCGCTGAAGGAGATAAAAGCCTCTTCATACGCTACCAAAGAGACTGTCTGGATTTTAAACTTAGATTTTAATTGCCAGTTAGTCATGCTCAGCTTTTCATAATCTTTTTCCAGAGCAAAGTTTAGTTACAGCCACCAAATTCCACTCTCCTTAAAGTTCCCATTTCCACCATATTTCTCAAAAGCCTAAACATTGCATGAGCTATCACATTCTTGTCCAGGTTTGTGCCATCCAAGTTCACTACCGTCAAAAGTTTTTTTGTGTGTTTTTGTGGGATTTCTTGAGACAGGATCTCACTCTGTTGCCCAGGCTGGAGTGCAGTGGCACGGTCACTGCTCACTGCAGCCTTGACCTCCCAAGCTAAAGTGATCCTTCTGCCTCAGTGCCCCGAGTAGCTGGGACTACAGGCATGTGCCACCATGCCTGGCTAATTTGTGTGTTTTTTGTAGAGACAGAGTCTTTCCATGTTGCCCAGGTCTGGAACCCTGGGGCTCAAGTGTTCCTCCCGCCTCAGCCTCCAAAAGTGCTGGGATTACAGGCATGAGCCACCACGCCTGGCCGGCAAAAGTTTTAGTAGCTATACTGCCACATTGAGCTCTCTGTGCTTCACCTACCACCAATGATGGGAGCCTCATTACCACCAGACAGCTCATGACCTAGACCTAAAATCCCATTCCAGTGAGTGCTTGATCCTATCTTTTCTGGGGCCAGCTATCACAGGTTGGGTTCCCCAACATGCAGGATGTGTTTTAGGGCTTCTTCTTGGATTAACACCTATGGAAAGGAGGGAAAGGAAGCAAGATTTGTCAGAGGGAAAATTTGAGCTGTGATCAGGTCCTAAGCTAGCCCTGTGGGGAGGAGTTCCTGAGTGGGGATGACCCTTCGGATGTGCTCTGAGTTGGGCTGAGGGGGCTGGGCCTCTCTGCTGCACAATGATCAGTCAGCCCCTGGAAGGAGGTGTGACCTTGGCTGAGGCACTTTTCTTCAGCCCAGGCATCCCCAGAGAGCACTGACAGCTGAGAGCTGTCTTCCAGAAGCATGTCCAGCAACTTGGGGATGGGGGAGAATGCATTTTTAATTACTGGAGGGGGATCAGGGCAGTGGACATCACAGCACCCACCACCACAAAGGAAATGGTGACAGCTAGGAACATGAGGAAATTGCAGTCACTGATAGATAGTGACATATTTTGGCTATTCGCAAGGAAGGAGGTTTTGAAATGAGAGATGAGATAAAAAATAATTTCTTCATGGTCATTTCTATGGTTTCACGTGACTTGCTATAAGGGCATATCTCACTGATATAGTCAGTATCTTGTACACACTGAACCTGCATGGCCATGAAAAGGATAAGATAAAGGGATTTTTTAAAGGCTGAACTACCGTGTAAACAGCTCAAAAATACAAAATAAAAAATTGATTTGTTCCCAGCATTTAATGGTTTTTCACACTTGTTGGAGAGGAAAACCTATTATGTATTATTTTATGTATTTAAAAACACACCTAAATGTGGCAATAAAACATAAATAAATACGTTCAGAGCCAAATGGAACCCAAGAATAGATTAGGAATCCATTTGCTGTTATCTCCTGATGTGCAGCATCCAGTCATCCCCCATTTGATGTGATAAGCTCATCCTCTGAGCACCTGACAAAGCACTGAACGTGGTCTTTAGAGAGAGCCCTTGCCATAATTTCTGGATCTGTGAAATCCAGAGACTAAACTATCCAGAACCAAATATATGTGCCTTTCCTCAAACCTTCATAACTGCAAGATACGATTTTCTAATTTAATAAAAATAGGAAAAGAAATTAAAATATTTAAAAATGAAAAGAAACAATAAGTATAAAAACTGACCTAGTGCAGACCCTGATCAATGAGTCAAGTGAATGACACAAACAGATTATGGATGTCTTCATGAGAGACTGCCAGCAATATTGTCCACCCCATTGCAACGGAACAATTACCACTTAATTTTTAACTTATTTTTCTCTTACGACAGATACAACTTGTAATCAATTTGTTATAATGTACCTAAACTGGTGGAGAGGGCTCTGGCACCAGCATACACACACAAACACACCCACACACTTGCACACACACACCCCTCTACACAACAACTAGGGCAAATATGCTTTTACCTCTAGTCTCTATTGAGGTTTCCCTATAGGATATGTATTTTCAACTGAAAAAATACGTAGGTTCTGTTGTTAAAATCAAGATTGAAGACCACAACACTAAATTACTTGGAGCTCTATTGTTAGGCTATAAATTTATCTAATTATTCTGTCCATTTCTATCACATTATCCTGTATTATTGTCTCTGTAGCTCTTTATTGTCACTTTCACGTCCACATATTTACTTGTTTATTGCATGCCTCCCCCACTAAAAGATAAAGCTCTTTGAGTACAAGAACCATGTCTCTTTATCACCACATTTCCATCACCTAGAACAATGTTAGGCACATGGTTCTTATTAACTAAATATTTGTTAAATAAGTGGATGAATGAAGCCTTTACTTATCCATCTACCCATCTATTTATTTATCCATCGTGTACCTACTCATCCATCATATGAGAAAGCCTGCATACTAGTGAGTTCATTTTATTATCTACTTAGTTTTATTATCTGAATATGGTTTACAGATTAAATAAATACAGTGTGTGAAATAATATTCTAAAAAAGTCCTAACGTGAAAGTCCATAGGCCCAACAAACTGGTAACTCAAGGAGTCACCTTCCACCTCCATTTCCCCGATCCTCCCAAGTAGTGATGACAGTAGGACAGCCAGCAAAAGAAAGAAAGAGGACCTGAAGCAGGCATTGCTGGGAACTTATTTGGTCAAACCTATTATGCTTTATGCTGCCTTCCTATTTTAATACCTCCTCCCAAATACCTTGTTAACCCAGCCTAAATCACCCCTTTGTAGAATACAGTACATACCTCATGCTCAATAATAACTTCTTTGTTCTGCCCTCCCCCTACTCAGTATAGTTCCATTTATTATCTAACCTTACTCGGGTGTTTTCAACAATCTTTTCATGTTCCTCCACACACATTTTCTAAAAAGCCAGCTGTGCAATTTAGACCATCCCTGGAGATTATTGACCGGGTTGGGTTTGCATTTATGAGCACATAACTGAAGCTGACATGGCCCTTACCAGAATTAATGGCTCTTGGAACAAGTTGCCTTCACAGCATTTTACAAACAGCTTCATAATACATCTGAAAGCAAGGCAGGTTTTAATTAATGGCATTAATAGCTAAGTAATCAGAAGCGAAAAAAAGTGGCTGGACCAATATGAGCAAAGATTGGCAGGTGAACTTGGAGTCTGTGCAGGTTCAAAGTTTCTACCTGTCTTTGGAGTGATGCTGGGGAGTGTTTCATTAGCACTGACCAGGAATTACTTAATGCTGTCAAACTTGGTTTGTATGCACACGATATCATTTTGAAACACCCGGCGCTTCCTTCCTCCCACCCTCTCTCTTTAGTTTCTCCTCTTATTTAATTATGGTTGCTCTATTTTATAAGCAAGGCAGCTGTCTGAGTAGGGAAGAGGTGCAGCATTCACATTCATGGTTTACAGTTTGCTAAATGTAAGCCTGCCTAATCCTTTCGTATCATTGGATTACTCTCCTCCAGCAAATTTTCCCAGCTTTCATCATGAGAATGGGCTCCCTGCCAAGAAAGCACTCATCCCAGCTCAGGTCCACCTGGCCCTTCCTGATTGTAGACTCCTCAATTCGAGGCCATTAAAAGGCTTTCAGACTATGTGCACAATCATTTCTGCAAGTCACATACAAAGTCTTTGTTTCATAGAATCCTAACCTGTATGCAGGATTCTGTTCTGAACTATTTTTTAAAAGACAGACAGAACGGCTTTGATCATTTGGCCAGTTTTCTTTTAATATCATCTAGTTATACAAAATAAATTTCTGGTTTATTTAAATGTAAAGTTTGAACAATAACCAAGGTCAGATCCGAGGATTTAGGGAAGACTGTACACCTATCAGAACTAATGCCCCTCTACAGGTGGCTGCATTTGAAAGACAGGCAAAAAAAAGCCATCCTGAAATTCCTACTCACTTCATAAACTCTACATCAATTAAAGTTTTAGCTGATTATAAAAAAAAATGTTCAGGTTATTTGCTGCCTAATTCCCTCCACAAGCTGAGAGAAGGGGACCTTCTTGGATTTCAAAAGGAAAGGATTCTCTGTGACTGCAAAACAGAACAAGGGGTTTGATTCACACACACACACACCCCTCTGTCAATCACGTCTAATATTCTGAGTATGTGTAAACTCTCTGGCGGAGCCAGGACAATAGCACCTTGCCATTCAATCACTGATTTTGATCCTGCCTCAGCTAAACTTTAACAACTGTAAGCAAGCAATGGAAGCGGGGTGGGAGGCGGTGTTGAAAGACCCTTTTCAGACTCAGGTACCCAGACTCCAGGGATTTACAGATCTAAGGGTCACATTCATTGCACAGACATACACCCCGAATTTCACCTTGAACACTAAGTCTGTTTAAAGTATTATGAAAACAAAAGGTTCTTCTGTACCTTTTCTACTTTTACACAAAACCTCCCGGAGCCTGAGTGAATGAAGCATTTGCTATGTTGAATGTGCACCAAGAGAAATACACTGGTGACTTTCCATCACACTATTTTACTGATCTACTCAAACCTAGCATATCAAAAGTGTCAAGATAGAAGAATGCGTTTTTGGTGGCTCAAGACCTCCCTTTCTTCACACCATCTAGCCTTTACATTGCTTCCCAGAGCCGTCAGAGCCAAGGGAGGAGGCAGGGGGCACCCTTACCATGTGCCCCCACCCATATAAGAGATAATGTTGGGGGAAAGGGCTCCGCCAGCCTTGCCTTCATTATTCCCCTTCCTCCAGTCTTCCAGAAGATGGGGCAGAAAGATCTTACAACCCACCCTCCAAAGGTAGAACCTCAAAATAATAAAACAGAAAAAAAAAAAAAAGATGGCACCTTTAGTTTAAATAAAGTAGTCCAGGCCGGGTGCTATGGTTCACATCTGTAATCCTAGCACTCTGGAAGGCCGAGGTGAGTGTATGATTGCTTGACCTCAGGAGTTTGAGACCAGCCTGGCCAACATGGTGAAACCCTGTCTCTACAAAAAATACAAAAATTAACCAGGCGCGGTGGCTTGCACCTGTAGTCCCAACCACTTGGGGGGCTGAGGTGGGAAGATCGCTTGAGCCCAGGAGGTGGAGGTTGCAGTGAGCCAAGATCATGCCACTGCACTCCAGCCTGGGTGACAGAGTGAAACCCTGTCTAAATAAATAAATAAAAATAAAGTAGTCCAGAAGAGCACGGAACTTTGAGGAGAAGAGTTAGAAAATGCCATGCTATTTGGTGGCTGACAATATATCTTATTTTAAAAACAAGTTCCTTTGAGACAAGGGACCATATTTTTTTATGAAGAGAAGAGGGTGACATCTAACAAATGGTCTATGCTGATAAGAAGCTCAACTGGAACTCAACTTTCATTCATAGAGGTCTGTTTGGCTTGAAATGCGCTGATACTCCCAAGTTTCACTTTGCATTTCTGGGTTCATCAAACCCTCAGATACAGTATTGAAAGTCAAAGTGAAACCCTCCACGAAGAAAACCACACTGATTTTTACCTGCTTTAATGTCAATATTTTGACAAATTCTAACAATAAATCAGACCAGCTCACTCCTCACTCACCTTTTGGGGCAGACTGTCTCCGACTTAGGATGGCTTGACTTATGACTTTGTGATAATGAAAAGGCAATATGCATTCAGTAGAAACCATACTTTGAATTTTGAATTTTGATCTTTTCCTGGGCTGGCAATATGCAATAAGAGACTCTTTCATGATGCTGGGCACCAGCAGTGAGCCACAGCTCCCAGTCAGCCAAGCAGTCAGCAGGGCCAGTGACCAATGCTCTACAGTGGACCAAGTGGTCAGTGTTTTTTTTGGATATTGTGTTTTGTGTTTCAAATACCATCATGTCTACAAAAAGTCCATCTGTGTCTCCTGCTTCCAGTGAGAAGAGGAGGAAGGCAATTAGTCTTGAGATGAAACTCAAGAGAATTTCCCAGCATGAAGGCAGCAAGCCAGGAGTGGCCATCAACCATTTTATCCTTTAAATGTATTTTTGACTTCCATTATTTTCAGCATACTAGGGTTTTCATCAGGATGTAACCCCCTTGTAAGTCAAGGAGCATCTATATATAAAATACTTCCATTAAGTGTCACCAAATTTGACTTGTCTCAAAAAATGTCCACCAATGAGAAGATTTTAAATAAAATCAAAAGCCTTCATGCTTATCTAAAAATGTTTTTAAGGAACCCTGACCGAATGTCTCAATTGAGCCAAATAGTTAATGATTAGGAGAGGGAAAATGAGGCACTTGTCAATATTAACCTATTGTGGATGCTTTCTGAAAACTTAAATGCCCTGAGTCCCTCAAAACAAAGACCCAAAGTAACTATGCACATTTCTCCATTAGTACACATACAATAACATTGTCAAAAAAATAGAGAGAAACTGGCCCAAAGAGTAAGGACAGACAGGAGGGAAGAAAAATGTTGGAAAAGCCTGGGCAGCACTGGGAGATACCATCTCTAAAAGAAAAATTTTTTTTTAATTAGCTAGGTGTGGTGGTGTGCACCTGTGGTGCCAGCTACTTGGAAGGCTGAGGTGGAAGGATCGCTTGGCCCAGGAGGTTGAGGCTGCAATGAGCTATGATTATGCCATGGCACTCCAGCCTGGGCAACAGAGCAAGACCCTGTCTCAAAAAAAAAAGAAAGAAAGAAAGAAAGAAAAATGCTGGAGGGGTTAAAAGTTCCAAGGATAGGTTTCTTTTAGTCCTTTATTGGAACAGGTAGAATTTTCACCTGTTACTGGAATCAGTATGACTTAAAATGCTCATCTGGTTAGTAATGTTCAAATCAGACCTGGGTCAAAATTGCCCTGTCCAACTTGCCTGGGGCTGAATTTGGTTAGTTCAGTTTACTGGGGGGCCATCTTCGTCGCACCTGGACATCATCCTTTGGAGCTTTTCTGTCACCCTGAGAGATAGGGGTTAGCCTAGGTTCCTTGAGCCTCAGCATTGCTTAGAGCCAAAGAGAAGAACTAGGAAGAAAGCCAAGATGCTGGGAATGGCCAAGTTAAGGACGAAGGTCATGGTCACAGAGCCAGAGCTGTGTGAGGTGGGAATGAGTCAGTCAAGAAGGTTGGGACAAAGAAGGGGGAAGCTGTGGGGGAGGTGAGACAGTTCCTAGAAGACTGTCTGAACTACCCACTGTTATCAGCATGAGGATGGCACCCTAGTCTTGCTGGTGAGTGGTGCTGGGACTTAGAATGCAGCAACCCAGAGCATGGCACTTGGGCACGCTGAGTACTTTGAACTAAAGGAGATTGGAAGACCTCAGAAGCAAAGTCTTTCTGACCTTCTTCTCCCCTCCTGTCTTCCACCTCTCTTCATTTCTCCCCCAAAGTGAGCCATACAAACTAGAATTCTCCTTCCCCACGGCAGATCATAGAAAATAGAACCCCTCTCCCTTAAAGCAAGCCATAAAACCAGAAAGGTCACTCTCTCCCTTCTCCTTTGAAGACCTTCATTCCGGAGGGTCCTGCCCCCATACCTGGGAGGAGGGAATGCTGCACAGAGAGGCCAAGAAGAATTTGAACAGACAGCCTCCCTGGATATCCCCCTCAGTCTATCACCATTACACCATACCCTTTCTCCAATCACATTTCTACCCGCTGTCCATTCTTCATTAAACCTAAGCATAAAAACAGCTTTCTCTGGGTCTTTGAGTCTTCATTTCTGAAGGCTTTTATGTCATATAAACTTTGATTAATACATTTGCTATGTTTTTCTCTTGTTAACCTGTCTTTTGTTATAGCAGTATTGGCTGTAACCCTTATGATGGGTAGGAAAGGGGTTACACCCTACCACCCCTACAGAGGTTATGCTGCTCATGACAGAATGCAACTCATCTAAAGCTTGAACTCAAAACTTGGCAACCTTAAGGCCTTTTTGTGGCAATGAGAGCATTTGAATGTGTTGCAATTCTCTTTTTTAGAAAGAAATGATAACCCTGGGCTTTAGTTTGCTATCTTCACTGATACACTTCAAAAGGTGGGAATTCCATGAAGGTGAGGATGAGAAGAAACAAGCAGCTTGCTTACCCCACTGTACTGCACCGCCCTATTTGTCATCAACCACCTGGTGGTGATCTCCTGCTGGGCAGTGGTTTCTGTCTCTCTGTCCTCAGGTGTGATTTGAAATGTCTCCCAGTGCCTGGCACTTGGTAGACAGTCAATAAAAGTGCTCAATTCAATGACTAAGTGGGGGAATGGTCATATGATTTGATCCTTTCAATCTGGAGAGTTTTCAGATGTGTTTGAAGCATTTGTCCCTAGAGTCAGTTATGTCCAGGAAGCTCCCTAAATGCTGCCTTAGGCTCAATTTGCCCCCTCTAGAATGAAAGCAGCTGTTTCTTTTCTGGAAACATACCAGGAAGTGTCTTAGGGGTACCCCATCTTCCCGCCTTTTTGCCTCTGTAACAGCCATCTCTCCTTACCTCAAAAAATATAGTATGTGTGTTTTCAAGCTGCAAAGAAACCGTTGAAAATTAAACCACAGAACAGCATTTTAATGAGAACAGATTACCTAACACCCCACTGTGGTTTCAGATGGCCTTGTGCCAACCTTCCAAACTGTTGCCAGAAGCCCAGAGTTACAAAAAAAAAAGGAGGGTGGGGAGTTGTGGGGAGAGGGGAAAAGAGTGACTAGCATCCCCTCAGTGAGGGTAGCTTTCTTAGATGGTTTCCAAAATGATCTCTCTAGAAGGTCATAGGTTATTGGTGCCTGCAGTTGAAGAAAAGTTTCTTCCTGTTTTGAAAAATTTAAGAGAGACAAAAAGGGGGAGGCACCCTTGAGTTAGTACATGATGTCCTGAACTAGGTGTTTTCAGCACCAAAGTTCTGCTGTAAGTGTCTGTACCCACTGTCTAGCTCATCAACTTGCCTTCTGCGCACATACTTGCTATTTCTGTAGCTAGGTTACAAGACCGCAGGTGTAGATGCTGCCGGGTGGAAGCTCTGCATGCCCACAGAGCAAAGCCCGAGCAAACACTGTTCCTCCCTGGCTGATAGCTTGCACTGGGGGCTCCTGGTAGTGGGCACAGAGGCGCTAAAGCTCACATGGGCTCATTCCTCAGGGACTTTCTTTCCTTAGTCTCCAACTAACCCAGCACTTAATGTATTCAGGGCTGCGGTTTCATTTCCACATTGGGTTTCCAGATTTAACCCCTGAACTAACTTCTGCAGTTGTCTTCCCACCAGTTCAACAACAACCAGATGGCCTGCAAGGCCACAGGAAAAAGTAGATGACAGAGCTGGAAGATGCTGGAGTGGAATACCTTCATTCCACTGATGAGGAAATCAGGTCAGGCCCAGAGGAAGTTTAGAGATTCACCCAAAATCACACACCCACTCAGCAGTGGAGACAAAAATACAACCACTATCCTGATTTCCAGCCTGTGGCACTGCCCTAACTGTATGGCTTCCCATTCCTTTCAGTAACACAGTAGCTTTTACCTCTTGCACACAAAGTGACAGACACACAATGGGCCCTCCTTAAATGCTACTTTCCTTCCTTGCAAACTATACCATACTGTGCTAAAACTTGAGAAGGATAAGTGGAAAAGTACCACACTCTCTGGCTCTCAAAGAGTTATAGCACCTTAAAGGTAACAAACAGCATGCCTACATTGAGCATAGAAACAACACAAGCTGATGCAAAACAGAGTGCCAGAAGATGCTTCATACCATGAGTGCAAGGAAAAGCAAAACACCTCACTTTACCCCCTTCACCTCATTAACTCCCATTTACTTGTTTTGTCTTAGTTTTGAGGTCATCTCTTTTGGAAAGCCTTCCACGTTTGGTTTAGGTTGAACTATAAGTGCAGGTGCACTTGTCTGGATCCTTGTGAGCTCCATGAGGACAGGTTCCTGGTCGGCCTTGTGCACTGCCTTTATCCCTATGTCTGGTGCCTGGGACAGAGTGCTCAGCAAGCATTTGGGGAAGTAAGGAACTGAATATCCATCAGGAAGCTTTTACCCAGGACATGGGATGGAAAATGGGCTCTAAGATGAAAAGGATTTCTATCAATGCAGAAGGTGGTGCAGAAATGAGTGGATAATAACTCCCATAGAAAAATCACTCCTGGCCCAGGCGTGGAGGCTCACGCCTGAAATCCCAGCACTTTGGGAGGCCGCCAAGGTGGGAGGATGGCTTGAGCCCAGGAGTTCGAGACACCCTGGGCAACATCTCGAGATCTTGTCTCCAAAAAAATAAAAGTTAGACGGGCATGGTGGCCTGTGTCTGTAGTCCTAACTACTCGAGAGACTAAGGTGGGAGGATCACTTGACTCAGGAGGCAGAGGCTGCAGTGAGCCATGATTATGCCTCTGCATTCCAGCCTAGACAACAGAGCAACACACTGTCTCAAAAAAGAAAAGAAAGGAAAGAAAAATCACTGCTGCAATCTGTGTGAAGTGAGGTCAGGGAGGAGACCACCATGGATATAGCAATGGCCTTTGATAAAAAGGAGCCGGAAGGTAATATTCGGTAAATCAAGTGAGGCCAAACTCTGGGAGGTCAGGAATGCTAAGAGGATGATGGCAACCAGAGGATGATGGTTTAAAAAAAAATTAGGAAAGAAAAATCCAAGCCACTAGAAAGCTGCACATAGCAAACCACTCAGCTCAGTGTTAGAATCTGACGTTGGTGAGTGTTTTCCTATCCTTGAAAAGAGTGCTTTCGGGCTTCCCTTTGGTAGCTGGGTCCCCCACCCCGCACCCCCACCCCCTCAACTTTGAAGTTTTGACTCTCTTTCTCAACACCTGAAAAGACAGGCTGAGTTTCACCTTGGGAAAATGCAAAATAGTCAGCTGCAGTGAAGAAAAAATGATTTGCAACCTCAGTCACAGATTTCTTTGAAACACTGTTGTAAAGGGAATTCTGAAAGGACCACTGACTCATTTCAGACAGTGAGCCAGGGTGAATGTTTAATGTGGTGAGTCGGTGACCGAGGAAACCACTTCTCTTTTGGAGCTGTTCATTCTGACTCTTCTTATCTGGGTGCCTTTACCAAACAAACAAGTATCATCTCTTACTTGGGGACACCTGGTTGGCATTTGCAAAAAGAAAGGAGTTCCAAGAAGAGCTAAAATTATCAACAGCAGAGACAGCTCAGTTTCTGCTATCTACGGGTTCACCCACAGGGATATCATAATCAAGAAGCAAAGTGATCGATTTGGGAAGTGAGGGGTGAAGGAACAAAGATTCATAAAGAACAATGGGATTGGAGGTATAAAATATACCCTGCTCCCCATACCCAAAATGGAAAGTGCCACTTGGTAGGTGGCCATGTGCTGCATAAAACATAGCAGACAGTTAATGTCAACTCAAACCATTCTAGCAAGACATTAACTTAGAGGAAACGCCAGGAAACTGAGAGGTTGGAAGAAAGAAGAGGTGTATTCCTATGGACAGCTAGCTGCGAGGTCATCCTAGTCTGTTGCTGGTACATTCTACTTCAACCTAGAGCTGACAGCGTAGAAAAGTATGACTCATCTCTAAATAAGATCCCTGGACAGACTCATGGAAGTTCTGCTGCTCCCCAGAGAAGATCACCTGGTGGTCATAGGTTTAAAGACCTTACGAGGCTGGCCCATGGGCCGAGATGCCATTGTGCAGGGCAGCAAGGCCCACTTAGGTAAGAATATACCACATGATTGGCCTCACTGTAGAGGCCATCCCTCGCTTGGAAGCCATCTGGAAGTAGATTTGAACTTCTAAGTGACATCTTAAACAGCCCAAGTCCCAGTGATCATTAAGATCCCTGTGACCAAAAGAAGAATCTCTCCTGATCACTTGTGCACTCCTCAGGGACCAGGCAGGAAACATGGGGGCTGGGCTGCTGCCTTGAAAGCAGCCTTTTGTTACCCCCTCACACTGGAGCAGCTGTAAGAAATGGGTGGCTGCTGGCTGAGTGCAGTGGCTCACACCTGCAATCACAGCACTTTGGGAGACTGAGGCAGGAGGATTGCTTGAGGCCAGGAGTTCAAGACCAGCCTGGGCAATAGAGTGAGACCCCATCTCTACAACAAAAATTAGCTGGGCATGGTGGCACACACCTGTAGTCCCACCTACTTAGGAGGATGAGACAGGAGGGTTGCTTGAGCCCAGGAGTTAAAGGCTGCAATAAGCCATACTCACACTACTGCACTCTAGCCTGGGTGACAGAGTAAGATCCAAGAAAAGAAAAGAAGACAAGAAAAGAAAAGAGAAAATAAAAGTGGCTGCCACCCCCCTGCTCACCATCAGCTTCTGGGGGAACCCAGTGAGGCACCCATCTGCTATGGGTATGAGAGAGAACATCAAGCATCTGGCTTTCCTGATCTTAATGTCTCTTCACATTAAGAATGAGGTGAGCTTCTGATTCTCTTGTCCTGCTCCTTCCACCATAGTCTCTATATGGGCTTTTATCTTCTAGAGAGGAGCACGCCCACCCCAGGACTGGTACCCAGCAGGTGTACCACCAATGTTGATGATACTGATGACTAGACTTGCAGCAGGAGGCAGGCACTATTATTATCTCCACTTCACAGATGAAGAAACTGAGGCCCTAATCCATCAAGTAACTTGCCAAAGCCCCTCTGCTAGTGAGCCCAGGTCTCTTAGGATGAAGGGAGGAACTGAGTGTGTCAGAAGCTCTTAAACAGCACTGCCCCCTCCCTGATTCCAGCAGTGTCAGTCTCCTGCCGCTGGGCTCCCACCTACTTGTGTTTGCAGTCTCACTTGTGGGTTCGAGGTCATAACTCTCTGTCGCTCCTCAAGTGCTCGTCACACCCACTGTTCCCTGGTTTCATTTGTACATTGGGGTTCCAACTGTCAGTCCCCAGCCGGCACACAGGTTTCACTTCCCTGAACCCTAATTCACTCATTTTTGAAATAGGGATCTATCTACCAGAGTGGGTGTGAGAAATAAGAAACGGGGTATAAATATAAAGCCTGCAGGAGCCCCACCATGACGCTGTTCACGCCTTAGTGAGCACTTCACAAACAAAAAGCACCGTGATGAGGTATTTGTGTCCTTTCATAACAATCTTCTCTCTCAACTCTGGCTGACATCAGAATCACCTCGAGCATTATTTGAAAAGGCGAATGCTCAAAGCCCCGCCCCAACCCTGCCAAATCAGAAACAACCAAGGTGGAGGTCCTGGAATCTGAATTTACTTTATAGTAAACAGCGCTACCTGTTAATGCAGGGATCAGGGCCAAGCTAACGTTCATCCCACAGGGAGGTTCTATAAGGGATTCCTGCCGAGAGTGGGAGGTAGGTTTAGAGGACCTGAAAGCTCCTCCACAAATAACAACCCCCTTATGTAGTTGGTTCTCGGTTGATAGCTCCCTGCTGCAAGCAGTGTGGTGATCAGTGTACAGAGAAATATTTTTTCCATCCTATTCCACACTGGTCGTGTCCCAAGCTCCACTCTCTGGCAGCCCAAGTAGGGGTAGATAGGCTCTGGGCACCAGACAAAAACTGTATTCCCTTTAGGGCTGCCTTTCCTCTGCGGAACATGAAGATCACTTTTAACAACCACAAAGTTTCATGAACCACCAGATGAAAGCCAATCGTGCTGGTAGTGTGGTAATGTCTGTTGACGAACAACATTCGTTTTTGGCTTTTTTTTTTCTTTTTTTTTTTTTTGAGACAGGGTCTTACTCTCTCACCCAGGCTGGAATGCAGTAGTGCAATCTTGATTCACTGCAACCTCCGTGTCCCAGGTTCAAGCGAATCTCGTGCCTCGGCCTACTGGGTAACTGGGATTACAGGCGCCTGCCACCACACCCAGCTATTTTTTGTATTTTTAGTAGAGATGGCGTTTCACCATGTTGGCCAGGCTGGTCTCAAACTCCTGACCTCAGGTGATCCACCCACCTCAGCCCCCCAGAGTGCTGGGATTACAAGCATGAGCCACCGTGCCCGGCCCAAACAACATTCTTAAACACACACACACACACACACACACACACACACACACACACACACACAAAACTCCTATGAATTCAAGACACTTCCAAACCAATTCCATATTTTATGAATCACAATAGCATCCACATGCATTTCAAAAATTGTAGCACATTATATATTCAATCTACAGGAAGATTTGGCACTTGGGGGTATTTAGACCCTTCACAATAACTTCCCTTGGGGTCCACTGCTCACAGATTGAGAACCAGCCTGCACCACCTGACAGAGTCAAAGGTCAGTGATGAGCTCACCTTACCCCCCACATTCCCCTTTCCAGTAAATCACCCAAAAACCCAACTGTGGAAGAGCATGTTTGAGATGAGCCACTGGTAAGTAACCGAAGGGCCAGAAACATAATCTGAGGCCAAGAAGGAAAGAGAAAATGGGTCTGAAAACAAACAAATGGATGAGAAGGAGAAAGCTGAGGTGTAAAGACCAGGCGGAAATCTATTTGGATAGCTCAGGTGGAAAGTTTTAAAAGTCTGGGCTAGCCACACAGTGGTGGGAATTGCAAGGCTGCTAATGGATAGAAGAGATCTTGGAGAACCAGCATATGATGACTCACTGATGTGAGAAAGAAGGAGGAGGTGAAGGAAGCCTGGAATTTCAGCTAAGATGTGAAGAATGGAGCCACACTCTGAGAACCTACATATAATAACAAGTTATATTTAGGGCCAGCTTGGAACTGCACTCTAAGAACCAAAGTTGGACACTCAAAAGTAGACCAGGACACTTGGCAAAGCAACAGTTATAAGGGACCAAAGGTCTGGAAGCAAAGGGTGCCTATTTTCCTTAAGAACGACTGTGATAAAATTTACAGATAAAGGCATAAGTCTAGAGCAAGTTATTTTCAATGTTCTGCTAAAAATTATATTTGCAGTTAAGGAGTCCTGAAATTATTTAAACTTCGGGTGCCTTGGTATGACATTCCAACAATGTGCCCAACCAGGAAGTGGGTGCTGTAGTGGTAATGTGGACTGCCGTAAAGCTCAGCTTCAGAGTCCATCTCTCCTGCAAAACTTTCCCAGGGCACATTGGGTTGGAACAACTTGTTTCTCATCTGAACTACTGAGCCCCAACCCTGCTCATTCTGATACTATTGGTCTGATGGGGGACACTATCAACTCCTTATTTTCTGTGTAATTCATCTTTAACCATAAAAGTTACACATGATTGTATTGGAACTATTATTACATCACAGATGTTGATTTGAACTCGTATTTAAGCTTCTTGTGACACTTGCTTCTTTCCTTCTGCCTTTCTTCCCATAGAAAAAAGTCCCCAGCACTAACTGATACCCACATACTGATTTCTTTGATCTAACAAATGTCCTTCCCCCTAAAATCCAGATTTGGCCTTACCCAGGTAGTAACCTTAGAAATGTAAGGAAAGGATCTCAAAGCCTGCATTTTTTTTTGTCTGCCAAGTTTTGCCACCTCCGATCGTTGTTGTTTGAGATGTGACAGGAGATGAAGTCACTTCGATGACATAAGTAACAGGATATCATTGTGCTACACAAAAGCCCACAAGTCAGATGCAGGTGGTGACTGAGAAACCAACATACAAACTTTGAAAAATACAAGGGTAAGCCTTCAGACTTTCTCTAAACAGCATCCCCTCCCCTCCGAAATAGTCTCTCCCCTTGACCTCCATTCTTCACATCTTAGCTGAAATTCCAGTCTCCCTTCATCTCTCCCTTCTTTCTCAGCCCCACATCAATAAGTCACCAGATGCTGGTTCTCCAAGATCTCTTCCACCCATTAGCAGCCTTGCAATTGCCACCATGTGTGGCTAGCCCAGACCTTTACAACCTTCCACCTGAGCTATCCAGATAGATTTCTGTCTGGTCTGTCCACCTTAGCTTTCTCGTTCCAATTCATTTGACACTACATTTATAGATTAATTATTCTAAAGCCAAGCTCTGAGCATATTATTCTCCAACCCCAAATCTTCATAGTTTTGCTGTTACTTGATAGAATAAAGTCCAGACCTCTTAGCCTTGTCTATAAAACCATCTATGCTCTGGCCTAATGTACCCCTGCAGACAGAACTCCAGCCTATATTCCAGTCAAACTAGCTGATCCCTGTTTGCAGCTCCAACGTTTCATTCATGCCTTCTCACTTGAGTCAGGCTTTCCTCCTTCCTGCTGAATACCTTCCAATCAATACCTACCCATTCTTCACATGCCTTTCCTATGTGAAAGGCCTCCTCTTTCCCTGCTGGGCCTTGTTTGTACTTCACTTGCACTGCCCATCCTGCTCTGGCTTTTATCACAGTTTTTTATGTCCCTATTTTATCTCCCATACTGGACTTAGGTGTCTTGAGGCTAAGGACTGTATGCTATTCATCTAGTGTCTCTCCCAGCACCTAGCAGAGCTCTGCACATTGTAGGCACTCAAAATAGTTTGTGGAAAGAAGGAAGGGAGGAAGAGGAGGAAAGATAGGAGGATGGAAGGAAGGGGGAGAATGAAGAGACCTCAGAAATAAAAGAGAAGGAAATCAAAAGGGGCAAGAGGGAGTAGGAAGAGAAGCCACTGTAGAAGAAAGCAGGTCATGAAGATACACGGAAAAAAATAAAATGCTATGGGATAGATCCCGGGCCATGTGAGAGTATGAGTACCAGATTTGCAAGGGAGAAGAACTGAGGAAACTTCCTGGCATCATGAGAACACTCAACACTAGCCTTGGTTTTCTTCAGTGGCAGACTCAGTCACCTTATCTCCCCCACCTTTCACAGCAGAGCTGGGGTCTTTAGGCTGAAAATTGGTTCCTGTGCTTTATGAAACCAGAATGGGTAGATGCTCAACTTCATCTTTTACTTAATCTAGATTTAATTAAAACATTTTATCTTTATGATAACTAACTCTCTTTTTTTTAAGACAGAGTCTCATTCTGCTCATTCCATTACCCAGGCTGGAGTGCAGTGTTACAATCTCGGCTCACTGCAACCTCTGCCTACTGAGTTCAAGCAATTCTTGTGCTTCAGCCTCCAGAGTAGCTGGAATTACAGGTGCATGCCACCATGCCTGTCTAATTTTTGTATTTTTGGTAGAGATGGGGTTTCCCCATGTTGGCCAGGCTGGTCTCAAACTCCTGACCTCAAGTGATCTGCCTGCCTTGGCCTCTCAAAGTGCTGGGATTACAGGTGTGAGCCACTGTGCCCAGCCCAACTTTTAATTAATGTCATTCTAGTTTACAAAATAGCCTTATAGATTACCCTAGACAGTTCTCACAGCATTCCTGCTACATACATAGTTAATGGGATTCCCTGATAGCTGCCTCAGAGCGTGTGGTGAGCTCCTCGTCTTACACTGCTGTCTCATTTGCTGCTCACTGACATCTCCATTACTCCCTTAACACCAAGTCGCGCTCAGAGAGACCCATCTACTCCAGTTTCCAGAGTACAGCCTGCTGCTTTACACGTCCAAGTCTTTGCCCAGATGGTTCCCTGGGTAGAATTTTTTTTTCGAGTCCTTCAACCTCTTCACCTCCAGAAGCCAGGTTTTCTGGGGAGAGAACCAGAGTAGCACCACCCAAGGGACTCTTTGGGGTACTCCCCTGGGTGGTGGGGGGGGGTCCATCACCAGGCAGCCTAAGCCTGGCATGCTGGGGCTGCCTCAGCTTCTATGGAAATTCTGGAAGATGACACAGGGGGACCAGGGAGATTACAGGGCCTGTGCTACTGCCTCGGGCCGGTGAAAAAACAGACGCATCTGCCCCCAGCGCACCCCACCCCAGCAACACACAGAAGGGAGAGCTTGCACAGTAAAACCCACTTCCCTCGTTAGCTTGCTCGCTAGGAGAAGCAGAGGAGAGCTGTTTATACTTACAACAAAGTGGGACAGCAGGAGGGTGGGAGAGAAACTTCAGACCTTGTACTGGCTGAGTTTTTCTTATTTCTGATTCTTAGGGATGCTTCACACTCCCCCATTTTCAGTTCTTTCTTCTGCAGAATTAATTCAAGACAGCCTGTTCTGTTCACAGGGGGCACAAAGGTATGGGCCCAGAGACTGCAGACAACAGGTCAGAAAACCACAGCATTCTAAGATTCTCTCTGACTGAAGGTGGGGATAAAACAGATTTTCAAGAAGAAAATGAAGCATACAGTTTGAAAAATACAGATCAAATAACATACTTTTTCACCTTTGGAAAACAACTTCATGTTTTCACAATACAAACTATTGAAAGTAAGTAGAGTTCAATAAACATCTCTTGATTGTTGGAGAATGGTCAGAAGAAATATCTTCTGTATATTTGTGCTTCCTAGAAAGAGTCTGATGAAGTCTCCTGGGACCTGCTAGAAAGCAGGATCAATTAAATGTTTAGGTTTAGCATAAACAGGCACAGGAGGTCTTTGTCTTCTGGGACCAGGGAGCCCCTCTCACTTTCGGGGCCAGTTGGGTGACCCGCAGCACCTGAACTCCTAGGTAGAAACCTAAAGAGAAATCCATGGCAGTGCCTGAGTAGAATTTCCTCTTTCTAGAATTGAGGGTGCAGAACAGCAGCAGGCAAATGACAGAGGAGAGAGAAGGCAAAACAAAAAATTCAGCAGCGCAAGAGAACTGGGCTTTCTAGGGTGGTTGGTTGTGATCTCATGTGTGCGTGCTCTTGTGTGCACACGTGTGTGAGAAAAGTTGGCAGAGGAGGCTTTGGTTGAAGGAGGGAGGGTGGTTCTTTTTTTAGCCTGGAAAATTGCCACACTGGGACAAAAACCTTAGCACAGCCCAGATGGGCGAAAGGCAATAGGAAAAAAAAAGCCCCCTCAGAAAGGTAACCAGCTGCCTGAACCCTAACCCTGAAGTGAAAATCTACCTGGCCAAGAACAAAAATCCTCTTCAGTCTGGAGAAGCCTAATCTAAACCTGCATGGGGGCGATGCTCGCCAGTGGAGCTAGAATGCCTGCCATTTATCACCCAAGATAAAACTCTCAGCAATCCCCTCATGCAAATGGAACCCTGTTTGCGGAAAGGATTAATCCAAATTGTTCCGCGTTGTTCAAAGTGTCTCTGTGGAGTTCGTTCTGTCTCGTCTGCCCCAAACAAGCAATAAATTATCCACACGTGAGCCAATTTCCCAACCAAAAAGAGACAATGTGGGCAGAAGCGGACTTTTGATGCCCACTCCCCGCAAGGGGCTGCCCCACCTGGGCTCAAAATAGCAAGCAGGTCACGGAGGGCAGCCCTGGGCACATAGGACAGGAGTAAACACAGCCAGGAGATTATGCTGCAGCTGGTTAACCACAAGGATAAACAAGCGGACAAAGTAGGGAGAAACCCAAAGCACTCCACTTCAGTATTTTTAAATGACACTGAAAGCAATTTCATGGCTTCCATTTAAAAAGAAGCTGCTGAGACACAGAACATCCCCAATTTACAAAGATTCCAGGAAACAGCCTGAGCTTGTGATTGGAGGGGGTTACGGGGGTGAACAGACTACATGGAAATGCTTTCTCCAGGCAGCCACTGGCACCTGTTAAAAAGAAGCCCATTCAGACACACATCTTCAGACACATTTCCAAGTATTCATTTTAACCTGCTTTTGCCTAACATAAAACCAAGCAAAGATGTGGTTAATTGCCTTCTTTATTAACCTGCTTCCAGAGCTGCTGTTACCCCACATTTTCTCACCAAGGCAAGTATATCTGGAAGTCTCAGGAGGCCTTAAAAAAGTCCAGCACTAAATCTTCTGAGTCACTTAATCCCCAGCTCTTCTATGTTTGGAGATAATTTCCTTTATGAAAAGAAACTCTAACCTGGCCAGATACCCTTCTCAGACTTGCTAATGGAACAAAGAAGCCTCTCATTAGACTCATCCCTGTGGCTGCAGAAATAAGTGTCTCGGAAAGCACAGCTTTTGCTTTAGCCTCAGGATGGTTTTGGCTGCCGCGGTCCTTGGCTTCCTCTCATGGCGTCTCCTCCAGTCAAGCTCTAGCTAAGTTACACTTAGAGGCTAGAAAACAGGAGAGACAGGTGCCTAGCCAAAAAAAAAAAAAAGGAAGAAAAAAAAAGGACCGTCTAGTGATCAGGTTTGCCCGGCAGTGGGATCTGCTCCTTTCCAAAGGGTGGGCTGCCCATCCCAGGAGTGTCCAGAGACAGGACCACCTGCTGAAAAGGAGCTCCTTCCAATGCATGGAACATAATGAGACCAAATGGCATTAAGGACCCCTTTCAACCCCGAATCTGAGACTGCAAAGACAGGAAGGGCTTTCAAGGCACGTATGAGAAATTCTTTATGTCTTCTCTTTCCTTCCCTCATTGCATAGATCTCTCTTCTGACCACAATTAAAAGTAAGAACACTTCACACTTTATTTAAGACTCCACTTCCCTTTACCTCATTTCAGTGGGTAATGGTGGAGAAAGCCATTTGTCTGGTTAAGCAAAGCCCTTGACCAACAAGAAAGACATTTCAGCAGCAGAGATAGGAACCTATATTAGTAATAGGTTATGTTTATTAAGCACTTACTAAGTGCCCCACACTGTACTAAAGTCTTTACATAGATATCATATTAATCTTCCCAATAATCCAAAAAGTAGAATGTTATTGTTAGCCGGATATTAAAACAAATGATATTACAACAAAGGCCACTGTGTGAGCAGACTCCAGTGCTGTGCTCTGAACCACAAAGCTACTCTGTCTGGCTTGCAATCCTCCTTTCTGCTGTTGTTCCCACTGTTTAAAGAGCAGAAGGAAGAATGTTCTTCTCCCTGAAGGACGTTGTCCTATAATAACTGAAAGAAAAGACAGGCCCAGTGCTCATGCATCAAGACAGTGAAGAAGGCATAGGGCCTGGGGATGGGAAAAGGGTTGAGGAATGTAAGGATCACACAAAGCTTGTCAATTCTCTTCAGGGTCCCTGACATTAACCTGAGTGCGGTTAGGTGCCGCAAGGGAGGACTGACCTGGAAATCCCAAGTAACTAATTTCAGTCTCAGAGAGACAAATTATGACATAGAGACCACCCCAAAAGGATTCTGCAGCCAGTTTTTGTCCATGTGTGTCTGTTCCATCCTCCCAAGTCTCCTGACTGCCTAACCCTATCCTTTCTTTTTTTTCTTTTTTTCTTTGTTGAAACAGAGTGACACTCTGGCATGCAGGCTGCAGTGCAGAGATGCGATCTCGACTCACTGCAGCCTCTGCCTCCCAACCTCAAGTGATCTCCTTGCCTCAGCCTCCTGAGTAGCTGGGACTACAGCCACCACACTTGGCTAATTTTTTTGTACTTTTTTGGTAGAGACAGGGTTTCACCATGTTGCCCATGCTGGTCTCAAACTCCTGAGCTCAAGTGATCTGATTGGCCTTCCTCAGCCTCCCAAAGTGCTGGGATTACAGGTGTGAACCACAATACCTAGTCTCATACTTTCTTTTGATGGCTATCATCAACACCTTAGGTCAGTGTAAACTGGAAGACTGGAAGCTAGTAGAGTTTTTGTGTTTGTTTGTTTTGAACCAACATTTTTAAGTTGAGAGATTTCTTATTAAAAAATCAGGACTTTCACTTTCTCTTTAAAAAAAGTTGAATAGGCTGGGCGCAGTGGCTCACACCTGTAATCCCAGCACTTTGGGAGGTCGAGATGGGCGGATTACAAGGTCAGGAGATCGAGACCATCCTGGCTAACACAGTGAAACCCCGTCTCTACTAAAAATACAAAAAGAATTAGCTGGGCGTGGTGGTGGGTGCCTGTAGTCCCAGCTACACAGGAGGCTGAGGCAGGAGAATGGGGTGGACCCAGGAGGCGGAGCTTGCAATGAGCCGAGATTGTGCCACTGCACTCCAGCCTGGGCAACAGAGCAAGACTCCGTCTCAAAAAAAAAAAAAAACAAAAAAAGTGAATAATATGGCCCAAATTCCCTCAAAGGGCAATGGAGGGTAGTGGTTGCTGCTTTAGGACAGGGCATGCACCCTTTGGTTCTCCACAGTCCCCACCAGTCCCTATTGCCTCACTCATTTACAATACCTGCAGGTTTTTAGATGTTGTCACTGGTGTCTTAGACCTACAAGTAGCTCTAAGATCATTCCCAAGTTATTTTTTTTTAAGGAGACTATTTCTCAAGGGGCATGTAATTCTAACAGAAGGTTACAAATCTCAAAGACACAGCTTTGATAGCTGACAGATAGCTTTAGATTTAGAAAACTCAAGCAAAACATTGTATGGATTCCCCTACACACACACATACACACACACGCACACACACACACACAAGTAATTCCCACCCTGTTCTTTTGCTAATATAATATTCTTGGAAGAATGACCTCAGAAATATCTCAAAGCCCATCTGTATGGGCGATCAGATCACCACATTTCTGGGAGCACCAAGGCTCTGCCATGGGATGCCCAGTTCTCTTTATAAAACTTGACAGTCCACAGGGCTCTAGGCGCTTCCTCTTTTTATATAGCTGTCTGAGGTCACCACCAATAAATTACTGGTTTAAGGAAAACAATGACAAGCCTATTCCATGGAGGACAGGGTTCACTCACTCAATTATTTCCTAAAGCAGTACCCTCCTTCCCAGTTTGACACCATGATTTTTGAGGCAATAGCACCGAGCCTGTTTGCTGCTGTTCTTTACACCCATAAAGCCACACAAGCACCTGCCACAGGAGCACAGCAAACTTTGTGAACAGTCATCCTCCTGGCAGTGGAACTAGTAGAGTAATGATCATTGCACTGTTAATTAAGTGGCTGTTTTGTTTAAATGACTTACCAGGATGGCTCTAAATTGCCTATATTTGTTTACTAGTCTAGTTTATTCTCTTTGTATAGGAAATTTGTTGACTAGTCTTGACTGCTATAAAGCATTGATGGAAATCACTAATCATCCCATTTTAGTGAAGGCAGACCTTTTCAACATTCAAGATACAACTTAAATCTAGAGTAAAAATGGCTCTCCCCCAAAAAACAGTAATAATTTCCTAAATTGGTAAAGAACTGTAGGATGGAAGGTTTGGGTTTGTTTTCAAAGTCACTTTTCATCTGTAGGTGTTGGAGACAGAAGGATTTAGGGAAGGAGGAGAGGGCGGGGTGTGGTTAGGCAAGGGACAATTTGTTCCACCTAACACCAGCTTGGAAATAGTTGACATTTGATACCATTGTCTCTTTGAGATTTGTAACCCTGTGTTAGAATTACTTGCGCCTTGAGAAATAGTCTCCGTTTTTGTTTTTTTTTTTTAATCACTTAGGAAAACATTAACTTTCTCTAAGTATCCCTTACTACTGTCAAGGAAGTTTGCACTTTTTTCCTCTTTCAGAAACAAAAGCGATCAATTTTTTTAGAGACAGGAGAGGGGCCAGCGAAGGAACCAGAAGACCCTGTGTATTCTGAAGGCCTTTAATGCCTCCTGCCATCCACCTCCTCCTGGCACCTCCTCCTTTCTCTAACCTCCTGCCATCCACCACTGGGAAAAGGTCTGTTCCTAAGCTTTCTGCCTAGCTAACATGAAGCCAATTTAGGGACAGAGTACAGCTTTTCATCACACACACACAGATACACACACTCACACACAAATCAACCAGCTGCAGAGCGAGCAACAGGAGGTGGCAGGATGCTTGCCACTGTGTCACTGGATTTGTAAGCATCCCCTCCAAACTGTGGCCAAGGCTAGTTATTCCCTGGGCTAAAGCCAACCTGAGAAGTTGGGGACCCTGCCAAATCCCTGACAGCCCCTAAGCCTGACTCTGTTGCCAGAGCCACACAGGAAAGTCATTCATTCTTTTAAGAAAGGTTCAGTAAAAGATTAAGGAGCCCAGTATTTGTTCAGCAATGGGCTAGCTGGATAGAGGATATCTGGGCATTCACTTTAAGGAACCTAAAATATTGGAGGGATAGGAGTATGACATATACTCATTTAAAAGTTGAGTAACATCACAAGGGATGCCACTCAAAGCAGTATGTACGTAAATGCCAAATGACCTGGGCTTCAGAGCCAGACAGACTGGGTGCAGATCCTCATTCCGGGGTCACAGGCCAGTTCCTCATCTTTCCAGACCCTAATTTCTTTACCATGTAATAAAAGTAATGGCACCTGCCTTGTAGAGTTATTGAGGGGATTATATGAGGTCAGTTGCACATAACAAGCGCTCAGTAAATGCTTGAGTTTTGTTTGTTTTTTAAAGAACATCATAGAATAGTTGAGAATAAGGTTTAGGTAGCCCAGTGGAAATAGAAGTTTAAGATTAGCCCATTGGAAAACAAGCCTTCCTTGAAAGGGGAAAGGACTATTGTGAAAAAAGTCTGACATCTTAGTAGATACTTTAGAAGTGGAAACATACATGAAGGAGGCCTTCTGATTCCCTTTTTGTCATACAATTTGTTGGCTTTTTTATGAATATGAAAATGATTCATGTCTATTACAGAAAATCTGGAAAGCATAGAAAAACCCCAGGAAGAAAGCAAAAATCAAATATAATTCTGCACCAAGGAAAACGCCTATAAACATTTTGGTTTTCCTCCCTATATTTTCCAAATGCATATTTTAACATAACTGAGATCACACTATATACACAATTCTGAATCCTGCCTTTTGCACTTAATGTTTCATAAGTATTTCCCCATGTCACTAAAAATTCTTCACAAATAACATTCGCGATGTCCATATGGAATTTCAGATGTGGATGAACCAAAATCTTGTCAACTATTCCACTAACAGTGGTTATTTAGGGATGTTCAGACATTTCACTATTTAAAAAAAAATGTTTCCACAAATACCTTTGTGGCATAAGTTTTTATGAGTGGAGTTACTGTTCTGAAGTTCCTGCTGAATAGAAAATGCTTTCCAGTGAGGCTGTCCCAAGCCACATTCCCATCAGTGACAAGCGAGAGACAGCTGGTCTTTTCAAATCCGGAGACCAAATATTATCTTTGAAAAAAAATGGATTTTTGCCTAATTTGGTAGTCACCAAATAGCATCTCATTGTTCTTTTAATTATCTGCTTCCTTTTAGTAGAGATCCCTAAAAAGATCTGAAAGGAGTCTTCAGATAAAGGAAGGAGCTTTCTTTTGTCTGTCTACAATCAACAAATATTTATTATGCAAACCATTTTGCTCCGAGTTTTCTCCTCTTTCCCTTTTTGGACAGATTTGGGAGATCTCACCTTTCAGGTTTTAGACATCGTGCAGGGAGGAGTTTTGAGGTAGGGTGCAGCTTACGGTCCAGGATAAAACATACTGATTCTGCCACTACCAGGCTTTGTGAAAAGCAAGTCATGAAAACGCTCTGAAATTCTAGACCTTCAGTAGATAGGATCTACCGTGTCTATAAAAATATGAAGATCCTTAAGTTTTATTAAAGATTCGAAAAAAGTAAAAGTGTTTTTACGGTTTTATTTTCATTTTTATTTCTTACCGTTATCGTTTATTATAAAGGATATTATAAAGGATACAGATGAAGAGATACGTAATGCAAGGCCTGTGAGAAGGGGCGTGGAGCTTCCGAAACCTCTTCCAGCCACCACCCTCCAAGAACCTGGAGTTTCTTTTTTTTTTTTTAATTCTACAAATGTAATATTAGAATTGATTTTATCTGGCCATTAGTGTGTGTCCTAACTCGTTCGTTTCTGAGAGTCCCATCTCCCGGCCCGGATATCATCTTTCCTGTGTCAGTGAAAGTGCAGAGTAGATGAGAACCTTTAACCACCAACATTAGGGAGGGGTCCCAGACAAAGGGGGAAAGTCATGCTCTGTAGAGAAAAGGTTCCCTGCCTCCGAACTACCTCTGGAACACTCCAGACTGAAATGTTTCCTCTTTTGATATAGAAAAGAGGGATCGTGTGTAGAGTGCAGTCTGGGCAATCCCTCTCCTCGGGACCATTTCGGGGTGGGGGCCTCTGGGGTCCGTGTCGCGACGCACGCGCCTCGGTCCCAGCTATCTCCGCAGCGGCCACCCCGCCTGCGGACGCAGTTTCTCGGCCCCGCCCCACACTCGCTCCCCCGCCCCACCCAGTCTCCGCGCCGGAGGGAAGTGGCGCGAGGGGGAAAGCACTGTCTGCGCGCCCACTGCAAACCTCAGCCAGTCTGAGATCGCTTTAAACGTCTGACCCCCACCCCCACTCCGCCCCGCCCAGTTCTTCAACCTAATTTCTGATTCGTGCCAAAGCTTGTCCTCTGCTCAAAATCGTGGAAGACGCCGAGTATGGGGACCGAAGACCTGGGTTCAAGCCCGGCTTGGAATCCCTGCCCATCCCTGGCATTTCATCTCTCCGGGCTTATTTGCTGGTTTCTCCGAATGCGGGCCTTGTCTGGTTCACGCTGGATCCCCAACGCCTAGAACAGTGCGTGGCACGCAGTTCGTCCTTCTATAAATATCGGACTAAATGCATCTCTGTGATGGTAATACCCACACGGTGTTGTGAGAATGAATGAGTGATTCTGTGCAAGTTCCTAGTGATCTGTTACAAAAAGTACTGGTCGCTAAATTACTCTTATAATAAAGCATACTTTTAGGATAATAAAGCACTATTCGCGAATTGGTTACCGCTATTATGAAATTACTGAGCAATACATATCTACATCTGATCAGTCTCCAGAATTATGCCAAATCCTACCTTCTTCTGAAAGTATCTCCTAATTATCTGCACCTGACCCTAGTGATGCTGTGAATGTGCAAGTATAGCTACATCCTCCGAAGGAAGGATCTTTACTCCTTTTACCTCCTGAATGGGCTGCGTCTGCTGAAAGCGCGGGGAATGGCGTTGGAAGCTTGGCCCTACTTCCAGCATTGCCGCCTACTGGTTGGGTTACTCCAGCAAGTCACTCCCCTTCCCTGGGCCTCAGTGTCTCTACTGTAGCATTCCCAGGTCTGGAATTCCATCCACTTTAGCAAGGATGGACGCGCCACAGAGAGACGCGTTCCTAGCCCGCGCTTCCCACCTGTCTTCAGGCGCATCCCGCTTCCCTCAAACTTAGGAAATGCCTCTGGGAGGTCCTGTCCGGCTCCGGACTCACTACCGACCACCCGCAAACAGCAGGGTCCCCTGGGCTTCCCAAGCCGCGCACCTCTCCGCCCCGCCCCTGCGCCCTCCTTCCTCGCGTCTGCCCCTCTCCCCCACCCCGCCTTCTCCCTCCCCGCCCCAGCGGCGCATGCGCCGCGCTCGGAGCGTGTTTTTATAAAAGTCCGGCCGCGGCCAGAAACTTCAGTTTGTTGGCTGCGGCAGCAGGTAGCAAAGTGACGCCGAGGGCCTGAGTGCTCCAGTAGCCACCGCATCTGGAGAACCAGCGGTTACCATGGAGGGGATCAGTGTAAGTCCAGTTTCAACCTGCTTTGTCATAAATGTACAAACGTTTGAACTTAGAGCGCAGCCCCTCTCCGAGCGGGCAGAAGCGGCCAGGACATTGGAGGTACCCGTACTCCAAAAAAGGGTCACCGAAAGGAGTTTTCTTGACCATGCCTATATAGTGCGGGTGGGTGGGGGGGGAGCAGGATTGGAATCTTTTTCTCTGTGAGTCGAGGAGAAACGACTGGAAAGAGCGTTCCAGTGGCTGCATGTGTCTCCCCCTTGAGTCCCGCCGCGCGCGGCGGCTTGCACGCTGTTTGCAAACGTAAGAACATTCTGTGCACAAGTGCAGAGAAGGCGTGCGCGCTGCCTCGGGACTCAGACCACCGGTCTCTTCCTTGGGGAAGCGGGGATGTCTTGGAGCGAGTTACATTGTCTGAATTTAGAGGCGGAGGGCGGCGTGCCTGGGCTGAGTTCCCAGGAGGAGATTGCGCCCGCTTTAACTTCGGGGTTAAGCGCCTGGTGACTGTTCTTGACACTGGGTGCGTGTTTGTTAAACTCTGTGCGGCCGACGGAGCTGTGCCAGTCTCCCAGCACAGTAGGCAGAGGGCGGGAGAGGCGGGTGGACCCACCGCGCCGATCCTCTGAGGGGATCGAGTGGTGGCAGCAGCTAGGAGTTGATCCGCCCGCGCGCTTTGGGTTTGAGGGGGAAAACCTTCCCGCCGTCCGAAGCGCGCCTCTTCCCCACGGCCGCGAGTGGGTCCTGCAGTTCGAGAGTTTGGGGTCGTGCAGAGGTCAGCGGAGTGGTTTGACCTCCCCTTTGACACCGCGCAGCTGCCAGCCCTGAGATTTGCGCTCCGGGGATAGGAGCGGGTACGGGGTGAGGGGCGGGGGCGGTTAAGACCGCACCTGGGCTGCCAGGTCGCCGCCGCGAAGACTGGCAGGTGCAAGTGGGGAAACCGTTTGGCTCTCTCCGAGTCCAGTTGTGATGTTTAACCGTCGGTGGTTTCCAGAAACCTTTTGAAACCCTCTTGCTAGGGAGTTTTTGGTTTCCTGCAGCGGCGCGCAATTCAAAGACGCTCGCGGCGGAGCCGCCCAGTCGCTCCCCAGCACCCTGTGGGACAGAGCCTGGCGTGTCGCCCAGCGGAGCCCCTGCAGCGCTGCTTGCGGGCGGTTGGCGTGGGTGTAGTGGGCAGCCGCGGCGGCCCGGGGCTGGACGACCCGGCCCCCCGCGTGCCCACCGCCTGGAGGCTTCCAGCTGCCCACCTCCGGCCGGGTTAACTGGATCAGTGGCGGGGTAATGGGAAGCCACCCGGGAGAGTGAGGAAATGAAACTTGGGGCGAGGACCACGGGTGCAGACCCCGTTACCTTCTCCACCCAGGAAAATGCCCCGCTCCCTAACGTCCCAAACGCGCCAAGTGATAAACACGAGGATGGCAAGAGACCCACACACCGGAGGAGCGCCCGCTTGGGGGAGGAGGTGCCGTTTGTTCATTTTCTGACACTCCCGCCCAATATACCCCAAGCACCGAAGGGCCTTCGTTTTAAGACCGCATTCTCTTTACCCACTACAAGTTGCTTGAAGCCCAGAATGGTTTGTATTTAGGCAGGCGTGGGAAAATTAAGTTTTTGCGCTTTAGGAGAATGAGTCTTTGCAACGCCCCCGCCCTCCCCCCGTGATCCTCCCTTCTCCCCTCTTCCCTCCCTGGGCGAAAAACTTCTTACAAAAAGTTAATCACTGCCCCTCCTAGCAGCACCCACCCCACCCCCCACGCCGCCTGGGAGTGGCCTCTTTGTGTGTATTTTTTTTTTCCTCCTAAGGAAGGTTTTTTTTCTTCCCTCTAGTGGGCGGGGCAGAGGAGTTAGCCAAGATGTGACTTTGAAACCCTCAGCGTCTCAGTGCCCTTTTGTTCTAAACAAAGAATTTTGTAATTGGTTCTACCAAAGAAGGATATAATGAAGTCACTATGGGAAAAGATGGGGAGGAGAGTTGTAGGATTCTACATTAATTCTCTTGTGCCCTTAGCCCACTACTTCAGAATTTCCTGAAGAAAGCAAGCCTGAATTGGTTTTTTAAATTGCTTTAAAAATTTTTTTTAACTGGGTTAATGCTTGCTGAATTGGAAGTGAATGTCCATTCCTTTGCCTCTTTTGCAGATATACACTTCAGATAACTACACCGAGGAAATGGGCTCAGGGGACTATGACTCCATGAAGGAACCCTGTTTCCGTGAAGAAAATGCTAATTTCAATAAAATCTTCCTGCCCACCATCTACTCCATCATCTTCTTAACTGGCATTGTGGGCAATGGATTGGTCATCCTGGTCATGGGTTACCAGAAGAAACTGAGAAGCATGACGGACAAGTACAGGCTGCACCTGTCAGTGGCCGACCTCCTCTTTGTCATCACGCTTCCCTTCTGGGCAGTTGATGCCGTGGCAAACTGGTACTTTGGGAACTTCCTATGCAAGGCAGTCCATGTCATCTACACAGTCAACCTCTACAGCAGTGTCCTCATCCTGGCCTTCATCAGTCTGGACCGCTACCTGGCCATCGTCCACGCCACCAACAGTCAGAGGCCAAGGAAGCTGTTGGCTGAAAAGGTGGTCTATGTTGGCGTCTGGATCCCTGCCCTCCTGCTGACTATTCCCGACTTCATCTTTGCCAACGTCAGTGAGGCAGATGACAGATATATCTGTGACCGCTTCTACCCCAATGACTTGTGGGTGGTTGTGTTCCAGTTTCAGCACATCATGGTTGGCCTTATCCTGCCTGGTATTGTCATCCTGTCCTGCTATTGCATTATCATCTCCAAGCTGTCACACTCCAAGGGCCACCAGAAGCGCAAGGCCCTCAAGACCACAGTCATCCTCATCCTGGCTTTCTTCGCCTGTTGGCTGCCTTACTACATTGGGATCAGCATCGACTCCTTCATCCTCCTGGAAATCATCAAGCAAGGGTGTGAGTTTGAGAACACTGTGCACAAGTGGATTTCCATCACCGAGGCCCTAGCTTTCTTCCACTGTTGTCTGAACCCCATCCTCTATGCTTTCCTTGGAGCCAAATTTAAAACCTCTGCCCAGCACGCACTCACCTCTGTGAGCAGAGGGTCCAGCCTCAAGATCCTCTCCAAAGGAAAGCGAGGTGGACATTCATCTGTTTCCACTGAGTCTGAGTCTTCAAGTTTTCACTCCAGCTAACACAGATGTAAAAGACTTTTTTTTATACGATAAATAACTTTTTTTTAAGTTACACATTTTTCAGATATAAAAGACTGACCAATATTGTACAGTTTTTATTGCTTGTTGGATTTTTGTCTTGTGTTTCTTTAGTTTTTGTGAAGTTTAATTGACTTATTTATATAAATTTTTTTTGTTTCATATTGATGTGTGTCTAGGCAGGACCTGTGGCCAAGTTCTTAGTTGCTGTATGTCTCGTGGTAGGACTGTAGAAAAGGGAACTGAACATTCCAGAGCGTGTAGTGAATCACGTAAAGCTAGAAATGATCCCCAGCTGTTTATGCATAGATAATCTCTCCATTCCCGTGGAACGTTTTTCCTGTTCTTAAGACGTGATTTTGCTGTAGAAGATGGCACTTATAACCAAAGCCCAAAGTGGTATAGAAATGCTGGTTTTTCAGTTTTCAGGAGTGGGTTGATTTCAGCACCTACAGTGTACAGTCTTGTATTAAGTTGTTAATAAAAGTACATGTTAAACTTACTTAGTGTTATGTTCTGATTTCTGTTGACATTCTTTTGGCTAGTAGAAGACAAAAGTAATACATTTATGGTATGCAAAGCACTATCCTAGGTATTTCATTGTAATATTTTACTTACCCCTTATCACAACTCTGATAGATTCTGCTTCTGTTACTAATTACATTTTATAGAAGAGGAAACGGAGGCACAGAAAGCCTAAGTAACTTGGTTAAAGGCATGTAGTAAGTATCAAATCCTGTATTTTAAACCAGGTAACATGACTTAACGAATCTGAAGCCTTCACCACTTTAAATTCAAATGGAAGTTTAGAAATGGCCAGCCAGCACCTATTTGTATGAAAGGTCATCTTTCAGAGGATAAGCATGTATAAAGAAGAAAAGGTATGCAGTCGTGTTTGGATTTTACTCCACCATCCACTTGTGAAACCCAGGTCTGTGCAATGCCAGACGGTGTGTGCTTTCCTCATCCAGTATCCTCAGTGTAGATAACCATCACTCCCTTTTCACAGACAAGAGAACTGAGATTCAGAGACTTTCCATACATTGCACTTTCAAGGGGGCAAAGCCAAGAACTAATTCTGTTTATTGTTCCAGCTCTTGCTCTTAACTCTTACCTACTATTGCCCTTCAGAACACCTGGGCATAAGTCAACTGAACTGCTAATAAAGAAAGCCAAAAGTGAATGTTTTCTTCATAAAATTAACCATGACCAAAATACTCCTCTTGTAATATCTTCTATGCAAATCTCAACACTTTTATTCTTAAACTATCGCAACACCTAGCACCTCCTCAAGGACTCAGCCAAGCAGCTACAAGTTAATACTGATATTTGTTAGAGTCAGAAGGAAGGTCCACTGAAGCAAGCTCCCTGTTGCTCACATTTTGCACAAGATTTTGGAGACTTATGTAACCACCCGTTGCTATTAACACGACCATTGTGCAAGCCCCAGGCTCTTGAGTAAATTTCAGCTTTGGTTTCTATTTAAAGATAATTTCTAAACTCTAGCCATACCTACCTCACATTGGAACACAAACAGGGTACACTCCAGGCATGCACTCAGATAATAAGTAGGATATAATTACGACAATATTTGGTCTACTTTTAGTAATTGTTTCTGGCACAGAAAATCCATTTTGGAGGAAAAATTGCAATGCCTTATCTTTCTGAGGCAAATCACATTTGTTCAAGGCAAATTATAGATCCTGTGAAGGGAAATAACTTAATTACTTAAAATAGAATCCAATTTGGCTGTACATTTTTGCTGCCGTCTATGGATCTGGGGTAATTCAAAGTGGTATTCATATTCTACTTGAGGACACAATTAGATTTCAGATAGGAAATTATCTTGAGGTTTCTTGGTTTTCCCTGAGAAGCCTAATTGGATCACCCTTCATTTAAGCATAGTTTTACATGCACTCTCTCAAAGGCTTAGTCTTAAAGCCACAACCATTGAGACAGACTTCACTTGAACCCTCTCTATAAATATTTATTCTCCGGGAGACAATAGAAGAAATCCTTGGAAGGCATGCTTTTTCTTTCTCATCTTGGCTTGAAACCTCCTTACCCCAGATTCCTCTCCTTTACCGTGGAGTCACAACAAAAGGAACTGAGCCAAAACAAAATTCCCAGTGTCACCAGTCTTAATGGATATTTCATTCTCCCTTGGAACAAAGATGGAATAGCTTTTTTTCCAAAAGAAAAACAAGCCTTGGCTCTCTCCCTGCCCCAAAAGGGTGCCCCCCACCCCCATCATTCTCTGTCCCAACCCTGCCATGTTAGAGCGTCTCCAAAGCCTTCCCTGTGTCGTGGTTTGTCTGACAATGTGGGGAAACCCAGTCTGCTGGCCAGCCCTTGCATGAAGTAGCTGATTGTTCCCTCTCCTCATCCCTTATGAATGGGGCCCTTGAAGTTCAGTCATGTAGATTCAGTTGTATAATGAAAGCTAAAATATTTAAATTGTATGCATGCTGCCAATAACAGCATACATCTGACATCTAACTTATTAATAACATTAAGCCTGCAACTAGGGGGGAAAGTGGATGTTTTCTCTTGCAAAGCCTTTGTTTTCCTAAAATGACACTTGAAAATTTATCTCCCCCTACTGCAGGCTTCCCAGCCCCCTTTTATAATTATGCTTAAATTAAAATAATGATTCTGGGATACTCTTTTGGGGAGATACCCTACAGGCTTTATTTTAATAATTGAACTAAGTGTTTGTGACTTTCTCCTAGATATTGTCAAATATTAAATAAAGGCTCCATAAACAATTGAGCTGTCTTATTCCCAGATAATACCCATTTAGGAGGGGCAAGGATCCCTGGAGACAAAATTTAGATTACTTTGGAAAATAATCAAGGCATCCCCGACACCTAGAAATGCAGAAATGCAACCTTGCAGCCTGGCATCGTAGGAATTTGCTCCACCCACGTTGAGGAAGTCTCACCCATGGCTGCCAGTGTGACTTAGCCAGTCAGTGCTGGAGAGATCCGCAAGCAGCCACAGATAGCATTCCCATGGACACAGCCTCAGAGGGAGGCTGGTGCCTTAGGGGCCGATAAAATAGTTGAAATGAATTCTTTAAACACAATGGTCATCAACCGGGGGCAACTGGCCCAACAGGGAACATTTGGTAAGGTCTGGAAACATTTGGGGTCATCATACTGAGGAAGTAGGGGGCGCGGGGAGGAGTAGTAGACAAGGTGCTAGTGGCATCTAGTGGGGAGGGGCCAGGGATATTGCTAGACATCCTACAATACACAGGACAGCCCCCACAACAAAATGATCTGGCCCAAAATGTCAGTAATGCTCAAAGTTGAGAATCCCTTTTTTAAGGTGATAGTAATAATCGAAATAAGGATATAGCCAACCAGTATAATTCTCTGAAATAGTATGAATCCATAAAAAGCTTGGTATTTGCTATGGTCTGAATGTGTCCTCTCAAAATTCTCATGTTGAAATCCTAACCCTCAAGGTGATGGTATTAAGAGATAGGGTCTTCGGGAGATGATTAGGTCATAAGCATGCAGCCCTCACAATTTGTAATGCCTTTATAAAAGAGATCCCAGAAATCTAGCTAGCCCCTTCTGTCGTATAAGGAAACAGCTAGAAGGTGCCATCTATGAACCAGAAAGTGGGCCTTCACCAGACACAAAATTTGCTGGTGTCTTGATCTTGGACTTCCAAGCCTTCAGAACTGTGAGACATAAGTTTATGTTATTTACATGCCAGCCAGTCTATGGTATTTCATTATAGTAGCCAGAACCGACTAAGACAGTATCACTGGACAGGGTTCCAGGGTGAGTCTCACTTCAATGCACTCTACTCATTCCCACCTTACCGAACCCCCACAATTATCTTCTACATTCATTTCAATGTTACTTTGTCATCGTGACATCTTTCTCTTTGCCTGTTTTCTTCTCTCACTGGAGTATCAGCTTCTCAAGGGCAGGGACACTGTCATTTCTTCTTTGTTCCCTGATGAGCTGCCACAGGCTGTGCTAGGAAGCCATCCTACAAAGAAAAATAAATGGTAAAATGCTGGGGATTCTAATTATCATCAAATATCTGTCTCTCTAAAGCCAACGATGTTTACTCATTTAATCCTCACCACTGCCTGTGACTCAATTTGGAACACTTCCCATTTTTCTCCTTTTATTTAAAAAATGAGTGATGAGGTACCAGCCTATTGTTCCACTGTCTGAAACTGGCTTGGATTAATTTAAATCAATTTTATCAAGTCCAACAATTAAAATCTTCTAAAACCTTCTGAAAATCCTTCTTTCAACTGAAAATTCCAGCTGGCTGCAGGCTGAGTTGAGGGATCCCCAATGTGAAGAAGTCACAGAAGGGACAGAGTTTTTCAAAATCAAACAAATAAAGGTGCTCAACCAAACTACACCAGGTGCTGTGTGTTTATCTGGCAGAGCCAGTCCACTATTAAGTTGATTTACATATTACAGTTCAATTAACCAGAACCCAACTCATCAACACTCTTAATTAAAGGGAATTACTTCCTCGTATTTGACTCTGTCTGAAGAAAAGTAATGTATATTGAAATTCCAGGCACTCTCATATGTAAGATGCAAGAGTCCCAGCAATATTGCTAGCTCCATTTTCAGGCGAGGGCACAGGCAAAGTTTAACTACAAATAAAGGGGTTAATGTTCTTTCTACTACACACACTATAAATGTGAAAACAGGACAACCAATTTCTAGGAGATGTCCTCACATTCTCAACATATTCAGTCCAAACTTCCCTATCTTTTCTATTTCTAGGTCAAGTCCTATGTGATAGCAATAACAGTTAACATTGACCTTGAGGGTTTACTACACACCAAGGGGCTTTGACTATTTAATCTTCGTAACAGCCCTACACAGTAAGTATTATTATTTGCCTATTTTACAGATGGGGAAACTGAAGCATAGAACAAAGCTTAAAATTGGCCCAATGTCACATGTTTTATAAGTGATAAAGCCTGGGTTTGAACCCAGGTCATCTGACACCAGAGTGTGCCTTCCTAAGCACTACAGGAACTTTATTATTTGCCTTAATGTTAGCCAATATTCAGGAAAATAACTATGAAGTCAAAAACATCCTTCATGCTCTTCAGTACTCTTCAGGGTTGAAGACCGGACACTCACCTGATTGTCCTTTTGTAAGTGACAAAGCAGACACTGACATTCTAGAAAGATTTGCACTATTTGTGGTTGAAATAAAATGGGTTTCAAGTTAACTTGATACACTGTGCCTGGCGTATAGTAGGAGCTTCATATTTTGTGGAATAAGCAAATGAATCAACACCCATAAATTCCTATTCCTGGGAGCACACAAAATTCTCTAAGTTTTTTTGTTGTTGTTGTCGTTGTTTTTTGAGACAGGGTCTCAACTCTGACAGTTAGGCTGGAGTGCAGTGGCGCAAACATGGCTCACTGCAGCCTCGACCTCCTGGGCTCAAGCAATTCTCCCACTTCAGCCTCTGGTGTATTTGGGACCACAGGTGTGCACCACCAGGCTCGGGTTATTTGTTTTGTTTTGTTTTGTAGAGACGGGAGTCTCAGCATCTTACCCAGACTGGTCTCAAACTCCTATACTCAAGTGATCCTCCCACCTCAGCCTCCCAAAACGCTGGAATTACAGCCATGAGCCACCACACCCGGCCCTAAGTATTCTGATTAATGTTCCTGTGTATGACTTGACTTCCTTCCTTCGTTCCTTCATTCTTTCACAGTCATTCACTTACTGAATCATTTACTGAACACCACTCTGGACCAGGCAAGTATGAAAGCTGCTCACGGTAGAGTGGAAGATGTAGTCCTTTGATGTTCTAGACATGCTGGAAAATTAGCTAAAGACCTCGCAGACTTTCCAATGTCCAACATTTTAAGAAATCCAAGATTCCACCCACCCACCCAATTTTCCCTCAGTCTTGCTCCCACTCATTCCCCATTTAAGGGGTATCATATCCCAGCCCACCTCACGAGCTGGGTGTCAGGCCCCCAATCCTGATCGTCCTTCCTGCTTTACCAGCCCAAAGGAAGCTGTTCACGTCATGAAGATAAGAGCAAAAGTCCTGCCAAGCCGTAGGATATGGGAAAAAGCCCTGGTGGTAGTTTTTTGGCCTTCTGTTCACAGAAGACAACTTGTTAGGCTCCTGGGATTGAAGAAGGAAATCAAGACCATCATCTTGGACCACATCCCACTTCCTTTGGCAAGCCTACTCTGTTTCTATCAGTCCAAGTGAGCTTTTCCATCCTAAATTCTTAGCACATGAAGTCTGAGACATGGGAAGATCCCACACATAAAAGGCTTTTGAAAAGTTAAAAGAAGCTATTGTAAATGGCATTATCTTCTTTTTAAATTTGTAAACATTGTTTTCTCAACAAATTCAATGTCTTAAGCACCAAGACCTTTGCAGTCTAACATAGTTAATTAATAGATACTTCATTTGATTAAAAAACAATCAGATTCCATAAGGCTGTGCCAATGTTGGCTAAAATTATATAAGGTTAGCTCAGTTGTTTAGGACTTGAGGTTTCCAAAGCCAAAATCAAGGGTGCCAGTCCCCCTGGGCCATTTTTAAAGTAAGCTATACCTGAATGTAAGCTCTGTGAATGTAAAGACTATGTAGGTCTGTTTTGTTCATAGCTGTATTTCCAGTGTCTAGAACATTGGTCCCAAGCTTTTTCTGTAAAGGGCCAGGTAGCAAATACTTTAGGCTACCTAGAGGGCCATGTAGTTTCCAGCACAACCACTCAACTCTGCCATGGTAACAAGAAAATGCATAAAAAAGTGAGTGTGGCTGTTGTGTCCCAATAAAATTGTATCTGTGGACATTGAAATTTAAATTTCATGAAATTTTCATGTGTCATGAGATATTCTCCTTTTGATTTTTTTTCAATCACTAAAACATGTAAAAACCATTCTTTGCTTCTCTGCTATTAAAAACAAAAACAGGTGGCAGGCCAGATCTGACCTGCAGGCTGTGGTTTACCAACCCCTGGTCTAGAATATGCTTAAGCGATAGTAGAAATTTTATAAAAATGAACAAGTGAAACTCGAAATATAAGAAAGTTTACTCTTTAAGCTTCAGGCACTGAAAGCCCCAGAGAACTAGTGACTTTATTCACATAAATGTGATACCTACCACTTATAAGGCACCTTTACTATTGACAAAATGCTTTCACAGGTAACCCTCAATGTGGGTCTGGGTACTGGTTTGCCATATTGCTTGGCAAAATCTTGCTTCTTTACTGGGTCTTTTATTTTAGAAAGAACAATCTGGGGTAAGAGAGTTGCTTTTTTTTAATCCACCTTTGTGCAGCTGTGTCACTTTCATCTCCCAGAGTGCTGATAAAGGTGGCATCTCCTTCTCTTATAACTCCCTGAAGCTACAGCAGTGATGTCTCACTAATGAAAGTTGTTGAGGTGCGCTGACTAACCTTTGTCTGGTGTGAGCAACATCAGCTTTGCTCCTCCAAAGTGATAATCACCAATCACAACTTTTGGCAGTGACTACACAGACAGTCCGTAAATAGGACAAAAGAAAAAGCCATAATCCATGGCAATGAATAGTGTTTCATGGCCACAAGCTGAGCCACAAAAGCCTAAGAAAAATCAATGGTGCAGAAAGCGTTTTTGGACCTGACCCCAGCTCTTGGGGGAAGGAGGATAATTCTATTTCCTTTTAGCCTTCAGGTGCCTCGTGGGAATATCAAAACTAATCTCCAAGGGGCTGCTCTGTTCTGTCTCTTACTAGAAACATCTCCAAGCAAATTCATTACTTTATAGAACACTCTTCCCAAGGTGAGAGGCCCAGCTTCTGTTTCAGATGAAAAGAATGTGAGAAGACGCTGAGGAAACTGCCAAGTGCTTTCTGTGTAAATGTGAGTTTTCTGCTATATCTGGATGACAGCACAAAAGCGGCTGCTCAGTTCCCATGGTCCAGAGTAAAGGAGGACAAGGCGTCCAGGCTAAGGTGGCCCTGGAAAAAAATCCCTAGCCAGATGGAAACCCCATGCGTATGGAGTGGAAAAGAAGAAAGATGTGTGGAAATAGTAAATAAAATCAGAAAGGACTCAAAGTACCCCTTCGCAAAAGAGGAAATAAAACTGATAAACAAAAATATGAGGAAATGTTCATCCTCACTAGCAACCAAATAAATGAAAATCAAAATAACAACACACTGTTTCTTACTTATCAAATTAGCACACATTTTTAAAATAATAACGTCCCAAGGGCCAGAGTAGAGAGAGCCAAGCACCTCTGAGCCCTGCTGGTCAGACATAAGCTGGCCAGACCTTTCCAAAGCCAAGGGCAAACGTCTCCAGAGCCGCTACGCTCATCCCCTTTGATACAGAGAGACCATTTCTAGACACCTAATTTCAGGAAACTGATCCTAAATCTTAAAAATACTCTGTGTACAAAGTTGAGTATTACATTTGTAATAACAAAAAAAAAAAAAAACTGGCATTTGCCTAAACATCTGACAGCAAAATGAGAATGAAACAAACTATGGTGAATCTACAGAATGAAATATTATCCAGCTTCTTAATCAATGTTTAAAAAGAAAATGTTTTTAAACATTCCTCCCTTTCCTACACCTTTGAAAACAAGCCACCATGCACGGCCGATTGGCTTGTTTTAAAAGGTATACAGAAGGGAGGAAAGTTTGTTAGAAAATGTTTACGATGTGTAAAATGAAAGAGGTTCAATAGTCTGCGTATTTTTTTAAAAAGATAAAATGTTGTCAGCAGTAGTTAAGTAATAAGCTTTGGGGCAATTGTAAAATATTTTTTTCTTTTGATTTCTCCCTATTTTCCAAACTTACTATAATGAATAGTGAAAAGATAATTGGCTTGGGTTTGTTGTTGTTTGTTTGTTTTTTGAGACAGAGTCTCGCTCTGTTGCCCAGGCTGGAGGGCAGTGGCACCATCTCAGCTCACTGCAACCTCTGCCTCCTGGGTTCAAGCAATTATCATGCCTCAGCTTCCCAAGTAGCTGGGATTACAGGCATGCACCACCATGCCCAGCTATTTTTTTTTTTTTTTTTTTTTTTAGTAGAGATGGGGTTTCACCATGTTGGTCAGGCTGATCTTGAACTCCTGACCTTCAAATGATCCACCCGCCTTGGGCTCCCAAAGTGCTGGGATTACAGGCGTGAACTGATTGAGTTGTTTTAAAAGGTGTAGGGAAGGGAGGAAAGAAGTCTACAATCCCCATGCTCCTTCCTAGGCTATAAGTACTCCAAGAAAGAACCCTCGTCTCTTCCTTTTCCTCTTTTAATCAACTCAGGACCCAACTAGGCACTAGATAAATGTTGAGTTGAACTGAAATAGGCATTTGTAGGATATCTAAAGAAAAAATCAGACATACATATCACCCTCAAGGTACTTAGAATATAGTAGAGTCCATGTACTGCATAACAATGTTTTGATCAAAGACAGGCCGCATATATGATAGTGGTCCCATAAAATTATAATACCATGCATTTACTGTACCTTTTCTATGTTTATATGGGTTAAGATACAAAAATACCCTTGTGCTACAGTTGCCTATGGTATTCAGTACAGTACCACACTGTAAGCTTTATACCCCAGGAGCAATAGGCTGTACAGCCTAGGTGTGTAGTAGGCTGCACCATCTGGCTTTGTGTAAGCACACTCTGTGATGTTTGCACAATGACGAAATCGCCTCACCACACATTTTCCAGAACACGTCCTGGTCACTGAACAATACATGACTATAGTAGGGTTTACTAGTAGCAGAAATCCTAACTATATTATATTCCCAGTAGTGCCTTTGATGCAGTCTAGCATTTCTGAACTGAAGGTCATGATCTCAAGGAAGCATTCTAGAGAATTCCCAAAGTATAGGAGAATGCAATTCAGGGCTGTGTGTGAGCAGCCACAGGCCAGACTGAACTTATGGCAAGTGAGCATATTTCAAATCAATACATACTCATGGCACCATCTTCACAAGACCAGCCCGTTAAGGCTTTAGTAGAAGCAATACAGATCTGGGGTTTCTCAAAGCACTTCTCCCAGAGAGGTCAAGTCTTTCAAAATCCACAGGAAAGTAAATATACTAGAAAGCCCTAACGGAAATCTCTGAAAGGGTTAGGCATTCACACATGACGGCAATAGTGTGGGGGCCTGAAATGGGAACAATGTGTAAGTGGTCAACCCTAAATATTCCATTTTTGTATTGTATTAGAAAGGAAATGTCATGTTGGGGAAGAACTTCCTTCATTCGAATAAGTCCTCAGAATATAGCCGCACACAACAATGGTGGTTTGCAGCATGTCACATATGCAAGGTTCCAAGGTGGGAAAAGCCAGCGAAAAAGACCAATGCTCACTTTGTGGAGAGGATTCTGCAAGTCTGTTACTTTTATTACTTGAGATAGGCTCAGGAATCAGATCGAAAACAGGGACTAGAAAGGAAAAGCTAACATTTTGCCTATAGTTAAAATGAAATTAATATATTGGCCAGGTGCAGTGGCTCACGCCTGTAATCCCAATACTTCGAGAGGCCGAGGTGGGTGGATCACCTGAGGTCAGGAGTTCGAGACCAGCCTGGCCAACATGGCGAAACCCTGTGTCTACTAAAAATACAAAAATTACCAGGCATGCTTGCATGCACCTGCCATCCCAGCTACTTGGGAGGCTGAGGCAGGAGAATTGCTGGAACCCGGGAGGCACAGGTTACAGTGAGCTGACTGCACCACTGCACCACTGCACTCAAGCCTGGGTGACAGAGACTCCAGTTCAAATAAATAAATAAATAAAATTAATATATTAATAAGTAAAAAGTTAACAATTTGTATTATTATCCTCAAAAACAAATTGTCCAAATGTGACTATAAATTCTTCTAAAAAGTATATGTTTTAATGATAAAGGTATTACCTATTTTGATTGAGATTTTAAATCCACATGGTAAAGACCTTTCTATTCATAGTTTCAAGTGTATGGTCTTTTATGAGTTGAAATTTGTGTCTTTGTTACAATGTATGACTTACCTGGTCAAGCATCACAAGTCTACCTGGAATTATCAAGAGATTTTGGTCTTATACTTCATTATACTTATAGATACACTTATATAACTCTTTGGCTATAAATTAAACATTAAAGGAAGGATATTAATTATTTGCTTTATTTCATGTAATTTTTATTTTTTGTTTTATTGTATTTTATTTCTATTTCCATTAGCATCCAACACAAGTTAAAACACTTTAAGCTGGGCACAGTGGTGCATGCCTGTAGTCCCAGCTACTCAAGAGGCTGAGGCAAGAGGACTGCTTGAGCCCAGGAGTTTGAGACCAGCCTGGGCAACACAGCAAGACCGCATCTCAGAAAAAAATCTTTACACAAAAGAGTTGTTTACTGGCAGTTCTGTTATGGGCTGACTTGGCCCCCACCATGTCCGCCCTGTAAAATTCATTTGTTGAAGCCCTAACCCCCCAGTACCTCAGAATGTGACTGTATTAGGAAATAGTGTTTTTAAAGAGATAAGTAACGTGAAATGAAATCACTGGAATGAGCCCTAATCTGACATAACTGGTGTTCTTTTTTTTTTTTTTTTTTTTTTTTTTGAGACGGAGTCTCGCTCTGTCGCCCAGGCTGGAGTGCAGTGGCGAGATCTCGGCTCACTGCAAGCTCCGCCTCCTGGGTTCACACCATTCTCCTGCCTCAGCCTCCCAAGTAGCTGGGACTACCGGCGCCCGCCACCATGCCCAGCTAATTTTTTTGTATTTTTAGTAGAGACGGGGTTTCACCATGTTAGCCAGGATGGTCTCGGTCTCCTGACCTCACGATCCGCCTTCCTCAGCCTCCCAAAGTGCTGGGATTACAGGCATGAGCCACCGTGCCCGGCCTGGTGTTCTTATAACAAGAGAAAATTAGGGCACAGACACACACAGAGGGAGACCATGTGAAGACATGAGGGGAACATGGCCATCTATAAGCCAAGGAGAATGGCCTCAGAAGAAATCAACTCTGCTGACACCTTGATCTTGGACTTCTATGCTCTAAAACTATGATACAATGAACTTCTGTTGTTTAAACCCCCCCGTCTGTGGTATTTCGTTATGGCAGCCTGAGCAAACTAATACAGCCTCCATCTAAAATGCTGTTGTAGTATGTCTTGTTCTTGCCTCTTCTGTTCAATATAAGCAGGAAAAAAAAAACAAACAAACCTTGTTGTTAAGATATACATTCATTCATTCATTCAACAAATATTTATTGAGCATCAACTATGTGTCAAGTGTTGGGATAGGACAGTAACAAACACAGTGTCAGGCCCCATGAGCTTATAGGCTAGTCACAAAGGAATTACTCTTTTTCTAGAATTATTCTTTATTTCAGAAATAGGCCTTATAAATTGGCCTATAAACTAAATCTTCATAGGGAATGAACTGGGAAAGGAAAATTGACAATAAAACAAAATAATTAAATTTCTAACATTTTAATGTCACATGAGTATATTGCTGGAAGCCCTCTGCATCCATTGTATCTTTTGGGAAGCAGATGCTGAGACAGAGTTAGGAGTACAAGAGGTTTATGAGAGGGTATCGGGTATGAAGATGGAAAGGGAAAGAAAGCAGACTAGGAAGAGAAAGGCTTCAGACTGTGATCTTGGGGAGAAAGCAGGATTGGGAAGAGAAAGCCTCAGACCACATTGAAGATCCAACAAAGTCTTGGCCAACCCAACTGAGAGCTCCCAAGGAAAGGGTACCTGTTAGAGAAGTCCTGTGTTGGGCAGAAATGGCCCTGGGATTTCAACCATGTTCCATCATTGGCTGGGGGCTGCTTGGGAAGAGCAAGTACAGATGCCTCTGCCAGAAAGAGGTGCTCCCAGCTAGAGATTGTTGACTAATTGGGCCCATGGAAAGTTCTTTCTTAATGGGAGATCTGAGCAGCACCTCCTCAATGGTCACAGCCTCCAAAAGGTGATATAAGGACCTGGTTTTCTAGAGATTTTTTTCCAAGTCAGTACAATCTATTCCTTTACACTTAAAACATAGGAACATCTCCCAGCAAGTGCTTTAACAGCCAAAATCAAGGTCTCTAAAGAAATGTATTTTTAACACCTGATATAACTTTAACTTGCCAAATATTTATATAGCAGAAATAAAATTTATAGTGTACATTTTTGTTAAAGTGTGATATGTCTCTATAGGCAAAAGTAGTGTTTGCCCAAAAAATAAAATTGTGCTTTTCAATGCAACTTTAGGGTTTGGAAACTAAAGAAGTCAAATATTGGGAGTTTGAGCTTTTACTCATTCATTCATTCCGTTACTACATTTCAAGTGCTATGCTAGGTGCTTAACACAGCAAAACATACATAGCCCCTGCTCATATGAAACTTAGAAGAGGAGAAATAAATGTTAAATAACCTGGGGAATAAACACACATTTATAAACTGAGCATAGGGCTCTGAAAGAAAAGAGAAACTGATCTGAACTGATTTAGACTGGGGTGGGCCAGGGGTCAAGGAAATGTTAACTGTGCTGGCATCTGAGGAATGAGTGCGTGTTTGGAGAGGGTAAGGGGTGCAGGAAATGACAGCATGAAGGACATGTGCAAAGGCCCTGGGGCAGGAAGAAGTCAGCGAAACTGAGACTCTGTGGCCAGATCTCTAAGATCAGAGGAGAAGTGGTGCCAGGGAAGGCCAGAGAATCAAGACACAGTCACCTCTAGCCTGAATCTGCTAATGTACCTCAAGGACTTTGATCCTTGCTCTAAGAGCAATGGGAAGTGTTTTAAGCAGGGGTGGCTAACACAATCTGTTTGTGTTTTGGTGTTTTGAAATGATAACTTTGACTGTAGTATAAACCAAAAATTAGAAGGGCCCTGAGTGGATCTGGAAAGGCCACCGAGTAAGACAGTGTGTGATTCAGGTGGAGATGACAGTCCCCATCACAGACTGATGTTTCCTTAACTTCCACAATGCATGTTCCAAAATGGGCACTCTGGGGAGGACACCATGGCCTGGGAGATACTACCCTGTCATTGAAATTAAAAGGTCATGGAGGTTACAAAACAGACACATAAAATGACTTAATTCATCCAAGTTTACTTACCAAAGTTTTACTGTTCCAATGTCACCTCAAACCCAATGTCCAAAACAAAAGGGGTCCCCATAAACCAAATCTGGGTCCAAACCACTTTCTCCCACCCACCACACCATCTTGTCTCCTCATATTTTACTTGTGGGATCTGGATGTCACCTGAGGCACTTCCTTCTCCTTCATCCCTGTGTTCAGCGTGTTGCTGAGTGACCCTGGCAGGAAGAACTTGCTGGCAGGTCCCCGTCACCTTCCACCTCATCCTGCACCCCTGCTATAGGGACCGGGCCACACCCACATCTCCATCCAGAAGAACTGTAGCTTACAGGAACAAAGACAATTGAACCTTGTTTACTCACTGTATTTCACAAGTGCAGCCACTGGGTTTAAACCTTGTCCCTTTTATGAAAGTTTCCTATACTACTCTGGCCACCTTCTCCCCAAATTCTTAAAACCAGTAGTCCATACTAGGCAATTTTTTCTGAACCACTGTCTTACTCTTTAATTGGCTACAATTTCCTAAATGGTGAAATAAGAGATATGTAGCACAACTGATCTTCAAACAGTATCTTATGTGGATACCTAACATGGAAAATATAAAATAATAATTGTTCTAATTAAACAAGGAGTAGCAGACCCGGAAAATCTCTCCTGTGCCCTCTACTTCCTGGCCACCTCTGAGGCACCCCATCTGAAGGACATAAGAAGCCTAACCTGAGAATCACTAGACATGGAAGCCTCTAGGATCTCTTCCAGCCCTAACATTCTATGGTCTTTAATTTCTTAAATGTCACTTGGTTTCATCCTTTCCTCTAAATTCTCACTACAACACAGTTCAGGTCTTTTTCACCTCCAGCCTGCAAGATTGCAAATTGGTTTCCTTATACCCCAAGTACTCTACGTGGAATAGTGTCTCCCCAAAAACCCGTGTCCACCCAGAACCTTAGCCTGAACTTATTTAGAAATAGGGTCTTTGAAAATGTAATTAGTTAAGATGAGGTCATACCTGAGTAATGCAGGTCATAAATCCAATATGACAGGTATCCTTTTAAGAAGAGGAGACCCAGAGAAAGAAGGGACACATAGGGGAACACCATGTGACAGCAGGCAGAGATGGGAGTCATGCTGCCACGGCCATGGAACCCCAGGGATTGCCAACAAGCACCAGGAGCTAAAAGAGGTAAGGAAGAATCCCCCTAGAGACCTCAGAGGGAGCACGGCCCTGCTGACACTTCTATTTCAGACTTGTGACTCCCAGAACTGTGGGAGAATAAATTTCTGTTGTTTTAAGGTCTCTAGTTTATGGGAATTTTCTATGGCAGTCGTAGGAAATTTATCCATCCAACTAAAATCCATTCTACACATTTCTCCCAGATTTATTTTTCTTAACCTCTGCTCTCATCTTGTTCTTCTACGACTTATTTCATTTCAGGAAGTACTAGTTTTATTGAGCAACTACTATGTGGTAGGCACCCTATTGAAGCTGGGTGTATGAAGGTGAACAACAGCAACATGGCCCCACTTTCCTAACAGCTTCCAGTCTAGGAGGGAAGACAGGTATTAAACGAACACAGGCCGGGCTCAGTGGCTCATGCCTGTAATCTCAACACTTTGGGAGGTTGAGGCAGGAGGACTGCTTGAGATCCTGGGTCCAAGACCAGCCTGGTAACATAATGAGACCCCATCTCTGAAAAAATTATCTGGGCATGGTGGCTCATGCCTGTAGTCCCAGCTACTCAGGAGGCTGAGGTGGGAGAATTGCTTGAGTCCAGGAGGTCAAGGCAGCAATGAGCCATGATTGCACCACTGCATTCCAGCCTGGGAGACAGAGTAAGACCCCTGCCTAAAAAACAAAAAAACAAAAACAAAAAAAAACAACAACAACAAAACACACACACACACACACACACACACAAACACATAAACAGAGCCTCCATTTAACATTGAATTATAAATTGCGGTGTATTATAAATGAAAAGAATAGGTTGTTATGAAACACAATTGGAGACCTGAGGAAGAGGGAGTTAGGCTGATGCCTGAAAGAGAAATAGGAGCTGAACTGACAAAGCATGAGGGAATAGACATGGAGACGCAGAAACAGCACGTGAGCAGAGGCCTGGGGTGGGAAAGGGCCTGGCCCGTTTGAGGAACTAAAATGGAAAGAAGGCCATTGTGGCTGAGGCCTGGTGAGCAAGGGGAAAGTGACACACAGTAAGGCTGGGGAAGAAAGCAAAGGCCAGATCATAGAGGATCAAGTTCAGGACACTTGGGACTTTGTCTTAATGAAATGAGAAGGCATTGAGAGGTTTCCAACAGGAACACAACATGATGCATTTAAGTTTTAAAGTTGTCTTTGGCTGCACTTAGTTGAAGGGTCATATGGGGACAAAAATAAAATGAGGTGACCAGTTAGGAGGTAATGTAGTAGCTGCACACAAATTTGGATTGTGGATGGATCTCAATTATACTTTTTAGGTAATACTAGTAGGACATGCTGATACACTGGATCTGAAGAAGAATAGGGTGGGTATTCACTGCTTTCTGGCTTGAGAAATTAGGTGGATGGAGATGAAATTTATGAGGTGGGGAAGACTGGGTATGATAGTTAGGGGCATAGCCTAAGCTCCTGTTCAGAACGGTCCCAAAGCATAGTGGCTCAAAGAAGATGGAAACATTTCTCTCTCACATAATCAGCCACAGGTAGAGAGTCCAGGGCTGGGAAGGCAGCTCTGGCATCATAAGTGCAAGGTTTCTGTCTTTAGATCTAAGTTAGCTGTGTTAGGCTTCAGCCCTTACAACTGTGTCCCAGCCAGGAGGGAAAGGACAATTTTAGGGCCACAATCTGAAAGTGGCCTGCATCCCTTCTGTTGACATCTCATCGTTCAGAGCCTAGCCACAAGATCACACCTAACTGAAATGGAGGCATGAAGTGAAGCCTCTGGTTGAGCAGCTATACACCAAACTAAAATTGAGGAGTCCTTTTACTAAAGGAAGAAACGTAGAAAGGATGTTGGTGGGCAACCGGCAGCCTCAGCCTAACTAGAGTGGGGTCATTATGTAAGTGGGAATAATAAACATGTGAGTGGGAGGTTCCTGGGGATATCTTAGTGAAGATGTGAAGTAGGCAGATGAAAATGTGAGTCTAAGGAGCTCCAGGGGTAGGATGAGGCCAGAGATAGTTGTTTGAGAGTTATCACCATGCAGATGACATTTAAAGGGATCGAGATTAAATCAAGTACAGTAGATAGAGAACAGGGCCAAGGACTGAACCCTGAGTGCTTCTAACTCTTAGAGGCTGAGTGGAGGAGGATGAACTTGCAAAGGGGACTGAGAAGACAGTGAAGCTCAAGAAAATCCAAAAATGTAGGGTCTATGGAAGCCAAGAGCAGACAGCATTTCCAGAAGGATGGCTCATTGTATACAATATTATAATATGCTGAGACACTAAGACAAGGATCAGACACTGATAATGTGTCTCCATTGCCTGTCTTTTTCTACTTTACATCAAAGTCTTTTGAAAAAAAAAAAAGAGAGAGAGAAAGACACAGACTCGACCAAACTCAGTGGCTCATGTCTGTAATCCCAGCACTTTGGGAGGCCGAGGTAGGCAGATCACGAGGTCAGGAGTTCAAGACCAGCCTAGCCAATATGGTGAAACCCCATCTCTACTAAAAATACAAAAATTAGCCAGGCGTGGTGCTGCACATCCGCAGTCCCAGCTACTCCGGAGGCTGAGGCAGGAGAACCGCTTGAACCCAGGTGGCACAGGTTGCAGTGAGCCGAGATTGTACCAGTGCACTCCAGCCTGGGAGACAGAGAGAGACTTTGTCTCAAAAAATAATAATAAATTAAATTAAATTAAATAAACAGACTGTCACTCTGTTGCCCAGCCTGGAGTGCAGTGGTGCCATCATAGCTCACTGCAGCCTCGACCTCCTGGCTCAAGTGATCCTCCCACCTGAGCCTCCCAAGTAGCTGGAATTACAGGGGTGAGCCACTGTGCCCAGCTCCATCAAAGTCTTTGGAATCTGTTTTTAGCCTGTCTATGCAAACATTTTTCTCTCTACTTCCCATTCTAAAAACATATCCACATTCTCAGTCCCTAAACATATCAACTGGTTCCCATCTTTCATCAGACTCTTCCTTCAACCTGAATTGATATTTCTCCCCATTATCTAGTTACCCAAGTTTTCTCCATTCTTCAAAGCTCCTCACTCATGAAGTCATCTTTGACCCTTACAGCCCAGAGTTGAATGCTAAATTGCTTTCTCGCTGCATTTTATGTATTATTCTTACTCTCTAACTCCTAAGGGTGGAGACCACATGACATATATTCCATGTTCCCAATAAGCTAATAGAGTTAGCCAGGTACCCAAGTTAAAGGGTACCCAGTATTTACCAGCTAAGGTGCAAACAGAATACTTTCTAGATACAATAATTGGGAATAGATGCTTAGCATTTTAGGTGTAGATGGACCTTTGAGATTATGTGATTCAAATCTCCAACATATCCATGAAAAGTCTAAAGTCAAAGAAACAAGAAAATGTTTTCTCTGTATTTAAAACAGACTGCAAGTTAATATTCAATCACCATCCTCATCAATGAGTGCCACTGAAACACTGTGCTCCACTAACTTCACTTTTCACTCAACATCCCTTTGCTTCAGTTCCTTCTATAGTTCCCCATTAGGCACCTGCTACATGTCAGACTCTGATTATGAACAAGGTGAAGTCCTGCCCTTGGAATCTCTATATATACCAAAGCTGGAGTCTGCATTGATTTCCCCCTTCCAGGTATCTAGCTATGTGCCACTTTCCCATGGAACCCTAAATTATATGCACAGAAATAAAATAAAGCCCCATCTTGACTTAGTTAATAAAAACAATTTCACCTGCATGAACTGACTTTTACCTGCCTCACCACAACCCCTCAACTCATATGCTGAAAAGTATGCTAAATTTAGTGTAAACCTTATTGAGTAAATAAAAATATTTAACTCTTTGGAGTCATTCAGCTCTTCTGTAATTTAAATGCCCCTTTATGAATCCTATTGAGATAGATCAATCATCTTATAAGCCATATGATGACTTATAAGCAAATGTTTGCTATGAACCAGGGATGGTCTTAATCAGGTTTTAATCCTCTCAGTATTTGTTTTCAGCACTGTGGAAGAACCATTGCTCTTGTGTGCAACACAGAGAGGAAAGAGAACTTATTAAACTCTAGAAAGGTACCAAGGAAGGATCAAGAAATCTCCTTTCATGATAATCCTTATGAACACTTTAAGAAGCTGTTTAACAACTGTAAGATACCAGCTTACACTGACCCAGCTGTGCAGTTCACAGGAAATACGGGGCTAACAGAGTGCAAACTCTCAAACCCCCTTACATCTGGACTTTTGGGACCCTCTGCTCTGCAGAGTAGCCTCACTGGTGAGGAGTCTGTGAGATCACAAGAAAATGCTCACACAGAACCTGTGCCTCAGGTACTCTAGACTGTGCTCTCAGTACCCAGGACCTCATGAATCCATGCCCTAACAGCCCTAAACCCATGGTCTGGGCCTCAGAGGCCTCTTCCCTGGGTCACCTTCCTGAGGGCAGTACATATCACATGGATGCACATTCAGCCCTTACAACTGTGTCCCAGCCAGGAGGGAAAGGACAATTTTAGGGCCACAATCTGAAAGTGGTCTGCATCCCTTCTGTTGACATCTCATAGTTCAGATGCACATTCTTAGGCCCAACGACAGCCAAGGCACAGCTATTTGGGATGGGGAGAAAAATGGAACTTGAATGTGCCAGCTGGAGTGTCCCCAGGTCTAAGGAAGAAGAACCCCCCTGAAATGTGGAATGGAGCTGGAAGCAGAAAGAAAAGAGTGGGCTATAGCCTCCCTTTGCACTTTTGCCGAAAGGTGAGGGGTAAGACAGTTCAAGTCCTAGTACAAGGAACTGCATTCTGAGAACACCTTATGCCCCACGGCTACATGACTCTCCATGACAGAGTCTCCTAGGGGTTGCCCCAGCAGGGGACAGTCATGGCAGGGAGTCTGCTCAGGAAAGGGCAACTGGAGACCCATCTGCTTTGCCACCTCTTCATCAGTGGACGTGGAAAGGAGTCTGTCTGCCACGGAAGCATTTGGGATGTGGGTTTTGGTTAGGGCTCAAGGTTACACACTGGCCTTCATATCTGCCTATCCCTGCCCAATAAGCCCAAGTCCAACTTGCAGGAATGGGTTTTGCATGGTAGAATGTTTCTTGTAGGTTTCATTGTTTTCTTAAAATTTTTTACAAATACAAGGTTTAGAATTTAAATTGTGTCTAAAACTCTACTTCAAAGTGAATTTAAATTTTGGCCAAGATGCCTATTCTTTTATACTTAGGGTAGCATTTGATCTTCTAACTCTTAAAGGAAGCCCTTTAATTGCTCCAGCAAAATAATAATAATAATAATTTCATAATCGTAATAATTATGTTATTATTATCTGAAAATGGTGGCCTATTTTCCCTTTGTTCTTTCCCGTCCCCCACTACATACTTCTTCCTTCTTTCCTTTCCTTTCCTTTCCTGACTACATAAAAGTGGGTAGTGTGCACAAGCTAATGAGTTGCCCCAGCACTTAAGGATCTTAATCCCAAATCATAAACACCCTAAGAAGGACCTCAGCTGTCATCCATAAATTTTTATTTAAAAGCAAGATATAAGTGGCATTAATTTAGCACAGAGCTAGTGCAGTGAGTAGGGGGGCAGAAATTAAGTGTCAATTCAAAATAATTCTGCATATCCCTACCTTTCCTCAGCACATAACTTCTGCATATGTTGAATAGGTCATGTCATAGTTAATGCTTCTTCCTTGCAGGAATGCTTGTATAACCCCCCTGAAATCCAGTTATTGCAGATGATTGGGAAATGGAGACACAGAGGCGACTCCCTCCTTTCTCTAATTGGAATGGCTAATTCAGCCATAACAGCAGTTCCCTCCAGATGCTCAGATTTGGTTCAGAGTATGGAAATCTGTAGTGAGGGGATTTACCAGGATGCTGAACAAAGAAAGCCATCATTATCTGTGTTCAGGAAAAAGTATTCTAATTAGTGTTAATATCCTCCTGCTGAGCTTCCTGTCATCCACGTTTTGATCCCTGTCCTTGGGTTTTCCAGGATCCGATATCCTGGCTACCTGCAGACAAGGGTCAGGGCACTGACATGGACAAACGTGACATGGACAAACGTGACATGGACAAATGGCTGGGGGTACAGTCCAGAGGAAAAGAGTTCACTTCAAAACGCTCCCTGTATCGACTCTCTGGATGAGATCTTTATAAAAATTGGCTCAGCAAGTGCAAGTCTAATGCACTCAATTTATAAACCTATAATAACAGGTAGTAATTGAATAAAAGCATGAGAAGTATATGTGGAACATGGTCTTCAAATATTTGAAACGCTGTTAAGCCTCATCTGCAAATGAATCCAAAACACTTGGATACCCATTAAGGTCTGAGAGTTCTCAACAATAAAATTAGACTCCAGAGGAGATCAGGCACAAGACAGTGCTTAATAAATCCCTTTTGACGATGTCAGTGACAGGAAGAGGTGCAGGTGGCCTTGAGCTGGATTCCTTTCTTTTCACTCACCCACTGAAATCAGTGCCCTCATGGGCTGATTTGAAACACAACGCTAAAGACAAAACCAAGGAAGACAAACTTGATGCACAAGTCCCATGCGGAAAGAAGAGAAAAGAAAGATCCTAGCAAGTCATAAATTTCCAACAGAGCCAGCACACATAGTCTTTTAAAAACTGAGGGATTTAACGGACCCAGCTGAAGCCCTCCATATGAGGTTTTTTGAGAAATGGGCACCCTGCCATCCACATATTTCATGTCACATATGACATGTGGGGCTCATGGTCAGAGCCAGGCTGGAGGAGAAGCCAGGTCGGCAGTTGTCCAGGAGGGGTAATCTGAGGAGTGAAAGGGAAGGTTCTCTCTACCTCCTCATCTTCCTCCTAAAGTAAAAATGACTACAGCACTCTGTTACAACACCAAAACTGTCTGAAATGTCTGTGCTAGAAAGTCATTCATCCCTCTGACTTAATTTTTTTTCTCAGCCTTAGACGTGAAGAGCAACAGATATGAATAATACAAAAGCCTTCTGGGAAAATCAAGGTCCATCTCTTGATTCCAACTGATGTTTAGATGCTGTGGTCCCTGACCATAAAGGCAAAAGGAAACCTATCCTGTGTTTGGCCATTTTATGACAAAACTCCAACCTGAGTCCAAATACACTCATTTCTCATGCTGTACTTTTTTTTTAAATGAAGCTGTGTTAAGAAAACATTGATTTTGTATATTGTTCCTTACAAAACCTAGAGATTAGCTCACTAATGATGGCTGGTGAGAAATAAGAGAAAGATTTCATTAGGTGTACATCTGATTAGAAAAGAGTATTTTTCACTTTTATTATTAACGAGTGAATAAATAGAATTCTGATTTTCAAGTGCAAATCTTGCCTCCATCATTTTCTGTGTAATTTTTCTGCCCATTTGGATCTAAGATTAAGAAGCAAACATGAATAAATAAAGGAAACATTAAAGGTAAATACTGAGAAGCCAAGATAAATATCTGAGGTAAGAGCAGGGGAAGGAAGAGAAAGGAAATCTTAGAAATAAAGCTTTGCTGTTGCTGTTGTTGTTGATGATGATACTGACGTTGGTGGTGGTGGTGGTGGTGTTTTTGATGCAGAAAATCCAAGCAAACCAAAGGTTTCCCTTGCATAACTGCACATGATGAAAAGGCATTGGAGTGGGGGAAAGAGGAGACTAAGAATTGAGGTAGAAGACAGGAAATATAACAATATCTCCACAAATGTAAAGTCCTTTATTTTCACATGCCAGGCTTCAGTAAGTGCTAATTTATAATGAAAGGAATTAAGGAAAGTATACAAACAGCAAAGGGCACCTTAGCCAATCAATATATGTGATAGCTTCTTCTCAAGCTCTTTGCTTAGCTAGTCTCACTGTAAGTAAAATTAATGAAATCCATTCACTGTTTCATTCAAGAAATATTTTTTTGAGACCCCACTATGTGGCAAGAACCATTCTAGCCTGTAGGAATTTAAAGGTGAGTCAGACAGGCAAGATCTCCTCCTATCCTCATAAAACTTACATACTGAAAAGAGAGATAGGAAATACACCAAGAAGCCAAAAAAGACAATTTCTGTGTTAGGAAAAACATAGAACAATACTATAAATGACAGTGACTGGGCAAGCTGTTTACAGTTGGATGATATGTAATCAATAATTCATCCATCTTTCAGCAAATACATATTCAGTGCTTAACTGGTTTTTTTGGGTTTGTTTTGTTTTTGGTTTTGTTTTTAGAGACAGGGTCTTGCTCTGTCACTCAGGCTGGAGTGCAGTGGTACAATCATAGCTCACTGCAGCCTCAATCTCCTGGGCTCAAGTGATTCTCTCACTTCAGCCTCCCAAGTAGCTGGGACTACAGGCATGTGCCACCACACCCCGCTAATTTTTTTAGTAGAGACAGAGTCTGGCTATGTTGTCCAGGCTGGTCTTGAACTCCTGGCCTTAAGTAATCCTCATGCCTCAGTCTCCCAAAGTGCTGGGACTACAGGCATAAGCCACTACGCCCATCCCAAACTTAGTGGCTTAAATAATAGCACAACAAACTACCCCAAACTTAGTGGCTTACAACAATAATTTCTTTTCTTTGTAATTCTTTGAATGGCCTTTTGGGTTGGGCCCAGCTGGACAGTTCTTCTGGATTCAGCTACACTGATGCATCTGTGGTCAGCTACTGGTCATCTAAGCAGCTACTCTTTTGCAGATTGGCTGACTGTCAGTTAGGACAATGAGGGTCACTAGGCCCTTGTGTCTCCCACCCTTCATCAAACCAACCCAAGCTTGTTCCCATGGAGCCTCCACGAGGTCCAAGTAGGAGAGCAGAAGTGTTCAAGGCCTCTTGAAATCTAGGCCCAGAACTGATGCTGTGTAGCTTCTGCCATATAGTATGGCCAAAGCAAATCACAGGGGCAGGAGCTGAAAGTCGTATTGCAAAGGGGGAGCACAGACGGAGGGAAAGAATTCTTGGGGCTTTTGCAATCTAAATAGGTGTCTAAAGGTAAGGCAGGCACTGAGAATATAGTGGTGAGCAAAACAGACATGACCCCTGTCTTCTTGAAGCTTACGGTCTATTATCTGACAGAGCACCTACTGGGGGAAATGCCTGCCTGCAGCTCCAAGAGAATGAATGCAGAACAGTTGTTTACCTGTGGGACATAAATGTTGATTTCATTAATTGGCACTTGGCACCTGAGACAGGGGATTCTGCCTGCTCAACATGGGACCTATTAACACGCCTTATTGTGAATAGAACTAATTACTAAAATTGGATTCTAACCAAGCCACCCTCAGTGGCTTCTCTGCAGTGTGCCAATCCTATTGAGCAAGGGACAGCCACAGTTCTGTCGAATCCTATTTTCTTTGAAGACAAAGTCATTTGTGCATTTGTTCATTGCCTCAGATTCCCAATTGCATCTGGTACCCCTGGACCGGAATTATTTGTCCAGAAGGTGACCTTCACTGCTGTGGCTTTCTCCGGAAAAACGGCTTCCAACAAACATGCGGCACGCCGAAGGGCCAGGAGGCCCGGCCAAGGCCTGTTGGTCGTCCACCTCCCAGATGTCAGAGCCCAGAGACAGAAGGTGATTGTCTCCAAATGGCCTCATCCTCCAGCACTGCAGGAGAGCAGCCATGTGGTAGACATGACAGACCCCCACCCTGCCAAGGCCATGCAGAGCTTGCCATGGGCCAAAACTTGGAAGAGAAACTTGCCAAATTCTGGCAGAAACCCTGAGTGAAGCTTTTCATGTGCTTTGTCTCAATTTGTCTTCCTGGAAAATGGGTTGTTACCACTTTTTTCTTATTCCCAGATTATGCAGAACAAATGTCCCTACACATCTGTCCTCATTGGTGCTATCGGTCAACTGTCATGATGCACCACAGAAGACTTATAAGAATACCAGGCCCTGTTCTCAAGGCACCTGTTGGCCTGCAGGTGTGTACAATGGAGCTTCTTAAGGTCTGGGACTGCCATTAGAAAATGGTTTTATGAGTGTCACACAGAAAGAGCAGGCTCTAAAAAAAAAAAGGCTAGATGTTGCTAACGATGATGTTAATGCTTTCTGTAACTTAGAAGGAAAGATCCTCTCTGAACTGAAGGAGTTAGTGTTGCCTTTGTCATTCTTTTATGCCAAAATTCTCCACCCAGCAGGTTAAAAGCTTTGGAAGAGCTTCACTATACAGATATTACTCCTTCAAAACTGGAGGAAAGGAAGGTTTTGTGTGAGGAAATGGAATTCCCATGGCTGAGTAAGGTTTTATCCATCCCGTGAGAGAAACAGAAGAAACGAAGGTAGGCAGGCTGTTGTCTGTCCTGGCTCCTCCCCTTGCACCCTACTCGAAACACATCCCATGGTCCCCACCTCCACACCCTTGTTTGTGCTGTTCCCTCCACCTGGAATGGACTTTCTTTCTGCATAGCCAGATTCTAACTCTACTATAAAACTGAGCTGAGGCTCACGCCTGTAATCCCAACACTTTGGGAGGCCGAGGCGGGTGGATTGCGAGGTCAGGAGATCGAGACCATCCTGGCGAACACGGTGAAACCCAGTCTCTACTAAAAATACAAAAAAAAAAAAAAAAAAAAAAAACAGCCGGGTGTGGTGGCGAGTGCCTGTAGTCCCAGCTACTCGGGAGGCTGAGGCAGGAGAATGGCGTGAACCCGGGAGGCGGAGCTTTCAGCAATCCGAGATCGCGCCACTGCACTCCAGCCTGGGCGACAGAGCGAGACTCTGTCTCAAAAAAAAAAAAAACTAGCTGGATGTGGTGGCGCGTGCCTGTAATCCCAGCTATTCAGGTGGCTGAGACAGGAGAATGCCTTGAACGTGGGAGACCAAGGTTGCAGTGAACTGAGATGGCGCCACTGTACTTCAGCCTGGGCAACAGAGTGAGACTCCGTCTCATAAAAAAAAAAAAAAAAAAAAAAAAAAAACTGAGCTGAACAGAACCCTTTTCCATGAAGCCTTACCTGAAAGATCCTCACGAAGCCTAAGCTGGCCATTTTCCCTGGCAGTCATCACTCTCCAGAAGTTCCATAGTATGCATCTCAAATTTCTGGTACCATTTTGAGAGGTGACAGCATGCTGACAGCCCTGGCAGCCCTTGCTCACTCTCGGCGCCTCCTCTGCCTGGGCTCACATTTTGGCGGCGCTGTAGGAGACCTTTAGCCCGCCGCTGCACTGTGGGAGCCCCTTCCTGGGCTGGCCGAGGCCGGAGCCGGCTCCCTCAGCCTGCGGGGAGGTGTGGAGGGAGAGGCGCGGGCGGGAGCAGGGGTTGTGCGCGGCGCTTGCGCGCCAGCGCGAGTTCCAGGTGGGCGTGAGCTCGGCGGGCTCCGCACCCCGAGCGGCCAGCCGGCCCTGCCGGCCCGGGAAGTGAGGGGCTTAGCACCTGGGCCAGCAGCTGCTGTGCTAGACTTCTCGCGGGGCCTTAGCTGCCTTCCAGCGAGGCAGGGCTTGGGACCTGCCGCCCACCGTGCCTGAGCCTCCCGGCCGCGTGGGCTCCTGCGGGGCGGAGCCTCCCCGACGAGCACCGCCCCCTGCTCCACGGGTGCCCAGTCCCATCGACCTCCCAAGGGCTGAGGAGTGTGGGCGCACGGCGCAGGACTGGCAGGCAGCTCCACCTACAGTCCCCCGTGGGGGATCCACTGGGTGAAGCCAGCTGGGCTCCTGAGTCTGGCGGGGACTTGGAGAACCTTTATGTCTAGCCAAGGGATTGTAAATACAGCAATCAGCACTCTGTATCTAGCTCAAGGTTTGTAAACACACCAATCAGCACCCTGTGTCTAGCTCAGGGTTTGTGAATGCACCAATCAGCACTCTGTATCTAGCTAATCTAGTGGGGATGTGAAGAACTTTTGTGTCTAGCTCAGGGATTATAAATGCACCAATCAGCACCCTGTCAAAACGGGCCAATCAGCTCTCTGTAAAACAGACCAATCGGCTCTCTATAAAATGGACCAATCAGCAGGATGTGGGTGGGGCCAGATAAGAGAATAAAAGCAGACTGCCCCGCGCCCTCAGTGATAACCCGCTGGGGTCTCCTTCTAATCTCTGGGAGCTTTGTTATTTTGCTCTTTGGGTCCGTGCTGCCTTTATGAGCTGTAACACCACGAGAGTTTGCAGCTTCTCTCTTGCGGCCAGCGAGACCACGAACCCACTGGGAAGAACGAACAACTCCAGACGCACCGCCTTAAGAGCTGTAATACTCACCGGGAAGGTGTGTAGCTTCACTTCTAAAGCCGGGAGATCACGAACCCACCACAAGGAAGAAACTTCAAACACATCCGAACATCAGAAGGAACAAACCCTGGACACACTGCCTTTAAGAAGTGTAACACTCACCGCGAGGGTCAGTGGCTTTATTCTTGAAGTCAGTGAGACCAAGCGCCCACCAATTATGGACACAATTTCACTTTGTTTTTTCCCCACAGTGCCAGATGCACAACAGGTCTCAGTACATATTTGTTGAAAATGAATAAATGAAAGAGATGGAAGAGAGGAGGAAAGAACAGAGGGGAAGAGAAAGTGAGTGAGAATGAACCAAATATTCTCTATAGGAACCCTAGAAGAGAGCCAGAGCCACCCTGAAAGAATGGTCAGGAGAAGCACCCGATCTGCCTGTTTTTAGGAAACCAGCCGGCTCCATCTCTGGTTTCCATGCCTTTCTGAGCGCACAGATCTAACCAGGTTTCAAATCCAGCCACTCAAGGAGAAGCTGCAGCCTTTCCCCTTAGTTCTGAAATGTGTAGTGACCCAGGATCTGCAACCAGTGAGGGATGCCACTGACACAAGAATCTACCAGGGACAGCTGCAAACTGAACATCAACACTACCAGCCCCACAAGTGCCCCAGTCTAACTCCAGACAGTACAGGGGCTTGCTCATTTTAACATAGCAAGTCCTCAGTGGGAGCACAGTTTCCTCTGGGTGATCAAACGTGACAATTTCAGGTCACTCTCAGAGCTGAAGCAGGAAGAGGGTAGGAGGGGACACTGCAATGTGGAAGCTGAGAATCTCCCACAGAGCCCCATTTTATTCCAGCATCAGCTTTTTTGCCCTTCCCTTGAGCCATAACACACCTCAGAATAGCTAAGAGAAGGGAGAAGTGGCAGTCACACTGAAGACACAAGAGGATTGTCATCTAACTGGCTCCAGGCCTCGCTGCTCTGCTAATCGTTAAATCAAGGCCCCTCCACAACCCCTTCCTGCCATCTGTAGGTTAAGTCCATAGGCCTCTGATAGCATTTCTCAGGTGCCAACAGCCCAACAGCCTTCTATATGCCTTCTCAATATGTGATTTTCTCAACAATCACCATCTGCTTTAGTAGAGGCAACCAGTGGTGTTTTTATTTTACAGATGGGGAGCTGAGAGGTTAAATGTCTGATCCAAGATCACAAGCAAGTAAGTGGGATCTGGTGTACCCTCAGGATGCTGTCTCTGAAACCCTGTGTCCTGTGAATTTCTCTCCCCAGACACCCCCTTCCACTTCCTGCGCTCCCCTACCGTGCTGCAAGCACCCCCATGGCAGATTTTCAGCCTTCAGTCGGTCTCTTAGGCCAGACCCTGCATTATCCTGTGATCCCCAGCTCATGGCACAGTGTCTGACTCATACAAGGTGTTCAATAAATATTTGTTGAATAAATTGAACTAAACCCGAGACTTCTGACTCTAAACTCATAGTACTGGAATCTGTTTCAGCCAAGTCACTGGCTGCAAGAAGTATTCTATATTTACTGAAGATTACTTAGAAAACAATGACAAATATTTTAAAAATGTAAAGAGGCAAATCTCATGATGCAGAGATAATTACAAGCTACATTTTGAGATATTTCCTCCAGCTTTTCTCCCATGAATATATGTTCTATAGACTGAGATTATAAATGATTTAACATTGGACTCTAAACATCTTTCCTCATCATTTTTTTTTTAAATCCTCATTTCCAATGATACTGGGAATTTGTATTTCAATATTCAAATACATTCCAACATTATAATATTCAAACATGTGTAAGTATCCTAATTTATTCAGCCTTTCTTACTGTTGTTTCTGACTTATCATTTATAAATCTAAGACTAACATAGTTGTGGATGAATCTCTGTTCAAATTTCTGACTATTTCTGTAGGATAAAGTTCTACAAGTGAAATTATTTTGAGTCTTTTACACATTATTGTTAAATTGCTTTCCTGAAAGAATATAGTCTGAATTTTTTTTTTTTTAATGACAGGCGATTAGGAATATAATACTGAGAGGAAGTTTAAGAATTATCTACCAAAAACCAAATCACTTTATGGATGGGGAAACTAAGGCCCAAGAATGGTTTGGAAAAAGTCACACTGACATTGGGTTAACATATTTAAGAAGAAATAAAAAAAGATTAAGAGGAATTGACATTCTTAAGATATAAGTAGAGTCACAAAATACCAGAGAAATTAGTTTAAAACACGGGCCATGCTCATCTGGCCAAGGGCAAAAAGCACATTCAATGAAGCTCTCTGTTTCTAACTGTACAGTCCTCCTCTTCCCAATAACTTGGGTCCTCGTCTGTCTCTGACTGACTCTCAAGGGAGTCAGCTACAGTCATATCCCCACCTTGACTCCTGGCCAGATTATCAGTCCGCAAATATCTTAGATCAGGAAGGTTTAATTGAGCACCTACTAGGTGCCAAACCTTGTGATAGGTATTGAGGACAGAATGGTGAGCAAGAGAGACAGAGGCTCTGCCCCAAAGGGCTTTTATGCTAATGTTAGAAAACCGACCACAAAATGTAAATAAGGTAAGTTCAATTAGTGACCAATGCTATAACTAAATAAAATTAGACAAGATATATTTGCCATAATGGGGAGAGCGGCTGTATCTAGAGTGGTCAAGCATGACTTTTCTGAGAAGGTAATGTTTGAGTTAAGACCTAAATGACAGCTGGGCACAGTTGCTCACACCTGTAATCCCAGCACTTTAGGAGGCCAAGGCGGGTGGATCATGAGGTCAAGAGATTGAGACCATTCTGGCCAACATGGTGAAACCCCATCTCTACTAAAAATACAAAAATTAGCTGGGCATGGTGGCACATTCCTGTAGTCCCAGCTACTTGGGAGGCTGAGGCAGGAGAATCACTTGAACCTGGGAGGCGGAGGTTGCAGTGAGCTGAGATCGTGCCACTGCACTCCAGTCCAGTGACAGAGTGAGACTCCATCTCAAAAAAAAAAAGATCCAAATGACGACAAGGAACAGCCATTGAAAAATCTGGGGGAAGTGTTCTAATCCAAAGACTCAGCAGAAACAAATGGCCTGTCCAAAGAACAGAGGAAAACAAGCAGAGACAGAGGCAAGGGAGAGGTAGGCAGAGGCGAACTCAGGCAGGCCCTTGGGGGCCACAGTGGGTTTTACTCGGGTTACCGTGAGAAGCAATGGGAGGCCTGTAAGCCTGGGAGCTGAGTGCTGTGCTTTCCACCTTCTGGCTGTTGGGTTCACCCATGGAGAGAACATGGATACCTGAGGAAGACGGTCTGAGGATGAAGCCCTGGAGAACCCAGAATTGATAGGCCTTATAGGCAGAAGACAATAAAGGAGACTGCCATGTGTCTCATCTAGGGAGGAGGAGAACCAAGACACTGGGGTCTTTGGGAAGCTCAGGGAAGAAAGTGTTTGAAGAAGGAGGATGTGACCAACAGCATCCAACACAGCTGAAAGGGTGAACTAGATCAGGACATTTAACTTTGGGCTTTGGCAAAATGAAGATCATTAACGACTTTGAACAAAGAGAGTTCAGACAAGTGATGTATGTGGAAAGCCTGAATGGAGTGGGCTGAGGAGAGAAAAGGAGGTGAGTAAGTGGAGATAACAAGTACAGCCGACTCTTTCAAAGAGTTTTGCTGTGAACAACAACAGAAATGGGGCTGTCACTAACATGGAGTGTGGTCAAGGGAGGTTTTGTAGCAGCGCCATCCAATAGCACCTTCTGTAATGATGCGAATGCTCTGTATCTGCTATTGGACACTCGGAAGGGGGCTGGTAGCACTGAGAACCTGAAGTTTAAATTTCATTTCATTTCAATTAATTCAAATTTAAATTTAAATAGCTACATGTAACAAGGATTATAGCTACTGTTTTGTGCAACACAGTTTGTAGTTGTCATTCTTTTTTTTTTTTTTTTTTGAGATGGAGTCTTGCTCTTGTTGCCCAGCCTGGAGTGCAATGACACAATCTCGGCTCACTGCAACCTCCACCTCCCAGGTTCAAGCAATCCTCATGCCTCAGCCTCCCAGTAGCTGGGATTGTAGACATGTGCCACCACGCCCGGATAATTTTTGTATTTTTAGTAGAGACAGGGTTTTGTCATGTTGGCCAGGCTGGTCTTGAACTCCTGATCTCGTGATCTGCCCGCTTCGGCCTCCCAAAGTGCTAGAATTACAGGTGTGAGCCACCGCTCCCAGCAGTAGTTGTCATTCTTTTAAGGAATGATATTAAGACACACCTGTATCCTGATAGTAATCATTACATGCATTAACTTGATGGGCCTGAGTAACTCTGGCTTCTGGGTGACTCTTTCGGCCACCACCACCCCAACATCCTTACATCTGTTGGTGTTTGACACATAGCTTGTTGTGTTTTACAGTAAGAAAGCAAAATCCATTCTTTATGGTCAATTTCGTGAACGGTGATAGTCCCAGGTGGATCACTTTAATCTCTGTGTGCCTCAGTCTTTCCATCTAGGACCAATGTTTGGCATGAGACTACCTCCATTCCATTTTCCAAGGAAAAAGGAGATGATGTCCCTGTTGGGTCTAGTGAGAATGGCAGTATGGTAAGTGATTAGGAACACAGGCTTTGGATAGAGCAAATCACAGGGGTTCAACTCCCACTTCTTCTATGTATTAGCTGTGAAAACTTAAGTGAACTGCATGCACTTCTCTCAGTTCCTACATCTGTAAAGTGGAGAAAATAAGAGTCTAGGGTGTGTTGAGAATCAAATGAGATCATGTGGGCACAATGCCTACCTGGCGTATGGTAGGCATTTAAGCCGACATTCAGGAGACCAACTCTGGAAGCACCATCATGCTCTCATTCTAGTGTTGGTTTAAGGAAGCTGATGCCTCCGTGTATTTGTTTATCATCTGAAAAGTAATTGCATGGTTTACATGACACCAGGATAGCTCGATTTCCTACACCAGGAACCCTGGATTAGGAAAGTTTCTCTAATTTGCAGCATGGGGTTCCTTCCTGAGGGTGAGTGCAAGGACAGGAGGGCTTGGAGAGTTTCTCCAATAAACATTACCTGCTACTGGATGACTTATTATTTTTCCCAGACCCTTATCCACCAGCACTGCCCACTTAACCCAAGAGACTTACTGATAATGCTGAGCCCAGCGGCTGGGCCAGGAGTCATCTGTTTGGAACTTCAAATGAATGCCCCCCACCCACCAGACCCTACTTTCTCCACATAGTGCTGCAAGTCTTCCTTGCTCCTGATAAAGACTTTGAAGAACATCTTGCCTGTTAACAAATAGCTTTTGATTTTGCCTGAGTTTGATCTTTATTTTGTCCTTATTCATCAGGCCTCTCTAAATGGGTTCTTTCACACTCCTCAGATTAGCCTAAAGGAAACCCCCTGAAACAATGGGCTCGATTCTCCCTGGATGCAGGGAGTGAGCTGTCAAAAGACCACATAGGGCTTCCTGCAGGGCCATGAGAGACAACAAGGGTTGGTGATGCTCCCAGCACTAGTGAAAAGTGAACTCATCCAGCTTCAAAAGCAGTGACCTAGAGGGGAAAGCAGAGCTACAGCACACAGGCCTTGGGTCCAGTAGGACAAGCCTCACAATCCCTCCAGAGGAAGCTTGCCTCCCTCAGACACAGAGCAGCCTCTTCCTGGGAAAGGCCAGGGTCATCTTTCCTGTCCAAACACCAGAGCCCACCTCCCACTGGCAGAACAGGGAACTAGCCAGTGTGATTTCAAGGGGTGGAGCATATACTGGTGCCCAAAGCTGGTATGTTTTGGAAATTATTCTGTTGAGACTTTTTTTTCCTTTGGGAAATTGGCTGTCCTTGACCTCGTGGGACCGTGCCCACTTCTCCTACCTTGGCACCTGTTACATAGTCCAGCCCAGCTCATTAGAATCTCATCCTTGTGGACACTGTTCCAGTGAATAACACAAAATTCGCCCAGGACCAATCAGAATGCAGAGTTTTGTTGGAGAGAGAGAGAGGTTGAGAGGGATATACCTCCATCTTTCTCCTTCAAAGTTCAAGTAGCCAGAGTCTCTCTTTGCTGACACACGAAGGGAGTTAGGAGATGAAGACAGACACAGCCCTAAGGACATAATCTGAGCCCCTGAATACAGCCACACCTGAAAGGCTGGAGTTTTATCTATTCCTTTGGACTTCATAGCTATGTCTGCTTAATAAGTAATCTTTTTTTGCTTAGGCTATTTTGAATCGGTATTCTGACACTTGCAACTGAGGGGTCATAAAGCTGAAAGAATAATATCCAAGGCCAGGTGCGGTTGCTCATGTCTGTAAATCACAGCACTTTGGGAGGCCGAGGTGGGCAGATCACCTGAGGTCAGGAGTTCGAGACCAGCCTGGCTAACATGGCGAAACCCCGTCTCTACTAAAAATACAAAAATTAGCCGGGCATACTGGCACACGCCTGTAATCCCAGCTACTTGGGAGGCTGTGGCAGGAGAATCGCTTGAACCCTGAAGGTGGAGGTTGCAGTGAGCCAAGACAGCACCATTGCACTCCAGCCTGGGCAACAAGAGTGAAACTTTGCCTTAAAAAAAAAAAAATCCAAGTTTCCTTCAGAATTTGTGGAAAGAGATGGACATGATTAAGGAATATGTGCTTGACAATGGTTTTTAAGATAAATTGCAGTATAGGCACCAGGTTGGGACCCTGTTGCCATAATTTAGTCATCAGTCTTTTTCATTTTAAGCAAACTCAACTCTAAATGATTAGGTAGAAAGGGAGTTTGTTTAAAGGATATGGGAGACCCAGGTTCTACAACTTGCTCAAGTCATTTCTAACATTTAGATGACCCCACTCACAAACGTATTTTCTTGTTCTCGAAAGTATCTGAACTGCTATGATTTCAACAGATATAAAAATACATTTATTTAAAAATGTGCTATAGGCATATTCATGACATGAGTCATATTGAATAACTAATTATTAATACCAAATAAGCTACAAGAACCATATTATTTTTCTCATGTATCATAAACATCACATGATATAGGGCCAAATAAAATTGTTAAGAAGCCTGGAGAATACCCTTAAAGCCAAACTTCTAGAAATAGTGCCCACTTCCTTGCAGAACTGGTCTGATAAGATCATCACAACTACTACCACCAGGCATGTCAGCTTGCACTGCCATTTATGCATCACTTCTGAGTAACTTTTGAGCCTGGAATGCAAATTTACACCAGTCTCCACTGCTGCCAACCACGTTGTGACTTCCAAACTCAGGAGCAATGTGACGTTGGCCTCTGCCATTGTTGCTGGTATGGTATCCTTTCCTCACCAGCTCCTGAGTCTAAACCTGGCCCCAGCATGGCTGATTGGTACCATGTTATGGACTGAATTTTGTCCTCCCAAAATTCACATGTTGAAGCCTTAACCACCAATGTGAACTGTATTTGGACATAGGGCCTTTAAAGAGATAATTAAAGTTAAATAGGGCCATAAGGGTGGGGCCCTAATCCAATATGACTGGTGTCCTAAGAAGAGGAAGAGATATAAGGGGTGAGTGTGCACAGAGAAAAGGCCATGTGAAGACACAGCAGGAAGGTGGCCGTTGCAAGCCAAGCAGAGAGGCCTCAGAGAAATCAGCTCTGCTGGCACACTGATCTTGGACTTTCAGCCTCCAGAACTGTGAGAAAATAGATTCCTGTTGTATAAGCCAGCCAGTCTGTAGTATCTGGTTGTGGAATGCCCTGTAATAAACAAATACAGTGGATTGAGGCCTGTGCCTTTTCCTTAGCTGTAAGGAGCCTGGGAGGTAAGAGCACTGGTAGCGCTAAGAACAAATTCAAGAGACCTCAAAAATAATATAAAAGAGGATTTGGTAATTGATTGGGGGGTGGGGTAGTGAAGGCAGAGAGTGAGTCAAAGATCTCTCAGATTCAGAATTCAGGGGCTGGAAAATTGATAGTGACATTGTAAAAAGAGAGAGAAGTTGCACAAAGAATTAACTCTGGGAGGGGTTCCATTCTGTACATTTTGAAAATATAGTGGTATCCAAATGGATATTAGAAATGGGAGTCTGAGGCAGGACACGCAGCTGAACTCTAGTGTGTGGAGGTAAAAGCTGAAGCTGTAAGAAGGATAGCAGTTTGAGGGGCAGAGATGGAAGATCTTGAGAAAGTCCAGGGGAGGCAGTAGGAAGGGGACAGATCAGCTCGATCAGTTAGAGTCATCTAATCTTTGTTGCAGTAACAAAAAGCCCTAAAAGACATAAAGGTTTATTTCTTGTCCCGGTTCACGTGTACGAATGTTGGCTGATGCCTTCGCTGACCATAATCCCTCCGGGCTCCAGGCTGACAGAGGCTTCAACTCGAAGTGTGCTCCCGAGATTACAGTGATGATTGTCAGGGAGAAATGAGTGTGGCAAATCAGGCACAGGTTCTTGAAGCTTCCACACAGAGAAGCCACTTCCATTCACCTTTTATTGGCCAATGTAAAACATACGTCCACACTCAGCCTCCAGGGGATGAGAAGGTATAATCCAATCACACACCCACACAGGGGTAGAAATGGAGATATTTGGTAAACAGCATTAATGATAACCACAGGAGATGAGGAAGAACAGGAACCAGTAGGAGAGACAGAGTCAGATGGTTTAGACTCTACATTTCAGAGACAGGTGGTGAAACAGCTCAATGTAGGGGCTGCCCATGCAAAACAGAAACAGTATCACTCATTATTTTGTTTACTGGAGGAGAGGTCATGGATGTTTGTGTGTATGCGTGCGTGTGTCTTATGTTATTTTGTTTGTGTTTGGTTTTTATTGTACAGCATCTGGCTTCCCTTCCTATTTGGGGAGATTTCTCCCTTGGCGTAAACTTAGGGGAAGAGCCTGAGGCCAAATGTCTTCTCTTGCCACCCAAAGGAATTAAGGCACAGGCAAGTGACATGGACAGGCTCAACGTCTTTAAATCTTTATTAAGTTAATAAGGTTGCTTAAATCTTCTTGTGGTGTGAGACCATACCACAGTCCAGCAATGCAGAGGTGATGTCCAAGCCCACCCATTCCAGGTGAAAGACCAGCTTTCCAGCCTTCAGGACTACTGTGTTTGCTCTCCACACCCAAACCCACACATTGGGTTGGTTCTGCAAGCTCTGATACACTCTCAATAAATAGATTAAGATAGTTAGAGTTGGTCTCAAGTTCTTGGATCCAAGAGCACCCTCTTCAAGTCCACACCAGAGTGAGGTCAGAAGGTGTAGTCAGAATTAGGCAGCTTCTCACACTGTTAGCCAGATCCCCTGATGATGGTTTTACAGTTATCTAGACATAAGAAAATGGAAGAGAACAATTGTTAAAAATCATCATTTCTAAAACAGCAAGACATACAATGATGGGAGCGGAGATGGAAGGGAAGTGATTTAGAATCATCTGGGGGAGATTTTTGAAATTACATATCTGCCTTCCAACACTTACATTCAGTTAGGTCAGGAGTGGAAATACATATAGTAGACCTTCATGATTTCTTTGACTGTCCAATAGCTGAGTCTCCTTCCTCTGCTTGGGAATCTCCCCATTGTGTGTCTTGGTGGGAAGTAGGGCCTGCCTCCAACCACAATGCTGAAAATGTCACACACTCACCATCTTGTCCCCTAGTAGCTGCAGTACATGGACTAGGCTCAGCCAACTGGATGCTCCTATCCAGGACTTTGGATTTGAAGCAAATGACACAGAGAGGGTTCAGGATTCAGCAACATTGGTGACATTGGCAGTGCAGCAGGTGCTGTGGCTGTGGCAGTAGTAGTCTTGCTAGTTAGGTGTGAGTTGGGGGTACTGACTCCCTAGGCTATGTCAGTTCCCATTCAATCTCCAACCAGGTTTTTCAGTCTTCCTAGGGATCAGGGGAGGTCCCTAATACACTTCCAGTGAATTTCTTTTCTGCTTAAGCTAATGTGAAGTTTAATTTTATGGGTCAACTTGGCTGAACCACAGCGCCTAGATATTTGGTCAAACATGACTCTGGATGTTTCTGTGAGGGTTTTGGATGAGGTTTACATTTAAATTGGTGAACTTTGAGTAAAGCAGATTGCTTTCCATAATGTGGTGGGCCTCCTCCAGTCAGTTGAAGGCATGAAGAGAAGAGAAGTCTGGCTTCTCGCAGGCAAGAGGAAGTTTTATAGCAGAAACCTTTGGACTTGAATTGATGTGTTGCAGGGAGCCAAAGGCTCGTGGGACGTGACCAACTCGGCATTCTACTGGAGGCTATATGATCAAACAGCAAACTGTTTATCATGAATGCAGAATGTGAGCAAACTCAAGACTGCTCCTGCCAACAGAAGGTTTGCTGGAGGCAATCACTCCCTGGCACCGAGGCTATCTACTGTGATATCTAGAGCCTGTTGTTCGAGAATGCAGTCTTGCAAGCCTACTCTGGACTGAGCAGCTGACCCCTTCTTCCACCCTCCTTCTCATTATCTCTTTTGCCTAATAAATATGGAGGGCTGTGTAAAGCTCGGGGCCCTTGTCCACTAGAGGCAAGGTGCCCCCTGACCCCTTCTTCCAAATATACTCTTTTGTCTCCTGTCTTTTATTCCCGTGTTTGCTCCTCTTTGTTCAGTCCATGTAGGTCCGTGCCAGTTACAAGTGGCGACCCAGAACAGGGACTCCAACGACGCCCATCAAGTGGCGTCTGAACACAGGACTACGAGGACTTGAACGAAGGTCTGCTGGAGCAGAGGAACTGAAATTGACAAGCGAACGGGGACCCCGGGATGAGTCTGCCAGCAGCGGATAAAAGGTCAGTGCCCTAAAGAGGTACTGGGAGCAGTGCTTTAAAGAAGTGCTGGGAACAGGAAGTTTCTGAATCAGGGTAACAAGGGGAAGAATTTGTCTATTGAAGAAAAACATTATGTGCAGTTGCTTAAAGTTCTGTTGAGACAGTGTGGAGTGCAGATTAATTCACAGACACTAACAAACCTCCTGCAGAAGCCACAGAAGGTTATTATGCATAACCCATGGTTTCCACAGGCAGGCACTCTTGATGTGGAAAATTGGGATAGAGCAGGAGAAGGATTAAAACAGGCTCATCAAAAAGGTCTTAAAGTTGATTCTTCTGTTGTCTTCACTTGGAGTTTAGTTCGTACTGTACTTCTGCCATTATCTCCTTATTAATCTGCGGGACAGCCGGGTGAATCTAAAAATTGGAAAGAATCTGCTGTCCCATCCACAGCTCCAATTAAAAATAAAAAACAGGAGATGGAGGATAAAAATTGGCCTATACCACCTCCTCCAGTTGCAGAAACATCAGTGCCACTTCCTTTGGTGGCAGAAATAGAGACCCCAATACAAAGAAATTTATGCTCTGCTGCCATAGCTGGAGAGCCCTTAGGACCTTGCGCTTTTCCTATTTCTGTAAGGCCTGATCCAAACAATCCACAGCAGGTTATTCATGAACACACTCCACTAGAGTTTAAGTTGTTAAAGGAATTAAAAACGAGTGTGGTAAATGATGGCATACAGAACCCATTCACCTTAGGATTGCTAGAATCTGTGTTTGGTGCTATGCGTCTTTTACCCTTTGATGTGAAACACTTGGCACGAACTTGCTTGTCCGCTAGTGCATATCCGACATGGAATTTAAATTGGCAAGAAATGTGTGCAGGCCTGGCTAAACAGAACCGTGTTGCTGGACACGCAGACACTACAGAGGATATGCTGTTAGGTAATGGCCCTTATTCAGACCTGGAACATCAAATGGCACTCCCAGACGCTGTTTATCAGCAGTGTGCACAGGCCGCTAAACGCACCTGGGTCACAATTCCTGAAGAGGGAGTTCCAGTACAATCCATTTTACATATCATACGAGGGTTGCAGGAACCCTATAAGCAATTTCTTGCAGGATTACAAGAGGCAGTGAAGCGTCAGATTCCTCATACCACGGCTGCAGAAATGCTAACCTTAACTCTAGCTTTTGAGAATGCAAATGCGGACTGTAAATGTGCACTGGCACCTGTGAGGTGTACAAAAAACTTAGGAAATTTTCTCAGAGCTCGTCAGGATGTGGGAAATGAGCTTCATCGCTCTGCAATGTTAGTGTAAGGAATGGCTAATTTAGCAGTTGACAAATCTAAAAGGAGCCAAGGGTCAAATCCTAAAATGGGAAAATGTTATGATTGTGGAAAAACTGGACATTTTAAAAAGGAATGCCACCAGATCTCAGGACAGAAAGGACCTTACAATGCGGTGCCCCCCCCAGCAGAAAAAAACGCCAGGACTTTGTCCCCACTATAACAAAGGAAATCACTGAGCTAATCAGTGCCACTCAAAATTCATCAGAATGGCACCCCCGTGCCAGGAAATGAGACGGGGGCCTGGACCCGGGCCCCACAGACAATGAAGGCATTCCCAGTCCAGACCTCAACCCCGTTTTGGGGATGGGTTCCTGGAGGCACATTGATTCCCTCACCCCAGGAACACCAGGAAGTGCAGGATTAGATCTACCCGCCAGAGAAAGAATCACGTTAGTTGGTGGAGACAAACCTATCAAATTTCCCACTGGCATTTGGGGACCTTTACAAGCAGGATATATGGGACTAATTTTAGGCAAAAGCCGCCTTAACTTGCAAGGCACTACTGTAGTCCCAGGAGTGAATGACTCCAATTATGAAGGATAAATTCAAATAGTTTTAATGTCACAAGATCTTTGGGTTTTTGAACCGGGAGAATATATTGCTTAATTATTGCTTATTCCCTGCAAATTACACCCTTCTCCATGAAAGGAGAAATTAGGAAATAAAGGGCTTGGGAGCACAACTACAAGGGAAATCTATCTATCCCAACCCATAGCCTCTAATACACCAACTTGTGTAGTACAAATTAAAGGAAAGAAATTTTATGGGCTTATGGATACAGGAGCTGATGTATCAGTAATATCTAAAGATAATTGGCCCCCATCCTGGCCCTTGCAATTAGCTTCTACATCCCTAGTGGGAGTAGGAACAGCTCAAAGTGTTCAACAGAGCACTGAGATTTTATCTTGTCTTGGTCCGGATGGACAGTCATGTATTTTTCAGCCTTATGTTGCAAGTATAGCCATCAACTTATGGGGTTGAGACTTACCTCCAGCATGGGATATGAGACTTAACAAATGAAAACTTTGACAACCTAGGGTTGAAAATGTTGAAGAACATGGGATATCAGAAGGGAAAAGGTTTAGGAAAATTTCTTCAGAGAAATCCTAACTCAATATCAGTAACTGGAAAAACAGATAGAAAAGGGCTAGGACGTCAGGATTTCTGATGGGGGTCATTGATATTTCTCCTCCACCCACTGCCTTACTATTAGAATGGTTTAGTGACAAACCTGTGCAGGTGGATCAATGGCCTCTAACACAGGAGAAGTTAGATACCTCTGGTGCTTCAACTCAATGCTCAGAGCTAACTGCTGGCATTCAGGTTTTACAGCTCACAGCTTCAGATCCTATCAACATTGTCTGTGATTCAGCTTATGTTGTAAATGTAGCCAGTTGCATAGAAACTGCTGCAGTTAAAAGTACACTAGACCCAGAACTGCTTAATTTGTTTCACTTATTCTCATATGCTGCATGCTACATGCCAAAGTGGTGAGACAGCTGGTCACGTAGGGTGACATTGTCTGTCATTATTTGCTTATATGGGAATACCTAAACAATTAAAAACTGACAGGGGACCCACTTATACTAGTCATGCTTTTCAACATTTCTTACAACTTTGGGCTATAACCCATAAAACAGGAATTCCTTGTAATCCTAGAGGACGAGGCATTGTAGAACGGGCACATCAAACATTACAATGCATGTTGAAAAAACAAAAAGGGGGTATAGGAGGCCAACTACCACCTCAATGAAAACTACATTTAGCCTTATTTACTTTAAATTTTTGGACTCCTGGTACGGATGGTAAGACTCCAGCAGAAAGACATTGGCAAGTGTTAGAGGAAAAGAGGAAAGTTAATCCAAAAGTGTTGTGGAAATCCCCACAAGAAGGACAATGGAAAGGTCCAGTGGATTTACTGACACGGGGAAGAGGATATGCTTGTGTTTTTACAGGAGATGGATAAACCGTGTGGGTGCCCTCAAGGTGCATGCCAGCATGGAACGGGAGACTGGAGGAACCCAGGGTGGCCAACCATGGGCTTGGTCCCTCTGGTATGAGCCATGAGTCAGCTGAGCTTGAGTGCAAAGACAGAGAGAAGGCCGACCAAAGACACAACACAGTTCCAATGTTACATTTGTAAAGAATATCACCACTCAATTTACAGTTTGTGTTTTTAATCCTCATGTCTTTCTAGCAGCTAAGAAGGACCAGCTCCAGGTAAACAATACCCAATTGATCTGTAAGTCTTGCCAGTTCTATCACTGCATTAATCTTAGCACATTGCAAACACATAACATCTCTCCTTTGATGATTTTAGGTCGCATCCCTATTCATCCGTCTGAGCCTTGGGCTGCTACACCTGCTTTGCCTTTTGCAAAACTTCTTCTAACTGAGCTTACTCATTGTGTCCATAGAGCCTTAGGCATGATAATTTTTGCTATTGTTTCCTTGATCACACTAATAACTTCTGTTGTGATATCTTCTGCAGCTTTGCATAGTTCTGTTCAAACAGCTCAGTACATGGAGAACTGGACATGCACAGCCGACCAAGCATGGCTACTTCAGAGTAAAATTAACACTGAGTTACAAACTGAAGTGGCAATGTTAAAATCCACAGTTCTATGGTTAGGGGAACAAGTACAAAGCTTGCAATTGCAGCAGCAATTGCATTGTCATTTTAATCACACTCATATTTGTGTAACCAACTTGGAATATAACCAAAGTGAGTATCTGTGGGACCTTGTGAAAGCCCATTTGCAGGGAACTTTCACATCCAACATCACCTTTGATATTGGTGAATTACAAAACAAAATTCTTTATTTAAATAACCCAACTCAAGAGTTTCAGCCTTCTTTAGAAGACTGCACCAAATTCCAGCAAGGCCTGGAGAGCCTCAACCCTTGGACCTATCTAAGGCACCACATTTACATCTTTTGTATGGTTCTTGGAATAATGTTGTTTTGTCTCTGTCTTCTGTTTATAGTCGGTAAAAGAGGATGGACTGCCAATTGGAGAATGAGAGCTGCCCAGCCTGGCCTTACATTCTTTCAATTAATTCATTAACAGGAAGGGAGATATGCAGGGAGCCAAAGGCCCATGGGACGTGACCAACTTGGCATTCTACTGGAGGCTATATGATCAAACAGCAAACTGTTTATCATGAATGCAGGATGTGAGCAAACTCACAACTGCTCCTGCCAACAGAAGCCAACAGAAGTTTTGCTGGAGGCAATCACTCCCTGGCACCGAGGCTATCTACTGTGATATCTAGAGCCTGTTGTTTGAGGAATACAATCTTGCAAGCCTACTCTGGATTGAGCAGCTGACCCCTTCTTCCATTCTCCTTCTCACTATCTCTTTTGCCTAATAAATACGGAGGGCTGTGTAAAGCTCGGGGCCCTTGTCCACTAGAGGCAAGGTGCCCCCTGACCCCTCTTCCAAATATACTCTTTTGTCTCTTATCTTTTATTCCCATGTTTGCCCCTCTTTGTTCAGTCCATCTAGGTCTGTGCAGGTTACAATGCATTAGCTCTTTCCTGGTTCTTCAGCTTGATGGCTGTTGGACTTGAACCTCCACATTGACTCTTCCCTGGGTCTCCAGCCTACAGGCCCACTCTGCAGATTTTGATCTTGTCAGCCTCCATAATCCTATGAGCCAATTCCTTCAAATAAATATCTTTCTACATGTAGATATATCCCACTGGTTCTGTTTTTCTAGAGAATCCTGACTAATATGGCTAACCAGAGTAGCTTCTGTTATTTGCAGCCAAGAACACTGACCTGTGTTTTTTTTTAATTCCTTAGGGAATGCTAGTATATTTCCCACTTTAAGAAATACTTTTCTAAATACTTCCCTGCTTTATTCCTTTATGTGTTCCTCAGTAAAAGTGTCCTTGGGGAACCCAGGACAGTGGACCCACTGATATAATTTGCCTACCTTGGAAAATGTACAGATGCACCTGTTGTTCTCCCAACCTCTGGGTTATACTTGATAATGATACCTTCTGTTTCTACCGTGCTTTCTTTCTCATTGTGGTAAAACAAACAAACAAAAAATATTTAACATAAAATTTATCATCTTAACCTTTTTTAGGTGGGCGTAAAGTTCAGCAGCGTCAAGTATATTCACATTGTTGTGAAACAAATCTCTAGAACTTTTTTGTCTTCTGAAACCCTATACTCATTAAAACAATAACTCTCCTTTCCCCTCCTCCAGTCCCCAGTAACCACCTTTCTACTTTCTGTTTCTGAGTTTGACTACTCTAGGTACCTCATATAAGTGGAATCATATGGTAGTTGCCTTTTTGTTCCTGGCTTATTTCACTTAGAATAATGTCCTTAAGGTTCACGCAAGTTGTAGCATGCGACAGGGTCTCCTTCCTCTTCAAGACTGAATAATATTCCATTGTATGTGTATATCACATTTTGTTTATCCATTCATTTGTGGATGGTAACTTGGGTTGCTCCCACCTCTTGGCTATTGTGAATAATGCTGCTATGAATGTTGGTATGCAAATATCTCTTTGAGACTCTGATTTTGATTATTTTGGATATAAATCCAGAAGCCGGATTGCTGGATTGCTGATGGTTCCTCATAGGATTGCTGGGTCCTGTGAGGAACCATCATACTGTCTGCATAGGAATTGCACCACTTATCCATGATGCATTTAGCTCCTCAAAGCAATCTTACAGTTTTAGTTTTGTCCTCACAACCTTACGAGGTAAGTAGAGCACACATTATTATCCCCATCTTGCGGATGAAGTAGTTGAGGCATAAAGGTGTCAAACAGCTTGCATAACATAACAGCTATTTTTTTTTTTGAGATGGAGTCTTCTTCTGTTGCCCAGGATGGAGTACAGTGGCACAATCTTGGCTCACCGCAACCTCTGCCTCCTGGGTTCAAGTGATTCTCTTGCTGCAGCCTCCTAAATAGCAGGGATTACAAGCACGTGCCACCATGCCCGGCTAATTTTTGTATTTTTAGTAGAGATGGGGTTTCACCATGTTGGTCAGGCTAGTCTCAAACTCCTGACCTCGTGATCTGCCCACCTCAGCCTCCCAAAGTGCTGAGATTACAGGCATGAGCCACCGCACCCAGCCATATAACAGCTATCTTATGGCAAATTGTCTTTGTAGTTCAGTGCACTTTCAATTCAATTCACCAGGGACACTCAATCAGAGATATGGGGTAAGTATGAGACCCTTCATAGGTGCTGAATCTAAGGAAAAAATTTTTCAATCTGCACTCCCACCTTTGTCCTAAATAAATTGAAAATAATTTATTTTAATGAGAGCTATTACTGACAGGCACGTATTGTGCACATGACTGGTATAGAAATGAGGAGACAAAATACAGAGCCACTGTTCCAGACAGCACTGTCTCCCCAGTGACTCCGCTTTGTTTATGTATATGCTTATTGATTTTTCACCCAAATGCGCTCAAAAAAGTATGTATGTGAGGACTGAAATAAACCTAATGATTCTCAGCAAGGCATCAGGAAGTGTGGGGTGATTTTTTTGGTTGTCACAGTGGCCACCTCCAGTTTTCTGGCAATTAGTGAGCAGGGCCAGGGATGTTGAAAGTCCAGCAGTACAGGATAGCCCCGCATAAAGAAGAATGGCCCATTCGAAAATGCAGTAGTGCCCACGTGGAGAAAAGCAGGCTCAGGACAAGAACAGAGGTGATGTCAAGGGGGAGATTTAGGGGGCTTTAGGCTAACAGTTCTCCAAGCCTCTACAAATAATTGTACAGTCTAAGTGACAATAGTGTGCTTGCCATATAAACATAGTTCAAGCCAAGACCCCCAGCTGGTGTTACTCCAACAGATCTCCACCCCTAAGCCCTCCTAGACATAAATTCTGAAGTCACCACGAGGATGCCCAGAGCTCAGTACCCCAGAAGTTCTGGAACATTATTTTGACTGCCAAGTTCAAACAATGTTTTCCTTTAAATAACGACAAAAATAAAGTTTTTTTTTTAAGGGGTAATTGATAACAAAAACCACTTAAACCCACTGGCTGTTCCAGTGAAAACATGAAATTCCCAGTTTTAAGTCATCTTTTAGATTACAAAAATCCTATCTCCTCCCAGCCTTCCCCTTGGTAAAGATACTTTTACAGAGAGGAGGCCTCTCTCCTGACAATGTGTGTTTTGCTAGTAACAAAAGGTAATAGAGCCTTTTTCTGAAATATTTGTTCCTGGGCCTGGAGCTGGTATTTGCCCCTACTACCTCTGTGTTCACCTTGCATAAACCAAAAGTGAATCTGCACAGTGCCTCTAACCTGAACATTCGTGGCACTGTGCATCCTCTAATCTTGAACAGATCTAACTCAGAAGAGGAAAGAAAGAAAGAGGGGCAAGGTGCTTTCATGCTCATCAGCATTTGCAATTTCCTCTCTGTCCGCTTCTCCTCCCTCAAATCATGGCACAATGAACTAATTCTTTGTGATTGATCGTGGCCTGTAGATAACTGAGTGTACTTTCTGGCTTTCATATTCCCTTGTCTGTCTCGCAGAGCAATCTAAAATGCTGCTTAGAAGAAGAAAAAAAAAGCTGGCATAAACCTGAAAACCTTAAATGCCCATGTAGAGTGTGTTCTAAAGCTCAATTTCAAGTAACTTCTTCCCCCTTGTGTTTCATAAGAGGGGGAAAATAATCTGACTTCTTCAGTTACTCTTTCAGAATCACAGTGAGAAAAGAATGTGAATGGTTTGGAAATGAGCATGCTGCCCATCCCTGTCACACCCTGGAAGCCATGAACATTTTCACTGCACGTACACGGATGATCAATTTCTAAGCACATCTTTGTTTTTCTTAAATAGCTGCATTATTCGTCTGATGTTGAAAATGGCATCTGCACTGTATGTAATTTCCATACTCGCTTGGCACCATCAACTGCCTTTGATGACACTCAGGACTGCATCTTTTTTGTCTCCTCCTTCCCTCCAGCTGCAAGACCCAGATGTCAGGTTCAGGGATGCATTTTCTCTGGCAGGGATATCTGGCTCCTCTCGGCAGTCCCTAAGTTGGTGGCTATTGTGGAACCGCCAGCAAAATAGCAGAAGATCACGCTAAAGATGGGATTCAGATGGCTTTTTGAAAACGAAAAACAGAGTCCGAATCTGGGAAGAAAAACATATTTCTTATGTCTCTAATTATAAGCCAGGAAAGTGGCAGGCCGTGCCTGAGAAAATTGCACCACCCCCCGGCCCCCCTGCCACCATTTATCTGCTGCTCATCCATTTTCCCCTCTTGACAGTTTTTTATCTCCCCACTCTGCATCTGAAATCAGCAGCTGGGTATGATGAAGGGTTTGCCTAAGTTAATCAAACCTGGGGTAGTGACAGGATCAGGCCTGATGTAAAATATGTGGACAGGGAAAAGAAAAAAGAAAGGAAGGAAGGATAGAAGGAAGGGAGGGAGGAAGGAAGCCAGCCTAAAGGAATTGGCCAGGTGTAACAAAGATAAAGAACAGAAGACTACCCAGTACCTCTATGCCCGAGGAGGCAATTTGTAGCAGCATTCAGGTCACCTGGGCATTGATACATCACAATTAGCTTTCCTTTTTGAAGCAGCCTTTGTAAATATGAATGGAGATCAAGCGCCAACCTGCCCACATCCCGGCCTGGCTTACGCTGAGTCTAGCTTCAAAGGCATCTTGAATAAGTCGTAAGCTCAAAGAACCATGCCCCAAAGCACTACATACCAGTGGGGGCTGTGTCAGACCAGGAGGCGAAGAGAATCTCAAGCCATAAGGGGCCCTTGTGGTGTCTAATTATTTTTTTTTCCTTTCCCAGCCACTGTGCTGGGCCGAGCAGTCGTGCAGGGCAGAGTTTGGAAGCTTCCCACGATCAACTCCGTCTCCTGAGTGCCCACCCAGCCGCCCCACACTTACTGCCTCTAAAATCCCAACAGTTCAAAGGAGTTCGCTGAAACTCAGTCAGTGAGAGCCTGTCTCCCAGGCCAAAATCCAGGTTATCCAGTGCTTTTAGAAGTATGAAGTGTTGCATCTTAATGGAATTTAGTGCCCATGAATTCACCCATCCACGGTATGCACCGTTTTGTATGCCGCCCTGACATTTCACTGCATGGCCCTTGTGAATCTAGATTATATCTCTGTCTTAGTCTGTTTGGGCTGCTGTAACAAAATGCCACAGATCAGGTAGCTTATAAAAAACAGAAATTCCTATCTCACTGTTCCAGAGGCTGGGAGGTCCAAGATCAAGGTGCTGGCAGATTTGGTGTCTGGTGAGGGCCCACTTCCTGGCTCATAGACAGTAACCTCACTCCAACCTCACATGGTAGAAAGGGTGATGAGGGGTCTCTCTCAGGCCTCTTTTATAAGGGCACTAGTCCCATTCATAAGGGCTCTGTCCCCTTGATCTATTTGCCTCCCAAAGGTCCCACCTCCTAATACCATCACTTTTTAGGGGTGAGGATTTCAAGATACGAATTTGAAAGAGCCATAAACATTTAGATTAAAGCAGCCTCTGTTTAAGGGAGGTCCACTCCAATGTAGACTGATTCTTTTGCTTCCCTCCACGGGCTAACTCCCTGAGACCCTCCTCCATCCTCCATCTGTGAATCTTGAGAATGGACTCAGTGCTTGGGAACACCAGCTGACCAGAAGAGATCAACACCTGCAGGCTCCCCTGGAAGTTTATACCCAGCCATGTCCTCCATCCACCTCACCCTCATCCATTCAACTCTAGGATCATTTTGATTCAACGCGGACCCAAAGGGCAAGTCAGATATAGAGATTTTGAAGATTGGCCATACACTCTGGAGCACAGAAAATACAGCACATCTATTTTACCCCTGTAAGGGAAAGTGGCCATAGTGGTGAATTTGTTGAAAGGAGTTGCATGCATATCAAAGGGCATAAGTAAAAGCATGAACTCTACAGTAAAGTCTTTTTTAAAAGATCATAGGACTTAAGAATGATTAGAGTTTTAGGGGAATGATTAGAGTTTTAGGGGAATAATTGGGACATTTTTAGAGAAAGAATGGCTTTACCCAAATTTGTGTTAATGCTGCCCCTCAGGATGGCAGCCCTCAGGTCAGATGAGACACCACTGCCCAGGCTGCACAAGGACAGGGCAGGATGACAATGTCTTTCTTTCCAGCCAGTGTGCCTCCTTAGCCCCCTCATCACCCGCTTTTGCCCCAACAGCTGCCCTTTGGCTAGACTCCTCTGCTCACAGTTTCAGCCAGACTGGCCTTCCCTCTGCTTGGTTACTCATTTACCCTGAATTACTTGAAAGAGATCTTGAATGTTTCTCTCTGCCCGGTGAACACAACAAACTCTTCTGTAACTTGGGGGCTTTAGTTGTCTCCACAACAGGCTATGTGCACCTCCGTTTTGCACCACAGCCTCTCATGGAAACTGCATCTTGTACCCCTGGGTACCCACACACTCCAGGAGGCTCTTCCGACCTGGCTCTTCTTATACCCATGCCATCTCCCTTCCCCAGCATTACCTCCCTGTCTCCACCATGCATTTTGACACTTAATCTTTTGCTTCCACACTGGTATTCAAGAGAGGCTGAAGGCTCTTACAGGGCAGTGCCTCCTGCTCTCTTTATTCCCCCCAGCTGGTTCCAGCATAACACAGCTGGTGCCTGAGCTGTCCCTAGCATCTGTGGAACAGGCAGCACAGCAGCCTCAAACAGAGCTGTTCTGTCTGGGCACATACATCAGTGCTGGGTGCTGAGTTGAGTCTACCCACTTTGGAACGTCTGGTTGACACTATCTGAGGGGCTTCTTTAAATTGGGATTTAAGAAGCAACAGGAATGAGATGAAAAAGACCACAGGAAGAGGAAGAATGACTCATGCATAGGCTGTTTGATAACCTATTAGCCTACATAACTTTGTCATACGTTCATTAGTTAGGGAGAATTCCACTGATGGTCCTCTTATCAGAAAGAGTATGTGAGTAGTTGGAAGAGGTATTTTATTTCCTCCTTTGAGTTTCAAAGTGGGACTCCTAAGGGGCCTTCTCCAGCAATAATACATATTACCTAAACTCCCCTCCAAAGAGGGCCTTTGTTTTTCAGACTGAGTAGGTATTCAAGTTGGGAACTAAAATGCCTAATGGAAAAGGTGGAACAGGTAGAGAAGGTGTATAGGATTTGGGCAAACCATATCTGTAGTCGTTTGGTATGTAGTAGGCAATATAAATTACTTCTTCTGTTTTCCCAATGAAATCTTCCACAGAATCTTTTTAAAAAATTACAAAACATGAATATGATTAGATTTTCTAGTGCAGAAATGGTAAGGGTCTGCCTACCAGCTGCTGTAGCTCCAAGCCTATGGAAATGACGGGGGCCCTGAACACCCCCACCATGGGCGTGCCACAATCAGAATCCAGTTTATCTGCCTCTTGCTTTTTATGCTAATCTTCTTGGATGACTGCAGGGCTGTCAGGGTCTCTGCTTTTTTTATTATTATTATTATTTCTAGTGATTATAATGCAAGAACATTCTCCTTTTGCCAGCAAATATTCTCTGCTATCACCGCTGTTGCTGCTGCAGCTGGAGGCTTCTTCTAGCCTCAGCACATTTGTGTCCCACAGAATATGCCGTGCGTGGCTGTTTCCTTTGTGATGCTTCTCTAGGCTGTGCTTTGTGTCCATTTTTTATCATTTGCCTTAAAGATGGCCATCAGATTTCCCAGGTCTCCAAGTGACTCCCTGCCCTCAGCCACATGGTCTCAGGGTCATGACCTCACAGATCTCATCTCTTCTTACCTCACAGCCCACCTCACCACATGCCCACATATCACATGTTTGTTCACTTTAAAAATCTTTGCGGACCACCCTTTTTGTGCCTGGCACTGCTTTAGTTTCTGCTTCCATGGGGCTTACAACCTAGTGAGGAAAAAAGATCATCAAGAAATAAAAACATAGATAATGTGTGCTGGACAGTCCCTCTTTGCTACCGCAGATCCACTCCCACCCTTTTCCATGCTGCTTCGTGCCCCTGGAGGCTGATCTCTGTCGTATCACTTGGGCTTCCTTGACCTCTGGCTTCTGGCTGGGTTTGGCCAACAGGGGACACCTGTAGGAGACAGGAGGTCAGAAGGAGGAAGATGAGGGTATTTATTCCCTTGGCACTCCTTCTACCGGGTGGTCATTAGGCAGTGGCCACATTCTTCTAAGGCCACATCTCCTGATGGAAGTCCTCTCTACCATGGCTAGAGCTCTCTCTGGGTTCCAGTATCAACACCCTTCCCTCGTCCCTTCAGGACCACCTCACTTTCTTTAAAATAGCTTCTGACTATTGCCAGACTGTGTGCTTCACCATCCCTGGTTGGTTCTCTTAACCTTGCCTACATCCTTGAAAATAGTGTCTTTGTTAAATTACCCCAATGAATGTGCCATCTGTTTCCTACCAGGATCCTGTTCCATATAAATGTCAAATGATAAGGAATACACACACACACACACACACACACACACACACACACACACAGAGCAGGAGAAGGGATAGGAGTAAGAGGTAATGAGGGGAGAAGGGCTAATTAGTATCATGTGGATGATAGTCAGGGAAGACATCAGAAAAAAACACAAAGGAAATTGGGAGTAAGTCCTGCAAATATCAGGGAAGAGCATGCCTGGCAGAGGGAACAGCACATTTAAAGGTCTTGCAATGAGAATTTTCTTGGAGCATTTAAAGGGCTACAAGAAGTCTAGGGTGCCTGGAGTGGAGTGAGAACAGGGCATGGCTAGGAAATGAGATCAGAGGGGTGGTAGAAGGCCAGAACAAGTAAGGCAGTGTAGACCATGGTAAGGACTTCAGAGTTTATTCTGAAAGAAAGGGAAAGCAGTTGGAGAGTTTGGGCAGAGGACTAGCATGATCTGACTTTATTTTTTATTTTTTTAGAGACTAGGTCTCTTTATGTTGCTCAGGCAGGCCTCAAACTCCTGGGCTCAAGCCATCCTCCCGCCTCAGCCTCCTGAGTAGCTGGGACTATGGGCACTTGTCCCTGTGCCTAGCTCCCTGATTTTATTAAAAAGATCACTCTGGGCCAGCCATGCTGGGTCACACCTGTAACCCCAACATTTTGGGAGGCCGAGCTGGAAGGATCACTTGAGCTCAGGAGTTTGAGACCAGCCTGGGCAACATAGTGAGAACTCATCTCTACTAAAAATAAAAAAAAAATTACCCAGGCATGGTGGCATACCTGTAGTCCCAACTACTCAGGAGGCTGAGGTGGGGGGATCACTCAAGCATAGGAGTTCAAGGTTGCGGTAAGCTATGATTGCACCACTGCACTCCAGCCTGGGTGACAGAGCAAGTCCCTGTCTCTAAAATAATAATAATAATAATGAAAGTAAATACATAAAAAGGATTAATCTGATTGCTATACAGAGAATCCACTGTAGAGGAGCAAAAGTGGAAGCAGGGAAAACCATTAATGGGCAATTCTAGTTGTCCAGGCAAGAGAAGGTAGAGGCTTGGACTGAAGGATGAAGGCAGCGAAATGCAGTTTGTTTTTATAAATATTCCTTTGAGATGCTTATTCCGTATCCAAGTGGAGATGACAAGCAGGCAATGGATTTCTAGCTTTGGAGTCTGGAAGAGAGGGAGCTATAAATTAGGGAATATTCAGTCTATAAATGGCATTTGAAGTCATGGCACTGAATGAGATCATCTTGCGAGTGAGTATCTATGGAGATGAAAAGGGCCAAGGCTGAGTGTGGGGCCTACTGTCATCTAGGGTTCAGAGGCTCCAGCAAACAAGACTGAGTGAGGTAGGAGGAGATTCAGAGAGGTCCCAAAGGCTAGGTGAAAGAAGTGTTTTACAAATACAAAGGGAACACTGTGCGGGCATCAGATAGGACTGAGAGTTGATCACTGCATTTAGCAATACAGAACTCATTGGTGACCTTGAAGGAGCTGTTTTAGAAGAGTGGTGTAGATGAAGCCTAGTTTAAAAAGATTAAAGAGTGAGAATGGGAGGAAAGGAAATGGAGTCAAGGAGGAAATATATCTCTTTTGAATGTTCTGCTATAAAAAGAAGGAGCAAACTGAGGATATAGCTGCAAGGGGACATGGGGTCAAGGAAGGCCTTGTTTTGTTTTGATTTACAGGCTGATGGGAATGATCCAGTAGAGAGGGAAAAAATAATGATGTGGGAAAGAGAAAAAGGCCTAGCCTGTAGGAAAGAGGGGTTGGCCTTAGACAGGACACAGTCGGTTCATCCACAGTTACAGAAGGAAGACAGGGAAAATGGATGCAGGTGAAGGTGGGTGGGTAATTAAGGTGGTGTATTAGTCCATTCTCGCATTCCTATAAAGAAATACCTGAGGCTGGGTAATTTATGAAGAAAAGAGGTTTAAGTGGTTCATGGTTCTGCAGGCTGTACAGGAAACATGGTGCTAACTTCTGCTCAGCTTCTGTGGAGGTCTCAGGAAACTTAAAATCATGGTGGAAGGCAAAGCAAGAGCAGGCATGTCACATGGCCATAGCAGGAGCAAGACAGTGAAGGAAGAGGCAGTACATCCTTTCAAATGACCAGATCTCACGAGAACTCAGCATCTCAAGGACTGTACCAAGGGGGATGGTGGTAAACCATTCACGAGAAATCTGCCCCCATGATCCAAACACCTCCCACCAGGCCCTATCTCAAACACTGGGGACTACAATTCAGTATGCAGTTTGGTCAGGAACACAGATCTACAATATATCAGGTGGTGAGAGCTTATGGAAGTCCTCTTCTAATTGCTTCTATTTCCTTAGCAAGAAATAAGAAGCAAGGTCATCAGCTGAGAGTAAGGGAGGAGGAGGAGTTGATGGTTTAAGGAGAAATGGTGTAAAATGTATACTTAAGAGACTGAGAGTGTGAGTTGAATGGAAATGGATCATTGGGCAGCACTGAGAGTCCCCTTGAGGTTTGTGGTCACACTGACCAGTGACTTTTCCCTGACCATATATCCTTCTGGTCTGGCCAACCCTCACATACATTTCTGTATCCCATCTTTAGTATGCCCTGGCCCTTGGGAAACACTCATCCCTTAATAATCATCTCTGCACATATAGAGGGCATTTTCCCGGCACCATGACTCTAGAAGGATTGCATTTCAGGCAAGGTGGCACTGGGAAGACTGTCCCGAGAACAACAGAGCCTTCTCTATTCCTCCGTCTCTCATTCAAGGTGTCTTATTTGGGAGACAGGGATTAATGTTGTAATTCTGCCTCACTCCCCTAGGCATTGTGTTAGGTGCTTCAGGAATACAAAGACTAATAGGGATCCTGCCTGCATTCAATGAATTCATAATCTGGCTGGGGAGCAGTGATTTGTACACAAGCGAGCGGCCTATGTACAATAGCTAAGCCAACTTGACCATGAGCACTTCCAGGGATGGAACTGTGAATAACTAGAGCATGGGGTATATGATTCCCATCAGATAATAGAGGGGATCAGGAATGGAAGAGATCAGATAAGGCTTGGAGGCATCAGGGGAAACGTCTACCGGGGCAGTGGGACTTGAGCACAGTCATTAGGCATGCAAATCATCTTGTGGGCTTTCCAATGTGTGAGCTGGAATACGTTAATGACCTCAATTTCCCCCGTGCTAAAGCTCTGCTCTATGCCTTTGAACTGACACACCCTGTCAAAATATGTAGAAACTGAATACCCTGAATCCAGACCTCCCATGGAGGCTCTGAAGGGAAGAGAGAAAGAACTACTCACATGTTGGCCACCACCACCTCTCTCCCTCCCAGGCAGCTGGATGGAGGAGGCTTTGCCCGGGCTTCTCAGTTCATTTCCTTTCTGAGACATCTTTGTCCTTGATGTTTGTTTTAACCAGAGTTTGCCCATATTTGGGAGTTGGGGGGTGGGGCATTAATGGTGAGATACAGTCCCACTCTCCCAGGATGGCCTCCTTCCAGTTCCTGGGAGTCTGGGATGTGTACATTATCTCTACTCTGTATTACAACGGGGCCAGGAATTGGCTCGTTTTGCCTATTTAAATTAATAAACTGGAAGAGTCTTTTGTTTCATAGCCATCGTGTGGTTGAGTGACAGCTCTATGCCTTCGCCTGATGCTGAGGCTCCATGGGAAACATCATGTACTCTTGCTGAACTCTGATTAAAAAACAAGTGCTACAAACTGTTTAATTTTCAGATTGTACCTGTCATTCACCTTACCTTTCCAATGCCTCGCGGTGATAAGAAACTCACCTAATATCTGTCATTCCAAATATCCTAAACAAGGCTGGTTCATTCTGTAACCTTAAGAAGATGGCAGAAACTGCATTATAGCAAGCAATAACAATATAGGCACAGACTGTCCTGCAGTGAGCATTAGAGATTACTGAGAATATGTTTAGAAATATCACAGGGAGCTTGGCATGGTGGCTCATGCCTGTAATCCCAGCACTTTGGGAGGCCAAGGCAGGCGGATCACAAGATCAGGAGATCAAGACCATTCTGGCCAACATGGTGAAACCCTGTCTCTACCAAAAATATGAAAATTAGCCAGGCGTGGTGGCATGAACCTGTAGTCCCAGCTACGCTGGAGGCTGAGGAAGAGAATCACTTGAACCAGGGAGGTGGAGGTTGCAGTGGGCCAAGATCACGCCAATGCACTCCAGCCTGGGCAACAAGAGTGAAACTCCATCTCAAAAAAGAAAAAAGGGAAAAAGAAATATCATAGAGAATAAAATGACTAGCTAAGCAAAGAAAATAAAAGTACATACAATTGGGGCTTAAAGGGCAAACTGTAGGTATATCTAAAATTGGCAACCTCAAAGACAAGAGTAAGAGAAAGAACTAAAATAAATTTAGGTTAAATAAATTTAGACTATAGAGGGGCTTAGTTCCTGACTAATGTCAAAAGCTGATTGTCCTTTTCCAGGAGTGGGGCAAAAAAAAAAAAACCCTTCACCCTTCGCTAGCTCTGCACTCTCTAATGGGTGTTCTCAGTCTGACATCTGTTAATGGTTGCAGCTGGTTACAAGTTTTTAGTAAAGAACAACCAAGACTTTTGCCTCTGGCAACCCAGAGAGGGACTTTCTCACTAGACAAGCCTTATGTAAGAATGAGAGGAAGGTGCACTTTTCTTAGAGAAGGAGAGAGCTGTGCTGGTTGAAGGGGAAGTGGACACCATCAGCCTTGAAGCTCAGGGCTTGGCCAGGAATGCTGCTGCTTAGGCAGAACTGGGAACAGGTGGGGTCTTTGGATGAGCTGGGAGTCCAGCCAGCCAGTGGAAGCTCTGCAGGAGGCTCCACCTAGTCTGACAGTAGAACAAGGACAGGACTTCATGGAGAAATCATTACTCAGCTAGAGAGAAGGGCTAACTGCTCCAGAGCATTTGCCATCCATATACTCACTTAGCAACTCAGCTTTGTTTCCTTATTTAACATCTATTTATAGTCAACATCTCCCCAACTAGATGGTCATATTCTTAAGGGAAAGTGTTTTATGTTAAACCTTTAATCTCTATGGCAAGCTATAAGTACCATTACTGGCTCTATTTTGCATAGAAAGAAACTGAGGAAGAGAGAGAGATGGGTAAGCAACTGATCAGGATCAGCCAAGGCACGGCCTCTCATATTTTTATTGAATAAAAGTAAATCAATAAGTAACAATTTGTACATTTCCAAAAATGTCCTTTTCAACTTTTTCTCAAGCAAGTTTAAGATGTCATTTGGAATTCATGATTAAAGAATTGGAAGCCAGCTATTTTAAGGGAGCAACTCAAATTGAGTGCATTGAGATGGCAAAACAGCCAAAGGGTGATCCTGAATTAGTTTATATGACTGTAAAATGCAAAACAGTAAAGCCTGTTATCTAAAGGAAAAGATAAAAGGCAAAGGCAGAGTCAAAGATAGCAGATTTCAGCAGTCATAGATTTCTCTCTCTGGAAAGCACAGCTGTTTTTTGTATCTGCCAACCTAATGGAACTCCTCAAATGACTTTTGTTGAAAGCCCACAGGTCCTGGCAGGGCATACAAGAACTTGAGAACACATGGATTCTTTCTTTCAGGACCTTACATTTTAAAAAGGATTCACCATGAGAACTCAATGGAAAACTGATCTGGTGAAGGGGGAAAGACAAGCTTTAAAGCATGCTTCCACAGGTCCTAACATTTCAGCCAGGGAGCACAGCCCCTAGTCAGTCTGTGCAACAGGGGAAACAGGGACATAAATAAGTCTATATATACTAAAATGCTACTATCAATTTTAGTATTTATGGGTGGCATCAGCACTGACAATGGTCATTGCTATAGTTTGAACATTTGTCCCCTCCAAAACTCATGTTAAAATTTAATTGCAATTGTAACAGTATTAAGAGGTGGGTGCTTTAAGAGGGGATTAGGCCATGAGGGCTCTGCCCTCCTGAATGAATTAGTGCCATTGTCATGGGAGTAGGTTCCTTATAAAAGGAGAAGTTCAGCTCTATTTTGCACATCTTCCTCTTTCTTTCTCTCTCTATCCTTCCCTCCCTCACTGCCTCCCTCTCTTTGCCCTTTCACCATGGATAATGCAGCAAGAAGGCCCTTACCGGATGCCAGCCCCTCAATAATGGAATTTTCAGCCCCTAGAACCAAAAGCCAATAAATATCTATTCATTATGAATCACCCAATCTGTGGTATTTCTTTTGTAGCTGTACAAAACAGACTAAATCAGTCATCTAATTAGTCGATAAGCATTTGGTAGGACCCACTGGACTCATTGCTAGTTACAGATTTGCCAGCACGGTAGAGCTATTCCTACAGTCTTGCAACTCAGGGGACCTTATTCCTCTACAGAAACCAAGTTCTAGTTGCATGTTGACCCAAGTCAGCATCAGGTAGATGGCCAGCTGGGCTAACAAGTCATCTGACAAGCTCTTATACAATCAACACATTGCCTCCTACTTGCCTTCCCATCTCCGAGGCAACAGGGGTAGACCTGAAACTGGCTGCCAAGTGCCCCCACTGTCAGCCTCTGCCCTTTTGTGACATTTTCCTCATCTCCACCTTTGTCTCACTCCCTCAATGCTTCTACCCACACTTATCCACTGCTGTCCCTAGTGTTGACACTCATACTGATCAAGGCCACCCTTGAAATTTCATTTTTACTAGATTTTGTGTCTGCTGTGACACTGGGGCGCAGATATATCACCCTCAGAAGACCTGTGAATAGTCGCTACAAAGTGTGCTGGCTGAGATGAAAGGAAAAATGGAGTTAGCATTTACCGAAACTGGTCAGGCTGAAGTGGAAATCCCCAAAGAGACAGATGCAAAACATTCTACTGTTTCTAGAAGGGATGAAGAGATCTGTGGAACCAAAGTGGGGGTAGGGAGCAGGAATATAGTGTAAAGTTAGCTATATGGTGAGAGGAAAATGAGCTGAAGGCTACATTTCTTTAGATGAAAAATAAAATTTTTCAAACATGCAGAATAGCAAAGGAAATAATCTAATAGTGCCCAGATTAAATAAATGTTAGTATTATGCCTTTTTGCTCTCTTTTATTTTAAAAAATAAGATGTTACAGATCTAATTGAAGCTCCCTTGTAATCCTTCTGATTTCATTCCCCCCACCACCCCCTGCCAAGTGCAGATCACTTTCAAATAGAATGAGAGCTACTGAGTCATCATATTGGGATTATTTTTTATAGACTTTCATTGGTTTTTGCTTCACATCAAATATTAAAAAGCTTTGTTAAACAACTACCAATTGGTTAAAAAAAAACGGTTTAAAATAAAGCAAATTCTATTTCTTATATACCACACCGTGCTCAAATGAACCAAACCTGGTTTATGTAACACTTCTTAGAAAAGGTGACTCATTTTACAACCGAAAAGAAATGGAGCTTTAGCATGTCTTCTCCTACATATCACCCGTTATGCCTCGGAAAAGAATCTGCCCCTCTGGGACCCATTTCTGAAATTTACCACTTACAACACACACTTCACATGTGGTCTGTGTCACTTCTGTAGCTAACTAGCATCTTGTCCTAAGAACATTTCTCAGTGTATAAGTCAGCAGGGGTTGGTCTAAGCACTTTGTGTATATTAACTCATTTAATCTTTACAACAACCTAGTGAGGTGGATACAGTTACTATACCCATTTTATAGATGAGAAAACTCATCTGCAGAACTTACTGGTCATTGTATTTTTGTGAAGGAATCATGTGGCTGCCAAGAGTTCTTGTGTGCAGAGTAAACTGTAGCCCTTCCTATTTTATGTTATTGCACTATGTTAATTACTGGGTCTTTAAATAGCCTGAGACTTCTAACCATCCAGGCATTGTGTTAATGCTTGGCTGTATTGTAGCTACTTCCTTGACTTTCTTCAAATACAGAGTTTTCATTTCTTCATAGAGAACACACTAGAAAATTAATGTTTCATAAGGTCTAGATCGCCCATTTTTCACAAAGAAGTATGTTAGTTACTCACCTTTTTGAGCCGAAGGAGGGGCTGGGGCTCTAGAGAAGGTATTTACCCACTGGCACTCAGCAGCAGCAGGACACAAGTCATATGGATGCAGCGGGAGAGGAAGGAAGGATGGTGTCCCTTCAGCCATGGCGCCTCTCTGTCCTCTCCCTTTCATTCTACCTCTGGCCATCCTTCCCTCCCCAACTGGCCTGGCCAACCCATAATCATTCTTCATGGCTCAGATTAACCCCACATCTCCAGGGAAGCCCTCCTGGGCAATTATAGCCCACATTGGTTCTTCATCACATTGGCCTTAATGCTGTGTAATTATTTCATTTCCTTCCTTCTTCTTCTATTTTTTTTTTTTCTTTTTTTTTTTTTTTTGAGATGGGGTTGTACTCTGTCACTCAGGCTGGAATGCAGTGGTACAATCATGGCTTACTGCAGCCTTGACCTCCTAGGCTTAAGCAATCCTCTTGCCTCAGCCTCCCAAGTAGCTGGGACTACTATGTGTGCCACCATACCCAGCTAATTTTTAAATATTTTTTATAGAGACTCTGTGATCTTCCTATGTTGCCTCAGCTGGTCTCGAACTCCTGGACTCAAGTGATCTTCCCACTTCAGCCTCCCAAAGTGTTGAGATTATAGGCATGAACCACTGTGCCTGGCCTTTCTTTCTTCTTTTCTTCTTTTCTCCCTTTCTTCCTTTCTTCTTTCCTTCTCTCCTTTCTTTCTTTCCTTCTATTTTTCTCTTCCTTTCTTTCCTTTTTTCTTTTTCTTTTTTTCCTTTCTTTCAGTGACTGGCCAATGAACGCCTAAAGGTTAGAGATAATATCTTATACTTATGTATACCTAGTAACCACCACCACAAAAATCACTGGGGTGCTGGTTATTTCCTGTTTTAAGGCTATGGAGGGGAGCATGTGGAGGGGACTGGATGTAGAAAGAGAGGTTATCATCATGGTGCCCTACCCAACCCACCCAGAAGAGGAAGACGGTGTTGCTTTGGAACTGTATGGCTACTCAGCCTTCTTCCAGCCACAGGCGGGGCAATACTCCTTCCTTCCACTCCAAGCAAGAAATAATATGGACATGTAAGGGATCTTCAAATGCCTTCTTGTGCTGGTTTACAGGTGGCTCAGCAGGACCTGCCATTAGATTCCTACCTGATAATAGGAATTAAGCATAAGACAAAGGTAGCAGAGTGAGGGGGTTAATAACATGGACTCTGGAGCCAAATTTACTGAGATCAAATCCCAGCTCTACCACTTACTAGCTGGGTGACCTTGAGCAAGCTGCATAACCTCTCTTTGTCTCTGTTTCTTAATCTGGAAGCCCAGGGTAACCATGAAAGCACCTATCCCATAAAGTTGTCATCAACTTTAAATGTGTTCGTAGTCACAAAGCACTTAGAGCAGTATCTCATACAAAGGGGGACTTTACAAGTGTTTGCTATTATTATTCATGTCCCCCTTCTTCTAGTGTTTTCTTTTTTACTAAAATGGAGCTTTCATTCAGATGGCTTATCTTATAGCTTTGCACACCTAGGCCTCCTAGTGTACATGAATGATTTTTGCAAAAGCCATCAGCAGAAAAGCCTTTCAGCCTAGCATGGTGGAAGAGGTCTGGCAGACCTGAGTTCAAATGCCAGTGTTACTCCCCAGCGTTGCTGAGTCTCAGTAGTCTCAATTTCTTTATCTGTTAAATGAAGCTAATAATGCTTTCTTCATATTAACATTGAAACAGTTAGAAATAATGCTGGATATAATCACTTGTTGGCACACAGTAGGCACTCAATTAATGTAGCAACTTTCACCATCCCTGTCATCATCATGAGTTGAGTTTCTCTCAGGTGTCATAAAGTACTTAGCACACAGCTAGAACTTATTTACAAAAGATAGCTATTACTTACAAGCTTGAGGTTCATAAGGTCTTCTACAAAAGAATGCACAGCTTTCCCATAAAAGTTGACATGAACTTTGTAAACATATTATCATACAATTCTAATGCTTCTACCAATTAACAACAATATGCTGGCGAAATCTAAAATCAATTTTTGCATCATGTTTATATTTTAAACAAATCCTCAGGCTTCACTATAATCTACACACTGAAATATGCATTTAAAACCATTTTCAGGGGGCTGGGCACAGTGGCTCATGCCTATAATCCCAGCACTTTGGGAAGCCAAGGTGGGTGGATCACCTGAAGTCAGGAGTTTGAGACCAGCCTGGCAACATGGCCAAACTCTGTCTCTACTAACTGTACAAAAATTAGCCAGGCATGATGGTATGTGCCTGTAATCCCAGCTACTCAGGAGGCCAAGGCAGGAGAATTGCTTGAACCCGGGAGGCAGAGTTTGCAATGAGCTGAGATCTCGACACTGTACTCCAGCCTGGGCGACAGAGTGAGACTCCGTTTCAAAAAATAAAAATAAAAAATAAAACTATTTTCAACAAAGAAAGGCTTGGCCTCAGTAGTAACTAAAAATGGCTGCTCTATTATAGGCAGTCGCAGGCATCACTATTTTAAAAGAGAAACCAAGCACCAAAGGAATATAGCAAGAGGTTGTTCAAGAAGTACATTGCCTAAAGAAAACATTGTGATGAAAAAGCAATTACTCAAAATCTTTTTGAAGTTACAAGTTACAAGGGATTTGTTCCTTTGAAATCATTTTAAGAGTTTAAAAAACTTCTTAGAAAAAAAATAATGAATAGCTTTAGCCTTATTCAGTAGACTCTTAATAGAATCATTGCATGTTACAGCTGTAATGAATCATCCTAAAGATAATTTTAGGATAGTTGCCTCCCTTCACAGATTAGGAGCTCAAGCCCAGAGAGGTGATAAAAGTAGCACAGAATCAGTCTTTTATCACCTCTTCCACTGCCGCTCACCTCTCTGGACCTGAGGTCTCACATTGACTCTAAACTCAAAAGCTAGTGCATTTTTTCTCTGAGTTTAAATTTAAATAAATGTGTCAATTGATGTACATGCACCCAAAAGAAGATAATTTACACCTCTGTAAAGGAGGTGTGAGAGATTAGCAAGGTGTGAGATTAGCGAGAAAAACATAAAAGAGCAGGAAGGTCGAGAACTTTTTAACATAATTTTGTTTTATCAATGTCTTAGACTACTTCATCCATTGTGAAAATTTTTTATCTAAAAACTATTAAGTCAAAAACATATTTTTTGGTGAGGACTATAAAGCTTTGACTGCTCAAACATATGAACTCACCAAAAGGCACACCCTGAGTATTCGAGTCAGGTGGATTATAGGAAGAGCGCCAGAGCCATGAATTGTATTAGTCAACCTGATATCTATGGTCATAACGTATGTTTACGGAAAGCCCCTTTATTCACAGCTACTGAAATAGAGTAAAGCCTTCACAGATGATGGAGTACAAATTCTGTTCTCTGTTCTGGCCTTCTTGATGCTTTGAGCACTCAGCCTCCCAGAGGAAACCAGCCAGTACCAACGTGGACAGCTCAAAAACGGTTTCCAACAGGTGTTTCCACGGTTGCTTTTCACTTTTTGGAACTTTGTAAAGGGCTATCAGAACCAGGATTAGACACACAATGCAGAGGCAAAGCCAATTTTTTTTCTCCATTGTCCCGATATGACTTTTTTCCCTGGATCTTTCATCCTGTGTATGGGAAGGCACTCATCTGGACTATGTGAAAATTATTTGGGGAGGGGTGTTGCCAAGGCAGAAGTTCTTTCACAGGGTGGAGAGAGTAAGTTGCTAAAATTCTTATCTCATTCTCCCTCTCACGGAGCCTCCTAAGTCTTCTGGGAATAGAGAAGGAAAGTGGAGATCACCCCGTCAAGCCAAGCCCAGCTCCCTCTGTGTATTCCACTCATGATTAACTTCTAAGTACCTAAATGGGAGTTATTTTGAAGTCTTCATTCCTTACTTTTTTTTTCTCCTATTCTCAACTTCTTTGTTATTTCACTGCTCATTACCACCTCTACTAGAGAACACAGGAAAGGAAATGAAACTCACCTATAATGATATAATACCAGGAAAAAAAATTGGTTCAGTACATACTGTGAGAGTCTTAGAACAAAGTGACTTTAGAGAGTATCACTTTGTAGTGGTTACAATCACTTAAGATGTGACTTTGGCTGCAAGAAAGAGAAAACCTGACTCTGTTTAAGAGCTAGAGACATGGAATCACTTCATGTAATAAGAAGGGCATGGGTAAGCAATTCTGAGATTGGTGCAATGGCCCAGCAATGGTGCTCAAGGGCCCAGGCTCTTGCTGTCTCAAGGCTCCCCATCCTCAGAGAGTTGACTTTTCATCCTCACATGTGTTTACACAAGATAAAGTGGTCATCCCAGTTCCAAGCATCTTTCCCCCACAGTTGCTTTCAAGGCAGGAAGGTGAAGGCAGGGAACAGGCTGTTTTCCCATGTCTCTATCACTTTATTTAGGAAAATAACTCTTCCCAGAAACCCTCCAGCAAACAGCCCCTTAGGTCACATGAGCCACCTAATTGCAAGACAGGCTGAGAGAAGTCATATGTCATTTACCAGCCTCTATTCTATACTGAGAAGTAGACAGGAAAAGGGTGTTTGAAATGACTATAGAGTTAATCAACAGTACCTGCCACAGTGGAAAACTGTCTTATTTGACAACAAAGAAAATCGAGGCCAAGAGAATTTTTAAAACTCACATTTCACATGTGTTGGGCACCCACTGTTTGCTGGACCCAAAAGTTAGTTGGTGACAAAACCAAAGCTAAAAGCAGGGGGGGCCTGACCCCATCTCTATGCATGTGTGTTAGGCCACACTGCGGTCTGTCTAGGAGTAGAAGAGAGAAGGATGCACACTGATATTTGCATCAGACAGATGAAATGACTTTAAAAAGGAGAAGGAAGATGGTTTGATTCTTCTTGAGTAACAGAGACATAAACACTTTTCTATTAGATATAGCATTGATTAAAAAGATGCACCAGGGAGAACATTTTGAAACTTCTGGCTATAGTAAGATTTGGGAGAATTAGTTATAGATTTATTCTGTAGCAAGGTATCCATAAGGAACCAAGACTCTACCATCCAAAAGACTAAAAGATAAAAATATAAAAGCACCCCACTGTTTTGGAACCTTTCTATCATCCCTGATTTCATAATGAAGAACTGAAGCTAAACAAGGTTCAATGACTCACATTAAGCTCAAGGAGACTCGATGACATGGCACAGGTCAGTGATTAATGAAATTTTCATGTGATCTCAGGCAGTAGAGTTTAAGCCATACATTTAAGCAGAGTATATGTTACATGTTTCTGAAGCATGTCAGCTCTGTCTGATTCCCTAGACAACTCAGGCAAAGTCCAAGATACCAACCTGAATTACCCTTGGATTTCATTCCAAAGTTGAGACTGTGACCTAGATAACTGTAGCTATGGTCTATTCATTATTGTCCTACAAATAACGTTATATGGAAACTTCTAACAACTGTGGTAAATTGTTTAATTTGTAGCTTATATGTGGAAATGAGAGTTTCAAAATTATACTCTACTGTGAATATTAACAACCACAAATTACCAACACACCTTTGTCCTGAGCAAATGGTCACAATAAACCTATACATTGAGGGCATTGATGCAGGTCCTCCCTTAGATACCCCAAGGGAAGAGTGGTGATGGTGTCACCAGGCTGGGGCAGGGCAAATGAGTGGGTCTGCCCAGATCCCATGCAGCTCCCAATTGCCTTGTGTGACTACAAGGAACTTTATTTCCTATAGCATTGAGGAGTGGCCTTCTACTGTAGGGGAAGCTTGAGCAGGGCCTGGAGGGAGGGGAAGTTTCATTCTTCACCCAATTCCCTAAGACATTGTTCTGATCTAACAAAGCCCAGTCGTTTGGAGAAACACAGAGTCCTTTTGTCCTATGCAGGGGAATCCACATTCAATTTAGCACAGAGGCCCAGTTTTACTAATTATGTCACTATGCAATACTGTGCTATGAAGAAGACCCAGACAAATATGAATGTTTAGCCATGTTCTTGCCCTATTATATGCAAATGTTTTTTTATTTCTGAATTCCGATTATCTATATGACTGCTCTAGAGAGATACAGAATGCTAGAGACAGAAGGGGCTCTAGAAATGATCTACTTAGGCCCCATCCTTTGACAGAACAGAAAAAGACACTCTAACAGTGTTAAGAAAGCAGCCAAACCAGAACCATAATCCAGAGCTCCTAACTTACTTGATTATCTTTTGCAATGCAGAGATAAAGTGCTGCCTTCTGTGTGGATCTATCCATGACCACCTATAGTGGAAGGCGTGTCCCTTCCTGGAATGTACCTTTCTGTGAAGACACAGTTTTACAAATAACAATTGGTAAAACTGAAATCATGCTATACTTCAGGTACATTGTGGTCTTTTGTGGGCTTACAAGGAAACCTATTACTTACTATTTCTATGAAAAAAAAAATGTACTTAGGGTTCCAAACAACCAACTTGCACATGCAATTTCAGAATAAATGCATTTCATAAATAGCCTGAGACTATGACCCCATAGCATAGTTCTTGGAAATTCTTGCATTGTTTCCATGGTCACAGATACCCCGTGACTGTGAGATGGCTGCAATGGTTGATAGGAAATTCCTAGCATCTTCACTGGTGTCTCTCCTGCCTAGGCCCTTCCTTCCCAGTATCAGAATGGCTGCCCTCCCAGCAGCTGAAACAGGAAGTCCTTGCTGAAGATCATCTGTGGCACATCTCCATGTCTACTACAGAGATTCACCGAGGTAGACACTGCTGATGTAGTGGACACAGACATGTGCCACCCAGATTCTCTGTCAAGGAGGGGCTTGCTGCCCAGCTGCAAGGAGTGTGACCAACAGATGGCCTTCAGCTGTCAGTTTCTTCAATGTCAGCCTCAGCTAGAAAGAGCCACTTTGCCCAAGACTGTGCCTTCCTGGCATAGTCCACACCTAGTGATGGAGTGAGGCAGCAGGATAAAGGCCCAGACAGCTCCGTTCAATGTGGGAAACACAGTCGGACGATAGTCTCTCCAGAGCTCCCCAGGGGTTAGCTGAGATTTCCATGGTCCTGCATTGTGATTCAGCTTTTTCTTCTGCCCAATCCTGTTACCTCTCCCTTCTTTTGACAGGTTTTGGTTTGTTTATAATAGACTGCTTTTAAGAATACTTTCTGAGGCCGGGTGTGGTGGCTCACGCCTGTAACCCCAGCACTTTGGGAGGCCAAGGCGGGCAGATCATGGGGTTGGGAGTTCAAGACCGGCCTGGCCAACATGGTGAAACCTCATCTCTACTAAAAACACAAAAATTAGCCAGGCACGGTGGCACACGCCTGTACTCCCAGCTACTCGGGAGGCTGAGGCAGAAAAATCGCTTGAACCTGGGAGCTAGAGGTTGTGGTGAGCTGAGATTGCACCATTGCACTCCAGCCTGGGTGGCAGAGCAAGACTCCGTCTCAAAAAAAAAAAAAAAAAAAAGAATAGTTTCTGATATACAGAAAAACTGAGACTATAGCACAGAGTTTCCATATGCCCTCATTCAGTTTTCCCTATTAGTAACACCTCACATTAGTATAATACATTTGTTACAATTAATGAAGCAATACTGATACATTACTATTAACTAGAGTTGGTAGTTTATTTAGTTCTCCTTAGTGTTTACTGAATGTCCTTTGATGCTTCCAGGATCACATCCAGGATGCCACATTACATTTTGTTGTTATGTGTCTTTAAGCTTCTCTCCTTTTACAGGTTTCAAACCAAGTAAACACCTTGCATCCCAAATTCCATCTGTGAATCTGCTTCCAGAGAACCCAAGCCACATCAGCTGGTTCACTACCCAATAGCCATTCTCCCTTCTTGCTAACAGCATGCCAATTTCTGATGGGCAGCAATGAGCCCAGCCCCAGGACATGAATCACAATGGGTCTAATGCAATATGTCCATTGCAATCTTGTTTGCTAGTGACTGACCCAGGGTGACCACCCAGTCCTGATAGACACCAGGGGCTATCTGCCAGGGTCTTTCTAAGAAGATTTTCCTCCTTGATTTTTTTAAGAAAATTATCATAAGGATTCAAGGAGAAAGTTTGTTTGTCCCACCTCTTTCTCCATCTGCTTTAGTCACTGCCATGTGACACCTAAAACTACACAACATCAGGCATTAAAGCAAAGCAGAATGGGCCAAGGCTCCTGGGTATCTCATGACATCATTGAGCTGCAGAACCAACACTGTAACTGGAATTCTTAAGTAAATAATAAATGCCCCTGTGTTTAAGACACTGCCAGTTAAATTTTCTGTTACTTGCAGCTGAAAGCATTTCTAATATGCACTCACAGACTAGCATAAGGAAAGGATTTACTGTAAGGATTCACATGGCTAGAAGGAAGTTAGAATCTCATAAAATTTTAAGAACAGGGTCAGACTGCACAGAAGGTAGTTCTGAACAGTAGTTCTAAATCCAGGGAAGCTGTAAAGACCCTCATTAACAGTTTTAAAGATCCTTACTCCAGTGCTCAACTTTTTACAATCTTTTATCTGCCTCATAGTCTCTGCTTCCTCATCAATGTGACTCCCTTAAGATATCTCAAGTCTCTCTTAATCTACTGAACTTTTAGTTCCAGCTCCCACTAGAAATTCTCGATATGTCCCTGTTGAAATCCCTCAGGGGAAGACGGTAGCTGACCCAGCTCATCTTTTTCTGCTAGGCCATACCACAGGACACTGGCCAGCCTATAGCTTGTCTATTTTTGACACAAGTATCCTATCTTAGTCCAATCAGTTATGCTTGGAGGGACAAGGTCACAAGGATAAAACCTGGCCATACATACAGCTATGCTTGGAGGAACAAGGTCACAAGGATAAAACCTGCCCCTTCAACAAGACTATATATGGGACAGAGGCTTGGTCTGGCAGAGGGACACACAGACTCTAGCACAGCACAGTCAGGAGCAGAAAGGTGAAGCTATCAATGCCTTGCACTCTTATCCTCATTTCTGCCCCCCTCCTTCACCAAATTAGTCTGGTTCTAATACTTTTTGTCCATTTTGAGTTTTATTACTGGCAACATTTATGTCTCACACAAATAAAAGATGTTTCCAAATGCATCTTTGGTTACTACTAGTAGGAAAGAAAAAGAGAAAGACAGAAAGAGAGAGAGAGAGAAGAAAGAAAGAAAGAAAAAGAAAGAAAGAAAGAAAGAAAGAAAGAAAGAAAGAAAGAAAGAAAGAAAGAAAAAGAAAGAGAGAAACAGAGAGAGGGAGTGAGGGAGGAAGGAAGGAAGGAAATAAGGAAGGAAGGGAAAAGAGGAAGGAAGCAAGAAAAACAGAGCAAGAGAGTATTGTATTTCACTGGCACAAACAGGTGTTGATGGCAGAGACTTGGCACTTTAGCCAGAAAGGAAGACAGAATGCAAAGCCATGGAGGAGTGAGGTCCAAGTCAGCTCCCAACTCAGCCCAGAACCAATGGGAAACAGAGAAGGTTTCATGGAAGATGGAGGTTTTAATTGATGACATAAACTAGACTAATCCCACAGGCTCCTGCAGTACAATCCTGCTCCATGGAAAGCATTTTATGGACTTAGCCATACCCTGGGTCATACAAATCTTCCCACAGGAGTGTCATCTCCCTTCCCCTGACATCAGCACTATGATACATTTTTACTGCATATCTCATCAGAGAGGCTTAAATTAATACCATTTCCAAAACAGCATAAGCATCCAATTTATCCCTGAGAATATGACAAGCAATGGGAAAACCCAGCCCAACATATCTAAAAGCACAGTGAAACTATGAAAATGGGATTTTACTCCATGACTACCAGAAGTTTCTTGCAAGTATTTGCTGTGCAAAAACCTTGGCTTTCATTCATCTCTTGATTTTTTAAGCTGGTCTTTGAACACTACTCTCAGTAGGTAGTTGGCCCTTTTGATGTTTGGCATTTGCGTAAAAAAGATGAGTTATTTAATTTTCTGCAAAGGCAACCAAGCCTGTTCTGTATGTAAAGAGGCAAGCAGTTCAGGCATATGTGACCATGTGGGAGTGAAAGCTTTTCTTCTTTGAAGGTTCAAAGTTAACATGTCAATTGAATTTCAAGGAATTGTGCATTGGACCCTAAAATGTGGAAACTAAACAGTTAGGCAACTTGAAGTGTAGGGTTAAAGCAATTATCAGGAAAATTAAGAGGAACCGAAGGACTGCTCATAGTGGAAAACATTTTTTTCTTCTTTGTTTCCAATTATCTAACTTGGCTATCTTCTTACCAAATAGAATGTTGGCAATCCAGCAGAAAATCCAAAAGAAACTTAAATTGGCTACAACCCTAAAAGCAAGACAAATTAGAAGTGTGGCTTGATTATGCAGATGGGTTAGAATACAGGCTGGTGAGAAAGGTCGTTTAGCCTGAATGGTCCAGATTGATCACTTGTGTGAAGTTGAGTTAATGTGTGCTGATAGACATTTTCCATTTATGTATAGACAAGGCCTGAGAGGAAGTGAACAACACTCAACAAATTTGTTGAATGTCTGTATGTGGTAGGCTGTGTGCTAAAGGCTACAAATACAGAAATGAAAAAAAGACAAACATCTACCAAAACTACTCTGTAAAATGAACCTAAGAAGGATAGACTAAAAATAAATTAAATATTCAAAAAGATTATGAGTTTTGAGGATGATGAAGCATTTTGAGTTTCATGGACTTTCAACTCCCACCTCCCACCCCACGGACCAGCCTACTTGAAACCAATCCAATCGCCTTAAATGGAATTGAAGACCTTCTACAATTTGAGCTCAGAAAGTACTTTTGCACTCTATCCCCAACCAGACATCTCCAGCCCCACGCCATACCCTCTAGGGTCAGCTCAACTGTTTTCTAATGTACTGTCACTCTGTGGATTCAGTCAAGCCATTCTCTCCCCCCGAAATATCCTCCCCTCCTTCATTCCTCATAAACCCCATTCTTCCTCCCACCAGTCCTTCCTGCCCTGCCATATCTGACTGTTGAAGCCCACTTTTTTAAGCCTAATTAAATGCAAAAGCCTCCATGAAGAACATCAGTGATTCTTCTTAGTCTACAATTACCACGCACTCTCTGGGCTCCTATGACGTTTTGTTTATAGCTCCTGCTGGGAGCACATTATTTTTACCTGTCTTTGCAGTCATATACATATTTCTATCTCCTACTAGTTTGTTATTCTGAAGAGAGTCGTGGTCATATTCATTTCCTTAGTCATGCTAGATATGCACAGAGTAGATATTCAACACGTTCATTACTATATTGAACTGTTGAAGAAGGACAAAGCAAGATGCATGACTGTGTTCTCCTTCCAGAAGCAGAGCCAACAGTAAAGACTAAATAGCCTGCAAAAATTAGTTTGTGAGGTTTCTTTGTATCTTTCGTTATTTTCTATATCAACACGTTGCTTTGACCATGAGTTTCCCCTCCAGACTTCTGTAATTCTTGATATTTTTTGTTTTGAAAACTTATTTTTGTTCTGAGGCACTCTTCCTCTGTGTGTCTATCTGTGCTAGGGAGTTGGGCTACTTCAGGAAAGCATGGACCAATATATGGCTGACAGAACTTCCTTATCATCAGAACACGCCCACATCCAGACTTTTCAAGGAAATGTACGTTTTGCAGGAATGTTCACCACACTTTCAGCTAGAGGGTTCTCTTTTTCTCAACTTTTATTTTAGATCCAGGAGAAACATGTGCATGTCTGTTACAAAGGTATGTTGTGTGATGCTGAGGTTTGGGATACAAATGATCCCTTCACCCAGGTAGTGAGTATAGTACCCAATAGGTAGTGTTTCAGCCCTTGCCCCCTTCACTCCCTCCCTACTCTGTGGTAGTCCCCAGCATCTATTGTTCCCATCTTTGTGGTCATGAGTACGCAGTGTTTAGCTTCCACTTACAAGTGAAAACATGCAGTATTTGTATTTCTTTCTCTTTTCTTTGTTTTTTTTTTTTTTTTTTTTTTGAGACAGAGTCTCTCTCTCACCCAGGTTGGAGTGCAGTGGCCCACTCTCGGCTCATTGCAAGCTCTGCCTCCAGGGTTCACGCCATTCTCCTGCCTCAGCCTCCTGAGTAGCTGGGACTACAGGCGCCCGCCACCATGCCTGGCTAATTTTTTGTATTTTTTAGTAGAGACAGGGTTTCACCGTGTTAGCCAGGATGGTCTTGATCTCCTGACCTCATGATCCGCCCGCCTCAGCCTCCCAGAGTGCTGGGATTACACTTTTTTTTTTTTTTGAGTTGGAGTCTCTCTCTGTTGCCCAGGCTGAAGTGCAGTGGCACAATCTTGGCTCACTGCAACCTCTGCCTCCCAGGTTCAAGTGACTCTCCTGCCTCAGCCTCCAGAGTAGCTGGGACTACAGGCATGTGCCACCACATCTGGCTAATTTTTGTATTTTTAGTAGAGACAGGGTCTTGAACTTCTGACCTCAAGTGATCTGCCTGTCTTGGCCTCCCAAAGTGCTGGGATTACAGGCGTGAGCCACTGCACCCAGCCAAGAATGGATTATTCTATGTCAACAATTAGAGAAATTCAGAATAGAGAGATCAAGAAAAGAGGTCAAGGCAACAAGGAAGGTATTTTTTACATGAACTAAGCTGCTTTTGACCTCATGGACTTCTGAGGTTTCAAGGAAAGGATGGTCATCATTACTAATGACAGTCCAGACAGAGTCATTCATTCAGTCATTCAATAAACATTTATTGAATGTCTAACACATAGCAGGACTGTTCACAGGACAAGGCAAGGCATGATCCCTGTCCTCAGTCTAGTGAGGTGACCAGATCTTAAACTACACAATCAATTGTGAAAAGTCTGACTATGGAAAAATATATGGTGCTGTGAGAATGAATGATGGGTGTGTGCAACCTAGGCTGGAGGTCAAGGAAAGCCTCTCTGTGGAAATGACATTGAAGTTGGGCCCCAAAGGACAAGAGGATGTTTCCCACGTTAGAAGGAAAAAGAGTGTGTTTCAGGCAGAGATAATGTGAACATGGACACAACTAGGCCTGGAAGTCACAACAGGAAGAAAGATGGGAGACAAGAAAGTTAGGATGTGAATTTATATGTACGGACCCAACCCTGACTGTCCCACTAGGCCTCCTTATTATGTGTTCTTGTAGCACCCGGTCTCTGTCTTCCAGAGTTCATAATTGTGTCTGTGTGTGTTTGCCCAAAGAGACTATCACTCAGTCTCTACCACCTAACTGTAAGACCCACGAGGGTGGAAACATTTTCCATTCCATTCACTATTGCAAACCCAGTGCCTACCCCAGAACCTGGAACATCATATGCACTCAATAAATATTTGTGGAATTAAGGAATGACTACGTGACATTCCCTCCATATTGTTTTATCCTACATTGTTATAGTATTTTAAAAAACACTGCAAGGAGTTGGGTTTAATTCTGGTTCCAGCCTTAACTCCCTAGTGATCTTGGATATTTCCTTTAACCTCTTTGGGACCCATATTCATTCATGACCAAAATTAAAATATTGAATGTGATTATCTCTGAACTCTTCACCAGCTCAAAACTCAAATGTGTTCTATTCCTACGGGTTATACTTTTTGTTTCTTTTCTTGTGTTTATATTTCCCACTGGGTCTTGTGTTTTTTCCCTATCATTTATTATTTGCCTCCTCACAGGAAAACCCCAGTATTCCAGGTGCTGCTACATAAAGTTAGAATTTGTAAGTTTATCAAGCCTCAGTCAAAGGAAGCAAATCCTGAAGAACTGTCCTTTCCTCTATGCACACCCGTGGGGGTTATCAAAAGGCTAACATCAAAGCCGATTACTTTACCAAGAGGTTCCCAGCCAAGTAGCCCTTTGACTTGCTTTCATACCTATACACTAAGATGAAGCTAGTTAAAAAACAAAATTCAAAAACACTTCTCATTTATATTTTTGTCTCTTCCGGTGAAACAGATTACTTAAAACTAATTGACCATCAATGGGGTACAATTACCCCTTCTACATCTTGCACTGAAACACACAAATACACACACACACACACACACACACACACACACAGGATGGATTTCCAGCAAGGTGCATTTTTTCCTGAAAAATTCTTAGAATTATTCTATTTCATTGGTTTATTAATATGTGCTCTTTAATATGCTTGTCTTAAAAATGAATATGGATACAATAACGGCCAGGCATGGTGGCTCACGCCTGTAATCCCAGCACTTTGGGAGGCCGAGGCAGGTGGATCATGATGTCAGGAGCTCGAGACCAGCCTGGCCAACATGGTGAAACCCCATCTCTACTAAAAATACAAAAATTAGCTGGGCGTGGTGGTGCATGCCTGTAATCCCAGCTACTGGGGAGGCTGAAGCAGGAGAATGGCTTGAACCCAGGAGGCGGAGGTTGCAGTGAGCCAAGATCGTGCCATTGCACTCCAGCCTGGGGGACAGAGCAAGACTCCGTCTCAAAAAAAAAAAAATGAATATGGATAAGATAACATTTATTTTTGTATCTGAAAAAAATCACAATTCATAATTTATTGCCAGTGGCAAGAGTTAAAAATAGCTGATTTTTTTTTTACGCTACTGATTATAACAGGAGGAGAAAAGATGTTAAATGCCTAGTAGTTTGCACTAATCTAGATCACAATAATATCACAAGTAGATTTACAATATATTAAATAACCAATTGACTCTACCTTTTTTGTGAATATAAAGTTTTTTTCAGCAGGTAACAGGCATGATTTTAAAAATCGGTTTAGAATTCCCCAAAACATTGTTCCTATTTCTCTGAGTGTCTCCACCCATGAAACAAAACATAAATCTACTCTAGTTTGCACAAAGACATCTAACAGATAACAATGTATCGGAAGGGGTATGTATTTATATTCAGGAGTGCCTGTCTGGAAAACAGAGGGGACTATATCAGGTCTGATCTTCAAGTCTGTCTTTTAATTAGTTTGCCTCAAGTACTTGTTCTCTGTGTGAGAATCCACCTTATTTAGCTCAGGATGATCACGTTATGAATGCAGGAAGTAATGGCTATTCTGGCTATTTGCAAAGACAAGGCTTGGATACATATTCTAATAACACAGTATGAAATAGAGTAAAGGAGTGTTCTTAGGTGGGACCTTTATCAGTGTTGTCACAAATGGTAATGAGTCAAAGCTTAATAACGATGTGCCAAAAAGGTTGTCTTAGCAAAAATAGCAAAAACCCATCCTAGTAGAATTCATCTGTTACTCTACAGGCAGATTTGTGAAAGCTTCAGCAATTTTCTTCTTGCCAAGAGAACTGGCTTTGCTGTCCAATTGTTTTCTCATAGAAAGGGATTTTTGTTTTTTATCAACTTTTTTTATATATTGATCATATGTTAAATATTACATATTTCTCTTTGGAATCTTAATTAAAAGATATGCCTTGTAAAAAGAGCTTTATTGAGATATTATTCACATGCCACACAACTCACCCATTTAAAGTAGACAATTCAATGGCTTTTAGTATATTCACAGAATTGTGCATCCATCACCATGATCAGTTTTAGAACACTCATTACTCCCAAAAAGAAATACCATACCCCACAGCCACCCTCCCATAGTCTTCCCATCCTTCAAGTTTTAGGCAACCACAAATCTGATTTCCATGTCTATAGATTTGCCTACTCTAGGCATTTCAATAAAATGAAATTCTACAATTTGTGACCCTTTGTGACTGGTTCCACTCACTTAGCATAATACTTTCAAGGTTCATTCACATTGTAGCAGATATCAGTACCTATTTCTTTTTGTTGGCTAATAACATGCCATTGTATGAATATATCACCTTTTATGTATTCCTTAATCAGTTGATGGATTTGCATTGTTTTCATTTTGTGAATATTATGAATAATGCTGCTATGAATATTTGTATGCAAGTTTTTGTGTGGACACAAATTTCATTTCTCTTGGGTCTGTCTATAGTTAGGAGTGGAATTGCTACAACATATAGTAACTATATTTCACCATTTGAGAAACTGCCAGACTGTCTACCAAAGAATTTACCAAAGCATTTATGTTCCTGCCAGAAGTGTATGAGAATTCTAATTTCTCCACATACTTGCCAACACTTGATATTAACTGTCTTTTTTATTATAGCCATCCTAGTGGATGTGCAGTGGTATCTCATGGTGGTTTTGATTTGCATTTCCCTAATAACTAATTATGTTGAACATCTTTTTTATGTGCTTATTGACTATTTGTAGATCTTCTTTGGAGAAATATCTATTCAGATCCTTTGCCCATTTTAAATTGGGTTGTCTTTTATTATTGAATGGTAGCAGATTTATATTTTAAAAGGAACCTCAATATGTAAAAACTAAAAATTCAGTTAATATATATTGAGCACCTGTTATGTGCAGTGAAGGGCAGTACCATGTGTGCAAAAGCCACAATACGTGTGCAGAAGGGAAAATATGCATTAAGAAGCTTACCATTACTAAGGTGGATAGGGGTGTGAGACAAATAAACTAGTAGAGGAAAATCATATCAGCTTAGAAAATCAAAAGGGCTTTGTAGAAAATTTGGTATTTTTGGTGGGTCTTTAAAGTGGGGAGAATTTTGACAGAGAGATGGGAGAGGACATTTTGGGCAGAGAGAACAGCACAAAAGGGGCACAGGGACACTGGTGTTTAAGGCATGATAGGAGAACAGCAAGTAGTTTTTTGGCTAGAGAATGGAATGAGCAAAAGTCTAGGTGATGAGACTGGGAAAGGTTAGACAGGAACATATTAGGGAGGCGTGTCAGGTTGAAGAGTCTGTGTTCAAATCTCGAAATCAGTAGTTCTCAACTGGGCATAATTTTGGCCCCCAGAGAATACTTCACAACATCTGGGGATATTCTCGATTGTCACAACTGAGGATGCTACTATTAGTGGGTAGAGACCAAGGATGGTGCTAAGCACCCTACAATGCACTTCAGCCCCCTATAACAAAGAATTATCTGTCCCCAAATATCAATAGTGCCAAGGTGAGTCTGACAACAACCTCAGCTTACCACTTGGAGAGAATTTCCATGCTGCAGCACATAGAGAGGGACCCAGGCAGTGCCCAGGGCCCTTTTAAAGAAAGTATATTGACATGTTTAGAGAGAAGAGAGGATGGAATCATATAAGATGATCAATTAATAACAGAGAAAGCAGAAAGGGAAGGGAAGATAAATGGGATGGAAAAAGATATACCATGCTAACACAAACCAAAATAAAGCTGGAGTAACTGTACTAATTTCAGACAAGCCAGAATTTAGAACAAGGAAAGTTTTCAGCAACGAAGAAGGACACTGTGTAATGATAAAGGGGCTAATTCTCCAAGAAGATGTAACAATGCTTAAAGGTATATACCTAACAACACAGCATCAAAATACATGAGGTAAAAACTGATAGCACTGCAAGGAGAAATAGACAAATATTATAATTGGAAACTTTAACACCCTTCTTTCAGTAATTGATAGATCCAGCAGGCAGAAAAACCAGTAAGGACATATTGTAGTTGAACTGAATAGTACCATCAATCAACTGTATCTAATTAACACTTACAGAGTACTGCATCCAACAACAGCAGAGTACTCATTCTTCCCAAATTCACATGGAACATTCAATACAGACCACATTCTGGGCCATAAGATGTGCCTAAGCAAATTTAAAAGAATAGAAATCATACAAAGTATGTTCTCAGACCACAATGGAATTAAACTAGAAATCCATAATAGAAAGATGGTTGAAAATCCCAAAATATTTGGAGATTAAACAACACACTTCTAAAAAGACAAATTGAAAAGAATGAGATCATGTCCTTCGCAACAAGATGGATGCAATTGGAGGCCCTTATCCTAAGCAAATTAACACAGAAACAGAAAACCAAATACCACACGTTCGCTTATAAGTGAGAGCCAAACATCAAGTACTCATGAACACGAAGATGACAACAATAGACACTGGGGACTACCAGAGCCAGGAGAGAGAGGGGCAAGGGTTGAAAAACTAAATGTTGGGTACCATGCTCAGTGTCTGAGTGACGGGATCATTCAGACTCCAAACCTCAGCATCATGCAATATACCCAGGTAACAAACGTGCATGTATACTACCTAAATCTAAAATAAAAGTTGAAAAAGAAAAAAAAATTATACCAATAACTCACAAAAAATAAAAATAAAAAGACAAATCATACCAAATATTAGTAAAGATGCTTAAAACCGGACCTCTGATACCCTGCTAATGAGAATGTAAAATAGTACAACCAGCTTGGAAAACCGTTTCATGGTATCTTAAAAAGTTAGACATGCCAGGCGCGGTGGCTCATGCCTGTAATACCAGCACTTTGGGAGGCCAAGACACTTGAATCATTTGAGGCCAGGAGTTCAAGACCAGCCTGGCCAACATGGAGAAGCCCCAACTCTACTAAAAATACAAAAATGAGCTGGGTGTGGTATCATACACCTGTAATCCCAGCTACTCAGGAGACTGAGGCACAAGAGTCCCTTGAACCCTGAAGACAGAGGTTGCAGTAAACCAAGATTGCACCACTGTACTCCAGCCTGGGTAACAGAGAGAGACTGTGTCTCAAAAAAAAAAAAGAAAAAAGAAAAAAAAAGTTAGACATAAACCTACCCCGTGATCTAGCCATTCTAATCCTATGTATTTACCTGGAGAAATAAAAGCATATATCTATATAAAGACTTAGCCGTAAATGGTCATGCAGTTTTATTATAATAGCCAAAAACTGGAAACAACCAAATGTCCTTCAATGGGTATACGGACAAACAATTGTGATATGTCCATACAATGGAATACTACTCAGCAATAATGAGGAATGAACTGTTAACGAATGCTACAATCTGGGCGTGTCTCAAAATAATTCCTGAGTGAAAAAAAAGCCAGACAAAACAAGAATGCATGTTGTATGGTTACTTTCATATAAAATTCTAGGGAATGCAAACTAATCAACAGTGAATGCCTAGAGATTGTTGGGAGGAGGAGGGGATGCGTAGGGTAGGAGGCAGGGATTAGAAAGGGGAACAAGACAGTGCAGGGCTGTAATGCATATGTCCTTTATCTTGATTGCAGCAGTGGTTTCATGGGTGTATACATGTGTTGAAATTTATCAAATTGTACACCTAAATATATGCACTTTATTGCATGTCATTTATACTTCAAGAAAGCAATTTTAAAATACATATAATGCAAATATTCAAGAAAATTGAATTTTATATAATACGAATATTTCTTTTGCATGGAGGCAGATTAAGGCATTTTTCAATCTAAGCTTATTTTACTGGTTAGTTCCATTGTTTATCACAGACCACCGAAATGCTAAAAGTATAGTGAAAAACTAACTCAGCACCTTATCTCATTTTGTTTTGTTCCATGAATTATTCCTTTGGTAAATGTGTGTTTTGTTATGAGGGTAGCTGGGTAAGAGTATGTAGACAGAAAAGAGGCTCAAAATAAATGATGATAGGTCATTTAACATTATCTTCTTATACAAAAGACAGCATATTGTATTTCTACAAATACGTATTTTATATCTACACTTTTACCAGGCATCTTCTTGCAAATGTCAGCTTCTAGAGACAGAAATCACATTATTTATGAGTGCTTCATAGAGCATCTGGGGCCTAAACATGCTATTTGATGAGAAAGATGTTTCAACCAAATCTTAATTTTGCTCTCAAAAATCTATTTACTTATTTTGCAGCTGCTTAAAACAAGTGTGGACTTTTAGGGCTCTAAAAAAGGCAAACGAGCAAACAGAACCCATTCTTTTATACACCATCTGAATATCATGAGGTTCATTTTGCGTGACTACGTTTTAGATTCTGGGCATGTGGACCTTTATTTACTTTCTTAGAAGCCTTAAGTACTCTCACCTTTGCAGGCTTTCCCTGGCGATCTGTTGATGGCCAGTTTAGTTATGAGTTTCTCAACCAAAGGGTACTTTACTCAGGAATTAACGTGCCTCAGCCTGTCACCTCTAGATATCATTAGCTTAATCACATTTTAAGCTTATTTCACTACATTGAAAGGAAGAGAGGAAGATTAATGTTTTATAAAGCCCAAGTTAGGTGAATATATTAAACAAAGCAATGCTTCCAAAGGTTTCCATTTTAACAGGTCACATAAATAACTTTTCTCCAATGAACCGGCTTCTTTGTTTCCCTCTTTTATGAGTTGGCTTTTCTTTCTTGACATCTTTGAAATAATCACCCATTGAGAGGTGCAGTTGGAGGAGTGCAGACTCTGTTCAGGACAGCAAACACTCTTCACTCTGAACATGGATTTAACACACTGTGTGAACTTCTCATATGGACCTTAGCACCGTCTACTGAGCACTGTTGTTTTTATTTTCCATATATTGAGCCAAAAAATGTAGGTTCCTGGGCCTTTTCTATGATGCAACAAGTCAGAATCTTAGAGGGAGGGGCCTCAGGAACCTAGCTTTGTAAAAAGCTTCCCAAGTATTTCTAATACACACTGATTTTTGAGAAACTTCAACTAGAGCCAAATTTTTCAGTCTATGGGTAGACCCATTATAGCATATAAAATCAATGCATTCAGTTATAACAAGCATTTTTTGAAATGAAATACAAAAAAGTATAGACTAGAGTACATCAGAATGCACCCAAGTTATAAAGATATGGAACTAGGGAAAATACACTTTTGGGTAAATTTTGTGAATACATACATATTATAATATGAAATACATATAACAACATAAAAAAATGTGTTTGTATGTGTGAGCACATATATCACATAGTGATTATCAGATATACATGACATCATGAGATTATATATTATAAATATATATTATTATATATAATAAATATAATATATAACATTATATAATAAAATTATATATTAGATCTATAATCTCATGATGTCATATAAATATATATATATGAGAAATCTCATGTATTTTTTTCCCATGAAAACCACTAGCTAGAGGAATTCTTCAGATAACCCTCCCATTGGGCTGCTTCTCTGAACTCCAAGCAACAGCGAGTCTGAGGTCATACCTGTGAGAAGAACTCTGTAGCCAGGTAGATGTCATGTGTCCTAAACCATCAGCCCAAGTGGGGCAAAAGTGAGTCACATTTGTGAAGAGCTGAAGAGCTAAACCAAAATCAGAAACTGAACGTGAGACCAGAGATCTCAACAAACTCCCTGAAGACTGGCCCAAGAGTCCCCTCAAGGCAGAATTTGGGCTCTCCCTAGCACAAAGGTAGAATGAACAAGTCTAGGTTCGTCTCTGTGACTGAACAGCACCTCCCCAATCTAACCACTTTCTCTCCCTCTTCTTACATATGACCTCTTCTCCTGCTCAGGAAAAATCTAACCTATATGAGTCTAGGGCTTACAGCTGAGACATCTATTCCCTGCCTTCTCCACCTGAGAAATGTCCATATTACAATTCCAAGCTTAATTTCTATCTCCTTGGTAAAAATTTTCCAAGCCACAGTCAAAGTTCCCTTCTCTGAAGTTCTACATTTTTTAATTCATTATGATGATTTTACTTCTATGAATGTATGCATTCATTCAAAACAAATATTTATTAAGTACCTGCTGTATGTCAGATACTGTGTTGGTAGGAAATTCATCACTCAGGCAAATGACGTACATTGTTTGACTATAAATAAGTCAAACAGAAATTGTTAACTAATTGACTATTAATATGCATTTTTGCTTCCTACCTATGTTTTTTTCGTTTTTTCTCTCCTGTCCTTTTCTTAGTTTTTAAACTGGGTAATAATAGATGCAGTGAAAGAACATCAAAGTTCAGAGCCAATTGAGTGGCAGGTAGTTGTGCTGATTTTCTCATAGCTGTACAATATAGGGCTGCTTTTGTGTAGATGTGATCATATTTAATCAAACTAAAAACACTTATCAGGAATGTATCTGAATATATTCCAAGCATATCTATCCTAAAAAAGCAAGTCCGCTGAATGCATAATATACTTTTTCATTTGTTTCAATTTGATCAACTTGGGATGCTTAAATGAATACATAATACACTCACATCTCCCTAGGAATATCCTAAACCAAAAGCTAAGAACGACTTGCTCCTTTCTTTGCTACATAAGCTTTAGGAGTAAAAATATTGCCTTTTGCAGTTTTAAACAAGGAACTAAAATAAAATATATTTTGAAAAAAAGGGATAAAAAAGTATACTATATTTCTGTAATTGAGTAGTTTGAAATAGCTGTGAAGCTGAATCCACAAACCCTCTTACAATAAAGCTTTTGAAATACACAACAATATATATCAATTACAGAAAAATTTGAAAACAGATAAGTACAAAGAAAAATAGTTTTTAAAATCACCTGTAATCCTACCACCTATGGAATAACACTTGGACTATATCAATAGGTCTTACTGAAGAAGTCTTTAGGTTTTTCTTTTTAATACTGATTTGAAATCTTTGGATTTGCTAGCTCTAAGAATAGAACTATGTCATCCAGCCTTTGACATAATGTTAGAATCAGATAGAAAAAAACCAATATGGAACAGGCAGTATGTTCCAAGAAACTTCCTATGCACCGTTCTTAATGCAGCTATTAAAATGGGGGAGAAAAACTGTTAACAAAAGGTAAATTTATCACCAGGACAAGATATGCTATTATTGCCTTAATAGCCAAATTACTCTGTGATATTACTTTCACTCAAGAATGTTCTATGCTTAATAAGAAGTGTCAGGATGGGATGTGCTTGGCATTTTCACGCTCATTGATTGCAGTGCCTCTGAGCATTATAGAATGTTCAATGGAAATGTAATTTTCCAGCTAAGTTACAGCTCTGCAAAGGATTAGGGAAACTCAAACCCTAGATTTCATCCTACAGATTTTGAAGTTAATGTTATTATGACTATCTCACATGCCAGGGTAAACCCAATAGTGTTAAGTTACACTCATGAGAATAGAGTGAAACTACAATCACCAACTTACCACAGACTTATAAAAAAGAAAAAATTCACACAGACTAACTGCTGCTTTAAAGGAAACTTAACTAATGACAGTACTGCAAAGATGAAAGCAACTTGATCTCTACATATTAATGTCAATATGTCCATGCGTATCCCACTATAATGACAATATAAAAATGGAAAGATGTCAGGATATCTAAGCATGGTGTTAATGTCTAGACAAAATTAAATTTGATCAAAGAACAAAGATATTGTCACTATCAATCTTAACTTCCTTCTGTTAAGTTTAATTATGAGCGTACCCATAATTTATTTCCAAGATCCCCGAGACATTCTGACTAGTACTCTGGAACTTTTTACTTGGCAGTTCAGAGATTGAGATATTTTAAGAACATAAGCCTATAATAGCATATTTATAGATAATTATATATATATAACATGATTCCCTGATCTTTTGATAATGCTAGGACCCGTTGAATGAGAGCTTGAGTGAAAGCAGTAATTCAAATTTCCTTCCTTTGTGATTTTTTTCATCTAAATCTCACCATGGCTTTTTCATTGTTTGGGCCTTATTGTATAAAGGGCAGAGCGAGCCTGATAAGAGCAAAGGAAAGGCTTAACACAGTTTGGAGAAAGCAGTGTGGATTTCCTCCAAAATCAGCACAGGGACCCGCCCTGGGGGCCTGGAACCATGGGAATTTCCTACTGAAGGATGTACCAGACTATAACATAATTTTCACCATAAGATTAATGGGACTTGGACTATGGAACATTCTCTGACTCTGGGTAAAATCAAATACCACAAATTAGAAGTTGAATTTTTCTTTTTTATGGATACCAGCATATTGTCGAGGAGAACCACAGACTACATACAGGGAGAAAGGAAGATTTCTCCTGCATCTCCTATGAACTGTGAAAAATTAAAATTCTATGCTTGAAGACAGCAACCACACAAAGCTTCAGAAGAAGAAAAAACTTTAAAGCCACTTCTGAAAACCGATGAATGTCACATATTATGCTCACAGGATATCCTATCCAAAAGGATTTGCTCCTTTCCACTGTCAGCTTGCAGCTGTGACTGTCACATTCTTGGGGTGAAACTATGCTCCACATCCACTTAAGCCTGATCTGTCCATGAAAGTTACCAAACACAAAAATGCAGCCACTGGAACATCCTGCCCTCCCATCGCTACCGTAAATACTTTGGATACTGCTTGATTTATTAACGTGGTAAGTGATTCTACTAGAACAGTCGTTCTCAACACGGGGCAATTTGCCCTTCGGAGGACATTTGGCAATGTTTGGAAACATTTTTGATAGTCACAACCAGAAGGTGTTTGGGGCTGCTACCGGCATCCTGTGGATAGAGGCCAGAGATATTGCTAAACATCCTACAACTCATAGAAGAGCCCCCACAGCAAAGAATTATTTTGCCTGACGTGTCAATAGTGGCAAGGTTGAGATATGCTGAGCTGGAGTTTTTTATTTTAATTTTTTGTACCACTGCTCCGTGGAAATGATTATGTAGGTGGATGTGTAGGAATGAAATAAGAGTATATTTATTCACTCTGGTATTTCTCCACCCATCAACACCCTACTGTCTACCTTTATATAAGTGGTCACCATTCTGCTTTCACCTAAAGCCATGGCTTCCTACTGAAAGACACAAAGAGTCACTTTTAGCACAAAACAAATGTTTCTCTCTTCTAGGAGCCAAATGGTAAATGCTAACTTTTCAAGTGACTTCAACTATTTTGATGATGAATTGAGCTTCTTCTCTAGCCAGTGATGAAAAACAACATAGATAATAGTCTCTGCAGCTGTTGGGAGGCCTGTCTCTCTCTCTCTCTCTCTCTCTCTCTCTCTCTCTCTGTGTGTGTGTCTGTGTGTGTCTGTGTGTGTGTGTGTGTGTGTGTGTGTGTGTTTTGTCTAGATTAGCTGTCCTGGCTACATCAATTCATGTGCTTTACCAAGCAAAATGTCTCCTTCCTAAAATAGGGTAGTCAAAGAAACCAGATCAACCTGGAAGGAAACATAAAACCATGGGAAAGAAGATAAGGCTGACCACACCACGTAATCATCTGTTTTCAGAAGAATCAAAGGCTTGCAATGCCAAGGCCACCTGTTGAAGTCCAGGAAAAGAAACATTGGAAGAAGACAAAAATGCCCATGAGGATGCAATGACAGGGCAAAGCATAAATAGAGGTTGGGGGACAGAGAGGGCCACATTCTTTTACCAGAACTACCTCAGAACCATGCCCCAAAATCTAGGCATTGCCTGCCTTCTTTTAAAAGTGCCAAAGGATAATATACATCCTCCCTTGATTGCACATCACAGAGTTTACAGCCCTACTCCGATAAAAGCAGATATCTCTATTTCCTGAGATGTTTGAGTCTGAAAAGCAGAGTGGTCTGCATGACCTGATAAGCCCTTATCTGGTATCATCTTTTGACATGGAGCACATTTTTATTCCATGTGCATGGATTATAGAAACTATGATGTGAAGGAAAAGGCCAAGTCCTTGCCAAAAACCAGAGCCCCTTATCGGAGAGAGAACTTGAACTTATAATGAGGCAAGAGCGACAGAAAGAAATATCCCTTGCTCAGAATGAGTTTTCCACTGTCTATCACAGTGCTTGAAAGTCACCATCAGTGATTCATTCCTCCTTTCTCCTTACGCTCCAGCTACAGAAGGAAATGTGGGTTTCTCCTTACACTCCAGCTACAGAAAGACACTTCGGGATTCTGTGTCCTGCCCCCATTCCCTTTATCACTCTGTCCCTCACCCTCATCCCCACCCTTGTCTTCTCTTTCATTAAAATAGGCTTAGGTGTCATTTTGATTCTTCTTTTTTTTTTTTTTGAGACGAGTCTCGCTCGGTCACCCAGGCTGGAGTGCAGTGGCGCGATTTCGGCTCACTGCAAGCTCTGCCTCCCGGGCTCACGTCATTCTCCTGCCTCAGCATCCTGAGTAGCTGGGACTACAGGCGCCCGCCACCACTCCTGGCTAATTTTTTCGTATTTTTAGTAGAAACGAGGTTTCACCGTGTTAGCCAGTATGGTCCTGATCTCCTGACCTCGTGATCCGCCCACCTCAGCCTCCCAAAGTGTTGGGATTACAGGTGTGAGCCACCGCGCCCGGCCCCAGGTATCATTTTTAGGTAACTTCCCTTTTGATCCTACCCCACCACCCCCTTCTATGCTTCTGTAATAATCAGTTCATAACATCATCATTATACCTAAGATATTTCACATCCATTCACAAATTCCAGTGGATCTCAATTGTTTAGTGAGCAAAATATTCACTTGAGGGAGTTGTTAAAATACAGATTCCCTTGCCCTGTGCAGATTTTGATTTAGCAATTGTGGGGTGGGCCCAGCAGGCAACATTTGTAAATAAAACATTCCCCAGCGATTCCTTTTTTTAAAATGATTTGTTAATCTTTATTGAAGTATAATAACACATTTTAAAAATGCATATATTTAAGGCATTCGAGGTAGTGTTTTGACATAAGCATACCTTTATAACGATTTCCACAATCAAGCTACTTTTGTGTGTATGGTGAGAACACTTGAGGTCTACTCCCTTAGCAAACTTCCAGTATCTAATACATGATTATTAACTAGAGTTACCATGCTGTACATTAGGTCTTCAGAACTTATTCATCTTATAACTGAAAGCTCGTGCCTTTTGACCAACATCTTCCCATTTCCCCCACCCCCTGGCAACCGCTATTTCTCCGTTTCTCTCAGTTCAACTTTTTAGATTTCACATGTAAGTGCCATCATGCACTATTTGTCTTTCTGTGATCCCTGGTGATTCTGGTGCTGGTGTTCGTCAACCACACTGAAGAACCTGACCTTGTCTACACTCCAAGCCCCTTGACCCTCAAGGCTACAAGCCATGTTTAATTTATCTTCATATCCCTGGTGCTGACCCAGGACCTGACACAAGGAAAGTCCATGCTTGATAATAACTGTTGAAGGAATGAGTCCTGAAACATCTCCAACTGAAAAGGCCAATTAAGGCCAGGCATGGTGGCCCACGCCTGTAATCCCAGCACTTTGGGAGGCTGAGGTGGGAAGATTGCTTAAGCTCAGGAGTTTAAGACCAATCTGAGCAACATAGTGAGACTCCCCTCTTCTCTATTAAATATTTTTTAAAAATTAGCCAGGTGGGTTGGGCTCAGTGGCTCACACCTGTAATCCCAGCACTTTGGGAGGCTGAGGCGGGTGGATCACGAGGTCAAGAGATCAAGACCATCCTGATCAACATGGTGAAACCCCGTCTCTACTAAAAATACAAAAATCAGCTGGGTATGGTGGTGCACACCTGTAATCCCAGCTACTCAGGAAGCTGAGGCAGGAGAATCGCTTAAACCCGGGAGGTGAAAGTTGCGGTGAGCCAAGATGGCGCCACTGCACTCCAGCCTGGTGACACAGTGAGACTCTGTCTGAAAAAAAAATTAGCCAGGTGTAGTGGCATGCGCCTGTGGTCCCAGCTACTTGGGAGGCTGGGGTGGGAGGACTGCTTGACCCCAGGAGGTCAAGACTGAAGTAAGCCATGATTGCACCACTGCACTCCAGCCCAGGCGACAGACTGAGACCTTGTCTCCAAAAAAAAAAAAAAATGTTGATTGAGATGTCAAAGTCTTAAATGTGGAGTTGCTGAGAGTGTGAGAATAGGAAGGAAACTAGAAAGCAGGGGTGATGGAAAATTCCTAAAATCAAATTTCCATTTGCTTCACATTTTGTCAAGGAACACTGCACCAGTCCCTCCTTCACTTTCAGCATCAACCCACTACTGAGCTTCCCTCGGCCCACCATGCCCACGGTTACAACAGTTAGCTACCCGTGAGATTTTATACCATCTTTCTACCGTAGCCCACACCCTCCTAGTACTGCAGTCGGGAAGTAGGAGCGCTTTAAGCGCCCCCGTGTACTGTCTCAGCATCCTTTTTTTGTTTTAGCTTTATTGAAGTATAATTGATACACCGAAGTGTGCACACATTGAATGTATACATCTTGATGAGTTTGGACATATGCGTATACCCATGATATTATCATCAAAACCAAAGCATGTAATATTTCCATCATCTCCAAAAATTTCCTTGTGTTTATTTGTTATTATTATTATTTTGTAAGAACACTTGCAATGAGATCTGTCCTATTAACATATTTTAAAGTGCACAATATAGTGTTGTTAGCTATAGTTACTAAATTGTATAGCAGGTCTCTAGATCTTAATCATCATCCGTTCTTAATAACTGGTAGTGCCCAGCCTAAGATATAATGTTTAAGAGCTCAATTTGAAGGAAAGCAAGGAGTAGGTCTCATATCATACTATTTTTGGACAAACATAAAGGAAAGTTTGTATTCACACAACTAGTAAAATCTGGAAAAGAATATAGATCCTGGTTTGTAAATCAAAGTCTTGTGTATGCTGTTTGGCATAGATGTTAGCCGGAAGTGTGTGTGTGTGTGTGTGTGTGTTTGTGTGTGTTTGTGTGTGTCTGTGTGTGTGTGTGTGTGCGCGCGCGCACGTGCAGTTAAAAATAAGCTGGCCGACAATTTTCTAGTTTCCTATTGGAGCAAAAAGTTTAATTCTTTGTTCCAGTGTTCCCATCCTGGTTCATTGTGAGCTGAAACTGTTCGCCTAACCCTCAGGGTCAAAGAGTTCTGTGTAATTGGAATGCTATTTTGTTTTCAGGCTGTTTGATGTTAATGGCTTGATTACCAATACAGTGGTGTAGCAAGGAGTTTCATTTTGGGAGGTCTTAGTACCATATGTCAACAAATAACAAGAAAAACATTCCTTCATGTCTCCAAAACACACACACACACACACACACACCCCAAATCCTGATTTACTCCCCCAACAACAAATCTCTTTCTAAACATTCCATCTAAAAAGCTTTCCAATTAAATACTTTTTTAAAACCAGCTTTTTATTTTGGAATAACCTTAGATGAACAGGAAGTTGCAAGGAGAGTACAGAGAGTTTTTGTATACCCTTCATCAATTTCTCCTAATGTTAACATTTAACATAACTTTGGTTCATTTGTTCAAACCAGGGAATAACAAACTGTAGCAGCCTGTAGGCCAAATCCAGCCCACTGTCTGTTTTTGTAGGGCCTGAGAGCAAAGAGTATTAAATGTTTAATGGTTAAACAATCAAAAGAAGACTAATACTTCATGGCATGTAAAATTTATATGAAACTGAAATTTCAGTGCTCATAAATAAAATTTTAGCCAAACAAGTTGGTTCACACCTGTAATCCCATCACTTTGGGAGGCTGAGGCAGGAGGATCACTTGAGGCCAGGAGTTTGAGACCAGCCTGGGCAACATAGTGAGACTCTATCTTTACCAAAAAAAAAATTTTTTTAATTAGCCAGGCAGTGAAGTGTGCCTGTAGTCCTACCTATTTTGGAGGCTGAGGCAGGAGGATTGCTGGCACCCAGGAGTTCAAGACTGCAGTGAGCTCTGCCATTGCACTCCAGCCTGGGCAACAGGCTGGGCAACAGAGCAAGACTCTGTCTCAAAAAAATAATAATGATAAATTTAAAAATAAACTTTTACTAAAATAGAGCCATGCTCATTCCTTTATATATTTGTCTGGTTGCTTTAGCTCTACAGTGACCGAGTTGAGTAGTGGCACACAGACCATCTGGACCACAAGCCCCAGAGTATCTCCTCTGCTCCTTTACAGAAAAAGCTTGCTGACTCGGGGTCTAAACTAAGAAATTAATGTTGTTACATTACTATTAACCAAAGGACAGGCTTTATAGCACCAATGTTTCCAATTTCACGATGCAATCCAGGAACCACACTACATTTAACAAATGTATTTTCGTATGGTGAGCCTCCATCTATTTATCCACCAGGTGCATGGTAGGTTCTACTTTGGAAAATTTTCCTGACTCACAAATGAATTTCAGCTGGACACTTAAACAAGGTTTGTTTTTGTTGTTTGTCTGGGGTTATTTATGTCTTTCACACAATAGGCAGACAATGGAATACAACATCTGGGCTAGGAATGCTGTGCGAACTTGAAGATGGAGGAAGAGCTGTATTTGTTCAAGCAGTTCACGCGCTGGGCTAAGATAGAGCACCAATTCAGGGCCTTGAGAAAAGGGGGTTCCCAATGTCCCCCCTCGCACGGTGTGAGGCCTTCTCCTGATCCCACGCAATCCCTGCCTCAGCTCCCTGTCCTTTGTTTCCTGTTCCCCGGGACCGGCCTGTGAACCACGCGGCTATGCCTTTCAACCCGGCTGCGGCGGCTTTCAGTGCGCTCTGCAGGCGCGATCGGGCGGCGTCCAGTTGCCGGGCAACGGCCTGACAGGCAGCTCACGTTGCCGCCAGGGCCAAGACATCCGCACCAGCCAGTCTGCACCGCGAGCCTGTGGCCTGATTTCTCCCCCTCCATTGTTGTCGCTAATACAAAAGGCTACAACTCCAGTGTGGTCACTGGGCCTGCATTGAATTACACGCCAGGCCATTCTTCGGGCCGGAGCCTTTGTAGGCTGGGATGCGTTTCCTCCCAGGGCCAGAACTCTGGGCCTCGCCAGCCTTTACGAGTTGTCTGCCTCCCTCCGCCACTTCCACCCACCTACCGCCTTTGTTCCTTTCAGCTGGCAGCCAGGCCCTCGCTTGCCTTTTGGTTGGTATGAGATCACTGGCGGCGGGCTTGAGCAGTCCTTCCCACCCGCTCCCCTCACTCTCAATTAAGCACTGCGCGTAAAATCCCAGGCCTATTCAGTCATCTCTTCTTATCTCTTTCTCAACCATCCCCCCAACACCCATCCCTCTCTCTCAAGTTTCTAAGGCTGCCGTTGCTAGGGAACTCAAACCTGAGGGCTGAAGGGAGGTTTTCTAAGGTGTCTGCCAAACTCCCAAAACTCAGAGGGCGGAGGCAGCACAAAGTCTTTGGGATTCCCCAAACGCTGAAGAGAGTTACATGTAACTCACCACCCTCTACCCCATATCCTTGTGTTCAGCATCATGTTTGGATTCCGGGAAATTCAGTGGTGAAGTGGGAAAAGAGATTTCAAATCACACTAAGAAGCAATTTCTCCTAATGTAAAAGCTGGAAGGGGTCTCCTCTCAAAGGAAAAACATCCCAAGGTATGAGTTTATTTTTCTTCAACAGTGTAACATGGACAAAGAGTGTTCTTACATCAGCTATTTGATAGAAATCCTTACTTAATGAGGGAGGAATGCGTGACGATAACAATATGCTATCTGGCTTTTTAAATACCAATACCAGGCTTTACATGGTGGCTCATGCCTGTAATCCCAGCACTTTGAGAGGCCCAGGTGGGAAGATTGCTTGAGTCTAGGAGTTCGAGACCAGCCTGGGCAACAAAGTGAGACCCCTGTGTCTACAAAAAATAAAAATAAAATTAGCCAGTTATGGTGGCCTGAGCCTGTAGTCCCAGCCACTATAGAGGCTGAGGCGGGAGGATGGCTTGAGCCCAGGAGTTTGAGGCTGCAGTGAGCCTTGATCTCTGCAGTGAGCCGTGATCATGCACTCTAGCCTAGGTGACAGAATAAGACCTTCTCTAAAAAAATAAATAAATACTATTACCATTGTGAAATGCCTCCTCAGCTGGGGTCCCCAAGTGTGGGCTCCACTCACAGCGCCATCCGCAGGCCGGAGCAGGAGTGCATGCTGGCTACAACCAGTGTGGGAATCCAGGTCTACCTTGCTCCTGCAGCCTTCTGCCATCTCTTTGTGTTTCTCCGATTATTCCCTCTACCCTCTGTGTAATATTCTGTTAAAACCTAGGCATAAGGCTGGGCATGGTGGCTCACACCTGTAATTCCAGCACTTTGGGAGGCTGAGGCAGGTGGATCACCTAAAGTCAGGAGTTCGAGATCAATCTGGCCAACATGGCAAAACCCTGTCACTACTAAAAATACAAAAATTAGCCAGGCGTGATGGTGGGCGGCTGTAATCCCAGCTACTTGGAGGCGGAGGTGGGAGAATTGCTTGAACCCGGGAGGCAGAGGTTGCAGTGAACCGAGATCATGCCACTGCACTCCAGCCTGGGTAACAGAGCAAGACTGTAAAAAAAAAAAAACACCTAGTCACAATGAAGTAAGGTAGGCCATGAGAGGGATTCAAACCATACATTGTAACTTATTCTTAATACACAATTCATATTATGAGGGTGGCAGGGAGAAAGTCAAAGCCTGTATACGTTTCCTCTATTTTAACTTTTTCAGTTGGTCAAGGCTAAACTCCAGTTACCATAAATTCAGTCAAGCAGGGGTGATGTGCAAGTATTTGTCAACCAACGTGGCACAAGCACTGACCTATCAGAACAGATGCCTTACGGAGGGGCCTGGACCCTGGCTGGTAGCCAGCATGAGCACAACCCAGATGAACAACACTCCTGATACCCACTGAGATCACAGCCCCATACTAGGCAATTGCTGGGCTTCAAAGGGAAGCCCAACAGGCAACACATTGTCTTCTCCTCAAGATATTTACCTTTTGGTTAAAAAATAACTAAAACTAGCATACATGAAATGATACCAAATATTAGAAGAAAATAAAATTTACTTCATAGCTTGGCATTTTCTCATTAATAATAATAGCTAAACTTTCACAACAACCCTAAGAAATTATTAGTATTATTATTACCCCCAATTTACGTATATGGAAACTGAATCACTACAGACTTCTTCCCCCAGCTTTGGTATATGTAGGATAGAAGGAAAAAGAAGAGGAAGACACTTATTAACCGCTGTGGTGTTTCAGGTGCAGTTCCAGGCAAGATGGGCCATGTCTGCAAATGACCACATTGTAGAAACATAGATTTAGCAGGTATGTGTAGGACAAATAGGAGGAAGAAAAGCTGTGATCAAGAGCACTAATTAGGAGATGATTGGAAGAGTCTAGATCAAAAAGTATAGGAAGGAAACTAAGGGAATCATAGTAAACTAGTTTCAGTTATCTAGCAAACTCAGGGCAGCAAAAACAGAATGCTTTGAGGGAAAAGAGAAAAGAATGTCAGGGCTATAGGGGATCCCTGGGAGGAGGGACTCCAAGCCTCAACCACAGAGTGGCAGTTGGGTAATAAGGCCTTCCTTCAAGACAAGCAGATGAAGAAAGGAAAGAAGTGATGTAAGAGGCACTTGGGAAAGAATCTTAGCCACTGATTTGTGAGGGGGATGAGACAGAAGAGTAAAAGTGGTGGAGGTTTTAAACATGCAGAAGTTTGTTATAATAAACAGCTAAAGCGCCTAACTCATCTCTGAGTAGCTTACCAGCAGAAAAACTGAACTAATGAATAAATATTAAATTACTTTATGTTATGCAAAACAGTGCTAGGCACACAATAGTAGCTAATTGAGTATTTATTAATTGCTTAAATAAATTGAGGAACAAAGATATGTGCCAATCCTAAACTTTTCTTCAAATTGATGTGCTTTCAGCTTCTGCCCTGGGTGCAAGGCATGGAGGTACAATAGAAAGAAGCAGAAGACTTTGGTTTGTATCCTGGTTCTGGCTGTAACTTGTAGGTCACACCTTAAGGTCATTTCATTCCTCTGTTCTTGGGTGTCCTTGCCTGTCGAATGCTGGGGCTGGACTAAATAAACTATGAAAATCCGAATTTTACAAACATATATCCACCCAAAGTACTTGAAGAAAAATGAAGCATTTTGCACTGAACAGAGCTTGGCAATTTTCTCCAAAGGCAATAGAAATGCATCTGACTAAATGGTGAAGGAGATGATCATAAGCTCTTTTCCTATAAGAATCCTGGCAATTTTCACACTCTCGGAGGGACTTTCCCATCAATTTTGATTCCCATGATTTCACACTCATGGAAATTTCCTCAGAGAAGCAGTTTCTTTGGCAACTTCATGCTCATGATCATCATAGCATCAATAGGAGTGACGCAGACATGTCAGCAGGAGAATAGGCCTCTTCTGAGCAGTGGGAAAAGGCGCTGTCTCCTTTTGTTACCAAAAAAATAAATACACAAGACACAAAAGATTTTTACCACACTTGTCACATACAGTGAAATAAGCGGAAGATAAAGCTAAAATAATCTCCATAAAACAAAGGCTTTGTGTGTGTTTCAAAGACATTTTATGTTGCATAACATGGAATTAACTCTAGCTCTTTGAGCATTACATATATATATGAGCATTACATATATATATATAATGCTCATATATGAGCATTATATATATATATGTGTGTGCGTGTGTGTATAATGCTCAAAGAGCTGGAGCTAATATATTCTGAAATGCAAGTATATTGAATTCTTCCTTATGCTTCCCCTCCCAGGAAAACAGGATGCCACTTAAAAAAAAAAAAAGACTGAAAAGAAACATTGTTTGGGGAGAGCTTATCTATAAACAATGAGTTGTCCTCAACAATAAACAGTTCCACCAAGTGGTACCCGTGGTCACATTCACTATGCCTTGGTTTGGTATATGTTGTACTAAAATCTTGACTTAGCTTTGATTTACTATTGTCTGTTTAGTTGCATGTTCTTCTGATTGTGGTCCGTGGATCAGCAGCAACAGCATCATCTGGGAGTTGGTTGAAACACAGAATCTCTAGCCCTACCCAGGCCTATTGCAGCAGAATCTGCCTTGTAAAAAGACCCCCAAGTGATTTTTACATTATTACCAGAAATAGACTGCTCTACTCTACAACACCCCCTCTATCAGAGATAATGTTCAAAAGTGGTTTGATTATTTTGAAATGGCATTTTCCTTTCTGGGGAAAAAACTATAGAAATCATTGGCTACATCGGTCAAAAATGGCACTAGTACTCCAGTGACAGAGAACAATGAAATGTAGCATGCTATCATTAGTGTAAGAAAATGCCAACAGACACCTGTGATCAATGAGGCTTGCATTTGTGGTAATTTTGGGACTCCTCCATCCACATTCTCTTGACCCAGGCTTCCTATGACCAAATGTTCACTTTTGCAAGATGGCTGAGGTTAAGAGTGCAATCTGGCCACAGAAAGGAGAAAAGCTTGCTGACCCATGCTGACCTCTGACCTTGACCTCATTAGCTAACCAAATGAGCTAACCAGCCATGGACATCAGAGAGCATTATGTGTTGATTGAGCCGAAGCATAAGAAGGACCAGTAAAAGATCAGTCATAAAGACATTTCTACCTTGATCACCTATACTTATTAAAATGATATGAGGAGCACATATGCGATTTCTTTTCTATCTTCCTGCATTTTTCACCATTGTACAGCAGGACTTGAAGACAACAAAAGGTTCTTTTCTTTCATAGCTCTCTACTCTTTTCCTTCAAAGTAATTAAATTGTAATTATAAATTTATTCTTGTCTTTATTCATTTATGATAGTCTCTACCACTAAAACCCCTAAAGGCAGAAATCTTCTTCCTCTGGTTGGCCATCTATACCCAGCACTTACCAAGATCTCCAGTGCCCAGTAGGAGTTCAAGAAACATTTGCTGAGTAATGGACTAAATGAATAAATGAGTGAATAGTGGGTCAGAGCTCTAAAACCAAATCTACCAAAACTATCCTCTAACATTCAAGAAGCATTGAATATTCTATTATGATAGGGATTGGATATACAAATTTGCCTTCCTTTTTTCCACATTCCTGTGGAAAAGATAGATTTATAATAATATTAACAGCTAATATTGTAGTCACTGCTTCAGGCACGTTACACATATTAACCTTGATCCCAACAGCAGCTCTAGGAGACATTATCTCCATTCTGTAGTCTGGGCCACAGAAAGGTTAAGTAACTTGCCCAAGGCCACACCTCTAGTACCTGTATGTGAATGCAGGCTGGCTGGCTCCAGAAGCCATACTCTTAATAAGGCACATTGGTTACTTGCCTTCCAATAAGCCAGCAGCGACTGGATATTATGAGAAGCGGTCAAAGAAATAGACACAGGATCTAACGAAGCACAGAAGGGACAACTAGTTCCAAACCCAGCCTATGCTCTTCAAACAAATAATCAAAAGCGAGCACTTGCTGCCAAGGAAGAATTCCCTGGCACGGTCTGTGTGGTGGCTGCAATGCGCAGCATGGTGTTCCTTGGGGTTGGAGTCAGCCTGCCGGAGGGTCAATTTCATCTTTCCTCAGCTTGCTCTTTTCAGCCTTGGTAGCAAGAGAGATCCCAGTCCAATAAAAACGTGTATTAACCTACACTGTGAGTTTGAGGCAGGAAGCAAGCCCTGGCTTCAACAGTTTAGTGGATTCAGAGGAAGCTGGAACAGGATATCAATGACATCCAGATTCACAACTTAGGGCACAAGAGGATAATCACATACCCAGGCACAACGCGTACAACTGTTTTCCCTCTTGGCCATCTCTCTACCTTTATTCTTCCTTTCTCCCCCAGCCAGGGAGGGACCTGTCTCCTTCAGTCTTAACATACATTAGGGTCTTTCAAGTAGAATCACTTCCTTTAATTCCTGATAGGTTATGAGCGTGACCTCTGGTTCCGCTTCATGTGTTTCAAGCTGAGATACCATCAGAAATCACATTTCCCTTCCAGGGCTTCACAAATTACTCTGGTGTGCAGATGACATAAAAATATACTCTCAGTTCCTCGAAGTAGTTTAACAGAATTTGAAATTTGGGGGAAATTATACACTGTGGCGCAATTTTTAAATAACTTGCTTAAACCAGTTAAGTTGAAAAAGGAAGATGTCATGAATTCAAGTCTTCTCGAAGGCAACTATTTTTGAGTAGCTCCTTGGTCACTGAATCCATAACTCTGGGACCTTTTTCTAAGGAATAAGTTATAAGAAGTAAAATAACAGAAATCTTTCACTAAATTAAAACTTACTTAAGTCCAGGCACAGTGGCTCACATTTGCAATCTCAGGACTTTAGGAGGCCAAGGCAGGAGGATCACTTGAGCCCACGAGCTTGAGACCAGCCTGGGCAACATAGTGAGACCCCATCTCTACCAAAACAAAATTTTAAAGAAACATTTTTAAAGTTACTTGATATAGTCTTGGTCCATTTTATGTCTTTTTTACCTTCTGCCTCCTTTTTTGGTTAATTGTACCTTTCAATGTGTTTTGTTTCTTTTCCTATTCCTTTTGTACTTAAAAGGTACCTGCATTTTTTATTCAAAAGAAAATCTCTCTTACAGCAATTCCACTTACCCTTTGGAGTTTGGTTGTACTTCCTCCTTCCCCTTCTTTTTCACCAGCCCCTCCCAAATTCTTTGCCTCTAAACTTCTCTCTATTTGCTTGCTTCTCCCACCAGCAAATTTATCTTATTTCTCTCTCCCTTACATGCCTGGATGGCACAAAATGAACAGTATAAGGTGATAGTATTTTTATATGTGCTGTTAAATTTATTTGTATTTTTTCCTGTCTGTGCATATATTATCACAGAACTTGGTCATTCCTTGGAAAACATTACCAATGACTTGCAACTCAATACTAACAATTTCTATGATTCCCATCATTATAGAAATATACCAGCTATAGCCATATCAAGTGCAACTGATGACCAGGGTGAAGGCTAGGTAGTGGTGAGTGTTCTGTCCTTCCAAGTCAGTGCCCTCCCTGTAGTGGCCTGGGTGAAGGCGGCCATTTAAGTAAGGGGCACACTGAGTGGGAATGGGGTAGGATGCAATGGTAATAAATATTTTTATTAGAAACCATTCTGTTGGGCCAGGCACAGTGACTCACGCCTATAACCTCAGCACTTTGAGAGGCCAAGAAGGGTGGATCACTTTAGACCAGGAGTTCAAGACCAGCCTGGCCAACATGGTGAAACCCCATCTCTACTAAAAATATAAAAATTAGTCGGGCGTGGTGGCTCTTGCCTATAATCCCAGCTGCTTAGGAGGCTGAGGCAGGAGAATTGCTTGAACCCAGGAGGCGGAGGAGGTTTCAGTGAGCCGAGACCGTGCCGCTGCTCTCACTCCAGCCTGGGCAATGAGCAAGACTCCGTCTCAAAAAAAAACAAGAAACCATCCTGTTGATCTCATTTGCCCTGCGTGGCCTGACAGAAGAGCCTGAGAGCTTTAAACTTGACATTAATAACCACTTACTTATGATTTTCCAGCCATGTCTACTTTCTGAGTAATTGAAATACTTTTCTGTTCCTGATTTTGGACAGGCAGTACTTTCAATGCGCCACTGTCTAAGACACACACAAAAAATAATTTGAAAACTCAATTCAATTAGGTAGAATTATACATGCAGTCATGTAATGTTTTATTATTAATACCTTATGCAGCACAGAAAGAATGGTTCAAATACTTTTTTTTTTGAGAGGGAGTCTCACTCTGTTGCCCAGGCTGGAGTGCAGTGGCACAATCTCGACTCACCGCAACCTCTGCCTCCCAGGTTCAAGTGATTCTCCTGCCTCAGCCTCCCAAGTAGCTGGATTACAGGCGCCTGCCACCACGCCTAGCTAATTTTTTGTATTTTTAGTAGAGACGGGGTTTCACCATGTTGTCCAGGCTGGTCTTGAACTCCCGACTTCATATGATCCACCCGCCTCGGCCTCCCAAAGTGCTAGGATTACAGGCGTGAGCCACTCACTGTGCCCAGCCAGTTTAAATGCCTTTAACATTTGGGTAACCACTTGCTAAATTTAACTTTTAACTAATGCTTGCTGGTAAGAATAATCCTAAGCTAACTGAAGTTTTCATTACCTTCCTATCTAACAGCATTCACCACAGTTTAACTCTTCAGCCCACCAAGAGAATAAGCAAGACTAGTGGGCAATTTTATTTTCATTGTATAATATCAATTTTATTTACATCCCAAGAAAGTATGGATGAAAAATTACAGTTGAGCGGTTAGACTAATGTGGTATGTAGTATTGCCTAATACATCAAGTTTTCTGCTAATAGTATTTCTAAATCTATTACCCTATTAGAATAGAATTAATAATTTGCTATGCATGCATAACAATAGAAATCAAGTTGGAAGCTTGTTTCTTCCATAGGTCTTCTGCACTGTCACTGTTCAAAACAAGGTCTCTTTCAACAAAATGCCCACATCCGACGAGTGATGTTGAAATGTTAAGTGATTTGTAATTCCTAATAATAACTTTCGTTTTGTTAAGTCTCTTTTTTCTGCCCATTAGCATCCTTCAAAGCTTTAATGATCCATGTAATTAAATTACAATCCAGAATGAGAACTTTCTGGAAACATATAATACTAGAAATATAGATTTTGATTAAAATCAAAGCAATGTAACTTAAAGACAAATGTCTAAATGTCATTAAAATTGGGGGAGCCTGGGCCTAAAACAAGTGCTTCTGATAAAGAAGCGAATTGAAGATGTGTAAGAGGGCAGAGAACCACACCCCTGAGGCCAAGGTCAAGATTAATTCACTTTCTAACTAAGACAGATGAGAATCATTGCACAGGAGCCCACAGAGATGAGGGCCATGCATCAAACCCTGATGCCTATGGATCCCAAATGCTTCTAATAGCCACTAAAAATTCATCAATTCCGTTTCAGAGGAGCAGTCTTAATGAACAAGAAGCAGGGCTCAGGCAATCACATAGTTCAGACTTGGGGGAGTTTCTACCCAAGGAGTAAGTGGTGTCAGATTCCTGCCAGAAACAGAGCTACAAGGGAAAAGAAAAAAATAAAATAAAGCTGAGTTTCATCATCATGGGAGAACATTTTGCTATTTTGTCACCTGAAAAGAAATAACAGCACAACTGCATAGCTGATACCTTTGGATGAGGTCCTGCTGTCTTCAGAGAAAAGAGAACATCTGAGAGAAAAGCATGGCAAGTTTCTCAATCCAGATCCTCTGCTTTCATATTTTTTAAAAGGTGAAAAAAAATGTTAAGGTATGAAATGAATGTGAGTGCATGTATGTGTGCACATGTGTGTACTCAACCTTGCTGCTAAATATATTGTGAGATTTCTTATTGCTAGACAAAGCAAATTAGCTATGCTGTTCTAGGTGGTCAGAGGACAAAGGAAAGAGCTCATCCTCCCCGACCCTATCCCTTGTACAGTCCAGGAGAAAATGTCTTCTGTCTATTGTAGTGCACTTTAGAGGATGATTAGCTTGGTCAGGTTCATTCTAGCATAGCATTTTAGTAGAGCACATCTGTTTGAATTTCTAGACTGATGCCTCAATGTCTACTCCCCAGACACTTAATTTAACACATCTACCAGACAGAGATCAGAATCTCCTGATATTACATGTTAGCCACAGATCAAAATAGTTGGCCACATGACAACTCTAGCTCCATCTAGCAGTTCCCACAACAGCTCAGCTCTGACCCATTATCTGCAATGATGAGAACTCACATCATCCTAGAATTGTAAAGAAGTAGCCAAAATTTATATTTGATAGAAACTACCCTTTAGGGTTTTCTTTCTACCCCTTAGAGACTCACTGTATCTTTCTTACACCTTTTTAATTGCACTTTTGAAATTACAACAGTTCATAGCTCTATGACACTTTCAAAATGGTAGGGAGGAGGTTTTCCTAAACACCTTGACTGAATGTGCAGAATCCATAGAGAAGGATAAATAACAATTCACAAATACCAACTCAGTTTTGTTTGGTTTATGTTACCTTTGATTATCCGCACTTAAGCCATATGAGATTATTTCTCTTTGACTCGAAGCTTAGTGATGCTTTTTTTTTTTTTTTTTTGAGACAGAGTCATTGTGTTGGCCAGGCTGGCGTGCAGTGGTGCAATCTTGGCTCACTGCAACCTCCGCCTCCCAGGCTCAAGTGATTCTCATGCCTCAGCCTTCTGAGTAGCTGGGATTACAGGTGTGTACCACCAAGCCCAGTTACTTTTTGTGTTTTTAGTAGAGACGGAGCTTTTTCTTTTTTTTTTTGAGTCAGGCTCTTGCTCTGTCACCCAGGCTGGAGTGCAGTGGTGTGAACATGGCTCACTGCAGCCTCAACCTCCTGGGCTCAAGCAATCCTCCTGCCTCCACCTCCTGAGTAGCTGGGACCACAGGTATGTGCCACCATGCCAAGCTAATTTTTATTTTTTGTAGAGACGGGTCTTGCCTTATTGCCTAGACTGGTCTCCAACTCTGGGGCTCTCACAATCCTCCCACCTTGGCCTCCCAAAGTGCTGAGGTTACAGGTGTGAGCCACCAGGCCCAGCCTGGTGTTTTTTATTTGTTTGTTTTTTAATGACAGTGCTGCTCCCAAAAGATCTTCCAAGATGATTTATATATTGGACTATCTAAGAATTCCTGAAAGCCAGGGCACTGAAATTCCAGACCTGCCTGTTGCCTAACCCTTTGTCCTCCAAACCTCGTGAGTGCCTTTTCCATACCTCCTAGCTGGTCTTCCCTCTCCTCAACAGGGAGAAATTCAAAAAGAGCGGGGAAGCAGCAGAGTGGGGAGGTAGAGGGAAGCCCAACAGAATGTGCCTGAAGGAGCCTGGAAAGAAAGAAAAATCTGTCAAGCAGAATGCCAGTGAAGAGCTTGCTCTGTGTGTTTGGAATACCAACTAAACAGGGTCCTAAGGAGAAGGGTTCTTAAAATAACTTTTTTGTCTTTATGTAACCACCATGTGATACTACTTAGAGCAGGGAAAAGCCAAGTGAAAGGCAATTATTCCATCTATTCCACATGCTCCAATTAAATATTCCCACTGTAACTTGTTTGTCCTATATTTTATACACAGGAATTTGGGACAATATAGTTCCTTCCTTGAAAAACAAGCATTTTTCCCTCCTGGCCACCACACCATAACACAATTGTAACCCTGGTATGCTTGATGGGCCCTGTTGAGCCTGCAGCCTCTCCTTCCTTGCTGCTCTGAGAGCTTCCTCCCCACACTGTGTGTGCTCCAAGAGTTTGCTCTGCCTGAGCCTGTTTATAGCACGGGAGGAGGAAGAAACAAAGCAATTGTGAAGCTTGTTAATAGGCAGTTCATATGATATTAAAGGTGACCTTGCCATTTCCAGTTCTATTTATTCCACTTCCTTCCAAACCGGGGCAAATCCTTCCTTTCAAGGCAAGAGCACCGCTCTGTGGATACAGTCTGTGGGAACGGAGAAAAGTTCAAGCCCTCAGAGGTTATTCATTACCCAAGTCTGGAAATATAGTATTTCCCATTCACTCACATGTTGGGTCTGTAAATCACTGCTACTTGGCAGGAGAGGAACCTTGGTAAAAAGAAGTTTTTGTTGTTGTTTACTGCAAAAAGTATTCATATCAGTGAGGTTTAATTTTATCCCACTAGGGAACTTTAAAAAAAAAAGTAATGATCTCCTTTTTGCCAATATAATACATGCATATAAGAATTTATACATACATACAGTGAAGAATCCATACTACATAGACTCTACATATATATATGTGTATATATATGTGTGTGTGTGTGTGTGTATATATATATATATATATATATATATATATATATATATATATGACTTTCTTTTTTGAACTTGGCCTTAGCACTATCTGCAAATATTAATCACTCAAGTATCTAACCCTGTCAGAGAGGGGACAACAGTTCACAGTTTGGTGTCAGCTGGCTGGCTGTGGTGGTGTTTTGGGTTGTTTGTTGCATTCTTCAGGAAGCAAAGGTATTTCCTGAAGGGCCGAGAAAGCCAGCAGGTGTATTGTGAAGTATAATAGGACATGTAGGTATGAGTTGTACTCAGTGGGGACAGAAAATTCCTTAGCAACACTTAGGCTTGACTATTCTGAACAGTAGTTTGGCTGTTCAGCTTAACTTCCTCATTGACAGTCTCAAGGCATTTGCACCATCAACATAAATGGAGTTTTTGCTGTATATTGAATCTGGGAGGGTAGAAATCAATGTGCGTCATTAAAATGCTTTCAAATTCCTTTTTCTCCACTGAGAACACTTTGTTTCTATTTTTATTTTGCCCCTCAACTATATGGATAGTCCTCATCTCTTCATTTTGTGGACAAATGTGTGTCGTTGAGGCAGTAAAAGAGCTGATAACTTGACCATAAGCGCTTACCTCGTTGCAATGTCTTCATCAGTTCTCCCTTGGTAAAAACTCTAATTTATCCCTCTTCCACTAAGTATTGGGGTGACAGGGGTTGAGAGTGGGAAAGACTGCAGTTTGGCTTACCATTCTGGTCTCCCCTCTCGGTGGAGAGATGAGAGGCTCCCTTCAATGGCTCAGATGAGAAGTTTCAGCCTGAGGTCTCATGCCACACAAAAATCAAAGAGCATCTTTAGCACTTGTCAAGTTTATTCCATGTCTGCAGAGAATATAAGCATTTGGCTCCAAGTGTACTTTTGCATTCACTCACTCGCTTATTCAGTCAACAATCATTTTCACAGCATGCTTTATAACTCTGGGGGGTATAAATCTGAACAAGATTGGCCCCTGCCCTCAAGTTGTTCAAAATCTAACAGGAACAAAACAAGACAAAAAATATATACACACACATATACATATATTTCGGTAACTCTAACACAGGACAAGGGTGAGAAGAATAGAAAATGAACAAATTGCTATGAGCATACAGAGAAGGAAGTAAATCCTTCTGGCTGGATGAGGAAGGGGGACATCATAATAACATTATGTAAGGTGGCTTACACAATTGGGTCTTGAAGAGGTGAGACCTCAGAGATTAAGGAAAGCCATTGAGACAGTGGGAAAGCACGAGCAAAGGCAGAGAGGCAAGAAAGTGTATAAGGTCAGTTCAGGACACAAATAGCAAGTTGTCCTATTTGGCAGAAGCACAGAATATCTGAAGAGGAGGAAATGGAGGGGAGGGGATTGACCTTGGGTAGAATTATTAATACTAACTTACCTAAAACACTTGGAAGATTTTTTTTTCTAAGTTACTAGGCTTAGTTTCTAGGCATAGTGGACTGCTACTGTTCCCTTCCTGGCATAATACTTTTAAATTTATTAACCTGTTTCGGGGCATTTCTTTCTTTCTTTTTTTTTTTTCTTTTTTTTTTAGACGAAGTTTCGCTCTTGTCACCCAGGCTGCAGTGCAATGACACAATCTCGGCCCACTGCAACTTCCACCTCCCAGGTTCAAGAGATTCTCCTGCCTCAGCCTCCTGAGTAGCTGGGATTACAGATTCCTGCCACCACGCCCAGCTAATTTTTGTATTTTTAGTAGAGAAGGGGTTTCACCATGTTGGCCAGTCTGGTCTCGAACTCCTGACTTCAGGTGATCTACCCGCCTTGGCTCCCAAAGTGCTGAGATTACAGGCATGAGCCACCGCGCCTGGCCGGGCATTTATTTCTTTACTCATTCTTCCCAATAATAAGCAAAGCTCTGAGGAATAATTTTGTACACAAGTTTTTGCATAGGTCCATACTATTCCTCTGGAATACATTCCTGGAAGTAGACTTGATGAGCTATTGGATGTGGATTGTTCTCCAGCCATGGTGAGCCAAGGAATATTCCATAGATAGAAGGAGAGAGCCTATCACTCCTAACCTCCCCAATGCTTGGTGGCCATTTTAAGTCTTTATCAATTTGATAAACCAAAAACAATGACTGAATTTTTATTCTAGTTTTCATTCCTTTGATTACTAATGAGGCTAAACACCTTAATCAAATACTAACGGCCATAGAGCCAACATATAAAATCCTTCAGGTTGGATTTTATTAGTGTGAAATAAACTAGAAAGAATGCTTCAGATTCATTTTCATTTTGCTACCCAAAATGAGATTATAAAACTATTGATCATGAAACTGCATCTATGGGAAAATAGGAGAGGGTGGCCTGATTTTCCCATTGATTGCACCTGCCCTCAGCTTCATCTTCGTTTGACTGGGAACAGCTGGCCTTTGAAAATTGGCCATGCTGTAATGCATTGTACCAGAACCCCAGTTCTGTGCCTTATCTTAGGCTCTTTGAACCTTGACCTCTTCTTCCAGCTCTTTGAAGCCTCATTAAAATTTACTCCTCTCTAAAGGCATGTATCATATCATATTTTGCTTGGAATAGGCACTTAGCTTTCCCTTCTACAAAGTGGTAAGTTTTTTGAGAGCAGCTTTGTCATATTCATGTTATCCCCTGCAATTGCTAACATGATGCCTCCAGCATTTTTTGAAAATAAATAAATATAACAGTTTAAAATGTATTTATCTCCTTCTCTTAAAAACAATGACATTTTGTTGTCATTGGGATTTCTTATTCTTAGAAAAACTACCCACCCAACATGAAAACAAAATCTCAAAAAAAAAAGATATAACCAAATTAAATAAAACAATGAATTAAATAATACACTTAATACCTAAGTAACACCCAAAGAGGGTATTTCCTCCTTTCTAGAAACTCTGCCCTTCATGGGCCAGCTGTCATTGAATCATTAAATTATATTGTATTCTAGTGGATGCAAATAAGAACGTGTTTTTAAGCTAAATATGGTTTGGTTTTTGGACCCGGTTGTTTTTTCCCTTCGATTCTAAAATAATTTCAGATTTTTATACATATTTAAGGACTGTTTATTTAAAACCCCAGATTGAAGCATTTTCTAAACATAATTCATGTTGTATTTCTCCACTGGAAAGGTTCACCTCCATTGAGCACAGGGACTTCTGAAACAGAACCTTAATAGCATACTTAGCCAAGGAATAGTCACCAGCTGACTAGCTATTGATTTAATGTTCCATCATTTCCATGGTTCAATCACACCTACCATGGTGAATCAGTTGGAACATCCTCAACGAACCAATAAATGAGCAATTTCCCCCACCAAAGGGATACGTTTCATGTGCAGCAGAGGCATACATAACTTATCTCAAACAATGTGAGGATCAAGTGCAGCATTGATTTACCCTGAATCATCCAGCCTTCTGTTTTCAGTAATGGTTTAGTCCTCTAATTGGCACAAACCCCACACACCAGCTTTTTGTTTAAATATTTGGGCATATGATGTATCTCTGCTTGAGGTCAGGGACCATTTCTTACATACTTTATCATTTTCAAGACATATATTAGGTGGTCAATATGTATTTGTCAAATGAGAATCATATGTTAAGGTAGAATAGGGCCAGAGTTTGCTATATGCCTGTGGTTCTCAACCCTCGGTATCCATTAGAATCACCTGGGGATCTTTCTGAACAATACCCAAGCCTCACCCTCAAAGCTGTGGGCTTAATTGGGTCTAAGGTAGGGTCTGAGCATTCCATCCAAACCTTACATTTTAAAAGCTTCACAGGTAATTCTAATGAATTGCTAGGCCTGAGAAGCACGGCTATATTGTGACACAATTAGGCAGGCAGGAAGTATGGTAAATGGTCCGGTAAGTACCACACAGTACCATACTTCTCAAAGTGTGGTCCCTGGACCAGCAGCAGCAGCAGCATCCTGCCACTTGTTAGAAGTGAAAATTATTGGGCCCCTTTCCAGACCTAGAGAATCAGAAACAGGCCAGGCATGGTGGCTCACGCCTGTAATCCCAGGGCTTTGGGAGGCCGAGGTGGGTGGATCACTTGAGGTCAGGGGTTCAAGACCAACCTGAACAACATGATGAAACCCCATATCTACTAAAATACAAAAATTAGCCTGGTGTGGTGGCGCAAGCCTGTAATCCCAGCTACTCGGGAGGCTGAGGCAGGAGAAGCACTTGAACCCAGGAGGCGGAGGTTGAAGTGAGCCGAAATCACACCACTGTGCTCCAGCCTGGGCAACAGAGCAAGACTCCATCTCAAAAAAAAAAGAGAGAGAGAGAGAGAATTAGGAACTGTGGGTGACATCCATAAATTTGTGTTTTTGTGCCCTCCAGATGACTTTGATGCCTCCTAAAGTTTGGGAACCACTGTAATAGAGAAATCTATGTTGAACTGAAAAATGGCAAGGCTGGCACTGTCTTAGAGAAACTGATTTCAAGTTATATTAAACTCAAAACATAAAGCAGGTTATGCTTCATAAAACAACACTTTGAATCATAGTTTTTTCTTTTAAAGAGACAGGATCTCACTCTGTCACTCACGCTGGAGCGCAGTGGTGCAATCATAGCTCACTGCAGCCCCAAATTCCTAGGCTCAAGCTATCCACCCACCTTGGTCTCCCGAGTAGCTGAGTAGCTGGGACTATAGGCACGTGCCACCATGCCCAGCTTATTTTTAAAAAAATTTTTTTAGACACAGGGTCTTGCTTTGTTTCCCAGGCTGGTCTCGAACTCCTGGCTTCAAGTGCTGGGATTATAGGCATGCTGGCCATTCACTGCCCCCACCCATAGTTTTCCTTGGTATTATCCTTTTAGCACCTGAAAACAAAAACAAATTTCAGTATGTATAAGACACTCCACTAATACCAAACCGTGAAGATGGCCATGTCGGCCTTCCCTATACAAAGATACTTGGCCTAGAGGGGGGAACCAACCACATGTCATCAGCTCCTGCCTTCATTGCTGTATGCTTCGTGGTGGCCCTTAATACTTGGGCAAGAGACCTGTTACTCAACCTCAATTTCCACTCATTGTAAAATCAAAGGCAGCAGGAACCTCAAACCACAGGCCCAACTTTCTAGCCAGGTTTGCAGAGCTTCTTCAGAAGCCAGGGTCAGAATTAGGTGTGCTTCTTCTCCAAGCTGTGGGCTTGTGAATGTAGAATGGGAACACCCTCATCCCGCCTTCCACAGTGGCTTCTTCCTCAAGTGCCCAATGCTGGATCTGACTCAGCTATGGAGGGTGAGGAGCAGAGGGACAGTGGCCGTTGGTGGTGGCAAGGGGGAAGTGACAAAGGGAAACGCAAGGGTTGGTGGCAACAGCAGAAGTGATGACTGGCAGCACATGATGTGGTGAAGGGGTGATGCCGTGACTGTCACACCCCACTGTGACAGGAGGCTTGTTTGCCACACCTTTATCCGGATCCATTCAAGGGACAGGCAGATTAGGGTTGCTGGTTTAAAAGTGATTAAAAGGCCGGGCGCAGTGGCTCACACCTGTAATCCCAGCACTTTGGGAGGCCGAGGCAGGCAGATTGCTTGAGCTCAGGAGTTCGAGACCAGCCTGCCTCTAAAAAAAATGTTTTTAATTAGTTGGGCATAATGGAGCATGTCTGTGGTCCCAGCTACTCAGGAGGCCAAGGCAGAGAGGATTGCTTGAACCCAGGATACAGAGATTGCAGTGAGCCAAGATCGTGCCACTGTACTCCAGCCTGGGTGATAGAGCAAGACCCTGTCTCAGAAAAAAAAAAAAAAAAAAAAAAAAAAAGTGATTAAAGGCCTAACAGAAAGTAAGGTTGGTGATGCAGTGCTGTGAACAAATCTCTCCAAGTTTGGCTGCTGTGCTACCTGTGTCAAAATCACCAGAGGTAATTGTTAAGGCTGCAGCCTCCTGAACCCCCACCCCAAAACTCCTGAATGAGCATTTCCTTTTTATTATTGTTTTATATTTTACTTTAAGTTCTGGGATACATGTACTGAACATGCAAGTTTGTTACATAGGTATACATGTCCATGGTGGTTTGCTGCACCTATCAACCCATCATCTAGGTTTTAAGCCCCACATGCATTAGGTATTTGTCCTAATCCTCTCCCTCCCCTTACCTCCCACCCCCGACAGGCCCTGGTGTGTGACGTTCCCCTCCCTGTGTCCATGTGTTCTCATTGTTCAACTCCCACTTTTGAGTGAGAACATGCAGTGTTTGGTTTTCTGTTCCTGTGTTAGTTTGCTGAGAATGATGGTTTCCAGCTTCATCCATGTCCCCGCAAAGGACAGGAACTCCTAAATGAGCATTTCTGAGGGGGGACAATCTGTAAATTTGCACACTAAACAAGCTCTTCATGGGATTCTGATACAGGTGGTTCTTAAGATCTCGCTTTCAGAAAACCACCCGAACATAATTTTGTTGCTTGGAAATTTGAAGTTGCTTGTCCTTCAACGTTGACTCTATGCAAAGAACTGCAGAAGACACATAGTCTTAAGATATAGTCCCTTAAAAAGAAATTAACCATAAGTATTATTAGGAGGAGGAGCAGTAGTCGTGATAAACAAACAAATAAACACTAAACTGCAACAAGGTAGAATGAGGGAGGAAAAATAGCAATGAAAGTTTATGGGCATTAAAATGAGAAAAGTTAAAACTCGGGGTTTAGGAAAGGGATTGGGAAGGAGGTGACAGTTCAGACTTCTTCAGTAACTTTTTTCCTTAAAACAATACGTGTGTAACAGTGGTTTATGTTCCTTGCAGACATCTGAGATCATTCTTGGACGAATGAAGAGAGGATTTCAACAGGTGGAGCAGGAAGGGGAAAGCACAGGATTCCAGGAGGAGGGAAAAACATAGGCATTGATGTGTGTTGACTAGTATTTCTGTCATCTCAGGAATTTGCCCTTAGTAAGAATCCTCAAGTGCCTTAAAGTTAGGACCTTAGGAAATTGTGTTCTCTTTCAGGCTAGCCAAGGCTAATTAACATTTTTGGGGTCCAGTGATTTCTTATAATGTTTCCTGGTTCCATAATGTATACAAAATTGAGGTATTAAATTATTAAATGATGATAAAACACTATGCTGCTTTAGGGGAAGGAGTACAGATGTCTGCAATTCACTTCGAAAGGCATCCAGGAAATAAGGTGATAGAAGGATGGATAGAGGGATAGTTAGAAAATAAACAAGTTTAATAAAATATTAACAGTAGAATCCAGGAAATGCATATACAGCTGTGTCTTGTAAAAATCCTTTCAACTTTGCTGTGTGTTTGAATTTTTTCACAATAAAATGGGGGTGGGGATGTTCTGCTTCTACAGGTCATGTGATTCTGAGCAAATCTCTGCTTAGCTCCCCTCGGCTTCACTTTGCCATTACTTTTAAGGACAAAAACTGCAATTACTTCTGCACCAACCTAATGGTTAATCTGCAAGGTCCTGTCCAGTTCCCAAATTCTCTCTTATTCCCTCTTCTCAGACAGGGAACACAGGGGTTACTACCACAGAGAAGCAGTCCTCTAACCTACCATGACTTAGCTCTGCTAATAAAGGTAGTTAATCTTCCTTATGGTGTGGCAGGGATGACCTAACTTGGACCCAGACAGTGTCAAACTGCTGTCTGTGGTTCTAGAGCAGGTGCCAGGCGAGTCAGACCTTGAAATTTGTTTTGAAACTGACCACCTGTTACTGTAATTGTGTGGCTGTTTTCCTGGCTTATGGGATTTTATTTCAGCTGTTGTTCTCAGGCGAGAGTTTATTTCCTCTAGGAATCACTCAGTTCACTTGCCCTAAACTTAGAATTTGAGTGTAGGGATCTTCCGGAGACTGAGTCAACTATGCAAATCTGAATCTTCTGTCAAAAATCCTGAAGTTACCTACAGACTTGAGTAACAACTTTTAAGGGAAAAAGTGAGAATCCTCTTTCAAGTCTTTTGTTACAGATAAAACATCTTCTGAATTTTGCAGGGAGAAGGAGCTAAAGGATTAAATTTATGGTTGCTCCTCATTTTTGTTCCTGGCTAACAGACAGCATTGTGCTGAGTCAGCACTTTCCTGGCACTCACCACCTTGCTGAAAATTCTCATGCCCAAAAAACTTTACTGCAAGCTACAACTTAACAAAGAATAAGTCAATTTTTCCCTGATAGTTAGAAGAGAATGCCACAATTTTGGAACTAGAGTGGACCTTAGTGATTAACTAGTTCAATCCTTCATATTAGAATTGAAGCAAGTAAAGTTCTGTGACATTATTATAAAGAGACTTGATCAAGATCATAAATCTTGTTCAGGGCTGAGATAGAAATCTCCTTATGTTGCAGAATGCACTCGTATAAAGGGAAAAATAATAAAAGCAGCTTAAAAAGCTGTGCTTATGAATATCAAGTTATTTTCTAAAAAAAAAAAAAAAAAAAAAAGCTATGGTGTTCTAGTTTCCTATTGCCGCCTAACAAACCACCACAAAACAGAGTGGCTTCAAACAACAATTTATTATTCCCTGCCATGGTTCTGTGAGAGAGGATAATACTAGGCTCCTGCAGGCAGTTCTTGCTCGGGGTGAGCAGTGTGGTTGCATCAGATGGTAGCTGGGGCTGGGCATCTAGGATGGCTTCTTCACCACATGTCTGATGCCTGAACTGGGGATGGCTGGAACAACGGGGGGCTGGCCAGATGTCTCTCCAAGTGGACAGCTTGGGCTTCATACAGGAAAGAACACTTGAGCAGAATCATGAAAAACAAGTGGGAGTTTGCCATACACAGGAGATGGGAAAAGGAAAATCAATAGAACAGACACAGCATGTACAAAGGCATGGAAGCAGAAAACATCACCGAGAAGGGAAAGCAGCTTTAGACTGGGAGTGAGAATGCAGTGCCTCCTCCCTCGAAAAGAGCCCACAATGGAGGTAATCCTAATGGGGAGAAGAAAGTTGTTGAGGCCAGGCGCGGTGGCTCACACCTGTAATCCCAGCACTTTGAGAGGCCCAGACAGGCAGATCACCTGAGGTCAGGAGTTCGAGACCAGCCTGGCTAACATGGTGAAACTCTGTCTCTACTAAAAATACAAAAATTAGCCATGCGTGGTGGTGCATGCCTGTAGTCCCAGCTACTAGGGAGGCTGAGGCAGGAGAATCGCTTGAACCTGGGAGGCAGAGGTTGCAGTGAGCCAAGATCATGCCACTGCCCTCCAGCCTGGGCAACAGAGCAAGACCCTGTCTCGAAAAAAAAAAAAGCTGTTGAATATTTCAAGGGAAAGCTGAAGGAAAATAATGTTCCTAAGTGAGTACCATCTTGGGGTGAAGTTCCCCTTCATTATTTGAAACTTCACAGTTTTGTTAGAAATTGAAGCTTCTGCTGGGTAGCAACTGAACTCCCTGAAGCTCTCTTCTTTTGAATTTTTCACTGCTGGAGAGAAGGGTCCTTTCTGTCTTGTGAAGTTAATAGAAACTTTCCCAGACCTAACATTGACAAAGATGTGTCATGTGTCTCAGAAATTAAAATGGAAAACTCTTTTTTAAAAAAGTGAAAGCAATTTGACAGCACTGAAGCATAGAGCCAAAAGGAAGGAAGAGGAGAAATGAGGTCAACTAGAAGCACCGACAAAGGGACCATTTTGGAAGCCATCATGACAACCCAAGCAAGAGATGATGAGGGCTTGAACTGGAGTTGAGTAGAGATGAAGGAAGGGGTGGTGATTTGAGAGCAATCTAAGGAGTACAATGAAATGACTGGTTAGCTATCCAGAGACAGGATGGAAGGAATCCAGAAACTGCCTGGATTCCTGGCTAAGATGACACAGTGGGTGATATATGTAGTCATTCGCTGATAGAGTGTAGCCAGGAAGAAGAATGGATGGGGTGGGAAAGAAAGTAATGAATTTGGACATACTAAGATGAAGATGCCCGCAGGTCATCTAGAAGAGAACTGTTCCATATGCAGTTCAATGTATGGGCCTGGAGCCAGGGAAGCTGGGGCAGGAGAAGAGATTTGGGAGTTACTTGCCCATTTGGAGAAGTATTTTTAAAAGTTACTGTTTTTAGGCCGGGCACAGTGGCTCATGCCTGTAATTCCAGCACTTTGGGAGGCCAAGGCAAGTGGACCCCTTGAGCCCAGGAGTTTGAGACCAGCCTGGGCAACGTAGCAAGACTCAGTCTCTACAAAAAAATGTTTTTTAAAAATTAGCCAGGACTGGGCATGGTGGCTCGCACCCATAATCCCAGCACTTTGGGAGGCTGAGGCAGGTGGATCACCTGAGGTCAGGAGTTTGAGACAAGCCTGGCCAACATGGTGAAATCCCATCTCTACTAAAAATACAAAAATTAGCCTGGCATGGTGGCACGTACCTGTAATCCCAGCTACTTGGGAGGCTGAGGCAGAAGAATCACTTGAACCCGGGAGGCAGAGGTCGCAGTGAGCCGAGATCGCACCATTGCACTGCAGCCTGGGTGACAAGAGTGAGACTCCATCTCAAAAAAAAAAAAAAAAATTAGCCGGGTGTGGTGGTGCACTCCTGTAGTTCTAGCTACTCAGGAGGCTGAGGTGGGAAGATCGCCCCCAGTGGGTGAGGATGCAGTGAGCCAAGATGGTGCCATCGCACTCCAGCCTGGGCAACAGAGTGAGGCTCTGTCTCAAAAAAAAATTTTTTTTAATAATAAATAAAAATTCCTGTATCACAAACTAATCAGGAAAACCTGCCACCCCTTAGTTGATGTCCAGTTAGTTGGTTCTATACACAACTAAATTATATACAAAGAAACAGTCCATTGTCATGGAGTTTGATTCTCCCTGGTTTACAACAGTAGCAAGTAGGGTTAGGGTCTAATAAAGGTGAAAGAATTACTGCCAGTTTGTTTTAACTATTTTCACTAAAAGATACTAAAGATCAATATCATTCTTTATCATTACTTACTCTTCTCAAGACTCTCTAAGAGCATGCCTTAGGAATGAGGGGCTATAAGCTCTGATATCTATTCCACTGTTTCCTGTTGCAATTGGTTCTCAAACTTTTAGCTTTAGAATGTCCTAGGAGCTTCTTTTTTTTTTCATCTAGATTCCAGAGCCCCAGCCCCAATGATTCTGATTCAGTAGGTCTAGGGTAGAGCCCAGGTATCTGCAATTTTAACAAGCGTTCCAAGTGATTCTGATAAAGCAAGTATTACCAACACAAATGGAATAATTTCCTAGGGCTCAATTTCTTCATCTGTAAAGGGGAAATAATGACACCTGCCATGCCTATTCTCAGGGCTTTTATGAAGTCCAGAACAACAGCGATATATGTAAGAGAGCTTTGAACACTGTGGGTTCTCCACACTGGTAAGATGTTGGTATTGTGTGGGGCAGTGCATCAGAATTACCTGGCAGGCTCCTTAAAACATAGAATGGTGAACCCTATTGCCAAGATTTCTGATTCAGTAGGTCTGTGGTAAGGCCCAAGAATTTGCCTTTCTATCAAGTTCCTAGGAGATATTGATGCAACTGCTCAGGGGACCAGGCTTTGATATGCTCATCCGGGCACCCAAAAGCACTGGTCTTAGGTCAATCAGCTGAAAGCTGTCGGGTTGGTTCAGAGGGTGACATATTTTACCTTAGAATTGTCTGGGCCTAGGTTCTCAATGTTCATGATTCCCAAAACTGTATTCATTTACCCAATAAACATTAACTCAGCACTTTTGATGTGCCAGGCACTCTTCTGAACACTGGACACACAATCCTGAATAAAATAGACCCAAAAATGAATGAATAAAATTACTTCAGATAACAGTAAGTGCCATAAAAATATAAAACAGGGTAATGGAATAGAGAGTAGCTGGGTTGGAGGTAGTTCTTCATATAGAGGGGTCAGGAAAGCATCCTCAAAGGAAGTAAATTTTTTTTTTTTTTTGAGACAGGGTCTTGCTCTGTTGCCCAGGCTGGAGTACAGTGGTGTAATTTTGGCTCACTGCAACCTCAGCCTTCCAGGCTCAAGCCTCCTGAGCAGCTGGGACCACAGGTGTGTGCCACCACACCTGACTAATTTTTGTATTTTCTGTAGAGATGGGGTTTTGCCATGTTGCCCAGGCTGGTCTCAAACTCCTGGGCTCAAGTGATCTGCCCACCTCGGCCTCCCAAAGTGCTGGGATTGCAAGTGTGAGCCACCGCTCACAGCCAGAAGTAACAGTTAAGCTGAAATAAAAGAGTCAGCCATACTAGATGGGACAAGAGCACTCCAGGCAGAGAGAACAGCAAGTACAAAGGCTTGGAGGCCAGAACGAGAAAGACTAGTGGGGCTGGAACTAGTGAATGAGAGGTAGAGTGACATGGGATGAGACTAGAGAAGTATACAGGGCCAGAAATGTAGGATCTTGCAGGTTTTGGGGAGTGTGGGTTATGAGTCAGGCCTATAGGGCAGATCTGTACAGATCAGCCCTTCCCAAACTAACATGCATGCAAATCACCAAGGATCTTGTTAAAATGCTGATTCTGATTCAGTAGTCATAGGATGGTGCCTGAGATTCTGCACTTCTCAGAAGCAAAATGCTGCTGTTCTGCTGCTGGAATCTAGATCACACTTTCAGTAGCAAGAGCCATAGAAGAAGATGCTAGGAAGCAAATAGACTCTGTCTTCCTTCAATCAGGGAAAAGCATGGATAAAAGGTAAAGGGAATGGTGAAAGATAGGGACCAAGGAAAAAAATCATCATATTGAGGGAACCGTGGACACTAAAAATTATCTTTCAGGAGGATCTATAATGTCCTTTTCAGCATACAGTTCAAAGGATTAAAAGATTGTCACTGAAATGAGGAACCTAAATAAAATAATAATTCTCTTGGTAGTTTACTTAGAAGTGGCTGCATAGGTTTCCAAAGTGAGTTTGTCTGCTCACAGTTGAGTGCTGCTGCTTTCTCAAACCCCACCGGAACTGCTTGAAAAACAAATGACTGTTTCCACAACCTCTTTAACCTTCTGTGACTCTCTATGGCTATTGCCTGCCACTGCCTTCCTCGAACATTCTCTATTCCTGTTAACCAATGTTGCTGGCCCTTCTCCCTCCCTCTGCCATGTAAGGGCCCAGGACTTGGGTGGAGTAAGAGAGAAACACAGGCCTGAGGATAGCAGGGGGAAGAAGGCATTTCAGAGCCTGCCTGTTGCCTCTGCAGTACTGCCTGGAGTGCAGCCATAAAAATATAGCCAGAGTCTGCTTCCCTTCCTCCATTCTCTTCTGGGGGTTGGGATGGGAACTGAGTAGTCTTACCTTATAAGCCATATGGCTATTTCTTTTAAGGAATGATCTTCCTAGAATGCAGCCAGAAGCCCAGAACGGTAAAAAAAAAAAAAAAAAAAAAAACAAAAACTTAAAATCAGATGCCTCTTTGTGTAAACTTCTATACCACACGATAGATCCCTTGTTTGTTATCATAAGCATGTTTCTCCAAAATTTCCTGTTTTTCAGATGATTTGTGAATTGAAAATTCTGTCTGTGGAAGGAAAGCCACATTATTGAAGCCCCAAACAATAGAATGACTATGGCTTTAATCCTTTGAATAAGGCTTTGTTTCCCATTGACTGAAAACTTCCGAAAGGAAGAAAAGCTAGGAACATTCAGGAAGGATTTGTATTTCATTTTACAACAGTTTTGTGAAAGGGGAAAATCATCTGGAGGCCTTAGACTCCCTTTCCTGGTTGATGGGTATCCGAACACACAGCCGTGCTGGGAGCTGGCTGCAGATGGTGGCTCCCACCCACCAAACACTTCCCCACCCTACTGCCAACTTTGTTTCATTATTGTTGTGCTGACACCAACAGACGTTCATCCTGAGCCAGAGTTTCACATATTCCCTGGGCATGACTAGGAACAGGTGCACCCAGTCTATCTCAATTTACTTGCATGGATCAAAAATGTTTCCCTAATATATTCCACAATGATTATATTGCATACTCCTTAATTTATGAATTTCCTATTAATAAAGAGATATCATAATTGAAAAAAGTCATCAACCATTGAACTCTTAAATTACTTTCAATTACACTCCCACTTGACTGTGTTTTCATTTACTTTACACATCAATAATTATTTTCTTTTAAAATAAAGTGAAATCAATGAGCTGAATCCTCCTTACAATTTGGGAAAGAGGTCTGTGGATAAAAAAAGCTGCTTTAGCCAGGCATGGTGGCTCACGCCTGTAATCCCAGCACTTTGGGAGGCCGAAGAGGGTGGATCACCTGAAGTTGGGAGTTTGAGACCAGCCTGACCAACATGGAGAAACCAGCCTCCACTAAAAATACAAAATTAGCTGGGCGTGGTGGCGCATGCCTGTAATCCCAGCTACTCAGGAGGCTGAGGCAGGAGAATCGCTTGAACCCGGGAGGTGGAGGTAGTAGTGAGCTGAGATTGTGTCATTGCACTCCAGCCTGGGCAACAAGAGCAAAACTTCATCTCAAAAAAAAAAAAAAAAAAGCTGCTTTAAATCCCCAAATGCTGATACGGCCATTCCTGCTTTGCACAGATTCTATGCCGGAGGCATAAATTATGGAGCTCAGTTCACGGGGCTGTCAGGCCCCATTGCAGAAGTCAAAAGGGCCTCTTGGACACCTGCCCCTTCTGAGTGATATCATCCTCATTTATAAATCCCTACTGAATGTAGAATACCACACACACCCTCTTACGGCCAACAGCCCTTAGGGTTTTGTCTCAGGTATGTCTCTGGGGACATAATTTAGAGATTCACCATCCTGAGAATTATGTTTCCGGTACCAAATCCTAATTATAGGTCTACTCTATAAGTGACTTCCCAGAGACAGAAGGTGCAGTTGAGGTTAGGCCTAGGTCTTTGTTAGCTGTAATTAGAGAAGGTAATACCTCTTCGTCCACGTGGTCCTATCTTTACCACATTACCTGTACTGGTGGGAAGAGCCAGCCTCACCACTCTGTTAGGGACACATTGGAGAAAAGAGACCAGTCCTTGGCTAAGAAAGACAGGATCCATTTTTCCAGTGCTTTCCAAAGCAGCATCCACTTTAAGTCAGGGAAGGCCTTCAAATTACTTTCTGTAGAAGAAGATTTAAAAGAATGTTTCTGTTTAGGGTTTTTCAGTCTTTTGTCCAAGGACTCTTCTATATCTTTTGTCCAACTACAGAATCCTTTGAGAGTCTGTTGACAATTATGAATCATTTCCCCTCAAAAATGCACATATGTGTAGACACAAACAATGTTGCATGCAATTTCAAAAAGTTCACAGACCCCTGGAAACCCATAAGCCTCAGATTAAGAGCATTTAATCAAGATTTAGACACTTTTTAAATTTATAGAAGTTGTGAATTTATAGAAGTTGAAAGCAGAAGAGCTATTAAATGCTCCAAAGCATTTAAAGGACAAAACTAAAATAAGAAAGTAAAAAGAGAAGCGATTAAAATATAGCATTTTTCTAAAATAGATCAGGGTGATTGTCTTTTTTCCTCTGCAAACATTGTACAGCAGAGCATGAAACACCAGCTTTACCCTTTGCTGCTTACATGCTAAGACTGCATGGTATGTTAATGGTCTCATAGATCCACAATATATTCTATGTTTGTAATTAATAGCTACCCTGATGGTTGCCTGGTATATATGAGGCCAAGGGCTTTGACTATAGGATTACTTATTGCTCACAACAAGCACACAGGGTAAATATCACTAACCCATTCTACAGCCAAGAACATTGAGAATCTGAGAAGAAAACAGCTTTCCCAAAGCCACACAGCAATTAAGCAGCAGAGATGGAACTCTGACCCAGGGCTGTCTCCAAAGGCCTCACTCTTAATACAATGTAAGAATGCAGGCCTACTAAATTTTATAATTAGCTTTTAAAATGTTCCTTCAGAGTCCTTGGGGCAGTTATCAGGCAAATAGGAAGCAGGAGAACTTCAAGGGCTGCTTGAAGCAAAATCACAAGCTTTGCAGTGACAGCTCCAGGATGTCTGCCTGGGAGGGATCTGAAGGCCGTGGGGAGCTTGCCTTAAGGCTGCAATTGCAATTGCATAGCAAGCAAGGAGACTTTCCTCCGCTTCAAGTCAAATGGCACAGTTTTGGCAGCCACAGCCCTTGCTATTGGAAGAAGCTGCCCTCTCCATCAGTGGGTGGTTGGTGAGAGTTAGGGCTGAGCTCCCGCCTAGCTCTCACTCCTGAGATGTGCAAATAGCTCCGCCCACCCCTGCCCTGCCTGGGCCCTCCATCAGTTCTGCTTCTCTGCCCCCTCTGCACCCTCAGCCTGTCACTCTGCTGCCCTCTGCGGTGGCCACACAGGGATGAGAAACCTGGGAAAACCAAGCAAACACTCTATCCTACCCTGAACTGTGAATGTAGGAATAGTTAATTCAGACTTCTCTAACATTAGAGTTTTCTAAATGTAACTGCCAGCATGGGACACAGCCTGGAACCTAGAATAAATGAACGAGGCAATCAAAGCCTTAGAGGATTTTCTTAACTCAAGTAGGGCCAGGCATGGTGGCTCACCTGTATAATCCCAGCACTTTGGGAGGCCAAGGGAGGAGGATCTTTTGAGCCCAGGAGTTCAAGTTTACAGAGATCCATGATCATACCACTGCACTCCAGCTTGTGTGACAAAGCAAGATCCTGACTCAAAAACGTTTTTTAAAAAAATAAAAATAAGCTTGAGATATTATTTATGGGAGGCAGGACATCACAGTAGCTAAGCATGTGGCTCTGGGGGCCGATGCTTGGGTTCTGATGGTGATTTGACCCACTTACTGTTTTACAAGTTATTTTGCCTCTCTGTGCCTTAGTTGTTTTATCATAAAATGGAAATAATAATAGTGCCTAGCTCAAAAAATTGTTCTAAAAATTGTTTAGACTGAAAAACCCTAAACAGAAACATTCCTTTAAATCTTCTTCTAATGAAAGTAATTTGAAGGCCTTCCCTGACTTAAGACAAAGAGAATGCTGCTTTGGAAAGCACTGGAAGTGAATCCTGTCTTTCTCAGCCAAAAAGTTGTTCTAAAAATTAAATGTATGAATAAATATATTACACTTAAAACAGTGCCTGGCACATCATAAGCATTCAAAAAGTCTTAATTAGTATTGTGATCATCATTTGGCCACTTTCATAGTCACTGATGAGTGAACCACTTTGTCCATGAGCTAAAATGACTGTGAAAACCCAGAAAGTAAGTTGTATTTCCCTGCAGAGGTTTGAGGGTGATGAGGTGAGCAGGTGAACGTGGTGCAAGGCCTCAAAACCAAGCTGAGCAAAGGAGCCCCAGTGTTTCAGTCAGGTATTGCTGCATAACAAACCACCTCCCAATGTACTGGCTTAAAACAGCAGTTTACATTTCTTATGATTCTGCGGGTCAATCAGGCAGTTCTAGTTTGTAGAGTGTTGGCTAGGGCTCCAATAGGCTGGAACACTCAAAATGGCCTCATTCACATTCCAACTGGAGCTCAGCTGGGGTTGTTGGCCAAAGTCCTCAGTTATCCTCCATCAGGTCTTGTCATATGGCTCTGGAGCTTCCTCACAGCTTGGCAGATGGTTCCAAGAAAGAACACTCTAAGACATGAAGACAGAAGCTGAAGACTTCTTAAGGCCCAGCCTTGGAGATTATATTATATTGGTCAAAATAGGTCATAGGCCAGTCTAGATTCAAAGGGAGTGAATCTAGACTCTACTTCTTGATGAGGGAGTGACACAGTCACATTGCAAAAGAACATATGGGATGAGCGATATTGTGGCAGACATCTTTGGAAACACGATCCACCACAGCTACGGGAAGAGAGAGGAACCAGATTTTCCTACCAAGGTTTGGATTGAGTGACTCAAATAGGAAGACCAATCCGAGTTTGCATCACAAAGTTACCTACTAAAATGAAGAAGTAAATGGAACTAAATGTTTTTAATTTAGCACAACTTGTTTATATGTGACTTAAATAGGATTATTCTTCAGAATATTAAAAATAGTTCCTTTAGGTCAAAAATCACATGGAGAGGTCGAGCGTGGTGGCTCACGCCTGTAATCCCAGCACTTTGGGAGGCCAAGGCGGGTGGATCACTTGATGTCAGGAGTTTGAGACCAGCCTGGCCAACATGGTGACACCCCATCTCTACCAAAAACACAAAATTAGCCGGGAGTAGGGGCACACACCTGTAGTCCCAGCTACTCAGGAGGCTAAAACAGGAGAATCACTTGAACCCAGGAGGCAGAGGCTGCAGTGAGCCTAGATCATGCCACTGCACTCCAGCCTGGGCAAGACAGAGTGAAACTCCTTCTCAACATACATACATACATGCATACATACATACATACATAAAACCAGAACCATAAATGAAAATAGAAAAAAAGACATTAGGTTGGAGAAAATAATTATCAGTAAGGTGCCTTTCTAAAAGTAAAAACTTTTCCTTAAAAGGTAGATGATAAAACCACATACTCCCTGATAGTGACAATGGTGAGCTTGTAGTGAACACTGAAGGGCACTGTGTTAAAGTGAGCAAAGCAGAAAACCATAAAAAGGAGGCTGAGTGATGAATAGGAAGAGTCAGACAAGAGCCCCAGGAGAGTCCTGAAATTGCTATTGCTGAGATTTTGATTTTTCCCTACCTCCTCGCACATGTAGAATTCTTTTTAAAGTGTGATATACTTTATATTTGTATTTTACATTATAATTTATTGGGGTTGGGGGTTAACACCCTTTATAAAATTTCTGGATATGGCTGCAGTCATACATGGATTTACAAAATAAGACTGGAGATAATCTCACCAAATGAATTATGATTTACCTTGAATGTTCCAGTTCACAATTACAAAAAGTATGGTCTTTAAGATTCATTAGAGATGGATAATGTTAAAAAAGGAAAAGGCAGAAAGACTTTGATAGATTTTTGAATGGTGGGGAGAAGAGAAAGCAACAAGAAATGGCACCAAGATTTTGGGCCTCGGTGATAAATGAATGGTTATGTTTGCTAGAGTGATTGAGAAGGTGAGTAGAAGGAAAGAGAATTGCATATTGCAGGGCAGAATTACAAAAAACAACAAGTTTGGGACTGAAAGACTATATTAAGGGAAAGTAGCAGCCATTTAGCATTTTCATAACATCCTGATGTCCCTGGCTTACTTCTATTTGGGAGAGGGGCCCCACTCGTTCTCATTTTATGAGACTATAACTTTTTAGTATTCATTTTACTGTTTGTCATTTATTGAGTTGTTTCTACCCAGTGTGTTTACAACTCACATAAAATACTAAAGACAATCAAATATACAGAAACAAGGCTGGGAAATGCAACTTGCCCAGTGAAAATGTCATTAGTATCTAGTGGCAGCTGCGTACTGTAAAACCATTGGCATCGCCTCAGATAAAAGGCAGATGAAAAACAAGGGAAATGACTATCTAGATGCCTTGATGGAAAACTGTTTTTAATAGTAGGTGGTTTTAAATAGGCTGTCAGAGAAAGAGGATAAGTTGTCCAAGTGATAAACTAGACAATCCATCAAGAACAGAATGCAAAGAGGAGAAAAAGGTAAAGTTCTCATGGGAACAGGATATAAAGTTGATGACAAAAGGCCTTCACAGGGAATGAAGAGCAACATAACAATGTGTGCCATGTATTATTTGCATAAACTCCAAAGAACTTGGCACAATTTATATTTCCCACATCACAATCATAAACCAGGAAGTAAGAAAAAAGAGTGTCAAGCCGCCAAAACAGGTGGAGTATTCAACTTCACTCAAGGGAGTTAAGGGAGTTCTCAGGTCCTCACTTTAACAATAATTCCAATAAGCTTGACTATCCGTTTCTCCAAACCCAACCATTTCAAGTGAGATGCAGATTCAACATTTACATGTTATGTATCTCGACAGTAGCTCACCCTTGTTGAGCATTAACTACGCATCAGGTACTGTTCTAAATTCTATCTAGATGGACCTATTTATTACCATAGCAACCTAAGAGGTAGGGACTAGAATTATCCCCATTTTACAGATGAGGAAGCTGAAACACAGAAAAGTTTTTAAAACTACCCACCAATCACATAGCTAGTAAGTGGTAGAGTCAGGATGTGATAGCTAGTAAGTGGTAGAGCCAGGCTAGACAGGTTCCTATAACCTTAACAACTAGGCCAGCCCTGCCCATAATAATCACCTGTTGGGCTTTTAAAACAGTTTGCTGGGCTTCACCCTGAGAGTTTCTGATTCAGTATGTCTGGGATGGGGCCAGAGACTTTACATTTCTAACAAGTTCCCAGGTATATTCATTTGCTTGGACTGCCATAACAAAGTACTGTATACTGGGTGGTTTTAAATAACAAAATTTATTTTCTCACAGTTCCGGAGGCTAAAAGTCTGAGATCAAGATGTTGGCAGGGTTGATTTTTTTTCCGAGGCCTCTCTTCTTGGCTTGTAAATGGCCCTCTTCTCCCTGTGTCTTCACATAGCCTTCCCTCTTGTCTGTGTGTGTCTGCGTCCTATTTCCCTCTTCTACAGACACCAGTCATACTGGATTAGGGCTTACCCCAATTACCTCATTCTAATTTAATTACCTCTTTTAAGACCCTATCTCCAAACACAGTCACCTTCTGAGATATTGGGGGACTCCAACATATGAACTGGGGAGGTAGAGGTGGGACTACACCTTCAGCCCATAACACCAGGTGATGCTGATGTTGACATGCTGGTCCAGGGACCACAATTTGAAAACCACTGAAATCAGCAAAAGTAGGTGTCATGGACTGTTTTCTCTTTCAATTATTTTTTTTTTTGCTTTTATTTTTATTTATTTATTTTTATTATACTTTAAGTTCTAGGGTACATGTGCACAACATGCAGATTTGTTACATATGTATACATGTGCCATGTTGGTGTGCTGCACCCATTAACTCGTCATTTAACATTAGGTATATCTCCTAATGTTATCCCTCCCCCCTCCCCCCACCCCACAACAGGCCCTGGTGTGTGATGTTCCCCTTCCTGTGTCCATGTGTTCTCATTGTTCAATTCCCACCTATGAGTGAGAACATGCGGTGTTTGGTTTTTTGTCCTTGCGATAGTTTGCTGAGAATGATGGTTTCCAGCTTCATCCATGTCCCTACAAAGGACATGAACTTTAATCCTTACATGAGAAAACACCATGACTCTTATTTTCTTGACAAAACTGAGGATCCAAGACGTCAAATGACTCTCTTCAGATCACACAGCTAATGTAATGGACACAGCTGGCTATCTACTCAGCATCCATTCTTATCCTTCCTCCATCCTAACAGAATCTGGTTTTATTTAGATGTCCACCCCTCTCCCAGGTATACATGTGCTCCAGTGGAGGCAACACTCCCAACCCACCCCCAAAATTCTGAGGTAGGCCTGATTGCCTATTGATCCCATTTCCCTTACCAGTAACTGGTTTGAACACAAGCATGTTGATCCAATTCTGGCCAATCAGGTGTGAAGGAAAGCTGGCTGCAGAAATTTTAAGGAACGGTTTCTACATTTGAGGGAGAGGCATGGGAAAGTACGAGGTCTGTCTCCTTCCCTGATGTTGTCACAACTGAATGTGATGCCTGAACTTGCTGCAGTTGTCTTGCTACCAACCTCAGGGTGAAGTCTCCAGAGCAGCGAGAAGGAAAGAACTGCTCGGTCCTTGATGACATTGCTGAATGCATGGATCAACCAAACCTGGACTCTCCTCTTTCCCCAACTTCCTACTGGATGAGCAATACATTACTGTTTGAAACAGTCTGAGTCAGGGTTTCTCTTATTTGCAGCCAAAGGCATCCCACCTGATTCAGCTGGTAAACAGGGGTGTTAAGATTTGAATTACATCCAGGCGTGAGAGAAGTAATAGCTAAATTCAACATGACAGCAAGGCTGGAGCCAGAATGAATTTGCAATACAAGAACTCAAAAAGCTTGGCAATATACAACAGGACAAATACTATATGATTCCACTTATCTGAGATATCTAAAATAGTCAAAAATCATGATATTAGAAAGTGAAATATTGGTTGCCCAGGACTTGGGGGAGGGGAAATGCCAAACTGTTACTCCATGGGTGCAGGATTTCAGTTTTGCAAGATGAACAATTTCTAGAGATTTATTACACAATGTGAATATAGTTAACATTACTGAACTGTATACTTTTAAAAGGTTAGAAAGATAATTTTTATGTGTTTTGTCACAATTTTTTAAAAAGATTGGCAAACTAGAGTCATTCAGGATAAAGAATCCTACACACTTCAGAGGGCTTAAAGATGTTACCCTAGGTATAGAACATTGGCCTCCTTGCTCCTCCCATCTTAAAGCCCTTACACTGGTTGTCCTCTTCCCTGGAATGCTCTTTCCCCAAATATGTACACAGGCACATCTCTCAGTGCCTTCAAATCTTCGAATGTCACTTTCTCACTGAAGCCTACCCTGACCACCATATTTAAAACTGCAACCACACCTCCCCAGAACTCCTGTTTCTCTTAACTTGCTCAATTTTTTTTTCATTTTCTCACGTTACATAATTTACTTATTATGTTACTTATTTTGTTATTTATTATCTGCCTCCATCCTCTAAAACATAAGATCCACAGGAACAGGGACCTTTATCTACTTTATTCTCTGATGTATCCCAAATGTCTAGACTAATGCCTGACACATAGTCGACTCTCAATAAATACTTGCCGAAAGAATGTATGAGCACTGGGACCAGGTGTGGTGGTTCACACCTGTAATCCCAGCACTCTGGGCAGCTGAGGCAGGCGGATCATTTGAGGTCAGGAGTTCAAGACCAGCCTGGCCAACATGGTGAGATCCCATCTCTACTAAAAATACAAAACTTAGCTGGGCATACTGGTGCTCATCTATAATCCCAGCTACTTGGGAGGCTGAGGCAGGAGAATCTCTTGAACCCAGGAGACGGAGGCTGCAGTGAGCCAAGATCGTGCCACTGCACTCCACTCCAGCTGAGACACAGTGAGACTCTGTCTCAAAAAAAAGAAAAAGAAAAAAAAAAGTATAAGCATTGGTATAAATTTTGGTAACTACAGTCATCAACCAGAAACTTTGTATACACTGAGGTTATAAAACATGAAAAGTGACTTCTGCACTAAGATGGCAGATCTAATCTTGCTCCTGCCCTTAATGCCACAAAAACTATAATCGAGAGGATGGGAGAACAGGAGAGGAGACAATCCCCCCAAAAATGCAGGAAGCCAAAAAGCAGCAGGTGGGCCAGTGGTAACCTACTTAGCAGATATGAAAAGCTGAATCCTAAGGGAGCAGTCAAGAAAGCTGAGAAGTGACCTCACTCATACCACAGAAATCACAAAAGACTCAAGACAAGCAGCACCAAATACCTCTGGAAACGGAGATGGGGAGTGGGAATGATAATGACAATTTGGGGAAAGTTACAAGAGAAGTCTGATTCCTGCAGCCCTCCATACTCTACTCTTTTGGCAAGAGTCCTCTCCTACCCTGACATGATGGATTCTGTAGAGAAGGTAAAAGGTGGGTCTTTGACTTCAGGAACTGGGTACTGTACCCAACTAGGGGAATTCGGTGACCAAATACATGTGGGATGCCAGATATTCCCAGAACACTAGCAGTGAGACCTTTATTCTTCATGCAGCAGATCAGAAGAGCTTTCTCCCTGAACAATCTGACTAGCCAAAGGGAAAGATCTAAAAATACTGACACCCATCAAATGGCCCACCCAGACCATCATGCAGTAAAATCCACAATGGACAAACCCCATGGAAGTGCTCAGAGAGCTTCTAATCAGCTTTTTAGTCTCCCCTTTTTTTTTTTTTTTTTTTGAGACAGAGTCTCGCTCTGTCACCCAGGTTGGAGTGCAGTGGCGCAATCTCGGCTCACTGCAAGCTCCACCTCCCGGGTTCACGCCATTCTCCTGTCTCAGCCTCCCAAGTAGCTGGGACTACAGGCGCCTGCCACCACGCCTGGCTAATTTTTTGTATTTTTAGTAGAGACGGGGTTTCACAGTGTTAGTCAGGATGGTCTCGATCTCTTGACCTCATAATCTGCCCGTCTCGGCCTCCCAAAGTGCTGGGATTACAGGCGTGAGCCACCGCACCGGGCCTAGTCCCCACTTTTAACATAAGCAGACAATCAAGGATTCACTGAACACCTGAGGTAGGTCTCTAACATGGAAGACAGAGGCCAAAAATAAACAAATAGAAAAGCAACTTGTAAGAAAGGGGTTATGTAGAGAGAACGCTTTTAAAAATTCCCCAAAAAATCACTTTATTAATATGCTCAGTAAGATGAGAAGATATTATATACATTTTAAAAGATCAGGATTCTATTCTTTTAAAGGACCATTCAAATAACAAAAAGAGTGCTTTAGGAAATTATTAAATGATGGCAATAATGGGAAAAACGCAATTGAAAGACTATATGATAAAGTTGAAAAAATCTCCCAAAAGCATATCAAAATGCAGTAAGATGGAAAAATGGAGAGAAATTATAAGGAAATTAGACCAGCTCAGGAAGTCCAATACTTAATAAGAATTCAGGAAACAGAGAAGAGAAGAAATGGAAGGTAGAGAATCATCAAAGACTTTTTTCAAGAAAATGCCCCAGAACTAACGAGCTTCCAGATGGAATGGCCCAATGTCCAGCACAATGATAAATTTAAACCCCCAGGCTGATAAATATTATGAAATTCCTGAGCATTAGGAACAAAGAAGGACCCATGTAGTCTACTTAGCAGATGTCCTGTGAGCTTCTTTCTTTTCCAGGGGGAAAAGAACCACATACAAAGGACCAAGAATCAAAGTGGTGGCTGGGCGCAATGGCTCACACCTGTAATCCCAGCATTTTGGGAAGCCTAGGCGGATGGATCACTTGAGACCCAGAGTTCGAGATCAGCCTGGGCAACATGGGAAACCCCATGTCTACTAAAAAACAAAAAAATTAGCTAGTCTCATAACCCAGTCTTGAAAAAAATAAAGAAATAAAAGAACCACAATGGCACTTCAACCCTCTTAACAGCAACAACTAGGTCCATGGACCTACCCAAAAGTCATTTTCCAGCTCCCTAAATGTATAGTTTGGGATGGATATTGTATTGGAAATTGGCAGAGTCCGACGCTGATTCCTGTCAAGACAGGAACACACAGGACAAGTAAGGAAATGTCAAGGCCTGAATGATTCCATCAGTAAAGCTGTAACATGCTGCTTTTAGATTTAGATGGTTTATTACTTACATAGACAGTGAAAACAAGAATAAGCCCCCAGCCTGGACAACATGGTGAATCCCCATCTCTACAAAAAATACAAAAATTAGCTGAGCATGGTGGTGCACACCCGTAGTCTCAGCTACTCCAAAGGCTGAGGTGGGAGGACCCCTTGAGCCCGGGAGGTCGGGGCTGCAATGAGCCTTGATCGCACCACTGCATTCCAACCTGGGCAACGGAGTGGGACCCTGCCTCAAAAAAAAAAAAAAAAAAAGGCCAGGTGCGGTGGTTCACTACTGTAATCCCAGCACTTTGAGAGGCTAAGGCAGGCGGATCACCTGAGGTCAGGAGTTTGAGACCAGCCTGGCCAACATGGTGAAACCATGCCTACTAAAAATACAAAAATTAGCCAGGCATGGTGGCGGGCACCTGTAATCCCAGCTACTCGGGAGGCTGAGGCAGGAGAATCACTTGAACTTGGGAGGTGGAGGTTGCAGTGAGCCAAGATCATGACACTTCACACCAGCCTGGGAGACAAAGGGACACTCTGTCTCAAAAAAAAAAAAAATTAAATTAAAAAAAAGAGAGAGAGAAAGAAGAATAAGCCAAAGTTGCCAGCTCCCTGTGATTCTTGTCCCATTAAGGACATCACTGAAACAAAAGGCACCAAATGACTGCAACATGAGTAGTGGGACACTCTGTTGCTTAACAGCCACTTCTAGACTCCAGTTAAGCAGTAAGATATTATATACATTTTTGTATTCTGCATTTCCCTTGAGGGAAGGGGGCAAGAAGTCCCACACCTCATCAGAATCTAGGAGGTAGTAAGAAACCATCCCATAACAGCCTCTCAGGGAGACAGGGAAGTGAGTGGGAGATGGCCTTCCACCCTCTCATGTTCCAGCAGGATCACAAGATGTTTTTCCAAGATTCAGGTTAGCTGCAGTTCCCGCCCTTGCCTACATGGCTTATGTGGATCCTGCAAAGCAGCCAGAGCACCATAGCAGAGCTGTTCCCCTATTCTTTGGTCTGTGGAATAGGCTACCATACCGGATAAAGCTAAGAGGAAATCTCTAAAAGTCACTTTCCCAGCCCCCAACTAGGATAGGAAATCATAAACAATAACATGTCCCCAAGGGGAATAGTGGAGATCAGTGCAACCCTTAAAGACGTAATGGTTGGTAGTCTCCATCACATTCCTATTGTCACCGGTGTGGCTCCAGCAAAAACCAGACAAATTCAGGAACTTGACAGTAGACTACTGCAAGTTCAACCAAGTCACAGCCTCAGTTGCAGCTGTGGTATCTTTACTACAGCAGATTCTTAAGACCTCAGGCATATGACATGTGGCCACTGATCTGGCAAATGCTTCTTTTCTATCACTATCAGGAAAGGAGGCCAGAAACAAGAATATATATTTACAGTCTTATTCCAGGACTAAATAAGAATACTTTTATCAAGGCAACGGGGCCAAAGTAAGAAAGAAGTACATGGACAGGCCTCATGGACAGATGGAAAGGTAAGATCGCTACCCTAGCAAAGGGATAATAGATGGGATTTGTATTCAGATTTCTGATAACCAGTCCATACATTAGGACTATACCTGATTGAGGCAATCCAAGTTTTAAAAAAAATTCCAAGATGAAGCAACTTCACAGACCCCCTTCTGTATTCGAATCCCATGAGTATAATGGGATGCCTTTTTTAACGGAATGTGATACTGATCATGAATATTCAGTGTTGCTCCCCAAGGAATGAGTAAATTCTCCTGCCCCCATGAACTCAGGAATGACGATGTGACTTGTTCTCGCCAATAAACTAGGAGAATGTGAAATGTGTCACTTCCAGGCAGCCATTTTAAGAGCTAAATTCTCTTCCTGACTCTGTAATAATGGAAGCATGTATCAAGATGGCGCATCTATCAGCCTAGGTACCTGTGTAATATTAAGAACAGGAACTAGGACTTATCTTTTTATTGCCAGCACCTGATAGAATGCCTGGCACAAAGTAGATGTTTGTAAATAATCTTTGATCAATTAAATAGGGAATAAAATTTCATACCACCTGCAATTAGAAGGAAAGCTACAGGCAAGCAAGGACCATGGCTGTCTTCTCACTACTCCATGGGGGAGCCTCCAGAGAGAGCCTTTCACTTGCGCTGGGATCTATGTGCACCCCTTAACACTTTGTGCCAGACTAAGACACTACCAAGTCAGTTGAAACGACGGAGTGCAAACTCTGGCAGGGGAAACAGTATTAAACCAAATCTCCAAATTATTTTCAATTTCGATTCAAAACTCATGAATGATAGCTTTTTTAAAAAATCAGTTTTTTAAAAAAGCCTAACTTGGGGATATTCGCCCATTGGGCAACCAACACTATGCACTGTCCCTAACACTGCAACAGATCCAGGCAATCAATGCAATTGTATGCGTTTCTTGTTGTCGTTGCCACTGTATTTACACCTCACTTACACAGGGACTGGTAACCCATGCTGCCTTGGCAAGCCAACTGCACTCCTCTGTCCCAACAAGCAGGGCAATGGATTGCGAAGAGGCCTCCTCCGTCCCCAAGCAGCTACGTCGCCCAGGGGAAGAGAGAAGGCGGGAAAGTCCAAGAGAGGAGAAACCAAGGCCCGCGCTTAGGTGGGTGTTTTAGTGACGAGTCTGCGGTTACAGCCGAGCGGAGTTGAAAGGGCTGTTAGAAGAATGGAGCAGAAGTCGCAGTTGGGACGAAGCTGAAGAGAGCTGGCATTCGCCCAGGTCTACAGCCAGCCACCTGGTAACCCCTGCCCCCGCCCCCAGAGCCAATCCAGCGAAACTACCGCGAATTCCCGGGAATTCCCTCCAACTCCGGGAAAACTCCCGGAGGGGCGGGGCAAGAGTGGGAGGAGACCCTGCGCGCGGCCGCCAGCGCTCCGGGATCTCGAGATAGCCGCAGCTCTCGCGATCTTTCTGGAGCCGCACCTCCACGCGGAGTCCGAGCGCGTGTGCTGAGACCCCAGGGTCGGGAGGGCGGAGACTGGGAGGGAGGGAGAAGCCCCTTTGGCCTGCCTTACGGAAGCCTGCGAGGGAGGGTGGTGTCCACTGCCCAGTTCCGTGTCCCGATGCCCAGCGCCAGCGCCAGCCGCAAGAGTCAGGAGAAGCCGCGGGAGATCATGGACGCGGCGGAAGTGGGTTTCCTCCTTTCCTGGGCCTGGGAGGACAGACCCCTGGGCCGGGCTGCGCCGAGGGAGGGAGGAGGGGGAGTGGGGCCCTACAGGTCCTTGTCGGCACGTTCTCCGCAGGCTGCGGGCGTGGGGTCCGGGCGCCTAGAGCCCTTGCCCCAGCAGTGGGGCCAGACCCTCTCCGGACCGCGTTTCTTGCGGGGGTCACCTGGGAGTTTGGCCTACTAGAAGCGTGTCCCCGGGGTGGGGAGGACGGGAAGAACCAGCCGCCCCGGAAGTAGGAGCGCGGCGTCACACTTGAGTCTCTCTGGGTTAGGCACGTCCTGCACGTAATGCACAATCCCTGGGAAAATTTTAATAAGCACTAGTAATCGATATGTACTCAGCCCTCGTGTTCCTAATGCTTTAGCAAGTAATGACAGTACTTAGCAAAACCATCTGCCAATATGTTTAATGACCATTTCCCATGTGACAGCTTTAAAGAACACATGTCATTTTTATTTACTTTCTCCCTCTCAGTGACCCGGTAAGGTAGGTAATAGGAGTTACCGAGAATGCATTTGAGGTGAAGTGACCCCAAATCACGTGGATAATTCATAACACCCAGTGATCCTTCGGTGCTTTTCAGAAATCAAAGTTTGAAACCATCCTACAAGTTATGTGTGCTGTAGTACTGTTAAGCCTTAATTTCCGTCTGGCTCCCTAATTTTTCTATAAGGAGTTCTGAGTTTGTGGTAAGCAACATGAGAAGTAAGGTCATCTTAGAATACTAAATGAGGAAGAGTCACTGAAATATTAATAGTACTAATTATGAATGCAACTTTTTTGTCCTTCACACAATTTAATCTCCTTCTGTTGCCCTCAGGCTTCATTGTGTGACTGTATCTCTCTACTCTGGCCAGGGTTATCTTTTTCTTTAAATTGTTCAGTAAGCGCCTTAAACATGTCTGGTTTTATTTTGGTGTAAACACAAAATCCAGCACCCTCCTGCTCTAAAGGAGAGGATTCCAACAGGTAGCTGTAAAGTGACAGAAACTTAATTGTTTCATACAGATCTTAAGTTACCTTGTAAAAACTAGGGCAATTATTTTTGTGTACTCTTAATCTGCTTAATTACATAAACTATCAGTGTACCCTTACAGATAGTATAGGTCTAGATACAAGGTAGACATTGTGGCAGAGTTATGCCATTTTATAGCTAGAAGAATCTTAGATCATTTTAGAGGTAAAGTAAGATTGAAATAAAGGCCACTTATCTATTTAATAAGTATATTTTGTTAACAGATTGGACCCTAGGTCTTCTGTTTCCTGTTCCTAACTCTAATCTGTAACAAGAAATTTGATATTATTATATTGTCAGTGTCAAACTCCTGTAACCTGGTATCCTGAATCTGGTTTTTAGAAACAGGAAGCTGGTGAATTTTTTGATGATGTTTTACAAAAGGAAAGTTGTAGTTAGCTTATACCCAGCATCTCCAGTTTCTAAAAACTGTGGACATCTGGTGCTCAGAAAGCTTACCCAAAACGTTGGTTCTCTTTGAACATTTCTTCCTGTAATAGGAAGTTAATAAAACTGTGGTACTTCATCCTACTCCCTTCACAGAGGAAATTTATGTCCCTGCTTTGAAGTAGTTTCATCTTTTTGAAGAAGGTAGTTAAGATGTGTTGTACATATGTGTAAATTTTATCTGAGAATGTTATTAAGTATGGTAAATCCATCTAGGAGTGGTGATCTTCAAAACAAACTAACCAGAAACAGTACTTTTCTGTTTTCTGTAGAGTACATATGTAAATGAATGAGAGATTTCCACATTATGAAACTACTGACTTTCTGAATTAATAAAATGATCCTGAAAGTTAAATTCATTTTTATATTCTATTATTAGTATTTATGTGTTTACTGTGCTCTTAGTGTTTACATAAAAAGTCACGATGCAAAAAACTTTTTTTGTAGGATTATGCTAAAGAGAGATATGGAATATCTTCAATGATACAATCACAAGAAAAACCAGGTTAGTAGCTATGTGACAGTAAATAAAGCTTTTTTGCTTTCTAATTCCAGGAAAGCTCTAAATGAAATTTTAAGTAAGGTTGGCATAAATCTGAAGGTATAATTCTGAAAAGCTTAAATGACATTAATAATCCAAGTAGATGTCATAACCCTGTGTAAACATTGTCAGTTTAGGGTTCCAACTCTAGAAAAGGAAAAAAAATGTTATTAGGTATTGTAGGTTAAATGGTATGTTTTAAATGGTAGATTATATTTTTTAAATATTCCTAAATTATTAGGTAAGATTCAACCGTTGTCTAGGAGATAGGAGAGTGGCTAATAACTGCCTTCATCACATGTAGCCTTTTTGCATGCTTTAATAAAGCTACCTCTTTTACTTCCCCCAACCCCCACAACTTTACTTCTCTGACTGTTTTTAGCTATTATTTATTCCTATTTTGCTTGACTCTTCCCAAACATTTATATTTTCACTTATTCTCTACAGCATCCTTGAAAACTAAGGAACCAAAGTTGAAAGATAAGAAACTTGACTTACACAGAGTCTGCCAGACTTGGGATTAGAACCAAAGGCCATCTGACCCTAGAGTCCATGGGTCCTTCCATCTTACATCTTCTCTGGCTTCTTTGGCAGTACTATGATTTGAGTTTTAAAGCCTCCACCCCCACTCCATTTTGTTTACTCGTAGCTTTAGTGTCTGGGAATGAAATGAATTATTCTTAGACCCCAGTCTATCTTTTCTTATAACCGCTCTTTTTTGTTAGTGTATGTTGGCATCTTTATATTTCTTTTTTTTTTTTTTGGGAGACAGAGGCTCGCTCTGTCGCCCAGGCTGGAGTGCAGTGGCATGATCTCGGCTCACTTCAACTTCCGCCTCCCAAGTTCCTACAATTCTCCTGCCTCAGCCTCCTGAGCAGCTGGGACTACAGGCGCACACCGCCACGCCTCACTTTTTTTTTGTATTTTAGTAGAGATGGGGTTTCACTGTGTTGCCCAGGCTGATCTCGAACTCCTGAACTCAAGGCAATCCACCCACCTCGGCCTCCCAAAGTGCTAGGATTACAGGTGTGAGCCACCGCACCCGGCCTTATATTTCTTTGAAATTGACCTGACTCATGTTGTTTCTCTCAGACCTGTAGATTTTTTATTTATAAATGTTTGCCTTTCTTTTACTTCTATTCTATATATGTAATTTCAACAGATTTGTCTTACTTAACTATTTGACAGTAATTTTTCTTTTGGTAGACACTTCAAATTACGTCTCTCACTCTTTGGTGCAGTAATTGTAGACGTTTACATTCTTGCCCATTGGAAGCACTGCTTCCAGTTTAGAGGGCTGCCTATGAATATTATGCTTTGGAAATAAAACACCTCTAGGTTAATTTTATTGTTATATTTGATTTGCCACATGATCACAAAATCACTTTTCTTTCCCAGGCTTGTTGGGAAAGAATACAATAAAAGACCAAAATTCAGAGACTGAGTTGGGAGGATCACTTGAGCCCAGGAATTTGAAACTAGCCTGGGAAACATAGTGAGACCCCATCTCTACAGAAAGTAAAAAAATTAGCTAGGCGTGGTGGCATACACCTTTTATCCCAGCTACTCAGGAGGCTGATGGGAGGATCACTTGAGCCTGTGAGGTCAAGGCTGCGGTGAGCCACGATCACACCACTGGACTTCAGCCTGGGCAACAGAGTGAGACCCTGTCAAAAAAAAAAAAAAGCCAAAATTTCTGAAAATCATTTCCAAAACATAAAGATGAAATAAAGTAATTGAGTACAGGTTGAGTATCCCTTAGCCAAAATGCTTGAGACCACAAAAGTGTTTTGGACTTTATTTTTTTGGACTTTGGAATATTTGCATTATATTTACCACTTGAGCATCCCTAATCTGAAAATCCAAAATCCTCCGATGAGCATCTCCTTTGACCATCATGTCAGCACTCAAAAAGTTTTGGATTTGGGAGCATTCCGGGTTTTCGGGTTAGGAATGCTCAACCTATGTAAAATAGACTATGAGCAATAGAGTATAGGGGATGATATTCCTCTGCCAGGGCAAGCAGGAGGAGACACTTGAGACTTTGTTTTCAGGTTAGGTGTCTTTCTCAACTGTACTTCCTTGAGCTGTAACACAAAGAAGCTCACTGGAGTTTAGGTCTTTAACATAGGCCCAAAGCAGCCATTAACATAATTGCTGTTGTTCTTTTGCTGGCAAATCCACAGACAGTTGCGTTCTTCCACTTAGAGAGAAAGATAACCTATGTATGTAAAATTCGGCCTTTGGTTTTACCTCTGCAAAAATGCCAATTCTTTGCTCAAGGTGGTTTCCTTTCTCATCTGCTTCCATTTCTCTGCATTAATCACTCTGATGCCCATGACTCTTAAAAGTGCAGTTTTCAAACTGAAATCCTACTACCTTGGTTGTTACTGGTTAGCCAGTCATAGTGATGTGAGTATGGCATGGGCTTCGGGTATGTTCGGGTGTATTAAAGGTTGAGAACCCCTATGCTAGTTAATTGCCATGCCACAAGAAAGAAGAGCCATTACCCTTTTTCTTCTCCAAAGTGCTAGTAAAATTATCCTAATTATCGCATATCTCTTAGACTTCTGCTTTTCTGTTTTGTGTGGTTTTGAGTTGTGATTGCTTGGTTAGCCATTGCTTTTTCAGTCTTGGCATTTTCAAATCTGCCTTTTAAAATCTTCTGCTGATGTGTCTGTCTTTTCTCTTTCACGCTTTCTTTTGCCTGAGTTTACACAGCAGACTTGGAAGTTGGCTTAACTCATAAAGTCTGTTGGCAGTGTTTTGCAGAAATCCTCTTGTGATGCCAGTGGCTTTAAAATTCCTCTTTCATTCTCTTTGCTTTTGGCTATGAGAACCGTGTTATTTATTCTCCTGTAAATCAGATTCTCTCTGCAGCTGCATCTTTTCTTCAATAGGCAAATTATAAATACATTTAGAAAAATTCGGTAAGACATACAGTATTTATAATTTGACTTTATGTCTCAAAAGGTATTCTCGATATTGTAATGTCATGTCTATTGCTATGTTTAATTTAACTAATACTTAAATGTTTTTCTCTAATCAAATGATTGCATTTAGAAGAGTAGCAAAAATGATTGTTGAATGTTGCGTTGTATACACATCTTTACATAACAGTTGTTTTGTAGCTGTTTTCCTGTTTAGGAACTCTAGATGAATGTAGTATTTTGTTTAGTATTAGGAGCATAATAGTTGGGGCTCACTTACAGCCAAAAGGCTCGATAGGGAAATGTATGAGATGACATCAAGCATGATTGGATCTTGGGGCTCAGGAAGCATCTACAGGCCTTTCTCTCTCCAGCTTTTGGCTCTGTTTCCTTTAGGATATTGGCCTCCTTCTCGAATCCTGCAAACATAGCAGGAAAGGTGAAAGCTGCAGCCCTGGGCCTGCACCATGTCAGCGCAGCAATCCCAGGAAAGAGAGCTTCATTCCCAGCATCTGTATATTTAGTCCCAGAGAAAGACTTGCATTAGCTCAGTTAGAGTCACTGCATCCTGGGGAATAGGATACTGCGACTGTTCAGACTTGGTAGAGACTAGCTGACTTAGGTACTGTGGCAGGCAGGCAAAAGTTCCATGTCCTAGGCAGGATAGGCTGTGTTTGGCCTTACAAGTCATTGAAGTGTTCAGATTTGCATTTTGAAACTGTCTGACTTCAAAGGAGACTGAATTAGAAGGGGACACAGGGATTGCAGTTAGGAAGCTATTGCTGTAGTTCAGGTGGGAGACAATAGCTTGGTTTAGTATGGCGGCAGTGAAGATGGTAGAGAAATAGACGGATTTTAAAAATATGTTTAGAAAGCACAGTTCACAAAACTTGAGGCAAATTGCACATGGAACATGATAGAGAAGACAGTGTTGTCAAAGATTGAGAATTATTCAGGATGGTTCCAAGTACTTATGCTAGCTGTCAAAAATAATTATGATCTCTTTGTAAATTCTGAATTTAAAAATTATTTTACTATATAAAAATCGTTTACTGTTATTACAGATCGAGTTTTGGTTCGGGTTAGAGACTTGACAATACAAAAAGCTGATGAAGTTGTTTGGGTACGTGCAAGAGTTCATACAAGCAGAGCTAAAGGTAGGATTGGTTTCATTATTAAAGCTCTTTCGGTAAGGACTCCGAATTTTTTGTCTTACATATTCCTCACAGACCAAAGTAAATCTTTAAAAACAAAACAAAAACATGTAACTTTTCTTTCTTAAAAGTCACTGTAAAGTATTAACCCATGGTTAATCAATTTTAGATTCCTGTAAAACATCCTTACAAATAATTTGACCCTAAAGACTGATGAAATCTAAGACTTCAAGCTACTTTTCTAGCATCGCTCTAAAGTTTAATTATTTTCAGCTGGAGAAGGAGTAGCTAAAAAAAAAAAAAAATTGAAAAAAAAGAGTAAACTTTAATTATTTAAGTGAAGAGTGTTTTTGAGAAACTTCCCGTTTGTTAATATTTTTATATTTGTAATTATCTAGATGAGGAGAGAAGTGAACAAAAGATAAGACTGGGCAATTCAATACAGTAACCACTGACCACATGCAGCTATTTACATTTAAATTCAGTAATTCCGTCACACTAGCTGTATTTCAAGAGCTTAATGACCACATGTGGCTAACGGCTCCCATTTTGGACAGACAGCACAAATACAGAATATTCTCATCATAGAAAGTTCTTTCAGACAGTGCTAAAAATTTAGCCTCAACAACAGAGAAGAAACGTTAGGATCATTTAGACAGACCCTGTTCTTATAGAAAATTGGCCTACTGTAGTGTTCAGAATTGTCTAAAAATATCAATTGACACACTAGTTTATAACTTTATACTTTTCATACTTTTTCACATTTGATCATCCCTGCAAGTTTGTGAAGTAGGCAGAACAAGCATTCCTATTCCACTTTATAAATGAGGAAACACGTTCAGAATGAAGCTACTTGCCCAAAGTCTCATAGTAATTGGTGGAGTATAAACAGAAGCTAGAAGCTTTCTAAGACATCTCCGTCTCTTTAGCAGAGTTCTTTGCTTCTGTAGTATTTAATATGTCCCATGATAATAGCATTTTTTAATTGTGTTTTATAATATTTTTATTGTAGAATTAATACATGCCCATTATTTTAAAAATTCTACTTTGCTTCTATAGTATTTAATATGTCCCATGATATATAGCATTTCTTTCCTTTTTTCTTTTTTTCTTTTTTTTTTTTTTTTTTTTTTTGAGACAGAGTCTTGCTCTGTCACCCAGGCTGGAGTGCTGTGTTGCGATCTCGGCTCACTGCAATCTCTGCCTCCAGGGTTCAAGTGATTCTCCTGTCTCAGCCTCCCAAGTAGCTGGGATTACAGGCATGCGCCACCATGCCTGGCAAAGTTTTGCATTTTTAGTAGAGACAGAGTTTCACCATGTTGGCCAGGCTGGTCTTGAACTCCCGACCTCAGGTGATCCTCTCGCCTTGGCCTCCCAAAGTGCTGGGATTACAGGCATAAGTCACTGCACCCAGCCGATAGAGCATTTCTTAATTGTGTTTTATAATTTTTTTATTGTAGAATTAATACATGCCCATTATTTTTAAAATTCCAGCACTTTATACATACATTTCACTCTTAGGGCCACCATTGTTAAGAGTTTGTCTATTCTTTCAGTATCCTCCCCTGATGAATACTGACAGACTTTGAGAAGAGTACTGGTGGAGTTTTAAATTTTCAAATAATGTTGATTTGCCTTCCTGAAAGGTTGGGCCATTTATTCTGCCAATAGTCAGTCACATTGTATTATAATCCTTCATTTACTCGTCTCTCTCCCGTTATACTGAGAGCCTTTGTTCTGTCCAAATGGGGCACTTTTTCCTAAACATAGTAATTTAGCAAATTAAAAGATAGAATGCATGCTACAAGTAAGCCTGAACCAAGAATATTTCCCTTCACACCCATCCCTTTATTTTACGACTGCCATGTCTGTTTCTTCTTAACAGTTAAAACTCATGAGTGATACTTCCCAGTGGTTATGAATAAGACCTTTTCAGTGAGACAGATGTGTGTTTGAATCCTGGATTTGTGCTTACAATCTGTTTACTCTACGCAAATTGCATAACCTTTCCAATCCTCAGTGTCTTCTCTTAAAACAAGTATATATTAATACCTAGCTTATAAGATGTTATGTAGTAATATTTATAAAGTATTTAGCTCTATGCTTGGTGCAGTGTAAGCCTTCGATAATTGAGTCATGTTAATGAGCATGACAGTTACTTACTTGCCTTCCATCGTAGTTTTTTGTGGGTCTTATTTCCTGTTGTCAGCTCTTGGAAGGTGCTACTGCTTATTTTCTTGCTTTGTTTGGTACACAACACATAATAAGAACCCTACCGAATAATAGATGAATAAAACAGGTGTTTTATACACATATAATAGAGCATTGTCTTCTGGGTCTTGTTCTTGCTGTCCAGTAGCTCACTCTAATTGAGATCAGCATGTAAGTATGAAGCATCACGTAAGTGAAAAAATATACAGGTTGAGTATCCCTTATCCAGAATGCTTGGGACTGGAAGTGTTTTGGATTTTGGATTTTTTTTTTTTTTTTTTTTGGAATATTTGCATTACTGGCTGAGCATCCCAAATCTGAAATCCAAAATGCTCCAATGAGCATGTTTTTTGAGAGTCATGTCGGCACTCAAAAAGTTTTTGGATTTTGAAACATTGCACATTTTCGGATTTGAGAATGTTCTTCCTGTACCATCTGCTAGTGTTTTTTTTTCCATTTGTGACAAATTATTTTAGTCTCTTAATTGATAGTGCCTCCTGCCTCAAAACATGAAACAAATTGCAAGGTGTAAGGACTTTATTGATGATATGAGCTAATCATGGTGGGTGGATAGGGAGAATTTATGAGTGTCAATGTTATGAACAGACTGAACGGTTTAAAACTTTCTTAAGAGTTTTTAATTGAGGAATTTCATAGCACTTTTTATTAGTATATTAACTGTTATTCTATCTCAAAAAAATAAATTATTTATGGGTATTGGGGAATTTTGGAGGGGCTAAATGCTAATTGCACTATTTTAAAACTCAAACAGCACAAAAACTAAAGAATAAAGCAGAAAGTGTAATTCACTTGTTCTGCTCCCAAGAGAATAAAAACACTGTGAAAGTTTGAAATGATAGAAATTGCTTTAAACAAAAATTGATACTTTTTCTTTTACAAAAGTGAGTTCATATGCTGTATCAGTGTTTTATGTAGCTCTACATGATCATTTACAATATTTTTAATTTGCAAAATTGAAAAATTTATTCTAGATTATAAAAGTAATAACCATTTTTTGTTAAATACTCAAGCATTATAGAATTAAATCAGGTATAAAGTGGAAAACTGACTGTAATCCTTCTTTACAGATTTGTGGGTTTTTTTGGTTGGTTTGTTTGAGGTGGAGTCTTGCCCTGTCACTCAGGCTGGAGTGCAGTGAGGCAATCTCAGCTCATTGCAACCTCTGCCTCCTGGGTTGAAGCAATTCTCGTGCCTCAGCCTCCCAAGTAGCTGGGATTACAGGTACCTGCCACCACATCCAGCTAATTTTTGTATTTCTAGTAGAGATGAGGGCTTTTTTTTTTTTTTTTTTGAGTCAGGGTCTTGCCCTGTCACACAGGCTGGAGTGCAGTGGTGTGGTCTCGGTTCACTGCAGCCTCCTTAGCTAGGACTACAGGCATGCGCCACCATGCCCAGCTGATTTTTGTATTTTTAGTAGAGACAAGGGTCTCACCATGTTGGCCAGGGTGGTCTCAAACTCCTGACCTCAGGTGATCTGCCTACCTCGACCTCCCAAAGTGCTGGGATTACAGGCTTCAGCCACTGTACCCAGCCTCAGATTTGTTTTTATGAGGAAGTTGAGGGTCAATGTGAGTGTATATGTGTGTTTGAGCTAAAATTTTTATAATACTCTGTATTATTTTATAACTTGCACTTTTCTTTATCTTTTGGATATCTTTTCATGTCTGTGCGTATAGGTTTTTTTTGTTTGTTTGTTTTTTGAGACAGAGTCTCGCTCTGTCGCCCAGGCTGGAGTGCAGTGGCACAGTCTCCGCTCACTGCAAACTCCGCCTCCCAGGTTCACATCATTCTCCTGCCTCAGCCTCCCAAGTAGCTGGGACTACAGACACCTGCCACCACGCCCGGCTAATTTTTTTGTATTTTTAGTAGAGACGGGGTTTCACTATGTTAGCCAGAATGGTCTCGATCTCCTGACCTTGTGATCCACCCACCTCAGCCTCCCAAAGTGCTGGGATTACAGGCGTGAGCCACTATGCCCGGCCGCATCATTGTTTTTTAATGGTTTCATAGTATTTCATAGTATGGCTATATTTTTTTACATATATTTTATTTTTCTCATTTGTATAAAGTTCAGATTTATCCATTGTTGCTTTAATTTGTGTTTCAGTCATTGGTTAGATTAAACTTCTTTTCCTGATATGTTAACTATTTTGAACTTCTTTTATATATTGTTTGTTCTTGCCCTGTTCCTATTTTATTAAAAAAGAACAAATAATTTTCTCCAAGTCTGTTTGCATTTCAGTTTTTTGAGGCGAAGAGAGGCATTACAAATGATGATCATTATGTCCTTTTCTTTCAAATGTTTGTATCTCATTTCTTGTTTCTCTTTGCAATACTAGTAGGTTCTCTAGTACTTCAGGGATTCACACAATGAAGAATTTTTGAAAGAGCAGAAATTCCAGTTCTAAATGAATGATTTTGAGTTTAAGGTTCTACATAAAATGTCATTAGAAAATAAATGGCAAAGTTTTAAAAAGTAGATTAAAAGTAGTTTCCCAGCCAAGTTTTCTGTTTGTCAGGAGGAGATGTTGAATTTTATCAGACCTTTTTCTAGCATTTCTTCCCTTCAAAATATAATTGTGTTATGTGATGTATATGTAGAGAGGTTCATTATACTATTCACTCTGCTTTTGTGTTTGTTGGAAATTTTCTGTGTAATAAAATAAATTTTAACGTAGTTGATCCTCATTATTCGTGGACTGCATATTCGCAAATTCACCTACTGGCTAAAATGTATTTATAACCCCAGAACACTTGCAGCACTTTTGTGGTCATTCTCAGTCATGCCAGACCTGTACATGTGCAGAGTGGCAGAGTATTTGCGTCATCCAGTACACACATTCCCAATTAAAGTCAAACACAGTAATGTTCTGCCTTCTTGTTTCAGCTCTCATACTGTAAATAAGCGTCCCTTTCACAGTCTCTTTAATGCCACATTTATGCCTTTTAAAAAAGGACTTTTAAAAACTTTTGTGTGGGTACATAGTAGGTGTATATATTTTTGGGGTACATAATAGGTGTATATATTTATGAGGTACTTGAAATATTTTGAAACAGGCATGCAGTGTGTAATAATCACATCATAGAAGATTGGGTATGCATCCCCTCAAGCATTTATTCTTTGTGTTACATACAATCCAGTTATATTCTTTTAATTATTTTTATTTTTTAAATTTTATTTATTTTTTGAGACAAGTATGGCCCAGGCTGGCGTGCAGCCGTGTGATCTCAACTCACTGCACCTGTGGCTCCTAGGCTCAAGCCATCCTCCCACAGCCTCCTGAGTAGCTGGGACTACAGGCACATGTCACCACGCCCAGCTAATTTTTATTTTTTATTTTTTCATTTTTTTTGTAAAGATGGGGTTTTGCCATGTTGCCCAGGCTGGTCTGAAACTCATGAGCTCAAGCTATCTATCCACCTCAGCCTCCCAAAGTGCTTGGATTACAGGTGTGAGCCACCACGACACCCAGTCATTCTTTTAGTTATTTTTAAATGTACAATTATTATTGGCTGTAGTCCCCCTGTTCTGCTATCAAATACTAGGTCTTACTCATTCTTTTTTTTTTTGGTACCCATTAATTTTCCCAGGGCCCCCCACCTTCAACCCCTATTACCCTTCCCAGCCTCTGTTAACTATCTTTCTATTCTCTATATCCATGAGTTCAATTGTTTTGATTTTAAGATCCCACAAGTAAGTGAGAATATGCGATGTTTGTCTTTCTGTGCCTGGCTTATTTCACTTAAAATGACCTCCAGTTCCATCTATGTTGTTGCAGATGATAGGATCTCATTCTTTTTTATGGCTGGATAGTACTCCATTGTGTATATGTAGCACATTTTCTTTATCCATTCATCTGTTGATGGATACTTAGGTTGCTTCCAAATATTGGCTGTTGTGAATGCTGCTGCAGTAAACATGAGAGTGCAGATATCTCTTCGATACACTGATTTCCTTTCTTTTGGGTATATACCCAACAGTGGGATTGCTGGATCATGTGGTAACTCTATTTTTAGTTTTTTGAGGAACCTCCAAACTGTTCTACATAGTGATTGTACTAATTTACATTCCCACCAGCAGTGTACCAGGGTTCCCCTTCCTCCACATCCTCACCAGCATTTGTTATTTGACTTTTTGATATAAGCCTTTTTAACTGAAAGGAGATGATACCTCATTGTAGTTTTGATTTGCATTCCTCTGAAGATCAGTGATGATGAGCACTTTTTCATATGCCTTTTTGCCATTTGTATGTCTTCTTTTGAGAAATGTCTATTTAAATCTTTTGCCCATTTTAAAATTGTATTAGATTTTTTTCCTGTAGAGTTGCTTGAGCTCCTTATGTATTCTGGTTAGTAATTCCTCGTCAGATGGGTAGTTTGTAAATACTTTGTCCCATTCTGTGGGTTGTCTCTTCACTTTGTTGATTGTTACCTTTACTGTGCAGAAGCTTTTTAACTTGATGTGATCCCATTTGTCCATTTCTACTTCAGTTGCCTGTGCTTGTGGAGTATTACTCAAGAAATTTTTGCCCAGACCAGTGTCCTAGAGGGTTTCCCCAATGTTTTCTTGTAGTATTATAGTTCAAAGTCTTAGATTTAAGTCTTCAATTCATTGTGATTGATTTTTATATAAGGTAAGAGATGGGATCAAGTTTTAGTCTTTTGCATATGGATATCCAGTTTTCCCAGCACCGTTTATTGAAAAGACTATTTTCCCCCATGTATGTTATTGGCACCTTTGTCAAAAATGAGTTTACTGTAGATGTGTGGATCTGCTTCTGGATTCTCTCTTCTGTTCCACTGGTCTGTGTGTCTGTTTTTATGCCAGTACCAAGTTGTTTTTGGTTACTATAGCTCCGTAGTATAATTTGAAGGTAAGTAGTGTGATTCCTCCAGTTTTATTATTTTTGCTCAGCATAGCTTTGGCTATTCTAGGTCTTTTGTGATTTCATGTAAATTTTAGGATTTTTTTTTCTATTTCTGTGGAGAATGTCATTGGCATTTTGATAGGGATTGCACTGAATATGTAGATTACTTTGAGTAGTATTTAACAATATTGATTCTTCCCATCCATGAACATGGAATATCTTTCCATTTTTTGTGTTTCCTCTTCAATTTCTTTCAATAGTGTTCTATAGTTTTTAGAGATCTTTCACTTCTTTGGTTAATTCCTAGGTGTTTAATTTTATTTGTGGTTATTGTATGTGGGATTACTTTTTTTTATTTCTTTTTCACATTGTTCACTATTGGCATATAGAAAAATGCTACTGACATTTATATGTTGATTTTGTATCCTTCAACTTTACTGATTACTGAATTTATCCGTTCTGATAGGTTTTGCTGGAGTCTTTAGGTTTTTCCAAATATAAGATCATAGCATCCACAAAAAAGGATAATTTTACTTCTTCCTTTCCAATTTGGATGCCCTTTATTTTTTTCTCTTATCTGATTGCTCTAGCTAAGATTTCTAGTCCTATGTTGAATAACAGTGGTGAAAATGAGCATCCTTGTCGTGTTCCAGATCTAAGAGAAAAGGATTTCAGTTTTTCCTCATTCAGTACAATACTAGCTGTGTGTCTGTCGTATATGGCTTTTATTATGTTAAGGTATGTTCCTTCTATGCCCAGTTTTTGGGGGGTTTTTATCATGAAGGGATTTGAACTTTATCAGCTGCTTTTTTAGCATCAGTTGGAAATGATCATATCGCTTTTGTCCTTCATCCTGTTGATACAATGTATTACATTGATTGATTTGTATATTTTGAACCTCCTTGCATCCCTGAGATAAATCCCACTTGGTCACGATGAATGATCTTTTTACCGTATTGTTGAATTTGGTTTGCTAGTATTTTGTTGAGGATTTTTGCATCAGTATTTATCAGAGATAGTGGTCTGTAGTTTTCTTTTTCTGATCTATCTTTGGTTTTGGTGCCAGGGTAATACTGGCCTCTTAGAATGAGTTTGGAAGTATTTTCTCTTCCTCTGTTTTTTGGAACAGTTTGAGTAGGATTGGTGTGAGTCCTTTAAATGTTTAGTAGAATTCAGCAGTAAAGCCATCAGGTCCTGGGCTTTTCTTTATTGGGAGACTTTTTATTACGGCTTTAATCTTGTTGTTTGTTACTGGTCTGCTCAGATTTTGGATTTCTTCATGGTTCAATCTTGGTAGGTTGTATGTGTCTAGAAATGTCCATTTCTTCTAGATTTTCCAACTTATTGGCATATATTGCTTATAGTAGCCACTAATCTTTTGAATTTCTATGGTATCAGTTGTAATGTCTCCTTTTTCATCTCTAATTTTATTTATTTAGGTCTTTTCTCTTTTTTCCTTAGTCTGGCTAAAAGCTTGTCATTTTTGTTTATCTTTTCAAAAAACCAACTTTTTGTTTCATTGATCTTTTATATTGTTTCCTTTATTTCAAATTCATTTATTTCTGCTCTGATCTTTATTAGTTCTTCTGATTTTGGGTTCAGTTTATACTTTTCTAGTTCTTTAAGATGCATTGTTAGGTTATTTGAAGTTCTTTTTTTAGGTAGATACTTATAATTTTCCTCTTAGTACAGCTTTCACTGTATCCCATATGTTTTGGCATGTTGTTTCCATTATCATTTGTTTCAAGAAATTTTTTGATTTCCTTAATTTCTTCATTGACCCACTGGTCATCCCAGAGCATATTGTTTAATTTCCATGTGTTTATATAGTTTCCAGAATTTCTCATTATTGATTTGTAGTGTTATTCTGTTGTGGTCCAAGAAGATGCTTAATGGGCTCTTTTTTTTTTTTTTTTTTTTTTTTGAGACAGGGTCTCACTATGTTGCCCAGGCTAGAGTACAGTGGTTATTCACAGGTATGATTGCAGCGCACTGCAGCCTCCAACTCTTGGCCTCATACAATCCTCCTGCCTCACCCTCCCAAGTAGCTGCGACTGTAGTTATGCACCACTGTGCCCAGCTTGCTTTTGCCTTTTAAAATGGCCCCAAGTATGGTTCTCAAATGTTTCTAAAGTTCGGAAGCACAAGAAGACTGTGCTGTTCCCTTAAGAAGAAAATACCTGTGTTTAGATATGCTTTGTTTAGGCATGAGTTACAGTGCCCTTGGCCATGAGTTAAGTGTTAATGGCTCACCAATATATATTAAGGTATCTTTAAACAGAAACACACACAAAAGAAGGTTATGTATTAATCAGTTGGCAAAAATATTGTGACCATAAGCGTGAAGAAACCTAACCCTAAACTTCCCTCAGGAGCAATGATTCAGTATGCCCTAATTCAGTATTGTGGCAGCTTTACAGAGCATAACTTCTATAAATAACAAGAATCAACTTTATGTAATTGCAGTGAGTGACAATAATGTATTTTATAACATTGAACCATTTTTAGATTCTTTGAATAAACTCAATTTGGCAAAGGTGCGGGTGGCTTTTTTTTTTTTAGTATAGTGCTTGTTTAACTTACTTTTTGTGGAATTTTGCATTTATAATCTGGTCTTCATCATTTTTAACTGGAAAATTCTATTCTAAGTTATAATACTTAATGTAAGTTACTCAAATAATACATTAATACTTGCACACGAATCTTTAAAAGAATACAGAAATAATGATACTCCCTTTTTTCTTCTATACTACCTATCCTCTGCCCCAACCTTTTCTATTCATTCTTTTTTTTATTATTCATTCTTAATTTGTTCTGTGTCTTTCCAAATCTTTATAATGCACGTATGTGCACATACACACCCACACACACAGTTTGTTTTATTTTGGATGTGTGTATGTTTAATATGTCTTGTTATACTTTACATATTATTTTTCAACTTTTTAAAATAATTAACAGTGTTTCTTGGAAACCCTTCCATGATAACTAGTTACAGATCTACACGAGGTAGTATTTCTCCAAGATGGGTGTATAGAAATGAAATTGCTGGGTTAAAGGGCATGCATATGCATTTTTAAAATTTCTAATACTAGATCATCCTCCCAAGAGGTTGTATTCAAATATATTCCCACAGGTATGTCACAGTACCACTTTCTCCACATCCTTGCTGCCATGGTTTCGTTATTTTTCCCATGCTATATTGAAACTTAATCCTGGTCAGGCACGGTGGCTCACATGTGTAATCCCAGCACCTTCAGGGGCTTAGGCAGGGTGGATCACTTGAATCCAGGAGTTCAAGACCAGCCTGGCCAACATGGTAAAACCCCATCTCTACTAAAAATACAAAAAATAGCCGGGCATCATGGCACACGCCTGTAATCCCAGCTACCTGGGAGTCTGAGGCATGAGAATCACTTGAACCCAGGAGGCGGAGGTTGCAGTGAGCTGAGATCGCACCACTACACTCCAGCCTGGGTGACAGAGTGAGACTCTGTCTCAAAAAAAAAAAAAAAAAAAAAGCTGAATCCCCAGTGTGGCATTGTTGAAAGGTGAGGCCTTTAAGAGGTGATTGGGTCATGAGGGCTCTACCCCCTTGAATGGATTATCACAGGAGTGGCATTAGTGACTTTATAAGGAGACCTAAACTAGCACACTCAGCTTTTCACCTTGATGCCCTCTGCCACCTTAGGGCTCTGCAGAGTCCCCACCAGCAAGAAGGCACTTACAAGTTGTGTCCCTTCAACTTTGGACTTCCCAGCCTCCAGAACTTTAAAAAAATAAGTTTGTTTCCATATAAATTACCCAATTTCAGATACTCTGTTACAAGCAACAGAAAACGTACTGAGACACTTGTCAGCAGTGATTGTCAGTGTTTTTTATTTCTGCCAATGTAGATTATCTTTATTTATTTTTTGAAACAGAGTCTTGCTCTGTTGCCCAGGCTGGAGTGCAGTGATATGATCTCAACTCACTGCAACCTCCACCTGCCGGGTTCAAGTGATTCTCCTGCCTTAGCCTCCCAAGTAGCTGGCTGGGACTACAGGCATGCACCACCATATCCAGCTAATTTTTATATTTTTAGTAGAGTCGGGGTTTCACCATTTTGGCCAGGCTAGTCTCAAACTCCTGACCTCAGGTGATCTGCCCACCTTGGCCTCCCAAAGTGCTGGGATTACAGATGTGAGCCACTGCCCCCGGCCGTAGATTGTGTTTAAGAATAAAATCTTGTGCTCTGAATTTGCAAAAACCCTGATTGCTAGTACCCTCTTCTTCCTATATCTTATGTACGAAAAATCATATCAATAAATATGACTTACTTGGGATCGTTTGTGTGCTTTAACCCCAGGAGTAATATATTAAAGCTGGGCTTCAAGAAACAACTCATGGTGGCAGTTTCTAGTAGAGCAAAGCCCTGAGAAACTGTGAATAAGGAAATGGAAGTGTCAAAATCCTAGTGTCAAAAGTATGACATTTAGAATCCTATAATGCAAAAATAAGAGTCTCTTCGTATAAAAAAACAAAACAAGAAAAGCCTGTATATTTTTTCCTTAAGGGCAGTGTTTCAGACATTTTTTAAAATGAAAATCAGATTTCTTATGGTAGGTTTATATATAACATCCCTAAAGTGAAGTGTTTTAAATAGGAGCAAGGAGAAATTTCTTACCTTAATGATATGCTTAAAATTAGTTTCTTTCAAGCGTGAAACATATGAGCATAAGTCTGCATATTGAAAGAGTAATTGGAATGTCTGTCATTCCTTTCAAATTTTATACGTACCATGTGGAAGGCACTGGCACAAAATAATTATTTCAGCACTATTCTTCCTAAAAACTTACTTACACTTCCAAAATAACTTCAACTTAAATCTATGCAGGAACATTTCAGGGGAAGCAATAAGTGGAAAATACTTCAGAACGTTGAGATCTTTGTTGTTTTAATCCCTAATTGATTAATACAAATCATGAAGGAAAATATTAAGGTTGGATATTAGGAAGTTAAGGTACATTATCTAAATAATGAATCCAGGGGGCTTAGCAAGCTAAAAGTCAGCAGGAAGAGATGAAAACATAGGATTGCCTCACATCTTTGATACTCTGGTTCTCCCATGAAGGCCTATTTCATTGCTGAGCCATCACCATAATGGAGCTGAGAAGAAACTTTTTGTCCTAACTACCTACCATGTTTGTTCTTCAGCTCAGAAATAAAGACTTCACGATAAAAAATTTCTGACTTTACATTTTTCTAAAACACTACATCCATATAAACTTAAGAAATAAACTGCTTCTTCTGAAAACTTAATCAAAATGCAGCACAAAGTTTTAAGTGTTAAGAATTTAAATTTAAAATATCAAAAGATAGACCAGGCTTGTAATCTCAACACTTTGGGAGGCTGAGGCAGGTGGATCACTTGAAGTCAGGAGTTCGAGACCAGCCTGACCAACATGGTGAAACTCCATCTCTACTAAAAAAATACAAAAATTAGTTAGGCATGGGATTACACGCTTGTAATCCCAGCTACTCGAGAGACTGAGGCAGGAGAATCACTTGAACCCAGGAGGCAGAGGTTGCAGTCATCGTGCCATTACTCTCCAGCCTGGACAACAGAGCAAGACTCTGTCTCAACAAAACAAAACAAAACAAAAACAAATAAAATATCAAAAGATAGTTCATTCAGCTGTTTTGAACACTGACTTTGTTTTCTATAAACTGTCTTTTGTGTTGGAAAGTTCCAAGAAGAAAGATTAATAATATTTAGCAGTTGATTAATCTGCCCTCTAAAGTTCATATACCAGCTTTTCAAGTGAGAACTTTTTACTAAACTGAGGAATTATATATTTGCTTCTTAAAATAGAAAGTAATTTATGGGTATGGTAAAAATAAAAATTCCAGTAGTAGAAAAAGATATGGAAATAGAGGTCTCACGATTCTCCTCCATCTCACCACAGTCTCTTCCCTGCAAAATAGCCACTGTTCTTTCTTGTGTGTTCTTGCAGAAAAAAAAAAAAAAATACATTTACAGACAGACAAAATATACATACAGACATGACCATATTTTTTGTTTTTTAAATTTGCACAAAAAGGATCATGTACACACTGCTCCTGTTTATCTCTCAGCATGTGGAAGGTAGTGCCTTGTAAAACATGGAACTAAGCTAATCATGCAGTAAGGTGTGTCACCAACCAGAGCCAAAGAAAGAACAATTTTGTTTCCTAATACATGACAAGAGCTTGGTCTCAAAAGTGCTTCATAGAGAAGTAGTCTGAGTGGACAGTTCTATTTACCAGGGAGCCAGTACTGATGGTTTGTTTGTTTGTTTGAGTCCTTTAAAAATCATTTTAAGTGGACCATCAAGGTTCTTGTATTTTAAAGTGCTTTGAACGTAGAAAGCTTGAGGACCATAGCATTAGTCACAAGTAGTTCTGTTTCAATTTCCTTAACATATATTCTAAAAAATGTATTTATTGAGTCAAAGATAACGTTTTTAAGCCTTTTAATGCTTATTGCCAAATTGTTCTCCAGAAGCATTACACAAATTTACCCTGCCTTCAGCAAGTTATAAAGGAACGGTTTTACGATTTTAATTCTCCCAAGCATTGAGTAATAATTCGATTTTATATTTTGTATTTTTTAAATCTTTGCTCATTTGAGAGGTAAATAATCTGTCGTTGTTTGCTTCAACTTGCATTACTTGCATTACCAGTAACATTTTTTTCCTTATACGGTATTTACTTACTATGGTTTTTTTCTTGTTCCTTCAGATTATCTGTTTTGGTCTATTGCCTGTTTATCTATTGGGATCTCAGTGTTCTTTTCTCATAAATCTTTAAGATCCTTATGTATTAAAAAGATTAATTTATATAGGTTATATGCTGTTCAGCACTTATTTTTTCTCAGTGTTATTGTTCCTTTGATTTATTTTGTATATAGATGTTCTTTCATTCTTAAACTTAGAAAGTTTTCCCTTCCTCCGTGATATAGTTTAATATTCAGTTCCATTTTTTACTCTGTATTCGTTGGGGTGTTTGTTTAAATTTCGTAATGTCCTGAATTCTGTTTAGAATTAGGATCTCCTTTATCTAATACGGTCTATTATCAATTTTTTCTTATGTTCTATTGATCTGGTTATTTTTGTACTGGCACACTTTTACATACTATATAGGTTTTTGTAAAACAATATGCTCATAGACTGTTCTCACTACTTCATTCCCTTCCTCCCCCATCTGTTGCCTTTTTTTAATAAGAAAAATTTTTTAGAATTAAATCTAATAAGCACAGTAAACATTTAAAGGGTATAGTGAACATTCTTCACTTCTTTTTTTTTTTTTTTTTTTTTTTGAGGTGGAGTCTTGCTCTGTTACCCAGGCTGGAGTGCAGTGACACGATCTCAGCTCATTGCAACCTCCGCCTGCTGGGTTCAAGCAATTCTCCTGCCTCAACCTCCCAAGTAGTTGGTATTACAGGCACCTGCCACCACGCCCGGCTAATATTTGCATTTTTAGTAGAGATGGGGTTTCACCACGTTGGCCAACCTAGTCTCGAACTCCTGACCTCAAGTGATCCGCCCACCTCGGCCTCCCAGAGTGCTGGGATTACAGGCGTGAGCCAACATGACTGGCCTTCACTTCACTTATAACCGTTGATTTTCTTTCTTTTCTCTAGCAGGCATGCAAATCTTAGGAGGTACATTTGCTCCTATGTTTAGCTGTCTAAAACTTCCCGGGTTCTACTTACTGCTTGTGTTTAATTTTGAACTTGGCCAAAATTTCCTTTCAGCCCTTACCTTTCTTCTGTACCTACCTGTGAGTGTATAGTTCTCTTAAAAAATTTTTATTCTGATTAGAAAAGTAGTGCATATTTATTGTAGAAAGTTCAGAAAATACAGAAAAATACAGGGACAGAACAATTTCCTATAATTTCACCATTCATTGGTAGCCACATTTTGGTGGTTTTTTTCCCCATATGATCAATCTTAATATACTTCTTACACAAACAAAATTGGGATTACACGTTACATATGGTTTTATCACTTTTTCCTCATGTAAGAGTCTATCATGATTTTCTAACAAATACTTACGTTCGTGTTCCCAGCGCCCTGCATACTTTTTGTATATAGTCATCCAGCTGTGAAAAAGGAATGATAATTAATCATCAAATAAGTAGTCAGTGGTAGTGGTGTTACTAATAATAGTCATTAAGGCCAGGCGCAGTGGCTCACGCCTGTAATCCCGGCACTTTGGGAGGCCAAGGCGGGTGGATCACCTGGGGTCACGAGTTCGAGACCAGCCTGACCAATATGGTGAAGCCCCCGTCTCTACTACAAATACAAAAATTAGCCAGGTGTGGTGGTAGGCACTTGTAGTCCCAGCTACTCAGGAGGCTGAGACAGGAGAATTGCTTGAACCCAGAAGGTGGAGGTTGCAGTGAGCCGAGATTATGCCATTGCATTCCAGCCTGGGCAACAGAGCGAGATGCCATCTCAAAAAAAAAAAAAGAAGTCATTAATAGGCCAGGCGCGATGGCTCACACCTGTAATCCCAGCACTTTGGGAGGCTGAGGTGGGTGGATCACCTGAGGTCAGGAGTTCGAGACCAGCCTGGCCAACATGGTGAAACCCCATCTCTGCTAAAAATACAAAAATTAGCTAGGCCTGGTGGCACGTGCCTGTAATCCCAGCTACACAAGAGGCTGAGGCAGGAGAATCGCTTGAACCCGGGGGGCGGAGGTTGCAGTGAGCTGAGGTAGCGCCATTGGACTCCAGCCTGGGCAACAAGAGCAAAACTCCATCTCAAAAAAAAAAAAAAGTCATTAATAGTTAACATTAATTGGGCTCCGTCTCAACTTTAAACATATTATAAAATCCTTATGATTATGAAAGAAAACCTCATGACTCTTACCGTCTCCATTTTCCAGATGAAGAACTGAGATATAAAGTGGTTTAATAATTTTCCCACAGGCCCCTTCATAGGAAGTGATAGGATATGATACCAGGCCTTTTGATTTCAAAGCTTTTACTTTTTTTTCTACCAGACACACTAATTGTTACCCCCTAGTGCCGACCCATAGACTTATCCTGTGCTCACCCTTTGTAAGTCCTTTAGAGTTCTCCATTCTTTCTCCAGGGTCTTTGTGTAGCACTGAAATTATCACTGGACAGCTTTGTGAGGCAGCTAGGTTGGTGCTGCTTCTGTCTGGACTATTAGAGTAGCTAATACACTCTGACTACATTATGGCTTAGCCTAGCACTGTCGTGTGCACATTACCTTCCATTTCACAGTAACATACTTTTCTAAGTGGGGTAACGTGGCTGTGGTTTCAGTAGTAGTTCCTAGGAAAATGTTATTTTTATTCATCTGCAAGTTTCTCTGTGGTAATAACCTTTGTCCTTCCAATATTTTAAAACTCCTTTGAATTTGTTTCCTGTATTAATACAACTTCGTTTTTTAGGATTTTACTTTGTGACTGGATCATCCTCCAAAGCAAAAGGGAAAATTAAGAGTGTTTTTTAGTGGTTAAAAACCTGCCAATCATATATGACTCTAAAGTCAATAGATTATGTCTGTGTTGACACTTTGTTTGCAACCTGTCTTTTTTAACTTGTGATTGCTATCTGATTTGCATTTCAAAATACTGTATGTTGAAAGTAGTAACTGTAAGTCTGCTTGCATTTTTGCTTTCCTTTTTCTTTCTTCTTTTGGTTAAGGCCCATTCTAAATGTAAAATATAATGCTCAGTTTAAAAAACAAAATCTTGTGATGTTTTACAAAACAATCTGATGTGTAAAGTGGTCTTGGAGAGATTAACCCATTTTTTATGAAGAAGTAATTTCCCAGAATTTGATCAGAGACTTAAGAAGGATCTGCTTTGGAGGAAAAAGGGATGTCACAAGGATACATAATAACGAAATATATTATGAATAATGTTTTTCAGAAGGTTAAGAATAAGGAGTAACAGTTCTTTATCAAAGAAGAAGGAATAAAGAGGCCCAGGATATGTAAAAATAAAACTGGTTATAGGGCTTGAAGAAAATGATCTTTAATAGACAATATAAGTTATTTGGAGTAAAAAAAAATGCGAGACTCATAAAATATGAAGGACTAGGAAGGTGATAAAGGAAAAATGAAGAACGTAGAACATGAAAGGCACTAGCCTGTCAATTTAAATGCTCTTTAAAATGTACTTTGGTAGGAAGAAACTCTGTAGATGGACCACCCCATAGTGTTTGTGTCCTTGTTTTTAAGCACTGTGTTAGCACTTTTGTGGTTGCAGTATTGAAACTTCCATAGTAGTACAGTGCCTTTGCATGTGGAATATACTAACTATTGAATGAATGTTGAAAGTGATCTCAAGTTACTTGAAATTTGTTTAATAAATCAATGCAATGACAAAATAATTTTCTTGATTTAGAAGTTTTTTTGAAATTGGTGATTTGCCTGTGTTCTTATAACAAGTTGAAAGCATTTCTTGTTACTCATCATAGGAACTTGAGTTTCTTTAAGGGTTGTCAGTTGAGTGTGAGTATTTTGTCTGTGGAAGCCAAATGGATAGTATACACATGCATGCGTGCCTGATGAGTATAGTAAATTTTGGCCCACTTTTAAAGTAGAGAGCATTTTCCTTCTTTGTAAAACCTGAAGTTGCGTGTCCTTAATACATTTGTGTTCTTTCTGTCTTTTTCAGGGAAACAGTGCTTCTTAGTCCTACGTCAGCAGCAGTTTAATGTCCAGGCTCTTGTGGCGGTGGGAGACCATGCAAGCAAGCAGATGGTTAAATTTGCTGCCAAGTAAGTAAGCAATTATATCCTGTTGTCAGAATAAACAATGGTGGGAACCAAGACTCCCAGGGGTTTGGACCATTTTCATACATTAACATCAATGCTTCGTTTGTTTAAAAATGTAGTTATTTAAATTGTCAGTTCAGTGTTGCTGAATACATTAAACTTACAAAAGAGAAAATATGGAGCACAGGCTTGAAATTCATTTGGAACTGCTGAAGCAGCACTCTCTACAGACAAGTCACATTTACTTTCAAGTAGAGTAACAAAAAGCCTGGCAGCCTCAACATAGCAGAGCAACTTTATTTTGTTGTGTTTGTTGAGCTTCATTTCCTCCCTCCTTCCCTCCCTCCCCCAGTTTGAGATTTGCATGTTGAGCAACAAGTTTTCTAACCAAAAAATAAAAGTATATAAAATAAAAGAATGTAGTTTGGCAAATGATTGCCTCCAGAAGGAAGTAAAACAAATGTTTTACAACTTTTAGCTTTGACACCAAAAGGGTTTAGGAGAAAAAAGGTAAAACTTGCTTTTTCCTCCTGTAAAAGTCTGGGCTGTCTGGCTCAGAGTTCCCGTAGAAGCAGCACATTGTTTTGTTCAGCTTGCAGGAGGCAGATATAGAGATAGAAGTGTGGTTGTGTGTGCAGTGGCTCTAAGGTGATGAGAGCTGTTTTACTTGGTAGTGGTGATGTGGCTAATTTTGTTTCATGTTTTTTTTCAATTTCATCAGAATTTTATTTCCATGATAATGATCTCAGAAAACATGAGAAAATGGATGGTCTTTGTGTTTTAAGTAATAAAGTAATTTCATAGTGTGTAAGTGTTTTTTAAAAGAAAGAATTCAATCAGAGTAAATGATATATTTTTTCTATTGATTTTTTTAAATGTTTGCTTTTTAGATGCATGCTTTCTAAGAATGAGTTAATACAGATGGAATTATGAATTTTAGAATTGGAAAGAAACTTAAAAATTATCTAATTCAATATCGTAATTTAGCTTTCAGCCCTCCCTGACCCTCTAGCACAATGTTATACATATAAAGGATGCTCAGCAGCTGGTTTTGGTTTAGATATTTATCAAATTACGTCATAGTAATACCTGCACTCGGATTTAAGAACTTAAGTGCCATGAATTGTATCGATTCATTGATGAGATCAGTAGTATTTTAATACTACTAATACAGTAGCCCCACCTCTCCCTATCTCCCAGTGCTGCCCAGAGATGACCACTTTTCTTCTACGTGTGTCTTCTGGTAATTAGGTTTGCTTGTTTCGTCTCCTGGTTAGAGTGTGTGCTTGTGGGGTGCATTTGTCTTCCAACCTTTTAAGGTTAGTGTGTATCCTATGAAGTCAAACATAAATGAGCTTGGTCCCTAGAAATTTTATCTGCACAGAGAACCTTCTATAAAAGAAAAAAAGATGGTCCTGGAAACCGCAGACATAGATGCTAAATTCTATTAAATATACTGAAAAATACTGGAAAAAAGTCAACCTCAAATCAACAAACAACTTTTGTATAATAATTTGGTTTTGAAAACTAATACATGAAGCCGACAGTTACATAGAGAATATATTTTTCCATTAAACTGCATTATAACCTCGGCGTTACATTCCTAAAGCTTCCAGTGGAAAAGCCTTTTGAAAATCCCAGTTACCCATAATATTCAGTGAGAGGCATTCTACTGACAAGTGGACGGTTAATCCATGTGATGTGTTTAGAAGCAGACACGTTAAAGTACTCCGCAAATAAGTTATTCCTATTATTTTGGATCTTCTCAGAAACTCCTGGGACTTGACTAAATAACAGCGATTGACTATATCAGATGTCAACCATAGCTTAATAGCTAAAAGAGCTACTTTCAAATGGTCTCCCAAACAGAACTTAGTTCACTAATGCCCTCATAAAATTAAAGAACATCTTTTTATCATTATTTTATTAAAGGCTTTCATCCAAATGGGATGATATACGGGCGATCTTTTTTTTTTTTTTTTTTTTTTTTTTTTTTTTTTTTTTTTTGAGACGGAGTTTCACTCTTGTTGCCCAGGCTGGAGTGCAATGGCGTGGTCTCCGCTCATCGCAACCTCCTACCCGGTTCAAGCAATTCTCCTGCCTCAGCCTCCCCAGTAGCTGGGATTACAGGCATATGCCACCACCATGCCCAGCTACTTTTGTATTTTTAGTAGAGACGAGGTTTCTCCATGTTGGTCAGGCTGGTCTTGAACTCCCAACCTCAGGTGATCCGCCCGCCTCAGCTGTTCAAAGTGCTGGGATTACAGGCATGAGCCACCGCAGCCGGCCATGGGTGATCTTTCTTTTAGACAAGGGAAGAATATAGGTAATTTAGCCTAGATTTTTTAATTCCTGAAGTGGAACTCCATAAGGATCTAGATGCAGTTCAGGCTTAACTAAATTGTGACTTGATTTTTTTTTTTTTAAGCAAAGGACATGCAGCTATTTTTAGTCCCTTTAAAAAATGGACTTTATATAAAGTAGCAATGTGTAGGAAAAGGTTGAGCTGTTCCAAATTATAAACCTTGTCACTGGTTATATGTAAGTGAATGGAGCCAATTTTATACAATAGGTTCAACATGTGGTACATAGATAACTATTATTAAACTTTTGGCACTAGCATGTTAAGGAATCGAGCCTGAATAATTACCAGTAGGTGGGTTAATGGCTTTTGCTATCTTGCGAAAAAGGAAAATTCTTATGGCTAAGACTCGTTGGCAAAAAATGATGAGTTTTTAGGTTTTGTAGTTGGTTAAGATAATTTTCTTAGGAACATGATTTTATGTTCCAGATGGGTCAGTCAGTTTGTCCTTTCTGTGTGATGTAACCTATACTTCTAAGATAGTTCAGAAATCCTGATCCTTCTTGGTAGGAGAAGTCTACTTTTAGACTTCGGCAAGAACTTTTTAGAACTTTTTTAGGGAAAAGATATATGGGGTTTTTCTTTGTCTTTTAAAATCCTTTTCCTAAAAATTGTTAACTGTGTTTTAGCGCATAAAATGGGTATGCGCTAAAATTGTGAAAGCAAAAATTAAGGTAGCTTTCATACATTTATCTTTGAGGTCACTTGTTTAGGCAGCAGATCACTAGTAGTATAACAGTTGGATGCAAGGAAAAATGTTTCTATTTCTAGTTCCAGTTAAGTTCAGATACTTGATAATTCATTTGATACAAATTTTAACTAACAATGCCACATTAACTTTCACATAAGTAAGACAGTTTTATAAAATGATTGACTGATACTTTATTTAAATTGTCATTCTTAGATTACTCTTTGCAGAATTTTGGTTAATTGTGAAGCTGAAATATCCTGACTCTACCTCAAAGTTAATGTTTTAGGTAACTGAACAGGTATTCTTCCCATTACTAGTATTGAAGTCAGAATACAGAAACAAATTAATTATGGAACTGGCTCTAAGGCTACAAGCTTTATAGAGTAAACCAAATGTCAGCAATTTAGTTTTAGTGAAATTAAAAATTAATATTACTTATTAATTTGAATTTTGTTTTTATTTAAAAATTTATTTCTATTTTAAAGTTAAGGGCTATAAGCATAAGCATTTACAGTAGTTTGGTATTTGTAGGTCTTTAAGTAACATGACAGAACTTATTTAAGTGATTAATGGGGTTTGCTGACATTTTTTATTCCACTAAAGAGAACCTATAGAGTAGTTTTAGAACTGCTGGTCTGTGCCTTGTTGAGTAGTGCATACTTCTCACCACGCTTATTTTGGATCAGCTGGGCATGGTGGCTCATGCCTGTAATCCCAGCAATTTGGGAGGCCAAAATGGGCCGTTCACTTGAACCCAGAAGTTTGAGACCAGCCTGGCCAACATGGCGAAACCCCATCTCTACCAAAAAAATTTTTTTTAAATTAGTCGGCCGAGCGTGGTGGCTCATACCTGTAATCCCAGTACTTTGGGAGGCCGAGGCGGGCAGATCACGAGGTCAGGAGATCAAGACCATCCTGGCTAACACCCGTCTCTACTAAAAATACAAAAAATTAGCCAGGCATGGTGGCGGGCACATGTAGTCCCAGCTACTCGGGAGGCTGAGGCAGGAGAATCGGTTGAACCCAGGAGGCGAAGGTTGCAGTGAGCCAAGATTGTGCCACTGCACTCCAGCCTGGGCGACAGAGCGAGACTCCGTCTCAAAAAAAAAAAAAATTAGTAGGATATGGCTGCATGCACCTGTAGTCGCATCTACTCTGGAGGCTGAGGTGGGAGAATCACCTGAGCCCAGGAGATCCAGGCTGCAGTGAGCTGTGATTGTGCCACCGCAGTCCAGCTTGGGCAACAGAGCAAGACTCTGGCTTAAAAAATAAGTTATCACAGGCCGGGCGCGGTTGGTCACACCTGTAATCCCAGCACTATGGAAGGCCAAGGTGGGTGTATCATCTGAGGTCAGGAGTTCAAGACCAACCTGGCCAACATGGTGAAACCCCGTCTCTACTAAAAATAAAAAAAAATAGCCAGGTGTGGTGGTAGGCGCCTCTAATCCCAGCTACTCGGGAAGCTGAGGCAGGAGAATTGCTGGAATCTGGGGGATGGAGGTTGCAGTGAGCCGAGATCACACCATTGCATTCCAGACTGGGCGACAGAGTAGGACTCCATCTCAAAAAAAATAAATAAATAAGTTATCATGGTTTAAAGAATGATTTAAATCTTTAATTTTTGCAAAGCATCAGTGGACAGATGGGTGTAATAGAGGTAGAGAGAACGCAAGGATTTAGTTCCCTACTGACTAGTGACAAAGAGTCCCTCATTGACCAAACTCTCCTCAGATTCCTTTGAAAGAACTTTCTGCTCCGGTAAGCCTCGACTTTTTTACTTCATGTTTATGCCTGCATTGTTCAGTTTTAGTAAGAATCCTGCTGAGTTGCTTTAACTATAACCCCTGTCATCCCCCCTCAGTATCTGATCACCCGCCATAGCTAATTGGGTTCCTTCTCCTCCACCATCCCTCAGGTGATGTCTGATCACCCTCGCCTGCCTTCAACAAGAATCCTGTTAGGTCATTTTAGCCAGAATCTTCTGTTTCTCCTGATGGCTCCTCTTAGTAATTTTCCATCCACTGACTCTATATTCCCATCTTTGGGTCTAAGTTTCCACTTGCCAATCGTGTATTCAAAGTTAAGCCTAGTTCTATACTCAGATCTCTTTTCCCCTATTGCAATAATCTTGAATAAAATTTGTTTTTACCACTTTAAGTATTGTCCATCTCTGGTTTTCCCTGACACAACCATGTGACTTCTTACATTGTTTACTGTTTGCTTATCTTAACTCATTCTTCAAAGCTAAGATGCTGATTCAAACACTTATTTCTACTTGCGTGAGAAATATAAAAGTCTGAGGTCTAGTGTGGTACTAATTCACTATAATTGAAAGAAGTGCTTGACCTATAAATGAAGCTTATGCTTACCTTAGAATTGAAACATATGGCTGGGCGTGGTGGCTCACACTTATAATCCCAGCACTTTGGGAAGCCAAAGCAGGCAGATCACTTGAGCCCAGAAGTTCAAAACCAGCCTGGGCAATATGGTGAAACATCATCTCTACCAAAAAAGTCAGAATAATTAGCCAGGCATGGTGGTGTGAGCCTGTAGTCCCCAGCTACCTGGGAGGCGAAGGTTGCAGTGAGCTGAGATTGTGCCACAGCACTCCAGCTTGTGTGACAGAGCGAGACCCTGTCTAAAAAAAAAAAAAAAAAAAAAAAAAAAAAAAAGATTTTTATTTTCAAAAGGTGGTGGTTTTATTATTTTTTGAAGTACTTACCTAATTTATTTTTGTTCTTTTGATGCTGTTTTAATTAGCAAATACGTGGTTTCTTGTGTTTGGGCATTTTGTACTTCTTTGCCTCAGTGAATTGTACATTTAATTTATAACATTGAAGCATTTTATGTTGGTGCATTATTTGAAGAACTGGTGTGTGACAACTTTATGGCATGCCTCTTTTCTAACTAATCTTTTTTCACCCCCCTTGCAAAGATTTAAAAATTACTCATTTGAATGTGGGTGGTTATGTAGATCTGTAAGTATATTTATCATTGAGTATATAGTAAGATTTAACACATTATTTCTGACAACCAGAAAGCTAAAAAATGTATCGGTTTTGCTGAAAATCTTTAATAGTCAAGTTTCTGTGTTAAAAATTTTAGTAGTTTTTGTTGATATAAGGATATATAAATACGCAAATGGAAAAACTTAATGTACATAGTGTCTCTTTCACCATTATTGACTTTTTTTTTTTTTTTTGGTGGTGGTAATAAATGGAAATAGTTTAGAAAAATATGAGCCGATGACTACCCAAAAATAAAATTTGGTCATCCCCCAGTCTCTACCAACTGCCAAGTTTATCCCTACTGTTAACAAGACAATCAGAATACATCAATATATAGGATTTCTGTTATATTTTAGGCCTTTATTGAGACTATCTAGTATAATGAAATACTTCAAGGTGCTTAAATCTGTGGTACCTAGAATGATGAGAAATAAAAGGTAACACTATTAGTGTAAAGGTTATGCTGCCCATCTTCTGTCATCTTGGGTTTATTGATAGATTATGTGAATAATGATGGGCTACTCTTCCTCGACCTCTGTAGCAGGTGTCATGTATTTTTTAGATGAAAGGTCATGGAAAACCCATCCCCTACCACATACCAGACTCGTTGCATGTGAAATATTATTTTTAATATTTAAGAAGCTTAATCTGAAATTAAAACTCAGTATAGTAACTACACTTGCTTTATTTTGCCACCTTTCCAGTGTCTAGCATGGATTTTTATGCTTATTTGGATGCCTCTTCTCTGTTAGTCCCTGTACCAGACCCAAAAGTTACAGTACAGTGGTCACCAGCATCTTCCCCAGTTGATGTACAGGGGAAATAACAGGTTCCCTTATAATAACTGACTCTTATTCTATACTAAGCGTGGAGCCACAAAGTGCCAGATTTTTTTCTCACTTGATCCACACAACAGCCCCATGAGGTGTAAATACTGTTTTTGTCTTTTTTTGTTTTGGGGCGGAGAGGAGGTTGGTTCTGTTCTCTCTCTCTTTTTTTTTTTTTTTTTTTTGGTTTTGTTTTTTTGGTTTTGTTTTTGTTTTCAGGTGAGGAAATCGAGATGTGAAATATTAAGTGTCTTGACTAAGGTCTCTTAGATTCTGGATTCACACTCTAGTCTCTGTGTCATCCTGCCTCTCTGAAATAGTGTGTAATGGTGTTAGATCAAAACCCTCCACATTATAGCTCCATTTAGAATACAGTTTGTTAGCTAGACACTGCTCCCAAGGTATTACGAGTCAAAACTAAAGGGAAAAAAGTTTAGTTTAAAAAATAGAACTGGGCCAGGCGTGGTGACTCATGCCTGTAATCCCAGCACTTTAGGACACTGAGGTAGGAGGATCACTTGAGCCCAAGAGTTCAAGACCAACCTGGTCAACATGGCAAAACCCTGTCGCTACAAAAAAAAAAATTAAATAAATAAATAAAAATTAAAAATAAATAAAAAGTGGATCTGATTATAAAGTAATAAAAAATATTTTTATGTTTGAGTGATAAATTCCTGCTAAAAATTCCAAAGGAGGAATTTATTTTTAACCATTAGTAACACTAATGAGTTTGTCTCTTCCACTATAAAGCAGTAGCTGCCTTCTAAGGAATCACCCTATTGTTAAAAAGCATGCTCTAAAAATAAGGGGGAGGGACAGGGAGTTGGAACCTAGAGAGTTTCATGTTTTCAGTGACAGTTATTCTTCCTGAATAATCTCAATAAGAAAAATTTTGATAGTTAAAAACATGAAACCTAACACCACTAGAGGCAAATCTAATAATCAATTGCATCTACTTTTGCTTAGGCTTTGGGCTTTTTTTTCTTATCAGCACTGCCATTAACACAACACAATACGTTTTGCACCTTTGTATCACTCTCTTGAGAAGTAAGGCACAAAGTCACTCAAAAAAGCAGCTGTGTGGTGTATGCCACTGATGTTGAAAATAAAACCACAGACTCAGAATTTAAAATAAGAATTTATCTTTTACTAAGATTGTGGATGCAGGAAAGAATAGAAAGGATTTGGCTGGATAACTAATACTGTTCCTTAACACATCTAATTGCAGGCGCTTTGTTAGACACTTGTACCAACTAAAGTCCTTTCCTAGAATTGCTCCATCAACAGCAAGGGAGAAGAGATCTTGGAACATTTAGGTATGGGTGTCCTTTTAGATTAGCTTTTTGTAGAGTGTGCTAATGTACTGTCAGTTCTGCTATGTGACATACGCATTCCTAAAACTAACCGTCCTATGCAAAATTGTGCAATAAAAACCACAGTGTTTATGGAGAAAATGAGATTAATGGCATAACACTCAAAAACTTGATGTGGAGAAAGGGAAACCCCTCATACACTATTGGTGGGAATGTAAATTAGTATAGCCTCTATGGAAAACGGTATGGCGGCTCATGAGAAATTAAAAATAGAACTACCATATGATCCAGTAATCCCATTATGGGGTAATTATTCAAAGGAAATGAAATGATTATGTCAAAGAGAGATACATATTTGCACTCCAATATTTATTGCAGCACCATTCACCATAGCCAAGATATGGATTCAACCTAAGTTTCCTTCAACAGATGAATGGATAAAGTGTGGGATATATACACTCTGGAATACTATTCAGCCATAAAAAGTGAAATCTTGTCATTTGTGGCAACATAGATGAACCTGCAGAGCATTATGTTGAGTGGAATAAGCTGGACACAGAGAAATACTGGATGATCTCATGTGCTAAAGATGTTGATCACATAGATGTAGAGAGAATAGTTGGTGGGGGGCAGAGGGGGATGAGGGAGAGATTGGTCAGTCTGTTCAAAATTACAGATAGGAAGAAGAGTAAGTTCTGGTGTTCTCTTGCACAGTAGGGTAACTATGGTTAACAATATTGCATATTTCAAAACAGCTGGAAGAGAGAATTTGGGAAGTTCTCACCACAAGGAAGTGATAAATGTTTGAGGTGATAGATATGCCAAATGCTCTGATTTGATTTTTACACGATGTGTACATATATGGAGACATCACACTGTACCTCATAAATATGTACAATTATGTGTCAATTTAAAAAAAAAAACTTCATTAATGGCATACTTTTTGAAAAGATGAGACGGAGTCTCACTCTTGTTGCCAAGGCTGGAGTGCAGTGGTGCAATCTCGGCTTACTGCAACCTCTGCCTCCCAGGTTCAAGCGATTCTCCTGCGTCAGCCTCCTGGGTAGCTGGGTAAATTACAGGCGCCCACCACCACGCCCAGCTAATTTTTGTATTTTTAGTAGAGACAGGGTTTCATCATGTTGGCCAGCCTGGTCTTGAACTCCTCACCTCAGGTGATCCACCCGCCTCAGCCTCCCAAAGTGCAGGGACTACAGGCATGAGCCACCAAGCCCGGCCAGTAACCTAACTTCTTAAAGGTAACAGTTTTATACTCGTTGAATGGTTAAGAAATACATAAATACTACAATAAATATAGCATTTTACCTTGAAAAAAATGTGCAGTTTGCTTGTGGAAGTGGGTATCAAAAGAAAGGCAGTTTGTAAGTTATTTTGAAGTGATGGAAGGAACAGTGTCTGAAATCAGAGGGAAAGTTGTAACACCAGATGTGGATGGGTATGGCTCATAACATGAGTTACAAGTAGATGTTTAAGGTGTGTGCATTTTGTATATTCCTGCATGGCCGAGTGCACCCAAGTGTTGTTGTCTGCATTGACCGAGTGTTCTCACTGATGAAATCTGGCATAGGCAAAAGCAAAATTCTCATTATACTCAAATTGTTCCCTAATGTGTCAACGATGTTGAAACAAATTCACATTTTCAAAACAAGCTTTATAGCAAAACTGTACTCTTGAAAGTGACAACAGGGTTTGCTAGTGAATGGATAAAACATGAATCTTATCTGTTTGCTTACAACTTATGTGTGGGGGTAAGGAAAATAATGAATTAGAAAATTACTGGTTTGAGAAACTAAGTGGAAGTGACACCATTAATCTGGAATAAATTGCCAACATGGACTGAGAGTACACATGACCCACTCTTTGGAACTGAGATGGGCTCATCTTCCCATATGGCACTTGGCCAAATATAGAGTAGACACCAAAGAGGAGTGAAGCTAGCCCCTTTAGCAAAGAAGAAGGCAAGTCCATTGGGCAGGCAGCCAGTAGTGTTTCCTAAGCTTAACTATATCGAGTTAATTGAAGAGAAGTTCCAGGCTTTTGAGTTTAGAAAAAGCCCAACAGGTTGTTTTACCCAATAATCCTCTGATTATAATTTCCACCAATCTGCCTCCCCCAGGCTGCCTCATTTTCCGTTGGACCTCATCAAGACTTCTAGTCTTTTTATCCATCTCCACATTCTCTCCCAGTCTTTTCAGCCTCTTCCTGACCTCATGTGGCCCCATGCTCCATTCCTGAAACTACGCTCTGCACCTTTATCCACTGTTCCCCGCCCCTTTGTTTCTCTTGCCCCACAAACACCCTACAAACTCCCCTGTCCCAAAGACTCCTGATTCCATCATCTAACACCAGGCTAGAGTATCCTGTGTGTTCATGGCATGACAACTGATTCCTATTCCTCAGCTGGGCCCACTAGTGTATATTCTACTTTATAATGAAAATAGAGGTTTATGGGCTGTGCCTGTGTTTTCGTTGTTTCACTGACCTCTTCAGGATCTCATTCCTCTTTATCTCTTAGTTTCTAAGTATAATTGGAAAGGCAAAATTTGGAAAGCACTGAGTTCCATTGCTTAGTATTCTACCACCCTTCTGTTATTATTAAAAACAGTACATCACCAACATCTAAACCAATTCTAGTGAGTTCTGTTGCTTAAATAAAACAAAAATCTTTACTTAGAAACTTGAGGATCAATGAAGCATGAGATAATTCAGAAGAATATTTAGTTAGTAACACATTCTCTTTGGGAAGCTAGCAGCTCAGTTAGTGAACGAGCTAACTATTCTGCCAGAATCTGGTTTGGAAAATAGTATGGAGAGAAATATGTCTGTGAGGAAAAGGCCATTTCTAATCTCCATTTAATTTTAATTCTGTCTTAGATCAGTTGTTATATATAAAATGCTTGGAGCTAGAGGAGTGCCTTAGGACTATTTGTTTATTTTCAAGATGTTTCGTTTCCATTTTGAATGTTACTGCCCAAAGAGACTGGACATTAAAGCATGTGAACTCATACACAACAAAGTGGGAGAAACAATGGTGTTTATATGTTAATTCCATGAAGCCCTATATTTAACTCTATTCCCTCTGGCCATATACCAGGTGGAAAAAAGCAAGGACTGTGCTATTAAAAATATCAAATCAGATAGTTCCAGCTGGGGTTTCTTAATCATTTAAAAGGCAAAATATGAGGTCACTTTTAATATCTTAAGTAGATAACGATCTTAGCATTTACTTTAGATATTAAATCTGAAGTGCTTATCTTTTGCCTTACTGGCTAGACAATACTACTAGCAGTTTCTAGCTTTGGAGTATTTTCCTTAAAAGAAACATTGGAATTTAATACGGAGCCAACTATTTTGCCTCAAATTGTCTGTCTTAGGAATATCCAATTCATCAATAGAGTAATCTAAAAAGTTGATTCACTAATTGGATTTAAGTGCCACAGGACTCTTCACACATTATTTTAATCAATTTGTTGGAAAGATCAATTTTCTCATGGATGAATGCATATAAAAATGAAGCAATTGAATGAGTTACATAGGAAGGTTGGCACATCTAATTCCCTAGAGGTTCTAGGAACAGGTTCTTAATTATATATCTGAAATGGTTTGAGGTTTTTAAATGAAATTTGTCTAGAAGCAGGAAGATGCAATACCCATCTATCCAGGCCTGTATTTCTGGATCCCCATCTTATCTAATATTTAATAGTTGATCCTGAAGTTGAGATATTATCCCTTTATTCTTTTAAAAAAAATTTTTTTGTATGTGTGCCATTTTAAAGTAATTAACAGAGTAGTTTGTGTTAGTTTTGGTTAAGTGTTATAAAGCCAGTTTTTTTTTAAAGGAAGTCCTGGAGGCCTTTTTGTATTGACTGTTAGAGAGGACAGTGAGTGTAAACACAAGTTTTTAAAGTTTAAAGTTACAGTGCCCACTATAAAGGACTACAATTAATGTGAAAAGTAGTTTTAAAGTTAAAATTTATATATCGCTGTTTGTGCTTATATAATACTTCCCACTCTCCCCAAACATAGAGGTATTCTGATTCTGAAAATAAGCCTTTTTTAGTACCATTATGTGTATACATATATATTTTATTTTATTTTTCTTTATATTAGTCATTGTGGTTAAATGATTTATTGGTAGCTGATGAGTCACAAGTATGTTTCTCATTCTCTAATGAGTCACCTAGCTACCTACAAGTTTGTTTATTTTCTTTCCTTTCTAGATCTTTCACCTAAAATAGGTGTTTTACTAGTTGGTAGGTTAAAATTTCAGTTTGCTACATTAACTTTTTTTTTTTTTTTGGAGACGGGAGACGGAGTCTCGCTTTGTCACCTAGGCTGGAATGCAGTGGCACAATCTTGACTCTCTGCAGCCTCTGCCTCCCAGGTTAAAGCGATTCTCTACCTCAGCCTCCCGAGTATCTAGGACTACAGGCACACGCTACCACGCCCAGCTAAATTTTTTTTGTGTACTTTTAGTGGAGACGGGGTTTCACCATGTTGGCCAGGCTGCTCTCAAACTCCTGACCTCAAGTGATCCACCCGCCCTGGCCTCCCAAAGTGCTGAGATTACAGGCATGAGCCACTGTACCCAGCCTACATTAACTATTAGATCTGGAAAATACCAAAATAATACTCAGAAGAAGTCTCATTGATTTTTACAAACTTGTATTTAGCACGTGCTCTGGTCCAGGTACTCTGCTGGGCTTGAGTATGCAAAGATTTATGTGTGTCATATATATCTTAGGAGAAGCTTAATTTTGGGAGAGGGCAAGGGAGATAAACAACTGCATGCAGAGGCAGGGTATACAGGTGCTGTGATAGGAGTGTATATTGTCTGTAGTTGAGGCCCAAAGAGAGGTGTGCATGTGGATACCCCTTGAGCATCCATATGGATAAGTTGGTGAATGTAGGCAAGGCCATTATACTGTTGTGTATTGCAACTCCTTGAACAGTTGCACCTACATTTTATACCTCTTTGTTGGAACAGGGTATTTATCTGTTAGAGGAAAAACAGCTTCTATTTTCAGTCCTGTCCACTGCAACATCTGTATTGAAAATTTGGATAATGCTAAAGGTGTGCTAAGAAAAAAAACGGGTCTAAAATCTGCTGTCAGAAATTTTCAGATCGTTTGTGGGATTAATTCTCCTGGGCTAAATATAACTTTGTATAAAACAATATGAAATTATTATTTAAAGATTTTGCTGAATTTCTACTAAGGTTGGCAACAACAGCAAAACATCAAGATACATCAGTGTTACTGGGGAAGGTAGTATGATTCCTGGACATTTGGGAAACTATTACTAAAGGGCCTATTATTTTCAGTTGTTGTTGTTTTTTTGTTTTTTTTTTTTTCACAGAAACTATAAAGCAATCTAGCAGCTCATGAGCTTCTAAGAATGAAAATGTATTATTTCATAGTGAGCTGATGATGCATTCTGAGATATTTAAATTTAGTTCTAATTTGTCAGTCTGTAACAGAACTGTCTAGTGCAATAATCATTAAATGATCTTATTAGCTATGTGATGGTAGTCTAATTACTTAACCTTGTAGAGTCTCAGTTTTCTCATCTGTAAAATGTTGATAATACCTACCGTGTAGGCCTTTGTGAAGCGCAAATGAGATAGTGTCTACCTAAAGCACTTCACACAGAACCTGGAACATAAAAGGGAATTGCTAAAGAAATAATAGAAATAATACTTTAGGGATTTAGTTGTTAAATCTCTTTTCTTTTTTCTCTTTTTTCTTTCTTTCTTTTTTTTTTTTTTCTGAGATGGAGTCTCGTTCTGTCACCCAGGCAGGAGTGCAGTGGCACGATCTCTGCTCACTGTAACCTCTGTCTCCTGGGTTCAAGCAATTCTTCTGCCTCAGCCTCCAGAGTAGCTGGGGCTACAGGGCCACGCCACCACACCCAGCTAATTTTTTTGTATTTTTAGTAGAGACTGGGTTTCACCATGTTGGCCACGCTGGTCTTAAACTCCTGACCTCAGGTCATCCACCCACCCCGACCTCCCAGAAGTGCTGGGATTACAGGCATGAGCCACCGTGCCTGGGCTAAAATCACTTTCATTTGAGCTATAAAAATAAAAGTGTGTTTGCCAGGCATGGTGGCTCACGCCTGTAATCCCACCACTTTGGGAAGCAGAGGCAGGTGGATCACTTGAGCCCAGGAGTTCGAGACCATCCTGGGCAACATGATGAAACCCTGTCTCTACATAAAATACAGAAATTAGCCGGGCGTGGTGGTGCCTGCCTGTAGTCCCAGCTACTCAGGAGTCTGAAGTGGGAGGGTCACTTGAACCTAGGAGATGAGTTTGCAGTGAGTTGATCCCAGTGATTCTTCTCTATATGCTCAGGAGGACTCGTCAGAGTCAAAACCTGATACTGGGACCCAGCAGCAAGAGATAAACTGCTTTTTCCCCCGATTTATGTCTCCATTTATTTGCAAGATGGTGACCTCTTTGACTGGAGTTGTGTGCTGTTAAATATTTTTTCACGTGTCTCCTATACAGAAATTATACCTTCACCCTTGATTTTCAGATCATCTACGGTAGCCATTTCTCAGGGTTTATGATTCTTGTTCTCTACCCCAGTGCTCTCCAAAGTGTGATATGCTCAAGATTACCCATTGAGGGAAAGAAAATAATTCAACTTCCTTCATTCCGCCTACCCTTTCTTCCCTGCTTTTTTCTTTTATCTAAAAGGATGAGAATGAATTTGAGTTTTTCCAATAGTTAATTTATACATAAACACTGGACCCATAACTTGGATTGCTTCTCAGAAGGTTACATATCACCTATAGCATGTGAGGTTTCTGAAGGAAGATTGTGGGATTCCAGTAATGAAAAGAAGCTAGCAGTGGTACCCTCATTCTCCTCTCTCCTCCCTTCTTTCTTCCCCTCCCCTCCTTTCCTCTCCTGTAGATATTATGCCATCTTCATATACAATGTCAGTTAAAACCATATAATCAGACTCTTTCTACAGTCAGTAGAATTTTATTCTTCTACTGCAGTAATGTACGCAAGTATTCCTGTCTCTCTTGTTTTGACTCTATTTTATATATACACACATAAAACCCTCGGATAGTCTGACCCTTTTTCACAAATGGAACCTTTTTGATTTTAATGTTTTTTCTTCTGAATTCACTCATGTCTACAGTAAGACAAAAATGGATGTAGATACAGATGTAGCTGTATAGAGATAATAGGGCTAAATTGTCCAAAATCATGGAATAGTTTTACTAATGTCTAAATAGGTTATGATTTTTAACAGCTGCATATAATAAGGGGAAATACTGAGATTGGAAGGGTTAAAAAAAATTAACTGTTCTCTATGTCTGATTAATCCTGCCTTCTTTCCCGTTGATTCAGTAGAACAATTTGTAATTGCAGAAATTTATAATAGCTTTGGCCCTAGCTTAAGAAATAGTTTGTGGTTTCAGAAGTTAATTTGTAAGTTGTTTCGTCCTGGAAACAATGTTCTAAGTGGTAGTTGTTTTCTAGACTAGCTGATCTAATATTTTAGCACTCAGTACTACGAAATTAAAGTACTAAAGGTAGATATAGTTCCATGTTTCAGGTCCTGGGTTAAAAGAGTCATCTGGTACTTTTGAATGAGAAAGAAGAGGGAATTTTTTTTTGCTTTAATTGGACCTACAGCCAGCCCTGGGCAGAGTATCTTTGACTACATTCCACCTTCTTTCTAGAAGGATACTAGCATGACGCTCAGTCCTTAAAAGCAGATGTGTTTGGGCCGGGCGCGATGGCTCATGCCTGTAATCCCAGCAGTTTGGGAGGCCAAGACGGGTGGATCACCTGAGGTCAGGAGTTCAAGACCACCCTGGCCAACATGGTGAAACCCTGTCTCTGCTAAACATACAAAAATTAGCCAGGCATGGTGGCACATGCCTGTAATCCCAGCTACTCAGGAGGCTGAGACAGGAGAATCACTTGAACCCGGGAGGCGGAGGTTGCAATGAGTCAAGATGGAGCCACTGCACTCCAGCCTAGGTGACAGAGACAAGACCCTGTCTCAAAAAAAAAAAAGTAGATGTGTTTGACTTGAGTTGGCCTGAAGAAGACTGTCTGATAATGGAAGGTGCAGAGGGCCAGCAAATGCCTTCTAATAGGAGTCAAAGTTTGTGAGACGAGGGGACCAAGGGGTCAGGGATATAGAAGAAAGGTAGCAGAGTGGACCTCTACTTGGGACAGGTCAGGTTGCTTGATGAAGCAGTACATTGATCGATACAGAGGAGAAAACCTTCCTTGTGAAGATGTGTGAGATAAGCAATAGAATTCTCACCAGGCCTGAATATACACTCAGTTATCACATTTACTGGTAGGTGGCAGTCAAATTGAAGATAGATTCAGTTCAGTGACACTAGATTGCAAGTATTAGAAAACTTTGTAACAGTCCACTGGAGCCTCTTGATCCCTTCAAGCCTCAGAAGAGCCTTATCTTAGTTCACCAACTACTTCTTTTGCCATAATAAATTCTGAGTTTCTTCAGTAGTCAAGATTTTAGCTAGGTATTAGGTGATAGCCCCAGTGCAGGAGACTTACGAGAGTACAAGAGATATGCATGCTGTTGATTTTTTTTTTTTAAGTTAGTTGGTAACAGACATAAAGATTTCTAGGCAGTGTAGCCAAGTGACATAAACAATTTTCTTTCTTAACTACTCTTCACCTATTATCCTCATTTTGATCCTTTTTCATTGAAATGGATTCTGGTGTTCTCTTGTTTAAAGTAAGTACTGTCTGGTTTCTGGAATGTCTAATTGCACCACAACTACTAAAGACCCAAATCCTCATCAGAATGAATAGAATTTTTCCATGAAAATTAAATCTTATCCTTTTCATCAACTATATTGTGATATACTTTGTCAGTACAAGAATATACACAAAAGTAAAACTGGTACATTTTGTATGGGAATCACCATTTTGGAGTATACATTTTCTTCCTTGGTTATGTACTAGTGATTAAAAAAATAATCATTGTGTTTAATAAGCTACTTTATAAATTTTGTATTTTAGAATTTCAGTGTCTGGTGTTCAGAATTCAAGTTATTATAAAAATAAGCTGTCCAGGAGATGCATTTATTTTACACTCATCATATATTAAACTTCATATAGGCACCCTTTTAAATGGGAGTACACAATCCAATAATCATAAATCTGATGACGGAGTATACTCAGAAGCTAAAGGTAGTGAGGATTTAATTGCAAAACAGCACGCTAATGTCCTCTTATTACCTTAAAATCTTTTCAGTTGACCGTCTTCTATTATTTAATTCCATCACATACCAGTAATTGCATTTATTGAAGCCAGTATTTCTCATTATAGGAAATGCTGATCTTAGTGATTCTCAAAAATAGGGAGGGAAATGTTCTTTAATAAATAATTAAAAGACTTTTTACTACTTTTCCCAATTCGGTACTGGTTTTATTACCTTTTATGTCCAGAGTATTTTATAAGTGGTAACTAAATTATGGCATCTAAAAAATCATCTCTTCAAGGAATCTCACAAGGTATGCTACGTAATAGCTTATTCTAAGTAGGTTAAATAGACTGGCTTTATCTCAAGTGGCTTACTGTATTAAAAAAGAGTTTAACATATTCAGCTTTACTGCTGAAACACCAGAGGAGTTCTGACACCTCTGATGAGATGATTCAAGTTGGGAATTTTTTCTCTTGACAGCATCAACAAAGAGAGCATTGTGGATGTAGAAGGTGTTGTGAGAAAAGTGAATCAGAAAATTGGAAGCTGTACACAGCAAGACGTTGAGTTACATGTTCAGAAGGTAAGTTTTTTCAAAATATAAAATCGCATATAGAAATAGATTTGGGTTCTAATAGTTTTCATGTCAAATTTATATGTTCTTACTAATTAATGTAAAATACTGAGGTTTATAAATTAGTTACTGAATCAATTAGCTTTTGTTATATAACAAATCACCCCAGTACTTAGTGACTTGAAACAACAAACATTTATTTGCTTACAATTCTGTGATGCACCCAACTGAGATGGCTCATCTGCTCCATGCAACATTGGCTGGGCTCACTGATAAATCTGGCACATCTCTTTCTGTGGCTTCCTCTCATCCAGCAGGCTAGCCCAGATATGTTGATATTCAGGTACCAGGAGGGTTCCCAAAGGCAAGAGTGCGAAACCCTAAGAACAGACACTTTTCAAGCTTCTACTTGTGTCACATCTGCTAAATATTCCACTCGTCAAAGTCACACAGCAAAACTTAGATTTAAGGGGTAGAGAAATAGATTCTAGCCCTTGATGGGAGGAAAAGCAACATGATTGCAGGGGAATATACATGCAGGAGCAAGAGGAAGTATTGCAGCCATTTTTGCAAACAGTCTACCACAGCCACATAGGGAAAAATACAAAACACATCTGAAAAACTACTCACCAATATAAGTGAATAATAATGGACCTATCTTGCTATAAGTTTTTTGATGATGTACTTTTATTTTATTTTATTTTTCAGTTTCCATTTTTACTTTTCCTTTATTTTTATACTTTAAGTTCTAGGATACATGTGCACAACGTGCAGGTTTGCTACATATGTATACATGCGCCATGTTGGTGTGCTGCACCCATTAACTCGTCATTTACATTAGGTATATCTCCTGATGCTGTCCCTCCCCCCTCCCCCCACCCCACTACAGGCCCTGATGTGTGATGTTCCCCTTCCTGTGTCCAAGTGATCTCATTGTTCAATTCCCACCTATGAGTGAGAACATGCGGTGTTTGGTTTTCTGCCCTTGTGATAGTTTGCTGAGAATGATGGTTTCCAGCTTCATCCACGTCCCTACAAAGGACATGAACTCATCCTTTTTTATGGCTGCATAGTATTCCATGGTGTATATGTGCCACATTTTCTTAATCCAGTCTATCATTGATGGACATTTGGGTTGGTATCAAGTTTTTGCTATTGCGAATAGTGCCGCAATAAACGTACGTGTGCATGTGTCTTTATAGCAGCATGATTTATAATCCTTTGGGTATATACCCAGTAATGGGATGGCTGGGTCAAATGGTATTTCTAGTTCTAGATCCCTGAGGAATCACCACACTGACTTCCACAATGGTTGAACTCGTTTACAGTCCCACCAACAGTGTAAAAGTGTTCCTATTTCTCCACATCCTCTCCAGCACCTGTTGTTTCCTGACTTTTTAATGATCGCCATTCTAACTGGTGTGAGATGGTATCTCATTGGTTTTGATTTGCATTTCTCTGATGGCCAGTGATGATGAGCATTTTTTCATGTGTCTTTTGGCTGCATAAATGTCTTCTTTTGAGAAGTGTCTGTTCATATCCTTTGCCCACTTTTTGATGGGGTTGTTTTTTTCTTGTAAATTTGTTGGAGTTCATTGTAGATTCTGAATATTAGCCCTTTGTCAGATGAGTAGGTTGTGAAAATTTTCTCCCATTTTGTAGGTTGCCTGTTCACTCTGATGGTAGTTTCTTTTGCTGTGCAGAAGCTCTTTAGTTTAATTAGATCCCATTTGTCAATTTTGGCTTTTGTTGCCATTGCTTTTGGTGTTTTAGACATGAAGTCCTTGCCCATGCCTATGTCCTGAATGGTAATGCCTAGGTTTTCTTCTAGGGTTTTTATGGTTTTAGGTCTAACGTTTAAGTCTTTAATCCATCTTGAATTAATTCTTGTATAAGGTGTAAGGAAGGGATCCAGTTTCAGCTTTCTACATATGGCTAGCCAGTTTTCCCAGCACCATTTATTAAATAGGGAATCCTTTCCCCATTGCTTGTTTTTCTCAGGTTTGTCAAATATGAGATAGTTGTAGATATGCGGTGTTATTTCTGAGGGCTCTGTTCTGTTCCATTGATCTATATCTGTTTTGGTACCAGTACCATGCTGTTTTGGTTACTGTAGCCTTGTAGTATAGTTTGAAGTCAGGTAGCGTGGTGCCTCCAGTTTTGTTCTTTTGGCTTAGGATTGTCTTCGCAATGCAGGCTCTTTTTTGGTTCCATATGAACTTTAAAGTAGTTTTTTCCAATTCTGTGAAGAAAGTCCTTGGTAGCTTGATGGGGATGGCATTGAATCTATAAATTACCTTGGGCAGTATGGCCATTTTCACAATATTGATTCTTCCTATCCATGTGCATGCAATGTTCTTCCATTTGTTTGTGTCCTCTTTTATTTTGTTGAGCAGTGGTTTGTAGTTCTCCTTGAAGAGGTCCTTCACATCCCTTGTAAGTTGGATTCCTAGGTATTTTATTCTCTTTGAAGCAATTGTGAATGGGAGTTCACTCATGATTTGGCTCTCTGTTTGTTTGTTATTGGTGTATAGGAAGGCTTGTGATTTTTGTACATTGATTTTGTATCCTGAGACTTTGCTGAAGTTGCGTATCAGCTTAAGGAGGTTTTGGCCTGAGACGATGGGGTTTTCTAAATATACAATCATGTCATCTGCAAACAGGGACAATTTGACTTGCTCTTTTCCTAATTGAATACCCTTTATTCCTTTCTCGTGCCTGATTGCCCTGGCCAGAACTTCCAACACTGTGTTGAATAGGAGTGGTGAGAGAGGACATACCTGTCTTGTGCCAGTTTTCAAAGGGAATACTTCCAGTTTTTGACCATTCAGTATGATATTGGCTGTGGGTTTGTCATAGATAGCTCTTATTATTTTGAGATACGTCTCATCTATACCTAGTTTATTAAGAGTTTTTAGCATGAAGGGCTGTTGAATTTTGTCAAAGGCCTTCTCTGCATCTATTGAGATAATCATGTGGTTTTTGTCTTTGGTTCTGTTTATATGCTGGATTACGTTTATTGATTTGCATATGTTAAACCAGCCTTACATCCCAGGGATAAAGCCAGCTTAATGGTAGTGGATAAGCTTTTTGATGTGCTGCTGGATTTGTTTTGCCAGTATTTTATTGAGGATTTTTGCATCGATGTTCATCAGGGATATTGGTCTAAAATTCTCTTTTTTTTGTTATGTCTCTGCCAGGCTTTGGTATCAGGATGATGCTGACCTCATAAAATGAGTTAGGGAGGATTCCCTCTTTTTCTGTTGATTGGAATAGTTTCAGAAGGAATGGTACCAGCTCCTCTTTGTATCTCTGGTAGAATTCAGTTGTGAATCCGTCTGGTCCTGGACTTTTTTTGGTTGGTAGGCTATTGATTATTGCCTCAATTTCAGAGCCTGTTATTGGTCTATTGAGGGATTCAGCTTCTTCCTGGTTTAGTCTTGGGAGGGTGTATGTGTCCAGGAATTTATCCATTTCTTCTAGACTTTCTAGTTTATTTGCATAGAGGTGTTTATAGTATTCTCTGATGGTAGTTTGTATTTCTGTGGGATCGGTGGTGATATCCCCTTTATCATTTTTTATTGCATCTATTTGATTCTTCTCTCTTTTCTTCTTTATTAGTCTTGCTAGCGGTCTGTCAGTTTTGTTGATCTTTTCAAAAAACCAGCTCCTGGATTCATTGATTTTTTGAAGGGTTTTTGTGTCTCTGTCTCCTTCAATTCTGCTCTGATCTTAGTTATTCTTGCCTTCTGCTAGCTTTTGAATGTGTTTGCTCTTGCTTCTCTAGTTCTTTTAATTGTGATGTTAGGGTGTCAATTTTAGATCTTTCTTGCTTTCTCTTGTGGGCATTTAGTGCTATAAATTTCCCTCTACACACTGCTTTAAATGTGTCCCAGAGATTCTGGTATGTTGTGTCTTTGTTCTCATTGATTTCAAAGAACATCTTTATTTCCGCCTTCATTTCATTATGTACTCAGTAGTCATTCAGGAGCAGGTTGTTCAGTTTCCATGTAGTTGAGTAGTTTTGAGTGAGTTTCTTAATCCTGAGTTCTAGTTTGATTGCAGTGTGGTCTGAGAGACAGTTTGTTATAATTTCTGTTCTTTTACATTTGCTGAGGAGTGTTTTGCTTCCAGCTATGTGGTCAATTTTGGAATAAGTGCAATGTGGTGCTGAGAAGAATGTATATTCTGTTGATTTGGGGTGGAGAGTTCTGCAGATGTCTATTAGGTCCGCTTGGTGCAGAGCTGAGTTCAATTCCTGGATATCCTTGTTATCTTTCTGTCTCATTGATCTGCCTAATGTTGACAGTGGGGTGTTAAAGTCTCCCATTATTATTGTGAGGAAGTCTAAGTCTCTGTAGGTCTCTAAGGACTTGCTTTATGAATCTGGGTGCTCCTGTATTGGGTGCATATATATTTAGGATAGTTAGCTCTTCTTGTTGAATTGATCCCTTTACCATTATTTAATGGCCTTCTTTGTCTCTTTTGATCTTTGTTGGCTTAAAGTCTGTTTTATCAGAGACTAGGGTTGCAACCCCTGTTTTTTTTGGTTTTCCATTTGCTTGGTAGATCTTCCTCCATCCCTTTATTTTGAGCCAATGTGTGTCTCTGCATGTGAGATGGGTCTGCTGAATACAGCACACTGATGGGTCTTGACTCTTTATCCAATTTGCCAGTCTGTGTCTTTTAATTGGAGCAATTAGCCCATTTACATTTAAGGTTAATATTGTTATGTGTGAATTTGATCCTGTCATGACGTTAGCTGGTTATTTTGCTTGTTAGTTGATGCAGAAAAGCTGAAAATTCTAAAAATCAGAGTGCCTCTTATCCTCCAAAGGAACGCAGCTCCTCGCCAGCAACGCAACAAAGCTGGACAGAGAATGACTTTGACAAATTGAGAGAAGAAGGCTTCAGACGGTAGATAATAAACTTCTCTGAGCTAAAGGAGGATGTTTGAATACATCGCAAAGAAGCTAAAAACCTTGAAAAAAAGATTAGATGAATGGCTAACTAGAATAAACAGCATAGAGAAGAACTTAAATGACCTGATGGAGCTGAAAACCATGGCACAGGAACTACGTGATGCATGCACAAGCTTCAGTAGCCAATTTGATCAAGTGGAAGAAAGAGTATCTGTGATTGAAGATCAAATGAATGAAATGAAGCAAGAAGAGAAGTTTAGAGAAAAAAGAGTAAAAAGAAACGAACAAAGCCTCCAAGAAACATGGGACTATGTGAAAAGACCAAATCTACGTCTGATTGGTGTACCTGAAAGTGACAGGGAGAATGGAACCAAGTTGGAAAACACTCTTCAGGATATTATCCAGGAGAATTTCCCCAACCTAGCAAGGCAGGCCAACATTCAAATTCAGGAAATACAGAGAACGCCACAAAGATACTCGAGAAGAGCAACTCCAAGACACACAATTGTCAGATTCACCAAAGTTGAAATGAAGGAAAAAATGTTAAGGGCAGCCAGAGAGAAAGCTCGGGTTACCCGCAAAGGGAAGCCCATCAGACTAACAGCTGATATCTCGGCAGAAACTTTACAAGCCAGAAGAGAGTGGGGGCCAATATTCATCATTCTTAAAGAAAAGAAATTTCAACCCAGAGTTTCATATCCAGCCAAACTAAGCTTCATAAGTGAAGGAGAAATAAAATCCTTTACAGACAAGCAAATGCTGAGAGATTTTGTCACCACCAGGCCTGCCTTATAAGAGCTCCTGAAGGAGGCACTAAACATGGAAAGGAACAACCAGTACCAGCCACTGCAAAAACATGCCAAATTGTAAAGACCGTCGATGCTAGGAAGAAACTGCATCAACTAACGATGATGTACTTTTAAAGAATGATTAATTAACTAATTCTTAGTCTTATAATAATTACTTTTCTGATATTTTTTACAACATAGAGAAGTCAAAATAAATAGTACCTTATTGGTCTTATATTCCAACAGTAGCTTCCTTTTTTTTTAAAGAAGACTTATCTCTGATCTGTTTTTTTCTCAGGATTAAAAACTGAAAGAGCTCATTATCATTGACTTAAAATACCATAAGTGTCACTTGAGGTCAGGAGTTCAAAACCAGCCTGATCAACATGGCGAAACCTTGTTTCTACTAAAAATACAAAAATTAGCCAGGCGTGGTGGCAGGTGCATGCAATCCCAGCTACTCAGGAGGCTGAGGCAAGAGAATTGCTTGAACCCAGGAGACAGAGGTTGCAGTGAGCCAAGATCGCACCACTGCACTCCAACCTGCGTGACTAAGTGAGACCCCATCTCAACAACAAAAAAAAACCATAAGTGAATTCACACATATTTAGTACTATTGAAATAACCCTGCCAGTTTGAACCTACAGTGCTCAGATTTAGGTCTAGATTGTATCTACAATATACATCACTAAATTTCTCTTAAGGAGTAGTCTTTAAGACAGCATGGCCTCTTCCCGCCCTGATCCGTGTGCACATGCATGACCATATGTAAGAGTCAGGCAGACCAACAGGCAGACAGATTCAGAGATAGGCCTATATGTACTTACTGATTTAAGAGTAACATTGTATTTAGCTGGAATCTGTTTTCTTGGAACTCTTCAAGACTTACAAAACCTTGTAATTTTTACTGACCTAATTTGACAAATGACTTTGTTGTCTTTGTGTAAGTCTCATCTTGAAACAACCCCACCAGGAAGTTTGTAACCTAGTAAAGACAAACTGACCAAAGAGTAAGAATAAAGATAAATGAATAAACCCATTTATGTTGACCAAGAAAGATAACTCCCACATCTTCCAAGTAACACATCTTTTTCAGTACTTGAATAAAGAAAATTTGGCCAGATGTGGTGGCTCACACCTGCAATCCCAGTGCTTTGGGAGGCCAGGGTGGGAGGATCACTTGACCCCAGGAGTTGGAGGTTACAGTGAGCTGTGATCACACCACTGCGCTCTAGCCTGGGTGACAGAGCAAGACCCTGTCTCAAAACTAAAAAAAAAAAGTGTATGTGTGTGTATATATATATTTCTGTTTTTTTACTAGAAGCAAATGTAGTTTTAAGATATTCTTATTGTCTAGATGTGTGCAATGCAACATTAATAAATATTAGTAATAAATTTTAAGCCAGAAGAGCTTACAGAATTTGCCATAATAAAAATAAAGTATTTCACAAAGCATGAAGTATTACCTACTAAGTAGAATCTTATATAAGTAGTGACTTTGCTTTATCACTTATTTATTTATTCAGCCAGCAGTTACTGTTGATAGGTGCTTTGTGCCAAGCACTATGTGAAGACTCTGGGGTCAGAGTACTCATGGTCTAGTAAAGAGGATGATGAATTCCCACTAGTTATAAAAGTAGAAGTAGCAGCTCTTCAGCTCTCCAGTTTGGATTGGAGATGAAGTTTCTGTTAACTTGTCAAAGGGAATCCTAGAATTTGGGTTTAGGGAGTGGTGACAAATAGTTCTATTTTATAATAAGGAATACTAGAGTATCCTACACTATTTCTTGGAGTATCTAAGCTGAATGCCAATATTGATCTGCCAACTAGAAGAGTATAATTCCCTTTCCTGAAGTAACTAAATAAGGTATTTTTCCCGTTTGTGCTTTAGCAGGTTTTCCAGACATAGTTTGGGTTAACTAATATGATAAAATGGTTTTTAAAGGTAGCCAGAAAAACAAAAAGCAAAAAACTCTAGTTCAGTCTTTATGACCCAGTTGCTTTTTATCACTAAAATGTGAAATTAGTGTGAGTGAATATTGATGGAATTTTTATTTATTTATTTATTTATTTTTTCGAGACAGAGTCTCGCTGTGTCACCCAGGCTGGAGTGCAGCGGCGGGATCTCGGCTCATTGCAACCTCCACCTCCCAGGTTCACGCCATTCTCCTGCCTCAGCCTCCCGAGTAGCTGGGATTGTAGGCACCTGCCACCACGCCCCACTAATTTTTTGTATTTTTTTTTAGTAGAGATGGGGTTTCACTCTGTTAGCCAAGATGGTCTCGATCTCCTGACCTCGTGATCCGCCTGCCTCGGCCTCCCAAAGTGCTGGGATTACAGGCGTGAGCCACCGCGCCTGGCCTATTGAGGGATTTTGACAACATAAAGGAACATCCTCTAGGGCATTTCCTAACCAGGAGACTGGCAGGAAATGAGATGTTTGTAACATGTTTAATGAGAGAGAGCAATGAAGGGGTACTTGAAAGGAGAAAGAATGAGAAAAGAAGTGCAGCAGAGCTGGACTGAATTTGGTCCTAGTGGTGGCAGTGGCAGTGGCGCTGGCCAAATGCTGTTAAAAATAACAAGATGGCCGGGCGTGGTGGCTCATGCCTGTAATCCCAGAACTTTGGGAGGCCATTGCAGGCAGATCACGAGGTCACGAGTTTGAGACCAGCCTGGCCAACATAGCGAAATGCTGTCTCTACGAAAAATACAAAAATTAGCTGGTGTGGCACGTGCCTGTAGTCCCAGCTACTCAGGAGGCTGAGGTGGGAGAATCGCTTGAACCCGGGAGACAGAGGTTGCAGTGAGCCAAGACCACACCATTGCACTCCAGCCTGGGTGACAGAGTGGGACTCCGTCTCAAAAAAAAAAAAAAAAATGATAGCAAGTCATATGTTAATTGCTCCTTCACATGAGTAAAGTGTTTTCACATTTATTATTCTGTTTGATTCTTATAGCAGGCTTTATTTTAATTGAAGCTCTGAGATTAAGTGATTTCCCTAACAATAGCTTTTTTGTGTTTATGTTTGTTTTTGTTTCTGTTTTTGTTTTTTTGAGACAGGGTCTCACTGTCACCCAGGCTGGAGTGCAGTGGTGCGATCTTGGCTCACTGCAACCTCTGCCTCCCAGGTTCAAGTGATCCTTGTGCCTCAGCCACCCAAGTAGCTGGGATTTTAGGCACGTGCCACCATGCCTGGCTAATTTTTGTGTTTTTTGTAGAGACGGGGTTTCACCATGTTGCTTAGCCTGGTCTCGAACTCCTGGGTTCAAGTGATTAACCCACCACAGCCTCCCTAAGTGCTGAGATTATAGGTGTCAGCCACAGCACCAACCCCTAACCATAGCTTTTTTGACATAGCTAGACCGTAAGCCAGTGCCTACACCCCAGTCATTACTTATTACATTGGTAGGCATCTTAAAATTTACAAATAATTTTTATATATGTTACCTTATTTGACTGTTCTAACAACCATAGAGGTAGGCAAAAAATATTATTATCCCCATTTTAAACAAATCATCAAGGTGAAAAAACCTGTATCATCTTGTTTGATTTCAGCAAGTAGTTTCAATTAAAGATGTATGCAAACATTGCTTCATGCTTAAGTCAACTGTAGATTGTTTTTTAAGAAAAAGATGCAGATTTTGTGTGCTTTCTACTATTTTTGGTAATCTCTCACTTACAGATTTATGTGATCAGTTTGGCTGAACCCCGTCTGCCCCTGCAGCTGGATGATGCTGTTCGGCCTGAGGCAGAAGGAGAAGAGGTAAAAATTATACTTATGAAATATTATGCTTCCGCTGTATATTTAGTTTGCAAAACATTGAAAACCTGATGTACTAAGGGTGTCTGTGAATTGATTTTGAGCTCCATTGTTATTTAAACTTACTCTTAAAATCAGCAATTCTCAAACCTTTTGGTATCGAGTTGCCTTTTACATTATTAAAAATAATTAAGAACCCTACAAGCTTTTGTTTTTATTGGTATATATATCAATATTTACAGTATTGGGAATTAAAACATTTTTAAATATTTATTACTTTATTAAAAATTATATATACATTGCATACATGTTTGCATATGTAGTATTATGTAAATAATGAAGCTAATAACATTTTATGAAAAAATTACAGTTGTCCAAAGCAAAAAATAATTATTGTTAAGAGTGACATTGTATTTAGCAGTCCATTGCCTTAACCACTCAGCTCCCTCATCCTTCGGATGACATTCTGTTTATATAACCACAATTCTTTGTGATTTCTGGCTTAATAGACAACTAGATTCTCATATTGCCTCTGCATTCATTCTATTGTGATAATACACATCATAGAATCTTTAGCAGACTGCTCAGTATACTCATGAAGAGTGAAAAACAAAAAGTATTATTATGAAAAAGTAAGTTTGACTTCATCAACTTCTGGAAAGTCTCAGGGACCTTCACTGCTCCCCAGACCACATTTTCAGAACCACTACTCTATGTCAGCTTTTATCTGTTCCTTCAACCTTGGGCTAGCAGGTTAAATCCAGGAATCAATGAAGAAGTGGGTGGTTAATTTTTCTTATATCCCAATAATGAGGCAAGGCTTTGAGGGGTGGAGGAGGGAAAGAACCATTAATATCTGTTCATTCTTTGTCTTCTTTCCATCTCTCTTTTAACGCTAACTTCTCTCTGGCCGCACTTTGTGTTTCTACCATTATCTGATTTTCGGGCATAATATTAACGTACACACATCCTACTCAATTAAAAGTAAACATGGCTTCTAAAAGTATTTTTTGTGCTCTTCAAAATATTAGTAAAATTTATTTTTTTCTTTTCTTTTTTTTTTTTTTTAGGAAGGAAGAGCTACTGTTAACCAGGATACAAGATTAGACAACAGAGTCATTGATCTTAGGGTATGCCTCATTTATTTATTAAGTGAAGCAATTATGCCGCATTAGAGAGGGGCAGGGATACCATACCTGTCTCAGGCTTATAAAGCTAAATGGTATTTGCCTGACTGTAAGTATGATAATACAGGAAACAATTTCCTTTTCTGACTGACCCTTCCCCTAAAAAGAATTGCAGGCAACAGGAGCGGTTAAATACTAGTTAACAGGATATTGACTTTCTTTGTTTTAAAATGACAAATGAATTTGAAGCCAGTAAATGATCTTGCTTCCAGGTGATATCTTTTTTAGACAAGTTATTCAGCAAGTAGAAACATAACCTTTAATATCACTACAAAGTTATGAAAAAAATTACATGCACATTTGAGATCAACCAGGTGGAGATGAGTAATTAATGCTTCAATCCTTTGAATTTGATTGGAGCACCAAATTAAAAATATAGAAGCAGTTGGCTCTGGTGGTTTATGCAGTAGTCTCATGGGTCTTCTGTTTCCCTTTCTGGTTTGGTTGCAAGTGAAAGAGAGTTTAGTGGTTTCATCATTGTTGTAGTAAAACCATTGCATCTTTCTTAATATTTTGACCACATCTTCCTTTTTTACTTAAATATTCTACTCAAGCTCAAATTTTTTGTCACCTTAAGAGTTCTTCTTGGCTATTCTACCATCATGTGAGTCTACCCTTATTATATACTCATGTTATTCCTAATTATTTGCTTTTTGTCTTCTACCTTTTCCATTTTAATTTGTATATGAAAAGCAAGCAGTAATCCAAAGTCCTCTTGATACTACCTAGAAACCTCAGGTTTTTCATGTATGTTGGCCACAGGAGTGAGACATCATTCTTTATTTATTTGCCCTTGCTAGTTGTTCACACAAGTTATTATTGGTTTGTGCCTCTAGAATTTGACCTGAGGAGTTTTTGGGTTTTGGGTTGTATTGTTTTGTTTAAATTCATTGCCACCATTGAAAAATGGGTTTTCACATTAAAATCTGGATGGCACTTCTTAAAAAGAGGAGAATCTGGAACATGAGCTAGCATGCTAGATAGGACATATACAGGATTCTTACACTGTCTTTTGCTTTGCCCTGCACCACCCAGCAAATATCATTCATTTCATTCATTCATGTTATTTGGCCCTTGCAAGCGTTCACATGCTTAACTCTTACTTTGACTTTACATTTTGGGAGATGTTGTGTACATTAGTAACTTTAAGTTTTTAAGCACCTTCGTTTCCTTCTAAACTACTGTCTTGGTTTGGTGCAGTGTCTCACACCTGTAATCCCAACACTTTGGGAGCCTGAGGTGGGAAGAATGCTTGAGCACACGAGTTTAAAACCAGCCTGGGCAACATGGCAAGACCCCTGTCTCCTTAAAAAATTTAAAAATTAGCCAAGTATGATGGCATGCATCTGTGGTCCCAGCTACTCAGGAGGCTGAAGCAGGAGGATTGCTTGAGCCCAGGAGGTTGAGTCTGCAGTGAGCTATGTTTGTACCACTGCACTCCAGTCTGGGCAACAGAGCAAGATCCTGTCTCAACAAATAAAAAATAAACTACTATCTAATTTAGTCCCCAACTAGCTCTTTCATAGACTCTCAGCAAAGTCAAGGGCTAAAGAATTTGGAAATAAAAGGCAAAATTGCCATTCTTCTTCTATAATACAAACGTTCTAAGATATATCCTCCGTCAGGTTCTAGTGTAGCCTGACTTTTTTCTCGTATATGAATGGTTTTCTCTCTGAACTTTACAGGCAGGTGCCCTGATTAAAAATACTTCACCTTCCAGCCCCCAAGAAGGTTAAAGCAATTTTCATTCCTAGAAAAGTGAATTAAAATGTCTTTGGCACCCTTTTCATACATAGCACTCACATAACTCATATTCCAGATTGGCACGGCAAATTAGCTTCATCCTCATAGGTTAGCAGGTTGTTAGGAGGGTTTTCTCAGAATCTATTCAGGAGAGTTCCCTTTAGATCAGAATTGTCCCCTTTATTTCACCTCACTCTTAGGTACAGGTGAAGGTTGTCCTAGGAGTAAATGTTAGTCTTCCCTCTTGAGAATCATTGTTTAAGTACTTTTCCCAAATACAAATGGATTCGTTGGTTCAAAATTAGTCTATTTCTTTTATTTCTTTATCTAGACCCCCTGTACTATAGCTAGTCTACAAAATATTTATTATGTTCGTATTACAGGTTTCTTATACTGTGGAATATGTATTGGTCATCTTCAAAGAACACATCATTTTGTTGGGGAGATAAGACTAGTAGTGTGAGGTCTCCTTAATAGGGATGCCCTCCCTTGGGTTGCCAGGTAAGCATAGAAACTGAGCCATCTTTAAAGGTGAATCATCAGCTCTTTTTTGCCACTTGGTTTCACATGCCAAGGGGATAGACAATTCAGGACTCATGGGCATCCTAACCCTTGAGACCCCATGGCATTCCTAAAGTTCTCTTTGTTTGCTAATACACCACATTATCCTCAATGCTACCTCTGAAATCACACTATCAAATAGCCCCTACTATGTAATTCTGTAACTTTTTTTCCTGAATGTTTAGGTCTATTTTGGCATGCAGGGATTAAGAAAATAGCTATCTGAGCATATATTTTATAGTTCACTAATGAACCCTACTTTGACCCTGTGGGTTAATGAATGAAAAGTATCTGCTATTATGGTGTGGTTTCATCTTATCAATTACATATTTTTGTTTTGAAATTTGTCACCTTTGTCTTCACCATTCTTTTCTCTTGGACAGACTGTTAGCCCCTTAACTCATGTACTTGCCTTGACTTAAGTTACCAGTCTGTCCAAGAGAAAAGAATTACATTCATGGCAAATGCCCCCAGTCAGGCACAACATACCATATACATAATATTCTTGATGAGCTTAAAGTAGCCACACAGCACTCAGGGCAGCCTCCACTAACTGATTGGAAATAAGCCTATTTGCCATATCTCCCTGAAACTTTCTATTAACAAAGCCACAAAACGCTTAAACAAAGAAAAATTAGATAATATCAATAGCCCATCTTCTAACACATTGCCTAGCTCATTACTTTCAATACATATTTTCCAAACTAAAAATTAAAATCTCAACTCTTTAAGAGAAGTTTCGTAATTTTGTAGTATAAGAGATTATCCTGGCAATATAGTTTTAATGCCAATATATTGAAACTTACATGACATTTCAGTGGTTTTGCAGTGTTTTCCCAAGTATGGTACCTTTACCACTGAAGGTACACAGTGATTTCTGGGTGTTAAACAGATGAACATTTTTTATTTTAATAGCTATACAATATAACCAGCAAATAAAATCCATGTTTTCATGGATATTATTGCTTAGAGTTAGTTAAGTTTTAAAATGTGATTTAAAGGAAAATATTAAGTACTAGTACAAGAGATACCCAGTATGACAGAAATGATAGTAGAAGGCAAAAGACAAGTTTAAGAAATGCTGGTTTGTGTCAGCAGTGGGCAGAAAATTGGGGACTCGGGGCTGCCATGAGAATGATAGGTGTTTGATCACCACAGCTATAGGAGTTCTTTGAAAGTAGATCTGGACATTTTGAAATAGTCAAGGGGAGGTGTCCTCAGGGATGTCATAACTGTTGACCTCAAGACCAATGCATCAGTTAGAAAAACATTTTAAGGATGCTCAGCACTGCTATGTATCACAGGGTCCCTCCATAGGACATACATACTTGATCTGCTAGCGTTTTTGTCATACGTTAGAATGAATGAATATGTGTTGGAATGTCTTGACACAGTTAACCTGAACACATACAGCTGGAATCCCCCTGTTGCAGTTGTTATTATATGTAATATAATAGCAATTGCAGACAGCTTGGATTCTTTCTCACAGATATTCCTTTTGTTCAATTAGAAATTCTACATAATTCTGGCCGAGCACAGTGGATCACTTGAGGTCAGGAATTCAAGACCAGCCTGGCCAACATGGTGAAACCCCGTCTTTACTTAAAATACAAAAATTAGCCAGGCGTGGTGGCGGGCACCTGTAATCCCAGCTACTCGGGAGGCAGAGGTTGCAGTGATCCAAGATCACGCCATTGCACTCTAGCCTGGGCGACAAGAAAGAAATTCCATCTCAAAAAAAAAAAAAAAGGAAAAAGAAATTCTGCGTAAATCTGGCCAGGCATGGTGGCTCATGCCTGTAATCCCAGCACTTTGGGAGGCTGAGGCGGGTGGATCACTTGAGGTCAGGAGTTCAAGACCAGCCTGGCCAACATGGCGAAACCCCGTCTCTACTAAAAATACAAAAAAAATTAGCCAGGCTTGGTGGCATGTGCCTGTAGTCCCAGCTACTCAGGAGGCTGAAATCACACCACTGCACTCCAGCCTGGGCAACAGAGTCCTCCATCTCAAAAAACAAAAAAAAAAAGTTCTACATAAATCTGATTTTTTAAAATAATAGTTCCCTTTGGAATTAAATCAGGTATCATTTTAGAAATGTCTTTCCCACTGCCTTTTCTACTATCTCTCCTGACCCCTAGTCCAGCTTCACAGTAGTATCTCTGTAACCTGATAAACCATAAATGAACAGGAATTCTCTACAGCCATTAAAAGCAAAAGATATAGTGGGTATCTTAACTAAGATGATAACTTAAATAGGTATTTTTAAAAGCTACAAGTCTAATACAACATGGAAGTAATTTGTTGTGAGGATTGTAAGGCGCTAAGTACTATTAAAGATTGCTGTATAAAGTTTGGGTTTGTTTGAATTTTTGTCTCCTATCGAAATTCTTTCTCTCAACACCCTTACTTCTCTCCATGTACCTGCCTCTCTTCTCCACAAAAGATATAATTTTGCTTTTTAGTGCTATGAGGACCTCAGGGAAAGGAATTCTATAAATGCAGAATATTGTTTTTCCCTTTATTTCAGATCTTTCACATAATACAGAATAGCAGTGTTTTAATTTTAATAACCATACTTTTGGGAAGTTTGCTATAGAATTTAAAAGTACTATTTTAATATAAGGAATGTCAAGCTTTTTTAGAACTAAAGTTCAAGGACTGGGTTTTTCGTTTTGCTTTTCTAAAATTAATTTTTTTAAGTGTAGAAAAATTAGTTTTCTGCTTTCTGTTTAGTTTATCTTCTACCTCATGCCCTCTGTAATCGCCGTTATCATCTAACACCTAGCCCAGTACTAGGAGGCATATAATAAATATTTGTTTAATGAGTGAGGAGGAAGTATTATTTTTTTTACATATTATGGAATCATTAAAATATTTGTCTGACCCAAAACAATTTTTAGATTTAAACATTAAGGAAACTAATATTATTAGTATGGTTTATAACTTAAATGATAAAGAAGGCCTTTTTCCTGTTCATTTAGGTATCTTAAGGTAAGGGTAAGTATAGTAATGATAAATTAAATATATAAGGTATTTGTACATTCCTTGTCAGTTGAAAATAAGGTTGTTATATATTTGCATTGAAATTAACATATGTTGCATTCATTTTATGTACTATAGTTTAGAAGCATTTAATTTGAGATAGATTTAATATATAATTACCCTATTAAACATACTTTTCTTTTGTTATATACATTCTGTAATCTTACTGATAAGTTGGATCATTGTTGATTTTTACCTTAACCGTCAAATTCTTACACACGTGTAGAAGTCAGTTGTAGTAATCAATATGTAATGGGGAAACAGTTTTAAAATGAGTCTATAAAAAACCGATTTTGTTTCTCTTTAGATGTGTTCTACGCAAGAGTGTCTTGTTTTGATCAGGAGAAGAAAAAATACCATTACCATTTCTTATTTTAACTATATTGTGTTGTTCTCTCATGTAATGATAATGCTTTTTGAAGGAGGAAGAAATGTAGAAAGACAACCCAGCAGTAGGTACAAAAAGTTTCTCAGACTCTGATGCAGTCTGCTTAGTACTCTTCCTCTGCTAAATTAACTGACTAACCTGGGCCTGAGGACATTATTTTCCTCTGAGCAAAGTCAGAGAGTTTACAGGATACTAATCTTACCCGTTTGTCTTGTTCCAACCAGCAGAGATAGCTAGTCTGAATTCGCTCGCACAATGTGATTGTTTGCAGTAATGGGTATTCTTGCTAGTAAGATACATAATCAAAATAGTTGAAGATGTATTTTGAAATATTTGTTTTTCTTTCTTGTTATTTACTTTTAAAGAACATCTTATATTTAGTAATTCCTTTTTGTTTAATTCTTTTCCCATCTACCCCTGTGATTGGTGGTTTTCAAATTAAACCATTTAAAAGCTAGAATCTTCTAGAAAATATTCTCCAGTATGTAAATCCTAGGTGGAAATTAGGATGTATTAGAATTGTCATGTGAATAACTGTTCACTGTCTAATCAAGTAGGTGCCGTCTTCCTATTAGCAAGTGCCTTGAAGAAACTAATGAGAAAAAAATCATTTTTCTTATATATGACAGATCCGTTTTCCCCATAAATGTTACACATTAACATAGTTGTTTGTACAATCAGGAAGTGAAGAAGTACAGTTTTTTAAAAACATAATGGTGAAATTTCTATTCATATTAAATAATCTATGACAACCAGTTCATAAGTTTAATTTCCATTTAGCAAGATGTTGAAGTGAGTTTAGGCCAGGCGTCGTGGCTCACACCTGTAATCCCAGCACTTTGGGAGGCCGTGATGAGCAGATCGCCTGGGGTCAGGGGTTCAAGACCAGCCTGGCCAACATGGTGAAACCCGGTCTCTACTAAAAATACAAAAATTAGCTGGGCATGGTGACGGGCACCTATAATCCTAGCTACTCAGGAAGCTGAGGCAGGAGAATCACTTGAACCCAGGAGGTGGAGGTTGCAGTGAGCCAGGTTTAGTTGAACTAGCTAAGAGGCAAGCGGCAATAAAATGTATTCAGTGACCCTCTTATAGAATATATTCTAAGTGAAATACATCTCTGTACATTTGTCAGTAACAGTGAAACAGCTTTTTGCTAAATAGGTCACTAGGCTTTTGAAAGCAGAAGATTATGCCATTTGTTTTGATTGGATGAACCAGACGTTTCACTAAACCACATAATGTGAAAAAAATGCAAGTCTTTTTCTATAGTTTAAATGTAGACATCTTGAAAATGAGTAAGTAATCTAATAAATTATAAAGACCTTTGAAATGGTTTTATTGTTTTATGAGAAACTATTGATTTGTAACTTTGAATGTAAGTTATAAAATAATGTTACTTAAATATGACCAGTTTACATGAATGTTTTTATCTGATCTGCAGAAATTCAAGATTATTTAAATATCATTCTTTAGAGTGAAAGAAATGTAATCATTCCATTAACAGTGTTTTCACAGGGTACTACTGTGTAAATGCAGAAGGGGTGAGCCCTTTGATATGGGAGAAGTAATTGAAATTCTCGTAATGAGACTAAGAAGACACCTTCTTCACCTAACTCAGTTATTCACAGCTAACTTAGTGGTTTGAGGTCACATGTTTTACTAAACACCTACCTAGTCATAGGATAGCTATTTTTTAAAAATATAATAAGCCAGGACCTAAAGATAAGAAGTCACTTCTTTTGACCAGAGAAGTGGACAAAAGTTAGTCTAAAGTAGAGATAATTACCTCTAGAGCTTTCTGGTCACCATCACAACTGATTGAGGCTAAAAGTAAATAGGAGGACCAGAGAAACTGAGAAAGAAAGGAGGGAAAGAGAGAGAATAGAAAGAACAGGCAACTGTGCTGCACAGTTGGAGCGCTACTATTGTTTTATGTACCACATTGGAAATCAGTGTCATGGGATGCCTACCCCTTTTATTGTATTTTTTTCTTTTTAATTTCTTAATCTAATTGAACAAATACACAAGTATCTGCAATTGTATTGTTGTAATGGTTAAAATAAAAATACATGGTTTTTATTCATTTATTGTCAAATACCAAAATCTTACTTAGAACATTAGTATGCTGCACAAACATTGCTATGTCTCACTTTATGGGTTGGTTGCCTTTAAAAAAAACAGACCATTCACAAGTAAGTTGTTTCACTAATTGTTAAGAAACATTTTTCTTTTATGGAATTCCTACAAATTAAAACATCTGCTCACTAAGGATTTCCGGTGAAATTCCTTTATATGATCATATATAGTCATTGTATTCCAGCATGCCTTTTTGCCTTGTATTTATTCGTGTCCTTTCGTCTTCTCTCCAATTATTAGAATTTAAAAATGTTGAAAGCAAGAATTGTTAGGTTTCCACAGTGCCTAGCCCACAGAGTTAGTGCTTAGTAATTAAGTACGTTGATTTAATTAGATTTTATTACTGTCTTCTAGACATCAACTAGTCAGGCAGTCTTCCGTCTCCAGTCTGGCATCTGCCATCTCTTCCGAGAAACTTTAATTAACAAAGGTTTTGTGGAAATCCAAACTCCTAAAATTATTTCAGGTATGCTTCAAAATATTTCTCTTAATTTTTAAAAATAAATTTGCTCTCCCCAGAGTTGCTTTATATTAATAAAATTTTTAACTTGAGAATCCCAAGTGTCCATTAAGGTTTATTGCCATGAGACTACTATTTTGAAGACCATCTTATATAGCAACAATCATATATCACCAACCTTAATAAGTACATTTTCTTATTCCAGGAGTCCTTTTGTGATAATGATTGTAATGTGAGGCAGTAACACACAAAGCAAGATTCTTGTTACAGAACTTACACCAGGAACTACTTTCATTATATAGATTTCTTTTGAAATTAGTATTGCAGTTTTGTTTTGTATAAACTGCATTGTAAAATCAGTAAATACTAATGATGGGAAAATTTCCTTAATTCTTGTTGCCCAGGCTGGAGTGCAGTGTTGTGAATTCGGCTCACCGAACCTCCACCTCCCAGGTTCAAGCGATTCTCCTGCCTCAGCCTCCCGAGTAGCTGGGATTACAAGCATGCACCACCACGCCGAGCCAATTTTGTATGTTTAGTAGATACAGGGTTTCTCCATGTTGGTCAGGCTGGTCTCGAACTCCCAACCTGAGGTAATCCATCTGCCTCGGCCTGCCAGAGTGCTGGGATTACAGATGTGAGCCACCACGCCTGGCTAATTCTTATTCTTGTATGAGAATCTTGTCTTAATCATTTTACCCTTTTTAGATTTGTTTAACACTAGAAAGTGTGTTACAAATGGCATTTTGTTACAAATTCACAATTGAACATTGCATTCTTAATAATTAGAAAAATGATTATTCCAGGCTGGGCGCAGTGGCTCATGCCTGTAATCCCAGGAGTTTGGGAAGCCGAGGTGGGTGGATCACGAGGTCAGGAGTTCGAGACCAGCCTGGCCAAAATGATGAAACCCCGTCTGTACTAAAAATACAAAAACTAGCCGGGCGCGGTGGTTGACGCCTGTAGTCCCAGCTACTTGGGAGGCTGAGGCAGGAGAATCGCTTGAACCTGGGAGGCGGAGGTTGCAGTGAGCCGAGATCGTGCCACGGCATTCTAGCCTGGGTGACAGAGCAAGACTCCATCTCAAAAAAAGAAAAGAAGAATGATTATTCCAGCTCCTGGGGAAATTTTTTTAAAAGAGGAAAAATGATGAAGAATATATTTTTTCATTTTAAAAAAAAAATTTTAACAACTCCAAAGGGGCTTTAATAGTTTTGAAATTGATGCAGAAAGGGAGCATATATATCCACAGAAGTGAAATAAAAGCATAGCCAAAGAAGTAAATCTGGTTTAAATATAAACTATTTAGAATCACATAGAAGATGATGTATATAGACTGTGATTTAGCCACAATTCTTCATTTTCCAGTTTTTGTTAAAGTGAGTTACCTGAGTATAAACTTTTTAACTAGAGGTTTGCATTGATAAGTTTACAATTGATTATAATAATATAAATATAAATGTTTACCTTTCAGCTGCCAGTGAAGGAGGAGCCAATGTTTTTACTGTGTCATATTTTAAAAATAATGCATACCTGGCTCAGTCCCCACAGCTATATAAGCAAATGTGCATTTGTGCTGATTTTGAGAAGGTTTTCTCTATTGGACCAGGTAAGATTTTGGCAGTTATGTTTTATCCAAGTTAATTAATTATACAGCAGTTATAATTTTAGAAACATTTTACTTATATAATGTACAGACACTTTGAAAGCTTAAATTATTTTATCTGCTGACTACACAAATGCTAGACTTTGAGTTAGAGATAATATATTTGGGTAGACATTTTCTTAAAAGTAATAGTAATAATAATATGGTCAATAGTACTTTAAACAGTTGAGCATCATTCCATGTGAATACAATTATAAACATATGTATTCTTACAGAGGAATGCTGAAGAAAATTTTTATCTTGAGAATATGTCATTTTAAAAATGCGTTTCTTGAAAATATACACCATCTGAAATATACCTAAGTATATATTTTAATATACCTCAGTGCAGTTAGAACAGAATTAGCTCCCATTTGGACTCTTTTCAGCTCCCTATCAGCACTGAAGAGCAGGTAGTTGCAGTGGTCAAAGAAATATATGTTTTTGTCCTTTATAATTTCTTACTCCTGTAAGTTTACAGTGTACCTCTGTCTAATTTGCTATCAATTTTATTCCAGAGCTGTTCTGTTTCACTATTTTGTTTGTATTGTCCTTACTATTGGTAATGTGCTGATGTCCATTAGAAACTACTAACAAATATGTTATATTTAATAAATTATATTAATATGGTTTTTAAGAAATGTTTGCTAAAAGTCAAGCACAGGCACATAATCATGTGGCAAATTCTTTTTTGAAGCTAATTGTAAGTGAAAAGCCAGCGTTACTTTATTTAACACTTACCAAGTTATTTTATATATGTTTTTTGATACCTTAATAAAAATTAAATACTTGCTAATAGAGAAACTGGCAAGATCATTAAGGGTCTTAATTTTCTGAATTTATTAACTAGTTATTTGTTGAACACCTGCTGCTTATATAACCTTGTGCTAGGTACCATGTACATAAAAGAAGAACCAGCCAGCACTTCTCAAATGTTAATATGCACACAGATTACCTGGAGATCTTGTTAAAATACAGATTCTGATCAGTAAATCTGGGGAGAGGTCTGAGATTCTGCAGTTCTCACAAGTCCTGGGTATTGTTGATGCTGCTCATTTCCAGATCATGCTTTGAGTGATAAGGGAATCAATATTGTGCCTGCTCCCAAGACTAAGACATACATACATATCACAGTCATAGGGAATAATCAAATAATTTTCACAATGAATGATCAGATTGTCCTATACCATCAGCAAATGGGTGTTAATTATGTAGTATAAATAGTAACTGTAAAAAGAGAGAAAATGGAGTTTGCTAGAGTCACCATAAAAGAAAATTCAAACTGAGATGTACTTTAAGGACAAAGTAGGATATATAGACAACAGAGATGGAGTTCTAGACAGGAAGCAGAGTAAGTAAAGAGCAAGAACTACACAAGAAAACAAAAATAAGACAAGTTAGTATTAAGAAGTGAGAAATATAGGTTAGGATTAACTTACGAAAGCATAAAGGTTTTAGGGTTTTTTTGGTCATTTTATGTCTTACTACAGTAGTCATTTGGGAACCATTGTAAGTTTCTGAGCAAGGATGTATTATAGGAATATTAGTGATGTGAAAGATGAGTCGAACTAGAGTCAAAAAGACTGGACAGGAGGAAAAGGCACTGAGGATATTAAGGCTGGACTGGATATTAGCTGGACTGAGCTAATGGCTCTTAATATCCTCAGTGCCTTTTCCTCCTGTCCAGTCTTCCTGACTCTAGCTCGACTCATCTTTCACATCACAAATATTCCTATAAATGACTACTGTAGTCAAATGGAATACGTATGTTACTTTATTGGTAGAGTTTCACTTAGTTTGAGTCAGGTTTTAATAAAATTGAGAAGAACTCACTATCTTGGTCATAATTGAATATATTTTTAAATATTGAGAAGACACCTCAGGATCTTGCATTCCCCCAGGGTTCTCATGAACCTCTCTTATTAATTTACATTTGGTACGGCTTTTATTGCACGACCGTAGGAGTTTATAATGAACTTGCTGTCCAAGATAATGCTCAAACAGATGGTTCATCAGAGGTCCTTCCAGCCCTGTAATATGAAAATAATACCACTGGAATCCAACTAAATAAAAGTTTGTATTTAAATCCCTATTTATCCAAAATTGAAATCAGTGTTTGCTCTCTATTTCTTTTATTAACTTCACAGTATTCAGAGCGGAAGACTCTAATACCCATAGACATCTAACTGAGTTTGTTGGTTTGGACATTGAAATGGCTTTTAATTACCATTACCACGAAGTTATGGAAGAAATTGCTGACACCATGGTACAAATATTCAAAGGACTTCAAGAAAGGTAAAAAGTATTTTATGCACCTAGATGGACTTAATTTCAAATGTTTGGGCCCTTTAAAAAAAAAATTCTTCAATTTAAACATACAAACTTAAGTTTCTATGAACATATATATAAAGATTTACCAGTTAGATGATCCATTTAATTGGTTGGAAAAATCTACACTCAGAATACTGCTTCTGGATCCAAATCATTTGGGGGCTCAACTAATTAACCTCTATTGTGCTAGTAAATTTACCACATTGTGAACAGTCCAACTGTATTTTGTTGTTGTTTTTGTTTCCTTTATACTGACATCCCGAATGTCTCAAGAAATACAGCATGTGTTTCTTTTAACAGTTTATTTGGGAAACAGTATGAGGGTAGTGTGTAAGAGGTTGGATTCAGCAACATCCAGATAGCCTGAGTTCAAATCCCAGCTCTGCTCCTTCTCTGTGTGGGCCTTGTGCAGGTTATTTAATTCTGTGCCTCAGTTTCCTCAGCCATTAAGTGGAAATAGCATTATTACCCACCTCAGAGGCAAAAAGTTCCTTCAGTCAACTGAATCTGTCGACATGTAAATTAAGCCTGGTCAAATATGGTTAATTCTTAAATCAATTTATATTTACATTAAGTGCTCAGTAAAGATTAGAAACTAGTAGACTGAACGGATATTTAAATCTATTTGGATCTGATGAATTAACATTTATAGAAATATTAGATGTGTTCTAGATGTTCAGAAAATTGAATCATGTAGAATGTGCACTTCACCTACACCCTCTAAACTGGCAAAGAGCTCTTCCCTTTACAGGTCATTGAAAGTTGTTTATTTATGATGATGTTTAACATAGAGAAAATAGGAAAAGAAAATAGAACCGAGTCAAGTTGATTAAGAAAGTCTCTATTTTTCCCTCTTTCTGTATTTGTGACTATATTTCAAGTATTAGGTAAGCTATAATAGTCTAAGCTAGCATTTTAATAAGTGACAGAAGATCATATTTAAAATTTTTATTTGAAGACCAGCAATTCAACTATTCCTTGTTGATGTATTTGATATGTTTCATTGGTATTTTAAAAGAGTTCAAAAATACGAATTTTATTTACTGCATTGCAGGGCTAATGAGTATGTTTAAGAATGTAGAAATTGGCCTGGCAAGGTGGCTCACGCCTGTAATCCCAGCACTTTGGGAGGCTGAGGCAGGCGGATCACTTGAGGTCAGAAGTTCAAGACCGACCCGGCCAACTTAGCAAAACCCCATCTCTACTAAAAATACAAAAATTAGCTGGGCATGGTGGCACGCTCCTGTAATCCCAGCTACTTGGGAGGCTGAGGCAGGGGAATCACTTGAACCTAGGAGGCGGAGGTTGCAGTGAGCTGGATCACGCCACTGCACTCCAGCCTGGGCAACAGAGCAAGACTCTGTCTCAAAGAAAAAATAGAATGTAGAAATCAATCACTGATCTTAAGAATACTGTAGCATAAGTGCCAGTATTTCCAGGCATTCTCTGCAGCTTTGTACCTTTGATAGCTAGTTAATTGCAGACAGCCTTTTTCTTTTTATATCTTTGTTCTCTAAAACATTTTGATGCAGTTTATTTTAATCAGTTTTCAATGGTTCATGGAACAACTGATAACATTTTCCTTATAAGACAAAATATACTTTAGAACTACAATGAAGGAGCACACACAGCTTTTCTCATTTTCTGTTCGCATTTATAATCCAAGAAAGTTTCAGAAACTCATTTTTTAAAAATACTGATAGCTTCTCCATTAAATAATAGAGTTTGACATTTCCACTTTGATTTTTATAACAACAGACCAAGCATGAATTTGAGTCCTTGGGATTAATCAAATCTCTACTTACAAATTAGACTCAAACGCCATTACTGCTGAACTTTTTCAGTAGAGTTAAGGTGGCAATTTGAAAATAAAAACCTTCTTTGTATGTTCTTCAAGTCATTTAGGAATTTTAAGTTTTGGTGTCAGGGCTTGTTTATTGGGTTATCTGACCTGTGTCATGTTCCTCTCGTGTTTATCATTAGTATTTACCTCTCATAGAAAAATACATATACAAATGTATTTGTATTCTATTGTATGTATATGTATTGTATATATATCCAAATATATATGTGTATAAAATACATATATAAATGTATTTTAAAGTATTGATAGTCATATTTTTGTACTACCATTGATAGACATGATGAATGGGAGTTGATATATAAAGCAAAGAAAAGCTATTTAAAAATCATTTGGGAGCTGGGCTCAGTGGCTCATGCCTGTAATCCCAGCACTTTGGGAGGCTGAGGTGGGCAGATCAGGAGATCAGGAGTTTGAGACCAGACTGGCCAGCATGGTGAAACCCCATCTCTACTAAAAGTACAAAAAATTAGCCAGGCATGGTGGCACACGCTTGTAGTCCCAGCTACTTGGGAGGCTGAGGCAGGAGAATTGCTTGAACCCAGCAGGCAGAGGTTGCAGAGAGCCGAGACAGCTCCACTGCACTCCAGCCTGGGCAACAGAGCAAGACTCCGTCTAAAAAAATAAAAAACAAATTTAAAAAAATCAATTATGGGGTCTTTTTAACCCTTCTTACATCAAGATTTTAATAAATCAATGGCTAAGCTTTATTATTCCCACGAAAGCCTGTAAGACCAATCAAGAAATGATAGTGTTTTAATTTCGAGAATATAAATTCTAGGCCGGGCATGGTGCACATCTGTAATCCTAACACTTTGGGAGGCCGAGACGGGCAGATTGCTTGAGCCTAGGAGTTCAAGACCAGCCTGGGCAACATGGTGAAATCCCATCTCTGCAAAAAGTAACAAAAAATTAGCCGGTCATAGTGGCACATACCTGTAGTCCCAGCTACTCAGGAGGCTTCAGGTGGGAGGATCGATTAAGCCCAGAAGGCCGAGGTTGTGGTGAGCCAAGATTGCACCACTGCGCTCCAGCCTGAGCAACAGAGTGGGACCCTGTCTCAGAAATTAAAAAAAATAAAAATAGAATGTAAATTCTAGGTAAAGAATTCTATATATAAAATACAAACATACTTTTTTCTGTATATAGAATATAAACATACTTTTTTCAAGTCTGTTAATTATGGAAAAATTTCAAACACATACAAAAGGATGTGCAATAGTCTAATGAGCCCCCATGAACTCATCAACCAGTTTCAGTCCTTGTCAACCTGTGGCCAATTGTGTTTACCCATTTCCCTCATTCACTATTATTTTGAAGCAAATCCCAGCCATCATTTAATACATAAATACTCCAGCAAAAATAGACATTTTTTTCTTTTTCTTTTTCTTTTTTTTGAGACGAGTCTTGCTCTGTCGCCCAGGCTGGAGGGCAATGGCCGATCTTGGCTCGCTGCAGCCTTCACCTCTCAGGCCCAAACAATTCTCCTGCCTCAGCCTCCCGACCACACCCAAATAATTTTTGTAGTTTTAGTAGAGATGGGGTTTCACCATGTTGGCCAGACTGGTCTTAAACTCCCGACCTCAAGTGATCCTCCTCCCAAAGTGCTGGGATTACAGGTGTGAGCCACTGCACCCGGTCAAAAATAGACCTTTTAAATCTCAATAAAATATCATCTTCCATAGCAGAAATTCAGCTCAGTGCAGTAAACATTGTCCTGTACCTTCTATATATATAGGGTAGGCATTGTACTATAGAGATTATCAAAATGGGAAAGAAACTGGCACTCCCCTGAACATACAGTGTAATACTGATGGGGGAAGATAAGACAAATACTCATTAATTTGGTCTTCCTCAGTGATAACAAGAATTGTTAAAGGATTAAAAAGTCAGATTTTTGTAATGCTTCATAAAATGGGCATTTTATATTTCTAACCATATTAACTGATATGAATTATAAAGAAAATTTTTAATCCTTTGATGTTACTGTGGTTACAAAAACGAGATTGAAAAATGGTGTTAAATATTTTAAGTATTTAAATTTCATTCTTTAATAATTTGATAATGCTTTTCCTGGTGTATATACTGATTCAAAGATTGATTTTTGTATATTGCCACAGTGACCTCTTGTGGGGGAAACATTTATCTCATACATTTTATTAACTAAATCATTCTGCAAATAGGTTTCAGACTGAAATTCAAACAGTGAATAAACAGTTCCCATGTGAGCCATTCAAATTTTTGGAGCCAACTCTAAGACTAGAATATTGTGAAGCATTGGCTATGCTTAGGGAAGCTGGAGTCGAAATGGGAGATGAAGACGATCTGAGGTTTGTCTTTGTGGCTTTTTTTTTACTTTAAGTTCCAGGATCCATGTGCAGAACGTGCAGGTTTGTTACATAGGTATACATGTGCCATGGTGGTTTGCTGCACCTATTGACCCGTCCTCCAAGTTGTCTTTGTGATTTTTAAAACCTTGGTAATTTGGTTTAAGATAAGAAAAAATGAAAATATTAATAAATGATTTTTTTCACCTGATACACTTACATTTTATTAACTTTGGTATACAGTATGATGCTCTTTTATATAATGTGTGATCTGAAATAAAAGTGTTTACTATAGTTTGCCTAAGTTTTCATAATTTTGTTTATAAACACCATTTTCCATTATTTTCCCCTCATGTTTGTAACTCTTTAAAGAGTATAGAGAGTTTTGCCTGTGATTTTATCTTCTAATATGTTACTTCTCTTTCCAGATTAGTGGTATTAGAGAAGGTAGACAGCAGTCTAAATCCATCCCCACACAGGATCGGGGTATAAACTGTTAACATCCAAAAGTTATAAAAGTCAATATTGTTTATATAGTGTCATACATACTATATTATATATAGTATTTAGTATAGTATTATCTAAATTTAGATCATACGACTTATAATTTTGAAACAAATTATGTAGTTTAATAAAGATTGAGGCTGGGCATGGTGGCTCATGCCTGTAATCCCAGTACTTTGAGAAGCCAAGGTAGGAGGATCATATGAGCCAGGATTTCGGGACCAGCCTGGACAACACAGAGAGATGCTGTCTGTACAAAAAAATTTAAAATTTAGCTGAACATGGTGGCACACACCTGTAGTCCCAACTACTCCAGAGGCTGAGGCAATTGGATCACTTGTGCCCAGGAGTATCAAGGCTGTAGTAACCCATGATCATGCCACTGTACTCCAGCCTGGGTGACAGAGTGAAAGCCTGTCTGTAAAAAATAAATAAACAAAACATGTAAAGGTAATTTCTATCTACTTATATTTTATTCAAGACTTCCTTGAATGATTCCTTTAAACCATCACAATACATGTGTATTTAGGAGGGAAAGGAAATGATTATTGTCACTTTTTAGGGTTTCTCAAAAAACAATTCACCCAAAACCCTTTATTTTTGTTTAACAAAAAAAAATATATATATATGGCTTTAAATATTGCCTACATTGCTAGATGACATTTTAAGGCAAGATGAAAATCCTATAAGCTTAGGTAGTATTTTTTTAAGTATTTTAGAAATTGTTTTTACATAAGATAGAAGCTGAAGTAGCTACCTCTTGGCCATAGAAATGTAACGTGTTTATATAAACACTTTTAAAACCTTGGATAATACTAATTTTTATTTCATAAACCATTGATAAAGAGTACCAAAAAGGGAAGATTATTTCATGGCAAGACTAGCCCATATTAGTATAGCGAACTTTTATTATGTGTAATTGTAGGAAATTACTTCATCCATGATATTTCTGAATCAATGAATTGCTATATTCTGTTTATTGCTTTAATTAAATATTTGAGCAGCATCTACTAAGCACTGAGTCACTGTACCAAGGTATACTCATAAGTGATTTTCAGTAGTACTTGCCTTTTAAGAAAAGAGCAGAATAGACAACTGCGTGTTCTGGCCAAATTTTGTAATCCCTTGAGAAACTCAAATAGAAGAAGTTCCTTATTAATGTTTTTAAGTTGCCATTTGATCTTCAAACACTGATTTCACGTTTCTTTTTCAGCACACCAAATGAAAAGCTGTTGGGTCATTTGGTAAAGGAAAAGGTAGGACTCTTTATATGCTGGATTTCTTTTTCTAATTCTGAAATGTCTCTTGGGACTAAAAACAATTGCAGAGGGGTCTGAGCTTCCTAGAATGGTATGATTCTGGAATAAATAAAAACCGAAGAAGGACAACATTAAAAAAATTTTTTTCTTAGAAAATTGAGAAATATTCAGACAGCCTGCCTTTCTCCCAGATGATCTGATTAACTCAGTATTTAATATTTTTACGAAGTTGTTCTGAGGTGTCTCTAAAAGTGATACCTATGTCGGATTAGTTGGAAATGACCTCCAAGTTATTTGAAAATTATTTAGAAATGGTCTTCCCTGTGTACCCCTGCTGTCTCATGAGACTTCAAGATGAATGAGGTTCCTCTCTCCCTCTTATGTAATAGCTACTTTCCAATCTCATTTTCTAAAACCAAGACTCCAAAGAGGATAAAAGCTAAACTTAGTATGATCTTTTTAAAATTTTTAAGATAATGATATAATGAAAAGGAAAATTAGTCCTTGAGCTCCTCCTACTGGTGGCAGTTGAAACTGTTAGACTAGAGAACTGATATTTCTGAAGTCATACAATATTCAGTTTATACCTTTAAAATGCTGTTTCAGCAGAGCCAGTTTCAGTTTGTCAGCTATTAACATCCTCATCTCAAGTTTTATCAAAAATGTTGAAAGTCAAAAACTGTTGGAATGTAATTTTTTTTTTTTTTGAGACGGAGTTTCGCTCTTGTTGCCCAGGCTGGAGTGCAATGGCACTATCTTGGCTGACTACAACCTCCACCCCCTGGGTTCAAGCGATTCTCCTGCCTCAGCCTCCCGAGTAGCTGGGATTACAGGCGCCCACCACCACACCCAACTAATTTTTTGTGTTTTTAGTAGAGATAGGGTTTCACCATGTAGGCCAGGCTGGTCTCGAACTCCTGACCTCAGGTGATTCACCTACCTTGGCCTCCCAAAGTGCTGGGATTACAGGCATGAGCCACCGCGCCGGGCCCTCAAATGTAATTTATTTATTTTTAATTAAATCTAGGTCACATAGTAAGCATTCTCTAAAAAAAGTCATAATTTCAAGTTAATGTCATTTATTTCTTTCAGTTGTAGCATTCATTTGAAGAAAACTACCAAAATCTCATGTATATATCTAGATAAAAATTTAAATTCTTGGGAAGATAATCCATGTTTTTCAATGATGGATATTGTAAAATACATCAAATTTCCCAAAATAATTCATGGACTTAATATAGTTTCTATAACAATCAAAAGGATTTGAGATAATTTTTTTCATTATAAAATGCATCAGAATGACTAGATGAACTAGAATAACAAAGAAAAAAGTAAAAATCAAAGATGTTTATCAAAGTGTAATTTAGAATGGGGGAGAAATTAGAAAGGGCTTACATGTTCAAAAAAAAAAAAAGGAAAAAAATGAATATTTAAACCGTAGGCCTGGCACTGTGGCTCATGCTTGTAATTCTGGCACTTTGGGAGGCCAAGGTAGGAGGATCATTTGAGGCCAGGAGTTCAAGACCAGCCTGGGCAAACATAGCGAGATTCCATCTCTACAAAAAATTTTAAAAATTAGCCAGGCTCCTGCTTAAGCCATGATCTCATCATGCACTCGAGCCTAAGCAACAGAGCAAGACCCCATCTCTTAAAAAAAAAAAATTTAAAAACTATGGATAATAAGTAATGCCTAAAAATTAGGTATTGCAAGAATTTATGACACCATGGCAAAATGCTGTAGGATAAAAATGTTACTGAAAAAAGCAAGATATTCATTGTATATACAATATAATTAGAGTAATTACGAAGAACCAAAATTTTTGTATAAAGTTAATTACCAAAATGTTAGCCATTTTACTTTTTAAAAATGTATTTTAATTGCATTTATTCTTTTTATAGTATGATACAGATTTTTATATTCTTGATAAATATCCATTGGCTGTAAGACCTTTCTATACCATGCCTGACCCAAGAAATCCCGTAAGTAATTTGGTTTTAAGTAACCCATTTTGAGGCAGAAGGGAAATTTTATTGTCACTGTCAGATTGTATAATAGGAATAATGGTTTTCATTAATAATTTGCAGTTTTGATAGACATACGTATTACCATTGATGTCTGTCACCACTGGTCAAAATGATATTGTAAAATTTGAATATTCTAGAAAATTAGTTTTAAAAACCTATGTTAAAATCATTTTACTTGGTCATTTTTCTGAAGATTTATGAGAGAGAAAGACTATGTAAATTATAAATAGTACTACTAGATTTGCATACTTTAGTAAATCATCCTGTCATTGACCTTAAACTGGGAATTCACATTGTATCCTGGGAGTTAATAATCTAAATAATGTCTTACGGTCTTTTACCGTTTTTCCATTGCAGTGGTTTCTAAACTTTACCATGCATCAGAATCACCTGGAGGGCTTTTTAAAACACCAGTTGCTGAGGCAGAATTTCTCATTAGTTGCTGTGGAATGGGAGCCTGATAATTTGCAGGCCCCACTCCAGACCAAGTAAAAAATTTCTGGTAATACTGAAGCTACTGGTCCAGGAATCACACTTTGGGAACCACTGGTTTATTGAAAGACAGGGGATTAAAGTAAAAATAATAATAATTTAAAGACTCACACCTGTTAATAACTTGGAGTTCCAAAAGTCACCCCAAAATAATATCATTCTTAAAAACATCTCAGATGATAAAGTGAAATAAGGATCAGCACTGCTTCTTAAAAATTAGATGTGATGCTCTGATTTGTTATTGGGGGGTGTGGGAGGAGAGCACAGAATCTGATATAAACAAAGAAAAAGTTATTCAGCCCTCAGTAGTTTAATTCTACTTTAGAGAACAAGATTGCATTGTTAATTGTAGGAAAAAATGAACTTGCTCTTCATGCAGCAGAGATTTTTTTCCGTATATATGTAATAGAAATAGGATGGTAGTCACTTGAGGACTGGTGTTTTTTCTCTTGCAGAAACAGTCCAACTCTTACGATATGTTCATGAGAGGAGAAGAAATATTGTCAGGAGCTCAAAGAATACATGATCCTCAACTGCTAACAGAGAGAGCTTTACATCATGGAATTGGTAAACAACTTAAAATAATTTAGGGGAGTGTATATTCTGAAAATAATACATTGTAAACATTTAAAAGACTTCTCAGTCTTTTTAAAAATCTCCATTGAACAGTAATTGCTTTTGTGACCTTTTAAGATAAATAAGATGATAAATTATATTTTGTTTTGTGTCTTTTTGCAGATTTGGAGAAAATTAAGGCTTACATTGATTCCTTCCGCTTTGGAGCCCCTCCTCATGCTGGTGGAGGCATTGGTAATATTCTGTTATTGCTTACAAATAAGTTCATAAGTTCTAAGTATAATACAAATTTGAATTACAAGAATTTTTAAAAGTGAATTACGACATAAGTGAAAATTTGATTTCCAAGAAACAAAATAAACAGCTAACTTGTGTGTTATAAAATATTATTGTCATAAAGTTCTAGCCATTTTTTTTCTCTTAAGAATTTAGAAGCCAAATGTCTTGTAAGTGGAGTATCCTGTTTTCTCTCTGCTGCTGTGAGTTCATTCGCATTAGCACAAATTAAAGCTCTACCTTAAAATAGCTCAAAGAGCTGCTAAGTGTTTTTATTGAGATGCAGCACTTGATTCACTTTAAGATCACTTCTACAGTATATGTAAGGGACTGCTCTGCAATTTAAAATGAGCAAATATTTAACTCATCTTTGGATGTCCATATCAAACACTCTTAAAAAATTTTTTGAATGTATAGTTTCATTGAAGTTTTTATTTGTTGTTTGTTTTGGGGTTTTTTGGAAAATACAAAATGTACTTACAAAATTTTCAAATTAAAATTGGTCGAGAGACAGTTTTTTCAACAGATGGTACAGAAAAAACTAATGTCCATTTGCAGAAGATTGAAATTAGACCCTTACCTAACATCATATACAAAAATTAACTCAAAATGGATCAAAGGCCTAAATGTAAAACCTACATATAAATGGCCAATAGGTATATGAAAAAATGCTCAACATCACTAAACATTAGGGAAATATAAATTAAAACCTCAATGAGATAACCATCTCACACCTCTGGCTGTTAGTAAAAAGGTAATGGATAATTGTTGGTAAGGATGTGGAGAAAAGGGAATCCTTGTTTGTAAATAGTTGATGGGAATGTAAAATTGGTACAGCCATTATGAAAAACAGGATGGAGATTCTTCTAAACATTACAAAGAGAATTACCATATGATTCAGAAATTCCATTTCTGGTCTTACATACCAAGGGAAATGAAATCAGCATGTTGAAGAGATTTGTGCACTCTGATGTTCAATGCAGCATTATTTACAATAGCCAAGATATAGAAATGACCTTAGTGTCCATCAGTGGATGAATGGATAAAGAAAGTATAGATTGAGTATCCCTTATCCAAAATGCTTGGGACCAGAAGTGTGTCTGATTTTGGATTTTTTTCATTTGTTATCATATTTGCATTGTGCTTACTGGTTGAACATGCCAAATCTAGAAATCTGAAGTGCTCCAATGAGCATTTTTTGGTTTTTTTGTTTATGTTTTTGAGTATCATGTTGGCACTCAAAAAGTCTCAGATTTTGGAGCATTTTGGATTTTCATATTAGGAATACTCAAACCTATTTTATCTATACAATGAAATAACACTCTGCCTTACAAAAGAAGGAAATCCTGTCATTTGTAGCAATGTAGATGAACATAGAGGACATCATGCTAAACAAATTAGCACATCAGGCACAGAAAGACAAATACTGTGTGATCTCACATATATATGGTACCTTTTAAAAGTTGAACCCATAGACAAAGAGTAGAATGGTTGTTGGAATGGGGAGAAGATGGTCAAAGGGTATAAAGATTGACTTAGGATGATTAAGTTCTGGAGATCCATTGTTCCACATTGAAAATTGCTAAAAGAGTAGATTTTAAATGTTCTTTCCACAAAAAATATAGGTATGCAAGATGATAGATATGTTAATTAGCTTGATTTAATCATTTCACAGTGTATCAGAGTGTCACATCATACACTGTAAATACATACAATTTTTGTCAATTATAACTCAATAAAGCTGGGCAAAATTTTAAAAATAAATAGCACCAGTTAAGGTCGTTACATATGGTTTTTTATTTTTTGTTTTTTTAAGTTCTGGGATACATGTGCAGGATGTGCAGGTTTGTTACATAGGTAAACATGTGCCATGGGGGCTTGCTGCATCTGTCAACCCATCACCTAGGTATGAAGCCCTGCATGCATTGCTCTTTTTCCTAATGCTGTCCCCCACCCCACCCTCCCGACAGGCCCCAGTGTGTATTGTTCCCCTCCCTGTGTCCATGTGTTCTCATTGTTCAGCTCCCACTTATAAGTGAGAACATGTGGTGTTTGGTTTTCTGTTCCTGCATTAGTTTGCTGAGGATAATGGCTTCCAGCTTCATCCATGTCCCTGCAAAGGACATGATCTCACTCCTTTTTATGGCTGCATAGTATTCCGTGGTATATATGTACTACGTTTACTTTATCCAGTCTATCATTGATGGGCATTTGGGTTGATCCCATGTCTTTGCTATTGTGAATAGTGCTGCAATGAACATACACGTGCATGTATCTTTATTACTCAGAATCCACAAGGAACTTAAACAAATTTACAAGAAAAAAGCAAAACAAACAACCCCATTAAAAAGTGGGCAAAGGACATGAACAGACACTTCTCAAAAGAAGACATTTATGAGCCAACAAATATATGAAGAAAAGCTCAACATCACTGATCATTAGAGAAATGCAAATCAAAACCACAATGAGATACCATCTCACGCCAGTCAGAATGGCAATTGTTAAAAAGTCGAGAAACAACAGATGCTGACAAGGTTGCAGAGAAATAGGAATGCTTTTACACTGTTGGTGGGAATTTTAAATTAATTCAACCATTGTGGAAGACAGTATGGCGATTCCTCACAGATTGAGAACCAGAAATACCATTTGACCCCGCAGTCCCATTCCTTTGGATATAAACATGATTTTTTTTAAGAGTTATAGAGATGAATGGCAGTGATGATTGCACAATGCTGTGAGTGTATTTGGCACTACTAAACTGGACACTTAAAAATGGTTCAGATGGTAGATTTTTTATGTATTTTAACGCTGTTTTTTAAATTGGAGGAGGAAAAAGAATAGTGCGTATTCGCCTCCCTACAGGAAAGCATTGTTTCTAGTTTTCAGCTTAACCTTTGCAAAGATACCTTTTCATATACGAAAAGACACACACATTTCTTTAAATATTTTTACACAAATTGTAGCATACTATTATATATAAACCATTTAGTACTTTGCATTTTTTACTTAATGTATCATTTTTTTAATATGAGTCCGGATGGAGAAGAAATACTTTAATGTATCTTGTAACTTGTTTCCTATCAATACCTGAAGAGCTTTTTCATTCTTTTTACATCTCTACATAGAATCAATTGAAAGGAGAGACCATAATCTTGTTAACCACCTTCCAAAAATCAGTTTCTTCTTTACAGTCAAAACACTTAGTATAATAATGTACTCCAGAGCTTTTTATCGTAGGGTCCACCATGTTAAATGTCTATAAAATTAACAGTAAATTTTCTCATACTTCTATTATTGCTTAAGCAAGTTTATGGCTCTCATCCTCATTGCCTGGACTGTATAATCAGAGTGTGGTATCATTTGAAACGTTCAAGCTTATAAAGTCTTTTGTTTTGTTTTTCTTATTGTTACATCATAGATTTTGTTCATTCGTATAGATTTTTGTGGTTCACATTTTAGACTCCATACCACTCAAGGATATATTACTTAGTCCTTTTCATTTATAGCAGCATCTTTATTTCTGAATCAATACTCAAAACAGTTTTAAATAAACCCAAAATAATAAGAGTCATTTTCTTTCCTAACAAGGAAAAGTATTTAGTTTAACGATTACATTTATGTTTGTAGTTCTAAGTAAGACCCTGAGAGATTTTCAAAAAGGAATTAATGATTATTTTTGTCTTCCCCAGGATTGGAACGAGTTACTATGCTGTTTCTGGGATTGCATAATGTTCGTCAGACCTCCATGTTCCCTCGTGATCCCAAACGACTCACTCCTTAAATTCACACTTTGCCACTTAACTCCAGTGTGGATGACAGAGCGAGACCCTGCCTCAAAAAAAAAAAAAAAAAAAGAAAGCCACACTTATTCTTTTCAGTAACCTGCTAGTGCACAGGCTGTACTTTAGGTACTTAAAATATGCACTAGAATAAATTTGCAAGGCCCTAAAATATCACTGTTATTTTTGGAGTAATTCAGTATAGGTTCGTTTAAAAGAGATTTTTATAACTTCAGACATGCATCAGTAGGAAATAACTTGAGAAATTCATATGGTTATGTTACAAATTCATATTCTGTTACTACAGTAAACGTTAAGAGTTTTAAACAGTTAAGATTGTACAATTTTTCTTCTTTTCTATATTACAAGGGCCCCAGTGTTAATGTCTTAGATTTTCAGTATTTGAACTTATTTTTTTAAATTCTGTCATTGAGATAAGAATAATTCAGGTAGCATCTGAAATTTTAATGAATGTATAATTGGCATATCATGGAAAATTAACCAGAAAGTATCAGTTCTTAAAAGTTATGCCTAGAAATTATGTAAAGCTAAACTACTGGTTAGAAAGTATTCAGTGTAATATTGTATTAATTTGTTAAATTCTAAACTTGAATTTCAATAAAATTTTAAAGCTAATTGTAGTTTTTGTGTAACTTTGTGGCCAACTGATTTTGTAAGTGGTGCTAGGCATTCATAATTTGGTAAAAGAAAAAATACACAACTAGTTTATATAAATAAAGACTAATATGTTGTCAACATGTATTCATTTCAGGATATTAGTTTAGATGGGCGTAGGGATAGAGCTCTTAAAGTTGACAGCTTGGGTCGGTTGACAGAGTTCATTTCACATGGGTTAAAATATATTGCAGAATTTTGTTTGATTTTTAACTGGAATGGTACTGATACTTAGTGAATGTCAGTAAAATCCAGTCCCATCTTATCCGTCAAAAAGAAATTTTTGTGTAAGAATTAGTTAGAAACACTTTCCCTCTAGATTATTACAAATGTTGATGCTAATGTTAATTTTACATGACCACAAATATTGGGGAGGAACAAAACATAACATATTTTTGTACAGGAAGAAAAAATTACATGCAGAAAAATATGAGGGTCAAAAAGTTAGGAAGTTACCCCTGGACCACGAACATCTGCCCATTATGTTTGAAAGTTAAAGGGGGTGTTTACCATCTATATTGTACAGTCTTTGAAAGTTTAGATTCAGTTCTTATTTTTTTCTTTCATATCCTACCAGAATACCTTAAATATAGAAGGCACCCCAAAAGTATTTCATAATTTAATCCACAGCAAGAATAAAATATCCATCTTCTATAGTGTGTAATTGCTAGACCCTAAAATAGTACAATAATATTGGCCCTAGAGCTGTTCTTAATTTCATGTAATTATAGCTTGTTTCAAAATAAAGTTTGTAAAGTCTTAGAATGATGTAATCTTTTTTATTGTGAAGGTTTTCAAACATGCTGACCAAATTAGAACATGATAAAATACACTTGTACCTATTATCCAGTCTTATCAAATCTTTATCATATTTGCTTCAAATATTTTTTTTTATTTTTATGTATTTGTTTTGAGACCAGGTTATGAGACTGGCTAATTTTTGTATTTTGGTAGAGGTAAGATTTCTCCATGTTGCCCAGTCTGGTCTTGAACTTCTGGCCTCAAGCGATCCACCTGCCTTCACCTCCTAAAGTGCTGGGATTACAGGTGTGAGCCGCTGCACCTGACCTCTTATTTATTTATTTTTTTGAGACAAGTCTTGCTCTGTGGCCTAGGCTGGAGTGCAGTGGCATGATCTCAGCTCACTGCAACCTCCACCTCCCCGGTTCAAGCGATTCTCCTCAGCCTCCCAAGTAGGTGGGATTACAGGCTCCCACCACCATGCCCAGCCAATTTTTGTATTTTTAGTAGAGACGGGATTTCTCCATGTTGGCCAGGCTGATCTCAAACTCCTGACCTCAGGGGTGATCCGCCTGCCTGGGCATCCCAAAGTGCTGGGATTACAGGTGTGAGCCACTGTGCCTGGCCCTTACTTTATTTTTTAAAGAGAAAAGAAATCAAAAAAAAAAGAAATTGTGGGCAGTTAAGGTACCCTCTTATAGGAAACTATTATATGAATTCAAACTTTTATTCTTTTGTTTTTATATTTTCACTAAATATTTATGTTTCTATAAATGTCTAATATTGTTTTGCAGATTTATTTGATATGTAAATCCTGAGATTTTCATTGGAACTACCTTAAATTTATAGAATAATTTGAAAAGACTTGGAATTTCCCTCTCTTTAGTCTTCCAGTGGATGAACATGGTATATCTCTTCATTTATTGATTTTTTTAATTGTAGTAAAACATTTTTATTTTATACTTTAAAAGTGTTTTGCTTTTTGTGTGATGTTATTATTTATCCTATCAGCATTTTATTCTCAAGATTATCAAAGAATTTAGTACTGTTAATGCTGGAAGCAAATATCTTTCCATTTTAGCTCTATATCCTTGTGCTTTGCAGATCTGAAGATATTTCAGCTGAGTCAGAACAGCCTTGCCAAGGATCTGCTAATCATGTGATGAAGGGAGAAACTGGTGAGGTAGCTTAGTGTTTTTTTGTGGGCAGGATTTAATGAGTACTCTTGAAAACAAAATATTCAGTGTAACAAAATTTGAAAGATCTCACCCTGTTGCCCAGGCTGGAGTGCAGGGGCAGGATCTCAACTCACTGTATCCTCCACCTCCTGGGCTCAAGCAGTCTACCTCAGCCTCCTAAGGTAGCTGGGACTGCAGGCGCACACCACCACACCCAGCTAACTTTTGTATGTTTAGTAAAGACATGTAGTAGTTGTCATGTTGCCCAGGCTGGTCTTGAACTCCTGGGCTCAAGCAATCCACCTGCCTTGGCCCCCTAGAGTGCTGGGATTACAGGCATGAGCCACCACGCCCAGCTTGTGTATTTTTTCGGCTTCAGCCCGGAAATAAATGTTTCCCATGAATTCAATCATAATATAGACAGTACTTTGTTCACTGTAGTTTTACTTAACATTAGCATATTAAAACTGCTTTTAATTTTCCAGTTTATGTTAGAACACCTTACAGTGTTTTGTTTTGTTTTTTCTATTGGGAATGAAACCATGCCCCAAGGAGTTAAAAAAAAAAAAAAAGTTGAGTAACAAATTCTTGGGTGTGGAGGATAAACAGATAAGAAAAAACAACTTACTAACACTCCCCTCCCTTATAACAAAACTGTCTAAAATCAGTTAAAAGCAATATTGCTAACTAGAGTTTACACAGCAAGCTTGCTAATGTTACAGCCTAAAGTTTCACCACATATTTTATACTAACTACCTCCAAATTGGCACATGGGACCCATAAAGAGGTAACTACACATGCCGAAGAACTTTCCAGACCTCTTCCACCAATCACCTACTAATCCCAGAATCCGCCCCCTGAAGGATAAAATCACTGCCTTAACACCAGCACAGAGAGAGCAATTTGAGCTGCACTCCTGTCTCCTTGTAAGTCACTTGAAATAGAAAGCTTTTCTCAAAAACCCAGTGTCATTTTATTGGCTTAGAGCATTGGGCAGTGAGCCCCTTCTGCTTGGTAGCAGGATTGGGATCTTTTCCGTGACATTTTTAAATTGTTACAAGGGTAAAGAACACTATCAGTTATCAATTTTTTTTTCTTAGATGGCTAATTTTTTTGTATTTTTAGTAGAGACAGGGTTTCACCGTGTTAGCCAGGATGGTCTCGATCTCCTGACCTCGTGATCCGCCCGCCTCGGCCTCCCAAAGTGCTGGGATTACAGACGTGAGCCACCGCGCCTGGCCTCAGTTATCAATTTTTATATGTTGCCATTTTATGCAGCAGTATTCTTGATCTCTTACTCTTTCTAATAGTTTGTATTGAATATCTTGTATTTTCAAGGTAGATGGAGAGGTGTGAGAAGGGATAGCATAACAGTAAAAAGTATGGATTCTGTTAGCCACACTGCCTGGGTTCAGATTCTGGTTTTGCTCTTACATTAATGTATAACCTTGGATAACTTGCTTATCCTCAGCTTTCCTCATTTGCATAATCCTACATCATGAGACTATTATGGGAATTAAAAAGTGTAGAACACAGAATAGTGTGGGGCAAAATAAGAGTTTAGTCTTCCTGTCTCATTCTTATATTTGCCGATTGCATTAGATTAGTTCTTCAGTAGAGTGTTGAATAAAAGCAGTGATGGAGGCATGCTTGTATTGTTTTTATTTAAATACTAAAGTCTTGAGATTAAGTGTGATAATTTCTGTAGGTGGTTTTTGTTTTCGTTGTGTGTTTTTTTTTTTGTTTTGTTTTGTTTTTGAGACAGGGCCTTGCTCTCTTACCCAGGCTAGAGTGCAGTGGTGCAATCTCAGCTCACTGCAGTCTCGACCACCCAGGCTCAAGCAATCCTCCCACCTCAGCCTCCCAAGTAACTGGGACTACACGTGCATGTCACCACACCCAGCTAATTTTTTGTATTTTTTTGTAGAGACAAAAAAATGTATGTTGCTCAGTCTGGTCTCGAATTCCTGGACTCAAGAGATCCACCTGCCTCAGCCTCCCAAAATGCTGGGATATACAGGCATGAATCACTTCGCCTGGCCTTTAGATTTTTAATAAATGTCTTTTATCAGGTTAATGGAGATTTTATTAGTTCATTTTCTATTATGAATAAATTTTGAATTTGTCAAATACTTTATCAGTATTTGCTGTGATTTTTTCATGTTGTTTGGATACAGTGGGCTATAATAACAGAAATCCCTGATACTGTTTTTCTGGAATAAATACTGTTTGATCACTACATATTATTTTGTGTATGCAGCTGGGCATGGGCAACATAGCAAGACCTCATCTGTACAAAAAATAAAATTAGCCAGTATGGCGGCACATGCTTATAGTCCTAACTACTTGGGAGGCTGAGGCAGGAGGATGACTAGAGCTCAGGCATTCAAGGTACTGTGAGCTATGATTGTATCACCATACCCTAGCCTGGGTGACACAGTGAAAACCTGTCTCTAAAAATAAACATTTTTAAAATAAATTTTGTATATATACTGAATTCAATTTGATAATTTTATTTAAATTTTTTTCATTTTGTTCAGGTATACACAACAAAATTAATTTTAAGTGTACAGTTTTATGAATTTTGGTAATTGTATAGAGTCAATTAACCTTCACCATACTCAAGCTACAGAACATTTCCACTGCCCCAGAAAGTTTCATAGTGTATCTTTATAGTCAGTCCCCATTGCTAGCAACTCAAGGTCTGTTTTTGCCTTTTCTAGAATTTCATATAAACAGAACAATACAGTATGCAGTCTTTTGTATTTAACTTCTTCCATTAAGCATAATTTTTTGAGATCCATGTTGTTGCATATATTAATAATGTGTTTCTTTTTATTGAGTAGTATTCCGTAGAATAGATATACCATAATTTGTTTATCCATTCACCAGTTAATGGATATCTAGGTAGCTTCCAGTTTTTAATCTATAATGAATAATGCTGCTGTGAGCAATCATTTGCAAGTCTTTATATAGACATGTTTCTATTTCTTTTGGATAGATACCTAAGAGTATATTTTCTGGATTATGTAAGTGTACTGTCTTGGTCTGTACTACTATAACAAAATACCATAGATTGGGTAATTTTAAAAAACAGAAATTTATTTCTCATAGTTCTGGAGGCTGAGAAGTCCAAGATCAGGGTGCCAGCAGTGACTGGTGAGGGACCCAGTCCCTTCTTCGAAGATGGTGCCTTGTTGCTGCATCCTCTGGAGGGAATAAATGCTGTATCCTCACATGGCAGAAGGAACAGAAGGTCAAGAAAGGGTCTAAACTACTCTCCAGCCCCTTAATAAGGTGGATAATCCATTCGTGAGGGCACAGCCTCATGACTTAATCACTTCCCAAAAGGCCCCACCTCAATACCACCACAATGGGGATTAAGTTTCAACATGAATTTTGTTTTTTCCAACTTTTATTTTAGGTTCAGGGGGTACATATGCCAGTTTGCTACACGGGTAAATTGCATGTTGAGGAGGTTTTGGAGTAAAGATTATTTCACCACCCAGGTAATAAACATAGGTAGTTTTTTGTTTTGTTTTGTTTTTGTCTCTTTTTCTGGAGTAGGTGTTTGTAAGAAAATTACAGGTAGTTTTTCAATCCTCACCCTCCTCCCCCCCTTGACCCTCAAGTAGGCCCCGGTGTCTATTCCTCCTTCTTATGTTCATGTGTACTAAATGTTTAGCACCCACTTGTAAGTAAGAACATGCAGTATTTGGTTTTCTGTTCCTGCATTAATTTGCTTAGGATAATGGCCTCCAGCTCCATCATGTTGCTGCAAAGGACATTATCTCACTCTTTTCTATGGTTACATAGTATTCCGTGCTATAAGTGTACCACATTTTCTTTATCCAGTCCACTGTTGATGGCCATTTAGGTTGATTCCATGTCTTTACTATTGTGAATAGTGCTGTGATGAACATACATGCATATGTCTTTCGGGTAGAATGATTATATTCCTTGGGTATATACCCAGTAATGGGATTGTTAGGTTGAATGGGTAGTTCTGTTTTACGTTTTTTTGAGAAATTTCCAAATTGCTTTCCATAGTAGCTGAACTAATTTACATTCCCACCAGCAGTGTTTAAACACTTCCTTTCTCCACAACCTCACCAGCATCTGCTATTTTTTGGCTTCTTAATAATAGCTATCCTCACTGGTGTGAGATGGTACCTCACTGTGGTTTTTATTTGCATTTCTCTAATGATTGATATTGAGCATTTCTTCATATGCTTGTTGGCTGTGTGTCTTCTTTTGAGAAGCGTCTGTTCATGTCTTTTGCCTGTTGTTGTTTTTTTTTGTTTTGTTTTGTTTTGTTTGTATTTTTAGTATAGATGGGGTTTCACCACGTTGGCCAGGCTGGTCTCAAACTCCTGACCTCAAGTGATCTGCCCGCCTCAGCCTCCCAAAGTGCTGGGATTACAAGCGTGAGCCATCGTGCCTGGCCCTAACTGATATTTTTAAGTGAATGTATATATAATACATTACTATACAGATGGGTTAGATAAGAATATGTTTTTTAACATAGGCTCCTGTGATCCCTGGAAGTTTTTTTTTTTCTTTTTTTCTTCACTGTATATATTAGGATCTGGAAGTATTTAGACCATTAAAATAGCCTGGGTTTTGTTGTTGTTTTTTGTTTCTGGGCTACGGTTAGAGACTTCTAAGTGATACTGCCTTTGGCAATGTCTAACCATAAAGAAAATACAACATTCTCCTAATTTCTGTTTCAGTTCAGTTGGCTGGCACTTGAGGGTTTTTCTAGATTTTGAGTTGTATTTGCTACCTGCTGCGTCAGTTTCTCAAAAGTCGGGTAGACTCAGATTAATACAAACAGTTTTATTTTTCCACCTTCTGCCAAATGTCAACATCTGCACAAATGATTGGCTAACTCACTAGTCAAAGTAGTCCTTTGTTCACCACATGGTGTTGTAAATCAAAAAGTGACTGAGGCAGATCTCAGCTGATTAGAGGTTTATTTTGCCAAGGTTGAGGATGCGCCTGGGAAACAAAACACAAGTTACAGTTGGATCTGTGACCCATGCTTTCTACAGAGAAGGTTTGGGGAACTTCAGTATTTAAAGGGGAAAAAGCAAGCAGGAGGGGAAGGTAAAAAAAGGAGGGAGGGTAGGCAGTGAGGCAAGTGGATACGTTCTTGTGAGGCTTTGATTAGGGCTCAGTGAATCTGCATTTTACATGTGAAAATAAAGGAGTAGGGGGAAAGTCAATTATGCATTTGTCTCAGCTCAGTAAATCTGTATTTTGCATAAGATAAAATAAGCATGTGAAGTTACAGCCATCTGGGAACAAAAAAAGGTTTTTTGTGTGTGACTCAGTTCCCAAGTTTAACTTTTCCTTTGGCTTAGCGAGTTTGGGTTCCCAAGATTGTATTTTTCTTTCACAGTGTCTTAGATTTCCTCATCAGTACAGCAGAACCCACACCACCAGCCCCTGATGCTCTCTCTCCAGATGGGCTACATCTGCCATTTCTTCCCCTTGCTCAGCCGTAAAACGTTGTCCTTTTATCTTATCAGACCCGGGCAAACCTTCAACCCTCCTTTCCCCAGGCCTGCTTCTCTCTCCCAACACTTACAGGAATGAGTCTTCTCCTAAAACTGCTCAGGATCTTCCAAATACTCACCTGTCCATTCACTATATTGCAGGTTATTAAACCAGTGAAAAACGTGACCATCTTACTATCAAAACCACGTGGTTTTAGCGCCGTGGGAGGTGGGTGGGAGGGCAGCCACTCCTGGCTCGGGGCAGAGCCTGCGCATCCACTTGGACCTGCACACCTTCTACCACTCGTGGTACCAGAGCTTCAGCGTGAGGGCCACTGCATTCACTCGGACCCCAAGATCTCAGCCAGCTACCCCTACAGCCACCACAGCCCCCCAGACGACTTGGGCTCCAGCTTCTACACAGAGCTGGGGCCCTATGGCTCCTGGGACCCCAATGTCCTGGTCCCTTCCTGGTATACACCTGGCATGGCTGATGGTCACAGGGAACCCTCAGATGACCTGGTGCCTGCCATTCTGGACACCACCCATCAGTGCAGATCCAGATGACTGGATCCACATCTAACCCCACTTCCACATCCAACCCCACAAGGTCAGGATGACATCACTGTACATGACAACATCAAGTATATCATTGACGTGAATGGCTCCCATGGTGCATTTTATCCCTGTATAAGAACAGCATGGGCAAGAGCACCCCACTCTTTTATATCTATGACTCATACCTGACATCCCTTGAGGCCTGGACCCACCTCCTGACACCAAACAGCCCCCACTATGGGGTCTTCATAGCACTATTGGTGGAAGAGGGCCACACCTACGATGTCCTGGCCGCAGGGTTTGAAGGCATGTCCACCTACTTTGTCTCCAATGGATTCTCCTGGGGCTCCTCCCATCAGAAGTGGAAAGCTGTGAAGAACTTTTATGATGCCAACAACCTCATGTTCATTCCCAGCATGGGGCCTGGCTGCATAGACACTAGCATCCGGCCCTGGAACGACCACAATAGGGAGAAGAGGGTCAATGGCAAGGACTATGACAGGGCCTTGCAGGCGGCCGCGATGGTGACGCCCAAGATCAGCTCCATCACCTCCTTCAATGAGTGGCCCGAGGGCACCCAGATGGAGAAGACCACTCCCAAGAAGACACCCCCGCCTGTATTTGGACTACCTGCCTCCTCAGCACAGCCTGTACTTGGAGCTGACCCGCTGCTGGGCGAGCACTTCATCAAAGAGAAGGTGCAGTGGCTCAGGTGAGGGGCCTGTAAACAGGGGTGTGACGTGCTAATGCCCTTGTCTCTCCGGAAGAAGTCACCACATGGGGCTCAGCTGAGGTTGGAGGCACTCACTCCTTCCCATGTTGGCAGCTGAGTGCTTCTGGGTGGGCCCTCAGATAACCCAATTATCTGGAAATCATCCTGAGCACTCTCAGGTTCGTTGAACACTTGCTCCTCAAGCAACTTCCTATGTGCCAGGTGCCAGGGAAAGCTTGACCAAGGAGCAGTCCCTGTCCTGAAGCTTACAGGACCCAAGCTTTCCTTATCCGGTGCAGCCTTGTAGCTAGTGCCTGGGCACAGGTGTTTTTCTTTTTGCAGTTTTGCCTGGTGCTAGGAGTTCAGTTCTTTTTGCTCCAAAAAACACCTCTAAGTGGCTGGGCGCAGTGGCTCACACCTGTAATCCCAGCACTTTGGGAGGCTGAGGTGGGTGGATCAGGAGTTTGAGACCAGCCTGGCCAACATGGCGAAACCCCGTCTCTACTAAAAATACAAAAATTAGCCAGGCATGGTGGCAAGCACCTGTAATCCCAGCTACTCAGGAGGCTGAGGCAGGAGAATAGCTTGAACCTGGGAGGCAGAGGTTGCAGTGAGCCAAGATCATGCCATTGCACTCCAGATTGGGCGACAAGAGCAAGATTCTGTCTCAAAAAAAAAACCAAACCCAAGCCTCTGTGCTCCAGAGCCTACTTTTTCCCAGGTGCATATTTAGCTCCAGGGAGAGGACTAGGAGGACACCCCCCCTCCCTTTAGCTGCCTGAACTGAATGAGGCCCACTCACTAAAGCCACGTCCAGTGCTCCTGTGATTTGTGGTAATTAAATATGAACCGGTAATTTCGAAAAACACACACACACACACACACACACACACATGGTTTCACACCTAATTTTTCTCTAAAATTTGTTACTTTGTCTCTTTAACTAGGTTTTTTTGTTTTGTTTTGTTTTTTGGGGTCTTTTTTGAGACAGCATCTCACTCTGTTGCTCAGGCTAGAGTACAGTGGTGCCATCTTGGCTTACTGCAGCCTCTGCCTCCTGGGTTCAAGCAATTCTCTCGCCTCAGCCACCTGAGTAGCTGGGATTACAAGTGTGCACCACCATCCCCAGCTAATTTTTGTGTTTTTAGTAGAGATGGGGTTTCACCATGTTGGCCAGGCTGGTCTCGAACTCCTGACCTCAAGTGATCCACCCGCCTTGGCCTTCCAAAGTGCTGGGATTACAGGTGTGGAGCCCCCGTGCCCGGCCTCTTTTACTAGGTTTTAAACAATTTGGTGTAGCAGCGTGGAATCAGAAAACTTCAGGTTCAAATTCTGACCTGACACTAGGTGTGTAATTCTGAGCACAGAATTCACATCTGTAGAGTGGAGTTAACGATGCTTACCTTGAAAGATCATGAGGATTAAATGAGACCCATAAGTGAAGACTCTTCTACAGCTCCTGACATATAAAATATATTCACTAAACAGGTATTGTTGTTAATGCTACGGGTAGGGACCACATTTTAAACTTTTTTTTTTTTATTTTTCATACAGGGTCTCTCTCTGTCACCCAGGCTGGAGGGCAGTGGCAATCATGTCTCACTGCAGCTCGACCTCCTGGGCTCAAGTGATCTTCCCACCTCAGCTCCCAAGGAGCTAGGACTACAGGCACACGCTATCACACCCAGCTAATTTTTTATTTGTTGTAGAGAGGGAGTTTCACTATGTTGCCCAGGCTGGTCTCAAACTCCTGAGCTCAAGCAATCTACCTGCCTCAGCCTCTCAAAGTGCTGGAATTACAGGTGTGAGCCACCGTGTCCTGACCACATTTAAACTTTTTGTAGTCCCATATTCATAGCATAATGATGAGTATATGGCATGTGCCTGATATTACAAATTGATTGCTTGGTTTTGGGAGTTCAGAGATAAAGCTGGTAATAATAAACCAAACGTAAAATGTATTTATACTAGAAGTTTTATTTTTACATGCACATCTGACAGTTTATTATGTACATTTATGTCTGATAGTGTGTGTGAATATATTTAGTTGAGAGATGAAAATATGACCCATAGGCCTTTCTTAAAAATGAGCTAAGACACTTTGCAAAATCTTACCACTTTTTCTCTATAGTCTTTCTTCAAATCATTATGCATTAGCTTAATTAAAATGAGCTGGCAGACTCATAATTGCTACCCAGAATGTTAAACTGGTAGCTGCCACTATTTCTCATGGATAAAGATATCATACTCCTAGAGCAAGAAAATTCTCTGCTTTCAATGTCAGTAATATTGAAGGAACTCTTTTTTTTTTTTTTTTTTTTTTTTTTGAGGTGGAGTCTCACTCGGTTGCCCAGGCTGGAGTGCAGTGACAGGATCTTGGCTCACTGCAACCTCCGCCTCCCAGGTTCAAGCGATTCTCCTGCCTCAGCCTCCCGAGTAGCTGGGATTACAGGTGCCCACTACCACGCCCAACTGATTTTTGTATTTTTAATAGAGATGGGGTTTCACCATGTTGGCCAGGCTGGTCTCGAACTCCTGACCTTAAGTGATCCGCAAACCTCAGCTTCCCAAAATGCTGGGATTACAGGCGTGAGCCATTGCGCCCGGCTAGGAACTCTTCAAATACCTTTTTAAAACCTTATTCTTTAAAAATATTCAGCTTCCCTGGTGATCATGAATTGAAACAACAGTGAGGTGACAAACTGGCAATGAAAATAAAATATGCTTATTGTTCACCACAGGGTGGAGAATTGGGAGCTTTGAGGTGCTGTTGGTGGAGTATAAACATACATAATTTCAGGCAGGCAGTTTAGCTGTGTGTATCAAAATGTGAATATGCATATCCTTTAACCCAGTAATGCCTCTCTCTTAGAATTTAGCCCTAACTGGGTGGGGTGTCTGGCACCTGTGATCCCAGCTACTATGGAGGACTGAGGCAAGAGGATCGCTTGAGCCCAGGAGTTAAAATTAAAGGCTGCAGTGAGCTATGAGTGCACCACTGCATTCCAGCCTCAGTGTCTCAGTGACACAGCGAGACCCCATCTCTTAAAAAATAAAATAAAAAAAAAAAACGTATCCTAAGAATACAGGTGCACAAAACAAGATGTGTTTAAAGATATCTATTGTAGCATTGTTTATACCAGAGAAAGAAATGCAAACAACCTAAATGTCCATTAGTAGAGGATTAAATAATGCTATATCCATATTGTAGAATGTTAATCAGCCATTGAAAAGCACAGTACAAGAAGTCCTCACTTTGCATAATTATGTGGGACTCTAAAAATGACCATGCAAAGCAACGTTAATATTCAAAGGGTAAAATATGATTGTCCTATGATCTTTAAAAATTTTTGTCAAATGTTAAAAATTCCCTTACTGTTGGTTATAAGAATATAGAGAAATGAAAAAAATAGTGGCCAGGCACGGTGGCTCACGCCTGTAATCCCAGCACTTCGGGAGGCCAAGGCGGGCAGATCACGAGGTCAGGAGATCAAGACCATCCTGGCTAACACGGTGAAACCCCGTCTCTACTAAAAAATACAAAAAAATTAGCCGGGCGTGGTGGTGGGCACCTGTAGTCCCAGCTACTTGGGAGGCTGAGGCAGGAGAATGGTATGCACCCGGGAAGCAGAGCTTGCAGTGAGCCTAGATCATGCCACTGCACTCCAGCCTGGGTGACAGAGCGAGACTCCGTCTCAATAAAAAAGAAAAAAAGAAAAAATAGTGAAACTAATATTTATTTAGTGTACTATAATTTAAAACATTAGAAACATTGAAAATTAAAATGGTTTATGCCTTTGTAAAAAAAAATTATGAAGAGTAGTTTGAACAATGCTTCGCTTCTTGTGGTGTAACTTTCACTATAGAATGACTGTTTTTTTAAGAGACAGAGTCTCCCTATGTTGCTCAGGCTGGTCTTGAACTCCAGAGCTCAACCAATCCTTCTCCCTCGGCCTCCCGAATAGCTGCAACTACAGGCACGCACTGCTGCACCCAGCTTGGGGTGACCATTTCTTCTATGCTTTGGTGAATCGTCATACTCCATCCTACATTCAGATCAGCTTCCAATATTTTATCTGTTGTGCTTTCAAAACCATGAAATCTCTTCAAAATATTTTAATGTGAAGTTTTTTTGCTATTGTCACTTCCTCTAGGAAATCTTCATCCTTTCCATCACAACCTCTTTCCTCATTTATGGTATATACCTGGAGTTTCTCAAAGGTGGCAGTGTCGACACTCCCATGGTCAGCTCTTTCTTCTGCAATGTCATTTATGTTTGATGCAAATTTCACTTCCGGAGTTAACATATTTTGTTCCTTTGCTGCACTGTCATCTTTGTTGACTAATGCCCTCTTTTGAATATCTATTTTTAAAAATATCACATGGATTCATCAGTGAGAGTCATGGAGGCAACACAACTACACACTTTGCTGTCTGTGCATGAACTGAATAACATGTACAGTGACTGATCACCAATAGATTTTGAAAGAAATGACACAGCTGATCACTGATTATGACACACATCTGTTATTTATGGAGTAATTTCTGACCTGAAGAGGTGACAGTGTATTTTATGCAATTACTCACAATTAATATACCACAGTAACTGAAATTTGAACCATGTTGAGGGACTGATGTAATTTAACTTGACAGTGGTAACTGAAAATAATATATATCAGAACCACCCAAAGCAAGGACTACCTATATGTGTGTTCATTGTCATTGAAAGCTCTTCCTGTGAGCTGGACTTTCTCTGTTTGCCCTTGCTTTCTCCACTTACTGCCATTTTCCACTCTGCTGTGTGTCCTGGGAGGCCAACCTCTATGGACTGCATTAACCAAGCACCTTCCTTAATGGCTTCTAATTGGCTTTGGTCATTGGAAAACACCAACAGATCAAATGGAGGGAGAAGAGAAAGGTCAGGATATTTATTTTCTTTCTTTGCTGGACCACATTCTAGCCACAGCTACTTTCCTCTCCTGAAGGCCACAGCCTCCACTCTACCAGTACCCCTGCTTCTTAGACCCCACTAGCTGCTCCCTCTCTGCTCCTTCAGACCTAAAGGTGGTAGTAGCTTCCTGTGGTTGCTGGCTCTAGGGTACTTCACCAATCCTTTCTGTTTCCTTTAAAGCTTCCCAAATCTTTATGGCTTCTTTACATAACTTTTCAAGCATATTTTGTTTGAGTGTGCCATATGTTTCTGACCGACCCTGACCTAGATAACATATCATACTGCTCAGGGAAATTTATATGCACATATCCAAATAGTATATGCATTCGGAGTCTGAAAGGATGCAAGCAGTAACATTTTTAACCAATTTGCTTTTTCCCATCTGTTTGTAAAAGTAGATTACATATATTGATGGATTATTTGGGCTTCAAAATAGTTATTCATTTTTCTAATTTAGTCAAATCTATTATAGAAATTTCCAAATTAACTATTCTACCTTTTTTTTTTTTGAGACGGAGCTTCACTCTTGTTGCCCAGGCTGGAGTGCAATGGTGCAATCTCGGCTCACTGCAACCTCCACCTTCCGGGTTCAAGTGATTCTCCTGCCTCAGCCTCCCAAGTAGTTGGGATTACAGGCATGTGCCACCATGCCTGGCTAATTTTGTATTTCTAGTAGAAACAGAGTTTCTCCATGTTGGTCAGGCTCATCTCGAACTCCCAACCTCAGGTGATCTGCCCACCTCAGCCTCCAGCCAACTATTCTACTTTTTAACATATTCAGTCAGATCTATATTTGAATGAGTGTTCTTGTAAGTCTGTTCTAACAAAGAAGAGCAGATCATGCAGCAATTCATATTTAAAAATTGCTAGCCAGGCGCGGTGGCTCACGCCTATAATCCCAACACTTTGAGAGGCCGAAGCAGGAGGATCGCTTGAGGTCAGGAGCTCAAGACTAGCCTGGGCAATGTAGCAAGACCCTGTCTCTACCAAAAATAAAAAAAATTTAGCTGGGCATGGTGGCACATGCTTGTAGTCCCAGCTACTCAGGAGGCTGAGGCAGGAGGATTGCTTGATCCCAGGAGTTCAAGGCAGCAGTAAGCTGACTCCAGCTGGGGCAACAGAGCAAGACCTTGTCTCTTAAAAAATGAAAAAGAGAAAGAAATTGCTGATCAGAGACAAGTTTCTGGAAGTAAATAAGATTAGCTGTTGTCTTCTTTCTTAGCGTAACTCAGAACCTGCTTTCTTTTGTAACAGACTCCCACATCTGGACTGTCACTGGGTCCAATTTGGGAGAGCTAACATTTCCACTTTGCAAGAAAACAGCCAACATCCACACTCAGCTTTAGTGCTGCTGACTGGTTATTGGCCACAGCCTCCACATAGCAAACTTAACATTTGCTTCAGAATGAGACTCAGTTGATTTTTTTACTTATGAGAAGCATTAAAATGCTAATTCTGAAATTCCTTTGTGTTCTTAGTATTGTCACCAGAATATTCAACGAGGCAAGCAAACATGGTGGGGCTAAACACATATACAAAATGGCTTTTGAAAATGCCTATGTAGATTTATCATTTGAAATGCTAAAGGTTCTGGGGTGTTTTTTTTTTTATTTTTATTTTTATTTTAAGGTGATAGGAAAGTAAAACATTTCTTGGATGTTTTTGAAGAAACCTATCATAAAAGAGCACCCTAAAGGAAGATTTGTTTACTGGAATTCCTTGCCTTTGCCTTTAAAAGTCTACCATTTCTACAGCGATAGCTGTAGAATGCACTCCACTGGTTTCACGTTTGTGAATTGTACTAGGCCATTTTTGCGTTGCTATAAAGGAATACCCGAGACTGGGTGATTTATAAAGAAAAGAGAACTAATTGGTTCATGGTTGTAATGAAGGCTGTAAGGAAGCATGTTGCCAGCATCTGCTTCTGGTGAGGGCCTCAGGAAACTGACAATCACGGTGGAAGGCAAAGGGGAAGCAGGCACATGACATGGGAGGAAGAGAGGACAGAGATGCCACACACTTAACCAGATCTCACATGAACTCAGAGTGAGAACTCACTCATCAGCAAGGCGATGGTGCTAAACCATTCATGAGGGATCTGCTTCCATGATCCAAACACCTTCCACCAGGCCCCACCTCCCACACTAGGAATTACGTCTCAACATGAGATTTGAAGGGGACAAATACCCAAGCCATATCATGACTGAAGAGAGATTTATTCGATAAATAACATTTTTACGGTGCCTCACTTTTTATAAGACATTCAAAAAGTGTTATAATAATAATAACTTCTTGGTTTCTTTGCACTTCCCAAGTCTGGAATACATGGAACTAATAACTAACTATCGAACAGAACCTTCAAACAACACTGCTCTGACCCATCTACATGGAGTGCTGTCAGTTTTGAGCTGTGCCTAGCACAGGAGAGGGCTCTAAAGCAGTTCCAGGCTATGGTTCAAGCAGCAAATCCTATGCTACTAAAGGTATCTGTGGTAGGAAATGATGCCATGTAGAGTTTATAGGAGGCCCCAGTAGGAGAATCACAACATAGACCTCCTAGGTTCTGGAGTAAGACTATGCCATCTGCAGCAGAGAACTATACACCATTCAGAAAAGAGACCCTGGCTGGCTACAGGGCCCTGGTGGAGATAGAGTACCTAATTATAGGACATCAAGTGACTGTGCAGCCAGATCTTCCCATTGTGTGCTGGATTCTTTCAGATTCACCAAGTTACAAGGGCTAAAAGCATCCTAGGATAATAGTTGCCGGCTGGGCACAGCAGCTCACGCCTGTAATCCCAGCAATTTGGGAGGCTGAGGTGGACGGATCACTTGAAGTCAGGAGTTCGAGATCAGCCTGGCCAACATGGCGAAACCCTGTTTCTACTAAAAATACAAAACAATTAGCTGGGCATGGTGGCACACGCCTGTGGTCCCAGCTACTTCGGAAACGGAGGCATGAGAATCAATTGAACCTGGGAAGTGGATGTTACAGTGAGCAGAGATCTCACCACTGCACTCCAGCCTGGGTGACAGAGCAAGACTCTCACACACAAAAAAAATATACGCACACACACACACACATGTGTAGTAGTTGGACACTTGGGATTGGGCACGAGTAGAAGGACCCAAGTAAGTTGGATAATAATCAGGACTCTCAGAGTTTCATGTCATCACCACTGTTGGGTCTGTTCTCTTCCTCAGCTCAAACTTATGGTCATGTTTGGAGTTGGAGGAAGAGGGGAAAAGGGAACCTCCCTTGAGACCAGCTGGCAGAGGATGAAAAGAGCCATGTTTGTTTCACGGTTGGGCTGACTTGGTAAGAGGCTGCTACTATTATACTACAACCACTTAAGGGTGGCCTTGAAAGACATAAAATCTTTCCAATGGGCAGTGCCTCTGGTTATATATTTTGTATGGAATGGGAAGTGGCCCAAGGTAAGAACAACACACATACATTTGTGGACATTAGTGAATGGCTAGGCTGATTAGTCAGGGGCCTGGAAAGAGAAAGATTGGAAGTTTAGGGGCAAGGAGGCTTGACCAAAAATCATATGGGTGGAACTACAGAAATAGGAACAAAATGTAAAGATCTTAGTATCATATGTTAACACTCACCAGAGAATATCCACCATGGAATTCTGGTGGACAGAATGACTTGACCATTTGACGTCAACCTGCCTCTGTCATCAGTCACTGCAAGTCTAGTACAACAGTCTAATGAAAGTAGGCAGGTGGCAGGGATGGAGGCTATGGACCCAACGTGGGTTCCCACTCACTGAGACTGATCTAGTTTCTCTCACTGCCAAATGTCCTATTGTGTCCGGAATTTATTCCTTTTGGTGGGTTCTCGGTCTCACTGACTTCAAGAATGAAGCCGTGGACCTTTGCGGTGAGTGTTACAGCTCTTAAAGATGGTGTGTCCGGAGTTTGTTCCTTCAGATGTGCCCCGAGTTTCTTCCTTACAGTGGGTTTGTAGTCTCGCTGACTTCAAGAATGAAGCTGCAGACCTTCATGGTGAGTGTCACAGCTCTTAAAGGTGGTGCGGACCCAAAGAGTGAGCAGCAGGAAGATTTATTGTGAAGAGAGAAAGAACAAAGCTTCCACAGCATGGAAGGCGACCTGAACAGTTGCCACTGGCTCAGATGGCCAGCTTTTATTCCCTTATTTGGCCCCGCCCACGTCCTGCTGATTGGTCCATTTTACAGAGCACTGATTGGTCCATTTTACAGAGTGCTGATTGGTGCATTTACAATCCTCCAGCTAGATAGAAAAGTTCTCCAAGTCCCCACTTGACCCAGGAAGTCCCACTGGCTTCACCTCTCACTGTCTGCCAGCAACAGAACTCAACGCCAAGCCCTCAGTGTGGCACCATCCCTGGAGGAAACCAACCACTCACTTCTTAGCAAGTTGATAACATTGGACCCTTCCAACCTCCAGCAGCAATTCAACTTTACTGGACTCAGCACATGTTCTAGGTATGTGTTGGGAGAAAAGCTGAGTGTTGGGAGAGAAACTGAGGCAGGGCTTGGAACATGTCTGGGGTCCAGGGTCTAAAACCCCTCGTGGCCTCTGGAATGTGTCTAGATTTGCTGGCTCCTTGCTTCTAGCACTTCCATTATCTCAAGTAGCCATATGTTTCAAAGAAAATGCTAAACCATCATAGCTGTACCTCATTTGCTTGATACACCGCTTCCTTTCAACCCCCACATCCTCACCACCTGTTTCTTTGATCACCAATAAATAGCATGGGCTCCCAGAGCTTGGGGCCTTCGCAGCCTCCAAACTAGCGTTGGCCCCCTGGTCCCATTTTCTTTCTTAACTTGTCTCTTCTCATTCCTTTGACTCTGCTGGACTTCGTAGCCCCCATGGCCTGGTGTTGGGTCTGATCACCCCAACAGTATGGGTTTTCATTTTCTGCCTTTGAGGTCTCATCTAGTAGCAGTGTCCCGGCATTTACAAAGTTTGATGCACCAACATGGAATCCCCCACAGCTCAGACTCAGAGTCCCACCTTACAGCAAAGCAATAGGCGCGATACCATGAGATCTACGGGTTGAGGAGTCTGGCCCTTGGTTAAATACCTATCTGTGATTTTTCAGGCCTGACCATAAGCAATTACAAAGACTACCTGGCAGGCCTCACAGGGAAAGCTGCCCTCTCCACGCCATTCATCGTGCACAGCCGGTGCATCCTGGTTTCTAAAGGAAGTTGTAGTCAAGGACTCAGGCTCCCCTGGCCAGCCATGCTCTTCATGCATTTACATTCCTAGCCTGGTGCCTTTATCTCTGGGTCACCGTCTGAGACCTTGGGCAGAGGTCCTCCTTGGCCTCCTCTGCTGAGGTCTCCTTATAGGGGGAGGAGGAAGAACCTTGAAGACACTTTTTCCCCAATCTGACTGAGCACCCAGGACTTTTCTACCCCAAACCCTCTCCACTTCAGGGTCCATAAAACTTCTGGAGCCTTTTGCCCAAGAGACCGCCATGTCTGTGCTGATCCCCCTGACCCTCATTCACTGCATCATTTCATAGGGGAAATGAAGCAGGAGTAAGAGCTTTCTCCAGCTTTAAACTCGCTTTTACCATCGCAGTAAGTGCTTAAAGGCTTCACTTTAATTTTTGGCTTATTGCTTTAATCAGCTACTCTGACAGCTCACTCTCCCAGCTCCACTGAGTTCCTGACACTGATCCTGTTACTCACTGAACTGCCCAGAAGCTTCATGACTTATAGGGTGATAGAAGGGCCTTTTGGAGGCTCAACCAAGGTGCTGGCTTGGAGATGTTATTGTGCAAGGCAGGGGCACCACCTCCAAATATGGTCTCTGCCTTAATTCAGCAACTGTTTTAAGATGTGTCCAGCTGAGCACAGTGGCTCACGCCTGTAATCCCAGCACTTCGGGAGGCCAAGGCGGGCGGATCACCTGAGGTCAGGAGTTTGAGACCAGCCTGGCCAACATGTTGAAACCCCGTCTCTACTAAAATACAAAAAAAAAAAAAAAAAATTAGGTGGTGGGCGTGGAGATTGAGGCAGGCGAATCACTTGAACCCAGGAGACGGAGGTTGCAGTGAGCCGAGATTGCACCACTGCACTCCAGCCTGGCGACAGAGGGAGACTCCATCTCAAAAAAAAAAAAAAATCAGCTGGGTGTGGTAGTGCACACCTGTAATCCCAGCTTCTCGGGAGGCTGAGACAGGAGAATCGCTTGAACACGGGAGGTGCAGGTTGCAGTGAGCCAAGATCACACATTGCACTCCAGCCTGGGTGACGAGAGTGAAACTCCATCTCAAAAAAAAAAAGAGGCATAGTCCCCATGAGGTAGAATACAAGGGTCCAGGATACAAGAGGTGGAAGGAGTGGCCCTGCACACCATCTCTTCCGGTGATCCACTTGGGAAATTGGTGCTTCCTTCCCCACAGCTGCAGACTCTGTGGTTCTATATATCCTAGTTCCCACAGGTCTAACACTTGCACTAGGAGACACAAGAAGAGCTCCTTGAAACTTGAAACTGTCACTGCTGCTCTGCCATTTCAGGCTCCACATGCCTGCCGGCAAGCCAAACAGTCATAATATTAGTGGGTTTAACTGACCTGAGCAGCAAGAAGAGGTCAGGTATCTGTTATACAGTGGGAGCAGGATAAAGGTTTGACACCCAGGTAATCCAGCACTTCTCATACAACCACTAACCAGTTTTGACAGTAAAGGACAAGTATACCAGCCGTGGCCTAAAAAAGTATGGTGACCAAAGACTTAGGTCCTTCAGGAATGAAGGTCTGTGTCACTCCGCCAGGTAAACCACCTAGACTAGAAAAGGTGCTAGCTAAGAGGGGAATCTAGGAATGGGTTGTAGAGGAGGGAATCATGATCAGTATCAATTTTAGGCTCAAGTTCAGCTCCAGCTGCAACAGCTGAATTTCGTCCTATTAGCCTTCCTCTTGTAAGTTTCCTTAGGAAAAGAGGCCAACCAGGATCTTGTAGGTGCTGTTCTGAAATGCAGTCTTGTTACTATACAGAGCAGGTGCTAGGGTGGGCTCTAGTGGATGCCATGATGTGCAGCCCAGAAACCTACTTTAGTACCTCGTTGACTATTGACAGCTCATAGCTAACCTCTCTCCTCTCTCCCTAGGAATTACCCTTGACTAAAATAAGCTGGTTCACCCACATTTACACTACTTCCCCAAGGGCAGCCTGCATCCCATGACTGGTTGATGCTGGGTAAAAGGCCCAGCCCCCTTGCCTGATTTGGAGCCACTCTGAAGGGCTATCTGAGCTGCGGAGCTCCCTGTGGGCTCCACCGAGGTCTTTGTTGCAACTGCACAGCAGTTTGACTTCTACCTCTGCCCATTCATGCTCTCCCTGTCCCCACTAGCTATTGATCCCCACAGCACTCCCCAGTAAACCTGCTGCACACCGATATCCATTTCTGAGGACTAAGACAATGAGGAAGATGTACTCTCAGAGTGAGCACCCTTTGTGTGAAATGCAAGAGGAGAGAACACCCTTGTACAAGATACAATGGAACAATCCAAGAAATCCTGGTTGAGTGCAATCCACTGAACTGGACTGATTGAAAGCTGGTGAGGTGCCCTAGGAAATTATTAAAATATATGTAAGAAGTAAACATGGTCTCATTTTTCCCCTTTTAATTTGACAAGGAGAAAAATAATTGTAACAGCACTATCATATGCCGGTGAGGATGTGCAAGTTTTCTGGAGGATACTTTGGCAGATGTGTTAAGAGTATTAAAATGTGATTCCCAGGCTGGGCGCGGTGGCTCACACCTGCAATCCCAGCACTTTGGGAGGCTGAGGCAGGCGGATCACGAGGTCAGGAGATCGAGACCATCCTGGCTAACACAGTGAAACCCTGTCTCTACTAAAAATAAAAAAATAAAATTAGCCAGGCGTGGTGGTGGGTGCCTGTAGTCCCAGCTACTCCGGAGGCTGAGGCAGGAGAATGGCATGAACCCAGGAGGCGGAGCTTGCAGTGAGCCCAGATCATGCCACTGCACTCCAGCCTGGGCGACAGAGCGAGATTCCGTCTCAAAAAAAAAAAAAAAAAATGTGACTCCCCTTTGACTCATTAATTTCTCATCAAAATTATCTAAAGATTTAAATTTGTAAAAATATACTACATGGATGGTCTTTATAGTAATAGACGTAGCCATTAAAATAATACAGAAATATATTTATCAACTGAAAAGATGTTTATGATATACTGTTGAATTTCTTTTATTATTTATTTATTTATTTTTTGAGATGGGGTCTCACTCTGTCACCCAGGCTGGAGTGCAGTGGTGACTTCTCAGCTCACTGCAACCTCTGCCTCTCAGGTTCAAGGGATTCTCCTGCCTCAGCCTCCCAAGTAGCTGGGATTACAGGTGCACCACCACACCTAGCTAATTTTTGTATTTTTAGTAGAGACAGGGTTTCACCATGTTGGCCATGCTGCTTTCGAACTCCTAACCTCAAGTGATCCACCCGCCTTGGCCTCCCAAAGTGCTGAAATTACAGACGTGAGCCACTGCACCTAGCCTGAATTTATTTTAAAAGGAGCTTATACAATAATGAAATTCATATGAAAGGATGAAATTCATCAAAATATTAAATAATATTTCTGTGTGGTACAATTTGGGGTGGTTTTTATTCTTTTTGCTTTTCTGTATTTCTGCTTTCCTTCAATGAATGTATATTTTTTGCAATTTTAAATTATAATTTGCTATAAAATAAGAAATCAGTGATTTTTTTGGCCTCCCAGTAGATTATCTCTTTTTACAGTAAATATCCTAATTAGGATCCTTTATTTCTACTGTAACCTTGTACTTTGATTTCACTTTACACTTTATGTTTTTTGGTACAGTTGCATATCACTCTGCAAATTGTAGTTGTGTTCATATCCTGCCTCCACCATTAGGTTGTAAGTTTCCAGGAGCCCTATCCACAAACATGGCTGCCCACTGCAGGATACCCAGACAGTAGGATGGACTGAAGGACAGCAGAAGACTGAAGGACAGAATGCACACACTGAGACGAATCATATCATAGAACACGTCAGCCCTTCATTCTTGTTAATTAGGAACCTAACAACAAAACCCCCACATACCATGCCCTTGGACATTTTAGTTGAAGTCACACTAGGAATCAAACTAGCCATCCTTGATGCCTGCCACATACTGTGCAACTAAATGCTTTCTACAAAGCTGCCACCACTCATACAATCCTCTCTGCAACTGCTGAGAGCACCATGGGCTCATTTTGGTTTTTTTGTTTCATGTTTTGTTTTAATTACTTCAGAATAACTTGCATTCAGATCAGAAAAAATGTTTCATTTGGTTCCACCTGAATTGCTTGAAAGTGCACCTTTTTCTGAGCTCCCTGTCAACCCAGTGGTCTGTTATTTTTTTTTTTTCATGGACCATACGTGAGACTTAATGGTCTGCTATTTCTAGGATATCTCCTGGGGCTAATGAAAGTGAAGGTCAACCCATGCTGCCTGTGCAGCCTCCTACAGCTGCACATGAGGAGTACAGATCTCTTTTATGTCTAGAAGAGTGGCATGTGAAATTTTCTTTTTCAATCTCAAGCCATGGAGATGGGTTTTAAATCTCTCTGAAATACTGGGTGATTCTTGGGCTCTGTAATATAGTAACAGAAGCAATTTTCTTGTTGAGGCTCAAAATCAAGAAGGAATGAATTGTATCAAACTCTTCAGTGTGCTCCAGTGCACCTCGCCCCCTAGAATGTAAGCTTCATGAGAAGCAGGGACTTGTGTCTGTTTTGTTCACTACAATATCACTAGTACCTATCACAGTACCTGACACAGAATGATTGAATACATGAATGAATGGAGCAGTGTGGGGATGGCTGAGATTTTAGAGACATCAGGAAGCTTCTAATCCCCAAATAATCCTTTCCCACTGACAGATTGAAGCCTGTAATTCTAAGATCAGAACTTAATCCATTTGCCTTAAGGTTCTTATTTTACTTAAAATGAAAATGCCATGTGCATTGATAAGAGAACAAATTGATACGACCTTATTGAAAAGCAATTGGGCAGTTTATGAAAACATAAAATGTTCATACCCTTTCACCCAGGACTAGCTCTTCCAGAAACTTAACCTCCAGAAATACATGCATGCAAAGATGCTAATTGTACTGTTATTTCTAACGGAGGAGCAGAGAGCAAATAACCTAACCTAACCTAACCTAACCTAACCTAAATATCCATCTGCAGAGGATTGGTTAAAGAGAAGAAATTTAATCACTGACTCATGTCTTTGACCAATGTCAAGGATTCTCCAGGGCCTTAACCCCTCTCTCCTTCAAGGTGCTTCTGAGAGGCATGAGCCTGTTACTCAGTGGGGACGACGGAGAAGCCTGAGAGCCACAGAGGGCAAGAGTCATCAATGAGCGACTCAGAGCCCATATGGAGCTGAATGACAGACAAGTGAACCTGGGAGGATCTTAAGGGGGACATAAAAGCATTTTATGGTAGCTATAAAACAAGAGTAAATTTGTATGCAGCTTCATATTTCTTAATTTATAATATAATGTAAAGTATATTTAAAATGATAGGTTATTATGAATTGAGGAGTATATGAAAGTTAAAAGTGAGTGTATTAGCCAGGTTCTCCAGAGAGCAGAACTAATAGGAGGGGGGGGGGGGCAGATTTATTATGAGGAACTGGCTCATGCAATTAGGAGACTGGGAAATCCTATGAGCTGGCATCTGCAAGCTGGAAACCCAGGAAAGCTGGTAGGTAGTTCAGTCTCAACCTGAAGGGCTGAAAACCAGGGGAGACAACGGTGTAAATCTTATCTGAAGGCATACGATGAGACAAGATGTCCCAGTTCAGGCAGTAAGGCAGGGAAAAGAGGGCAAACTCCTCTTTCCTCTGTCTTTTGTTCCATTCAGGCCCTTAACTGACTGGATGGTGCCCACCCACACTGGGCAGGCCAATCTATTATACAGATTCTGTCTATTCAAATGCTAATCTCCTCCAGAAACCCCTCAAAGACACAAGCAGAAATAATATTTAATCTGGGCAGCCCATGACCCACTCAAGTTGGCACATAAAATTAACTCTGTGTGTGTGTGTGTGTGTGTGTGTGTGTGTGTGTGTGTGTGTGTATGGAATTCTGGTGTTCAGCTTTTGGAAAAACTAAGAATCATATAAAAATAACTAAAAATTGCCATTATTTGAACTTATTTTGTTAGACATCATAGTTGAACTTATTTTGTTAGATATCAAGATCAAACTTTGCTTATTTAAGTAATTAGGAAGAAAGTCATACTGCTAAAAACTGGTTAGCAGCTAGCATACATTTGTTGTTGTTGTTGTTAATAAGAAGTAGAACGGGCTGGGCACAATGGCTCATGCCTATAATCCCAGCACTTTGGGAGGCTGAGGCAAGAGTATAGCTTGAGCCCAGGAGTTTGAGACCAGTCTGGGCAACATGGTGAAACCCCATCTCTGCAAAAAATACAAAAATTAGCTGAGTATGGTGGTGCACACCTGTAGTCCCAGCTACTTGTGAGGCTGAGGTGGGAGGATCACCTGAGCCCAGGAGGTTAAGGCTGCAGTGAGCTGTGATTGTGCCACTGCACTCCAGCCTGGGTGACAGAGTGAGATGCTGTCTCAAAAAATTAAATAAATAAATAAAAAAGAAGTAAAATATACCAAATATTTTATAAGATGAGGGTTGACTGCATTGAAAGAAAATATTTCATAATATGAGAAATATCTTATTGAATATTGCACACCACCCACAACAAATCATGTAACTTTTTAATCTGCTGGTTTTATTTAGTGTAAGTTGAAGTGTCAGTGATTCTGGAAAATATTACAGTTATATTTAAAATAATAAGCATCACTAACCTGCACTGCTACAGCTGTTTGAAGGATGTTTCCTTCCCAGCTAAAAACATGTCTCAGGAAAAAGAACCCTTATGTTTTAGAAAATCATTCTGAAATATCTACAAATGAAAAGATACAATGTTTTGCTTCAAAATCATAAGGTAATGGTAAGAAACCGTATACTTTACCTCTGTGATCATCCTTCCCTAACCCATAATCACTGTCTAATCATGAGAAAAACGTTAGACAAATCCCAACTGAGAGACATTGGCATTAAAACTATGGAAAGTCTGAGAAGCTGTTACAAACCAGAAGAGTCTAAGAAGACATGACCACTAAGTGTAATGTGGCATCAGGATGAGATCTGGGAAGAGAAAAAGAACAGTAGGGAAAAACTGGTGAAATCTGAATAAATTGTGCAATATTAGTTAATACTAACATACTAAAGTTGGTTCCTGAGTTGTAATAAATGTATTATAAGAGTGTAAGATATTCACAGTAAAGGAAAATAGGCAAGGTGTATTTGAAAATTCTGTACTATCTTTTGCAACTTTTGGTAAATCCAAAGCTATTCTAAAATAATTTTTTAAAAAGAATCATGGATGGCTGGGCATGGTGTCTCACACCTGTAATCCCAGTACTTTGGGAGGATTGCCCAAACCCAGGAGTTCAAGACTGACCTGGGTGACATGAGGAAATCTTGTCTCTTCAAAAAATATAAAAATTAGCCAGGCATGGTGGTGCACATCGTGGGAGGCTGACGTGGGAGGATCACTTGAGCCCAGGAGGTCATGGCTGCAGTGAGCCATGATTGTGTCACTGCACTCCAGCCTGGGTGACACAGCAAGACCCTGTCTCAAAAAAAAAAAAAAAAAAGGCCCCAGTGTGGTGGCTCACACCTGTGATCCCAGCACTTTGGGAGGCCAAGGCAAGAGGATCGCTTGAGCCCAGGAGTTCGAGGCCAGCCTGGGCAACACAGCCAAACCTCGTCTCTACAAAAAATACAAAAATTAGCCAGGCGTGGTGGCATGTACCTACTTGGAAGGCTGAGGCAGGAGGATCGCTTGATCCCAAGAAGTCGAGGCTGCAATGAGCCGTGATTGTGTCACTGCACTCCCGCCTGAGTGACACAGCAAGACCCTGTCTTTAAAAAAAAAAAAAAAAAAATTTTAGACTTCCAGGTATTCAGCATAAATCACATTGTACAGTTTAGGTACAATGAGCCATCATTATCAAGGGATAGTGTTATATCGATGTAGAGAATTATTTACCAGTCAAGTTCCCAATGCCAGCCAAAGGCCAATCTTGTGAACAGGACTTTCTAAGGATAGCAAGCAGGCCTGGGCACCAGTGCACACACATAGCATACAACTTTCTGGGGTGTGACAGAGATATTTCATAATTCATACCCTCCTCCTGTTGTGGAAGTTATCCCTACAAACCTCACTTACAGACATCATCTACTATTCTGATTCAGAGATACATGTCTGAAGGAGGAAGGGAACACCTGTGAGATATGGAGAGCTGAGAAGAGGAAGCCTTGAGTTTCTCAATGAGCATAGCTGAAAATCAGCCCGGAGCTCTGCACTATCATTTTTGTTTTTTTCCTTCTGTACATGGGACTTTAGTTCTGAGAAATCTATCCTGAGGATAGAAGAGGAAGAGAAGGGAGAAGAAGAAAAATGAGAAAGAAAAGAGTGAGGCCTTTTGAGAGGATGGAATAGAATCAGGTTAGCTCAATCGGGTTGTGAATATCCAGGAAGCACTGTTGAGTTCAAGCTTCCTAAAATATGTACAAGTGGTGATGTCCGGTAGGCAGGCAGACTCTAGAGCTGGTAAAGGGCTGTAGGACACAGAGCCTCAAGTGTTCATTTTCTTTTCTTTTCTACTTTTTTTGAGACAGAGTCTTGCTCTGTCGCCAAGGTTGGAGTGCAGTGGTGCGATCTCGGCTCACTGCAACCTCTGCCTCCTGGGTTCAAGCAATTCTCTGCCTCAGCCTCCTGAGTAGCTGGGACTACAGGCACCGACCACCACGCCCGGCTAATTTCTGTATTTTTAGTAGAGATGGGGTTTCACCATATTGGCCAGGCTGGTCTGGAGCTCCTGACCTCAAGTGATCCACCCACCTTGGCCTCCCAAAGTTCTAGGATTACAGGCATGAGCCACCGCGCCCGGCTGAGTGTTCATTTTCGGGTTTTTTTTTTTTTTTTTTTTTTTTTTTTGAGAAGGAGTCTCACTCTGTCGCCCAGGCTGGAGTGCAGTGGCACGATCTCGGCTCACTACAAGCTCCGCCTCCCAAGTTCAGGCCATTCTCCTGCCTCAGCTTTCCGAGTAGCTGGGACTACAGGCGCCCCCCACCATGCCTGGCTAATTTTTTTGTATTTTTAGTAGAGATGGGGTTTCGCCGTGTTAACCAGGATGGTCTTGATCTCCTGACCTCGTGATCCGCTCATCTCGGCCTCCCAAGGTGCTGGGATTACAGGCGTGAGCCACCGTGCCCGGCCGAGTGTTCATTTTCAAATGAGGTAATACATACGATTACAGATACACTGCAACACGCCAGCATTGAGCTTTTTTGTTAAACTCTGTAAATATCTTGTGAATAGTGTATTTGTACGTATGTTAAAATAATTACTTGAGCTTCTGTCCACTCTGTTTGGCATTTTAAAATCTTTTCAGGCCGGGCGCGGTAGCTCACGCCTGTAATCCTAGCACTTTGGGAGGCCGAGGTGGGCGAATTGCCTGAGCTCAGGAGTTTGAGACCAGCCTGGGCAACATGGTGAAACCCCGTCTATACTAACATACAAAAACAAAAAAACAAAAACAAAAAAAATCAGCCGGGCGTGGCGGTGTGCGCCTGTAGTCCCAGCTACTCAGGAGGCTGAGGCAGAAGAATTGCTTGAACCTGGGAGGCAGAGGCTGCAGTGATCCGAGATCCTGCCACTGCACTCCAGCCTAATGACAGAGCGAGACTCTGTCTCCAAAAAAAAAAGAAAGAAAGAAAGAAAGAAAAGAAAGAAAAAAAAGAAAAAGAAAAAATTTTTCAATAAGTTGGATTTGGTGGTGGCAGGAAATCCCAGCTACTCGGGAGGCGGATGCAGGCAGATTGCTGGAGACCAGGTGTTCAAGGTCAGCCTGCACAACATAGTAAGACCTCGTCTCAAAAAAAGAAAAGAAAGAAAAAATATTTTTAATATGCAACAAGCCTCAAAAAATGGAAGTGGTCCCCGTTTCTCTTAATGTCTTGGAGGCCAAAAAAAGGTACTGGTTGGTGAAATACACATATAGATATCATCAGTACCCAGATGTTAATTAACGCCAAGGGAGTGTAAAGGGTCGCCCAAGAGAGCGACTTTACGGGAAAAGAAGGCTCTGGAACCAGAACATTTAAAAGACTCACTGAAGGAGAGGCGCCTACAAAGGATGCTAATCAGGAATGGCCAAAGAGATGGCAGAAAAACCAAGTGAAATGGTTAGGGAAAGATGGGGGAAAAAAACATAAGGATAACTCAAGCCAATAGTGCATTTTAAGAAGGGTATTAAGGCCGGGCGCTGTGGCTCACGGCCGTAATCCCAGCGCTTTGGGAGGTCGAGGCAGACGGATCACCTGAGGTCAGGAGTTTGAGAGCAGCCTGGCCAACATGGCGAAAACCCTGTCTCTACTAAAAATACAAAAATTGGCTGGGCATGGTAGCGGGCGCCTACAATCCCAGCTATTCAGGAGGCTGAGGCAGGAGAATCCCCTGGACCCGGGAGCTGGAGGTTGCAGTGACCCGAGATCGCGCCACTGCTCTCGAGCCTGAGCGACTGGGTGAGACTTCATCTGAAAAAAAAAAGAAAAGAAAAAGAAAAAAAGATTAATCAAAGTGTCAAATATTTCTTTCTTTTTCTTTTTCTTTCTTTTTTTTTTTTTTTTTTTTGAGACGGAGTCACACTGTGTTGCCCAGGCTGGAGTGCAGTGACACGATCTCGGCCCACTGCAACCTCCTCCTCCCAGGTTCAAGCGATTCTCCTGCCTCGGCCACCCGAGTAGCTGGGATTACAGGCGTGCACCACCACGCCCGACTAATTTTTGTATTTTTAGGGGAGATGGGGTTTCTGCATGTTGGCCAGGGTGGTCTCGAACTCCTGACCTCAGGTGATCCACACGCCTCGGCCTCCCAAAGTGCTAGGATTACAGGTTGTGAGCCACCGCGCCCGGCCAATGTCAAATATTTCGCTGATTTTCCTCGGTCAGCACCACCACAATAATTGTGCCACCTTACCCATGCAAGGTTTAGACATCTCTTTGACTCTTTTACAGGGTTTTATACTGTGGTTTCCATTATTTCCTCTAACTAGACAGCAGAAGCGGCTTACTCATTTTTCTCTTCCATAGAGTCTTACTCCGATCGTTCAATTAATATCAGTGGAATGATTTAAAGAACATTTGAAAAACCACTCGGACAAAACCCTCAGATTCGAACTTGTTCCAGCAGCCAAAAATACCCGCGGGCCACGGCTACACTGCGCAGGCGCAAAGGCAGATGGGCTTTCTCCAGAAGGGCTTTGCATTTGGCGCGAAATCCCTTTCCGTGGGCTGGGGCTCTTGGAGAGGCGCCGTTCATTGGTCAGGTTTGGCGCGAAATCTCCAGCTCCTGTGTCACGATTGGTTCCGGCCGTGCAGGTCGGAAGAGGGGGCGGGGCGGAAGCGGCGGCGGCGCGCGCAAAGCTGCAGCGTCTGGAAAAAAGCGACTTGTGGCGGTCGAGCGTGGCGCAGGCGAATCCTCGGCACTAAGCAAATATGGACCTCGCGGCGGCAGCGGAGCCGGGCGCCGGCAGCCAGCACCTGGAGGTCCGCGACGAGGTGGCCGAGAAGTGCCAGAAACTGTTCCTGGACTTCTTGGAGGAGTAAGTCGGCGAGCGCCCCGGGCCTCGCCCGCCTCCGGAGCCTGCGGCGTCTGGGCCAGGCGGTGCCGTGTGGGCGGCGGGTGTTCCGGAACCTGGGGGTCGCGCGTCCGGGAAGCGCCTCCCCGCCCGCCCCCCAACTTTAGGCTCCGAGCCCGGCGGCCGCGAGGAGCCTGGGACAGGCTGGGTTTTTCTGGAGTAAAACCCATCTCGAGCCCTAAGACGCTCGTGCCCAGTGCTCAGCGCTTTGCTTCTGTCACTTGATGCTCACCACCCCGCGAGCCTGGTATTTGCACAGCCCTCGGTGACCGGCGCGGAAACCTGGGCTCGCTGAGTATAGTAACTGGGCCGCTGGGTGCGGCCAGGTCGAGTGGGAGGCCGAAGTGCCATTGAATCTCGTCGGTGCCCTGCTGGGCCACGCAGCCGGGAGCATGGTGCTGGGGGTTCGCAGGGCACGGGCCACCCTCGCCTCTTGTGCTGATGAAAGTTTCTGCGTCAACTGTGGTTTGAAAGCTGCTGGGGGGCGGAGCCCTGCCCTGCAGAGAGTAGCTCACCATATCCCTTCTTCTGGGTCCCTTGCTCCCCTTTCCCTCTGGCCTTCCTTTCCTTTCTCTACTCTTCTTTTTTTCTGTGCCTCTGGGCTCCTAGCTTCATAACCCCAACCTCCTCCCTGGCTTGCCTCACCCACCGGTTATTTTTCCTGGAGCAGATACACCACGGCCTCCAGGATGAAGGGTCAGCAGTTTGGAATGGCTTTTGAAGTTCTTTTTTAGTAAAATATACATAACAAAGTTGACCATTTTAGCCATTTTTAAGTGTAGAGTCCAGTGGCACTAAGTGCATTCACCTCGTTGTGCAGCCGTCACCACTCTCCCATCTCCAAACTTTTTTTTTTTTGAGGCGTAATTTAGCCCTTGTTGCCCAGGCCGGAGTGCAGTGTCACCATCTCAGCTCACCGCAACCTCCGTCTCCCGGGTTCAAGCTATTCTCCTGCCTCAGCCTCCCTACTAGCTGGAATTACAGGCATGCGCCACCACGCCCGGCTAATTTGGTATTTTAGTAGAGATGGGGTTTCTCCATGTTGGTCAGGCTGGTCTTGAACTCCCGACCTCAGGTGATCCCCCCGCCTGGGCTTCCCAAAGTGATTACAGGCGTGAGCCACCGTGTCCGGCTCCAAACTCTTTTCATCTTCCAAACTGACATTCTGTGCCCATTAAACACGAACTCTCCTCCGTTACCCTCTCCCTCAGCCACCGTCACCCACCACTCTGCTTCCTTTCATTATGAGTTTGACCACTCTAGGTACCTCATATAAGTGGAAGCGTGTAGTATTTGTCCTTTTGTGTCTGGCTTGTGTAACATAATGTCTACAAGGTTCCTCTGCGAGGTAGCATGTGTCAGAATTTCCTTACTTTTTAAGGCTAAATAACATTGTCTGTACACATTGAGTATCCCTTTTCTGAAACGCTTGGGACCAGAAGAGTTTGGGATCTTGGATTTTTTTTTCAGATTTGGAATGTTTACATTATACTTAACCAATTGCATCCCTAATTTGAAATGCTCCAGTGAAAATCATGTCAGCACTCAAAAAGTTTCAGATTTTGGACCATTTCATATTTTAAATTTTCAGATGAGGGCTGCTCAACCTGTATATATACTGCATTTTGCTTATCCATTCAGTGGACACAGGTTCATTCCACCTTTTGTCTATTGTGAATAATGAGGTTCATTCCACCTTTTGGCTATTGTGAATAATGCTGCCTTCTTAGGAAATTTTGGTATACTTAAAACCATAATTTAATTTCCATTTCACTACCTATGGCAATGTTATTGTCTGCCTGATAGTTCCTCCTTCAAAGCCCAGCTAAAAACTCACACCTTTGTGAAACCTTGTACACCTTTTTGAGAGGCACTAATCCTTTCTTCCTTAGGCTCCCAGGGTGCTGTTTGTTTTTCATTATCTCTGGCAGTGTAACACATTTACCTCCTAGCTACTTAGTCTGGAATTCAAATTCCATCCTCAACCCCACCTACCCACCACATCACATTACAAAGGTTTTTCAATAAACGTTTCATTTCAACAAATAATCTAAGTGCCTTGACTTTGCAGCTAGATGATAATGATGAGACAAATAATCTCTGTGCTTTGTTTAAAGAAATGCCAACTCCCTGTCACAAAATAAACTTTAATTCACCATTGCTTGTGGAATAAAGTTCAAATTCTTCATCACTCCTCTTTCCTGTTTGTCTTACAAAAACACCCCAGTCATCATCCACACTTCTCCCCTACCTTCTCTGACTTAATCACATTCTTGGAATCATCTAGTCAGTCACTTCACCACCTGTTTTTATTTGAAATTTTTAACTCTTTCAGAAGCTGAATTCCAACGCCACCTTTTATATGTATAACTTGTAGTTGTTTTTTTAGGCAGAATTAGTTTCTATTCCCCTAGCACATTTCTTGTTCTTCTCATTAACAGGAACATCTTTCTTGTCTGTCTTCATTGCTTACATGTCTAACTCCCTAGACGCAGACAAAGTGTTAGTTAACCCTAGGGCAGGAACAACACTGCCATTTTCAGCCTCAGGTACCTCTGTTATAGGGCTTTGCACGTAGTTGTTTAACAAATATTTTAAGGAGTCAGAACATGCTGTATATGGAGGAGAAATTGATTTTTTCTTAAGGCGAATCTGCATATTATGTTTGAAAGAACAGAAATAAATTTGTATGATATCCTGCTTGGGCTTTAGAAGCAAAAATACCAGCAGCTTTATTTAGTGTGCCTGTTTCAATTTTCCCGAAGTCTTGGGCTGTGAAACACCTCATTTCCATGTATTCTTATTTCTGTTCTGCTTCTTAAATCCCTGACTAATTTGTTAGTTTGCAAATTCCCTACAGAAATGGAATCATTGGGTTTGAGACTGAATTTCTTGATTTAACATTTTCCAATCTTAATTATACATGACAGTAGTAAAAGAAGAGTTAGTTGTTGGGTTTTTTTGTTAGTTAGCAGTTAAACCTCACAATCATGGTGGAAGGCAAGGAGGAGCAAGTCACTGATGTCTTACGTGGATGGCATCAGGCAAAGAGAGCTTGTGCAGAGGAACTCCTCTTTTTAAAACCATCAGATCTCGTGAGACTTACTATCAGAGAACAGCAGGGGAAAGACTTGTCCCCATGCTTCAATTAACTCCCACCAGGTGCCTCCCACAACATGTGGAAATTCAAGTCGAGATTTGGGTGGGGACACAGCCAAACCATATCAGAAGGGAGGAGTAACTTGCCCCAAGTTACAGAACTGCCAAACATGGGCCTGTCTGAGCCTAGTTGTTGGACTTTAACCAATGTTCTGAATTATCATTCAGGTTCTTTGTACTGCCTGTGTCCTTAATCTAGTTGACTCGAATGTACCTGCAGGTTTCAGAGCAGCGATGGAGAAATTAAATACTTGCAATTAGCAGAGGAACTGATTCGTCCTGAGAGAAACACATTGGTTGTGAGTTTTGTGGACCTGGAACAATTTAACCAGCAACTTTCCACCACCATTCAAGAGGAGTTCTATAGGTATGGGCATATTAATCTTCTTTACTTTGAATAGGGGTTGAAATCCGGGAAGCCAGCTCTTCTTGGACTGTAAGTGTTCACTTGTGTAGCAGAAGGTCAGCTTTCACAGTTATTTCCCACTGAGAAGAGGCGCTTTGATACTGCCAGTGGTCGTTTTAGTACTGCTCTGAACTTCATGTAGGCCTTTGTAGAGCCGAACGTTTTTTTGTTGTTGTGTTTTGTTTGTTTGTTTGTTTGTTTGTTTTTTGAGACGGAGTCTTGCTCTGTCACACCTAGGCCGAAATGCAGTGGCGCGATCTTGGCTCACTGCAACCTCTGCCTCCCGGGTTCAAGCGATTCTTCTGCGTCAGCCTCCCGAATAGCTGGGATTACAGGCGCCCACCATCACGCCCGGCTAATTATTTACATTTTTTAATAGAGACGGGGTGTCACCATGTTGGTCAGGCTGGTCTCGAACTCCTGATCTCAGGTGATCCGCCCGCCTCGGCCTCCCAAAATGCTGGGATTACAGGCGTGAGCCACCGTGCCCGGCCAGAGCTGAACTTTTTTTTTCAAATACAAATGTTGAAAATCTTTGCTTTCTATATAGTTTTCCCAAGAGGAAAACTGTACTTACTTACTTTTGTGTCATTCCATTGATCCTTTTTCCCCACAGGAATAGGTGTTTGTGTGGGTCCTTTTCTTGTACTGGGGATATCTTTACAGCATTGACGTTGTTGTACTTCTTGTTCCCTTAAAGTTTAATTTTGTTTTCGCTTATAAAAGTAATAGGTATATATTGTAGAAAATGGAGAAGAGTAAGGAGAATTAAATTGCTTATACACTTGTAATCCACCACCGTCATTAGCAGATCTGCTACAACAGAGTTCCAGGAGCCTTCCAAGTCTGCAAGTGCAGAGTTTTGTAAGGATCTTCTGTCACATTTTGATGTCTTTGTGTGTATGCTGTGTATGAAATTACTCAAATTCATATAAAATTTCTTAAACTCATACTAATAGCTCCAATTGTGGTTTTTTGGTAGAAATACTATGGTTAGACATTATATTTAATAGAAGGCTTTTATTTTGTTTTGACTTGTTATATATAGCAAGAAACATCTTTGCACACAAGACTTTGTATTAGGATTAAATAAATGTGACAGTCTATAGAAATAGAATCAGGTTAAAATAAATTGTGGACAGTTGTGAAAGATAAATGAAAACCCAGGGATAAGGAGGCACAGTCTCGTTCATTTCTTAGTAGATTAGGAGATGGAGGATTTGTCTGTGTTTCTGGTCATAGCTGATGATCAAGAATAATTGGAGGGGGTAAGTAAGCAACAGGATTTATTGTGAAAGCATGCAGCAGTAGAAGTTATAGCACTGACAAATAAGGGAGAGGTAGACAATCAAGCCTGGTGGTAGAAGCAGCTGTGCCATGCCTCATGCACAAGCCAGGCAGCAGTTCTCTTTCCTGAGAGTAGCGCCTTTTTTAGAGGGTTTCAGACCCCACTTCTTAAACAAACTAAGCTGGAGTAGGTATTAGAAACATATCAAAAGGACATGCATACTTCACTCTCACCAGTCAAATGGAGCATTTTTGCCAATTTGTTCTCACATTAGTGCACAAATACTTCTCCTGTCCTCATCCATTTCTTATCAAACCAGCCAGATGTGGTGGCTCACACCTGTAATCCTAACACTTTGGGAGGCTGAGGTGGATAGATCACTTGAGCCCAGGAGTTTGAGACCAGCCTGGACAACATGGTGAAATCCCATTTCTACAAAAAAAACCCCACAAAAATTAGCTGGGCATGGTGGTGCATGCCTGTAGTGCCAGCTACTCAGCAAGCTGAGATGGGAGGATCACCTGAGCCTAGGTAGATTGAGGCTGCAGTGAGCTGTGATCGTGCCACTGCACTCCAGTCTGGGTGACAGAGTGAGACCTTGTCTCAGAATGAAACCAAAGAAATTGACTGACTTGACACATGACTTACTAAGTCATAAACAGCCCACAGAAAATTCACAGTATTGAGCATAATATTGACAAGATGATTGTTCAGCTAGTCATCTTGGACAGAGGAATGGCCAACAGTGTGGGTGCTGTATGATTATTTATGTGCTATATGATAATCAGGTATGGTATGACATTTTATATTTAGTGTTCCGGTGGGATAGGAGAGAACTGAAAGAGGGTCCTAAACCTAGAGTAGATAATAGAAGTGTCCTACACAGTTAAGTTCTAAGGTTTAGTTGTAACCAGATGAAATTCCTTAATCTCGGCTGTTGGTAGGTATGTAAAGGGAAGGAGGCCTTGGTAAACCTCTAAGGTATCAGCTGACTTTTTTGTTTTTCAGAGTTTACCCTTACCTGTGTCGGGCCTTGAAAACATTCGTCAAAGACCGTAAAGAGATCCCTCTTGCCAAGGATTTTTATGTTGCATTCCAAGACCTGCCTACCAGACACAAGTAAGAAACCCTTCTCTGGAAAAAAAGGAATTCACCAAATGGTATAAGTACCACTTAGCTGACAGTCAGAAAACTTGAGAGGTTGCCTTGATCTGCTATTAGCTGGCTATTTAACATTATACAAATCACTTTTACCTCCCTGAGCCTCAGTTTCCTTGTCTGTGAAGTCTTTTGGCTTAGGTTTTCTACCTAAATCATGCAAAAAATAGGTTTGTTGCTGTAAAATTACTTTTTCATAATTGATAATCACAATAATTATAAAACAAGTACTTATAAAATTGATGCTGTAAAATACCAGGAGGAAAAAATAGTGGTTTGCATTCAGATTTTGTAGAAGGTTGACTTTTGTAGGAGTTATACCCACTTATCCAGAAAGTTTAGTGTTGGAGAAATGTATTTTCCTATGGAGATGGGATTAGATGTAAAGGGAGTGAAGCAAATTTTTAGGATTATCACATTTTAGGGCGCCTTTTAGGGAAATTTGGGAGAAAATTGATCAAGGGAGAAAATATGAAATTCTAGAAATTCCTGAATCTCTGGAAATTTTTGTTGGTTTAAATGCATAATTTTCAAACACCCCTTTGGCAGTTATTTTAAGAATAAATTTACTGGATAAAATTGAAGTGATATTTTGAAAAGTTAAACTACTGAAATTATAAAATTACCAAATTACTTCACATAAAATGGGTTTGTAAAGGAAGTGTTTCTGAACTTTGAGTACAAAATTTTTTCTCATGATAGGATTATTATGTAACACATGCTTTTTTTTTTAGAAATTGCGGGTAAGCAAAAAAGTATTTGCATATAAAACAAAAACAGGATCATTCTGTTTTTGTTTTTTTTTTTTTCTGAGACAGAGTCTTGCTCTGTCACCCAGGCCAGAGTGCAGTGGCACGATCTTGGCTCACTGCACCCTCCACCTCCCGGGTTCAAACAATTCTCCTGCCTCGGCTCCCCGAGTAGCTGGGATTACAGGCGCCCGCCACCACGACTGGCTAGTTTTTGTATTTTTAGTAGAGGTGGGGTTTCGCCATGTTGGCCAGGATGGTCTTGATCTCTTGACCTCATGATCCGCCCACCTTGGTCTCCCAAAGTGCTGGGATTACAGGTGTGAGTCACTGCGCCCAGCCCGTTCTGTTTTATAATTTTAATTTTCATTTTTTTGGCATCCTTTAGTTCATTTATATATTTTGTTCTGGATACATATACGTCATATAATTTAGGATTGGGCACGTTGACTAAATTATTCTTATAGGAGAGTCCAAAGAATACCTTGTCTCTTGAATTTTTTTTTTAAACATAAATTATCTTTGAATACCCTCTCACTAAAATGGAAAGATTCTTAGTTAAGAGATGAATGTTTACTAATGGGACATTTGTCTTTAAACAGGATTCGAGAGCTCACCTCATCCAGAATTGGTTTGCTCACTCGCATCAGTGGGCAGGTGGTGCGGACTCACCCAGTTCACCCAGAGCTTGTGAGCGGAACTTTTCTGTGCTTGGACTGTCAGACAGTGATCAGGGATGTAGAACAGCAGTTCAAATACACACAGCCAAACATCTGCCGAAATCCAGTTTGTGCCAACAGGAGGAGATTCTTACTGGATACAAATAAATCAAGATTTGTTGATTTTCAAAAGGTATTTATTTAACATCTGTTTAGATCAGAGTCCATCTATGATAATAATTCACTTCTAGGCCCTTGCAATAGCTTATTTAGATAATGTTCAACTCAATTTTTATGTAAGTTAAGCATCATCAAAATGACTACAAAGTTAAGCCCAAAACTGTTCATGTAAATTATAATTGTTAGTATATACATTTGTTTTAACTTTCAGTAACTTGGAAGTTCCTTAAGACTGACAAGATGTATTTGTCAAAGAATAAATGGTAACTAGGTGGTGGTGGTTGTCATTATGAACTGGAGTTAAGAAAACTTAAAGAAATAGCAACTTGTTAGTGTAAGATTTCCATTTGCTGCATAGAAAGGAAAGCATGAATAGGACAGGCTAGCTTGGAAGCAATGAGGATTATCATGATTGAAGTAAAGGAGCCAAATTGGAGATCATCTGAGAGATGATTTGATGTGAGACCTGGAGGTACTTGGATCCCTAAATCTTAGGCTGAGGAGTTTGAGCCTATCTTAATAAGCAGTGGGAATATAGTGGGAAGGTAGTTTGTGTGTGTGGGTGTGTGTTTGTTTTGTTTTGTTTTTTGTTTTTTTTTGAGACAGTCTCTCTCTGTCACCCAGGCTGGAGTGCAGTGGCGCGATCTCGGCTCACTGCAAGCTCCGCCTCCTGGGTTCACGCCATTCTCCTGCCTCAGCCTCCCGAGTAGCTGGGACTACAGGTGCCCACCACCACACCCGGCTAATTTTTTGTATTTTTAGTAGAGACAGGGTTTCATCGTGTTAAACCAGGATGGTCTCGATCTCCTGACTTCGTGATCCGCCTGCCTCTGCCTCCCAAAGTGCTGGGATACAGGCGTGAGCCACTGCACCCAGCCTGTGTGTTTTTTTTTAAAAGCAAACTGAATAAGTCCGTGATGGGTTTAACAGAGGGTAATAGGCAATTTCAGTTACCTGGGCAAGAGGTGATGGATGGCAGTAGTAAGAATGAAGGGGACCCTCAGATTTCAGCAGGACTTAATTTTATGGGACATACAAAATGGAAAGAAAAGCTGAAGCAGCTCAAGTATGGAATAATTATTATCAGATGAATTTAATATTATTTATATTGCTCTGATAATCATTCTCCTTATTTGGCTTTCTTACATTAACCTGGTAGCTTATAAGATGCACATATTTTACCAACAGCTTTGGGTAGGAGATGTCTTATCTTATAAAGTATGAATCTAGATTGGGTCTTAGTTTGGGGGGGGGAACACAACTGTATAAAGGACACTCTTGACAAGACATTTGAAGATGGACTAGATAATAGAAGATATGTAATTTTATGAAATTAAATATTGTTTAATTATCTTGGTTGTGATAATGATATTGTAACAGGATTGTCTTTATTCTTAGAGATGAATGCTAAAATATTTAGGTATGAAGTTTCTTGATGTTCACAACTGTGTTCAAATACATAGTAAAAAAACATGTATCTGTAAATAATGTTAGCAGTTGTGTTGAAGTGGAGGGTATAAAAGGTGTATTTGAAATTTTCTGTAAAATTATCTTAAAGCTTAGGAGAAGATGGAGCATGGAACAGATATTTGGAGTCATTTTGAACAAAGAAAAAAATTATTTTTTAATGAGTAAAAGTGAAGTTTTTTTTTTCTCTGCTGCTTGAATCATCATGGAGTTTTTAAATAGATGTAATCTCTTGCCAAATTGAACTATTTGACTAAAAGGAGTTTTAGAGTAGATAATTTTTAGGATAAATGTTGGTACATGTGAAAAGTCTGCTAATGGGTCAGATAGTTTAGAATACGTCCGTATTTGTGGTATTTAATTTAGATTATATGGCATCTGAAAGGTATTGCTTCTCATTCTTGGTTGGTTGTTTGTCTGTATTACAGGTTCGTATTCAAGAGACCCAAGCTGAGCTTCCTCGAGGGAGTATCCCCCGCAGTTTAGAAGTAATTTTAAGGGCTGAAGCTGTGGAATCAGCTCAAGCTGGTGACAAGTGTGACTTTACAGGGACACTGATTGTTGTGCCTGACGTCTCCAAGCTTAGCACACCAGGTCAGTAATCTGTGGCTCAAATTTAACAAATTCTCAGTTACCTAAACTGCACAGTATCTAGCTTCCCACATCTTCATTGTCTTCTTTTTGGCTACCAATCAGAAGCTGAGGAACGAAGTGTGATGAGAATAAAAACAAATTGGTTTTGCCACAAATGGTGCTATTCTGAAAGTATTCAAGGCTTAAGTGAAGTCTTTGGATTTATAGCTTTCATTTATTTGAGCAATTTTGATGTTCAGCACCTTTAATATTTAAGTTGTGAAACAACCTATCATTCTGTTTCAGGAGCACGTGCAGAAACTAATTCCCGTGTCAGTGGTGTTGATGGATATGAGACAGAAGGCATTCGAGGACTCCGGGCCCTTGGTGTTAGGGACCTTTCTTATAGGCTGGTCTTTCTTGCCTGCTGTGTTGCGCCAACCAACCCAAGGGTCAGTCGTTTTGGGGGTTTTTGTTTGTTTTTGAAACAGTCTCTCTCTGTCACCCAGGCTGGAGTGCAATGGCAAAGTCATGGCTCACTGTAGCCTCCACTTTCTGGGCTCAAGTGATCCTACCATCTCAACCTCCTGAGTAGCTGGGATTATAGGTGTGAATCACTGCACCCAGCTAATTAAAAAAACTTTTTTAGAGATGAGGTCTTGCTCTGTTGGCCAGGCAGGCCAACAGTGAGTCTTAGTAGAGTGACAGCTTAAGAAACACCTACCCTGAGCTGCCACGAAATGATAGGATTCTGAAACATCTGGGCTGTCTCATCAATGTTGAGAGCACGGGATGGGGTTAAGATTTGATGAGTTTTAAAACCAAATCTTTTGACGTATGCCTTTCTGATCTTGAAAAAAAGTCTTATTTGATGTCTTACATAAAAGCTCAATGCTTTTAAGTGCAGTGGTACAAATTATCCACGCTGTTTTTTGTTTTAAAGTTTCATAGTTCCTCTGTTATTCTTCTGGAGGAAATACAAATAAAAAGATTTAGTAATCTGGGAAGTAAACTTCTGAGAATGATGAACCCCTGGCAGTATCATTCAGTTAACTTGATTCTGTGTCATAAATGGGAGTTTGGAAAATAGTTCAGTATTGGAAAAAGGGAGTGAACATAATATTCTCTTATTTTATTTGCATCTTTATGTCAGTGATTAACATTCTGCTATCGCTTATCTCTTGAGCATTCAGGTAGCTTTTTTTCTATTTAACTCACTGGACAAATGACATACCCTTAAGTGTCTTTGTTAACTGAGGGCTTACTAGTTTGGGGAGTTGTTTTTTTTTAAACCTTTACAGTCAATAAATTGTGAGGTTGACTTCCCATGCTATGTTGTGTTTGTAATGAAGTTTCTTCTCCTTTATGCTCTTTTGACTGCTTCTATACTAATGATTCTTCCTTTGTTCTCTACCATTAGTTTGGGGGGAAAGAGCTCAGAGATGAGGAACAGACAGCTGAGAGCATTAAGAACCAAATGACTGTGAAAGAATGGGAGAAAGTGTTTGAGATGAGTCAAGATAAAAATCTATACCACAATCTTTGTACCAGCCTGTTCCCTACTATACATGGTAAGAATTCCATCCATTTGTACCATAAACTTGAAATCAAAATAATGATTATAAACAGCCACAGGTGATTTCTGAAAGCACATAAATCAGACTGTGAAAGTTTTTAGTGGGTCTGAAAGAGGTCATTTACAAAAGGACAGGTACATGATTTCACTTATACGAGGTACCTGTAATGTGCAAATTCATAGAGACACGGTAGGATAGAGGTTATCAGTGGCTGGGGGAATGGGAGAAATGAGTTATTTAATGGATAAAGTTGCTATTTGGGATGATGACAAAGTTCTGGAAAGGGATAGTGGTGACAGTTATACAACATAATGTACTTACTGCCACTGAACTTATACACTGAAAAATGGTTAAAATGATAAGTTTTATTATGTATTTTTATCACAATTTTATTTTTTTAAGGAAAAGTTATTTTGTCATCTTATTTCCTGGCCTTATGACAGAGCTGCACTTAAGTGTGTTTCCATATGCGAGACTAGTCTCCTGGCCTTTTTGTGGTTGTAGTCTCCTGGCCTTGTTGGTGTGTGTGTATGTGTTTTAGAGAGACGGGGTTTTGCTATGTTGTCTAGGCTGAAGCACTCCCTCCTGGGCTAAAGCAACCCTACCTCCAGCCTCCCCAGTAGCTGGGATTACAGGTGTAGGTCACCACATTGGCTCTTGTTTCTCTTTTTATTTACCAAAATGGAGTGTTTATGATTGGTTACTTGTTCTGTCTATACCTTTGGCAGTTTCACATTTTCCTGACTCTTGGTTGCAAGCTGTGTTTTGAAGGCTATGACTAAAATTTTAGGCCTGATGCTTTATCTTTGAACTCTTCCATCCTTGTCTTCCATACTCAATTAGGATTATGGTAAGAACTCAACCTTTTTTTATCTTTTTTTATTCTATTTTATTTTGAGACAGAGTCTCACTCTGTCGCCCAGGCTGGAGTGCAGTGGCGTGATCTCAGCTCACTGCAACCTCTGCCTCCCGGGTTCAAGCGATTCTCCTGCCTCAGCCTCACGAGTAGCTGGGATTGCAGGATTGCCCCACAACACTCAGCTAATTTTTGTATTTTTAGTAGAGATGGTGTTTCGCCATGTTGGCCAGGCTGGTCTTGAACTCCTGACCTCAAGTGATCCATCCGCCTTGGCCTCCCAAAGTGCTGAGATTACAGGCATGAGCCACTGCATCCGGCCCTTTTTTTCTATCTAAATATAAGTCAGAGAAGTTTTGTTTGTGGAAGGGATTTTTAGTTTTCTACCTGTTTTGTTTTGTTTTGTTTTGTTTTGTTTTGTTTTGTTAGGGTCTTACTCTTGCCCAGGCTGGAGTGCAGTGACAGCATACATTGCCTACTACAGCCTCAACCTCCTGGGCTTAAACGATTCCCCACCACAGCCCCGAAATTAGCTGGGACTACAGGCGCCTGCCACCATGCCCAGCTAATTAAAAAAAATTTTTTTTTTTAGAGATGGGGTTTTACCGTGTTGCCTGGGCTGGTCTCAAACCTCTGGGCTCAAGCAATCCTCCCGCCTTGGCCTTCCAAAGTGCTCGGATCTTCCAGAGTGATCAGATTACAGGCATAAGCCACCACACCCAGCCTAATTTTCTGCTTTAAGGAATGCCTTGTGTAACTTTGCATAGCACTTTGTTGATGGAGTTCAGAGAGTCGACAGTTCCACAGAAAAATGTTTCTTTTAATAGCACAGTGTTCTTTTTTAAGAAAATTGTTTTTCCTTCTTATTGGATTTATGAACTAAGCAGCTGTAAATTGCATTCAGCATCTTATTTAATCCACATGAATTCAGTTAACATATATTTATTCAGTGCTGGTCACTGTAGGTGATAGAAAAGTGTTATGAACCATTTCCTCAAACTCTTCACAGAACTATAAGAACTGGCATTAAAAAGGACTAGCAAATGTGGTAGGCCTTGGTGGACATAGTTCATTTATCAGGAGAGATCTTTGAGGGCTAAGGCATTGGGTAAGGTTTTGTGTAGGAAGTAGGACTCATGGACAAGTAAAGGCTCTTAGGATGGTGAGCACTGGCACGGTGACATCTGTGGTGTAGGAGAAAACATTGGAACAGTGGTTTAGGTGACTAAGTCCACAGAACAAGAACCAAGATCGGAAGCCAGGTGTTATTACTCCAGTTTTATGCTTTGCTTTAGCTGACTCTGCCTTTCGGTTGGTAAACATGCCTTTACTGTTTCTTCTGAAAGTGTTTAACTTCATGTTGAAAAATTAGTTTTTCATCTGTAGCTTCTTTTCATTTCAGGCAATGATGAAGTAAAACGGGGTGTCCTGCTGATGCTCTTTGGTGGCGTTCCAAAGACAACAGGAGAAGGGACCTCTCTTCGAGGGGACATAAATGTTTGCATTGTTGGTGACCCAAGTACAGCTAAGAGCCAATTTCTCAAGTAAGCGTTTGCCTGATACAGTGTTGCAGGAAAAAGTGTACATAGTTCCCAGGCTGGCTGTGCTACCAAGAATGCAGTCAGTATGGCCTTACTAGGAGTGTAAATTATGACTATGTTGAATATATAATTCTCATAGATTAAAGTTATGGCAACATTGTACAATTTTTTAGAATAGGGAAAAATTGCCTGTAATACCAATCTCACATTGAACTGTTTAGTCTTTGTATAATATCTTTGTAAAATATATTTGTATAAAATTTTATACAAATTTTATTATTTGTATAAAATTTTATACAAATTTTATTATTTGTATAAAATTTTATACAAATTTTATTATTTGTATAAAAATATGAATTATGTATTTTCATTATTGTAAATCATATTATACATACTTGTAATTTCAATTTTCTATAAACATTTTTTCCATGTTTCTTTTCGCATGGAAAAATCTCATGAGTTTGTCATTTTCACAATTGTCTTTTTTTGTTGGTATACTATAGCTTACAAAATCATTTTCTTAGCCCTGTTAAATTTAACAGGATAGTTTATTATAATAATTACCGATATAGATGCAGTGAACATCATAATGTTATATACATTTTTTGTTTGTTTCCTCTGGGTAAATTGCTAGATACAGGATTGTTGAGACTAAGAATACAAACATTTGTAAGGTTTTAAAATAGGATGTACTGGCCGGGTGCCATGGCTCACGCCTGTAATCCCAGCACTTTGGGAAATCAAGGCGGGCGGATCATGAGGTCAGGAGATGGAGACCATCCTGGCTAACACGGTGAAACCCCGTCTCTACTAAAAATACAAAAAATTAGCCAGGTGTGGTGGCGGGCGCCTGTATACAGTCCCAGCTACTTGGGAGGCTGAGGCAGGAGAATGGCGTGAACCCAGGAGGCGGAGCTTGCAGTGAGCCGAGATTGCGCCACTGCACTCCATCCTGGGCAACAGAGCAAGACTCCGTCTCAAAAAAAATAAAAATAAAATAGGATGTACTTTCCAAAGGGAATGCTGCTATGAGATATTTTATGTTAACTTTGTCAGTGTGAACACAATTTTTGACTGTTTTTAGAAGCTATAATAAATATTTGATTACTTTCAAACTTTTAAGAAACTTAGGGCCCAAAATAAAAGCAACAAGTTTCTGAGCACCTGCCATGTTCTCAGTGCTGTATATGTGTTATGTCTTACTCTAGCAGCACCCAGACAGGCATGTGTATTATTCCCTTTTTTTTTCAGAGAGTCACAACCTCTCCAAGCCTACAAGAAATTTGCCCACTTTCTTGTAGGTGAAAGGTGACACCGAGCCATGAATATTAAAATTCAGATACAGTTGCCTGCAAAACATGTGTACTTCATACTACATCAAGCTGCCTTTTCTTTGTTTTGGAAATTTGTAGCATAGTACCATTTTAGAATATTGAACATTTTTAGTTGGTTTGGAGTTTTATGATTAAATATTTCTTTTGAACATATCACAGACTGAGTTTTAGATTTTAAGATAGTAGTCCTGTGTTACAAAGGATTCTTTTTTTTTTCTTGTCATTCTTTCTCCCCCCTCAAAAAGAAAGATGTACTACAATGTTGCCTCTGGTAACAGTGTCATGTGGTATGTGACAGTCTTAGTGGATTCCATAGCATTTTCTATGTATAAAATCTGTATATAATGATAGTCGGAGTATCCCATCTGGCTGCCTTTTTTTCTTGCCTAATTGTCCTTGATTAGAGCCATCAGTATAATGTTGAATAGAAGTGGCAAGAGCAGACATCCATGTCTTATTCCTGATCTTAGGGGCAAAACATTCAGCCTTTCACCTTTAAGTTTGATGTTATCTGTGGGTTTTCATAGATGCCCTTTGTCAGGTTAAAGAAAAAACCCTTTATTAGACTTAGGAAAACCTCCTCTATTCCTGGTTTGTTTGGTTTTTGTAATGAAAAGGTGTTGGATTTTGTCAAATGCTTTTTCTACATCTGTTTAGGTGGTCATGTAGTTCTTTTATTAATTTAGCATATTGATTGATTTTCAGATGTTAAACCAATCTTGCATTTCTGGAATAAGCCCCATATCTAGTTTTGTTTTGTTTTATTTTTAATTGCAAGACCTTCTGATAGATGATTGTTGCTGTTTATTACTATTAAAGACTTCTTTTAAAATTGATGTTTTAGCTGGGCGCGGTGGCTCACGCCTGTAATCCCAGCACTTTGGGAGGCTGAGGTGGGTGGATCATGAGGTCAGGAGATCGAGACCGTCCTGGCTAACACAGTGAAACCCCATCTCTACTAAAAATACAAAAAAAATTAGCCGGGTGTGGTGGCGAGCGCCTGTAGTCCCAGCTACTCGAGAGGCTGAAGCAGGAGAATGGCATGAACCCAGTAGGCAGAGCTTGGAGTGAGCCAAGATCAAGCCACTGCACTCCAGCCTGGGTGACAGAGCAAGACTCTGTCTAAATAAATAAATTAATTAAATTAAAAAATAAATAAAATTGATGTTTTAGGCTAGGTGTGGTGGCTCACGCCTGTAATCCCAGCACTTTGGGAGGCCAAAGTAGGTGGATCACCTGAGGTCAGGAGTTCGAGACCAGCCTGGCCAACATGGTGAAACCCCATCTCTACTAAAAATACAAAAATTAGCCGGGCATAGTGGCGCACACCTGTAATCCCAGCAACTCGGGAGGCTGAGGCAGGAGAATCGCTTGAACCCATGTGGCAAAGGTTGCTGTGAGCTGAGATCACACCACTGTACTCCAGCCTGGGCGACAGAGCAAGACTGTGTCTCAATTAAAAAAAATTGATATTTTTATCAGGTATTAACTCTGAAAATACAAAAATTAGCCAGGCGTGATGGCCCACACCTGTAATCCTAGCTACTCGGGAGGCTGAGGCACGAGAATCGCCTGAACCTAGGAGGTGGAGGTTGCAGTGAGCTGAGATTGTGACACTGCACTCCAGTCTGGTGACAGAGCGAGACCCTCTCAAAAAAAAAAAAGAAAAGCCGAGGGAGAGAAACCTTCCCATTTAGTCTGTGGCATGTGTCTTCATGAATTGCTTAAGCTCTCAAATGTTCTTTCAGTAATTTAAACTCTTCTGCTGGTTTTCCTGGGAAGGGTGCTGTATAATCACATATTAATGAGTCTTTATGTGATAACCTTGAACAGGCACGTGGAGGAGTTCAGCCCCAGAGCTGTCTACACCAGTGGTAAAGCGTCCAGTGCTGCTGGCTTAACAGCAGCTGTTGTGAGAGATGAAGAATCTCATGAGTTTGTCATTGAGGCTGGAGCTTTGATGTTGGCTGATAATGTAAGAACATTTTACACTCTTCAGTATAAAGAAGTCAGAATACCCCTACCCTATCAGTAAAGGCCTATAAGTTACCATTAAAAAGATGTCCTTAAAAACAGCATTCTCAGCTGGGCGCGGTGGCTCACACCTTTGTCCCAGTACTTTGGGAAGCCGAGGTGGGTGGATCACCTGAGGTCAGGAGTTCGAGACCAGCCTGGCCAACATGGCGAAAACCCATTTTCTCTACTAAAAATACAAAAATTAGCCGGGCATGGTGGCGGGTGCTTGTGGTCCCAGCTACTCAAGAGGCTGAGGTGGGAGGATCACTGAGCCCAGGAGGTGGAGGCTGCATTGAGCCAAGATTGTGCCACTGCACTCCAGCCTGGGTGACAGAGCGAGACTCTGTCTCAAAAAAACCAAAACAAAAAAAACCCAGCATTCTTTAGTAAATAATTCATAGTTTTCTTCATCTAGAATTTAAAATTGTGATAGTTGATCAGCATGTCCTGAGCACGTGTGTTTGCTGTTACTAGTTTAGATCGGTAGATGTGTATATAAGTTATAGGTATAAAATCAATCCTGAGTTGACACAAGGTTTTGATGTTGAGTACAAGTACAGTAAGTGTATATTTTTAGTTATGCTCTTAGTTTTAAGTCAATTGTGTGGTTCTTTCTAGCTTTAGGATCTGTTGAATTATCTTCCTTAGAAAAGGGAGTTAAGAATCTTCACTTACCTATCTTCTACTTGTTTGGAGAATAGAAGAGTCCCTGTGGTAGCAGACTTTGTGAGTTTACTTGTAATTTTCCATCTGAAAGACTGTTCTTGTTTTTCGTGATGAAGTCTTGCTCTGTCGCCCAGGCTGGAGTGCAGTGGTGCAACCTTGGCTCACTGCAACCTCTGCCTCCCGGGTTCAAGCAATTCTCCTGCCTCAGCCTCCCGAGTATCTGGGATTACAGGTGCACACCACCACACCTGGCTAATTTTTGTATTTTCAGTAGAGACGGGGTTTCACCATGTTGGCCAGGCTGGTCTCGAACTCTTGACCTCATGATCAGCCCACCTCAGCCTTCCAAAGTGCTGGGATTACAGGTGTGAGCCCCCACACTCGGCCGTTGTTGTTTTTTAAGAGACAGGGTCTCACTCTGTCACCTAACCTGGAGTACAGTGGCAATCATGGCTCACTGTAACCTCAAATGCCCGGCCTTAGTGAAGCGTTCTTCCTGCCTTGGCCTCCCAAAGTGCTGGGATTACAAGTGTGAGCCATGCATCCAGCTTGAAAGACAGCTTCTTAGGCTTGATTTGTTTGGTTACAGGGTGTGTGTTGTATTGATGAATTTGATAAGATGGACGTGCGGGATCAAGTTGCTATTCATGAAGCTATGGAACAGCAGACCATATCCATCACTAAAGCAGGAGTGAAGGTATGTGTTATCTACTTCTGTTCTGCTGCATCGTCCATAGCCTTGTTGATTAATGTAGTACTAGAGAAGTTCACCTGGATAAAATTCATTACTTCAGTGTGTAATGCTGTTCATTAAAATGGAAAATACAGCCCTGAGAATTATTTATTGAAACTATAAATGTTGTTTAGAGTACTGTGTAAATGTATTGCCATGATAATAGAGGAAAATGTCCATGAACAAAGCTTTTATTTTCTTTGATAAAGCATGCTCCAATTATAACAAAAATAACCAAAGATCAACAGATTGATTATATATGTATATATTTATTTATATTAACAGAGTATTTAAATGAAAATAAGTATGACAGTATAACCAACACTAGGGAGAATCTAAACTTTAAAAGCTACAGATTCAAGTAGCTTTTAAGCAGTACACAATTGTAAATTGAAAAGACAACTCTTTCCCTGCAACTCCCAGCAACAGTAGATACTTAGAGGTATCTAATGGATAAAAAGGAATTTTAGGAGGAGGAAAATAAGGCATCTATTGAGTTTGTGCCCCTTTTAGGAATATTTTGTACATAAGCATAATACTGACAATTTCATTCCTGCTGGTTTAACTTCATAATTTTATTTTGGCAATCTTTTACCAGCACATATTAGATCAACTTTGGTTTTTTATTAATTTCCCATATTCAATTGTGTATACCACAGCTTGATTCTTTAGACTCCTGTTGAGTGACATTTGGTTCATTTTCAGTGTTTTGTATTACAAACAAAATTGTAGTAAGCATCCTTGAACGCAACATCCTTTTATATTTGGCTATAAGAGAAATTTCTAACAAATTGATGTCTTCAATGGTGTGCACATCATACCACCAAAATCACATAGGAGTTCCTGTTTATGTGAAAAAGGGTATGTCATTATTTTGGTTTGTGTTTAGTTAATTATGGGTGAGATTGAACATGTTGTTATATATTTATTGGCTGATGTCTATTTAAATCTGTTAAGATTCTTTCTTTTGTGGTCAGGCTACTCTGAACGCCCGGACGTCCATTTTGGCAGCAGCAAACCCAATCAGTGGACACTATGACAGATCAAAATCATTGAAACAGAATATAAATTTGTCAGCTCCCATCATGTCCCGATTCGATCTCTTCTTTATCCTTGTGGATGAATGTAATGAGGTAACCCCATGAGCTTCCTTTTTTATTTCCAGTTGGAGTAATCGAGTGAGACAAGGCTGGAAGATACACTGCTCAACAGCTGGTGCATGTATGTGCACCAGCCTTTGATTTCCCTCAGGGTGGCACAGGATCGGACAAAGGGTTTAGTAAGCAACTCAAAATAAAGTCATTTGAATTGCCTCTTCCACTTAATTGTGTTCAAGAATTAAGTTTTCAGGTTTTGTTACTATTTATTTCTCAAAAGGAAACAAGTTACAGTTAACTTCCAACCACACTTTTTATTTTTTTAAACAGCCTCTCACTGGAGACTGGGCTGGAGTGCAGTGGCACAGTCTTGGCCTACTGCAACCTCCACTTCCAAGGTTCAAGCGATTCTTGAGTCTGAGCCTCCCAAGTAGCTGGGATTACAGGCATGTAACACCATGCGTGGCTAATTTTTATATTTTTAGTACAGACAGGGTCTCACCATGTTGGTCAGGCTGGTCTTGAACTCCTGGCCTCCAGTGATGCACACCCACCTCAGCCTCCCAAAATGTTGGGACTATAGGTGTGAGCCACTGTACCTGGCCCCAACCACACTCTTAAGATTTTTATACAATTTTTTGTTTTGTTGATTGGGCTTTTATTTTATTTTTCAGTCACCTTGAAAAAAACTGGGATGCCAAAGAAATTTCTTTTCTTCTTCTTTTTTTTAATCATGAGTCATTTATCTTTGTATTTTTTCCTATCAAGTTGCTGAATGTATTTTACCTTTTTTTCTCACTTTTAAGATTGAGTGAAAAAATGTAGATTTACTTGGATTCTGATATGTTAGTTTAATTATTAGAGTTATGTGTACTTAAATATTTAATAATGCACTTCAGATGCCCACAGAACTATAAAATGACAGTTTGTAGGAACTAATATTTTAGGCTGTACTTTTTAAATCATTCAGCATTGAGGTTCTACATTTTATTGGGTACAGTGCACAGCTCTTTGTTACAGTGGAACTTTAAATATTATCTAAATAAAAGTAGCCTTCCATTTTGTGAGTGTTTGGAGGGCTTGGATTTTTATTTATTTATTTTTTAAAGACAAAGTCTTACTCTGTCACCCAGGCAGTGCCACAGTCATAGCTCACTGCAGCCTCAATCTCCTGGGTTCCAGTGATCCTCCTGCCTCAGCCTCCCAAGTAGCTGAGACTACAGCTCTGTACCACCATGCCTGGTTAATTTTTTCATCCTTTTGTAGCAACGGCAACAAGTTCAAGACCCGTGTTGGTCTTGAACTCTTGGCCTCAAACCACCTTACCACCTCAGCCTCCTGAATAGCTAAGATTGTAGGCCTGCACCATCACACCTGGTTTGGTTTGGTTTGGTTTGGTTTGGTTCACTTTTTTTCCCTTCACAAGAGAGACATATTTAATTACCAGATAATTGAGTTGTCTGATTTTCATACATTTATGTTTGTTCATGATTCATTAAAGTAGCTTTAGTAGCAGATCAAGTTATAAACCTTTAAAAGATCAATTTATAAACCTTTAAAACATTCAAGATTTTTTTAAAACTGTTTTCTTTAGTTTTGTTTTGTTTTGTGACGGAGTCTCACTCTGTTGCCCAGACTGGACTGCAGTGGCACAATCTTGGCTCACTGCAACCTCCGCCTCCTAGGTTCAAGTGATTCTTCTGCCTCAGCCTCCTGAGTAGCTGGGATTATAGGCGTGTGCCACCACGCCTGGCTAATTTTGTGTATTTTTACTAGAGACAGGGTTTCACCATGTTGGCCAGGCTGGTCTCAAACACCTGACCTCAGTTGATCCACCGACCTCAGCCTCCCAAAGTGTTGGGATTACAGGTGTGAGCCACCGCGCCCGGCTTGTTTTGTTTTTGAGACAGGGTCCCACTCTTTCCTGCAGTGGCGTGATCATGGCTCACTGCAGCCTCAGCCTCCTGGGCTAACACAATCCTCCCACCTCAGCCTCCCGAGTAGCTGGGACCACACATGTACACCATTGTGTCTGGCTGACTTTTGAGTTTTTTGTAGAAACAGGATTTTGCCATGTTGCCCAGGCTGGCTGCAAACTCCTGAGCTCAACCAGTCTGCCCACCTCAGCTTCCCAAAGTGTTGGGATTATAGGCATGTGCCACCATACCTGGCCAAAAAGCCTTTTCTTTTTCTTTTTCTTTTTCTTTTTCTCTTTTTTTTTTTTTTTTTTTTTTGAGATGGAGTCTCGCTCTGTTACCCAGGCTGGAGTGCAGTGCTGCCGTCTCACCTCACTGCAACCTCCGCCTCTCAGGTTCAAGTAATTCTCCTGCCTCAGCCTCCTGAGTAGCTGGGATCACAGGCGTGTGCCACCATGCCCGGCTAATTTTTGTATTTTTAGTAGAGACGGGGTTTCACTTTATTGGCCAGGCTGGTCTCAAACTCCTGACCTCAGGTGATCCCGTCTTGGCCTCCCAACGTGCTGAGGTTACAGGCGTGAGCCACCGGGCCCAGCCTGTTTTATTTTAGTTATTTATTTTGAGACAGGGTCTGGCTGTATTGCCCAGGCTGGAGTGCAGTGGCATGATCTCAGTTCACTGCAACCTCTGCCTCCTGGGCTCAAGCCAGCCTCCCACCTCAGCCTCCTGAGCAGCTGGAACTACAGGTGCAGGCCCCCATGCCCAGCTAACTTTTGTATTTTTTGTAGAGACCGAGTTTTGCCGTGTTGCCTGGACTGGTCTTGAACTCCTGAGCTCAAGCTATCCACCAGCCTTGGCCTCTCAAAGTGCTAGGATTACAGGCATGAGCCACTGTGTTCCGCCCAGACAACTTCTTAATTAGAAATAATTTCAAGCTTACAGAAAAGTTGCAAGAAATGGAATAGTGCATAGAACACCCATATACCCTTTACGTGATTCACATAATAACATTTTACCCTGTTTGCTTTATTGCTTACTGTCTGTATATATCTGCACACTTTTTTCCTGAACCATTTGAGAGCAAGTTGCATATTTTGGGGTCTTTTTTTTTTTTCCAGTATTCTGGGATGAATATCTTCAAAATTTAGTGGCTAAGAGCACAGTCTCTGAAGCTAGACTATTCAAATCCTGGCTCCACTACTTAACTGTGACCTTGGATAAATTACTTAACCTTCCTAGGCCTCAATTTGCCCATGTATAAAATGGGGATAATATCATTTACCTAATAAAATTTTTGTGAGGATTGCATAAGTTAATTCTTCTAAGACCTGCCTAAGAGAACAGTGTCTCATACACTGAGGGCCCTATAAATGTTAGTTCTGCTATTTTTGTTGTTTTGTTTTTGAGATAAGGCTTACTCTGTTGCCCAGGCTGGAGTGCAGTGGTGCAATCATGGCTTCACTGCCCCTTCAACCTCCTGGGCTCAAGTGATCCTCCTGCCTCAGCCACCTGAGTAGCTGGGATTACACATGTGCACCACCATGCCCAGCTAGTTTTTTTGTAGAGACAGGGAGGGTCTCAGTTTGTCGCCCTGACTGGTCTCAAACTCTTGACCTCAAGCTCTTCTCTCACATCAGTCTCCCAAAGTGTTGGGATTACAAGTGTGAGCCACTGCACTTTACCCTACTATTGTTTTTAAAGCCAATCAATTCCTTCAGGTATAGTTTTAGAGTGGGGCAATGGTATACATTTAAACGTTTGATTTTAAATCCACCTGTTCCCAAACTTTCATCAGAAACTTGGTACCCATTAATACTTCTTTAAGTGGTATATTAGAGCTTGTTTTTGGCGATAAATCATTTCTTATTGCCTGGGATAGTCTGGAGAAGATATTGCTGTGACTATCAAAGTGATTTTTTTGTTTTGAATTAGGTTACAGATTATGCCATTGCCAGGCGCATAGTAGATTTGCATTCAAGAATTGAGGAATCAATTGATCGTGTCTATTCCCTCGATGATATCAGAAGATATCTTCTCTTTGCAAGACAGTTTAAACCCAAGGTAACCTACCCTTTTGTACTGGGATAAGGTATAATGGGTATATTAAAGTGGAATTTAAGTAAGTGTGTTATATGGAAATTAACTGAACCTGTCATCTACCTTAGTTCCTAAATTTTACAACTTTTTTTTTTTTTCTGGAACAGCAATTTGTTTTTTCAGAGAGGGCTGAGAAAGGGAACTGTAAAAAAAATTCTGAATAATTCCATTATTTGTTTGGTGGTAATAAAAAGATTTGTATGGGAGAAGAGTTTTGGATAACTGGATAATCTAGAACATTCTTTTATTTCAAACATTACTAAGAACGTTAAAATTGTTTATGCGCCTAAATCAATAGTTGAATCTTTCTTTGAAGGAAACATTGGATTCATCTAGGCCATTATGATAAATATAAATTACTGTTTTACAGTGATTGATGCATTGTATTGGACTAACTCTGTTCTGGACCCAGGATTCTTACCTGGACATAAACCCCCAAATGCTTGGCATTTTCCCAAAATAGGGTATGAAAAGGAAAAAAAATACTCATTCTGGTTGAGATTTTCACACTGTTGGCTAACTTGACTTCTGGAAGGTGTTACTAGGTATTGATCATTTATCATCTTCACTTGATTATTCATGAGATTGCAGTTGGCTCTCACTGTCCCAAAGAAATTTAATCATTTAAAACTAAGGATTATGGGTGATTCTTGTGTAAAAAAGAGCATCTGTTCTCCATTACTGCATACTGATATACTGATCCCTCTGTAACCTTGGCATGCTTCCTTAATATGGTGAATTCCTTGCTCTGAAAAGCTGAGGATCCTTTAGATATAAAGTTTATTGAAACAGCTTTTTTTTCCCTGCAAAGAGTGTGAGTTAATTAATTGAGCCTCAAATACTGAGCATTAATTTATTTAATGAGCACTGACATCCTGAGGTGTAAAAGACATTACATCTTGTTCCATTGCTTCAGCTTGTTAAGCAGCTTTTAGAAATGGTCATTTGCTTAAATACTAAGCCTTTTTTCAGGTTCATAAAATTAGTAACATGGAATTCACAAGCCTCCTTAATATTAGTTTCTTTTGAAAGACATTACAATAGTAATTTATTGTCACTGGCTTCTCAAAGTTTCAACCCTCTCAGGTTCCCTAAATGTTTCCACCTGGAAGGCTCTTAAACTTAGGTTTACCGTAGCTCTCATCAAATAGAAATGTTTCTCTAACTTGAGTGATGATCTGAAACAGATTTCCAAAGAGTCAGAGGACTTCATTGTGGAGCAATATAAACATCTCCGCCAGAGAGATGGTTCTGGAGTGACCAAGTCTTCATGGAGGATTACAGTGCGACAGCTTGAGAGCATGATTCGTCTCTCTGAAGCTATGGCTCGGATGCACTGCTGTGATGAGGTATCAGAGTCACTTTGATATGATGAGAGCAGAGATAAACAGATTTGTTGCATGTTTTTAATCTTTGGTATGGGACATACTAGAATTCACTGCAAATACATTTTTATGTAACTGTTGAATGCTCATACGACCATGGAATTCTTCCCTTTAAAGAGCTTGGTAAGCATTTGAGTGTAGTTGTTAGACGGAGACGATCACGTCATAGTTTATAGAGTGCATAAAGACGTAAGTTACCATTTAATACCTTTCATTCAGGAAAAATGTACTTAGACCCTACAATGTACTAGTAGGCCTCTGCGCTGGCAATACAGATAAGATAATGTAGCCCCTGGCCTCAAAGGAACTCTCCTCCTTAGGTTGCATTTGTATAATGTTTGATTTTTAGATTGTTCTTTGAGCCCTGCATTCCACGAGGATAGGTCAGTGGGTATTAACGAGGTAAAAGGGGAGTAGTACGAAAGGGCATTCAAGCGTCCCATCTTCGCTTCAACCAAAGCAGCCCTGCGTTTTCCTAGTTTTATTAATAGGTTTGATGTAAGGTCGTCTTTGAAAAGGGGGTTTGGCTTTTTTTTACAGTGTGACTGAGGTATAATTTATAAAAAGGGAAATGTATGGCATGGTGAGTTTTTTCACATACATCCTTGTGAATACCCAGCTCAAGATCCAAAACATTTCCATAATTTCAGAAAGTTCCAAACCCCTGCCTCTTTTCAGTCTTAGCCCTCTTCCCCTGAAGTAACCACTGTTCCGACTTCAATCACTACTTTTATCCCACAGGTTAATTTTTTGGCTTTTTTCCACTAAATTTTCAAATTCTTTGATATGGTACTTTACTATTGACGAAGTACTTTCACACTAGGTTATTTAATATTCTTTGATTCACCCAATATTTAGGGAACACCTGTAGGGGACAAAAAATGAATGAGAGCCCCTGCCTTCCATTGCTGCTAATCTGGTGGGAACGAGACATGTATTTAATTAAGCATGTAAAAAATAGAGTGGGTGATGAAATAATCTATATACTAAATCCCCATGACACACAGTTTACCTATGTAACAAACCTGCATGTGTACCCCCGAACCTAAAATATAAGTTGGAAATTAAAAAAAAACGAGAGGGAGAATAGAGCATCACAACCAGAGTGCTGAGATGAATTACTTTATTACCAAAGAAGGAGGAGGACTCAGGGAGGTGCCGACGTTTAAACCCAGTCACTGAAGGGTGTGCAGAATTTGGATAGGCAAGATACCCTGGGACAAGGTCATTCTAAAACCATGCTAACATTTGTACTTTTTTTTTCATTGTGATAGTTCCTGAAATGAGTTGCATAAAACTGGTACATGTCTTAGGGCAGTCTCTAATTGATTTTTATTTTGTTCTATTTTTAAAAATTAGTCTTCAAATAGCAGATTCACATGATATTAAAATATATGCACATAAATTATATACACAAATATATTTTCTGAATGAAATTTAGTATCTGCATATATTTAAGAGCTATTTCTGTCTCATATGTTCATAATCTTCATCCATTAAAAAAACTTTTGTTAGGCCTTTCTCACTCTAAGATTATAAAAAATTCTCCCATTATTTACCTAGCTAGTTTTCTAGTTGTTCCAAAACCATTTATTGAACAATCCATCTTTTTGACACTGGTTTGGCATGCCTTAATTATATATTCTTGTGTGTGTTAGGATCTCCTTTTGGACTTTCCATTCTGTTCATTGAGTCTTATCAGCTCCTCTTACATTGGTACCATGATGTTTTAATCTATGGGGCTTTGTAGTTTAAATGTAGGGCTAGTTCCAGCGCATTGTTCTCTATCAGCTGTTAGGAACTTAGAAATCAGCTTGCTCTGTTTTAAAGAAAAACCTGGTATTTTTTTATCAGTATAACATTCTATTTATATTAACTTGAAGAATTGAAAACATCTATGATTTTTCCTATTCAGTAACGTATCACTTAGAATAGGTTAGGTTGTACTACTATAAAATCTCAGCTGCATAAAACAATTTTTTTTTGCTTGTGCTACACATCCATTAGGTCATCAAGGGACTCACCTTGTCAAGTTACTCAGAGATTCAGGCTGATATAAAGGTTTGATCTTGACATACGCTTTCATGATGACAGAAAGCAGGGAAGAGAAGGTGGTGAGCCATGTGCTTTCTCCCCCTTCTATCCAGAAATGACACATACTCACATTTCATTCGCCAGAGAAATTAACATGGCCCCTCCTAAGTTCAAATGGATAGAGAAATGCCTTCCTACCAGGTGCCCAGAATTAGAAGAGCAAACATTTGTGAACAGTTCTGAGTACCACAAATACCGTTATCTTTCCACTTAAGTCTTCTGTTTCACTCAGTAGTGCTTTAAACTTTTCTTCATATGTTTTTCAGTGTTTCTTGTTGAATTTCTTGATATTTTATCATGTTTGTTCGTACTGGGAGTAGCCTTTTTTTCCATTTCATTTTCTGGCTGGTTTCATTGCTGGTTGTTTTTTTGTTTTGTTTTGTTTTTGAGATGGAGTCTCACTCTGTCGCCCAGGCTGGAGTGCAGTGTCACAATCTCGGCTCACTGCAACCTCTGCCTCCCAGGTTCAAGCGATTCTTCTTTCTCAGCCTCCTGAGTAGCTGGGATTACAGGCATGTGCCACCATGCCCAGCTAATTTTTTATATTTTTAGTAGAGATGGGGTTTCTCCATGTTGGTCAGGCTGGTCTCAAACTCCCAATCTCAGGTGATCCGCCTGCCTCTGCCTTCCAAAGTGCTGGGATTATAGACATGAGCCACCGTGCCTGGCCTAGTTCTTATGGGATGTATATGTCTTTGGATTCATATGATATGTATATATGTTTATATTTCTACAAGTACATACCTAGGAGTGGAATTGTTGGGTCATAGGTTAATGCATGTTTTTCTGCCAAACAGTTGTGTCAATTTCTGTTTTCACCGCTGTGAATGAGAGTTGTTCTACCTTCTTGACAACACTTGATATTGTCAGTCATTTTAGCCATTCTGGTGAATTTATAGTGCTATTTCTGTGTGTGTAAGAGAGAGAATGAGAGAGGGTGTTTGTGAGAAAACCAAAGCAACACTGTGAGAGTGTGTGTGTTTGTGAGAAAACCAAAATACATACTACTGTGATTTCATTGGGAGAAAATCTGTTTGGTATATCAAAAAAAGTAGCTTAATTACTTCATCATTATTGGTTTAGGTCCAACCTAAACATGTGAAGGAAGCTTTCCGGTTACTGAATAAATCAATCATCCGTGTGGAAACACCTGATGTCAATCTAGATCAAGAGGAAGAGATCCAGATGGAGGTAGATGAGGGTGCTGGTGGCATCAATGGTGAGATACTTGTTCATGTGACTGTTTTGGAGTTAGGGACCAAAACATTTTCTGAGATGTCATGTGGTAGAAGTACACCTGCTGTTGGCTAATAGTCTATGGTAGCAAAACGGAAAAAGCAGATACTGAATTCTATTCACTGTTTACAAGTTAAAATGAAATTAAATAGTTGATATAAAATATATATACTTGGCTGGGCACGGTGGCTCTCGCCTATAATTCCAGCACTTTGGGAGGCTGAGATAGGTGGATCACAAGGTCAGGAGTTTGAGACCACCCTGGCCAATATGGTGAAACCCCTTCTCTACTAAAAATGCAAAAATTAGCCAGGCGTGGTGGCGGCTGCCTGTAGCCCCAGCTACCTGGGAGGCTGAGGCAGGAGAATCACTTGAACCCGGGAGGCGGAGGTTGCAGTGAGCTGAGATTGTGCCACTGCACTCCAGCCTGGGTGACAGAGCGAGACTCTGTCTCAAAAAATACATAGATATTTGAAAGACTAAAAGAAAAGGCAGCAAAATGGTGATAATAGACATAAATCCCCTGGGTTTTACCCTTATTTGTATTGTTGTTTTGCTTCTGAATTGAAAACATTTTTTCAAGCACATTAGAACAGAAAAATACTAGAAATTTTATTTATTTTGAGATGGGGTCTCATTCTGTCACCCAGGCTTGAATGCCTTGGTACACTCATGGCACTGCAGCCTTAACTTCCTGGGCTCAAGCAGTCCTTCTCCCTATCCTCTCTAATAGCTGGGACATATGCCCACGCCACCACTCCTGGCTAATTTTTTGAGAATTTTTTCTAGAGACAGGATCTCGCCATATTGCCCAGACTGGTAGAATTTTTTATTTTGTATATAATACTGCAAGTGGACTTTCAGATTGTGAAATCTTTATATCTCTGATCCCTCACGTTCCTCCCAAGTTAGTTTTTGTCTTTACTAGTAGAGTTTATACATTTGCTTCTAATTTATTTGAAAATTCTTATATGCTATGTATAACTGTATGCATGTTTTTTTTTGTTTGTTTTTTGTTTTTTTTTATTTTTGAGATGGAGTTTTGCTTTTGTTGCCCAGGCTGGAGTACAATGGTGCAATCTCATCTCACTGCAACCTTTGCCTCCCGGGTTCAAGCAATTCTCCTGCCTCAGGCTTCCGAGTAGCTGGGATTACAGGCACCCACCACCACACCCAGCTAATTTTTGTATTTTTAGTATAGACAGGATTTCACCATGTTGGCCAGGCTGGTCTCAAACTCCTGACCTCAGGTGATGTGCTTCCCTTGGCCTTGCAAAGTGCTGGGATTACAGGTGTGAGCCACTGCACCTAGCCGGTTTATTTTGTTTTTCATTTTTATTTTTTGGCAGAGGAGATCATGTGGGAATGTATGCTTGTTTTAAAATTAGTGTTAAGGCTGGATGTGGTGGCCCACACCTGTAATCCCAGCACTTGGGAGACCAAGACAGGAGGATCAGTTGAGTCCGGTAGTTCGAGACCAGCCTGGGCAGCATAGCAAGACCCTGTCTCTAAAACAAATAATAATAATAATTTTTAAAAGTGAAAAAAATCAGTATTAAATGTAAGTAGTGTATTTGTAAATGCTTGACAAGGGGATGTTAAGGGCACAAAAATAAGATTCAGGTGGTCAATTTTTCACTTAGGTCATGCTGACAGCCCTGCTCCTGTGAACGGGATCAATGGCTACAATGAAGACATAAATCAAGAGTCTGCTCCCAAAGCCTCCTTAAGGCTGGGCTTCTCTGAGTACTGCCGAATCTCTAACCTTATTGTGCTTCACCTCAGAAAGGTGGAAGAAGGTGAGGCTTACCTGGTACTGCTTACATGCTCGGTCACTTCTGTAAGCTCTGTTCACATAGGCCACTTGTGATTGCCAAACTTCGTGTTGTTCTGTCGGAAGAGAGGATAAGTTGTTAGATAAACTCACTTTAGCAAAGTAAATTTGTGGAGTATCAGCATACCTGCCAGCCTGAACATTTCTTCACAAGCTTATTGTCAGGCAAAGCTTTGTAGGTCCTTCTTTTTAACATTCTGGGCCTATTTTAATAATTTTGGGACCTGATAACATATGAAGCAGCACATACAAATGTTTTTACAAATGCAAAATTACTATTCCCTTACAATGGTTCTGTTTAAAACAGCTGGACCCCTAGGGTATATTTTAACAGTAATTAATTGAGCCTAGAAATCTATACTATCAAAAGGCCATTGCAGACTAGAAATGGAGTAAAATCCTCATGTAGTTATTGGTAAAGTGTGGCGTCTGGACACTAGTACGCTTCCTACCCTTAACTGCTTTACCATGCTATTCAAAGTTTTATCACCCTATAGTTAACTACAAAGCAGAAGGAAAAATGATGAATTCAAGATGTTGAACCTAAACTTCTACTTGATAGTTAAGCATCAGATAATTCTTGATTAAAAGCCCCAAGGATGGCTTGTGCTGGCTTTCTGGAATATTTTGTCATCACAGTATTTGCTCTGCTATGAAAGAAGAGAACAAGAGATTGTAGTTTCTGCCCTTGTTCCCCTGGGAACTTTAGACCAGTAGGAGAGAAGGCAACAAAGTGGCCACTAGGACGCCTCAGCTTTTGTCCTCATTCGCGTCTCACACAAAATGATTTGGGAACTCAAGGTGTTCTTGATTCATGTTATATGTCATTATTCTCTTTCTCCCTCATACAAGTAAGTTTTAAACACAGCAGAAGTTGAGTTTTATGATAGTTATGTTATCCAGGTCCAAACATTTCCTATGTGTTGAGGGTTCTTACCAGGACTTTCTAAAAGTCTGGTAGACCTTGGACTTGTTAAAAGCAGCAGGCAGTTCACTTAGTAAGATGAACCTTGCTAAAATAAACAGGTAATTTTTTATTTTGAGTGAATACTCATGAATTTTACTTCTTAGTAAACTCCAGTTCCATAAAGCCTTCCCCTTTCTACAGAGGAAAAGTTGTTATATTTCAGAATTTTTGCTTGCTGTTGCTTCATTCCTAATTTATGCTTTTAGTTTCTGTTGGCAAGCATTCTCAGAGGTGGTGAAGCATAAGAAGATGAAGAAAAGACCTTCATACTTTGAAATCTTAATAGCTTTAAGAAACATATTTCTTATAATCTATTTTATTAGGTTTCTCTCCTTATGGATAAAATAAGGCATGCTTTAATACAAGTGATATGACTTGTTATTTCAGGCTTATGCTAGAACATTGCGGACCTTACGTCACCAGATGTACTTTCGGACGGCTTGACATTTATCTAATCTGTACATTATCTCGTTGTATATGTGGCAGAGATTTACCCAAGGACTGACAGTACGAGTTGCTAGGATAATTTGAATGTGTTTTTTTGTTGCAGAAGAGGACGAGTCAGCATTAAAGAGGAGCGAGCTTGTTAACTGGTACTTGAAGGAAATCGAATCAGAGATAGACTCTGAAGAAGAACTTATAAATAAAAAAAGAATCATAGAGAAAGTTATTCATCGACTCACACACTATGTAGGTGCAGAAGTGCGCGTGCTCTGGTATCAGGGAGGGAGGGAGTTCATGCCCTGTATCTGCAGGTTCACTAGTGAAATTTTTTTTGACCTTTGTTTGTTTTGAATCATTGGAGTGTAGTCAGAAGTATGAGTTGTAAAATAAGAGAGAATGAACAGCAGGTAAATGACTTATTTCCTCTGCTGAAACAAGCAGAATTTAGGTTAAATCTCAGAAGGTGGGATTGAAGTCTTACTAGTTAGGTGTTTTAAGCTTCTGTTTCCCATCCTCATATTTGCCCTTGGTCGTACTGCTGTCACCTACTTTCTATGTTTCATTTTCCTCACATTCTTAGTTCCCACCTTACCCAACCCAATAGTCAATCTTCCATCTTACTTGCTTGGCGAAACCCCAAACTTGGTTAAATATAACTTTTTTTTTTTTTTGTATCCTTATCTAAGCAGCTGAAAGTATCTGGAGAAAAGCATATAATTATGAGCCCAGTCTTATTTAAATCGATGACCAGAAATCTCAAGTGGACAGTTCTTACTGTCTCATCAACCTCATGACAGCACTGCCCAGTGCAATTCCTTTTCCCGGGTCAGTTCTTTGCCTCACTCTCTCACAGGCCCATCACATACCTTCTCTCCACTCCTGTCAGCTGGCCATTCTCAGTACTCAGCCTGTCCACAGCTTTGTCACAGTTGATCACTCCTACAAATAGTGTCTTCCTCACTTGGTTCTGAGTCACTGTATCCTCCTGGGGCTTCTTTCTCACTGGTTATTCCCTCTTAGTCTCTTTCCCTGAATGGTTTTGTTTTTTTTTTTTTTTTTTGAGACAGAGTTTCGCTCTTGTTGCCCATGCTGGAGTGCAGTGGCATAGCTCACTGCAGCTTCCACCTCCTGGGTTCAAGCGATTCTCCTGTCTCAGCCTCCCAAGTAGGATTACAGGCGCCGGCCACCACGCCCGGCTAATTTTTTAATTTTTTTTTTTTAGTAGAGATGGGGTTTTGCCATGTTGGCCAGGCTGATCTAGAACTCCTAACCTCAGGCGATACGCTCACTTTGGCCTCCCAAACTGCTGGGATTACAGGCGTGAGCCACCGTGCCTGGCCTGAATCTTTCTCTTCTTACTTTACTCTCAGATAGTTTACATTCATTACCTAAGTGATCTCATTTGGTTTTATGAATTTATCCATCTACTGATGACTTCCACATTTATGTCACCAGCTCTCACCACTCCTGTAAACTCCAGATGTATAGAGCTGGTTGCCTACTGATGAGCGTTTAACAGGCATCTCGTGCTTAATGTGTTCAAAAACAGAGTTGTTCTTCCCTGTTTGCAGTTGAGTTGTTCTTACTCAATTGCTATAGGCCAAATGCCTTGGAATTGTCTTTGACTCCTTGATTCCACTCTCCCCTCACAGCTCCTCTTCAGCAGCAAATCCTCTGACCCCCAGCTTCAGTGTGTGTATATTTTCTTTTCTCTTTTTACCGCCTTCACCAGCCCACCCAAGCCACCAGGCATGGACTGTTGCAGAAGCCTCATAAAATTGTCCTTTTTTTGTATTGGCTTCTTGCTCAGCAGCCAGATAAGTCTTTTTAAAATATAAATCAGATTATTTTACTACCCTCCCTTCCAGTGCTTCTCTCACATTAGAAGGAAATTCAGCCTCCTTGTCATGGCCTGCAGAACTATTATACAGTGTAACCCCTGTCCCCTCATTCACCTAATTTCACAGCAGTCTTCCCCATACCCATTTCACCCCAGTGACACTGGCCTTGATCCCTAGGCACACCAAATATGAGGGCCTTTGCACTCACCCTTTGTCCATTTCCCTAGATATCCTCCTCCTCTCCAATGTCTGCTCAAATGTTACCTCTTCAAAGAAACCTTTCTTGCTAGCCTGCCAAAATAGTAGCCTTCTGCTCTTGCTGTCACCCTGCCTTGTATTTCTTCGTAATGTTTAACATGGCCCAGCAGTATATTCTTTATTTAAGTGGTTAGTTTGTCTCTCTTATGGAATATAAGCTCTGTGAGGGTAGAGACTTTGCCCCGGAGCTACAGTGGTACCTGGCACATAGCAGGATCAAATATATGTTGAATGGTTAAATTTTCCTATTATGTGGCAGAGATTTAACTGTCGTGCCAATTCACAGGGCTCACTATATAAATATTACAGAGGTCATGTATTGGGGTTGTGTCTTCTCAAAAACCGTTTTCCTGTGAAGGTAGATCAGTCTGTGATTATTGAGGGGTAGGGAGGTGTAAGAACAGCTACTCAGATCAGGGTCCAGAGTTGCTTTTCTAGTGGTGGGACATGTCTGTGTGCTCCTTGGGATCAGTGTAAAGTAAAACGACCCAGGCAAGGAATCTGCTTCAGGACTTTGGAACACACTGTGAAGCTAACTGATCTAAACTTGAATTACCTATTTATTTATTTATTTATTTATTTATCTTTTGAGAGAGTCTTGCTCTGTTGCCCAGACTGGAGTGCAGTAGCATGATCTCAGCTCGCCGCAACTTCCGCCTTCTGGGTTTAAATGATTCTCTTATCTCAGCCTCCAGAGTAGCTGGGATTACAGGTGCCCGCCACCACTCCCAGCTAATTTTTGTATTTTTAGTAGAGATGGTGTTTCACCATGTTGGCCAGGCTGGTCTCAAACTCCTGACCTCAGGTGATCCACCCACCTCAGCCTCCCAAAGTGCTGGGATTACAGGCATGAGCTACTGCGCTCAGCCTGGATTACCTTTTAAAATTTGGCTTACCACCTGAACTAATTTGCTACAGAAAACTAGAGAGCTTATACTGTGCTGATGAGATATGATGCTTCCTATGAAGGTATGTTAACACATAGAGTGAGTGCTTGAAAGTGTCCAATCTAACTTCAGGGGTAGATTTGAAAGGGCAATTTTTTAAAAAGTGTCCAGTCCCCCTTAGTGGCTTCAGTGTTTATACTGTGGAGCCTTGCCAGACTTCTTAGGATCAAATCACAGTTTCCTGAGTTCCTTTCTATGGGCTTGGCTAGGAGCTCTTCTCATTTGTGGACAGTTTTGACTAACCTGTAATTATATCGTGGGCTTAAAATCTGTCATCAAGATTTTAAGCCAGATGGCATGTTCTACCTTTTTTTTTATTAGCTCAGAGTGAAAAATTTTTCAGATGAATTTTCATAGATTCTTCTCCTAACTCTATGAAATGGTGGTATATGAAAAAGTTCAGTGGTCATAATTAAAAATTGCTGAATGATATTAAGTATGAAACAGACTTCCAATTAATTAGAAGATTTTGCAGAGTTGTTTAACCTTAAAATTCAAGCATTACTTCCTTTTTTGAAGTTGTATTTACAAGCATTTGATGTAATATATTTAAGTATTTCTTAATTTTCCACAAGGGGTTTATGGTATGAAAAGGTCAGCATCCTACTAGGAACAGGGTTTAGCAGAGCACTGATAGTGATTTTTAAAGTGTGGTCCTTTTCCTAGGAGTTTCTAGTTGGGAAATGAAAGAAAATGTTGATAGCAAACACTCGGAAGAAGGGTCAAGTCTTGTATATCTGGACATTGGTATAATACTGCTTGAAACCTGAGGACAAATATTTGTGTTTCACAGGATCATGTTCTAATTGAGCTCACCCAGGCTGGATTGAAAGGCTCCACAGAGGGAAGTGAGAGCTATGAAGAAGATCCCTACTTGGTAGTTAACCCTAACTACTTGCTCGAAGATTGAGATAGTGAAAGTAACTGACCAGAGCTGAGGAACTGTGGCACAGCACCTCGTGGCCTGGAGCCTGGCTGGAGCTCTGCTAGGGACAGAAGTGTTTCTGGAAGTGATGCTTCCAGGATTTGTTTTCAGAAACAAGAATTGAGTTGATGGTCCTATGTGTCACATTCATCACAGGTTTCATACCAACACAGGCTTCAGCACTTCCTTTGGTGTGTTTCCTGTCCCAGTGAAGTTGGAACCAAATAATGTGTAGTCTCTATAACCAATACCTTTGTTTTCATGTGTAAGAAAAGGCCCATTACTTTTAAGGTATGTGCTGTCCTATTGAGCAAATAACTTTTTTTCAATTGCCAGCTACTGCTTTTATTCATCAAAATAAAATAACTTGTTCTGAAGTTGTCTATTGGATTTCTTTCTACTGTACCCTGATTATTACTTCCATCTACTTCTGAATGTGAGACTTTCCCTTTTTGCTTAACCTGGAGTGAAGAGGTAGAACTGTGGTATTATGGATGAGGTTTCTATGAGAAGGAGTCATTAGAGAACTCATATGAAAGCTAGAGGCCTTAGAGATGACTTTCCAAGGTTAATTCCAGTTGTTTTTTTTTTTTTTTAAGTTTATAAAAGTTTATTATACTTTTTTAAAATTACTCTTTAGTAATTTATTTTACTTCTGTGTCCTAAGGGTAATTTCTCAGGATTGTTTTCAAATTGCTTTTTTAGGGGAAATAGGTCATTTGCTATATTACAAGCAATCCCCAAATTTTATGGTCTTCCAGGAAAAGTTATTACCGTTTATGATACTAACAGTTCCTGAGACTTAGCTATGATCAGTATGTTCATGAGGTGGAGCAGTTCCTGTGTTGCAGCTTTTAACAACAGATGGCATTCATTAAATCACAAAGTATGTTAAAGGTCACAAAAGCAAAATAACTGTCTGAGGCTAAGGCCCACGTGGGACAGTCTAATACCCATGAGTACTCAACTTGCCTTGATGTCTGAGCTTTCCAGTGCAATGTGAATTTGAGCAGCCAGAAATCTATTAGTAGAAAGCAAGACAGATTAATATAGGTTAAAACAATGATTTAAATATGTTTCTCCCAATAATTATCTCTTTCCCTGGAATCAACTTGTATGAAACCTTGTCAAAATGTACTCCACAAGTATGTACAATTAAGTATTTTAAAAATAAATGGCAAACATTAAAAACAAGAGTGAATACTCAAGTAGATTTGTCATGGGATTTTTATAAGAAGACTGGTATCAGGTAATGTATCTTTAAAGACTAGGCTGCTCTGCTGACGTAGTAACCATTTTTTATTCCTTTACTTTCCTAATAGCCTTGCTTTCACTTAAGAAAAAAAAAGGCTAGGCACGGTGGCTCACGCCTGTAATCCCAGCACTTTGGGAGGCCAAGGTGAGTAGATCACCTGAGGTCAGGAGTTCGAGACAAGCCTGGCCAACGTGGAGAAAACCTGTCTCTACTAAAAGTACAAAAATTAGCCAGGCATGGTGGTGGGCACCTGTAATCCCAGCTACTCAGGAGGTTGAGGCAGGAGAATTGCTTGAACCCAAGAGGTGGAAGTTGCAGTGAGCTGAGATCATGCCACTGCCCTCCAGCTTGGGCGGCAACAACAACAACAAAAAAAGATTCCCAGGCTTCACCCTCTACAGTCTATGGAAAGTCATGGGAGTCTATTAAAAAAAAACAGACACTATAAACCAAATTAAAAGATGGGAAAATTTTTCTATCACGTTTTAATATGTGATATCCAAACTCCCATTAAGAATTTTTATATCAGTAATAAGATAAAACTCAGAAGAAAAATGCCCAATTAACAAGAAGAGCTTCACCTCTTAAATAATCAGAAAAAGAAAAGCACATAATATTTACGTCAAAGTATCAAAAATGTAAAAGTTTTATAATAGGCATTAGCAAGGCAGACGGATACAGGCACACATCTAACTCTATGTAGGATTTAACTTGGAAGACAATTTGCATTTCAATCAATCAAAAACCATTTTTTTTTTTGAGATGATCTCCCTGTGTTGCCCAGACTGGCCTCAAGCTCCTGGGCTTGAGCAGTCCTACAGTCTGAGCCTCCAAAAGTACTGGCAAAACAGGCGTGATTGACCATGCCCAGCCTGTATATAAGGATATTCATTTGCAGCATTGTTTGCAACACAAAAATGTAAAACCAACCGGTGTTTAATATGCAAGATGTTAATTTATGGTACATTCTTGCTGTGGAAAGCTATGCATCTGTTAGAGGTGGGTCTATATGTTCTGATACAGGCAGAACTCTAAGAGCTATTAAGTGAAGAAAAGGCTGAAAATACATATGGCATAATTCCATATATGTTAAATTGTTCTATATTTTAAATGTTATACACGTTTCCATTTGTATTTACGTAATAATAATGATCCCTGAGCTGTACTGTTGTATACATGCTACAAGAAAGACCCATTTAATCCCCACAGCCTATGATGAATTATCCACATTCTACAGGTGACAAAATAGAGGCACAAAGTTAAGTAATTTTTGTCAGGTGAGATTTAAACCCAGGCATTCTGACTCCTGTATAACCATTAAGATATGCAGAGAAAGAAAACTGGAAAGATACATATTGCTGAAGATACTTATTATAGGAAGAGGAGGGGGGAGGGTGAAGGAATTTGCAAGTTTTTCATAGATGTTTCCATATTGTTTGAATCTCTTACAAAATATGTTCAGCATATTTTTAAAGAGAAAATTTGGGGCAAAATACTTATTTTTGTATTATGTAAACAAATTTTAAAATAATGTGTGGCTGGGTGCGCTGGCTCACACCTGTAATCCCAACACTTTAGGAGGCTGAGGCAAGAGGATTGCTTGAGCCCAGGAGTTCAAGACCAGCCTGGGTGACATGGCAAAACTCCATCTCTACTAAAAATACAAAAAATTAGCCAGTCGTGGTGGCGCACACCTATGGTCCCACCTACCCAGGATGCTGAGATGGGAGGATCACTTGAGCCCAGGAAGTCAAGGCTGCAGGAAGCTGTGATCGCACCACTGCACTCCCACCTGGGCAACAGAGTGAGACCCGGTCACCAAAAAACAAAAAAAACAAAAAAAATTGGTAATCGTTTTCTTCAGACATTTTCCGGGTTCCTCTGCTTAACTTGTATAGGAAGTCTGAGGTTTTTGTGTTGGTCTTTACCTTTTTTTTTTTTTTTTTTTTTTAAGATGGAGTCTCATTCTGTTGCCCAGGCTGGAGTGCAGTGGCATGATCTTGGCTCCTGCAACCTCCGCCTCCTGGGTTCAAGTGATTCTCCTGCCTCAGCCTCCTGAGTAGCCGGGACTACAGGCGCATGCCACGATGCCTGGCTAATTTTTTGTATTTTTAGTAGAGATGGGGTTTCACCATGTTAGCTAGGACGGTCTCGATCTCCTGACCTCGTGATCCGCCCACCTCGGCCTCCCAAAGTGCTGGAATTACAGGTGTGAGCCACCACGCCCGGCCCTGATCTTTACATTTTTAAATATTGCATTAGTGAACCGTGTACTGATTTTGTGATCATAGATAACCCAGTTAAATATTAAGTCTTAATTATCACTTAGTATTTTACAACCTCAGTTGCAGTTATAAAGTAAGGGTTCCACATACCTCCTAACAGTTCCTAGAAAATGGAGCTGTCTTGGCATGTAGTCTTTATTGCCCTGCTAAGTTTTTCATGCTGGGGGTCAGACTGGGAGTCTGATAGAAATTTCATTTCCACCGCTGGTCCTCTAACCAATGACTTGCTGCACAACCTGAGTGGTCTCCTGGGAGACCAGAGTTCTAACTTTGTAGCAGGGGACAAAGACATGTATGTTTGTCACCAGCCACTGCCCACTTTCCTGCCAGAATACTTCAGCAGTCTCCATGCCAGTCAGATCACCCATTATAAGGTATTTCTGTCATGGGCACAGCTCCTCCCAGCAGGAAGCACCCAGAATCCAGACGAGAAAACAGTGCAGTGCTACCGGCGACTCCTCAAGGCCCTCAAGACTGCACGGCTTCAGCCCATGGTCATCCTGCACCACCAGACCCTCCCTGCCAGCACCCTCCGGAGAACCGAAGCCTTTGCTGACCTCTTCGCCGACTATGCCACATTCGCCTTCCACTCCTTCGGGGACCTAGTTGGGATCTGGTTCACCTTCAGTGACTTGGAGGAAGTGATCAAGGAGCTTCCCCACCAGGAATCAAGAGCGTCACAACTCCAGACCCTCAGTGATGCCCACAGAAAAGCCTATGAGATTTACCACGAAAGCTATGCTTTTCAGGGTGAGTACACATTGACCTGATGGTGACCCCTCGGCAACCTTCATCACACACCTTCCCCATCCTCCTTAGAGCAGATTCGACATTTCTCCCAACTCACCTTCAGCAGTCCTCTTATGTCTGTGCATAGGGAGAAATTAATATTGTAAATTGATTTCCCACTGGCGATAGGAAGGGGTAGCTAACATGGCAAAACACTCAGCATTTCCTTTGAAAAATATCTTTGAGGCTCACGCCTGTAATCCTAGCACTTTGGGAGGCCGAGGTGGGCGGATCACTTGAAGTCAGGAGTTCGAGACCAGCCTGGCCAATATGGCAAAACCCCGTCTCTACTAAAAATACCAAAATTAGCCAGGGATGGTAGCAGGCGCCTGTGATCCCAGCTACTCGGGAGGCTTAGGCAGGAGAATTGCTTGAACCCAGGAGGCAGATGTTGCAGTGAGCCGAAATCATGCCACTGTACTACAGCCTGTGCGACAGAGCAAGACACAATCTCAAAAAAAAAAAATATGTATACATATATATATATATATATATATATATATATATATATATACACACATGTATTTTTGAAATACCCCTTGCCCAGTCTTGAGTTGTGCAAGCACTGATTGTCTTTCTGTCTTCCTTTCCGTCTATGTCCTGCTACCCTGACTTGGAGGCAAAGTTTCGTGGTTTCCTGTCCTTCCCCCTCGGCTCCCCTATACTTACATGTCTTAGTTGGAGCTTACATTGCAGCTTGGGAGACAGACAAATACAAGATGAAACAATTATATATCACAGGATGAGGAGAGCACAACTGTAACTGTTCACATTCCTGCCTCCTAGGGGACTTGAAGTTCTGATCTGTAGGCCTAGGCTGAACCAGGACATTTGTGATTATAATCAATTCCCTAAGTGTATGTTAGGTACACCAATTTTGAGAATCAATTTTGGATTATATATGCTTTCTTGTTTTTATTATATACCATATACATACATATTTGTATATATAGTACCTGATATATATATATATATATATATATATATATATATATATATATATATATACTTCTATGTTCTACTTTTTCATTTTAACATAGTTTATGACTATATTCTCATTTTATTAAAAACTTGAGCCAGGCATGGTGGCTCATGCCTATAATCCCAGCACGTTAGGAGGCCAAGGCAGGGGGATTGCTTGAGGCCAGGAGTTGGAGACCAGCCTGGGCAACATAGAGAGCCACTATCTCTAAAATAATATAATAATTTACTCCAGTGCTGGAATAGTATTGCTTAAAACAAAAGAAAAACTTGAAAGCATAACTTTCAATGGTCTTTTAGGTTCCCATTGTATAAATGGAGCATAAAGTTTAAGGTATTTTCCTTATTTTTGTATGTTTATTCTAATTTTCACTAGTTACAAGTTATGTTGCAATGACATTCCTATCTATAAACTATTTCCCACCTTCTGATAAATTCTTTCTGACAGAATCTTAGAATTGAAACTACTAGGTGAAAAGATCTGCATTCTTTAAGATTTTAAAGCATGGTACTAAATTATTTTCCAGAAAAGTTGTAATCATTTATACGAACAGTTATAAAATTACTCTCTGACCCCATTCTGTCAGTTTCAAATGCTATATTTTATTACTAATTTGACAGCTGAAAACAGCTTATTTTCATGTCTTGTTAATTTGCATGTATTTGATTATAGAGACGTTAAACATTTTTTTCTTCTTCTTTTTTTTTTTTTTTTTTTTTTTGAGATGGAGTCTCACTCTTTTGTCCAGGCTGGAGTGCAGTGGTGTGATCTCGGCTCACTGCAACCTCTGCCTCCCGAGTTCAAGCAATTCTCCTGCCTCAGCCTTCCCAGTAGCTGGGATTACAGGCACGCACCACCACATCTGGCTAATTTTTGTATTTTTAGTAGAGATGGGGTTTCACCGTGTTGGCCAGGCTGGACTCAAACTTCTGATCTCAGGTGATCCGCCCGCCTCGGACTCCCAAAATGCTGGGATTACAGGCGTGAGCCACCACGCCCGGCCTTAAACAAAAAAATAAAATAAGGCCAGGCGTGGTGGTTCACGCTTGTAATCCCAGCACTTTGGGAGGCTGAGGCAGGCGGGTCACAAGGTCAGAAGATCGAGACCATCCTGGCTAACACGGTGAAACCCCATCTCTACTAAAAATACAAAAAATTAGCGAGGCGTGGTAGCACGTGTCTGTAGTCCCAGCTACTCAGGAGGCTGAGGCAGGAGAATCGCTTGAACCTGGGAGGCGGAGGTTGCAGTGAGCCGAGACTGCGCCATTGCACTCCAGCCTGGGCGACAGAGCGAGACTCTGTCTCAAAAATAAATGAAAAATAAACTAGGACATCATAGCTGCCTTATTCACAATAGCCAAAAGGTGGAAGCAACCCAGATATCCACTGATGGATGAATGGATAAACGAGACGTGGCATAGACATAAAATGGAATATTACTCCACATTTATTAAAAAGGGAAGAAATCATCACATGCTACAACATGGATGAACCTTGAGGACATTATGCTATGTGAAATAAGCCAGACACAAAAAGACAAACGCTGTATGATTCCATGTATAGGAGGAAACTAGAGCAGTCGAATTCATGGAGAGAGGAAGGAGAATGGCAGAGGCCAGGGGCTGGGGTAGGGGAGAAATGGAGAGCTCTTTAATGGGAGTAGAATTTCTGTTCAGAAAAATGAAAAAGTTCTGGAGATTGGTTGCACAACAATGTGAATATACTTAATAATACTGAACTGTGCACTTAAAAATAGTTAAGATGGCCGGGCGCGGTGGCTCACGCCTGTAATCCCAACACTTTGGGAGGCCAAGGCGGGCAGATCATGAGGTCAGGAGATCGAGACCATCCTGGCTAACCCGGTGCAACTCCGTCTCTACCAAAAATGCAAAAAATTAGCCGGGCGTGGTGGCGGGCCCCTGTAGTCCCAGCTACTCGGGAGGCTGAGGCAGGAGAATGGCGTGAACGCGGGAGGCGGAGCTTTCAGTGAGCCGAGATGGCACGACTGCACTCCAGCCTGGGCGACGGAGCGAGACTCCGTCTCAAAAAAAAAAAAAAAAAAAAAAAGAAGTTTAGGAAGGAGTTCTCTCCTTGCCAACTCTCCAACTGCTCTGCATTTCATAGTCCTGATTTTCACAAAACACTCTCTAAAGGAACATTATTTTTTTAAGCCACCTTGTCTTCTAAAATCTTTCAGCTAGAGTAAAGTCATTTGGATGATTTCTTCAGGTCCATAGGAAATGAATCCCCCAGTGGTTTCCACAGTCAGAGCCTCCTGCCCTCGCTCACCTGCTGTTCGTGTCTCTGGTTGGTTTCAGGCGGAAAACTCTCTGTTGTCCTGCGAGCTGAAGATATCCCGGAGCTCCTGCTAGAACCACCCATATCTGCGCTTGCCCAGGTGACAGCAGCCCAAAAATATACCTGTAACATCTGAGGAGAGTTTGATTTTAATTTTTTAAAAACAAGAGAAGTTTTGGTCTATTGGTTTGACATTTCTGTAAATGCCTCAGAATGAGTGGTGTATGTTCTCCAGGTTCATAATTACCTTAAAAACAAAATCTTGAAGCTGCAGCTCCTGCTTGGTCAAGTGTCAGCTTCCCTGCAGGAAGAAGCCACTTGCCTCTGCTGGCTCTGATTTTTGAGTCCAAAATAGCTTATAGGATAAGAGATGAGATTATGGCAAAACAGGTACTAGGGTAAAGGGGTTTTTCAAAAATGTGCACCTGGCCAAACACGGTGGCTCACTTCTGTAATCCCAGCACTTTGGGAGGCGGAGATGGGAGGGTTGTTTGAGCCAGGAGTTTGAGACCAGCCTGGGCAACATGGCAAAACTCCTTCTTTGCTAAAAATACAAAAATTAGCAAGGCATGGTGATGCATGCCTGTAGTTCCAGCTGCTCGGGAGGATGAGGTGGGAGGATTGCTTGAGCCCTGGAGGTCAAGGCTGCAGTGAACTGTGATCATGTCACTGCACTCCAGCCTGGGTGACACAGCAAGACCCTGTCTTGAAAAAAAAAAATTAAAAATGTACGTATATCCTCTATCACTTTTTATTTTTTATTTTTATTTATTTATTTTTTTACAGACAGGGTCTTGTGGCCTTGCTCTGTCACCCAGGCCAGAGTGCAGTGGCATGATCACAGCTCACTGCAGCCTCTACTTCCAACTCCTGGCCTTGAGCAATCCTCCCACCTCAGCCTCCCAAAGTGTCAGGATTACAGGCATGAGCCACCACACCCAGCCAACTATCACTTTTTAACTATAATTTATATTTTTTATTTTATTTTTTTTTTGAGATGGAGTTTCATTCTTGTTGCCCAGGCTGGAGTGCAGTGGCACGATCTCGGCTCACTGCAACCTCTACACCCTGGATTCAAGTGATTCTCCTGCCTCAGCCTCCCAAGTAGCTGGGATTACAGGTGTGCACCACCACGCCCGGCTAATTTTGTATTTTTAGTAGAGATGGGGTTTCACCATGTTGGTCAGGCTTGTCTCAAACTCCTGACCTCAGGTAATCCACCTGCCTCGGCCTCCCAAAGTGCTGGAATTACAGGCTTGAGCCACCACGCCAGCCTTTAACTATAATTTTTAAAAGAAAAATTAAAATAATCTGGGAAGTGAACAGCTTTGGGCCCCCTTGGGCAGCTGGGCAGTCTGGAAGCCATGGGAACCACCGCCGGTCTCCGTAGTTCTGCAGCATCGCCCTGGTGCTGTAGAGATGTTGTGCTGCTCATTGGCGTCTGTGCGTTGATGGGGGCCCCAGGAGTCAGGGTCTGGTCTTCAGATTTTCCATTTCAAACACGATGGAACCAAGACTGATAAGGTTCTGGAGGGACAACTCCCAGGCTGATTGCACGGCCAGAATGGCACCTAAATTAGTTTACAGAGGGCGATAACTGCTATCAGTTATGAACGCAGGAGACCAAAGTGCTGATCAGAAAAATGCTTGTCGAGAAATAGCCTTTGTACTGGTCTATCTGCCCCAGTCCATGCTGTGAAATGCTTCTGGGTCATCTCCCAAAAGCACAGTTCTGACCAGTTACCTGCTGGGAAGCCACACTTCCGAGTGGGACGAATCCCACAGGACCCTCCAGTGCATGAACGTGTGGGCCTCTCTCTCTGTCTCTCTCTGGCCTCACCTCCTATTTTGTCCATGTGAGTGCTATGCTTGCTTCCTACCCTCCTGCATCCCCTACTGGACGTCCTTCCTGTCTTCCTGCCTTCCTCAAATCTCCTTCCAGCAAAATTTTCTCCATTGTTAATGTACACGTAACTGTGCTCTCCAGCTGAGGCCTCGCTCAGTAACACTCCCTCACTCACCCTGATGCACTCTGTCCCCACCCGGACCCTTAGCCATTGCTTTAGACCAGTGGTTCCCAAGCTTGAGTGGGCATCAGAACCACCTAGAGAGCTAGGAGAGAGCACGGAGACCAAGACTTAATGTGGTGGGACCCACCTGGGCCTGCACAGGCATCCGAAGTCCCCAGGTGAGTCTAATCCCCAGCAAGGCATGAGAACCACTGGTGTGGGCTTCTTACAGCACTTCTAAATTTCTGTCTTCTCCTCGTGTGATTGGTGCATTTGCTAACCCTCCCTATTAAAGGTGTAAACCTCTGTGGATATTATTTATCTCTAAATGTGAATCCCTACCCACCATCCCCACACAGTGTGACTTTCAGAGGTAGGAACTCAGTGACGATGTGTTGTGCAGAACTGACAGACATAAGGAAGAGCTGCGAGAGTGGGCAGGGAATGCTGGAGTGATACCTGCCAGTGTGGTCTTTAGTGAACACTGATGACAACTTGACTGAGAAAGAAACAGGGAGCCAGTAGTGAACCACTTATTAACCCATTTATGCCTGAGGCTGCAATTTTTTGAACTTTTGCAATCAGACCTTAGCGAAGACCTTGAGCAGTAGGATATAAGTAACTTCCACAGGCTTAGCATTCCCATAATGGAACACTAGGCATTCACAGAGCACTTGGTTCTGACCAGGTGACAGTAACCATTAGTCCTTGTCTTGAAGAAGCAGATGATCAGTGGGAGGGATAAGACAGGTAATGATCTAATCAGGCCAAGGGTAGACAGGTACGGCCAGCCAGGCTCGTGGAGGGGAGCGCAGCACTGGGGGTGTTGGCATGGTCCTGTGTAGACTCTGTGAATCTGAAGTTCTTTGAGCACATGCAGGCCAGAGACAGGGCAGAGGGGACATCCTCATCAGAAGTGTGGATGGGGGTGTCGACGACCAGGACCATGAGGGTTGTCTCTGCTAAAGAGGAAGTCCCCAGTGCGTACTCCACAGGCCCTAGCTCTTGGCCTGGCTAGGGATAACTGGGGGTGGACTTCAAACGGTGGCCTGAAATTTAAACCAAAACCAAACACCCGGTAGGATTCACAGGGATGACTGTGGAGCCATGCGTGGCTGAAGGCTCCACCACCCCCATCCTGGCCAAATGTGAGGGTCTATGGAGGAAGCACCAGGGGCAGCACTGGCCTCTAACTGCCTCCCATTTCTGGCATACACACTCCTTCACGCATTCATTTAGCCATCAACACTGCGTGCTTTCTGTGTGCTGAGCACAGAGGCGCATGGATGAGCACATAGGTGATGCATTCCCAACAACATACAGGCACAGGCACCCCCCGCCCCCTACACACACACACACACACACACACACTTTCTCATTCCATCTCCATCTTTTCCTTTGGAAAATCCTGCTTTGGAATATTTGGTTTAGTGATAAGGGGAGAAACAAAAAAGCGTACTTCTGAGAGGCTGTTAGTCTTGACAGTGCTTAGGTTCTAATGACCCTATTTAACTACTATTTTCAGGACACGGTCGATTTCCTCTCTCTTGATTTGTCTTATGAATGCCAAAATGAGGCAAGTCTGCGGCAGAAGCTGAGTAAATTGCAGGTAATTTGAGCCCTTTTCCACATTAATGATGAATGCAGCGAAGGTTTCAGAGAGCAGATTAGACATTTAATGCTTTGGCTACTGCATAAACTGAACTTCCATCAACAGCAGAGACCGGCTGAGTTGTGTCTGGGGAGATTTCCATTGCAAGCATCCCTAGAGAACATCGGATGTTAGGCAGTCTTTCCTAGAAGGGATACAAGGGTTAGCTTGTTAAGGTGAATATTTACATAGATCCTCTGCTTGCTTGTGTAGAAATCTGCCGAGAATTGAGATTCTGGGGTTCATTCTGAGTTTTAAAAAGGCAACTCATCAATGGGGGTGATGGTTCCATAACGATAAGCGTCCACTTAACACCACTGAACTATACATTTAATGGTTATGATGGTAATTTTTTTTTTTGAGATGGAGTCTTCCTCGGTTGCCCAGGCTGGGGTGCAGTGGCGTGATCTTGGCTCACTGCAGCCTCCACCTCCCGGGTTCAAGCGATTCTCCTGCCTCAGCCTCTCCAGTAGCTGAGATGACAGGAACACACAAACACGCCTGGCTAATTTTTGTATTTTTGGTAGAGGCAAGGATTCACCATGTTGGTCACGTTGGTCTCAAACTCCTGACCTAAAGTGATCCGCCCACCTTGGCCTCCCAAAGTGTTGGGATTACAGGCGTGAGCCACCACACCTGGCCTGTAAATTTCTTCTTTATGTCTATTTTACCACATTTTTAAAAAAACAAACATTTCACACCCAGGTCTACTAAATCAGATCCCAGCTGTCTGGACCTTCCAGTAAGCTCAGTACTCCCTCCTGTACCCAGTACTGCTTTTCTCAAGTCTAATGATGCGGGCTCATTAGAGAAAGTGTGTTAGGAGCCTCCTATCCAACTACCAGGTTTCTCTCTTAGGCTTGGTCACTGCTGTGTGACTTACTTGCTTCATTCCCTGGAGTCCCAACTATTCTCCTGTGACAAGGTCTATCTGATGGTGCCCACGTTTTCTCCTGCACCTTCCGAGTGCTGGCAGTATTCCTATAACCCTGGAGAGCTGCCTTCCTGTGGGCCTTTCCAAGGATGTCTGGCCACTGGTATGCACCCACATTGGACCCCCTGCCTCTTCAGGTTTGGGCACAAAACCACTCCCCGCTGCTTTCAGCCTGTGCCTCCCATGAGGGAGGCAGAGCAGCCCCCTACACTCACCTGTGGTTTTGAATCCCACCATCTCCGTCACCAAGGAGGATGGTTTACCTGAGGAATTATCCCTTTAAAGGCCAAGTTTGGCTAGGCACAGTGGCTCATGCCTGTAATCCCAGCACTTTGGGAGGCCGAGGTGGGTGGATCATGAGATCAAGAGATTAAGACCATCCTGGCCAACATGGCAAAAACCCATCTCTACTAAAAATACAAAAATTAGATGGGTGTGGTGGCACGCACCTGTAGTCTCAGCTACTTGGGAGGTGGAGGCAGGAGAATCACTTGAACCTGGGAGGCGGAGGTTGCAGCGAGCCAAGATTTCGCCACTGCACTCCAGCCTGGTGACAGAGCGAGACTCCATCTCAAAAATAAAAATAAAAATAAAAGGCCAAGCTCAGGAATGTCAAACTGAGCTTCAGCTACATGGACCCTCCATTTTACCTGAGGCAGAGTGCTTGAAATGGACAAATTAGCACCAGTCCTATCCCAATGTCTGTGTGTTTCTAGCTGTCTGTGTAGTAGACACTGCTGCTTTTGTTATCTACAAATAATAAGATGATCTAATTTAGGGGTCCCCAGCCCCCAGGCGGAGCACCAGTACTGGTCCATGGCCTGTTAGGAACCTGGCTGCACAGCAGGAGGTGAGTGGCAGGCGAGCAAGCATTACCACCTGAGTTCCACCTCCTGTCAGATCAGCGACCATATTAGATAGGAGCACAAACCCTATTGTGAACTGCGCATGCGAGGGATCCAGGTTGCGTGCTCCTTATGAGAATCAAATGCCTGATAATCTGAGGTGGAACAATTTCATCCCCAAATCATCCCCATCATCCCCCCTACCTCCCCCAAGTCTGTGGAAAAATTGTCTTCCACGAAACCGGTCCCTGGTGCCAAGAATGTTGGGGACCACTGATCTAATCAAAGGTGACAGATGCAGCCACAAAGACATCTGAGTAACAGCTATTTTAGTGCTTGCTTATCCCAGACACCTGGGAGGCACTTCATTCTCACATCATCTCAACCTCTCAAAACACACCCTAAGGTTTAAACAATTTAACCAAGGTGGTGAGCTCCAGGGTTGGGATTTGAACTAGGGCTTTCTCATTCTAAGACACCACACTGTCTTTTCAAAAGAAAAATAAGTCTCACATCTGTAATCCCAGCACTTTGGGAGGTTGAGGCAGGCGGATCACTTGAGGCCAGGAGTTCAAGACCAGCCTGCCCAACATGGCGAAACCCCGTCTCTACTAAAAATACAAAAATTAACCAAGTATAGTGGCACGAACCTGTAATCCCAGCTCCTTGGGAGGCTGAGGCACAACAATCGCTTGAACCCGGGAGGTGGAGGTTGCAGTGAGCCGAGATGGCGCCACTGCACTCCAGCCCAGGGGACAGAGAGAGACTTGTCTCAAAAAAAAATAAAGAAAAAGAAAAAGAAGTCCAAGGGTTTGGAACATGATAATGAGGGTGGTATTTTTTAAATCACATATGATCAGTTTCAGTTGTTTTTGTGAATGCCTCACCTGAACCTAAACTTGCTTGCTGCCCAGGGCCTGTGCTTGCGGGCTGGCTGACAAGGTTTCTGGGCCTTACGTAACACTCTAGGGTCTTCGAGGTCTGCTTGTGCCTGTGATGACTAAAGCTGCCTTTTGTCCTCCTCATGGAATTAAACCAGAGCTTGTTGCTAGGCTAATGGGTTCAGACAAAGCTGCCATTTTAAAACCATCTCTGTTGTGCGGAGGTGGCGTGCCTCTGACAGGCAGCAGAGGCACTGCATGGCTGGTACTTGAGGATGTGATTTTCAGTCTCTTCCCTTTTTCCATCACAACATTTTTTTTTTAAGATGGAGTCTCGCTCTGTCACCCAGGCTGGAGTGCCCCGTGGCATGATCTCGGCTCACTGCAACCTGCACCTCTGGGGTTCAAGCGATTCTCCTGCCTCAGCCTCCCAAGTAGCTGGGACTACAGGTGCCCGCCACCATGCCTAGCTTTTTTTTTTTTTTTTTGTATTTGTAGCAGATACAGTGTTTCACCATGTTGGCTAGGCTGGTCTCGAACTCCTGGCCTCAAGTGATCCACCACCCCCCTCGACCTCCTAAAGTGCTGAGATTACAGGCATGAGCCACTGCACCTGGCTACCACATTTTCAAGACACTTCTACCAGTGTCTGGGTAAAGCACTGAAACTTCAGTCTGTAGCTGGCCAGCCAAATAGTAAAACTCTCCCTGGACAAACTTAGCAGCCATTTATAAATGTTCTGCAATGGTTATCTATTCCTTTTACTTCCTTGGGTAGGGTTGGCCCCTCAGAGGCAGCCTCAAAGATTCGGAAATGACAGCTGACAACCCCTGAGCTGGAGAGCACACTGTTCCTTCCTGGGATTGTGGTCTCATGCCTGGTAGCATTTCCCATGCACAGTTACCACACCCAGGACAGGGAGAACAGCTGAGCCTGCCCTGAGAACAGGGGCTGAGTTGTGTCCACAGGAGCCTGAATCGTGCTGCCCACCTTCCCAGTGTCCCCTCCCTCCCTGTCCTGGAACCCCACCCTCCCCTTGAAGGGGCCTCTTCCTGTGGGCTGCGAGGGAAGAGGGCGAAAGCAGGGCAGGGAGGAGCAGGCACCTGCCCCCATTCCCACCCTCTCCCCGGAGCACCTGCACAGCCCTCTCTGAGCCTCAGGGGCCCTCAGCGGCCACTCCCCAACGGCACACAGCTGTCTGAGGGCCTGAGAACAGCCTCAAGCCCAGAAATGAAGAGCTGCGGCACACTCCAGGGTTCTCGGTTCTGCAGGAGGCACACGAGGAGGTCCCCCATCCACTTATCAGAAAAAGCTGTGCTCCCAGGGAGTTCTCCGCTTGGCAGAAGACAGGCTGGGGGCCTCCGAGGCTCCTCTAGCTCTCCAGCCCTGGGACATCACCGGCTGCCTCATGGCATATCCGTCTTTCAGGAAGGAGAAAACCCTTGCTTCCCTAAGCACGCCACCCTGGGTCATTTGTCCCCACTGCATTGACCCAGCACAGGGAGGGATGAGGACTGTGTGGAGTCACAGCTCCACTAACTGCGCAGTCATGGGCAACCCGCTCGGCCTCTCGAGCTTCTGACTCCCCATCTGTAAAGAAAGTCACAGGTGGCTATGAGAAAGTAAAGACTATGCCTGGCTCCTTTTAAAGTGGTTACTATTGGTATCTTTTGGTAGCTTTTAGTTGCTCAGAGGAGGAAAAAGTTACTGTGAGTAAAATGACCAAACTCCAAGCCCCGCAAAAAAGGTAATTTAAAGTGAAGTCAAACAGCATGTCAGCCCTGAGACGTTTTCCTTGATACTGAAATGGCTAGAAATAAGAAGAGGAAATTACATTTGCTTCCATTTTAATGATAACAGCTAATATAACTTTTCTTTTTCTTTTTTTTTTTTTTTTTGAGATGGAGCCTGGCTCTTGTTGCCCAGACTGAAGTGCAGCGGTTCACTGCAACCTCTGCCTCTTGAGTTCGAGCGATTCTCCTGTCTCAGCCTCCCAAGTAGCTGATATTACAGGCGTGCACCACCAAGCCCAGCTAATTTTTGTATTTTTGATAAAGACAGGGTTTCACCATGTTGATCAGGCTGGTCTCAAACTCCTGACCTCAGGTGATCCGCCCGCCTCAACTTCCCAAAGTGCTGGGATTATAGGCGTGAGCCACCACACCCGCTGGGCTGCTGTAACTTTTTGTTTTGGAAAATTTCTAACATCCAAAAGTAAAAAGAATGATGAACCCCTACGAAGCCATCTCCAGCTGCAAGAGCTATTATTGGCTCATAGCTAATCTTCTTTCACCTAACCTATAACTTCTATCTCCCAAACTAGATTTTTAATTAAAAAAAATTTTTTTTAGAGACAGGATCTTGCTCTGTCACCCAGGCTGGAGTGCAGTGGTGCAATCATAGCTCACTGCAGCCTTAAACTCCTGGGCTCAAGCGATCCTCCTGGCTCAGCCTCCCAAGTAGCTGGAACTACAGGCATGCACCACCACACCCAGCTAACCAAACTGGATTATTTTGAAGCAAATCCCAGACATCCATAGATGGTGGCCTCTTAACTAAGCTTCTTAAGTAGCACAGGCTCTGGATGTGAGCAGTGGCCTTGTTCCTGATCCTAACACCGTGCCTGGCTCTAAGAGGTGCCCTGTAAGCCTGTGATGAAAGAAGAGGTGAAGGTGGGGGTTGGTGGGGAGGGTAGACTATGTTATTGAAAATTGTAGATCTTTCTCCTTCAGAGTCTAGAGTTGACTCCTTTAATTAACTGAGATACTTAGAGGTCATTTCCAAAGCCAGAGTAAGTGCCACAGCTTCTCATCTTGAAACTCTGTCCCTGTTATCAAGATGCTTTCCAGGAGGCTTCAGTTCACTTGCTGGTCCTTCTCTTTTTCAGACCATTGAGCCAAAAGTGAAAGTTTTCATCTTCAACCTAAAACTCCCAGACTGCCCCTCCACCATGAAGAACCCAGCCAGTCTGCTCTTCAGCCTTTTTGAAGGTGAGTGGGCCATTGCTGAAGAGGTTTTGAGTGACATCTGGTGCACTGGTGTGCTAGGTAGCAGTCTTGAAAGTCCGGGGTTCCAATGGGAGGAGGAGCATGGGAGGAAGACTAGTATAAAAGCCCACCCCAGACTGGGTTAGTGTACTATGCCTTCCTACTGATGGTCCCTTGCAACCATCCCCCATTGACCCAAGAAAGAGGAGAGGTTCGACACAAGGATGCCTCTTATGGACATAAAGATAGTTAGGCCTCAGCTGTGAGTTGTAAGCATGGAAAATCATCTTTGCCTCCTTTTATTACCTCTCCCTCCAAGGTCTCTCATCTCTGCTCCTCTTGGCAGGGCTTTCCTCTGCCCGTCTCTCTCCAGCCAGCCCTCTCCACTTACCCTTGTTCCATGTCCCCATTATCTCAGTTTGCACATGGCCCTGGTGGGTACCTGACCAAGATGCTAAGAACTTTCAAGTGTAGGACTCACAGCTCAAGGGCCATCTTCCTAGTGTCTCTTAGTTCAAATTCTTGAAAGTGAATCTGATTGTTGGCCATGGATCAGGAGGCTGCTTCTGGTCCAATCAAGTCAGGGGAAAGGTGGGGTCTATGATAGCATTGAGGCTGGCAGTCACTGGAGACTCTGCAAGAAGGGAGGAAGGGGCAGAGAGGAATGTGCCTGAGGGCCCTGATATTCACTCTTGTCTGTCTGTCACTCTTGTCCATAGGCCAGAGTATGGGAGAAGTCAGTAGTGTTCTTTCTACCACTGTGTCTTAGTCTGTCTTGTGTTGCTATAATAGAATACTCTAGACTGCGTAATTTATAGAGAAAAAAGGTTTATTTAGCTCATGGTTCTGGGGACTGGGAAGTTCAAGATCAGGCAGCCACATCTGGTCAGCTTCTGGTGAGGGCCTCATGCTGCATCCTAACCTGGCAGAGAAGTGGAAGGGGAAGGAAGTGCCTGCAAACAGATAAAACACCAGAAGCAGCCTCACTTTATAACAACCACTGTATGGTAACTAATCCAGTCCCACTAGAATGGGAACTCACTCACTCCCTGGAGACTGCACTAATCCCTGAAGGCGGATCCCTCATGACCCAAATGCCTCTTAAAAGTCCATAACCTCTCAATAATGTTACACTGGCAATTAAATTTCAACATGAGTTTTTGTAGGGACAAACCACATCCAAACCATAGCACACCTGGACCCCATCCCAGCAATGGGTTGGCTCCACAGGGCCCCTGAAGTTTATCCATAGATACCATTTAATAATGCTTATCTGAACTCACCTTTGATGGCATAACAATTTCTGTTCTTAGATCCCACCTCTCTCTAAGTGGTTAAAATTGTACCTTTTCTGTTTATGCGTATTTTACCACAATTTTAAAAATATTCCACCCCTTTCTGATCTTTGAGTTCTTCTAAATCAATTGTTCCCAAAGTTGTGGTCCCCAGACCAGCAGCATCAACATTAGCATCACCTGGGAGCTCATTAGAAATGCATATTCTTGAGCCCTACTTGAGACCTACTGCATCAGACACTCTTGGGGTGGGACCAGCAACCTGTGTTTTAACAAGCTCTACAGATGATTTTGATTCACCTTGAAGTTTGAGAACCACTTTTAAGTAATAAGTAAGTAGAATTCACTTCTAAGCTTTTAAAGTCGTTAGCCCATGGTATTTTCCAAAGGGGCTTGGAACCACTGCTTGGAGTTTGGGTGTGTCGTATGAGCGAGGAAAACTGTTGATTTCAGACTTGCATGTTCTTAGTTGGCATTTACATAGAGTTAATTCAATTTCTTCTCTTACAGCCATAAATAAAGACCAAGTGCTCACCATTGGGTTTGATATTAATGAGTTTCTGAGTTGTTCATCAAGTTCCAAGAAAAGGTAATGTCAGGTTGCCTATTGAACTATCAATAACTGATATTTGTAGAATACTCTGTTTCTTTTACATGTATAATCTTATAGGACTGTTGTCATCAACTCTTGGGCCACCAAGTTGTTTATTGCCATTCAATTGATGAGAAACAAAGACTCAGAAAGAAAGTAGGGAGTCTCTTACTGAGTGGGACTCACGAGGTTCTGCTTTCTCATCTGTCAGTTCGCCCAACTGTGCGCAACTAGCATGATGGCTCACACCTGTAATCCCAGCACTCTGGTAGGCAAAGGTGGGAAGATTGCTTGAGTCCAGGAGTTCAAGACTGGGCTGGGCAACATGGTGAAACTCTGTCTCTACAAAAAATTACAAAAATACAAAAATTAGCCAGGCATAGTGGTGCATGCCTATGGTCCCAGCTACTTGGGAGACTGAGGTCAGAGGATCGCTTGAGCCCAGGAGGCAGAAGGTGCTGTGAGCCGAGATTGTGCCACTGCACCAGCTAGGATTTGAACTCCTGCCTTCTAGTTTAAGATCTTGCTGGAGACAGTGTGAGCTTGTGGAAGAGTGGCCAGGTTAAAGATAGATCTGACCATCCCACTGAAGTTACATGATGAGTAAGAGAAATGGGTTCTCTGTGCCCATTTCCTCAATATGAAGGGTGAAACATCCTCCCTGGAAGGAGACAGCATAGACAGGAAAGCCAGCTGTTGCTGCAAGCCAGATGCCTAACTTGACAACATTCTAGGGACAGAGGTTTGAATCTATGGTGGGGTTGTAAATAATATCTTACTGAGTGACTCAAGTGCCAAAGTTTGCAAATGATATGCTTTAAAAAATTAGAGCAGATTGCCGGGCACGGTGGCTCACGCCTGTAATCCCAGAACTTTGGGAGGCTGAGGCGGGTGGATCACGAGGTCAGGAGATCGAGACCATCCTGGCTAACACAGTGAAACCCCGTCTCTACTAAAAATACAAAAAAATTAGCCGGGCATGGTGGCGGGCGCCTGTATTCCCAGCTACTCGGGAGGCTGAGGCAGGAGAATGGTGTGAACCCTGGAGGCAGAGCTTGCAGTGAGCTGAGATCGCGCCATTGCACTCCAGCCTGGGTGATGGAGCGAGACTCCATCTCCAAAAAAAAAAAAAATTAGAGCAGGTTTTGAGGTTGTGCCCATAATTACATTGCTTTCATGCACGCATATCCCAATACGCTCTTGAGTGAATGAGAAAAGAATGGCATGGTAGCCAGCACTGGGAATTGCCCAGAACCTCAGCGCTCCTGGAGGGATGTTACATGCATGAAGTTCATGCACCATCCCTTAGGGTGGGACAAAAGCTGGAGACAATAATTGACTTCCAGACCTTCAACTAGAGTTCTCTTTGTCACTCACCTCTGATATTTCCAGTGCAGCCCTGTTCAGGGTCATTCAGTGCCAACACCTCTTTGTACCTTTCCTCTTCCAGTACTTGACTGTCCTGAGCCATATCCTCCTTCTATTGTTCCATCCTCTCAATCCACTTCAAATCAGCAGTTCAGATCAACAGACCCGCAGCAGCAGCTGTACCTCAGGCTTTGTGTGGCAGTGTAGACTTGCAATAGACAGACATGGGTTACCACTGCTTCCTGACCACACTTGGAGTCAGCCAAGAAGGACTGGCTGTGGCTTCACAAAAGAAAACTCAAGAAGCCGTAATAAAATGGGTTCCCTGAAAAGCCAGTGATTACAAGTGACACCAGCTCGGAGATTCTCTCAGCGCTTGGTGGTGCTTTGCCTGAAGGGGAGGGCCAACACAGGCTTACATTAAACGGACAGCCAGGGGCCCCTACTCAGGAGGATGTGGTTGGAGAACCCGCTGAATGCAGGGGCGGTGGGTGGGGAGTGATTCAGAAATGACTAACGTAGTTTTCTCCTTCAGAATTCTAGACCTTATAGGGGAGACAGAGCGGCCCCTGAACAACTCTCACATGAGAATGTGGCAGGAGACACACAGCACTGCACCCTAAAAAAGGGAGAACTTAGGAGCCCTGGGTGTGGAGCCTGAGGTGCCGTCATGTGCTAAATCCCTCTCCATGGCCGGCAAACCCAGGGTTCCCAGCTCCAAGCCTGTACAGCAAGTTCTGTTTCATCCCAGGGCAGTTTATTTGTTTCCTTAAAACTCTTCATGCAATCCAGGAGGACAGTCAGGGCCAGGAGGGCTGGGTAAGAGCGAGGTTCGGAGCAGCGGACGCTGTGTTTATGGGCACCGTGGATACGCAGAGGCTGAGCACCGAGGGGACGCGACACATCCCCAGCTGCGATCCACAGTCGCATATGTTTTGGGATCATCTACGAAGGAAAGGATCATTTCCCTTTCCCCCTAATCTAGCAAATGTCAGGGAGTTGATGCTGAGTGAAACAGAAGGCTCTTAGGTTCGGAAGACGCCTCCTGCTGGGTGACCCGGCCCCAGGCTTCGCTTTTTGAGAGGAAGATCCCTGTGCAGTGTTCCTGTCACTTCTCCCAGTTCTGCGCTGTGGGCCAGCCTGGTATAGGTGCCATCGGCTCTCCACACGATGGCTGTGTGACAGGGAGATGCTCTTGTACTCCACGTCCTTTTCCCCAGGCATGTGCCACACTCCTCAAGGCCGACCTCTGCTGGCTGTAATTTGCAGCATGCATGCTTTCCTGCCTGCATGACATGACTCAATTTAGAAGTTGGCAATCACAATTGAAAAAAAAGAAAGAAAAAAGAGGAAAGGAGAGTGGGAGGGAGGAAAATGGACTAGAATAAAATAGAAAAATCAGACCACATTTTGTATAAATGCAGCATGCACTTTTATGTGATGTTTTATTTCATATGCATATACATATGTACATGCATATACATGCACATAAACATGTATGTGTATGAGGTTAAAAGCACAGAATCTGCTCCACCACCTGCAAGCTGTGTGCAAGGAGAAGTTACTCATAATCACCAGGAATCCAGGCTCCTTTGTTGTTGCTTTGTCACCTTTAACAAGGTTTCTACCTCATGGTTCAGGATGGATGCTTGAGCTCCTGCCATTATGTCAGAAATCCAAGCAGCATGAAGAAAGGAAGCAGTAGCCAGGACTGATATTCAACTGGTCCACATCAGTGTACTTCTGTACCAGCTGATAAATAGCTGCTGGCTCCCTGAAATCAGGAAGTTTTCCATTTCTTTTTCTTTTTTTAGACGGAGTTTCACTCTTGTTGCCCAGGCTGGAGTGCAATGGCGTGATCTCAGCTCACCACAACCTCTGCCTCCCGGGTTCAAGTGATTCTCCTGCTTCAGCCTCCTGAGTAGCTGGGATTACAGGCCCCCACCACCACGCCTGGCTAATTTTGTATTTTTAGTAGAGACGGGGTTTCCCCATGTTGGTCAGTCTGGTCTCGAACTTCTGACCTCGTGATCCACCTGCCTCGGCCTCCCAAAGTGCTGGGATTACAGGCATGAGCCACCACACCCAGCCCCCGTTTCTTTTAGTCTCAGTTTCCTCCTGTGTAGGATGAGGATAAATCATTGTAGTACCCATCTCATAAATTTGTTGGGAAAATTAAATGAGATAATACACATCCATTCTTATTACAGTGGCCAGCGCAGAATCAAGGCTCAATAAATTGGAGTCATTGTTATTATTAGCTATGTTTTACAAATAATGAATTATAAGAAGAATAAAGTATGGTACTAACACTGAAGACAATATTCAAGGGCAATCTAATACAGAGAACAGTAGCATTGTTCCTGTTTTAACCATGAAAGAGCAAGAATCACTCACCTCAGAAGGGGTAATAATAATAATTTTCCCATCTGCCAGTTACTTCCTGCCCATGGCTTTGCAGATATGACTTTTGACTCAGTGTTTCTGGAATCTTTTCTGATTAAACACAGTAGTCATCCGTAGGGGGCATTTGTAACTGCCAGCGTCATTCATTATTATGTCCCTTTTTGTCCCTTCAATCCTGCAGCATGTCTTGTTCTCTGACTGGCAGCCTGGCCCTTCAGCCTGACCAGCAGCAGGACCACGAGACCACGGACTCCTCTCCTGCCTCTGCCTATCAGAGAATCTGGGAAGCATTTGCCAATCAGTCCAGGGCGGAAAGGGATGCCTTCCTGCAGGATACTTTCCCTGAAGGCTTCCTCTGGGGTGCCTCCACAGGAGCCTTTAACGTGGAAGGAGGCTGGGCCGAGGGTGGGAGAGGGGTGAGCATCTGGGATCCACGCAGGCCCCTGAACACCACTGAGGGCCAAGCGACGCTGGAGGTGGCCAGCGACAGTTACCACAAGGTAGCCTCTGACGTCGCCCTGCTTTGCGGCCTCCGGGCTCAGGTGTACAAGTTCTCCATCTCCTGGTCCCGGATCTTCCCCATGGGGCACGGGAGCAGCCCCAGCCTCCCAGGCGTTGCCTACTACAACAAGCTGATTGACAGGCTACAGGATGCGGGCATCGAGCCCATGGCCACGCTGTTCCACTGGGACCTGCCTCAGGCCCTGCAGGATCATGGTGGATGGCAGAATGAGAGCGTGGTGGATGCCTTCCTGGACTATGCGGCCTTCTGCTTCTCCACATTTGGGGACCGTGTGAAGCTGTGGGTGACCTTCCATGAGCCGTGGGTGATGAGCTACGCAGGCTATGGCACCGGCCAGCACCCTCCCGGCATCTCTGACCCAGGAGTGGCCTCTTTTAAGGTACTTCCCAACCCTGCAGCTCCTACTAATTGGAGGAGAAAGGACATTGGCTGGAAGAAAGTCATTTTCTCTGTTTTCTTCCATCAGCAAGCCTTTACTTTTTGTTCTTTCTTTAAAGGAAATCGGGGAGGGAAGGAACCATAAATTGTTAATTAAATTGTTAATCACCTGGCCAGGTGCAGTGGCTCATGCCAGTAATCTCTTCACTGTGGGAGGCCAAGGCAGGCAGATTTCTTGAGTCCAGGAGTTCGAGACCAGACTGGGCAACATGGCGAAATCTTGTCTCTGCAAAAAAAATACAAAAATTAGCTGGGCATAGTGTTGCACGCCTGTGATCCCACCTACCCAGGAGACTGAGGTGGGAGGATCGCTTGAGCCTGGTATGCAGAGGCTGCAGTGAGCCAAGATTTTGCCACTGCACTCCAGCCTGGTCAACAGAGCAAGACCCTGTCTCAAAAAAAAAAAAAAATTGTTAATCACCTTATTTTGTCCAGACCCTCTACTGGTACTTTTAAAATATAATAGTTATTACATACTCAGAATAGCACTGATGGATGAGTGAGGCTCAGACAGGATAAACAATGTGGTCATGATGACATTGCTAGTGAGTAGCCAGGTGGAAGTCAGGATTTGAGTCCGAGTCTTCTTGACTCCAAATCAAGTTCCTCATGTCAGTGACAAGTGACAGAAAGCTCAACCCAAAGTGACTTAAGCAAGGAGAGAATTTACACATTCAGGAGGTTGAAAATTCTTCATTTAGCCTGATCAGGGTGGAATTTGATCAGAGCACAAGCGATGCCACCAGGACCCAGTTCCTCTCCTGTTCCCCTCGTTGGCTTTATTCTTGGGCTACTTTGCAGCCAGATGGCAGCAGCCCTGTTTCTGTTATTTCATGACCAGTAGGGAAAAAAGCTCGGCTCTTTTCTGTCCTTCCCAACAGAAGTGTCCCTGTGTCTCATGGTCTCTCAGTGGGTCGCATACCCACCCTGAACTCATTGCTGGGTCCTGGCCAGGAGGCTGTGACAACTGACTGGTGTGGGCCAAGGACCCATGCTTTACTCCTCAATACGCTCACTGAGAGCTGAGGAGGCAGAGAGGGAAGAGGCAAGGAGGCATTGGCTTTCCAGACGCCAGTCAGGGCATCGTTTCAACAAGAAGGGGATGTATACACTTGGCACAAAATTTTAAATGGCTATAGGTCTTTTCCATTATTTCCCTTTTTCTTCGGAATCTCCCAGAAAACCCACCAGCTTTCTTTGGCAGCGTTCTTCAGGATGGACATGTTAGTCTGCCTTTTCCCTGTCACTGTTTGGGTTCCATTCTTAAAGATGAGTATTTCCGGCCGGGCATGGTGGCTCACGCCTGTAATCCCAGCACTTTGGGAGGCCAAGGCAGGCAGATCACCTGGGAGGTCAGGAGTTCAAGACCAGCCTGGCCAACATGGTGAAATCCTGTCTCTACTAAAATACAAAAATTAGCCAGATATGTTGGTGGGTGCCTGTAATCCCATCTACTTGGGAGGCTGAGGCAAGAGAATCACTTCATCCTGGGAGGCGGAGGTTGTAGTGAGCCGAGATTATGCCACTGCACTCCAGCCTGGGCAGCCTGGGTGACAAAGCGAGACTTTCATCTCAAAAATAATAATAATAATAATAATACTATTTCCTGTGTCCCGTGCTAGGTGTTAAAGAGGGGTCACAGCCATGCCCTGGACATGTTATAACCTTTTGGGGAAGATGACACTAACACACGTAGCAAAATTACAGAACTCTTCAAAAAGACCATTACTAGGGTGAGCTGGAACATCATGAATAAATAACTCAATGAAATGTCAAACATTGTAGCACGTAAGTCAGAGTTTCCATTCAGCTCTTGAGCAGCAAGTGACTGCACATATGGAGCCATTCCACCACCCACCTTCTGAAAATGGAAGGTTTGAAATCTTCTGTTTCACTCCTTGTTGTAAAACTTATCTAAACCTTTTCTTCTTAGGCTTTTCTTCCCCTTTGAACTGTGGCTCTTGAGATATCTTTACAGAGACTTTGATGAGAAAGTCCCCTTCACTCTTCTCCTTCAATTCTTCCCTTTATTTATTAGTTCAATGTTAGAATGCCATTGTCTTAGTGAGCTTGAGCTGCAATAACAAAACACCATAGACTGGTGGTTTAAACAACAGATATTTATTTCCCAGCATTCTGGAGCTGGGGAAGTCCAAGATCAAGGGACCAGCATGTTTGGGTTCTGGTGAGGGCTCTCTTCCTGGCCTGCAGGCAGCCACCTTCTTGCTGTCCTCATATAGGGGTGGTTGGAAGAACTCACTGGTATCTTTTCTTATAAGGACACTAATACCACCACCATGAGAGTCCCACCCTCACGACCTCCTCTAAATCTAATCACCCCTCAAAGGCCCTATCTCCAAATACCATCACATTGGGGATTAGGGCTTCAACATATGAATTTTGATGGGGGAACTAATTCAGTTCATAGCAACTATTAAGGAAAAAATTTAAAGAAAAAAATGTCTTGGGCCAGGCGCGGTGGCTCACACCTGTAATCTCAGCACTTTGGGAGGCCGAGGCGGGCGGATCACGAGATCAGGGGTTCGAGACCAGCCTGGCCAACATAGTGAAACCCTGTCTCTACTAAAAATACAAAAATTAGCCAGGCATGGTGGCGGGCACCTGTAGTCCCAGCTACTCTGGAGGATGAGGCAGGAAAATCGCTTGAACCTAGGAGGTAGAGGTTGTGGTGAGCCGAGATTGCGCCACTGCACTCCAGCCTGGTGACAGAGCGAGACTCCATCTCAAAAAAAAAAAAAAGGTATTTTATTATTTTAGAGTATTTCCTTCCAGTCTTGGCTTCTTTGCATTTATGATGTTGTCACAGGGCACCTCAGATTGTTGCTCACTGTTTACTTGATATCATGTCATTAGCACTTTTCCCTATTATTAAGCAGTTGTGATGACTGTTTTTGATGGTTGTCTAATATTCCACTGAGCTCCCTTCCTGACACTGGCTAATTTAGAAGAAAGACATCCTTGCTTTTGGGAAAGGAGCACAGTTTGCCATTCGAGTTTAGAACTCAACTAAAGACGAATATTTGGGATGTGAGAAGCAGCCAGGCGTTTTAGTGATTATGGCATATTTTGACATGAAATTCTTCAGAGGTAAGTGTCATCCTCTTCAGATGATAAAAAGGAAAAAGGAAAGCAAGCTAAGATTTAGCAAGCTCACTCCTGCTCTCTGAGTTTCTGCTCAATGCTTTATATACACGTATTTAATCATCCCAGATGGATCCATAATTACCCACTTCTTGCCAACAAGTAAGCTGAAGTTGAGAGAATAAATTGTCCAAGTTAACAAGTTAGTAACAGAGTCAAGATTTAAATCTAGGCTTGTTATATTTCAGACACCCTCCTTTTGCCCCTACTTCCCACAAAAAGCTGTTGCTGTTTGTAAGAGCATGAGTTAAGTCTACAAAGAAACTCCTAGTTTGGTTTTTCTTCCGAGATTCCATTAAATAGAAAGAAGAACAAATAAGCAAGAAAGAGCCCTCCTCTCCCTTGTGTGCTAATTAAAATAATCCTCCCCATGGACTAATTTCTCAAAAAGCACTTATTAAGGACAGAGGCAGAATAGCAGTGTGGGTAACAGTAACAGGCTTGGAATCAGACTGCCAGGGGCTTGTTCTCACTTTACTCCTGACTCTTGGCCTTGTGAAGTTACTACACAGCTCTGGATCTTGTTTTCACCATCTCTATAGTGGTGATAATAATTGTACCTGCCATATGAGGTTGTGGTGAGGATTACATGAGAGAATTCATTAAGTAGTAGGTGCCCAATATATGTTAGTTGTTATTGTTAATGTGGTTGTTGATGCTGTTATTTTGTTGACAATTTTGAAGAATTGCTGTTGACTTGTTGACTTTGTTGATGATATTGGTGTTGACTTGTTGACATTGTTGACTTGATATTGTTGACCTTTTCACATTGGTGTTCACTTGTTGATGCCGTTCATGTTGGTATTGATGTTGTTGACATCAACATCGTTGATATTATTGACTTGTTGACATTGGTTTGGATTTCTTGACATTGTTGACTTGTTGACATTGTTAGTATCAGTCTTAACTTGTTGTTTATGTTGTTAACTTGTTAACTTTATTATTGACTTGTTAACATCATTGATGTTAGTGTCAACATTGTTATTTGTTGATGACTTGATGTTAACATTAGTGCTGATGTTGTCAATATTGACAATGTCAATGTTGTTGTTGTCTTTATTGACTTGTTGACATTGTTGTTGACTTGTTATTGGTTCATTAGTCCTGTTGTTGTCATTGTTATTATTACTAATCACTGTATTTCCTTCTTACTTTTTCACAAGGTGGCTCACTTGGTCCTCAAGGCTCATGCCAGAACTTGGCACCACTACAACAGCCATCATCGCCCACAGCAGCAGGGGCACGTGGGCATTGTGCTGAACTCAGACTGGGCAGAACCCCTGTCTCCAGAGAGGCCTGAGGACCTGAGAGCCTCTGAGCGCTTCTTGCACTTCATGCTGGGCTGGTTTGCACACCCCGTCTTTGTGGATGGAGACTACCCAGCCACCCTGAGGACCCAGATCCAACAGATGAACAGACAGTGCTCCCATCCTGTGGCTCAACTCCCCGAGTTCACAGAGGCAGAGAAGCAGCTCCTGAAAGGCTCTGCTGATTTTCTGGGTCTGTCGCATTACACCTCCCGCCTCATCAGCAACGCCCCACAAAACACCTGCATCCCTAGCTATGATACCATTGGAGGCTTCTCCCAACACGTGAACCATGTGTGGCCCCAGACCTCATCCTCTTGGATTCGTGTGGTGCCCTGGGGGATAAGGAGGCTGTTGCAGTTTGTATCCCTGGAATACACAAGAGGAAAAGTTCCAATATACCTTGCCGGGAATGGCATGCCCATAGGGGAAAGTGAAAATCTCTTTGATGATTCCTTAAGAGTAGACTACTTCAATCAATATATCAATGAGGTGCTCAAGGGTAAGAACAATGGATGTGCCAGTGATTGGAAGGTGGGTGGTACTTCTCCAAGTCTTCAAAGTTTCGTTTAATAAGACAAAGAAAGTCTCCTAGAGAAATGGAGCCAAAGAAAGCATAATAGTGGGGAGTCCTTCACGTCAGCTCCCTAACTCTCTTTCCCAAGGTTCATTCATGTCATTCACGTCTTTGCTCCTGTGGTTTTTTTGTTTTATTTTGTTTTGTTTTTGAGACAGGGTCTTGCTGTGTTGCCCGCTGGAGAGCTGGAGTGCGGTGGCATAAACATCGCTCACTGCAGCCTCAAAGTCCTAAGCTCAAGCCAACCTCCCACCTCAGCCTCTTGAGTAGCTGGGACCACAGTGCAAACCACTATGCGTGGCTTATTTTTTTTTTTTTTAGACATGGGGTCTCTTCACATTGCCCAGGCTGGTCTCAAACTCCTGGGCTCAAACAGTCTTCTCACTTCAATCCTCCCAAAGTGTTGGGACTACAGGCATGAGCCACCATGCCTGACCCAGTGTCCTTATTGCCTAGAATACCTCCCTCTACATTCTGCCCATCTGAGTCCTATGCAGTCATCAAGCCTCATTATCTTTTTTTTTTTTTTTTTTTAGAATCAGGGTCTTGCTTTGTCACATAGACTGGAATAGAGTGGCATGTTCATAGCTCACTTCAGCCTCAAACTCCTAGGCTCTAGTGATCCTCCGGACTCCAACCCATTAACTCTTCCCTCATTGCTCCAGCCACACTGGTCTTCATTTCCTTTAATTGGCTATAAAATCTACATTCTATGTCATTGATTTTGATCCAATTGATCCACATCTACGGTCTCATTCTTACCTGACATACTATTTCATATGTCTTTTTATTCCAATTGGAAAGGTATGGCAAATAGATTTCATCTCACAGGTCAGTCCTCAGTTAACCCAGGATGTTCTTATCTTGAGCTCATTAACTTAATTACATCTGCAAAGATCCTTTTTCCAAATAAGGTTATATTCACTGGCACCACGGGTTAGAATTTAGACATATCTTTCGGGGGTCACCATTCAATGCACTGTATCAGGGAATATATGTTTTAGGCTTTATTTATTTATTTATTTTAATTTTAATTTTTTTAGACAGGGTCTTGCTCTGAGGAGTACACTGACCTGATCTGAGCTCACTGCAGCCTTGACCTCCTGGGCTCAAGCGATTCTCCCACCTCAGCCTCCCAAGTGGCTGGGACTACAGGTGCACACCACCACACCAGGCTAATTTTCTTTTCTTTTTTCTTTTTTTTTTTTTGAGACGGAGTCTGGCTCTGTCGCCGAGGCTGGAGTGCAGTGGCGCGATCTCAGCTCACTGCAAGCTCCGCCTCCTGGGTTCACACCATTCTCCTGCCTCAGCCTCCTGAGTAGCTGGGACTACAGGCTCCCGTCACCACGCCCGGCTAATTTTTTTGTATTTTTAGTAGAGACAGGTTTTCACCATGTTAGCCAGGATGATCTCAATCTCCTGACCTCATGATCCGCCTGCCTCAGCCTCCCAAAGTACTGGGATTACAGGCGTGAGCCACCACGCCTGGCCACATTTTTTTTTTTTTCAATAGAGACAGAGTCTGGCCATGTTGCCCAGGCTGCTTTATTTCTTTTTTAAAATATGAAATATGTTGTCACTTAATGTCAATATTACTAAACATAAACAAGGAAAAGCAAAAGCATATTGTTAAAAGATTGATTTATGTATTTTATATAAAACCAAGACACCCTGGTGGTAACACATGGGACACATCCCCTCCACTATTTATTTGAAGATGGGGATGCTCCTTTGGTTTGAGATTTATGGCCACAAAAGTGGCCTGATGTTTTGTGAGGATCTTGTGGATTTTCCTTTTATCCATTCTGAGGAGGAAAAAGGATGAACATTTGGGGGGTAACCCAAGTCACCCCCAAAACTTTCATGTCAAAAGGAACACTTTTTAAAAGCAACATTAGTAACAGAGACTATACTTCTAATTTTTCAATAAAAACTATTTTATTGAAAAACAGTCCTCGCTGGTCCGAGGTAATAACTTATCTCAGTTGACTGTTCACAACCAGTTACAGATCAAACAGCTTCTAATACCCTTCTCCCCCTTCTCACTACTGCACTGACTAGTCTTTAAAAGATAAATAAATAAAATAATGGTGCACTAGCTCACTCCTGTAGTCAGTCCCAGCTACTTGGGAGGATCACTTGAGTCCAGGAGTTTGAGACCAGCCTGGGCAATACAGTGAGACCCCATCTCAATTAAATAAATCCATAAATAAATAAATCTAATTTTTATTTTTCTTCACAGCTATCAAGGAAGACTCTGTGGATGTTCGTTCCTACATTGCTCGTTCCCTCATTGATGGCTTCGAAGGCCCTTCTGGTTACAGCCAGCGGTTTGGCCTGCACCACGTCAACTTCAGCGACAGCAGCAAGTCAAGGACTCCCAGGAAATCTGCCTACTTTTTCACTAGCATCATAGAAAAGAACGGTTTCCTCACCAAGGGGGCAAAAAGACTGCTACCACCTAATACAGTAAACCTCCCCTCCAAAGTCAGAGCCTTCACTTTTCCATCTGAGGTGCCCTCCAAGGCTAAAGTCGTTTGGGAAAAGTTCTCCAGCCAACCCAAGTTCGAAAGAGATTTGTTCTACCACGGGACGTTTCGGGATGACTTTCTGTGGGGCGTGTCCTCTTCCGCTTATCAGATTGAAGGCGCGTGGGATGCCGATGGCAAAGGCCCCAGCATCTGGGATAACTTTACCCACACACCAGGGAGCAATGTGAAAGACAATGCCACTGGAGACATCGCCTGTGACAGCTATCACCAGCTGGATGCCGATCTGAATATGCTCCGAGCTTTGAAGGTGAAGGCCTACCGCTTCTCTATCTCCTGGTCTCGGATTTTCCCAACTGGGAGAAACAGCTCTATCAACAGTCATGGGGTTGATTATTACAACAGGCTGATCAATGGCTTGGTGGCAAGCAACATCTTTCCCATGGTGACATTGTTCCATTGGGACCTGCCCCAGGCCCTCCAGGATATCGGAGGCTGGGAGAATCCTGCCTTGATTGACTTGTTTGACAGCTACGCAGACTTTTGTTTCCAGACCTTTGGTGATAGAGTCAAGTTTTGGATGACTTTTAATGAGCCCATGTACCTGGCATGGCTAGGTTATGGCTCAGGGGAATTTCCCCCAGGGGTGAAGGACCCAGGCTGGGCACCATATAGGATAGCCCACGCCGTCATCAAAGCCCATGCCAGAGTCTATCACACGTACGATGAGAAATACAGGCAGGAGCAGAAGGGGGTCATCTCGCTGAGCCTCAGTACACACTGGGCAGAGCCCAAGTCACCAGGGGTCCCCAGAGATGTGGAAGCCGCTGACCGAATGCTGCAGTTCTCCCTGGGCTGGTTTGCTCACCCCATTTTTAGAAACGGAGACTATCCTGACACCATGAAGTGGAAAGTGGGGAACAGGAGTGAACTGCAGCACTTAGCCACCTCCCGCCTGCCAAGCTTCACTGAGGAAGAGAAGAGGTTCATCAGGGCGACGGCCGACGTCTTCTGCCTCAACACGTACTACTCCAGAATCGTGCAGCACAAAACACCCAGGCTAAACCCACCCTCCTACGAAGACGACCAGGAGATGGCTGAGGAGGAGGACCCTTCGTGGCCTTCCACGGCAATGAACAGAGCTGCGCCCTGGGGGACGCGAAGGCTGCTGAACTGGATCAAGGAAGAGTATGGTGACATCCCCATTTACATCACCGAAAACGGAGTGGGGCTGACCAATCCGAACACGGAGGATACTGATAGGATATTTTACCACAAAACCTACATCAATGAGGCTTTGAAAGGTGTGTGAGGGTTCAGTTCCCCTTAAAGAAATCTTCCAACATTCCCTGGGTCATATGCCTGAAATGTTTTGCCGGGATGATTTATGAACCATCAATAGATCTCTCTCTTAGGTCCCAACTCCATAATTCTTTATCTGTTTGGGGGTTATATGTTCCTTGAGAAGCTGGGGGAAAAAAGGCTATGGTTGTCTCTGCAGAGGAAAAATACAAACACTACACACACAGGGTCCCTAGCAGAATATTCATATTGTCATGGGTCCATTCATTCATTACTGAGCAAGTTCTATTTTAGGTGCTGGGAATACAGCAATGAACAAAACACAAATTTCTGCCTTCGTAGAGCTTATCCCATGCACCCCAGAACAAGAAAGTTGTGTTAATTCAAACTTCCTTTTTTTTTTTTGAGATGGAGTCTTGCTCTGTTACCCAGGCTGGAGTGCAGTGGCCACCGTGCCCGGCTAATTTTTTTGTATTTTTGGTAGAGATGGGGTTTCACCATGTTGGCCAGGCTGGTTTCAAACTCCTGACCTCAAGTGATCCACCTGCCTTTGCCTCCCAAAGTGTTAGGATTACAGGCATGAGCCACTGTGCCCAGCCTAAAAATCAACTTTTTGTTTCATTGATTTTTTTTTTTTTGAGACAGTCTCACTCTGTTGCCCAGGCTGGAGTGCAATGGTGTGATCTCGGCTCACTGCAACCTCCATCTCCCGAGTTCAAGCAATTCTATTGCCTCAGCCTCCCCAGTAGCTAGGACTACAGATGCATTGGGCTTAACTTCCTAAGTGGGCTGAAGATCTTGAATTTGGGGCATGTTTCTTTACCCCAAGAGAAGAATTTGATTTGGAGATGATCAGTCATTAATGCTTGCTGTGGGGTCATAGGTACTGGCAGAAAAGTAAGATCAACAGATGATCTGTTGGTCTCTCAGGGTGTATGTCACTTTTAGGACCACAACCTTGAATTGAGGAGCTGGCAGTGGGTTGGGTGCATGGAGGTCCTGACTCCTGGTGTCAAGCTCTCCTCTGCTCCCTTTGGGATGTTCCCAGCCTACAGGCTCGATGGTATAGACCTTCGAGGGTATGTCGCCTGGTCTCTGATGGACAACTTTGAGTGGCTAAATGGCTACACGGTCAAGTTTGGACTGTACCATGTTGATTTCAACAACACGAACAGGCCTCGCACAGCAAGAGCCTCCGCCAGGTACTACACAGAGGTCATTACCAACAACGGCATGCCACTGGCCAGGGAGGATGAGTTTCTGTACGGACGGTTTCCTGAGGGCTTCATCTGGAGTGCAGCTTCTGCTGCATATCAGGTGAGGAGTTCAGGATGGTGGGACACCAGTGACTGCACACCTGCCCTGTGCCAGGCTCTGGGCTCAGTGCTGGGAAGGGCAGATGCATGAACAGGAGATTCCAGCAGACCCATGGAGGGGCAGCATGGGGTCTGGGAGGTCCTCTTCCAGACAGCCTGGCTTCTTCACACCCCCAAATTTACCCAGACCAGCATGGTGAGGCTCGCTGTCCTGAGATGGGTGCTTGCAGGGCCAGATGGAGCAGGGGGAGCCTGGGCAGAAGTACTTGGGCAAAGACACACAAATACAGTCACGCATTGCTCACAACAGGGATTTACTCTGAGAGATGTGATGTTAGGTGAGTTCATAGTTGTGTGAACATCACACAGAGTGCACTTACACACACCTAGATAGTGTAGCTTACTACACACCTAGGCTACATGGTATAGCCTAGTGCTCCTAGGCTACAAACCTGTACAGCCTGTTACTGTACTGAATGCTGTAGGCAGTTGTAACACAGTGGTATTTGTGTATCTAAATGTATCTAAATGTAGAAAGGCACAGTGAAAATATGGCATAAAAGCTGGACAGGGTACTCACCATGAATGGAGCCTGCTGGACTGGGAGTTGCTTTGGGTGAGTCAGTGGGTGAGGGGTGAGTGAATGGGAAGGCCTAGGCATTACTGTACACTACTGTGGACTTTATGAACACTGCACACTTAAGCTACACTAAGTTTATTTTTTAAATGTTTTTCTTTCTTCAATAACACATTAACCTTAGCTTACTGTAACATTTTTACTTTATTAACTTTTTAATTCTTTAAACTTTTTTACTCTTTTGTGATAATGCTTAGCTTAAAACAAGCACATTGGTCCAGGTGTGGTGGCTCATGCCTGCAATCCCAGTGCTATGGGAGGATCGCTCGAGACGAGGAGTTCAAAACCAGCCTGGGCAAGACATGGCAAAACCCTATCTCTATAAAAAAATCAAAAAAATTAGCCAAGTGTGGTGGTGTGCTCCTGTAGTCCCAGCTACTCGGGAGGCTGAGGCAGGAGGATCACTCAGCCTCCCCATTAGCTGGGATTACATGCATATGCCACCACACCCAATGAATTTTTTATTTTTAATTTTTTTGTAGAGATGGGGGTCTTGCTATGTTGCTAGGGCTAGTCTGAACTCCTGGCCTCAAGTGATCCTCCTCCCTCAGCCTCCCAAAGTGCTGGAATTACAGGTCTGAGCCACAGCACCCGGCCTGCATGTGCTATACTTTTATACTGCTGGCCATACGGTAGATTTATTGACATGAGCACTGCCACAAGCATGAATAATGCAGTGCTCTACAACGTTATGATGGCTGCAAAGCACTAGGCAATAGGAATGTTTCAGCTCCATTATAATCTTATGGGACCACCATCATATATCAGGTCCGTCATTGACCAAAACACTGTTCTACAGCCCATGACTATGACCAGTCCCTGTTGGACCCCTTTATTCCCCAGCTAGATCCTTCCAAGCAGGCAGTTTGCTCACATTGGCTCTCAGCATGGGCCTGAGCTTATTCTGATGTCCTAAAAACATCACACCACTACTGTATTCATGCCAAAATGAGGCTTACTCATACAGAAAATAGGATGGTTTTATTTTGTGCAAGAAAAATGGAAAAGGCAAGAGTGACTTGCCTGGCAGTTAGTGGTGGTTCCTGCTTTCCATCTTCTGTCTGCGTCTGTCTCTGTGCAAGAGTGGGCCTGCCACATGCGTAGAGAAAGCCAGGGGAGTTCCGAGACTGAGCAGGGGCCAGAGCAGGCTCCCAGAGGAGGTAACCACACTTGGCTAATTTTTTTGATTTTTTTTATAGAGATGGGGTTTTGCCATGTTGCCCAGGCTGGTTTTGAACTCCTGGGCTCAAGCGATCCTCCCATAGCGCTGGGGTTGCCGGCGTGAGCCACCACACATGGACCAATGTGCTTGTTTTAAGCTAAGCGTTATCACAAAAGAGTAAACGTCCTGACTTGAGACTCACCCAGTGAAAGAAAGGAGGCTGTGAGTGCTTGACTGAATGACTTAATAAGACCATGTCTTGTCATCTTGAGATTGAAGGTGCGTGGAGAGCAGATGGCAAAGGACTCAGCATTTGGGACACGTTTTCTCACACACCACTGAGGGTTGAGAACGATGCCATTGGAGACGTGGCCTGTGACAGTTATCACAAGATTGCTGAGGATCTGGTCACCCTGCAGAACCTGGGCGTGTCCCACTACCGTTTTTCCATCTCCTGGTCTCGCATCCTCCCTGATGGAACCACCAGGTACATCAATGAAGCGGGCCTGAACTACTACGTGAGGCTCATCGATACACTGCTGGCCGCCAGCATCCAGCCCCAGGTATGGTGGGTCCTGGCAAGGCCTTGGGAAAGTCCACATGCAGGAACCAGCAGGGCTGGGGGAGCACATTTATCATGTAAACAAAATGCTGGTTTCAAATTTAGCTTTTGTTGTTATTGTTGTTTTTGAGACGTAGTCTCGCTCTGTCACCCAGGCTGGAGTGCAGTGGCGGATCTCGTTTCTCAGCCTCCAGAGTAGCTGGGCTTATAGGCACGCATCACCATGCCCAGCTAATTTTTGTATTTTTAGTAGAGACGGGGTTTCACTGTGTTGGCCAGGCTGGTCTCAAACTCCTGGCCTCAAGTGATCCACCCGCCTCGGCCTCCCAAAGTGCTGAGATTATAGGTATGAGCCACCGTGCTCGACCTCAAATTTAACTTTTTAATTGTCAGTGAATTCATATGATGCAGAATTTGAAAAGCATAAAAGAGTTTCCTTCCCAACCTTGACCTCAGCCATCTAGTTCTCCCTGAAAGCAATTTACCCTTTTCCCAAAAGAAAAAGAAAAAAATCTTTGAGCCTTTTTGTCTCATAAGTCACTCTCAGGATTTGCAGCAGACGTTGATGCTGGCACATCTAACCTAGGGCTTCCCATGGAAAGCATGACTGATGCAACAGCTGATCTGGCTTCTTCCCAGGTGACCATTTACCACTGGGACCTACCACAGACGCTCCAAGATGTAGGAGGCTGGGAGAATGAGACCATCGTGCAGCGGTTTAAGGAGTATGCAGATGTGCTCTTCCAGAGGCTGGGAGACAAGGTGAAGTTTTGGATCACGCTGAATGAGCCCTTTGTCATTGCTTACCAGGGCTATGGCTACGGAACAGCAGCTCCAGGTAAGTCCCAGCCCTGGCTCATAGGCTCTTTGAATCATGGCATTCTTAGCACATCAAGAGTTGAAATCCAGATGGCACAGGACGAGGCAACCAAGAAAGCCCCATGGCAGAAACCCTGCCTCTTGCTCAGGGCTGTAGAGGTTTCCCTCCTGGCATTGCATTGTTAAACATGAATTTCACATCTCAATTCCTCAAGGTGGGTTCATTTCTTTGCTCTGTGACTCTGATCGGCCTCAGGTGGGAAGCTCTCTGAGATCAGAGATGTGGGCAAATTGATGTGGGGAAGGACAGTTTGTCAGGCTGTACAGGTCTACAGTCTATTTCCACAATTCCCAAACCCCAAAGTTTCTGACAATTGGTTTGGCTGACCTGAGCTCATTTAATAGTAGTGAAACCTGACTCAAACCAACAGGAGGCTGCTCATGGTCTTTATCGCACTGAGCAAACATTCCTAAGTTCTGCTGCAGAGATATCAGTGTGCTTGACTATGGAGAGCTAGCTGTCTGCGGCCCATGGGGCTGATAGGTACTTTTCTCAAAGGAAACATTTAATTCCAAAACACATCTGACCCTAAAAGATTTTTTTTCTTTTAACTTTGGTTGACATGCAATAATTGTACATATGTATGGAGTACAAAATATATTTTGATACATGTATACAATGTGTGATGATGAAATCAGAATAATTAGTATATTCATCACCTCAAACATTCATCATTTCTTTGTGTTGGGAAAATTCGGAGTCCTCTTTTCTAGCTTTTTGCAAATATACACTAAATTCTTTTGTATCATTATTTTTTATTCATTTTTTATTTTTTTGAGACAGAGTCTAGCTCTGTTGGCCACGCTGGAGTGCAGTGGTATGATACCAGCTCACTGCAACCTCCACCTCCTGGGCTCAAGCAATTCTCCTGCCTCAGCCTCCCAAGTAGCTGGGATTACAGGCATGTGTCACCATGCCCAGCTAATTTTTGTATTTTTAGTAGAAATGGGGTTTCATCATGTTGGCCAGGCTGGTCTCGAACTCGTGACCTCAGGTAATCCGCCCGCCTCAGCCTCCCAAAGTGCTGGGATTACAGATGTGAGCCACTGCACCCAGCCTAAATTATTGTTAACTACATTCACTCTACAGTGCCACACATCACTAGAACTTCATCTTCTTATCTAGCTTAACTTTGTATCCGTTAACCAACCTCTCCCTGTCCTCCCTCCCTACTACCCTTCCCATCCTCTAATAATCACAATTCTATTCTCTGCTGCTAGGAGCTCATCTTTTTAGCTCCCACATGTGAGTAAGAACATGCAGTATTTGCCTTTCTGTGCCTGACTTATTTCACTTTACATAATGACCTCCAGTTCCAGCGATGTTGTCACGAATGACAAGATTCATCCTTCTTTATGGCTGTATAGTATTCCATCATATATAGATGCCACATTTTCTTTATCCATTCATCTGTTGATGGACACTTAGGTTGATTCCATATCTTGGCCATTGTAACAGTGATGCAATAAACACAGAGGTCAAGGTATTGATTTGGTATTCTGACTTACTTTCCTTTGGATAAATACCCAAAAGTAAGATTGCGGGATCCCTTAGGGTTTTGAATAAGAAATTGTGGACCTATTTTTGTGCCTTGAGAACCATCCAGTTTCCCTTTTATCTAGTTCTGAGTTAATAAGAATAAATTTGTGTTCATTCATGTGATTCCTCAGAACACTGTGTAACAGCTGGAAAGAGCCACCAGGAGATGTGCCTCAAATCGTTATCAGAGGCATCTCCATTGGTCCTAGTTCGCCCCTTTGGTTTACACTCCTTCAACACATGAGAGGCGCCTCTCTTGCAGCATTCACTATCAGGGTATCTCCGTGTCAGCTGGTTGCATTAGCTACATTCTCCAACCCAAATGATCACAATGGGTCCCCAAGGAGCTCCAGATTATCAACTCCTGTCAATTCATTTGAGCCCAGGAGTTCAAGGCTGCCGTGAGCCATGCTCATGGCACCACTGCACTCCAGCCTGGATGACAGTGCATGACCCTGTCTCAAAAATAATCATAGGCCGAGTATGGTATCTCACGCCTGTAATCCCAGCACTTTGGGAGGCCAAGACAGGTGGATCACCTGAGGTCAGGAGTTCAAGACCAGCCTGATCAATATGGTGAAACTCCACCTCTACTAAAAATACAAAAATTAACCAGATGTGGTGGCATGCGCCTGCAGTCCCAGCTACTCAGGAGGCTGAGACAGGAGAATTGTTTGAACCCCTCGGCTCACTGCAGTCTCCACCTCCTGGATTCGAGTGATTCTCCTGCCTCAGCCTCCTGAGTAGCTGGGATTACAGGCGCCTGCCACCACAGCTGGCTAATTTTTTGTATTTTTAGTAGAGACAGGTTTCACCATATTGGGCAAGTTGGTCTCAAACTCCTGACCTCAGGTGATCCACCTGCCTCAGCCTCCCAAAGTGCTGGGATTATGGGTGTGAGCCACCCTGCCTGGCCTGGGTTGTCTTTTAAGTTTTAAAAAATCATTTGTACATATAGTCCTTTCTGAATATAACATTGGTTTGAAGCTAACTCAATAGAAAGAAATTCCATCTCTTTAGTCTCTCTAGTTTGACTATAGTAGCTAACAGAGCTGGGCTGCAATGTCACACTTCACCTTTAGGTGCCACCATCTGATTTGATTTGCTCCAGCCTAAGCATTTCTTAAATTGGGGGCTTTAGATTCTGCGATAGGTATCTCTATTATGGGTATTTTGCCTGAGACGTACGAGCCACTCTTCTGGAGGAGGGGAACAGAAGCCAACATTTATCAAGTGGCCTTCCCTCTTCCAGACACAGTGCTGCTGTGGGCGGGTTTCATACACTGTTTCATTTCCCTCTCACAAGCACTCTCTGCTGCCCATTTCACCAAGGAGGAAACTGAAAGGCTGAATTACTCACCCAAAGTTACACAGCCAGGTAATAAGAGGGAGAGCCAGGGTTTGAATTCCAGTTTTCCTAGTGTCAGAATCTACACCCCTTCTCCCAAACACAGAGGGGACATCTGCAGGCAGGGACTAACAATCTCAGTCACATCCATTCTATCCATTCTCTGTTGACATCCATGTGTATGTTTCCAGGAGTCTCCAATAGGCCTGGCACTGCCCCCTACATTGTTGGCCACAATCTAATAAAGGCTCATGCTGAGGCCTGGCATCTGTACAACGATGTGTACCGCGCCAGTCAAGGTGGCGTGATTTCCATCACCATCAGCAGTGACTGGGCTGAACCCAGAGATCCCTCTAACCAGGAGGATGTGGAGGCAGCCAGGAGATATGTTCAGGTCTGTTTTTCCTCTGGGCGCTTGTTCTTACTCTTGTCCATCTTTCCTTCCAGCCTAATGGAAACAGATTGTGAATCAAAGATTTAGGGTGTGGTGGCTCATGTCTATAATCCCAGCACTTTGGAAGTCTGAGGCAGGAGGATTTCTTGAGGCTAGGAGTTTGAGACTAGCCTGGGCAACATAGAAAGACCTTGTCTGTGAAGAAAAAAAAATTATTAGGGCATGGTGACACACACCTATAGTCCCAGCTGCTCAGGAGGCTAAGGTGGGAGCTTGAGTCCAGGAGGTCAAGGTTGCAGTGAGCCATGATTTCGGCACCATTAAACTCCAGGTGACAGAGGGAGACCACCCCCAACCCCCAAAAAGAAGAATTATTAGGATCTAAGCCTAGTTTTGCTATTGCCTGATTTTGTGAGCTTGGGAAAATCATCTAACTTTTTCGTACCTTAGTTTCCTCAACTTCAAACTGGAGATGTCCTGCCCACCTCAAAAGTTTGCTGTGATGAAAGTGATAAAGTCTGTGGGGTTAAGTTGTCTTTAAGTTTTTAAAAATCATTTGTACAGGTAATTCTTTCTGTAACATTGGTTTGAAGTTAACTCCTAGAGAGAAATTTCCATTTCTTCAGTCTCTCTGGTTTGACTATAGTAGCTAACAGAGCTGGGCTGCAGTGTCACACGTCACCTTTAGGTGTCACCATCTAATTTGATTTGCTCCAGCCTAGGCATTTCTTAAATTGGGGGCTTTAGATTCTGTGAAACTCATTAGTGCCCCTAATTTGCCAACTCAATGAGTTTAAGAACAGCATCTTTCAGTCATGGAATTTCACCCAAGGAAGTAGAGACATTACTAGGAAGCCGACTGGGCAAGGTGGCTCACGCCTGTAATCCCAGCACTTTGGGAGGCTAAGGCAGGCTGATAACCTGAGGTCAGGAGTTCTAGACCAGCCTGGCCAACATGGTGAGACCCCATCTCTACTAAAAATATAAAAATTACCGAGGTGTGGTGGCACATGCCTGTAGTTCCAACTACTCTGGAGGCTAAGGCAGGAGAACCCAGAAGCTGAGATCACCATTGCACTACAGCCTGAGCAATGGAGAGAGACTCCATCTCCAAAAAAAAAAAAAAAGGAAGCAGGTGCCAGCATGGCCTACCTTTATTTCCACCTGAACCCCTGACTGACAAGAGGAGAGAAGGAAAAGAATGATCCTCGTTCACGGCACAGCTCCTCTGGCTCCTCCTAGAAAGGGATAGAAGGTGCTCTCTCCTACATTTTGCATCAGGAAGGAAAGGCAAGGGTTTCTCTCTGGATTGGTTCCCACTTTGGGCTCCGTGGAAGAGTCTGCCAACTGTGGCACTATAACTCTCTCGGGGGAAACACCATGGGCCTTGGTTTGCCAAACTCTTCACAAGAGAACTTGACAAAGATAGTCAAATTAATAAATGCAACGAAGGGCTTAATTTTCTGGTCTGCTAGCCAGCTGGGGAAACAGTTTTGAAACAAAATTAATGTATCCCTCATTTCAGACTCACAGAACTGGTGATTTAGAACAACATTTCCTTTTTTCCTGAAATCAAAACTTCAAACGTCAGGAAACGTTAGGCTGTCATATCATTAGATTGAGCCACTTACTGGTGAACTGTGATACTGCAGCCATGGACTATGACAGATGCATCTCTTATTAGAATCAGCTTCCACGAAAATATCTAGTGTGTTACCTTGGAGTGGGTGCATTTAAGCCTCTTTACCAGGGCATGTGTGTTCCATGCCTCATCTCTGACCATGAGTGGAAGCTGCCCTCACCCCACATTCCCAGCAGCAGCCAGTGGGTGAGGAGAGGATTTGGAGAGACTACAGAAGGCTCTCAAACCCCCAGCATCATAGTGTTTGGGTGCCACGTATCCCCGCACATGATAAGGATGGCCTAGGCCTCATTAGAGAAAATAGGTCAAACGGTTCCCCACTCTGGGGCTGTGAAAGCCCATTAAGAGTTATACTTTGCCCGGAAAGTCAGGAAAGCCTTGCATTTCAGCCCTCCCCAGAAAGTTCTGTTTGCTCCTTGGGCACTTTGATGAGGAAGTGCAGCCGCTCAGTGGTGAGAAAGAGAACCGGGAGCCTGGAGGCTTGTGGGTTCTCCCTTCTCCTCTGCAGGACCCATCCAAGGGCAGCCAGGAAGCATTTGTTGAGCACCAGGGCCAGTGCCCAGGTCAGTTACTGTCACCTCAAGCTACAACTATGAAGAGGTGGCCCTGTCCTCAGTGCAACAGCAACTGAGCAAGCACAGACCCAGCTGGGAGACCTGTGGACACTGAAGCTGCAACAGGCAGGAGCCACAGGGAAGAGAGCTTAACCTGGGGGTCCAGGAAAAGGAGGGAGGTTGTGAGGCCAGGCACTTCTGAGCGGGGACGATGCTGTCTCTTGCTGTGCCCACCTGTAACGCCTGGGCTGTCTCCCCCACCCTACCCGCAGTTCATGGGAGGCTGGTTTGCACATCCTATTTTCAAGAATGGAGATTACAATGAGGTGATGAAGACGCGGATCCGTGACAGGAGCTTGGCTGCAGGCCTCAACAAGTCTCGGTAAGGGCCTGGTGCCCGCAGTGGTGAGGGCATGGGCGTCGGGGTCACAGAGGCATGTCTCGGGCAAGTTACCATGACTGAGCTTCTTTGCTTGCTGGGAAGTTACATGTGATCATATATGTAAAGCTTAGCCCAGCACCTGGCACTGCTATATGCTTGACAGAGGGGTTTGCTATTATGGTTATTATATTGTGGAACAGCCAGGAAATCTGTTCCAAGGCTATCCACCTCTGAGCAACCCCACTATGCCACTCCACAGACAAATCCCAGCTCATCCTATCCTATTTCATCACCGCACGTGTGAATGTGGGTGGCAGTGGCTGACAGTCAGGCGTGTGCTTTGCATCACTTGGCCAGCAGGTGGCGATGGTCTGCACCAAAGCGTCCTTCCTTACCCGCCCGCCCCTTCTTGTCAAGGAAGGAGTAGCAACATTAGCAGCCAACGTTTACCCATCTTCTGTTGGTATCTTTATTTCTATTTAAATACGAGTAAAGTGAGGCGCAAAGATTAGGGCAAGATCACCCAGCTATTAAGAGATAGAGCTGAGATTTGCAGCCAAGCTGTCGGCCCCCAGGGCGCATGCTGGGGGCTTGAGAATCATGCAGGTGGGGTGAGAGGTGTGGTGTGAGGAAGCGCAGGAAGCGGCAGTCACTGCCCACGGGAACATGCCCACCGCTCCAAGGCTGGCGGGAATCAAGTGTGAATTCCCAACATAGTCTTTGAGTCCTGCCCCTAGACGCCCCCATATAGTCCAGCTGAGGATTAAAAATCCAGCTCCCAGGCCGGGTGCGGTGGCTCACACCTGTAATCCCAGCACTTTGGGAGGCCAAGGTGGGCGGATCACTTGAAGTCATGAGTTCAAGACCAGGCTGGCCAACATGGCGAAACCCTGTCTCTACTAAAAATACAAAAATTAGCTGGGTGCGGTGGCGGGGGCCTGTAATCCCAGCTACTTGGGAGGCTGAGGCCAGAGAATTGCTTGAGCTCGGGAGGCAGAGGTTGCAGTGAGCCGAGATCATGCCACTGCACTCCAGCCTGGACGATGGAGCAAGACTCTTTGTCTCAAAAAAAAAAAAAAAAAAAAAATCCAGCTCCCACCTCACAATGCACACCCTGGCCTAGTTAGGGTAAGTTCCCCAGAGCAGGCTGTGCCTAAAGGTCTGATCTGCGAACTGTGATCTCCAGCAAAACCGATGAGCGCCCGGCCCATCTGCACAACTTTGCCGAGCACCTACCATTTGCCCGAGCCAGGGCCAGGGGGAGGGGTCCATGGAAGGAGAGGATTCCATTCGGCTCCTCAAGCTGCTGACAGATCAGCTGGAAAGACAGTTCTCCATCCCATTCCCCAGGCTCTTCAGTACAAAGAAAACTCAGAAGATGAGATCAGGGTAGGCTGGGTAGACCCAGGAGATTTCATGGACAAGGCAGGACATCAGCTGAGCTGGGCCTTGACAGGGGATAGAATGTGGGGGATTGCAGGTCATTCTTTCCACGGGGCAGAGTTGTGAAGACAGGCCTAGAGGTAAGAATGAGTGGGGGTGCCAGAGCTGAGAGTGGGGAGACCAGCCCAGCAGCAGTGAAGGGGCTGAGGCCACATGGTGGAGGGCCTGGAAGCCAAGCACAGGGCCTTGGCTTTGGTGCCACAGGCCATTGCTGGCTTCTGAGCAGAAGCGTCAGGGACAGGAGGAGGCTGTGCTTTGGTTTTCTCCCATCATCTCAGAAACCCCAGGGAAGGAAGGTTCTTGATCCCTCAGGTTAATGGTAGCAGAAAGGTCAAGATGAAAGTGTCAGAGGCCTCAGCAGGGCATCTCTGGGCCACACCTAAACCAGAAGCCCCAGGTCTCCCTGTGGGCATGCGCATGCATTCAGGATCACCTGTACATGCTGCACACAAGTGTATTAGTCAGGTTCTACAGGAGAGGCTTTTCACTCAGAGTGCCTGGAAAATGCTCCATCTACAGGTTAAGAAGCCAAAGTTCCCAGGCTCACAAGTAATCTCAGCACTTTGGGAGGCTGAGGCAGGAGGATTGCTTGAGACCAGGAGTTCAAGACCAGCCTGGGCAATATAGTGAGACTTTGTCTTTACAAAAAATTTAAAAATTATCTAGGCATGGTGACGCACACCTATATTCCCAACTACTTGGGAGGCTGAGGTGAGAGGATTGCTTGAGCCCAGGAGACTGAGGTTGCAGTGAGCTATGATTGCACCACTGCACTCCAGCCTCAGGGGGCGTGCAGTGTCCTCAGGAGGACAGGGCGAGACCCTGTCTGGGAAAAAAAAAAGGAAGAAAGAAAACAAAGTTCAGTGAAATCGTGAGAACTGAGAAATTCAAACTCAAATACTCAATTTGCAAATTATTTCCCCTGCTACTTTGAAGATCTTGAAGCTATTATTATTATTATTATTATTATTATTATTATTAGAGTTGGAGAAAAGAGGCATGCCTAAACAAACCCCAAGAGGAGCAGAGAAACTTGGAAAGGGCAGAAAACGGAAATACAAATTACACAAGATACAGGGCCGGGTGTGGTGGCTCATGCCTGTAATCCCAACACTTTAGGAGGCTGAGGTGGGCGGATCACTTGAGGTCAGGAGTTCAAGACCAGCCTGGCCAACATGGTGAAACCCCATCTCTACCAAAAATATAAAAAATCAGCCAGGAGTTGTGGCAGGCGCTTGTAGTCCCAGCTACTTGGGAGGCTGAGGCAGGAGAATCACTTGAACCCAGGAGGCGGAGGTTGCAGTGAGCTGAGATCGCGCCACTGCACTCCAGCCTAGGTGACAGAGCCAGACTCAGCCACAAAAAAAAAAAATTATACAAGATCTAACTTTACAAACATAGGGGAAGAGTCTCAGATATGTACCTCAGGCATGCTCTTGATTTTGAAATCTGTCATAGATGCTAAATATCAGAATTTGCATATGTTGTTTGAAGGAAATTAAAAACTGTTTATGCATGTGTGTGTGTGTGTGTGTGTGTGCGCGCGCGCGCGTGGGTGCGTGTGTGTGTGGTCCTTCAGGTTTCAGAGGCTCTTGTAGAGACCTAGGGAAGCCAGGTTTATGGTCTGGCTGGAGGAGCCGCAGTGCTTCCTGCACCGCCTGAAGGACCTCTTCTCCTTCCCTGCCAGTTTCCCCTACTCACTGCCAAGTGCCTGGGGTTCGGAGAGCTCCCCCGCCCCAGCCCTATGACGTTCTCTTCTCAAAGCATGGCTCTCCCTGAAGCCCTGCCCTCAATGGCTTCTTCCACCCAGGCTGCCAGAATTTACAGAGAGTGAGAAGAGGAGGATCAACGGCACCTATGACTTTTTTGGGTTCAATCACTACACCACTGTCCTCGCCTACAACCTCAACTATGCCACTGCCATCTCTTCTTTTGATGCAGACAGGTAAGTCCACCAACAGGGAGCCCGGAGCCATCTCTGGAAAAGGCAGAAAGGTGCCCTTGGCTGTGCTCTCTGAGGCCTGCCCAGCCTCAAAACAGGGCCTCCAACGCCGAATGTGCCGGGGTTTGCAAGATGCTCGCCACCCCACAGATCCCAAGGAAATCTCCAGCAAGCAAGAGGGAGAGAAGGCCGGGGTCTCCAGGGCACCTCCCATTAGGGCACATGTGCTTGGCTTTTTGTTTTTTTATTTCATTTTTAAAATTTATTTATTTTGCGTTCTTTTTCACAGGCTGCTTAACTCTAAAAATGCTTGGTTGTTAAAAAGGATTTTCAAGAAAAAAATTGTTTAGGTTTTATCAAAATTCGCTTTAATATTAATAAATATTACAATAATACAAGAGTAAAATTTTATTTTCTCTTTTTAAACAATGCTTTTATGAAGTAGAGATAGTAAAAGATTTTGGTTCACCTTTTAAGTAACAGTTTTTATTTTATTTATTTTTTTTGAGACAGAGTCTCGCTCTGTCACCAGGCTGGAGTGCAGTGGCACAATCTTGGCTCACTGCAACCTCCACCACCCGGGTTCCAGTGATTCCCCTGCCTCAGCCTCCAAGTAGCTGGGATTACAGGCGCGTACCTCCACGCCTGGCTAATTTTTTTTTTTTTTTTTTTGTATTTTAGCAGAGACGGGGTTTCATCATGTTGGCCAGAATGGTCTCGGCTAATTTTGTGTTTTTAGTAGAGACAGGGTTTCTCCATGTTGGTCAGGCTGGTCTCTATCTCCTGACCTCAGATGATCCCCTTGCCTTGGCCTCCCAAAGTGCTGGGATTACAGGTGTGAGCCACTGCGCCCAGCCGATTGTCTTTTTCTTTATGATATCTATTTATCTAGAGACTTTTTCATCCATATCCTGTATTGTTTTTTAAATTTCTCTAAGTTAATTTTCACCTTTCTCTAGTACCTCCTTGAGTAGTTTAATAATCAACCTTCTGAATTCTTTATCTGGCAATTCAGAGATTTCTTCTTGGTTTGGATCCATAGCTGGAGAGTTAGTGCGACCTTTTGGGGGTCTTATAGAACCTTGTTTTGTCATATTACCAGAATTAACATTTCTGGTTCCTTCTCATTCAGGTAGACTGTTTCAGTGGAAAGATCTAGAACTCAAGGGCTGCCCCTCAGATCCTTTTGTCCCACAGGGTGATCCCTTGATGTGGTGCTCACCCCCTTTCCCTAAGGATGGGGCTTCCTGAGAGCCAGACTGCAGTGATTGCCATTGCCCTTCTGGGTCTATCCACCCAGCAGAATTACTGGGATCTGAACTGGTGCTGAGGAATGTCTGCAAAGAGTCCTGTGATGTGATCTGTCTTCAGGTCTCCCAGCCATGGATACCAGCACCTGCTCCAGTGCAGGTGGCAGGGGACTTAAGTGGATTCTGTGAGGGTCCTTGGTTGTAGTTTTCTTTCGTGCACTGGTTTTCTCAAACGCTGGTTATGCGAGCAGTGAAGTTGTCATGTGGACAGACTCAGGACCTCTGGTTAGCCAGGATGTTGCAGGCAGTGGAATTAGTTGTTGTTTTCTCTTTCTTTGGAGCAGGGTTCTTCTGTTATGAGTTGCTATAATGGCGTGAGTTGGTTGGTCTCCAGCCAGGAGGTGGCACTTTCAAGAGAGGAGGTGGCACTTTTGAGGTGCTTTCCCCTTCCACTGCCACCAGCTGCGGTAGTAGAAGGGGGATTACAAGGTTGCCCTACGTTGGCCAGGGTATTTGGGTTTCTCAGGTTATGGGCGGGGCCATAGAGCTCCCAAGAGTTTATGTCTTTTGTCTTCAGCTACCAGCAAAGGTAGAGAAAGACCATCAGGTTGGGGCAGCATTAGGCATATCTGAGCTCAGACTCTCCTCGGGTGAGGCTTGCTGTGGCCACTGTGGGGGAATAGGGGGCTGGTTCTCAGGCCAGTGGAGTTCTGTTCCCAGGGGTATTATGGCTTCCTCTGCTGTGTCATACAGGTTGCTAGGGAAGTTGGGAAAGCTGGCAGTCACAAGCCTCACCTAGCTCCCATGCAGCCAGCAAGGCCAGTCTCACTCCTGCTGTGCCCTGCCAACAGTGCGCAGGGCAGAGATCTCACCCCAGGCCACAAGCCTTCTCTCTGAGAAAGCAAACAGGGCTTTCAGGCCTTGCCCCTCCCCACCTGCCCACACTGTTGGCTGTGGCTTCTGTGCTTTTATCTGCACTTCTTGTTTGCCCCCAAGATTCTGCTCAGGAAAATTCATGCTTCTAGTTGAAATTAATAAGTTGAGCTAGAAGCTTCCTTAATCCTGCCCCTCCCTAATTCCACTGGCTTCCTTCTACAAGGACCCCTGTAGGATAAAGTCAGGAATGGCTTCCCTGGGCTCAAGCTGGGGACAGGGAGTGGCTACAGGGCTCTTCCCACTGCTTCTTCTACTTTTACATTTCACTTGGCTCCCTAAATCCACTTGCGCTCTAGGTAAGGTTAAATCCTTCTCCTATGATCTGGATGTTCAGGTCCCCAGAGAGGATGTGTGTTCAGAGGCAGACTTTCCCCTTCTCACACTTTGGGAACTCACAGTTTTGCAGCTGTCTCATGGAGTTTGCAGTAGCATTCTGCTTCTTTCAAAGGTCTGTGAATTCTTTTGGTTTTTCTGGTATGTTCCAGCAGTAGTTCTTGGAGCAACAGTTAACAATGTGAGTCTCCACACACTGTTCTGTCCATCCAAGTGGGAGCTGTACCTAAGTCCTGTCTCTTATCTGCCATTTTCAGAAAATCTCATTTTGTTCCTTTTCCATCAAGCATCTTTCCACACCAGTAGCTCTGACTGTGTCCAGGTTCTTTCTTTGAAAACCAGCCCCTCCACTCCCACTGTATCCTGAAACCCCCAGAGTCAGGCTCACCAAGGGGGCTGAGGAGACTCCAGAACACCCCTCTACTCCTTCTGATTCTCCCTCCCTCTTATGAGCCCTGGGGCTGTCCCTGGGAAGACCTCCACTAGTGCTTATGAAATGGCCCACATTCAATTCAGCTGAGTCAGATAAATCCAGGTGCTGATAAAACCAACATTTTTTTTTTCCCTGAAAGATCTGAGTGTAGGAAGTGTCTAAATTCTTGGTTCTTATTTGACATATGTGACTACAGGTGATCAGGCTTCTGTGGCCTCCCCCAGCAGGCACCCCTGTGGCAGGAGCTGTCCACCTCCTCGTCCATCACTGAAGAGAGAGGCCAGGCTCTTGGACACTTGAAGGAGGTGCCAGCCTGTCTGCTGCCTGTCTTCACACAAAGCAGGGCCCCTACAAATATTCGTGCCTGTGGCCTCACCCGTGGTCTGCAAGTGGCATTGACTAGACATGGGTGACTTGGGGGAGCCCATTCTCTGAAGACACAGCACTGGCGTCCATTGGAAGCCTGGAGCTGGGGACCCATAGCCTTTCATAGCTGGTGTAAGGAGCCATCTATTCAGAGTAGTGGAGGGCTGGGCTCCATGAGCAAGACCATTCTCTGCACAGGCAGAGAAATTGAAGGACGGAGAGCTGAGTGGCTTGTCCAATGCTATACAAGCACAGAGTGCAGGCAGCTAGAACCAGCGAAAGGAGGAGAATTTGAGGCAATTTGATTCTTCTGGGTTTAGTATGATTCTTAAGGCTAGACAAAACCTAAGGCTTTTCCTGGTCTAAGTCCTGTTTTGTGTTTCGTGTAAAGGGCCTCTTGAGATTTACAAAACAAGACCTCATCTTTAGTTTTTGAACTTGTAGAGGAGTTGCTTCCATCGCAGATCGCTCGTGGCCAGACTCTGGCTCCTTCTGGCTGAAGATGACGCCTTTTGGCTTCAGGAGGATCCTGAACTGGTTAAAGGAGGAATACAATGACCCTCCAATTTATGTCACAGAGAATGGAGTGTCCCAGCGGGAAGAAACAGACCTCAATGACACTGCAAGGATCTACTACCTTCGGACTTACATCAATGAGGCCCTCAAAGGTACGACGGGCCCGCCCTTCCCCAGCGTGCACCTTCCCCTGTTGGAAACATCTGCTATTTGCAGGAGTGTGATACAGCGTCCTTGGGCCACAGTAAGAAGAGAACGATAAGCCTTCTTGCTCCTGTGGGGGTTAAGCTTTGCTTTAGGGCCGCACTCTGAGTTTTTTTCCTTCCTATGTCTAAGCTCAGCAAGCAAGCCCAGTGGCCTGATGCCACCAAACCCTAGTTCCTGGCCTGAGTCACTTGCTCCCCTTGATCCTCCCTGATGTCGGAACAGCAGTGCCCTCCTGAGAATGGTCTGGGTAGGGCCCAGGAGGAGTAGGCTGTGTGGTTGCCTGTAGGGTCTCTTAGTCTCCGAGCAAAAGTTTGAGGCTCTTGGCTCAGCCCTAACAACTTGAGATGGGACCATGAGGATAAGAGAATGGAACAAATGCTGAGTAAAAGAGCAAGCAATGCACCAGCAAAGGAAATGATTAGAAAAATCCTACCCAGCTGAAATATATTCTATCTAAGGGCTATTTTCTACAGGGAGAAGCATTAACATTCTAAGGCACTGACCAAGATCATGGATAGAAGTGTAGGTGACCCAGGGAAATTAGTCCACCCATGTTCCCGACTCCCATTCAGGGCTGAGCCTTTCTAAAGATGCTGGTGGCTCTACATCTCCATCCACAGAGGACCCGCTAACAGTCACTGCATGCAAAGAAAGGGGCAGCTTTCTCACAGAGCTAAAGCCAAAGCTTACCGCCATCTGTGAAGGCGGTGGGGAGAGCAGTAGGCAGACCTGGCTTCCGAAGGCCTGGCAGGAAGCTGCCTTATGAGATAGGAAACTTATGCCTAGTCCTCTGTGTTTGAGCAGCTGTGCAGGACAAGGTGGACCTTCGAGGATACACAGTTTGGAGTGCGATGGACAATTTTGAGTGGGCCACAGGCTTTTCAGAGAGATTTGGTCTGCATTTTGTGAACTACAGTGACCCTTCTCTGCCAAGGATCCCCAAAGCATCAGCGAAGTTCTACGCCTCTGTGGTCCGATGCAATGGCTTCCCTGACCCCGCTACAGGGCCTCACGCTTGTCTCCACCAGCCAGGTGAGATGTGGCTCTGGGAGGGAATAAAGCCTAAGGGTGAAGGGCAGGTGGAAGGGCCTCTCTCAGTCTGTTTTCTTCTAGTTTATTACCCTCCTCTCTGCTGCCCCATCTCCTTCATTCATTCAACAAATGTTTATTTTCTTTGAATGCTCCAGACATTTCCTGGGGTGGAACAAAGGACACTTAGGGTCAATGTTACACCTAGAAACCAGAGCCCTGACCTGGGAATAAGCAGGTCTAGACTCTTCTTCCAGCCCTACCACTAACTTGCTGTGCACTCATAGATAAGAAACCAGGCACATGCTTCAGGGCAGTTATAAGGATCAAATAAAGGGACCATGAAAGTACAATGCCTGCACCATGTGGGTGCCCCGTATTTGTTAAATGTAAGAGTATAAATCACTACACAAATGTAAATGACAATTATCCAGTTTCAATTATACAGGCTGAGAATCCTTCATCTGAAAATTCAAAATCCAAAATACTCCAAAATCTGAAACTTTTTGAGCATGACTGGCATGACAACACAAATGGAAAATTCAACACCTGACCCCATGTGACAGGTCGCAGTCAAAACACAGTTAAAGCTTTGTTTCATGCACACAATTATTTAACATATTGTATAGAATTACCTTCACACCACGTGGATAAGTTGCATATAAAACATATATGAATTTCATATTTAGACCTGGGTCCCATCCCCAAAATATCTCATTATGTATATGCAAATATTCCAAAATCTTAAAAAATCCCAAATCTGAAACACTTCTGATCCCAAGCAAGCATGTCAGATAAGGGATATTCAACCGTATTCTAATTGCTGATAGAGATGTTTAAAAAATACAACTGCTTAACTTCACTCAGAGGCTCCTGACACACAGTGAAAGGGGATGGGTACCTCCACCTCGGCATCCCGTCAATGGCTGTGCGGATTTGGGGTACCGTGCAGCCTCTGCTGGGGTCTCAGAGATCTGAGAACTCAAATCAGCGCCAGAGCACCAACCACCCTGTGTCACACTCTCCTAGATGCTGGACCCACCATCAGCCCCGTGAGACAGGAGGAGGTGCAGTTCCTGGGGCTAATGCTCGGCACCACAGAAGCACAGACAGCTTTGTACGTTCTCTTTTCTCTTGTGCTTCTTGGAGTCTGTGGCTTGGCATTTCTGTCATACAAGTACTGCAAGCGCTCTAAGCAAGGGAAAACACAACGAAGCCAACAGGAATTGAGCCCGGTGTCTTCATTCTGATGAGTTACCACCTCAAGTTCTATGAAGCAGGCCTAGTTTCTTCATCTATGTTTACCGGCCACCAAACACCTTAGGGTCTTAGACTCTGCTGATACTGGACTTCTCCATAAAGTCCTGCTGCACCGTTAGAGATGACTTTAATCTTGAATGATTTCGACTTGCTGAGTAAAATGGAAATATCTCCATCTTGCTCCAGTATCAGAGTTCATTTGGGCATTTGAGAAGCAAGTAGCTCTTGCGGAAACGTGTAGATACTGGTCTAGTGGGTCTGTGAACCACTTAATTGAACTTAACAGGGCTGTTTTAAGTTTCAGAGTTGTTAAGGGTTGTTAAGGGAGCAAAAACCGTAAAAATCCTTCCTATAAGAAGAAATCAACTCCATTGCATAGACTGCAATATCATCTCCTGCCCTTCTGCAAGCTCTCCCTAGCTTCACATCTTGTGTTTTCCAGAAAATAAAAACAGCAGACTGTCCTTTCTCCTATGGTTGCCCCTCCTTGAGAAAGTAGGTTCAAGAGAAGTTATGAAGTCACACAAGCCATCTGGAGCTCCGATTAAGCTTTCTCACCAGACCAAGTCTTTCTGTTGACATTATATTCCTTGGGGCAAATACCACAACATGCAGAAAGTGGCCTTTTCCCACCCCTCGAACACCCCCACTGCCACTTTTTATGCCATCCCCAGCTCTCCCATCTGACCTTGGTTCATTTAGTCTGTTTCCTTCCTCCTTTCCCAATTTGTGGTAGTTCTAAACGGCACATAGGACAACTATCCATATTCCTTTGTGTCTTCCCAAATGCTACTCCTTCCACCTAGGATGCCCTTTCTTCTGAAAATGCCTTTAAGTCTCAGCTGAAATAATGTACTTCCTCCTCTGAATGGCTTCCCTGAAATCCCCAGGCAGATTCTCCTTCGTCTGCTTTGCTTGTAAATATCCCCTATTACAACTTGACCATCCAGTTTCTATACTGGAATTGCGTATTTCTCTATCATCAGCTTCTTAAGGCCAAGGACCATGTCTCATTGTCTCTGGCAAGCACAACTTGGAGAGAGCAATGAAAAGCACAAATGCTCCTTTCGTGTGTTCACCCATTCACATAGCATTTCCAGGGCAGTGGTGGGAGCAGAGATATGTTCTTTATAATCCCCTCAAATGTGCTGAGAGACAATCTCAGTGTGAAACACCTAAACACTTGATTGGCCCATATATTACATCTAGATAGCTGGGAAAATGTTTTGTAACAACAGAGTAATTTTGGGCTGGTCTTAAAAGGATGATCACACTTGAAATTTGCTTCTTGTAAGCATTCCTTTCCCTATCAAAACATTCCAACGCCATGAGTCCCAACCTGGCAGTCAGGAGCTTGTGGTGCACAAGCATTTTTCTCCATCAATCGACTGGAAAAGTTTGTCAGATGGGGGTGGGGGTGGTTCTAAAATTGATATTAAAGACATTTGTTGGCCGGGCACGGTGGCGCACACCTGTAATCCCAGCACTTTGGGAGGCTGAGGTGGGCAGATCACGAGGTCAGGAGATCGAGACCATCCTGGCTAACATGGTGAAACCCCATCTCTACTAAAAATACAAAAAATTAGCCAGGCGTGGTGGCGGGTGCCTGTAGTCCCAGCTACTCAGGAGGCTGAGGCAGGAGAATGGTGTGAACCTGGGAGGCGGAGCTTGCAGTGAGCTGAGATCGCACCACTGCACTCCAGCCTGGGCGACTGAGTGAGACTGTCTCAAAAAAAAAAAAAAAAAAGACATTCTTTGGGGAGAAACTCAGTATCATAAGGTGCCAATTATACCTAAATAATCTCAAAACTCAACATCACTTTTTTGGGACAACACTAACAAAATAATATAAAGAAGTTTCATATATGAAATAAACTTGTAAGAAGAGCCAGGATAAATCTGGGGGAAGAAGATTAAAACACATTATAAAGCTAGCTTAGTTTGGTATAGCAGAGAGCAAACAGATCAATAAAGGAAGAGAAAGCCTAGACACAGAAGCATCTGCACATGGAACAGATGCCCACCTCGCAGGCAGTGCGCCTACTCGGGGCAGAGGGCCCATGAAGGCAGTGAGGGAACAGGCTCCTGGGGATGTTAGCCACGGGCATGGGAAGGAGCCAGGTCCTTTCCTTGGATACCAGATTTAAACATACAAAAAGGAAACCATAAGAATCCTAGGATATAAAAAAATTAATTTTTGAAGTGGGAAAGGTATTTATAAGCAAGACTCAAGACCTGGAGGTCATAAAGGAAAACACAGATAATACTGTGGAAAAAATTACCAAATATACTCAACAAAAGGGAGGGAGAAGCCAGGCGCGGTGGCTCACGCCTGTAATCCCAACACTTTGGGAGGCCGAGGCAGGCGGATCACGAGGTCAGGAGATCAAGACCATCCTGGCTAACACGGTGAAACCCTGTCTCTGCTAAACAAAATACAAAAATTAGCCAGCTGTGGTGGTGGGCACCTGTAGTCCCAGCTACTCGGGAGGCTGAGGCAGGAGAATGGTGTGAACCCAGGAGGCAGAGCTTGTAGTGAGCCGAGATTGCACCACTGCACTCCAGCCTGGGCAAGCGGGAGACTCCGTCTCAAAAAAAAAAAAAAAAAAAAAAAAAAAAAAAAGAGAAAATATTCACTGCATATGCTAGCAAATGGCTGTAATGTACACAGTAGTCTTATAAATCAGTAAGAAAAATATGAAAACAAAAATTGGCAAGGAATACACGGAGCTCTCACGATAAGCCAAACTGATCAATAACATCAAGATGCTCACTTCATTCATGATAAATACAATGCATACGAGATTGTATCATTTTTCATCCATCATTTTGACAAAGCTAAGAAAGTATGATAATACAGTGTTGGCAAGGGTGTGGGAAAATGGACATTCTCATGACTGTTGGTAGGGGTTCAAATTCACACAGCTTGTAGAGGAGGCAATGCAACAGCATCTTTCACAATCCAAACTGCAAACACTCTTCTTTCACTTAGCAAGTTATACAAACATATTCTACAGGTATATTTTCACAGTAAGACTATACCTCCCACTGAAGGTTGCTTACGATGGCAATGTTTGTAATAGAAAAACAAAATTGTGTAATAACCACTGACTGCCACCAGAGCATGGACAGTAAGCTGAATGCAGTACATTCATCAAGCAGAATGCTATGCAACCATTAAAAATGAGGTAGCTCAGTGTCGACAGGAAAAGATCTCAAGACTATGTAAGCAAAAAAGCAAGATGCAAGGTAGAATATATAATATGATCCCATTTATTTAAAAAATAAAGATTACATATTTGCTTATATACGCATACAAATTTTCTGAAAATTACATAAGAAATTGTTAATAGATTACCTCTGGAGAATAGTACTGGGGTAAGAGGTGAGGGGGCAGAATTCTCATTTTACAGCCTTATATACTGTTGTGAATTTTTTTTTTTACCATGTACTTTTAAAAATACAAAATTGAGGAGGGAACCTCCTACTCCAAAATTACGAAGCATTCTTTTATGTACATTTCTCTAAGAGTTATATTTGATATTTTTCAAGGCAAACTGACTTGAGGTACTCGATGTTTTTAAATGTATTTCTAATAATTATTAGTAGGGTCACACCTATTTGACAGCTTTTTTAAAAAGTCACATATTGCTGTATTTTTAAAGATGACAAACCTTTATTTAAATGAGATGCTTGCTGGAGATTTTCTTTTTCAAACTCACTTTTTAAGTTATGGAAATAATATCACTGCTGAAAGTTTGGAAAACATATATAAGGGTGCCAAAAATACCACTAAAATCACATAAACCAATCTTACCATTATTAATGGTGTGATTTCTTTCTTTACATATCTATTAATACCTAGTACTATCTATGTAGAAAATGTGTTTGCAAAGCTGAGATCACACTGTACCTATAGCTCTGGATCCTGCTGCTTTTTCCCCCAACACTTAACAGATGCTCAGTAAACATGTTAAACCAAGTTGTTAATTAGTATTGTACCATTTCTCCTCATCAAAAATTACTTCTATAGAAGGCATTTAGTTGGTTTCCAGTTCTTGAGTAAAATAAATAACACTTAATGAGTATGTCTTTACCTAAACATTGTCTGCATTTATGATTTAGAAGAAGCTACTGGATCAAACGGTATGAAATATTTTAAGTTTCTGATAAATGTTTTTCAGAAGAATTATACTGGTTTTCACTCCTACCAACAGCGCAGCCTGTGTTGCTGTTTCCTTGCCAACACTGTCACCATTTTAAAAAGTCACTGTTATTTCACAGGTAAAAAATAGAAAGTTTGCTCTGAGAAAATTTCTTCCTCCCATTACAAAATAAAGTCACAGTCTTTCCGTATGTCCACTCTAGAGTGCTATCTTCCAATCTAAAACAGAGGAACTGTTTTCAAACATCATTAGTTTAGCGGTCTCCACTAACAAAGACATACGGATAAAGTAACATGTAAGTCAGATTAAGAATCTCAACTTTTTAAGAAAAACCAAATGACTAAAGGCATATTTTTATTCTATACTTTTTGTCCTATAGGTACTCTAGGTCCTTGTGTAATTATTGAGGACAAAACGTCAGTTAAAGGTGAGAGGGAAAACTAGGTTGCAGACTAGCAGCTGTTTTGCATCTCACAAGAACAAAGGCCTTAACAAACCGTATACTTTATGCAAACAAAGTGATGCCTCACTGACTTAGGAGACAAGTCACATGCCATCAGTGTGTCAGAAAATTTCTTTCTTCAGTGATAGTTAAGGTAACCTCGCCAGCTACTTTCCAGAGACAGCTCCAGGGCAATACTGGGGAAAAAAAAAAATCAGAGACATAGGACCTCAATAGAGCCCTGTGCAACAAAAAGATGCTAGATAACAAAACTCAAAGCAAAACTAAGATCATTCCAATTTAGGGGAAAGTTTTTTTATTCAGTGTTTAAGATTAAAAACTACAAGATTTTGCTTGCAGCTGATGAGTAAAAAGAGAAGTTAAACATAAATTCTCATCTGAGTGGCTAGTTAAAATGCTCTGACACCGAGTCAAGTTACTCAGTGACATACCAGTTACTTTGGGCTTAAGAGTCTTGGAGCAAAGTAGCTCTAAACAAAACGTGTCATCTGAAGCATAGGGCTAATGGGCATATGAAATACTAAATAAGAAGCTGATGGAGGCAGGCTGTGGCAGATTTTTGGTTCTTTTAGGGTTCTAGCAGTGGTTGCCATATAAGCAAGGACCTAGCAGAGAGTTATTTCCTGTCTTTACTTTTCTGAGTTAAACACCTTCAACCCACACCCACTAAGCAGGAATAAAGAGACATTTTATAGACCAGTTGGAAAATATAAAGCAGTCCCACTTCTCCAGTAGAATTTTAGTTGAATTAAATCATAAGAGAAACAATGATTATTGCACATATTATACTTGTCACACTACATCTGTTGAGTGGAATTTCCATTCCAAGTGTTGTTTTCATCTTCACCATCATCTTGAGTCCTTAATCTATAAATTTTCCCCTCCTTTTTAAAGTCGTCTCCACGTTTTTCCAGCACTCTTTTTCTCACTGGTTCCCTGATACGAAAAAGAGGGAGCAAGGGGAAGATGTCATAAAATAAAAACAATAGTAATACAAGCTGTTTCCAACTTCCATCAGTACAGGCAACTAAGTTTTACTTTTAATGCCATCTAAAGTAAGGAAAGTCCATGGGAGACCATTATATCTACTAACACAGTACTAGACTTTAGCAGTCTTTGGTAGTTTAGCTTCATCTGATCTCTAAGTCAAGCCAGCCAGCCAAATCATATATTCCATTTCCATTGTGTTTCTTAGTGACTTAATAAGCATTAGAGGAGTGTGACCATTTGCCAACTAATCTTTCCTTTGTTATTTATGCAAGCCGACATTATCTACTAAAACATTTGTAACTTAGCACCCTAGAGACTATCCAAAGCTCCAGTCAGCTTGACAGAAAGGGTCAATTTTAAATCCTTCGCAAAATCTTCAAGAATGACTTATTTATAAACAATTAAGAATGAAGAGGACTTCCTATTCTGAAAATACAAAGGTATAAGGATAAAATTTAAGCCAACAGACTTTTATAACTCTAGAGGGGAGAGAAAAAAGGAAAAATAATGGTGGAACACAAAGCTTCACCCTCTCTTTGACACACCTTTTATTCCATCCTTTGCTCTAATCTAAGACCTTTCTCTTATTTGAAAAAAGTGTTGTTTTTTGTTCTTTTTTGAGACAGGGTGTCCCCTCTGTTGCCCAGGCTAGAGTGCAGTGGCACGATCACGGTTCACTACAGCCTCAAAACTCTGGAGCTCACACAATCCTCCTGCCCCAGCTTCCCAGGCAGCTGAAACTATAGGCACACGCTATCACACACAGCTCACTAAAAGTTTTTTTTGTAGAGATGGAGCCTCACTATGTTGCCCAGGCTGGTCTCAAACTTCTGGCCTCAAGTGATCCTTGCACCTCAGCTTCCCAAAGAGCTGGGATTACAAGTATGAGGTACCACACCCAGCCTGAAAAAAGTTTTAAAAATCCATACAACGAGCTCTCCTATATTACAGTAATTCAGTATTAAATGCTCCCACCCATTGCTCAGTAAGAGTTTTAAGATTCAGCCTTGTTTGAGCTTCCCTCTGTCCTCACTACAGTAACGTACTTAGTAGGTAACTGGTCTTCCTGCCTAACAGTTATGAAATAAGATAAAGGACAAAGCAGCCCAATCACAATACTTATATGTCATTACCTATGGAATCCATAAACACATGACTAGGGCTTCTCCATACTGAGGGCAGAGAAAAAAGAATTTCTATTACTTATCACATAGGACTGGCATGAAGATTTGTTATAATGCCTATAAAAGGCCTCATAGAGTGCTTAACAGCGGTGTCCATTTCAGTAAGTTACATTATTATGTAATTATTAGAAAGGGGCATAAACTTACTTTCTAGGAAAATACTTCCCATTAACCTGTTTCAAGTATATAAAATCTTAACAAAGATAGGAGTTAAAATTGTCAGTGTTGTATTACTATGCTAACCATTGCATGCTATCTGCTATAAAAGTTGTTTTGTTTTTGTTTTGAGACAGGATCTCACTCTTACTCTGTCACCCAGGCTGGAGTGCAATGGCACAATCTTGGCTCACTGCAGCCTCAATCTCCCGGGCTCAAGTGATCTTCCCATCTCAGCCTCCCAAGTAGCTGGGACCACAGACATGTGCCTGGCAAATTTTTAAATTGTTTTTGTACAGACAAGGTCTCACTATATTGCCCAGGCTAGTCTTGAATGCATAAGCTCAAGTAATTCTCTCGCCTCAGCCTCCCAAAGTGCTGGGATTACAGGCGTGAGCCACTGCATCAGGCCCTGGTCTCTTGGTTAAGGGATTAGTCCAAAATAATTCTCTGAGAGAGAATTTTCAAAGCAATAACCTGTTTCCACAATTTGGTCCTTCTCTGAATGATCCAGACAAGGCTGTCAGCCGGTAGATAAAAGAACCAACAGGGTTAAAATGATCAAAACAGAGTAGTTCACCTACAGTAATTATGCAAGATGACCCTGAACGATTAATGCAATGAACTATCTTGTCAAGCAAACATGGTTAGCAAGAAAGAGGTTACTAGAAAAAAAAATCTGCCTTGATAGTTATGGGGTAAAGAAACTTCAATGAATGAAACAATAAACCAGTAGAGGTGAAGCTGCTTTCCAAAAAATTGGTTTTATAAAGCTGGCTGAGAAAACGCAGGTAGTGAGCTCTGCAGTAGAGATGATGTAATAAAGTTTCAGAGCATCGGAGTTTTTCTCCTCCACCGTGGGAACTGGAGAGGACATATACAGAAAGGCAAAGTACTCAACTTTTTACTTAAAAAAGATACTGGGCATGACTTACATATTTTATAAATGGGGAAAACACACACAGATACCTTTTTTCTGATTTGCTAGATGATGCAGGGTTTGGGGGTTCTGACGATGTTACTCTCACTGAAGTCTGTGTGGGAGGCGGATTACTAAACAAGAAATTGCTAATTAATCTCCAGATGGCAAGGAATGGATAAAGCACTGTTCCCAACAAGGTCCAAATGTCTCCGCTGGAAGAGTGTACAATGGATGCAGTTGGTCTTCCTGCCTAGAAATTAATAAACAAACCTAGATAAAGACTACGTTAGCACAATCACATCACGCCCAAGGTTCCAGATGAAACTTTTATCTGGAAAAGGAGGTCCTACCAATTTTAGTTTACTTCAAGAGGGTAAAATGATATCTTTTGCTGTTTTTCACGTATATATAAACTTCTGAAGACTCCCAGAAGTTTTTAAAGATAAATATACAATATTATACAATTGTATATAATTGTATAATAACTGTATAATTGTATAGTATACAATTATTTTATATATTATATATATTATATTTTATATAATATATTATAATTATAAAATTATTTTATATAATTATTTTATATAATAATTGTATATAATTGTATAATATTGTATATTATATATACAATTGTAATTTTATGTTATAATATTTGGAGCTGTGTTTAAGAGAAATTGTAATATACAAACTAGAAAGTAGTTCTCAGTGAAATGAGCCAACTATTTTTTAAGAATATTAAACTTTTATAAGAAGAGTCTTTCTTGCTGATTTAAAAAAAAAGGTTCAAACAATGAAATCCTGATTACTGGAGAGCTAACTGTTTTGGGGTGGAGGGCACGTCTAGTATAGAGCAAGGAAAACTATGTTAACCAGGACACAGAAGACCCAGGCTCTCATCCCAGTTACGGCAGCAGTCATTTAAGCTGTCTGAGCTTCTTTTCTTCACCAGAGATTAAAATATTGTTGTGCAGATCAAATGGGATAATCTGTTTGAATATTCATGTTATTTTTGGCAAACAGTAGAGCATATATAAATAAAAGACACTAAGTGTGTGGATTAGACAGATAATCTGCATTTCTTACTGTCTTCTCCTATTGGTCATTTTTTTTGTACACAAAAATATGTGAAGAAAAAAGTTAAAAATTAAACTGTTTCATGTCTCACAAGTAATATCAGCAATACAAATAAAGCACAGGATAATGGAATTATAAATTCATCTAATTATTGGATCACTTGAATTTTAATTACCTTCAGTATATCTGTGCACTTCCTTTCCCCTAATTATAAGAAATGAAGAGTATGATAAACAGAAAACAATAAGAAGAGAAAAAAATGCATCTGTATATACATACTGGCAACAGTACCACCGAAGCGCTTGGGGCAAGTTCCAAATCCAGTAACTTCTTTTTATAATCTTCTTTGGTAAATTCCCTCCTGGGAAACATGGTTGCTAACGAAAAATTACCGTAAGTGTTGCCAACAGTCTGTAAAATAAGTTTTAAAAACTTAAAGAGTGCCTTTAAAAGTAAGATATTACTCAGATGAATCCAAAATGATGCTTTAATTAACATTGCCTTAATTTTAAAAGTTCATTACATGTAAACTCAAAAAAAGGTATAAAATTGTGCTTCCAGCCCCTAAGCAGCTGAAAAGCTATCAAATCCAAATAGTTTTTAAAAGCTTCTGTAACTCAAAGATGACCACAAAATAGCAAAATATAGTTCCTAAAAACACACAAATAAATTGAGTAAAAATGGACAATTGTGTATCTCCTTTAAGTACTGTTGCAGTTCATCATTAGGTTTTCACTATCCTTTGGCAAACTTAATGTCTCATGAACACACATTTGGATTACAGGTAATCCCTATTAAGAATTTGGACTAGACCAGTATTTCCCTCATATATACCTTCAGGAAGTGTAGCCTCCTCCTTGTCTCAAGGCATAAATGGTCCATAATCAACCTACATGATACACACAATACCAGATCCAGGAACGTACAATGGACAGCACTGTAAGTCACCCTCACAATTTTAAGTCCTCTATATACAAAAATCACTTGTAAAATCTTAGACATCTGTGTATCTTTCCCTAGAAGATTCCAAAGAAGGAGACTAACTTGTTTTTCGTATTTTTTTTTTTTTACTGTAGATCACACATACCCCTCACTGTTCTAAAGATACACAAAATACAAAACTTGATAACTGTACTGAGGTGGAATTTTTGTTTTTTGGGTTTTTTTTTGTTTTTTTTTTTTTTGAGACAGTCTTGCTCTGTCGCCCAGGCTGGAGTGCAGTGGCGCGATCTTGGCTCACTGCAAGCTCCACCTCCCGGGTTCACACCATTCTCCTGCCTCAGCCTCTCGAGTAGCTGGGACTACAGACGCCCGCCACCACGCCTGGCTAATTTTTTGTATTTTTAGTAGAGACGGGGTTTCACCGTGTTAGCCAGGATGGTCTCAATCTCCTGACCTCGTGATCCACCCACCTCAGCCTCCCAAAGTGCTGGGATTACAGGCGTGAGCCACTGCGCCCAGCCTGTTGTTTTTTTTGAGATGGAGTCTTGCTCTGTTGCACAGACTGGAGTACAGTGGCGCAATCTCAGCTCACTGCAACCTCTGCCTCCTGGGTTCAAGCGATTCTCCTGCCTCAGCCTCCCGAGAAGCTGGGATTACAGGCGCCCACCACCACGCCCGGCTAATTTTTGTATTTTTAGAATAGATGGGGTCACCATGTTGGTCAGCCTGGTCTCAAACTCCTGACCTTGTGATCCACCCACCTCGGCCTCCCAAAATGCTGGGATTACAGGCGTGAGCCACCATGCCTGGCCTGAGGTGGAGTTTTAATAGGACACATGCAATCAAAGATGTAGTCCCTTCTCCATTTACCTGTGGCAAAAGCAGTGAAACTCAGGACAGGGGACACATTGTGGGAGGCTCCAAGACAAAAGAAGAATGAAAGCACCTATTTGGGACTGTTTCTACTATAAAGCTTAGGGGGAAACAGTTTTTAAAATAAACGTTTACATTGTCCAGCCTAGTTCACGAGTGCAAGAAGACGACCAAATGTGGAGAAAAGGTCTGGCGGAAAGATCTGAACCCAAATCCCTAATTTTAACCTTGAAATTATATATATGAAAAAAATACTGATACATATAATGAGCCTAGAACCCAAAGGACATCTGATGCTCAGAATCCGTTTTGAATAAGGAATCAATCAGGGAATAAAAATAAATTGAAAACTACTCATATCTCAAGATATATACTCCATTCAGATTCTGAGTAAGGCCACCTTTTGGAAGTAAATTCCTGAAGAAGATACTATTGTCAAATAAAGTTTACTGCCTCTTTTTCCTTAGCCAAAAGGTAAATCGTAGGAAAATGACCAGCCCCTAAGCAATCTGTAGGAAATGGAGAGAGGAGTGAGAAAAACTGCTTCCATTTCAGGGGAGTGGGACAATTCCCTCACATCAGACCTTCGGGAAATCACTTGCCTGTCACTCCTTCAATGAGTCTACTAATCAGTGAAAAAAGTTCCCAGTGGCTGGGCTGGGTGGCTCACGCCTGTAATCCCAACGCACTGCGAGGCTGAGGTGGGAGGAATGCTTGAGCCCAGGAGTTCAAGACCAGCCCGGCTACATGGTGAAACCCTGTCTCTACAAAAAGTACAAAAATTAGCCGGGCATGGCAGTACATGCCTGTAAGTTCCAGCTACTTAGGAGGCTGAGGTGGGAGGGTCGCTTGAGCCCAGGAGGTCGAGGCTGCAGGGAGCTGTGATCGCACCACTGCACTCCAGCCTAGGCGACACAGTGAGATCCTGTCTCAAAAAATTTTAAAAAAGAAAAGTTCCCAGGACCTATTATACAATATCAGCAAATTCCTACTTCTGCACACAAAGCAGATATGTTACTCCCATATGCACTAACACCCGACAGAATTTCCACAATATCTCAGAGGCGTCTTGTGCCTCCCTCCTGGAGAGGTCACAATTCACTCACATTCAACTTCTGCTTTGAAATTTTCCCTTCCTATAATTTAGTAACCTACACATCTATTTTTACTACAACTCAAGACATAAATTTACCTGTGCAGCAAACTGCCTTGCCTCTTCTAGAGGAGCATCAGAAGGGAACTGATTTGTAAAGGAAGAACCATCAGGAAGACGGAATTGAATTCTTGCAACAGTGCTATGAAAAAAGAAAATTAAAGTCACAATCTTCACCTCTATATATTCTCTAACAATATCATTAAGTTAGAGAAAATGGAAGTGGAAATGTGCAATGACAATAGTTTTTTCTACCATATCAGATCTTTTTGTTTGTTAATAACTGCTTTACTGAGATTCATATAAAAAATTAACTCTTTTAGGCTGGGTGTGGTGGCTCACGCCTGTAATCCCAGCACTTTGGGAGGCCAAGGCGGGCGGATCACCTGAGGTCAGGAGTTCAAGACCAGCCGGGCCAACGTGGTGAAACCCTGTCTCTACTAAAAAATACAAAAATTAGCTGGGCATGGTGGTGTATGCCTGTAATCCCAGCTACTCAGGAAGCTAAGGCAGGGAGAATGGCTTGAACCCGGGAGGTGTAGGTTGCAGTAAGCCGAGATCATGCCACCGCACTCCAGCCTAGGCAATAGAGCGAGACTCCATCTCAAACAAACAAAAATTAAGCCTTTTAAAGTGTACAGTTCAGTGATTTTTAAATATATTCAGAATTGTGCAACTATCAACATTATCTAATTCCAGAACATTTTCATCATGCCAAAAAGGAACTCCAACCCCATCAGCAGTCACTCCCCATCCCTCCCTCCTCCAGACCCTGGCAACCACTAATCTACTATCTCTACGGATTTGTCTATTTTGGGCATGTTGTGTAATAGAATCATACAGTATGTGACCTTTGTAACTTGCTTTTTTCATGGAAATTGTATTTTCAAGGTTCATCCATGTTGTTGCAGGTATCAGTTCTTATTCCTATTGCTGAAAAACATTGTTGTATGAGATACAGTTTACACATTCTTCAGTTGCTGGACATTTGGGTTATTACCACATTTTAGCTATTTTGACTAATGCTGCTATACTCATGTACAGGTTTTTGTGTTGACGTTTTCAATTCTCTTGGATATAAACTGCTGTATAAACTGCTGCTGTAGAACTCCTGGGTCCTATGATAACACTATGTTTAACATTTTGCGTTACTGGCAAACTGTTTTCCAAGGTGGCTACATCATTTTACAATCCCACCAGTAACACAGAAAGGTTCCAAATTCTCCACATCCTCACAAACACTTATTACTTTCTCTTTACATTTAGGCATACTTAGTGGGTGTGAAATGGTATCTCATTGTGGTTCTGACTTGATTTCCCTAATGACTAATGATGTTGAACATCTTTTCATGTGCTTACTGGCCATTTGTTTATCTTCTTTGGAGAAATGTCTATTCAAATCCTTTCCACATATTTGAACTGGGTGTCTTTATAATTGAGTCACAGGTTCTTTTTATATTCTAGACACAAGTCTCTCATCAAATATATGATTTGCAAATATTTTCTCCAATTCTATGGGTTGTTCTTTGCATTTTTTTTTTTTTTTGAGACAGAGTCCCACTCTGTCGCCCAGGCTGGAGTGCAGTGGCGCAATCTCGGTTCACTACAACCTCCGCCTCCCTGGTTCAAGCGATTCTCATGCTTCAGCCTCCTGAGTAGCTGGGATTACTGGTGTGCACCACCATGCCTAGTTAATTTTTGTATTTTTAGTAGGGACGGTTTTTTGCCACGTTGGCGAGGCTGGTTTTGAACTCCTGGCCGTAAGTGATCCGCCTGCCTCAGTCTTCCAAAGTGCTGGGATTATAGGTGTGAGCTACCATGCCCAGCTTCTTTGCACTTTCTTGATGATATCCTTCAAAGCACGAAAGTTTTAAATTTTGGAAGTGCGATTTACCTATTTTTAAATTTTGTTCCTGTGCTTTTAGTGCCATGTCTAACAATCCATTGGCTACTCCTAGATCACAAAAATATATTCCTCTTTTTTCCTCTAAGAATATATATTTTATAGTTTTACTTTTTGGTAGATGATCCATTAAGTTAATTTTGTACATGGTGTGAGGTAAAGGTCCAAATTCATTATTTTGCATGTAGATATTCAGTTGTCCAAGCACCTTTTGTTGAAAAGATTCTTCTTTCCCACTGAATAGTCTTGGTACCCTTTTCAAAAATAAACAGTTCATAAATGTAAGGGTTTATTTCTAGAGACTCCATTCTATTACAATGACCTGTATGTTCATCTTATACCATTACATCACTGTATAGCTTTGCAGTAAGTTTGAAAATCAGGAAGTATGAGTCATCTATCTTCATTTTCCAGTTTGTTTTAACTATTGTGTTTCTTGCATTTCCATATGAATTTTAGGTTTATAATTTATGGAAAAAAGCCAGCTGGAATTTTGATAGGAGTGTTGAATCTATAGATCAGTTAGATCAGTTTAGGGAGGATTATCATCTTAACAATGTTAAGTATTCTTATCCATGAACATAGGATACTTTCCAGGTATTTAGGTCTTAAATCTTTCAACAATGTTTTGTCATTTTTAGCACACAAATCTTACATTTTTGTTAAATTTATTACTTCATTATTTTTGGAAAATTATTTTTAAAAATTTTTCTGATTACAAAATACTACTTGTTAACTGTCCAATATGGAAATATGAAAAGGCACAGAGAAGACAATAAGTATTAACCATAATCCAATTAGCAAGGTGTACTAGAAATCTAAACTTTTTTTGTCTTTTCAACATATTTTTGTTTTGGGAACTGCCTTCTTACCCTGCTATGTGTCATTCGTTCTGGTATAATTATCAATAACATTTCCCCCACCTCCTTCACCACAAGATTGGGCATGTCACCTCCTCCAACCAGAGGGCCCACACATGTGGACACTGACTACTCTGAAGGTGGCCACATGATCCAAACAGGGGCAGTCAGAATTCTCAGTGACTGATACAGGCATGAGAGAGAAAAGGTTAATCTCTTCTGTCTGGGATCGTGAATTCAAGGTCCTGAAAGTGCCAGGAGGTGCTGGGCTCTCCTGACACCATTTGGAGAGTTTCTCTAAGAATGAAGCTAAAACAGAAGAAACCAAGAATTAAAAAGAGAGAGAGAAATTGTAATGGTATCCTTTAGATTGCTGGACACAGCTATGCCTAACCAAATTCACCCTTGGATTTCTGAACTGCAGAGCCAATGTATTTCCTCTTTTGCTTAATCCTATCGGATAGGGGATTCTGAAAAATAAAGAATCCTAATACGTATGAGATAAACATTATATTCATTTGGTTACAAATCATTTCTGTCTTTGGAAAACAGGTATTTATTGGGCCCTCTTTTTTTTTTTTTTTTTTTTTGGGGACGGAGTCTCGCTCTGTCGCCCAGGCTGGAGTGCAGTGGCGCAATCTCGGCTCACTGCAAGCTCCGCCTCCCGGGTTCACGCCATTCTCCTGCCTCAGCCTCCCGCGTAGCTGGGACTACAGGCGCCCGCCACCATGCCCAGCTAATTTTTGTATTTTTAGTAGAGACGGGGTTTCACCATGTTAGCCAGGATGGTCTCGATCTCCTGACCTCGTGATCCGCCCGTCTCGGCCTCCCAAAGTGCTGGGATTACAGGCGTGAGCCACCGCGCCCGGCTATTGGGCCCTCTTTTAAAGTTATTTATGTAGTACTTTTTTAGTGTACACTCACACGAAATGAGAGATACCATTGGGAGCTGTCAAATTAATATGTCCCTCTGGAATGGACTGCTTATAACCACAGTATACATCAGTGTTAAAAACCAGCTTATAATCATTCTCCTCAGCCCCTATGTGCACAGAGATGTTTCAGCATGAAATATAGTACCTTCTTTCTCTTGCATAAGATTCCCTCTTGACTTCCATTTCTGCCTGTTTTGCTAGCAAGGCAGCAGCTTTGGCAGCCTCTACTTCTTCCTTTGTCTTTGCAAAACGAGCAGCTCTCTCTGCACGGTCCTTTAAAACATCATTAAATACCAATTACCTTTACTGCCAGAATGGTTAATTCACACAATTCCAAACAAATATGCATGGAATTTTTTTTTTTTATTAAGAGACAGGGTCTTGCTGTGTCATCAAGGCTGGAGTGCAGTGGCACAATCATAGCTCACTGCAGCCTCTGAACACCTGGGCTCAAGCAATCCTCCCACCTCAGCTTCCAGAGTAGCTGGGACTACAGGTGTGTGCCACCATGCCCAGCTAATTTTTTTTCTTTTCTTGTAGAGGTGGGGTCTCACTTTGTTGCCCAGGCTGATCTTATACTCCTGGCTTCAAGCAATCCTCCCACCTCAGCCTCCCAAAATTCTGGGATTACAGTTGTGAGCCACTGTGCCTTTGCTGCCTGAAATTGTCTAACACCATATGTGAACTTTAACATTCTGGAACTGTTATTTTTTAGTTTTATCAACTGTCGGAGACCAGAATTATTATTAAGGAAACAAGGAAATGAATTTGCTCACTACTGTATCTCCAAAGCCTGGAACAAGGTCTGGTACATAATAAATGCTCAACAAGCCTGGGTGTGGTGGCTCACGCCTGTAGTCCCAGCACTTTGGGAGGCCGAGGTGGGTGGATCACCTGAGGTCAGGAGTTCCAGACCAGCCTGACCAATGTGATGAAATCCCGTCTCTACTAAAAATACAAAAATTAGCTGGGCATGTTGGCATGCACCTGTAACCTCAGCTACTTGGCAGCCTGGGACAGGAGAATTGCTTGAACTCGGGAGGTGGAAGTTGCAGTGAGCCAAGATTGCGCCACTGCACTCTAGCCTGAGCAACAAGACTAAAACTCCATCTCAAAAATAAATAAATAATAAATGCTCAACAAATACTTGTTGACTGACCAAATGAACAAAAATATTAAGGTAGGGATGGCTTTTTTTCTTTCTTTCTTTTTTTTGAGATGGAGTTTCGCTTTTTGTCGCCCAGGCTGGAGTGCAATGGCACCATGTCAGCCTACTGCAACTTCCACCTCCTAGGTTCAAGTGATTCTCCTGCCTCAGCCTCCCAAGTAGCAGGATTATAGGCGCCCACCACCACACCCGATTAATTTTTGTATTTTTAGTAGAGATGGCGTTTCACCATGTCGGCCAGGCAAGTCTTGAACTCCCGACCTGAGGTGATCCGCCCTCCTTAGCCTCCCAAAGTGCTGGGATTACAGGCGTGAGCCACACCTGGCGGGATGGTTTTAATATGTATTGCAGCTGATGAATTATAAAAGCAATTGTTGCAAACTAAGCTTTATGATGTGCCTAAATCCTTTCAATGTTGCAAAAAAGTGTGCCTGTGACTACAGAAGAACTACTAGGTACTTAGTACTAGTAGTTACTACTAGTAGGTACTTAGTACTAGTAGTAGGTACTAGTACTTAGCTTATTTTCTAGGGAATCTTTAAAAGCTGCTTTTTGAATGCTGATAAAAGTCATAAATTAACAAAATATGAATAAAAATCACTTCAAAAAAATCAACTCAATTTTAATCTTAACTATTTTAATTCATTTACAATTTCTAATAAAAGGAAGCTCAGGATTGGTAGTCTATGAGTCACTAAAATCTATTTTTGTGTGCACAGTCTGGTAGTAATCTAAAGCTACTGTGCACAGAAAAACAGTTTCACGAATGTCTGGAAACTTAAGACTTACCAATGCAATCTGCTGTTTTATACGTTCTCGAGCTGCCCTATCTTCTGCTTTCTCTCTGTTTCTTTCCTCCAGCATTCTTTTTGTTAATTCTTCTTCTTGTTTTCTTTTATAATCCAACATTTCTTTTCCAGTTTTTCTCCTCTCAATTTCCTTCTTAATTTCTCTCTGAATTAAAGAAAAAGTTTTATGATCCAAAAACTTGATAATCTGCCCCAGATATTATTTTGAATGCAACGAAAACTGCAGTTAAAAGAATAAAACTTCATAAAATGTAAGTCTAGACGAGTTTATTAATGGCATGGTTAATGGTCAAATGTCTATCAATCTATAAATCATTGCCAATGGTCTGTTAAGATAATAATGTAGTCAGTGTAATTTGAAGGCAAGCATAATTACAGGTCTTTAGTCATGAGGGTAAATATATTACCCTTCAGGGACAACATGGCAGTCACGTATTTGGCTTGAATGAAATGGTAACCTTCCTATATTAGAACTCCAAAGACATGCTACACAGTTAGGTATACATGGTGAGAAAAATGAACCATGTGCTAGAATGCTTAACAGGAGAGGAAAAATTCAGCAAAATGTCTATACATTTTTTCACAAAAATGAACTAAAACTTTGTTCAACCTCAAGCCAAACATTTTAGCTCAAGTCCCTTTATTCTTAGTGTAAAAAAAAATCATTGCAGAGGGAAAAAGCATGGTCTAATTTATTCATAGTAATTTACGAAAAGAACACAAAAAATGTATATACTATGACTCTACTAGAGAAAACAGGAATTATCTTCATAGTGCTGCAACACTGAACTAAAACTATGAAGTCACCCTAGGCCTGCCACACTGAATAGAATAATCAATCACAACCTCAGTTAATGAGAGGACAAAACAATGCTAACTGCATGAACTTTACCTGTTCTTCCTCTTTTCTTTTCTCTTCTCTCCTTTCTTCAAGTTTTTTTGTTAGTCTGTATTAAAAAAAAAAAAACCACCACTAATTGAGACACATCATATTAATATAAAACACATTTAGGAGATGGATTTAGCTAAAACAATTGGAGAAATAAAGAAACAAACAAACAAAAAGCAAGCAACTATTTATCTGCCTGGCTTCAGGCCCCTACAGAAATCCTGGAGTCAACGAGAGCCCATCAGAAGCCTAGCTTCATTCTAAATGCCTCACTTCCCACTTATGATTAGTTTCCCTTTTTTTCTGATTTACCTGATATTGACTTTAAAATCTACAAATACATTTTCAAACAAATACATAAATCAGTGACTTATAAATGCTCTACTCCTTATATAAAACTAAACAGCACTATGGTAAAAAAAAAAAAAACCTGTAAAAATAAAAACTTAAGGCCAGCAAATTATTAATACCAAATTACTAACACCAACTTGATTCTCAACTGTAAGAAGTTCATCAGTTAAAAATGAATGGAGGCTGGGCACAGTGGCTCATGCCTGTAATCCCAGCACTTTGGGAGGGCTGAGGTTGGTGGATCTCTTGAGCTAAAGACCAGCTTGAGCAACATGGCAAAACTCTGTCTCTACAGAAAACACAAAAATTAGCCAGGCATGGTGGCGTGTGCCTGTAGTTCCAGCTACTTTAGGGGCTAAGGTAACAGAATTGCTTGAGCCGGGAGGTCGAGGCTGCAGCGAGTCACGTTCGCGTTACTGCATTCCAGCCTGGGTGACAAAGGGAGACCCTGTCTGAAATAAACAAACAAATGGAGGCTGGGTGTGGTGGCTCACATGTGTAATCTCAGCACTGCAGGAGGCTGAGGCAGGAGGATAGCCTAAGCCCTGGAGTTCGAAACCAGTCTGGGTAACAACTTGAGACCCCATCTTTACAAAAAATAAAAAATCAGGCTGGGCACGGTGGCTCAAACCTGTAATCAATCCCAGCACTTTGGGAGGCCGAGGCAGGCGGATCAATTGAGGTCAGGAGTTTGAGACTAGCCTGGCCAACACGGCGAAACGCTGTCTCTACTAAAAATAGAAAAACATCTGGGCGTGGTGGTGAGCGCCTGTAAACCCAGCTACTCGGGAGGCTGAGACAGGAGAATCGCTTGAACCTGGGAGGCGGAAGTTGCAGTGAGCCGAGATCATGTCACCGTACTCCAGCCTGGGCGAGAGTGAGACTCCGCCTCAGGAAAAAAAAATAATAATATAAAATCAGCTGAGCATGGTAGTGTAATGCAACGTAATGAAACCCCATCTCAAAAACTAATAAAATCGGCCAGGCACGGTGGCTCATGCCTGTAATCCCACCACTTTGGGAGGCCGAGGTGGGCAGATCACGAGGTCAGGAGTTTGAGACCAGCCTGACCAACATGGTGAAACCCTGTTTCCACTAAAAATACAAAAATTAGCCAGGTGTGGTGGCATGCGCCTGTAATCCCAGCTACTCAGGAGGCTGAGCCAGGAGAATCGCTTGAACCTGGGGGGCGGAGGTTGCAGTGAGCCGAGATGGTGAAACTGCACTCCAGCCTGGGAAACAAAGTGAGACTCCATCTCAAAAAAATAAAAAAATTTAAAAAATAAAATAATGATTCTGAAATTAGACAGTGGTAGTGGATGCACAACCTTGTGAATATACTAAAACTCACTGAATTGTACACTTTCAATTTCATGGTAGTGAATTATATTTCATTTTTTTAAATGAAAATGGTATTTTCTCTAAAAGTGTTTGGTGTATACCAAACTGAACAATGTGTGCCAGCAATCAAGGGAGTGAGTACTGTCAAAAAGCCAGAAGACCCAATATGAAGGGGATTCCAACAAGTCAAATTTGGGGCAATTTGTGCACCAAAAAGAATAGAGAAATGGATAGTAACACATGAGAGAAAAAAAAGCATCTGTGACATGTCTTAACTGCTAAGGGGAACTGTAAATTGGCCTAACCACTTTGGAAAGCTGTTTGATCACTATGTATAACCCAGAAATTCCCGCTTCTTCATATATATGCCCAAAAGAAATGTGTACACATGTTCACCAAGACATATACAAGAATATTCCTCATAGCAGTTCTATTCAAATAGCCCCAAACTGAAAACAATCCTAATGTCCACCAACAGTAGAATGGATTAATAAATCAAGGTAGAGTCAAACAGAATACTATAAAGCAATGAGAGTGCACCAATTACTGTGACATGCAACACGGATAAGCCTCAAAATACAAAGCTGAACAAAGGAGATCAAACACAAAAATACACGTTGCATGATTCCATCACAAAGTTCACAAACAGACAACTAACCTACAGTGTTCGATTCAGGATAGTGATCATCTTATGGAGGGAATCCATAATTGGGAAGGGGCATTAGGAAAGCTTATTAGGCACTGTTAATTTTCTTTCTTTCATTTTTTTTTTCCGAGACAAGGTCTCACTTTGTCGCCCAGGCTGGAGTGCAGTGGCACGATCTCGGCTCACTGCAACCTCTGCCTCCCGGGTTCAAGTGATTCTTCTACCTCAGGCTCCTCAGTGGCTGGGACTACAGATGCACACCCCCACGCCCAGCTAATTTTTGTATTTTTAATAGAGACAAGGTTGCACTGTGTTGGCAAGGCTGGTCTTGAACTCCTGACCTCAGGTGACCCGCCCACCTTGGCCTCCCAAAGTGCTGGGATTACAGGCGTGAGCCACCATGCCAGACTAGCACTGGTAATTTTCTATTCCTTCATCTGGGTGCTGGTGTCCAATAAGTAGTTTACTGGAAAAAGGGGGCGGGGGTGGGCAGATGGAAAGTAGAGGGGGTAGATCAAAGCATTTCTCTACAGAAGAATGCTAGCTGATAAATGTAGAAAAAAACAGAATGAGAAAAATACCACAATTTTTAAACATCAATGAAATAGGTGATTACAGCAAAAATCAATGAATGCTGAAACCACCGGGTGAAGTTTTTAAGCAGTAGGATATTTACCATTTGAATCACCCCATAGACAACTTATATATTAGAAAATGAAAAGGGTACCCAACAGACAACATCCTAACCAAATAATTAAACTTTACAGCTCCAATAATGCATACATCTCATATTACTTGTCTCCTGATATGAGTAATGGAAAGGACAAAACATTATCTTGGTAATGTTCTTATCAGAGTTTAACCTGAATCTAATGATAGAACAGGGAGCAGATCAAAGGACATTGTAGAAACAACTAACCTAGACTCTTCAAAATGTCTAAATCATGAAAAATGCAAACAAGAAGTGTCTTGGATTCAGAGCCTAAACTAAATGCAATGAACAATCCTTGACTGGATCTTGAATCAAGGGAAGAAAAGTTAAAAGGGCCATTATTGGAGCAACTGGGAAATCTGAATACGGACAAATTAGATAATCTTACTGTATCAATTGAGAATTTCTTGAGTATGATAATGGTATCGTGCTTGTATCTGAAAATATACACCATCTGAAAATGGTGTATAAACGTATTTATAGACCATCTGTAGAATTTTCTTCTGAGAAATACAAACGCAAGTTTGTTTTAATTTGGGTGAAAAGCTACACTGCATCTAATTTAATAACAAATTGACTGTTCCATAACTTCTACATTTGGGCTTCGACTTTTTTTTTTTTTTGAGATGGCTTTTCTCTCTTATTGCCCACGCTGGAGTGCAATGGCATAATCTCAGCTCACTGCAATCTCTACGTCCTGGGTTCAAGCAATTTTCCTGCCTCAGCCTCCCAAATAGCTGAGATTACAGGTACCCACCACTACGTCCGGGTAATTTTTGTATTTTTAGTAGAGACAGGGTTTCACCATGTTGCTCAGGCTGGTCTCGAACTCCTGACCTCAGTTGATCCACCTACCTCGGCCTCCCAAAGTGCTGGGATTACAGGCATGAGCCACTGTGCCGGGCTGGCATCTACTTCTTAATGGTCACTATGCCTGCTTGGGTGCCAGAAGGGGGCAGGACATGGGTCTGTGAGCACAGATCCCCAGATCCTGGCCTAGGATGGAGTCCCTGCTCAAAGCCCACAGACCCTCAGCCAATGTCTTCCTAGGAGCTGCATGCTGAGGTATCTAGGCATGAAGTGAAATTATGTCTGCAACTTTCAAATGAATCAGAAGAAAAAAAAAAAGAAAAAAATTAAAAGATGGCCATTACACTATTTTTTCAACGTTGAGGTTTGAAACTTATTCAAATAAAAAGACTAGAATTCATGGTAGTATATATTATCTTTGCCAGATAATTCTGCCCATTTTAAACATAATGACATGGCTGGGTGTGGTGGCTCATGCCCGTAATTCCAGCACTTTGGGAGGCCGAGGCGGGCAGATCACCTGAGGTCAGGAGTTCGAGACCAGCTTGACCAACATGGTGAAACCCCTGCCTCTACTAAAAATATAAAAATTAGCCGGGTGTGGTGGTGGGCACCTGTAATCCCAGCTACTCGGGAGGCTGAGGCAGGAGAATCGCTTGAATCTGGGAGGTGGAGGTTGCAGTGAGCCGAGATTGTGCCATTGCACCCCAGCTTGGGCGACAAGAGCAAAACTCCATCTCAGGGAAAAAAAAAAAAAACATAATGAAATAAACAAAATAATGCATTTTAACTAAAGATTCGCTAAAAGATTCCTATTTCACATCTGTTACTTTAGTGAAACATTGTATATCCTGGCCAGACGTGGTGGCTCAAGCCTGTAATCTCAGCACTTGAAGAAGCCAAGGCGGGTGGATTATTTGAGGCCAGGAGTTCGAGACCAGCCTGGCCAACATGGCAAACCCCTGTCTCTACTAAAAATACAAAAATTAGCCAGTCATGGTGGCGCATACCTGTAATCCCAGATACTCAGGAAGCTGAGGTACGAGGACCACTTGAACTGGGTGGAGGAGGTTGCAGTGAGCCGAGATCATGTCACTGCACTCCAGCCTGGCAACAGAGCCAGACTTCATCTCAAAAACAAACAAACAAAAAACCATCACAGGCGAGGTGCTGTGGCTCACACCTGTAATCCCAGCACTTTGGGAGGCCAAGGTGAGCAGATGACCTGAAGTCAGAAGTTCAAGACCAGCCCAGCCAACATGGCGAAACCCTGTTGCTACTAAAAATATTTTAAAAATTAGCCGGGTGTGGTGGTGCATGCCTGTAATCCCAGCTACTTGGGAGGCTGAGGCAGGAGAATCGCTGGAACCCGGGAGTCAGAGGCTACAGTGAGCCAAGATCATGCCACTGCACTCCAGCCTGGGCAACAGGGCAAGACTCTGCCTCATAAATAAATAAATAACCATTGTATATCCATTAATATTAAAAATAAAAACTTAGATCTCACAATTTCAAATCACCAATCCGTTTTTTTTTAATTATGTTTACTTGACAAAATGCAGCTCAAGATTGAAGGACTATGTTCTTATGTACAAGATAGGATGAATTTCTCACTAATGTCAATTTGATTTAGTCACCCTTTCCCTTAACAAAATTAGTTTTCTTTGAAGCTAGATGAGAAAAAAGCCTAAGACTTAAAGTCAACTACAGTAATTAGTTTTCCAAAAACATGGTCTTTGGAAATAGATCTCAGTTTCAACTGTAGCCTGAGAGGAAAGTAAGAATCTTACATTTGCTAATCCATCCTGCTTTATTTTTTATTTTATTTTATTTTATTTATTTTGAGACGGAGTAGCACTCTGTCACCCAGGCTGGAGTGTAGTGGCATGACCTTGGCTCACTGCAACCTCTGCATCCCGGGTTCAAGCAATTTTCCTGCCTCAACCTCCTGAGTAGCTGGGACTACAGATGCGTGCCATGCCCAGCTAATTTTTGTATTTTTCTAGTAGAGACAGGGTTTCGCCACGTTGGCCAGGCTGGTCTTGAACTCCCGGCCTCAAATGATCCACCCATCTCAGCCTCTCAAAGTGCTGGGACTACAGGCGTGATCCACCATGCCTGGTCTTATTTATTTACTTTTTGAGACAGAGTCTTGCTCTGTCACTCAGGCTGGAGTACAGTGGTGTGATCATGGCTCACTGCAGCCTTGACCTCCTGGGCTCAGGTGATCCTCCCACCTCAGCCTCCTGAGTAGCTGGGACTACAGGTGTGCACCACCTCACCCAATTAATTTTTGTATTTTTTTGTAGAGATGGGGTTTTGCCATGTTGCCCAGGCTGGTCTCTATTTTCTGGGCTCAAGCAAACCACCTGTCTCAGCCTCCCAAAGTGCTGGGATTACAGGCGTGAGCCACCACTCACAGCCCCTGCCAAATTTTAACTCTGAATTTTTAATTTGTATGAAATAGATTTTAAAATACCATCAAGGTCAGAGAAAAATGCATGAATTTTGCTTTATAGAACTTCATATAATTCTAAAATATCAGATTACACAACAGGGACTGATGGGTCCAACTTAACCAGGCTGAGAAAAAGCACTTCAGTTCAGAGAGACAGGGAAACTAGTAGTTTCACAGTTCAATACCCTGCAAAAGATGGCAGGGGATGAGTTAGTTGAGGGCACAAGAGCTTCACAGTCTATGGCAGGGGATGGTGAGAACGATGGCAACTCTTAGGGTATAAATAATGAGCTAAGTGGACATTTGGAATGGGAATATTACATACGCTGGTGTTATTAGTTATTGTCATTGTCAATGAATCAGATTCCACAAAAGGAACAAGATTCCTAATTTGGCATGAACGCAGATGAATAAAATGCAGGATCTCAGCTTGTGAATTAATTAGTACTATGACACAGGCAGACACTAGCTGACATTCCCCTACATAAGAATGGAGGCTATTAAAAACTTTTTCCAGTATAACTAAATAGCGCCTGACCCCACCTCAAAATAAAGGGCTACCTGATGTAATTCAGGTTTTTGCCCCAAGTCTCCAAACCCTTTTCCAGATTTTTTATTTTCACTTCAGCCCAGAGTGGTGCAAATAAAGGTACAGAGTAGTGGGCCTGGTGTTAGCAAATCAGAAAGAAGCAAAACAGGATGAACCCTTGGGAACTTAAGTTTCCTGCTGCTATTCTTCTAGGCTTATACCACTTTCCTCACCACTGTGAGGTCCAGCCTGCTTTTCACCTCAAGGTCTGGGCACTGCCCCTTCCCCTACAAAGAACAATCAGAATCTAGGTTTTGCTGAAAAGAAGCTGATCTTTACTGAGTCACAAGCAAACTCAAAGACAATATCAGCAATCACTTTGAACCCTGTTTCCCCGAAGCATCTATGTGAACAAGAAAATATCAAGTCTCTCTAAGGAAGGTTTTTTTAAAAAAATTTTTAAATGCTAAGGAATTTTTTTAAACTTCCATATAACTAACGCTAAAGGGGTTTAAATCAGGGTTTAAAATATTCCCGCTTAACCACTAATTATTAACTCATGTAGGAATCACAGCATAAAAGACTATGATTTGACAATTACTGTATCATTAAAAATACTAGAAACTACAAAGAGCCAGAAATTTGTATCTGATTATTAGACCAACTAATGAAAAATGCCACTTAGTAGACACCCACTTATGCAGAACTTAAGCTCAGTACATAGTCATGAAATAAGCTGAAGTTCTTGCCCATCTGGAGCTTATTATCCTTATGGCATAGAGATAAAAGCAGAAGTGACAGATGGAAACACCCATGTACCAAAATACCATTAAAAAGGGGATTCTTAGAATGATCAGACCAAAAGCTGACTGGTGACTTCAGACATACATGAAAACTTTACACTTAGAGTGTAATGTTTATGGATACAAATTAGTTAGGTGATCAAAAATTTCAACTCAGAATTCTAAAACTTCATTTGTATAACTTTAGCTTTAATTCAAATTAATGAAATAACTGAAAACCACTGTCTTTTTAAACAAAATGCTATTTGCAAAAAGAAGAGCAAACCTTTCCACTCGGATGTTGAGGTCCTCTGCAGGTCTCTGATCTGAGCATCCACTAGGCTCCTGAGAGGAAGTGGCATGGCCTGCACTTTCTCCTCCTTAATTATTAAATAAAAAGAAATAAGAATACTGCATTTAATGCAACTTTTTAAAGGAATAAATCTTTCAGATTATAGCATCTGTTAATAATTTTATATCTTAAGCATTATATATTTTCCCTAAAAATGGAGAAGGAGCTAAATATGCTATTACTAATCCTAAAGTTTAGACGTGGATAAAATTGTTCACAAATAGAAATAAAGCAGTTACCGAGTTAAAATCACCAAGGTAAAGGTCAGATGTAAAACATGAATAACAATCTGGCAGGAGGCATGCCTGGCTATGGGTAGCCTTCACTCTAGAGCAGTGCCCTCCAATATCTATACTGTCTAACACAGCAGCCACTAGACAAGCGGCTGTTGAACATCTAAAATGAGGTTACTGCCAAGTGAGGGACAAATTTTAGTTGTAATTAATTTTAATTAAAATGTGGCTGTGGCTATTGAGCAGTGAGCAATACAGGCCAGGTTTGATCCTGGGTATGGCTCTGGACTTACACTGGTCCAAGGAATCTGCTTCTGCTGACCAGAGTGGTTCCTTAGAGAGCCTCTTTATGCTAGTTTTCTTTGAAGGATTTCCTGAAAGATAGACTTTTGTCCTAGCCTATTCTACAAGACCTCTGTCATTCCCTTCCTTACAACTTGCCACCAACCTGATTCTTCTTTACAGTCTTTGGCGAACAAGGACTCTGGAGCCACACAGTCATTTCAGTAAGTTCCTTAATACCTCTGTATCTCATCAGTAAAATGGGGATAGTAACCTCACACGGTTGTTATAAGAAATACGTGTTAATACAAGTAAAATGCTTAGAACTTAACTGAGACTGGCACATGGTAAGCATTTTCGTTACTACAGTAGTAGTAAAAATAATTAGTATGACTAAGTAGAGACGATGGTGCATATCTCTTCTCCCTCCCCATTCAGGGGCATAACCTAGGTAGCTTGAAATCAACAAAGTGGGAGTATTTACACCTGGGAAATTAGCAAATACTACAAATATGGGCCTTTGCTTCCACAGATCCTTCTGATAAATGTTTACCAGTGTATCACTGAATGCAACTCTTGGATAAGAAGTGGTAACCACTAGCAGCCAGTAGAGGCTCAATAGGAAATTAACCACCTTTCTTTAGCAAATAAAATAAATGCTGAGGACATGTCTTATTATCAGCAAAAATTTAACATCTTATGAAGATAACCTGTGGACAAGCTGGGGGAAAAGTGTTGAATAAGAGTACAGTTAGGTGAATCTATGACTCATAATTAAAGAGAAATGGAAAGATGTCATATAGAGGAAGATTTCCAATTGTATGTCACAGAGTTCTCTGCCTTTGGTATTTCATAAATGACTTGAAGATGTAAAATATAAATTTGTAACTTTTTTTTTTTGAGACATGGTCTAGCTTTGTTGCCCAGGCTGGAGAGCAGTGGCATGATCTTGGCTCACTGCAACCTCCGCCTCCTGGGATCAAGCCATCTTCCTACTTCACCCTCCCTAGTAGCTGGGGCCACCAGTGCACGCTACCATGCCTGGCTAATTTTTGTATTTTGTATGGAGACTGGGTTTTGTCACACTGCCGAGGCTGGTCTCGAACTCCTGAGCTCAACTGATCTTGGCCTCCTAAAGTACTGGGATCACAGGCATGAGCCATTGTACCTGGCCCATGTGTAACTTTATGGGTGACCCAAAATTGTGTGAAATAGCTTATTAACACTCATATTTAACTGCTAATTCCTAAATGAAAAATTCTAGGTCGGGTATGGTGGCTCACACCTGTAGTCCCAGCACTTTGGGAGGCCGAGGCAGGTGGATCATTTGAGGTCAGGAGTTTGAGACCAGTCTGGCCAACATGGTGAAACCTCATCACTACTAAAAATACAAAATCAGCTGGGCATGGTTGCGGGTGCCTATAATCCCGGCTACTTGGAAGGCTGAGGTAGAAGAATCACTTGAATTTGGGAGGTGGAGGCTGCAGTGAGCCAAGATAGCGCCACTGCACTCCAGCCTGGGAGACAGAGCGAGACTGTCTCAAAAAAAAAAAAAAAAAAAAAATTCTGGATTGAAAAAACACCTCAATAAGCTAAAACAACTGATAAAAATCCAAATATAATAAAAATGTATTGAGAAGTTCCGCCTTTAGGCTTAAAAAGCCAACTGGAATAACAGGCATAATGTATCTCCTGAGAGAAATATACATCATCATCTACAAAGTAGTCTTGTCAAAAAGAATAATGAAGCTGACTTGATCAAGTCTGTAGCTTTACCAATTTAGAGGAATAAAGGGGATAGAGGAACATCTTACACAATTCCATGGGGATGCAGTAAAATCCAGACTGTGGAAAACTATAGGAAAAACTACCAGGGAGAGCAGAAATCTATATATTAAATTTAAAAACACATCAACCAATAGCAATATATCGAACTGTAACTCAAACTGAAAAAAAGTATAATATAAATATTGCCTAGATAATTGATGACAAAAAGGATTACTATTAAGCTTTCTGGCTTTGATAATAGTATTGTTGTTATTTTTAAAAATTTCTTATCTTTTAGATATTGATATTTTAAAAGATGAAATCATACAAATGCCTGAGATTTGCTTCAAAATAACCTGGAAGGGTGGTCATATAGGGAGACAGATAACAAAAACCGAGCAAATAATGGGAATCACTGACGCAGGATGATGAGTACCTCGAGTTCGTTATTCTGTTCTCTCTACTTTAGAATATGCTTGCAAATTTCCATAATTAAAATTTATTTTGGCTGGGCGCAGTGGCTTACGCCTACAATCCCAGCACTTTGGGAGCTGAGGCAGGCGTATCACCTGAGGTCAGGAGTTCGAGGCCAGCCTGGCCAACATGGTGAAACCCCGTCTCTACTAAAAATACAAAAATTAGCCGGGCATGGTGGTGCACGCCTGTAGTCCCAGCTACTCGGGAGGCTGAGACAGGAGAATCACTTGAACCTGGGAAGTGGAGGTTGCAGTGAGCCGAGATCACGCCACTGCACTGCAGCCTGGCCAACAAAGTGAGACTCTGTCTCAAAAAAAAAAAATTATTTTAAAAGGCAACTATATATAATCTTAAAAGATTTATATTCCTTTCTTATATTTTAGAGATACATATTGAAATATTTTACCTGAGATTTGTTCTAAATAAGTTGAAAAAGAAGAGGAGTGGAGGGCACAGATGAGAATATTGGCCATGAAGCTAGGCAATGGATTAATGGGGTTTTCTTATACTATTTTTTTCTACTTCTATGTATGTTTGAAATTTTCCATAATAAATAGTTTTAAAAAGCTACAGGCCTGGATCCAATGACTCATGCCTGTAATCCCAGCACTTTCAGAGGGCAAGGCAGGAGGATTACTGGAGGACAGGAGTTTGAGACAGCCTAAGCAACATAGTGAGACCCCATCTCTGCAAAGAATATAATTAAAAAATTAGGCTGGGCGTGGTGGCTCATACCTATAATCCCAGCACTTTGGGAGGCCAAGGCAAGCAGATCACCTGAGGTCAGGAGATTGAGACCAGCCTGATCAACATGGAGAAACCCCGTCCCTACTAAAAATACAAAATTAGCCAGGCATGGTGGCGCATGCCTGTAATCCCAGCTACTCAGCAGGCTGAGGCAGGAGAATCGCTTGAACCTAGGAGATGGAGGTTGTGGTGAGCCAAGATTGTGCCATTGCACTCCAGCTTGGGCAACAAGACCAAAATTCCATCTCAAAAAAAAAAAAAAAATTAGCCAGGTGTGGTGGTGCACACCTGTAGTCCTAGCTACTCAGGTGGCTGAAGCAGGAGATCACGTGGGCCAGGAGTTGGAGATTATAGTGAGCTATGTTTGTGCCACTGCACTCCAGCCTGGGTGACAGAGCCAGACCCTGCAGACACATTTTTGTAGAGACAGAGTTTTGCCGTGTTGTCCAGGCGGGTCTCAAACTCCTGGGCTTAAGCAATCTGCCCACCTTGGCCTCTCAAAGTGCTGGGATTATAGGTGTGAACAACCACACCTGACCAAAAAAAAAAAAAAATTTTTTTTAAGCTAAAAAAAAACTGAGATTAGAGCTGCTACTCACCTCAGGTAAGCCAGAGCTTGCAGTTTTAGTCTAGCCAAGTTAATTGTCTACTAAAACAAAAACAACACTCTTTGCAGGAATATAATGAAATCCAGAGTGTCTACAACAATGTACAAGATACAATCCAGCATTTTTTGACATATGAACAAACAAGAAAATGTGACCCATTCTAAAGGGTAAAGGTGATCAACACAAGCCAATCCTCAGATGAGCTAGATATTGAAACTGTCAGACAAAGACTTTAAAGCAGCCATTATAACTCAAATGAGGAAAAGGGAAATACACTTGAAATGAATTAAAAGAATAAAACGTAGATGAAGAGTACTCATTCTGCACAACTTCTGTAACTTATGAGTCAAACTATTTCAAAATAAAAAGTTATAATAAGAGAGAAAGAAATAGAAATCCTACAACTAAAAAATGTATAACATAATTTTATCTAAAATAAAAAATTCACTGGATGGGCTTAACATCAGAATGGAGATGATAAAGAGTCAGTGAACTTGCAGATCAACAGAATTATCCAATCCAAAGAAGAAAAAATAAGTGTGAAAAAATAAACCTGTGGGACAATACCATGAAGCCTAATATACATGTAATTCATTCCAGCAAGATATATGGACCAAAATTCCCAAACTTGGTGAAAGTCACACATTTACAGATGTAAGAAACTAGGCAAACCAAACACAGGATAAATACAAAGAAAAATACACTTAGGCATATCACAGTCAAATTGCTAAAAACCAAAGAAAGAAAGAAATCCTGAAAGCAGCCAGAGAAAAGCAACATACTCCTTACAGGGGGGAACAATCAGAATTTGTGGAGACTTCTCATTAGAACACTATGAAGACCAGAAGACGGTGGACAATACCTGTAACTGTAAACAAAAATTTTTATATCCAGCAAAAATATCCTTCCAGAATGAAGATAAAACAAAGTCATTTCACATAAAGAAAACTCCAGACCTGTACAATAAGTAATGCTAAAGGAAAATTTTCAGGCTGAAAGAATATTATACCAGAGGGAAACATGTGTCTATCTTCAAAATGGAATGAAGAATTTTGGAAATGATATATATCCAGGTAAATACAATTAAAGTAATTATTCTGTCGTAGACCTAAATGAACATCCATAATAGAGTCCCCCCGTTCCGTACACATCCAGAAGTTGAATGATCCATCCGATGTAAAACCTCAAAATGAGACAAATAGCTGTATTTCAAATATTCAAAACCTGTCATGTGTAACTCCACAAGGCAGCATTAATGTTAACAGGAAGTTATGGGGCATCAAATTTCAGCTCAATATAAGGAAGACTCTTTCTAAAAACTAGAGCTGTTCAACAACAGAACAGGCTTCCTAGCAAGGTAATGAGCTTCCCATCATTGAATGCATTCAAATAGAAGCTTGATGATTATTTGTGTGGGATGCTGGAGTAGATTCATCTTTTAGGACACTAATATCCTAACATCTTGATTTATTTACCCCTCGGTTGCCTAATACAAAGCTATATTACACCAAACAACTCCAACCACAATCCCAAAAATTTCTCTTTTGCCTTTTCTATCAATGAGTTTACAGTCACACCTCTTACTTCTACAAGCTCTATTTCATAATTATCTTTTACCTCTAATCAAAAAAAATATATATAACACTATTCTCTTAAATTTATATAGCTTTTTACATGTTATAGAAACAATTCCAAATATAATACTTTAGTTCATTTGAAACTTTCCAAATTCTCTAGGCTAGTAAGAGATTTATAAAACTGCTCAGTGTCATGACATTCCTTGAAGCATGCAGCGCAATAGCAGAAATTATAAATCAATTGCTCTGGATTGTTGACTATTTGGGAGTTGAGCTGACATTCACTGACTTTATTGTCTTCTGCCACTAAATGACACATGTGTATTTAATATGACTCTTAAATTTTAAGTTAAATAAATGTGAAGAAAAATACATACAATATATTTTTAAAATATTAATATTTAAATATTAAAATGTAGTGAAGGAGCTTCTATTGCACTCAAAAAGGTACATTAAAAGTTACCTGTTGCAGTATCTGACTTTGTATCAGAAGTGGGTGGTATCTCACAAAGCTCTGCATTTCTGGACTGAGAGTTTTCACAAGTGTTGTTAGGTTCAAATGACGCAGATGGAGTAGACACTGAACTTTCTGACTGACTGCCATTTGCTACTGATGTTTCACTTTTTAGCAAATGCATCTAGGCAGAAAATAAATTGGATTTTAATTAATAGATAAGAATCTAAACTTACCATGGCAGTAGAGACCAAAATACAGGTTGATTTATACTCTATAAAAAGAGAAATACGAAATGCTCATAAATAGATGAATCCAAAATGTATAATCCTAAGTATGATATAATCACATTATGGAATTTACCTGCAAGCTGGCAAGACCATAAAAACATTTGTTAAAGCACACTATTGATTTTCCCTCAAATTAGAATTCAAAGAAAAAAGTTACAAACTTCTACCAGCCATTTGTCCAAAGTAGACAGAAATGATTAATTATTGAGTATAACGTCCTTAAAATATATTAAGCAATATATAGTTAGAGCCTTAATATGACAGCAACTTTCTCTTTCAACAAAGTTATGGTGATATTCATTATGTGTTGAGACTGGGGTAAAAGATGGCTAGGTGTGGTGGCTCATGCCTGTAATCCCAGCACTTTGGGAGGTCAAGGCGGGCAGATCACTTGAGGTCAGGAGTTCAAGACCAGCCTGGCCAACATGGCAAAATTCCGTCTCTACTAAAAATGCAAAAATTAGCTGGGCATGGTGGCATGCGCCTGTAATCCCACCACTGGGGAGGCTGAGGCAGAAAAATCGCTCGAACCCGGGAGGTAGAGATTGCAGTGAGCTGAGATCAGTCCACTGCACTCCAGCCTGGGCAACAGAGACTCCATCTCAAAAAAATAAAAAAATAAAGAAAGGTAAAGAAGTCAGTCAAGTATTAGGTACTGGCTACTGGCACCTGTAACTTCATGCTATTTACAAAAACAGGTGACAAAGACAGTACTTACTACCTTTTAAGATTTTTGGCATGGCAGTTTCCTGAATATACAGAGGGGCTCCAAAAATATTCCAATGTTAGGAAGGGTGCGGTGGCTCACACCTGTAATCTCAGCACTTTGGGAGGCCGAGGCGGGCAGATCACCTGAGGTCAGGAGTTTGAGACCAGCCTGGCCAACATGGTGAAACCCTGTCTCTACTAAAAATACAAAAATCAGCTCAGTGTGGTGGCAGGTGCCTGTAATCCCAGCTACTTGGGAGGCTGGGGCAGGAGAATCACTTGAACCTGGGAGGCGGAGGCTGCACTTGAGCTGAGATCACACCACTGCACTCCAGCCTGGGCGACAGAACGAGACTCCATCTCAAAAAAAAAAATCCAATTCCTGACGTACCATTTACGGAAACAACAGTTCTGTTCCTTCTTACCTGTCGGACCTTGTGAATTCTTGTAACAAGTTCATCTGCAGAAACACTTCCTGCTATTACTTCCAAGGGAATTCCACTGTCTCCAATAAAGAAACTGGATGGAACACACACTACAGGATCTGTACAGTTTAATGAAGTCTAACAATTCATGTGAAACGAAAGGATAGTTTTACGAAACACTATTGGTAACAAAGGAAAACAAATGATCTTTGTGATTTTCACAATATAATCTAACATTTATTAAATAATTTCAAGTACTGCATCATTATACCTGTAGTATTAATACATGTGACATGTTAATTTATGAGGTATATTCTAGTGAAGAATCTACTACATTCTCCTCTATCATAACTTCCTTTTCTATCCATCTTGCTGCCAGCTGCCTCTTGCAAGCTACTTGTAACATTCCAACCCAACTGATCTATATTGTTTTTCAGATATTCACATTTTAAAAACTCCCTATCCTATCTTTAGCTGCAATATATTATCTCAATGTATGGGGTGCACTACACCATTGAGTTACTTTTATATATGTTTGAAATTTCCTATAATAACATTTTTTTTAAATGAGGACACTTAGTAATAAAGTTTCCATAAAAAAGAATGTATGATTTCCTAAATAAAAATGAATAATTTCTAAATTTCATAAATTAACCAAAAGGAAGGTAAATAAATGTATATATATAAGCCATTCTTTACTGAAAGGATACAGATTTGTGAAAACTGTAGGCAGGCTTCACTGTAAAACAAAATCAAACAAAATCACTAGATGAATGCAAGTATTTTCTAAATACTGAGTTGTTTTAATAAAATTTACTGTACCAATCACAAGTATTTTCCTGCAACTACCAGTTTCTTTCACAGCAATCAGGTTGAAGGAGAAAAATATAATTCTTATTTCATTAAGACTTTTTCTGGTTTGTTTTATAATTTTCAAATGAAAGAATTATTTGTGGCTTGGCATGGTGGCTCATGCCTGTAATCCCAGCATTTTGGGAGGCCGAGGCAGGCAGATCACTTGAGATCAAGAGTTCGAGACCAGCCTGGCCAACATGGCGAAACCCCGTCTCTACTAAAAATACAAAAATTAGCTGGGCATTGTGGCAAGTGCCTGTAATCCCAGCTACTTGGGAGGCTGAGGCAGGAGAATCGCTTGAACCCAGGAGGTGGAAGTTTCAGTGAGCCAAGATTGCACCATTGCACTCCAGCCTGGGCAACAAGAGCAAAACTCTGTCTCAAAAAAAAAAAAAAAAAAAAAAAGGCCGGGCGTGGTAGCTCACAGGTATAATCCAAGCACTTTGGGAGGCCAAGGCGGGTGAATCACAAAGTCAGTAGTTGAGACCAGCCTGGCCAACATGGTGAAATCTGGTCTCTACTAAAAATGCAAAAATTAGCTCGGCGTGGTGGCACACACCTGTAATCCCGGCTACTCAGGAGGCTGAGGCAAGAGAATCGCTTGAACCTGGTAGGCAGAGGTTGCAGTGAGCCAAGATCGCGCCACTGCACTCCAGCCTGGGCAACAGAGTGAGACTTCATCTCAAAAGAGAAAGAACTATTTGCTCTTACAACCCACAAGCTAGTGGCTGCATCTGGTAGCTAAAAAATTAATTTGGTATCTGCCATGCTGCTTCCTCAGCAGACAAGTATACCTGAATACAATATCTTAACCTGGAACACGAAGACATAAGGCCTACGACTTACTTAGGCATGTGATAATGTAATACTCTATAATAACAAAGGATTAAAAGCAATCTATATACCAATAAAAACTGAATAATTATGCAATCACAAAAAAAGGCAGGCCAGCACTGTGGATCACATCTGTAATCCCAGCAATTTGGGAGGTCAAGGCAGGTGGACACGAGGTCAGGAGTTCGTGACCAGCCTGGCCAACATGGCGAAACCCTGTCTCTACTAAAAATACAAAAATTGGCCTGGCGTGGTGGCTCACGCCTGTAATCCCAGCACTTTGGGAGGCCGAGGCAAGTGGATTATGAGGTCAGGAGTTCGAGTCCAGTCTGGCCAACATAGTGAAACTCCCTCTCTACTGAAAATACAAAAAATTAGCTGGGTGTGGTGGTGTGCACCTGTAATCCCAGCTACTCGGGAGGCTGACACAGGAGAACTGCATGAACCCAGGAGGCGGAGGTTGCAGTGAGCCGAGATCATGCCATTGCACTCCAGCTCAGGGTACAATGTGAGACTCTGTCTCAAAAAAAAGAAAAGAAAAAGGTATAGAAAAGTATGTCAAAATGCTATTAATACTATTTTTGTAAAACATGGAAGGAAAACAAACATAAATATATTTTCTTGATTTGGTTCCCTCCAGAGAAGGGAGCTGAGTGGTCAGGGATGGGAGAGAGAATTTATAAGATTAGTAAGAGATACTCATCAATGTAGATGCTTCCAATAATCAAACAAATGCTTCTAAGAACTAGAATTTGCTTTTTTCCCTCAAATATAAAGCATTATTATCATAAAAACATTTAAAAACATAGTAAAAAATCAAGAAAAAAAATTACCCAAAATCCTACCATTTCAGAAATAATTGTAAACTTTTTACGCATTTCCTACTAATCTATTTTCAATGCACGCTATCTCCAAAAATACATACACACTAAAATGATCCCAAAACATTGGGTGACTTAGTTATTATGAAATGAAGAAAATTTATTTTCCATAATTTAAAGGCACACTAGATTCTATCAGCATGCAGTCTACAGTGAAACAAACATGAACCATCACTATATGCAGGTATCCCTGCATCTGCTAATAGAAATTTGTTTTTAAGGCCAGGCACGATGGCTCACACCTGTAATCCCAGCACTTTGGGAGGCCGGGGCAGGTGGATCACGAGGTCAGGAGATCGAGACCATCCTGGCTAACACTGTGAAACCCCATCTCTACTAAAACTATTTTAAAAATTAGCCAGGCATGGTGGTGGGCGCCTATAGTCCCAGCTACTTGGGAGGCTGAGGCAGGAGAATGCCGTGAGCCCGGGAGGCGGAGCTTGCAGTGAGCCAAGATCACGTTACTGCACTCCAGCCTGGGCTACAGAGCGAGACTCCGTCTCAAAAAAAATAAAAAATAAAAAAAAGTAATTTATTTTTAAAAATGCCAGACACGGCCGGGCACAGTGGCTCATACCTGTAATCCCAGCACTTTGGGAGGCTGAGGCGGGCGGATCACGAGGTCAGGAGATCGAGACCATGGTGAAACCCCGTCTCTACTAAAAATACAAAAAAAAAAAAAAAATTAGCCGGGCATGGTGGCGGGCACCTGCAGTCCCAGCTACTCGGGAGGCTGAGGCAGGAGAATGGCGTGAACCCGGGAGGCGGAGCTTGCAGTGAGCCGAGATCACGCCACTGCACTCCAGCCTGGGCGACAGAGCAAGACTCCGTCTCAAAAAAAAAAAAAAAAAAAAAAAAAAAAAAAAAAAAAAGCCAGACACATCAGTCTGTATACAATCTCAAGAATTCTGGAATTCTCATGTATTGCACATTCCCTATAAATCCCTATATTCTTCTTGCCACTGCCAACTCTCAAAGGTGCTTCAGGAAGGTGATGAACAATAAAAAAAAAAAGATATACTTAAATTGACAGATTCTGTTTTTTAAAAACTACTCAGTAAATACATAGTTCAGTAACTGTTGTGAGACAGGCTATACTACGACTTGATGTTTTTGTAAACACAGAAAATTTTTACATAAAGTTTACAAACTTATAGGCAAATTTCTGAATTTATTTTTTTATTTTTATTTTTATTTTTTTTGAGACGGAGTCTTGCTCTGTTGCCCAGGCTGGAGTGCAGTGGTGCAATCTCGGCTCACTGCAAGCTCTGCCTCCCGGGTTCACAGCATTCTCCTGCCTCAGCCTCCCGAGTAGAAATTTCTGAATGCTTTAATCTTGACAGTGATTTTCAAACACATTATTCATTCTGATAGTATCAATATCAAAAAGACAGGAATACCACTTTGTAAGTGCTAATGAATTAATGTTTTCAGCACCAGGCACAGTGAAGCATGCCTGTAACTACAGCTATTTGGGAGGCTGACATGGGAGGATCTCTTCAGTCCAATATTTTAAGACCAGCCTGGGCAACATAGTGAAATCCTGCTTCAAAGAAAAAAATAAATAATAATGTTTTTAGGTAATGATCACTGATAGCTGCTAACATCATAAAGAGAGAAAACAGGGTATTATCTGTCTTCTGATGGAAGACACATCACTACCTATGAAGTAGTCTTAGGACAGGATGAGGGGAGGGGAAACAAACCTGAATCTACCTATCAATACAGAAAACAGGAAAGAACCAACTTGACACTAACACATTGCAGTCAACAAAATCCATACTGTAGGAAACCACAGAACAAATGTATAGAACAAATGACCTGGTGTCTTTAAAATATAAATTCCAAGGAGCAGGGGAGTTGGAGGAGAAGCCTACATACTGAGAGAAATCAATGCTTCCTAATGTGTGGCCCTTGAATAATTTTGAACTAAAAAACTGCAATAAAGTAATAAAACTATGACTTTGATGAGACAACTGAAAAGTCGAACACTGGCTGGTTATTTGATATTAAAGAATTATTATTAGTTTGTGAAGTATTAATATTATAGTTATGCTTAAAAAATTAACAATACTTATACTTCAGAGACATACTAAAATATTTATAGATGAAGTGATACAGTGACTGTGATTTGTTTCAAAATTATTTGGATTGAGTGGAAATGGGTGGAGGTATAGATGAAACAAGACTGACCATGAGTTAATTACCAAAGCTAGTAGACAAGTACATGGGGTACATTACACTGTTACATTACTTTCATATATGTTTGAAACTTCCTATAACAAAAATTTTTTTAAAAGATGGGGAGGAGGAACGGAGAAACAAAATAGACTTGTGGACATCAGGTACTTTGAGGAACCTATAAATGTCCTTATTTCCACTGATTAAATGACTCCATTCCCAAAAATAGGATTCAAGACAGTAAGTGATCAACCTCTCAGAGATATTCAATGTATGATTTACCATTACTTCCAAGTTTTTAGAAGCTGGAGATGACTGTTCTTTTTGCATTCCTGGTACATGTTAGATGGCTGCTTGGTAGAGTAGGAAAGCTTAAAGTTTTTTCAGCAGGATTCATGATGAATTTAGCAAACGGCAGTCAGAATTTAAGTTCCTAATATGCCTTAGATACCCAAAAACATAGCATAAACATTCTTTTTTTTTTTTTGAGATAGTCTTGCTCTCTCGCCCAGGCTATAGTGCAGTGGTGCAGTCACTGCTAACTGCAGCCTCAACTTCAACCTCCTGGGCTCAAGTGATCCTCTTACCTCAGCCCCCCGAGTAGCTGGGATTACAGGCGTGTGCCACCACACCCGGCTAATTTTTGTATTTTTTTTTTTAGTAGAGACAAGGTCTCACTGTGTTGCCCAGACTGGTCTCAAACTCCTGACCTCAAGTGATCCGCCTGTCTTGGCCTCCCAAAGTTCTGGGATTACAGGCATGAGCCACTGTGCCTGGCCTATATTCTTTTTTTTTTTTTTTTGAGACAGAGTTTGACTCTGTCACCCAGGCTGGAGTGCAGTGGCATGATCACAGCTCACTGTAGCCCCAGTCTTCAGGGATCAAGTGATCCTCCCCTCAGCCTCCCAAGTAGCAGGACCAAAGGCACACACCACACTCCTAATTTTATTATTATTTTTTATAGAGACAGGGTCTCACTATGTTGCCCAGGCTAGCCTCTAACTCCTGGGCTCAAGCGATCCTCCCACCTCAGTCTCCCAAAGTGCTGGGAGTGCCCAGCCCAACATCAACATTCTTCTAGTCCAAGAGTATCACTATAAATCAAAGACAATACTTATAAATTTTAAAATTAATAAAATATTAAAACATAAACAAACCTTTTGGTATCGATTTTAATAGCAACAAAACTGTTTGAAGATGCTTCTGTAACTTTATCATCTTCCCAACTTGCAGCCATCTGTGTAGACTGTTCATCATCACCTGTAAAACATTTCAAAAATTCTTATACCAGGCTGGGATCTGCTGATTGCAAACTCTTTTCCCCTGGAAAACGGAAACCTCAAATAAAATATAATCCCACCTATACCACTTTCTGCCAAATTTGAAAACTGAATTTTCCACTAAATGAAAAGTGTGACTGCATACACAGTTCACATCATGAAGAGCAATGAAAACAAACTACACTGGACTATTTAAATGATACAAAATATTTCATAAAAGAAGCCATCTAAATTATGATGCGCAAAGTACCACAATAATAAGCAGTCATCGGTGCAGTGCCTATTTGGGCTTTTGTACATAAGATTTTATTAAAATAAAAGTTGTGGGCTGGGCTCGGTGGCTCACGCCTATAATCTCAGCACTTTGGGAGGCTGAGGCGGGTAGATCACCTGAGGCCAGGAATTCGAGACCAGACTGGCCAACACGGTAAAACCCCATCTCTACTTAGCCAGGTGTGGTGGCGCATGCCTGTAATCCCACCTACATAGGAGGCTGAGGCAGGAGAATTGCTTGCACTCGGAAGGTGGAAGTTGCAGTGAGCGGAGATTGCACCACTGCACTCCAGCCTGGGTGACACAGTGAGACCGTCTAGAGAGAGAGAAAAATAAAAAGTTTGATATCTGTCCTTTATGTGGCACCTTTCTGTTGAGTTCAACATCTCCACTCCACAGCATTTATACTCCAAAATTAATCCAAGGTAGACAGAGGCAGGTACAATTCTGTTTGCAATTTTAGACTTGCCTTTTATTGTAGGTATGCTAATTATAAAAGGTATGCTAACCTATAACTAATCTATGGTGATAGAATTCAGTATAGTGGCTACCTTGATAGAGCATGAAGGAGCCTTCTGGAATGCTGAAAACGTTCTGTATCTTTTTTTTTTTTTTTTTTTTTTTTGAGATGGAGTTTCACTCTTGTCGCTCAGGTTGTAGTGCAATGGTGCAATCTTGGCTCATTGCAATCTCTGCCTCCCGGGTTCAAGCGATTCTCCTGCCTCAGCCTCCTGAGCAGCTGGAATTACAGGTGCCCGCCACCACGCCCAGCTAATTTTTTTGTATTTTTAGTAGAGATGGGGTTTCACTATGTTGGCCAGGACAATTTAATCCACTTTGGCCTTCCTCATTGCAGTTATTCGTTTATGGTAACTCCATCCTTCCAGTTCTCAGGCCAAAAAACTAGTTTTCCTTGATTGTAACTGACTCCAGCTCCAAAATAAATCAAGAATGTAACTTTCTTACCACTTCCACTACTAACTACCCTGATCCAAGCTATCACATCTCACCTGGAAGCCTAGTAAAAGCCTCCAAATTGGTCTTCCTGCTAAGTCTATTCTTAACACAGCAACTTTCTCTAAAAAAAAAAAGATCACATCAACCCTCTGCTTAGATCACACAATGGCTCCCCATTTTCCTCAAAGTAAAAGCCAAAGTCCTTACAGGGCGCTTGAAGGCCCCATACATCAGGACTCCAACTACCTCTGTGACCTCATTCCTTTTTCCTTTCTTGCTATTCTTTTTCCTTCTATTCCTCAAATATGAAAGACACTTCAGCCATAAGGTCTTTGTACTAGTTGTTTCCTCTGCCTGGAATGTTCTTCCCCCAGATAACTACATGGTTAACTTCCAACTCCCTTAAAACTTTGCTCAAATATCAGCTCAATAAAGCTGATACTTAATCACCCACTTTAATATTACAACTCTCCTACTCACTTACTTTAAAATTACACTCTTGAGACATTCCCAAAGCTCCCTTATCTCCTGTTGTTTTTCTGTATTACTTTCACCTTCCAATATACTATGCATTTTTAATTATGTTTACTAGTATCTGTCTCCCCTAACTAGAATGAAGGTTCCATGAAGGCAAGGATTGGTTCCATTTTATTTACTGACAAGACTAAAATCTCTACAAAACATAGTAGGCACCCAATAAGTACTCTGTGGAATAGCTAAATGCCTAATATAGTAAGTATGATGGCATGCCTATAATAATTGACTCTAATGCTGTTTATTTGCATATATTTTGTGAGATGAGATTCAGGAATACCAGAAATAGGAGTTTGAGAAATTTGACCATGGAAAAGTAAACGGGGTCGGGCACGGTGGCTCACTTTGTGAGGCTTAGGCGGACGGATCACGAGGTCAAGAGATCTAGATCATCCCGGCCAACACGGTGAAACCCCGTCTCTACTAAAAATACAAAAATTAGCTGTGCGTGGTGACACACACCTGTAGTCCCAGCTACTCAGGAGGCTGAGGCAGGAGAATCGCTTGAACCAGGGAAGTGGAGGTTGTAGTGAGCCGAGATTGCACCACTGTACTCCAGCCTGGCGGCAGAGTGAGACTCCATCTCAAAAAAAAAAAAAAAAAAAAAGTAAACGGGACTAGAATGCATCCACAGACCAAATGCTCCATTAAGAATGCTCCATTAGCAGACTCCTAGATGTTGAAGATGCAAAATAACGAGAAGTTACTATTTGCAAGTGAGATCACTCTAAATGCATCTTCAGAAACCATCTGATGAGGAGAGATTAAGATTCCAAATAAATGACTCACCTACCAAAGAAAAATAAGTATATGAGAATATTCTTACTACGAACCCTTCTCAGAGAAGGCTGTGAAGAATGAGAAATCCTTTCCATTCATTCTTTTATATGTTCACTATTTTATTGCATTTATTTTGTTCTAGGCATTGAACTGTATACTAAATATAAACCAAATGAGACATTGTCTGCCTTCAACAGAGCTTAAAATCTAATGGTATACAAAATTTTTAAACAAATAGACACTATACGTAATTACAGTAATAAATGCTACTAAAAAGAAATCTATGAGAGAAAATAACAAGAGAACTCTTTATAATGGTCAGAGAAGCCCTCTCTGAGGTGACAGTTAAGCTAAAATCTAAAGGATAAGAGAGCTCAGCCATGCCAACAGCCAGAAGAGTTCACCACGCAGAAGGAATACGTGTGTAGGGAAAGGCCTATGTGATTTGGAATGTTGTGAACAATCCGGAGCTCAAGAAGAGACTGAAGAGTTAAGAGTCAAAGATGACTCTCATATTTATGGTTTATCCAACCAGATGTATGGTAGTGCCAATCAGATGCAGAACACTGGGAGAAACACAGGTTTAGGCAGCACTTACACGTTTAGGCTTGAGAATCCTGGGAGGATCTAAACAGTGATATCACGTAAGTAGCTGAAAGTATAAATCTTGCTTCTTGTGAGGCTGGTGCATCACTCCCTCACCTATACTGTACCATGTGATTAGGGTCCCAGATGTCTCAACCCTACTGGCAGTGTCTGTCCTAGACTCAGCCTAGTGGTGGCAGCAGCTGCTTGAACAGCAGTGGTGGAAAGCTGAATGGAATTACTCAATGCTTAATGACAACTTTCCTAATACTACTGAGTGGGATGACTGATTGCTAACTCTGGTATCTTTCATTTCTTATTTTTAATCAAATTATCAACTATAAAGTTAGGTGGGCCTAAGATTTTAGGAGAAAACAGCATATCCTTTGTATCGGCAGTATCCTAAGCGAAGGCACTTAAAGAGAGCAACACGAACTCAGAAGCAAAGAGTTGCAGACCCTCATACAGCCAGTCTTTCCGATGTAAAATAAATCTCAACTGCTCAAAACCTAAAGGCTTCTGTGGTCTACATTCACCAAAAAAGGCAGAAAATGGCGTCTATCATTAACAAAGTTTGGCCTACCTACCTAGCAACATTAGCCAGTGAACAGATACCTTTACTTCAGTCTCGTCAGATTATTCTACCTTCCCAAGTATTAAATGAATATCGTTTTGTTTCACTTACTTTACACAGCCACAATACTTTGAAAATCATATTAATTTGTTAGCTGAAGTAGTAGTAATCTCTCGTCTCCTAACATCAACTCTACAATATTCTTTAATTCATCCATGAAAATGTCACTAACTAAAGACCACTTGCCTAAAACGTTTCCCACTTGAACAGTTCTATGAACCAAAGTGTACTCTTGAGATCACGTCTTCCAACTATAAAGACATCTTTCAAATTTTCCATTAAGTTGGTATATTATTACTGAGATCTTAGACCTAAGAAAATCACAAGTTCTGACTTCAGAGTTATGAAGAAAGCTCTAAGCAATCTGTAAGTGTTTTGGTTTCATGAGTCCAGTATCTACATACTCCTAGAGTGACACTAATCCTACTTAGTCTTGGGGATTAACTGGCTAAAGCTCTAAAAAAGCTAGCTGGATTTTGGAACAGGTCAAGGGACAGACAGAGACTCCTTTGTGAGATTGCTAACAGTCTTCCTGCAAACATTCAAGAGTCATTATATTCTAAATACATGTAATACATGCTCATCAGTAAAAACTTAATTGAAGAAAGTATATATATATACACAAAACCCCGAAAGGCAAGACCTATAACTTTATTTAACTATTCCAATAATTTGTACTAGAGTTTCCAAATATTAATATTTGTTAATAAAAATCTCTCGTTTCTTTTTTTAAATTAACTGATTTACCTCAAGAGTGCCTTCTAGGAATGTTTGGACATTTGTTCAAAAACATGACTACCATAATCCAAATTTCTGATTTCTATACCAATTTAAATCACCAATTTACAAATTGTTCAGTTTTTTCCTTAAGAAACAAAAAAGCCAGTTTTTTTGAAGCTACTAAAAAATTTGACTGTTAAGACATGTAAATCCTTTTTGTGGCCCTAGTGCAAGTCACTTTATGACTGCTGACCTAAGTGCCTCATCTATAAAATGGGGATAATTAAACCTGTTCTATTTACTGCAAGGATCAACTGAGATATTAGGAGAAAAACAATTTAAAATGTCAAAAACCTACTAATGTACACAATAAGCATAGTGTCATTTACTTTTCCTTTCATTTTCAATCCATTTTTTTCCTTACGGGATTACAGAATTAATTTATGTAAAGTATAATATAACCCCCAGACAGCATCACAGAATCTAAACTATTCAAGCTCTTCTAATAAACAGCATTGAGCTAAAAACTTGGCGTAACAAAACAATTATAAATTCCAAATTTAATGCTAAATGACATTCACATTTCAGTAATTCGTTCTTCACTGCAGTGCATAAAGTTATAGAGCTATTAAAAGACGAGTTAATTATGAATAAACCGTTATTAAACACAAATAGTTGAAGAAATACACCTCAAATTAACAACAGCCACAAACATTGATTTGGTCCATGTAATGAGTATGAGCAGAACCGTAGAGGCAGGGAGTTCACTGTAAATCTACAAGATTTCAGTAATAAAACAGGAGAATATGGAGCAAAATAGCCTAGAGCAACAGAGAATATATGAGTTAATAAACGTTCTCAAAGTCGTGTAGATTTTAGCCTAAGAAGACAACAAAGGGAAGAAACCAAGGACTGAACGTCTATTTTCTTTGAAACTAATGGATTTTTTTTAAACTTACATTATTTCACACTAGATCCCCTACCAAGACTGCCATAAAGAAAAATTAAACCTCTATTCAGCTCAAAAGTTTACGTTTCAGGAACGTACTAACACCAGTAACCGTGAACATCAGGTGGTTTCTCTTTGTTGCTTATCGATGACACAGCTTTCTTCCCGACAGTCCACAACTAATTACAACCCAACTGCTTGCCTAATGGCCCGTTCCTACCTCCATCTAAACAGCAGTAACGAAACGGGCGTTCAAGCAGCACAAAGAGGGTCCTTGGTGACAGAGAGGGACGTCAGGGAGAGGGTCGCGGGGGTCTGGCTGCGCAGGGGAGAGGCTCGGGGCGACGAGCGGGGCTGGGCGGCTGGGGCCTGCTGGCCGCGTCCGTCGCCCCGAGCGGGGAGATTTCGGCGGGCCTCGGGGCGCTTTGGAGACCAGGGCCAGACGGTGCCTCCGGCCCGGCTGCCGGGAGACGCAGCGGTGGGGCCAGGCCCACTGTATCTCAAACGAACCGGGGAGGCGCTGAACAGCCACGGGCCGGCAGCCCGGGCCTCGCAGACACTGAGGAAAGGCTGGGGGCGCCCGGGGCCTGAAGGAGCAGGGCGCTGAGGGTCTGCATGGCCCCTCTGGGGGATCTGGCGGCGGAGTCGCAGCCGTCCCTGGGGCGCGGGGTAGTAGTGGCAATTGTGCGAGCCGACAGGAGCCCGCGTCTCGGGGAGGGCGGGCCGGCGGCTGAGGTATACAAGAGGATGAAGGTAGGCCGGAGGGGTGTCCCGGCCGCCTCTCGAACCCCTGCCTCCTTCACCTGCCACGAACACCACGAAGACCGCGCCGCTCCTTTTGGCCGTCGCGATGGCGGCCGGAATGGCGCCCTGGAACCACAGCATCGCTCCCTTCGGGCCCAGGCGCTCGCTCGGTGTGTAGTCTCCGCAGTCCCGAAGCCGGCTCCGCCCTCCGTCTTCGTCCGGCTCTGCGGCCCCCGCAACCTTGGCTGGTTCGGCCCCCACCTCCGGCTCCGCACAAGCGCGCACGCCCGTCAGCGGCACCCGGAGACGCGCGCTAGCGCGCGCGAGAACACCTCACGTCACAGTCGCAACCCGTCGGTGTCCGTGCCCCAGGACCTTCTCTCGTTGGCGAGTCGATGGTGCGGGCGCGCGCCCGCTAGGCCTCCGGTCGCGCAGTCCAGGAAGTGGAGGAAAGCGGTAAGAGGGATGACTAACCGCTAAGACACGTCGGCGGCGCCTGCAGTGAGGCATGATGGGAATTGTAGTCCACTTAGGCTTATTCGCCTCCATATTGTGGAGCATGTAACTGTGGGTTCTGAGGCACAGCTAAAGGGGGCAGTAGTGAGGGCCACTACACATTCTATAAAGGGGAGAGGGAGAAATAAGTGTCACTCCAACTGGCATATGCTATTCTCGGCCTCGTTGAGACTCTCAGTGTGGAGGAAATAGTCCTCGCATGGAACTAAATGGGCTTTGTCGGGATTAACTCCGAGGCTTTGATTTCTTCTGAACGTAGCCCAACCTTGCAGAAAAACGGGATAAAAACCGCAAGTCACCTTCTTTAATAACCTGTAGTCCATGTGCCTAAGCGGAGGAATTGGTAGAACGCAGGCCTTCAGCAATTTCCTAGACACTGGATAGAGATCATTTCAAAACTTCAAAACGCGTTAGGCTATTGCCACAGCTACTTTTTAAAGTAACACAAAGCAGAGAATAGATTATTTCTTTTCCAGCTACTTTCCATGGTAATACAAAAGAGACTAGATAGTGATTTATTTTCCAATTTTCTGGGAGAATGTCCTATAATCAAGATGTGGCGCTTTGTGATTGGCTGCCATTAAATGAAAACTGATCCATATTTAATACTTTCATGAAATCACATGGTCTGTAATAACTATTAGCTAAAGGCTTGCATGGTTTATTTAAAGTTGCATATACTATTATGTTAAATTCTACATCAATTAAATTTATCCTCCAGCAGTACATCTATCTGACAATCTTTGCAAGATAAAGGAAGTGATACATCTGAATATACCACCTTTCCTACAGATATTTTCCCTAAAAATAGCTAATTATTTGCACTCCGATTTTTGTACTTTTTTTCCCAATCAGGCCTCTCGTATATAGTGTTATTATAAACTGAGACATAATGCTGATTAGGGACAGTTGCTTCTATAGGACAACAATCCTACAGAAAAATTAGAATTGACCTTTAACATCAACTTTAATGGACTTCTGGAAATTTGATCAATCTAGAAATTATTCCAATAGAGCTATGTCTTTAATTATCTCTAATTTTAGAATTAAATAAGAATCCTTCATAGTTTTATATTCATTTGTCAAGTGTTTATCACTCATCTTTTATGAGCTAGGCATTGTGCCTGGCACTGATAAGGAGGTGAGGCAGTCAGAAGAAGGCCCTGTCTTTGTGACTGTACAGTCTAGTCAGGAAGACAGACATTGAATAAGTAATTATGAGTGATGATAAATGTCACAGAAGGGTAATTCAGAGTGCTACAGAAGTGTATGAGGATGGGACCGAACATGGGCTAGTGGAGTCAGAAAGGGCCTTCATGAGGAAATGACGTGTCGGGGAACTCTAGGTAGGTGAAGGAGAAGGCTATTCCACATGAGGCTCTGAAGCAAGCAAACACAGTGCACTTGCAGAACTAAAAAATGCCCAGTGTGGCTATAACATAGAAAGAGGAGTGTGGTACAAGTGAGGCTGGAAAGCTAGGCAAGGATCAGATGATACAGAGTCTTGAAAATCATGTTAAAAATTTTAAGACATTTTTCTAAGGATTACAGGGAGCCATTGAAAAATTTTAAACAGAAGAGTTGGCCAGGCACAATGGCTCATGCCTGTAATCCCAGCACTTTGGGAGGCCGAGGCGGGCAGATCATGAGGTCAGCAGTTCAAGACCAGCCTGACCAACGTGGTGAAACCCCATCTCTACTAAAAATACAAAAATTAGCTGGGCGTGATTGCACATGCCTGTAATCCCAGCTACTCAGGAGGCTGAGGCAGGAGAATCGCTTGAACCTAGGAGGTGGAGGTTGTAGTGAGCCAAGATGGCACCACTGCCCACCAGCCTGGGCGAAAGAGCAAGACTATATCTCAAAAAATAAATAAATAAACAGATACATATAAGACTTCCATTTTTAAATTGTATGATAGCAATTGAATAGATTGGATTTGAAGTGGAATGGCTGAATGTGAATAGACCAGGTAAGAGGTACTTATTCATGTATTAACATAAGGGAGATAGTGAAGTGGATGCTTTTGATATTCTGGAGACAGACCCAATATATTTTGTTGATTACATGTGGAGGTTGAGGAAGAAGGACTCAAGAAGGGATTTTGTGGCCAGGTGTGTTAGCTCATGCCTGTAATCCAAGCACTTTGGGAGGCCAAGGCAGGAGGATCACTTGAACCCAGGAGTTTGAGGCTGCAGTGAGCCATGACTGCACCGAGCCATGACTGCACCACTGCACTCCAGCTTGGGCGACAGAGCAAGACCCTGTCTCTAAAAAAAAAGAGAGAGAGAGAGATTTGGGGTATCTGCCTTGCAAAATCGTAAAGAAGATGGTACTGAGATAGGCAACACTGAAAGAAGTGAAGGATGGTGGGGAGGTTGTTCATGAAGGTGTGAGTTCAATATTAAACATGTGTTTGGAGTACTAGAGAGATATTCACATGCAGTGTTAAGTAGGCAGATAGCTATTAGTCTTGGAGCTCAGATAACAGTTCTTAACTAGAGATAGGAAAGTGAGATTTATCTACATACAGGGGATCAATGAGGCACTGGAAGATAACGATACCATCACTTAGGGAGATGGTGCAAAGTGAGGTGAGACACGAGCATGATTGAGGTCTTAGGGCCTCCAACGTTTATAGGGTTGTATTAAAAAGTATAAACCAGTAAAAGAGACTCAGCAGGAAAGGCAGAGTGTGGGGTGGTGGAAGAAAATGGGAGAGTGTGTGATATCAAAGAAGCCAAGGGTAGAGAGAATTTTAAGAAAGGAGAAGCAGTGGTGTGGAATGCTGCTGTTGGGTCAATTAAGATGAGAGACTAAAAAATGTCCATTGTTTTTAGTAACACAGAGGTCATTTTAAGCTTAGCAAGAGCAATTCTCATGGTTCTTGTGTACAGAAGCCAGATGGCAAAAGGTTGAAAAGTAAGGGGAGGTAAAGAGTCAGTGAGTGTGAAGGTGAGAAGGAAGAAAGGAACATTAGCTGGACAGGAATTTGGATTTGAAAAGACAGCCTTTTTAAAGATGGGAGAGATTTGCATAAAATTAAATGCTAGTGGAAAGGAACTGGTCTTAGATTGAACAAATGGGAAAATGGAAGGCCCCTCTGGAGATGGGAGGGAAAATGGGGTATACAGCACATTCTGTTGATGGCCGATCCAGCAGTCATTCTTCTACCATGCCTTCTATTATTCCTTCCTGACAGAATTCACTTTCTACTGAGAGGCAAAACTGCTGGGTGCAGTAGCTCACTCCTGTAATCCCAGCACATTGGGAGACTGAGGCAGACAGATCACTTGAGGTCAGGAGTTTGAGACCAGCCTGGCCAACATGGTGAAACCCCATCTCTACTAAAAATACAAAAATTAGCCAGCCATGGTGGCATGCACCTGTAATCCCAGCTACTTGGGAGGCTGAGGCATGAGAATCGCTTGAACCCGGGAGGCGGAGGTTGCAGTGAGCAGAGATTGCGTCACTGCACTCCAGCCTGGGCTACAGAGTGAGGCCCTGTCTCAAACAACAACAACAACAAAGCAACCTGCCAGATACTGGGCTTTTCAACCTCCCCTTGAAGCCAGTAAAACCTTGTAGGAAGGGTAGGGGGGTGGGAGGGGCTACTTCCAGGAAAAGCTTTCTTAATAAAAGACACATAGAAGAAAGCACAGATTGGGCGCAGTGGCTCATGCCTATAATCCCAACATGTTGGGAGGCTGAGATGAAAGGATTGCTTGAGGCCAAGAGTTCTAGACCAGCCTGGGCAACATAGTAAGAGTGCCTCTACAAAAAACAAAAAACAAAAACAAAAATAAAAAAAGAAAAAATTAGCCGGGTGTGGTGGTGTGTGCCTGTAGTCCTCAGGAGGCTAAGGTGGAAGGATTGCTTGAGCCCAGGAGGTTGAAGTTGCAATGAGCCATGCTCACACCATGGCACTCCAGCCTGAGCGACAGAGTGAGACTCCGTCTCAAAGAAAAAGGAAAAAAAGAAGGCACAATCTTCCTTTGCTGGATGTGGTTATATGCAAATGATGCCAGGTACTGCTGCAGCCATCTTGTGGCCATGAGGAAAGACATTGCTTATGCTCTAAGAATGGCAGAAGGGAATCTAGAAAGCACTTGTGTCTATGATGACCTCACAGAGCTCCTGAACCAACCCTGGGACTACTCAGCCTCCATATGTCTTGTTTTGTGAGATAGTAACTGTCCTCACTAGTTAGGCTACTGGAAGTTGGATCTTGCTTCTTGTAATTACCACCATTCTAAACAATCTGGGGTGGGATCTAGAATACAGGCAGATAGAAGAGATACCCTTCCCATTTTAACAGACAGAGGAAAGAAAAAATAACTTATGTATTTTTGTTGTTGTTGTTGTTGTTTTGTTTTGTTTTGTATTTTTAGTAGAGACAGGGTCTCACCATGTTGCCCAGGCTGGTCTCAAACTCTTGAGCTCAAGCATTCCACCCACTTCAGCCTCCCAAAGTGCTGGGATTACTGGCGTGAGTCACCACACCTGGCTGAAAAAATAACTTCAGATATAAATAAGTTTATTTAAAAAAACAGACATAAATATGTTTATACATTTCAAAACAATAATTTGAGGAAGATTTTACGTGAAAGCTTTAGCTTTTTTTTCCTTGAAGGAGAGGTTATTTGCTGAGAGTAAGGGGGGAAGTAAGGAAATTGACGCCTTGAGTACAAGGAAACAAGGTTTGAAGTAGTGTTGAGTGTTGGAGGGCAAGTGGACTAGGGAAACACAGTGTGCCAGACAGTGCAGAAGGGACTGTGAAATTGGTGGTCTTGAATTTGCCCAATTGTGTAATTTTCTTCAGCGGTCACTTAATCCCTGAGGGCAGGCGTGGAGAAAGTGGAGACTTGGATTTATCCAGGGTTTTAGGTGCTAGGCAGTGGGAGAAAGAACAAATGAAAAAGAAGTTTAGGAGATTAGCAATGGAACAAACAATGTGATGGAACATGGAATCTAAATTGGTTGGGGGATGGGCGCCGTGGCTCACTTTGGGAGGCTGAGACAGGTGGATCACCTGAGGTCAGGAGTTGAAGGCCAGCCTGGCAAACATGATGAAACCCCGTTTCTACAAAAAATATAGAAATTAGCCAGGCGTGGTGGCTCATGCCTATAGTCCCAGCTACTCGGGAGGCTGAAGCATGAGAATCACTTGAGTCCAGGAGGCGGAGGTTACAGTGAGCTGAGATCACACCCCGCACTCCAGCCTAGGCAACAGAGTGAGACTTGGTCTCAAAAATAAATAAATAAATAAATAAATAAATAAATAAATAAATAAATAAATAAATAAGTTGGGGAGGGAAAGAAATGCAGAAAGGAGAAAAAAACAAACAAATAAAATGGTACAGGGGAGGCAATGGCCTGGAGGGCTCAGAGTGGGCAGGAAACAGGTCAGCAATATGGAGTTTTAAAATGCTGGCTGGGCGTGGTGGCTTATGCCTGTAATCCCAGCACTTTGGGAGGCCGAGGCAGGTGGATCACCTGAGGTAGGAGTTCAAGACCAGCCTGGCCAACATGGCAAAACCCTGTCTCTACTAAAAATACAAAAATTAGCTAGGCGTGTTGATGGGCGCCTACAGTTCCAACTACTCAGGAGGCTGAGGCAGGAGAATCACTTGAACCCGGGAGGAGGAGGTTGCAGTGAGCTGAGATCGCATTATTGCACTCCAGCCTGGGTGACAAGAGCGAAACTCCGTCTCAAAATAAATAATAAATAAACAAATAAATAAATATAAATAAAACGTGGCCAGACACGGTGGCTCACAACTGTAATCCCAGCGCTTTGGGAGGCCGAGGCTGGCAGATCACTTGAGGTCAGGAGTTCGAGAACAGCCTGGCCAACATTGTGAAACCCCATCTCTACTAAAATTACAAAAATTAGCCAGGCATGGTGGCACACGTCTGTAATCCCAGCTACTCGGGAGACTGAGGGAAGAGAATCGCTTGAACTCAGGAGGAGGAGGCTATAGTGGGCTGAGATCCCGCCACTGCACTCCAGCCTGGGCGACAGAGCGAGACTCTGTCTCAAAAAATAAAATAAAATAAAATAACAAAACGTTATGCTTTCTGGGAGGGAAAGCAGTCAGAGATTATGGAAAAGATTCTTGAGTCCTGAAATCTGATATTATAAAATTCAATTAGAACATAACCCCTCTCGGCCGGGCATGGTGGCTCACGCCTATAATCTCGGCACTTTGGGAGGCCAAGGGGAACGGATTGCCTGAGCTCAGGAATTCAAGACCATCCTGGGCAACATGGTGAAACCTCATGCCTACTAAAATACAAAAAATTAGTCAGGCATGGTGGCAGGCGCCTGTAGTCCCAGCTACTCGGGAGGCTGAAGCACAAGAATCTCTTGAGCCAGGGAGGCAGAGGTTGCAGTGAGCCAAGATCGTGCCACTGCACTTCAGCTTGGGCTACAGAGACTGTCTCAAAAAAAAAAAAAAAAAAAGAACATATCCCTATCCCTTCTCAAATCAACACACCCTTGTGTCTTCTGTCACATAGAGTGAAGCCAGAGTCTTCCCTTTACTTGTATGAAACCAGTCACAGCAGCCTTCCAATTGTTTTGTGTTAATCTTAAATCCTTTTAATTTCTACTGTAATGGATACCATAGTGCCCCATCTTCAGGACCCTGGCACTCTCTCTCCCCAGCAGTTGAGAATATCCAAAGTGTGTCCTTTCCAGGAGTGGTGCTTCACTGAGGACACAAAGGCCTGGGCCCCTTGCCTCATTTTGTCTTCTGAGGGGCTTCCCATCTCCGTCTCTCTTTGGGTGCATCTCACCAATGTTATTTCCCATGTAGCTCACTCCCTATCAACCTCCTGCAAGCAGATCTTCTCAGTCTGTTTCTGTGAACCCAGCTGAGAGACATACCTAATCACCTGATGCCTGAAAGATTCATACAGCTTTCGTAACTACTCTGTCTTCTCTCCAGTCTATCTCACACAATTATGTCATATCCATCTTCCCTGATTTTTAGCATGTTTCTGCTTAAAAATCTTCAGTGCCGGCCGGGCATGGTGGCTCATGCCTGTAATCCCAGCACTTTGGGAGGTCAGGGAGGGGGGGCGGTGGATCACGAGATCAGGAGTTCGAGACCAGCCTAACCAACATGGTGAAACCCCGTCTCTACTAAAAATACAAAAATTAGCCGGGCATGGTGGTGTGCACCTGTAATCACGCTACTCAGGAGGCTGAGGTAGGAGAACCGCTTGAACCCAGGAGGCGGAGGTTGCAGTGAGCCAAGATTATGCCACTGCACTCCAGCCTAGGCGACAGAGTGAGACTGTGTCTCAAACAAAACAAAACAAAACAAAACAAAACTTCAGTGCATCTGTAGTGCCTCCAAAAACAAAGTTTGTAGCCATTCAAAATCCTCTGCAGTCTGGCTCCAACCTGCTTTTCCAACATTCATTTCTTCTCTTTGCCCACTTGGGTCCTCTAAACCGACAATACTATTATTCACCTACCAGGGCATACTCTTTGCCAACTCTGTTTTTGTTCACACCATGCTGCCTCTTGCGTGGTTCACTCTTGCATGGAATTGTCTCCCTTCACTTATTATTATTTTGTTTTCCAGACGGCGTCTCGCTCTGTTGCCCAGGCTGGAGTACCGTGGCACAATCTTGGCTCACGGCAAGCTCTGCCTCCCAGGTTCAAGCAATTCTCCTGCCTCAGCCTCCCAAGTAGCTGGAATTACAGGTGTGTGCCACCATGCCTGTCTAATTTTGTATTTTTAGTAGAGATTGGGTTTCACTATGTTGGCCAGGCTGGTCTCGAACTCCTGATCTCAAGTGATCCTCCTGTAATCCCCTCCCAAAGTGCTGGGATTACAGGTGTGAGCCACCGTGACCGGCCTCTCCCTTCACTTATTAAAACTTTGAATGCCTGTTTCAGGACAGGCTATAGATTAGGTGCTGAGATTGAACTATTGGTTAATTCATTGACAATAATACTATTTTTGTCCTCAAAAAGCCTGTAGTCTAGTCAGTGAGAGAGATTGATACATGAATAGGTGACCATAATTCTTTGGCTTGGATAAAATGAAAGAGCCATGTACTGGTTATTGTAGAGGGAAAGGAGAGGTGAGTGGTGGCCTGTTGAGGGAAGTGGCATCAACGCCAATTTTCAAACAGACCTGAATCACAAACTACAGCAACTTTTTACACTCAGGCCCTTACCACAGAAGTTTGTTCACTGCTGTGTAGCAGTAAAAATATGGCATGGTTTGTACTGTTATTTTCCTTCCCAGTGCAAACCCTTAATTCTAGAGATAAAAGACTTCCCGTGAGCTAAGACCCAAGGTTTTGTGGGCTTCTTTGATACACAATGAGTGGTTTCATTGCAATGAGCTCTTCTCTGAGGGGTCTTGGGGCTTAGGCTGGTTACCAGGTCTAGAGCTGCTGAAGAGGAAGATCAGGTTTCAGTTGGTGTCTCTGTGACCATTGGAAGAACCCTCACCACATCAGCTTGACCCCAATGTGCATTCTCAAAGTCCTGCTTTTTGTCTTCCAAGCCAGAGAGGTTGTTCATGGTGGTCCCAGGGCAAGATGGGGAACCATCCCATGTGGCCTGCCATAGAGCCCCTGGCCTTCCACCTTTGAAATCTCCCTGTTTTCCTCTGTGACCAATCACTGTGTGCTGTTTCTGGTTTGCTCCGTGGAGGCCCTGCAGCAGTTTACCTCACACAGGGCCCTTCTAACTCTCTTCATGTCTTGGCAGTGTGAGATCTATGAACTGTGTCTGGTCTCCTGATGTTCTTACTGGGTCTGCAAAAGGTTGTAGAAAGGTCATGTGCATTCTACTTTGCCACAGCCCCTCCCACTACTAAGCTTCACCCATTTACTTACACTCAGGCTATAGCGAGTATTTTGAGTTTGCGGTCGCTGCTGTACATGTGAAGCTGGCATCGGACAGGCATCAGTGTACTCACAGCATTGGCCAGTGTTTCACATACCTGTTGGGTACTGGCTTCCATCACATCCTGGGGAAGAGCGCAGTTTCTCACGGTCATTTACATCCTGTGAACATTTTATTTTATATAGTTACTTAAAGTTCTGGGTTTATATCTTCTCTCTTCCCCAGGAAGAGAGTTTGGAAACAATAGCTTTGGCTGGGCGCGGTGGCTCATGCCTGTAATTCCAGCACTTTGGGAGGCCAAGGCATGTGGATCACCTGAGGTCAGTTCGAGACCAGCCTGGCCAACATGGTGAAACCCTGTCTCTACTAAAAATACAAAAAATTTGCCAGGTGTGGTGGCGGGTGCCTGTGATCCTAGCTACTCCGGAGGCTGAGGCAGGAGAACCACTTGAACCCAGGAAGCAGAGTTTGCAGTGAGCCCAGATCACACCATTGCACTCCAGCCTGGGTGACAAGAGTAAGACTCCGTCTCAAAAAAAAAAAAAAAAAAAAAAGAAAAAGAAAAAAAAGAAACAATAGCTTTACTCAATCTTCTTTTATTTATTTATTTATTTGAGATGGAGTTTCACTCTTGTTGCCCAGGCTGGAGTACAATGGCGCGATCTCGGTTCACTGCAACCTCTGCCTCCCAGGTTCAAGCCATTCTCCTGCCTCAGCCTCCCGAGTAGCTGGGATTACAGGCGCGCACCACGATGACAAGGACGTTTTTGTATTTTTTTTTTTTTTAGTAGAGACAAGGTTTCACCATGTTGGCCAGGCTGGTCTCAAACTCCTGACCTCAGTTGATCCACCTGCCTTGGCCTCCCAAGGTGCTGGGATTACAGGCGTGAGCCACCGCGACCTGCCTCAGTCTTTTTTCTATTTTCAGTGTCTTGTATTTTTTGCCAAATGAATGAGTTACTAGTGTCATTGAGGCCAAAGGTTTCCCACTACTAAGGTTCTATTTTAATTTGCACAGAGAAAAACCTACCACAAACTGAATTCTTAACTGTAGTCATTCAAAAGAAATCAAAGGGCATTTCTTACTGAAACTGGATTGGTAACATCACCTTGAAATATAAAGTCTCACATCATGCTTTAAAAAAAAAAACATTTTCTGTCCCACAGAAGCCTGTACCTGCTTACCACCAGAGAAGGCTTTATAACTTACATGTTGCAAAGCTGGTTGTATAAAAACCATGTAAAGGAAAAATATTATTGTCTGTTCTTGTTTTTTCTTGAGTGAAAGTGAGAAGTATAAAAAATGCTAAATATGGCCGGGCGCAGTGGCTCACACCTGTAATCCTGGCACTTTGGGAGGCCAAGGTGGGTGGATCATCTGAGGTCAGCAGTTTGAGACCAGCCTGGCCAACATGGTGAAACCCCATCTCTACTAAAAATACAAAAAATTAGCTAGACATGGTGGCAGGCACCTGTAATCCCAGCTACTTAGGAGGCTGTAGCAGGAGAATCACTGGAACCCAGGAGGTGGAGGTTGCAGTGAGCTGAAATCGCACCACTGCACTCCAGCCTGGGTGACAGAGCGAAACTCTCTCAAAAAAAAAAAAAAAAAAAAAAGCTTAATATGATAGATTATACAGAGCATCATCATCACTCACCTGTAGACCAGTAGGAGAATAGTTTAATTACCACATAAGGTTCATGGGTGTGCATAAAATAAAAAAAGAAGAGAAGCAGCATTTAAATAGGTTCCAGGGCCGGACGCAGTGGGTCACGCCTGTAATCCCAGTACTCTGGGAGGCCGAGGTGGGCGGATCACAAGGTCAGGAGTTTGAGACCAGCCTGGCCAACATGGAGAAACCCTGTCTCTACTAAAAATACAAAAATTAGCCGGGCATGGTGGCAGGCGCCTGTAATCCCAGCTACTTGGGAGGCTGAGGCAGGAGAATCACTTGAACCCAGGAGGCGGAGGTTGCAGTGATCCGAGATCGTGCCATTGCACTCCAGCCTGGGCGACAAGAGCAAGACTCTGTCTCTAAATAAATAAATAAATAAGTTCCAAGCTTCACTCACAACAATCAAATTTTCACATGTAAGATAGGATGGTACTCCTCTCTGGCTTCTCATAGAGATCCAGGTGAATAAGCCAAATCAAAAATGGCAACTACTGCGTTAGCAAGGCTTGAAGCAGTAATATAAATAGTTTAGCCCATGACCTCTGGAGTCAGCCTGCCTGGTTTATGAATACCACCATCACTTATTAGCTGAGACGTTAGGCAAATTTCCTCACCTCTCTGACATTTCAGTTGCCTCATTAGTAAACTAGGGTAATAATATAATTTATCCTTTAGGGCTATTGTGATGATCAATCACATAGAGACCATTGTAAGTGCTTAGCAAGTGCTTGGCACATAGTATTTAACTGCTTTCCATATGTTAGTTATTTCTGACAGCCTGCCAAAATCTTGCATATATACACATATATATACATATGTATAATATATATGTGTATATATAGATACGTGTATATATACATATATACACACATATATACATTATATATACACATATATACATATGTATGTATGTATATATATAATGTATATATGTATATATATATGCAAGATTTTGGCAGGCTGTCAGAAATAACTAATAACTAACATATGTAAAGCAGTTAAAATGTATGTATATACATATACATATATATGCCTTTCAAGATTTAAAGCAGCTGCGCACAGTGGCTCAAGCCTATAATCTCAGAATTTTGGGAGGCCGAGGTGATCACTTGAGTTCAGGAGTTTGAGATCAGCCTGGGCAACACAGTGAGACCCTGTCTCTACAAAAAATTTTAAAAAATTGGCCGGGCACAGCAGCTCATGCCTGTAATCCAGGCACTTTGGGAGGCCGAGGCGGGCGGATCACGAGGTCAGGAGATTGAGACCAGCCTGGCTAACGCAGTGAAACCCCATCTCCACTAAAAAATACAAAAAATTAGCCGGGCGTGGTGGCACTCGCCTTTAGTCCCAGCTACTCGGAAGGCTGAGGCAAGCGAATTGCTTGAATCCGTGAGGCAGAGGTTGCAGTGAGCCGAGATTGTGCCACTGCACTCTAGCCTGGGTGACAGAGTGAGACTCTGTCTCAAAAACAAAACAAAACAAACAAGAAAAACAAAAAAATTTAAGAAATTAGCCAGTGCAGTGGCTCACACCTGTAATCCCAGCTGCTTGGAAGGCTGAGATGGGAGGATTGCTTGAGCACTGGTGGTTGAGGCTGCAGTGAGCTATGATCATGCCACTGCACTCCCAGCTTGGGTGACAGAGCAAAACTCTCAAAAAAAAAAAAAAAAAAAAAAGAAAGAAAAAGAAAAAACATTCAAAGCATTTGACTCTGCCAAATCATTTGTTCATTTAATCACTGGACAAATGTTTACTGGGAAAGGCACTCGTGGTGCCAGGGATATATTAGTAAACAGAAGCAACAGACATTTTCCCTGTCCTAAAGATTACATTCTGATGGATAGAAAAACAGTAAGCAACTAATTGGCCAATTACTCATGTAATTACCATTGTGCTAAATGCTTTGAAGAGGAAGTACAGGATATTATTAGAGTTTATTACTTGCAGAAATGAGCCAGTCTGGCAGATCACCTGAAGTTAGGAGTTTGAGACCAGCCTGGCCAACGTGGTAAAACCCCATCTCTACTAAAAATACAAAAAATTAGCCGGGTGTGGTGGCGTGTGCTTGTAGTCTCAGTTAATCGGGAGGCTGAGGCAAGAGAATCGCTTGAACCTGGGAGGCAGAAGTTGCAGTGAGCCGAGATTGCACCATTGCATTCTAGCTTGGGCAACAGAGCAAGACTCTGTCTCAAAAAATAAATAAATAATTAATTAAAAAACTATTTAATGTATCTATTTCAATGCTTCCTCTTCCTCAACCCCCAAAGAACAAACTTTTATCATTTTTCTTTCTGATTCAGAAGTTCCCACTGCCTTTTCTTTACAGCCCTCCAGTATTCTTATGTGGGTGAAATCAAACCAAAATGAATACAAGTAGAGACATTGAGGGGAAAAATAATGAACAAATATGCACTGTGTAGCCTGAGCATATGTGGATGTGGGGGTGGATTCAAGGGCAGCTGTATCTGTTTTTCAAGCCGGTGAAGGTCATGGGCTGAATGTGTGTGCAAGAGACTCAGGTTCTTTTAGCACCAGCTGTTAAAGGTCTTCTAGAATCCCAAGCAACCAGGGGCCAGCTTTGAATCCCACCAGCATGTATATAATGCCTTTGTGCTAGCACTTCACTGGGCCCTAGAAGACGGAACTCATGCCCTTAGCCTTTGGAGACTATAGATAACATATTATCTGTTGGGCAGGCAGTGGTCTGGGATTAGGGGGTCTTGCCTCTGCTGAAGTCTTAAGTTTGCATGTTTTCTGTTGTTGGTAACAGGTAGAGAATCCAACTCAGCTGTTTCCTGAGGTAGCTGCAGATATGCTGACTTTACTCTGCCCAAGCTAATCTGGAACTGTGGGTTCTACTCAGAGGCCTGTGTTGCCACACTATTCACAGGCCATAAGGCCCTACCTAGTGGGGTCAGGAAAACATTTTCCTAGCTTGGGAAAGGCTCACATCCCTATTTTGTTGCCAGCTCTGATGCCAACCTAATAATTTTTAATTACCTGTGGCACCATGGCAAACACACCTTGTACTCTAGATCACAAACACGTACCCAATATATCCATGTTCTTTGCAAACCAAGAGCTTCAAACCATAAGTCATTCTCAGTTTTCTAATATTAAGTAGCATAAACAGACAGAATGTTATGGACTGACCTCTATCATTCCCAAAGAAAGGACTGCTGGAGCTGCTAATATTGGCACAAGAAAGAATAACACTTTATTGGTAAAAGTAGTATCTGGCCGGGCGGGGTGGCTCACACCTGTAATCCTAGCACTTTGGGAGGCCGAGGCGGGCGGATCACAAGGTCAGGAGATCGAGACCATCCTGGCTAACACGATGAAACCCCATCTCTACTAAAAATACAAAAAATTAGCCAGGCATGGTGGCGGGCGCCTGTAATCCCAGCTACTCGGGAGGCTGAGGCAGGAGAATGGCGTGAACCTGGGAGGTGGAGCTTGCGGGGAGCAGAGATCGCGCCACTGCACTCCAGCCTGGGCGACAGAGCAAGACTCCATCTCAAAAAAAAAAAAAAAAAAAAAAAAAAAAAAAAAAAAAAAGCAATATCTACCCCTAAAAATGGTCAGGGGTCTGGAAAAACCCATGATAAGGATTATTGCCAGGGCTATGGGACATCGAAAGCTGTCTTTGAGATTACCAGTCTAGACCAAATCACATCTTAAATGCCTCCTGTGTGTGCTTCTACCTCCCACCATTTTTATACAGGGGAAATCAGACTTTAGATTAAAAAAAAAAGGGGGGAATGTAGATTAGGGAACGTGTGCATATTTTTGTAATGGTGGTGGGATTGGCCAATTTCATTGTTATTTCCATGTGATTGTCAGGGAATGTGGTGGTGGTGGCTAGGAGTTAACTCTACAATAGCCTCTGATCTTTTTTTAGCTCTAGTGTCTTACCTATTTACTTTGCACAGTATTCAATTCCTACAAGGTAAACTAAGAGTTTAAAGCAAAAACTGGTTTACCAGAATTCCTACTGCAGGAGTTAAAGATAATTTTTTTTTTTTTGAGACGGAGTTTCGCTCTTCCGCCCAGGCTAGAGTGAAGTGGCGCAACCTCGGCTCACTGCAACCTCTGCCCCCCAGGTTCAAGTGATTCTTCTGCCTCAGCCTCCCAAGTAGCTGGGATTATATAGGCACCCCACCACCACACCCGGCTAATTTTTGTGTTTTTAGTAGAGATGGGGTTTTGCCATGTTGGCAAGGCTGGTCTCGAACTCCTGACCTCAAATGATCCGTCCGCCTCGGCCTCCCAGTGCTGGGATTATAGGCATGAGCCACCGTGCCTGGTCTAAAGGGAATATTCAAGAGAAACTAATTGCAGGCCAGGTGTAGTGGCTCATGCCTGTAATTCCAGCACTTTGGGAGGCCGAGGCGGGTGGATCACCTCAGGTCAGGAGTTCGAGATCAGCCTGGCCAATATGGCGAAACCCTGTTTCTGCTAAAAATACAAAAATTAGTGGGGCATGGTGGCAGGTGCCTGTAATCCCAGCTACTCGAGAGGCTGAGGAAGAATTGCTTGAGCCCAGGAGTCTAAGGTTGCAGTGAACTGAGATCGTGCCACTGCACTCTAGCCTGGTTGATACAGTGACTCTGGTCTCAAAAGAAAAAAAAAAAATAATTGCCAGAAACCATGAGGTTGTGACTTTTTTTTTTTTTTGAGACCGAGTCTTGCTCTGTCACCAGGCTGGAGTGCAGTGGCACGATCTTGGCTCACTGCAACCTCTGCCTCCTGGGTTCAAGCAAATCCCCCGCCTCAGCCTCCCAAGTAGCTGCGATTACAGGTGCGCACCACCATGTCCAGCTAATTTTTTTGTATTTTAGTAGAGACAATGTTTCACCATGTTGGCCAGGATGGGAGGTTGTGACTTTTTTGGTCTCCATCCCCATGTATGATTGAAGAATTGTTGCTGAAATGCTAGCCTTACTTACGTGTCCTCTCCATCTTTGACTCTCTGCATGTCAAAAATAATTAAAATTCAACAAGCCTTGGAAGCAAGAGATTTTCACAGACCTCACACTCTTACTCTTTTCCCTGGCTATGGCTCCTTAATCTAAAATGGTTCTAAGACAGCTTCAACTTTTGATCCCAGGAGTACAATATTCACAATTGGGATGTGCTAGTTGGTGGGGAGGCATGGCATTCTCTGGGACCAGTGGGACCTTGCAAATGTGCTAAAGTGAGTGCACATCTGCACCAGAGTCTGGTAACACCTAGTGCTCTTCAATTTCATAGTAGAAGCCCTAGTCTGGGCTGGAAGATAACCAGACTCCAGGAAAGCTGCAGTTGGCAGACCCCTACCTTTTAGATTTCCCAACGGGGTGACTTTGCTTGGCTAACCAAAGGGAAAAGATGTCTATAAAGCGTTTGAGCCTAAGTGGACAATTGGGTGTGCAATACATAAGCTAAAAACAAATTTATCTCACCAAACATAACCTTCTATTTTTAGTTGCCTGACAATAAGTATGTTCATACTCCAAATTTCTACAGTTGGTAATAACTTTATGATAGACAACACAGTAACACGAATCATGTCCACCAGGAATCACTGCCACAGAGAAAGGGATGTTTAGGACATTTGTAAAATGAGGTGGTTTACTGTTTTTCATCTTCTGTAAGTCTGAAATTGACTTAAATCTTCCAAAAAGGTTATTGTCTTCAAAACTGACTCATTTAAAAGGTGTTTTTAATTAAAAAAAAGACAAAGTGAGCCTATATTTGTAAACATTTATTCTCTTGAACTGAAAAAGGCTTGCATCAGCACACATTGTACAGCCTTGCAAATTACACAGAAATTGAAAAGAAGGTTCCTTGTTCATAAGTGCAATGAATCTTTGATGTCCAGTGATCCGCTGCAAACAATGAAAACAAACTGTAAAGCACTTAAGAAGTTTCCAGCACTCATCAAATGCATTTCCTTAGGTGACAAAAAATCCACAAGGAGAATGCAAATAAGTGGCATTTAGTTATTAGAGAGATACTTGAAAAAAAAAAAGTGGAAGTATTTTCCTGCTTAGAATGATTTCTGTTCCCCTTTGAATGTAAGTGGTTTAAGAGGCATTAAGAACATAATTTATTTTATACTTAATGTTCACACTACCTAAATGAATAAGGAAAGGGCCCTACAAGGAAGAGTTATGTATTTTTTGGTAATTGTTTCTGAGTTTAGAGATTCAGGGGAAGAGTAATCCTCTATTTGTGGGCTCTTCTTAGCATCCCTAACCCCCAAGGAGATAGTACATGGTTTTGACTTGGTTATTTCACTCCTGCATTCTTTTTCCCCCAAATTTTAAGTTGGGTCACATTGTGCTGGCTGCAAAAAGAAATACAGGGTGCAACTGGTTATAATCATTTTGAAGAATAATTTGCTGTACAATAGAGCTTTGGATCTGATACAAGAATTTAGAAATATAAAACAAAATAACTATAAAAGTTAGGAGGCATTTGAATGGCATTTCCTTAGAAAAACCTGCTAACTCTGTATCATTCTGATGTGGATTCCTAGTCATGTGGGGTGAAATGCATATTTTTCCCCCTTTGCTGGATCACTGGCCTTTCTTCAAAAGCTATAATGCCATGAACACACATCCTAGGAGTCTCTATAATGTTAACAGAAGCTCCAAATACCAAGCCAATCAAAGATGGGAGAGGGCAGGGGAACCATAAAGGCGAAGGGTCCAAAGGTGGCTGTTACTGAGAACTTGCCCTTTCCAAAATGTGAAAGTCATAGTGCTTCTTGCTTGTTCTCAGCTTAAACTTGTTAACTGAGTTAATTTGTTTCTTCAGTGCATTCTGTGCAGCTGAAATGGAGGGGAATGTGGCTAAGACGGTGTAGGTGGAGGCCAAGTCACTGGGTTTAGAGCGTTCAGGGTTGGCAGTGTTGTCCCCACTGCCACAGCAGAGGGGGTGACGACGTGGTTGGGACTGGGGGTCCCGGAGCCACCGGATCTTGGCGCCAATTTTAAAGAGTTCCCCAAAAAGCTTTTCAGCTTCCATGCGAGTTATTCCATCTGGTAGTTCAGTAATTTCCAAGACCTTCCCAACAACTAGAATAGAAAAGGTACAGAATCAATACATTCCTGTTACCAAAAAAGTTGGGTAAAAAAGCACTGCAGACCCAAATATGACATGGGAAATGACCATTCGAATACACAAAATTAAAACTGTTAGGGCCATCTTTTTTTTTTTTTTTTTTTTTTTTTTTGGGAGATGGAGTCTGACTCTGTCTCCCAGGCTGGAGTGCAGCGGTGTGATCTCGGCTCACTGCAACCTCCACCTCCCAGGTTCAAGCGATTCTCCTGCCTCAGCTTCCCAAGTAGCTGGGATTACAAGCGCCCGCCACCATGCCCAGCTAATTTTTTGTGTTTTCAGTAGAGACGGATGGAGTTTCACCATATTGGCCAGGCTGGTCTCGAACTCCTGAGTTCAGGCAATCCACCTGCCTCAGCCTCCCAAAGTGAGAGGATTACAGGCATGAGGCACTGCATCCGGCCAGGGACATCCATCTTTTAAATCATTCCTACTTACCCGATAGGCAAGGAATAGAGGGCTAATAGTGTTAAAGCTACTGAGCCGGGCGCACCTGTAATCCTAGTACTTTGGGAGGCTGAGGTGGGTGGATCACCTGAGGTCTGGAGTTCGAGACCAGCCTGACCAACATGGTGAAACCCCGTCTCTACTAAAAACACAAAAAATTAGCTGGGCGTGCTGGTGGGCGACTGTAATCCCAGCTACTCGGGAGGCTGAGGCAGGAGAACTGCTTGAACCTGGGAGGTGGAGGTTGCAGTGAGCTGAGACTACACCACTGCACTCCAGCATGGGCAACAAGAATGAAACTCCATCTCAAAAATAAATAAATAAATAAAAAAAATAAAATTAAGCTACTGATGTCATAGTCTTTACTGGTAGTTGCACAAATAAAAAGAGGCATTGTACAGTGGCTTCTCTAAATTAGGTGATCTCAAACATTTTTCTGAACTTCACATTTCCATTGTAAAATAAAATAAAAGCACTTGCCCTAACCACACCACAAGGCTGCTGAGTAGAAAGTTAAAATATAAACTTGAAGGTACTTTACCACAGAGAGGCAACATATTTGTTCACTCAGACTTTCTCCCACATGGATGTAAGGACAAACCCTTTCTCAAAGAACTAAGAGGCTAAGAGTTTCACTCTACTTGTTCCTCTCACACATTTCCCTGTGGCCCCTCTGTCCCTCCTAAACCTACCTGCATCTTACCATATATACTCTCACATCTCAAATGACACAAGGTCATAGGAACATATCCAAGAACCCTAAATCAGAGATGGCAAAAATTATGACTTTTTGCAGGATTCTAGGAAGAGGAAAACCCATTTCTGTGCTGTGGTGTATTTTTAGACTGTCACCAGTTTGCAGACCCACATCTAGTTGCCCCTCAGAGACATACCTGTTTCTCCTGCTCCAAGGTCTGTGGATGCAGCTTTTTTAGCTTGTCTCCTTCCTCGGTTTCCATGCCTGCTGCCAGGCTGACCCTGAAAACCCACAAATAGTTGAGAAACAACGTTAATAATGCTGAAAAACACACTTTGGATGTTTAACAAATTAACACCAAAACACCTTTAGTTTGGGTTTTGCACTCTGGCAGAAGAAAATCAGTCCCAGGCCTTCTGGATTCTGCCTGTGGCAGTGGCATTCCTGTCCTTCATTATGACCGATCACTTGCTGACGGTCCTTCATTAGCAAGAGTGCCCCAATCCCTAGCCACTGCCTTGTCTTTGGGTGGCACTAGAGAATTACTGCTCTGCCAAGCAGCACACCATCTTCTCCTTTGCTCTGCTCCTGATGGAGCCAGTGATAATCTGTGTAAACCAACTGGCTGAGGCACAGAGCTCTTCTTGGGCAGTGCCAACAGGTGGGCTCAGGGTTGCCCCTTACACTCTGAGGGAGCTATGATGTTCTGCAACAAAGCCTAGGAGGTTAGTTGTCTTTCCTACCTGTTGGTTTGGAATGTGTCCGTGCAGAACAGCAGGAGGATTGTACTGCAGTGGCTGGCCAAGTAATGGATACCTGGAATCTCCTGAAAGTCAATAAAATATTTTATTTTATTGCCAGAGGCCGGGCACGGTGGTTCATGCCTGTAATCCTAGCAATTTGGGAGGCTGAGGCAGGCGGATTACTTAAGGCCAGGAGTTCGAGACCAGCCTGGCCAACATGGTGAAACCCCATCTCTAATAAAAATATAAAAATTAGCCAGGCCTGGTGGTGGGCGCCTGTAATTCTAGCTACTCAGGAGGCTGAGGCATGAGAACTGCTTGAACTTGGGAGGTAGAGGTTGCAGTGAGCTGAGATGGCGCCACTATATTCCAGACTGGGTGACGGAGTGAGAGACTGTCTCAAAAAAATAAAAAATAAAATAAAACAAAAAGTACTTGCCAGAGTTTTCTAATTGTTCAAAATAAGATGAACAGGGGAAACAAGTATGGTGGCATAAAAAAAGTATAGATAACTGACATTTTTCTTTTGGAGACAGGGTACTGCTCTGTTGACAACCCAGGCTGGAGTGCAGTGGTGCAATCATAGCTCACTGCAGCCTTGAACTCCTGGGTTCAAGTGATCTTCCTGCCTCAGCCTCACAAGTAGCTGGGACTACAAGCACAAACTACCATGCCTGGCTAATTTTATTTTAGTAGAGATAGAGTCTCACTATGTTGACCAGGCTGGTCTCAAACTCCTGGCCTCCAGCAATCCTTCCACCTCATGAGTTGCTGGGATTACAGGTACAAGCCACCATGCTTGGCTAAATGACATTTTAAACAAGAATTAAAAATTTCCACATATCCTTTTAAGAGCCCAGGCAAAATTCTGAAAAGATTAAGGACTAATAACAGTGGTTAGGAAGGAGGGTGCATGGTAGGAACTACATGAATAGAGACAGGATGGAGAGAAACTTCTCTGGATACTTTGAAGATATGGAAGAGGAAGAATCTAAGAAAACTATGACACTAAATCCTAACATCCCGTATGAAATACACCAAAATAACTACAATACACATGCCAATCATTTGAGGTGCTGAAATCCATATCACTCTATTATGATTAAAATCTTACCTTTCAGAGGAAGGAAGAAACTCTGGATAAACATTAAGTTTTTATCTCCCCAATTCACTATTAATTGCTAAAAATTTATGCATATAATATATGCATGTACACATTTACATATACTCAAACACACTTTAATAGTTTTAACCAATGGGTAGTTGTACATCCTAGGTCTTAAGTCTGCTCTTCTTAATCTTTAAGTGAAATTTGCATTTATAATTTGAACCTGTTCAGAAAAAGTTGTGTAGTTCTTAAGTGTCATTATTCGTAAGTATTCCCTTCCTAAATCAGTAAATGTGGGTTAATGAGGATGGAGATCTTCCAATTGCTTTCTATCACTCAGGAAAGCCTGAAGTCATCACACGGCAAAGGCTTAATAAATGCTGACTGCAAAAACTTTGTCTTGGATAATAAGGTTTTTGTGTTACATTTTCATTTATTTTAAGTTCTCAAATTTAGTACATTTTGTGTTTGGAGGAGGGTTATCAGTAGGTGCTAGGAAAGCATCCTCAGGAAACTGTACACCCCTTCTCCTGAGAGCTTCATAACAGAAAGCAGCAAGGTGTGGACTTCTTGCCATTCCACAAGGCTCCTTCCGGGTGAACACAGTGAAGATGCCTGGGCAGCTCCCTGGCAGGACATATGCATGACATACTCTTTCCCAACCTATAGATGGAAGGGCAGATATGACATGGGGGTTTAGCACTGAGATCAGAGATGCAAAGTGAAGTGTGAAGGTGTATAAAAAATAGTTGTGAAGGCCGGGCGCGGTGGCTCACGCCTGTAATTCCAGCACTTTGGGAGGCCGAGACGGGCGGATCATGAGGTCAGAGTTCGAGATCAGCCTGGCCAACATGGTGAAACCCCGTCTCTCCTAAAAACACAAAAAATTAGCCAGGCGTATGGCACATGCCTGTAATCCCAGCTACTTGGGAGGCTGAGGCAGGAGAATAGCTTGAACTCTGGAGGTGGAGGTTGCAGTGAGCCAAGATCATGCCATTGCACTCCAGCCTGGGCAACAGGGCGAGACTCCGTCTCGAAACAAAAAAAAAAAAGAAAAGAAAATAGTTGTAAAGAAGTCAGAGTTAAGTGCTACAATAATGAAATTTTAAAAATTTAATGAGGCTCAAAAACTTAGCATTAACAGAATACAGAGAACATTGCTTAAAAATTCTGGAATCCCCTAGATAAAGACACCTAAGATTTTTCAACAAAAGATAAAACCTTTTAATTCTACAAAATTTCAAGTATATAAAAGTATAGATAGAAACGCATAATGTACCTATCATCCAGGTTCAACTGTGATCACCCCTGCTTTGTTTTTCCTGAAGTATTTAAAGCAAATCTCAGCATTTTACTTGTAAATATTTCAGTATACAAACATTTATATCTAATGGATAACTCCTTTTTTTTTTTTAATTTTTGAGACAGAGTCTTGCTCTGTCACACAGGCTGGAGTGCAGTGGCACCATCTCTGCTCACTGCAACCTCTGCCTCCCAGGTTCAAGCGATTCTCTTGCCTCAGCTTCCTAAGTAGCTGGGATTACAGGTGCCCACCACCATGTCCAGCTAATTTTTTTCAAATATGGAGATAAGATTATAGTCAGCAGTACAAAGACCCCTCCTAATAGGCTGGGCTAGGTGTTCCTCCTGCGGCATTCATACCAGACTGTATGACGCATACTGTTTCAATTTATTTTTTTAAAATATGCAATTTCTAAATTAATTAATTAATTAATTAAATTATTTATTTAGCGATGGAGTCTTGCTCTGTCGCCCAGGCTGGAGTGCAGTGGCACAATCTTGGCTCACTGCAACCTTTGCCTCTCGGGTTCAAGCGATTCTCCTGCCTCAGCCTCCTGAGTAGCTGAGATTACAGGCGTGCGCCACCATGCCCGGCTAATTTTTTTTTGTATTTTTAATGGAGACGGGGTTTCACCATGTTTCAGGCTGGTCTCAAACTCGTGACCTCCTGATCCACCCACCTCAGCCTCCCAAAGGGCTGGGATTACAGGTGTGAGCCACTGCGCATAGCCTTTTTTCTAAATTTAATAAGGAATTTGTTTTGTAGAAAATTTGGAGATAGAGAATTACGAAGGAGAAAATAAAAACCACCCTGGTGCTGGGTGTAGTGGCTGACATTTGTAATCGCAGCACTTTGGGAGGCCAAGGTGGGGAGACTGCTTGAGCCAAGGAGTTCGAGACTAGCCTGGGCAACATGGTGAAACCCTGTCTCTACCGAAAATACAAAAATTAGCCAGGTGTGGTGGTGTGCCTGTAAGCCCAGTTACTCAGGAGGTTGAGGTGGGAGGATCATCTGAGCCCGGGGAGGTTAAGGCTGTAGCGAGCCACAAGTGCACCACTGCACTGCAGCCTGGGCGATGGAATAAGACAGTGTCTCAAAACAAACAACAACAAACAAACCAACATCAACAAAACCCACTCTGGTAATTCCATCACTTCTAACATTTTGGTGTCTATCTTTTCAGTCTTCTACATGTGTGGGCTGACTCATGCATATGTGTGTGTGTAAGTTTTTAAGGAAATTGAGATATAATTAACATACAATACAATCAATAAAATAAACATTCTAAGTGTTGAATCTGATGAATTCTAACAACTGTAAAAGTCCGTGTAACCATACCCTGTTCCCCCACCCCCTTAAAGAACATTTCCATCCCTGGAAGAGTTCCCTCCAGTCCCTTCCCAGTCAGTTCCACACCCCATCTCTACTACTATCTGATTTTTAACATAACAGATTAGTTTGTCTGCAGCTGGATTTCATATAATTAGAATCATATAGAATATATTCTCTTTTTGTCTTATTTTTTGGTTAACGTCGTGACCCGGAGAGTCATCATGTTGTTGTGTGTCAGTAGCTTGCTTTGTTCACTTTTATTGTTGCGTAGTACCCTTTTAAGGATATAGCACAACTTGTTTGGGTATCCAGTCTCCTGTTGATGGACATGTTGGTCATGTCCAGTTTGAGCTATTATAAAATAAGGTTGCTATAGATGTTCGTACACAAGACTATGTGAACATGTTTTCAATTCTCTTTCCCCCAGGAGTGGAATTGCTGGGTTATGTGGTAAATGATTAAAGTCTTAGGAAACTGCCATACCTTTTCCTAAAGCGGTTTCATCACTGTACACTCTTACCGCCAATGTGTGAGAATTTTAGTAGCTCTGTATCTTTACCAACATTATTTTTTAAATACTCACATGTGGATTTTGCATGTTGTGGGGGTTTGGTGTACTTATTATTTTATCACCCAGGTAATAAGCATAGTACCCAATAGGTATTTTTCAATCCTCACCCTTTCCCCTCAAGTAGACCCAAGTGTCTATTGTTCCCTTCTTTGTGTTCATCAATGTTTAGCTCCCACTTTCAAGGGAGAACATTCTTCTTTTTTTTTTTGAGATGCAGTGTCAATCTTGTTGCCCAGGCTGGAGTGCAGTGGTGCGATCTTGGCTCACTGCAACCTCTGCCTCCCGAGTTCAAGCAATTCTCCTGCCTTAGCCTCCCAAGTAGCTGTGATTATAGGCATGTGCCACTGTGCCCGGCTAATTTTTGTATTTTTAGTAGAGATGGGGTTTCACTATGTTGGCCAGGTTGGTCTCGAACTCCTGACCTCAAGTGATCTACCCACCTCAGCCTCCCGAAGTGCTGAGATTACAGGCGTGAGCCACCATGCCTGGCAAGTGAGAACATTCTTTACTAACATTTGGTGTTGTCCGTCTTTTTGATTATAGCCATTCTAATGGGTGTGAAGTGGTATTCTGGCTTGATATTCATTTCTATAATGACTGATGTTAAATATCTTTTCAAGGGCTTATTAGACATCTGCATACTACTTCAAAATGTCTGTGTAACTTGTTTTTCAAAATCACTTACCATATTGTGAATACTGCTCCCCGTGTTTGTTTGTTTTTTTGTTTGTTTTTTGTTTTGAGACGGAGCCTCTCTCTGTCGCCCAGGCTGGAGTGCAGTGGCACGATCTTGGCTCACTGCAGCCTCTGCCGCCCAGGTTCAAGTGATTCTCCTGCTTCAGCCTCCCGAGTAGCTGGGATTATAGGTGCCTGCCACCACGCCCAGCTTGTTTTTGTAGTTTTAGTAGAGACAGGGTTTCACTGTCTTGGCCAGGCTGGTCTTGAACTCCTAACCTTGTGATCCACCTGCCTGGGCCTCCCAAAGTGCTGGGATTACAGGTGTGAGCCACCGCACCTAGCCTGAATATTGCCCCCTTTTAGTGATTCTTTAGATAGCTACATAATATTCCTTGTATGAATATACCATAATTTAAGTATTCCTCATTGATGTACAGAGTTAGGTTGTTTGTAAATTTTTTTTGCTATAGGATAAACTCTTCTGTATATAAATCTTTGTGTGCATTATCCTTAGGATAAATTCTAGGAAATAAAATGGTTTCCATATTAGTTTATAATCATCTGCTTGCATATCTGCTCCCCAAAGTAGACTAAGGGTTAGTGAGGGTGAGGACTTCTCCTTATTCATCTTTATACACCAAGGGCATAGCCATTTCCTTAATAAATGATTGCTGAATAAATTTTTGGATAATCTCTTTTTTCTGTTTTATTTTTGAGACAAGAGTCTTGCTCTGCTGTCCATGCTGGAATGCAGTGGCATAATCAGAGCTCACTGCAGTCTTAAATTCCTGGGCTGAAGTGATCCTCCCGCTTCAGCCTCCTGAGTAGCTGTGACTACAGTCATGTGCCACCACTTCTGGCTGATTTTTGTAGTTTCTCTAGAGACAGGGTCTTGAGTGGCCTCAAGTGATCCTTCCGCATTGGCCTCCCAAAGTGCTGGGATTGCAGGCGTAAGCCACTGCGCCCGGCCTGGATAAACTTTTGATATATATTACTCTAAGTAGAAATTAAAATACCGAAAAAATGTAGAAAACTGTGTATTATTACTATAGAGGAATGGATTCTAAGAATAAGTTAAAGTGATTTTAATGTGATCATGTAATTACTAAACAGAAGTAATTACTGAATTAATAATTATTAATTAGCAATGATACATTAAGGTTAGGAGGGTATATGGTCACAAATAGACATGCCTGAGTGTAGGTGAAGATGCAGCTCTATGGAAAATAGAAAGGCAATATTACCAAGATAAATTACCAAGTGACTGGGAATGGATGTCTTAAATTCTCTGAAGTTGTGACTAGTTTCATGTGCACTTACCTTGCCCGGGGACAAAAGGTCTAGAAAATTGGGGCATGATGGAAAGTGGTGGTCCAGAGGGACGTACAGTTTTCAGGGTGGACAGCTGAGCTGGTGCTGGCGACTGAGCTGGTGAAATAATGGGGCTACTGAGTTGAGGGCTGTGCTGCAATTACAATACGTCAAGAAAATGGGTCAGCATTTTGGGCAGGCTTATTTTTTATTCTTCCTGATTACATATACGTACTTGTTAGAAAATAATTCAAACATTATAGAAGCATGTGATCTGCAACTCCCCAAAATAAACACTGGTAACAGATGGTTTCTTTTTTTTCTTTTTTTTTGAGACGGAGTCTCACTCTGTTGCCCAGGCTGGAGTGCAGTGGCGCAATCACAGCTCACTGCAAGCTCTGCCTCCCAGGTTCACGCCATTCTCCCGCCTCAGCCTCCTGAGCCTCCTGCCTCAGTCCCAGCCTGTAGCTGGGACTACAGGCACCCGCCACCATGCCCAGCTAATTTTTTGTATTTTTAGTAGAGATGAGGTTTCCCTGTGTTAGCCAGGATGTTCTCGATCTCCTGACCTTGTGATCCGCCTGGCTCAGCCTCCCTAAGTGCTGGAATTACAGGCGTGAGCCATCGCACCTGGCCAACAGATTGTTTCTATGCACATGCATTCATACATCCATTTTTCACAAAAATGGGAACAGACTATACATCCTACTTTCAAAACTTGCTTTTGTACCTTGGCAATAATATTGCCGATACTTTTGCATGAGAGAATACATACAGCGAACTCACTCTTTTTTCATATTAAATACTGTAACATTTCATATTTAAATAATTTCATTAGAGAATAGTTCCTAAGATTGTAAAAGAATTCCCAGATTTCCCAAATGATCTTAACTTTTATTACACTGCTTTCTCTGTGTGTGTGTGTGTGTGTGTGTGTGTATACACCCATATATATACATATATATCACTGTGTTTTTTGGAACTGTTTGAAAGTGAATTTCACATGATATTCCTTTAACCCAAAATAATTAGTGTCTATTTCCTAACAACAAGGACTTTTATAATATAATCAAAGTAGAATAAAAGCCAGAAAATTAACAATACAATAGTATTATCTAATCTACAGTTAATTTAAATTTTGCCAAGTGTCCCACTAATGTCCCTTATAGCAAAAGATAAGAAAAATGTTTCCCTTCAAGTCCAGAATCCAGACTAGAATCAAGGGCTGCATTTTGTTGTCATGGCTCTTTAATCTTCTTTAATCTGAAGCAGAACAGCACAGTCTCTTCTTTCTTTCATGACTTTGACATTTCTGAAGATTTGTTTTGGAAGATCAGTTATTTTGTAGACTGTCCCTCAATTTGGGTTTGTCTGCTGTCTCCTCATTAAAAAGTTCATGTTATATATTTGGGAAAGGAACACCAGAGAAGTAATGTGTCCTTCTCAATGGATCACATCAGAAGGAACCTGACGTCTATCTCTCATCACAGTATTGGTGATATTTACTTCGACTGCTTTGTTAACATGGTGCCTATCAGGTTTCTCCACTGTAAATTACAATTTTTTTCCTTTGTAGTTTTAAGTATCTTGTAGGGAGATACTTTAAAAAAAAATTATGCTTTTCCTCAGAATTTCACCCACTAGTTTTGTAGCCTCTAGTGGTGACTCTTGCCTGATGGTTTTCTTGGTGGTGATCTTTTAATTTCACGATTCTACATTTATCACTTTATATTACACTAAGGTAAGACAGTTTCATTTTCCATTTATTGATTTTTATCAGTATGGACTCATGAATTCTTATTTTATTCTATGGATGATCATTCATTTCTATCATTGTTTTATGCCCCAAACCTCCACTCCTGATCCTGTATTCTTCAAGACGTCCCTATTTTTCTTCCATCCCTTCCTTACTTTCTGGCATAGCCAAGATGGCCTACACCCATCTGGTACTTTCCCTGCACCAACTCTGGCAACAGTTATTTTTCTAAGGAGCCCTAGTTCCTTTTAATGGAGACTGGTTATTTACAAACTACCATTTCAATAGTAGGTTTATCTTATTCTTTTCAGTATTACACACTTAAGGGCATTTTCCTAAATGGCACAGTAATAATCAGTTACCCACTGGTGAATGTCAAGACTGTTCACAGTTTTTCAATATTACAACAGGAAAAAAGAAATATTGTACACATATTTTTGCACTTATTATTTAATTTTTACTGGGTAAAGTTCCAGAAGCATATCTGTGGATCAAATTCTACATTTTGAAAAATGTCTCCAAAGTGCATTCCAAAGAGCTGTACCAATTTACACTACCACAAAGAGAGTCCCAGAGCTTATAACTTGATCTTTGCCAAACTATTACTACGGCAGATTATTGGTCTTCCTGAATTTTCCCAATTATATAGATGAAAAGTAGTTTTATATTTTCATCTGTTTAATGGCCATTGGTAGTTTGTGAGCTGATCTGTAATAACCTTTGTTCCCCCTCCTTTTGTTTTTTTTGAGACAGGGTCTCACTCTGTTACCTAGGCTGGAGTACAGTAGTGTGATCACAGCTCACTGCAGCCTCTACCACTCAGGGTCAAGCAATCCTCCTGGTTCAGCCTCCCAAGTAACTAGCGCTACAGGTGTATACCACCACACCTGGCTAATTTTTAATTTTTTTATAGAGATGGAATCTCATTATGTTGTCTAGGCTGCTCTTGAACTCCTGGACTCAAGTGATCCTTTCTCCTTGGCCTCCCAAAGTGCTGGGATTTTTTTTATTTTTATTTATTTTTTTTGAGACGGAGTCTTGCTCTGTTGCCCAGGCTGGAGTGCAGTGGGGCGATCTTGGCTCACTGCAAGCTCCGCCTCCCAGGTTCACGCCATTCTCCTGCCTCAGCCTCCCAAGTAGCTGGGACTACAGGCGCCCACCACCACGCCCAGCTAATTTTTTGTATTTTTAGTAGAGACGGGGTTTCACCATGTTAACCAGGATGGTCTCGATCTCCTGATCTCGTAATCCTCCCACCTCGGCCTCCCAAAGTGCTAGGATTACAGGCGTGAGCCATCGTGCCCGGCCGGAAGTGCTGGGATTACAGTCGTAAGCCACCATGCCCAACCTGTATCTTTTAAAAAAAGTTAAAACCTGGCTGGGTAAAGCGGCTCAAGCCTATGATCCCAGCACTTTGGGAGGCTGAGCCAGGTGGACCGCTTGAGCTCAGGAATTTGAGACTAGCCTGGGCAACACGGCAATACCCCATCTCTATAAAAAAAAAAAAAAAAAAAAAAAATTAGTTGGGCATGGTGGTGTGCATGCGGTCTCAGCTACTCAAGTGGCTGAGGTGGGAGGATGGCTTGAGCCCAGGAGATGGAAGCTGCAGTAGGCCCAGAACATGCCACTGCACTCCAGCCTAGGTAACAGAGCCAGACCCTGTCTCTAAATGATGAGCCCAGGAGGTTGAGGCTGCAGTAAGCTGTGACTGTGCAAATGCAGTCCAGCCTGGTGTCAGAGGGTAACCTTTTCTCAACAAAAGATAAAACCTTTTAATTCTATAAAATTTCAAGTATATAAAAGTATAGATAGAAAAGCATAATGAAATTCCATGTACCCATCATCCAGGTTCAACTGTGATCGCCCTGGCTTTGTTTTTCCTGAAGTATTTAAAGCAAATCTCAGCATTTTACTTGTAAATATTTCAGTATACAAACATTTATATCTAACGGACAACTCTTTTTTTTTTTTTTTTTTTTTTTTTAATTTTAGACAGAGTCTCGCTCTGTCACCCAGGCTGGAGTGCAAGGGCACGATCTCAGATCACTGCAACCTCTGCCTCCTGGGTTCAAGCAATTCTACTGCCTCAGCTTCCTGAGTAGCTGAGATTACAGGTGCCCGCCACCACGTCCAGCTAAGTTTTGTATTTTTAGTAGAGACGGGGTTTCTCCATGTTGGCCAGGCTGGTCTCAAACTCCTGACCTCAGGTGATCTGCCCGCTTTGGCCTCCCAAAGTGCTGGGATTATAGGCATGAGCCACTGTGCCTGGGTTTTTTTTTTTTTTTCAAAGAGTTGGGGTCTCCCTCTGTTGCTAGGGGGCAGCGCAGTGGCATGATCATAGCTCACTGCAGCCTTGAACTCCTGGGATAAAGCAATCTTGCCTCAGCCTCCTGAGTGGCTGGGACTACAGGTGCACACTGCCATGGCCGAATAATTTTTTGTATTTTTTATAGAGACAGGGTTTCACCATGTTACCCAGGCTGGTCTCGAACTCCTGCGTTCCAGGTCTGCCTTAGCTTCCCAAAGTGCTGGGATTACAGGCATGAGCCACTGCGCCTGGCCTTAAAAAATGTCTTTTGATCATTCAATATCCAAATAAGATCCATACATTATATCTGATATTATACCTCTTGAGTCTCTTTTAATGTATAACAGACCAAGCTCCTATTTCAAAATGCCATCTATTCAAGTAACAGGGCCAATTTGTCAAGTAAAATGTCCCACTGGTATCAGGTATCAGGTAATTTGTTTTTGTTTCTTCTTATATTTCCCATAAACTAGTAGCTAGGGTTAGAGGCTTGAATAGATTCAAATTTCGGTAAGAGTATATCATAAGTAATGCTGTGTACTTCCTTCTATACCACATGAAGAGGTAAATAATGTTTGGCTGGCCCACTTTTAGTGATGTTACAACTGATCAGTGGATTCAGGGCTGTCTCTCTAATTCATCCATTTAAAATACCTCTCAAAATTTTTTTTTAAAGTGAGCAGTTTCTCAACCAAAACTTTTTAATCTAATATTTTTAGGATCTGCTGATGATTTTCTGGCAATTTTCTAATTCTACCATTGCTTCTGCATTTATTAACTGGATTATTCTACAGAGAACATTCCCTTATCAACTATTTGGTTACATTAATATATAGTCATATGGGAAAGGTAGGATAAATGCTTATTTTTCTTCACCAAATTTTAGATCTAGTTTATCTTTTTAAGTTAGAAAACACTTTTTTGAATACGCAGAAGTTAGCAAATAATATTTAAACACTGATTCTTTTTTTCCTCCGTCTTTTTTTTTTGAGACAGAGTTACACTCTTGTTGCCCAGGCTGGAGTGCAATGGCACGATCTTGGCTCACTACAACCTCCACTCACCTGGGTTCAGGCGATTCTCCTGCCTCAGCCTCCTGAGTAGCTGGGATGCATGCTACCACCATACCCGGCTGATTTTGTATTTTTGCATGTGCCACTACACCCAGCTGATTTTGTATTTTTAGTAGAGATGGGATTTCACCATGTTGGTCAGGCTGGTCTGAAACTGGGTGATCCCCGTGCCTCAGCCTCCCAAAAAGTGCTGGGATTACAGGGGAGAGCCACCGCGCCTGGCCCAAATTCTTTTATTAATCTGGCTGACGGGATTTCAAATTCAAGCCTTATAAGTCAATCTTAGGTAACAAAAATGTAACGTTTCAAAATGATAATGAACAAAACCATCTTACCTGGACAATATTGTCTACACTGCTAAATTCTACACACTTCTGTCCTCTCTGGTGATCACAGTAATATTTGTTTTGTTTCCACTGCGGGGGTGAGTGGGCACAAGATTGTGGATTGTTTGGTACACTGAGCTGCATCATCACCATCCCCCCACCAGGTGGCGGTGGTGGTCCAGCTGAAAATCAGAATTTAGGATGCTATAGTCAGAATATTTTAGCAACTAGTTGGTGTTTCTGAACACTAGGATAACAGTAGTAATTTTACATTTCTGAATAAAATTTTACTATTAACTAAGAAAACCAGGTTGAAGCCCTAGTGCATCACACTACAAGTATTGTGTGTTTAAACAGGCATTAAGATGGACTCTGTAGGCCTAAACATCTCACTTATCATAAAGGTAATTTGGAGTAAACAGGAACAGCTGGAAGAGTAATGACAGAAGGCATAGGAAATAACCCTAGAGAGTATCAATACTTCTGAGAAAGGAGAATCAGGATAGTACTGTGATAGCAGCAGTAGAAGGAAAGGAAGAAGTGGACTGCACATGTTAACTATGATTCAGTACAGCACCCTCAATATTGTGGGTGTATTTCAGCACATCACAAATTGAGAAGCTTTTTGTAGAAATGCCTAAGGAAAGTAATCGAACTATTTCTCATATGAACCAATCATCTTATTTTCACTGATTTCTTTATACCTGTACATTGGTGGCCTTGAAGCTGCTGGGAACTGCATGGTGAAGTGGTTCGAGGAAATTGTACTTGTTCTGATCCTGGATGTTGCAGGTAACCTACTGAAGAGCTATGGAAAAAACAAAAAAACAGCATAATGAGAGGAGGATGACTATAAACATTCTTGAATGGGCTGGGCGCGGTGCTCACGCCTGTAATCCCAGCACTTTGGGAGGCCAAGGCGGGCGGATCACGAGGTCAGGAGATCGAGAACATCCTGGCTAATACGGTGAAACCCCATGTCTACTAAAAATACAAGAAATTAGCCGGGCGTGGTGGCAGGTGCCTGTAGTCCCAGCTATTCAGGAGGCTGAGGCAGGAGAATGGTGTAAACCCAGGAGGCAGAGCTTGCAGTGAGCCGAGATTGCGCCACTGCACTCCAGCCTGTGCGACAGAGCGAGACTAATTACTAAGAATAGAGGAAACAACAGAACATGTTCTGACATAGTTAACAAAATATTGACAAAAATTAAAGGCTATTAGTGTGAAACCATTAAGTTACTGCTGTATTTTTGAACAGTTAGTTTTTTTTTTTTTTTTTTTTGAGACAGAGTTCTGCCCTGTCACCCAGGCTGGAGAGCAGTGGTACGATCTCAGTTCACTGCAACCTCTGCCTCCAGGCTTCAAGCAATTCTCCTGCCTCAGCCTCCCAAGTAGCTGAGATTACAGGTGTCTGCCACCACACCCGGCTACTTTTTGCATTTTTAGTAGAATGGGGTTTTGCCATTTTGGCCAGGCTGGTCTTGAACTCGTGACCTCAAGTGATCCTCCTGTCTCAGCTTCCCCACATGCTGGAATTACAGGTGTGAGCCACTGCACCTGGCCTGAGCAGTCTTTCAGACTCAAATTAATATGGGGTTTGTCATAACATTATCTCTGAAGTTTTTTCTAGAATTTTTTTATAATAGTTAAAAACCACAGAATGATACTATTCTGAGAATTCATGAGTAACTGAGAGCCATAATTTATATCTAAAACTCTATTGTCTTTGTCATTTTAAAAAGCTGTCTTACAAAAACAGTATTTCTTAATTTAGTTGGAATAACTTTTTGCACCTGTGTCTCGTATAATTGCATTAAACTTTATACAAAACTACTGAATTACAGAGAATACAGGAAGACATGTTAAATGACAGTATGATGACGCAATCGGTAAAATCCAGAATATGGGAAACTCTAAGACAAATGTGTAAAAACATAAGCAATATTTGCGGGGCAGAAGGAAATACAAATATTAACTGGATATTTGATGTAATTAATGAATTAACCTCAATATTTTAAGATATAAAATGATATTATGTGGGATTTAAAAAATCCTTCAGGGATACATATGCTGAAATACTCATGGATATGAAATACTATGATGCCTGGGATTTATTTCAAACTAATATTGGAGGGAGAAGAGGCAGAGATTTATATGAAAACAGATTAGTAATTACATAATTGGTGATGGGCATATATGGGTTCAGTATACTTCTGTTTATATTTATATATGTTTACAGATTTCCATAATAAAAAGTTAATTCTGTCTTTCAGGCTGACAGTTAATAAGAATTAGTAAAGCTTTATGCCTTTTTAGGGGCAGTAACTCAGAGCGGTTCAATAAAAGGGAAAAAGAGATATAAAGGGAGGATTTAATAGAAAGTGATTTTGGATCATAAGTGAAAACAGTACTTTCTGAAATTTATGTTAATTATGGTTGTAATGTGTAATATAAGTATTAGCTACCTGTGGAAATAATACAGCTTAAGTCTGTAAATGTGCCGAAATTGAGGAAAACAGAAAGGTCCCCAGAGGTGGAAGGTTTTTTAGGCTCTGTTCTAACCCATGTGAACAGCTCTCCTGAGCCATGCCCCTCACTCTGATCTTGTTTGCTAAGGTCTGAGACATGTGGGTGAAAGCAAGCCATCCTGCAAAGGGAAGGGAATACTCAGGTCGGTCACTGAAGTAAGCAATATAGCCCATACTCTACTAAATTACAAACTGCGATTTCATTTTACCACTCTAGTGGGTTTCTAGCACTAGATTACCCGTTAGGTAAATGAGTAAGAATCAAGTTTTAGAATTATGTAAATGAGTTCCAGGCCTCTACTTATCTTCTGAGAGACGTATAGATAATTCAAGGGACATAGACTAGGCAATGAGACACCCTCTTAAATCACTTAAACACTTTAGAAAAAAGAAAGCACAGAAGTCAGTATTTACACTCTCTCTTTAAAAATACAAATATATTATACCAGAGATGAATCAGTTCTATAGTAATTTCACAAGTTTCTCCTCCTTTGGAAGACAGGAGGGAAAGAAGGACTTTTAAAGTAAAGCACCAGGCCTAGTCATTCAAAGTTGATATCCTACCCTTTAACAGAAAAATGAAACATCAATCTCAAATAATCCCATTTATCCCCAAACTTCCTGAAAAGTCCTGACATAAAACTATGAATGGGCCAGCCCCCCGCCCAGCCAGCCGCCCCGTCCAGGAGGGAGGTGGGGGGGTCAGCCCCCCGCCCGGCCAGCCGCCCCGTCCGGGAGGTGAGGGGCGCCTCTGCCCGGCCGCCCCTACTGGGAAGTGAGGAGCCCCTCTGCCCGGCCACCACCCCGTCTGGGAGGTGTACCCAACAGCTCATTGAGAACGGGCCATGATGACAATGGCGGTTTTGTGGAATAGAAAAGGGGGAAAGGTGGGGAATAGATTGAGAAATCGGATGGTTGCTGTGTCTGTGTAGAAAGAGGTAGACATGGGAGACTTTTCATTTTGTTCTATACTAAGAAAAATTCTTCTGCCTTGGGATCCTGTTGATCTATGACCTTACCCCCAACCCTGTGCTCTCTGAAACATGTGCTGTGTCCACTCAGGGTTAAATGGATTAAGGGCGGTGCAAGATGTGCTTTGCTAAACAGATGCTTGAAGGCAGCAGGCTCGTTAAGAGTCATCACCACTCCCTAATCTCAAGTACCCAGGGACACAAACACTGCGTAAGGCCGCAGGGTCCTCTGCCTAGGAAAACCAGAGACCTTTGTTCACTTGTTTATCTGCTGACCTTCCCTCCACTACTGTCCTATGACCCTGCCAAATCCCCCTCTGCGAGAAACACCCAAGAATGTTCAAAAAAAACAAAAACAAAAACAAAAACAAAAACAAAACTATGGATATGTAAACTAAAAAAAAAAATCAAAATATCCACTTTCAACTGTATTAAGGCCACTGCAATAAAAATTATTACCAATATTTTTTTCCTGTTTAGGAGCTGCCTCTTCTCTACGTAAGGTAGAGCCAGACAAACTGCTGTGAAATGCTTCTACAAGATCACTGGAGATTGATGAAAGACATTATAGGATATCCCACAGGTTTCTTCTGAGTTTTTTTTTTTTTTTTTCGAGATGGAGTCTCCCTTTGTCACCCAGGCTGGAGTGCAGTGGCGCAATCTTGGCTCACTGCAAGCTCCGCCTCCCGGGTTCATACCATTCTCCTGCCTCAGCCTCTCGAGTAGCTGGGACTACAGGTGCCCGCCACCACGCCCGGCTAATTTTTTGTATTTTTAGTAGAGACGGGGTTTCACCATGTTAGCCAGGATGGTCTCGATCTCCTGACCTCGTGATCCGCCAGCCTTGGCCTCCCAAAGTGCTGGGATTGCAGGCGTGAGCCACTGTGCCCGGTCCTTCTTCTGAGTTTTTTTACAGTGCTCATCTTATTCCTTTAACATTATAGGGTAATTCAGAGAAATTCCCCTTCTCTCCAGTTAATTAGTTATTCATTCTTACCATGTTTTGGAATTGAAGCCATGATAAAAAAAATGACAAATATAATGTATTTTTAAAGTTAGAAACTTACTTTATCAAAGTGTGATTTTATTTATTTATTTATTTTAAACAGACAAGGTCTCACTCTATTCCTCAGGCTGGAATGCAGTGGTGTTATCATAGGTTACTGAAGCACTGAACACTTGGGCTCAAGTGATCCTCCTGCCTCAGCCTCCCGAGTAGCTAACTACAAGCGCCCACCACTGCTTAATATCAAGCAATATCAATGCTTGATATTAAGATATATTCACTAGATCTTGCAAATTCAAGTGACAGTACATTGCTATTTTAATGCCTTTGACATTTAATACCTGACCTAGGGCAAAGCACCATGTATTTGGGTGTCAGAAGGGAGCACAGGGCTGTGTTCCAACTCTACTTGTTATTCGTTATATGAGTCTGAACATGTTATTTGAACTTCAGCTCTTTCATCAACAAACATGCCATTAGCACTTAAACATGCAATTAGCACTTGCCTTACCAAACTATGATGAAAGATTTGGCCAAATAATTCAAAGTGTAAACAGCCAAACATAAAAATGTACAACTTCATTAATAATCACAGAGCCAAATTAATACATGTTGCCATTTATGAAATGTGAAAACAGTAAAGCGGAGTCAGTACATATTGGGACTGTGAATCAAAGATTTTGGCAAAATGTACCATGGACCTTAATAACAGTCACATCCTTTAACCTACTAATTCCCTTCTAAGGACTCATGCCAAGGGAGTAATTAAAATTGCTTACAAGATGGTTCAATAAAGTAAAAAGATACGACCTAAATGTTCTGCAATAGGGTAAATATATTATTGTATATTCATAAAATGTAAGAGTATGATCATTAAATTATATTAATGAATTTTTAATAGGATGAAAAAATTTTTACTATGACCAATAAGTGAAATATATACAGTAAGATTTCAGCTACATTAAAACTCTGTAAGAGGCTGGGTGTGGTGGCTCATGCCTGTAATCCTAGCATCTGGGGAGGCCGGGGAGGACGGCTCACTTGAGGTCAGGAGTTTGAGACTAGCCTGAAACCCTATCTCTGCTAAAAATACAAAAACTAGCTGGGTGTGGTGGTGCATGACTGTAATCCCAGCTACTTGGGAGGCTGAGGCAGAAGAATCACTTGAACCCGGGAGGCAGAGGTTGCAGTGAGCCGAGATGGCACCACTGCAGTCTGGCCTGGGCGAAAGAGACTCTGTCTCAAAAAAAAAAAAAAAGCATGCATGCATTTTGTAATTATAAACAATACTTTAAAATGCTTTTTGAAAACTGAAAAGTTTAGCTTTTAAATGTTATAGTAGAAAGTTAATTTCAATGAAACAATTTGAATCTGCTTCAGAAAACTTCAGCAGATGTCAGAGTATGGCCATTTGAAGATGTTTATGCTGATATTCTGCAATATAAACCTTCAGTTCAGCCGGGTGTGGCGGCTCATGCCTGTAATCCCAGCACTCTGGGAGGCTGAGGCAGGCGGATCACTTGAGGTCAAGAGTTCGAGACCAGCCTGGTCAGCATGGTGAAACCCATTTCTACTAAAAATACAAAAATTAGCTGGGCGTGGTGGTGGGTGCCTGTAATCCCAGTTATTCAGGAGGCTGAGGCAGGAGAACTGCTTGAGCCTAGGAGGCGGAGGTTGCAGTGAGCTGAGATCACACCACTGCACTCCAGCCTGGGCAACAGAGCAAGACTCTGTCTCTAAATAAATAAATAAATGAATAAATAACCAATTCATTTGCAGGTCAGATGCTCAACTAGGCTTGTAGTCTCTGGAAGAAAACACCAACTTTCTGCCTCATAAGCTTTCTCAAAGTCATAGTAATTTCCATTTTATATATATTTTTTGTGGTGAGGGTATATATACCTAGTATAATATAAACTTTCAATTAATCAGAATTTGACTATATGCTCAATTAATGAAAATAAATGTCAAAATCTTTAATGTGTCATTTTTTGGGTTTTCCTTTAAATGCTAATAGCTGATTTATCTGGGCTTTCTGGTTAAATGCTCATATTTATAAAAGCATTAATTTATAGCTCATCTATTCCCTAATGTGAGCCATTAAAAAAAAACTGAATTTGACTAAAAAATGAAGTATTAAAAAAAGGGAGTGGGGACGCCTGCCCTAAGATTGTTGCTTTCATAGAGCATTGAATGTAGCTTTGTGTTTCTTGGCAGCTAAGATAAAATGGTGAGCCCAGGGATTATATAACTGCCAGGATGATAAGGAAAGCAAGCAGTTAGGCCACTGGCAGGTGCTGGATTGCAGAATATCATAATTGTATTCTAAAATAAATTTACAGCATGCAGTTAATTATAGAGAAATCCAGCCTTCCAGTATCACATATAAAACATACTTCATGTTTTACTAGGAAACTTAGAAGCTGGGCTGGAAATCTTGCCCAAAGAGGATTATTTCCCATTTAATAAATAGGTAGGATGCAGAAGTACCTGCAAGAAGGGCTAATATATTCCTTAAAAAGGAGCTCTGAACTTTTTAAGTACTTAAACAAGTATTTGCATGAAACCTAAAAAAGAGTCTACATTATATATTTAATGGAAAAGATGCCTTCGGCTTGAGAAATTGGAGGGTAGGTATCATAAACACAATTCACCACAAAGATGTCTCTGATGCTCCTGGAGAATGACTGATCTTGAGATGGGGCATATTCTGACCAGCGCATTAGGATGAACCAGCCATCATCAAGCAGCGTATTAGCAGATCTGTTAGAGACAGCACTTTAGTGGGTCAATGAAGTGATAGAAAACACCTGCTAAACAATAATTTCAGTTTTAGTATAGTTGATTCTATGCTGCTCTCTTTTGCCACCTCTTAAGTCTGTTCCTAGACTGAGATCTCTTTACTCTATATGTTTTTCTTTTTTTTGAGTCAGGAGTCCTGCTCTGTCACCTAGGCTGGAGTGCGATCTCGGCTCGCTGCAACCTCCACCTCCCAAGTTCAAGTGATTCTCTTTCCTCAGCCTCCCGAGTAGCTGGGATTACAGGCACACATCACCATGCCTGATATTTTTTTTTTTTTTTTTTTTGAGACGGAGTCTTGCTCTGTCGCCCAGGCTGGAGTGCAGTGTCATGACCTCGGCTTACTGCAAGCTCTGCCCTCCTGGGTTCACGCCATTTTCCTGCTGTAGCTGGGACTACAGGTGCCTGCCACCATGCCCGGCTAATTTTTTTGTATTTTTAGTAGAGATGGGGTTTCATCGTGTTAGCCAGGATGGTCTCGATCTCCTGACCTTGTGATCCGCCAGCCTTGGCCTTCCAAAGTGCTGGGATTACAGGTGTGAGCCACCACACCCGGCCATTTTTTTGTATTTTTTAGTACAGACGGGGTTTTGCCATGTTGGCCAGGCTGGTCTCAAAACTCCTGACCTCAGGTCATCTAACCACCTTGGCCTCCAAAAATGCTGGGATTACCAGCATGAGCCACTGCGCCCAGCCTTTTTTTTTTTTTTTTTTTTTTTCCCCCTGAGACAACGTCTTGCTCTGTCGCCCAGGGTGGAGTGCAGTGGTGCAATCATAGCTCACTGCAATCTCAAACTCCTGGCTCAAGCCACTGTATGTACATACCACATTTTCTTTATCCACCTGTTGATAGACACTTGAGTTGCTTCCACCTCAGGGTTTCTTTCTGAGGGTGATGAAAATGTTTTAAAATTGACCACGGTGATGGTTGCACACATTTGGAAATACACTAAAAGCTACTGAAATGTACATGTTAAGTGAATTGTATAGTATATAAATTATATCTCAATAGAGCTGTTTAAAAACAAGATAAATAAGCACATGGCAGAATGAATAAAAATGGTGCACACAGTAGTCACCCCTTATCTGTGGTTTTGCTTTCCTTGGTTTCAGTTACCCTCAGTCAACCATGGTCCAAAAGTATTAAAAATGCCAGAAATAAACACTTTATAAGTTTTAAATTGCATGTCATTATGAGTAGCATGAAGAAATCTCATGGTGTGCTGCCCAAGATGTGAATCATCCCTTTGCCCAGCATATCCATGCTGCCTGTTAGTCATGGACACTCTTTGCTCCTGACATTTAGCTATCAACACTGTCACGACTTGATGATCTAGATCACCTGAATCAAATGATCCTCCTCCTGACATCCTGTTGGAGAGTCAACAGTAGCCAAACATTATGTCACAACGCCTACAATCATTCACCTCACCTCACTTCATCTCATCACATATGCATTTCATCATCTCACATCACCACAAGGATGAGTACATTTATATGTATGCATGTGTATATATTTACTTTATTATTATTTTTTGGAGATAGGGTCTTGCTCTGTGACCCAGGAGTGCAGTGTTAAGATTGTAGCTCACTGTAACCTTGAACTCCGGGGTGCAAGTGATCCTATCAGGTCAGTCTCCCAAGTAGCTAGGACTACAGGTGTGCACCACTGCACCTGGCTAATTTTTATAGTTTTTTTTTTTTTTTTTTTTTGGTAGAGATGAGGTCTTGTTATGTTGCCCAAGGCTGCTCTCAAACTACTGGCCTCAAGCGATTCTCCCATCTCTGTGTCCCAAAGTGTTGGGATCACAGGCGTGAGCCACTGTGCCAGGCCAATGTACAATATTTTGAGAGACCACATTCCTGTAACTTTTCTTACAGTATATTGTTATCATTGTTCTATCATTAGTTATTAATCTATCACTGTGCCTAATTTATAAATTAAAACTTTATCGGAGGCATGTATGTATAGGAAAAAACATAGTACATACAGGGTTCAATTCCATGGTTTCAGGCATTCACTGGGAGATCCTGGAACATATACCCTCTGGATAAGGGGGACTACTGTACATGAAAAGTATTTACAAAATCCTGTTGTATGAAATCACCCACAAAAGGTCGAGACTTAGGAAAATTAATAGCATGGGAAATTCCACATGAAAATAAACTGCCATCATGTGTCTTTTCTCTTTATGTTTTTGTAAATATTTCATGGCTGCTATTTCAAATTATTTTTTAGATGGGAGAATAGGAACAAGTGTATTCTTCTCAAGCAATAATTGATTCATTTGAAAAGCAAGTCATACATCTACTACAGCTTTTAGTGACTACTAGAAGCGATGTCTTTGAAAATTTATGAACAGTTGTCAAGGTGTGTTAAGTCATTTGGTTTTCTGCCTTTTTAAACCACCCTACATCTTATTGTCAATGGCAGTTAAGCAAGCTTCCTGAACTTAATAATATTACTTAATAGACATGTGCTCTATTCACTTAAAATGCTGTAAGTCATCAATAAAATCCATTTGTGAACTATAGCAGCCTGAATATCAAACATTTATTCTTCTGAATTGAAGATACTGGAGCAATTAACACAGAACAAACACCTTTAAAACTCACTGGTCCCACTATCTGAGAAACGGTCTGTGACAACTAAGTAAATCTCACTATGACTTAAGCTAAACTTAATCAGCCTAGCAGAAAAATAAATGGAGAAGAAAATTTAAACTATTCAAAGGTTACCAGGTTACTCCATGTTTTTTTTTTTGCATCTTTTTATTTGGATTCTTATGTTAATAATAGCACTGTTATAATTTGTTTAGCCACAATTTAAATTCTGGGGTGGATTATCTTTGTGATAAAATTTTAGAGGTAGAATTTAAAAGTACAGCAATTTTGCATTTTGTTAAATATCCCGACTGATTTATAGAAAAATGGGCTTGATATGCCTAGCAACCAGTAATGTTTAAACGTCTCTATGCACAGTATTGCTAACTATATGTTTTAGCCTACTTTTTGTGTTCAAGTTGCCTTAATTCTCATTTTTTGGATTGCTGGTAAGACAACATTTTCCCATGTGAAAACTTACTATCAGTTTTCTTCGAGTAACAATTTATCTCTATGGATTATTTACTTGTAGTCTCACTGTTACCATCTTAGAACATAGAGAAGTGATAAAAATGTTCTATATAATAAGCTTTTATTAGGCATACTTGTCACATTTCCCCTGTATCTTGCTTCTTTCCTTTGAATATTAGTCTTAATATAGCTGTAATGGATTTCTACATTTACAAAACTTTAGAACATTCTTCTACTCTGATAATGTACTTGATATCTTGACTAATTCACTGAGAAAAGCAAAGCAATCAGAAGAGAATTTCTCTTGCTGCCATATCTATCCATCTACCCATATCTGTATCCTTATACTCTCCTTGTCCTCGTTTACTGCCCATGAAATCCTCTGCACTGTTATCTAAGGCTAACCCGCTTCCATTTTTGTGGTGGCTCTCACCCTCCCTGGGGACCTTACAACTCTCTCTCTTGTCCCTTGCAGAGGCAAATCTTCTGTATCTACTAAGCCTTTCCCTTCAGCATACAAACACATGCATCTATCTTTCAATCAAAAAAGGATCCTCTGTCTTGACTTCATCCTCTCCATATACGAATCCAATTCAACGCTTATCCTTATGAAAGCAATTCTCTTCAAAGGCTGTCTCTATTTATTGTCTTCAATTCCTCTCCTCCCATTCTGTTAGCTTTTTTTCTCCTAAAGTCTTCTATATATTTAGGCCTCTCTTCGAATGATTTTGCTATTTTTTGGGGTTTGGAATATCTAATCTATCTATCTATCTATCTATCTATCTAATCTATCTAATCAATCTATCTTATCTATCTTATCTATCTATCTATCTATCTATCTATCTATCTATCTATCTATCTATCTATCTATCTATCTATCTGAGTGTAATATTGTTTGGATGTGTGTCTCCACCTAAATCTCATTCACAATGTAATCCCCAACGCTGGAGGTGGGGCCTGCTGGGAGGTGACTGGATCATGGAGGTGGTTTCTAATGGTTTAGCACCATTCCCCCTTGGTACTGTACAGTGAGTTCTCATGAGATCTGGTTCTTTAAAAAGTGTGTGGTGCTCCCCCCACTCTTCTCTTCCTCGGGCTCCAGCCATGTAAGACGTGCCTGCTTCCCTCTTGCCTTCTGCCATAATTGAAGTTTCCCGAGGCCTCCCTAGAAGCCACTATGCTTCCTATGCAGCCTGCGGAGCTGTGAGCCAATTAAACCTCTTTTCTTTATAGATTACTCAGTCTCAGGCATTTCTTTATAGCAATGCGAGAACAGACGAATATAGAGTGCTTAGAAATATATTACAGTTTAAATTAAGTATAATAACAAAATAATTATCTATGTAACTTCATTCAGATTGGGAAACAGAACATTGCTAGTATCTTAGAAGCATCCCTGCCTTGGCTGGGTGCGGTGGCTCATGCCTGTAATCCCAGCACTTTGGGAGGCTGAGGAGGGCGGATCACGAGGTCAGGAGATTGAGACCATCCTGGCTAATATGGTGAAACCCCGTCTCTACTAAAAATACAAAAAATTAGCTGGGCGTGGTGGTGGGTGCCTGTAGTCCCAGCTAGTCGGGAGGCTGAGGCAGGAGAAAGGCGTGAACCCGGGAGGCGGAGCTTGTACTGAGCCGACATCGCACCACTGCACTCCAGCCTGGGTGACAGAGTGAGACTCCGTCTCAAAAAAAAAAAAAGGGAGAAGAAAAAAAAGAAGTATCCCTGCCTTCCCGTCTCATGCACCTCTAACATCAAAACCCCCTCCTACCAGTTTTGTGAAGAGCACTTACTTTTTTTTTTTTTTTTTTTGAGACAGAGTTTTGCTCTGTCACACAGGCTGGAGTGCAGTGGCACCATCTCGGCTCATTACAACCTCCGCCTCCCAGGTTTAAGTGATTCTTATGCGTCAGCCTCCTGAGTAGCTGGGATTATAGGCATGCACCACCATGCCTGGTTAATTTTTTGTTTTTGGTAGAGATGGGGTTTCACTATATTGGTCAGGCTGGTCTCAAACTCCTGGCTTCAACTGATCTGCCTGCCTTGGCCTCCTAAAGTGCTGGGATTACAGGCGTGACCCACTTTGTCCAACCAGTACTTACTTGCTTTTTATTTCTTGTATAATTTTACCACATATATATGTATCCCAAAAGAACATAGTTGAGTTTTGACTGTTTTTGATCCTAAATAAATGGAATAATAGATTATTTTATGACTGTTTCTTAATTACTCAGTATCATATCTGTGAGACTCAACCAATTGGATACAAGTAGTTGTACTTTAGTAATTTTCTTTGTTGTATAGTAGTGTCTGAAATGAATACATCAAAATATACTTACACATTCTATTCCATTTTATTTGGATTACTTCCAGTATTAGGCTAAACATTGTTGCTACAAACATTCATAAACATGTCTCTGATACCTATCTGCCAAGGTTTTTTTAAGGCAGATGCTGGTAAACTTTTTCTGCAAGAGCCAGCTAGTATATATTTTAACTCTGAGTAACACATGGTCACTTAGGAGTTAAAAAATAATAATCCTTTACAAATTTAAAAACCATTCTTTGATTGTGGGCTGTAGTTTTCTGACATCTGTTCTAAGATATAAACCATAGGGAGTACAAATCTTCCACATCACAAGATGGTTTTGGGCATAAAGGTTTTACATGTATTTTGTTGGGATTACAGGAGTATGCCACCACTTCCAGCTAATTTCTTGTATTTTTAGTAAAGGTGGGGCTTCACTATGTTGGTCAGGCTGGTGCAACATAGGTATTTGGACTTTCTTTTTATTGTTTTTTTGTTTCCCCCCGATCTCTCACCTCTGGCTGAAAGGAGTTTTTAGTCATTTGCTTTTTGAAAAAAACACTTTTGATTAAATTTTAACATTTCAATATGACTCTGTAACAGGTTTTACAGTTAGTTCAAGTCTACCTTTATTCCTCCATTAAATGCCCTGTGGCCTATCTTAACCTCACAAATTCTTACTCTTGTTTTTAATAATTTGTTAGTTTTACAGTATTTCTTTTCACTTTATCCAAAACTAGTCTTTGTTTAAACTATTAGAAAAGAAGGCTAGGCAAGGTGGCTCACATCTGTAAACCCAGCAGTTTGGGAGACTGAGGTGGGAGGATTGCTTGAGCCCAAAAGTTCGACACCAGCAGGGTAATACAGTGAGATCCTATCTTTAAAAAAAATTAAAAAATTAGCCAGGTGTGGTGGCGTGCACCTGTAGTCCCAGCTACTTGGGAGGCTGACGCAGGAGGATTGCTTGAGCCCAGGAGGTTGAGGCCTCAGTGAGTCAGGATCACACCACTGCATTCCAGCCTAAATGACAGCAAGAACCAGTCTCTAAGAAAAAATTTAAGACTCAGATTATTTTATAGTTTTACTGAGGTATAATTTATAGAAAATAAACCACACATAAAGTATATAATTTAAAGAGTTTTATGTATATGCACACCATAAAGCCTCACCAAAGTTGCCTTGTGCCCCTTTGTAGTCCCACCTTCCCTTCTTCCCCATAAACTCTTCCCAGCCTCCTGGCTCCAGGCAACCACTGATCTGTCTGCTGTCAACAGAGATTAGGTTGTTATTTTCTATAATATCAATGGAATAATGTGGTTTATATATATTTTTTGGCCTTTTTCTTTTTTCGCTCAGGATAATTATGAGATTCATCCATGTTGCTGTTATCAACAGATCTTTTTTTATTGCTAAGTAATATTCCACTGATGAATATACCATGGATTGTATCCATTCACCTGTGGGTGGACATTTGGGTTTCTTCTAGTATTCATTTTTCTTAAATACTTGGAAGTGGAATAATTGGGTTTAACGTTTAAAACAAACTGTTTCCCCAGGTGGTTGGTTTGAGAATTCTTGATTTATTATACACACGAGCCCTTGTCAGAAGGACAAAAATATATTTGTTTTTTAAGCCTGTATATTGCTTACCTTTTATTTGTATTCTTTTGTGTACCACCAATTTCCATTGGTATCATTTTCCTTCTGTCTGAAAAACTTCCTTTAACAGTTCTCACAGTGCGAGGTGGCTGGCAATTAATTCAGCTTTTGTGTGTTTGAAATCTCTGTTTCTGAAAAATATTTTTACAGGTATAGAATGCAAGTTTTCTTTCTTTCACTTCTTCAAATAAAGATGTTGCTCCACTGTCTTCTGGCTTGTATTGCTTCTAAGTCGGCTGACATTCTTAACTGTGTTCCTCTGTATGCAATGGCTCTTTTCCCCCTCTGGCTGCTTTTAAGATTTTCTCTATAACTTTTTAAGATGTTTTCTTCACATTTCTTTTGCTTGGATTTGCTGAGCTTGTTGGATCTGTGGGTTTATAATTTTCATCAAATTTTGAAAAACTTCAACCATCACTTACTCAAATATTTTTTTTCCCTTTTCTCTCTTTTGAGGATGCCTGTTACACATGAATTAGCCCCTTAAGAGCAATGATGCTTTGTTAATCATTTTCCCTCTCTGATTTTTATACTGGCATTGTTTCACAGTCAGTTTCAACTCAGTGATTTTTCTCCTCATTATTAGCCTTAGTTTCCTGATTCTCTGCATTCTCAGTAATTTTTGATTGGAGACAGGTAATTTCTGATTGGAGTCAAGACTAAATTGTGAATTTAACCTTGTTGGGTGTTGGATACTCTTGTAATTTGTAACAGTATTTTTGAGCTTTGTTCTGGACCATAGTTAACTTGTCTGGAAATAATTTAATTCTTTTGGGTTTTGCTTTTATGATTTTTCAGGCAGGACGACAGCAGCCTTTTGTTTTTAAATGCTTTTGGGGGGCGGGCAACAGGAAGCTTAGAGCCAAACAGAGCAGCCTTTAATCTAGGACCAATTTTCCTCCATATTGAGATAGTGTCCTTTTAAGTCCTCTACTTGTTGCTTCCTGTATTATGAAGTTTTGCCAGTGGCTGGTAGGACTACAAATGATTACTGTCCTTGGGTGAGTTCCAGGGATTGTTTGTGTCTGCTCCTTTTGAGTGGTTCTTTTCCTGGCCTCAAGTAGTGTTTGCAAACATATGCACCAATCTCTTCAACTAAGACTCAAGGAGGTCCCTCCAGAGATCTCTAGAGCTCTCTTCTCTTCAGTATTCTGCCCTGTAAACTCTAGCTACCTTGGCTTCCTTAAGTCCCAACTCCATCTCCTAACTCAGAGACTCTGGTTGGGTTCCCCCTCCCTGAGCTGTGTCTGGGAAACATTCTTGTGGCACTAAGCTGGGGCAATCCTAAGACTCACTTCTTTTGTTTCTCCCTCTCAGGGTTTACTGTTCTTCAATGTCCCATGTCCAATATCTAGAAACTACTGTTTCACATAATTTCTGGCTTTTTGGTTAAGGTAGGAGTTAAATCCAGTCTATATTACTCCATTTTGGCTAAAAACAGAAGTCAGGAGGATGCAAGTTTTAAAGATCCTTTCTTCAATATCCCTCATATTGTCCCTGATACCACGTAAGATGCCAAAGTCAGCACACTCCCAAGACCTGGAAATTATTCAAAAAATAAAATACACAGGATATGCTAGAGGGACACTTCCAACACATACCTCTTCTACCTTGTAAACTGGGTTGGCCTATCTCAGGGGACTGCTTGTTATATAGGTTGCTTGTGGCCTCAAGAAATATCTAAAACAGCAAGTTTGGCAATAGCCATTCAAAACCTTAGGCAGTAAAAATAGTCACTGTGGATTTTTAAAAACAATTGGGAAAAGTTTAGAAGTTACTTGAGGAATAAAAGCTGTAAAAATCTAAACTGAAGAATAATTCAAAAGTAGGTAGGGAAGATTTAGAGAATCATTCCTTTTTGTCTCATGTTAAATTAATTATTTTCTTTTTTTTTTGAGGCAGTTTCGCTCTTGTTCCCCAGGCTGGAGTGCAATGGCGTGATCTTGGCTCACTGCAACCTCTGCCTCCGGGTTCAAGCTATTCTCCTGTCTCAGCCTCCCAAGTGGCTGGGATCACAGGCGGGTGCCACCAAGCCCGGCTAATTCTGTATTTTTAGGAGATGTGGTTTTGCTATGTTGGCCAGGCTGGTCTTGAACTCCTGACCTCAGATGATCCACATGCCTCAGCCTCCCAGAGTGCTGGGATTACAGGTGTCAGTCACTGCACCTGGCCTAAGAATTCTTTTCTCCTTTAGTTCTTTCTCTTCTAGTTTTCAAAGTAGTTACATCTTTCCTCTTTTTGAATAAATACTATGACCTTTTGTCCATAATACTTCATGAACCATCTGAACTTGTTATTTTTTTCTTAAGAGTCCTTTTTACTTTACCACATACTATCTCAAGGTTACAAATGACCTCTTCTGGTCACAGCCAGTGTTTTTTATTCCCTTTAATGGTCTTCAACTCTCTTCCTTCCTCACCCCCTACAACATCTGACTATTAATCTTTGAAATCTCCTTGTATGTTGGCTTCCACACTCCTTTTTCCTAAGTTGTTGGTCTTCATTTGTGACCACTGCCTCTTTGTCTTTTTTTTTTGCTGGCTATCAACCATCTAGTACAGGAGTTGGCAAACTATGGCCTATAGGCAAAACCCAGACCACTGCTTGCTTCTGTATTGCCTCCAAGCTAAGAATGGTTTTTACAGATGAACATCTGAAATCAACTTGATGACAAAGAACACTAACTTTGAACCCCAATTAAGTAAAATGTTATCTGCCACCCAAAATAAATCCATTGTGCTCATTATTATATTTTGAATTTTAGCAATAAAAATTTATGGAAACTTATTTTTCCCCTTGTTATATAAATACCTAAATAGAATCCACAATTCTGTATTTTGGCTTACAAAGCCTCAAATATTTCCTATTTGGCGTGTTTCAGAAAAAGTCTGCCGACCTTAGATCTAGTAGGTATGTTAAAGTAAATGATACCCAAATAACAGTTACACTGATTTTCAATCCCAACATGTATTGCTGCTAGTGGGGCATTACCCATTAAGATATCTCAAATCTTTCCTTAATCCTCACTTAACATAAAATATTTGTTTCTTCTTTCAAAGTGCACCCCAGATTAATCCCCCTCCTACTGCCACTACCACAGCTGAGGGTGCCACCACCTGATGCACATAATACGATATCCTTCTGCCTGGGGGTTCTTCCCACTTCAAGTTCACTTCAAAGACCGCTACTGGACTAATTTTTGGCCTTTTTTTTTAAAGAGTCTCAAACTAATTTTTTTCTATCCTAACCTAAAATTCAGATGCTCTATGGAAAAAAGTTTAAGCATAATGTTTATTTATTTTTTTTGAGACCGAGTCTTGCTCTTTGGCCCAGGCTGGAGTGCAATGGCGTGATCTTGGCTCACTGCAACCTCTGCCTCCTGGGTTCAAGCGATTCTCCTGCTTCAGCCTCCTGAGTAGCTGAGAATACAGGCATGTGCCACCACGCCCAGCTAATGTTTGTATTTTTTAGGGTTTTGCCCTGTTGGCCAGGGTGGTCTAGAACTCCTGACCTCAGGTGATCCACCCGCCTTGGCCTCCCAAAGTGCTGGGATTACAGACGTGAGCCACTGTGCCCGGCCAAGCATAATGTTTAATAAGACAAGCGAATTGCAGAATAAAAGATTCATAAAGACTCCACATGACACAAACAAAAACAACACTGATCTTCACCTTAGAAAAAAAAAAATGGCTGGGCGTGGTGGCTCTTGCCGGTAATCCCAGCACTTTGGGAGGCTGAGGTGGGCGGATCACTTGAGGTTCAGTTCGAGACCTGCCTGGACAACATGGTGAACCCCGCCTACACTAAAAACACAAAAATTAGCCAGGTGTGGTGGCGGCAGCCTGTAATCTCAGCTACTTGGGAGTCTGAGGCAGGAGAATTGCTTGAACCTGGAGGGCAGAGGTTGCTCAGTGAGCTGAGATCTCACCACTGCCCTCCAGCCTGGGCTAGAGTGAGACTCTATCTCAAAATAAAAAAAAAAGAAACAAACAAAAACTCTAGTGATTATATTGGTGTATAGTGACTGCTTTCCAGAAAGGGCAATGGAGGTAGAATTTTACTATTTAACTCCAGATATTTATATATGTTTTATTTATTTATTTTTGAGACAGAGTCTTGTTTTGTTGCCCAGGCTGGAGTGCAGTGGCACAATCTCGACTCATTGCAGCCTCTGCCTCCCAGGTTCAAGCTATTCTCCTGCTTTAGCCTCCCACGTAGCTAGAATTACAGGGGCCCACCACCAAATCCAGCTTATATATTTAATTTAAAAAGAAAATCTCTTTACTTCTGTTTTTTTTTTGGAGACAGGGGTTCTCTCTGTTGGAGTGAAGTGGTTTGATCTCAGCTCACTGCAGCCTCAACTTCCTGGGCTCATCCCACCTCAGCCTCCTGAATAGCTGTGACCACAGGTATGAGCTACCACGCCCAGCTAATTTTTGTATTTTTTGCAGAGATGGGGTTTTGCTATGTTGCCCAGGCTGGTCTTGAACTCCTGAGCTCAAGCGATCCACTCACCTTGGCCTCCCAAAGTGCTGGGATTACAGGCATGAGCCACCATGCCCAGCCTAAAAGAAAAATTAATAATGGAGTTTTTACAAAGTATAAAATAAAATGTTAAAAAATTTGATTGCTAACATAGTTCATATATATGTATGCACACTGAAAAATGACTTTGGTGAGGTACATCAAAATTTATCAGTGATTATTTCTGGGTGCTAAGGCTGTGGTTGATTTGTCATCAAACACTTGAAATTTCAAATATTTTCAAATTTTCTACAATGACTATGTATGTTTAACCAGAAAGACCTAAACAAGGTACATAGAGGAAAGACTGTTTTAATAGACAAAATACAGATATAAGAGAAGTATTTTTCAAAAACAGAAACTCATTGAGAGGCTGAGGAAGCACCACAAATACTCGGTGTGATCAATTATGGATAAAGAGGTTTTTTCATGAAATGTTGCCTCTCCTATTCCTTAAAGGTACCTAAATAATTTAAATCCAAAGTATTACCATTATCACTCATTTTGGTGAGTTCACAAAAATGAAATAGCTAAAGCACCCTCTTCCCTTCTCCTTTAACATTTTTTGGTGAATAAAACAATTTACTAATAAATTTTGCTAATAAACACATGCCCACAAAAATGGTAAAAAAGAAAAAAAGAAACAAACAAACAAAAAAAACCTCTTTTATATCCACTAAAGAAGAAATGAATGTTCTGAAAAGGCAATGTTTTAGCAGTGAAAGTAACTTTTTTTCTTTTACATTTTATTCCTTCAACAGTATCTTTCTTCATCTATTCTGTTAGTGCTACAAAATCATACATAGGTTATCAGTGCAGATATGCTGTAGGGTATATTGGTTTGCTCAGTTTAAAACATATTCTTATTGGTGTAAAAACACTTAACACAAGATCTATCCTCACAGAGTTTTAAGTGTATAATACAATATTTATCTGTAGACAAAGTCTTGTACAGCACATCTCTTGAACTTATCTTGCAAAATCAAAATTTTATTTATTACATTTTATTTCTCTAAGCTGTTAGTAACTTCATTTTTAATAACGAGAGAAGTAAAACTTTACCAAAAGATATAGTTCAGATCGACAGACTTATTATCAACAATTATTTCAAAGGATAGCTGAGGCAAACAAAAAACTGAAAATGTCAAACTAGAAGCTTAGGAGAAATAAAATGAATACAAGAGAGGTATCACAAGTAGGACAAAAGGGACACTAGAGAAATACTAGGATACAAAAATGAGGAAAAACAGACTGTGGACAGAAAAAAGGGAAAAAGACTTAAAAGTAGGTTTTCTTTTTCATAATTTCATAAAGATTCTGTGAAACATTTTTTAAAGGTTCTTAAAAAAAGGCTATAGTCTTTTCAAGTTCCTGTCTGTATGCTACCCCTTTGAGAATATAGATCAAAGACAAAGGTATTATCGTTTTGAATTTCAAGATAAAAATAGTGAAAATGAAAGGGAAAATAGGAGAAGAACCGGTAAAAATGAGAGCATTTTGAAGATATCCAACTCACTTGCCCACTTTTGAAGGCTGCTGGTATCAAACTAATTTTCTCTCCACACTAAGGACTGAGAAAAATCTCATGAGTTGTTGTAAAATTAGTGTCCCTGACTAGTACTTTGCTCGCTTAAAGTGACAGTATATGTTGACTTGTATCAGGCTGTGCTCAATCTTCATAATGATAAGTAACAACACAATCCAATCCAAACACAAAGTTGCCTCAGTGAACTGAAAGGATGAGCTGAAAGTAGACATAATAATTCAAATTCTACCTTTCTACACAAGGAACCTCTGTAAGAAAACAATTTTGCTAAGCAACCCAAGCTAAGTAAGACATTTTTCAAAACAAAGACTCACTTTGTGTTCTTATAGGAATCTTATTCCTTATAATCTTGTAATAAAATGAAGGCTACTAGAGTCCATTTAGCATCTAAAACATAGTAAGACTGTATGGATCAAGACCCTGTAACCTAGAGTTTAAGATACACTTTCCATCTAAGATCTAGAAATTTATAAACTTGTTGATATGTAGTAATTTATAGTTTTATGTCAGGATACTGGATTTCAGATGAAAATCTACTAATAAACAGTGATAGACATCATGACTTCTCTGCTAATGTGTAAAGTTTTACTGGGCTATAGCTACTTGTGGACAGCTGAAGGCATGAATAAAAACCAGACTAAAGGGCTGGTTAGTGTAGGCCAGAGGGTTTCAATTCTTGGCTCCCACTAGAATCACCTGGAGGGCATCAAAAAATAATGTTGCTCAGGCTTAAGATCAGGGCCAGACCAATTAAATGAAGATATATAGGGTTGAAATTTCATAGTGTCTACATGTAAAATAAAAACAAATACATATTCTTATCCTTTTTAGAAGGACACTGTGAAGACAAATGAGATTCTAGAAATGTAAAAACTCTGCAGTATTTCTTTTTGAGAAGGAGTCTCGCTCTGTCATCCAGGATGGAGCGCAGTGGTGCCATCTCGGCTCACAGCAACCTCTGCCTCCTGGGTTCAAGTGTTTCTCCTACCTCAGCCTCTTGAGTAGCTGGGATTACAGGTGCCCGCCACCACACCTGGCTAATTTTTGTATTTTTAGTAGAGATGGTGTTTCACCATGTTGGCCAGGCTGGTCCCCAACTCTTGGTCTCAAGTGATCACCCGCCTCGGCCTCCCAAAGTGCTGGGATCACAGCCATGAGCCACCGTCCTTGGCCCTTCGCAGTATTTCTTGATAACAAAACACTATTTGAGGAGTGTTTACCATTTTCCTGACCCTGGGTAACATGATCATGAATTTCTTTGGCTTTCAGTTTCACAACAATGCTGTCCACTATGGTTTTTTAAAAACTTGGTTATCATATTGAGAAGCCAAGAGAAAGGAAAAAAAAAATCCCCCAAAACAGGAAGATAAACTCATTCATCATCTTATGAATCCACCAATCCAGCTGCCTTTCCATCTTTTTCATAACTTTGTCATCTATTTCGGATGTTATTTTAGGACTTTCTAGAGTGGCCTCACATACACATCTGTGAATTTCCTCTTTTTCTGGATGTACTGTATTGTTGATTCGTTAACACTGAACTGATGGCCAGTACCAACTCATGCTTGAACACACAGCAGAGCTTTCTTGTGCTTAGTAACACAAGACAGAAAATCAGCATTGTTTGGGAGCCATTTCAAACAAAAACCCAAAAAGTGTGAACAACGTGGCACTAAATAGACTGAAAAGGACAATTGTTTATAATAGAAGAACTGAAACAGGGAGGCAGCATGTGCCTTGTTTGACCTCAGATGGGAATGTGCTTGCCTGATGATTCAAACTTTTTTGCCACACTGAACGTGTCCACGAATGAAAAAGAAAGTACAATAAGTATCAATTTAGGGGTTACAAATAATTTCAGCAAATAGGCAGATTTGCAAATACAAAGTCTACAAATACTGAGAATCTGCTACACATATTTTTCTTTATGTAACTCTGAAAATTAATGTGATTTATTTTTCATTTCTCAGCTGAGTGTTCTTGTAAAAATGTAGACTTCAAATTCAGTGAGGTAAACAAAAAGATAACTTTTCTTAAACCCAAAAAGGTAGTGTCATTGAAAAGGTATTGGTTTGACGAGCCAGAAAAGAACAATGACGTAGATTCATGTTACACAGAAAACATATTAATCAGGAAAAAAGTCACACTAAAAAAATTCACATCTTACTACATTTAGTCTAATTGGGAGTAAGAGCCAAAATAAAAATATTTGTTGCTTTAAGGATAAACTAATGATTCTCTATGATTTCTTCAAGCTTTCATACTTGCTTTTTGGAGAAGTATTCACTCATTACAATGATCTGGAACAGAGCTCAGAAACAGGTTAAGTGCTAAAGACATGTGAACTATTAAAATGGATGTCACAAATCCTTCAAAGACACCATAACTGTTTTTCTTTTTTTGTTTGTTTTAAACACGAGAGCTACCCTTTTAATAAAATTTCAAGTGTACAACACAATATGACTATAGGCAAAATGTAGTATAGCAGATTTCCAGAGTTCATTCATCTTGCATAAAAGAAATGTTATATCCACTGAAGAGTAACTCTCCACTTCCCCCTCCCTGCAGCCCCTGGCAATGACCATTCTACTCTCTGCTTCTACAAGTTTGACTATTTTATTTTCTGTATTTTTGAGACAGAATTTTGCCCTGTTGCCTAGGCTAGAATGCAGTGGCACTATCTCGGCTCACTGCAACCTCTGCCTCCCAGGTTCAAGTGCTTCTTGTGCCTCAGCCTCCTGAGTAGCTGAGACTACCGGCACCACCATGCCCGGCTAGTTTTTTGTATTTTCAGTAGAGATGAAGTTTCACCATGTTGGCCAGGCTGGTGTACACTCCTGACCTCAGGTGATCCACCTGCCTTGGCCTCCCAAAGTGCTGGGATTACAGGTATGAGCCACTGCGCCCAGCCAAGTTTGACTATTTTAGAGGTCATACTGTGGAATAAGGCAGTATTTGTCCTGTGACTGGCTTATTTTACTCAACATAATGTCCTCAAGGTTCATCAACATTGTTACATATGGCAGGATTTCCATCTTTAAAGGCTAAATAATGTTCCATTACAGTACATATATAACCTTTTTTTCTTTCAGAGAGGGTCTGGCTCTGTCGCCTAAGCTGGAATACAGTGGCGTAATCATGGCTCACTATAGCCTTGACCTCCCAGGTTCAAGTTATCTTCCCACAACTCAGTTTCCTGAGTAGACTAGCTTCACAGGTATTTGTCACTATACCCAGCTACTTTTTAAATTTTTTGTAGAAATGGGGTCTCCCTGTGTTGCTCAGGCTGGTCTCAAACTCCTGGGCTCGAGCCATCCTCATGCCTTGGCCTCAAAAAGTGTTGGGATCACAGGAATGAGCCATACCACATTTTCTTTATCCACTCATCCACCAATTGACATTTAGGTTGTTTCCACATCTTGGCTATTGTGAATAATGCTGCAATGAATATGGAGATGTAAATCTCTCTTCGAGATACTGATTTCAATTCTTCTGCATAAATATCTAGAAGTATTTGGAATTGCTGGATCAAATGATAGTTCTATTTTTATTTTTTTTAGGAACTTCTGTACTGTTTTCTATAGCAGCTACACCATTTTACATTCCCAACAACAGTGTTACAAGGGTTCCCTTTTTTCCACATCCTTATCAATACTTAATAGCTTTTGATTTTTTTGATAACAGCCATTTTAACAGGTGTGAGGTGATATCTCATTACGGTTGTGATTTGCATTCCTCTAATGATTAGTGATATCAAGCATCCTTTCTCTGGCCTGTTTGCCATTTGTATGTCTTCTCTGGATAAATTTCTATTCAACTCTTTAACCCTTTTTTTTTCTGAATTACAGGATTTCCTTAATATTTTGGATATCAGATATACAGCTGGCAAATTTGCAGTTTCCATATACAAAGTTCTAGACATGTAATTCCTTCCACCAGTCCTGGAAGGTATTTCTGTCTTACAAATGAGAAAACAAAAGTACAAATAAATAACTTGTCCAAGGTCACACTGGCTTGAAGACAGGTTTTTATGATTCCAAAGCCCATTTTTCTAACCATATCATGCCACCTAATAACTAATATTTAAAGGCATGAGTTTTAGTTATCTGAAAAATTAGCTTATTGGACCAGCATATTCCCTGGTATCAGATCAGTGGGATTCCATGATGAAGAGTCTCAATGAATATAGCATGTATTTAGAGAAATTTCTCAGATAAATATCTGAGAAAACAGCAGAAGACTAACCAATTAGTCATCAGTTACAAGTACAGTGTGGTGAAATACACAAACAAATACAGGCTGGTGGAAAAAAGTTCGGTATATCAGTTGTAATATTAAATGTGAATGGATTCTCCCATCACATGTCAGACATGATATGCTCCTACAAGAAACCAAAACCAAGTTGTAGACATTTTATATTCAAAACTATTTATAAACTCAATTTGAGTGTGTGTATGTGTGCTATTTTGTTCATGTTGCCGTACCATATCTGTGTTAGTATATGAATAAGCACAAGAAGGAAAGTGAGGAAGGAAGGACAGAAACCAGGAGAGAAACACGGGTTAACTAGCATGTGTGTGTGTGGGAAATGGTCCAGTGGTAGGGTAGGGAGAGAGAAGGTTAGGACAATAAAAAACTGCCAGGATGACATAATATTACTTATATAAAATTATGTTTGTCAAGAAATTAGAAAAACAAAACAGGATGTTTTATACTAGTATTTACTAATCTGATGTTCATGATACATTATTATGAAAAAAATGCAGGCTGGGAGCAGTTGCTCATGCTTGTTACCCTAGCACTTTGGGGGTAGAGGTGAGAGGACTGCTTGAGCCTTGGAGTTCGAGACCAGCTTGGGCAACATAGTGAGACCCCATCTCTACCAAAAATATAAACAATTAGCTGAGTGTGGTGGTGCGTGCCTGTGGTCCCAGCTACTTAGGAGGCTGAAGTGGAAGGATTGCTTGAGCCTGGTAGGAGAAGGTTGCAGTAAGCCATGATCATGCCACTGCCCTCCAGCCTGGGTAACAGAGTGAGACACCTCAAAAACAAAGAATAAAATGGAAAAGAAAAAAAAAACGCAAGAGAATGTGTATTTCACTAAAACTCACCACCCAATTCCTCATATGAGTATTTATGCGTGTATTGTTTGTGTAGCCAGGAGGCCAATGTGACAGAACACACCCTAGCCTGTGAATGCTGGTTACCTGGGGATGGGGGGTGGAGCAGGGCATGATGATTACCTTTCCCTTTACACATCTCTGTATTGCTTCACTTATATTAACAGCATTATTTGTTTTGTAATTTTAAAAATTGATGAAAAATTTAAAAAGCATAGAGAGGTTATAGAAACAAAATAAAATTGAGTCCAACAGTTAATGATGTCTATGTACATATACACATGTGCAAGCTGGCCTTTGACATTTAAGAAATATGTTCGGCTGGGAGCGGTGGCTCACGCCTGTAATCCCAGCACTTTGGGAGGCCACGGTGGGCGGATCACGAGGTCAGGAGATTGAGACCATCCTGGCTAACATGGTGAAACCTCATCTCTACTAAAAATACAAAAATTAGCCGGGCGTAGTGGCGGGCGCCTATAGTCCCAGCTACTCGGGAGGCTGAGACAGGAGAATGGCGTGAACCTGGGAGGTGAAGCTTGCAGTGAGCTGAGTTCGTGCCACTGCACTCCAGCCTGGGCGACAGAGTGAGACTCTGTCTCAACAACAAAAAACAAAAACAAAACAAAACAAAACAAAAGAAATATGTTCATTCAGTATAGATTTACCAAGCTCTGACTCTATGCTAGGCCCTGTTCCAGGTGCTTGAGTATGTATGTATGTATGTATGTATGTATGTATGTATGTATGTATGTATTTATGAGACAGAGTATCACTCTGTTACCTGGCCACCATGCCCAGCTGGTGCTTCAGTAATTAGATCAACCCCTGCTTTTCATGTAAATATACTGAAATATGTAGGATAAAATATAATTTATATAAGCCACTAAGTCTAGATTTCTGAATTGCCTCTATTCATTAGCCCTTAGATGGTAATTCAACTATCTGATTAATAAAAATTACCAATAGTTGACTTCTTAAGTGATGGTTCCAAGTAAACTTGAAATATTATGGTGATTTGTCTACTAAATATTGCCCAGAAGCAGAAATGACATTTTCTGTAAAGAATGCTGCTATGTTTTAAAAAATTAATCAGTTAATTATGAATTTTTTTTCACCCAAAGAGATCTTTAATGAATTTTTTTTTTTTTTTTTTTGAGATAGGTTCTTACTCTGCTGCCCAGGCTGGAGTGCAGTGGCATGATCTCGGCTCACTACAACCCCAACCTCCCAGGTTCAAGCGATTCTCCTGCCTCAGCCTCCCGAGTAGCTGGGATTACAGGCACCCACCACCGCGCCCGGCTAATTTTTGTATTTTTAGTGGAGACAGGGTTTCAACATGTTGGCTAGGCTGGTCTCAAACTCCTGACCTCAAGTGATCTGCCTGCCTTGGCCTCCCAAAGTGCTGGGATTACAGGCGTGAGCCACTGCAGCCAGTCAGAGAACTTTAATTCTGTACATGACTTGACTTCCTACCAAGTAACTAGTCCAAAATGTACCAAGATGAGTCTGACAGAATACACATTCCCTGCTTCACGTACAACTCATTCAATTTCTCACATTGGTACTCTATACTTGGAACAGATCAATGCTAGTTTGTCACATGGTGACCAATCACTACTGTCAGCTTACATCTACCTTATTTCAAGTTTATCTGCCTCATTTGGGTCCAAGCTGCGGGTAATTCCAAAGACTTTTTTTATTTTATTTTTTTGAGGCAGAGTCTCCCTCTGTTGCCCAGGCTGAAGTGCTGTGGTGCAATCTGAGCTCACTGCAACCTCTGCCTCCCAGGTTCAAGCAATTATCCTGCCTCAGCCTCCCGAGTAGCTGGGATTACAGGTGCTCGCCACCACGCCTGGCTAATTTTTGTATTTTTAGTAGAGTTGAGGTTTCACCATGTTGGCCAGGCTGGTCTTGAACTCCTGACCTCAAGTGATCCACCCGCCTCAGCTTCCCAAAGTGCTGGGATTACAGGCGTGAGCCACCATGCCCAACACCAAAAACTTTTAATCAAGATTCACATTGGAGGTTGTTGGAGAATCTCATCTATCTTTTAATTTCTGTGCTGCAGGCTATCCCTCAGGCCAAAGCTAGCTCTTAAAAATTTTTTATTTTCTTTGTGAAGCATGCCCAGGGACTAAAACCAAGGATCTTTCCAAAGTGTAGTCATCAGCACTCGCTTGACAGCTTTTGGATTCTGCTCTTATGCTTAAAATAAGGCTCACTATAGGGGCAGGAACATAATTATGCTCTCTCACCTGTATCCACACTCTTATGGCAAGCTCTCTCACAAGTCAAGCACACAAAATCTTTTTTGTTTCAAGGGACTGACAAGTACAACAAACGTGAAAAATTGTGAAAGCCTAAGCCATCTTACATAGGTTCTTATAGGCTTGATATCCTTCCCTTATGAAAGCCCCTCTTCCCAGTAGGCAGGCCTACAAAGGTAACTTAATACCCATCTCTCAGCCTCTGCCCCACATAGAAATGATGACTTTGGCAATATTCTCTGGTAAATAAAAAATTAAACTTTGGTTCAAAAAGTAGATAAATCATCAATTTTCTCACTCCTCATTTCACCCTACTTTAGCACAGATTTCTGCCTCTAACTGACAGTTTGGAAACTGAACTGGCATTCTAGATCCCAAACTTAGATTTATCAGGGTAAAAAACTCAGATTCGGAGTATTTTTTCCTTATTTATAAAATTTAAACTCACACAACAAATGCGAAATTTAACCAAGTACATATTTCTATTTTCATTTTGTAGCAGTTTTGCATCAAAGGGGCTGGGATTAGCTAATCTTAAAACTCCCACTAGCAAGTCATGTGGCCAAGAAGTATATAACTAAACTCCCACTGTTTTCCTTATAGATAACATTTCTGACTGTGGGTAACTATATAACAGGTATTTAAAGCTGTTTTTCAGGATCCAGGGGGCAGCTCATGTCCAGTCCAAGCTGGTTGAGATCATGAACCCTTTAACTAGGCCTGCACAGGTGCCCAGAGAGTGACCTTTTGGCGTCAGAGGGCCTAAAACTACTCCATCTTCAGATCATGCTAACGCCATTTTCTGCACACACGTCCTATGAAGAACCATGTAGCTTGATTATGCTTGTGCAGAAACCCCAATTACCTCATTTTTCCAACCTGCCAATCAACTTTCCCACCCATCAATCACATTTTCTCACGCTTTAGACCACCCTACTTTAAATACTTTAAAGCAGATGACTATTATTGATTGCTGGCCAGATAAATACTTCCTACAATCATTCAGCCAATGTGAGAATTACATTAAATACAATGAGAAAATAATGTTAAAATTAAGTACCCACAAGCCCTATTTTCAGAGGCGGATTTGAGATTTGTTTTCCCATCTCCTTTCACAAGCAGCCTTGTGAATAAAATATTTTCTCTTTTGCAAAACCCGTTGTCACAGTGATTGGCTTGCTATACGCAGGCAGAATGGACTTGCTTGGTAACACAGGGATGCCATGAGAATAAATGAATGGTTTGGTAATACATTCTGAACAATGAACTAAAGGGACCCAATTCAATGAAAGATTAGTATTTTCAACACATGGCTTGTCAGAGACATTTCTGTTGATGGAATACTTCATGACTTGCTTTAATGTAGAACTACTATCATTTACTTCTCTTACATGCCTTCCCTCCCTTACTGATGAAAAATGAGCTTCCCAAAGCCTGAAATATTCCAGCAAGATATTTCACTGCTAAAGTTATACACAGGAAATACAATTTTTCCAGACCCCTATAAAAACCTTAAATATTACACTCCAACTGTTACTCCATTTGTGTGAGTAACAGAAGATTGGCCTAATTTTTAGGCACAAGAGAGATCTGACTTGCCTTTAGCTTTTATATGGACTGCTTTCCTTGTACTGATTTTACTGAAAGAAATATACATATATATTTTTTTGGAGACAGAAGTTCACTCTTGTTGCCCAGGCTGGAGTGCAACGGCGCAATCTTGGTTCACTACAACCTCTGCCTCCCGGGTTCAAAAGATTCTGCTGCCTCAGCCTCCCGAGCAGTTGCGATCACAGGCGTACGCCACCTTGCCCAGCTAACTTCTGTATTATTAGTAGAGACGGGGTTTCACCATGTTGGCCAGGCTGGTTTTGAATGCCTGACCTCAGGTGATCCACCAGCCTTGGCCTCCCAAAGTGCTGGGATTATAGGCGTGAGCCACCGTACCTAGCCGAAAGAAATATGTTAAAAAGTATACTGTATTATAGTTTTTTTCTATTCTACATTAGAGAATGTTCTCAAGTAATGCCCCTTAGTCAACTTTAAAACTAGCAACAGACCATAATCCTGGTAAACAATGAGAAGCTGGAAGATTAGGTTACTCAGTCATACTCACCTTAAATTGTTTTGTTGACCAGGTGGAATGACACTATAGTAAACAGGCATTCCTGTTGTGGGCATAGATCCTTGATTAGACTGATTAGGGAACATAACAGGCTGTTGATAAGTCTGATGGGGAATTCCTTGAGAACCTTGAGGCAGTGAAACCTAAAATTTGAAAGACAATTTCAAGAGAAAAAGGTTTTTTTCAAGGCCTTGTAAATGTTTATGTTTTCAACCTCCATAAACTTTATTTTTTTCGAGATGAATTCTTGCTCTGTTGCCCAGGCTGGAGTGTAGTGGTGCAATCTTGGCTCACTGCAACCCCTGCCTCCTGGGTTGAAGCAATTCTCCTGCCTCAGCCTCCTGAGTAGCTGGGACTACAGGCATGCGCTACCATGCCTGGCTAATTTTTGTATTTTTAGTAGAGATGGGGTTTCACCATGTTGGTCAGGCTGATCTCAAACTCCTGACCTCAAGTGATCCGCCCACCTTGGCTTCCCAAAGTGCTGGGATTACAGGAGTGAGCCACCATACCCAGCAGCCACCATAAACTTTTAAAGCATGAGCAGTCAGAAATAAGCTAACACTGCCAACAGGCTTTCCTGTTAGCCACAGCACTACCACTTTATTTCTATGTCAGCTATTGCTTCTGGCTAGCATTTGTAAATGTATGTACTGTAGGCTGATGCATTAAATTATGAAAAGGTTAAATTATGAAAAAGAAACTTTCCACATAAGGATGGCCATTTGATATAGAAAGAGTAACACAGTTTACCTCAGGTAGAACTAAGTAAAAATCAGGCAGGATGGCAGTGAGACGCAGTGGGTCATAAAAAGTGAGAGCTTTGGAGCTTAAAATACCTACATGTGATATCAGCCATCTATCTAAGTGATATTGGGCAAGTGACTATTCTGAGGCTCCTTAGCTTCTTATCAGAAGAAATGGAAACACCACCTCCATTACAAAGGAGGTATTATTTCCATTATGAGATAGCACAACTAAAGTATCTAGTTATAGTAGGCATTCAGTAAACAGTGTATCTTTCAGTTCTGTTTTCTATATCATCTAAATGAAATCACACGAACACAATTCTGTACTACCACTCTACAGTTTCTAAGATAGAAACAACACAGGCATAAAGGGTTCTTAATTTACAAATGTACCTCAATATTAGAGTTGGATTACAGTGATTTTGTTAAATAAAGCCAATGTATATTCAATGGCCTGAAGGATCTTTATTTAAAAAAAAAAAAAAAAAAAAAAAAAAAAAGAAAGCCGGGCTGGGCACAGTGGCTCACACCTATAATCCCAGCACTTTGGGAGGCTGAGGTGGGCAGATTGCCTGAGCTCTGGAGTTCGAGACCAGCCTGGACAACATGGTGAAACCCCGTCTCTGCTAAAATACAGAAATTAGCCGGGAGTAGTGGCGCGTGCCTGTAGTCCCAGTTACTCAGGAGGCTGAGGCACAAGAATTGCTTGAACCAGAAGGTGGAGGTTGCAGTGAGTTGAGAATGAGCCACTGCACTCTAGCCTGGGTGACAGAGTGAGACTCTGTCTCCAAAAAAAAAAAAAAAAAAAAGCAAGCCAGTATAACCACTATAACCACTGATGATGATGATGACGTTAATAATAGTAATGATAGGGAGGGTTAACATTATTGGGTACTTATTGCCATGTTTTAAGTTCTGTTCTAAGTGCTTTATGTGTATTATCTCATTAAGGCTTCTGAACAACCTAAGAAGGTATTTTTCAGGAGAGATGGGGTTTCACCATGTTGGCCAGGCTGGTCTCAAACTTCTGACCTCAGGTGATCCACCTACCTTGGCCTCCTACAGTGCTGGGGTTACAGGCATGAGCCACTGCGCCAGGCCTGAAGGTACTTTTATCATCTATTTTATAGATGGGTAAATACAGGGCAGGAATTTGAATTCTGACTTTCCCACTTACTAGCTATAAGACCTTAGATTAGTAAGTAGGAAAGTCAGAATTCAAACCCTGTGGCTCCAGAAACTCAGTTCTAGAATCACTTCACTGTTCTCTATACCTGGCTCTATGATTTAAAAGGTAATGACTGACTGGGTGCAGTGGCTCATGCCTGTAATCCCAGCACTTTGGGAGGCCAAGGAGGGTAGATCACTTGAGGTCAGGAGTTCCAGCCAGCCTGGCCAACATGGTGAAACACCGTCTCTACTAAAAATACAAAAATTAGCCAGGCGTGGTGGCATGCGCCTGTAATCCCAGCTACTAGGGAGGCTGAAGCATGAGAATCACTTGAGCCTGGGATGCAGAGGTTGTAGTGAGCCAAGATCACACCACTGCACTCCGGCTTGGGTGACAGAGCAAGACTCTGTCTCAAAAACAAAGAGAAGGAAGGAGGGAGGGAGGGGGAGAGAGAGCGAGCGAGAGAGAGCAAGCGACCGACCACTACTAGAGAGTGTACAGGCATAGAATACACTGGAGGGAAAGTCAGAATTCAAACCCATGCCCTCTGACTCAGGAGGTGTAGGACAGATGACTTTTCTGGCTTATTTTTTAGATAACAGTTTATCACTACCTAGCTTGTTTATCAAATGTAGTAGGAGCCACACTTTAAAGCAGATGACTATTATTGATTGCTGGCCAGAGCAATACTTCCTACAATATTCAGCCAATGTGAGAATTACATTAAATACAATGAGAAAATAATGTTAAAATGTAAAAATGTATGGTGTAAAAATTATGACCACTACCTTAGCTCTGGAATATTTTCAATATCCAGCTAATTAAAAAAAAACTATACTAATTAGGCTGTAATTTGTTTAAAAATGACATTTCTCTTACTAGATGTAAGCCCCCAAAGATTAAGGGCAGATCTTACATGCTGAACTCTGTATTGGATTAGATAGTAGAACCAGAGTCTTTGAGAAAGGAAGGCTTCAGGCTTGGTGTCAATCCTGTTTAATGCTTAACTATGGGGAAACAGACGAAGGGCAGGCTCATGTGCCTAGGCTCAAGGATGGAGGAGAAGGGGTCAGAAGCATGGGGGATGTGAGAGAAAATGAAGATGGAAAGCCCAGTTTTCATGAAGTATCTTTTCTTTCTTTTGTAGATGTGTTCTATGGTAAAGGGTTCTCAAAAGTGGACATACACTTGGTGCTCAACAACATTTGACAACCTCACATTTCACACTTTAATTTCAATTTTCTGAAATTATATGGAATATGCTTGCACCTTTGCTTATATCCTTCTTCATTCTCAGAATGTCATCTTAACCAATTTACGCCCATCATTTTCTTTGAAGAGCTAAAGGTTTCTAACTTCCCAGAAGGCTTCAAATCAAGTCCTTAACCTGTTCATTGCTGTATTTCATGATCCTCTCAGTTACTAGTCTGTACACTATCACCAATTTGTTTACATGTGTTCAGATAAAATACACAAAATACGTGTATTTTATCTTCCCAACTAGGCTATTCCCTATCTTCCCAACTAGGCTATTCTCTCCTTGTTGAGATGAATGAAAGTGGTCTTTGGAGTTCTCTCTTTTTTTGTGACTGAGTCTCTCTTTGTCACCTAGCCCGGAATGCAGTGGCGTAATCTCAGCTCACTGCAACCTTCGCCTCCCGGGTTCAAGTGATTCTCCTGCCTCAGCCTTCTGAGTAGCTGACATTACAGGTGCCTTCCAACATGCCTGGCTAATTTTTGTATTTTTCAAAGAAATGGGGTTTCACTATGTTGGCCAGGATGGTCTCGAACTCTTGACCTCAAGTGATCCACCCACCTTGGCCTCTCAAAGTGTTAGGATTACAGGCACGAGCCACTGCACCTGGCCCTGGCCTGGAGTTCTTAAAATCAGACTCAGCTATGAAAAACAATGAGGCTAATAAAATAAACCCTCTTGCAAGTTACTCCATAAATATAAAGGTAAAACAAATTTTTGAAAAATGTGTCATATTATATTGAAGACACGTGCTTATTCATCAAATAATAGGTATTTCTGCTTTAGAACTATAAATTAAAATCTGTAACATTTTGTTTTTATTTTTGAGATGGAGTCTGCCTGTTGCCCAGGCTGGAGTGCAGTGGTGACTCACTGCAACTTCCACTTCCTGGGTTTAAGCAATTCTCCTGCCTCAGCTTCCCGAGTAGCTGGAATTATAGGCCCCGCCACCTTGCCTAGCTATTTTTTGTGTTTTTAGTAGAAACAGGGTTTCACAATGTTGGCCAGGCTGACCTGGAACTCTTGATCTCAAGTAATCTGCCTGCCTAGGCCTCTTGAAATGCTGACATTACAGGTGTGAGCCACTGTGCCTGGCCTAATATCTACAACAATTTAAAATATGAGACATATCATCGCTTTTTGGGATGGAGAGGAAGGAAAAAAATCAGTCACAGCACAGGAAACTGCACATACTTCCCTATTCTACAACTACGGATTCATGGTCTATACTGTATCTCACTATTTCAAATATCTACCACTAACCTCTATTTTCCCTCCTATTCCTCTCTCCCAGCAATGAGGACTTTCTAAAGAGCTGAGGAATAGAATAAGACATTTGCTCATCTACCTATATTGCTGGAAACATAAGACAATGCTAGACAATATTAACTTGCCAATATCAATGTGTTTCAGATCCTAAACATTAATAAATGAATAATGCAATAAAATGAGGATAAAACCAAGCTTCTACGACTAATAAAACTCTTGACTATAAAGTTGTATATTACAGAAGTGTTTTTCCTGTATTAAAAGGTTGTATATTACAGAAATGTTTTTCCTGTATTAAAAGGAGAGCATAGAAGATGTATTGTAGTTGTGCACTTAATTTATTCGAAATCATCTCTACCCAAAGTACATAAAAGAGACAATATACCTGATATGTTGGCACTGAAGTATAGGGGATGACCACTCCTTGAATCTGATTTCCAATGCTGTTGGGTTGGCCACTGACTAGGCTCTGACTCTGGGGTTGCTGAACTCCAACTATTCCTTGGTAGTTTTGCTGCTGGTTGGGTATAACTTGATAACCTGTAATGGTACAATGAGTTAAATCCTGCTCTGAATTCATTTCATCTAGTAAGATTTAAAAAAAAATTTAAGCGAGTACTTTTATGCTCTAAAATGATAAAATTTTGATTAAATGGTAAGCCCCTAAAACCATCTATTATGAAATAACATTTTAGCCCAAGTTACCTACATTCCCTCACTAAAATATATTGAAATAAAATCTGCCTACAAAGATTTCTTCTACAATTGCAAAGATTATAGGGTCACACACTTAGATAACATAGGACAATTACTATTCAGGGCATATTACAATCGATTATGATAACTAGTTTCTCAGGACCAGGAGTTGCTACATAACATGAGCCCAGAGTAAATGGAAAATATGTAGGGCCCTTTGTTAAAAAAAAAAAAAAACAACAACTATTAAGAATTTCAAGTTGGTAACAACAGAATATTAACACAAGCATGGGGCTCTATGCATCTGCAGAGGTTCCATTCCCATGAAACTGTCCCTGCTGGGGATTAAAAAAAAAAGGCAGGGGAGAGAGCCACTTTTGAATGTGTCAAAGACACAGGCAAATGGAGTTATACTGTAATTTTTTAGATTATTTCTTCATTGTATGATTAAGGTCACTTGACAAATCATTAAACAACTCAAGTAATCTGCTCAAGGTCACAAAGCAAACACCTAAACTGAATGTTGGTAATTTAAGTGGTAAGTTAAGTGCACAAATTTACTTTTATCAAGTAAACTTATTTACTTAACAAGAATCTACAATGATAAGCTCTAAGTAGAGAATACGAATTGTATTTTGTCTCCTGATCCTAAGAGGATTCTTTTAGGTATACTAATTAGCTAAAGACTCATGTAAATTACTAGATGCTACCCACAAAGTTTTTTATTTTTTAAAGAACTAGATAAAAATAATCATCTAGCTTCAGAGTACTGAAAAGTTTTTACAAAGATGAACTGAACTAGAATACCACCTATACAGACTTTAACAGCTAAAGGGCAATGAAATTGTTTCCCTGATAATACCATAAATACATTTTGTTATCAGTTTTCATTTATATCCTCACTAATTCCTAAAGCAACAGACATGGCAATTTCAAGTATTGATTATAGACAGCAGCATCACTGTAGTTGTCTGGTAGCCTTAATAATTCTGCTCAGGGACTAAATAATTGAATAAAATCTAGCATCTATCTTCTTTAAAAATATAACCACAAGGTATATCCAGTAACAAAGCAACACATTAAAATTAAGAAACTAAAAATCTTGGCCAGGTGTGGTGGCTTACACCTATGATCCCAGCACTTTGGGAGATGGATGGATTGGGTGGATGGAAGTGGGTAAGCTCAGGAGTTTGAGACCAGCCTGGGCAACATGGCCAAATCTTGTCTCCACAAAAAAATACAAGATAGTGCCACTGCACTCCAGCCTAAGCGACAGCGCAAGACCCTTGTCTCAAAAAACAAACAAACAAAACCAACCAACCAACCAAACAAAAAACCAAAAACACAGAAAAAAACCAAAACCAAAGTAAAAATTCAGTTATAGTGAATCCCTTAACAGTGAAGGGTTTTTGTAAAATGATGTTATTTCTATGGCAAAACTACTTTATGGCCATGTTTCCAATGACTTCCTTCTCACCAGTCTAACTTTGTAAAAACAGAATACTGTGTATTCTAGTTCTCATCTGTAATAAAGTGATTGATAATATGCTGTTTTCTAAACCTTTATTCCTTGTGAATTTCCTATACTACTTAAACTTACAGGCAGGTAAAGGCAGAGAACAGAATAAACTTCTTCCTTTTTAATCTAACAATTAACATTTAACACTATTTTCAGTTCATCAAATGACAAGTATTTCAAATTTATACCCCAAATTCCAAACACCATTAAAACATACAATGACAAATTTCCACCCTTAAAAAATAACACAGGAATGGAAATGAAATGTGAACATGAGACCTTTTTTTGTGTTGGAAATGCCACCTCAACACATACACGTCTATTGCAGCATCAGAATTTGGGTTCTGTATAGACTGGAATAATAACTTCTTATGACAGACTTGGCAGAATTTTTGTTTCACTGTACCCTCGAGCTCCTCATCTCAATGAATCCTCCCCACCTTAGCCTCCTGAGGAGCTAGGACTACGGGTGTGCACCACCATGCCTGGTTACATCATGAAAGCTGCATGAGTAAATTTCCAATGGTATCTTATTCTTTTTGTTTGTTTGTTTTCAGATGCAGTCTCTATCGCTCAGGCTGGAGTGCAGTGGTGCAATCTTGGCTCACTGCAACCACCACCTACTGGGTTCAAGCGATTCTCTTGCCTCAGCCTCCCCAGTAGCTGGGGCTACAGGCGCGCACTGCCATGTCTGGCTAATTTTTGTATTTTTAGTAGAGATGGGGGTTTCACCATGTTGGACAGGCTGGTCCTGAACTCCAGACTTCAGGTGATCCGCCCACCTCAGCCTCCCAAAGTGCTGGGATTACAGGCGAGAGCTACCGTGGCTGGCCTGGTATCTTATTCTTTAAAGCAGCCTAATCTCCATTAATATCCATGCCCACTAATTGCCACACACACACACACAAGCACACACACAAACACACGCACTCTCTTACAAACACCACGTACATTTTGAAAATTTGACATGAAATATAAAACAGTTGATCTCAGCATCTAGTCATTTGTTACAAATAGTAGTAAAAAGGACACCATCTGGGTTAGATAAAGATAGATATGACATGGTCCCTATCTTTGAAATTAGGCAGTTTTAGCCACCATACCGTATGAGGATAGCAGTATAAATAGAGTCTTATGAAAAAAAGAGGAAGAAATTAGTCCTGACTGATATTTATAAAGGTAGTGACATTTGGGCTTGGACTTAAAGGAAAAGCTCATTCCAGCAAAAATAAAAGGTTTGGAAAAAGTAAGACAGTTAATATGTTTTAATGGGGAATAGTCATGAATGAATGAATATGGTATGTGAAGTGATAAGTGGAAGATGAAGGTACAACAGAATACTGGTGAAGAAGCAAAGGTTTTACACATAGAAGAGTGATAAGAACTACCAGGAAGTTCTAGATTTTAAAGACTGTGAAAGGAGAAAAAACACTAATATCTTAGGACTTCATTCAGAAGTAGCATAAATAAGCTAGGATTGAGTTTTTGAACACAGTGGAGCTATTAAAAATAATGATGCCAAGCACTTAAAAAAATGCCTTCGCTAAGAATCTATCTTAATTATTAATCCCTTTACGATTTTGTCCATTCTCTTATGCCACATCTCATAAAACTCTACAGGTAACATAAACATTTCTGGTTAGTTGTTCTCTCATGGTTTGCGTATGCCTTTTTTTTTTTTGAGACAGAGTCTCACTCTATCGGCCAGGTTGGAGTGCAGTGGCACCATCTTGGCTCACCGCAACCTCCACCTCCTGGGTTTAAGTAATTCTCATACCTCAGCCTGCCGAGTAGCTGGAATTACAGGCGTGTGCCACCATGCCTGGCTAATTTTTGTATTTTTAGTATAGACAGGGTTTCACCATGTTGGCCAGGCTGGTCTCAAACTCCTGACTTCAGGTGATCTGCCCGCCTCGGCCTCCTAAAGTGCTGCGATTATAGGCATGAGCCATGGCGCCCAACCTGAATTTAAATTTTTAGGTAACATTGGGCCAGCGCGGTGGTTCACACCTGTAATCCCAGCACTTTGGGAGGCCGAGGTGGGTAGATCACCTGACGTCAGGAGTTCAAGACCAGCCTGACCAACATAGTGAAACCCCATCTCCACTACAAATACAAAATTAGCCAGGCGTGGTGGCGCATACCTGTAATCCCAGCTACTTGGGAGGCTGAGGCAGGAGAATCACTTGAACCTAGGAGGCAGAGGTTGCAGTGAGCTGAGATCGCGCCATTGCACTCCAGCCTGGGCGACAAGAGCGAAACTCCATCTTAAAAAAATTAAAATTAAAATTAAAAAAATAAATTTTAACGTAACACTGGTTTACAAGATTAAACACATTTAATCACCTTTTCATTAAAATGACACTCCCACGAATACAAATCACATCAGACTGGAATTTCTAGATCACTCATTAAGTCTCTCCTAGAAAACTGTACAGCAGCTAAATCACAGATTCCATATAGTTAGCCTCAAAGTGCTTAGGAAGAACTCAAAGAAAGAATACAAACTGTTTAACTTTATATCTAGTATGTAAAGTTTGTAATGAAGGTATTATTTGAATATTTTTACTTTTAATTTATTTACTTACTATTATTTTTTGAGACAGAGTCCTACCCTATCGCCCAGGACAGAATGCAGTGGCGCAATCTCACCTCACTGCAAACTCTGCCTCCTGGGTCAAACGACTCTCCTGTTTTAGCCTCCTGAGTAACTGGAATTGCAGGTGCGCGCCACCTCACCTAGCTAATTTTTGTATTTTTAGTAGATTCAGGGTTTCGCCATGTTGCCCAGGCTGGTCTTGAACTCCTGAGCTCAGAGTGAACCGCCCCTGTTGGCCTCCCAAAGTGCTGAGATTATAGGGGTGTGCCACGGCACCTGGCCTGAATATTTTTAAAAATGTAGACTTAATATCTTTTATAAAAACCTTATAGAGCATAAAAAAGACTTTTATAGTAGAAAATTTGGAAAAAAATACAAACATAGAAAAAGTCTATATGGGAAAATAATCACTTATAGATACTCCCCATTTACATTTTTATATGTGGCTAGCCTAATTTTCCATGCAGAGGGCAACATATATATTCATTTTCATTATTTATAGAAATGGGGTTATATGACACAGACTATTTCAAAATCTTTTTTCATATAATGCTTCCACATCTTATCAATAGAAATTGTACAATGTATGGGAAGAAAGTATTTAAGTAATTTTCTTCAAAACATATTTAGACCTCAAGTTTAACATCAAACAACTCAACTGATCTTTACTGTACTTTCAGGATGAAGGCATGTGTTGAGTAGCTAAAAGGACAAAAAATATAAACATTTTAGAGCAAACTCTGTCAGCTTCCTGTGTCTGCTCTAGAATTTGGCCCCAAATCCCTGTCTTTTCACTTAAAATATAATTTAAAATTATATTTTCATTTTAAATTTAAATTTTCATTTAAAATATAATTATCTTTGCTTCAATGATACCACAAGCTAATCTTTTTTGTTGGTTTTTTTTTTTTTTTTTTTTGAGACTGAGTCTTGCTCTGTCTGCTCTGTCGCCCAGGCTGGAGTGCAGCGGTGCAATCTCGGCTTATGGCCACCTCAACCCCCTGGGTTCAAGTGCTTCTCTTGCCCAAGGAGCTGGGATTACAGGTGCGTGCCAGCATACCCAGCTAATATTTGTATATTTAATAGAGATGGGGTTTCACCATGTTGGCCAGGCTGGTCTTGAACTCCTGACACCAGGTGATTGGACCACCTCAGTCTCCCGAAGTGCTGGGATTACAGGGGTGAGCCACTGCGCCCAGTCACACAAGCTAATCTTAATACCTAAGCCTCAAATGATATTTATTAAGTTTCAGGCACTGTTCTGAGTACTTTACATATGTTAACTCATTTAGTGTTCACAATCTTATGAAATAGATACAATTATTATCCCTGTTTTTCAGCTGAGGAAACAAAAGGCACAGAGAGGTTCATACCTTCTCTATGATCAACAGCTATCAAATGTGTAGCTGAGAGCTGCACACAGCTGTCTGATTCTAAAATTTACTTTTTTGAGGAACACATGTTGAAGAAGAAAAAGTATTACAGTAATATTGTTCAAATAAGCAGAACCTGGCCTTGCTTCATTTTCTGATAATTTTGGTTAATGAAGACTTTACTGTAGCTTAACATACCTAAGTCTCAAGATAAACTTAATTACAGGAAAACAGATAATTACTGGAAATAATGTCAATCAACAAGGAAACTTTTCGTTCATTTGAACTAAAGATTTATTGGTGAGTATAAGCATGTTATTCAAAATAGGAATCAGAGTGAAAATTTTTGGGTAGTTAGTTCAGATGGTAGCCACATGAACTTGGGGGCTTTAAAAAAGAGCAGGTGTAAATAAGCATATGATTAGCCCACAATGTCCTCTCTGTGGGAGGAACAGTCCTTCCCTTGGTTTGTCCACTACCCGCAAGATGCGTGGTTTACTACTGATGTATTTCAAAGTTACACTTCCTTGCCTTACTATAATTAGATTATACGCATAAATTGTATTAAACAATTAGGAAGGGCCACTGCACTCCAGTCTAGGCAAAACAGTGAGACTCCATCTCTAAAAATATTAAAACATAACAAAAGACAATTGGGAAGGAGAAGAACTGGCTCAAATAGTGACACTATTTCAGGTTCCACATCCCACAGTTCTGTCTCTCAGCCTGAGTATTTCCAAGTGAATCTCCAATGTTCCCTTTGGGCTTTAGTTTTGCTGTTTTGCCTCGGAGGCTGCTTTTGCTCAAAAAGTCTGTTGCCACATTCCAGATGAGTCTATACAAGATTAGTCTAGCAGAGTTTTCATAGATACTGGCTGTCTTCTCCACAAAGTCAGGCTGCTTTGCCAAGAAGTCAGACTTTACTCAGCAGGGCAGTGCCAGCTTTAACCTGGACACATTTTGTGCAAGGAGAGCTGCTACGTTTTATGGGCGAAGTCTTGAAGTTCTGTGAAGCAATGACTTTTTTCCATCCACTGAGTAGCATTTCATTCATTTTTACATCCAAGGCAGGAAAATTCACCAGGTTTAAACTACACTGGGTAGAAAGCCATCAGGGTCTGAAGAACTGTTCTAAACTAACACAACTAAAATTGTCATTTAACATTTGATGCTCAGAATGATCGGTACCCCAGAAGGGAAATTCGACTGGCATTAGGACAGGAATATGAATGTTTTTTCCAGAAATCATGATGAAATGTTTTATCACTCATTCTAATAATTATAACATACAACACAGCAACTGGCTAAAAAGTATATAATTTTGAATTATATTCTCTAAAGAGCAGAACATTAAAGATTACTAAAAGATTATTGGTCTTTTTCTAATGCAGTGCTTAGCAGAAAAGTACTCAACAGGCATTAACAGGCTAACATTTGTTCCAATGAAAAAGAAAATAAAACTGGGATCTATGTTGGTTAAAATTACTATAATCACAAGCAAAACTAGAAATACTCAGCTGGAAAGCACTAAAAACAAAAAAGCCCACATCATTCTCCTAATCCAATCAAAGATAAGAACCTTACTCTTGCCTATGTAAGACAAAATCATTAATAAAATAATTGTTAACATAAAATAAAGGATCATTTAATTACAGGTATGCCTCACATTATGTACATTTGCTTAATAAAATTTACATCTTGAACTGTTCAAGTTGCTCATGAATTCCTCTGAACTTTTGTTTAAACAAAGAAATTTCAGACTGCTGGGCATGAACCGTTACAGAGTGACACCTAGAGAAGTGGCATTGTAGGTTAGGTTCCTTGTCTAATTATTCAGACAAAAGCAAGAGTGGGTACAGAGTTCTCATAGTGTCAAAAGTATAGTTTGAAGACTGCCAAGTTTGAGAAAGAAAAATCCAATGATCTGGAAAAGAGGGAGAAGGCTGAGGATTAGGAAGGAGAAGTAGATTTCTAGAGAATGAAAAGTATCAACAGGTTTCAAAAATGCTACAAGAAGAGTATTTCCAGTATCCCGACTCCAACTTGGCTACCACATAAATTATTCTTTCTTCACTAAAAAGTATATTTTAGTATATTAGAATTAAAAAAAATTCTTCCTGTGATACATCTGAATTTAATCTGGAAAGTAGAGGAAAACACTATATCTTTTATAGGAATTTACGTCAATATTGTGGGAAAGCCTCTATTTTGTAAAGTAAGAAATGCCAATAGTAAGTGATACCAAACAACAAAATAAATATCCAGATCTCAACATAGATTTTTTTTTTTAAAACACTACCATTCTGTTTTGTTAAAGGACTGCACTGTTGCAATATTATCCCATTTCTTTCAGCACTTTCAGAGGAAAGCACAATCAATTCTGCAAGCTAAGAGAACTAGGACAATATAAACTGATGGTTCAGGAACTTCCCTGGAGGGCTCCACAGAATGTTCTATTTTTAACTCTCACTTTAACCAAGAAGAGAGCAGGAAGGAAATGCAGTGCTCAGCACAAAAGTATTGAACAGGCATTAACAGGCTGATTTTATTTTATATAGGTGATCTGAACTAGCATTTGTTCTAAAGGAAAGCATTCTTAATAACACAGAAATAATCAGAAAAATTACAAAAAGTATTAAAGAAATGCTTAGAATACCCATGAATCTAAGGTTATTTCACTTAATAGTACCTATTAATTTTTTTTCCAGACTGTGCTTGTACAATAGAAGCACTGTGAAGGTAGTTTTCTTTTTTTTTTTTTTTAAAGATGAGCCATTTTACTAAAGCCAAATTTATTTGTAACTAGGCATCTACAAGACCAAATTGTTAAAACCTCAAGCTTATAATCTTGGGCTTCTGTCTGTGGCACTATTTTAGTAGGTGGGCAAGTTCAACTAAAGCCAGCCCCATGGGTGTATTTGGAAGGAGATGCAATTGCCATCACACTTGATTATCCCTTCTCATCTCTCATCCCCTCTTCTCTCACTCCTGTGCCTGAAATAAACATATACATATACAAAAACCAATTCTAACAAAAACAGTCACACAGAGTTTATTGCTCACAGCTATTTAAAGAACTATTCCATGGAAGAGTCTATACAACTCAAGGAAATCTGTGGGTACTTACCAGATATATTTGGCTCCAGATTTCAGTGGCGGCAGGTTAATGGAGAAGGGAAAAGGGAAATAGGTGGATTTGTAGGTATTATACAATGTCTGAATCTATGCTGAATCACACAATACATACTAAGAAATGCTCACAGAAATCAATGAAAAAACAAGAATAGCCAGAGCCACTACCTAGTAATTTACAAATACAAAATTCCTATTACTTGGATTGAAAGTTGTCAGTAAAGAAATTGACTTTGTGCCTTGAGTCCCTATTTGACATAGCCGACTCTCCTATCAATAAGCCCCCTCACCTGCTTACCCAGTAGTGCTGACTTTTCTTTGCTCGCCTTTTACACCCTAGTTACTCTTAAATTTGTGCCTTCAAATTCTGTCAACAATATGCACACATTGAAGACTGTTTATCCTAACAAGTTTCTTCCATAGTGTCGTTCATCAGGATCCTACCATAGTCTGCTGGTAACAAAGCTTAATCAACTTGGAACCATATGATTCTGGGTTATCTGGAAAGCTAAGACTAAAGATATAATACATTGATAATCTTTGAAGTTATCAAATGGTTGCAAAACTAAAAGTATAGTTTCACAGAATCATTTTGCTTTCCACAGGTATGCAACAACATCATCGTTTGGAAAAAAAAATTAAATTATATCGTTGGTAAGAACCGAGACCAAGTAGCTTCAAATGCATTTAGGTGTATTAGGTCCGTTTGATGTCATGCTTTCATATATAACAATATCCCTAAAAAGTTGTGTAGCAATAGGGAGAGACATATTTGACTTCTGCTAATGAGTTTGGTATGCTTAAAACATTAAGCTTTTTAGATAAGCTCAAAACCAAACTGAATTTGTCATCCAAATCTACTTTGGAAAAGAAATAAGCAATAGCTTTCACAAATTTTTAACAGGTAAATTATATTAGGCCAAAGATGTCACTTAAATTCTAATCCCTATTTCTGAGTATGATGCATGATTTAAAGGTATTACAATTAATGAAAAATATAAACAAATGTTAACACCTTCATACAGCATTAAAAAAAGCAAAAAAGCAGTGGAAACCTGAGTAAAAAGAAGCCAGGAAGCAGCTGAAAAAGAGACCGGTTCACTGTGAGAAATGTAAACCTCTCAGACAGTGCTACGGCCCCGAATCCAACAGCTCAGGAACAAGGCCAATTATTGCAAAATATTAAATGTATATGGTGAAGCTACAAACTTGTCAAGAGTCATAAGAATAATAAAAGCTACACAGAAAACAGCTAGGGCTTTGTAAACCTAAAATCTTCACTATAATTACTACCTGCAGAAAGTTTCTTTATACTATACCACACTCCTTATATGCAGTGTACTTCACAGTATTCAAAGCATACATTTTATGATAAAGGTTTAAAGTAATAAATCTTTATTAGTGAAACTGGTAAGTAATCTGATCTTTTGAAATAGTTGCTTTCATTGACTCCAGTTATTGACAGTTGGTTGCCAAGCTGTTACAAACCAATTCTCTATTATTCTACCTTTTAGAACTAGAAATGACTCACATGAGACACAAAGAATTATGGAGTTTTACAGTACACAGAGGCTTCAACAGACAACACAGTAAAAATTCCATACTTTGCAAATGAGTCCAACTGAAACTCAGTGGCTTTAAGTGATATGCCTAACACCAGTTACAAATGACTAAGGGCCATCAGGATTCTGACTTTTATTTTGTTGTTCTTTCCCATTATACAGTGCATTGTTCAGAAAGTCTTATGTGTGTAGCCAGGGTTTCTTCTGTTTCTGTTGACAGGGGTTTACTCAACCTTGTTTTGAATGAACAGTTCAGTAGTTTCACATTCATAACAAAAGACTAGTACATTCATTTCCCCAGCAGTAATGTTAGTCCTGATTTCAGTTGTGGTCCACTGGGACACATGGATAAAAGACCTAGAGCATTTTATCCTTGAGATATTTCCCCATCCTCCTCCCTATCCACCAAAGGAAAAATAATGAAAGATCCTGTATTTCTACTGCCCATACCCTATCTGGTCTAAAAATACTTTGCTCAGTTGGGCTTGTTAATTTAGGGCAAAATTTCTTTAAGTTCAAATACAAACTTTTAAACATTACTTGTGCCACAGTGAAAAAAAATTGCTCCAAGTCTACTAGTGTTTTCATTATTTGGTTGAATAATTAGTTTCACCCTTTTATGTAATTAAAAAAAAACATGCTTCTTGACACTGTGGGGTAAGCAAGTGTTGTTTGACAAGAAATACAAATATAAGAGATATGAAAAAGTATTTCTCATTTTTAATCAGATTGGGATAGTAGAATGTAGAGAGGTAAGAAAATAAAAACCAAAAGGAAACCCAGAAGTATGTTTCCATATAAAAATGTAAATTATGAGACAGTAATTGCTATATACCTGTAAAAAAACTCAAAAACAATAAACTATCATGTTAATTTCCCAGTACATTTTACTTTTCTACACTAGGGCACATACAAACATAAATGCACACTTTTCTGTTAAGTTTTTTTTTTTTTTTTTTGAGACAGTCTCACTCTGTTGCCCAGGCTGGAGTGCAGTGGCGCCATCTCAGCTCACTGGAACCTCCGCCTCCTAGGTTCAAACGATTCTCCTGCCTCAGCCTCCCGAGTAGCTGGTATTACAGGTGTGCGCCACCATGCCCGGCTAATTTTTTTTGTGTATTTTTAAAGTAGACACAGGGTTTCACAATGTTGGCCAGGCTGGTCTGAAATTCCTGACCTCAGGTGATCCACCCGCCTTGGCCTCCCAGAGTGGTGGGATTACAGGTGTGAGCCACCGTGCCTGGCCTTCTGCAAGTTTTGACATAAAAATTAATGATGAGCTAACTATAAAAAAGTCTTTAGATTATAACTTTTAAAAAAGAGTTCAAATCCCCACTAATTCTATGAAAAGGTTCAATACAATTACCAACACAACAGTTGGCACTGGCCCTGCTGAACTTTTCTTTAAAGGAAAATTTTCTATGATACTTATTAGCATAACAAAATTCCTTTCTCTTTTAGATAAGAATGCTTTGAGGATTTATTCCTTTTATTCTTCAAACTGAATGAGTCAACTAACTTAAGCTGTAAGTTAAGAGGATACTATATAAAACAGCTGAAAGGACAAGTCTAGCTTTTATAAAGTGTTATATTATGACTGACTCATAAGAGTCAAACACAATGTCAAACATTTTTCAAAGACATGATTCTCTTTTTTGTGCCTGTAGCACTATCCAGATGCAACCTGATTTATTGTTTCCTCCTTCTCATCATAACTAGCATCAGAGAAAACCCCATAGTTAAAAATATGACCAATGATAAACACATGCTATCTGTCACATAGATGTTTTCACCTCCAATCAGGCATATTTAGTTGAATTCTATTAAGTGTCATATTTTTTTTTTTTTTTTTTTTTGGCAGAGAGGCATATATACTAGCACACTAGTCCCAACCTGTGATTGAAAGTGATTTTATAGGCAGTTTGACCATGGACAGGGATAAAAATTTTGCCATGTTGAAGAACAAAATTAGTAAGCTAACACAAACACAGAACAAAGGATTTTTGCTTGCCTTATTAATAGAGTGTACTAATGAATTAAGTTAATTAGTCACACGCAAGGATATTTAAATGAGTAGCATGAAGGTACATTTCTTTATTATGGCATCAGCTACAGTCTGTGTTATAATTTTGGAAGAAAAAAATCAAGAAAAAACAATATGAAAATTCTATTACTTGAGGTCCAGAAAAATTCAGAAAATTGTTTCTGAATAAAACACCAGTGTATATAAAGCTAATGAGCAGTACCACAACCAATGTTCCCACGAATAGAGAATAACTTTTGATACCTTTTGAAATTATATCATATACTAGTTTACATTATTTGACGTGGACTGTGTTATTAAATTTTAGGTAGCTTGGAACTAAAATTCTAACTTGGCTAAAATGACCAATGTTTGTATTCAATGTTCTTTGGAAGAACATTTGTCACATGTACAATACAAGGCTAGTAACATACTAAAAAGGGGAGAACCTGTAAACTAACAACGAGACAACTCCTAAGGGTAACAGATTAAGGACCTGGAAGTTATCCTGCATGGCTATGCTAAGCATGAACTATATCTAGCACAGAAAGTTAGTGAATCATGATCACTGAAGACTGCAACAATAAAGAGAAGTATGACTACTATTCATCAGATGGGCCAGTGCAGAGATGCTTCTCCTAAACTGGTGGTAACCCTGACGAGTTTCACACAATATCAAGAGCAGTAAACAGCCTCAGTGGAGGTGGAGGTTATGGGTTCCTCAGTGAGTCACACTCACATAGTCAGGGAGCCTCCAATAGTGATAAGCAGTTAAGAAAGCTCTAAAGAAACCAATGATAAAATTCCACTTCAACTCCTAGAGTTATAAAAGGCTGAATAAATACCTTATTAAACATCTGGGAAGTACACATCTAGGTGAGAAGCATACAGAGAAATGAGTTCATTAAAAAATCAATAAGATAGTTTTATACACTGAGATCAAAATTGTTTTCACTGAATGCTTGAAGAAAATCTGCAAAGTGCTAAAACAAAAACAATGCTGAGTTTTAATAAATTTCATTTAAGTGGCCTTAGATTGTATTTGGTTTAAAAATACTTTTCACTATCAATCAATAAACTGAAAAGCAAAACACAGAAAATATGCTAAGTACATCATTTCTTTTAAAGGCATGCCTACTAAGAGATCAAAATATCATCCCTAGACTAGGGTTCTCAATCCAAGTTAGGTGGTTTTGATCTTTGCTTCTGGTTAGCCATTCATAAGTCACCTTGCCTCGCCTTGCCTCTCTTTTGCTGTTACCATAGGTGATTTATCAGGCTGCAAAGACAGTTTCAATCTCAATGGCAGTAAGAGATGGCAGCCACTTAACAAACTGCTTAAGATATTCCCAGTACAGCTCCCAACCCTTTAGCATGTAGACGTGACACTGTGGTATTTTCCAGAGGATGCTAAGATTTGCTCACTCTTTTAATCTCATTGGTTTGCAAACTCATATGTATGAACATATTCGAGATCCTGAGAGACTGAGTAGGTACTATCTTAAGAGCAACACTGAAATAGAAGATGGAAAAAAGTGTGGCTCAGAAGTTATGACATAAGAAACACAACTCACCTGTCTGCTGCGCAGGTTGTGGCAGTGGTTGGTTTAGATGTGAATTGTAATGAACAGAAGGGACTGGGCGATACTGAGGTTGGCTGGAGTGATAGTGGCCTGGAGCGCAATAACAGGCTGGCATCTAGGATCATAAATATTGCGGGAAAAAATCAATTTTACTTGCATTACATATGTTTTTCTGTGAGGAAGATCAGAGTTTAATGAGTAATAATTCTTTTTAGCACTAATCATTGGAAAACTGATTTTTCTTAAATTTAACTGAAATTTAAAAAAAATTCAAACAAAGTATGCATAAAAATATAACTAATGTGTCATCAATCATATTTAGATTTTAATTTTTTTGCCATATTTGCTTCAGCTCTCTCTCTTACAAAACCAAACACTACTGAATTAGCTAAAGACTCACCCTATTTCCTTTACTCTAACTTCCATAGAAGCCATTATTCTGTAGTTGGTGATTTTACTATACAGTATATATCTATTTACTATATATCTATTATCCATACATGTATTATTTTATTTATTTTTAGGTTTTTTTTTTTTTTGAGGTGGAGTCTCATTCTGTCGCCCAGGTTGGAGTGTAGTGCTGCCATCTTGGCTCACTGCAACCTCTGCCTCCCAGGTTCAAATGATTCTCCTGCCTCAGCCTCCCAAGTAGCTGAGATTACAGGCATGTGCCACCATGCCCAGCTAATTTTTGTATTTTCAGTAGAGATGGGGTTTCACCACGTTGGCCAGGCTGGTCTCAAACTCCTGACCTCAACTGATCCGCCCACTTCAGCCTCCCAAAGTGCTGGGATTACAGGCATGAGCCACTGAGCCTGGGCGAGTATTTTAAAAATCCAAATGTCCAAAATCTGAAATGCTCCAAAATCTTTAACTTTCTGAGTACCAACATGATGCCAAAAGCATCATGTCATGTCAGTACTCAAAAAGAAACTCCACACCTGACCTCATGTGACAGGTTACAGTCAAAACTTTACATCATGCATGAAATTATTTAAAATATGGCTTATATTACCTTAAGGCTATGTGTATAAGATGTATATGAAACAGAAGTGAACTTGGTTTTAGACTTTGGGCCCTATCCCAAGATATCTCATTGTATATATGCAAATATTCCAAAATCCCCCCCAAAAAAAACCAAAAAACTGAAACTTCTGGTCCCAGGCTTTTCAAATACGGGAAACTCAACTACATATAACTTCATGAAATTCATTTTGCAATTCATGTTGTTTTTGAGACATCTTTCTTTATTGAAACATATACAGCTAGCTCATTCAATTTAACTGCTAAACAACATTCATTGTATAAACTACTTTATCCACTCCCACATTAATGCACAGTTATACTGGTTCCATTCTTTAATTTTTCTCATACAGTCATGTATCACAAAGTGACATTTTGGTCAATGATAGATTGCATATATGATGGTGGCCCCCTAAGATTATAAAGGAGTTGAAAAATTCCTATCACCCAGTGATGTCATAGCACAATACATCACTCACATGTCTGTAGTCCTACTGTGCTAGCAGTTGTTTAAAAGTATAGCAGACAGTATATAAATAAGACTTGGTAATGATAATAAATGGCTGTTATTGGTTTATGTATTTACAATATTTTTAACTATTATTTCAGAATGTAGTCCTTCTGGGCTGGGTATGGCAGCTGACGCCTGTACTCCCAGCACTTTGGGAGGCTGAGGCGGGAGGATCGCTTGAGCCCAGGAGTTTGAGATCTGACTGGGCCACATAGTGAGACCCTATCACTACTGAAAATTAAAAAATTAGCTAGGTGTGGAGGTGCACACGCCTGTAGTCCTGTATACTCAGGGGCTGAGATTGGGGATTACTTGAACCCAGGAGGTCACAGCTGCAGTGAGCAGTGATTGCACCACTGCACTCCAGCCTGAGTGACAGAGGCAAGAGCCTGTCTTAAAAAAAAAAAAAGAATGTAGTCCTGCTACTTATTAAAAACTGCAAAACAGATTCAGGGCCAGGGGCAGGGGCTCACACCTGTGATCCTAGCACTCTGGGGAGGCTCAGGTGGGTGGATCACTTGAGCTCAGGAGTTCAAGACCAGCCTGGGCGACATGGTGAAACCCTATCTCTACAAAAAATACAAAAATTAGCCAGGTGTGATGTGCGTGTCTGTAGTCCCAGCTACTTGGGGGGCTGAGGTGGGAGAATTGCTTGAATCTGGGAGGTCGAGGCTTCAGTGAGCCAAGATCGTGCCATTGCATTCCAGCCTGGGTGACAAAGTGAGACTCTGTCTCAAAAAACAAAGAACAACTCCAAACCAAACACACACACACACACACACACACACACACACACACACAGACTCAGGTAGGTCTTTCAGGAGGTATTTCAGAAGAAGGCATTGTTATCATAGGAGATGACAGCTCCACATAGGAGACGACAGCTCCACGTGTGTTACTGCCTCTGAAGACCTTCTAGAGGGACAAGATGTGGAGGTGGAAGACAATGATGCTGATGATCCTGAAATGCGTAGGCCTAGGCTAATATGCATGTTTGCACCTTAGTTTTTAATTAAAAAAAATTAAAAAGAAAGAAAATTTAAAAATTCATAAAAGAAGACTTTAGAATAAGGATATAAAGAAAATATTTTTGTAGAGCTGTATGGTGTATTTGTGTTTTAAGCTGTTTTATTACATAAGAATAAAAAAGTGAAAAGAATTAAAAAGTTTATAAAGTTACTGTAAGCTAAGGTTAATTACTGAAGAAAGAAAAATGTATGAAATAAATTAGGTGTAGCCTAATTTAAGAGTGTTTATGAAGTCTACAGTAGTAAAATGTCCCAGGCCTTCACATTCACTGATTCACCTAGAACAACTTACAGTCCTGCAAGCTGCATACATGGTTAAGTGCACTATATCGGTGTTCCATTTAAAAAAATCTTTTGGCCGGGCACAGTTGCTCACACCTGTTAATTCCAGCACTTCTGAAGGCTGAGGCGGGCAGATCACGAGGTCAGGAGTTTGAGATCAGCCTGGCCAGCAAAGTGAAACCCTGTCTCTACTAAAGATACAAAAAATTAGCCGGGCATGGTGGCACGCGCCTTGTAGTCTCAGGTACTCGGGGGGCTGAGGCAGAAGAATCACTTGAACCAGGGAGGCGGAAGTTGTGGTGAGCTGAGATCATACCACTGAACTCCAGCCTGGCGGCAGAGCGAGACTCCGTCTCAAAAAAGAAAAAAACAAAACAAAAAACCACAAAACTTTTATATCATATTTTTACTGTACCTTTTCTATGTTTACATATATTTAGATGCACAAATACTTACCATTGTGATATAATTGCCTACAGTATTTAGTACAGTAACATGTTGCATAGGTTTGTAGCTTGTAGGCTATACCATATAACCTAGGTGTGTAGAGGGCTACACCATCAAGGTGTGTGTAAATACACTTTGTGACATTCACACAATGACAAAACCCACTAGAGATAAATTTCTCAGAATGTATCTCTATCATTAAATGATGCATGACCATATTTCTAATGCAAATTAAAATGCCATCAAGACCATCTTGATTTATTTTTCCTTCCAGAGCTATTAGTATTAGTAATGAAGTTCTCTTAATCTGACCTAGTTTGGGGTGAAGAATAAATACCTAATCCAGTATTACAGAAGTATGTGGGTAAGTTAACTTTAACAGTGTCATGGGCTCACTCACATTCTGCTCTTCTGATTGGGTTATCTGTAAAAAGAACAGAGATCTGTGGAGATTTTAAAGAGTGCTCATCTCATCTGAAAACCAGCCAGGCATAATATTCCTAGGTTAGTTTTTAGCCAAGAATCACTCAAGTTTACCGTAGATCTCCTGTCTTTGAAGCATTAACATAGACACAATACATATGGGATCCCTTAACTGTTCCTGGAGGTATCAGAAAGTAATCTAAATCCTGAGTTTAGGTATTTTCCTTTAATTAAAAAACGTATCTTTTTTTTTTTTTTTTGAGACAGAGTATTGCTCTGTCTCCCAGGCTGGAGTGAAGTGGCGCAATCTCAGCTTACTGCAACCTCCACCTTCCAGGTTCAAGCAATTATCCTGCCTCAGTCTCCCGAGTAGCTGGGATTACAGGTGCCCGCCACCACACCTGGCTAATTTTTTTTTTTTGGTATTTTTAGTAGAGATGGGATTTCACCATGTTGGCCAGGCTGGTTTCGAACTCCTGACCTCAAGTGATCCGTACATCTCAGCCTCCCAAAGTGCTAGGATTACAAGCTTGAGCCACTGTGCCTAGCCAATATCTCTCTCTCTTTTTTTAATTGAGATGGAATCTTGCTCTGTGGCCCAGAAGTGCAGTGGCACGATCTCAGCTCACTGCAACCTCTGCTGCCCGGGTTCAAGCAATTCTTGTGCCTCAGCCTCCCAAGGCAGCTGGGATTATAGGCACCCACCACCAGGTCCGGCTAATTTTTTTTTTGTATTTTTAGTAGAGATGGGGTTTCGCCACGTTGGCCAGGCTGGTCTTGAACTCCTGACCTCAAGTGATCTGCGTGCCTCGGCCTCCCAAAGTGCTGGGATTACAGGCGTGAGCCACTGTGCCCGGCTGCCAATATCTCTTTTAAGGCAAAAATTATTAACACTATTTTTGGTATATAATATATAGAGATGCAATGTATATGGCAACAACAGCAAAAGGACGGAGAGAATGTAAATGGAATTATACTGTTATAAGGCTGCTACATTTTACTTGAAATTTCAATATTAACTTGAAGTAGATTTTGATAAGGTAAAGGTACGTAACACATTCCCTAGAAAAACACACATATTCAGAAAATTCAAGGGGATGTACCTAAAAAGACAAAATTGGAACAATACAGAGAAGATTAGCATGGCCCCTGCACAAGGATGACACGGAAATTCGTAAAGCATTCAATATTATAAAAAAAAAAAGTTCAAATAATATAAAATGCAGGAAAGTAGAATAAAATACAGATAGGGCAAATAAAAAAATAGCAATGTGGCATACCTGAATCTGGTATGACATGGCATACCATGTCAAAAATATATTAAATTTAAAGGGTCTAATGACACTCCAATCACTGTATAAAGAGGCAGAACCCAACTAATAACCATAAATGAAAGACACTTTAAATATAGGGGTTGCAAGTAAGATAGAAAAAGATCTACCATTTAAATGTTACTCAAAAGAATGACACTATAATGTCAGATAAAATAGGTTTCAAGAAATACTATTAGAGACAGAGAAAAATGTATGTATGAGTCAATATATCAGGAAGACATGATAAATATAAATTGTTTAATATAGCTTCAAATACTATAAAAAACTGATAGAACTTAAAAGGGAGATGGACAAATCCCAAAACAATAGAATATGAAATCAATGATGACCAGAGTAAACGAAAAAACATCCCATGCTCATTTAAGACTGGAAAACTTAGTATTGTTAACATGGCAATAATATCAAAGAGACCTACATATTCCACGCAATACCTATCAACACTCCAAAGGTCTTTTTTTGCAGAAACAGAAAAGCCCATTCTCAAATCATATGGAATTGCAAGGAGCCTAAATACTAAAAACAATTTTGAAAAAGAACAGAGTAGGCCAGGTGCGGTGGCTCACATCTGTAATCCCAGCACTTTGGGAGGCCGAGGCGGGCGGATCACGAGGTCAGGAGATCGAGACTACCGTGAAACCCCGTCTCTACTAAAAATACAAAAAATTAGCCGGGCGTGGTGGCGGGCACCTGTAGTCCCAGCTACTCGGGAGGCTGAGGCAGGAGAATGGCGTGAACCTGGGAGGCGGAGCTTGCAGTGAGCCGAGATCGCGCCACTGCACTCCAGCCTGGGTGACAGAGCAAGACTCCATCTCAAAAACAACAACAACAACAACAACAACAACAAAAACAAAAAAAAGAAAAAGAAAAAGAACAGAGTAGGAGTACTCACTCTTCCCATTTTTAAAAGTTACTACAAAGCCACAGCAATCAAAACAATGTAGTACTGGCAAAAGGACAGAAATACATAATGGGGTAAGGTGAGAGCCCAGGAAAAAACCCTTACATTTATGGTCAAAGGATATTCGACAAGGATTCCAAGGTTATTTAATGGGGAAAGAAAAGTATCTTCAACAAATAATGCTAGAATTACTAGATATATACTTGAAAAAGAATGAAGATGAACTCTTGCCTCACGCCAATATTCAAAAATTAACTCAAAATGGATAAATGACCTAGGAGCTAAAAACATAAAGCACTTAAAAGACAGGACAACCAATTCTTAGATATGACACCAAAAGCACAAGCAATAAAAGAAAAAATGGATAAAGTGAACTTTACCAAAATTAAAAAACTTTTGTCCATCAAAGAACATTATTAAGAAACTAAAAAGACAATTTTACAGAATGAGTGAAAATAATTGCATATCACTTATCTGACAAGGGTCTAGTATCCAGAATACATAAAGAACTCTTAGCTCAATAACAAAAAGACAAACACACACACACACACACACACACACACACACACACACACTTTATATACACACATACTCCAAAAAACTGAAAAGAGATATTAAAAAAATACATGTACCTACATATTCAAAACAGCACTATTTACAGAAACAAAAGATGAAAACATTCCAAATTTTGGCCAGGTGCGGTGGCTCATGCCTGTAATCCCAGCACTTTGGGAGGCCGAGGCGGGAGGATCACTTGCGGTCAGGAGTTTGAGACCAGCCTGGCCAACATGGTGAAACCCCGTCTCTACTAAAAATACAAAAATTAGTTGGGCATGGTGGCTCACGCCTGTAATCCCAGCTACTCGGGGGGCTGAGGCAGGAGAATTGCTTGAACATGGCAGGCGGAGGTTGCAGTGAGCTGAGATTGCACCACTGCATTCCAGCCTGGGCAACAAAGAGACTCTGTCTCAACAACAACAACAACAACAACAACAACAACAACAACAACAAAAGAAAACATTCCAAATTTCAATTAATGGATAAAAAGGGAAAGAATGAATAGTGTGAACAGATTTTTAAGTGTGAATACATTTTAAGTATGAATAGTGTGCCACTGTGTGTGTGTGTTTGTGTGTGTGTGTGCCTATGCTACGATGTGGATCAACTTTGAAAATATTATGTTAAATGAATGAAGTCAGACACAAAAGGTAACATGTTGCCTGATTCCATTAATATGAAGTATTCAGAATAGGTAAAACCATAGGAGACAGAAGCAGATTGGTGGTTGCCAGGGGCTGGGAAATGGAGGAACAAGTAGCAACTGCCTAACAGATATGGGGTTTCCTTTTAGAGTGATGAAAATGTTTTGGAACCAAACAGAAGTGGTGGTTGTACAACACTGTGAATATGTACTAAATGCAACTAAAATGTTCACATAAAAATGGTTAAATGATTAATTTTATATTATGTGAATTTCAATAAAAAAATCAAAATGCCCTGCCCCACAAAAGAACCCTGAACAAAAAACCACATAACGCTAAAATATTAGAACACAAATTCTCGGCTCACTGCAACCTCCGCCTACTGGGTTCAAATAATTCTCCTGCCTCACGCTACCGAGTAGCTAGGATTACATGTGCGCACCACCACACCCAGCTAATTTTTGTATTTTTATTAGAGATGGGGTTTCACCATTTGGGATTACAGGCATAAGCCACTGTGTCCGGCCCAAAACACTGAAATCTTAAAAGAGTAAGCTCTCTGACCACATGTAATTAAAACAGAAATCAATAACAAAAGGTATTTAGAAAGCCCCTACGTATTTGGAAATTAAATAACATACTTCTAAGTAAGTCATGGGTCATAAAAAATCCTCTCAAAAGAGAAAACATTTTAAACTAAATAATAACTAACATACTACATATCCAAATTTGTGGATAGCACCAAAATGGTGCTTAGAAATTTGCAGCATTAAAAAAAAAGAAAAAAAGAAATTTATAGCATTAAAAACTTCTATTAGAAGAAAAATCTAAAATCACTGAAAATAAAATCATAAAAATTAATGAAACCTTTGTTCTTTTTTGAGATGGAGTCTTGCTCTGTTGCCCAGACTGGAGTGCAGTGGCTCAATCTCAGCTCACTGCAAGCTGCATGTGCCAGGTTCAAGTGATTCTCCTGCCTCAGCCTCTCCAGTAGTTGGGATTACAGGCGTGCACCACCACGCCCAGCTAATTTTTGTATTTTCAGTAGAGAAGGGGTTTCATCATGTTGGCCAGGCTGGTCACGAACTCCTGACCTCAAGTGATTCGCCTGCCTCAGCCTCCCAAAGGGCTGGGAATGCAAGTGTAAGCCACCATGTTTGGCCCGTGTTTTTTTTTTTTTTTAAGAACATCAAAAGACTTGATAAATCAACTGGCTAAATTAATAAAAAACAAAAAAGAGAGAGCAAAATTACCAATACCAAGAAATAAAAAGGGGATACCACTAAGATCCTAAAAACATTAAAAGCATAAGGGGATATTAAGAACAATTTTATGACAACAAATTTGAAACATGAAACGGAAACAAAGTATGAAATTTAGTCCAAAGAGAAAAAGAGAACTGGAATCATTTTATATCTACTAAGAAATTAAATTTGTAATTTAAAAACCTTCCCTGCAAAAAATCTACAGCTTTAGATGAATTCATTGGTGAATTCTGGCAAACATGCGAGAAGAAATAACATCAATCCTACATAAACACCATCAGAAAATAAAGGAGGAGGGAACAATGCCCAACTCATTTTAAGGCTACTACCATCCGGATAGTACAACCAAAAATATTACAAGCAAACTGCAGACCAATATCCTTCATGAACATAGATGCAAAAATCTTTAACAAATATTAGCAAACTGAATCCCACAATATATAAGAAGGATACTACATCATAACCAAGTGGGGTCTGTTTCAGAAATTAAAAGTTAGTTAAATATTCAAAAGTTTCGCTACATTGCCCAGGCTGGTCTCCAACTCCTAGGCTCAAGCCCAGCCTTGTGAGTCAGCCTCAGCCTCACAAAGTGCTGGGATTACAGGCGTGAGCCACTGTGCCCAGTCTTACCATTTTACTTTTACAGTGGATTTACACTTTATTGTGTTTCCCTTAGGTTAGTTTTTTAGAAACCCATACCTCTCAGAAAAAAAACCCCTCAAAGCTCACATACTTTACCAACCAACTGGAGCATTTACCTGTCATATGGTTGCTTAGCATGTGCGTGAAAATCTCCAGAGGCGGAAAGATGAGTATATGCTTTGTTTATATACTCTCACAAATTCTCTTCATGAGAATTTAAAAATAAGTTCTTTGAAGTTAAAACTGATCTTAAGTGAGAGGTTTCCACAAGAAAGAAAAGGTTAAAAAGCAATATACCTGTGGTGATGGCTGCTGAATATATCCCTGCTGCTGGAGCACAGGCTGGCTGACAGGATGACCAGAGGCAGGATATCCAGCAGTAGGGACTGGCTGCCCAGGTGGTAGGGGAGGAGGAGGAGGTGGTGGTGGTGGCGGTGGAGGAGGATGTGGTGGAGGGGCTGCTGTCATGATATAACCAGACTGCTGTGGAGACTGAAGAACCACAGTGGACTGGAACATGGCGGCATGAGGGTCAGAACCATCAGCAGATGGCTGGCGAGCAAGACTCATGTGGCTAAACTGAGACCCTAGGTTATCCTGCTAAAAAAGGAAGAAGTCAAAAATTAGTAAGCCTTCTACACATAGGCCAAACTTATCAAAGAAAAATACTTCCTATTTTTAAATAAGATGCAATAGTACACATTATGGAAATTATATATATCAACAACAGCAATTATGTAATAGGGTAAAGCTTCAAAAAAATGACAACTCTATTGTTGAATATTATAAATTATAAATTATTTAAAAAATATATCTAGTGGGAATGCACAGCATGCAGAAAAGAGTAGGGTACAACATTTCACATTAAAAAATGAAGACATTTATTTAAATGAAGATGAAAGCAACATTAGAATGTAGAAGTGAAATTGGCCAAGTTCATATTATACAATTAATATTTTCTGAAAGGACTTCAAAGACCAAGCAATGAGCAAGGTACTAATTAGTATTTGCTTTAAACTATCTCCCCTCTTCCTAGAAGGCAAAATGCAAATTCTATGCATTTTTGTATCCCTAACCACGAAAATTATTTGCAGAAATTAAATACATAAAATCCACTACAGTCCTTTCTCTAATCTTTCAAAAATAATTTGGCCATACATTCCATTCTTCCCTTGTGTTTTTCAATCTGTTCTGGAAGTCAGATAATTTGACAAATGTAATTCAAATGACAGTTTCCTATGCTTTTACTAAATGGTGCCCTACCAAGACAAGGGTTATGATTTATGTGCTATCTGACAAACATTTCTCTAATTCAACAGGATAAGGACCAGCTCTTATTGTTCCAGAAAAATATCACTGAAATGATTATATAGGGTTAAAATGCTCCCTGTTCCCAAGAAACCACAGACTGGCAATAAAATATACCACATTTTGTTAAAAGGTCAACACTGAAAAAAATGACTTACAAAATTGTGGCAATTGAGTCATCATATCAAAGTTGACATGTCTGCAGTTTCTAGATCTGCTGGATTTTCCAAAGTAAATTACGGCTATGGAGAAGATAAAGGACTGAAAGGAGATGCCTGATTTAATGATTGAAAATATATGGTTTTTCTCTTCCCCAACTGTCACTTTGACACTTTAACACTATTAGCCTAATTCAGTGAATGGTGTCAAAAGGAAAAAAAATGTACCTATGAACTGTAATTTCAATGTTATATGATCAAATATTGTTAACAGAAGTACCATAATTGTATACCACTCTCAGAGTCACCTTGGAAAAAAGTCATTTTCTTATTCCAATAAAAATTGGGGCATACTTTGGATAGAAGAAAGTATCATTACTTTACAGTCACAGATTAAATATCCAGAAATCTTCTTAGAAAATATACTTAGAAGTCCTCTGTAGCTGTAAGCTACAACTCACCCTAAGAACTGGTACTGGGTCTACTGGAGCTACAGTGTTGGGGAGAAAATAGAATGCCTAAACCCAGATGAAAGCTGCCATCCCAGGGCAGCACAGATCCTGCAGTGGCCTCAATGAGAAAGTTGCTAAAACATCTTAGGACTAGAATAATCAACCTGAAAATTCTTTCGTTATGAAAAAGCAGGAAAAGGTTAAACAATCACCATAATAAGCCACTATAACCAATATTTTATGGAATAAATTATTTCTAGTATGAATTAGAAATACTTTGTTTAGATACATATGTAAACCTGACCCAAAAAAAATCACAAAAGATCATATTACATTAATGACACTCTTGAGCATTCATCACACATCCACCCACAGAAACAACGCAGGAGGTGAATAGAGATATAGTACCACAGAGTATTGCTGGGTGGGTGAGACTGGCAGGAACGGGGATGGGTAAGGGGCTGTAGAGTACTGAACAGGCTGTGAAGAGGACTGCAGAGGATGAACAGGCTAAAGAATAACAGGTTGGCAAACAATGTTAATGTCAGAATAAAACGTTAGAAGAATTGCATAAAACGGAAATTTACACTTTTTTGGCAATAGCTTTAACTACATTTATAAAGTCATTTAAAATATAACAACATAGGAAACAACAAAAACAATACAAAGTGAAGCAACTCTAATACAGTAAAACTTTCAAAAACATGTACGCCTGAATTTATTACATAATTAGGAGAATAATTTTTTGCAATAAAATATTTCTTTATTATAGATTAACGGGAACAGGTGACTTAGGCATTTTGAATCCTATTATTTAACAAAGACCCCCGGGTTAAGTCAGTAAAAGCAAAACTACTTCTCATTATTTCCTGGTTTTATGAAAGGGTTGCCCTATTTTGCAGTATAACACTAAATTATAAATGAAAAACTTCATTCTTACTATCAGACAGTAATAACTTACACAATAACTATTCCAATTACCCTACTGATAAGGTGAAATTAAGCAGTCTTTTGGGACCAAAGCCCCTAACTTTTAGCAATTTTATAAGAAAAAAGCTCTGGGTAAAAAAATATATCCCAGCACTTTGGGAGGCCGAGGCGGGCGGATCACGAGGTCAGGAGATTGAGACCATCCTGGCTAACATGGTGAAACCCCGTCTCTACTAAAAAATACAAAAAATTAGCCGGGCATGGTGGCGGGCGCCTGTAGCCCAGCTACTCGGGAGGCTGAGACAGGAGAATGGCGTGAATCCAAGAGGCGGAGCTTGCAGTGAGCCGAGGTCGCGCCACTGCACTCCAGCCTGGGCGCCAGAGGGAGACTCCGTCTAAAAAAAAAAAAAAAAACCCAAATATATATATATGGTGGGAACTATTAAGAATAATAGCCTAAGGAACAACAAACACATATATACATACAGACACATGCACACACACACAAACACCTCTTTTATATAAGGAAGATAAACACTTTCTTTGTAATTAACACATTTCTATTAAGATAGTACATGTTAGGAGCTGAGAAACTAGTTACTTAAAATCTCTGGCCATTAATGAAATACTCCTGAGTTTCAGGAAAAAAAAGGGTTTTATGTTTCCCAGGGGCACTCAAACACAGGTGTTTTTTTTTTTTTTTTTAAAGTTGTAATCACTTTTCAATCTTGGGAATACAGCTGGTCATCCACAAACTAAAATTGCATCTGTTTAATTTTCTCATATTTATACTGTTTATTACAAAAACGGTAATATACATATTGGCTTAAAGACTATAGCAACCCACTTTACAGAAGGCAGTTAGACTAAGGTAAATTAAGTGACTTGTAGACAGCCACATAAGCAAGTAGATGAGGAACCCAGGGAATCTCACTTGATGAAAACTCTTAGTTAAAATGTATATTCATGCATCTCCTTCTGAACAATATCTCTGCATGTTGTCTTCAGAGACAATACTTTAAAAATGTTAGATAAACTAATGGAATTAAGATTGTTCAGGCAATAATTTAAATAGAGAACTTCTATGTCAACTAAGATAGACATTGTTTGTCTATGACATCATAGATAGATAATAATGATTTGAGTTGCACTTTTACCACAAAATCAACACAACGGTTTCTAAAAAACAAAAGCTTAGATAAGCTTAAAAGAAAGCAAAAAAATCTATAATTAAAGCATTAAAAAAATCTTTCAGTAAAAGCTGAAAGATCTATGAAGTAGCCTCTGGTTCCTCACAAAACTCATGGCTAGAAATAAGTGAGCTTCCTAACAGATGATAGTACATATTATACTACATGAGGTGCCATAGCTTTAGAACTCTCAAGAACAAGCTACTTGATGTGTTATTAAGTCAGATAACCATTAAGACATAACTTTCAGATGACTTGATCTCCTATGTGTCAGATGAAACAAAAGTTTTAGTCAGCTGGGGGATTAAGGAAAGTACTATGAGCACCAAGGGTATGAATTAATGTCTTCCCGAATTTCAGAGAGTAATGAAAAAAACTGTGGGCTAGAAGATTGATTGATGAAAGTGAAATTCTGACACCATTTAGGGAAGAAAGAGCCTTAGCACATCCTTTTCCTACTTGAATTGCAACTGGCTGCAAAACAACATCCACCTAAAGTAATTGGTTTTACGTTAGGTCTAAGAAAAGTAGCCCTTCTGAAGGCTTTGGAAATCATAGCATTATTTTGTTTGGTTATTTGCAATCTCATTGATAAATTATTTCAGATTGTGCAAAAGGTATTCATTGAGAATCACTTTTGAGTCTCTGTTTCTGGATCTGATGATGCATTACCTGAACTTGGAGCAATGCTAGAAAAATAAGTTATGAAATTTGATGAATATCCCAAGAATTCCAATTATAGCTCATTAAAGCATCTGTTTCTAAACTAGGTGGCCTACATCTTCATTTAGAACTGTCTCTTATCACTAAATCAGACAAAGTTCTAAGAGATAATAATCTGAAATATATAATCACAGATAAATCCCAGAGTTTTTAAAAGTTGCCAGATTAACATTATTTCCACTGAAATTTAAATAAAAATGAAACCAAATGAAAATTAGTGTTTTAAAGCTCCTGGTAAAATACATGGCACTGCAAAGACAACTACATGACAGCATAATAAAGAGGAAACTCTTTGGGACCAAGCTGACTGAAGCCAAGGCAGAGAAAGCCAGGGAAGAAGTTTTATGCGAGCTCATTGTATGTAACCAAATGGGATTGGGAAGGGAATATGGGAGTCTGTGGAAATAGTTTTAGGCAATCTCTTCTACATACATTAACTGATTTCTATGGTCTTAGAAGTATATCCATAACTTGTAAGTTCTTCTTTTTAAAAAACTGCCTTGCCCAGTATTAGGAGTCTTAATTGCCAGAAGTACAATTATTTTTTATGACTTTCACACCATTAAATAATGTAATTAAACTTGTATGTTCTTCAACCCTGCAATACAAATGATATCATTTGTGAGCAAAATTAATGAAATTTCTCCAGTTCAAGTTTATCATCATACTTCTTCTTTTTTTTTTTTTAAGGGATACTCACTTATTTATTTAATTTTTTTTTTTTTTGAGATGGAGTCTCACTCTGTTACCCAGGCTGGAGTGGAGTGGCCTGATCTCGGCTCACTGCAACCTCCCGGGTTCAAGTGATTCTCCTGCCTCAGCCTCCTGAGTAGCTGAGACTATAGGTGCATACCACCACACCCGACTAATTTTTGTATTTTTAGTAGAGACGGGGGTTTCACCATTTGGGCCAGGCTGGGCTCGAACTCCTGACCTCAGGTGATCTGCCTGCCTCGGCCTCCTAAAGTGCTGGGATTACAGGTGTGAGCCAACGCGCCAGGCCCATCATACTTCTTTCATACAAAATCACTCTGCATGTTTTCACCAATGGAATACTGAGTCTTGCAGGGAAAAAGAGGTATAACTAACTACAGGAACTTTGATAATGTTAAACAATCTTTACAAGTTAGAATAGGCCGGGCGCGGTGGCTCATGCCTGTAATCCCAGCACTTTGGGAGGCCGAGGCGGGTGGATCACGAGGTCAGGAGATCGAGACCATCCTGACTAACATGGTGAAACCCAGTCTCTACTAAAAATACAAAAAATTTGCCGGGCGTGGTGGCGGCTGCCTGTAGTCCCAGCTACTTGGGAGGCTGAGGCAGGAGAATGGTGTGAACCCAGGAGGCGGAGCTTGCAGTAAGCCAAGATCACTTCACTGCACTCCAGCCGGGGTGACAGAGCAAGACTCCATCTCAAAAAAAAAAAAAAAAGTTAGAATAAAAATAGGAGTTCATACTGGTATAGTCAAGTTCCCCAAAGATGGATAATACAACTGTAGGGGAAAAAGACTGAATGTGAAAATGAATGTGTAAATTCTAAACATTTTTACAAACTCAAAATATTACTGAGAGTACTTTTGGGAATTCTAACTCAGAACTGCTTTGTCTTTCATAGGGTAGGTAGAATGGATGAAGAGTACCTTGCAGAACCTGAGCAGCCTATCTCAGTTTCTTCTAACTGCTTAATCTGTGGAATCTTAAAACAACTCACTTTGCTCATTGGGCCAATGAACAATCACAGTTTTGTTTTTATTTCTCCTGTTGTCCATTTCTTGCTGTTGTGAAATAGGGATAAAATACTCACCAGACAGGCTCATATGATTAAAACAATTCCCTTCTTTCCAACATATTTTCAGTATTTATCAGGGGAAAAACCTTTGAAGTTATCTCTTTTCCTATGAGTAGTGAGTGGAATATCACTAGTGGCAGAATATTAAAGTTCTAAGAGATACTTAGGCTATCTCAATTATAATTAGCGAATTTAGTCCCAAATATGTAAAGGCAAGTCAACTTAGCATTATGTAATCATGGATATGTGCACCTGTGAGAAAATGTGATTAGCTGCTGGTTGTTGAGGTGGGGCTGGCAGAGGTGGCTGTGGAGGTCCAGGCACTTGGGATCTAACTGGTTGTTGAGTCATAGGAGGATTATACACAACTGGACTCCCATCTGGGTTTATGAAGGGCTGACCTGAAAAATTCAAAAAGAGGGAAAAAAATAACTTAGAATACAGGTGGAAAATAGGTCCTTTTACTAACAATTTACAAAGCATGTCCAAAATCCTTTAACCACAATTAAAAAAAAACCCTAATATTTGAAAACAAAGATTTCCTTAGGTTGGGAAATGCCTGCTCTGACATGAGGCTATTAATAGTCTTTATTTCCCTCACTTAAATATTCAAATGTTTTACTGCATTTCTTATTATGGGGTACTGGCCCAGACCGCTAGTGAGCTTAATTTAATTAATTAATTAATTATTATTTTCTTAGACGGAGTCTCACTCTGTTGCTCAGGCTGGAGTACAGTGGCACAATCTCACCTCAGTGCAACCTCTGTCTCCTGGGTTCAAATGATTCTCCTGCCTCAGCCTCCCGAGTAGCTGGGATTACAGGCATGTGACATTACACATGGCTAATATTTGTATTTTTCGTAGAGATGGGGTTTCCCTACTTTGGCCAGGCTGGTCTTGAACTCCTGACCTCAGGTGATCCGTCCGCCTTGACCTCCCAAAGTAATCCTAGCCTTATTTCATAATATGTAGTGTTTCCTGAAAAACTCTGAATTGCGAAACACATTTAGCCTAAGAAATTCAGTTACAGGATTGGGGTCCTATAAGGCTATATTTCAGTTCAAAGAGAAAATGCTTGACTTCAGGATATTGGAAAGTTATTCATTAGTTTTTATTAGGAGGTAGGAAATATCTAATTTTTAGGCCACATTACATATATTTCACTAATAAAATTAGAACTGGATGAAAAACTAAAATAATTAATAGCTCATGTTTCAAATTGTAAACTTGATGGTACTGTCCTTATTTTACAACCTCTTTTCTGTTTTTTTGAGACAGTCTCACTCTGTTGCCCGGCCCAGGCTGGAGTGCAGTGGTGCGATCTCAGCTGACTGCAACCTCAGCCTCCCCCGGGTTCAAGCAATTCTCCTGCCTCAGCCTCCAGACTGGCTGGGATTATAGGCACCTGCCACCACGCCCGGCTAATTTTTACATTTTTAGTAGAGATGGGGTTTCACCATGTTGGCCAGGCTGGTCTCGAACTCCTGACCTCACGTGATCCACCCGCCTTGGTCTCCTAAAGTGCTGGGATTACTGGTGTGAGCCACTGCACCTGGCTTCTCTACACGTACATTCTAAACAACTTTTTCTTATTACAAAAAGTAACATTTGTTTTAAGAAAATAACAAATAGAGACAAAAAAGAAAATAAATTCACCATAATCTCTGTGTGTGTGTGATTTCACTTTTAAGTTCAGGGGCACATGTGCAGGCTTGTTATACAGGTAAACTTGTGTTATGGTGGTTTATTATATAAATTATTTTGTCACCCATTAGTTATTTTTCCTGATCCTCTCCTTCCTCCCACCCTCCACCTTCCAATAAGCCCCAGTGTGTATTGTTTCCCTCTTATGTGTTCACATGTTCTCAGCATTTAGCTCCCACTTACAAGTGAGAACGTGTGATATTTGGTTTTCTGTTCCTGCGTTAGTTTGCTAAGGATAATGGTCTCCAATTCCATCTGTGTTCCTGTGAAGGACATGATCTTATTCTTTTTTATGGCTTCATAGTATTTAATGGTGTATATGTACCACATTTTCTTTATCCAGTCTATCACTGATGGGCATTTAGGTTGATTCCATGTCTTTGCTATTGTGGAATTCCCCATAATCATATCGTTAACATTTCAGATACTGTCTTCCAGACATTTTTTCAATAAGTAGATTAAAAGATTAGTATTTTTCTTTACTAAAATTGGATTGTTAAAAAAAGAAACAAGAAGGGACTACATAAAAAGTAACTGTGCAATGATTACGAGTGAGAAAAATACACAAACAGAAAAATTTGACTGAAAAACAGTTTCTTAAATTGTCTTAAAAACATCTGTTCTTCCATAGTAAATCCCTTTCCATTTTTTTTTTTTGAGGAAACTTATGATATCAAAACATAATATTTGGGAGAGAAGACTATACTAGTCTATAGCTATCAAGCAGAAAAAGTACTCTAAAGTAAAATTATTTTAATCAATTAGTATACTGATAATTTGTGTGACAGTTATAGATAACTAAAAACAAGTTGTCCTGGGTATTTGTTGACTGCTAAATAATTTGGAGAAAAAATTGGTGGAGCAGATTTGGGTGAAGGCGGTCAAATGTAATTTAAGGGTCATCTTAAAAAAGTTAAATGTATTGTAATACTGTTGTCAAAAACCAGAGATCACTTTTTGATTCATTTAAATTAATAGTACAATTCAATTTCAGACCAATCAGTTTCTCACTCTATCCCTTCCTAAGCAAATGAATCTTTCATGTTACCAAAACCATATTATGTTTTGAATGAAAAATAATAGGAAAAAGTAAAATATTAAATCATCTTACATCTTGCTGGATAAAAACAGGAATGTTAGTAACATAATAACCTGAAGAATAAGAAGGTAATTACTAAGCAAAAATTGAATTTCTGAAAAATCAGTTATTTATGCTAATTTAATACTTATAAGAGAAACAAATGTTTGCATACTTCGTCTTAAAAAGAGATGTGAATAAAACCTGAAAGTAATGAGTCCCAAGCCATGATTTTTCTACTACAAATGAAAGGAAAGGGCCAGGAACACTTAGAGACCTTATACTCCCACCCGTATCTGCCTGTAAACTACTGCCATTATGATGAGACCACATCAGCTAAATCTATGAGATTTAAAGTTATCAAAAGATCAAGGAGAGTTTTCATTACCTTGCCAAATGACTGGGCTATGCTATCTTGAAGAGATCAAGACTTCTTGTGATCTTTTACAAGATCATTTTTTCTATATAAATCATTTTTACCAATTTACATAGTGAAATGTACTATAACTGCAGTTTCTTCACCTCTCTGAGGTTCAGTTTCTTTATCTGTAAATGAGGATTTCACCTACCTAACAAGGTTATATTTAAAGCACCTAACAGAGCATATGGTAAAAGTAAATGCTCCAAAATGTAAATTACTATTAGCTAATTGCAAAGAATATGTATTGTCAATATTAATACATGACTCCCCCCAATTTTTTTTTTACTACCAATAAGATGTCCTTTACCTTTTCCTCAGTAGAAAATCAACACATTCTGAAAGATAATTATTTTTCCCCCCTCCATTATATAATGAAAAAAAGCTGCTTATTCAGTCCTTTTTCATAAAATGTATCCGATTTTCCCAAGTATAAAATTGTTGTATCATCCAAAAAAATCAATGTTGGTTAAAAAAAATTGTTATATCAAACAAAGCTCTTTCGTGGGTAGTTGTCTCATTTCTAGGAAATAAACTTTTTTAAAAATTATAATTGGGCTAGTATTTGGCATAGATGATATCACAGATGTACAAGGGGAAAAAAATGCTTTCTGATATAAATGTCTTTGAAACTTCCCTAGCATTAAGTGTTTTTGTTATAAAGTTCTTGGAAAATGTTAATTATTCATGAATAATAAAAAGCTGACTACACATATTCAGAAAATACATTTAATAAGTATCCTTAAATTTTCAGATAATTCCTGAAACACCTTTTTCTGGATACCAACCTGTTTGTGGGTTGATCAGAATACTGCCAGGTGGTATGCCTGCCGCTTCCAAGGGAAGCAAAAAGAAGCTAGTGCTAGGAGATGCGACTTGCCCATTTAGGCCACCATCAAAGGAAAGAGAACTATGAGTGCTGACAGTTGGATAGACGACAGGTGCGCCATGAGAAGACTGGCTGAGAGCTGTACCTGGAAGAGGCTGCTGGATGTGAGAAAGAGAGCCTGTAGATGACCCTACACTACCAGAAGACTCAGAACCTAGAAGAGGAGTAATGAAAAATATGGATTTTTTAAACCTCATATAAAAAACACAGGTTTTTAAAACAACAATAAAATTTACATTGCATAACATGCAGTTACTACATAAAAGCATTGGCTCTTTTTAATTTACTGTCCACGTTTGCTTACCCTCCCCATAACGAACAAGTTTAATACAGCAAACTGATTACGTAAGTTGTCAGAGAAATCACTGCCAAAGCATGCAATTTAAGCACATTTATAACAACACCAGCCACAGACAGCCACAAAAAGCACATTACCCACATTCCCAAAAGGACAAAGTTATGTACATTTTACCTTTTAGATTAACACCTAGGAATATATAGATAATTTTCCCCCAGGAAAAAGAATTTAGTACAGCAAAATGCCCAAAATCTTTAATACCAGAAACCCCTTATCTATAAGAACACAGAAAGATTCAGTGTAAGAAATAAATGATAAATTCTGTATTAAGACAAATAACTGTCAAATTTAATTGCAGAATCTAATTTCTCATTTTACTAGCATAGCATTTTCCCAAAATGTAAAATCAACTTTGAATATTTTATCTAATCAAGGGACAGAGATACCATGAAATATATTCCAAGTACTTATACTGGTGTTAACTTAAAATTTATTTCTTACTGAACTAATTTGATAACTGATTTTTAAATGCCTTCATCCCTGCAATTTATTCCATTTTCTATTATACAGGGACTGAAAATGTCACTGATTTTTAGCATAATGGCTAAAAAAGGTGGCCGAGACAAAGAAAGAAAATGATTTGCATCTTATGTATATAGTTAATTAGGTTTTGAATAAGAGAATTGACTCTGGGATGGATAATTAATCTTTAATGAATGAAACAACTATGATACACTATACAGATTGCCTTCTGAAGGACAGCTTCTATTTTAAGTTATGCCAAAATGACTCTTCATAAAAACTGTATCAATTTACCCTAAGAATTAAAAACAAAAATCATTTTTTGCCTATTAAAAGGGCCAATTAATATTTCTTTTCATCTCTGAAGAGAATACAGAATACATATAGTACACATTCTTAAAATGTTTTAATTTGGCAGTGTGTCTACATAATTTTCTCATGATACATAAATAGCTTTTTCTGTTATGATGACCAAGTGGCCATTTTCCAAATAATGCATATTTGGTACACAAGTAGACTTCTTATACTGATAAAATTTACCTATTTTTAGCAAAATCCTAACATAGATACTAAGATATTTTCAATACAACCATATTATACATTAAAAAGATGACAACTGCAATTCATAAGCCTTAATAATTTAAAGCACTGATTACAGCCCTTCAGTTCAAATATGTCCTTCAATTCTTACGTGTACAATACCTTATGTTTAGGCTCACCCAAATAGGTTAGGGAGAAACAGTCATTTCTTTTCCTTTTTTTTTTTTTTTTGAGACGGAGTCTCGCTCTGTTGCCCAGGCTGGAGTGCAGTGGTATGATCTCGGCTCACTGCAGCCTCTGCCTCCTGGGTTCAAGCGATTCTCCTGCCTCAGCCTCCCAAACAGCTGGGACTACAGACACGTGCTATTACGCCCAGCTGATTTTTAAATATTTTTAGTAGAGATGGGGTTTTGCCATGTTGGCCAGGGTGGTCTTGAACTCCTGACCTCAGGTGATCTGCCTGCCTCGGCATCCCAAAGTGTTGGGATTACAGGCATGAGCCACTGCGCCCGGACAGGGAAACACCCATTTTTGACTTTCACGCTTATTTTGGGATAAAAATAAAGATCTTCAAGGATCCTAAAAACATATGAGCTTCTTTAGTATTGAAGCCAGTTAGAGGAAATGAAAAGAAGAAATGTTATGAGCCAATGAACTCCAAGGAAGCAGGTAGTAGAATGAGGAGATTATTGAAATTTTCAGTCATTTGTAAGTTACTTGTTTTTGTTTTTTAAATTCCTCAAAATCTCCTCAGCAATTTAATTTTTTTAATGGAAAATGAAGGACTTTATCATAAAAAATGCAATCAATAATTGATAGTATTAGCTGAAAATGCAATCAGTGTTAAATAATCCTAGGTGAGAAACCATGCCTTCTACCAACTACGAATAAGTAATAAAGAATTTCCAATTACCTATGGGCATTCAATCAAGAGATAATGTTTCATTGAACCTACCTAATTAAGTTTATGTCACAATAGAGAAGAATTTTTATGGTAATTGATGGTTGTAAATCTGTGTCCAGGACAGAGAGTGAATCCTCATGTCAAGAAACATATTACCCCTTAAGTGCTCCGGAGGTGGTCAAGGTACTATTGATAGTGATTTTATATTTTAGGATAATTAGAAGCCATCTGATAAATAAGGACCTGAGACAACATTAGGAAAACTAATGACTTGACTGCACAGTTTTGTGTAGATATTTATACCTGTTTTTGAAAGCCTGCCTATGCTTTTGCTGCTTCCAGAACTATCACCTCTTGTCAGGACTGAGATTCCACTGAAGCTGCTGGCTTTGGTTACAGCAGGTTTCAGGTTTCGAAGAGAGCTGTCTGAATCTGTGCTGCTCCAGGGTCGTGGTTCCGAGTACTTCAACTCATTCTCAGTGCTGCTTTGATGGCTATTTGTAGATCTCCCTGAAGCATCTTTATTAACTCTGTAATTTAGAAATAAAACCTTGAAAAGCTAATGCAGGGGAACAAAAAGTAAAGAAAAAAATGCTTTAATTTTTCAATACTGTATTGAAAACATGCTTCCAATACCTAAATATCTGGCGCCTCTGCTGGGTACTACTGGCATCCTCGTCTTGGAGTCTGTTGGCATTTTAATAGGACATTTTAATTTTTATTAGCATCAGTCAGACAATTACCAAAACAGATGTTAAAAATTCCCTCACCTTTTGTCAATAATGTAATTCTCTTGGGAACACAGGGACTAGAAAAAAGAATAGATACAAAAAGTTGAGCTTTTGTCAAATATAACGTAATGCCATCTGTAAACCAATGATGACAACAAAAATCATGTGTAATAATGTAAGTTAAAAATGGTGATAAGGGTACACAAATAAATAATAATGGAATTTTTTTTCTGGTTTGGAGATCCTATGCTTACTTTTAACAAATATATAATATACATATCTTGAAACTATTCATTTTGTGGCTCAAATTAATTTGAAATTCAAATATTATCTTCCAAATAAGTGAACCCATTTTCATTATATATTCAAGGTATATATAGGATACATATTCCACTTCATTCACTTAACAAATATTTGATCACCTGTGCTTTATCTGTGGCTAGAGCAGTGAACAAGTAGCTATGCCTTAATGGTGCTTAAAGTCCTTCAGCACTGTTAATCTGGGTTAGGAATGACCATTTTTGTTTGTATGATTACAACAGTCTTCTAACTAGTTTTCCAGTTACCATTTTTTGCCCATTTTATATAACAGGAGCAATCTCTCTAAGATGTCAATTTGATCATAACTCTTCCCACTTGAATGGCTCCCTGATGTTTTAGCACCAGTGTCAGCAAACTATAGCGAGACACCTGTTTCTGCAAACAAAGTTTTACTGGAACACAGCCATGACCATTCACTTATGTATTGTCTGTGGCTGCTGTCACGTTTGAGTAGCAAAAAGTCAGATTTGAGTATCTGCAATGAAGACTATGTGGCTCACAATGCCTAAAACAGCTATTATCTGACCTTTACAGAAAAAGTCTGCTGACCAAAAAAGAAAAAAGCCAAAAGTAAAAAACGAAACAAAAAAACACCACCAAAAACCCCAGAAGTCCAATCATCTTAAACCTTCAGGACCAAGTCATCTCATTTCTGATTATTTTTCCAACCTAAACTTTCCTCACTTCCTATATCACTCAGGCTAGAATCTGGCTACTCTGAATCTTTTGAGACAGAGTCACTCTGTCACCCAGGCTGGAGTGCAGTAGTGCCATCTTGGGTCACTGCAACCTGTACTTCCTGAGTTCAGGAGATCCTCCTGTCTCAGCCTCCTGAGTAGCTGGGACTACAGACGTGCACCATCATGCCTGGCTAATTTTTTGTAGAGATGGGGTTTTGCCATGTTGCTCAGGCTGGTCTTGAACTCCTGAGCTCAAGTGATCCACCCACCTCAGTGCTCCCATAGTGGTGGGATTACAGGTGTGAGTCACTGTGCCTGGCCTCCTCTTAAATCTTTTAATTCCTAAAGTGTGTCAAGTTCTCCCTTACCTCTGGGCCTCTGTACATACTGACTCTCGACTTGGAACTCTTCACTCCTGTAAGGTTACTTCTTGGAAGCTAACTCTCCCATCCCTTCCCCAGTTCTGGTTTTGGTGCTTATCTGCTGTGTCATCTATTACACCTTCATGTCTCTATATAAACCACATACCCTGTTGTCATTACTTGGCTATTCATCAAGGGCAGATACCTCATCTATCTTATAAACTAGAGAGAAGGACATTTAGTATAGGCTTGGAGTTCAGCAGACCTGGGTTGAAATCCCAACTCTGCCATTTTCTAGCTGTGTGATCTCTATTTTAGCCTCCTGGAATCTCAGGTTCCTTATCTGTAAAATAAAAACAATGATAGTATCTACCATATAGGGTTGTTTTGGGGATAAATTATTTTAACTGTCCATGAATATGTTCTCCAGTGCCTAGGATAGCACTTACTACAGGTGCTCAATAAAATTTGTTGAATGAATAAGTTCTTCACTTACAATCTGGATTTTAGTGTTATTTAATCTTCTTTTTTTTTTTTTTTTAACACAGAGGAAATTTCTATCTGTAGCTGATTAACACATATTACAGGACAGATGCTTAGTAGATGTTGACAAAAAACAAATTGATTCTCTTCTGGCATATATGCATAAAATAATTAGCCATTTAGAAAGCCTATCTTATATAATCACTTATGAAGAAGAAAACAGATATTAACCTACAAAATCAATTAGCTTTATTTCAAAAGAAGAAATAAATTATTTGTCAAAGAAAGTCAACTAACAAGTAGCATCTAGAGTATATGATTTTGTAGACAGTGGAGCAATTTCTATTAATAAAAATCTCAAGTCTGTCACAAGTCTGGGGAAAAAAAATCACACAAACTATATAGACTGGAGAACATTCTTTTAATGACTCCTGTAGTCTACCTGCTTCCAACTTTTGTAAAATTTTATATAACTACTGCAATGTAGTATTTTATAAACTATTAATAACACAAGCAAAACTGATCTCAATATTTCTAAAAGATGACCTTATGTGCAACAAATGTGATTAAAAATAAATGTGATCAATAGATAAAAGGGAGACTGAGACCCTACAACGTAATTAGAATATACTCTAACATGAAGACCTAAGTAAGTTAGTACGTACATCTTGGGAAAATATTCGGTCTCTGGCTCTCTGGTACTCTTCTTCTCTTTCTTCTATAGATTTGCTTCTTCTGTCATCTTTCAAACGTATTCTCATCTACAGAAAAGAGGATAATTTTTAGGCAAATGAACTACTGGTATAGTATGTCTTGCACCTATACAAATCCTACAATTGTTCTAGATTACCTGGTTATCATCTTTGTCAAAGCTAGAGTTATCTCTCTTGAGGATATAACGTTTCTGAAAGTCTTCACCTTTATCATCCTTAATATGTTCATTAAATTTCTGATCAGGTCTTAAAAAACAAAAACAAAAACAAAGGAACAGGAAAAGATAATGAACAATATTAGCAAAGAAGTTAAACATAACATTTTATGAAAAGAAATAAAATAAGTTACCACTTTTTAGTGCCATCCATAGATGCTTATGCAGTCTCATTTAGTCCTCACAATAATCTCATGAGAAAATACTAACTATTCCATGTTATGGTTGAGAGGCCATATCAAATACAATGTTGGCTCTGGAGTCAGTCCGCTTGGATTCAAAGGTTGAGCTTTAGCACTTTAGCTGCTTTATGACTTGCACAAGTTACTTAACCTTTCTCTTTCCCGGTTTCTTTATTTGTAAAATGGGAATTATATAGTGTACCTACTTCTTAGGGTTGTTCTGAAGATGAAATGAAAATGTCAGTAACACATAAAACAGTAAACACTCAGAAGTTAGTTACTGATATAAATATTATTGAACAAACCGAGGTTCAAATGGCTTAAGCAAATATGCAAGGTCAAAGGCAGGCATATGATTAAGCCATAGTTGGAGCTCAGGTCAGTTAGACCCAAAGCCTGTACTGCCTCGTCTAAACCTACGAAAAAATGCTGGGACAAGGAAAGTGCAGTGCCGTATCTTATGCTACTCCTATGGTACCTAGTTTGGTGTTATACCTGAAAGTAATAAAATATTTTGTCATTCAATTAGCTAAAAACTTACAGACTACTTCAAAGTGCATCCATTAATTTTAAATTACAGTAGGGCACAGGTTTGCTAACATTAACTGGAACAGGTTAGAAAAGAGATGTTCTTTTATAGAAGTCAAAGTTGTGACCTAAAGTAACGATTATGAAATCTTAGCAATACATTTTATAGTGGACTCATCTTTCTTCCACAGAAATGTTGCAAGTTCCACTGTGATCTAGAGGACAAACACAAGGTTGTGGCCCTTGGAAAATTACAATTATATAAAATTTCACCTCCCAAAATACATTCTCAGCTTCAACAAATTAATTGAATCAATACTCCTGTGACTATCATTCTATTATAAAACTGGAATTATTCTTTTGAAATATGAAATATAACAATATATTAAATGGCTTTAGAGAAAATCTCATTGAACTCCTAGGTAGTTTTTATAGTTCAAATATCAAATGATATATGTGAATAACCTAAGTAAATTTCTAATCCAAATAAATCTGAGTAATGATATTTTCAGCAAACTTCCTTATATCTAGAACCTAAGTAACACTTCTTTTTAAAAAAATTTTTTAGAGACAGAGTCTCACTCTGTCACCCAGGCTGGAGTGCCATGGCACGATCTTGGCTCACTGCAACCTCTGCCACCTGTGTTCAAGCGATTCTCCTGTCTCAGCCTTCTGAGTAGGTGGAATTACAGGAGGGTGCCACCATGCCCAGCTAATTTTTTTTGTATTTTTAGTAGAGATGGGGTTTCATCATATTGGCCAGGCTGGTTGCACACTCCCGACCTCAAGTGATCCACCTGCCTCAGTCTCCCAAAGTGCTGGGATTACAGGCGTGAGACATTGCGCCTGGCCCTAGAACCGAAGTAATACTTTTGAACATTTATTTTAACCTATGAATTTCTAATAAAGTACGTAAAAGCCTCCTGTCAAATTATGCAAAAGGAGATTAAAAGTGAGAATTATCTAAGCAAGTTAATGAAATTTCTATTGTAAAATACTTAGATGGGTGAAATAGAGAACAGATTTGTACATAAATATATGTAAGAAGTAAAAGAAAAATAGGAAGACGAAAAACAGCTTTGTGATCAAAATAATAAGAAAAAGAGTATTTTCTTCAAGGGTTTGAAAGATTTTTATTTAGTTCTGACCATGGCAGTATGTTATTTTTGTCACATGATTGCCCCATTGACTTATGTCATCTATCTTTGTAACTGTTCAAAGTCACATTTTCTTATTCATGGAGTTTATATTTGAACGAGAGACTGCTATTCCAAAGTGAACTATAAGGTTTAACCAAGGGCCTGGCAACTTTTCTAAGAGCAGCTGGATTCCCACACCAACAGCACTGGCAGGCATTTCAGCTAACCTTAAGACTGTCTTACCTCATTCTTTTATAGATGCCTGAATTTACTGCCCTGTAATCGCCAACTTCCCGCTCCATTGAGACACCCCAGTGGACACTGGGTTGTTGACATCCATAACACCACTGATTCAAGGCTGGAGCGGGTAATCTCCCTATGAGGAAAAGGTAAGTTTGTTTTTATTCAATATGGAGCAGATCTCTAAGGTTTTCTGATTTACAACCTTCTTCATATCCCAGAAGATATATATATATAAAAAGTACAGTGTAACTTGAATGATTTGAACTGTCTGATTATAATTATATTATTGACCCATACTTCTTTAAGTATATTATAAGCATCTCTGCTGAGCCTAGCTTTTGATTATCTTGATAAAGACAGCTCTAAAGCTTTTTGACATCATTCATATAATTCAAATAACTGAGGTTACACTGTATTGAAAACCTTAGAGAGTCACCAGTCAAAATGTTAGTCAAAATGCCTGCTAATGTATATGTGCTTGTGTATCCAGCAGCTCTGAGTAATGTTGAGAGGTACTGGTTAAATGAATTAACAGTTCTATTCACCTCTAGCTCAGCTCATAGCTTAATGGTTACTATCCTACTTTAGTCATGATATAACTGACTGGAAAAAGACTAACTGAAAAGAATATTAAAGACGAAGGGATATGAAAATTTAAATTTTAATGAAAACTAAATCAGACTCACATTTTAGTAACATTTAATCCCTATAAGAAGAAAAGATCCCTTTCTAAACACATCTATTTTCACTAATTTACTTTTAATTATAGGAACGATCATTTAAAAATACTAAAGTATTTACTTAGTTTACAAAAAGACTATTTAAAATGGGAGAAAACCAATAGTTCCAGCAAGTGATATGGCAGCTATAAGGACAAAAGACCATAAATCAGAAAAGGCATAGATGAATTAAATATAACCATGCAAATTAAATCATTCATAGATAAGAACCTGGGAGAAATCTGGCTTCAGGAAAGAAAGAAAAATAATGGACCAAAAAGGATTATTTATGCCATCTGAAGTTGACTGCTACTCATTACCACAGACTTGTTGCTGCCTCATATCAAACTGAAATTCCTTTCGATAGGCAAATCACCATCAAAATATAAATTTCAGCTGAACTCAGCTAGTTGTTTTAGGATTAGCCTTAAAAATAGGCAGAAGATGTAACGGATGTGCTGTGTATGTTTTATAACTTGGGTGCCTCTGCATTGGGTCTTCTGTTCCCAAGTAACAGCAATGATGATCTACTTCCGTAACACTATAAAGCAATCAATTCTTAAAACAAAAAGCTCCTCCGGAGAATCATACATAGCCCAGGAAGAAGACAGCACTAATGATATTGCATTAACCAACAGTCCCACTTTCTTAAGAATTGTGAGAGAAAAGGAGTAAATTCAGAGGCTTTTGGAAAGAACGGTAAACTGACAGAAGATTAACTAAATGTGAGGGTGTCACGGACAAAGTCTGCTCTCTCTCTTGTGTTTTTTTTTTTTTTTTTAAATTTGACTAAGGCTGGCTACAGCTGTCTAAATTAATTTTAAAAATCCCTAAGAGTGGTTGTCAAACATCACTGATACTATGTCCTCTGGATTTTTATTTTTTTACCATATGCCCCAGTCCTCATTCATATGCCATATTTGAGTCCAGGCTGTTGCATTTTGTTCCCAGTAAACTAAATGTGTTTTTCAGTCCTATCACATAAGGTTATCATAAAACTTAATTAGACTGTTAAAACATGTGGAAAACCTCAGATGAAAGGTAATATAGAAAGATAAAGTATTATTATTTAGATATATAATATGTAGTTACATCTCTTGACACTTACATTCTTGTATTGCTAGTTTTGTTTACTATGACAGACTTCCCACTCTGATCAACATTGTGGTCTAATCCAAAGTAAGCGGCTACTCTGTGTAATAGCATCCTATGGTAAGATGTCATTGGGGGGAATTTTTTACGTGGAGACCTAGAAGCACAAGAAAAACCAACTTAGTAAGTCAAGGAGAATGGTGATGACAATTTCTTTTCTTGTTGAATGTCAGGACTTACTCATTATTACCAATGAAATCTAAAATTTCTTGTTCCAATTTCAGCAGCATCATTCTGTCCCTGAAACAAAGTATGAAGACTCTTATATGTAAAACTTAGCAATGAAGTAATCACAAATGTCAACAGCCTATGATTTATACAGCTAAATTTCACCCCCTAAAAACTATACATTCAGTATTACCCCAATCTTGATGCTAGAATATTTATTAATGTTTTAAAACAAAAGATGATTTTTGTAGTTTAACTTTTTATTACAGAAGTTTTCACACATACACTAATGTAGAGAATAGTGTAATGAATTTTGATGTACCCATCACCCAACTTTAACAATAATCAACATGTGGCTATTCTTAAATGCATTTTTTTTTTTTTTGCTTACACACAACGAAGGAACTTAAATGTATTTTGATCTGCTTAGTATTACTATATTAGAGTTTGCTCTGTGAATGTGTGGATAATAAAAGCATTTTAGTTTTTATTTCCTCATTCAATAAAGTGGAGAGGAAGCAGAAGAACAGACATCTTTAGTTAGGCTCAGGACTTTGTTATCATGCTGAACTCCATAGAAACAGTATTCTAAAGAACATGCAATGCCAGTAACAACAGGAATACTTCTATGGGAATCTAATACTAGTATGTAGATGGGACTATGGCAGAGAAGTATTAATTATATCGCTAATTTAGAAGAAGAGGATATTTCAACCCATTCTATAAACTGCCATTATATATTTTTAAATTTTCCCATAAAAATCTAAGTGAACCAAAAACCTCCAACATATAAAATAAATAAGGACTCTAGGGAGTACCTGTATGTGCTCCTTTAGATCACTAGGGTCTTATTTAGTTCTCTTAGCTGCAACAAATTAATGGTATCACTCCCCAAAGGACCTCCCTGCTCACACACCCATAACATGGCTCTAGAATTTTCCTGTGCTAATTGGAAATTTCATATACATGTGAAAAAAAAAATGTAACTTACAGAAACTTAAAGCTAAAAGCAGCTTTACAAATCATTCAGTTTTGTCTTCCAAAGTTTACAGATCAAGAAAACGAGGCCAAGAGGTTAATGATTCCCTAAAATAAACACTATGCAGATTATTCTCAATTTCAATAGAAGAACTGGTAGCCCCTGCTTTGGTCACCTGAAAGTCTACACATCAGACCTGCATTTGATTCTCCTCCTACACTGCAAAAGTTTCATAAAACTAAGTAATAACATTTCCCCCATCATTCATTAAATATTTAACTTACATTTTTATATTTGTTTAAAAAAAATCAACAGAAAAACATGTCTACTTGGTGATTTCAAATCCAAAGCTGAACACAGAATTACATTTTAACAAAATTTATAGCAATATTCAGTTTGGTTTCCAAACCTGCTTCTCCTTAGTATATCCCATCTCAGTAACTGGCACCACCTTCTACTCAGTATATGATAGTAGAAGTATGAGAATCTCGTTTTTTTTTTGTTTTTTTTTTTTTTTTTTTTTTTTTTTGGTTGAGAAGGAGTTTCGCTCTTGTTGCCCAGGCTGGAGTGCAATGGCACAATCTCGGCTCACTACTACCTCCGCCTCTCAGGTTCAAGCAATTCTCCTGCCTCAGCCTCCCGATTAGCTGGGACTACAGGCATGCACCACCACGCCAGACTAATTTTCTATTTTTAGTAGAGTCGGGGTTTCTCCATGTTGGTCAGGCTGGTCTCGAAGGTTTTTTTTTTTTTTAAATCATCCTTTTTCAAATGCTCCAATACAGTTAATTACTACTGCAAATTTTATCTACTTTTGATCTATTTTTCTACTGCCACAACCCTGGATCCAGGCAACAGGATTTCTGGCTTGACTACTACAGCAGGAGTATATTGTCTCCCTGTATCTTCCCTGATCTTCCCTAATCTATTCTACATGAAACATGCATAACAATCTTTTAAGAACACATATGTGATCACACATCACTCCCTTTGTTAAATCTGTCATGGGTTTCTTACTGTTCTTAGAACTAAACATATGTACAAGGCAGGCATGAGCTGGTCTTCATCCAGCTCCAGCCTCATCTCCTGACCTGAACTCACAAAACTGTTATCATCCTGGTTTATTTCTGTATTTGCCAAGCTCCTGTCTTTCTCAGGTACTTTGAACATGCTGTTCCCCTTTGCTGAAATATTCTTATATTCTTTCTTAGAATTGTTTCTTTCATATTTTTCTTTAATAGCATTTATCACAATTATTGTCATATATAGTTATTTGAACTATTTGTATATAGAAAGGTTCAACAAAAATATTTTGCATGGAATAAATTAGTAAAATTACTTCATCCAGAAGGTCTTTTAGTATTCTTTTTGTTTTTCTTAAATTTTAGGGGAGGGTGAAGAATTTTTACTTCCTAAAGTTTTCCCAACAAAGAATTTATTTACTAAATTATAAGACCCTCTTTCACCCAAGTTTTGTTTGTTTGTTTGTTTGTTTTTGAGACAGTCTCGCTCTGTCCCCCAGGCTGGAGTGCAGTGGCACAATCTCGGCTCCCTGCAACCTCTGCCTCCCGGGTTCAAGCGATTCTCCTGCCTCAGCTTCCCGGTAGCTGGGGTTACAGGTGTGTGCCACCACACCCGGCAAATTTTTGTATTTTTAGTAGTCACAGGGTTTCACCACATTGTCCAGGCTGGTCTCGAACTCCCGACCTAAGGTGATCCACCCGCCTCGGCCTCCTAAAGTGCTGGGATTACAGGCGTGAGCCACTGTGCCCAGCCTCATCCAAGCTTTTGGGGTTATTGTGAGACAGTATTTTCAGTAACTTTTATAATTTACATATTGCCTTACTGTAAAAAAAATAAAGACGAGAATCAAAAGCAGGCAACTAGCTGGGCGCGGTGGCTCACGCCTGTAATCCCAGTACTTTGGGAGGTTGAGGTGGGCAGGTCACCTGAGGTAGGGAGTTCAAGAGCAGCCTGACCAACACGGAGAAACCCCCATCTCTACTAAAAATACAAAAATAGCCGGGCGTGGTGGCGCATGCCTGTAATCCCAGCTACTTGGAGGCTGAGGTAGGAGAATTGCTTGAACCCGGGAGGCGGAGGTTGCTGTGAGCCGAGATTGTGCCATTGCACTCCAGCCTGGGCAACAAGAGTGAAACTCCGTCTCAAAAACAAACAAACAAACAAACAAACAAGAAAGGAGGCAACTTATTTGGAGTTCATAAAACAGTACATTTAAATTGATTTTCTGTGTTTGAGCTAAAGAGCAGGTATAAGAATATTTCAATTGTTCTTCAGTGAAATGCACTGCCACTGAAATTTCCACTATCTGCATGAAATAACAGAATCTAACAATTTTACTAGCAATTGATAGAAATTTAGGCTTTCTCTCCCCTTAAGACGTACATCTATAGATTGCAGAGGATTTTTAGATTATCTGGGTCACTTATTTTAAAAAAGATACCCTGCTTTTAGTAGCACTTGTTAAAAAAACAAGAATGACAACTTTCCTAAGGTCTTAAGATTTATACCTTCTGCCTTTTATTCCACATTGTAGCTTATCCAAGCTTTCAAATTTTCAAATCTGTAATTGAGGTTAGATATTTTTATAATGGTCATAAGTTAAAGGTTACTAATCCTTTATAGGGGCCCTACATATGAGACTCAAACTAACAGGTAAACTACTTTTCTCAAGGTATATTGATCTTTTAGCAGGTGAGCCAAAACCATCTAAAAGTAGGCACAAACTAAAACTTCTATCGTGTAACCTTTAAAATGAACTGATACATGCTGTTAATTATTAAAGAAGTAATAAAAACAAGCTAATAAACTAAAAGCTAAAATGAAGGGCTAACAATCTTTTAGTTACTATTGTTCTAGTCATTATTCCAGAAGTAATTTTAGAGAAAGAGGGAACCGATGTTATACCAGTGGCAAATAAAAAAAGAAGAAAATAGTAATGCTTCTGTTTGACCACCCTCCACCCAATGTTTCATATGCTCTTGGTTAAATGTCTGCAACAGATAAGAAATAAAATGACTTAAATATTACCTCCAATAAAAATGACTTTTAGAAGATATTTCAGAGAACAAATACGTGACGTTCCCTAGAGCAAAACAAATTACTTAAAAAAATCCACCTTCAGGTTAATCCATGGTATTGTTTTCCTATTACATAATATAAGTTATCTGTACCATCCATATTTCTCCATATAAAATTTATACAATATGGCTAAAAGCAACACAAAAATACATATAAAATTATGTCAGTGAGTGTAATCTTTATCAGTAACACCTTCAGGTTCCTAGGTTCTAATTTATTAATGACTGTATTTAATAGGGTAGTCTCTGAAAATATTGCAGACACCCAGAAATTCCAGATAACTTATTATTTAACCCCTGAAATTTAGTTTATTTATTGGGCTATGACAAGATAATGAAGATTTAATGATGTGAACAAAAATCTTGAAATTAAAGATATCCAAAAAGGAAAGGCTGACTAAATTTTAGTATCACTAAAAATAAATCTGCTTAACATCTAGTAGAATTCTCCAGGCAATATTCAACCCTGAATGCTTCAGGGGGAATTTGCCATACTTCTAACTAATTGTGTACCAGGTATAGCTGGCAATTAGCTGTATGCTTCACTGAGAGAGAATACTGAATCAATTATTAAGCAAACCTTATTTCTCACAAAATTTAACATTAGCTTCAACTTCCTAAAACCACAATGACACTAATAGTAACTTATACATTAGCCATTACACGAATTATTCACTTGTATATTTGCTCAAATAAAAATGCATACACAGAAGGAATAAAAAAAGGTACATGCTACAATATGGATGAACCTTAAAAACATTATGCTAAGTGAATAAAAGCCAGTCATGAACGACCATACATTATATAATTTCATTCATATGAGATGTCCAGAACAGGGAAATCTACAGAAACAGAAAACAGATTAGGGTTGGGATCATCCAATATCAGTATTACTATTATTATTAGCATAGGAATAGCTACAATGTATGGGGTTTCTTTTGGGGCAATGAAAAAGTTCTATAACTGTGGTGATAGTGCTCCTATCTGTATATTGAATATACTAAAAACCATTAAACCGTACAGTTAAAAAATGTCTATGTGGATAACTTAAAAACGTTTGCATCTATAGAGGAAAAATAACTACACAATCAAAACATAATTTGGAAGACATAAAAATGGATTTATAATCTTTGTTCCTTGCTGATGTCTTTCCCACAGGTTTAGAGAGAGAAGAAAAATTCTGCCTGTCTAGAATCTTATTTTACTCATACTAGTTATGAATTCCTACCTTCCCACTTATTACTCAACCCACTGAGTTCTGGTTCCCACCACCCTATCCCAAATGAAATGACTTGTTAAAATAGCCAACAATTTCTAACTTCTGAATCTAACAAATTATTTTTGGTACTTGTTTTGGAAAACCTCTTTAATCATGTTTTCCCTCTGTTCTCACACCAACACAACAACAATCAACAGAGAAGACTTCTGTGACCCAAAATATGTGGAGATTTCTCTCCACCAGCAAGCAAGCAAGCAAGCAAGCAAGCAAGCAAGCAAGCACGCACGCACGCACGCACGCACGCACGCAAGCAAGCAGTTCTACAGTGGACAACAGCTGGGTGTCCTCCAATTCAATTCTGACACTCTATACCTGGAGATAGTGTCAGATCCCACAGTTTGGGGCTCAGTCCCCAAGACTGCCCCACTTCAGACACCAGTTCCAAGTCTAGGCCTCTGGAACTTCTGACTACCAGCTTCAAGTTGGGGTTCCCATGACCCCTGCTTTGGATTCAACTAGTTTGCTGGAGCAGATCACAGAACTCAGGGAAACACTTACTCATATTTGTTGGTTTATTATAAAGGATACAGATGAAGAGATGCATACAACGAAGTATGGGGGAAGAGGGATGGAGCTTGCATTCTTTTCCTGGGGCCTGACATCCTCCAGGAACCTCCATGTGTTCAGCTATCGGGAAGCCCTCTGAATCTGTCCTTTTGGGTTTTTATGAAGTCTTCATTATGTAGGTATGATTGTTGAGGAGACTGACCTTCACCAATCTCCTCATCCAGGAGATTGGGAGCAGGGGCTGAAGTCCCAACCCTCTGAACATGCCTTTGTCCTTCCAGTGACCCGCCTAATCTGATATCTTGAAGCTATCAGTCAACATTAGCATACAAAAAGATAGCTCTTTGGAGATTACAGGTATTTTAGTTGTAAGCTAGGAAACGGAGGCAGACCAAATATATATATTTCGCAATCTTACAATACTTATATTTTCATATCCCTCTGTTATTTTATTTTAATTAATTCATTCATTTATTTTGAGATGGAGTTTTGCTCTTATTGCCCAGGCTGGAGTGCAATGGCGTGATCTCGGCTCACTGCAACCTCTGCCTTCCAGATTCAAGCAGTTCTCCTGCTTCAGCCTCCCAAGTAGCTAGGATTACAGGCATGAACCGCCCAGCTAATTTTTGTATTTTTAGTAGAGACGGGGTTTCACCATGTTAGTCAGGCTGGTGTCGAACTCCTGACCTCAGGTGATCCACTGTCCTCAGCCTGCTAAAGTACTGGGATTACCGGCATGAATCATTGTGCAGGGCCCCTCTGTTATTTTATTTTCAGTGTAACTGTTCCCTTTTGGTTGAGTTCCAGGACAAATGTTCTCAGGATTCCTCTGCTCTCTCTCTCTCTTTAGAGATGGAGTCCAGGCTGGAGGGCAGTGGCGAGATCATAGCTCAGTGCAGCCTCAACCTCCAGGACTCCAGTAATCTTCCCACCTCAGCCTCCTGAGTAGGTGGGACTACAAGCACATGCCACCAGGCCCTGTTTTTGCTATCTTTAGTACTTGGCCTTTCTGTTCTACTCTACTGTCCCCATTGCCTTTCCATATAAAAATGATCATCAAGTCCTGCCATGATACTTCCTAAATATCTTTCAAATGTGTCTTTTCCTCTCCATTCTTTTCTATGGTCTCCTAGCCACTCTTTTTCTTTACAGTTATCTCTGCCAAAATAATCTTTCTAAAACACCAAAGTAATCTTTCCAAAACACAAATCTCATTATGGTATGGCCCTATTTAAAATCCAGTTTAATTACTCCTTAACTTGGCATGCCATAGTCAGTATTTCTCGACTGATGCACTACTGGCATTTCAAGACAATTTTTCGTGGTTCATCACCGTTTTATAGGTCTTTTTGGCATCCCTGGCTTCCCAGCAGCACTCTGCACTCACTGGGACAATCAAAAGGTCCCCTCACATTTCCTCACTGCCATAGGGTGTTGGTATTATCCCTTGCTGACGATAGTTGGATATGGCCTATGCTTCATATCTCACCAGTACCTTTACTGTCACTTTCCTTTTTTTTTTTTTTTTTTGAGACGGAGTCTCGCCCTGTCGCCCAGGCTGGAGTGCAGTGGCGCATCTCTACTCACTGCAAGCTCTGCCTCCCGGGTTTACACCATTCCCCTGCCTCAGCCTCCCACGCAGCTGGGACTACAGGCACCCGCCACCACACCCAGCTAATTTTTTATATTTTTAGTAGAGACAGGGTTTCACTGTGTTAGCCAGGATGGTCTCGATCTCCTGACCTCGTGATCCACCCGCCTCGGCCTCCCAAAGTGCTGGGATTACAAGCGTGAGCCACTGCGCCCGACCTTTACCATCACTTTCTAGAATAACTTGCCACATGCCTATCTTTCCTTGAATATAACACTTCCTCTCACATAACTATGCCTTGGCAATCCTCTAGTCTCTATCTCAAATGCCCTTCCCATGTCTCTCTGTATAGACAGCTCCAATATAAAACACTCTTAATTCAAGATTCAGGTTAGGCACTACCTTTTCAGTGACATATTCCAAAATCCTTTCAGAGGTTGTGGCCCTTCTCTGGCTATTACAGCACCTGTAAACCTCTTTTACATTTGTTTTATTTTAATTATCAGGTGTCTTTTTCTAGTACAGAGACAGTGAATACTGTAGGGTCAGAGCTTCTATGTAATACCTTTTCATATCTACAATGTTTAGCACAATGCTTGGCACATAGTTAGAGCTGTTCAATAGACTCATAAATTTATCTTTCTGTTGGGACTACTGAGGAATAAACTTGAACTGGAGGAAAAAAAGTCAAGGAGAGTTGCCTACCTTCTCTCTAAATCCTTACCTATAATCCTTCAGCTCCTATTATAGAGACCACTTCATTTTGGTAATTCTCTTTGGGGTTGATATTAAATACGAAACAGAAAATCAAGATAGTACTGAATACAATACATCCTGAATAAAAACAAGTTATCTTGAAGCAAGACTGTGTAAGAGATAAACAACTCTCTTATCTTCCGTGTGCCCATATCTAGTGACATCATTTTTATTTCAACGTATGTCAACTCTGGAAAGCTACTACTCTGGAAAGCTAACATCTAGAGGAAGATTTCTTCACCTTGGCATCTTTCACTCCATGAAAGTGTTGGTCAGATAATTTGTGGGTAGCCATTTTTGCAGGGAGAATGTCTCAAAGTGCTTATGAGTTGCCAAAAAGTTAAAAATTATTCATTTAGTAATCTGACAAAATGAAAGATTTCACAATTAAAGTACTGACTCAAATAAACACCTCAAAAATCTTTGGGTTGATGATTTATAAACTCAGCAAGAAGGAACAAAAACTTTGCATTTAAAAACTTCAAAAACTCATAAGTGAATACACTAAGTTCTTATTTGGTTGAGTGCACTATGGTGAGATACCTATTTTTCTTTTTTCTCATGATTAATGGTATATGTCTAACTCAATCAAGAGCCTAAATATCTTAGTGATTCTATATTTCCCAAAATTCATACATCATGGTGACATGCATAATGCAAAAAGATATTTATATATTTGCATATACTAGACCAACAACATCTTTGCCCTAAAAAACTAAAATGTTTCTGGTGTACTTCAAATATCTGCAATCTTATTCTATTACTCTAACTCAATAATGAAAACATATATAGCAAAATTATGGTACTCTAGAAGCAATGGAAACCTTATAAATTTAATTTTTACCTGGGATTGTTTTTTAATGTATTTACTAAAAATTCATGTAGATCTATGCCAGTTGAATCAGTGTATTCTTGACTGGAATCTAAAAAACAACAACACAAAAACCCAGTATAAAGTTGTTTGAAAACAAGTCCCATTCCCTTTTACACATGATGTATATATATCTTAAATAAAACAAGATGCCCCACATTGAAAAAAATTCGACAAAGTAGGAAAAGTTACAATGAAATCAGGTGACCACGATGTTTCTATTCCCATATAATGTGCATGACATGAGTTTATATAACTGCATATCCACGCACATTCTTAAAAAAAAATTAACCTCTCACATGTGTCTGTTTAATTTCCTCTAAATTCTTTAAAGATCCTTTTATATACTCACCACAACCTCATGTTCAAAATGCCTCCGTGGGTGAAAAATTTAAATGATTTACATAATTAACTACATTTGTAGCAAATTAAGACAGCTTAGTTCAGATATGAATATAATGGAGGCAATAATTTGGAGGTAGATAGAAATTTTAGTTGTGAAAGAATTTGATTTTTGTCAGGTCTATTACTACAGGCTTGCTTTCAAAATACTTTTCAAATATTCATGCTATCTTCGCCTTAAATGTAGTATCTTTATACTATTTATAATACTGGTCAACATAACTGGGTTTTTAAATTTAAAAAGCATTTCTATTGATCTGCAATGCTAGGTAATAGTGAAGACCCTCCAAACTTATAAAAAATAAACACTCTGTTTCCAAGAATATTCTTACTGGATACTCAATATTATGACATCAGCTCTTTGTACCATAAGGAATTCAAGAGTGATAGTATCCTTAGATGAATCAATATAAAAATTATAATGACTTTAGTATTTTACTATGAGTGAGGGACCAGTAAGAGATTAAGATGTCCTCAACGTCTGTTATGTGTTGCATTTTTGGCTGAAACGTCTTACTGATATATGGAACTGTGTTAAACCATTTTGCCCAGATGAGTTAAGTACTGTATCATCCTTCCAGTCTGTTCTGTGTCATTTTACATAAAGATATACTATATATAATTATTCAAGGGGAAAAGGATGGAATTACTGATAGCAAAATTTTTTTTTAAAAAAAAACAAAAGAACTGCAAACCTCTTGATAACATTTTTCTGGGCAACTTATCACTGGCCTTTTCTTTTTCTGCTTCATCTTTTGAGGGCTTCTCTTCTTTCTCAAATGATTGTGTTAACTGGATCTGAATTTTCTCCTGTTGGAAGGCAAAGTCAATTATTCAATGAAAATACAATACAATTCATTTAATACCACACATTTATATTTTTTGAGTAACACAGAATTGTACAGAGGAAAAAGATTATTTTACCCAACTGGATTCTTCAAACTAAAAAACAACTTAATAATACTTTACTACTTTTATCAAATACTTTATATAAAATGTAAAACTAACGTTCTGAGTTGAATATATCAATTAAAACAAATCCTCAACATTATAGAGAAAATAAATGTTTTCTATTATAGTTTAAGTGCATCAACTTGTAAAATCCCCGGAGGATGAGAACTCAGGTCTTCTTAACTTATTTTTGCAAGGAAGATGCCAAGCAAGAGCATAATTATCATCAATCATGACAATACGAATGTATAAGTGTCAAGTCAATGATTAATAAAAATCAGGTTTCTGAGTATCCATTATAATCACACATTCCTTCATTCTCCTACCATATAAAAATGTTAAGTACAAACATTTCCAAAATCAACGGCACACAGCTTTATTTCCTTTTTGAGATTTATATATCACTGTCAATCCTTCAATCACCACAGTTTTTTAGAAAGATTTCAAACAAAATTGTATCCTTACAGATACGTAATGTTTAATTGTAAAGTAACCACATTCTGTAAGACTGAAAGGAGAATTCATGTTTTATTTTAAAAACAATGCCATTACATGTAATTCCAGAACCCAAAGGGATTACTAGAAATTAATCCACACAGAAAAGGCAAAAATCATGTAGCTCTGTTTACTTAGGTAAAGTTATAAAGAAAGCTATAATAAATTCTACACCAGTTTTACTAAAGATAAAAGTGTAGCCTATTTTTAGACTAAATTATACTGTTGTTCTATAGTCAAGAAAACCATCAATCAGACACGTAGACTTTTTACCCCAATAGGACTGCTACCTGCTATTTTCATCTCTTTTCTTCTTCTTAATTCATCATACCAGTTAAAATTTGTGTTCATAATATAGGGTAAATGATGCACACTGGCAGTTTTTACTAGGATGACAAACACTTGCTTTTTGCACTCTCTGTCTTGTTTACCAAAGACACTGGCAACTTCCTTACACTCATCAACCAGTAAGTAATTTTTCTTATTGTGATTCATTTTCCAACCCACTTTCTTTACGCTTTTCATAACTGTAAAACAGGTATCTAGAAATGAATCCCAGAACTATTTTTCAGAAGTATAATATTTAGAAGTTTTCTTGACTTGTAACTACTATTCTGGTTACTCAAGAGGAACCCAGTGAAATCCAGGCTGGGAGAAAAGATTTCACACTACCTCCTCTTAGATCTTCACTAAAAGGCACTTCCAGTAACTAGCAGATTTCATTTCTAAGCTCTCCTCAAAAAGCCATATATTTTAATTACAGATACTAAACTATTTTATCAAGATGAACTATATTTTTAAAATCTTGTAAGCTTAATGTACTGAGGCCTGTCTTCAGTTGGCCTAGTTTTCAGTAGCAAATAAACAAGATATATTTTAAACACTGAAGTTCTTATACACAAAATCTTCAGACTATAAATAACTGGAATAATAGCTACCTCTCCATAGGAAACTGCAATTCCTTTACTCTTCACTCTGTCAATAACATCTGTTATTGAGGTCACTTCCCTCTCACAAGCTCTCATCAGATACAAGTGACATCTCTCTCTTAATTGCCTCTCAACTTTTTGAATAATGAGTTTTATTCCAGATTAATTCCTCAAAAATCACATTCTGAATCAAGCAAATTAGTTGGAAACTGTGTCTACCATCAAGGATTAGATACTAGTACCTTTCATGAGAAATAATTTATTTTCCAATTTCCACTCAGGTGCAATTTATTTATCTCAAGGCTTGGAAAAAGACTTCCTACTAGAAGAAGTATCTTTTATTCAGAGGATTGTATTCATAGGCAATTATCCAAAAAGAAAAAGCTTATTGTATCTAAGAGAAACTGAGAAAGAATATATTAAGGGAAATAATTGACTTTTGATATAACTTCTTTAGTCATTATCCACATGCCATAACTCATCTTTTTGAACTGTCAACACAAAAAATTATCTATGATCAATAATGTATATATCAATACACAACATATATTCCTGTTATTTTTTCTTCATATAAATTTTCACTAGCCAAATTTAGTACCATAACAGGCTCTCCCTCAAGATTTTTCAAACAGGTAAAATGCACTACAAAAAACAAGGGTCATGGTACAGCTTTTGTTTTTTCAAAAAGTATACGCTTCCTCTGTATTAACAGATTTATGAATGCCTGACCCTTCTTTCCTCAATCTCTTTAGACTGTCATGAAGCTAAGATGGTGTAACATCTGTTTTTTGGTCAACAGAACAAAGAAATGAATTTTCAAAAACATTACACTGCCTACTACTCCATCCCAAACAGGCGTATTCTTTACTCTGACTTGTACAAAATAACTTTTTTTTTTTTTTTTTTTGAGATAAGAGTTTCGCTCTTGTCACCCAGGCTGGAGCGCAATAGCGCAATCTCGGCTCCCTGAAACCTCTGCCTCCTGGGTTCAAGCGATTCTCCTGCCCCAGCCTCCGAAGTAGCTGGGATTACAGGCGTGTGCCACCACACCTGCCTAATTTTTGTATTTTTAGTAGAGATGGGTTTTCACCATGTTGGCCAGGCTGGTCTTGAACTCCTGACCTTAAATGATCCACCTGCCTTGGCCTCCCAAAAGTGCTGGGATTACAGGCGCGAGCCACTGTCCCTGGCCAAAAGAACTTTTTAAAAGTGCTGTTTCAAAAAACAATTTTATTGGTTTTTTTTCAGACTGTATTATATAGCTCTTCAGCTTTATTACAATCATGCAAAAGCCAAAGGTTAATATTTGAAAATATTCTCCAAGCAAGGATTTAGTAAATACTTTGACTGTATTTCTGCTTTTTGCTAGAAAGTCTATTTCATTGCTAAAATGCATCTATTATATCAAATAAATGCATACAGCTATCTCCTATGTAGATACATCAAAAAAAAAAAAAAAAAAAAATCAGCCGGGCGCGGTGGCTCACACTTGTAATCCTAGCACTTTGGGAGGCAGAGGCAGGTGGATCACCTGAGGTCAGGAGTTCGCAACCAGCCTGGCCAACATGGTGAAACCTCGTCCCTACTAAAAATACAAAAAATTAGCCAGGCGTGGTGGCGGGTGCCTATAATTCCAGCTACTCGGCAGGCTGAGGCAGAATGGCTTGAACCTGGGAGGCGGAGGTTGCAGTGGGCTGAGATCACACCATTGCACTCCAGCCCGGTCAACAAGAGTGAAACTCCGTCTCAAAAAAAAAAAAAAAATCATAAATTAATTTTCAGCCCTATGTTTCTGATGCAAAGAAATGTCAAAGCAAACAGATTTTTAAGTACATTTCATTGACAACAATCTATTTCAAAACATTTTCCTTGCATTTTCAAGCAATAAAATGTAGTGCTTTTCAAAAACAGTGCATATTCTAAATATGTGACAACTATCCTAAATATCTGTAATAGGCTTTTGAGGGTATCATGTAAATCAAGGGAAAGTTTAACAATTTTAGTTTGAATCACCAAATGTATAATGATATTTACTTTATAAAAAAGATGTACATGTCATGGATCAGTCATGGCTTCTTAAATAACCACAAAATTGCCCAAATTCCTTGGAAACTGTTTTTTGGGATAAAGGAGCATTTTAAGTTGCTCAAACTCTTATTAAGTACAACTAGCCACTAGGCAAAGTTATCACAAGATAAACATTGGTAAAGGATCCAAAAATATTTATGCATAAATATACAGATGTAACATGAGACAGAGATCAACCCATAGCTGAGATTAACAGAAAAGTAGTCATAGCATTAAAAAGAATGCAAACTAAATGGTTTGCCTAAACCTCACTGTTCTAAATTTTACAAGAATAGATATGTGAGAAATTAGAAATACTAGATAACTATTAAAGAGCCAAGCTAATATGAAAATTGGTTTCACCATGCATTCAGGTTACGTTAAATAACCTATCAAGAAGAAGTCTTGGCTGGTCTCTTTACAAACAAGCATTAAGTATCTGAGAAATTTCTAAAAGGTAAAACTAAAAGGGCAAATTTCACCACAATTATATTCACTGGAAATGCTACCTTAATATATATATATATTTTTTTTTGAGATGGAGTCTCGCTCTGTCGCCCAGGTTGGAGTGCAGTGGTGCGATCTGGGCTCACTGCAAGCTCCGCCTCCTGGGTTCACACCATTTTCCTGCCTCAGCCTCCCGAGTAGCTGGGACTACAGGCGCCCACCACCATGCCCGGCTAATTTTTTTGTATTTTTTTTAGTAGAGATGGGGTTTCACCGTGTTAGCCAGGATGGTCTCGATCTCCTGACCTCGTGATGTGCCCACCTCGGCTTCCCAAAGTGCTGGGATTACAGGCGTGAGCCACTGCACCCGACCAACATTTTTTAACTTTATAAAAATTAATTTATAACTTTCTTAAAGCCACATTCCTAATTAATTACATGATTCCTAAGTTCTTCCAGAAGAGTAATAATTGCTCTAAGCCTTAGATTGAAGCAAAGAGGTTTTCTAACTTTTCATATATCTCTTGGGTGCCAAGTATTATTGAATAAGTTTCATTTAGTCAAAATAAAACAAATATAACAAACACAACTTAAATCATATACAAAAATTCTCCAGTTCCACCATGTCTTGAAATAACATTTGTTTTGCTTTTTTACCTGGTTCTCCTGTGATATCTCTGGTGCAGGGGGTGGTGGAGATTCTTCACACACTGCAAGGCTCCGAACTAGCTTTAACTTTGAGCTTGACTAAAGAGAAGTATTTATAATTAACACTACATTTCAGAAATCTAGGGCATATCCAAAAGCCCCCTAGAAAGAGTTTCTAAGTTTCTTTATAGTTTCTGCCATGTATAACAGTAGATGAAATGTGCAAGTTAAATATATCATTAAACACTACTGAAGGCCTTTGTTAAGAAGGAACACAAACATTTGCAGTTTTGAAAATTATAGCAATAGAAAGAATGGGAATAATTCCAACTTCATATCCCCAAAAATGGTGAGAAAGCGATTTTCTCTACAGATAAAGAACCATCAAGATAAAAAAAGCAATGCACAAAAGCGACTAGGCAAGACAAAAATCCCAAATAAAACAAAATAAGCTTTCTGCCCCCCATAAAATATGGAAGAACTAAACTGAATGTAGTGCTATATGAAAACAAGGATTCATCAAGCATGAAGGAAGGCCCTTGGCATGCCAGCACACCAAAATATTTACTATACCTTAGACCTTTTTCCTGTCTGTCCAAATGACTGCAATGGCCGCTGAATATACAAGAAAGATTTGTATTAAATTTCATACTGAAACAGAAAATTTGCTTCTTAATTCATAGTCCTAAACCACAGAAAAACTAACTGTGCATAAAGTATGAAAAGTGAGGAAATCAAAGTTGGTTTCAGTAAAGGAGTACTGATTCCTCCCAGAAGCACACTTGCAGAAGTTTCTTTAAAATCCTGATAGGTTGGCATTTTTATTATTTTTCTTTCTTAGGCATTTTTCTTTAAATCAGCAAATGGCCACAATTTCTGTGTTAATTGAGTACAATGGAACTTATATGGTGACTTCTTGGTAGTGAAATAAAATATACTTCATTATTTTACAACATATTATAGTTTAGCCAAGGTTAAGGAAAAAGAACACACACAAAAACCAGCAGTTAAAGGTGGATAAACTCAGAAAAGTTCCAAACTTAATGTTTCAAATGCACAGTAAGTCAGAGTCCAACCACAAATCTACTGAGGTGTTTCAACACTGTATAAAGTACACCACCAGTTTATTAGTGATAGAAACCTATTCATCAGGTCTGAGGTGAGGCAATGAAGCAGAAAGGAAGAAAAAAGGGCAGACTTCCAATACGGATGTCCAGCATGACTGACAGGCCGACCATCAGTCACATGATTGGAGAATGCGGTAAGGCAAACTAACTCAAGTTTGTGATACAAGCTTTGGTTTGGGAAACCAGCTGAAGCACCTGTGAACCAGAGCCAGATAGGTTTTAAACACTCCTTTCTTCCAATTTTCCTCCCCAAACCCAACACCAAATAGTACACGGCAAAAGTATCTATCATTTTTACTTCTTAACATGAGGGAGCCAGTCTGGTAACAAACATAAAACAGATACAAAATCCTTAATATCCAGACTAGTATGCTTTACATTAAAAAAAAAAACCCATCATTTTATTTCAAAAAGGCCTTCCTTGTAGAGTCAACAGAAACAAGAGTCTACAGTACCAGTATGTCCTGCTCCCATTTTGAGCCAAAAGTTCTTCAAAATTAAAAAGCACTGTATTCTTGGGATTTTAACCCTAGATTATACAAACTACAGAACAACAAAAGGAAAATAGAAAAAATAAAAGAAAAATGACTTTGTTTCTTATACAGAAGAAAATAGCATGTGTGCGCACACATGAATATGGCAGTGCCACCTAAGAGGTCTTCTGCATGTTGGTATTGTCTTCTGTTTTTACCTACTCTCTAACTTGTTCAAGAGGATTTCTAATTAACTGTAACTCACATCTAACAATAAAAGTAAAATAAATTGTACTACCATCTAGTCTAGGTGGTAGATGCCACCATCTAGGGATTACAGGAAAAAAAAAAGAGAGAGAAAAGCAACAGGTGAATACTATGAAAATGCACATACCTAAATGAGTTCTGAAGAAGCAGAAGGGAAAATAATTTGTGACTTACTCCCAGTCCTCTGCTTTAATCTCTTGTAATTTTAAGTATCACTGGTATAAAATCTTCTATTAAAAATTCTAAAAGGAAAGGGGTCATTAACTGTCAATGTAAATCCTGTATTCATATGCAGAAAAGCTGGACTTAAATTTTTGAATTTGCTTCTTATTAGTGGGTAACCATGGTCAAATTACTTCAGTTTACTTTTATCTGTCTAAAAGTTCATACTACTTGCACTAATTCACAGGATTCTTGAAAGGATTCAGTGAAAGCGTAGCTAACAAAGGGGCTTTGAAAACTCTAAAGTGTGTCATAAATGTAATCGATTATTAAAGGTTAGGAACTGACCATGTCAGAAAACCAATGTGCTGCCTCTGCTTATTAGCAATGAGATTAAGAAAAATTACTTAATCTAACAAATGCTAATTTAAAAAAAAGTCTATAAAATGGGGGTGCTGTATATTGTTCCTATCGTAATGCTTGAGAATATTCATAGACTTACACATGTATTTATCTCACTTTTAATCTACGAGGAGGCTTTGATGAAAATGAGGAAAAGATAAAGGAAGATACAGAGAAGTAAAATTATCTTAATTTGACTTCATTTAACAAACATGTTTTAGGTTCCTGCTGTACACCAGGTACTGTGCTAGGCACTAGAGCTATGAAGATGAATAAGACATAGTTCCTGGTCTTAAAGACCTCACAGTCCAGAATTAGTTACTAAAGTCAAACAGAACCCCATATCTTCAGAATCTTAGTCCAGTGCAATTAATATATTTTAAAAAACTTTATTGTGGATTAAATTCTACCTGAGGTAGACAGAATTCTAAAGATGGCACCCAAGATTCCCATCCACTGGTTATTTAATCAAACACAAATCAAGGTACTGCTAAGAAAGGATTTTGCTTTTTTGTTTTTTGAGACTGAGTCTCACTCTGTCGCCCAGGCTGGAGTGCAGTGGCGTGATATTGGATCACTGCAACTTCCGCCTCCCAGGTTCAAGTAATTCTCCTGCCTCAGCCTCCCAAGTAGCTGGGATTACAGGCGTTTGCCACCATGCCCAGCTAATTTTTGTATTTTTAGTAGAGACAGGGTTTCACTGGGTGGCCAGGATGGTCTCAACCTCCTGACCTCAACTGAGCAGTCCGCCTTGGCCTCCTAAAGTGCTGGAATTACAGGTGTGAACTACCATACCCTGCTGGATTTATGCATTTGTTAACTAAGCTCCAAGCCAAGTGACCTTAAGATACAATTTAAGATTCAGGTGAGTCTGATTCAATCAAGTGAGCCCTATAAAAGCTCAAACATTTCTCTGGTGGGAGCACGGGGGCAAGTCAGAGAGATTTAAAGCGTGAGAAGGACTCGACATATCGTTGATGGCTTTGAAGATAGAGGGGCCATGTAAGGAGGACTATGAGCAGCCTCTCAGAACAGAGTGGCCTTTACTGACAACCAGCCAAAAAACAGGACCTCAGACCTACAGCTTCAACAAACTAAGGTTTGTCAACAACTGGAATAAGCCTTGAAGCAAATTCTTTCCCAAAGCGTTCAGAAAAGGGCCCAGCCTGGCTGACTTTGGCCTCATAGAACCCTAAGCGGACAACACAGTTGGGCCCACTGTGAGCTGATAATGGGTGTTGTCTTTTAAGCCTCTATGTTTGTGGTAATTTTTATGCAGCAATAGAAAACTAATACACTACTATATAAGTAAACCATAAATTGCTAAAGTGGCATTGTTCAATAACATAATTTATTTCGATTTCCTTTCAAACAGCAAATAGAAATTATATGTACTAGAAAATATGCCATACATACATAACAAAGCAGAGAAAACAAGTTGTTTATTAAAGTAAACATTTTATTTCATATTTTTGTAATCTACTTGGCAGCCAGATTTGGCTTTAAGTAGCAATTCCCTCTATTTGATATGTAATTATTTTAAAAGTGGATTTTATTATTTAGAGCACACTTTTCACCCTTAGCAGAATTTCACTGTCACAGCAAAAATTTAGCAGCTTGTTTAATAGACCTGTATTAGTCCAGAGAAATGCTATTTATATTAGAATTTAGAAGGCTTAGGGACAAAGTCCCCAATTTATAATTTACATTGTTTTATACTGAAGTATAAGACAGGAACTAGGCGAAAAAATGGGTGCAGAATATGAAACATCCTTAATAGAATTTCAGTTTGAAATTGATACTAATACGTTGTCAGAGTTACCAGCTACTAGAATTTGGAGAACTGAAAAAAACAGAGCAATCCTTATGAGTTATATATGTATTAGCACAAAAATAACCAATTAAATATCACTCAACTAAGAAAATCTGACATTTAAAAAATAGGAATAATTTTCTCTTTGTAATTAATAATTGTTATGAAGAAAAATTATAATGGTTACACCCTTTCAACCAGACTCAAAACACCTTGAAGAGGTTACGAATTCTCAGTACTTTTCTAGGTAATAGTAAAGATTAGTGGCAATTGTAAGGAAGATAATGAATTAAAATGTTCCATGTCTAGTTAAGGTCAGGGCAGTAAAAATAATGGATGCCAGGATGCTAATTTCTACTGGAATAAATGAAAAATACAAAGTTCTCTGAGGTGGGAGAGCTATTTTAAAAATCAATAAACTAAACACAATCACTAATTTGTTTTTAACATTTAATCTTTCGAGCCATAAAGCACAGAGTTAAATACTCAAAGGCCTAACTCTTAGATTCTAACGAAAAGTATGTGGAGAAAGTCACAAACTATCTGGTTTATAGTTATTCCTTATAATAAATGAAGATACAGGATCATCCCATCCCACTGGTGATGTACATGAAAATTATCCAAAGAAGTACAAACGGTAAGTATGCAAAAGCATTTCTACATCTACAAGATGTAGCCAACATCTTTACGCAGCACAAGAAAGCACCGTGAAAAGTAAATGTGCTTAAAAGAACTACCATATGTGCATATGACCCAAGTTCAGTAGAAAGAGTACCAAATCCTAGAAATAATTATAAAAATATACTATGGAAAATGTATCATAAGTTTTAAAAAGTTGAACTCATTCAATATTAATAAAAAACAATAAAAATACAGCATACAGATACAGAACTTAATAGAATTAAAACTACTGTACTGAAAATGTGGGGAGGTTATGTTAAAATTAAGTTTTACTCTGTTTTATTACTAAAGAAAAAATCTTGCATGACAATAAAGCCACAAATTTTTGAGAAGCCATAGAATCGTGTTATTGCTAATAGTAACAATTATAACATTGTTAATAGCACCTACCATTTGCTAGGCTCTATGTACTAGGTACATTACATATATCTTTTTTTCTCTGAGACAGGGTCTGACTCTGTCACTCAGGCTGGAGTCCAGTGGTGCAATCACAGCTCACTATAGCCTTGACCTCCTGGGCTCAGATGATCCTCCCACCTCAGCCTCCAGAGTAGCCGCCATGCCTAATTGTTTGTGTTTTTTTGTAGAGATGGGGATTTGCCATGTTGCCCCAACTGGTCTCACACTCCTGGACTCAAGCATTCTGCTTGCCTCGGCCTCCCAACGTGCTGGGATTACAGGCGTGAACCACCGTGCGCAGCCATCCTTTTTTTTTTTTTTAAATTTTATTTTTTTTTAAGGGACAGGTCTTACTCTGTTGCCCAGGCTGGAGTGCACTGGTGCAATCCTAACTCACTGCAGCCTTGAACTCTCAAGTCATCCTCCCACCTCAGCCTCCCAAACAACTGTGACTACAGGTATGTACCGTGACGCATGAATAATTTTTTTATTTTTATTTTTGTAGAGACAAAGTCTTCGTGTGTTGTCCAGGCTGGTCTCAAAGTCCTGGGCTCAGGTAAACCTCCTGCCTCGGCATCCCAAAGTGCTGGCAGGAGCCACCACGCTTTGCCACATACATGCTTTTAATCTTTGTTTGACAAACAGGAAATAGCTAAGATTATTATTTGAATGATTTTATATAAAGAGACTTTTATTCAGTCCTTTAAAAAAATACTTCATTTCTTAACAGATTAATGAAATAAGTTAATTGTTTCATCAATACTTTCCAAGCAAATGAGGGAATTTGTTATGTACTGCCTTCATTGTCGAAGAAGCGTGGCATTGTGTTCTGAACTTTTCTGATAGCCTTATTAGATTCATTGCTTTCTTGCCCAAACCTCTTTTAAAGAAATGCACTGGAATTAACTTGAGGGATACAAGACATAAGAGTCTCATCTTGATTATCGAAGGGCTTACTACTGAAACAGAATATACAAAACATGTACTTTAGCCAACTCTGTGTATGGAAAATTGACTCACGTATGTCAGAGCTATTCATTGACTCTGGCACACAAGGCCTAGTTTTTAACAGAAATCAGCTCTCTTATTTTCTCCATGACAAGGGTTACCAACACAATGTGGACTCCCTATCCTATTGTTAATAATAATGTGAGGGAGAGGCATTGTTTGAACTGTTCCCAGATATGTTTTGAATTGTGTGCATATACACATGTATACAGATGAACATCCCTGGACAAACTATTTGTTAAGTACAAAGATACAACTGTAAAAGAATGGGAAAGTTGAGTTTGAACCTTTAATAAGCAGAGCACAGAGTTCTGAATTTTATATTTAAAATAAATGACTGTAAAAATCAACACAAATAATTTACTCTAAGTTTTTTAAATTTTTTTTTTTTAAGACAGGGTCTCACTCTGTCACCCAGGCTGGAGTAGAGTGGCACGGTTTCAGCTCACTGCAACCTCGATCTCCCTGGCTCAAGCAATTCTCCCACCTCAGCCTCTTGAGTAGCTGGGACTACAAGTGCATGCCACCACATCCAGCTAATTTTTTTATTTTTTTTGGTAGAGACAGGGTTTCGCCATGTTGCCCAGGCTGGTCTTGAATTCGAGCTCAAGCGATCCGCTTGCCTTAGCCTTCCTCAAAGTGCTGGGATTACAGTCATGTGCCACCGCACCAGGCTAATTTAGACTAATTGTAATCTGAAAAACCTATCCGCGAAGAAAATCAAACAATGGAAACCCATCGGTGAGTTATACACAGGAAATCAAAGCAAATACTCCCCACCATCCAATTAACCCATGTTAAAGATTAGGGATACTCATAGTCTAACAAAATACATTTTTCTGGATTTAGAAACCTGGCATCCACCACCCCAACCTTCCAAATGTTTCATAAAAATATAAAGTCCGAAATGTACCTCTACATTCTCAACAGGAACAGTGTGTGGCAGCAGAAAAATTCCTAACCAAAAACCTGTCAGATAATTATTTGAGACCATAATCAACAATTCAGAACAACTCCAAGGCAATTATGTGGGACAGTTAACTTCCTGACGTTAATGCACACAGGTTTCTTGAATTAGCTCTGAAGTATTAAGAAATTTTTATGAAAGTAATCCTAAAATTTCTATAAAATATTACAGTCCAAAACAAAACCCTGAATAAGAAACACAACATTTTTTAAAAGTGGAAAGAGAAAACTAGTGAAAGTAGAAAGAAAACACAAGTAGAATTATTTATAAATTAAATGGTCAAAGAGCTCTCTGAGATAATCTCTGCTTGGAACCACCTGAGATGACATGTAATGTCTGTTGGCCTCTCTCTGGTTTGATGAAATTATTTTTTATGTAAATACTACCCTTAACAGAAAGAAAATCATAAAGTCTCTTCATAGTACAAAAGGGGCTGTAACATCCCTTAATTAACAATGACTTCACTCAAAATGTATATATTAAACGTGCAGTTTTTTTATATAAATGAATAAAATGAATGCATCTTTTGGAAGGTAAACATTTGTTTCCTTTAATCACTTTAAATATTACTATGCTGAAGCAAGATAACAGATGTAAGTTATAATATTCATGGTAGCTGATTTTCAGAATGAGAGCAAAGTAGAGAATATCTTATCACTCTATTAGAAAAAATAATAGTTTATCCAAAAATCTCAATAGAAAACCTACATTATTTGCTACATACATCCAAACTTATGAGTGAAAAACAGCAGTTGCTATTTAAGATGACAACCTTTAGGCAGTACCTTAGAGGTACCAAAGGAAGATGAAATATCTGGTAGTATGTTAGAATAGTTAACTCCACATTAAGTTAAAAGTAACTCTGTATTAACCAGACTTTTTAAAACAAAACACTTATTCCCTGTTGATGCTTAAAACAGTTAACTTTGTTTTACAATATTTTAAATGAAAACACAGAAGAAACCAATTTTCCAGTTTTATCTACTTCCAATTCCCAATTTCCATTAATTAAATCTGTTCTATACAAGGTATCTCAACTGTACACCCCTTGCCAGGCACCTTGGATGAAAGCATTTTGGGCCTCAAAAGCTCAAAGCAGGGTCAATATTCTTACATATAGTAAATTATTATTATTATTATTATTATTATTTTGAGATGGAGTCTCGCTGTGTCACCTAGGCTGGGGTGCAGTGGCGTGATCTCGGTTCACTGCAACCTCCGCCTCCTGGGTTCAAGTGATTCTCCTGTCTCAGCCTCCCAAGTAGCTGGGATTACAGGCGTGCGCCACCATGCCCAGCTAATTTTTTTGTATTTTTAGTAGTGACAGGGTTTCACCATGTTGGTCAGGCTGGTCTCGAACTCCTGACCTTGTGACCCGCCCACCTTGGCCTCCCAAAGTGCTGGGATTACAGATGTGAGCCACTGCGCCCGGCCCATATAGTAAATTATTAATAAATACTTCAATAAACAATGAATATGGCATTCACCAGATTAACATAAAATAAATTCTCACATTCTCTTTTTCCCTCCTTCCAAATCGTTACAGTCGCTATGCTATAGGAAACAAGAGGTCAAAGACCATACCCATGTTTGTTTACTATGGTATTCCCTTGGTAAAGAAGAGATTTTTCAATAAATGGTTTGGGTAATGTGGGAAATTTTCTTATACTACAAACAACTGGGCCATGATGCAAAAGTGGTCATCAGAATGTTCTTGTGGCTTACTGCCAAGGGCAACACAATAGACATGGTAGGAAATGCAATAACCCAAATTAATGACTTGTTGATAAGCATGATCTAGGAAAAGAAATATTAGGTGTAGAAAAGAGGCTAAAATGAAGTATTTTATTATTTCAATCACAAATGCACTAGAATTTTAGCAGATTTTCTCTGATGCAATCAGGACACTGGCATGCTGTCATCACTGAGTGTACTGATTACAGGTATGGCAATTTTTTGTTGTTCTAGAAAGTGCTATTAGTAAAAATGACTGGGAAAAAAATGTTATTTCTCCCAATTTCTTAGATGATTACCACTTGACTATAAGTGGGGCCTAAATGCTTTTTTTATAGCTGGAGGAATTGCTATCATTGTCTAACCTGGTGTCTGGTACATAATAGGAAAAAAAGACAGTTTTTGACTGAACAAAAGAATGAGAAAACCTTTAAAAACAGGTTTCTTGGCCAGCAGCGGTGGCTCACGCCTGTAATCTCAGCAGTTTGGGAGGCTGAGGCAGGTGGATCATGAGGTCAAGAGATCGAGACCATCCTGGCCAACATGGTGAAACCCTGTTTCTACAAAAAATACAAAAATTAGCTGAGCATGGTGGCGCACGCCTGTAGTCCCAGCTACTTGGGAGGCTGAGGCAGGAGAATTGCTTGAACCCGGGAGGTGGAGGCTGCAGTAAGCCAAGGTTGCGCCACTACACTCCAGCCTGGTGACAGAGCGAGACTCTGTCTTAAAAACAAAAAACAAAAAAACCCCGCCCCCCCACCCAAAAAAACCAGGTTTCTTTACTTTAAAAAAGTGAAGCTAAAAAAGAAAACACAAAAGAAAAAAAAAATGAAGCTATACTTTTTGGCTTATAGCCTTCAAAGTCTTTAGCATATAGAATGATAGAATATTTTCTCCAAAAATAGAATTCTTTAATTGCAAAGCAAAAATTAAAACATTGTTAAACTTTTTTTTTTAATTCTTTTTTTTTTTTTTTTTTGAGATGGAGTCTTGCTCTGTCACTAGGCTGGAGTGCAGTGGTGCGATCTTGGCTCACTGTAACCTCTGCCTCCCGGGTTCGAGTGATTCCCCTGCCTCAGGATAGCTGGGACTATAGGTGCGCGCAACCATGCCTGGCTAATTTTTTGTATTTTTACTAGAGACAGGGTTTCACCATGTTGGTCAGGATGGTCTCGATCTCCTGACCTTGTGATCCACTCACCTCGGTCTCCCAAAGTGCTGGGATTACAGCCATCGCTCCCGGCCTAAACAATTTTTTTTTGAATAACTTTTTGTGGTAGCTTAAAGGTGGCTACAAATTCTTTCCTACTGAGAGGTAGGGTCTAATTCCCCATCCTCTGGCCTGGCTTTATTGACTTATGTCATCAAAAGAAGATAGCTGAAGTAACGTTCTGGAACTTCTGGGCCTATGTCAAAAGAAACCTTGCAGCTTTGCTTGGCTTTCTTGGAACATTCTCTCTGGGACCCCTGAGCTGCCACATAAGAAGTCTGACTACTTTGGACCCACCTTGTTGGAGGAGCCATAAATAGGTGCTTCTAGTTCTACCTGAGCCCAGCACTGCAGCCTTGCCTACCTAGGTGCCAGACAGGTGCGAGAAGCAATCCGGGATGCTCCAGACCAAGTCCACCGGCCTGTTAAATGCCAACAAAGGACCTCTTTGGATACCCTGTAGAATAGAAAATTCACTCAGCCCAAGCCTTGCTTCGTTTCCTGACTGATAAATGATGAGATATTAAAAAAAAAATTGTGGGCCAGGTGCGATGGCTTGCGCCTGTAATCCTAGCATTATGGGAAGCCGAGGTGGGCGGATCGCCGGAGCTCAGGAGTTCTAGAACAGCCTAGGCAACACAGTGAAACTCCATCTCTACTAAAATAGAAAAATTAGCCGGGTGTGGGGGTGCATGCCTGTAGTCCTAGCTACTCGGGAGGCTGAGGCAGGAGAATTGCTTGAACCCAGGAGAGGGAGGCTGCAGTGAGCCGAGATCACACCACTGCACTCCAGCCTGGGCGACAGAGAGAGACTCCATCTCAAAAAAATAAAATAAAATAAAATAAATTGTTTAAAAGTGTTAGCCCTTCATTCTGAGAAAATAGATAACTGGAAAACCTTACCAAAGAAATGAATAGTACTAGAAATGCTATTACTTGGGACCATTTTTACCTATCTTCAATTTGTTAATCAACTCAATTTCCATTTATGCCTGGAATTAGAAGCCTTCTCAGTGGCTAGCTCTAAGTCATTATATATGCACAGCATTAAAAGCATTAACTTCCCCCGGGCCCACAAATCTTTTTTGTCAGTCAGGTTGAGTGACTGAGGAACCCCCTGAGGGCTGTTTTTGCCAATAGTTCGTCTGCAGTTTTATTGTATTCTATTTGTCTTTCCTTTAAGAGCTCTTAGGTTAAACTCAAAATTTAACTGTGAGAGTTCAAAACTCTCACAGCACTGGTAATTAGGAAAAGGGTGGAATGAGAAAGTAGAAAGCCAATAAAAATGCACTAGCCACATACAAATAAAAAGAAGTATATTACATGATACAAGCCAAGTTAAGACTCACAGCAAGCTAATCCAACTGGCTCCAAAACCAGCTAGTAAGCATGTCACGAAGGGTCAACTTACCCTTTTAGAATTTTGAGAAGTGAGTTTTGTATGAAAATAAACATAAATATATACTGAATATTTAGTATTTGTAGCCAGAGAAAAATTCCTGTTTACCTGCAAATCTATATTGTTCTCAATACAATGTTCATTCTTCTCTACCAAAATCTTCCCATAGTTTTCTGATTTGATAAGATTTTCAACTCTGGTTGTATCTTTCACTTCTGCCTCCAAATCCTTCATTGTTGCAGTTTCATCTTTTACAGTAACAGTATCAGACATCCTCATTAGAAAAGGTTATTTTCGAATTCTACAGGGAGCTTGAAGCCTTAAGAAAAAAAAATTAATACAGTTTGAAACTTTTTTACATTCAGTTACTGCATGATACTGACCTACTGTCTGTTATGTTCCAGAAATAATGTTGAATATAGACAGGAACAAAATTCTTGATTTCAAGGAGTATATAATTTTGTGCTAGATACATCCAAATTAAAAAAAAGATCACAATACAGTGAGAAAAGAGCTATAGAAAGTATGTGAGCCAGGCACAGTGGTACCCAGCTGTAGTCCCAGCTACTTGGGAGTCAGGCAGGATGACTGCTTGAGTCCAGGAGGCAGAGGCCAACCAGGGCAACATAGCAAGACCCTATTGCTAACACATAAGTGTGTTTTTTTTACATTTAAAAAAAGAATATGGAGTGATTTTGATGCACATATACTTGTGGCAATTCTTAAGAAACATTAAGGACCGAGCCAGATCAAGGTAGAAGGTAATGGCTGGAGAATAATATATGTGTATTTAGAAGACATTAGAAATCTTTTTCTCCAAAGGGATACCTATAATAGCTTTTTCATCTGGATTCCTAAAATTCCAAATTTCTTAAATTACCCTGAAATATTTCCAAAAGGAAATAATTTAAAAATAAACAGTAACATTCTATTACAAAATACACTTGTAAATCTGGATTAACAAATATGTTCAGCAATATGAAGAAAGCATTGAAAACTCTCCTGAATTAAGTGATTCAATGCCAAACAACACATTATCCAGGCACTCTAGAATATGGAATCCACAGGAAATCAAATACATAAGATTCCAATATATTTTCATGTCATTAGTGAGTTTAAGAAAATCACTGGTTTTGCACTGGATTAATGTATCAGAGATTAAGCTAAAGATAGCACTCATTTTAAGCTGCAAAAAATGTAATAAAAACAGCAGAACTTGGCCGGCTGCGGTGGGTCACGACTGTAATCCCAGCACTTTGGGAGGCCAAGGTGGGCGGATTGCTTGAGCTCAGGAGTTCAAAACAAGCCTGGGCAACGTGACAAAACCCAGACTCTACTAAAAATACAAAAATTAGCCAGGCATGGTGGTGCATGCCTATAATACAGCTACTCAAGAGGCTGAGGCACAAGAATTGCTTGAAGCCAAAAGGCGTGTGTTCCAGTGAGCTGTGATCACGCCACTAGACTCCACCTTGGGTGACAGAGTGAGGCTCTGTCACAAAACAAAACAAACAAAAAAACCCAATAATGGCAGAACTTTATATAAACAACTTATTCTGAAATGCATCTTTAAAAAAAATGAACAGATTGATATATAGAGGGATAGACAGATATAGGTTATAGCAAGTATGCTAAAATGTTACTGGTGAAATCAAGGGGTGGTTATAGGGATGTTCACTGTAAAATTCTTTCAACTTTTCTATATTTCTGAAAATTTTCGTAATAAAATCTTGTGGCGGGGGGGAAACCAGTGAAACTTATTTTCTCTATATCAATTTGAAAAATTCAAAAGTTCATTTCCTGAAAGAATGTTTTGCAATCTAAATGGATTTTAGGGCCAGGTGCAGTGGTTTACACCTGTAATCCCAGTGCATTAGGAGGCTGAGGCAGGTGTATCACTTGAGGCCAAGAGTTTGAGACCAGCTTGGCCAACATGGCGAAACCCCATCTCTATTAAAAATACAAAAATTAGCTGGGCATGGTAGCACGTGCCTGCAAGCCTGTAGTCCCAGCTACTTGGGAGGCTGAGGCAGGAGAATTGCTTGGACCTGGGAGGCGGAGGTTGCAGTGAGCCAAGATCGCGCCACTGCACTCCAGTCTGGGTGACAGAGTGAGACTCCATCTCAATAAATACATAAATAAATGGATTTTAGGAATTGATAAATACAGCTCAAAAGTTAAAAAAGCCAAAGAGAAGTAGGTCTTAAAGTCACAGACAGACTGAACTGAATTAAAAAAAGAAAACCATGTCTTCCTTAATTATAACCCATACAAAAGTTAATTGGTTCATTCCGAAAACAAACAGCTGCAAAGTAGGGAGAGGGTGGTGAAGTTACTTAAGACACTGGCTTCTTGCTTTTTATAGGTGAGATTTTGTAAGAAAAATATGTTTTTCTGAATGACAGGGAAGCATTACCTGATGCGTCCTTTGGATTTGGGATTGTGGTGTCCCACAAAAATAAAATAAAATAATCCAAGGTTCTTTTTCACAGTTGTCAGCCAGGATGTCAACTGTAGTGAACCATCTGTAATCTGGCAGGAGGAGTCCCATGTCCTTGTCACCACTGTAGATTCCCGGACTGGAATGGACTGTCTTGGATCAAATATATCATACCTTTCCGTGGCCTAAAATGAAAACAAAAGAAACCATTTTAACAAAATGGCCAAGGGAAATGGAACACTCCACATGAAACTGAGAAATTAAAAATATTACTGTCAGTTGTTTTATTACATTATTTTCCTAAACGAAAGTCAGAACACTGAGTAACAATGAATTCTAACATATATTAGCTTTGTGAACCTGAATAAGTCACTGAGGCCGAGAGGATTGATTAGTTAAAAGCAGAAGAGAGAAGAGGAAAGAAAATGATATGTACTGAGAAGCTACAATGCAGTCAGGGTTATAATTGAGATAGTATCTATAGATAAAGAGAGAGAAAAAAGATCATAATCAGAAACACTTTAACTCCAAGAACCATCATTTTTAGAGTTCTCTTCTAGAGCTGTGTAACTCTATGGACTTAAGACTGTAATTTTGAACCGTAATAACATTCTAGATTTTTAAAAATACAAAAGAAAAAATAAAACAAAAATAACAAGCCATTTAACATTTTTAATGAAACCCACATTGTCTGTTCTAAAAAAAAAAAAAAAAAAAAAAGTTGGCTGGGTGCAGTGGCTTGTGCCTATAATCCCAGCACTTTGGGAAGCCAAGGCAGGAGGATCACTTGAGGCCAGGGGCTCAAGACTAGCATGGGCAACACAGTGAGACCCCATCTCTACAAAAATTAAAAAATTAGCTGGGTGTAGGGGTGTGCACCTGCAGTCCTAGTTACTTGCGAGGTTGAGGTGGGAGAATAGCTTTAGTTGGGGGTTACAGTTAGCTATGATCATGCTACTGCACTCCAGTCTGGATGGCAGAGCAAAAACAAAACAAAACAAAACAAAAATCCCCAAATACAAAATTTTCTCCATGTTATATTTTTGAAGTCGGTTTTATTTTATATTTATTCGGTATGAATGAATATAGCCTAGCAAGTAAACAACTCTAAAAAGATTATTTACCTCTTCCATTGTCCTTTGACAATTTTGCTGTCAATAAACAGAATAGTACATTTTAAGGTGAAATAGCTAAGCATACATATATGCATATAATGAGATCTAAGCACCAAGAGACCTAATACCAAGACAGCCAAGCATGCATTATAGAGTAACTCACATTTTATACTAACTCTTCAAAAACCATTTTGAAATACAATCACTTGGAACCCGATATATCCTTACATTACTTTTCACATTTTGATTTCACAATGTTTGACACAAGGATAATAGAAAAGGGGGTATCAAAAACAAATATCAAAAAACTTTTAATTGATACCGTGTCATCTCAATCTGACCAAGATTCTCCAGCCACTACATCAAATGATTAAGTTCCACCAAAAACAAAACAAAACAAAAATCCTTCAAGTATTTTTTCTCCATTTTAGCTTTTTATCTCATAAAATGGTAGACACAAGATGGCAGCATTCTCTAAGCAACCAAATTATTTGTGTTCTTTGTAAAGTGACTTTACAATTTTATCATGAATCTCTTAATTTTGTAATTCCATAAAAGCAAGGTTTTTAATCCATTTAAGAAATAAATAAGGTACTAGATAAGGCAATAGCTGCAGGGGAGAGTGAGGAAGGGGCAAAACCGAAGAGGTGAACACCTTAGAAGATCCTCTTAGGATCCCAAGGTTCCATGAAACCCCAAAGAACCTGAGAGACCACCTAGTCCAATATTGTAATTCAGCATTCAAGTTATTATTGCCTAGAAGTCAAATGACTTCTTCAAAGTCACACAACCAGTATGTGTGACCAAAACTTGGTAATATGCCACACCATTTGATAACAGACTAAATAATGAATGATTCAGAATGAAAATGACCAGTTATTGCCTGGGAAGGAGTCAATGGCATATAGAAATGGCAATAGAAAGGGAAGTGCACTAGCATTAGACGATAATTTAAATCCCAGCTCTGCCAGTTATATTTTCGGTAAATAACTTAATCTCTCTGAGCTGCAGTTTTCTGATCTGCAAAGTGGAAAAAAGAATATCTAGCTTCTAGGTTTGTTGTGAGGACTGACTGATTTAAATGTAGAGCACGGACCACAGCCTCTCTCCCAGGGCAGGCCCTCCAAAAATGTTAGCTGTCTTCTCTGGTCAGAATCCCTTTAGATCAGCAGTTGGCTGAGCCTAAATTTGCTGTGTCCTGACCCCTACCACTACACAGCAGTAGACTGACAGGAGGCCTAACACTGTGTACAAGCGGCTTAGCATTTTTGTGTATGGCTCTCATTTGAAGGCTTCTAATTGAATATTAAAAATTCATACAAACTGTTGGGTATAGTGGCTCAGGCCTGTAATCTCAGGACTTTGGGAGGTGGAGGCAGAAGGATCACTGAGACCAGGAGTTCAAGACAAGCCTAGGCAACATAGCAAACCCTATCTCTACAAAAAAAAAAAAAAAAAAAAAAAAATCATACGAACTTTGTATTCTTCTCCAAAATATTAATGCACTAGTTTAATTTTTAATTTTTTTTTTTTTTAGAGACAAGGTCTCACTCTGTAACCCAGGTTGGAGTTCAGTGGCACAATCCTGACTCACTGCAGCCTTGACCTTTGAGGCTCAAGCTATCCTTCCACTCCGGCCTCCTGAGTAACTGCGACTATAGGTGCCCACCACTATGCCCAGCTAATTTTTAAATTGTTTTTGTAGAGACGGGGTCTTGCTATTTTGCACAGGCTGGTCTCAAATTCCTGCGCTCAAGTAATCCCCCGTCCCAACCTCCCAAAGTGCCGGGATTACAGGTGTGAGCCACTTTGCCCAGCTAATGAACTTGTTTGATATAAAAATGTTTTCCCTCTCCAAATCTTCAAGTAAAAGGGATGTTTCAGCTTTTGGTACTCACTGGAAAAACAAAAACAAACCCCTTTTTGGTAAACCCATGAAGCCTACACTTCTCAGTTTGCCAAAGGTTGTGTGGGCACGTGGGTGTCAAGTATAGAAAGCTACAAGATAGACATGGCACATCATGTCTCTAACACAACATTTAGAAGTCCATTAAATGTACTGTCTTAATATAATAAATAGTTGTACAGTAAGTGAAAGATACTTAGGAACTTACAAAATTTAGGAAGACAACTTAGAGAAAAAAATGAACAAAATATAGACATTCAAGTATATATCTCAGTTCCTACTATTACTGAAATTTAAAAACTGAATTTTTCAGAATCTTTGTCAACCTAAGAGAGATGGATATATGAGCTCAAAATTCATATTCAACTTCAAAAAAAAAATTCTAATTGTCAACATGCTATTTATTAGGGACAAGTCAGAGATGTGCTTATATATAATTCCTGTGCTACCAGGTAGATAACCAGAGAAACGCCACATGTATGTTTACATATGCACAAAAAGGATGGCACTTACCTGAAACCATAAATGAAAGGAAATTACAGGTAAAATTAAAGGTCATAACCTTAAAAAAGTAAAACTATGAATGCACAAGGATATATAGGAAATCTTTTTATAATTTTTGGGTGGGAAAGTCCTTCCCAAGTGTGACACCAAAATCTAGAAGCCATTAAAGGTAAATAGTTATAAAACTTAGAACAAAGTTTTAAAATTCCTGTATAATAAAATAGAACATAAACAAAAGGCAGATGATACATATGAACTATTTCCAACATGAAAGGGTCAAAATGTTGAAAGCAAAGAAGGTCTTATAAATCAAAGGAAAGAAAAGGATGGGGGAATGACAGGAACAGGTAAGCTAAAAAAGAATACAAACAACTACCATCAAAACCAAATACTAATACATATATTTACCATGTGCCTGGCCCTGTGGTAATATTTTTCATAATGAATTCATTTAAAACTCACACAACAGTTCTAAGAAGTATGTCCTATTATCACTCTGTCCTACAACAGATTAGGAAACTAAGGCAGATAGAAAAATCAAGTAATTTGTCCAACATCACACAGCCAGTAAGTATGGAAAACAGGATTTGAACTGGACAGACTAGTGCTCCATTTCAGGCTCTTACCCGCAATACTGTATCATCATCTGTAGGTACCAAGAAGAGGGGCAATTTGTGTTTACGGAGCACTTTCATTTCAAGAGTAATTATGACATGGTAACTCCTTTGTACTGGACTTAAGACAAAGTAAACTTATTCTTTTCACATGAAGAGGAGCTATGTATTTTTTGTGTGTGTACAAGAAGATAGTACTATTAACTTTGTATTAATGGTCACCAGGAGTAATCACTACCAAACTATCAGAACTGCCAGGAATTATATAACCATTTTGTTTCTTTCTCTCAATCCTCCTATCGCCTGTGATGATGAGTACCAACTATGCAAACTTGGGTGGCAATAAGGATTCAGAGTTTGTGGCTAAGGAACAATGAGAAGGCAGTAGCTTACAAATGATAAATATGCATGGTTAAGTACCTTCCTCTATGAAACAAAGCAAGGCAGAATTAGGATCAACACTTTCAAAGGCAAACTAGTATATATGAAGTCTAAAGACAAGTAGTTTCTCTAGTGAAAATTTTAGTTAGAAGTATTAACAACAAAAATGCAATACTGACACTGACAATTCAAAATATCACTTATTATACTTGGGGTCTAAGTTTTGGTTTCACAACACAAAAGAACTGGAAACTTCGGTAGCCCCAACAATAAATACTCAAATTTCACACAACAAAAGTCAATTTACTCTAGGTTAACAAAATATTTAAAAATCATTTAAGTTAATTTATATGTGGGAAAGAAATCTCGCTCCTATAGGTAAAAATATTCTTCACAAAAATATTTAGGGGAAAAAGAGTTACATTATTGATGTTATCTGAACAGAATTTGGCAAAGCCCAAAAAAAAGGGTTGTTGCTTCCTTATCACTATCTAGTTATCCAATCCCGTTTCATTAGATAAGATGTTATGTTTTTTCTCTTAGAGACAGAAATATAACCAAGCAGGCACATCTATAAAGAAAATCAAATGCACAAAAGCAACCCATATCAAGTTCTCCCTGAGGTTATAAATTGGCACAACCAAATTGTTCAAATGCCTCTAGAAAGAAAGGCGAAGAGCACTGTTTATGCTCTATTTAGAAATAGTGGAAATTCACATTTGCAGTCACTTTGTCAGTCACTTGAACAAGAATATAAGCACTGACATTTCAAAATGTTAAATGTGCATGTGATTTGTAAACAGTTACTGTCATTTAACAAAAATTTACCAAATAACCACAGAAGGCACTATAGCTTTAATGAATATCAGTTACATTTAAAAAGAGTAAAGAGAATGAACTCCCTTGACCTAAAAGAGTTCGTTAAACCATGAAGAGGTTAATGATGACACTTACCAACAAATATAAATAATAATTTTAGGAGGACATTATAAGCAAGAAGGAAAGACTTTTGGTAGTTGAAGAATGAGAGAGAATAATTAGTGGAGTCTTGTAAGACTATATGAAACAAATTACTTTTAGGGAAAAAGTTATATGGAGAGGCAAGGTGTTACACGAATGTGCTGCATTCTGAGTGGAGAAATGGGGAAGACAATGGGCCTCTCATACATTGTGATCCACTTTAGAAAACAATTTGTGCTATCAAATGAATTTTAAATCCCACATATCCTATGACTCCACATTTCCACTTCTGGTGTAGATACACCCTAAGGAAACGCCTTATACAAAGGGACATGTACAAAAATATTCACTGCACTGTTTTATTTAAAAGCAAAGAATGGGAAAGACCAAATGTTGTATTAATAGGAAAACTGTTTTTTTCTTTTTAAAGTAAAAACAACTGTGGCATATTCATGTTGCACGATACCATGAAACGATTAAAATGAAATGAACTAAAACTATAGGTACAAATATAAGTCCAAAGAAGAATGTCAGAATGTTTAGTCAAAAAGCAGAATGAACTCTACCATAAAATGTAACGTATATAAAAATTTAAAAACCACACAAGCATGGATGGGAAGAGTATATACCTATTTCATGTTAGTAATTACCTCTGGAGAGGGAAATGAAAGGGATTGGGTAAGACGGAGAAGGGACTTCAAATCACATCTGTATTATTTTATTTTAAAAAAAGATCTCCAGCCAATATAAAAAAGGTTAGCAACTGTTAATTCTGAGTGGTCAGTACTGAGTGTTATAATGCTCCTTTTTTTGTTTATGACATTTTTCATTAAAAATGTCCTGAAAATAAATGAGAATAACAAAAAATGTGGATATATTTGAAATTAAGATTAGAAGCTTAGTATTAGGCTGGGCGCGGTGGCTCATGCCTGTAATCCCAGCACTTTGGGAGGCTGAGGTGGGTGGATCACTTGAGGTCAGGAGTTTGAGACCAGCCTGGCCAACATGGTGAAACCCTGTCTCTACTAAAATACAAAAATTAGCTGGGCGTGGTGGTGCACACCTGTAATCCCAGCTACTCAGAAGGCTGAGGCAGGAGAATCGCTGGAGCCTGGGAGGCGGAGGTTGCAGTGAGCTGAGATCGCACCACTGCACTCCAGCCTGGGCGACAGAACGAGACTCCCTCTCAAAAAGAAAAAGAAAAAGAAGAAACTTAGTACTGATCCCAGGAGCAACAGGAAGCTTGAGTAATAGAGGAACACATTTTAAGAGAAGCCAGGGAGAATGATTTTAGCTACAATATAGATTAACCCTGTTCTAGCAAACAAAATGAAAGTTTTGATGGAAAGTGACTAGGGTTTAGACAAAGAATCAAAAGGTGAAAGCTGAAAAGGAGAAAAGATATTCCATTCACTCAATCTCCAGACTGGATACTATGTACAGAGCACTGTTCTAGGTAATAGGGATACATGAGTGAACCAAGCAGATGGGATCCTAGAACCTAAAATGCTTACATTCTAGTGCAGAGACAAAATATACAAGATAATAACTGATTGCAATATGTGCTGTGAAACTGGTAATATTAACAGCAAACCCTTAAAGAGTTATTTATTATTTACTAAGCACTACTCCCAATGCTTTAAGTGTATTAATTCATTTAATCCCCATAAAAGCAGTATTACATAGTTTGCAGCTGAGGCAGAGGAAGATTAAGCAGCTTTTTCAAAGTAGCAAGACTAGTAAGGGGTAGAGTTAAGATATGAACTCAGGTAGTGTTGGCTCCAGAGCCCTTGGTATCAGCCACTACCTGTACTCCATGTAGAAATGAATAGATTAATATAATAGCAAGTAACTAACTGGGGGAAGCCAATTCAATACATGAGTGGTCAGGGAAAAGGTAAGGGCTGTGAGAGCTGGAAGAGTTATGAGAGGACACACTGAAGGTGCAGGTAGTGCTTGCTACCACTAAATATAGGAAATATATCTGGGAGGAAAATGGATTTGATGGCAGAACGATGATTTCAGTTTTGCCTACAGTTAATTTTAAGGTATCTTCAGGACATTCAGGTGGAGAAATCTAACAGAAAATTGGATATATAGACTTGGAGCTCAGGAAAGAAGTCAGCTAATGTTATTTATTTGGTGGAGAATCACTATATAGATTGAAGTTTTGAGTTATCAATGTTAATGAAGTTGCCCACAAGCCTTCATTGAAAAGGGGGGGGGGTGTAGAATCCCTAGGGAACACTGAACCCTTAAGGATTGAGGAGGAAAGTGGAAGATCACAATGAGTATACATGATTTGGTAATAAAGTTACCAGGAGATGCGAAGTTAGAGGAAGGTTGTCAGAATGAAAAAGTGTGTAGGCCACAGAAGCCAGTAAGGAAAGATGGGGAGAGGCTAGAGGTTTAGGAGGGAAGAAAGGTAATAAGAAGGAAAATCTGAAAGTGGATGAAATGAGAAAATGTAATCAGAAGTACAAACTGGTGAATAAGCCTGAAATGTATACATTATCCTAAGATACTGAAGGGAATGTGGCAGGAAAAGGAGGGAATTCATACCTAATAAATTTCTTCTTTTTTACCCCGAACCTATTTGCTAGAAGAGAGGGAGCCGGGATGGCTGTAGGGCTTGTGGAGAATGGTGACTGAGTCACTAAGGGGTGGTTCATTAAGGCCAACACGAACATTCAGGACTGTTTTGGCACAGTCCTTCTAAGGAGAAGTCTGTAAACTACAAGACTGGGGGTATCTCTAATTCTTTGACTGAGGGCATTGTAATGAGTGAGAGTGATGCAAATGAGAAAGCTCAGATGCTACTTGGCTATATAATAGGCTAAATGTTTTTTTCACAGCCATTTCCAGATCTGACTTTTTATCACTGTATGGTATAGTAGCTTAAGAAACGTAATTTAAAATGCCAAATCAATACATAAAAAGCTGGAAATTAGGAATGCTAGAGTACTAAAAGAACTATACATATATCTTAATGTAGCAGTGATCCTAGTTTAAATGAAAGCAAAAGCTAAAGGAAGTGTTTTCACTGGAGAACCAAAGCAGGGGAGATGTGGGAGACAAGCAGCTCCTGGTGCCCAGGTGACCAAGCCCACCACAGAAGCGGGTGAATGGCTTGCCTAACTTCTCTGAGGATGGCATGGTGCTGGTACATAGAAAATTCTAGAGAAGGCCAGGCGCAGTGGCTCATGCCTGTAATCCCAGGACTTTGGGAGGCTGAGGCGGGCGGATCACCTGAGGTCAGAAGATTGAGACCAGCCTGGCCAACATGGCAAAACCTCATCTCTACTAAAAATACAAAAATTAGCTGGGTGTGGTGGTGCGCGCCTGTAATCCCACTACTTGGGAGGCTGACGCATGAGAATCGCTTGAACCTGGGAGGTGGAGACTGCAGTGAGCCGAGACTGTGCCAGTGTACTCCAGCCTGGGTGATAGAGTCAGACTCCGTCTCAAAAAAATAAATAAAATAATAAAATAAAAAAGAAAATTCTAGAGAATATGGTACCCTGAAGACTAAACATGTTGGGAACACTAAGAGATACAACCTTTGGCATGGACATGAGCTAATTCGTGGCAAACACTAGCAAAATGGTAGTGGGCAGTGGGCCAGAGAAAGACAAAACTGGAAGATCATGAAACGGCTGTTCTTGAGCTCATGAGGAGATCCTGGATAATCCTGGGGATAACCTGGTGAGATTCTAAAGGGGTTTAGATATTGGCAGATATAGGTAAGAGACAATGCAAGAAAGTCAGGGCCATTAATGTAACTCTAAACCTGAAGTTAATGACCTCCTAATATAGTGCTAGTGAGGGTAAAATGTATTTTGCCTTAATTCTGAACCTACCATAGTCCAGGGTTATACTGAGAGCTCCCCATGTATGTGCTAAATGCAGGACTGAAATAAATAACTCAGGGTGTAATATGATCTGATTGGCATGAGGTAAAATCTCTTTTAAAGACTACACACAGGGCTAGGAGTGGTGGCTCGTGCCTGTAATCCCAGCACTTTGGGAGGCTGAGGTGGGTGGATCACTTGAGGTCAGGAGTTCGAGACTAGCCTGGCCAACATGGTGAAACCTCAACTCTACTAAAAATACAAAAATTAGCCAGGTGTGGTAGCAGGCGCCTGTAATCCCAGCTATTTGGAAGGCTGAGGCAGGAGAATCGCTTCAATCCAGGAGGCACAGGTTGCAGTGAGCCGAGATGGCACCACTGCACCCCAGCCTGGGCGAAAAAGTGAGACTCCATCTCAAAAAGAAAAAAAAAAGACTACACGGAGGTAGAGTATGGTGGCACATGCCCGCAGTCCCATCTACCACAAGAAAGGATCCCTTGGGCTCAGGAGTTTGAGGGTGCAGTACACTACGATAGCGCCACTGCATTCCAGTCTGGATGACACAGCAAGACCCTGCCTCTTAAAAAATAAAAATAAAAAAAAATAATAAAAAACTACATGGAGGAAAAAAAAAACCCAAACTGGTATTACCATCTAGTCATGCTTTGAGAAATAAACAGCAAAGAACATTCAAAAGGTTTGGATTCCTGGAAACTGAGCTATGGATAATAAGGATGTGAGAGGAGAGCTTAAGATAACAGGCATGTAAGAGAAAACATAGTTTTTTTTGTTTGTTTCCATACTGGATTGTTTACAATTCATTTTTCAAAAAATCATTCATTCTTTCAAAAGTGATCTGTTTAGAGATGCTTTTAAGGTACAAAATCAGCTAAAGGGAAGTGGTCAGAAGGAGAAAGATCACTCACTCAGTCTTGACCTCGGAGTTATCTCACATATAATTACCATAAAAGTAAATTACTTCCCACATAGGGTACACCAAAGACATTATCAATAATTGGAAAATAAGATATTGTGTAATGGAAAATTTGGCTGACCTTTGTCCTTAGTAGGCAGCTTCTAAATTCTTGGAATTTCTGGACTGATGGAAATGTCTTTGTCATTCATGGTGGGTCCTGATAATGTATGCTAATGAGGTTACTATGATATAGTTTATGTTAAGATGGTGATTCCAGATGGGGACTGGCTGGAAAGACTAAACATGTTAATTAGAAAGTTGGGGCTTTGAGGAATGTGATAAACTGTCTGACTTCCAAGGAAGGAAGTGAGGCTGGATATTGAATTCAATTGCATGGCCAATGATTCAATTAATCATGCCAATGTAATGAGATCCCAATAAAAACTCTGAACACTGAAGCTTGGGTGAGCCTCCCTGATTGTCTGCAAATTAACAAACGCCAATGTGCAGGAAAGACAATACATCTTGACCTCATGGGGAGAGAACAAAAGCTTTGCATTTGGGACTCACCTAGACCTTACCCTGTGTGTCTTTCCTTTTGGCTAGTTCTGGTTTGTATTCTTTTGGTACAATAAAGCTCTAATGCTGAGTGTAATTTGAGTTATTCTAGTCAATTAAGTCTGAGGGAACCTCCAAATTTGTAGCCAGCTGATCAGCAGGGTGGCCCAGTGGCTGAAGTGAGGGCAGTCTTGTGTAGGACTTGTCTGGCCTAACTGCACATTAGTGTCAAAAGTCATTGTGGGTGCATAACTTAGTCTCATTAAGTTATATTCTTTAATGTGTTTTGTGCTTTGTTCATAGCATGATAATGTTGGCAGTTCATAAGGTGAACATCATTATGAGCATAATCTTGGTTTCTAAAATTTAGCCATTCAGAATGCCATCAATGAGTAGGCATTTGCTTTACACAGACTTTGGCAAGTGTTGGACTATTTATAAGAAACCCTCAGTCTTATCGTATTTTAGCTAGACTTTGATGTGGTATTTTCTTCATGCTTTCAAAATTCGATTTCGCTTGATATATTTTTCTCTACCCTACTAATATATAACTAAATGAATGTATCTCTATATACTTTTTACCCATGACCAACATTTCATTTTTATTATAGGGTCACAATGAAAATCCTTTACAGGTCTTAAAGGTACAAAGCTTATTATCAAAGAATCTTAGCAAAATTCACGCTGGGCTCCTGGCACATTAACCCACCCAATGGTTCTTTGATGGCTTAAAATGTGAAACTTCACATTCTCTAGCAGTTGAATTGGTAGATCTAACATGACCCATTTCCTTCCTACACCAAAAAATCTGTTTCCTTTATAGGATTTTAATTTAGGTTACAATTGGTAGACATTCAGTTTCATAACTACTAATGTGCCACCCTTTATTTCTTGAATTGCCAACTACATTTTTTTCTAACAAAGGATCACAGCCCTCTCTCAAGAAAGCACCTAAGGATTATGTTAGAAGGAAAAGGCTAGAAAACGTTTGATTTCTTCTTTCTGTCAAAGAGCATTTTGTGGCCAGTAAAAATAGCTTAAAAACAGCTTGAGGCAGAACAGGTGCTGTCTTTCAGTTGCCATCATCTGCCTTCATACTCTATAAAAGGATGTGTACAACAAAGTGCAAACAATTTTACAGCTTGAAGGTGCTGCTGCTGGGCATGGGTGAACACTGCTAAAAAGCTCACAATCTCTCATAGTTCACACTACATACTATACATGTAGAGCTAGCAGATATAATTTCTCTTTAAAGTACCTGTCCAATTTAATTGGCTCAACTTCCTATGGCTTTGCACAAAACACAAAAATTCAATGGGTTTAATGCATTTCAGATTTTATTTTTTTGTGGCTTTATTTCCTAGCTATGTCTACCACATCAAATTGTTTTAGTAGTTATTCATATTTAACCCATGGGTTTCTTTACAATTGTCTCATTGGAGCTCAAGGGGGCATACAGTTTTTTTGTCATTCATTTTCTACCTGTTAAGGAAAGCTGTGGTTTAGCCAGCATTCTGAAAGTACTGGAATAAAAAAATGTTCTGCTCTCTCTCTCTAGTGACCCCAAGCTGAAGTCTGACATCTGATGTGCCTAGTAATCAGTCACTGTATATTTTCAAACTACTTCCAAAAACTGTATGTGATCTCTGTTGATGTGTCTGCTATTGTAGAGGTACTACATAACTTTCTAAGCATTTGAAAATGAAAAGAGAGAAAATTTAAAATTAACAAAGCATATTGAGCAATGATTTATAAACACTATAAAGCAGTGACTCTTACTTATTTTTGGGCCATGAAAGGATCCCTCTTGAAAATCTTATTAAACCCAAGGATCCTCTCCTCAGAAATGCAGCAATCACATGTGCTTACTCACACGTGTATGTTCACAGTTTACACATGCTTTTAGGGACTGCTTGGTTCTCTAGAAGCCTATACATGAATCCTAGCTAACAACCCCCTTTTTATATCTATGTATATTATAATAAAATGACATGCATATTTATAAGATGACAGATTTGCATCATATATATTATATAATGTAACAGATTTGCATAATATATATTATATAATGTGACAGATATATTATCCAAGTCACTTTATAACATACATATATAAAATATAAAATAAGGGTTAAGTAGGATTCATATATAGGCTTCTGGAGAACTAAAACTGTGGAAACATATATTTATTATATAAACTTGCTCTGTTCAAGTGAGAAGGTGGGGATGAGTAGAGCAGTGTTAACTGGGCTTCAGGCTTTTCTCTATTTCCTGAAGTACTTTTGTGGTACCCTGGGGCTTAGAGGAACTCGGTTTGGAAAAAATAAATTATATTAACTGTATTAAAGATCTCAGTTATTAATCAGAAGGAGGGTTGGTCAGCTGTGCAAGTATGGCAAGATTTAGAGATGATGATTTTGTTGGTTCTGTTTCATTTCCACCTTTTGTCCCCTACAACCAGAGGGGGATCACAGAGCAGAGATGAAAACTATACAAAGCAGGAGAGACATCAAAAGAATGCAGAAACAAGGAATGCTACATAATTTCAGAGGAGGAAGAGCTGTATGTGAAAATGACATTTAACTCAGCTCTGAGAAGATTTTCATCTTATACATCTTTCTTTGCTTCTTGAATACTTTATATATATAACTTGTTACTTGTAAATCTAATTTTCTTTCCTGATAGCTTTATGCTAGTTATGACAAAGCCATACTGCTATTAATATATACTATGCTTGAATCAAATGGTATTTTAATCTGCTTTACAAAATGAAAACAATATAATGACAGTTGCTAGGTTTGTGATTATCTAAACACGTAAATGCTAAATGAGCGTCTGTTCTTCTATTTTAAATACTCAGATACAAAATACAAAATCTTGAGGAAAACATTAAAAAATACTCTCTGTACTGTTTTCGCAACTTTCTATAAATCTATAATTATTTCAAAACAAGAGGTTAAAAACAAAAGAAGAAAATACTAGCATATATCTGCTGTTAACACATTTGAAAAATACAGATGGTATAAAAAAGTCAATACAAGTTTTAAATACAAGTTTACCCATAATCTGAAATATAACTATGAAGTGGGGTATTATCTTATGTATCCTTAAAAGGAAAAAATTTTAAATTGCTTTCTATAAATCTTAAAAATTAATGGAAAAATCCTTTAAGAGAAAAATAATTCCCTTTAATAGTAGCCTAACACATATATCTTTAGAAGACAAAAAATTTTTAAATAATGACTTCAATCCACTTATAAGACCTCAAGCATAAGTTTCTCAAAATTAAAAAACTGAGCAAACAGTAAATCATGTTTATTTAAAATATAGTATTTAATTTCTTTATCTAATGGTTTATTAATTCACCAAAAAATTTAAATTTAAGTGCAGATCTGGCTCCAATGAACTGAAAACCTGTATGAGAATGAAAATTTGCAGAGTGAATGTGTGTGACTGAAGCTTAGACAGAAAAGAGAAAGATCTGGGAGTAGGGTGGGAAAGGGAGCAGAGTGCCAAGAGAGGGAAGGACGGAGGCAGAGAGACTGAAAGAGGTGTAGCCAGGGAGACACACAGAGACAGAAAGGTAGAGAGAAAGAGCAAAAGGATGAGAGAGGGAGAAGAAAGAAGGGCACATAGAGAAACAGACAAAGGAAGAGGGAATGATGGACAGAGACTAACAGATAGGGACAGGAAGAGACCAAGACACAGTGGGAAAGCAAGAGACAGAGAATGGGAAATACTGAAACAGACAGGGAGAGAGAGTCAGAGGGGCAGAAAAGGAAAGACAGAAAGAGAAAGAAAAGAGGAAGGAGGGAGGTAGAAAGATAAAAGAGAGAGAGAGAGAGATTAAGATAGATTTAGTCAGAAAGGGAGAGACACCCTGAAACACCAGGTAGATGAACAAAAAAGGGAGACAGACTGAGACAAAGTAGGAAAGACAAATGTAGAGGGAGAGGGGGAGAAAAATGGGTGGGGATAGGGAGAATGGAAGATGGAGGGAGAGATGAGATAAATCAAGAGGGAGAGACAAATATTCAGAAAGTCAAACAGAAAAAGAGAGGGAGGGCAAGATAGAGACGCACAGACAAACAGAATCCTAAAGGAAAAAGAAGAAATGAAAATGAGCAAAAGTATGAAAAAGCAAAGCAGAATATGACAAAGGATGGATAAAAGCAGTTGTAAGTAAGAACTGAGAGTATGTGTTGCTTATTTTAATTTTTTCTTTTATAGTTCTCAAGAAAAAACTTAAAATCTGAGGCTTAAAAATAATGAAATTCTCTTGGCATTAGGGTGAAGCAATGCATCTGATAGAAGACCCTAATTTTAATAATAGCTATTAATATTTTCATGACCCTAATTACTTACACAGTTGGGAATCAGAAATAGACAAAAGAAAGAGCAATGACATTCAGCGTTGATAAAAGGCCATTTAGTGATTTTCTTCCTATTTCCTCTAGAAAAGAGATGAATTATTTCTTAAGAACAAAATAATTGTTTTGTAAATGGAGGGGGAAGGAATTCATATCATAACAATTCCAAATGCTGTTAAAATTTCAGCTAATTCCAGATAAAAAGCAAGCAAAACTCTCAAAAACCTTCTAAACAATTCAATTTTACACTAATGGACATGTGTTAGTCATTCAGTATCACCTACATGATGAGATTTCACTTTTGAGGAATCAAAGTATCAAGGTAAATGTCAAAGTTTTCAGACTGTATAATTAGGAATAAGATACTCCTCAAAAATTACATAGTTTGATTAGCATTTGCTCTCTTTTGCAATGTGATATCTGATTATGTTAATCATAGCAATGACAGATCTAGGTTTTGCTGTTACAAGCACTTTAAAAATTATTCTACCTCTTCCCCCAAAAGGGTAGAAAACCGTTACCATGAGTTTTGAAAGTTAAGATTCTTAGCTTCTTAATTTCCAAAAGTCTCATTCACATTGTATTTGTTCCACAATAAAATTTTTAAAATTCAACAAGCCATATAGTATGTCTATTTTAAGATGAACTTGAAAGAGAAGTCATTTTTCCAGCTGACAATTTGCTGTGCTATACACAAATACCAATTAGCACACAGGTAAACCATTCTATCAGTAAGTTACAAGAAATATCAAACATGTGAGGGGTGGGGAGAAGAAATTGGTGCTACAGCTGAGAAGTAAATGACTCTACTTTTCACTCCACCAACCTAAACAAATATATTTTTGCAAAAATAAACAAAGACAATTTTAAAATGCTCTCACTTTCAATATAGTAGAATTTTATCACACATCCTCTAACAAAAATTATGGTACTAAGTGAACATGAATACTTCATGTATCAGATTACATTCTATACAAATTTAGCAAAAGAATTGAGTCACATACCTTCATTGTATTGGTATTTGCTTCATCATACAGAGTTAAGGAGATGTTCTTTCCATAGTACCTGTAAACTGATGCTCTGCATTGCTCCTCTATAGAGCTCACTGCACACATCCAGCTGATTAGTCTGGCATTGGGAGTGCCTGCTAGAGCAGTCTAAAGCACTTGCCGAGGAGGACTCAGACAATAGAAAGTCAACAGCTGTATGTTGTGATGTCAGTAACACTCTAGCCAGTCACCACCCAGAATATCTGAAATGCATCAGAAGCTATATTGAGCTCTTCATTAGCAATTCAGAAGCAATGATGCAAAAGCCCATGAAACTGTGAATATGCAAAGACTGTCAGGATTTTTGAGATTTCTCGCTATTAAAATATTGTTGCACAACAATGCCTGATCCCAGGTTGAAGAAAAAAAGTTGAGACAACCATATTTTTCTATAATTCCTTAAAGAACAAGCCATAAATAATTTAGGTATGGTTAATATATCATTTTTAAATTACTCTCTTTGACACTTTTAGTATTACTAACAAAAAGCCTTAAAAAAAGGCAATTTGTCTGTAATAGCTAACTTCCTGTGACAGTTTTGCATCTTCCAACTGACTTTACCTGTCACAAAGAAAATGAATTAACAGCACAATTCCTTATTTCTTAATCTGTTTTTGCTAAAATTAAAAGAAGCTTGCTTATTCTGGCAAGAGCATTACTTCTTCATACCAACAGATGGAGATAGCAATAGAACTGTGATCCGAGGACAATTCTGCCTCATGTCAGATGCTTGTTGGCTATATTAGCTCAAGTGGCGGACTTAGAAGAAAAGGAATCAACCAAAACCAAATTTAAAAAACAATGTTTAATAATTATAAGGCAAACAAATAAGATAAAACAGAATACTAATTGCATCTATTGGGCAACACACTAAACCAGATGAGTATGTTTTCTGGATTCTAACTATTGTTTTCTGTGATAGCTGGGTATAGCATGTGCCTCTGTTTCCCATTTTGTTAAACAAAGATCATACTTTCCAAAAGCATACAGGAATGTTGTAAGGATCCATCAGACAATGCTCATACGTTACCTGCACGATGTGAAGAAAGATCTGTACACCAACCAGAAATCCCACTTTTCTATGTCACTAAAATGTTAAGTCATGTAGAGTTTACACAACCTTACGGATTAATAAACCAGCAGTTTCTTTATACCAACTTGACAAACACTAAAAGATACCAGCTTTATAGTATAATGTGAAAAAATATTAACACCTTTCCAAAAATAGACTCGGCCCTAGAAGTAGATTGTTAAAAATACATAGAAATCCACAAAATCTTCCTAAATCTTCAAACAACAAAGGTGATGAGGCAGCTAACAACACTGAGACTTATCTGAGAAGCTTCCCGCTGATTTACCTAAAATTTCTCCAGTGTACAATCTTTTACTGCACCCTGAACTTTCTGGTAAAAATCAAGTGCCAGCCTAGGTACCCAAGAAACAAATATCCAAGCTCCTAACTTTTTTCCATAAAGAGCTACTGCTTTTGCCAAAGGGTATAAATGATTTTTTTCTCAGATAAAATCTTTGTTACTTATGAGAAACATATTTCAAGGCAGCTTTTCTTAAAAACTGTAACAGAAACTCTTGTTATGAAACAGATGGACAAGCTAAAATGCAGAATAATGAAGCAACCCACTTACACTGTAGCAAAAACAAATGAATATTTTCTACTACATTTCAAAAGATTCTCTCTCTCTCCAAGCTTTGGAAATTGTTAGGTAGGCCTTATAAACTCAAGTAATTGTGAATTAGTGAAAAGTCATAATTAAAAATATCTTAAAATACAGTTTTATTGCTGTCAAGTAGAGGCCTTCCTCTAATTATGAAGGGAAGTAACTTCGCTGTTAATAGTGAGCTTTAGTGATAATAAACCGTTAATTTAGGAATAATCTACAACTTGTTAGTAAGACAGAATCTTATCTTTTAATATTCTTTTTGGATGCTACACTGGTAATTGTATGAGTTGGCTGTGTCTCTACCTTACAAATGTTAAAACACAAATATGAAACAGGTTTAGGTTTCTAATGATGTTGTGGAACTGTGCTTAAACATGCTACCGAGGTCAGGTAATGAAAACTTTCAAATAAATCCTCAATAACAGAAATTTGAGTTAATATTTATTTATTTATTTTAGACGGAATCTCGTTCTGTCACCCAGGCTGGAGAGCAGTGGCACAATCTCGGCTCACAGCAACCTCTGCCTCCCAGGTTCAAGCGATCCTCCTGCTTCAGCCTCCCGAGTAGCTGGGATTACAGGAAACTGCCACCACAACTGGTTAATATTTATATTTTTATTAGAGATGGTGTTTCACCATGTTGGCCAGGCTGGTCTTGAACTTCTGACCTCAAGTGATCCACCTGCTTTGGCCTCCCAAAGTGCTGGGATTACAGGTGTGAGCCACCATGCCCAGCTGAAATTTGAGTTAATAAAATTTAACTTTTTGCTTGCACCTTAAATTTTGTGCTATCCATTTTGGAATGTCCAGCAACTTCTGCAAAAATAGAAGTATATTGACTCTACAGGGTTTAACTGTGGTTATAAGGTAAAAAGATAATACCCATCTGAATGATAGGAACTGGGGCAACTATGGGACTAACATCAGAAATTTAATTATCTAAATCGAATTACTAACATGGCTGATAAACTTTCTTCTTTATTTTTCTGGTGGCTTAGCTCTTGCGGAACTTTTTAAAGATCTCAACCTTTACAGGTAAAGACAACATTTGAACCTAATCCTCTCACATACTTCCTAATACATTCTAAATAAAAAGAGCAAATGATTACTATAGCCAAGGGCCATCTTAGGGTAACAATTTTTAAAAGAAATTTAACACATCTCTTGAAGTAGAAAATCAATATTTTGCAACCACTAAGGTAATCACTGATTCTGGCAAGGATCATAAATAAATGACAAAACCTATTAGATGAGAGATGGTCATTGAACAAGATAATCTTTGGTTACTGATAACTTTTAATTTCAAAGGTATGTTTTCTACCAGCAGACTCTACCTTAATCAAGTGATCAAATTTAACATCACCAATAATCATGCAGGCTAACCTTTCATGCCTCCTGATATAATGCAACAGGGAAAAAAAATCACCTATGCTGTATTTCTCCAAAAATATTTAATCTGAATCTAATCATGAAACAATCAGATAAATTCAGACTGTGGACTACTCTACAAGAGAGCTAGCTTTAATGCTGAAAAAAAAATCAGTATTATGGGAAAAAACTGGGAAAATTACAGAAGACTAGAGAGACCGGTAAACAAAATGCAAAGTGTTATATCTGATTAGATTCAGGAATCTGAGGAGCAACTGAAGCAGTATACACATGGTTGGTATATTAAATGATTACATCTTATAAACGTTAAATTTCTTGGGTGTGATAAAAATACATTAGCCAGAGAAACAGAGACACACACAGAGAGAGAAAGCAAATGTGCCGAAATGTTAAGAACTGGTGAAGACAGAAGGCTATCTGTGTGTCTATTTTATAACTTTAAACTTTTCTGTGTAACCCTTTCCAGTAGGCCTCCTTTCCTTTTCTTTTTGAAGTAAAGATCTATATTTACTGCAGCATTTTTTATTTATTAAGAATTTAAAACATTTTAAAAACTGGTTAGGATTATTTTTTCTTTACAATGTTACAGGGGCAGAAGGAGACCATTATATAGCAATAATCCTCTATTAGCAAATATACAACATTCTCCTATTAACTATATACAGTACTGTAATTTGAAGTAAAAATACCTCACTTTGAAATATAAAAATAGACTGCAGAGGATGTTATCCTCCTAAGGGAGGGTTCTTTTCCACTACTCCATACCACGCAGTGTGGGTTTCTGGCCCTCCAGACTTCCCCCATTCCCTGCACCCTGTACTGAGTAAGCTGATCTCCCCAAGTGGTATTCTGTAGCAGAGTCACACTGCCAACAGCCCAGGGACACAAAACGACCAAGGCATTTCAACTCTGGAAGCTTCCTCATTCCCTTAAGATTCTGCTTTTACTGAACATAAAATTGTAATAACCTAAAAGGAGGTAAGAAATTCACTTCCTATGATCCATTTTTAATTTTCATTAAAATTAAAACCATTGACTAAATAATTTGTATTTATTTATTTATTTGAGACAGTCTTGCTCTGTTGCCCAGGCTGGAGTGCAATGGTGCAATCTCGGCTCACTGCAACCTCCGCCTCCCGGGTTCAAGTGATTCTCCTGGCTCAGCCTCCCTAAGTAGCTGGGATTACAGGTGTGCGCCACCATGCCTGGCTAATTTTTTTGTATTTTTAGTAGAAACGGGGTTTCACCATGTTAGCCAGGCTGGTAACGAATTCCTGACCTCAGGTGATCCGCCCACTTGGGCTTCCCAAAGTGCTAGGATTACAGGTGTGAGCCCAGCAAGATGGAAGGATTTTTAAAAGGAGGGAATAAATCAAGAGATATGGGATATACAGTTACAAAGCACTCATCTATTATCTCATTTAGTCCTTAAAATTCTGAGGAAAAATCAATTCACCAAGATAATTTGATGTCAAGGCTTAGAGTCAATATACTTCTTATGAATCTAAGTTGAGGATAATGATGCAAAGAAATTAAGAACATAAACTGAGAGATTTTACAATAATTTAGACATAAGGTACCATGAGTTAAGGTCAGAGAGTTAACTGGGAAAGAAAAATGAAGACAGTGGAGAGATACTTCAAAGTAAAACTTAGAAGGCTAATAAAAATTCAGAAACTTGAAAACCTGGATAAATAAAAGAATGTTGATGCCACTAGAAGTAGGAAATTCGGCATGGTCAACTGGGATAGGGGCAAAAATACTAATTTCTACTCTTGTTCACCACTCACCAAAAGCAAGTAAACAAGCATTAAGCAAATAAACAATCCTAAATCATCCTCTTCAACTTAACATGTCATAGAGAGGAGATACTATTAATAAGTGGTGAGGAAAGATTGTGGTATTAGTCAGTCAGGTGAGGTCAATCAACAGTCCACAACCAATGGTGAAATGAGGTATCCAAAGTTCCAGCCTCAAAGACTACACAGATAATTATAGAAATAAGGCACCAAGACCGTTAAAGGTAAAGTGAAATGTTCCACAGGTGGGAAATGGAATTGGAATTATGAGTATAAGGAAGGACGCATGAGAGTTCCCCTACTGTGGATCTACAGGGAAACAGGACAGACAATGCTCTCAAGGATCTTATACCCCACTTTCTTCATACAGTATCTCTGGGCTCCATCCTCACTACTACCTTAATATAGGCAACCATTATTAGTTCCTGCTTAGATTTCCCCAAGAGGCTTCTTACTGGTCTCCAGCCTTTAAAATGGTTCTGCTGCCTTCTAATTTATTCTTCATACCATAGATGGTCTAGTATAAGATATAAGCATTATAATAGAGTAGTAAGTGCCAGGACAGGGGAACTAAAGGATGCCATGGAAGTATCTGAGGGGGACACTGAAAGCCAGTCTTTGAAGGTCAAAGAATGTTTTGTGGAGGAACTAATACTTAAGCTATCATTTGAAAGAATTAGCCAGGGAAAGAAATAAGACAAAGAATTAGAAGAAGAAAGAACAATATGAACAAGATCCAAAAAGCATTAGGAAGAGTGGATCTGAAAGTAACTCAGCAAGGCAACAGCTTCAAGTTCAAGGAATGAGTGAATTTCAGAGTAGCTCAGCAAGGCAAGAGCTGCAAGTTCAAGGAAAGCTAAGAGTTTGTTGTTTTAAAACAATAAAGCTGAAGATGTAAGTAGGAGCAGACAGGCAAGGCCTTGTGAGTGAAGTTTAAGAGCTGGGACTTTTCCTGAAACTCATTAGGGAGATAATGAAGACAATTAGGAGAGTGACATGTACAGATTTTTCACTTAAAGGGTGACAGCTGATGCCAATCAAATGGATGAGTCCTCTAAGGGAGAGTATATTAAGAGAACAAGCAAAGAAATCAATGGTTGACTCCAGGAGAATAAGAATAAATTCTATTTAGAACAAATTCCAATAATATTGCAAAAAAAACCAATAATAAATACAAGTATCTCTTGTGACTCTATTCAGTCTTAGTTCAAATAGTGAGAGCCCTGATAGCAAAGCTTACTATGTCATGAAAATTTTTCTGGCTTCTGAGCTCAGATAACAAGAGTTTAGGTAACAATAGATACCTGGTACCTCAAACCTTTATCATTTATTCATTCATTTATTTAGAGACAGGGTGTCCCTCTTGCCCAAGTTGGAGTGCAGTGGTGCGATCTCAGCTCACTGCAACCTCCACCTCCTGGGCTCAAGCCATCCTCCCACATAAACCTCCCGAGTAGCTAGGACTAAAGGGTGCATGCCACCATGCCCGGCTAGTTTTTGTAGAGACAGGTTTTTGCCATATTGCCCAGGCTGGTCTTGAACTCCTGGGCTCAAGTGATCCGCCTGTCTCGGCCTCTCAAAGTTCTGGGATTACAGTGCTGCACAAGCCACTATGCCCGGCCCCTATTTTTAAAGATGTTTTATTGGAAATAATTTTAGACTCGGAGAAAAGTTGCAAAAATAGCACAGACTTCCTGTATATACCTCATCCAACTTCCCCTTATAATGTGTTACAAAATTATAGTACAATTACTGATATCAGAAAATTAACATTGATGTAACACTATTAACTAATCTACAGACCTTATTTAGATTCCTTAAGCAAACACCACCAGTTTCATGATTAGACTGAACTTAGGCATTTTTGGTAGGGATACCGCGGAAGTGAAATTGTGCCCTTTCAGTGCATCAGGGAACACATGACGCTGGCGTGTCTCAGATTACTAGTGACTTCTACTTTACCTGGTTAAGGTGGTATCTGCCATTTCCACCCCCCCCCGCCACCCCATAGTTACCATTTTTCTCTTTGTAATTCATATCTTGTGGGGAGATATTTTGTGACCTTGAAAATATCCTGCTTTTCATCACAACTTCTCCATTGAGTATCTGCTGATAGTTCTTGCATGCAATATTTATCATAGTGTTGTCTGCCTAATGATGGTTTTTATTTCTCTCTTTTCATCTATGCTAATTGGAATTCCATGTAAGGAAGAGCTGTCCTTCCTATCCCTCCCATCTATCTTATCTACCTAAATGCCTGTACATGTGTTTTATTTTGTGGGTTACAATCTAATATTCTCATTATTTTGTTTCTCAAATTATCCCACTTTGGGCCATTGGGAGTTCCAACAGATTGGTTCCTGTTGTCCTTTCAACATGCCCTAATCATTTTTTGAATTACTTTCTGGCGCCACGTGATGTTCCAGGCACATCTTGTATTATTCTTGCGCCAGACTCAACCATTTTTCGAAGGACCCATGGTTCCCTTTACTGGAGAATGGCATTTAAAGAAGATCCGAACACTAATGTGCTTACTAGGATATCATTCCTCTGGCTCTCTCAGGACAGAGCTCGGGAATATGTGTATGTACAGTATACACATATTCACACATCTGTATTATGTATTTTTGTATTCATACATCATATATACATATATATTAAAAACCACGACTTCATATGGATACCTCAAACTCCAGTCAATGAACACAGGGTTAATTCTAGCCTACTATCTTAATCTGTAACTTCTTTATACAACAATGAGAAGTCTGACTTTCATTATCTACAATATATTCACTTATTTTTAAAACTTTACACAAAAGGCAGTTTCAGAATTCCTAAGCGATACCTCTGTGAGAAACACATTTACTACTTACAATATTTGTTTTTTGTCTTGTGTTTAGCTTTAGAATGCCTAATCAAAATACTGTTTTCCAAAGTTACTTAGTTCTTTTCTTCCCCACTCAAGTCAGTGTTATTCATTGACTTCATAAATCAAGTTAATATTGTTCATCTGTTAGTGCTTGCATTACATTTTGGGCTCCTTTCTCCACACTTGCCAACATCTAAGTTATTTTATGTTATTTCTGGAGACTACGTAAAAAATTACCAGGGTTCTGAGAGTCAAAGTCATATAAAAAACTATAGTCAGAGAAGTGCTGCTCCCTATCCCTACTATCTTATTCCCATTACTCCCAATCTTTCTACCCCATTCTCATGTATTCCCTGTAAGAAACCAGTTTCAATAGTTTCTAGTTTATCATTCTGGTATTTCTTTCACACATTAAGTTGACATCTGTGCCTGTATTTCCCTGCTTCATAAAGAGTAGCATATTATAGATACTCTTCATACTTAATTCCCTTAATTGCACTGCAAGTAGTTCAGCGATTTTCCTCATTCTTTCTTACAGTGACACAGTACTGCTCCATTGTGTGGCTGTACCATCATCTATTCATCATTCTCCTGCATGGGTATTTAGGCTACTTGCAATATTTTGCAATTACAAACACTCCTAAAATGGATAAACTTCTTTAGAGAAGATTCCTAGAAGTGGGATTGTTGGGTCAAAAGATAAGTGCATATGTCAATTTATTAGGCACTGCTCTTCAGAAGAAGAGCTATGCTAGTGTGTATTTTTACCAGCAGTATCTGAAGGTGCCTTGCACAGAATTAGCTGTCATTCTTTTTAGTTTTCACTAATCTGGTAGATGAGAAATGGCGTCTAAGTGCTGTTTCACTTTTTTTTTTTTTTTTTTTTTGAGATGAAGTTTCATTCTTGTTGCCCAGGCTGGAGTGCAATGGCGCGATCTTGGCTCGTCGTAACCTCTGCCTCCCGAGTTCAAGCGATTCTCCTGCCTCAGCCTCCCAAGTAGCTGGGATTACAGGCGCCCACCACCACGCCTGGCTAATTTTTGTATTTTTAGTAAAGACGGGGTTTCTCCATGTTGGTCAGGCTGGTCTCGAGGTTGAGAAACCTCAGGTGATCCACCCACCTTGGCCTCCCAAAGTGTTGGGATTACAGGCGTGAGCTTATTTCTCTGTATGAACTTAAAACTTTTTATGTGCTTAAGGCCCAATTTTCATTGTTTGTGAGTTGTCCATTTATGTCTTTTCCCCATTTTTTCTATCAGGTCTTTGGTCCTTTGGTGCTCAAGGCTTTTTTTTTTTTTTTTTTTTTTTTTTGGTCATTTAATTATTAAGAGTTCTTTATATATTAGGGATATGGCTTCTTAGCCTTTTGGCTAAAATCAAGTGTAGTATACATTAGTGCTATAGGCCTTTTGGCTAAGGTATATGTTGAAAAAATTTTCTTCCAGTTTGTCAGCTTGTGTTTTTGACTTTTTTTCATGTCGGTTTTTGCCATGTAAAATTTTCTTATTTTTATATAGACGTATTTGTCAATCTTTGGTTGTCTCTGCATTTTGAGTCATAGCCCAAAAGCCTTTTTCATACACAAAGGTTAAATAAGAAAACATGGGTTTTCTTATATGGTCTTTTTTTCTCTCTCTTTAAACATTTAGATTCTTAACCTGTTTGGAGGTTTTTTTTTTTTCTTTTGTAACAGCTAATTATTGGATATAATTTATATAGCATACATTCATCCATTTAAATTCATTCAGTGTCTTGTTCAGTGGCTTTTAGTATATTCATACAGTTGTGTAGCCATCACAATAAATTTTAGAACATTTTCATTATTCCAACAAGAAACTACTGTACCTTTCATCAGTCACCCCTCTTTAGACCAAACTCCCTTAGCCCCCGGCAACCACTAATCTACTTTCACACTTTATTGACTTGCCTATCATTGAAATTTCATATAAATGAAATCATACAACCTGTGGCCTTTTGTGACTGCTTTATTTCACTTAGTATAATGTTTTCAAGTTTCACCCACATTGTAGCATGTATCACTGCTTTTCTTTTTATTGCTGAAATATGTTTCATTGTATGGACATACCACACTCTGCTTATCCAATTATCAGTCAATGGACATATAAGTTTGAATTTTTTGGCTGTTATGAATAATGCTATGAAAACCTGTGTACATGTTGTATTTATTCTTATACATGGTACAAGATGTGTATCTAATTTTATCTCTTTCTAAATATCTCAGTACTATTTATTCAGTGGTATCATTTATTATCTGGGACATTCAGATATATCGGTACCATTTATTAAAAAGCCAATTTCTACCTCAGTGATTTAACACTTTTTTTTATTTTTTTTTTGCGACAGGGTCTCACTCCTTCACCCAGGCTGGAGTGCAGTGGCACTATCATGGCACACTGCTGTCTTGGATGTCCCGGGTTCAAGCAATTGTCCCATCTCTCAGCCTCCTGAGAAGCCACCATGCCTGCTAATTTTTTAGTCAGGGTTTCGCCATGTTATCCAGGGTGGTCTCAAACTGCTGGGCTCAAGTCATTCCCCTGCCTTGCCCTCCCATTGTGCTAGGATTACAGATGTGAGCCACTGAGCCCAGCCCAAGATACCATTTTTATTATTTCCACTTGTACCTGTGTCTGTTTCTGGGCTTTCTATTCCACTTCTCTATTTATTTATTCATGTGACAGTAGCACACAGATTCAATTATAGAAGCTTTATAGTATATGTTTTAATGTCTGGTAGAGCTAGTCCCACCAGCAGTTTTTCTTTTCCAGTTTCTTCCTGGCTATTCTTGTATGTTTGTTTTCCCATAAGACTTAGTATCAACTTGTCTAACTTAAAAAGTAAAAAAGGCTTCTTGGTGTTTTTACTGTGAATGCATTAATTTCAGAAATTAAGGAGAACTGACATCTTTATAATGATGAGCCATCCTATTCAAATCTAATTTTATGACTTAAGTATTGAAAAAGTTTCTTCCTGTAGGTTTTGTACATTTTTATGTTTAATAAGTATTTAATCTTTGTTGCTATTGTAAGTGGAGTTTTCTCTACCATTGTGACTGACTGCTAACTGGCTACTGTCTGTATATGAGTCTATTGATTTTTTAAGTTAATTTTATATCCTGCTATTTTATTGAATTCTATTATCATTTGGATTAATTTTACCAGTGATCCCCTGTAGTTTTCCAGCCATATTACAGGTTGACTATCCCTTATCAAAAATGTTTGGGTTGGGCCGGGCATGTTGGCTCACGCCTGTAAATCCTAGCACTTTGGGAGGCCAGGCGGGTGGATCACCTGAGGTCAGGAGTTCGAGACCAGCCTGGCCAACATGGTGAAACCCTGTCTCTACTGAAAATACAAAAATATCCAGGTGTGGGGACAGGTGCCTGTAATCCCAGCTATTTTGGAGGCTGAGGCAGAAGAATTGCTTGAACCTGGGAGGTCAAGGTTGCAGTGAGCCAAGATTGTGCCATTGCACTCTGGCCAAAACCAAAAAACAGTTTGGGTCGAGGTATTTTGAATTTTTTTGCATTTTGGAATTTCTTCATTATTTTCATTGCACCCTTAATCCAAAATCTGAAGTGCTTCAATAAGCATTTACTTTGTGCATCGTGTGACTGCTTAAAAAGTTTTGAATTTTGGAGCCTTTCAGATTAGGGATGCTCAACCCGTTATCATATAATCTGCAGAGATAGTCTTTCTTCTTTACCCATTCTTATGCCTTAAATCGATGTATCTAACTATATTGGTTAATACCTCCATTATAATGTTGAACAGCAGTGAAGATAGTGCACATTTGCCTTGTTTCTGTATACTGTGGAAATACTTCTAGTATTTCCCATTATATATAAGATTCCTGGCTTTAGGACTAAGATATATAAATTTTATCATTTCAAAAATGTATCCCACAATCCCTATTTGAGAGAGCGGGAGAGAAATATCACAAAATGGGTGGTCTTGTTGAAGGCTCCTTCAGCACCTATGGAGACACTGAGTTTTCCTCACAAATCTATCAATAGGGAGTATGTTAATGAGTATCCTAACATTAAGCCAGCCCTGCATCCCTGAAATAAATCTCACATGGTCATGGTATATCACTTCACAATGATAATATTTAATTTAGCACTTCTGCATCAATATTCTTATGGGATGCTGATTTATAGCTTTCTTTTTTCAATACTGTTCTTACCAGGTTTAAGTATCAATACTATATTTGTTTCACAGAAATTCAGAAGCTTTCCAACATTCCAATGCTCTGGAACAATTTATGCAGCAGTGGAACTATCTGGTCTTTGAAGGTCTGATAGAATTGCTCTGTGAAACCATTCAGGTCTAATGCCTTTTGGTGGGATAGTTTAGAAGAATTATTTCTTTTATGGAAATTAGTCTCTTCAACTTCTCTAACTCCATGTTGGTAATATGCATTTCCCTAGAAAATTACTCATTTCATCTAGGTTTTCAAATAACTGCAGTGAGGTCTGCTAAGTAGTCTCTTGTGATTTTAAAATTTTTTAAAAATTATTTTTAGTGGTTATTTACCGCTTTATCTTATTTTGCATATCTATGTTTTACTCCTTTCCTTTACATGATTAAGTTAGCTAACCGTTTGTCTATTTTATAATTTTAAATTTTCAGAATACAGATTTGTTAGGTCTTGTTTTTCTATTCCCTACCTCATTAATTTCTGCTTTTATCCTTATTATTTCCTTCTGGGTATGCTCTTTAGGTTTACTTTGTTTTCCTAAATTTTGTTTTGAGCTGGAAATTTAATTCATTTATGTTCATTTTTTCAGATAAATGTGTTTACTGCTATAAATTTTTTTATTAAAGCACCATATTACTGGGATGTTTTACAAGATTCCTATTTTAACAGTGCCCTCTTCTGTTAGTATAGCAAAGTCCTGCCAATTATTTGTTTTGTTGTGGGGGGAACAGTTGGCTATGAATCCTGTAACTTTGTGGTTCTCTTTGTTTTGCTGCATTCTGAATTTCCTCCTTTGCTTTATTACCTTTTCACCACTCAACTGCCAAAGGGTGCTTCTCCTCTTCTTATGTACCTTCTTTTTCTCCCCTATAAGCTACGCACTTTGAAGACTGCCTCTTCAGATTGTATGTATTTTTAAGTCCCTCCCTTATAATCCCTACTCTTATTCTATTTGGAAACCTTAAAAAAAAAAAAAAGAATTTTCAGACTTAGGATGGACTTCTTCTGGCTGAACATTTAGATAACGTTAAGATTCCCTCTCCATTTTGTGTTCATTTTTCTTTGCCTGTGCTTGCCACAAAGTCTTGCGGCAGGCAGGAGCTGAATGGGAGTATGAAGAGATCACATGCCAGGATCTGGTGAGTGCTCTCTTTTTAGTTACAGTTATACTGAAGTCTTAAATTCTCTTCAAGTTATGCTATGTCTTCAAATTCTGTATAGATTTTTGTCCTTCTTATTCTATATTTATTTGAAGGAAAATTGGGAGGCAGTAGATCGATGACCACTACTGTCTTTAGCTATTTGGAAGTCCTCCTTGAAAATTTTCTTTTGGTAACAGCTTATCGACATACAAACGACATGTCATATAATTGCCCATTTAAAGTGTATAATTCAATACTTTTTAGTATATTCATAGTTATGTAACAATCACAATCAATTTTAGAATATTTTCATCATCCCATAGAGCAACTGCCCTCTTTAGCTATTGCCTCCTAATTCCTCCATTCCCCATCCAGCCCGAGACAACCACTAATCTACTGTCTCTATAGATTTACCTATTCTAGGCATTTTATATAAATGGTATCATACAATATATGGTCTTTTGTGGCTGATTTCCTTCACTTAGCACAGTGATATCAAGAGTCATCCAAGCTGTAGGATTTATCAGCAATTCATCCTTTACAGTGAAAATAATATTCCATTTCATGGATACACATTTTGTTTATCCATTTGTCAGCTGATAACATTTGTCTTGTTTCCATCTATTGATTATTATAAATATGCTGCTATGAACATTCATGTATTATGCAAATTTTTGTGAGAACACGTTTTCATTTCTCTTGCCTATATATCTGGGTTGACTTGTTGGGTAAAATGACAACCCTGTTTCCCCAGCAATTTGTGTACAATTTAACATTCCCAAGAGCAATGTAGGACGGTTCCAATTTCTCCACATCCTTACCAATTCTTGTGTGTGTTGTTTTATTATAGTCATCCTAGTGGGCATGAAGTTGTATCTCATTGTGGTTTTGATTTCAATTTTGGTTTTGATTTACATTTCCTTGATGGCTAAAATGTTGAGTATCCTTCTATGTGCTTATTGGCCTTATGTGTATCTTCTCTGGAAAAATATCTATTCAGATCATTTGCCCCTTTTAAATTGGGTTATGTGTCTTTACTATTGAGTCATAAGAGCTCCTTATGTATTCTGTATACACGTCCTTTATCATTTTTTAAAATTTTGCAGGCTGGGGCCAGGTGCAGTGGCTCATGCCTGTAATCCCATCACTTTGGGAGGCCAAGGTTGGGTCACTTGAGGTCAGGAGTTTAAGACCAGCCTGGCTAACACGGTGAAACTCTGTCTCTACAAAAACCAAAAAAATTAGCTGGGCGTGGTGGTGTGTGCCTGTAATCCCAGCCACCTGGGAGAAGCCAAGGCAGGAGAATTGCTTGAACCCGGGAGGTGGAGGTTGCAGTGAGCCGAGATGGCACCACTGCACTCCTGGATGACGTGGTGCCTGGATGACGAAGTGAGACACTGTCTCGAAATAAAATAAAATAAAACAAAATAAAATTCTGCAGGCCACATGTAGTGGCTCACACCTATAATTCTAGCATTCTGGGAAGCCAAGGCGGGTAGATCGCTTGAGTCCAGGAGTTCGAGACTAGCCTAGGCAGCATGGTGAAACCCCGTCTCTACAAAACATACAAAAATTAGCCAGTATGGTAGAGTGTGCCTGTAGTCCCAGCTCCGTTGGGGGTTGAGGTGAAAGGATCGCTAGAGCCCCAGGGGTAGAGGCTGCAGTGAGCTGTGATTGTGCCACTGCACTCTGGCCTGGGCAAGAGAGTGAGACCCTGTCTTAAAAAAGTAAATAAAATTAGGCCGGGTGCAGTGGCTCACGTCTGTAATCCTAGCACTTTGGGAGGCTGAGGCGGGCGAACTGCCTGAGCTCAGGAGTTCGAGACCAGTCTGGGCAACGTGGTGAAACCTGGTCTCTACTAAAATACAAAAAATAAGCCGGGTGTGGTGGTGTGCGCATGTAGTCCCAGCTACTCGGGAGGCTGAGGCAGAAGAATTGCTTGAACCGGGGAGGTGGAGGTTGCAATGAGCCGAGATTGTGCCACTGCACTCCAGCCTGGACAACACAGCAAGACTCCAGCTCTAAAAAATAAATAAATGAATAATTAAAAAAAAATAATAAAATAAAATTTTGCTAGTAAACATCCTGTAAATCTTTTATCAGATACATGGTTTGTGAATATTTTTTTCCATCTGTGAAAATATTTCACTTTCTTGATGGCATCCTATAAAATATAAAACTTTTTAATTTGATGAAACCCAATTTATCTGAATCTGACATACTTGAAAAACATTTTTCAACAAACATTTTATATTCCTCATTAACTAAAAAAATATGTCGCAACTCCAGGAATTTCTGGCAGTATAGGCATGTTTTAAAAAACAATGTATAGTTATTTTTGGCCTCAAGAAAAGTAAATAAAAAATGCTAATAAGTATATTGACTTTTCTGAGGGGTCAAAATGCAATTTTTGATCAAGTCATTGCCTAAATGAGTCTTCCCACCATTAGGCTACAACACACACGTTGAAAATACTTTTGTGACACTTCAGGCTAGATGATTTTTTAAAAACGAAAATAGTTTTAAAATTAAGACAACAAAGCTAAATAAAAGAGCAAAGGACCTGGAACAATAAAATTGTACATTTGATGGCATGTAAGAGCAACAAGGACTTTGTCAATACTGGCAAGAAGCTTTATTACACATAATCTCTACAACGAAGTCTGTGAATTACTTAATTTCTATCTTCTTGTGCTCATTTCTACAACTTTGGGAGAACTAATTTTTATCCTAGGTCCTCAGACAGTTGTAAAGGGGAACTGATTCTAGCATTAGGTGTGGGATGCACAATGCAATCCATAATTTGTTTTTCCAAAAAAGTTCTTCTTTCCCTTTGAGTATATAAACAAGTTTTCTCTCCTCTTTTCAGCTGCTAATTAAGTTATACAAAATAGATTCTTGAGAGGCTGAAGGTAACTGTAACACAGTCATCTAATCACTAACAGAAATCAAATGAAAGATTTTTTGTTTGCAAGTACATGGGCCACAAAGTAGAAGGCAATATTTGCTTATGTATTCCTACAGCATACAGACACATCATTACACATGGAAGATACTTTACTACCCTACATGACATTTAATACTGAGATAACTGAACTTGTGTAGCAAATGAAAGGTCAGAGAATTATTCTAGATGCAGTTGGTGGAACACAAGCTTAAGTGGCAGAAAATAAGAATAATTTAGTTGTTTAAAATTCCTCATCTCAAATATCCTAGTAAATAAAAGAGATGTTTACAATCAATAGTTAATTCAAAATCATCAGCTGAGGAAATCGATTTTTCTAATTCTTGAATGAAAACAACAAATGGATCAAGAGTTAACACTTAAAAAGAGCTTACTGGCCGGGCATGGTGGCTCACGCCTGTAATCCCAGCACTTTGGGAGGCCGAGGCGGACAGATCACGAGGTCAAGAGATCGAGACCATCCTGGCTAACATGTTGAAACCCAGTCTCTACTAAAAATACAAAAAATTAGCCAGGCATGTTGGTGGGCACCTGTAGTCCCAGCTACTCGGGAGGCTGAGGCAGGAGAATGGCGTGAACCCAGGAGGCGGAGCTTGCAGTGAGCCGAGACTGTGCCACTGAACTCCAGCCTGAGTGACAGAGCGAGACTCCCTCTCCAAAAAAAACAACAACAAAAAAAAAAGAGCTTACTATATGAAAGGTATGTTCTAAGCATTCCCTATGAGGCAAGTTGTACTAACATCCTAATCTCTGAGCTGGGAAAACTGAGACAGATAGGTTAACTAACTTGTTTAAGGTCACACAACCAGTGAGCGGTAGAGTCTAGTATCTGAAGTGAGTGGTCTGGCTCTATAATCCATGTGCTTAACTACTTTGATATACTACCTATTTCTCTGTGATTATGAATTTTTTTTTTTTTAGATGGAGTCTCATTTTGTTGCCCAGGCTGGAGTGCAGTGGCTCAATCTTGGCTCACTGCAACCTCTGCCTCCCGGGTTCAAGCAATTCTCCTGCCTCAGCCTCCCAGGTAGCTGGTACTACAGGCGTGCGCCACCATGCCTGGCTAATTTTTCTATTTTTAGTAGAGATGGGGTTTCACTATGTTGTCCAGGCTGGTCTCGAACTCCTGACCTTGTGATCCACCCGCCTCGGCCTCCCAAAGTGCTGGGATTACAGGCATGAGCTGCCGTGCCTGGCAGTAATTGCGAAATTAAAAAAAATCTTCTACATTCTTAATAGTTTTAACTGACAAACATCACCATCTACTCTGATTTATTCCTACAGAGTAGGGCAAATCTAGCCTATGTATTCCAGAATATTAAACCACTGAAACTTAAATAGGCCACAGTAAAAACTGCAGGACTTAGTAAGTGACTGGACTGGAGGAGACAGAGGAGATATGATGCCCAAGTTTCTGGTTTGAGTGACTGGGTATACAGAGTGAGAATTAAGATCAGGATTTCCTGAGGTGGGGGTGGGGGAGGAGGAAGTCTTCCCTTCGCTGTCCTCTTACACATTATTTGACTTTTAGGGCAGTGAAATCTCAAGACTGAATCGTTGGACCTCATCCACTTGAGTCTATTTCCCTTACCGGCCAAGTGACGACTCCTTATCCCTTTCTTCCGAGAGGTCACCAATACGCCCTATGAATAGAAGTGTTTTTTAAATGAAAAACTGTTTCTTTTAAAAAAGTATTGTTAAACTTGTATGAATACTAACTCTATTTCAAAGGTTAAAAAAACTGTGGCCAGGCCGGGCACAAGTGGCTCACGCCTGTAATTCCAGCACTTTGGGAGGCCAAGGCGGGTAGATCACCTGAGGTCAGGAGTTCGAGACCAGCCTGGCCAACATGGTGAAACCATGTCTCTACTAAAAATACAAAAAATTAGCCGGGTGTAGTGACGGACACTGTAATCCCAGCTACTCGGGAGGCTGAGGCAGGAGAATCACTCGAACCTGCGAGGTGGAGGATGCAGTGAGCGGAGATTACACAACTGCACTCCAGCCTGGGCAACAAGGGCAAAACTCCGCCTCAAACAAACAAAAAAACTGTGGCCAGGTGCAGTGGCTTACTCCTATAATCCCAGCACTTTGGGAGGCCAAGGTGGGCGGATCACTTAAGCCCAGAAGTTTGAGACCAGCCTGGGCAACATGGTGAAATTCCATATCTACAAAAAATTAGTGGACATGGTGGCATGTGCCTATAGTCCCAGCTACCTGTGAGGCTGAGGTGGGAGAATCACCTGAGTCTGGGGAAGTTGAGGCTGCAGTGAGGCGTGATTGAACCACTGCACTTCAGCCTGGGTGACAGAGTAAGACCCTGTCTCAAACAAAAAAACACAAAAATGTGGCCAGGCATGGTGGCTCAGGCCTGTAATCCCAGCACTTTGGGAGGCCAAGGCAGGAGGATCCCTTTAGGCCAGGAGTTCGAGACCAGGCTGGTCAAAAGAGTAAGATCCTATCTCTCCCCTGCAAAAAAAAAAAAAAAAAAAAAAAAGCCAGGTGTGGTGATGCACGCCTGCAGTCCCAGCTACTTGGGAGTGTGAGGTGCGAGAATTACCTGAGCCCAGGAATTTGAGGCTGCAGTGAGCTATGACTGTGCCTCTGCACTCCAGCCTGGGCAACAGAGTGAGACGTTATCTCTAAAAAAAATCAAAAATAAAAAAACAACAAAGGTAAAAATAGAAAAAATACCTACAGGAAAATCCTGAAATGAGAACAGTAAATGACTTGGGCATGGTTTACCCTTTCAATAAAGAAAACCCATAGTTTAAATATTTAATTAAAGATTTTAAAATTTTACTTTACTTTTTTAAAGGGAAGATAAAATAGATGCAACTTGATATACTCTAGGATACTAAGCTCTAGAGGCGAACAGGTGAAATACTCAGCTTTACCATTCTCACCAGAACATTGGTCAAGCAGTAAGCCCCTAGACCCCTTCCCCACACTGGTAAAAGGTCACACTTTGGGAGTGAAAAGTAAAGCTTATTGAGTGTACGTGTATGCATATACACAATGTACTCATTCATCTTTGGGAAAAATGAAGTTACTGTCTATATATGACTCAAGAAATTAACAGCACCCAAAGTACCTGGGTGTATAATTCCAAGGAATAAGTACCAATTAATTATATTGGGCTCTAACTGGACCAAATGTATAAAGAGAAGCAGGATTGTTAGGAGATAGCAGGGACTACCTGTCTACGGGCTGCAGATTGGTAGGATACTGCTCAGTTACTGCAAAAAATTCATACACTCATCTGTATCCCAAGCACTATTACAGACACTTTTTAAATTAAAAACAAATTCTTTCACACTTGAAAACACTGAGAACTTGACCACAAAGACGTGTGGTAGAGCCAGTAGTGCCAATAACAGCAAGGTAGAAAGCATCTCGCTGGGGTCTACTTTTTTTTTTTTTTTTTTCTGAGACGGAGTCCCGCTGTGTTGCCCAGGCTGAAGTGCAATGGCAGTACTCGGCTCAGTGCAACCTCTGCCTCCCAAGTTCAAGTGATTCTTCTGCCCCAGCCTGCCAAGTAGCTGGGATTACAGGTACCCGCCATCATGCTGGCTAATTTTCGTATTTTTGTAGAGACGGGGTTTCACCATGATTACAGGCGTGAGCCACCGCGCTGGGCTTACAGTTTTGATCATTTCCTTCCCTAGAACCATCCAAACGACTAACAAACCTTAATCTGAACCTCTTGCTCACCAAACAGCCTTCTAATTAATAGTTTGGATTTTCATGCAGATTAACCTGAAGAAGAAAATATACTGGTAATGCTGACAGAAGCACTACTCAACTTTCACAGTAAATTAATAATCTGGCATTCAGATTTATTCAATCTCTGCAAACATCATTAGCATATATAACCTGAGCTTATTTTATGTGAATCTACAAAAACAAAATTTCCGAGTTCTCAAAGTTGAGGCCACAAGCACTGTATTTCAATAATGTAAACGATGCCTTGTGAGATCTCTGGGCAGTATCACTCTTACTCCCTAACTTATCCCTTTTCACATAAAGACGCTATGTAAGATAGTACAAAGAGTTTTACATATATTCTAGATTAGTATTACAAAACAATTGCCAAGTTTTTTTAAAGCAAAAAACTCCCTTGCTTCCCCCCTCAAAACCCCTAGCCTTCTATCTGCTTCAAAAGGGTGTGTCTAGCTCAGGGCAGGTAGAAGTTGTTCAGGGTAGACAATCAGATAAAATAAGATGCAAACATAATATATGAATCATAAGTTATTTTAATAAGTTTTCAATTTTACTATATGTATATCTGAAGTTAAGTTTCAAATATATCTGTTGGGAGAAAAGCTGAGTGTTGGGAGAGAAGCTGAGGCAGGGCTTGCATGTCGGCTAGACTTGCTAGCTCCTTGCTTCTAGCACTCCCATTATCTCAAGTAGCCATAGGTTTCTCATTCACTTGATACACCAGTTTCTTTCAATCCCCACATCCTCACCACCTGTTTCTTTGTTTGATCACCAATAAATAGCGTAGGCTCCCCGGTCCCACTTTCTCTCTCAAACTGTCTTTTTCTCATTCCTTTGACTCCACCGGACTCATCGCCCCCATGACCTGGTGTTGGGTCTGATCACCCCAACATAGAGCTTTTTATTGTACAAGGCAGTGATTTAGTTTCTTACTGTTGAAACTGCAAAAAACAAGAAAAAAAAAAGAAAATCAAGTCTGGCTCTGAGCAGTAATTTCTACTAATTAAGATTTAATAATTACTATCAAGTTATATTTTTAATTTTGCAAGTAAAGAAGAAAAAGATGAACATACCTGAAACAGCCAAAGAAATGAAGAGGTAGTCCAACGCAAAGAAACGAAAGATTTTTGATTAAAGAAAAGCGATTTTTGATTAAAGAAAAGCAATTTTTAAAACAGCATTTTTGAACTAGATGCAATGGCACGTGCCTATCATCCCAGTTACTTAGGAGGCTAAGGCAGAAGGATTCCTTGAGCCCAGAAGTTTAAGTCCAGTCCAGGCAACATAATGAGATCTTGTCTCTTAAATTTAAAAATAATAATAATAATAATAATAATAATAATAATAATAATAATTTTTTTTCATTGGCAAGGACAGAAGAGAATTTTGCCAAGTGCAAGGAGGGCTCAGCAAATGTACACTCTCATAAACTGTTGTGAAAAATGGTCCAAACTCTTTGGAGGTCAGTTTACCAGTATGAAAGCCTTATACTGAATATATCTTTGATCCAGGAAGACCAGGAAGACCACTTACAGAAAGTTTATCCTAAAGAAAAAATTACAGCATACATCCAAGTGTTGTTTTAAAAGACTGAAAAACTGTACACACTAGAACTGGCTGTGTTAAATGGAAATACAGTACATTCAATAAAATCAGAAATGTACTTACTGGCAGCAGAAGAGGATGATGACATTTTAGGTGAAACAAAAAAGCAGACCATAAAATGGTATGTACAGTATGATCTGATTTTTAGTTAAAATAAGAAAAAGGAATACTTTATCCATTTTGTGATAACTACTTGCCAGGCAATGTAGAAAATATACTTTTAAAAGTTTGGAAGGTTATACACCAAATATTAACAGTAAATAGTAATTTATTGGTGGCTAGTTTTCATATTTTTGCTTATCTGTATTTTGTCCTCTATGAATGTGTATTACATATTTATTTATAAAAATATAAAGAAAATCTATGTGCTAGGACCTACACATATGGGAAATGTGACACTTTGAGACCAATCTCACTCTACTCTGCACTATAGAAATTTTTCTGCAACATTTAGGCTGGGCCTGGTGGCTCACGCCTGTAATCTCAGCACTTTGGGAGGCAGAGGCCGGGTGGATCACCTGAGGTCAGGAGTTTAAGACCAGCTTGGTCAAATGCTGAAACCCCATCTCTACCAAAAATAAAAAAATTAGCTGGGCATGGTGGTGCACACCTATAATCCCAGATACTTGGGAGGCTGAGGCAGGAGAATCGCTTGAACCTGGGAGGCGGAGGTTGCAGTGAGCCAAGATGGTGCCACTGCACTCCCGCCTGGGCAACAGAGTGAGACTGTCTTAAAAACAAAACAAAACAAAAAAAGGAAATTTTTCTGCAACATTTAAATTCACCATTTGCAGAATGCACATTTCATTTATCTCATTTCTAAGTACAATATTACACATGGTAAGAAAGAAGCTGCATATAACTTACTGTCTAGGTAGAGGTACAAAATATACAGTAATATAGTTTGGATGTTTGTCTCATTCAAATTTCATGTTGGAATGTAATCCCCAATGTTGGAGGTGAGACCTGGTGGGTGGTGTTTGGGTCATGGGGGCAGATCCCTCATGAATGGCTTGGTGCTGTCCTTGTGATGATGAATGAGTTTTTGCTCTGAGATCATAGAGGATGTGATTCATGCGGCGCCTCCCCACTCTCTCTTGCTCCTGCTCTCACCATGTGATGTGCCTGCTTTCCCTTTACCCTCCCTATGATTGTAAGCTCCTTGAAGCCCTCGCCAGGAGCAGATGCTGGCACCACGCTTCCTGTACAGCCTGCAGAACACTGAGCCTAAACAAACCACTTTTCTTTATAAGTTACCCATGCTCAGGTATTCCTTTATAGCAATGCAAAAATGGACTAACACATATAGAATAATACATAAGAGCTAAACTGTAACCACAAAAAAATTAAGGCTGGTGTTGTATAGCTAGCTTATTTTTAGTGGTTGGTCTTTTCCTCCCATAACAGGATTATAAACGTATTCCACTGGGCTTTGGGTATTTACCGCACCCTGGTCCCAACTTATTTAAATAGTAATGGCTATCATTATGGAGTCCTACAAAGATAGTTGTTATGATTTTATACCAAATACCTTGCCAAAAATTTTAAATGGCTACTAAAGAGCCAAAAAGTATACAATAAAATCAAATAAATCACCCTTACCGAAAGGAAGACATATGCTAACCAAAAACGCTGATGCAGAATTGACAGTGGATCAAATCTGGACCTAGGAGTCGTGGCAGCAAGAGCAAAATGGAACAAGATATGTACACAGTTCTCATTCTCAGCAAATCAGGAAATGCACCAAAGTTTTTAGAAAAAAGAAGATTTTTCTTGCTTTAAATTAAAAGGCAATTCTTAAGTTTGCTTTGGCAGTGCATAAGCAAAAATTATATTATATGGCCCCAGCACAAGAGTGACACACATGCACGCATTTATTCCCCATGCTAAGGATTTCAGAGTGCCTGAGTATGATCTCATAGACTACTTGTTAGTTGCAAGGGGTAAATGAAAAAATTAGGTTATCAGCCAAATGAAACGAAACACTCACATAAGACATTTCTGCCAATCATTGCCAAAAATGGTAAACAACAGTGAGGATGACCAAATAACTTATCCAAACTGGAATACTTTTCATAATGAAAGGGGATACTATTATTTTTGCTGGGCAACAGGTAATGTGGTCGCCCTAGTTATCAACCTGACAGCAAACAGTAAAGGCACAAAGTAAAAGGATAAAATGGTCCATTTATTTTCATAAGAAATGAAATAAAAGGAACAGTTAACATTTACTGAGGTTGAAACAGGACGTTTTCCTTTGCTAAAGATGAATTTATCCCAACCAGATAAGGTTAGTTGACTTAGCATAGTTGGCTTTAAAAAGATACCTGATAAAGTATGGGACTAAAGTAGGAATGTAAAGATGAAAGCACCTGGCCACTTAAAATAAGTTCAACTGTGCAGGTCTTCATGAACCTGAAGGTGTAAATAAATTTGAGAAGGAAAGTTTTATTCAATTAAGGAGATAAGATTTTTCAAGTCTAGATATTGGTAAGTGAACTCTCAATTTGCAACAAATGGTGTAAGTTTAAGACTTATGGCTTAGTATATCTGATGCCAAATCCTACCAAAATTATAATCTAGATTACTAGAAGAAATGCAACTAGAAAAAAATAATAAGCGACCAAATAATTAAGAATTGGCATTGACAGAATAAGTCATATCATCTAATACTCAACTTTAAATTCTTTTTTGATAGAATTAGTATGTTGTTAATATACTACAGACTATATGCTGTATGATTTCAGAAAAGTTCTTGACCAAATATCCTATAGAAGCTTTGGGGATGATGGTCAAACACATAACTGAAAGATGTTGGCTAGAAAGATCAAATGTAAAGCCTGGATGCCCATACGCCTCATTCCTACGAACAGCTATTAGTCACCGCTGTGAAGATAGAGAAAGAAAATTTATAAAAGACAGATTTCATTGTAACTATCTGAGATTATGAGATATTGTGCAATGGGCTGTTTCTCTTTAAGTATCTCTAATTCCTTTAGCCATTCACTGTGTTAACGGTATCTAGACTTTTGTTGAGACATTCTGGTGACCATTCCTCTAGACTAACTTTGTCAATTTTTCCTTTAAAACTTGGTGGCCTTTAATGTAATAGATGGCTGGACTCATTCACAGTACAGGAGAGAAATATTTGCCATAAACAAAACGCCAAGCCTATAATTCAGTTAATTCTTTAACGGTCATTTTATTGTTTTATACTAAGCTGACAGTTTTTTTCTCAGAACTGGGTCAAATCTTCTTACCGCTTGTGTAGTTAATTTTTCTAAAGTTAAATGTAGTTTATTATATTCTAGTTAATACAACTTTTATTTTAAGCTTGGTTTTTTTTTTGTTTTTGAGACAGGACCTCACTTTTGTCACCTAAGCTGGAGTGCAGTGGTTCTATGGTGGCTCGCTACAGCCTCGACATCTTGGGCTCAGGTGATGCTTCCAACTGAGCCTCCTGAGAAGCTGGGACCACAGGCACATGCAACCACAACCAGCTAATTTTTTATATTTTTAGTGGAGACGGGTTTTTGCCATGTTGCCCAGACTGGTCATGAACTCCTGTGCTCAAGTGATCCGCCTGCCTTGGCCTACCAAAGCGCTGGGATTTCAAGTGTGAGCCACCACGTCCCACCAAGCTTAACATTTTTTAAAATGTCATTTGCTATTTTATTCTGTTTTCTCCACGTTAACAGACCAGGGAGACCTGAAAACTATCTTTGGATAATGAAAAGCTGCCACAAAATATAAAACTTATCCGAAGGCAAAATTGGAACCAACAGATAAAATGTAATCAGGACTTTGGCTCACTAAAAAGAGAAAAATTTGTTACAAAGTTGTCCATCAATGGAACAGGTCATCTCACAGAATGTACAGTGCAGAGATTCCTGGTATCAGAAGCATTCTTTAGAAATCTGACGGAGTCAGACAGTTAGATGAGATCACCTGTGATCTAGTAAGTCAAGTAATGCTGTGATAATTAACCCTTAAAACTTACTGGATTAACAGAAAGACTTTTGTCTTGGTTGTACCATACATTTGTTACCACTCAGGTGACAAGCACAGAAGTTAGTAAACTAGGGCCTGTGGCCTGTTTCTGTATGTCCCTTGCACTAAGAACAACTTTTATATTTATATTTATTATCTGCCTTCCATGTCATACTCAGAGACTCAGGATGCTTTAAGTTTGGGGTTCCTGGCTTCTTTCTGTAAGTGGCTCTGCCATCTTAACATACAGCCTCCACGACAGTCTCTCCTCACACTCCAGAATGAGTCACCTGGTACCACCTAAGTGCAACGGGACTGGGAAGTGTACTGTTCCAGATGCCCAGAAAGCATAACTGAGTACAGATAAGCACCTCAAGTCTCTACCACAACTTGTATATTTTTTATTCTTATCCAAAGATTCTATGATTCTAAATATTTCAACTATAATTTTCATTTTTAGTGAAATGGTTTAAATGAAAGATTCAGAAAGAGCCTGTAATCCCAGCACTTTGGGAAGCTGAGGTGGGCGGATCACGAGGTCAGGAGATTGAGACCATCCTGGTCAACGTGGTGAAACCCCGTCTCTACTAAAAATACAAAAATTAGCCGGATGTGGTGGTGCATGCCTGTAGTCCCAGCTACTCGCGAGGCTGAGGTGGGAGAATCACTTGAACCTGGGAGGCCGTTTGCAGTGAGCCGAGACAGCGCCACTGCACTCCAGCCTGAAAAAAGATTCAGAAAGAAATGTGTCAAAATATCATAGATTGTGGTAAAGTAAAAATGCTTCATGTTTGAGTTAGAACTGAGACAAAGGGAATCTAAGTATCACCTGCAGCATGTTTAAATTCTTTGGTTTACACAGCCTTCAATTTTTAGTATGCTCACAATGTTACTAATAAATCCTAAGAACTTGAAATTTTAAACATTAAGTGGTTTAGAGTGGAAAAATCAATAGGTCCTGCAGAATAATATATACATGCGCCAACTTTGTAAACAAAGACCAAGTGATTTCCATGCCATCACTGCAGGGAAAATTTGTCATTTGGTCATTTCAAAATCTCAGCCCTCTCACTGAATTGATTTAGTAAGTTATGGAACAGATGCGAACTGAATTATACATGATGATAGTGAAATATTTAAAACTTTTGTTCAACTCTATCTACTGCGCATAGCATAAATTAAGAGTGTATCTCTTTTTCCTTTTATTTAGTAAGTGAATGTTTCATTACTTAGATGAATTTATTACTGAGAGAAAGCTATAGTCAGCTCCACATTCCAAAAACATAAAGAGCTCTGCCAGGGCATACTTCAAACATTCATGGAGATAGACAGTTCCTTCAATCAACTAGTGATAAGAGACAACCAACTACTAAACAAGTGTCTAAAATACTGAATTACAGACAGTAGTAAATAGTTGGATCCTACTGCAGGAAGGAGGGAAATGAGATGGTCCAAGGGGCTCAGCCCAAGTATCTAATAATTGATAATACAGAGATTAAGGCATATAAATATACTTCTAGCCAAGGGTTGATATTTTAAAAGGCACAAAAATAGTATAAATTAGAAGAAATGCAGGATGGACCTGGTGATTTTCTACCATCCCAAAATATCTCAGGGGACAAAATAACAATCTAGCAAGGAATGCAAGAAGGTAATATATTTTGTGGGCCAAGTATGGTGACTCATGCCTGTAATCCCAGCACTTTGGGAAGGTGAGGTGGGAGGATTGCTTGAGCCCCGGAATTTGAGACTAGCCTGGGCAACATGGTAAGACCCTATTTCTACAAAAAAAATGTTTTTTAAATTAGCTGGATGTGGTGGCATGTGCCTGTAGTCCCAGCTGTGTGGGAGGCTGACACAGGAGGATCACTTGAGCCCAGAAGGTCGAGACTGCAGTGAGTCGTGATCATGCCACTGCACTCTAGCCTGGGAGACCAAGCGAGGCCCTGTCTCCGACAACAACAACAAAACCACACACACACACGCATGCACACACACACACACACACACACACACACACACACACACACACTTTGTGGAATCATAAATACCACTGATAAGGTATTTTAGTTTTAAGTTTTTGTAAAACAATTTTAAAGTTAAGACAGGCTAAAAAGTAGTAACCCTTTAAACTTTTTAAATTACATTTTGACTTTCAGAGAAGAAAACCCTTAAGGAATCCTAAAAGGAAGATGATTATCATTTTAAAAGTTTAAAAACACATTTAACCACCTTAGAAACAAAATACTGACCAAATCACCATGAAATATGTACAGAAACCTTTGTTTGATAAAAATTTTAAATTGCCAAGACAGTACTGAAATGTTCATCCCTAAATCTCCCCAAACTACATATTCTGTACTCAGTCCATAATAATATACACATTAATAAACTGTTCAACTGCTACAGCTCCAAAGATGTTCAATAAAATTTTTAACTGTTGGATTACTGGCTACTCATTTCTTTAGCTCCCATTCTAAGGTAGTGATATAACAATGACAATAAAGACTAACACTTAAATGCTAAATGCTAGGTGAGTGCCAGGCACATTTACATGGATTAAGTCAATTAATCCTTAAAATAACCCACTAAGGTTATTTATTATAAGATATTTACTCTCATTTTACAAATGGGAAAACAACAGCAAGCAAGGTTTGTAAAACTCCCCAATATCTTAAATTAAATATAGGAGGCAGGATATTGATCAAGTTGTTCCAAATTTAGATAGTTGTGCTGTCTAATAAGGTAGCTACCAGCCACATACAGCTGTTCAGTACTAAATATAATTAAAAATTCAGTTCTTTAGTTACACTAGACACATTTCAACTGCTCAGCAGGCATATATGGCTAGTGGCCACCATGTTGAGCAGTGCAGATACGAAACAATTCCATCACTGTATACAACTCTATTGGATGGTACCAATGTGTGAAAACTGATGTTTTCGTATCAGCTGCTTATGATGTGTGCTTAAAGAATTGGCATTACACTTGAACCAATTAATCTATAACTCGATATTTCTAATGTTTTATTACTTTTAGCCCCATTATCATTTATCATTATCCACTGTATCTCTTAAAATACGTACTTCTCTAGCACTGTGGGCTCCATGCAACTCAAAGAATTACATAGTTTTAATGTATTCTAAGATCTGATGTCATTCCTTTGTACATGGGCCCATGTTTTTTGTTCAATGTATACTAACTACACTTACTAGCCTCTATTATTTTTGTCTCTTGAATACCTTGTTCCTCCACCTCTCCTGGTAATAATATCACTCAATGTCAGCAGCCTTGCCTGGCAGTTAAGTTCCACTTCCAGCCCCAGGAGTGAGAACATGACCTAGACATGAACTATACTCCAGTCCCTGGCCACAGTTCAATGTTGAACATGTGACTTAAGCTGGGTCATTCAGAATATGCCATATGATCATCCTTGCCACTGGCTCACTGCTATCGGGATCAAGAGCCATAAGGACCAAGTAAGTCAGGATTTATAGTAACCAATTTTTCCTGGCAACATGAAAGAAGCTGTCTACAGAATACCTGTGGAGAAGAAATAAGACTCGGATTACACCATCTGAGACCTGAACCTGGCTGCCTCTTAACTTCTGGACCTGGCATTCGATGAGTTTAGTAAATTCTCTGACTCCTGTTTTGTTGAGTTTGTATGCTTTGGATTTGTATCACTTACAATTTAAAGTGCAGGAGTAGAATAATCAGAGATAAAGAGTTTCAAGACCCTTGTTATAGTATGGGAAGAAAAAGATACAAAGGATATACTTACGTTAAATATGGACAGTAAAAAGGAAAAAAAAAGTAAAATTAGTAGAGGAAAAAAAGAGCAATAAACTAACAACAAAATACTTCCTTAAGGTTACTAAATTGCTAATTACCACCGTAGAGTAAGTAGAACCACAAGGGCACTTGTCCTAGAATTCTAGATCTGGATCTTCATAGAGGTTTAAAAGTCACTGATTAAGAAAGAAAAAAGGCAGTAAGATCCCACATTTCAGTCTTCATCTTATGCTCTTCAATCTTTAAAGAGCAGTACCTTTCTTACAAGTAAAGCTAAAAATATTTCTAAAATAAGCAAGATCAGTGAAGAATTCTTTGGGTTTAAAAAAAAAGGATGCTAGAGCAATATGATCTAGGTAAACAGGTAGCTGATAAAGTTGTAAGACCTAGAGAATCTAAGCAGAGGAATTTTAATAGTTTTTTTTTTCTATATGAATTCTAGTAAGTGTTGCTTCAAAATGACAGTTTTGGGCTAGGCCCGGTGGCTCATGCCTGTAATCCCAGCACTTTGGGAGGCCGAGGCGGGCAGATCAAGAGGTCAGGAGATTGAGACCATCCTGGCTAACACGGTGAAACCCTGTCTCTACTAAAAATACAAAAAATTAGCCGGGTGTGGTGGTGGGTGCTTGTAGTCCCAGCTACTCGTGAGGCTGAGGCAGGAGAATGGCGTGAACCCGGGAGTCAGGGCTTGTAGTGAGCCAAGATTGCGCCACTGCACTCCAGCCTGGGGGACAGAGCGAGACTCCATCTCAAAAAAAAAAAAAAAGTCTGACATAGCACATGCATAATAAATGATCAATCAACTGCTACTCTTAAACACAGATTACCAGGTCTAGTTGATTTTTTCATTTTTTGATCATATATGTTCTAGTGTTTTCAAAAAACCACTCTACTGAGATATTATTCACATACCATACAATGGCATATTACTACCGAATGGTATAAAAGCCATTAAATGGCTTTTGTATATTCGGAGTAGTGTGACCCTCACTACAATCAATTTTAGAACATTTTTATTACCACAAAAAACAACCCCACTGCTCTTAGTCATCACCTGCTAATCCCCTCCATTCTCCCAGCCCAAGGCAACCACTAATTTACTTTGTGTCTCTATAGATTTGCCTATTCTGGACATTTTGTATGCCTGGAATCATACAGTACATGGTCCTTTGTAACTGTCTTCTTTTACTTAGCATGTTTTCAAGGTTCATTCACATTGGAACATGTGTCAACACTTCATTCCTTCCCTTCCCTCCCCCCATCCCCCCACTTGGGACAGGGTCTTGTTCCACTGCACAGGTTGGAGTACAGTGGCAAGATCATGGCTCACTGCAGCCTCAACCTCCTGGGCTAAAGTGATCTTCCTGCCTCAGCTTCCCACGTAGCTGGGACCACAAATGTATGCCACCATGCCCAGCTAATTTTTTTAATTTCTGTAGAAATTATGTTGCCCCAGCTGATCTCAAATTCCTGGACACAAGGGATCCTCCCGCCTTGGCATCTCAAAGTGCTAGGATTACAGATATGAGCCACTCGCCTGGCCCTTCATTGCTTCGTATTGTCATACAATGTTCTACTGCATGGATATTACATTTTGCTTATCCATTCATCAGTTGACGGACATTTGGGTTGTTTCTACTTTTTCACTACGATAAATAGTGCTGCTATAAACGTTGGTGTACAGTTTTGTTTGGTCATATTTTCATTTCCCTTGGTTATATACCTAGGAGTGGAATTCCTGGGTCACAGGGTAACTCATGTTTACTTATTTAAGTGTTTAACAAATTGAGGAACTTCCAGACTCACCAAAATGACCACACCCTTTACACTCCTACTGGCAGTATATGAGGATTCCAATTTGTCTACATCCTTTTCAACTGTTGTTATTATCTGATTTTTGTAATTATAGACACAAAGGTATCTCACTATGGCTTTGATTTGTATTTCCGTCAGGACAGATGACATCTATTTTACTTTTTTTTTTTTTTTTTGAGACAAGAGTCTTGCTCTGTCACCAGGCTGGAGTGCAGTGGCTCGATCTCGGCTCACTACAATCTCCACCTCCTGGGTTCAAGCAATTCTGCCTCAGCCTCCCGAGTAGCTAGGACTACAGGCACGCACCACCATGCCTGGCTAATTTTTGTATTTTTAGTAGAGACAGAGTTTCACCATGTTGGCCAGGAAAGTCTCCATCTCTTGACCTCGTGATCCGCCCACCTTGGCCTCCCAAAGTGCTGGGATTACAGACGTGAACCACCACGCCCGACTTATTTTACTTTTAAGTTTACTACTGTATGTCACAGCAGGAGTGTGTGTCATCAAAACAAAAGAAGTTTGCCTATTTGCTAGGACAGAATGGACATGGACCACTTATGTAGTAGTTTGCGAGGGCTTCTGTGACAAAGTATGACAAACTGGGTAGCTTAAACAACAAAAATTTAACTTTGCACAGTTCTGAGGGTAAAATCAAGGTGTTGGCAGGGTTGGTTCCTTAAAATGGTCAAGTAGGATCTGTTCCAGGCCTCTATCCTTGGCTTGTAAATGGCCATTTTCATGTTCATGTGGCATTTTTCCTGTATGAATAACGGTCTCCAAATTTCCCCTTTTTATAGACACCAGTTATTAATATATTGAAATAGGGGCCCACCCCTAATCCACAGCTTGATGAGAATGCAAAATGGTATAGCCACCTTAGAAAACTGTTTGGCAGTTTCTCAAAAGGTTAAACATAGTTACCAATATGACCCAGCAATTCTGCTCCTAGACATATAACCAAGAGATATGAAAACATACATCTACATAAAAACTTGTCCAAGAATGTTTACAGAGTGATGCTCACAATAACCAAAAAACAGAAACAACCCAAATATCCACCAACTGATGAATAAAACGTCATATATCCATTCAAACGCATATTATTCAGAAATGAAAAGGAATGAAGTACTGATTCATGCTACAACATGGATGAACCCCAAAAACATTATGCTAAATAAAGCATCCAGTTGCAAAAGACCACATACTATATGATTACACATATATGAAATGTCCAGAATAGGCAAATCTATAGAGACAGAAAAGTAGTGGTTGCTGAGGACTGGGGAAGAGGGAGAATGTGGAAGGGACTGCTAATGGGTATGGGGTTTCTTTTTGGAGAGATGAAAATGTTCTATAATTAGATATGGTGATAGTTGCATAACTTTGTGAATATATAAAAACTGAATGAACTGTACACTTTAATAGGGTTAATTTTACAGTACACGAATTATATCTCAATAAACTTGTTTAAAAAACCAGCAGAGGCTGAGCGTCGTGGCTCATGCCTGTAATCCCAGCACTTTGAGAAGGCAAGGTGGGCGGATCAGCTGAGGTCAGAAGTTCGAGACCAGCCTTGCCAACATGGCGAAACCCTGTCTCTACTAAAAATACAAAATTAGCCGGGTGTGGTGGCTCACGCCTGTAATCCCAGCTACTTGGGAGGCTGAGGCAGGAGAATAGCTTGACCCGGGAGGCAGAGGTTGCAGTGAGCTGAGATGGCTCCACTGCACTCCAGCCTGGGCGACAGAGTGAGACTCCGTCTCAAAAACAAACAAACAAACAAACAAAAAACACATACAAAAACCTCAGCAGAATAGCAGAATATTAACATCGGCCACTTTCAACATGATTCATATAAGTCAGGTTATATACAAACTTGTAAAAACATCACATTTTGAAACCTTCTTATAACAGTGCTTGATCGGGCATCAGCTTGACCGACATTCAAATATTTTGATGCTCCTGAATCCCTGATTTCTGCAACTGCTACACATCTCAATTCCTTCCTACTCCTCTTTCCATGGTGATGACTTGGAAACATTATTATTGCTAATCTGGATCTGCTGAAATTTTGTACAAATCACTGCTGTTTGCCTTTTGCCACAACATATTGTGATCCTAAAAAGCACAAATGCCACTTTATAAAAAAGGAACAGAGGGTTGTACTTCATTTCAGTATGAAATACTGAATTTCCTCCCATTTGCCTGAACTTTAGTTCAGAAAGACTCTTTCAAATATCTAAGCAAACATAATCTAGATAGCCAAGAAATCTATTCATAGAATGGATGCCAAGCAATGTTAGAGCCAGGCACGGTGCCTCATGCCTGTAATCCCAGTGCTTTGGGAGGCCAAGGCAGGTAGATCAGTTGAGTTAAGGAGCTCAGGACCACCCTGGGCAACACAGTGAGACCCTGTCTCTACAAAAATTAACTGGATGCGGTGGCACATGTCTGTGGTCCCGGCTATTAAGGAGGCTGAGGTAGGTGGATCGCTTGAGCCCAAGAGGGTGAGGCTGCAGTGAGCTATGATCATGCCACTGCACTCTTCAGCCTGGGCAACAGAGTGAGGGCCTGTCTCTGAGGAAAAAAAAAAGCAATGTTAACAACAAACTACCTATCAAACTGTTCCACTTCACAAAATTTACTTCATTTAAAAATATGTCCTGGTTTGCACAATGAGTAAGAAATTACAAATTTCTAACAACTCTACTTTTTCAAGTCATTACAGTGAAGAAAGCTAACTTAAACTGGAGTGCCAATGATGACCTGGGCTTTTTAAGAACCAATATCTCTATCAACTTCCTCTAAAGCCTCCCTTAATTAATATACAATCTAAATAAATATAGTATTTTTGCTGTGAAAAAAGTACCTAGGGTCAACTATCAGATTGTCACTCTCAAGTCACTCATTAGAAATTGTGAAGCTATCACTGGTTGTTGACTTAGTCTATACTGTGAAGAATTTAAATTCTGGATTAGGCCGCGTGTGGTGGCTCATGCCTGTAATCTCAGCACTTTGGGAGGCTGAGGCGGGTGGATCACTTGAGGTCAGGAGTTCGAGACCAGCCTGTCCAACATGGCGAAACCCCGTCTCTACTAAAAAGACAAAAATGAGCCAGGTGTGGTGGTGTGTGCCTATAATCCCAGCTATTTGGGAGGCTGAGGGGGGAGAATTGCTTGAACTCGGGAGGCAGAGGTTGCAATGAGCCAAGATCATGCCATTGCACTCCAGCCTGGGTGAGAGAGCAAGACCCTGTCCCTCCCCGCACCCCCCAAAAAAGAAAAAAAAATTCTGGATTAGGTCATGCCATAAGTTAAAAGAGATGTAGGTATGCTTTCATAATTATTACAGCATATATTTTACTATTAAATCTTACAATGCTGAAAGCAAAATCCCTTGCACATTAGACACAAAAACTTCTTTACTAAATAAACTGAAATTATTTTTCATTTATATGATGGATAATTTATGCTAACTTTTCAATTTTGCAATTAGACTCTAAGCAGCTCATGTTAATTTATGATACAGTCATAAATACTAGCATCAACAAATGAACTATCATTTTCATATTAAAATAAACATTTGCCTTCAAGGTAATACTGAGTTAAAATCTGAAGCTTAATGAATCAGATAATGAAAACAACTCTCAAATCAGTTTACAATAATTTTTGACATTTCACTCAAAAAATTTAAAAAGCTATAGAACTAGAAAGAAACCAGAAAGATACACCCCCCGATCTCAAACAGCAATCACTCTAGGAATTCCATTTGAAAAGATTCTCCTAATACCCCACAATGTAAAACGACAAAACTATAAATTATATACTACTTCACTAATGTGAGTTTGAAATAACTATCAGTGTTCCTATGCAATTCAACGTGATTTAACTTTTAATGTACACTCAATTATTTCGTAATATCTTAATTACTTGGCATAGTCAAAGAATAAGTATATTTTCTAGATGACTGTTGCACTGTTTTTTTTTCATTATTGTTTTAAAAACAAAATACCAGAGTGCAATAGAATAACCTTGGCAGTTTTTCATTCTACTAGGTACATGGACAATTTATTCTGTGCTAAATGGTCCCGAATAGTTTTAAACTACTTAATACCTTTTATAATTCTCTTTCCTTCTTTGATTTTAGTTATCAGTTCCTGCTGCTAGTGCAGCTACAGCGGGCAGCCTCTCCCACTTCTAATTTTGTTTCTAATTTTCTATGAGGAAAAACAAACTTGTCAGTTTGCCTGCATCTCCTACTAACCTACTGCCATGCATTGGCTAGATAAAAGTGTTAACGATAGAATGGCAGGGAATCACTACTCTGTGCCTATGATCTTAAAACTATTATCAATGAGGAAATTATAGATTTCCTCAGCCACCTGTCTATATATAACTTACAAATTTGGATTACATGGTATAGGTCCCTTGTCCACTGGTGGATGGATTTATTTTTTTCTTAACCTTCATGACTTGAGTCAAGACAGAAGGTCTTCTAAGTGCATATGTAATTTGCTGTAAGCAACTAACAATTCTAAGAACATTACAAAGTCTGAACAAAATACGAAGTATAATTGTAGTATGCCTGACAAGCTATCCATTTTGAAAATTTCCCTAATAAACCCATTAAATTTTGGGGATAAAGGCACATTAATTGACTTGATTCCTAAAATGATTTATACTTGATACAAGCATAAAGTTGAACTTTTATAAGAGGAGGACAAGTAGAAAGAGGAGAAAAAAGAAAGAAGGCACAATATTTTATATTGAAATTTTGACTCAAATAGATCTCCACTAAGTCATGAGCAGAGGTATATCTTTGATGATGGAAACAATTTAATCAGTAGCCATTTCTGTGACCTTGGTGTGACTTTCACAAACAAGAACACCAATTACCCCTTATCGTAGGACCAGTATTTCTGTAAGCATTTTCACAAATGCCACATAAGCCAAGAAAAAAATGACATGAGAAAAGATAAGCCCTTTCTAAAATTACAGTATAGGTGTTAAATGCTAATGAAGTACAAGTGATACAAACTTAACATTTAAGTCAATTCTCTTAAACTGCCACCTATTTTACCATTGGGTTCTCCATTTCAGTAGCAAGGTAAATGCAACAAAAACATGGTAGAGTAGCTGTATGAAAGCTGCTTGCCTAAGAAAAGGCATAAAGAAATTTCCATATATCACAAATAAAACTTAAATGCTAGACTAAAAACACCCTTTACCCTTTCTTTGCTTTAATTTTCAAAATCAGCATTCATTAAAAAAGAAAATCAACACTCACAAAAAGCTGTGGAGTGTGTAAAAAAATAGTTCGTGTAACATAGAATGACAACCAAAATATTTCATTTGTAATTTATCATATGGACTTAACAAAACTTCAGCTGGAAAAGACATTCCAGATCATGAAAAGATTTTAAACTTGGGTCTTATGAATATAAACTGCCATTCCAAAAGCTATGAAAAGTAGAACTGACAATAATCTTTACCAAAGAACAAAGGAAAATTTATAATACAAAAGTTACACATCTTTGTGTCAAGGGAAATACATATGTAATGTATTCTTATTTAAATGAGGTGAAAATCAAACACAATTGACCATTTTTAAAGGTACAATTCAGTAGTATTTAGTCTATTCACAATGTTTGTCTCTACCAGCTATCTCTAGTTTCAAAACTTTTTCATTACCCCGTAAAACACCCATTCCATTTAAGGAATAACTATTTTTTTCCTTCCCCCAACTCCTGGTAAACTCTAACCTGTTTTCTGTCTCTGGATTTGCCCACTGTGAATATATCATATAAAAGGAACTATATAAGCTGGGTATCCCTTGAGCCCAGGAGTTTCAGTTCAGCCTCAGCAATATAGCAAGACCCCATTTTGTTTTTGTTTTTTTTTTTTTTTTTTTTGAGGCAGAGTTTCGCTCTTGTCACCCAGGCTGGAGTGCAATGGCGCAATGTCGGCTTACTGCAATATCCGCCTCCCGAGTTCAAGGGATTCTCCTGCCTCAACCTCCGTCTCCCGAGTAGCTGGGATTACAGGCACCCACCATCACGCCCAGCTAATTTTTGTATTTTTAGTAGAGACAGGGTTTCATCATGTTGACCAGGCTGGTCTAGAACTCCTGACTTCAGGTGATCCACCTGCCTCTGCCTCCCAAAGTGCTGGGATTATAGGTGTGAGCCACCGTGCCTGGCCAAGACCCCATTTTTTTAAAAAACAAACCAAAACAAAACCAAACCATACAATATGTGTTCTTTAAAATTAAATGACTTCATATGCTGCATATGCATATAAATGCATTCTAGGAAAGATACATACTTAATTACACCTAATTAATATAAACACCTATTTACCTAAAGTCAATTAAGAGTTAGAAAGGTTAATTCTAGTTTCAATACAAATGTTCAAAACTTTTTTAAAAAGGGGATGACTTTAAATAATCTTCTTCCTGCTCTTATTACTGAGAACAAGAAATCATAAAACGTTTGACAGTATTAAATTGACTGAATTTTGTATTAACAAAATTTCAAAAACTAGGAATAAAGAAATGTAGGACTAAGAAGTAGATTTTTGTGCACTGCATGTTAGCAGGTATTTCTTATTCGAAGATTTAAAACATTCTTAAATTACTAAATAGAAACAATACTGGAAGCCATCAACAGAAAGGAAAAATTAACTGTGTATTTATATAATAAAATACGATTCTGTAATAAAAAGGATATTCATATGTGCAAAAATGGATAAATCTGAAAAACATGTTGAATGGAAGAAGCCCTACACAGAGTATATACTGTATCATTTCATTTATGTAAATCCTAGACAGCCAAATATATGATGGAAAAGAATCGGAAATTTTGGTTGTTGCCTCTTGGGGTATGGGGTGGGGGGGCGATGACTGGGAAAGAGAATGAGGGAACTTTCTTGGGTGACAGCAATGTTCTATATCTCAATGGATGTATGGGTTGTAGACATGTATACAATTTGTCAAAAACTAATTGAATGACATATTTATGATTTGTGCATTTTTCTAAATGCATATGTGCCTTTAAAAAGCAATCAAACATTCAACTCTAGTTAATCATATGCATGTCCAAGTGTTTAGGGGTGATGTATACTATTATAATACCTGCAACTTAATTTAAAATGCATAAAACATGGATTAATATGGCAGAAAGCAAAAAGAGCAAAAGGTTAACTGTAAAATTGAGTAATTTATCAAATTTTGTGTACGTTTGGAAAATTTCAAAATAAAATGAAATATCAGATTGGCAACAGGTCTCTTAACAGCAATCTAGATGTTAGAAGACACTAGAAATATGTCTAAGTACAAAAGGAATATGATTCTGTACTTAGCATTCTATGCATCAATCAAGTCTGATGTCAGAAAAAAGACTTCAGGCTGGGGCAGTGGCTCACACCTGTAATCCTAGCACTTTAGGAGGCTAAGGCGGGTGGATCACGAGGTCAGGAGATCGAGACCATCCTGTCCAACATGGTGAAACCCTGTCTCTACTAAAAATACAAAAATTAGCTGGGTGTGGTGGCACGCGCCTGTAGTCCCAGCTACTCGGGAGGCTGAGGCAGGAGAATCACTTGAACCTGGGAAGTGGAGATTGCAGTGAGCCGAGATCGTGCCACTGCACTCTAGCCTGGGCGACAGAGCAAGACTCTGTCTCAAGAAAAAAAAAAAAAAAAAAAAAGAAAAGAAAAAAGACTACAGACATATAAGTTCTCAGAAGGTTTATTTCCTAAGCAACCTTCCTCGGGAAAATATCTCAGACTATTACCTAGACAAATTAATGTAAAAAACAAGAGAAGGAGCCATAAGATTCAGCAAACAGTTGATTCAACCTAGTAGGGCAGTGAAGGAATGAGACCTGTGAGCGGGACATAAGATTCCAGGAGAAAAATCTCATGGAAACACAGACTGGATAATCTTGAGGATATGCTGATGGTGCACTATTGCTTGTCAACCAGAAAAAAAAAAAAAAGACAATTAGAAACTCCAGAAAAAAAAATCGAAGACAGTCATAAGAAGTAACAATGTGACATAATTCTGATAAACTGATGGAAGCATTAAAAAAATTCATTTGATTTTTGGTGCTAGAAACATTCTCTTCAAGTAACTCATGAATCCTGATGATAAAACAGAGGATGAGAATGATAGTCAAATGCAGACCCACCATACTGATTTCTATGTGCATGTACTGTTTTGATTTTTAAAAATGCTACTTAAAAAAAGTTCTAAAAAATTAATTTAATTTTAGAAATGTAGTTAAGTTCTACACAGGCTCAGTTTTCTATCCCATGCCTTCCACCAAAATGTTTATAATTTGTCAAGCATACTGAACAATATGATAGGTGTCTGAGTTCAAAAGATGGAGGAGTTATCAAAATTACTCGAGACAAAACCAATCTGACCATCTTCTTTCTCAAATCAACTTATTAAAATGATCTTAAAAAAAGGTTTTTATAATGTCCTTCAAAACATTTCTTGGCTGGGCGCGGTGGCTCATGGCTGTAATCCCAACATTTTGGGAGGCTAAGGCAGGCAGATCACTTGATGTCAGGAGTTCGAGACCAGCCTGACCAACATGGTGAAACTCCATCTCTACTAAAAATACAAAAATTAGCCAGGCATGGTAGCACACGCCTGTAATCCTGGCTACTCAGGAGGCTGAGGCAGGAGAATGTCCTGAATCCGGGAGGTGGAGGTTGCAGTGAGCCAAGATAGTGACACTGCACTCCAGCGTAACCATTTCTTTTCTGTGGTCAAACCATCCTGAGTAAGACAAAAACTAAAATCACACAGATAACATCATGGTCTGGTTGCCTGGCTCTGTGATAACATCTCATGTGCTTTGGGTACTGGTTCTAGCATCTTAGTCAGCAACAATATGTAATACAACCTGATAAGCCTAAGAAGGGTGCCAAACAGCCAAGGGGAATATAAAGGGGAGATAATTACTTACTGAGGACATTTATAGAATTATTGTCCACCATTTCCTCTTTTTAGCACAACTGAGCCAGGCTGGAGGGTCTTGAGTGCAAACAAAGTCTCCCATCCCTATTCCCATCCCATCTATTCTATTCTCTTCAGGGTGGAGAGGAAGGGAAGGGAAGAGGGCACAGGTGACATTGACACTGATGCACTTTTAGGATAACATCTCACTTGTGTCTGGGACCAGGTCGATTTCCTCTCCCCTGCCTATCGCCTTCCTCCCTATATCCAAAAAAAGAACAAAAAAGAGAACAGAACAAAAATTTATCTGGTAATCTTCAGACCCTGAAACAAAGAAATACAATGTGGAGACAAACATTCTCTTAGGAATGCGCTCTTGTCACTAGAATAGTTCAAGCAAAGAATAAAAACATTATCTGCCTGATTTCAGATACCCACAGGCACTTGCTCGAAAGGCATGAGCCAGGCATCTCCTCTTCCCCTATTCTGATATCCCCTGGAAGAAGACAGACAAGGAAAAGCACACAATTTTAGGAAAAGCTGCCCAGGTGATTGCCCCTGGATGCGTCCCACACCACTGAGGTTGGATCGGATGACTTCTCACATTCTAATAGCTAAGATTTATCAGTCTGTCTAAACACAGGTACTTTTGTTTAAGAAAAACTATGGCATCTTTTGTTTAAACACTAAGAAGACAGGAAATCCTTGATATATGGAGATTAAAGATTGGTGTTTAGACGTCACAAGTGTCCCCCCAAATCCACTACATTTGGGATGAAGAGACTACTGTGGGAATGATTCACGTAACTAATGAATACACCTAGCTGACAGCCCAGAACCACACCTCCAGTATTCTTTATGTACTTTTTATTTTAATTCCCAATTGTCTACAGGAAAACACTGCTGAACTTCAGTAAACAAGTGTACCTGCAACTTCATCCAAGTGTGTACTTCTTTCATGGCCTTCGTACTTTCTGTTCCTTCCATCCAAAATATTCTTCCCTGATATATCTCATGGCTTTTTCCTTCATTTCATTCAAGTGTTTGCTTGAATGTCAAGAGATGTTGCTCTGACTACCTTGTGTAAAACAGGCCCTACGCTCCATTCCATCATGTTCTAACCTCAACCTCCTTTTTTAAAATCATTGCAATAGTTTCTATCTGACACTATATTATACTTAAATATTTCATTCTTTGTCTCACTCACTAGAAAATAAAATCCATAAGGGCAAGTACTCTCTGCTTTATATAGGCAGTACACGGCACATAGTAAATTATCAACGAATATTTCATGAATGAATGCTGAGTGAATCCATAACGTCCTGGGTGGGCAACAATCCTATCACTTTAGTTTTGCAGATACATTCAAAATTAAAATTACCATTGGAATAATACAGAGTTTTAACCACAGGAATTTATTTTTTAGAACTTTGTATATGATTTGGGTCAGTATTTATGGAATCATTAAGGAGGTGGGGTTATTTACATTTTATTAATTTTAACAGGGAAAATACATGCTAAAGCACTATGCTCTTTTTTTTTAGACAGAGTTTTACTCTATCACCCAGGCTGGAGTGCAGTGGCACGATCTCAGCTCACTGCAATCTCTGCCTCTGGGGTTGAAACGAATCTCACGCCTCAGCCTCCCCAGTAGCTGGGATTAACAGGAGTGCACCACCATGCCTAGCTAATTTCTTTGTATTTTTAGTAGAGATGAGGGTTTCGCCAGGTTGCCCAAGCTGGTCTCAAGCTCCTGGCCTCAAGTATTCTGCCCGCCTCAGCCTCCCAAACTGCTGGGATTACAGGCGTGAGTGAGCCACCATGCCTGGCCCTGTGCTCTAATTTAATGGAGAATTTTTGCAGTTTCTTTCATTCTTCAACAGTTGATAGTGGGATTAGGGTGAGTGGCAAATGGTTTTAAAGGTGCTACTAATTTTATTCCTCCATTTCTGGAAATTTTTACCTTTTTTTGTTAGCCCTTCCCTTTCCTTTACTTGTTCAATAACATTTGTAGTTAAAAGGCCGGATAATAGGAAACTATATGAATACAGCTCAGCTCACTGTAAATACCACTATAAAAAACTAAAGTTTTCATGTTGAGACTACTAAGACTTTGTCAAGTTGTGTTTGCCCCTATTCCAGTAAATCTAATAAATACAACTTTGATCAACACATTTTTTCTGGTGTCCTTTTTTGGGAGTCAACAATTGACAGCTGAATGTCTATATGATGTGTTTTTACTACATAAGTATATTTAAAATTCCAACCTCTCTCATTTCCCAACTATTTGTACCTTTCACTGGAAAAAAATTAGCTAATCCTATAGCGAGAGGTCGACAAATATAAATGAATGAAAACAGCATAATTTCTTTAGCGGTTTCCACATACCAAAACATTTACAGGCATTATCTTGTTTCCTCCTTACAAAATCCCTAAAAGGAGATGTCATTATCTTCATTTTATAAATGAAGAAACAGACTGAGAGGCTAAGTAACTTAACTTGTTCAGTTGTTAAGAGGCAGAGCTGTGAATTTCAATTAGGTCTCTGAGTTTCCAAACACATACTTGTTTCCATTCAACATGTGGTTCTCTAAGTGTGGTCTGAGGACCACTGCAGGGTCACCAAGATCCTTTCAAAAAGTTCATGAGGTCCTCCCCTTTTTATCTTTGTATCTATGTTTGGCCAAAATTGTCTTCTTATATTTCAACCCAAACCACATATATCAGAGTGAATGCAAAAGCAGGTATGTGAACCCAGCCATCTTCTTCGGTTAAGCCAGACATTAAGGAAATTTGCAAAAATGTTAAAACAATGGGATTCTTCTTTTTTAAGTTATTTTGTACAAAATATGGTATCATGTAAACTTGCAATGTTTATCATTCTTATTAATCATTAAATATTTTTTAAAATTTCTCATTTAATATTTTTTAAATGGCAATACTATCCACATTGACTTACATATTTGACACAATCCCAATTAAAATCCAAGCTGGCTTCTTTGCAGAAACTGGCAACCTGACCCTAAACTATATAGAATAATAAATGGGATCTGGAATAGCCAAAGGCAAAAAGAAAAAAAAAAAAACTCGAAAAAGAAGAACAGAATTGGAGCTCTCATTTCAAAACTTGCTACAAAGGTACATAATCAAACAGTGTGGCACTGGCATAAAGACACACATATAAATCAACGAAATAGAATTGAAAGTCCAGAAATAACCACATTTTTTGATCAATCGATTTTCAACTACAGTGCCAAGACAATTCAATGGGGGAAAGAACAGTCTTTTCAACTAATGGTGCAGAAAACTAGATATTCACGTATAAAAATAAATCTGAACCCCTATCTCACACCATACACAAAAATTAATCATCCATTTTACATATTACAGAGACTGTATCCTCCCCAAGTTGGTGGTCTTTTACTTTTGATCTCCTCACATTCCATTCCCATTGCTTTAAAACATTTAGACCAGGGACAGTGGCTCACACCTGTAATCCCAGCACTTTGGGAGGCCTGAGGCAGGCAGATCACTTGAGGTCAGGAGCTTGAGACCAGCCTAGCCAACATGGTGAAACCCCATCTCTACTAGAAATATAAATACTAGCAGCATGGTGGCACACACTTGTAATCCCAGCTACTCGGGAGGCTGAGGCAAAAGAATTGCTTGAACCTGGGAGGTGGAGGTTGTGGTGAGCCAAGACTGCAGCACTGCACTCTAGCCTGGGCTACAGAGTGAGACGCCGTCTCATGGTCATATAGTAACCATAGTGTAACTTAAGCATTTACATTACCCTCTTCCCTCAAATTAGTTATCATCTGCCAGTTTGATGCTTGGTATGTCATTATAGGGGATGAAATCTTTTATTTCATCTTACAGATAATATGCTTATAATATAAATATCTGGTTGAATAATGCCTCTTGACAAAACCATATTATAGCAACTGGACAATGAAAAATACAGATAACAGATTCTTTTTAGTTTAAATGACGAGGAGTTAAAAAATGAAAGGACAGCAAGACCTAACAAAAGGAGAATGAGAAAAGAACTGACATTTAGAAAAAAACAAGGTATACAAAGTGAAAACAAAAACTGTAACTTGGATTTGTTCAGTGTTAGAGGTATTTCTATTGTGCTCTATACATGTGAACATGGCTTAGTAAAAATAACACAATTGAACTATGTTAAATATATGAATGTTATTTTGCAGAGGATATTCATTTAAAAATAGGTACTTTTCCCCCTTAGTACTATACAGGAACACACACAGGTTGTGTATACCTAATCTGAAAATGTGAAATCCAAAATGCTTCAAAATCCAACAGTTTTGAGCACCAACTTAACAATACAAGTAGAAAATTCCACACCTGAACTTACATGATGAGTTGCAGTCAAAACTTTGTTTTATGCAAACAATTATTTAAAATAGTGTATAAAATTCCCTTTAGGCTATGAGTATAAGGTACACATGAAACAAATAAATTTCCTGTTTAAATTTGGGTCTCATCCCAAAGATATTTCAATATTCCAAAATCTGAAAAAATCCAATACACTTCTGGTCTCACACATTTTGGGTAAAAAATACTCAACCTATATGCACTTCAGAGACATTGCTTTTCTCTTTCTTTCTTTCTTTTTTTTTTTTTTTTTTTTAACAAATTGAAGGTTTGTGGCAACTCTTGAGTCAAGCATATCGATCAGTACCATTTTCCCAACATGTGCTCACTTCATGTCTCTGTGTAATAGTTTGGTAATTCTTGCAATATTTCAAACTCTTTCATTATTATGTCTGGTGATGGTGATCTGCAATCAGTGATCTTTACCACTGTAATTGTTTTAGGGGACCACAAATCACACCCATATAAGACAGTGAACTTAGTTGATAAATGCTGTAGGTGTTCTGATTGCACCACCAACTGGCTGATACCCCATCTCTTCTCCCTCTCTTTGGTCCTCCCTATTCACTGAGACAAAACAACATTGAAATTAGGTCAACTGGCTGGGCACGGTGGCTCACGCCTGTAATCCCAGCACTTTGGGAGGCAGAGGCAGGCTGATCACGAGGTCAGGAGATCAAGACCATCCTGGCTAACAAGGTGAAACCTCGTCTCTACTAAAAATAAAAAAAAATTAGCCGGGCATGGTGGCGGGCGCCTGTAGTCCCAGCTACTCAGGAGGCTGAGGCAGGAGAATGATGTGAACCCAGGAGGCGGGAGGCGGAGCTTGCAGTGAGCCGAGATTGCGCTACTGCACTCCAGCCTGGGTGACAGAGCAAGACTCTGTCTCCAAAAAAAAAAGAAGCTAATGCAGATACTTAACTTTAAGTTGAAGACAGCGCTCATTTAACCTTCTGAAAATCCTAGGGCCATTAAGAACTATGCTAAAAGTACTCTGCCTGTGCTCTATAAATGAAACAAAGCCTGGATGACAGCACATCTGTTTACAACAGATATGCTATTTACGAATACTTAAAACCCTCTGTTGACACCTACTGCTCAGAAAAAAAAGACTCCTTTTAAAAAACTTACTGTTCGTTGATAATTTACCTTGTCACCCAAGAGCTCTGATGGAGATGTAAAAAGAATGAATGTTCCTTTGACTGCTAACACATGTATTTTTCAGCCCATGTATCAAGGATTAATTTCTATTTTTAAGTCTCATATTTATGAAATACACTTTGTAAGGCTACATGGCCGCCAAAGATAGTAATTCCTCTGATGCAACTGGGTAAAGTAAGCTGAAAACCTTCTGGAAAGGATTCATCACGCTAGATGCCATTAACAACATTTGTGGGCATGGTGGCTCATGCCTATAATCCCAACACTCTGGGAGGCTGAGGCAGAAGGACTGCTTGAGGCCAGGAGTTTGAGACCAGCCTGGGCTACGAGCAAGACCCTGTCCCTACAAAAATAAATAAATAAATAAATAAAAATAGACGGATGTGGTGGCATGCACCAGCACTGAGGTGGGAGAACTGCTTGAGCCCCAAAGTTCAAGGTTACAATAAGCTATGACAGCAGCACTACACTCCAACCTGGGCAACAGAGCAACACCTCCATGTCTTAAAAGAATATTTGTGATTCATGGGAGGAGGTCAAAATATCAACTTTTAAAGATTTTTATTTTTTGACCACCTACGCATCTGTGAAGTTACAAAATATCAACAAGAGTGTGGAAGAAATCGATTTCAACCTTTATGGATGACTTGGAGGGGTTCAAGACTACCCTGGATAAAGTAACTACAGATGTGGTGGAAACAGTAAGAGAACTAGATTCAGAAATGGGGCCTGAAGATGTGCTTGAATTGCTGCTCATGATATCATTATTTGTTCATGATTACGGATGAGCAAAGAATGTGGTTTCTTGAGATGGACTCTACTCCTGGTAAGTCTATTTCTGTTAGCATTGTTGAAATAGCAACAAAGGATTTAGAATATTACACAAACTTAGTTGTAAATTAGTAGGAAAATTGGAGAGGATTCACTACAATTTTGAAAGAAGTTCTACTGGGGGTAAAATGCTTTCAAATAGCAGCACATGCTATCGAGAAATCTTCCATGAAAGGAAGTGTCCATCAACGTGGACATTGTTTTCATTGTTGTCTTATTTTCAGATATTGCCACAGCCACTCCAACCTTCAGCAACCACCATCTTGATGGGTCAGCAGCCACCAACACTGAAGCAAGACTCTCCACCAGCAAAAAGATTACAACCTGCTGAAGGCTCAGATGATTAAAATTTTTTAGCAATATTTAAAAATTAAGATATGTGCATTTTTTAGACATAATGCTCTTCACACTTTAAATAGACTACAGAATTGTATAAAACTCTTTTTTTTTTCAAATGATAACATCAGTAGTAAACCTAACTTTTAAATGCACCAGGGTACCCAAAAATGTATATGACTCGCTTTTTCATGGTTGTCTGGAACTGAACTCGCAGTATCTCCTAGGTGTGCCTGCAATTCTTTTGGGATCCATTCTAGTTGCTGTATCAATACAATCACGCACTGCATAATGACATTTCAGTCAACAATGGACTGCATAAATGATAGTGGTCCCATAAGACTATGTTGGTGAAAAATTCCTAGCACCTAAGGATTATCACAGCCTTCATAACACAACACATTACTCACGTGTTTATGGTGATGCTGGTGTAAACCTACTGCACTGCTATATGCATATGACTATATGAAAGTATAGCACATACATATGTACAGCACGTAATACTTGATAATGGTAATAAATGACTATGATACTGATTTATGCATTTACTACACTTCTTATCATTATTTTAGAGTGTATTCCTTCTACTTATTTAAAAAAAAAATCAGAAGTTAACTGTCAAACAGCTCAGGGAGGTCCTTGAAGAGGTATTCCAGAAAAAGACATTAACATCAAGATGACAGAGTCATGTGTGTAATTGTCTCTGAAGACCTTCCGGTGGGACAAGATACAAAGATGGAAGACAATGATACTGATGATACTGACCCTGTGCAGGCCTATGCTAATGCATGTGTTTACATCTTGGTTTTTAACAAAAAATTTTAAAGGAAAAACAACAACAACAACAACAACAACAAAAACTTTTAAGCCAGGCGTGGTGGCTCACGTCTGTAATCCAAGCACATTGGGAGGCTGAGGTGGGTGGATCACCTGAGGTCAGGAGTTCAAGACCAGCCTGGCCAACATGGTGAAACCCCGTCTCTACCAAAAATACAAAAATTAGCCGGGCATGGTGGTGGGCACCTGTAGACCCAGCTACTTGGGAGGCTGAGGCAGAAGAATCGCTTGAATCCAGGAGGCGGAGGTTGCAGTGAGCCAAGATCGTGCCACTGCACTCCAGTCTGGGTGATGGTGACGAGAGCAAAACTCCGTCTCAAAAACAAACTCCAAAACCTTTTAAAATAGAAAAATGCTTATAGGGCAAGGATATAAAGAAAAAATATTTTTGTACAGCTATAATATGTCTATTTTAAGCTGTTACTAAAAAAGGGTCAAAACTTTAAAAATTTTTTAAAATTCATAAAGTAAAAAGTTACTGCAAACAAGTTAATTTTTTAGATAGAAAAATATTTTATAAATTTAGTGGAACCCAAGTATACAGCATTTATAAAGTTTACAATGGTGTACAATTATGTCTGAGGCCTTTGCATTCACTCACTGGCTCACCTACCATAATTTCCAGTGCTGCAAGCCACATTCATGGTAAGTGCCTTAGGTATACCATTTAAAAATATTTTACACCTTATTTTTACCATACCTTGTCTTTATTTACATATACAGATACTTAACCATGGTGTTAGAATTGTCTATAGTATTTAGTATAGTAGCATACTGTATAGGTTTGTAGCCCAGGAGCAACAGGCCATACATATCATATAACTTAGATATCTATAAGGCTATATACCATGTAGTTTTGTGTAAGCACACTCCATGATGTTGGCACAACAAAACTCTCTAATGACACATTTCTCAGAATTTATCCCTAATGTTAAACAAGGTGTGACTGCAGTTTGTTCCTTTTTTAAGGCAGCATAGTATTCCATGGTATGGATGTATCACAGTTCAATAATTCACGCAGCGAAGGACATTTGGGTTGTTCCCAGTAAAAAACAAACAGATACTCAGTAGTTCTGTATGAAGGAAGCATCTTTCCCAAGAACGTTTTTAAAATGAGAACCCACTGGGTGCGGTGGCTCATGCCTGTAATCCTAGCTACTAGGGAGGCTAAGGCAGGAGAATTGCTTGAGCTCAGAAGGCGGAGGTTGCAGTGAGCCGAGACTGCACCACTGCACTCCACCCTGGGCGACAGAGTGAGACTCTAAGTAAAATAAAATAAAATAAAATAAAATAAAATAAAATAAAATAAAATAAAATAAAATAAAATAAAATAAGGGCTCACTAAAATGAAGGCCTAGGCTGGGCATGGTGGCTCACGCCTGTAATCCCAGCACTTTGGGAGGCTGAGGTGGGCAGATCACTTGAGGTTGGGAGTTCAAGACCACCCTGGCCAATATGGCAAAATCCTGTCTCTACTAAAAATACAAAAATTAGCTGGCATGATGGCTCGTGACTATAGTCCCAGCTACTTGGGGGGGCTGAGGAAGGAGAATCACTTGAACCTGGGAGGTGGAGGTTGCAGTAGGCCGAGATTGCGCCACTGCACTCCAGCCTGGGTGACAGAGCAAGACTTCATCTCAAAAAAAAAAAAAAAAAAAAAAAAAAGACAGACTAATGCTCACTTTAGCTATTGTTTTGTATACATGTTGCATACACGTACAAAGAATTTTGACTTCACAACAGTAAGACTTTTTTTTTTTTTTTTTTTAAATTCCAGAGCTTCTCTCCCCACTGAGGGGCAAGGTAACAAAGTAAATCCACAGTTAAGCTACCTCATACTGTAAGGTGATATTTTACTCTAGTTATGGAACTTCTTTCTTTCTGTCCTAAGAGCAGCAGTCCCCAACCTTTTTGGCACCAGGGACCTGTTTGGTGGAAAATAATTTTTCCCCAGATGGTGCAGGCGGTGAGGAGGATGGTTATGGGATGAAACTGTTCTACCTCAGATCATCAGGCATTAGATTCTCATAAGAAGCACGCAACCCAGATCCCTTGCATGCGCAGTTCACAGTAAGGTTTGCAATCCTATGAGAATCTAATGCCACCGCTGATCTGACAGGAGGCAGAGCTCAGGTGGTGATGTTCACCGGTCCACTGCACACCTCCTGCTGTGTGGCCCAGCTCCTAAGGGTTGGGGACCTCTGCCTTATAGGACAGGTTAGCAAAGTTAATTGTACAACTAACCCACAAAAGTAATTTATATTTGTCTTTCATCAAACTAATGTTGTGACAAGTCAAATTCACTATTTTAAACGCTTAGATCAGACAATATCAAGTTATTCCCTCTCGAGAATGGTCAAGAATAAAAACAAATGTAGTTTATTTTCTCTACCTAATTTCTTTTGCAGATGAAGTTGTTATAGGGAGTTGTAGATAAAAACTTTAGTAAAGCAAACATGATTTAAACATGCTGTGCAATCCACTATTTATGAAATAGGCTGGGTGCAGTGGCTTATGCCTGTAATTCCAGCACTTTGGCAGGCTAAGGCAGGAGGATTGCTTGCGCCCAGGAGGTGGGAGACCAGCCTGGGTAACACAGTAAGAACCTGTCTCTACTAAATTAAAAAATTAGCCATATGCCTGTAGTCCTAGTGACAAGTTTGTAGTCGTAGTTACTTGGGAGCATAAGATGGGAAGCTCCCTTGAGCCTCAGAGTTCAAGGCTGTGGTGAGCTATGATCCTGTCGCTGCACTCCAGTCTGGGTGACAGGGTGAATCCCTGTCTCTTAAAAAAATAAAAAATGAAATAAGGGGGCTCAAAAACCTTACACCTTGCCTAAAGAAGTGAGCTGACAGGTAGAAATTTGGAAAAAACTCACAAATATAAAATTCACAAGGCAAAGAGGGAAAAAAGATCATAAACTATAGGGCTTTCAAAATTCTCAGAAAAGGAAATTAAAGTTAATAGGTGTGTATGGAGACTAAGAATGGGTAAGATGAGGGAAAATAGTAAAGATAAAATCTAGATATAAAAAAACCAAATTGCTGGAAAATAAGGTACAAAACTAGTTTGAGGCCAGGATTTAGTTTCATCTCTATTTCATCCCTCAGCCAATAACTAATTGAATTAAATTCTGGAAATGATATACAGTCATGTTGATGCTAACGTCTCATTAGGTACAAGCAAATGTGTTTAATTATATAACTTCCTTATTTGAGAAGCAAAGTTAACTTGACAAAATTTTGTTTAATTATACGATTTAATTCTTTGCACATGTCCGTATTACTAAACATTATGGGAAGTCTCGGGGATTAAGTGGAAGATGATTTAATTTTTTTTAAAGTTTACAATTATACTGAGAAAAAACTGACTTCCTTCTCTTCACAACAGCCATCTCATATTTATTTATTTATTTATTTATTTATTTATTTATTTATTTATTTTTGAGACAAAGTCTTGCTCTGTCGCCAGGCTGGAGTGCAGTGGTGCAATCTCAGCTCACCGCAACCTCCACCTCCTGAGTTCAAGTGATTGTCCTGCCTCAGCCTCCCGAGTAGCTGGGACTACAGGCACCCGCCAACACGCCCTACTAATTTTTGTATTTTTAGTAGAGATAGGGTTTCACCATACTGGCCAGGCTGGTCTCGAACTGCTGACCTTGTGATCTGCCTGCCTCGGTCTCCGAAAGTGCTGGGATTACAGGTGTGAGCCACCCCGCCTGGCCCTTCATTTTAGTTATCTTAAGTTATAAGAAATAAATTATTATCCCTATATGCAAATGTGGTTATAAAGACAGAGTATTGATTCTGTGGTTTGGTGCTGCAATAGCAATTTGAAAATTACATTACCATTTGTTACCACACCCCCTTGACACACTAATTCCCCAACTTATTTACAATAGAATATGGAAAGTCAATAGTGAAATTTTTTAATTCAAATAGCAATAGTATTTTACAAACCTATCAAGCCTTGTTTATCACTGTAATATTCTCAAGAATGGGAAAAACAAAACTGCTACCAATTTTCACTACTTTATTTCTGAGAAATTAAAACTTAATACTAACTCAAATGGATGTAATTAGGTATATTAAAGTACCAGTTCAAAAAAGAAGAAAAAAAACCCTATTACTTGCAAGGCATGGCAATGCACATCTTCTGCATAATATTTGACAAAGCTTATTTCAAGTTTATATAATTTTCTATTGCTACTGTCATGTAAGACCTCTTTGGAGAAGCACCCATTTGTACCAGGTTCAATGACTTCGGAGGCCCACCATATATATACCTCACCTCGTTATTTTGCATAAGGTGCAGCTTGTCTTGAACCCTGACTGGACATTCCTGTCAGAAAGACTTCATAATATAACTGTCTTCATGCTAACCTTAAATTTGTTTAACTATACAAATTCCAAGAACACTATTATATGTGAAGACTCAGTAAATTTTCAGAAATGCCTCTGAAGAGAAAGGAATAGCACCTCTCACAAGTTGTTTCACAGAAAAGAAACACTCAAGTGTTGATAAATAAGGAGAATTAAAAAGAACAGCAACAAAACTGTAGTCACATATGGTTGTAACAATTTCAAATGATTTGCTTAATCTTAACTCTGTATTAAACAGTTCAAATGTCATCTGGTAGCACAATGAATATGGATAGCAAGTATATAAACTAGAGCTTGAAACATTTAACAGCTAAATAAAATTTAAAAGATATTACAATAGTTAACCACTACATGGAGTACACTAATTTTTATTCCCAATAATCCATTTGAAATGTATTCCACAGACACTTGCATTTTAATTCAAAGTCAAAAAAACTTCCATAAGCTAATCAAAAATAACTAGTCGCAAACTGTGCTTAAGTCACTATATAAATTAATACACCCATGGTACTCTTCAGTAACAGAATGTGTTCTAAGGCTGCAACAACACCCTCAGCATATGAACAACAAACCCATTCTCTAAATATGCATGAAAATAACAGTTAATATTTATTGCACAAACTGTGTCAGGCACAATGCTAGGGGATTTACATACTTTACCTCTAATTTTCTGTTTTCTTTCTTTTTAAGATGGAGTTTCGCTCTTGTTGCCCAGACTGGAGTTCAATGGCCTGATCTCGGCTCACCGCTGCCTCCCAGGTTCAAGCGATTCTCCTGTCTCAGCCTCCCGAGTAGCTGAGATTACAGGTGCCCGCCACCATGAGCGACTAATTTTTTGTATTTTCAGTAGAGACGGGGTTTCTCCATGTTGGTCAGGCTGGTCTCCAACTCCCGACCTCAGGTGATCCGCCCGCCCAGCCTCCCAAAGTGCTGGGATTACAGGTGCGCCAACGCGCCCGGCCACTATTATATATTTATCTCTAATTTTCATAACTCCCTAAGTTAAGCATTATCATCCTCATTTTACAGATGAGGAAACCGAACTGAGGTTCATGGAGGGATCCAACAGCCAGGAAGAAAATGTAGAAGACTCCTAAATTTTCAACAGCTCTTTCTCTATATAAATCACCCAAGATCTGAAAGTATCGATTGTATAATTTATCAATTAACTCTTAAGTTCTGGAAAATACTATGCTGGCAGCTGGCAATATATGTTACAGGAACTCTGTGGGGATCTCAGGGGACTTGCCTTCCAAGGCTGTGTATTTATTTCTTTATTTTTTTGAGACCATGTTCTGCTATATTGCCTAGGCTGGCCTTGAACTCCTGGGCTCAAGTGATCCTCTCACCTCACACTCCTGAGTAGCAGGGACTACAGGTGACTACTACATGACTGGCAATTTTCATTTTTTTAATAGATACCACAAATTTCCTCCAGGACCTGAATGTATCTATGTCAATTCTGTAACTAGGTGTACTAGTTATGGAATACAGAAGATCATTAAGCCACCATAGTCTTCTCAAACCCTGAAGAAATGATCAAAACTCAGATGTTTCCTCAGAACCCAAGTTTATTCTGCTAACAAGTAAACCTCAGAAATGGGCCTAGAATTTTATCTCTGATCACAGTTATGTCTACTACAGACTATAGAATCCATGATTTAAAGACATATTCTTCCAGGCATAAAAGCAGAGTGGTATTTGAAAAGACGAGCGTACTCCATCAAAATGTGATGAAGAAATCATAACAGAATGCCCTAAAAATAGCCAAATATGCCAAATTTTTAGAAATTGAGACGTGTCCAATTATTCCTGTCAGACTGGTATCCTATTACTTAGAAGATCTTGTTTCACATATTATAAATGGGTAGACTTTCAGTTTGACTTTAATCATCTTTTCATTTAAAAGTTTTTGTCATCAATGATATTTAAGCTAAAAAAGGTTTCTTACAGTTACAATTAGGTAAACTATAACCATGAAGATATATATATATATATTTAGAAAATTTTATTAGAAAAACCATTTGCTGTTCACTAATCCTAATTTGGAAAGCACCTCTTCTTCACCTTTTACTTAACTATCCCAGGACAATTACACACGGAGCATGATAGTCCCAATAATTTAAGTTTCTTTATAAAAACAAGCTCAACAGAGTCACCCTTTGCACCTAGTCACAGCAACAAAAGAAAACAAAACACCAAAAAACTTCAAAGCCCACAAAGATTTGTTGGCAGCCTAAGGCTCAGGAATCAAAACGTGTGTAAATCTGATCCCGGGGGACCGTGGCACTGACAGTCATTCAACTTTCTTTTTAATATTCCCATTGTGCTTTTTCTGGTACCACAGGGAAAATGTACCTACATTTTACCAACCGGTCGAAGCTGAAAATTCTCTTGGTGCAAGGCCAGGGGATGCGGCCGTGGGGCGGCCGGGGGAGCCCGGGGCACCGGCGCCAGCCACACGAGAGAGCAGTACCACGCTCTTGGCAGGCCTGCTGTGGCTGGCTCCCGAGTCCCTGGGGCTGCAAGAGCAGCCGCGGAGGCAGCAGCAGCAGCCATGGCAGGGACTCGGAAACCTTTCCCCTGCCTCCTCCGCTAGGCCTCGAGGGGTTTGCTTTTCACATGGCCCCCGGGTGGGGGCGGTGGGCACAAGGCAGTGGCTGCAGCTGCAGCCGGAGCCGCAGCCGCGGGCCAGGCGAGCCTGGCTCACTCGGAACCCGACCTAACGGCGGGCTGGCAGCAGCGGGACGTCAGAAGGCCCTGGCTGAAGCGCCGACGACCCGGCGGGGAAGGCCACCTTTCCACACACCACATCTCTCCCCTGCCTGCCTCCTTCTCCGTTAGCGCTACCGGTTGGCGGGCGGGGGAGGGGAGCAAGGCGCGTTATTCCCGGGGAGCTGGACGGGGGAGGGAAGGGCATCTCTTACCCGCGTTACTGAGGAGGAGGAGGCGGTTGGAGCGCGGCGCGGCGGGGCGACGGCGGGGCTGGGTGGGTGCAAGTAAGAGTCTTACGAAAGGGAATTAACCCCATCACCAGCCCGGACACCGGCTCCAGCGGCAGCCGCGGCTGGCAGAATCCCGCCCCTTCCCACCACGCACTAGCCCCGCCTCTTCGTTCTCTTTGAGCGGCAGCCGACTATTCATAGGTTGTACGTCCCCGGAGTGACATGAGTTTTGCCCAATCAAGCTTGAAAAAAACTGTCTTCTCTCCACCCCTTTACCTCCTCCCAGGCCGCGGAGAGCCGTGCCAAATCTTCCTCCAACCTCAAGAGAAAAAGAACCAATCCGTGGTAAGTAACCGCCCTTGAAGGACGCAAAAGCCAACCAATGGTAAAACTAGGAGGACAGCCATTTTGCCCACTTGTAAAAGAGCTACCTTTTCCCACGAGTTGGAGCCTGAGGTGCGGAGTTTCGTGAGTTTTTACTGACTCGAGGTATTTAAAAGACAACCAGATCTCCTCAGTGGGTATTTATAGTGCTTTTTAGGGGTAAAGGAAAATTATCCTCCATGTGGGGCGAAGTGAGGCATGCTGCTTAAGGGGTTGGCTCCTCCCCTTAGCGCTAACGGGTTCTGAAACGAACACCTGGTTTCTCCAGCTTCAGTGGCGGAGGGCGGGGTGATTGCTCTTTTCGGCCTGGAGCGGACTACGATTCCCAACATGCTTTTCCCCTACTCATAACTTCTCCTCCGTTCACTTGTCGCGGTGCTTGGCTGGAATTGTAGTTCCTGAGAGGTACCCATGCCGCCGCTTCAGCCAATGAAAAGGGACAGAGTTTTGAATGACTTGAAATTAGGGCGGAGAACGAGTTGTCGCGAGGCTGTACAGAGCCCTTTTCGCAACCCTAACGGGAGAGAAGTGATGGAAGAAGGGTAGCCGGAAGAGTTTCCTCAAAATACCATAGGGGTTTTAAATTATTAGTACGTATTTAAACTCATCTACTTTCACGTTGTCCCGTTGAACGTCACTTCCGCTTAGGGGCGGACACGTCCCAAACCTGTGGCGGGAGTTGGAGATTCTGCGGCGAATACGCCAGGTGTGACTGGCTGGAAGTGGCGTGGCTGGCAAGTCGCTAGTTTCTTGCATGGGAGATAAAAAGTTGAACGGAATTTAATGGCATTTTAAGAAAGAGTGGGTGACATGGGATGGGGGTAATTTCCAGGGCCCTTATTACTTTCTCCACCCCGGCCTTCAATCGCGGGCGTCTCGGCCTGCTCGCTATTAGATTGCACGGCTAAATTTGTAGAAAGTACCTCTACTGCCTTTAGTCTTCGCGTGGTCAGTTTGAACTGTAAAGACAGGGCTCCGAAGTTCTGAACTACATTTACAGACACACTTTTTTTTTTTTTTTTTGAGACGGAGTCTTGCTCTGTCCCCAGGCTGGAGTGCAGTGGTGGGATCTTGGCTCACTGATTCACGCCATTCTCCTGTCTCAGCCTCCGGAGTAGCTGGGATTACAGGCGCGCGCCACTCAGCCCAGCTAATTTTTTGTATTTTTAGTAGAGACGGGGTTTCACCATGTTGGCCAGGATGGTCTCGATCTCCTGACCTCGTGATCCGCCCACCTTGGCCTCCCAAAGTGCTGGGATTACAGGCGTGAGCCACCGCGCCCGGCCACAAACACACTTCTAAAGTCAGCTTGGAAGGAAAAGAGTCACAGAAAAGGGCTTTTCTGTTTGAAGGATTGATAATCAAGAGTGGCCCCATCACCACTCTTTGAGTAACGACCATTTATTAAACGAGTGGCAGACAGGCGCGGTGGCTCAGACCTGTAATCCTAGCACTTTGGGAGGCCGAGGCGGGAGGATTACTTGAGGTCAGGAGTTCGAGACCAGCCTGGGCAACATGGTGAAATCTTGTGTCTGCTAAAAACTCACACACACACATTAGCCGGACGTGGTGGCAGAGATCTGTAGGATCTGTAGTCCCAGCTACACGGGAGGCTGAGGCAGGAGAATCGCTTCAACTTCGGAAGTGGTTACAGTGACCCGAGATCGCGCCACTGCACTCCAGCCTCGGGTGACAGAGCGAGACTCCGTCTCAAAACAAAAACAAAAACAAAAAACGTGTGACTACAGGGTGCCAACTATAATACACCGATGAATAAAGGCATCACTAAAAAGATGCCTTTATTCATCGGCCACATGGAGCCCACAGCCTAATAATCTTAGCACGTAAGGCCCTGATTTATGCCTCCTTCAGAGTTCAAGGGCGACTGTATGTATACTTTTGGACATTCCATTTAAGGTACCCAGGAAAACTGATTGAATAAAGAAGATACAAGTTACAGAAAAGGGTTTTTCCCTCCCTATGCGTGTGCCCTTTATTCTTAAACTCTTTGCTTTATTATTTTGACTGAGACTTTCTCAGATAAATTCTAATTCAGTTTACTCCATGATTTTACTGAGATTTTCTCTTATAAATCCTGTTGTATTTATGGTATGAGCGCTTAACACTGTATTGGGTACTATACCAGACTTTGGGTAGAGCAGTGCCTAAAAAGACAGGCTCCTTGTCCAAAAGTTGTGAGGAAGAGAGAGGCTAAACAAAATTGTAATGTCACTTACTGTTTCAATCTCTAAGTCAAGTCTTCTTTAGTCACATTTTGTATGTTTATTTGGTCCCTTCTTTACATTCTACCTTTGGATTAAAATAAGCACGTTTTCCTCTTTGCATTGTTTTTACTAAAGCACTAATCTGTGTCCAATACTAACGAGTGATGTTTGTATACAAAGTAAGATGGTAAATTTTATAGTGTAATCCTGCTAGATATAGGAATGTAACCATACCTTGCAGCAAGACATTTTTGTAGATCTACCAGGCAAAGTGTTGTCTCTTGCTTTTTAATGCAATTAGGATATTCAGTGATAATTTAGCAATGCAGTCTACTGTAGATGCTTAGTTTTTTTTTTTATTTGTTTGTGTCAGGAGTTCTTCCAGTGTAAATCTAGTCACTAAATAGTAATGATGGCCATCATTTTATTGAGTTTCGTCTGAGCCAGAAATGATGTTATGTGTGATAAGTACATTTTCCTTATGACAAACTGTAAGTCTTCTTGACATTTTTATATTTGAAGAAAGTGAGGCTCAATGAAGGTAAATAAGACTTGTAGAGGTCTGACCTGGTGGCTCATACCTGTAATCCCAGCACTTTAAGATGTCAAGGCAAGAGAATCACTTGAGTCTAGCAGTTCTAGACCAGCCTGGGCAACATAGGAAATTTCAGTCTCTACAAAAAATAAAAAAATTAGCTGGGCGTAGTGGTGCACAACTGTGGTCCAGCTACACAGGAGGCTGAGGTGAGGGAATCGCTGGGGCCCAGGAGGTCAAAGCTGCAATGAGCTGTGATTGAGCCACTGCACTCCAGCCTGGGGCAACACAGGAGACTCTGTCTCAAACAAACCACAAAAAAAAAAAAAAGAGCTTTAAGGTCTGAGGCCCCTATTAAATAAATTTGAGTTGAGATTCATATCCAGGCCTGTCTAATTCCTGAACTCTTAACCACTATTCATCTTGCCTTTCAAATTTTTATTAATCCTTCAACGTGTGCCAGACACATAATGATGAGGGAAACAAAATTCCATCCCAGGATTCTGGAGCCAATGGTGGCAGTCACTTCCTCTTGTAAGCCATCTTTTGCCATGTACGTAATACTTAGTCCACACGGGAAAATGTAAAAAAGAAAGTAAAGGTCATCTGCAATTCTATTACCAAGAGATGCCACTGTTTACACATATCTCTGTCTTTAGTTACAGGTATGGACACATGTTTTAATGATATAATGCTTTGCTTTTTTTAAATTGAAAAAACTTGCAACAGTGGGCTATGGTTGTGGCTGAATAGATACCAGTATTATCATTTGTGATAGCTACTTTATTGTATAGCTCTAGCATAACCAATTCCCTGCTGATGGATATTTGCATTGTTTTCAATTAATAATTTATTTTTTATTGTGTTAAAAACGCATAACACAATATATCATCTTAACCATCTTTTTTTTTCTTTTTTTATTTTGCGACAGAGTCTTGCTCTGTCTTCCAGGCTGGAGTACAGTGGCTCACTGCAACCTCTGCCAACTGGGTTCAAGTGATTCTCCTGTCTCAGCCTCCTGAGTAGCTGGGATTATAGGCATGCACCATCATGCCTGGCTAACTTTTGTATTTTTAATAGAGATGGGGTTTCACCATGTTGCCCAGGCTGGTCTCGAACTCCTGACCTCGAGTGATCCACCCACCTCACCTCCCAAAGTGCTGGGATTACAGGTGTGAGCCACCGTGCCTGGTCATCTTAACCATTTTTAAATGTATAGTGTGACCCTGAGTCTTCTCTGAGGCCCCATGTGTGGGTGCCAGATGATTGTCGACAAAAAGAGTCAAACTGTAAAATATGAGGAGATTTATGCTGAGCCAAATATGAGTGACCATGGCCCATGACACAGCCCTCGGGAGGTCCTGAGAACATGTGCCCAAGGTGGTTGGGGTACAGCTTGGTTTTATGTATTTTAGGAAGGCATGAGACATCAATCAAATACATTTAAGAAATGCATTGGTTTGGTTTAGAAAGGCGGGACAACTCAAAGTGGGGACTTCCAGGCTATAGGTAAATTTAAACATTTTCTGGTTGACAATTGGTTGAGGTTGTTTGAAGACCTGGGATTGACAGAAAGGAATGCTCAGGTTAAAGATAAAGGATTGTGGAGACCAAGTTTTATTGTACAGAGGAAGCTCTTAGATAGCAGACTTCAGAGAGAGCAGGTTGTAAATTGTTTTTTATCGGACTTAAAAGGGTATCTGGCTCTTAGTTGATTATCTGCTGGATTTGGGAAGGAAGGTAGGAAAACAAAGGGGGAAGGGGATTCACTATAGAATATGGATTTTAACCACAAGAGACTTTGCAGGACAATTTTAAGGTATGGCAAGGAAATATATTTTGGGGTTAAATATTTCTTCCTTGTCTCATAATGTTATGCCACAGTCAGATTGAAAAATAAATCACAATATATAGTTTCAAATAAAACCCCCCTGATGAGAATTTATGGTTTGTAGGGCATGACTCCCTAGACCCCTTAGTTAGGAATTTGGGTAAAATAAAAAAATCAGGTTGGGCTCATTGGCTCACGCCTGTAATCCCAGCACTTTGGGAGGCCAAGGCAGGCAGATTACTTGAGGTCAGGAGTTCAAGACCAGCCTGGCCAACATGGTGAAACCCTGTCTCTACTCAAAATACAAAAATTAGCTGAGTGTGGTGGCGGGCACCTGTAATCCCAGCTACTCGGGAGGCTGAGGCAGGAGAATGGCTTGAACCTGGGAGGTGGAGGTTGCGGTGAGCCGAGATAGTGCCATTGTACTCCAGCCTGGGCGACAGAGTGAGACTCCGTCTCAAAAAAAAAAAAAAAAAAAAAAAATCATAGCTTAGTCCTCAAGTACAATTAAATGTACCTTGTGCAATAGCTATCTAGAACTTTTTCATCTTGCAGATGTGAAATTCTATACTTATCAAACAACAACTGCAACTCCCCTGTATCCTTTGCACCACAGCCACCATTCCACTTTCTGTTTCTGAATTTGACTACATACTTTAGATACCTCATGTAAGTGGAATCATGTAGTACACTATTTCACTTTTTGTGGCTAATTTATTTCACTTTCTATAATGTCTTCAAGGTTCATCTGTGCAGAGCATGATAGGATTTCCTTTTTTTTTTTTTTTTTTTGAGACAGAGTTTTGCTCTTGTTGCCCAGGCCAGAGTGCAATGGTGTGATCTCGGCCCACTGCAACCTCCTCCTCCCGGGTTCAAGCGATTCTCCTATCTCACTGTCTCGAGTAGCTGGGATTACAGGCACGCACCACCATGACCGGCTAATTTTTTTATTTTTAATAGAGACGGGGTTTCGCCATGTTGGCCAGGCAGGTCTGGAGCTCCTGACCTCAGGTGATCCGCCCGCCTCAGCCTCCCACAGTGCTGGGATTACAGGCGTGAGCCATTGTGCCCGGCCCAATCCTGTTTTCAGTTCTTTCGGATATATACCCAGAAGTACGATTGCTGAATAGACTAGGTTTTATAGGTAATGCTGTCATGTGCACTCTCTTTGTATGCTTCCCTGATTATCCCTTGAATCTAACCTTTTAGAAGTAGGTTTTTTAGCCACAAATACTCTGTGATTTCTAAGTTGCTCTTCAGAAAGGATGTTCCCATTTTCTTTCCTACTAATGGTGTTTGAGAGCACCCATTTCCCATGTTTTACTCTATTCAATCTGATCTAAAAGGTGATGGTTCATTATATTTCATTTGTATCTAGTTGAATTCTATTGATGTAGAGCATCTTTTTTATGTTTATTATCCTTTGGTGTTTAGTCTCTTTTGTGTAGCCTGTTGCTGTCATTGTCTCTTAATATTTTTTAAAAATTACTTCATAGGCTGTTAATTCTTTGTCATATTTCTCACATCTTTACTCCCATTTTGAAATATCTTTTAACTTTTTAATGTTTTCTTCCTATGGCTAGAAGTTTAAATTATTTTAGTGTCCAAATCTATCCATCTTTTTTTATAGCTTCTAATTTATTTGTGATGCTTAGAAATGCTTTCCCCACCCCAGATTAGTAAAAAAATTATATATCTAATTAAAACATTTTTGTATTTTATAATTTATCTGTAATTTTTTTGGTATAAGGAACAAAATAAAGATTAATCTTTTTTAGGCTAAACCCAATACCATTTATTAAATAATTCATCTCTCCATACCCATTAATTTAAAATATAATTTTATCATATTCACAATTCTCATTTATACATGGTTCTCTTTGGACACTGTTCTTTTTCATTGTTCTCTCTTTTCTTTGACTTGTACCATACCCATTATCTTAATTTCTGTAACTTTGTAATAATATGTTTTGGTGTCTAGAGGTAAGGTGTGTTCCCGCTCTTCTTTTTCAGTCATTTTCTTGTTATTCTCAGCTTTTCTTGTAATTTATTAGTTAGATTTTTGTCAAGTTAAAAATCTCTGCACTTTCATATTTTAACAAAATGCAAGTTTGACATTTATATATATACCAAATATGACTTCTTAAAGCCAAGTATTTCATTTCATAGTAACAATACAGAATTTTTCTTGGGTGTCATCGAGAATCAATGGGTCATTCTATGCTTTGTTAAAACATATTTCTATTATAGAATTCTACAGGATGGTCGCGGTGGCTTAAGCCTGTAATCCCAGCACTTTGGGAGGCCGAGGCGGGTGGATCACCTGAGGTCGGGAGTTCGAGACCAGCCTGACTAAAATGGTGAAACCCCGTCTCTACTAAAATACAAAAAAGTAGCCAGCTGTGGTGGTGCATGCCTGTAGTTCCAGCTACTCAGGAGGCTGAGGCAGGAGCTTGAACCCGGGAGGCCCAGGTTGCAGTGACCCGAGATTGTGCCATTGCACTCCAGCCTGGGCAACAAGAGCGAAACTCTTTCTCAAAAAAAAAAGAAAAAAGAATTCGACCAAAATGGTTACAATTTAAAAGCCCATCTTATTTTTTAAATTATATAATCACTTTTTAAATATAGATACTTGTATTTTGTAGGTGGCTTCCAGGAGAACCTGATAACTTCTAAATGCTTATCTGTAACTTAAAACTGTTTATCCCACTGTACTTCACAGCCTTCTCCAAGTACTTCAAATTCAGCATGTCCCAAATCATGGCCCACAATCTTCACCCCTAAATCTGTTCTACCCTCTGTATTCTCTCATGTGTTTATTTGCTCAGGGAATATTTACTGAGCATCTACTGAAAGAGGTACTGAATAATCAAGACTATAGGCTGGAGTCTGCCTAGGCTTGATTCTTTGTTGTGTCATTTACTTGTGTTACCTTGGGCAGATTAGTTGACCATCTGTGTCTCAGTTTCCTTATTTGTAAAACTGAGATAATGAGAATACCTACCTTAGAGGCTTTTGTGAGGATCAAATGATTTAATACATAAAATACTTAAAACAGTACCTGACACATAATAAGTGTGTGTTGCTTTTTTATTAATATTGTTTCCGTTAATCAGGCTGATGCTAGATGCTAGAGTCCTGAAATAAAACCATAAGAAAGTCTATGATTCCTGATTTATGAAGACATTCTAACAGAAGTGAGAGACAAAATTTAAGGAAACAGAGAAGAATAATTGCCAATTACAATAAGTACTTTAAGGAAACCAAGTGGTATTAAGGGAAATTTAGAGGAGTCCAGTTGGGAGCTGTTGTGCTAATCCTGTTGAGCGGTGATGATGGCTTGGATTTGGTGATAGCAGTGGAACTTGGGGGGGAAAAGGATAGACTTGAGATACATTAATATTTTGGGAATAATGAATAATAAGTGGATTCAACTTGGTGGTTTAGGGAAAGGGAGAAATCAAGAATGAAACCCAGTTTGAGTAACTTGCATGGTTGTACTATTTACTGAGACTACAGGGGCACACAAATTTGGTGAGAAATCAAGACTGGTTTTGGACTTTTAAGCTAAAAATGTCTGTTTGGATATTGGAGATATCCAAAATGTCAGGTAGGTAATTAGATATAGGAGTCTATGAAGAGATTATGAATTGTATTACCTGGACTATTTGTGGTAGCCTTCTAAAAGGTTATTCCTGCCCCCACATTCATTTTTCTAAACTTGACAAGGTAATCTTTGTAAAATCGCAATCTGATTACACTTTAAAAATTGCTTCCAATTCCTTACAGAAAAAAGTCCAAACTCTTAGCATGGCACCTCTTTGACTTGGCCTGTTTTTACTTCTTTACTACATGTCACAAGGATCTTATTCTTTAGCTATACTAAACTGCTTAGGATTTTCTAAAACTTTTTTTTTCTTTTTCTTTTGAGATGGAGTCTCACTCTGTCACCCAGGCTGGAGTGCAGTGGTGTGATCTCGGCCTGGCTAATTTTTGTATTTTTAGTAGAGACAGGGATTCACTATGTTGGCCAGGCTGGTCTTGAACTCCTGACCTCAGGTGATCTGCCTGCCTCGGCCTCCCAAAGTGCTGGGATTACAGGCGTGAGCTACCTTGCCTGGCCAGATTTTCTAAAACTTTATGCCTTTGCAACTGTGGCTTTTTTCTCCCTGTTGGGGAAACCAGCCCCACACCACCCGGCGGGTACCCCAAGTCCAGCAGAAACAAAGGAATTAGAAAGAGACAGAATAAGAGTTTAAAAGGCGAGTCCAGGGGACTGGAGCATCGGAGGCTTGCTCGTAGCCTCAAGCTGTTGGCCTCCACCCAATTTATTGGTTTACAAGCTCTTTGTTCTTAGGGCAAATGGGAGGAATAGGAAGGGAAGAGGAAAAGGATTAATCAGTGAAGGAGAACTTGTGAGTCATTCAATAAGATGTTATAGCAGTGGCGGTTTCTGTGAATTTCCTTGAGCAAAGGCGTGTGTCTAAACTACTTAAGATCTTTAACTTTTCGGGACTGAAATTGGTGGGAGTGGGTTTCAGGAGAATCCAAGTTGTTTGATTATACTCCCCTGCTTCAAGGGAGTGTTATTTCCCTGAGCAACCTGTGGCATGCTGCAGAGCTGTTATGCTCTAGGAGCATAAAGACATGAAGGCAGTAAGGAGACTTTTCTCCTCAGAGGCCGCCCATGGCTCCCCATGGGTGTCTCACACAGGGGAGACCAACTCATCTGGCACCCAGAAACTGTCTTTCCCACACTCTCTAGAATATCCTTATCATGATTCTCTGTCTGCAGACTCCACTCTTCAAGTTTTAGCGTGAGTGGCATCTGGTATTTAAGTAAGGTGTACCATACCAAGCATTTTTTCTCACAAGTGAAGGCTTTTTTGATTACTTGCTGCCGTATAAAGCCAATGTTCCCTCTTATGTGTAGTGCCTTATATATATTCTATTTTCATAGCACTTATCGCATTGTGTTGTGTTGTTTACAGCTGTCATTTCCCCTGGGCTTGGATGTGAGGCTACAATGGCACAAATTCATCATTGTTTACCCAATACCTTCTGTAGTGTCTGAAGCATAGTAGGTATTTATTTATTTATTTATTTTTGAGACGAAGTTTGCTCTTTTTTGCCCAGGCTGGAGTGCAGTGGCACGATCTTGGCTCACCGTAATGTCTGCCTCCCGGGTTCAAGCGATTGTCCTCTGTCAGCCTCCCAAGTAGCTTGCCACCATGCCCGGCTAATTTTTGTACTTTCAGTGGAGACAAGGTTTCACCATGTTGATGAGGCTGGTCTTGAACTCCTGACCTCATGATCTGCCTGCCTCGGCCTCCCAAAGTGCTGGGATTACAGGCATGAGCCATCATGCCCGGCCATAATAGGTACTTCTTAAGTATTTCTTGAGTGAGTGATTTGGAGAGGCAATGTTGCATAATGGCAAAAATTCAGACTTTTAAATTAGACCAACCTGAGTTCTAGGCCTAATGTCACCAGTTGCTAACTTTTAAACCTCGTGTAAGTTATATAACATTTCTGAACTTTTAAATTTTCTTGTCCTTAACGTGAGGATAATTATATTTATCTTATGAGTTGTTTTGAGAATTTCAAGACTTCTTCTAAAATTTCCTAGTGTAGTGGTTTGCAGAAAGAGGTCACCCAATAAGTGGGAATTATTTTATCATTAATCTGAAAACAGTTGCCTGTAGAAAGAAAGATTGTAATATTCTTGCTTTTAAAGTAATTGGAGGCTGAGGTGAAAGGATTGCTTAAGGCCAGGAGTTCCAGACCAGCCTTGGCAATGTAATGAGACCCTATCACAACAAAAATTAAAAAAAAAACAATTAGCCTGACCAAGATGGTGTAACCCCGTCTCTACTAAAAACACAAAAATTAGCTGGGCGCAGTGGCAGGCACCTGTAAGCCCAGCTCCTCGGGAGGCTGAGACAGGAGAATTGCTTGAACCCAGGAGCCGGAGGTTGCAGTGAGCCGAGAGCACACCACTGCACTCTAGCCTAAGTGACAGAGCAAGACTCCGTCTCAAAAAAAACAAACAAAAAAACAATTAGCCAGGTGTGGTGGCAGATGCCTGTAGTCCAAGCTGTTTGAGAGGCTGAGGCAGGAGGATTGTGTGAGCCCAGGAGTTTGAGGTTGCAGTGAGCTAATATTGCACCCCTGTACTCCAGGCAGAGTGACAGAGCAAGACTTTGTCTCAAAAAAAAAAAAAAAAAGAAATCCTTTTTTCTCTTTGAGGTGGAGTCTTACTCTGTCACCCAGGCTGGAGTGCAGTGGCATGAACTTGGCTCACTGTAACCTCCGTCTCCTGGGTTCAACCGATCTCCTGCCTCAGACTCTCCAGTAGCTGTGATTACAGGCAAGGCACCTGCCACCATGCCCGGCTAATTATTTTTATTTTTATTTTTAGTAGAGATGGGTTTTCGCTATGTTTGCCAGGCTGGTCTTGAACTCCTTACCTCAAATTATCCACCCGCCTCGGCCTCCCAAAGTGCTGGGATTACAGGCATGAGCCACCGTGCCTGACCAAAACAAAAAAAAAAAAAAGAATTTAAGTGGAAAAAAAAGATTTAATGAAGAGGGAGTGATTACTGATAGGTCCGGTAAGATGAAGACAGAGAATTCCTTACTGCTTGCTTCCTTCCTTTTACCTCCGGTTCACAGCCTTTATATATACCATATCCTCTTCCTAAAACACTCTTTGATCCCTTCCTCTCTGGTTAATGTTGTTGAAGTATGAACTTTGATGTATGTATATTTAGAAGCCTTCCAAACACTCTAATCTGAAAAATTAGTCCCGTGTGTATGCTCCCTTAACACCCAGTACTTCCCCTGTAGTCTTTCTTCAGAACTGCATGTAATAATATATTTACTATTATATATCTGGAGCCTAGCACAATGTCTGCTACATGTGAACAACCGAATACACATTTGTTGAATGCATGAAAAAATGAAATTCAGGGAGTTGGATGATTACTTTTCATAGGATATAACTGTTTATAGGACCAGTATATTAATATTTAAAATAGATATTTTCAGTGGGATTTAGCCCTGAAGTAGAGATGGAGCATTCGTGTGATAAAAAGGGATGAAAGACCCAAATATAGGTCTTACTTCTGCTGTTAGCTACATGATCTTGGAGTTTTATCTTTCTGAGTCTTGCTCTGTTTAGCTCACTGCAGCCTGGACCTCCCTGGCTCAAGTGATCTTTCTGCTGCTGCCTCCCAAAGTTCTGGGATTACAGGTGTAATCATCATGCCCAAGCCAGGGTGTTTTGTTTTTTTTAATCTAAAAAAGATCATACTTTTTGAGTTCATTGTAAATTCACGGGAAATTGTAAGAAATAATGCGGAGAGATACTGTGGACCTTTCCCTAGTTTCCTCCAGTGGTAACATCTTAGAAAACTACAGTACAACCAGGATATTGACACAGTCAAAATAGAGAACATTTCCATCCCAGGAGGATCCCTCATGTTGCCTTCTTATAGCCACAACCACTTCTATCCCACCCCAACCTAACCACTAATCTATTATCCATTTCTAAAATTTTGTCCTTTCAAGTAGGTCGTGTAAATGGAATAAAATAATAAATGGAATTAAAAATAATAAATGGGCTCTCCCTGATAAATCACCTAATCTGAGGGACAGAAACAGTTTCCCCTGTCCAACAATCAGCTCCAAATTCTCCCTCCTGAACCCTATTATTTTGGAATTTTTGATAGCAACAAACAGAAGTAGGAAGCAAGATTAAGCAAACAAGGAAATAACATGCTGCAGTGCCTCTCAGCAGATAGATCTTCTCAGTAGGGGAAGCGTATAGAATAGCAGCTGAAAATGTGGCATATGACATCTATAGCCACATGACCTGAGTTTGTGACCCAGCTCCATAACTACAAGTTACAGGACTATGGTGGCTGGCAAGATGGCTGAATAGGAACAGTTCCAATCTGCAGCTCCCAGCGAGATCAACTCAGAAGACCAGTGATTTCTGCATTTCCAATTGAGGTACTTGGCTCATCTCATTGAGACTGGTTAGATAGTGGGTGCAGCCCATGGAGGGCAAGCCAAAGCAGGGTGGGGCGTTTCCTCATCCGGGAAGTGCAAGGGGTCAGGGAACTCCCTCCCTTAGCCAAGGGAAGCTGTGAGGGACTATGCCGTGAGAAATGGTGCATTCCAGCCCAGATACTATGCTTTTCCCATGGGCTTCGTAACCCACAGACCAGGAGATTCCCTAGGGTACCTACACCACCAGGGCCCTGGGTTTCAAGCACAAAACCAGACAGCCCTTTGGGCAGACACCAAGCTAGCTGCAGGAGTTTTTTTCATACCACAGTGGCTCCTGGAACACCAGCGAGACAATCATTCACTCCTCTGGAAAGGGGGCTGAAGCTAGGGAGCCAAGTGTTCTACCTCAGCAGATCCCACCCCATGGAGCCCAGCAAGCTAAGTAGATCCACTGGCTTGAAATTCTCACTTCCAGCACGCAGTCTGAAGTCTATCTGGGACGGTCGAGCTTGGTAGGGGGAGGGGCATTTGCCATTACTGAGGCTTGAGTAGGCGGTTTTCCCCTCACGGTGTAAACAAAGCTGCTGGGAAGTTCGAACTGGGTGCGGAACCCACCGCAGCACGCAAAGCCACTCTAGCCAGAATGCCTCTCTATATTCCTCCTCTCTGAGCAGGGCATCTCCAAAAGAAAGGAGCCCCAGTCAGGGGCTTATAGATAAAATTCCCATCTTCCTGGGACAGAGCACCTGGGGGAAGGGGCAGCTGTGCTCACAGCTTTAGCAGACTTAAATGTTCCTGCCTGTTGGCTCCGAAGAGAGCAGCATATCTCCCAGCACAGCACTCAAGCTCTGCTAAGGGACAGACTGTCTCCTCAAGTGGGTCCCTGACCCCCATGCCCCCTGACTGGGAGACACCTCCCAGCAGGGGTCAACAGACACCTCAGACAGGAGAGCCCCAGCTGGCATCTGGCAGTGCCTCCTCCCAGAGGAAGGAACAGGCAGCAACCTTTGCTGTTCTGCAGCTTCTGCTGGTGATACCCAGGCAAACAGAGTCTTGAGTGGACCTCTAGCAAACTCCAACAGACCTGCAGCAGAGGGGCCTGACTGTTAGAAGGAAAACTAACATACAGAAAGGAGTAGCATCAGTATCAACAAAAAGGACGCTCACACAAAAATCCCATCTGAAGGTCACCAACATCAAAGACCAAAGGTAGATAAATCCACGAAGATGAGGAAAAAACAGCACAAAAAGGCTGAAAATTCCCAAAACCAGAATGCCTCTTCTCCTCCAAAGGATCACTCCTCGCCAGCAAGGGAACAAAAGTGGACGGAGAATGAGTTTGATGAATTCACAGAAGTAGGCTTCAGAAGGTGGGTAATAACAAACTTCTCCAAGCTTAAAGAGCATGTTCTACCCCAATGCAGGGAAGCTAAGAACTTCGAAAAAAGGTTAGAGGAATTGCTAACTACAATAACCAGTTTAGAGAAGAACATAAATGACCTGATGGAGCTGAAAAACACAGCATGAGAACTTTGTGAATCATACACAAATATCAATAGCCAAATTGACCAAGCAGAAGAAAGGATATCAGAGATTGAAGATCAACTTAATGAAATAAAGTGTGAAGACAAGGTTAGAGAAAGAAGAATGAAAGGGAATGAACAAAGCCTCCAAGAAATATGGGACTATGTGAAAAGACCAAACTATTTTTGATTGGTGTACCTGAAAGTGACAGGGAGAATAGAACCAAGTTGGAAAACACACTTAAGGATATTATCCAGGAAAACTTCCCCAACCTAGCAAGACAGGCCAACATTCAAATTCAGGAAATATGGAGAACACCACAAAGATGCTCCTTGAGAAGAGCAACCACAAGACACATAATTGTCAGATTCACCAAGGTTGAAATGAAGGAAAAAATGTTAAGGGCAGCCAGAGAGAAAGGCTGGGTTACCTGGGTAACGAAGGGAAGCTCATCAGACTAACAGTGGATCTCTCAGCAGAAACCCTACAAGCCAGAAGAGAGTGGGGTCCAATATTCGTCATTCTTAAGGAAAAGGATTTTCAACCCAGAATTTCATATCCAGCCAAACTAAGCTTCAAAAGTGAAGGTGAAATAAAATCCTTTACAGACAAGCAAATGCTGAGAGATTTTCTCACCACCAGGCCTGCCTTACAAGAGCTCCTGAAGGAAGCACTAAACATGGAAAGGAACAACTGGTACCAGCCACTGCAAAAACATACCAAGTTGTAAAGACCATCAACACTGTGAAGAAATTTCATCAACTAATGGGCAAAATAACCAGCTAGTATCATAATGACAGGATCAGATTCACATATAACAATATTAACCTTAAATGCCCCAATTGAAAGACACAGACTGGCAAACTGGATAGAGTCAAGACCCATCAGTGTGCCGTGTTCAGAAGACCCATCTCACGTGCAAAGACACACATAGGCTCAAAATAAAGGGATGGAAGAATATTTACCAAGCAAATGGAAAGCCAAAAAAAAAAGAAAAAACAGGGGTTGCAATCCTAGTGTCTGGTAAAACAGACTTTAAACCAACAAAGATCAAAAGAGATAAGGGCATTACATAATGGCAAAGGGATCAGTACAACAAGAAGAGCTAACTGTTTTAAATATATATGCACCCAATACAGGAGCACCTAGATTCATAAAGCAAATTCTTAGAGACCTACAAAGAGACTTAGACTTCCATACGATAATAGTAGGAGATTTAATGCCCCACTGTCAATATTAGACAGATTAATGAGACAAAATTAACAAGGATATTCAGGACTTGAACTCAGCTCAGGACCAAGCAGACCTAATAGACGTCTATAGAATTCTCCACCGCAAATCAACAGAATATACATTCTTAGCACCACATTACTCTTATTCTAAAATTGACCACAGAATTGGATGTAATGCACTCCTCAGCAAATGCAAAAGAATGGAAATCATAACAAACAGTCTCTCAGACCACAGTGCAAGCAAATTAGAACTCAGGATTAAGAAACTCACTCAAAACCGCACAACTACATGGAAACTGAACAACCTGCTCCTGAATGACTACTGGGTAAATAACGAAATGAAGGCGGAAGTAAATAAATTCTTTGAAACCAATGAGAACAAAGACACAACGTACCAGAATCTCTGGGACACAGCTAAAGCAGTGTGTAGAGGGAAATTTGTAGCACTAAATGCCCACAGGAGAAAGCAGGAAAGATCTAAAATCGACACCCTAATATCACAAACAAATTCAAAAGCTAGCAGAAGATAAGAAATAACTAAGATCAGAGCAGAACTGAAGGAAATAGAGAACTATTAATAGCCTACCAACCAAAACAGCCCAGGACCAGACAGATTCACGGCCGAATTTGTACCAGAGGTACTAAGAGGAGCTGGTACCATTCCTTCTGAAATTATTCCAAACAGTAGAAAAAGAGGGACTCCTACCTAACTCATTTTATGAGGCTAGCATCATGCTGATACCAAAACCTGGCAGAGACACAACAAAAAAAGATGATTTCTGGCCATTATTTCTGATGAACATCGATACGAAAATACTCAATAAAATACTGGCAAACTGAATCCAGCAGCACATCACAAAGCTTATCCACCAAGATCAAGTCAGCTTCATTCCTGGGATTCAAGGCTGGTTCAACATATGCAAATCAGTAAACGTAATCCATCACATAAACATAACCAATAACAACACATGATTATCTCAATAGATGCAGAAAAGGCCTTCCATAAAATTCAACACCCCTTCATGCTAAAAAAAACTGTCAATAAACTAGGTATTGATGGAATGTATCTAAAAGTGATAAGAGCTATTTATGACACACCCACAGCCAATATCATACTGAATGGGTGAAAGCTGGAAACATTCTCTTTGAAAGCTGGCACACAAGGATGCCTTCTTTCACCACTCCTATTCAGCATAGTATTGGTAGTTCTGGCCAGGGCAATCAAGCAAGAGAAAGAAAGAAAAGATATTCGGATAGGAAGAGAGGAAGTCAAATTGTCTGTTTGCAGATGACATGATTGTATATTTAGAAAACCCCATCATCTCAGCCCAAAATCTTCTTAAGCTGATAAGCAACTTCAGCAGTGTCTCAGGATACAAAATCAGTATGCAAAAATCACAAGCATTTTTATACACCAATAATAGACCAACAGAGAGCCAAAACATGTATGAACTCTCATTAACAATTGCTACAAAGAGAATGAAATGCCTAGGAATACAACTTACAATGGAGGTGAAGGACCTCTTCAAGGAGAACTACAAACCACTGCTCAAGGAAATAAGAGAGGGCACAATCAAATGGAAAAACATTCCATGCTCATGGATAGGAAGAATCAATACTGTGAAAGTGGCCATATTGCCCAAAGTAACTTACAGATTCAATGCTATCCCCATCAAGCTACCATTGACTTTCTTCACAGACTTAGAAAAAACTACTTTAAATTTCATATGGAACCAAAAAAGAGCCCGTATAGCCAAAACAATCCTAGGCAAAAAGAACAAAGCTGGAGGCATCACGCTACCTAGTTTGACTTCAAACTGTGCTACAAGGCTACAGTAACCAAAGCAGCATGGTACTGTTACCAAAAGAGATATATAAACCAATGGATCAGAACAGAGGCCTCAGAAATAACACTACACATCTACAACCATCTGCTCTTTGACAAACCTGACAAAAACAAGAAATGGGGAAAGGATTTCCTATTGATTCCCTATTTAGTGAATGGTGTTGGGAAAACTGGCTAGCCATATGCAGAAAACTGAAACAGGACCCCTTCCTTACACCTTATCCAAAAATTAACTCAAGATGGATTAAAGACTTAAACATAAGACCTAAAACCATAAAAACCTTAGAAGAAAACCTAGGCAATACCATTCAGGACATAGGCATGTTCAAAGACTTCATGTTTTTGCTTTTAGTGTTGTTGTCTAAAACCATACCATAACCCAAGATTACAAAGGTTTACTCTTGTGTTTTCTCCTTGAAGTTTTATAGTTTTAACTGTTATGTTTTAATCTTTGATCCATTTTAAGTTAATTTTCATATGCAGCATGAGGTGGGGGTTTAATTTCATTCTTTTATATGAACATCTAGTTGTCTCAGCACTATTTGTTGAAAAAGTTACTCTTTTCCTATTGAATCCTCTTAGGACCCTTGTCAAAAAATTGACTGTAAATGTAAAGGCTTATTTCTGGACTTTCAGTTCTGTTCCATTGACCTAGCTGGTTGTCATTATGCTAGTAGTGCTACACTGCCTTGATTATTGTCACTTTGTAGTAAATTTTACAACCAGGAAGTAGAAGTCCTCTAGCTTTGTTCATTTTCAAGATTGTTTTGGCTATTCTGGGTTCCTTGCATTTCCATATGAATTTTAGAATCAGCTTGTCAGTGATCGAATTTTGAAAGTATAATCAGCTGTGCATTCCTGAAATAAGCCCATTTTAGTCTTGGTGTCTTAGTCTTTTAATTACTGCTATATTTGGTTTGCTAATATTTTGTTTACCTATGAATATGAGAGATTGTATTATGTATGTTTTTTCTTGTAATGTGCTTGTGAGATTGTTTAGGCTGGCTTCACACAATGAGCTTGAAAATAATACTCCTGTCTTTGCACCAAATGGGTCAGATTTGTTTATTGTATTCTTGAAATCATCTTTATCCTGTTACAATTTAATCAACTTGCATAATCAATTACTGAGAGACATGTGTTAAACTTTTCCACTGTGGTTATAGATAGATATGGTTGTGTCAAATTTTCCTTTTATTTTTATCAGTTTTTGCCTTGTATATTTATTAAGATATATTTTGAGGCTAAATTTTTCTAATAAATCTTTTATCATTATAAAATGCTTTTCTTTATTTTAATAATTTTTTTTTGCCTGAAACCTATGTTATCTTATAATGTAAAGCAATACTAGCTATACTTTGGCATGTATAATATGTCTTTTTTAATTCTTTTACTTTCAGTGTTTATGAATCCTCCTATTTAAGGGTATGTCTTTTAAAAGCAACATGTAAATTTATATATATTTTAATTTAATATAGGAATCTTTTCATTTGTTTTTAGTCCATTTACATTTAATATCTTTTCTAATTTACTAATTCTTTATTCTGCAGTAAATTTCATCCAATACATTCTTAATTAAAAAAAAAAATTATCTCCCCAAAGTTTATATAGTTGTCCTGACCCGCCATTTACTTGTTGTTTCTGAAATAAGTCTCTAGGTAGTGTATTTTAACAATATCTGATTCTCCTCAGTACAGTTCTACTATTTACTTAAATGAGTCAGTGAATTCCAGTTGAATTTGCCTTGTTCTCAATTGAGTACAAAAACACTATCTTGACCTAAAAAGATAGAAAGTATTTCCTTCTTTCTTTTTTTCAAGTGTTGCGTACCATACCAAGCAAATTGCTTAGAAAATAAGTTCTACTAGATTTTGCTTTCACTAAATTTCCCTAGCCAATATTGTCATTTTGATTTTAATAACATGGTATTAAAAATTATGTATTGCTGGTGCGGACACAGTTGCATGAGGGGTTTCTGCCATCATCAGTGCTGTGTAGCAGAGTTAGTTCCTCTCCAGCTCAGCCGCACAGGTTTGGACATATTTGACTTTTTCCCCTCAGTTTGAATTGACCAAAGCAATGGTGATGGAGAAGGCTAGTCCCCTGCTGGTTGGGTGGGAATTTGTGAGACAGCATTACACACTGCTGAACTAGGCCCCAGACATGCTGCATAGATTTTATGGAAGGAACTCTTCTTATGTCCATGGGGGATTGGATTCAAATAGAAAGCTAGCAGATGCAGTTTATGGACAGAAAGAAATCCACAGGAAAGTGATGTCACGAAACTTCAGCAACTGCCACACCAAGATTCTCCATGTTGATGCTTATGCCACACTAAATGATGGTGTGGTAGTCCAGGTGTTGGGGCTTCTGTCTAACAACAACCAGGCTTTGAGGAGATTCATGCAGATGTTCGTACTTGCTCCTGAGGGGTCTGTTGCAAATCAGTTCTATGTTCACAATGATATCTTCAGATAGCAAGATGAGGTCTTTGGTGGGTTTGTCACTGAGCCTCAGGAGGAGTCTGAAGAAGTAGTAGAGGAACGTGAAGAAAAGACAGCAAACACCTCAGGTGGTACCTGATGATTCTGGAACTTTCTGTGATCAGGCAGTTGTCAGTAATGACGTGGAAGAACATTTAGAGGAGCCAGTTGCTGAACTGGAGCCTGATCCTGAGCCAGAACCAGAACAAGAATGTGTATCTGAAATCCAAGAGGAAAAGTCTGAGCTAGTATTAGAAGAAACTGCTCCTGAGGATGCTCAGAAGAGTTCTTCTCCAGCACCTGCAGACATATCTCAGACAGTATGGGAAGACTTGAGGACATTTTCTTGGGCATCTGTGACCAGTAACAACCTTCAACCCAGTGGAGCTGTTCCAGTTACTGGGATACCTCCTTATGTTGGTAAAGTACTAGCTTCACAGCCCTGTACAGAGTCTAAGCCTGAATCTCAGATTCCACCACAGAAACCTCAAAGGGATCAAAGGATGTGAGAACAACGAAGAAATATTCCTCCCCAAAGGGGACCCAGACCGATCTGTGAGGCTGGTGAGCAAGGTGACATTGAACCCCAAAGAGTGGTGAGACACCCTGACAGTCACCAACTCTTCATTGGCAACCTGCCTCATGAAGTGGACAAATCAGAGCTTAAAGATTTCTTTCAAAATTATGGGAACGTGGTGGAGTTGCACATTAACAGTGGTGGGAAATTACCCAGTTTTGGTTTTGTTTTGATGATTCTGAGCCTGTTCAGAAGGTCCTTCGCAACAGGCCCATCATGTTCAGAGGTGAGGTCTGTCTGAATGTGGAAGAGAAGAAGACTCGAGCTGCCAGGGAAGGGGACTGACGAGATGATCGCCTTAGGGGACCTGGAGGCCCTCTATGTGGGCTGGGTGGTGGAATGAGAGGCCCTCCTCATGGAGGCATGGTGCAGAAAGCAGGATTTGGAGTGGGAAGAAGGCTTGCTCCATGGCAGTGAATCTTCATGGATCTTCACGCGGCCATACAAACCCTAGCTCCTACAGAATGGTGAATTTCTTTGACCAGCCTTTGGTATCTTGGAGTATGACCCCAGTTTGTTATAAACTGCTTAAGTTAGTATAATTTTACTTCTTTTGTGTGTTAATGATGTGTGCTCCTTCTCCCTCTCTTCCCTTTCCTGACCTTTAGTCTTTCACTTCCAATTTTGTGGAATGATATTTTAGGAGTAACGGATTTTTCAAGAAGAAGAAGAAAGAAAGACTGAATTTCCTTGCTTATTTTGCATGTACAGACTGGATTTTTTTCCTAACAGCCATTTCCCCAAAGGAATGTGTCTTGCGTATTACTGACATTTGGTACGTTTCATTCATTGGAATATTTCTTACTTTCTGTGTGTTTCAAAAGCCTGTGAGAAATACAGGATTTGATAACATTTTGAAGGCAGGAAAACCCCAAATTGTTACTTCTTTGAGAGTCACAACCACTTTCTGGTGTGGAGAAATTGCCATTGGAAAATTTGACAATTTTGATTCTCGCTGGTATGTTTAAAAACTGAATAAAAAGAATAGAATTTTTCTTTTGATATTGGATCACGAAACACTTCTAAAACCTGTTTTTACAGTGGGTTTGGAAAATTTGACAATTTTGATTCTCACTGGTATGTTTAAAATTTGGAAAATTTGACAATTTTGATTCTTGCTGGTATGTTTAAAAACAATAAAAGGAATAGAACTTTTCTTTTGATATAGGATCACAAAACAATTCTAAAACCTACCGTTTTTACCATTGAAATTTATATTGTGGTATAGGTTTTAAATGTCTAGAATGCAACTGGATGGGCTTTTCTTGAACTGTTAGTTTTTTTGAAGTAGAGTTTTTTCATGTTTAATTTGTATTTGTAAAAAAACAAAAGACAAAATATTCCCAAAACCCAGATAACAACCAGAACAAAACTGTTGTGCCTTCTGTTTATCTTTGATTTTAGTCTTGGCAATTGTTTAAAGAAAAATAATTTTTTAATATATCTAGATTTGTTTTATTAGGTTCAGATATTGTTTTTAATATCTAGATTTGTTTTATTAGGTTTTACTATGGTTGACTTATACTTCATGTGGGGAATTGTAGAAACCCTCTTTTATCACCTTGTATGTCTTCCGTTAACATTATTTGTTATACCTTATTCTAAAATTGAGTCTCAAACTAGAATCCCTTTGAAGACAGATGCTTCTGTAGAGGTTCTTTGACCTAAATGGTTCAGCATTTGTAGTAAGTTTTATTCTGGTATCTAATCGGACTCCTATTCATAGCCCATAAGAAGGAATGTGACTTTAATAATGGACTTTGCTGATGTGCTCCTGTCCACATTTTTTTTTCTTTAAATCATAGCCATATGGTAAATTTTCTATTTTGTTATGATTCTCTTTCATTGGTGGGCATGCAGTGGGTGTTTCTTGGAAATGGTCAATGTTTATTAAAATATTTCTGGAAGAAAATTTTTTTTTAAATTATGTATTCCTGGTTTCATTTTGATAGGCTCCCCCCGCCTTGCTATAAGTAAATTAGTATATATATATTGAATAAAACCTTTTAAGTTAAACCTTTGAACTGAATAAAGTATTCATTATTAAAAAGGTATGCACATTATTGTAACTGTTAATTTCTTGGTAATCTAGAATGAAGTTAAAATGTGCATCTTCTTTTATTAATGTAATGTTGATTACAACTGACTTTTTGTAGCAATTAAACCTATATGGCTGAACCTACATGAGATATTCTTTATTACACCTTTTTTACTTTAGATCCTATAAATAGAAAAGAATATTTTAAAAATTATTTTTAGGATTAACAAAAACATTCATGTTCTATTCATTACATTGTACCACTACATATTTTTAAGTTCTTTATTTATCCAAATATCTGTTTAAATCATCAATGAACCACACTATAATCTTAAATTCAACTGAAATTTTTTTCTGTACATTTTCATAATGTTTTAGATTTCTTTTATCTTCATATTTAATTTTTTCTCTTATTTGTGCCTATTAAAACAAATTTTTGATTAATATAACTTTAATTTCATTGTTTATTTTTACAAATATTGTGCCTTGGCCAGGTGCGGTGGCTCACGCCTGTAATCCCAGCACTTTGGGAGGCAGAGGCGGGCAGATCACGAGGTCAGGAGATTGAGACCATCTTGGCTAACATGGTGAAACCCCGTCTCTACTAAAAATACAAAAAATTAGCCTGACATGGTGGCGTGCCCCTGTAGTCCCAGCTACTCGTGAGGCTGAGGCAGGAGAATGGCGTGAACCCAGGAGGCGGAGCTTGCAGTGAGCCGAGATCGTGCCACTGCACTCCAGCCTGGGCAACAGAGTGAGACTCCATCTCAAAAGAAAAAAAACAAAAAACAAAAAACAAATATTGTGCCTGAGTCAGTCCTCATAAAAATAAATCATGTAAGTGGCAAAGTGACCCCAATTTACCAGATTTTTTTGGAGTGTCTATTAAAATTTTTTACTAAGTAAAATGTAAAGGAGTCGTTTTGTTTTGTTATTCTCTCTCTCTCTTTTCTTTCCCTTTCCTTCTTTTCTTTTCTTTCTTTTCTTGATAGAGTCTCGCTCTGTCATCCATGCTGGAGTGCAGTGACAAGATCATAGCTCAAATTCCTGGGCTCAAGCAGTCCTCTGAAGCCTCCCAAGTAGTTGGGACTACAGGCATGCACCCCCACAACCAGCTAATTTTATGATCTTTTGTAAGCAACAAGATCTCGCTGTTTGCCCTGGCTGATCTTCAGCTCCTGACCTCAAGCTATTCTGCCTCAACCTCCCAAAGTGTTGGGATTACAGCGATGAGCCACTGCACCCAGCAAAGAAAAAAAAAAAAAGGAGTCTTGAATAAAGATGATAGACAGCAACATTTTTTTTTAAAATTTTTTACTTAACTTCTTGCCAGTGTTCCACCCTAAAACATTACATCCTTTATCCCATTGACCCTAAAAAGTGCTTCTGAAACTCCTGTTACTTCTGGAAAGTGGACATGGTTTTCTGCTGCTGTTAGCCTTGCCAGAAGGAATTTTACTTAATCTCTGCTCCTTTGAGTTTTGACTTTCTAAAGTCCACAATAGTATATCTGATTAGTAGCTCTAAGGCAGGCTGGGAAAGTGTCTGATATTTCTTGTGTGTATCCATTCTCTATCTCTCCCTATAGGAACTTCAGACTCATATATTTTCAAGCATACCCAACATTTCCACTTCTTATCTTATAGCCATCTCAAAGAAAATCTGTGGATTTTTTTTCTACCCAATTTATTTATTCTGTAGTCCTTACCATCCCAGCCAATTGCATCACTAACTCCATCACTCTAGGTCCACATTTTGATTCTACATTTCTGTTATTCTCTACATGTACCGCATCAGCAGATGCTGTTTGCTTTACCTCTGATATACTTCGTGAATCTTTTCAGTTTCACTGCTAAAGGTTTTTTGCCTTGTCTGTTGCAACCTGAAAACAGTTTTCCTGCTTTCATGCTTTCCCTTTTTGCTCCATTCTCTATTCCTTGCTAAGTTTTGTTATGGGGGTGGTGGTGGTGAGAGGGTCCTAGGGAGGGCCACTCATGAGTGTTTATGAGGACCTTATTCAGACAGAACTGACTCATAAATCATTTCTAAATTCAATTGCCTACTGAAGCAGTGGAGGCTTTGTTGAGTGGCCAAATCCTATAAGAACATTTATCTCCTGCCTCCTTATTGATATCTTTGTCTCCTTCAGGTGTTTTTTGAAATGTAAGTCAGATTGTGTCATTCCCCTGTTTAAACCTTCCATTGAGTACTGTCCAATAGAACTTTAAGTGAAGAGAGAAATGTTCTGTATCTTTACTATTAAATATCATAGCTACCAGACACATGTTACTGTTGAGCCCGTGAAACATGGCTGGTGAAACTGGATAACTGAATTTTTAATTTTAATTTTAATTAAACATTTTGTTAATGGTGTATGCGACAGCACAACTCCATTAGCATTCCTTCTTAAAAAGGAATCCAAAGTTATTATCAAGGCTGTATATGATTTGGCTCTTGTTTATCTCGGTAGCTTCATCTTACACCGTTCCCTCCTTTGGATCATCAGCCACATTGGCTTTTGTTTTTCTTTTTTTTGAGATGAAGTTTTGCTCTGTTACCCAAGCTGGAGTGCAGTGGTGCGATCTCAGCTCACTGCAAATTCCTCCTCCTGAATTCAAGTGATTGTTGTGCCTCAGCCTCCTGAGTAGCTGGGATTACAGGCCTGTGCCACCACACCCAGCTAATTTTTGTATTTTTAGTAGGACAGTGTTTCGCCACGTTGACCAGGCTGGTCTCAAACTCCTGACCTCAGGTGATCCGCCCACTTTGGCCTCCCAAAGTGCTGAGATTATAGGCATGAACTGCTGTGTCTGGTCCACCTTAGCCTTCTTTCTGTTTTCCGAAAACACCAAGCCCTTTCTCAATTTGGGTCCTTTGCAGTGATGCTCTTTCCTCGGACTGCTCTTCTCTTAATTTTGATCCTGGGTGGCTTTTTACATCTTTCAGACCATAAGCCAAACAGCACTTCCTAAGACAGGCCACTCTTGGTCAGCCTACCTAAAGTGACCAGTACTCTCTTAAATTCCTTACACTATTTGTGCTATATTATAATTAATCATCCTTCCCATTCGATCAGGTGTAGCTGAAAACAAAAAAGAAAAACCGTCATATTTATTTATTTGCTAATTTTTAGTTTTCCCCTGAAGAATATAAACCCTACGAGTGCGTGGGTCTTGCTTCTCTAGGTTGTGGCATGTAGTACCTATTTGTTATTAATAAATAAATACTTGCTTTGTTCTTGACCTTCTTAGTAGACACAGAAGTTGGTTACTTTTTTGGATGGAAGAGAGCAATAGTTATATAAGTCTGCATGTAATTGAGGAAAAAAGCAAACTTTTTTTTTTTTTCCTTGAGACAGAGTCTCACTCTGTCGCCCAGGCTGGAGCGCAGTGGCATGATCTTGGCTCACTGCAACCTCTGCCTCCTGGGTTCAAATGATTCTTCTGCCTTAGGCTCCTAAATAGCTGGGACTACAGGCGAGCGCCACCACGCCCAGCTAATTTTTGTATTTTTAATAGATATGGGGTTTCAACATATTGGCCAGTCTGGTCTTGAACTCCTGACCTCATGATCCACCCACCTCGGCCTCCCAGAGTGCTAGGATTACAGGCGTGAGCCACCGCGCCTGGCCCGCAAACTTTTTTTTAAAGATGAGATAATATATAAACAGAAGGCAGGGTACCATCTAAATACAAAATATTATTATTTGATAGGCATTATAGTGTAGTTGTATAATAGGACATTTTCTTCCAGAGTTATAAGAATTTACAGATATATGACATTTTTATGTCATAGAAAATTACAGTAACATCTGTGGAAAACCAGGGGGTGAGGAAGGTGTTAATCAGGCAAAGTGCTATACTGTGGATTCAGCTCATTAAAAAGAATTAATTTTAATATTTAAACAATTTAATAATATTACATTAATTTAATTAGTATAAATTTGATTTTGGAGTTAATGTCTTTGTATTTTATAATTTTTTTAAATGTAGCTTTACCTCACTCTTAGAAAATCTGGTGTGATATGAAAATGTGGATCCATAAAAGGATGAATTATTAAAGGATTCATCTTTCTCTAGCAGATTCATCCCTTATTTTAAAAATTATTCGATTTGTGAAAAATCTAGTTTATTTATAATTTTTTAGTAATAAATTTGTGGTGTTAAACTGGTGTATAGTATATGGTATTATGGCTCAAAATGAAATAGTGCATGCTGAGTTCCTAGAGAGTGCATTAAGTAATTGCTTTCAAACTCAGTGCTTTGAATTTTCTTAGTAGCTTACTGTGAGAATATGATTTAGTTTATATAAATGGTATGTCAAAGCTATTTATAAGTACTTTAATATTATTTATATGTGATTCTGTAACATACTTAGTAATATCTATTTCTTATACCCCTCCCTTTTTTGTTGTTTCTTTGTTTTTAGGATCATCATGCCTAGGGTTCATAACATAAAAAAGTCTCTTACACCTCACATTTCTTGTGTGACAAATGAATCTGATAATCTGCTGGATTTTTTGCCTGACAGACTAAGAGCAAAGCTACTTCCATTCCAGAAAGATGGCATCATTTTTGCCCTCAAAAGAAATGGCAGGTAAAGTTCTTTGAAGACATGCTAAAAATGTTAAATTCCTGGAAAGTGTATTAAAAACAAAGTTCTGTTCAAACTTTCTTTTCGTGTATTCACAGTCTTTCTTTAGTAGAATTGATTGTGACCAAGTTAGCTTTATCCATTTACTATGGTTGACTTATACTTCATGTTGAAATATATTGAACCAATTGTGATTTCTTAAGAGAAAGTATGTTCAGTTATCTTAATTATTTCAGTTATCAGATACTCTCAGCAACTCATATATTGACAGTTTTCTAGAATGTATTGCTTTCACATGAAACTAATTCAACTTATTTCCATCGTTTTTTGTTTTTTTGTCTATTACCAGAAGGATTTTTTTTTTTAATAGACTCTGCCCTTTCACCCAGGCTGGAGTGTAGTGGTACGATCTTGGCTCACTGCAACCTCTGTCTCTTGGTTTTAAGCAATCTTGCCACATCAGCCTCCTGAATAGCTGGGACTACAGGGTGCACGCCACCACACCCGGGTAATTTTTGTTTTTGTTGTGTTTTTTTAAGGGATGGGTTTTCACCATGTTGCCCAGGCTGGTCTTGAACTCCTGGGCTCAAGTGATCCTTCTGCCCCGCCTCCCAAAGTGCTGGGATTACAGGCATGAGCCACTGCACCCATCCATTGTATTCTTATTCTTTTTATTTTCCACCTTAGATTTAGCAACTTCTGGGTGTGTTTTATGAGTACCTTATACTACTGTCTGTATTTCTTTACTTTTTTCAAACTTTGTGATAGTTATATGATCTCTTCCATCAAATTGGGCCATTATATGGTTTTCTATATTTTTAAGGATAACATTGTCTTAGTTCCACAGTCACATATATCATATACTTTCTCTTCAACATTTTATTATGAACAGTTTAAAAAACATACAACAAAGTTGAAAGAATGTTAGAGTAAATGCTTGGTAGAGGCAACACCCACAGTTTATTATTAACATTTTGCCATGCTTGGTCTATCACGTATTTATCTATGAATCCATCCTTCTATCCTTCTGTCCCATCAGTCCCTTTTATTATTTTCATTCATTTCAAAGTAAATTGCAGACATCATTATACTTTCCCATATATACTTAAATATATGTATGATTAACCAGAATTCGTATTTGTTTACAGACTTTTTTTTCTGTTGAGATTTAATTAATGAAATGTACAAACCTTGACAAATGCATATACTCTTATAACCCAAACCCATCATCCTAGAAAGTTACTTCATTCCCTTTCTCAGTCAGTCCCCACTCTCACATTGATCTGATGTTTTGTATTTTGCCTGTTTTTAATGGTTTATATAAATGGAATCCAGTAATATGTGCTGTTTATGAAAAACTTCTTAAAATTATTGTAATCTTACTGAGTGAGATTCATGTATTAGTAGTTTGTGTCTATTGTACACATTTGTATTTATAGCTGTTAGTTGACACTTAAGGTTATATATCTGGTGTTTTTCACCTTACACCTGCATCTTCTCAGTTTTTCCAGCCTAGACATCACTTCTGTAGATTTCCATTGCTTTTATGGAGTTAGAAAAGTTGTACTCTTCCATATTCACAGTGTTAACGGTCCTCAGATTCCTGAAGATTCAGTCACAAATGATATTTTAAACTGCCATTTGACAGCCTTTAACTCCTTTAGGTATTTCATACTTGTGTGGTTGGGCTTCTCACTATGGCGGAGTAGAAAGAACGTACGCTTTAGGTTTAGACTTGGTTGAAATCTGAGCCACTTACTATCTCTGTGATGCTGTGCATGCTTCTTTAACAATTCATACTTCAGATTCGTTAACTATGAAATGGATTTTATAATCCTAATTACTGTGGTTAAAAAAGAAGCCCGAGTTCTTCATAATGGTGAAATAAAATGCCTTTTCCCTTTTTCATAGCTAGACTTAGTAATTTCCAAACACTTGTCCCTGGACTGTTAACCAGTCCTAACAAAATATGGATACATGTAGCAAAATGAGAAAATAAAAAGTGTGCTGTTCATAAAGCAAAATTCATTCATTTTAGAGAACTTTCATTTATTTTGAGCTTAAGTCTTCTTTTTTGGAAGCTTAGAATTGTCCTTTCTTTTCGGAAAGCATGATGTTAGTAGTGGAAATTTTTTATTATGTTTTTTGGCAAATGGAAACTTGGCAATGTTTCCCATCAAGTTTTTTGTTTACTTGCCCATGAAATAATAATTTCAGGATTTAAAAATAATTTAAGGATATATTTTATCTTGAGTTCATTCTTCAGTAATATTTTCATTGGCAATATAGGTCTGCTGTAATAGTTATTTTTTTCTTAGCACTTTGAAGGTGGTATCCTCCTGTCTTCTGGCTTCCATAATTGTCATTGATAATACCCTTGAGTCTCAAAATATCACCTTACAGATGACTTATTTATTACAAAGGGAAAAATTACAAAATGGCCGAGCTTGGTATTGCTAATAGTGGGACAGCCACATGCATAATGTGGTGCACGGGAGAGACGTAACATTACCTTATGTGGTGTTCTTACTGGAAACATTTGATCTAGGAATCATGGCGAATCAGTCCAACTAATCCAGAATGTAGAACATTTTTTCAAGACAACTGACCTGGACTCTTCAAAGGATTCAGTGTCATCAAAAATCAAAGGAAGTAGTGTATCAAGGAAAGTCTCTAAATTGAGAGAGACCTAATAACTATACCATCTGAAAGTAATGCACGAGCCTTGATTAGATCCTGGATCAGCAAAAAGAAAAGCTTTAGGGAACGCTTTTAAGATCACTGGGAAAATTTCATCAGGACTCTCTTTAGATGGTGTTATTGGATTAATGTTGATTATCTTAGATGAGGTAATGGTGTTGTCATTGAATAGAAGAATGTTCTTGTTTCTGATAAATGCATGATAAAGAATTTTCAGACAAAGAATAATAGTGCTATTGTTAGTGCTATACTTTCTACATTTTCCCAAAAGGGAAGGACTTATGTTCAGAAACATTTTGAGTGGATGAGCCAAAATGTTAACAGTGTGAATTTAGTGAGGAGTATATTCTGGTGGGTGTCTTCATTGGTGAGTGGCATAATCTGTGGGGTACACTCATTGAATTATTCTTTTTAGCTTTTCTATGAGTTTGAAATTTTTCAAAATAAAAAAAAATCAGTCTAATTTTTGTTCCTTTGTGCATCATCTGACTTGAAGATTTTCTCTTTGTCTTTGGAGTTCTGTAGTTTCACTATACTCTATTCAGTATGGTTTTCTTTTTATTTATCCTGTTTAGGATTATTGTGCGTTTTAAATCTGGGATTTGTGTCTGTTGATTCTAGGAAATTCTCAGCTATTCCCTCTTCAAATATTGCTTCTCCCCCATTTGTTTTGTCTGCTGCAATTCCAGTTAGATTTATACTTGACCTTTTTACTTCATCCTATGCTTCTATTAATGTCTCTTATATTTTCTCTGTCTGTGCTACATTATGACTGTTTTCAAGTTCTCTCATAGAATTCACAACCGGCTGGTCTAATCTGCTGTTTAACCAACCTGTTCAGTTTTTTAAAGTACTTTTTTTTTTTTTTTTTTTTTACTGATATGTAATTTACATGGACAAAGGTACATAGATTATGAATGTATAGCTTGAAGAATTTTCACAGTATAGCATCACCAAGATCGAGAAATAGAACATTGCCAGCATCACAGAAACCTCCCTCTTGCCTCTTCCCAATCATTACTATCTCCTTTTTCTTGAAAAGTAACCACTATCCTGACTTCTAACGTTATAGATTGCTTTTGCCTGTTCAACTATATTATTGTAATTGTATATTCTTTTGTATCTTGTTTTTCTCAACATTATTGTGAGTTCAATCTATGTTTTTGTATGCGGTTGTAGTTCGTTCATTCTCATTGCCATGTAAAATCCCATCATGTGAATATACCATAATTTATTCATTCTACTATGGAGCATTTGGGTTATTTCTAGTTTGGGGCTCATAGAATAGTAATGATATGAATGTTCTTATACAAATCTTTTGGTGAATATATATACACATTTCTGATGTATATCTACCAAGAAGAATTGTTAGGTCATAGGTTGTGCATGTTTTCCACTTTAGTAGATAATGCCTATATTAGTTTGCTAGGACTATCATAAAAGCATACCGCAACTGGGTGGCTTAAACAACAGAAATTTATTTTCCCACAGTTTTGGAGGCTAGCAGTCCAAAATTAAGGTGTGGGCAGGGTTTGTTCCTCTTGAGAGCTGTGAAGGAATTGTCTTTTCCAGGGCTCTCTTTCTTGACTTGTAGGCTACTGTTTTCTTCCTATTTCTATTCACATTGTCTTCCCTCTGTTTATGTCTCTGGGTCCAAATTTGCCTTTTTTATATGGACACTAGTCATATTGGTTACATTGGTGATACCCTAATGACTTCATCTTAAGTAATTATGTCTGCAGTGACCATATTTCCAAATAAGGTCACATTCTGAGGTACTGGGGGTTTGAACTTCAACATATGAATTTGGGTGATACATAATACAAACCATACCACTGCTAAACATTTTCCAATGTAATTTCACCAATCTTTACTTGTATCAACAGTGTTTAAGAGTTCCACTTATATCTCATCCTCATCAACACTTCATTTTGCCTATCTTTATTTTCATTTTAGATATTCTGGTAGGTATATAGTGATGTACATTGAGGTTTTTATTTACATTTCTCTGATGATAAGTAAAATTTAATACCTTGTCATACGCTTATTAGCCATTTGGACATCTTTTTTTAAATGCCTGTTCATTTCTTATCTGTTTTTCTTCTGGATTGTCTATTTGCCTTTTTCTTATTGTTTTGTAGGAGTCCTTTTGTCATATGTATACTCTGGATATGAGTCTTTTATCAGGTATATTTATGGCAAGTAAATTTTCTCAGGTTGTGTTTTGCCTTTTCCTTGTCTTAATGATGTCTTCTGATAAGCAGAGATTCTCAATTTTAATGTCATCTTACATAATCTTTATCCGCATTCATTCTATGGCTGGCACTTCTTTCATCAAATTTTAAAAATCTTTGTCTACTACTGTTTGGGGAAATCAGCCCCCAGTATTCAACATGGGTCCTTTTCTATTTTCCCTAAGTGTCGGCTGGCCTGAGAAATAAAGGGAAAGAGTACAAAAGAGAGAAATTTTAAAGCTGGATGTCCAGGGGAGACATCAAATGTTGCCAGGTTCTGTGATGCCCCCCAAGCTGCAAAACCAGCAAGTTTTTATTAATGATTTTCAAAAGGGGAGGGAGTGTACAAATAGGGTGTGGGTCACAGAGATCCCATGCTTCACAAGGTAAAATATCATAAGGCAAATGGAGGCAGGGCGAGATCACAGGAATGGGGAGAAATTAAAATTGCTAATGAAGTTTCAGGCACGCATTGTCATTGATAACATCTTATCAGGAGACAGGGTTTGAGAGAAGACAACCAGTCTGACCAAAATTTATTAGGTGGGAATTTCCTCGTCCTGATAAGCCTGGGAGCGCTATGGGAGACTGGGGCTTATTTCATCCCTTATCTACAACCGTAAAAAGATAGATGTTCCCAAAGCGGCCATTTTAGAGACCTTCCCTTGGGAACACATTCTCTTTCTCAGGGATGTTCCTTGCTGAGAAAAAGAATTCAGTGAAATTTCTCCTGTTTGCTTTTGAAAGAAGAGAGATATGGCCCCGGCTCTCAGGCAGCCAGACTTAATGGTTATCTCTCTTGTTCCCTGAACATCGCTGTTATCCTGTTCTTTTTTCAAGGTGCCCACATTTCATATTGTTTAAACAATTTGTGCAGTTAACGCAATCATCACAGGGTCCTGAAGTGACATTCATCCTCAGCTTACGAAGATGATGGGATTAAGAGATTAAAGACAGGCATCACAAGAGTATTGATTGGGGAAGTGATAAGTGTCCATGAAATCTTCACAATTTATGTTCAGAGATTGCAGTAAAGACAGGTATAAGAAATTATAAAAGTATTAATTTGGGGAACTAATAAATGTCCATGAAATCTTCACAATTTATGTTCTTCTGCCATGGCTTCAGCCGGTCCCTCCATTTGGGATCCCTGACTTCCCGCAACATACTACAAAGTCATGAAGAGATTTCCTGTGTTTTCCTCTAAAAGCTTTATTGTTTTAATTTTTACACTAATTCGATTTACAATCTACTTGGAATTGTTTTGTGTATATGGTATGAAGTAGACATCAGGATTATTTATTTATTTATTTATTTATTTATTTATTTATTATTTATTATTTTTTAGAGACAGAGTCTCGCTGTCGCCCAGGCTGGAGTACAGTGGCACCATCTTGGCTCACTGCAACCTCTGCCTTCTGGGTTCCAGCGATTCTCCTGCCTCAGCCTCCTGAGTAGCTGGGACTACAGGTGCACACCACCATGCCCAGCTAATTTTTGTATTTTTAGTAGAGACAAGGTTTTACCATGTTGGCCTGGCTCATCTCGAACTCCTGACCTCCGTTGATCTGTCCGCCTTGGCCTCCCAAAGTACTGGGATGATAAGTGTGAGCCACCGCGCTCAGCCTCACTTACTTATTTTTAAATTTATTTTTACATATGAATGTCTACTTGATCCAGCACAATTTATTGAAAAGACTTTTTCCTACTGCATTGTAATGTTACTTTTGTCATAAATCAAGTAATTTTATGTGTATACCTTTCTAGATAAGTGCTGTCTAATGGAACTTTCCGCTGTGATGGAAATATTCTTTATGTGTACTGTTTAATTCAGTAGCTATTCACTGCAGATGGCTATTGAGTACTTGAAGTGTGGCTAGTGCAACTAATGATTGAATTTTTAATTTTACTAATTTTAATTAATTCAAATTTAAATAGTTACATGTTTAGTGCCTACCATATGGAATAGTGCAGTTGTAGATTCTTTGTTTTGTTTCTCTGTTTGCCATCTTTGTGTCAGTACCATACTTCTTCATACTTCTTAGCGTAGCTTTATAATAAATATTCTGGTATCAGGCAGTATAAATCTTTCAGCCTTACTCTTTTTCAAAATTGTCTCAGCTATTATTGACTCTGCATTACATATAAATTGTAGAAGTCATTTATCAATTTTCACAAAAGTGCTGGATTTGTGAATGGAGTTTTACTGCATCTATAGATCAGTTTGGGGAGAATTTATATATTTATAATACAGAGTATTTCATTCCATGAATATGAATTATTTTTACATTTACTTAATTGCTCTTTCGGTGTCCTGTATATCTCTTATCTTTTTTTGTGTGTGCTGCAGTTTTGATATTTTGTATTTAGCCATATTCAAGCTTACTGATTTTATCTTTTGCTGTTAATTAATTTATTGGATTCTCTTAAGGATGAGACCATCACTCAATATACTTGAAATGAGAAACCACTCAATTTCTTTCTTGATAAGCAAGGGAGAACTGTGCTTCTTAGCCATGACATTCTAAACAAAGCGAAGAGTTGGTATCGCATTGGGCTTTGGAAGCCTGAAGACTTTCAAAAACAGGAGTGTTTAAGGACTGTCTGAAATTTCTGTGTATAGTTTAGGGATTAGCTGACTACCAGAGAACAGTTAGTCCTTTCCTTTCTTGAAATTGGAGAACAGGGACATTTAACTTTCTGTTCTTAATTTCAGAAAGTATATTTTTAACTCCTAGAATATCGAGTTCAGCTCTGCCTGCTTATGTTGGTAGTGTCTTGTTTTTTGCAATGTTTTGGTTCTGTGTCGTATTTCTTTAAATATTTAGAACATACTTATTTATGTAAGTCATACTTATTTGCATATTTGAGGTCCTTTAGAGGTTAATTTTGCCTTTTATTGTTTTATGTGATGGTTTATTTCCCAGTGTATTTGCAGATGTCTTAAATTTTGTTTTAATAAATAATCTTAATCTGCGGATTTCGTTTTTTTTTTTTTTTTTTTTTTTTTTTTAAGATGGAGTTTTGCTCTTGTTGCCCAGGCTGGAGTACAGTGGTGCCATCTTGGCTCACTGCAACCTCTGCCTCCTGTGTTCAAGCGATTGTCCTGCCTCAGCCTTCCGAGTAGCTGGGATTACAGTCGCACGCCACCACGCCTGGCTAATGTTTTGTATTTTTAGTAGAGATGGAGTTTCACCATGTTGGCTAGGCTGGTCTCAAACTCCTGATCTCAGGTGATCCACCCGCCTTGGCCTCCCAAAGTGGTGGGATTACAGGCATGAGCCACCACGCCTGGCCAGTCTGTGGAAATTTTGAGAGATGTAAATGAGTAAATTCTTCAATGGAGGATTTGCAAAATTAGATTCTTGGCTTGCAGTTTCCAAGATCACACAGGTAATACAAATTCAAACCTCAAGTTCATTTTTAGGTAGGCTTACTATTATGAATTTTGATCATTAATTTTCATCTCCTGCCAAGCTTTAAATTTCCTTGTTAGCTTAAAAAATTAAGTATAATTTAATTTAATAAAATATATGGATTTGAGGTGCACAGTTTTGTAGATTCTGATACACTGAATACCCCTGTGTTTTCAAAAACCTCAGTCAAGATATAAAACATTACCATCACTCAGAGTAGGCCTCTTTCTAAACAACCCCATCCTCCTAAATTAAAATCACTGATCTGACTTCTGTCACTAAAGTATATTTTTTATAGTTACTTGGTGCTGTATTTTTTTCAACTTTTTGAAGTAATTTCAAATGTACAGAAAAGTCACAAAAATAGAGAATAACTTTTATGTATGTTTTACCTAGAGTCACATATTTTTAACATTTTGCCACATTTACTTTATTATTCTCTCTCTCTACACAAACAACATACACATATATACACCTATGCTTGCATTCATGTTTTTATAAACCATTTGAGAGTAGGTTGCATACATTATGCTCCTTTAATCTGCGAAACTGGCTGCTCTGCCTATGGAGTAGCCATTCTTTTACTCCTTTACTTTCCTAATAAACTTGCTTTAAAAATAAGAATAATATGCAATACTATAATATAGTATGTGTTTTTTAAAAATAAAGACATTCTCTTATATAGACACAGCACAGTTACCAAATTTAATAATTTAACTTTTTATTTTTTTTTATTCTTAGTTTTGTTTTTTTAGAAACATGATCTCACTCTGTCACGTAGGCTGGAGTGCAATGGCACAATCATAGCTCACTGTAACCTCGTATTCACAGCCCTAAGTGATCCTCTGACCTCACCCTCCCAAGTTGCTAGTATTACAGGTGCACACCACTGTGCCCAGTGTATTTTTTTATAGAGACAGAGTTCTGCTATGTTGTACAGGCTGCTATTGAACTCCTGGCCCCATATGATCTTCCTGCTTTGGCCTCCCAAAGTGCTAGGATTACAGGCATGAGCCATTGCACATGGCTGGAATTTAACTATTATACAATACTTTAATATATTTTGTCAGTTGTCCCAATGCTGTCTTTTATAGCATGTTTTTTGTTCAATATGAAAATCTAATCCAGGATCACTTACTGCATTTAATGATATCTTTTTGTTTCCTTTAATGTGGGACACTTCCTTACCCTTTCATGACACTGGCCTCAACTTATTTTTATAATGTTTCATCACAGTGAGATTTAGATTATGCAATCTTTCCTGCATCAGTACATAGTGAGATTGAGGTCATATTCTTCTCAGGGTATTATTTTGAGCCTCTTAGCCCCAAGGCCAAGTTCCTGGCCAAAGTTTGGTCCAGTTTCACTGTATAGTTACTATTTTTGCTTCTCACAGTTGTTTAGTATGTAACAATTAACATGAGATATTATGACCGTGCAAATATGCTGCTCCTTCTCTGATTTTCCCTCTCTTGGATTTAGCATACATAGATGATTCCTGTTCAAATCAAATTTTGTCATGATGGCTGTAAAATGATTTATTAATTGGCATTTTATTGTAAAGAAGAGCCCCCCTTCTGCTCCTTTCCTCTCCTCTCCTTTCCTTCCTTTCTTTCTTTCCTTTATTTTCCTTCCTTCCTTCCTTCTTTTTTCTTTTCTTTTTTTTTTTTTTTTGAGACGGAGTCTTGCTCTGTCACCCAGGCTGGAGTGCAGTGGCGCGATCTCAGCTCACTGCAAGCTCCGCCTCTCGGGTTCATGCCATTCTCCTGATACAGGCGTGAGCCACCGCGCCCTCCCTCCCTCCCTCCCTCCCTCCCTTCCTTCCTTCCTTCCTTCCTTCCTTCCCTCTCTCCCTCCCTTCCTCCCTCCCTCCCTCCTTTCTATTTCTATCCATCCATTCATCTTCCCATCCATCCATCCTTCAGATGGACTCATGAATTTCTTACTGTATGGTATCTTAGTTTTCTCTGTTTTGGAACATGCTACAAACAGAATCATGCAGTTTATGTGGATCTTCTCTCACTCAATATAATGTTTTAGCAATTTCATCTATGTTGTTTTACCTCTGAATATGTCACAATTATTTTGTTCATTTACTTGGTGATGGACATTTGGGTTGGCTCTGGTTTAGAGCTCTTATGAATAAAGATAGTCTTAACATTCTTAGATGAGTCCATCTATGGACATGTTTTCAGTTCTCTTGTTAGCTCTTTGGGTGGAGTGTGCTTTAACTTTATTTAAAAACTGTCCAACTTTTTCCCATCTGTCAACAATATATGAGAGTTCTAGATGATCCACATCTCTGTCAACATTTGATGTTGTTAGCCTTTTTTATTTTAGGCATTCAAAATGAATGACTATTCGAGATGTAGCTTATTATGTTTTACTTTGTACTTTCTGAATAATATTGAACATGTTTCCCTGAACTTACAGATCATCCTTATATAGTTATATATGTTATATACAACATATAATAGATACATTGTAAAGTACTGAAATGTTTTGCCCTTGTTTTAATTGGGTTGCCTTTTTATTATTTATTGGAAGTTCTTTTTATATTCTAGATATAAGACTTTTGCCAGATATGTATCTTGTGAATATTTTCCCTAGTCTGTAGCCTCCTTTTGATTTTCCTTGTAGTATAGTATTCTAATGAACAGAAAATTTTAACTTTAATAAAATTAACTTCATCAAGTTTTCCTTTTATAGTTAGTGCTTTTTATATTTGAACAAGTCATTTCCTACCTGAAGATTACAAAATCGTCTTCTGTTTTCTTCGGGAAGCTTTATAGTTTTCCTTTTTCTATTTATATATATATATATATATATATATATATATATATATATATATATATATATATATATATATATATATATATATATTTGGTATCATCTCAATTTTTAAATACGGGGTGAGGTAGGAGTTCTAGGTTCTGTTTTCCTTCATACCAATATCTAGTTATTTCAGCACCATTTGTAGAAAAATCTATCATTCCCATAAATTACCTTGGCACTTTAGTGAAAAATTGATTGACCACATATGTCTAAATCTATTTCCTGTTTGTTTCCTTTTGCCACTGGATCCCTTTTTCTATTGTCACCCTTCTTCCATTTTCATTTAATCTCCAGCTTTCTTAGGCTGAAGCTTTATTTAGGACTCTTATTTCCACTATCTATTTCTTTTAGGTCTAGGGCCTTATTCTTGTTGCTCTGCATGGTTCTTCAGTCCTAAGGTTCTTTGTTGGTGGCTTCTGTAGACACCTTCAGTGTAGCATGTGTTTTTATCACTCATCACTGTATGTTTGACTTTCTCTTTGTAAATTTTCATTGAACATTGTAAATTACCTTTACTTTTTCTTCAGACTGGTGCTACATTTTAAAAGATAATGTTTTACCTAATTTAGCATTTCTAGGTGTTTGCAAAAGGAGGGATTTTTAGAATATCTAAAACACCATAGTACTGGGAGCAGACACCTTACAGTTAAGTCTTCATTCATTCTGGATTATACTCTTTATCATTATAAAATTTCTTTATTATAAAATCACTTAGTTCTTTCCTTTCGTCCTCTGAATGTGATCTGTAATTAGTATCCCAACAACTATTTCATTCTGTCCATGCTTTCCTAGCATGCCTTTAACCATCTTTTTATTTTCAACGTTTTTGAAACCTTTAGATAAATTTTTATGTTACAAGGTTAGGTTTCACTTTGTTACTCAGTTTGTCTTTTCTCTTAAGTAACAGTGTTAAACTCACTTTCATTCATTGATATTAGAGTTATATTTAGTCTTTATGCAATTATCATAGTATTTGTTATGGTTTCTGTTGCCTAAAAATATGTTATTATATGATCATTCTATGATCCACTAAATATGTCATTATATAATCCATGTTTTCCTGTTTTCGTTTAGTATAAACCATTAGTAATTTAAAGGTTTGGTTTGGAATCCACTGGTTATCTTTATAACTAATGTTTTGTGTAATATACTCTGTTCTCTATTTTATTACGTATTGTTTTCTTATTCCCAGTTATATGCAGTGACATTGGTATATTGCCTTTTTCTCCCTCTCTGTCCTTTCTGAGCACGATATCAATTGGTTATTTTTTTGATGTTCACCTTTGTATCTTTAATAATACTTACACTTTTCATTTATAAAAATACTCATGTGGCTGGGCGTGGTGGCTCACACCTGTAATCCCAGCGCTTTGTGAGGCTGAGGCGGGCAGATCACAAGGTCAGGAGATCAAGACCATCCTGGCTAACACAGTGAAACCCCATCTCTACCAAAAATACAAAAAAAATTAGCTGGGCCTGGTGGCATGCACCTGTAATCCCAGCTACCTGGGACACTGAGGCAGGGGAATTGCTTGAACCAGGGAGGTGGAGGTTGCAGTGAGCTGAGATTGCGCCACTGCACTCCAGCCTGGGCAACAGAGTGAGACTATATCTCAAAAAAAAAAATACAAAAAATTAGCCAGGCATAGTGGCACATTACTGTAATCCCAGCTACTCGGGAGGCTGAGGCAGGAGAATCGCATAAACCCGGGAGGTGGAGGTTGCAGTGAGCCAAGATTGTGCCGCTGCATTCCAGCCTGGGTGATAGAGCAAGACTGTCTCAAAAAAAATAAATTAATTTAAAAAAATACTTAACATTATTTCTTTACCAACTTTAAACTTTGCCTTTGTTTCCCTTTTACCTTCTGTTAGGTATGTAATTTCTGTGTTGTGATTATCTATAACTTATGTTCTCATCTGTAAACCAGATTATTTAAATAGTTAAGTATTATTTAAATAGTGAAGTATTTTCATTGCTTCCCTCGGTCCCTTTTGTTTCTGTACGGTGTCCTTTGGTTGAAGTTATTTTGAAATGTACAATAGATTAACGCTAACTGTAGTCACCCTACTGATCTACCAAACGTTAGGTATTATTTCTTCTATCTAACTGTATATTTGTACCCATTAATCAACCTCTTCATCCTCCCCTCCCCACTACCCTTCCCAACCACTAGTAGCCACTAAGGTACTCTGTACCTTTGTGAGATTCACTTTTTGAGCTCCCACATATGAGTGCGAACATGTGATATTTGTCTTTCTGTGCTTGGCTTATTTCACTTAACATCATGACCTCCAGTTCCATCCATGTTGCTGCAGATGAGAGGATTTTATTCTTGTTTATGGCTGAATAATATTCATTGTGTATATATATATCACATTTTCTTTTTCCATTTATCTACTCGTGGGCATTTAAGTTGATTACACATTTTGGCTATTGAGTACATTGCTACAGTAAACATAAGAGTGCAGATATCTCTTGATTTCTCTTCTTTTGGATATATACCCAGTAGTGGAATTGCTGGATCATTGGTATTTCTATTTTTAGTTTCTTGAGGAATCTCCATATTGGTTTCCATGGCAGCTGTACTGATTTACATTCCTACCAACAGTGTGCAAGGATTCCTCTTTCTCTACTAACATCCCTTATTCCCATTTTTTTTGATAAAAGCAATTTTAACTGGGGTGAGATGATATCTCATTGTGGTTTTGATTTGCATTTCTCTGATGATTAGTGATGTGGAGCATTTTTAATATACCTGTTGGCAGTTTATATATCTTCCTTGAGAATTGTCTGTTGAGATCTTTTGTCCATTTTTTAATTGGAATATTTCTCTTTTTTTGCTATAGAGTTTTCTTATATATTCTGGCTATTAATTTCTCATCAGATAGACATTTTGTAAATATTTTCTCTCGTATTCTAAAAATATCCTTTCACTCACTTTATAATTACACATCTGTGGGGTAAGAAATTCCTCAGGCCCACTTTATTTCCTGGCTGATTTTGTAGGCAGTGCTCACTGTTTGCTACAGACTAGTCTGAGGACTCACTGGATTTTTTTCTACTTAGAAGTGATCAATTTTTTACCTCACTACCCATTTTTTGCAGTCCAGTACTAGAATATGTCTTGGCATTGACCTTTGTGTTTCTCTTTTTCTTGGACGTGCCATATTCTTTTAGTTTCTAGTTTACATTTTTCTTCTACTTCTGGAAACTTCTCTTGAATTACACTGAGAGCAGTTTTTTACTTTTTTCATTTTGGCTTGCTTCTTTGAAGACATCAAATATGCTTATATTTGTTGATTTGTCTTGGCCTATTTATATCACTTGTTTTTTTCTCTTTTGCATTCTTAATTTATTTTTTTCTCCAAAACCCTTTTTTTTGTTTAAATTCTTTTTGAAAATTTCCTTTTCAATCCTATCCTGTGTGTACTTTCCTATTTTAGTAGTACCTGTTCTCTCTTCTGCTTCCATTTGGCCTTCATTTCAGTTTTGTTTATTTATGTATTTTTTTTATTTCTCTGACCTGTAAGTTCACATTTTATTTCTTCATCTTTTTGACCATAGCTCCCCTGAGCTCCTGCATCTCCTCTTTATGTTTTCTGTGTTATAGAGGTGATTGCTTCTTTAAGTTTATATTTGTGGCAACATATTTGACTAATTTTCTTTTTTTAATTTTATTTTATTATTATTATACTTTAAGTTTTAGGGTACATGTGCACAATGTGCAGGTTAGTTACATATGTATACATGTGCCATGCTGGTGTGCTGCACCCATTAACTCATCATTTAGCATTAGGTATATCTCCTAATGCTATCCCTCCCCCCTCCCCCCACCCCACAACAGTCCCGAGTGTGATGTTCCCCTTCCTGTGTCCGTGTGTTCTCATTGTTCAGTTCCCACCTATGAGTGAGAACATATTTGACTATAATTTTCATCTGCTTCATAACTGTTTTTCTTATGTGTTTCCATTTGATTTTCCTTTTTCTTTCCTTCATTTTATTTGTAGATTCCTTTTTTAAGAATGACTGCTCATCATTCAATGAGAAACATTTTTTCCTGATCATACTGTTTGCAAAAGGTCATCTTGCAAACAGTATGGGCTAGAGCAATGTTATAGACTAACACCTATTCTCCTTATGACACTGTTTTTGTGTGTAATTGATTTCTTTTGATATGACACTATTTTTGTATGTAATTGATTTCTTTTGATTATATAGCATACTTTGTTTTATTATGCTATATAGTATAATCAGATATAGTATGCTATATAGTATAATAAAACATATATGCTATATAGTATAATCAAATATGGTATGCTATATTTGATTATATAGCATAGTTTGTTTTATTATAATTTGCTTTATTGTGCTTTGCATATATTGTGGTTTTTACAAATTGTGCTTTGCATATATTGTGCCTTTCATATATGTGGTGTTTACAAATTGTGCTTTGTATATATTGTGCTTTGCATATATGTGGTTTTTACAAATTGTGCTTTGCATATATTGTGCTTTGCATAAATTGTGGTTTTTACAAATTGTGCTTTGCATATATTGTGGTTTTTACAAATTATGCTATATAGTATATTCAAATATAGTATGCTATATAGTATAATCAAATATATATGCTATACAGTATAATCAAATATAGTATGCTATATTTGATTATATAGCATACTTTGTTTTATTATAATTTGCTTTATTGTGCTTTGCATATATTGTGGTTTTTACAAGTTGAAGGTTTGTGGTATTCCTGCATTAAGCATGTCTTTTAGAACCATTTTTCCAACAGTATGTGTTAAGTTTGTGTCTCTGTGTCATATTTTAGTAATTCTCAATATTTCAAACTATTTCATTATCCGTTATGGTGATCAGTAATTAGTGATCTTTGAGTTTACTATTATAATTGTTTTGGGGTACCATGAATGATACCAATTCATATAAGATGGTGAACCTAATGGATAAATATTATGTGTGTTCTAACTGCTCCACCGACTGGCTCTTCCTCTCTTTCCCTCTCCACAGGCCTCTGTATTCCCTAAGACAAAACAATATTGAAATTAGGTCAGTTAATAACCCTACAGTGGGCTGTAAGTGTTCAAGTAGAAGGAAAGATCATACATCTCTCACTTTAAATCAAAAGCTAGAAATGATCATGCTTAGTGAGGAAGGCAGGTCGAAGTGGATATAGGCTAAAAGCTAGGCCTCCTGTGCCAGACAGTTAGCCCAAGTTGTGGATTGCAAAGGAAAAGTTCTTGAGGGAAATTAAATGTACTCCTCCAGTATACAAATGAGAGATAAGAAAGCAAAACAGTCTTATTGCAGATGTGGAGAAAGTTTCAGTGGTGTGGATAGAGTATCAAACCAGTCACAACATTCCCGTATACCAAAGCCTAATTCCAGAGCAAGGCCCTAATTCTTTTCAGTTTTATGAAGGCTGAGAGGTGAGAAACCTGCAGAAGAAAAATTTGAAGCTAAAGAGGTTGGTTCATGAGGATTAAGGAAAAACGCCATCGTCATAACATAAATGTGCAAGGTGAAGCAGCAGGTGCTGATGTAGAAGCTGCAGCAGGTTACTCAGAAGATCTAGCTAAGATCATTGATAAAAGTGACTACACTAAACAACAGATTTTGAATGTAGATGAAACAGGCTTCTATTGGATGAAAATACCATCTAAAACTTTCATAATTAGAGAGAAGTCAATGCCTGGCTTAAAAACTTCAAAAGATAGGTTTTCTTGTTAGGGGCTAGTGCAGCTGGTGACTTTAAGGTGAAGCCAGTGCTCATTGACCATCTGAATATCCTAGAGCCTTTCAGATTTATCCTAAATCTACTCTGCCTGTGTTCTATAAGTAGAATAACAAAGCCTGGATGACAGTACATCTCTTTGTAGCAAGGTTTACTGAATATTTTAAGCCTACCATTGAGACCTACTGCTGAGAAAAAAGATTCCTTTCAAAATATTATTGCTCATTGACAATGGACCTGGTCACCCAAGAGCTCTATTGTAGATATACAAGATGAATGTTGTTTTCGTGCCTGGTAACACAGCATCCATTCTGTAGCCCATGTATCCAGGAGTAATTTTGACTTTCAGGTCTTAATATTTAAGAAATACATTTTGTAAGGCTGTAGTTGCCAAAGATAATGATTCCTCTGATGGAACTGGGCAGACTAAATTTTAAACCTTCTGGAAAGGATTATTCTAGATGCCATTAAGGACATTCATGATTCATGGGAGGAGGTTAAAATGTCAAATCAATAGGAATTTGGAAGAAGTTGATCCCAGTCCTCATGGATTACTTGCAGGGGTTCAAGACTTCAGTAGAGGGGACCGGGTGCAGTGGCTCATGCCTGTAATCCCAGCAATTTGGGAGGCCAAGCGGGTGGATCACCTGAGGTCAGGAGTTTGAGACCAGCCTAGTCAACATGGCAAAATCCCATCTCTACTGAAAATACAAAAATTAGCCAGGCATGCTGGCAACCACCTGTAATCCCAGCTACTCAGAAGGCTGAGGCAGGAGAATTGCCTGAACCTGGGAGTGGAGGTTGCAGTGAGCTGAGATCACACCACTGCACTTCAACCTATGCAACAGAGCAAGACTCCTCTTATATTGAAAAAAAAAAAAAAGACTTCAGTGGAGAAAGTAACTGCAGATGTGGTGGAAATAGCAAGAGAATTAGAAGTAGAGCCTGAAGATGTGACTGAATTGTTGCAATCTTGCATTAAAACTTGAACGATGAGGAGTTGCTTCTTATGGATGAGCAAAGAAAGCAGTTTCTTGAGATGGAATCTATTCTTGGTGAAGATGCTGTGAGCAATGTTGAAGTGACAACAAAAAATTAAGAATAAAACGTATACTGAGTTGATACAGCATCAGCAGGTTGGAGAGTATTGATTTCAATTTTGAAAGAACTTCTACTGTTACTAAAATGCTTTCAAACAGCAGTGTATGCTTCAAGAAATCTTTCATGAAAGAAAGAGTCAATTGATGTGGCATAAGTCATTGTTGCCTTATTTTCAAGAAATTGCCACAGCCGTCACACCCTTCAGCAACCACCACCTTGATTAGTCAGCAGCCATCAACAATCGTCGAGGTAAAACCCTTCACTCTCCATATTTATGTCTGGATATGTGTATTTGTGAATATACATGGTTAATAATAATTGATATATGTATTAATACATGAAATTTTTAGTATACTGTTGAACAAGAATGTTTCCTATTTGTCATTTACTTATTCATGTCTGAGGAGATATAAGAAGAAAATGTAATCCAAAAAGATTACAACTCTCTAAACGATCACATGTTCATTACCCTTTTTTAGCAATGTTTTACAACTAGGATATGTACATTGTTTTAGACATAATGCTATTGCATACTTAATAGGCTACATTATGGTGTAAACAGAGCTTTAATATACACTGTGAAACAAGTCTGTGTGACTCACCTTTTTACGACATTAGCTTTGTTGACGTGATCTGGAACGGAACCCGCAATATCTCCAAGGTATGCCTGTATCATTCTGACAGTATTGTGACCAACTATAAAGATTAAATGCCATGTTTATGACAGCACCCTGCACAGTGCCTCTAGGGGAGCAGACACTGTAAATGGTGACTGCTATAATAATTATTGTAATAATCTATCTCATTCTGGGCTGAACTCACAAAATCTTGGAGGTATGCCTGTATCTTCTGAATCAAAAGAAAGATGGCTAGCAGGGCAAAGTCTCTCATACATGCCCCTGCCTTAATATGACTACTTCCTACATTCAGCATTTGTCGTTGAGCCTTGCCTGCTTCTCTTCTCCTGCACCCAGACTGGCCCCTGGGATAGACAGTGTACATATCATCGTGTGTTGCTGTAAAGAAGGGATTCTTGACTTTGCAACACAGCTATTCCTCCTACTTTGGAACTGTGTTTGGCTGTTATGTTATGTTATGTTATGTTATGTTTTGTTTTGTTTTGTTTTGTTTTGTTTTGTTTTGTTTTGTTTGTTTTGTTTTGTTTCTCTGAGATGTATAGCCTGAAGTGTTCTTTCTAGGTATACTCCCTCAGTTATTGGGGTTTTAAAAATATATTTATTTTTATTTATTCATATTTCTTTGAGACAGTCTCACTCTGTTGCCCAGGCTGGAGTGCAGTGGCGCATTCTTGGCTCACTGCAACCTCTGCCTCCCAGGTTCAAGTGATCCTCCCACCTCTACCTCCCGAGTAGCTGGGACTACAGGTGCCCACCATCTCACCTGGCTAATTTTTTTGTATTTTTAGTAGAGGCGGGGTTTCACTGTATTGACCAGGCTGATCTCCAACTCCTGACCTCAAGTGATCTGCCCACTTTGGCCTCCCAAAGTGCTGGGATTACAGGTGTGAGCCACTGTAATATTTAAAATATTTATTAAATATTTTAATTAATTTTATTTTATTAATATTTATTAAATATTTAAAAACCAAGACAGGTTTTTGAAATATTTAATACTTTTGGTAACCTATCTTTTTGTTTTGCCATTTGAGATTTTTAGATTTCTCCCAATTTTTTCATAGATATTAAAAAACCATGCATTAAATCTTTGAATCTCTGCTCCATCAAGCTTAGTGTTAGATACATTGCCTAATTTTTTATTAATTCATATTTATGTCATGTATTTATTTCTGGATATGTATATTGTGAATATACATGGTTAAAAATAATTGACAATGTAATAATACATGAAATTTATAGTATACAGTTGAACAAGAACATTTGCTATTTGTCATGTACTTATTCATTCAGGAGATGTAAGAAGCTTGTGATTGAATGAAATTATTAGGCTTAGCATTGTACATTTTCTTTTTTACCTTTTTCATTAGTTCATACTCTTTGTATGGCTATTGTTCTGACATAAAGTGAATTTTATTTTTTCTGGAAATCCTGGCAGAGTAATTTGTTTTAATTGTCTGTCTGGGGAAGAAAAGACTTTGTAGAAAGTCAACAAGGATACCCAGGAATTGAACACAGCTCTGCACGAAGCGGACCTAATAGACATCTACAGAGCTCTCCACCCCAAATCAACAAAATATACATTTTTTTCAGCACCACACCACACCTATTCCAAAATTGACCACATACTTGGAAGTAAAGCTCTTCTCAGCAAATGTAAAAGAACAGAAATTATAACAAACTCTCTCTCAGACCACAGTGCAATCAAACTAGAACTCAGGATTAAGAATCTCACTCAAAACCGCTCAACTACATGGAAACTGAACAACCTGCTCCTGAATGACTACTGGGTACATAACAAAATGAAGGCAGAAATAAAGATATTCTTTGAAACCAACGACAACAAAGACACAACACACCAGAATCTCTGGGACGCATTCAAAGCAGTGTGTAGAGGGAAATTTATAGCACTAAATGCCCACAAGAGAAAGCGGGAAAGATCCAAAATTGACACCCTAACATCACAATTAAAAGAACTAGAAAAGCAAGAGCAAACACATTCAAAAGCTAGCAGAAGGCAAGAAATATTAAAATCAGAGCAGAACTGAAGGAAATAGAGACACAAAAACCCTTCAAAAAATTAATGAATCCAGGAGCTGGTTTTTTGAAAGGATCAACAAAATTGATAGACCACTAGCAATACTAATAAAAAAAGAGAGAAGAATCAAATAGACGCAATAAAAAATGATAAAGGGGATATCACCACTGATCCCACAGAAATACAAACTACCATCAGAGAATACTACAAACACCTCTACGCAAATAAACTAGAAAATCTAGAAGAAATGGATAAATTCCTCGACAAATACACTCTCCCAAGACTAGACCAGGAAGAAGTTGAATCTCTGAATAGACTAATAACAGGATCTGAAATTGTGGCAATAATCAATAGCTTACCAACCAAAAAGAGTCCAGGACCAGATGTATTCACAGCCGAATTCTACCAGAGGTACAAGGAGGAGCTGGTACCATTCCTTCTGAAACTATTCCAATCAATAGAAAAAGAGGGAATCCTCCCTAACTCATTTTATGAGGCCAGCATCATTCTGATACCAAAGCTGGGCAGAGACACAGCCAAAAAAGAGAATTTTAGACCAATATCCTTGATGAACATTGATGCAAAAATCCTCAATAAAATATTGGCAAACCGAATCCAGCAGCACATCAAAAAGCTTATCCACCATGATCAAGTGGGCTTCATCCCTGGGATGCAAGGCTGGTTCAATATATGCAAATCAATAAATGTAATCCAGCATATAAACAGAGCCAAAGACAAAAACCACATGATTATCTCAATAGATGCAGAAAAAGCCTTTGACAAAATTCAACAACCCTTCATGCTGAAAACTCTCAATAAATTAGGTACTGATGGAACGTATTTCAAAATAATAAGAGCTATCTATGACAAACCCACTGCCAGTATCATACTGAATGGGCAAAAACTGGAAGCATTCCCTTTGAAAACTGGCACAAGACAGGGATGCCCTCTCTCACCATTCCTATTCAACATAGTGTTGGAAGTTCTGGCCAGGGCAATGAGGCAGGAGAAGGAAATAAAGGGCATTCAATTAGGAAAAGAGGAAGTCAAATTGTCCCTGTTTGCAGATGACATGATTGTATATCTAGAAAACCCCATTGTCTCAGCCCAAAATCTCCTTAAGCTGATAAGCAACTTCAGCAAAGTCTCAGGATACAAAATCAATGTACAAAAATCACAAGCATTCTTATACACCATCAACAGACAAACAGAGAGCCAAATCATGAGTGAACTCCCATTCACAATTGCTTCAAAGAGAATAAAATACCTAGGAATCCAACTTACAAGGGATGTGAAGGACCTCTTCAAGGAGAACTACAAACCACTGCTCAACGAAATAAAAGAGGATACAAACAAATGGAAGAACATTCCATGCTCATGGGTAGGAAGAATCAATATCGTGAAAATCGCCATACTGCCCAAGGTAATTTACAGATTCAATGCCATCCCCATCAAGCTACCAATGCCTTTCTTCACAGAATTGGAAAAAACTACTTTAAAGTTCATATGGAACCAAAAAAGAGCCCGCATCGCCAAGTCAATCCTAAGCCAAAAGAACAAAGCTGGAGGCATCACACGACCTGACTTCAAACTATACTACAAGGCTACAGTAACCAAAACAGCATGGTCCTGGTACCAAAACAGAGATATAGATCAATGGAACAGAACAGAGCCCTCAGAAATAACGCCGCATATCTACAACTATCTGATCTTTGACAAACCTGAGAAAAACAAGCAATGGGGAAAGGATTCCCTATTTAATAAATGGTGCTGGGAAAACTAGCTAGCCATATGTAGAAAGCTGAAACTGGATCCCTTCCTTACACCTTATACAAAAATCAGTTCAAGATGGATTAAAGACTTAAACGTTATACCTAAAACCATAAAAACCCTAGAAGAAAACCTAGGCATTACCATTCAGGACATAGGCATGGGCAAGGACTTCATGTCTAAAACACCAAAAGCAATGGCAACAAAAGCCAAAATTGACAAATGGGATCTAATTAAACTAAAGAGCTTCTGCACAGCAAAAGAAACTACCATCAGAGTGAACAGGCAACCTACAAAATGGGAGAAAATTTTCGCAACTTACTCATGTGACAAAGGGCTAATATACAGAATCTACAATGAACTCAAACAAATTTACAAGAAAAAAACAAACAGCCCCATCAAAAAGTGGGCAAAGGATATGAACAGACACTTCTCAAAAGAAGACATTTATGTAGCCAAAAAACACATGAAAAAATGCTCATCATCACTGGCCATCAGAGAAATGCAAATCAAAACCACAATGAGATACCATCTCACACCAGTTAGAATGGCAATCATTAAAAAGTCAGGAAACAACAGGTGCTGGAGAGGATGTGGAGAAATAGGAACACTTTTACACTGTTGGTGGGACTGTAAACTAGTTCATCCATTGTGGAAGTCAGTGTGGCGATTCCTCAGGGATCTAGAACTGGAAATACCATTTGACCCAGCCATCCCATTACTGGGTATATACCCAAAGGACTATAAATCATGCTGCTATAAAGACACATGCTCACGTATGTTTATTGCGGCATTATTCACAATAACAAAGACTTGGAACCAACCTAAATGTCCAACAATGATAGACTGGATTAAGAAAATGTGGCACATATACACCATGGAATACTATGCAGCCATAAAAAATGATGAGTTCATGTCCTTTGTAGGGACATGGATGAAATTGGAAATCATCATTCTCAGTAAACTATCACAAGAACAAAAAACCAAACACCGCATATTCTCACTCATAGGTGGGAATTGAACAATGAGATCACATGGACACAGGAAGGGGAATATCACACTCTGGGGACTGTTGTCGGGTGGGGGGAGGGGGGAGGGATAGCACTGGGAGATATACCTAATGCTAGATGACGAGTTAGTGGGTGCAGCACAACAGCATGGCACATGTATACATATGTAACTAACCTGCACAATGTGCACATGTACCCTAAAACTTAAAGTATAATAATAATAATAATAAAAGATTAAAAAAAACCTTTGTAGTATTTAAGGCTTTTGCAAAAAGGATAAGAGAAGATTTCATAGTAATTTTTATTCTTTAAAAGTATCACTTGATGACAACCTAATTTCTTTCATTGTTTTGTTTTCTCTCCTAAAATTGAAAAGTTTTCTGTTACATTACCCATTTAGGTGTGCTGTTTTTGTTGTCTTATAATCCTTATTATTTGGCTGACTAGATTGAATTTTTGCATCAGTGAACAAACATTTTCTTCAAAAAATACCTGGTGGTTTTACTATAAGAAGATTCTTTGTTAAATTATTTCAAGGGCATGAATTTCCATGCTTATCATCTCAGCCTAACAGGGTAAGGGTAATTAAGTGAAAGTATGAGGCCAAGCGCTGTGGCTCACGCCTGTAATCCCAGCACTTTGGGAGGCTGAGGCGGGCAGGTCACAGGGTCAGGAGATCGAGACCTTCCTGGCTAACACAGTGAAACCCCATCTCTACTAAAAATACAAAAAAAAAAAAAAATTAGCCTGACATGGTGGCGGGCGCCTGTAGTCCCAGCTACCTTGGAGGCTGAGCCAGGAGAATGGCGTGAACCCAGGAGGCGGAGCTTGCAGTGAGCTGAGATGGCACCACTGCACTCCAGCCTGGGTGACAGAGCATCCGTCTCAAAAAAAAAAAGAAAATATGAATTAATCGTAAGTATAGGTATAAAAAACCAAAAGAGATAAGTTACAAAAATTTGCTAATTAATTGCATACTGCCTGATTCATCTAATTTATGAGAAACCGTATCTTGGCATTCTGAATAGTATTAATTTGATTTGTAGAATAGCATCATAGTTGTGTCCCCTCTTCAAGCAGGGTGGGTCCCATAAGAGTGTCTATAGAGAGACTTGGCTCTCCGTGTCTGAAAGTGTTATGTATGCGTGTATCAATAGGTGTCCTTTTTTGTTTTTTTTTGAGATAGTCTCGCTCTGTCACCCAGGCTGGAGTGCAGTGGCACAATCTCGGCTCACTGCAACCTCCGCCTCCTGGATTCAAGCGATTCTCTCGCCTCAGCCTTCCAAGTAGCTTGATTCTCCCGCCTCAGCCTTCCGAGTAGCTGGGGTTACAGGCACCCGCCATCATGTCTGGCTAATTTTTGTATTTTTGTAGAGATGGGGGTTTCACCATGTTGGCCAGGCTGGTCTTGAACTCCTGACATCAGGTAATCTGCCTGCCTCAGCCTCCCAGAGTGCTGGGATTACAGGCATGAGCCACCGTGCCTGGCCAATAGGTGTACTTTTTAAATAGGTGAACTTAACTGCTGTTTTCATTGTAGATAAACCTACTTTATCAGACTTTTTATCTGAAAGTACCCTTCTACGATTCTCTAGCCTGTGAATTTCGGAATAAAATTAAGTTGCGTTGGTGAACATATGTATTAATTTCTGTTGGAGATATGCATATATAAGAACAAAATTGGAATGCCACTACATACATATCCACCAGAATGACTGCATTAAAAAAAAAAAAGACAATACCAGCAAGGATGTGAAACAGTGTTAACTGTCTTATACTATTGTTAGAAGGGGAAATTGGCACAACTACTTTGGAAAACTGTTTGGCAGTGTCTACGTATGTGTGTTCTGAGAGCTAGTAATCCTTCCTGTAGGTATATCAGTATATATAACATATATAAGTATGTATACACATATGTTTACATATATACATATAGAACATAAAATATACATATATACATATAACAGGTATACATAAACATGTATTAAGTACATATAAACATATATAACACATATATGTTTATATATATAAAACAAAAGAATAGCAGTCCTATTCATAATAGTTAGGAATAGCAGCCTTATTCATAATAGTTAACTTCAGCTGTCTATCCACTCTGTAATGGGAGATAATCATGGTATATTCACATAGTGGAAAACTTAAAACAATGAGAATGAACAAATTTATCACTACCATAACAACCGGATGAATTTTTCAAACATAGTGTTGAGTGAAAGAAACCAGCCATAAAAGACATATATTAATTGTACATACATACATTAAGTGTATATGTCCATTTACATAAGAGTTATATAAGATACTAATTTATGTATAACCACTTACGTGAAATATAAATAACATATTAATCTATGGTGTTCAGTGTCAGTCAGTGGCCAGCATAGCATTCAGTGGAGGTGGCGGTGTTGTGAAAGGATGGGCCACAAGAGAGGCTTCGGGGGGGTGCTGATAATATTCTGTTTCTTTAACTTGGTGCTATTTACATTGGTATGCTCTTTTTATGAAAATTTTTGAATTTTCTTAAGCCATATACTTGAGATTTACATAATTTCTGTGTTTTTAATACTTCAGTAACAAGTTTACCAAAACTATTACATGTACTTTGCTTTTCATTATATATACATACAATGTATATATGTATATTTATAGACGTGTGTATGTATATATATATTTTTAAGCATAGACACTATCGAAATAGTTCTATTTTAGGTAATTTATCAAAAAGAAAAATTCTAATAAGCAATAAAAAATTGGGTGTGTTTGTTTTGTGTTTGTATATGTGTGTGTGTTTCCAGACTGAACTGTTAACACTCTTTTTTCTTTTCTTTTTTTGTTTTTTGAGACAGGGTCTCATTCTGTCACTCAGATTGGAGTGTGGTGGCATGATCATGGCTCAATGCAACCTTCACCTCTAGGGCTCAAACAGTCCTCCTTCCACCTCAGCCTCCTGAGTTGTAACCACAGGCATATACCATCATACCTGGCTAATAATTTTTTGTAGGCATGGAGTCTCACTGTGTTGCCCAGGCTGGTCTCCAACTCCTGGGCTTAAGCAGTCCTCCAGCCTTGGCCTCCCAAAGGGCTGAGATTACTTACCTGAGCCACCACACCTGGCCTACTGTATTTTCTTATGCTACTTCATTAGTCAGTTCAAGCAAAAAATAGAAATTTACTCAGATGATTCAACTTAAAAGATCTTAGTGGAAAGCTGTTTCAGAGGTCTAAGGTTAAGAGAGCCAACAGTTAGTTTCAGTTACCAAAAACCGGCAATAGATAGCAGCCAGTCATGACCATTCCTAGGCCTGAGAGAACAAGTATAGCCCAGTGGGCCTTGGAGGTAAGGAAGAGGGGCCGCAGGCAGGATCCAGCTACTACCAGACCTTCCTCTACCATTCCTTCTTCCTGTTGTATAACCTCCATTGATCAAACTCCATTAGAAGCTGGTTGTCAAGGGAGTATTCTGTAGGAGAGAGCAAATGGAGAATAATCAGCATAACTAAGACTTTGGAAAACTCCAGAGAATTAGTATAGACTATGACTGTTTTCCCCTCTAATCATCGCTTGCCTTTGAAGTTCTATTTTGGGTAATTTTCATATTACATATGCATATCCATCCTTCTTTCTCCCTCTTTCTGGTTATGTGTATGTATATTTACACATAACAGAGAAAAAGACATACTATACTTCAACAGCAAGTAAAATGAAAATTAAACACTAAATTTAAAATCACTAATTAAAAAGTGATGATGTATAAGCAAATATGATAAGAGTTTAAAACAGTAAAATATGTTATTAGAAATATAGAGAAGGTAGGCATGGTCGCTTATGTCTGTAATCCCAGCACTTTGGGAGGCCAAGGTTGGAGGATAGCTTGAGCCCAGGAATTTGAGACCAGTCTGGGCAACATAGTGAGGTCCTGTGTCTATAAAAAATTTCTTTTAAATAAAAATTAAAAATTAGCCAGGCATGGTGGCACATGCCTATAATCCCAACCTACTTGAGAGGTTGATGTGGAAGGATCTCATGAGCCTGGGAGGTCAAGGCTGTAGTGAGCCATGATCATGCCACTGCCCTCCAGCCTGGGAGACAGAGTGAGACCCAGTGTGAAAAAAAGAAAAGAAAAAAAAAAAAAAAAAGGAAAAGAAATATGGAGAGCTCAATATTTGTTGGATTTTCTGGTTTTCTCTCAACTGAGGTTTGTAACTTAATTACCTAGTGTTTAGTACCATTAAGAAAATGTACAAAGTACAGTACTGCCTTTTGTTTTATCTAAACATTTTTATTATAGGAATTTTCAAGTGTATATAGAAGTACAGAGAAGAGTATAAGAACCCCTTGTGTGGTTATCACCCAACTTTAATAATTATGAACATTTTGCTAGTTATTGATTGTTCTGTTTCCTGTCCCTTATCTACAGACATACTTTTCTTTCCCTGGAATGTTTAAAAGTAAATTTAAGAAATTATATTTTACCCATAAATACTTCTGTCATTTTAATCTCTAACAAATAAGAAACTTTCTCATACATACAATGTTATTTATCACAGCTATCAAAATTTAATTGCTGAATATATCTAATATTTGGTACATATTAAAATGTCCCCACTTATTTCAAAAGTGTTTTCATGCCGTTTGTTTATTCATATGAAGATCCATATAAGCTCCATACATTGAGTTTAGTTGACTCTTTAACTTTTATTAGATCAGCAAGCTCACTAAACATTTTAATTTTTTTTCTTTTTTTTCTTTTGAGATGGAGTCTTGTTCTGTTGTCCAGGCTGGAGTACAGTGGTGCAATCTTGGCTCACTGCAACCTCCGCCTCCCGGGTTCAAACGATTCTCTTGCCTCAGCCTCCCGAGTAAGTGGGATTACAGGCACCTGTCACCATGCCTGGCTAATTTTGGTATTTTTAGTAGAGACTGGGTTTTACCATGTTGGCCAGGATGGTCTTGAACTTGTGACCTCAGGTGATCCTCCCACCTCAGCCTCCCAAAGTGCTGGGATTACAGGTGTGAGCCACTGCACCCAGCCAAAATTTTAATATTTTTATTTGCCTTATTAGCCACTTTAATTTTTTCTTTGGTTAATTTAAATATCCTTTGGCACTGTGTATGTTTTTGTGAATCCCCAAAATAACCTAATGAAATAACTTTAAAACTTGGCCTTTCTGGAAAGTATCTGTGTAGTGCTTAGCATTGTTTTAAGTACTTAATAACACTGGGATAGCACAAAAGAAGCATGAGCTTTAGCCAAAGCTGGCTTTAGGTTCTGTTCATTCCATCCATGTCAAGAGTATGCCCATGCCACCATTATGATCATGGGTATACTCTTAAAACTCTATGAAATTGAGCATGACAACATGATGCCCAGTTCAAAAGATATAGTCAAGAAGCTTTAGATTTAATTATTGTGAGTTAGTTATTTACATATTTATGAATAGATGAATCATCTCTGCAAACTGAGGCTTTCAAAATGACTGCAGACAGAGAAGTGGATGGAGGGCAGGAAGAGGTTCCTCTCTAGCAGTGAAGACATAAATGGGACCCCAATGTTAAGTGAATGCTTCATGTGTAAGTACAGACTGTGTAAGAAAGGGTTTTTTCTATTCAGAAACTAGAAATTGGGGAATAGTTACAAAATACAGAAGAATGTGTTACATTTCTAACAATAAAACTGGCTACTGGGTAAGTGAATGGTTGATCCCATTGTTAGGCATCAACAAATGAGGAAACCAACAAATGAAGTGCAAGGTAGAACAGCCCTTTTGTCTGCAGAACAAGCATGCCATGGTTCTTACCAGTTCATGAAGGCAGAGGCAGATGGCTAGTATCATCCTGAAAGTCAGTGTGTGAATGGGAGTGCAAGGGTGGTGTGTTTTTGGATTAAGGTAATGCCCTTTTGAGTTGCATCTCAATTCTCGGTTTATGATACCTCACTGGTATGTATAAAACCTTTCTTTCCCCTACCTTAGAAGAAATAACTTTGAACACCTAGATATTGAACTTTCAGCTTATCATAGTAACTGTACTATATTTAAACCGAACTATAGGTATTCTCGAAAATATTTCATTATCCATCCTTGCATTAGTCCTTGTAGTATTGCTATAAATGAATATCTGATGCTGGGTAATTTATAAAGAAAATAAGTTTATTTGGCTCTGGTTCTGCAGGCTGTACTAGCATGATACCAGCATCTACTTGGCTACTGGTGAGACCTCACAAAGCTTTTACTCATGGTGGAAGGTTAGGAGCAGGCATGTCATATGGTGAGAGAGGGAGCAAGAGAGAGAGGAGGCGCCAGCTTCTTTTGAATGATCAGATTTCATGGTAACTAAACGTGTGAGAACTCACTTCTAACTGTGGGGAGGGCACCACACCCCCATGAGCCAGATTCCTCCCACGATACCCTACCTCCACCATTGGGGATCACATTTTAATAAGAAATTTCGAGGGGACAAACATCCAAATTATATCAATCCCTTGAAAGAGGAAATTTAAGTAAGGCTAGAGTCGGGTTGAGTCAAACATGGCAGAATCCAATGAATTTATATTATTTACTAAAAATGAACTGGAACTAATTGTTGGTTTTAGCATTCTAGATTAGTCTTTTGGTTTTTTGTCAGTTTGTTTGTTTTTGAGATGGGGTCCTGATCTGTCTCCCAGGCCAGAGTGCAGGGGTGCTATCATGGTTCACTGCAACCTCTGGTTTCCAGGCTCATGTGATCCTCCCGCCTCAGCCTCCCAAGTAGCTGAGACTAGAGACGCAAGCCACCACACCCTGCTATTTTTCGTATTTTTGTTTTTGGTAGAGACAGGGTTTCACTGTGTTGCACAGGCTGGTCTCAAACTCCTGAGATCAATTGATCTGCCTGCTTCAGCCTCCCAAAGTGCTGGAATTACAAGCATGAGCCTCTGTGTGTGTCCTACATTAGTTTTTATAAGTGTGTCTATCAGGCAAGGTAAGTTTCTTCTATAAAAAGTGATATTTTTATATTGGGTAGGATGGAAGCTTTGCAGCTGAGAAAGTGACTTCTGCCCTGGGCCACACTGCCACCTGGGGGTCTAAAAGAAAGATGGCCATTGTGTCATAGCCAGAAATCTTTGACAATGACCTTGGTTCTATTTAAGACAAATACGAAGACACCATTATCTATTCATAGGCACCAGAATAATTCTGTGGGCTTACTTAATGATGTGGAATGATACACTATTATGAAAACACATTTTAAAATCGAATGTGTATTTCCATATTCTTTTCCTTTCCATCTTTTTTTTTTTTTAGCATATTACTAGCTATCTTGAGACAAAGGCAATGTACATTACCTGAGTCCTTTCATATGTATACTGCTACTTAGTACTTATAAAGCATTATGTGGGCAATGGTAGTAGTTTTCCAGTTATGCCATAAAATTGGTTAGTATATCAATGTCCTTTTCCCAGCTCAAATTCTTTGATCATAAAAATAGATTTTTGTGGTGTTGGTATGTTTGCATATGTTTATTTTAGGTCTTTTTGGTAGATGAGTTGCTGTTACCATTGGATTATTTGATCCTTTAGATATAACTGAAGGACAAATATTATATGATTTCATTTACATGAGGTACCTAGAATATTCAAGTTCATAGAAACAGAAAATGGAAGGTGGCTACCAGAGTTTATGGAGAAGGGACATCATGAGAATTATCATTTAATGGGTAGAGTTTTAGTTTGGGATGATAAAGTTCAGGAGATGGATAGTTGTGAAGGTTGCACAACAAAGTGAATGTACTTAATGCCATTTGACTGTATATTTAAAATGCTTATAGTACAGCTGTACTAGTAATATTGAATGGTCCACTTTCTTAGGGTATAGGAATGAATATGAAAGTGAATTTGATTTTCAAAAGCACATATTATATGCTAGAAGTGTTACATATATAAGGCTACAACCCTACGATGTATAAACTTACTACTAGCTCTCCTTTACCTGTAAATGAACCACATTGAGCTTAAAGTGGTTCATTTATACAAATTTATTAACAGCCTCCTGTTTGTTCAACTCTCAATGTAATTTGTCTGAGGTATAAGACTTATAAGCCAATAACAGAGGTGGCTGATATTTCAACCTATTTTTGCTTTACTCTTTCTGTTCCACCACTCTGCCTTCCATGAGAATATTGCAGATTCTTGTTATGATGAAATATGGACAATGGCATTCTGTTATACCATAGATTCTGACATGTCATAATGCAAGACTGGGGGAAAAAAGTCAAATAGTGACAATGCAAGCATCCCAAAATAATCCCAAGCTTGTGAACATCTGTGAGTTTTTTTTTTTTTTTTTTTTTTTGAGACCGAGTCTCGCTGTCACCCAGGCTGGAGTGCAGTAGCTCGATCTCAGCTCACTGCAAGCTCCGCCTCCCGGGTTCACGCCATTCTCCTGCCTCAGCCTCCCCAGCAGCTGGGACTACAGGCACATGCCGCCATGCCCAGCTATATTTTTGTATTTTTAGTAGAGACAGGGTTTCACCGTGTTAGCCAGGATGGTCTCGATCTCCTGACCTTGTGATCTGCCTGCCTCGGCCTCCCAAAGTGCTGGGATTATAGGCATGAGCCACCGTGCCCGGCCACATCTGTGAGTTTTAAACAGGTCATATCTAATTTGAATACACTATAAGATAGAAATTATTCATATACTATGAGGTTATCTATGACAGTATGTTTTGTTTTAAATTAGTTTCCCATCAGATATAAAGTTGGTGCTTTTCTTTATAATGCCATGAGCCTCTCAAGTCTCTCAGGGAAGAATTTCATTCTTACATTTATTTGCTGTTTCACTTTGCATTCCTTCCTTTCTATTTTGCTTTCTTCCTTTGGGAGCCTTCATCCTTCCAGTGAAAGAAGACTGAAGTTGTCTCTTCATGATAAATAATTCAATGGAAAATGTCAGAATATAATAATTTCCAAAGACTAGTCATGTAATGACTGATTTTTGGTAATGCTAAAGGCAAAATAACTTTAGCCTATACCATAAAAAAGATCTAGATATTCCCTTTGTATTTGTGGTAACTTGATTTTAGGTATACCCTTTCCATTACCCTTCAGAAATGGAATGTTTGATGTACTATCGAGAAAACTGAATCAATTCTGCATTTCGTGAACCCTGTTACTTATCTTTAGTAGCCATGGAAATAATTCCCCAGTAAATATATAGTTGCAAAATCACTGCCTAATTACCTTTCTTTACATACAAAATGACTAATATTTGATAAAATATGAAGTTTTTAAAAATAGTTACGATATTTTGTTACAGTGAAGCAATTTATATATTTTCTTAACATCTCCCCAAAACTCTGAAACACAGTGAATGCTTCTTTGGAAGCCAAGGAGCTTGTTGCTGACATAGTAATAATTTGGTTGTTTGCACATTTTATAAAATACTAAAATGTTGCAAGTTACCATATTCCTTAAATAACTTATGGTAAGATCTTATTGCTGAAGTGTTGGCTTGTGTGTAGGAGGGAAATTATGTGTTACAGTGTTATATAAAACTGACTCATATGAGTAGGTGAAAGATCCCAAGAATACCAGGACACCCACACTAGAAAAAGCCAATATGTACACTTTCTCTTTACACTATGTTCTAGCAGGCTGCTTAATGGAACTCTATATTCATTAAAGAAATTTCTGTAATTTCTTTCATTGCCTTGGTGGATATCTTTCTGGTTGAAAAAAAAAAAAAAGTGAGGCCGGGTGCAGTGGCTCAACCCTGTAATCCCAGCACTTTGGGAGACCAAGGTGGGCGGATCACAAGGTCAAGAGATTGAGACCATGCTGGCTAACACGGTGAAACCCCGTCTCTATTAAAAATATAAAAAATTAGCTGGGCGTGGTGGCGGGCGCCTGTAGTCCCAGCTACTCAGGAGGCTGAGGTAGGAGAATGCTGTGAACCCAGGAGGCAGAGCTTGCAGTGAGTCGAGATTGCGCCACTGCACTCCAGCCTGGGCGACAGAGTGAGACTCCATCTCAAAAAAAAAAAAAAAGAAAGAAATTTCGTGATCATTAAAAAAATTATTTTCTGTAGGATGAAAAAGCTTGACTCCGTATTTGAAGTAATTAACTTCTCCGTGCTTCAGTTTTTGTTCTGTTTTGATTTGTTTTGAGATGGAGTCTCAATCTGTCACCCAGACTGGAGTGCAGTGGCGTGATCTTGGATCACTTCAACCTCCGCCTCCCGAATTCAAGCAATCCTCCTGCCTCAGCCTCCCGAGTATCTGGGATTACAGGCGCCTGCCACCACTCCCAGCTAATTTTTGTATTTTTTAGTAGAGATGGGATTTCACTATATTGGTCAGGCTAATCTCAAACTCCTGACTTCAGGTGATCCACCTGCCTCGGCCTCCCAAAGTACTGGGATTACAGGCGTGAGCCACCGCTCCTGGCCTGCTTCAGTTTTTTAATTAGTTAAGATCAAAATAATAAAACATACCTACTTTTAGAGTATTTTAGAATTTTTTTTTTTTTGAGACAGAGTCTCACTCTGTCACCCAGGTTGGAGTGCAGTGGCTCAATCTCGGCTCACTGCAGCTTCGTCTCCTGGGTTCAACCGATTCTCCTGCCACAGCCTTCTGAGTAGTTGGGATTATAGGTGCCCACCACCACGCCTGGCTAATTTTTGTATTTTTAGTAGAGATGGGGTTTCGCCATGTTTGTGAGGCTGGTCTTAAACTCCTGACCTCAGGTGATCTGCCTGCCTCAGTCTCCCAAAGTGCTGGGATTACAGGCGTGAATCACCGTGCCCAACCTAGAATATTTCTTTCTTTTTTTTTTTTTTTGAGGTAAGAGTCTCGCTCTGTCACCCAGGCTGGAGTGCAGTGGTGTGATCTCAGCTCACTGCAAGCTCCACCTCCCGGGTTCACGCCATTCCCCTGCCTCAGCCTCCCGAGTAGCTGGGACTACAGGCGCCCGCCACCACGCCCGCTAATTTTTTGTATTTTTTAGTAGAGATGGGGTTTCACCGTGTTATCCAGGATGGTCTCGATCTCCTGACCTCATGATCCACCTGCCTCAGCCTCCCAAAGTGCTGGGAATCCAGGCGTGAGCCACCGTGCCCGGCCCAAATATCCTTAACTGTATTTATTATATTATCCAAAATATTGTTTGGTTGAATATCCCAAGTTAGATTTTGTTTGTATGGAGAATTTTTTGTTGGCGTTTGTTTGTCCACCTCCAGTACAAAAAGAAATCTAACAAACTTTCAAGGAAGTTTGTCCCGGTTCTCAAAATGGGATGCTATTCAAACTGAATTAATTCTATTATACATTAGTATGGTTATATTTTCCAGATTTAAAAAATGAATTTAAATTTATTAATTATGTTCTTAACTGATAATGATTAAAATAACCCTCCTTGTGATAGTTATTTGTATTAGAATTTCCATACTTGATCATGTAACTAAAGCTGTGATCAAATAATTAATGTTATTTTTACAAACTGTTTATTTGTTTTAGTAAAGAGGACTCATGAAAGAATTTTAAGTAAATCCAAATTTCTAGGATGTATATGTTTATCACATATATGTGTGTGTGTGTGTGTGTGTGTGTCTGCATGCATGTTGGTGTGTGTATCAGATTAAATTTTAATTAAGATGTGTTGAACACTTAGAAAAATATTGATTTGTAAATCTTTCTGAACCTTTTCTTAGTCAGTGGAAACTTAATTTGATCAGCAGGGTCTTCAGAAGTTTAGTTTTGAATTGTATCTTCAGAAGTTTAGTTTTGAATTGTAATCAGTCATAACTGTAACTATAGTGATCATTCCTTGGATTTATGTGACATCTTTATTTTTTATAATTTAATACTTTAACGTGTATGGTTCCATTGTAGTTGTCACTCCTACTGTATGCAAATAGTAGGTTGAAGGAGATAATTCTTGATAATTTTCTCAGTGTTGGATAATATCAAAGATAGAAATAGAATTCAGGCTACTTATGACCACTGATCCTTAGTTCTCTCCACTGAATCATTGTTTGCAAATATGTCTGTCAGATCTGTGAGAATTTTTTACTTTGTCTTTCTAGCTTAATGATAAAATAAGTTCTATGGGCAAAAACTCATTTCTCATAATACTTTCTTGTTGCATTAACATTTTTGTAAGATTGGACTTTGTTTCTTAAACCAGTGTTCTACAACTTAGGGTCTAAATACTGTTTTTGCTTTCTGGTGGCAGTTCAAATAAATGTCCACTGAGTGGCTATATATTGGCCACAGAGAGAGGCCCTTAGATACAGAAATGAATAAGACGTTGTCTTGTCTTTAAGAAATGCATTGCCTAGCTGCAGAGCATACATAAATTTTGTTACATTGTGTAGATGTCACAGTGGAAGTGTGTTGAAAATACATAGAGTATACTGGTTGAAGATGGCATGAAAGGAAAGTTCATCTTGGAATGCTTCTCAGGGGACTAATGTCTAAACTGGGTTTTAAAGGACAAATATGCATTTACTAACTAGATAGGGTGGGATATGGGAAGAGAATTTTTATGAGGTCATTTCAGGTAAAAGGAACATAATGATTAGGGAAACATTATACAGAAGAGTAATCCACATATATTCCAGAAGATGTTTTTAAGCATGTTTCTTCTTGCTTTTTAAGTAAAATTTTGCGGTAATTAGAGCATTTATCAAGTAGTACTTGTACTGATCCAAGCTTCTTTCCATCTGTGATCATTGATAAGCATTAAGGTGTCACTAATAAATGATAAAGTGAGTAGCAGGTAATAAAAGGGAAATAGAAGAATAAGATGCCTGGATTATCTACCAACTTTATAAAGAAAAGGTAACTATGTGTTTTCTAAAATATAAATTCTGCAGAAGACTCATTTATTCAACACATGTATATTGAGCTGGTATCTCCACTTCACAAGCCATAAAACTAAAGCACAGAGGTAAAGTAATTTGCCTAAGCTTACCAGTATAAATGGACAAGGCAGCTTACATTTTGATTCCAAGCCAGTGCTTAAAGAACTTGAAAAAAGCTCAGAGGGTCTGGAGTGCTGTTAATGAGAGAGAGACACAAAGTAAGGCTGGAAGCTAGGCCGTGAAGAGGTGGGACAGAATGGCTGGAAGCTAGAGAGGCAAAGTAAGGACCAAGGAGGCATTTTTGTTTGTTTTTAAGATGGGCAATGCTTAGCATGTATAAATGCTGATAAAAATTATCCAGCAAAGAGAGACAATTAGAAAGTACAGATGAAAGAAGGGGGGATCCTCAATAGTAAAGGTTTCTGAGAATGTAAGAGGGATTAGGACCCAGAACACCAATTTAGAGTTTGCCAGAAGGAACACCCCCTGGGAGGGCAGAGATGGGCATAGTACAGATGAAGAGTTAAGGTTTGTATTGGGAAATTAAAGGTGGTTAATTTATCTCATGTATTGGCCTATTGGGCTGCTTTGCTTGTGCACATTGTCCTTTAAGTATCCCGGATATACCTGAAACAACAACCTTATATGGATTAGAAGTGCTCTTGGCATTCATCTGGGAGTCTTAACTGTAGATATGGACAAGGAGGGGTTGGTATTTGGGAGTCTTAAGAGAGAAAGTTGTGACTCCCTGGTACAAAGGAAAAAGTGAGATAATGCTCTGCTCATTTGTTTAAATGGGAGCAGAGAATGAAAGCCACTCAAGCCTGGGTCTAGGAGATGTGGAGAGAAATACACATTAAGCCATCGGAAGAGGAATTGGACCAAGAGAGACATAGTTCCTACAGCTCATCTACCTTAAAGGTAATGAAAACCTACCATGTAAAATAATAGAATAGCATCACACTTAAAGAATCTAACCTTTTTTCTAAGTGCTTTTATATGCAATAACTTTTCAGATCACAAATCATAAAGCCAGGCGCGGTAGCTCACGCCTGTAATCCCAGCACTATGGGAGGCCATTGGAGGTGGATCACTTGCAGCCTGGGCAACATGGTGAAACCCATCTCTACAAAAAATACAAAAATTAGCTGAGTGCAGTGGTGTGTGCCTGTATTCCCAGCTACTCAGGAGTCTGAGGCAGGAGAACTGGTTGAGCCTGGGAGGTGGAGGTTGTAGTGAGCTGAGATTGTGCCATCGCACTCTAGCCTGAGCAACTAGAGTGAAACCCTGTCTCAAAAAAAAAAAAAATCAACACAAATCATAGAATTCTAAAGCTGAAGGATCCTTATATACTATTATGGATCATTTAATAAAAAAGAGAACTGAGACCCATCAAAGTTGAGTGATTAATCCAAGATTCCAAACAGCTTTTAGTGGCAAGTTCAGAACTCAAACCACAGGTTTTTAACTTGCAGTTTACTGTCTTTCCACCACACCATGCTTCCTTTAAACATGATCCTCGCCTCTCCAAACATTTTTTCTCTTATAATAGTTTATTCATCTATTCTTCTTCTTCTATTTTTTTTTTTTTTTTTTTTTTTTTTTTGTGACGGAGTCTTACTCTGTCGCCCAGGCTGGAGTGCAGTGGCATGATCTCAGCTCACTGCAACCTCCGACTCCCGGGTTCAAGCTATTCTCCTGCCTCAGCCTCCTGAGTAGCTGGGACTACAGGCATGCACCACCACGCCCAGCTAATTTTTGTATTTTTAGTAGAGATAATGTTTCACCATGTTGGCCAGGCTGGTCTCAAACTCCTGACCTCAGGTGATCTGCCTGCCTCAGCCTCCCAAAGTGCTGGGATTATAGGCGTGAGCCACCACGCCTGGCCCATCCATTCTTCATATATTGTGTTTTTCAGATTCTGTATTATTTTAGTGAGTCCTTAGCATTTAGTTGATATTTCTCTTCAAATACCTAATTTAAATGATCAGCTACTTGGTCTGCAAAATGTCTGTTAGGTGAAACCATCAAATTTATTTTGTTATTTTGTTTCAATAAATATGATGAGCTTTTTTTCATGTGTTTGTTGGTCGCATAAATGTCTTCTTTTGGCAAGTGTCTGTTCGTATTCTTTGCCCACTTTTTGATGAGGTTGTTTGTTTTTTTCTTGTAAATTTGTTTAAGTTCTTCGTAGATTCTGGATATTGGCCCTTTGTTAGATGGATAGATTGCGAAAATTTTCTCCCATTCTGTAGGTTGCCTGTTCACTCTGCTGATAGTTTCTTTCGCTGTGCAGAAGCTCTTTAGTTTAATTAGATCCCATTTGTCAATTTTGGCTTCTGTTGCCATTGCTTTTGGTGTTTTAGTCATGAAGTCTTTGACATTTCATATTTTTTTTGAATTCCTGTGTTTTCTTTTTGTGGATTGAATCAATTTTCAGAACATGAACTGAATATGTGAAGTTGAAAATAAATGATTAATAACTTAGACTTGTACTTTTGGATATAGATTTCATTTCGTTATCATAGGAACCAATGGGTAAGATAATGACAAAATTAGGTAACCATCAGTTAAGGGGGAAATGTTTACATGAACTTTAAAACAGGACCAGAACTAAAGGTTTCTGAATCTTTGATATTTTACCTTGGTGTTCTTTGATAAGTTGTCATAGGAACCAATGGGTAAGATAATGACAAAATTAGGTAACCATGAGTTAAGGGGGAAATGTTTACATGAACTTTAAAACAGGACCAGAACTAAAGGTTTCTGAATCTTTGATATTTTACCTTGGTGTTCTTTGATAAGTCCGCTTTGGATTCATTATCTTCATTGATGGAATGAAGAGGTTTATCAATACATGCAGGAATTGTTTACAAAATACCTCCCACACATGAGGAACTGAGTATACCATTTCATTTCTCAACTTCTTCGATTTTGTTCTCCATTTGCTCTCCTATAGACTGAAATGCCTTCTACCGCCCCATTTTTAGTTTCTCTTGGTGATAGCATGCCCTCCAGGCTGAGGCTATTTTTTAGTTCATCCTGCCTGCCCAGACTAACAAAGCTTCTAACTATATGGCATTCGAGTGGTTTGTGTAATTCTCTTTTGAAACAGAGGTAGTGTCCCAACACATCTAAACAAAGTCCCATTCAGCAACTCTTGTTAGCTATTAAAATATTAAATGAAAGACAGATCCTTATACCCCAGCAGTCAGATGATTGGCATGTCCAAGCTGTGGAATACGTACATGGCTTAGTTGCCTTTCCTATTGTAGATCTTAAGAACTACCTGTCAGTTTCTCTTGAAATCAACTTGCAGGCACCAGGCAGGTAACAGATACCGATGTGGCAGCTTGATTGCAAAGCAGGACTAGCCTCATATCTCAGGGGGACAGCTGCTTCTCAGCTTTAGCCAATTATTGCCAGGCCAGAGTACCCATCCAACATTGCCAAATTTCTCACTTTTTAAAGGTTTTTTGTGAATTATTCTGATTTTGAAATGTTAGCACCTAATGTGAATTTCCCAAGCACTCTGAGGCCAAAGCAGATCCTTCTGTAAACCAGACTGTGAGTTTGCAACTTCCACCCTAAGGCGAACAGTGTGACATGGATCCCTGTGCCTCCACATTGCTTCACCTGCCACCACTACCAGTATTAGCCAGCTCTGAAAACATTGAGGGCTCTGGGGCTGTTAGGAAGAAAGAAGAACAAAAGGAGGTAGGAACTTGTTTAGTTCTGTGTGTTACCTCAGCTCCTATACTTTTCCCCTTTGAAGGGGAAAAGCATTTATATTTAAAAATAAATAAAAGCCTATGTTCCTCTGAGAAACACTTTCTTTTCATGGATGATAACTCAATTTTGTTTTAAGATTGACCTTACCTGTCTGTTGAAATTGACCATAGCACATCCTTGATCCTTGAGATTTTACTATTCAACCTGTTTTTCTGTTTTTGTTGTTGTTCTTTTCACTCCCTGAAATTAGGAGAGTAGTACATATTTGTGTCTTCCACAGACGATACAGACTTTAAGATGTAGAAGCTCATGGTTTTATAGATGAAGGGATTTGGAACTCTTCCCTTCAGGGTCAATGTACTTGATTGTCTGAATTAAACTTGGTTCCCAAGTTAATAACTCCCAAGCTAATAAGTCAATTTTTGTGACTAGTTCTAAGGTACACTTCTGTCAATGAAGAAAAACTTTCTGGTATACTTTTGTGGAAAAATAGAAGGAAAGATAGGGGTAACAGGCAGTTGTTAAGTAAGACCTAAAGGTGACTGGGTGTGGTGGTTCATGCCTGTAATCCTAGCACTTTGGGAGGCTGAGGCGGGCAGATGACCTGAGGTCAGGAGTTCGAGATCAGCCTGCCCAACATGGCGAAACCCCGACTCTACGATAAACAAAAAATTAGCCGGGCGTGGTGGCAGGTGCCTGGAATCCCAGCTATTCAGGAGGCTGAGGCAGGAGAATTGCTTGAACCTGGGAGGCGGAGGTTGCAGAGAGCCGAAATCACACCACTGCACTCCAGCCTGGGCATCAAGAGTAAAACTCCGTCTCAAAAAAAAAAAACAACATATTCCTATCTTATGGAAAGATAGGAATATTGTAAGTGACCAATGAAAATTTCTAGTTACTGATGCCATCCTTCCAAAACATTGTTTTAAATGTTTTATATATATAAAACAGAAGAGGATTAATATAATGAATCTTTATGTGCCTATCACAAGCTTCAACAGTTACCAACTCAAGTATACACACCCCCAACCCCTGTGCCTCCCACTGGAGATATATTTATATGTAATTTTTAGCAACTTAAAACAATTTTTTTTAGAGTCAGAGTCTCACTGTGTTCCCCAGGCTAATCTTGAACTCCTGGCTTCAAGCTGTCCTCCCACTTCAGCCTCCTAAGTAGCTGGGACTTCAGGCTCATGCCATTGCATCCAGCTTGGATATTTTTTTAAAAGCAAATCTCAGACTTACATGAAATTAACCTTAAATACTTTGGTTCACATGACATTTCAATTAGTTTCCTCTGAGGAGGGAAGAGTTATTAGTGAATGAGCTAGAGAAAAGACAATAATAGAATAAAAAATAATTAGGGCTGGACATGGTGGCTCATGCCTGTAATCCCAGCCCTTTGGGAAGCTGAGGCAGGTGGATCACCTGAGGTCAGGAGTTTAAGACCAGCCTGGCCAACATGGCGAAACCCTGTCTCTACTAAAAATACAAAAACTAGCCAGGTGTGATGGTGGGCACCTGTAATCCCAGCTGGTAGGGATGCTGAGGCAGGAGAATCTCTTGAACCTGGGAGGCAGAGGTTGCAGTGAGCCGAGATAGTGCCACTACACTCCAGCCTGGGCAAAAGAGGGAGACTGAAAAAAAAAAAGAAAAAGAAAAAGAGAGAGAGAGGGAGGGAGGAAGGAAGGAAGGAAGGAAAAGAAAGGAAGGAAGGGAAAGAAAGGAAGAAAATTACAGAAAGGACAGAGTTAAGGAAAAATTATTATAATATGAAAGTTGCCTCAGAAGAGGCTACAGAAAGTTGCCTGAGAATAGGCTACATTTGCCACGGCTTTAAATACTGTGTGTGCTTATATATGTCTACTCTTTTTAGTTACGTGGAATTGTAGCCAAAGATTATTTCTGTACTGGATGCAGCCCCTGGGAAGAAGCTTTCAAAGTGACCCCTAGGGTTTCATTTATAGGGAAGGAGGAGCTTGGAGTACTTACAATCAACTGAAGTAGAAAAGGCTTTTAAGCTGATAGATTTGTTGTGGAAAGTGTCCATCAGTGCCTTTATGTTTTTACCTGGTCCTTAAAGTTTTTATTTGTGGTACAGCAGTTTATTCATATATATGTATGAATGTGTATATCTGAAACTTGAACAAATAAGGTAATTAATGTTTTTAGTCTACTTTAAATTGCATTTGCCTTCTATTTTGAATTCCCATCCAATTTCCTTTGCTATTCTTTAGAACTAGTCCAACTCTATCCCGCACCTGTAAAACTTTTAAATTTACTTATTATTAAAATTAGTCTTTTCCAGGCTAGGGGTGTTTACTGAATCTTACTTTGCCTAGAGACTGCTAAATGATTTATATGTTTTAAATTATTTAATCCTGCTAACGATCTTTTCAGACGTATACTATATTTTCCATTTTGCTAGTGAAGAAACTAGATTCAATGAATTTAAGGTTTCTCAGACAAAGTGGCAGAACCTATATTTGAATCATTTTTTTGACTTCAGAACTAGTATCATCTCCAGTGCCTACGATGCTACGTAGAGCTGTCTAGTCCAGGTACAGTGTTTTCTGCTTATAAGCTCATGATTTTAGATTCATAGTACTGAGCTATAGATTATAATTATCTATAGCAAAAGACCTGCTTTGTGAACTTGTCAAATTTATCTGTTTTGTTTTGTTTAAGATGGAGTTTTGCTCTTGTTGACCAGGCTGGAGTGCAGTGGCGTGACCTCGGGTCACTGCAGCCTCTGCCTCCCAGGTTCAAGCAATTGTCCTGCCTCAGCCTCCCAAATAGCTAGGATTACAGGCATGCATCGCCAAGACCGGCTAATTTTTTGTATTTTTAGTAGAGATGGGGTTTCTCCACGTTGATCAGGCTGGTCTTGAACTCCCAACCTCAGGTGATCTGCCCCCTTTGGCCTCCGAAAGTGCTGGGATTACAGGCGTGAGCCACCGTGCCTGGCCAGATTTATCTTAAAGGCATGTTGTTTATCACTTATTTGGTTGTGAAGGTCAAACAAGTATACCAGCCATTTTTATTTATAGCATAATATGTGAATAATGTATACATGAGCTATACAGGAGTGATGAAAGTGATTATATAAAGTTTTCACACCCACCCGGAAGGGGAATATCAGCTTCAGTGGTCATTTTCAGGCCTGTTCTCTATTGCTATCCAATAGAACTTTATGCAGTGATAGAAATGTTTTATATTTACAGATGTGTAATACAGCACCTGATAGCTACTATGGTTATTGATTACTAAAAAGTTACTAATATGACTAAGGGACTGAATGTTTTATTTTATTGCCTTTTAGTTAATTTAAATTAATTAAAAATTGGTCATTAGTGGCTACCATATTGAACAGCACAGCTCTATAAGATTATAGTTTGTATTATGATTTATATGTATTATAAAATATATTTATTTTAAGGCAAAAATAGAATACTTGATTTAATTTCTTTTTCTGAGATTCTTGTTGGGGCAAGAAGCATAATTTGTTAAATTCATTGCCTACTGCCTTTGAGAAAATACGAAAATTGCCTTAGATACTAAAGATTCATGGAACTAAACTTACTTTGGTTTATTTTATGCAGTTTCATCATGCAGCAAGTTATAAATATTACATAATTGATAATGCTTCTGGATGAGTGGAAATTTTCAGGTTCAAAAGTTAGCCGTTTCGTCCAGGCTCGGTGGCTCACACCTGCAATCCCAGCACTTTAGGAGGCTGAAGGAGGCAGATCACCTGAGGTCAAGAGTTCGATACCAGCCTGTTCAACATGGTGAAACCTCATCTCTACTAAAAATATTTTTTAAAAATTAGCTGGGCGTGGTGGCGGGCACCTGTAATCCCAGCCACTCAGGAGACTGAAGCAGGAGAATCGCTTGAACCCAGGAGGCAGAGGTTGCAGTGAGCTGAGAGATCACGTCACTGCACTCCAGCCTAGATGACAGAATGAAACTCCATCTCAAAAAAAAAAAAAGTTAGCTGTTTGAAAGTTTGCTAATATTTAAGCAGTAAACAGAAAAATTAAACTAAAAGTCACCATTGGAGTAAGGACTTCTTGCAGCTACAGGTGTAAAACATTGTCAAATAGCAATTCTGAGCCAAGTCAGGAAGGGACATTTAAAAATTTCGCACATCCTGACCCTCTTTCCACACCCCCTACCCCTGCCCCATTCACCACCTTTACACCCTTGAATATTCTGATGTGTTTCTCTTTCTGTTTCAAGGTACTTTGTATAATGGGAAATCTTACTGATAATAGTGAAGTACCCATGAGAATGAGATTGACAGGAAAAAAATACTTCAGAACCAGAGTTTTAGACTTTAATATTTAGGATGAATCAATGAAAGATTTGTTACTTGAAATTTTTCTATTTTTATTTTTTTAATCTTTTGGCTGCTGTCAAATTAATATAAATATATCAACCCAAAGATTCCTTTTTCTTAGTTGTTTTCAGAGTTGGTACCCCAGAAATTTATGTTGTCATTCTGAATAGATCCCTCTAAAGTTAACTATGTTGTTAGAAGATTTGTTTCATAAGGAGAATTTCTAGATATGTTAAGCTCTGGAACTGGATGAAAACTTTTTTCTTTGTGTATATCTTACTTTTTTAGACCTTTATGTTTTTCAGATTTTAAAAAGCAGATAGAGATACACAATTGCTTTAAAAAAATCAAAGACAGTGATAAAATTCCTCATTGGAGCAAAGAATCCTAATTTCTTCTGTTAGGGTCTTTCTTTGACAGAATAGTAATAGGACATTTATAATAAGAGGAAATTATAGTAATATTCTTTCTTCTCTGGGCATGGTATGCTTCTTCCTTTGTGCTTTGATTTGAGCTTCAAATTTTACTAGGCAAGCTGGGCACTGACATTGTCTCAGTAAGCTGAAAGTGTATTAAAATGAGATGAAGAGATGAGTTTTAGAAGCCTATTGGTGACTTTGTAGCCCCAAATATCTCATGTATATGGGAGTAGTCTTATGTTTAAGAGAAGAATGAGGCAGAAAGAATTGACAAAGTCGAATGATTATGCTTTCTGCATAGCTACCAATTCCATTAATACAGTATTAGGCCGGTCTGAACTGTGACAGTCTGGGAGTCTGTCACATATGTAAGAAATAGTCAGGATCACTTTCATTTAGTTTTTATCAGTTACCCAAAAGAAGGTGATAAGAAGTATCATGACGGGAAGAGAGGGTTCAAAAAAGTTAGCTTATAATCTACAAACCACAGTGTCTTTGGGAGTTAGGAGACCTGGGTTCTTGTTTTAGTTTGAATATTAGTTAGGTGTCTGACCTTGAGCAGTGATTTAACCTGCTTTGATCAGAGTTTTATTTTTTTCTTTCTGTCCCTTTTTATAATTTGGGAATATTTGATTATAGTCAAAGTAATGTATGTAAGGTACTGTTTCTACAATAGCAAAATAATAAATTTAGCACATATCACCCTACAACTCAATTTAAAAATATAGGAATATTAGTGATACTATTGAATTTAGTACTGGGTGGATTAGAATAGATCTCTGTGTCTCCTCATAAACTTTTTTGTTGTTTTCTTCCCCCGACTTAGATCTAGGGACTGTCTGGAAGAATTTTCTGATTCTAAATAGTTTTTATTCCTAGAATGATTTTCCTCTGTCATCAGTAGAGTTCAGTGTCCCTGAAGTACCAATTTCATAAGTGGTTAACGTGGTATGTAATAAATGTGATCATTTTTCTCTGAATTCTAAATGTAACATCTTTTTTGCATGTCTGGTAGACATATATGCAGCATGTCTAAAATCAACTGATATTACACATTCAGTGTAATAGCTATCAAGATTCCAGTTGCCTTTTTTTTTTGCAGCCTTGGCAAGCTGATTCTAAAATTCATATGAAATGCAAAGGATCCAAGATAGCCAAAACAATTTTGAGAAAGTCTCATACTTCTGATTTTGAAACTACTACATAGCTATAGTAATGAATGAAGACTATAAGTACTGGCATAAAGAGAGACATACACACGATCAGTGGAATACTAGAAATAAAAGCATACATTTATGGTCAGTTGATTTCAACAAGTATGCTTACTCATTGGGGGAGAGAACAGTATTTTCAACAAATAGTGCCGCAACAATAGTTAACTCACATACAAAAGTACGAAGTATAAACCCCTACTTTACACTATTCACAAAAATTAACTCAAAATAGATCAAAGATGTAAGAGCTAGAACTTGAAAGAAAACCTAAGTGTAAATTTTTGTGACTTGGTAGGAGACAGTGGCTTCATAGATATGACACCTAAAAACATACAACCAAATTAAAAGTACATAAACTGAATTTCATTAAATTAAGAAACTTCTGTGCTTTAAAGGACATCATTAATAAAGATAACCCACAGACTAGGAACAATTATTTGCAAATCATGTTTCTGATAAGGGACTTGTATCAAGAATATATAAAAAACTTATAACTCAGCAATAAAAAGATAACTCAATTAAAAAATGGGCAAAGGATATGAATAGACGGGCATCATCAATAAAGTGTAAAGATAACCCATAGACTAGGAACAAATATTTGAAAATCATGTTTCTGATAAGGGACTTGTATCAAGGATATATAAACAACTTATAACTCAGCAATAATAAGATAACTCAATGAAAAAATGGGCAAAAAATATGAATAGACATTCATCCAAAGAGGATATACAAATTGCCAATAAGCTCATGAAAAGATGCTGAACATCTTTAATCTTACCCATGAGGATGGCTATAATCAAAAAGAAAGACAATAGTAAGTGTTGACAAGGATGTGGATTAATTGAAATCCTCATGCACTCCTAATTGGAATGTAAAATAGTGCAGCCACTTTGAAAAACAGTTTGCTAGTTCCTCACAAAGGTATGCATAAAGTTACCACATAATCCAGCCCTTCCACTTGTAGATGTATTGTACCCAAGAAAATTGAGAATATATGGTGACAAAAACATGTATACATTTGGTCTTTCACTATTTTTCATGTTATCCTAAAAGTAGAATGAAGCCAAATAGTCATGGACAAACAAATGTGCTGAATCCATAAAATGGACTAGTATCCATGAAATGGAATACTAATACACTGTATCACATGTATGAACCTTGAAAACATCATGCTGAGTTAAGGAAGCCAGACACAAGAGGCCACTTATTGTATGATGGCGTATTTATGAAATGTCCTGGAATTAGATAGATGATTGCACAACTTTGTGAATACATTAAAATCTGCATTGTATGCTTTAAAAGAGTGAATTTCAGGGCAAGTGAATTATATTTCCATTGAAAATATTGAATTTACTAATTTCCTTGTCAATCCTGCCCCTCCTACAGTCTTCTCTATTTCAGAATTTAGAGACCATTTGAAAGGTGTTCTGCTGTCAGAGGTGGTAGATTCTTAAATGAGAATGAGATCCAGAGGCAGTCAGTAGAGTGATAATTTGAGGTTCTTTAGGAATAGACTGTTCCCCAATCCTGTACTTTGTATCCACGTAAAAAATTCTTTGGGCAGGCATCTAGTAATGTAACAATCTAACTTCAGATGAATCAGTAAGTGTGGCTTTCTGGTTCCTTTGGAAAGATCACCACAGCTTCCCATGGCTGGCATTCTCGGGATGAATGAGAACTACTTTACCCATAAAATTAACTATTAATACAGTCTACTCCAAAGCACCTCCCATCTCTTCTCTAAAAATAGATTGTCATGAATAGTGCTTTAACAGAATGGCTATGACAACACTGTTAGCTGTTCACCAAAATTTGTTTCTTACTCTTATTGAGGATATAGCTAGCCTACTTTTCCCTACTTTCCTTACAGGTAATGTAAGGCCATGTGACTGAGTTCTAGCCAATGAAATATTAGCAGAAGACACTTCCCACATGTGTTTTCTTGCTATTCCCCCTTGCCAGCTAGATGGAGAACCTAGGTGTTGGCAAAACCTCAAGATGTAAGGGGCCTGGATTCCTGTTACCACATGGAGGAGAACTGCTTGCAAATCAGCAACACCTTCTCCTACTACTATGTGATTAGGAAATAAATTCCTTTTTCAGATGAATTCTTACATGTTTTGGAGTCTATTTGCTATATAGCCAAGTCTACCCTAATCAACATACCAGCTGAATGTAATTCTCACAAAAAATAATGACAAAAAAAGAAAAATCTCCAAAGCCAGTATCATGACAGGCAATGAACTAAACAAATAAAATTAATTCAAGGAAATAAGCAAAGTAGATTTTGGAATAATTTAATCCTTTAGAGATGTGGAATATTTTATCCATAAACAATAATCAACTAGAGATACTGGCAAGCTGAAATTTTTAAAAAATCAATAGTTGGGCCGGGCGCGGTGGCTCATGCCTGTAATCCCAGCACTTTGGGAGGCCGAGGTGGGTGGATCACCAGGTCAGGAGATCGAGACCATCCTGGCTAACACGGTGAAACCCCGTCTCTACTAAAAATTCAAAAAGAAATTAGCTGGGTGTGGTAGTGGGCGCCTATAGTCTGAGCTACTCGGGAGGCTGAGGCAGGAGAATGGTGTGAACCTGGGAGGCGGAACTTGCAGTGAGCCGAGATCGCGCCACTGCACTCCGGCCTAGGGGACAGAGTGAGACTCCGTCTCAAAAAAAAAAAAAAAAAAAAGAAAAAAATCAATAGTTGGCCTCAGTAGTAGTATGGAGTCATTTGGAGGGTGAACTAGAAGGTTGAAAAAGAAACTCTTGTAGTTAGAAAGTGTAAGAAGTCGGCCGGCCATGGTGGCTCACGCCTGTAATCCCACCACTTTGGGAGGCCGAGGCAGGTGGACCACATGAAGTCAGGGATTCAAAACCATCCTGGCCAACGTGGCGAAACCCCGTCTCTAGTAAAAATACAAAATTAGCCAGGCGTGGTGGCACATTTCTGTAATCCCAGTCACTTGGGAGGGTGAGGCAGGAGAATCGCTTGAACCTGGGAGGTGGAGGTTACAGTGAGCCAAAATCGTGCCATTGCACTCCAACCTGGGCAACAAGAGCAAAACTCCGTCTCAAAAAAAAAAAAAAAAAAAAAAAAAAAAAAAAAAGTATAAGAAGGCATTGTGATCCCATTCAGTGGCCAGGCACACTGAAAGAGTTTGAGCAGGTCATTGACATAAAGATAGTTTTCATTTGTGTATTCTTCTTGACCCAGCCTAAGTTATATATACCTCTTGTATATAATTGTTCTGTGGTTTCTGGTGCCTCTTTTGTTGGCTGAAATAAAAAAATAGCAAGACTGTTGGATTTGGAGAATGGGAATGGAAAATTTGCTCTCCTAATATTCTCCATTCTAAATTGTAGTAGCGCATTGAGAGAGACCCAAGACCACAGCACAATTCACAATTACAAAGATACAGAAGTATCATAAGTGCCCATCAGCCAATGAGTGGATAAAGTAAGTGTGGTATGTATATACCATGGAATACTACTCAGCCATGAAAAAGAATGAAAAATGTCTTTTGCAGCAACCTGGATGGAACTAGAGGTCATTATCCTAAGTGAAGTAACTCAGGAATGGAAAACTAAATACCAAATGTTCTCACTTATAAGTAGAAGTTAAGTCATGGGTATGCAAAGGCATACAGAGTGGTATAATGGACCTTGGAGACTCAGAAAGGGGAGGATGGGAAGGGGGTGAGGGATGAAAAGTCATCTTTTGGGTAGAGTGTACACTATTTGGGTGTATAGTAGACTAAAAGCCCAGGCTTTACCACTCTGCAATTAATCTATATAACCAGAAATCACTTGTATTCCTAAAGCTGTTCAGATTATTAAATTAAAAAAAAATTAAAGATTTAAAAAGAGAGAGAGTGAGAGACCCAATAAATTAATAATGAGAGCCTGGTCACTATTTGTGAAAGGCTCCGAAACAATGTTTTTATATAATATGAATGTTGATATGGTTTCACTGTGTCCCCATTCAAATCTCAACTTGAATTGTATCTCCTGGAATTCCCATGTGTTGTGGGAGGCTGTACTGTCTAAAAATGGCTGCACCAATATTTCCTATTAACACATGTTCTTCCTGGAAGGGACCCAGTGGGAGGTAACTGAATCGTGGGGGCCAGTCTTTCCCATGCTATTCTCGTGATAGTGAATAAGTCTCATGAGATCTGATGGGTTTATCGGGGTTTGCACTTTTGCTTCTTCCCGATTTTTCTTTTGCTGCCACCATGTAAGAAGTGGCTTTCGCCTCCTGTCATAATTCTGAGGCCTCCCCAGTCATGTGGAACCGTAAGTCCAATTAAACCTCTTTTTGTTCCCAGTTTCGGGTATGTCTTTATCAGCAGCATGAAAACAGACTAATACAATAATTGGTATCAGTAGAGTTGGGCGTTGCTGAAAAGATACCCAAAAATGTGGAAGTGACTTTGGAACTGGGTAACAGGCAGAGGTTGAAACAGTTTGAAGGGCTCTGAAGAAGACAGGAAAATGTGGGAAAGTTTGGAACCTCCTAGAGATTTGTTGAATGGCTGTGACAAAATTGCTGATAGTTATATGAACAATAAGATCCAGGCTGAGGTGGTCTCAGATGGAGATGAGGAACTTGTTGGGAATTGGAGCAAAGGTGACTCTTGTTATGTTTTAGCGAAGAGACTGACGGCACTTTGCCCCTGCCCTAGAGATTTGTGGAACTTTGAACTTGAGAGAGATGAGTTAGGGTATCTGGCGGAAGAAATTTCTAAGCAGAAAAGGATTCAAGAGGTGACTTGGGTACTGTTAAAGGCATTCCGTTTTAAAAGGGAAACAGAGCATAAAAGTTTGGAAAATTTGCAGCCTGATGATGCAGTAGAAAAGAAAAATCTATTTCTTGAGGAGAAATTCAAGCTGGCTGCAGAAATTTGCATAAGTAGCAAGGAGCCTAATGTTAATCCAAAAGACCATGGAGAAAATGTCTCCAGGCCATGTCAGAGACCTTCACAGCAGCCCCTCCCATCACAGGCCTGGAGGCCCAGGAGGAAAAAATGGTTTTGTGGGCCAGGCCCAAGGACTTGGTGTCTTGTGTCCCAGCCACTCCAGCCATGGCTGAAAGGGGCCACTGTAGAGCTTGGGCTATGGCTTCAGAGGGTGGAAGCCCCAAGCCTTGGCAGTGTCCATTTGTTATTGAGCCTGCAGGTGCACAGAAATCAAGAATTGAGGTTGGGAATCCCTGCCTAGATTTCAGAAGCTGTATGGAAACACCCGCATGCCCAGGCAAAAGTTTGCTGCAAGGGCAGGGCCCCCATGCAGAACCTCTGTTAGGGCAGTGTGGAAGGGAAATGTTGGGTCGGAGCCCCCACACAGTGTCCCTACTGGGGCACTGCCTAGTGGAGCTGTGAGAAGAGAGCCACCGTCCTCCAGAACCCAGAATGGTAGATCCACTGACAGCCTGCACTGTGTGCCTGGAAAAGCTGCAGACACTCAACACCAGTCCATGAAAGCAGCCAGGAGGGAGGCTCTACCCTGCAAAGCCACAGGGGCAGAGCTGCCCAAGACCATGGGAGCCCACCTCTTGTATCAGCATGACCTGGATGTGAGACCTGGAGTCAAACAAGATAATTTTGGAGCTTTAAAATTTGACTGCCCTGCTGGATTTCAGACTTGCATGGGCCCTACAACCCCTTTATTTTGGCCAATTCCTCCATTTGGAACTGCTGTATTTACCCCATACCTGTACTCCCATTGTATCCAGGACGTAACTAACTTGCTTTGGATTTTACAGGTTCATAGGTGGAAGGGACTTGCCTTGTCTCAGATGAGACTTTGGATTGTGGACTTTTAGGTTAATGCTGAAATTAGTTAAGACTTTGGGGGACTGTTGGGAAGGCATGATTGGTTTTGAAATGTGAGGACATGAAATTTGGAGGGGCCATGGGGGGAATGATATGGTTTGGCTGTGTACCCATTCAAATCTCAACTTGAATTGTATCTCCCAGAATGTCCATGTGTTGTGGGAGGGACCCAGGGGGAGGTAATTGAATCATGGGGGCCTCTTTTCCATGCCGTTCTCATGATAGTGAATAAAGTTTCACAAGATCTGATGGGTTCATCAGGGGTTTCTGCTTTTGCTGCTTCCTCATTTTCCTTTTGCCTCTGCCATGTAAGAAGTGCCTTTTGCCTCCCCAGCCATGTGGAACTGTAAGTCCAATTAAAACTCTATTTCTTCCCAGTTTTGGTATATCTTTATCAGCAGCATGAATACAGACTAATACAAATGTTTATAATTTTTCCTATATTTTTTGACTTCTCTCCCCCTTCTGTTTCATTTTGGATGTTTTGCTCTGTCTTCAAGTACACTAATCTTTTCTTCTACAATGTCTTATCTGTTGTTAACCATATCAAATGTATTTTTATCTTTTTCAGACATTCTAGTTTTCACCTCTAGAAGTTTAGTTTGGATTTTTTGTGCGTCACATATCTCAAACATGCTAAGTCATTTTCTCTAGCTTCTTCTACATATGGAATGCTGTAATTAGTAACAGTTTTAATATCCTTCTAGTGGTTTAAACTACTGGTTTTAGTTGATTGGTTTTCCTCCTCATTGTTGGTCAGTTTCCTGGAGTTTGTGTGGTTGGTAATTTCTGTGTGTGTGTGATTTTTTGTTTCTGTTTTTATTAGCTCATCAGGTGTTTTTAGTGTTAGTGGTTTGTTTTTTTTTTGTTTTTTTGTTTTTTTGAGATGGAGTCTCGCTCTGTTGCCCAGGCTGGAGTGCAGTGGTGTGATCCCAGCTGACTGCAACCTCCGCCTCCCAGGTTTAAATGATTCTCATGCTTCAGCCTCCCAAGTAGCTGGGATTACAGGCATGTGCCACTTTGCCTGGCTAAGTTTTGTATTTTTAGTAGAGACGGGGTTTCTCCATGTTGGCCAGGCTACTCTTGAACTCCTGATCTCAGATGATCTGTCTGCCTCGGCCTCTGAAAGTGCTGCGATTACAGGCATGAGCCACCGTACCCGGCCAGTAATTTTTTACTGGATGCCAGACATGGTATATATTTCCATGTTAGTGTTGGAAATTTTTAATATTCATAGGAATATTGTTGAGCTTTATTCTAGGACATAGCTAGTTTACTTAGAAACGGTTTGATCCTTTAGGGCCTGGCTCTTTAACTTTCGTCAAATAGGACTAAAGCAGTATTTAATTTAAAGATGATTTTGCCCCACTGTGAAGGCAGAAACTCTTCTGAGTACACAATATTCTGTGTGAATTATGAGCAGAAACAATTCCTGGTCTGGAGATTGTTCCCTCAAATCTTTCAAGTGATTCTTTACCTGTGCTTTGGTAGTTTGCTCACTGGCATGCATTGAAGAGTACTAGGCTAAAGACTTGAAGGGATGTTTGGATGTAGTAGATATGGATATCTCTCTCATGTGAACTTTAATTGTCTTGGCCTTCCCAGATGCTCAGCTCCCCCTCTTCAACTCACAGAGACTGGATATTCTGAGGCTCCATCTGGGTCCCCCCTGAAAGCTCTTCTCTAGGCTTACTCTTTGGCTTTCATAGGCTAACGTCTTTTGATTTCTGTCTTTCAAGGATCACTGGCCTTTGTTGTCTCATGTCCAGTGTCTTAAAACCCATTGTTTATTTTGCATTTTTTTTTGTTTCTTTGTTTTCAGATTTAGATAGAGGGTTAAATCCAGTCTGTTACTCTCTTGGCTAGAACTCTTTCTATAGTTTTAAGAGTCTCGTAAAAGCAGTATGAGAAGGCTCTGAAGCTCAATTGCTTCAGTTTAAATGCCGGGTCTTCTACTACTAGCTGTTTGACCTTGGATACGTTACTTAACCTCTCTGAGCCTCAGTTTCCTAATCTATAATAGAAACATAAAATTTTTTAGTATCATAGGGTGTTTTTGAGGATTAATAGAGTTAATGCATATGAAGTGCTTCAAATATTGCCTGTTATATAAGCTCTCAATAAGCGAGTTATTCTTTTTTTTTTTTTTAATTTTATTTTATTTTATTTGTTTATTTTTTTTGAGACGGAGTGCTCTGTCACCCAGGCTGGAGTGCAGTGGCGTCATCTCGGCTTACTGCAAGCTTTGCCTCCCAGAATAAACAAGTTATTCTAAAATAAAATTTCTATTGCAAGAGACTCCACCTTTGGAAGGAGACAGATGTTGGTTTCATTATCAGCTCTACCACTTATTGTGGACTTAATTAACCGTTGTTAATCTCATTTTACTCATTACAAAATGTGGACCAGGTGCCATGGCTAATGCCTGCAATCCCAGCACTTTGGGTGGCTGAGAGCCCAGGAGTTTGAGACCAGCCTAGACAACACAGTGAGACCCTGTCTCTACAAAATATACAAAAATTAGTCATATATGGTTGTCTTTGCCTATAGTCCCAGGTACTCAGGAGGCTGCAGCAGGAGGATTGCTTGAGTCTGTGAGTTCGAGGCTGTGATGACCCAAGGTTTTGTCACTGCACTGTAGCCTGGATGATAGAGAGAGACCCTGCCTCAAAAAAAGAAAGAAATGGGGATGATAATAAACCTACTTATTAAATAGTTATATGGATAAAATAAAATGGTATTTGTAAAGCACTTGGCACAGTGCCTGGCACAGATGAGTTACTCAGTGATTATTATTGTTCCAATTATTTTATTTTTTATTTTTTGAGATGGAATCTCACTCTGTTACCCAAGCTGGAGTGTAGTGGAGCAATCTCGACTCACTGCAACCTCTGCCTTCCGGATTCAAGTGATTCTCCTGCCTCAGCCTCCCGAGTAGCTGGGATTACAGGTGCCCACCACCACACTTGGCTAATTTTTGTATTTTTAGTAGAGACGGGGTTTCCGCATGTTGGCCAGGATGGTCTCGAACTCCTGACCTCAGGTGATCCGCCCACCTTGGCCTCCCAAAGTGCTGGAATTACAGACATGAGCCACCACGCCCAGCCAAAACAACTCTTAAAATACCATTGCTTGTTTTATTATCTGTAATGGTTCAGGGGTTTGGCTGGGTTCACTCGGGATTTCTCATTGCAATTGTATTGGATGGTGTCATCTTTGAGGCTTTCCTAGTCACATGTCTGTCAGTTGATTTAGGTTCTTTGCTGGAATCTCACCTGGTGCTATGGACACCCTCATTTGATCTCTTTAGTTCCTCATAGTATGGTTACTGAATTCCAAGAACAAACATCCCAAGAGGATCAAGTGGGAAGACTATCTTTTATGACAGCTTCAGAAATCACCTAGTATTACAGTGTAGTTGTAATCACCTAGTATTACAATGTACTAGGTTATTTCTATTTTAGTCATAGGCCCACATAATCTCCAGAGGAGGAAACATAGACTCCTCTCTTAGTAGGATGAGGGTCAATGTCACCTTGCAAGAAGAACTTGTGTGATGGGAAGTATTGGTGCAGCCATTTTTAGACAGTACAGTCTGCCACAGTTAGCTATTATTCATGTGCATGTTTACATGTATACACACATTTCACATACAATTTTGGGTCCTCTCCCCTTCTTTACAAAGTTTTTTTGTGAGCTCTTTTGTCTATATCTGAAGTACCTGTGGCCAGCATTCTTCTGGCTTCCATTTGAGCCTTATAAATCATTATTAGTCTTTAATCAGAGTGCATGAAGTCTGCCTTTTGAGACTAATACATTAATTCCTTCTCATTTTTATCATTAATGAATAATTTGCCCACTCATATGTGTTTATGGAGGACATCAGCAATTGGCATAAAGTCTTTACTCCTATTTCTTGTGTTTTGCATGTGATTGCTAATAATTTGTGTTATAGTGAATGTCTTAGTATTTTCCAACTGTTGTTCAACTGAAATATCTTTTATTACTTTACAAAGAGACTGAATTCCAGATTGATGTGATTGAAGTTTCATCATAAGATTACTTTGAGATTTTTCAAAGTAAATGTATAGCGGCTGTTCAGATAAATGTCAACATTTTATTGATGTCAACTCAACAATTAATTGCCAAGAGTGGTTTTCATTAAAATTGGTGTGCAGCTGAGAGCGCAGGAAATCTTTGTTAAAAGAGGAAAGATCATGAATCATAATGCCTAGTTCTTATCTACTTAGGCTATTTGTGTATTTTTCTATTTCTTTTAATCTTGCTTAAGCCCGATAGACCTGGAGATTTGGCCAAAAACAAGAACTCTAAAATACTAAATATTAAAGGAGCTCAAGTATTTCCTTTTCCTTTGTAATTTAGCATACATATTTGGGAAGTCGGGTCTGTTCTGTCCAGGAGGCAAAACTATGGCAACTCTTCATCTTTGTACAATACTCTAGAGTTTCCAAAATTACTCTAACTAAATGGGCTTTCTAGTCGAATACATTTCAGTAAAATAAAAAGAATATGGCTTCTGGTACAAAATGGTAGAATAAGTAACCACTGTCATTTCCCTTGTTTCCCTCTCAAAATCTCATTAAAACTCATTATAAGTATAAAAAATAAACCCATGATAGTGAAGAGAGACTGGTCATTTGTAGATGAAAAGGTTCAGCAAATTTACTGAAGATTGCTGACAGCTGAAATAGAAAAAGAGGTAGTTCCAGCCCAGAGTACAAAATAGAAGGAAACTTAGTGGACCTAGCAGCTGATTTTTCTACATATCCAACAGCAGAAGGGATAAAACACAACATATTACCTAGAATTATAAGTCCACCCCTTCATTCTGAACCACCAGTGATCATCCATCATAGGAAGCAAATGAGCATTTTGAAAGAGGGAGACTGTCCTCAGAAGAAGCAGATTATTCAGGGAACATAAGATACTTCAGAAAAAATATTCTGAGAAACATAGAGAATGCTGAAAAGCCACAGCATTTATAAAATGAAAAATGGCTATGAAAAATGAACAGGCTGAGAATAAGAAAGAGCTCTTATAAATCAAAAGTATGATTCTTGATATTTTAAAACTTAATAAAGTGTTGGCCAGGCACAGTGGCTCACGTCTGTAATCCCAACACTTTGGGAGGCCAAGGCGGGCAGATCACCTGAGGTCAGGAGTTCAAGACCAGCCTGGCAAACATGGTGAAACCCCATCTCTACTAAAAATACAAAAATTAGCTAGGTTTGGTGGCGCGCCTGTAATCCTAGCTAGGAGGATGAGGCAGGAGAATCATTTGAACCCGGGAGGTGGAGGTTGCAGTGAGCTGAGATTGTGCCACTGCACTCCAGCCTGGGTGACAGACAGAGCGAGAGTCTCTCAAAAAATAAATAAAATAAAATAAAAAGGGTTGAAACAAGGAACCTAAAAAGACAGAAAAATAGAGGAAAGAAAATTAAACAGAACAACCCAAGAGGTTAAACACATAGCTAAGAGATACTTCATAAAGAGAAAATAAAATAGGAAAATTAAACATTAAATTGAAGGAATTATCAAATAAATTTCATAAGGAAAATTTTCACGTCTTATTTTTCCAGCTCACACCTTTTCTACTCCAGTTCCAACAATTAGTCAAAACACTACCAGGACCTACAATCTATTGATCCTTCCAAACGCTACACCTTTGCACAGTCTCTCACTCTCCTGATAGCCTCTTTTCTTCATACCTAGATTAAATTCCATGGTTAATCATTCTAATACTTTCCTCAAATACACTCTCAAATTTCTTGCTCCTTCTTATTTTCTGTCCTCATGTGGCTAGGACAGTTCTGGTTAAATCCGACTTTTCATCAAGCTTGTTCCTGTATGCCCGTACTTCTAATGGTGGTTGGAGAAAAACCTGCCAATTATTCTAGCTTTAAATCCATGCTCTGGCTGGCAGTCATACTATACTGCACTATTCATTCTCTATCATTCTCCATGACAACTATTTCTTTCTTTCTCCCATGTCCTCAAATTTCTAACACCTCCTCCTGCATCTTAACACCCAGTTGATGACACTGCTTCCTCCGTTTCCAAGGAAATGAAGCTATCAGACAAGAAGTATTATAAGCTCTCTATATCTACTCATGTCTCTGCTTTTTTACCCCTGTATTTTATCGTCTCCCCTAATACCCTGGATGAACTATCCGTCTGTTGATTCTGTCATACAATTTCTTTCTTTTTTTTTTTTTTTGAGATTGAGTTTCGCTCTTGTTGCCCAGGCTGGAGTGCAATGGCGCAATCTCAGCTCACTGCAACCTCTGCCTCCTGGGTTCAAGCGATTCTCTTGCCTCAGCCTCCCAAGTTGCTGGGATTACAGGCACTCACCACTATGCCCAGCTAAGTTTTTGTATTTTTAGTAGAGACAGGCTTTCAGCATGTTGGCCAGGCTGGTCTCGAACTCCTGACCTCATGTGATCCACCCGCCTCAGCCTCCCAAAGTGCTGGGATTACAGGTGTGAGTCACTGCACCAGGCCGTGTCATGCAATTTTTTTTGTTTTTCTTTTCTTTTTTTTTTTTTTTTGAGATGGAGTCTTGCTCTGTCACCCAGGCTAGAGTGCAGTGGCACAATCTCGACTTACTGCAACCTCTGCCTCTTGAGTTCAAGCAATTTTCCTGCCTCAGCTTCCCGTGTAGCTGGGATTACAGGCACCCGCCACTGCACCCGGCTAATTTTTGTATTTTTAGTAGAGACAGGGTTTCACCATCTTGGCCAGGCTGGTCTCGAACTCCTGACCTTGTGATCCACCCGCCTCAGCCTCCCAAAGTGCTAGGATTACAGGTGTGAGCCACTGCACCTGGCCCTTGTCATGCAGTTTCAACCATTGCCTCCTATTATGTACTCAAGAACATTGCTCTGGCAATTCTATAGATTTTCTCCCACTCAATCCATTCTCTATTGATCGTTCTTATTACCATAAAAGCACACTATTTTCCCCTTTATTTACTTATTTATTTAGATGGAGTTTCACTGTGTCACCCAGGCTGGAGTGCAGTGAGCCATCTTGGCTCACTGCAACCTCCACCTCCCGAGTTCAAGCGATTCTCCTGCCTCAGCCTCCCCATTAGCTGGAACTACAGGAGTTTGCCAACATGACCAGCTAATTTTTGTATTTTTAGTAGAGATGGGGTTTCATTATGTTGGCCAGGCTGATGTCTAACTCCTCACCTCAAGTGATCCATCTGCCTCAGCCTCCCAAAATGCTGGAATTACAGGCATGAGCCACCATGCCCGGCCTATTTTTCCCTTTAAAAACAAAGCAACCAAACCAGCCTACTCTTGACTGCATATTCTCCTCCAGTTACCACTATATTTCTTTACTTCTTTACTGCAAAATTCCATGTAATAATTATGTGTATTTGTTGCTTCCATTTTTCAGGTCCTATTGTTGTTGGGTTTTCATGCTAACCATAACACCAAAATTACACTTACGGAGGCTACTAATACTCCCCAGAGTAGCTAAATCCAGTGATCATTGCTCATTTCTTATTTTATCAAAACTATTAGCATAATTTGAGACATATGTTTTCTTCTTTTTGATTGTACCCTCCCCGCCCACGCCTACCGCTTTAATAGCTTATTGCAGTATAATCTACATATAAAAAATTAACACATAACTGTATAATTTGTGTTATAAACTATACACAGTTTGATCAGTTTTAGCATCACTAGAATTCTTTTAGAATTTCCGTTTTACCAAAAAGTTTGTGCCTCTTTGTACTCAGTCAATCCTTGTCCCCACCTCCAGACCTAGTCAACAAATGATGTTGCTTTTTTTCCTTCTTTACAGTTTACCTTTTCTATAAATTTCACGTAGTTGAAGTAATATACTGTCTAATCTTTTTTTGGGGGGTTCCTATTTTTTTCCAGTCACCAGCTCTCTGGCAAACTGTGTAATCTTTTGTGTCTGGCTTTTCTTTCCAGGTTCATCCTTGTTGTATAAATCAGTAGTTTGTTCCTTCTTATTGCCGAGTATTTTGTTGTATGGGTAAACTACATTTTGTTTATAAATTTACTAATTGATGGAGATTTGTATTTTTCCACTTTGGGGCTATTATGCATAAAGCTGTTATGAACATTCCCATGCAATTCTGGATATTTGTTTTCATTTCTCTGGCATGAAAAACTAAGAGTAGGATTACTGGGTTGTATGTTAACTGTATATATTATATAACCTCCTAAGACAATGCCAAGTAGTTTTCTAAAGTGGCTATACTATTTTACATTCCCTATGGCAACATATGACGGTTCCAGTTTCTCCTCATTCTTATCAGCGCTTTTTTTTTTGTCTTTTTGATTATAGCCATTCTAATAATGTGTATTACATTGTGGCTTTAATTTGCATTTCCATGTAAGTAATGATGTTGAACAGCTTTTCATGTGCTTGTTTGCCATTAAGTATTGTCTCTAGTGAATTGTCTATTCACATATTTTACCTAAGTTTTAATTGGGTTGTCTGTCTTCTTATTAAAGAATTCTTTATATATTCTTCTTACATAGCTTTTATCAAATACAAGATTTGAAAATATTTTCTCCCAGTCTGTGACTTGTTACTTTATTTTGTTAATCCAATACAGGATATTACATTGCATTTAATTATTGTGTCTTTTTAGTCTCTTCATTCTGTGGTAGTTTCTTAATCTTTCCTTATCCTTCATGACCTTGATACTTTTTGAAAAGTACTGATCAGTATTTTGTTGAATGTCCCTCACGTCGGATTTGTCTGATGTTCTTTCACTTTAGACTGAGATGATGGACTTTTGGGGAGAGTACCACAGAGATGCTGCATCTGTTTCTCTTTGACTCCATTCTTTTGTGTTAAACAAATGCCTTTTGCTTACTAATGTACTTTTTTTTTTCTTTTTTTAAATACTTTAAGTTCTGAGGTACATGTGCACAACGTGCAGGTTTGTTACATAGGTATATATGTGCCATGTTGTTTTGCTGCACCCATCAACTCATCATTTACATTAGGTATTTCTCCTAATGCTATCCCTCCCCCAGCCCCCCACCCCCTGACAGGCCCCACTGTGTGATGTGTCCCCCCCGACACTCCCATTGTCCGTGTATTCTCATTGTTCAACTGCCACTTATGAGTGAGAACATGCAGTGTTTGGTTTTCTGTCCTTGTGATAGTTTTTTGAGAATGATGGTTTCCAGCTTCTTCCATGTCCCTGTAAAGGACATGAACTCGTCCTTTTTTATGGCTGCATAGTATTCCATGGTGTATATGTGCCACATTTTCTTTTCTTTTCTTTTTTCTTTTTCTTTCTTTTTTTTTTTGAGATGGAGTCTCCCTCTGTAGCCTAGGCTGGAGTGCAGTGGCGGGATCTTGGCTCACTGCAAGCTCAACTTCCCAGATTCACGCCATTCTTTTGCCTCAGCCTCCCAAGTAGCTGGGACTACAGGCGCCCGCCACCATGCCTGGCTAATTTTTTGTATTTTTAGTAGAGATGGGGTTTCACCATGTTAGCTAGGATGGTCTCGACTTCCTGACCTTGTGATCCACCCACCTCGGCCTCCCAAAGTGCTGGGATTACAGGCATGAGCCACTGCGCCCAGCCCACATTTTCTTTATCCAGTCTATTATTGATGGACATTTGGGTTGGTTCCAAGACTTTGCTATTGTGAATAGTGTCACAGTAAACATACGTTTGCGTGTGTCTTTATAGTAGTAGTATTTATAATCCTTTGGATATATACCCAGTAATAGGATTGTTGGGTCAAATGGTATTTCTAGTTCTAGATCCTTGAGGAATCACCACACTGTCTTCCACAATGGTTGAACTAATTTACACTCCCACCAACAGTGTAAAAGCGTTCCTGTTTCTCCACATCCTCTCCAGCATGTGTTGTTTCCTGACTTTTTAATGATCGCCATTCTAACTGGCGTGAGATGGTATCTCACTGTGGTTTTGATTTGCGTTTCTCTAATGACCAGTGATGATGAGGATTTTTTTGTATGTTTGTTGGCTGCATAAATGTCTTCTTTTGAGAAGTGTCTGTTCATATCCTTTGTACACTTTTGGATGGGGTTATTTGTTTTTTTCCTGTAAATTTGTTTAAGTTCTTTGTAGATTCTGGATGTTAGCCCTTTTTCAGATGGGTAGATTGCAAAAATTTGCTCCCATTCTGTAGGTTGCCTGTTCACTCTGCTGGTAGTTTCTTTTGCTGTGCAGAAGCTCTTTAGTTTAATTAGATCCCATTTGTCTATTTTGGCTTTTGTTGCCATTGCTTTTGGTGTTTTAGTCCTGAAGTCTCTGCCCATGCCTGTGTCCTGAATGGTATTGCCTAGGTTTTCTTCTGGGGTTTTTATGGTTTTAGGTCTTATATTTAAGTCTTTAATCCATCTTGAGTTAATTTTTATATAAGGTGTAAGGAAGGGATCCAGTTTCAGCTTTCTACATATGGCGATATATCCCTCATTGTTGAATGTCCCTCATTTCGGATTTGTCTTATGTTCCTTCACTTTAGACTGAGATGATGGACTTTTAGGGAGATTGCTGCAGAGATGATGCCTCTGTTTCTCTTTGACTCCATTCTTTTGTGTTAAAACAAATGCCTTTTGCTTACCAATGTAAATTTTTAGCCTTTTAAAAAGTTTTTTTTCTTAATTGTTGCTCTAGGAATTATAATACATATTTTTAACATATCTCAGTCTACTTGAGTTTAACATTGACTTAATTCTGACTTAATTCTGGTAAAATATAGCCGTTTCATTCCAGTATCACTCTATTTCTTTCCCTTTGTGGTATTGTATTATACAAGTATATATTATATGTAAGAATATAGTGTTATAATTATTCATTTTAAATCTTTTTTAAATAAAGAGAAAAAAGAAAAATATGTGTATGCATGTGTGTATTCAGTCATTTATATTTATATTAATATATACTTAAATATTTACCGTTGTGAAACATATATAAAACTACTGTAGGAAAGGTCTGCCAGCAACAAATTCTCTCAGTTTTTGTTTTTCTGAGAATGTCTTTGTTTCACCTTCAGTTTTGAAGGGCAGTTTTGCTGGATGTGGGAGTCTTGGTTGGCAGTATTTTTTCTTTCTACACCATGAATGTCATTCGGTTGCCCTCTTGCCTCTGTTGGTCTGATGAAAAGTCAGCCCCTAGTAGTATCATTGCTTCCAGTACATAATAAATTGTTTTTCTCTTTCTGCTTTTAATATTTCTTCTTTGTCTCTATCTTTAAACAGTTTGACCCTGATGTATCTATGTGGGCTTCTTTTGTGTGTTTATCTGACTTAGGATTCATTGAGCTTCTTGGGTCTGAGAGTAAATGTTTTTCTTCAGATTTGGGAAGTTTCGGACCCTGATTTTTCCGTATTTTTTTTTCTGCCCCTTTCTCTCTTTTTCTGGGCCTTCCATTATATGAATGTTGGGATGCTTTGCATTGTCCCAAAGGTCTCTGTCTGAGGCTTCATTCATTTTTCTTAAACCTTTTATTCTCTGTGTACCTCAGATTGGATAATTTCTATTGCTCTATCAAATTCACTAATTATTTGTTCTCATAAGTTTGGGATCCCAGTGTTAGTTTCCGTTTGCTGCATACAAATTACCACAAACTTAGTAGCTTAAAATGATACCCATTTGTCACTCACAGTTTGTAGGTTAGAAGTCTGGCAAGGCATGGCTGGATACCCTGCTCAGAATATCACAAGGCTGAATCAAAGTGTTAGCTGGACTGAGTTCTCATCTGGAGGATCCATGGAAAAAATCTGTTTCCAAGCTCCTTCTTTTTGTTCACAGAATTTATTTCCTTGCAGTTGTAGGAGTGAGGTGCCTGTTTCTTTGCTTGCTGTCAGCCTGGCTCAATCTCAGATTCCAAGGACCATCCACATTTCTTACCATATAGGCTCCCCCATCTTCAAGCCAGCAATAGCATATAGCATCCTTCTTGCACAGTTGACTGTTGAGCAATGTAAGAGTTAGGAGTGCTGGTCCCTCACGCAGTTGAAAATCTGTATATGCTTTTTTTTTTTTAGACAGAGCCTTCCTTGCTCTGTCGCCCAGGCTGGTGTGCAATGGCGCAATCTCAGCTCACTGCAACCTCTGCCTCCTGGGTTCAAGTGATTCTCATTTTTGGTAGAGATGGGGTTTCACCATATTGGACTGTGGTAAAATAGACATATTTATTTCTTATCTCAAGAGAGATGGTCAGAAAGTTCAGGAAAACAAAATAACTAGATAAGAAAGTTAGTGTCCAAAAACATTATGTAGATTAAAAGTAATATGATTTTGAGGAATTTTTGAAGTATAAGAAACTTCTCCTGGCCTTGATGTAGATAGTAGGGAAGAAATATAACCTGAGAGCACAGCTTGGTTCTGCTCTGAACAATACATAAATCCTGAGACTACATTGTGTATTGATTTTTTAATTAGAATTAGCTATATATCCAAAGTCTGGCAGTCTTAATTATGGTTCTAGAATATAACATAAATTGCATCAGCCTGAAAAATGTTTTTTAAAGGTACAGGTGATAGAAGTTGTGAGCGAAAGGCATGGTCACTGCTACTAAAAATCTTCATCCTATGTAGTGGTTCTGAAACTTCGTTGCACATTAAAATCACTTGAGAAGCTTTCAAAATCTTGATCCCCAAACTTCATCAAACTGCATTATACCAGTTAAATAAAAATCTTTGCTGGCAGGGAAAGCTAGGTATCTGTTTGTTGTTTTCAGTTTGCCAGGTGATTCCAGTGTGTAGTCAAATTTGAGAACCATAAAGCTAAATTTCACAGAAATAGTCCTAGAATCTTAAATATATTTTCTAAAATCACGAATGTGATGAGTGGTAGAGTCATTCTTATAACTATTATCATTGTGAAAATGAAGGGGGAGGTGAGGTAGAAGGGTGCTGGAAGTGGACCAAAATTTTTTTTTAGTGGAAAGCCAAATCTCTTATAGTGGGATGTGGTAACAAAACAAGATTCTGCATTTTGCTTCAAAGTTAATCTGTTAGTTATTTTATTTTACTTGCAAAGAGGAAATGTCCCTTTAGTCATGTTCCTAATTTTATGAGAATCTGTATCATCTTTTTTTATATAGATTGAGTTAATTAGAGCTAGATCAATGAGGTCGTTATGAATAAATTATTATCTGGATGTTAAAATCAACTTCATTTGGCAAACACAGTTGACATTTATTAGTGCATAGGCAAAGTATTCTATAAAAGATACTTTAACAAATGTAGTTTCCTCTGACAGACCTTAGATACAAAGTTACATGCTAGTAGTCCTTGGAACCTGTCATTTGTTTTTCTTGGCAAAAAACTTAGGAAGAAGCTCAACTTTTAAAATTTCTTATAGTATCCATATTTGCTATACATTAGCAAATACAGATAATATAACGTACAAAATAATTATGGATTTACTTTAAATTTTATAGTAATTAGAAGGTAAGGTAAATATATTTCAGCCTTCTCCTTTTTTATCTGACTCAGCCTGTATCAGCCTTGATTGTGCATTTGAATCACCTGCAGAGTTTTCAAAATCAGTCTCATCTTTTTAAAAGTTCTTCATTAACATTAAAGGAGCCCAGTGCTCTGTCTGGCCTCAGAGATGTTCATTAGAGCCCAGTGTTCTGGCCTCAGAGATATTTTTTTAGTCAGATTGAGATTTAAGAACATGGACTTATGATTTTCTCTTTCCACAGAAGTCAACAGATAATGTCTTCAGTTAATACATAATGGAGTTGTAAAATAAGTACATTATTTAAGATTATCAAGGTTGTCTTCAGGAGTAGGATTGGGACTTGAGGTGAGAAGGGATCAAGATGGAGGCAGTTGCCCTTTACTATAAGCTCTTCCGTACTATGTCTTTTTAAAAATAGGAACTATGGCCAGGAAATACAATTAACAATTTTTTTTTTTTTTTTTTTTGAGACGGGGTTTTGCTCTTGTCACCCATGCTAGAGTGCAATGGTGCAAACTTGGTTCACTGCACCCTCTGCCTCCTGGGTTCAAGCGATTCTCCTGCCTCAGTCTTCTGAGTAGCTGGGATTACAGGTGCACGCCACCATGCTTGGCTAATTTTTTTATTTTTAGTAGATACGGAGTTTCACCACGTTGGGAAGGCTGGTCTCGAACTCCTGACCTCAGGTGATCCACCCGCCTCAGCCTCCCAATAAAAAATGTATAGACATGAAAATATTGCTTTCCATGTTAGTCAGGGTTTCCAGAGAAACAGAACCAACAGTATATAGAGAGAGATATAGGAAGAGATTCATTGTGAGGGATTGGCTCAAGCAATTATGGAGACTGGGAAGTCCTATGATATGCCAACAGCAAACTGGAGGCCCAGGAAAATTGGTGGTGATATTTAGTCCAAGTCGGAAGGCCCAAGAATCAGGAGCACACATGTCCCAGAGGAGGAGAACATGTATTTCCCAGCTCAAGCAGACATCAGATACACCCTTCCTCTACCTTTTTTTCTATTCACACTCTCCACTGATTAGATGGTACCCACTCACATTGGTGAGAGTGGATGTTTACACAGTCTGCTGATTGGAGGGATAATCTTTTCTGGAAACATCCTCACAGACATACCCAGAAATAATGTTTTGCCAGCTATCTCATCATCCTTTAGCCCAGTCATGTTGACACACCAAATTAACTATATTAGATTCTCTTATATTTTGTAGCAATAGGATGTTTTTTATGAGAATTGAAATTTATGAACTCAGAGTGTGGTTATTTTGTATGAAAAAATAATTTTAAACTTAAAATCCTTTAGAAAGTCTCTTCTTGATTTTTTAAAGTAAGCTTTTTACTAAAGTATATCATATGTGCAGAAAGGGCCCACATCATAAGTGAACAGTTCTGTGAATTGCTCACAAATGGAACATTCCTGTATAACCAGCATCTAAACTGGAAATATGTATTGCCCAAATCCAGGACGTTTATGGTATGTTTTTTCCAGTCACTGTTCCCTCATCTCCAAACTACTGTTCTGCCTTTGTACATCATTGGATACTTTGTTTCTGAACGTTATGCAAATAGAATAACACGTTGTACACTCATTTGTGTTTGGCTTTCTTCACTGAGCATTATGTTTATTAACTTTATCTTGTCATGTTGTGTAGTTGTAAATACTTCATTCTCATTGCTATATGGAATTCTATATCAAGAATATGCCACCGGTGGCTCACGCCTGTAATCCCAGCACTTTGGGAGGTTGAGGTGGGTAGATCATGAGTTCAGGAGTTCGAGACCAACCTGACCAACATAGAGAAACCCCATCTCTACTAAAAGTACAAAAATTAGCTGGGCATGGTGGCGGGCACCTGTAATCCCAGCTACTTAGGAAGCGGAGGCAGGAGAATCGCTTGAACCCAGGAGGTGGAGGTTGCAGTGAGCCGAGATCGCACCACTGCACTCCAGCCTGGGCAACAGAGCGAGACTCCGTCTCAAAAAAAGAATATGGCACAATTTATCCATTCTAGTATTGATGAACATTTGTGTTGTTTCCATTTTAATCTATTATGAATAGTACTGCTATGAAAATTCTCTAGCCTTGTAGTATAGTTTGAAGTTAGGTAATGTGATACCTCCAGCCTTATTCTTTTTGCTTAAGATTGCCTTGGCTATTGGGGCTTTTTTTTTGGTTTCATATCAATTTTAAAATAGTTTTTTTAAATTCTATGAAGAATGCCACTCGTAGTTTCATAGGAATAACATTGAACCTGTACATTGTTTTGGGCAGTATGGCCATTTTAATGATATTGATTCTTTGTATCCATGAGCATGAGATGTTCTTCCATTTGTTTGTATCTTCTCTGATCTCTTTGAGCAGTGTTTTGTAATTCTCATTGTAGAGATCTTTCACCTCCCTGGTTAGATAGATTCCTAGGTATTTTATTCTTTTTGTGGTAGTTGTGAGTGGGATTGCCTTTCTGATTTGGCTCTTGGTTTGGCTGTTGTTGGTGTATGGGAATGCTAGTGATTTTTGTACACTGATTTTGTATCCTGCCAATTTGAAGTTGTTTATCAGATAGAGGAGCTTTTGGGTGTGCAAGGCTACACGAACCAAAACAGCATGGTGCTGCTACAAAACAGGCACATAGACCAATGGAACAGAATAGTGAGCTCATAAATAAGGCTGTACATCTATGACTATCTGACAAAAATCAAGCGATGGGGGAAAAACTCCCTGTTCAATAAATGGTGCTGGGATAACTGGCTAGACATATGTAGAAGATTGAAACTGGACCTGTTCCTTACACCATACTCAAAAATCAACTCAAGGCAGATTAAAGACTCAAATGTAAAACCCAAAACTATAAAAAGCCTGGAAGACAATCTAGGCAGTACAATCCTAGACACAGGAGTGGACAAAGATTCCATAACAAAGATACCAATAGCAATTGCAACGAAAACAGAAGTTGACAAGTGGGATCTAATTAAACTTACAACCTACACAGCAAAAAACTGTCAACAGAGTAAAGAGAAAATCTACAGAATGAGAGAAAAATATTTGCAAACTATGCATCTCACAAAGGCCTAATATCCATCATGTATAAGGAAATTTAAAAAAATTCACAAGAGAAAAATAACCCCATTAAAAAGTGGGCAAAGGACATGAACAGACACTTCTCAAAAGAAGACATACGTACGGCCAACAAGCATATAAAAACTCAGTATCACTGATAATTAGAGAAATGCAAATCAAAGCCACAGTGAGATACCATCTCACACCAGTCAGAATGGCTATTACTGAAAAGTCAAAAAAATAACAGATGTGGGCAAGGTTACGGAGAAAAGGAAACACATACACTGTTGGTGGAAGTGTAAATTAGTTCAACCATTGTGGAAAGCAGTATGGTGATTCCTCAAAGAGCTAAAAGCAGAACTATCATTCGACTTAGCAATCCCATTACTGGGTATATACCCAGAAGAATATAAATCATTCTGCTATAAAGACACATGCATGTGAATGTTCAATGTAGCACTATTCACAGTAACAAAGACATGGAATCAACCTAAATGCACATCACTGACAGACTGAATAAAGAAAATGTGATACATATACACCATGGAATACTATGCAGCCATAAAAAAGAACAAGATCATGTCTTTTGCAGGAACATGTATGGAGCTAGAGGCCATTCTTCTTAGCAAACTAACGCAGGCACAAAAACCAAATACCACATGTTCTCACTTGTAAGCGGGAGCGAAATGATAAGAACTTATAAACACAAAGAAGGGGAAACAATCGACACTGGGGTCTACTCGAAGGGGGAGGGTGGGAGGAGAGAGAGGAGCAGAAAAGATGACTATTGAGTACTAGGCTTAATATGTGGGTTATGAAATAATATGTACAACAAACCCCTGTGACGAATGTTTACCTCTGTAACAAACCTTCACATGTACCCCCAAACCTAAAGTACAAATTTAAAAAAAAAGTTTAACTCTTAAAAAAAAAAGAGAGAAAAGAAAATTATTTTCTGTTTTCTTTTCTGTGTATCTTTTCTGTTGCTGCATTTGCCTAAAATTTAAGTTTAGGATCTTTCGCCAAAGAAAACACAATCAGATAATGAAAATAAGTAAGAAATTAGCTTTTCATTTACAAAAACTCCATGTGTAGTTTTAAGAATGCATATATAATGTGCACCTTTCTTGTTCAGCTTAGATTAGTTTATAGTCTTATCTTCTGAACAGTTTGGCCTGTGAAGTACACTCATATTTAATGGAAAAACAGGATTCATGATAGTAAATCTGGATATTTATAAATTAACCTCTGTTGCCTCAGGTTTTGTGCCAGCACAGGGGATAAAAATGACAAAATAAAGAGTAACAGGTTTTGATTCTGATAACTGGGCTATAAGAGAAACTATGTTCCTTTAAATACTCACTTCTAGCCCTGTGTTTTGAGGGCTGTTGCACATCAATCACCATTTTAACTGATAGATTATCTTCCTTCTCCAATGTTTCAGAACATGCAGTGTAAAACTGGCTTTATTCTTAAATCCTAGTTCTCTCCTAATTTACTTCTTCAGCCTTTGCATCATTCAGTCTTCTCTTTGTTTACTCATAGCTTTCCATTGACATTTTGTGGGCAGCCATTTGACTTTGTTCCTCTGCCAGAGTATCACCAACAGCAGGCAAGGGACTCAGATCCGCCTGTTAATATTTGGGACATCTAACGTATTTCCTCAGGGACAACCCTGCCTGAGGTTGCCCTGGATCAATTTTCCACCCCCAATTTATTTCTTTTCTTTTTTTTGAGATGGAGTCTCTCGCTCTGTTGCCCAGGCTGGAGTGCAGTGGCATGATCTTGGCTCACTGCAACCCGTGCCTCCTGGGTTCAAGCGATTCTCCTGCCTCAGCCTCCCGAGCATCCGGGATTACAGGCATCTACCACCACAACTGGCTAATTTTTTTGTTTTGTTTTGAGACGGAGTCTTGCTCTGTCACCAGGCTGGAGTGCAGTGGCGCTATCTCAACTCACCGCAACCTCCGCCTCCCAGGTTCAAGCAATTCCCCTGCCTCAGCCTCCCAAGTAGCTGGGATTACAGGCACACGTCACCATGCCCAGCTAATTTTTTTTTTATTTTAGTAGAGACAGGGTTTCACCAGGTTGGCCAAGATGGTCTCGATCTCCTGACCTCGTGATCCGCTCGCCTCGGCCTCCCAAAGTGCCGGTATTACAGGCGTGAGCCACTGTGCCCAGCCACACCTGGCTAATTTCTGTATTTTTAGTAGAGACGGGGTTTTGCCATGTTGGCCAGACTGGTCTCGAATTCCTGACCTCAGGTAATCTGCCTGCCTCGGCCTCCCAAAGTGCTGAGATTACAGGTGTGAGCCACTGCGCCCAGCCCAAAATTGTTTTCATTTGTCAAATTCATCTAGTGTTTTTGAATCTGAGAATTTTTACCTTCTATCACAGAGTAGGCCTATCTTGGGTTCTTCCTGGAAGGAGTAAGTCTATGTGTCCTATTTTTGATCAACTACTTTTTAAACTTTGATTTCTTTGCTGTTTTTTGTTTTGTTTTGTTTTTTTAAGACAGGGTCTCACTTTGTTGCCCGTGCTGGAGTGCATTGGTGCAAATACGGTTCACCGCAGCATCAACCTCCCAGGATCAAGCAATCCACCTGCCACAGCACCCCAAGTAGCTGGGATTACAGGCGCACGTCACCACACCTGGCTAATTTTTGTATTTTCTGTAGAGACGGAGTTTCACTATGTTGCCCAGGCTGGGAACTCTGATTTCTTCTTTATGTCAAGATCTTCTATCTTAGGGGGTTCATTCTTCCTTATCCACATATAATACCCTGTTACCTGCCTCAGTTTACCTAGACCTGCCAGAGTTTCAGCCCAGCATACATAGGTTAGGCCACTCACCTTGGATACCTTTGATAATCTCCCCAGCTGTAAACTGATGACTTCTCCATGGAGCAGGGGAAAAATAAGCACTTCAGTCTAGCTCGTCCTTGTTTTCCAGAGGCACAGGCTCCTAATGCCAAATAGCCATGACTATTTGAAGTCGGGGTAAGGGAGATTTTCCTCTGGTTCACTTGGAACAGTGACAGAATGTTCCTGCTAGCCTCTGAAGAGTATTGGCCTCCTATTTAAGACAGCCCTTCAACTCCAACTCCTAACTTTTTGTTGTTGTTGTTCCTTTCTGGCCTTCTTTGAGACATTTTAGATAAGACTGTCCTACATTTCAGACGTTCCTGTTTGGGCCAGCTGAAGCCTAGAGGAGGGGAAGAATGGAAGAATAGTTGATTTACAAGGTTAAGCTCTACCTAAGTGCCCAGTATTACCATCTATGAATACCTGGCATTCATAAGTGTTAACAGTCCAGCTTGTCAGCTATGGTTAACTCTTAAAACCATAAAGTTTACCAAACTTTATGTTCATCTTGTGTTATTATTATTAGGAAGTCTTTCTTATAAAATTGCATTTTACTCTGTAGATTAGGGTTTATGTTTATTGCTGATCTTGACTCAAAATTTTAGAACACAAAAAGCAGTATCACTTCTATAACTTATTGAAAGCATTAAAAATTCCCATTTTCATGTAATGTTTTATATATTTGAGTGAATGTATATGTCTTTTTTAAATTCCTCTAGAAATATTTGAATCTTTAAAATTTTTTTTACTATGGTCCATTTGGGATTATTATTATTATTTTGAGATGGAGTTTTCACTCTTAATGCCCAGGCTGGAGTTCAATGGCGCAATCTCAGCTCACTGCAGCCTCCGCCTCCTGGGTTCAAGCGATTCTCCTGCCTCAGACTCCCGAGTAGCTGGGATTACAGGCATGCACCACCACACCCGGCTAATTTTGTATTTTTAGCAGAGACAGGGTTTCTCCATGTTGGTCAGGTTGGTCTCGAACTCCCAGCCTCAGGTGATCCACCCGTCTCAGCCTCCCAAAGTGCTGGGATTACAGGCATGAGCCACCACGGCCAGCCTTTTTTTTAAACAATTTTTAAGCCTTTACCTCGGCTCACGGTATGCAGTTCAGTGTTATATACCTTCATAATGTCGTACAACTATTTAAATTTGGTATATATTTTTCATTTCCACCAGCAAATACATGAGGTTCTAGTGACTTTGCATCCTTGCCAGCATTTGGTATTATAAGTCCTTTTAATTTTAGACATTCTAGTAGGTATATAATGGTATTTCACTATGGTTTTAATTTGCAGTTTTCGGATCACTAAAGATGATGACAACATTGTCTTGACTTACTGGCTATCTATATATTTTTGTTAGTCAAGCATTTGCTCAAATCTTTTGCCTATTTTAAAAATTGGATTGTCTGTCTCCTTATTATTGAATTATAAAAGGTGTTTATATATTCTGGATATAAGTTCTTTATCAGCTATTATATCTTCTCCCAGCCTGTGCCTTGTCTTTAAAGTGTCTTTCAAAGAGCAGATATTAATTTTGATGAAGTCCAATTTACTTTTCATACTTTTTGTGTCTTCTCTAAGAAAAAGCCTAACTCAAGATCACAAAGATACATATATAATCCAAATATGTATGTAAATACATAAATTATATATAATAATGTATAATATTTGGTAATATATAATCAATATATATCATCTACTTTTTTTTACATATATATTTACATATACACATTGAGACAGGGTTTCACTGTATCATTCAGTCTGGAATGCAGTGGTGCGATCATGGATCACTGCAGCCTCGACTCTCTGAGCTCAAGTGATCCTCCCACTTGAGCCTCCCGAGTAGCTGGGATTATAGGTATGTGCCACCACACTCAGCTCATTTTTATTTTATTTATTTATTTTTTTTTTTTTTAGGGATAGAGTCTCACATCATTGCTGAGGCTGGCCTCAAGCTCCTGGGCTCCAGCAGTCCTCCTGCCTCAGCCTCCCAAAGTGCTGGGATTATAGGCATGAGCCGTTGATTCAAGCTGATATTCTATGTTTTCTTTCACAAGTTGTACCGTTTTTGCTATAGTTTTACATATAGATCTGTGTTTCTACTTCAAGTTTGTATATGGTATGAGGTATCAGTTGAGAGTTTTGTTTGTTTTTGTTTTTACGTATGGAAATCCAGTTATTCTGTCACCGTTTGTTGAAATGACTGTCGTTTCCCCACCAAATTATTTTCTCAAAAATCATTTGTAAAAAATCATTTGACCATATATGGATGATTTTTCAACTGTATCCTGTTTGATTAATCTATATATCTATTCTTATAAAAATACCATGTTGTTTAGATTATTGCAGTTCTGTAGTAAGTATTGAAATTCGATTAGTCTTATATTGAGAAAACTCTACTTAGAGCTGAAATATTTCTATCTGTAAATTCTACCTATTAATCCTGTTTATGTCCTCTAAAACAAGATTACTTCCTATTTTATCTGACAATTCATCTATTTGAACAAATGTTTATACATTTTAATCTGGACCAAGCCTCTATATGCTCTAAAACTCTGCACCTTACTATGTGTTTGGGTTTTTTTTTTTTAATCTTCTTACTTTATAATATATTAGAAAGTCAAGCAGTATTTATTGAAGTAAAACTAAACTCTGTGGAATAATTCCTCATTAGTATCCTTAACATATGTACCTTATGTTGAATGTAGTGAAGAAAACATAGTTCCTGCGATCATATCATTAAGAAAAACTATGGCTCTCTTCATCAAGAAATGAATCTTTCCAGACCCTTGCATTTATTTAACTTGTACCTGTTTTTTTTGTTTCTGTTTTTGTTTTTGTTTTTTTTTGAGACAGAGTCTTGCTCTGTCACGCATGCTGGAACGCAGTGGTGTGATCGTGGCTCAGTGCAGTCTCAGCCTCCTGGGCTCAAGTGATCCTCCCACCCCAGCCGCCCAAGTAGCTGGGACCACAGGCGTGCAACACCACGTGGGCCTGGCTAATTTTAAGAATTTTTTGTAGAGACAGGTTTTCACCATGTTGCCTAACTACTGGGCTCAAGCGATCCTCCCATCTTGGCCTCTCAAAGTGCTGGGATTATAGACATAAGACACCAGGCCCAGCCTGGTTTGATTTTTATACACTGGAAAGTTCTTCATTTCATTATCAACTTTACTTTTGTTTTTTATCAGAGTTTTACATGAATATAGTTTAAAGGGTCAGTAACTATATAGTTTTCATTGTTAAAATGGCTGCCTCCTACGCTCCCTTAATCTTTCTCTCTACCGTTTCCCGTATCTCTAAATAATGTATGTATGTTGAAGTTTTTGTTTTTCCAGTTTTAGGCATTCTCTGTTAACTCTCCAATATGGAAGATGAAAAATTGCCTCTCTTTGACTCTGCTTCCCACATCACACACTACTTCTCATTCTTACCTTCTCGGTATAGATGTATTATAATTTTGGTTAGATAAATATTTGATGTTGCAAGTTATTTTTTTTAAACTTTTAGGTTCAGGGGTACATGTGCAGGTTTCTTATACTGGTAAATTGTGTGCCATGGGGGTATGGAGTACAGATTATTTTGACATCTAAGTGATAAGCATAGTACCTGATCCTCTCCCTCCTCCCACTCTCCACCCTCAAGTAGGCCCCAGTGTCTGTTGTTTCTTCTTTGCGTTCATCTGTACTCATGTTGATAAGCTCCCATTGATAAGTGAATATGTGGCACTTGGTTTTCTGTTCCTTTGTTAATTTGCTTAGGATAACGGTCTCTAGGTCCATCCATGTTGCTGCAGAGTACATGATCTCATTCCTTTTTATGGCTGTATAGTATTGCATAATGTATATGTACCACATTTTCTTTATCCAGTCTGTTGTTGATGGGCATTTAGATTGATTCCATGTCTTTGCTATTGTGAGTAGCACTGTGATGAACATATGCGTGTATGTGTCTTTATGGTAGAACAATTTGTATTCCTTTAGATATATACCCAGTAATGGGATTCCTAGGTCAGATGGTAATTCTGTTTTAAGTACTTTGAGAAATCTCCAAAGTGCTTTCCACAGTGGCTGAACTAATTTACATTCCCACAAGCGGTGTATAAATACTCCCATTTCTCTTCAACCCCACCAGCATCTGTTATTCTTTGGCTTTTTAGTAATAGCCATTCCGGATGGCGTGAGACAGTATGTCATCTTGGTTTGGATATTCATTTCTTTAATAATTAGTGATGTTGAGGATTTTTGCATATGCTTATTGGCCTTATGTATGTCTTTTGAGAAGTGTCTGTTCGTGGCCTTTGCCCATCTTTAAATGGCAAAGTTAAAGTTAAATGGCAAAGTTAAAAACAGTTGTTTGTTTTTTGCTTGTTAACTTGTTTAAGTTTCTTACAGACTCTGAACACTAGACCTTTGTCAGATGAATATTTTGCAGATATTTTCTCCCAAAATTCTGTAAGTTGTCTGTTTAGTCTGTTGATTATTTCTTTTGCTGTACAGAATCTCCTTAGTTAATTAGGTCCCATTTGTTAATTTTTGCTTTTGTTGCAATTACTTTTGGAATCTTCATTATGAATTTTTTTTTTTTTTTTTTTTTTTGGAAACAAAGTCTCACTCTGTCACCCAGGCTGGAGTGTAATGACGCGATCTTGGCTCCCAGGTTCAAGTGATTCTCCTGCCTCAGCCTCCAAGTAGTTGAGACTACAGGTGCACACTACCAAGCCCGGCTAATTTTTGTATTTTTTAGTATAGATGAGGTTTCCCCATGTTGGCCAGGCTGGTCTTGAACTCCTCACCTTAGGTGATCCACCTGCCTCTGACTTGCAAAGTGCTAGGATTACAGGCATGAGCCACTGCACCTGGCTTTATCATGAAATCTTTGCCATGGCCTATGTCCAGAATTGTATTTCCTAGATTTTCTTCTAGGGTTTTTATAGTTTTAGGTTTTACATTTAAGTCTTTAATACATTTTGAGTTGATTTTCTTGTATGATCAAAGGAAGGTATCCAGTTTCAATCTTCTACATATGGCTAGCCAGTTATCCCAGCACCATTTATTGAATAAGTGTTCCTTACCATGTTGCTTATTTTTTTGTTAACTTTGTTGAAGATCAGATAGTTACAGGTGTGAGGCCTTATTTCTGGACTTTCTATTCTGTTCCATTGGTCTATGTGTCTGTTTTTGTGCCAGTACCATGCTGTTTTGGTTACTATAGCCTTTTAGTATAGTTTGATGTCAGGTAACATGATGCTTCCAGCTTTGTTCTTTTTACTTTGAATTGCCTTGAGCATTCAAGCTTTTTTTTGGTTCCATATGAATTTTAAAATAGCTCTTTCTAATTCTGTGAAGAATGTCATTGGCAGTTTCATAGGAATAGTATTGAATCTGTAAATTGCTTTAGGCATTATGGCTGTTTTACAATATTGATTCATCCTATTCATGAGCATGGAACGTTTTTCCATTTGCTTGTTTTCTTTGAGCAGTGTTTTGTCATTCTTGTTGTTGAGATCTTTCACCTCCCTTGTTAGCTGTATTCCTAGGTATTTTATTCTTCTTGTGGCTGTTGTGGATGGATTGGGCTCTTGATTTGGCACTCAGCTTGGACATTGTTTGTGTATAGAAATGCTGTTGATTTTTGTACATTGATTTTGTATCCTGTGGCGTTGCTTAAGTTGTTCATCAGATCTAGGAGCTTTTGGGAGAGACAATCGAGTTTTCCAGGTATAGAATTATATCATCTGCAAATAGAGATAGTTTGACTCTTTCTCTTCCTACGTGGATGCTTTTTATTTCTTTCTCTTGCTTGATTTCTCTGGCGAGGACTTCTAGTATTATGTGGAATAGGAGTGGTGAGAGTGGGCATCTTGTCTTGCTCTGGTTCTAAAGGGGAATGCTTCCAGCTTTTGCCTATTCAGTATGATGTTGGCTGTGGGTTTGTTGTAGATGGCTCTTATTATTTTGAGGTATGTTACTTTGATGCCTAGTTTGTTGAGAGTTTTTAATGTGAAGTGATGTTGAATTTTATTGAAAACCTTTTCTGTATCTATTGAGATCATTATGTGGTTTTTGTTTTTAGTTCCGTTGATGTGGTGAATCATATTTATTGATTTGCACATATATATATATATATATATATATATATATATATATATATATATATATTTTTTTTTTTTTTTTTTTTTTTTTTTTTTTTTGAGACAGAGTCTCTCTCTGTCACGCAGGCTGGAGTGCAGTGGCACCATCTTGGCTCGCTGCAAGCTCCGCCTCCTGGGTTCATGCCATTCTCCTGCCTCAGCCTCCCAAGTAGCTGGGACTACTGGCGCTCACCACCAAGCCTGGCTGAATTTTTTTGTATTTTTTAGTAGAGATTGAGTTTCACCATGTTAACCAGGATATTCTCCATCTCCTGACCTCGTGATCCGCCCGCCCCAGCCTCCCAAACTGCTGGGATTACAGGCATGAGCCACCGTGCCCGGCCAATTTGCATATATTGAACCAATCTTGCATCCCAAGGATAAAGCCTACTTGATCATGGTAGATTAGCTTTTGATGTGCTGCTGGATTCTGTTTGCTAGTATTTTGTCAAGGATTTTTGCATCTGTGCACATCAAGGATATTGGCCTGATATTTTGTTGTTGTTGTTGTTGTTGTGGCTCTGCCAGGTTTTGGTATTAGGATGATGCTGGCCTCATAGAATGAGTTAGGGAGGAGTCCCTCCCCCTCAATTTTTTGGTATAGTTTTAGTAGGAATAGTGCCAGCTCTTCTTTATACATGTGGTAGAATTTGGCTGTCAATTCTTCTGGTCCAGGGCTTTTTCTGCTTGGTAGGCTTTTTATTACTGAATCAGTTTTGGAACTCATCATTGGTCTTTTCAGGGATCCAGTTTCTCCCTGGCTTAATCTTGAGAGGGTTGTATTTTTCCATAAATTTATCTATTTCTTCTACGTTTTCTAGTTTGTTTGCTGTCAGTAATAGTCTCTGAGGGTTTTTTGTGTATGTGTGGGGTCAATGGTAATGTCCTCTTTGTCACTTCTGATTGTGTTTATTTGGATCTTCTCTTTTTTTCTTTATCAGCCTAGCTAGTGGTCTATCTATTTATTCTTTCAAAAAACCAATCCCTGGATTCATTGATCTTTTGTATGGTTTTTTTTTCGTATCTCAATTTCCTTCAATTCAGCTCTGACTTTGGTTATTTCTTGTCTTCTGCTATCCTTGGGGTTGGTTTGCTCTTGTTTCTCTATTTCCTCTTGGTGTGATGTTAGGTTGTTTATTTGAGATCTTTATAACTTTTTGATGTGGGTGTTTAGCACTGTAAACTTCCCTCTTAACACTGCTTTAGCTGGATTCCAGAGATTCTGGTATGTTGTATCTTTGTTCTCATTCATTTCAAAGAATTTCTTTCTTGACTTCTGCTTTAATTTCATTTTTTACCCAAAAGTCATTCGGGAGCAAGTTGTTTAATTTCTGTCATTTACAGTTTTTTGATTATGGAAAAATCTACTCACAGCAGAGCCATGTAGCCTACTGTCATTTCTTTTTCTTACACAATATTTTCATCTTCTGGAGTTAGTAATTGGTTTATTCACTTGCTTAACTTTGTATGTTTTTTATTATTAATTAAACCCAAACTAACTTCTACTTGGGTAAATCTCTTCTCAATACTTTCAGACACATTAAGTATTCTATCATTTTTATCTTTTAGATGTCTCGTCCAGAAACTTCTGACCTTTTCAGTACAATTTGTTGCTGGGTATGCTGCGTAGCTATTGTTTTGTTTTTTTCTTTACCTCATCATCCTGGAGATTTTATTCACCACTCTTGTGTTGAATTTCAGGGAGCTAATATTGCATGAAAAATGCTTTGAGAGCCTTGCATGTCTTAAAATGTTTTTATTTCACTCTAACATTTGATTAACAGTACAACTAGGTATATAATCCTGGCCTATAAATTTTTTTTTCTCAGAATTTGTAGGCATTGCTCCCTCTGCCGTCTAGTTTTTGGAATTCCTCTTCAAATCCATTGACTTTATATGCTCCATATTTTTCTAAGCTTTCTTGTTCTGATACCTCATCATTTGTATGCAGTCTTTTGTATAATTGGTACCTTTTGTGTGAAACCTTTTTCTGGAAGCTTTTAGGATCTCCTGTTTTCCTCATTGTTCTGAAATTTTGTAGGAGTGGCTTTAGGGTTAGAGTTATTTTCAGACTTTGTGCTGGGCACTGGTTCGACCCATTGAATATAGAAACTAATTTCCTTTCATTTGGGGATTTTATGTATTTATTCATTTATTTTGAGATAGAGTCTTGCACTGTCACCCAGGCTGGAGTGCAGTGGCACAATACTGGCTCATTGCAACCTCTGCATCCCAGTTTCAAGTGATACACTTGCCTCAGCCTCCCCAGGAGCTGGGATTACAGGTGCCTTCCACCATGCTCGGCTAATTTTTGTATTTTTAGTAGAGATAGGGTTTCACCATATCGGCCAGTCTGGTATTGAATGCCTGACCTCAAGTGGTCTGCCCACCTCGGCATCCCAGAGTGCTGGGATTACAGACGTGAGCCACTGCGCCCAGCCTAGTTTGGGGGTTTTAAAAGAATTATTACCATTAATATTATGTTTATTCTTTTTTATTTTGTTTTCTTTCTTTCTACATTGTTCAGATATTAGATGTCTTGGAATTGGTCCTTTAATGTTCTTATCTCTTTATCCTCTTTTTGAGCTCATCTTTTTGCTCTGTTTTGTGAAAATTTTCCTCAAATCTATTTTCTAGTACTTCTATTGAACTTTTATATTAATGCTATTATATTTAATTCAAACAGCTCTCTTTTGTTCTTTGAATATTTTATTTTACTAGTATTCTCTTCTTGCCTCATGAGTGAGACTTCTCTGAAGGTACTAATGACAACTTTTCTTAATTTCTTTTCTTTTTAAATCATCAGTGTTTTCTCCGACTTGCTTTTTTAAACAGAGTTTTGCATTCTGTCTTTCATGTTATTAGCTGTTCTTAAATGTCTAGTGATCCATCTCTGTCGGCTTCAGTTTAAGATCAGGACAGCAAAAAGGCAGTCAGAAGCACCCTGACTAAATGAGGTTGTGGGGTTGTTGACTGCAGTCTTTGCTGTAGATTATTTGGCTGAGTTGATCTCTTGGAGGAACTCTTGATGGTAGCATATTCAGATCATTTATTGTGGGCTGGTCTGATTGTCTAGAGAAGATACTTTCAGACCTTTACCTGAAAAATATAAAACTAGCTGTTGGTTTTCTTTAAATTAGGAAAGAAGCCTGAAAGTTTTCCTCAAATTTTGTAAAACCTCACCTGTTTCTCCTATTTTCAGTTCATATCCCCCTACCCTCCACTGTGACTGTTCCAACTCTATAAATCCTCTGGGTAGTAGATGAAATTGTGTCCCCTGAAAAAATGTGTTGAAGTCTTAATCCCTAGTACCTGGGAATGTGACTTTCTTTGAAAATAAGGTCTTTGCAGATGTGATCAATTTAAGATGAGACCATACTGGATTAGAGTGAACCCTAAATCCAGTGACTGGTGGTTTTACAAGGAGAAATTTATTTTTTATTTTTTATTTTTTATTTTTTTGAGACAGGGTCTCACTTTGTCGCCAGGCTAGAGTGCAGTGGCACGATCTTGGCTCACTGCAACCTCCGCCTGGGTTCAAGCAATTCTCCTGTGTTAGCCTCCCTAGTAGCAGGGATTACAGGCACCTGCCAGCACATCCGGCTAATTTTTGTATTTTTAGTAGAAGACAGGGTTTCACCATGTTGGCCAGGCTGGTCTCAAACTCCTGACCTCAGGTGATCAGCCCGCCTCAGCCTTCCAAAGTGTTGGGATTACAGGCATGATCCAGTGCGCCTGGCCAGGGGAGATAGTTAAACACAGAAAAATACAAGGAATAATGCTGTGTAAGCAGAATGGCAGAGATTAGAATGATGTGCCTACAAACCAAGGAACACCAAGGATTCCAGGCATCCACCAGAAGATAGGAGAGAAGCATGGAACAGATTGTCTTCAAAACCTCCAGAAAGAACCAACCCTGTTGATATCTTGATTTTAGATTTCTAGCCTCCAGAACTGTGAGAAGACAAATTTATTTTGTTTTAAACCACCCACTTTGTGGTACTTTTTTACAGTAGCCCTTGGAAACTAAAATACTCTGTTTCAGCCTCTCTAGAGAAGAAAGTCAGACTTCTAATAGAATGTGAGAAAACTTTGTATCAAGTAGGAGACCTGTAAATCTAATGATTTTATAAACTTTTAACCAGTCATTCTATTTTCTTCACATCTTCACACCCTCTCCTCCTGCAGTAATACCTTTTTCTGTCATTTTCTGGGCTCTTTGGGGGTTCATCAGTGACAATCAGGTTGCTTTTCTGGTCTGTCCCCTATTGAAGTAGAATTCCCCATTCTTTTCTGTTAAGGCGCTTTTCAAGTGTTCATCTCCTTTCCACCTTCTGGAATTTACTTGCTTTTTTCTCCTTCTGTCCTGTGGGTTTATGCCCCCGCCGCCCCCCTGCCCCCCGCCTTTTTTAAAGAAAGATACCAGAAGAATATGGCATTCTAGAAGCCAAGTAAAAATATTTTCAACCAGCAGACAATGAACAACTGTAGCAAATGATGCTGAGAAGTCTAATAAAATGAGGACTGAGAAATGACCATTTGATTTGGCAAGATATATCATTCATGGCTTTGACGAGTAACTGTGATGGAGTAGTAGGGGATAAAGCCTCACTTGAGTGGGTTCAAGAGAGATGAGAGGAAAGGAGAAACAGTGAGTATAGATTACTGTCTCAGGAATTTATCTTATAAGGGGAGCAGAAAAACGTAGCTGTCAGGAAAACTGGGGTCAAGAGAATTAAAAAAAGATAGAATAGAATAGACAACCCAGTAAGTGTTTTATTGACTCTACGAATGTGACACCTTGCAGGCAGATAAAAATGTGATTCAGGAATTTAGAAATCAATCCAAGACAATGAATAAAAATAAGAAGCTATGCATGAAGATAATGATAAATGTAGAAATAAATAGGGTTCTCATGTGTAAATTGTAGAGAGATGAAGGAAATTTTGCATGGCCAGAACCTTGGGAAACATTCTTTTAGAAAGCAAAAAAAAAAAAAAAGGAAAAAAAAAAGAAATAAAAGTATTCAAGAAGGAGGAGAACAAGAAGCCAAAGGGAAAGACATTAACCACAGAGTAAATGGGTTGACAATATAAAATACCACAAAGATGTTGCAAAAGAAGAGGGCTAAAAGGCCACCGTACTAACTAATGATCAGGTCACTTGTAAACATCATTAAAAAATGGTTAAGGAGATTGTAGATAGTGAAAAATGGAAGCAACAGATATAGAGTAGTCAGAGAGGAATTTTGGTAGCAAAGAAAAGTTTAAAAATAGGGCAGGAGCTGTGGAATATGTTGGAAATCTGGAAGAGGGAGGAAGGAGTCAACAGTGAGAAAGAAATTAAGAAAGATGACTAATGGAAGCTTTAAAGTGCTACTATAAAAGGGGGAAAATATGGCTAATAATACTTTTTACTTTATAGAAATTTCATACCATATTTGACTACAAATGAAGTCTACTTTGTAAAAGGAGGCCTCTCCATAATTACAGTTATCCATGGAAATAAAAATTGCTTTTTTTCTTCATTGGAAAATGTCAAATAGGATCTGAGTTATAGGGTTTTTAACCTGCAGCTAAAAAGAAAACTTCCTTCATTAAAGACAATCCATTGTATTTGCCAAATCTGGTTTGGTGTGCCAACAGCTACACAATTCTATCAGAATTTTACAAGCAGTTCAGTTTTCCATAGTTACAAGAAGTAAATTATATTCTTTGTTTCAAATTCATTGTTAATTGCTTCAATTGTAATTTATCCAGCTTGACTGCAGACTTCAAAAAGCAGCTTTTCATTTCAGAGTGGTTTCCAGAACCTTGAGGCTCCTTACATTAATCATCCACTTACAATATCAATACATATAGACTCCAGTGTTTCCAGCAGCCATATCTTTGGATGCACATACTCGGTGTTTACTATTTTTAATCCAAATTCTGATACAGATAGAAAATAGAAAAGTAAACAGCATTATATTTTCCTGAGAATCATTTTAAACACCAGCTAAATTACTGAAGACCCATAGAACTGAACAATATGTATCTAGCCTAAAATTTTCCTTTAATTTCTTTACATAAAAACATCTTTTTCTATAGTACTTATATCTCTTTTGAATAAATTATATTGATATAAAGAAAACAAGAAAACTCTCCAAAAGAATATTTTGATTATTCCGAGAATTTAATGAGGTGCACAGATATAAGAAGAGCACTCTTACTCTCTTTGGAATCCTAAGTACAGGATTCAGGACATGAAAACAGATCTACTTTATCAATTACCATGCACACTTCAGCCTCAGAAGTAGGATATTAGCTCAAAGACAATTAGCCCCATTTGGACATTCATATGTAGTCTGTCCTTAGTTAGGAATGAATCACAACCTATTCTTTTATATGGTATATTTGACCAACACTAGCTTAATTAACATTAATTTAATAAACTCCCCTACTACCTCACCATAGACTAAGTTACAAAGATCCTGGGTTCAGTGGACCAAGTCACAACATATTTTTCAGCCACGGTGATGTCTAAAAATATTTTTCCTTAAACTGTAAAACAAGTGCAACATGATAAAATGGCCTTTATTTATCAGTTTTAATTTTATTAATTTTTTGAATTGATGATAAATCCACATGTATACCATTAAAGAGATACAAAAGTGGAAAGTCTCTCTCTAATCCCTATTCCTCAGGAGTGCCCCAGATACTGGCAACTCTGGAGGCAGAAAGTTACTAATTTGTTGTGTAGCCTTCTAGAAATATCCTCTATAAGTTATATATATATATATATATATATATATATATATAAATCTAAGATATATATATGTATCTTACGTAAAATCTAAAATGTACACAAAAGGTACATATATATGGAGAGTTAAAGGTACATATATATGTATATGGCGAGAGAGCGAGTTAAAGTTTCCAAAATCAAAACAAATTCTATTGTGTTAAAAACCCTATCAAAGACAAAACCTAACAAACAGAGCCAGGGAAGGCTGTTAAGGGAGGATTCTTAGACACAAATGCCTGATAACAACAACTACCACCAAAGACTGCAAAAACCACAACTTTGCACAAAGGCCATCCAACCTTATATAAAATAATACTTCTGGGTATTCTGGGTACACTGCCTATGGGGTAGCCCTGCTCTGCAAGGAGCAGTATAATTTTTTTTATTTAAGGAAAAAAAAAAAAAACCTTTGTGAGGACATGTGCCCAGCAACTATCTTTAGACTGGTGCCATCCTTGTTACTGATTCCCGTGGCCAAGGATAGTTATCTCAAAACAATTTCTCGTTTAGAACTTGTATATGGGTGCAATCCTTATTTTACCCTTAAAAACCCTTGTTTTCTGTTACCTCCCTACAGATGCATACAGTTTACTATGGCATGCATATTCCCATTTCAGTGCCTATTTCCAAATAAACATGATTTTCTCTCAGAGTCTTCCTGTTATTTAGGTTATCTTTCTCTCTCTCTTTCTCTGTACACACACACACACACATAAACACACACACACACGTGTGTATGTCACATATAACCTACGATTGATTTATACCTTTCCTAATCTTATGTAAAATCCAAAATGTACACAAAATAGTATTGTAACATCATGAAAACTAAGAAAAGGAAAACTTTGGTTGAAAATAAGAAAAAAAAAGCCTAGGTGCGGTGGCTCAGGCCTGTAATCCCAGCATTTTGGGAGGTTGAGGCGGGTGGATCACGAGGTCAGGAGATCGAGAACATCCTGGCTAACATGGTGAAACCCCATCTCTACTAAAAATACAAAAAATTAGCCGGACGTGGTGGTGGGTGCCTGTAGTCCCAGCTACTCGGGAGGCTGAGACAGGAGAATGGCGTGAACCCGGGAGGCAGAGATTGCAGCGAGCCGAGATCGCACCACTGCACTCCAGCCTGGGTGACAGAACGAGACTCCGTCTCAAAAAAAAAAAAAAAAAAAAAAAAAAAAAAGAGAGAATCCTTATTTTTCATTACTTTGGCAAGTGACAGGTATATATAGTTAGGAAAACCTTCATTGTCAACTCTCATCTATCTCAGCCTCTTTGTAGTGTCTCAGGAGGAACCACTGCTTCCTAGAAAAGCTCCTCTGGGCCCCTCAGCTTTTCTGATTCTTCTTTAAGCTCTCATCTCTGCCTCTTTTCCTAGTACCTCCTCCTCTGCCCACCGTCTTCAGTGTTGAGTCTTTCGTCATTTTCAGTTCTTGTTTCACCTAAATTCCTGAGGCTATCATCCATTCTCATAGTTTTAAGTACCACCCATATATAAGTCCTAAATGTGTACATTTGGCTCTTAGCATATGCTCCAGATCCAAACTTAATAGCTCCTTTTGGACTTTTTTCCTGTATATTCTGAGGCTATTATGACATACAATGCATGTTGATATTTGAAACTAAAGCTAATTAAGCCCTAGATTTTAAAAAAAAACCTCTAAATGCATTAAACATTTGAGTCTGTGATTCTTATTCTTGGGCCAGAAGTTTGTTTAAAATAAAAACTACAAAACAATAGTATAGTCATCCCTTGGTATATGCAGGAGATTGGTTCTAGTACTCCAGTGGATACGAAAACCCACAGATGCTCATGTCCTTCATGTAAAATGGCATAGTATTTGCACATAACCTACATATGTCTTCCCATATACTTTAAATTATCTCTAGATTACTTATAATGCTTAATACAATGTAAATGCTATGTAAATAATTGTTATACTGTATTTTTTATTTGTATTGTTTTTACTATATTTTTTGTTGTTTGTTTTTATTATTATTATACTTTAAGTTTTAGGGTACATGTGGACAATGTGCAAGTTAGTTACATATGTATACATGTGCCATGCTGCTATGCTGCACACATTAACTCGTCATTTAGCATTAGGTATATCTCCTAATGCTATCCCTCCCCGCTTCCCCCACCCCACAACAGTCCCCGGAGTGTGATGTTCTCCTTCCTGTGTCCATGTGTTCTCATTGTTCAATTCCCATCTATGAGTGAGAACATGCAGTGTTCAGTTTTTTGTCCTTGCGATAGTTTACTGAGAGTGATGATTTCCAATTTCATCCAGTCCCTACAAAGGACATGAACTCATCACTTTTTATGGCTGCATAGTATTCCATGGTGTATATGTGCCACATTTTCTTAATCCAGCCTATCATTGTTGGACATTTGGGTTGGTTCCAAGTCTTTGTTATTGTGAATAATGCCACAGTAAACATACGTGTGCATGTGTCTTTATAGCAGCATGATTTATAGTCCTTTGGGTATATGCCCAGTAATGGGATGGCTGGGTCAAATGGTATTTCTAGTTGTAGATCCCTGAGGAATCGCCACCCTGATTTCCACAATGGCTGAACTAGTTTACAGTCCCACCAACAGTGTAAAAGTGTTCCTATTTCTCCACATCCTCTCCAGCACTTGTTGTTTCCTGACTTTTTAATGATTGCCATTCTAACTGGTGTGAGATGGTATCTCATTGTGGTTTTGATTTGCATTTCTCTGATGGCCAGTGATGATGAGCATTTTTTCATGTGTCTTTTGGCTGCATAAATGTCTTCTTTTGAGAAGTGTCTGTTCATATCCTTTGCCCACTTTTTGATGGGGTTGTTTGTTTTTTTCTTGTAAATTTGTTTGAGTTCATTGTAGATTCTGGATATTAGCCCTTTGTCAGATGAATAGATTGCAAAAATTTCCTCCCATTCTGTAGGTTGCCTGTTCACTCTGATGGTAGTTTCTTTTGCTGTGCAAAAGCTCTTTAGTTTAATTAGATCCCATTTGTCAATTTTGGCTTTTGTTGCCATTGCTTTTGGTGTTTTAGTCATGAAGTCCTTGCCCATGCCTGTGTCCTGAATGGTATTGCCTAGGTTTTCTTCTAGGGTTTTTATGGTTTTAGGTCTAACGTGGTAAGTCTTTAATCCATCTTGAATTAATTTTTGTATAAGGTGTAAGGAAGGGATCCAGTTTCAGCTTTTTACATATGGCTAGCCAGTTTTCCCAGCACCATTTATTAAATAGGGAATCCTTTCCCCATTGCTTGTTTTTCTGAGGTTTGTCAAAGATCAGATAGTTGTAGATATGTGGCGTTATTTCTGAGGGCTCTGTTCTCTTCCATTGATCTATATCTCTGTTTTGGTACCAGGACCATGCTGTTTTGGTTACTGTAGCCTTGTAGTATAGTTTGAAGTCAGGTAGTGTGATGCCTCCAGCTTTGTTCTTTTGGCTTAGGATTGACTTGGCGATGCGGGCTCTTTTTTGGTTCCATATGAACTTTAAAGTAGTTTTTTCCAATTCTGTGAAGAAAGTCATTGGTAGCTTGATGGGGATGGCATTGAATCTATAAATTACCTTGGGCAGTATGGCCATTTTCACGATATTGATTCTTCCTACCCATGAGCATGGAATGTTCTTCGATTTGTTTGTATCCTCTTTTATTTCATTGAGCAGTGGTTTGTAGTTCTCCTTGAAGAGGTCCTTCACATCCCTTGTAAGTTGGATTCCTAAGTATTTTATTCTCTTTGAAGCAATTGTGAATGGGAGTTCACTCATGATTTGGCTCTGTGTTTGTCTGTTGATGGTGTATAAGAATGCTTGTGATTTTTGCACATTGATTTTGTATCCTGAGACTTTGCTGAAGTTGCTTATCAGCTTAAGGAGATTTTGGGCTGAGACGATGGGGTTTTCTAGATATACAATCATGTCATCTGCAAACAGGGACAACTTGACTTCCTCTTTTCCTAATTGAATGCCCTTTATTTCCTTCTCCTGCCTCATTGCCCTGGCCAGAACTTCCAACACTATGTTGAATAGGAGTGATGAGCGAGGGCATCCCTGTCTTGTGCCAGTTTTCAAAGGGAATGCTTCCAGTTTTTGCCCATTCAGTATGATATTGGCTGTGGGTTTGTCATAGATAGCTCTTATTATTTTGAGATACGTCCCATCAATACCTAATTTATTGAGAGTTTTTAGCATGAAGGGTTGTTGAATTTTGTCAAAGGCCTTTTCTGCATCTATTAAGATAATCATGTGGTTTTTGTCTTTGGTTCTGTTTATATGCTGGATTACATTTATTGATTTGTGTATATTGAACCAACCTTGCATCCCAGGGATGAAGCCCACTTGATCATGGTGGGTAAGCTTTTTGATGTGCTGCTGGATTCGGTTTGCCAGTATTTTATTGAGGATTCTTGCATCAATGTTCATCAAGGATATTGGTCTAAAATTCTCTTTTTTGGCTGTGTCTCTGCCCAGCTTTGGTATCAGGATGATGCTGACCTCATAAAATGAGTTAGGGAGGATTCCCTCTTTTTTTATTGATTGGAATAGTTTCAGAAGGCATGGTACCAGTTCCTCCTTGTACCTCTGGTAGAATTCGGCTGTGAATCCATCTGGTCCTGGACTCTTTTTGGTTGGTAAGCTATTGATTATTGCCACAATTTCAGGTCTTGTTATTGGTCTGTTCAGAGATTCAACTTCTTCCTGGTTTAGTCTTGGGAAAGTGTGTGTGTCAAGGAATTTATCCATTTCTTCTAGATTTTCTAGTTTATTTGCGTAGAGGTGTTTGTAGTATTCTCTGATGGTAGTTTGTATTTCTGTGGGATCGGTGGTGATATCCCCTTTATCATTTTTTATTGCGTCTATTTGATTCTTCTCTCTTTTTTTCTTTATTAGAGTTGCTAGTGGTCTATCAATTTTGTTGATCCGTTCAAAAAACCAGCTCCTGGATTCATTAATTTTTTGAAGGGTTTTTTTTTTGTCTCTATTTCCTTCCGTTCTGCTCTGATTTTAGTTATTTCTTGCCTTCTGCTAGCTTTTGAATGTGTTTGCTCTTGCTTTTCTAGTTCTTTTAATTGTGATGTTAGGGTGTCAATTTTGGGTCTTTCCTGCTTTCTCTTGTGGGCATTTAGTGCTATAAATTTCCCTCTACACACTGCTTTGAATGTGTCCCAGAGATTCTGGTATGTTGTGTCTTTGTTCCCGTTGGTTTCAAAGAACATCTTTATTTCTGCCTTCATTTTGTTATATACCCAGTAGTCATTCAGGAGCAGGTTGTTCAGTTTCCATGTAGTTGAGCAGTTTTGAGTGAGATTCTTAATCCTGAGTTCTAGTTTGATTGCACTGTGGTCTGAGAGAGAGTTTGTTATAATTTCTGTTCTTTTACATTTGCTGAGGAGAGCTTTACTTCCAAGTATGTGGTCAATTTTGGAATAGGTGTGGTGTGGTGCTGAAAAAAATGTATATTCTGTTGATTTGGGATGGAGAGTTCTGTAGCTGTCTATTAGGTCCACTTGGTGCAGAGCTGAGTTCAATCCCTGGGTATCCTTGTTAACTTTCTGTCTCATTGAGCTGTCTAGTGTTGACAGTGGGGTGTTAAAGTCTCCCATTATTATTATGTGGGAGTCTAAGTCTCTTTGTAGGTCACTCAGGACTCGCTTTATGAATCGGGATGCTCCTGTATTGGGTGCATATATATTTAGGATAGTTAGCTCTTCTTGTTGAACTGTTCCCTTTACCACCATGTAATGGCCTTCTTTGTCTCTCTTGATCTTTGTTGGTTTAAAGTCTGTTTTATCCGAGACTAGGATTGCAACCCCTGCCTTTTTTTGTTTTCCATTGGCTTGGTAGATCTTCCTCCATCCTTTTATTTTGAGCCTATGTGTGTCTCTGCACGTGAGATGGGTTTCCTGAATACAGCACACTGATGGGTCTTGACTCTTTATCCAATTTGCCAGTCTGTGTCTTTTAAATGGAGCATTTAGTCCATTTACATGTAAGGTTAATATTGTTATGTGTGAATTTGATCCTGCCATTATGATGTTAGCTGGTTATTTTGCTCATTAGTTGATGCAGTTTCTTCCTAGTCTCGATGGTCTTTACATTTTGGCATGATTTTGCCACGGTTGGTACTCGTTCCTTTCCATGTTTAGTGCTTCCTTCAGGAGCTCTTTTAGGGCAGGCCTGGTGGTGACAAAATCTCTCAGTATTTGCTTGTCTGTAAAGTATTTTATTTCTCCTTCACTTATGAAGCCTAGTTTGGCTGGATATGAAATTCTGGGTTGAAAATTCTTTTCTTTAAGAATGTTGAATATTGGCCCCCACTCTCTTCTGGCTTGTAGAGTTGGTTGGTTTAATCCACAGATACAAAACCTGTGGAAATAGAGGGCTGAGTTTATCTTGGTTGCGTATCAAATTAGTCTGTTGCATTTCTGTAAAAGCTTAAAGTAGACTCTTGTTAACTAGCATATAATTATAAATACCCTAGATCTCTGTACTCAGTTTCCTAGTCTCATGTGTTTTTGTGAAAATCACTAAGCCAATTAAACCAAGCTGTGATCAAATGAGGAGAGATAGTACTTTGTAAATGGAAAAGTATCTTAAAACCTTTGTTGCTGTTGTCAGTAAATAAATACTCACAACAGATATAAGGAAGTTACAGAGGATGGTAGCTTCAAATGTAGCCATTATAAACTGAAGGAAATGTGATTGGCCTTAAAACCTGGTTTTGTAAATACTTTGAATTAGGATGTTGTACAATAACAGAAATACAACTCAAAATGGCTTAATCACTAAAGAGACCACATAACACGTAAGAGAGGGATAGATCTAGGATTGGTTGATTCACTAGTCTATTCATGTCATCTTTCTACTTTGTCATCCTTAGCAGCTCTAGACATCATATCCTTACTCAGCAATGTTCAGAAGCACGTGGAAGGATATATCCGAAGTGTCCTAAAGTGTCTTAATAGGGAAGAAAGAGGAGAAAAGCTTTATGTGAAGCAGCCTATATTTGCAACATATGTTATAACTTTGAAAAACTAGTTAAAATAACATTCAGTGTTTTGTTTTGTTTTAGTTCTTTTTACCTATTATGAAACATCAGTAATATACAGGAAAGACATGAAAGCTTGTAATAATTTCAAGGTACATAATAGATCCAGAGTAATACAAATAAATCCTTGTGTATTCCAAAAACCTAATGAATTTTTAAGAAGAACTGCCTTTTCTGTTCATAAGCTTTAAAAAAATTAAACTAGTGTCTAATGCTTGATAATATCTTGAAAATATGCTTCATTAGTCTGATTCCATTAGCAGAAAATTGCCCTATAACTTTCACTAATGAAGAACAAAACAGGAAATAGTCTCTGCATCTTACTAGATGGTTTAAAAAAGGTATACCTCAGCTGTTTTGAGAGAATTTATTATTTTCAGGATGTATAATAATTCCCACTGAGCCATTATTTCACACATTAGCTTTTACACAATTATTTATTCTTATTCATAAAACTGCAGATCAAAAAACTTGATTATGCCTGCAGGAACTAGTAGAAAATTTTTAGGGCTTAATTAGATAATAATATTCATTAGAATATTTTGTAGTTAAAAACGAAAATATATTTTATATAAAAAAGCAACAAAAAGTAAGCCAGGTCTACTTGATCTAGTTTATAATTATTTTATAAGTAGTAAAAATGACTTACAATATTAAAATCACTTCATTAATAAAAATGTGGATATACTTGATAACTCAATGTTGATAGATGGAGGAATAAGTGAAATAGTTTTGTTACAAACTGAGTGCCTCTCAGAATATAACGTGACACCATTTTGTCTACTAATCAGCTGTAGGTGAAGCAGCCCATGTCTAGCCCATATTTAATCTAGTTGTTTTGATTTATTGAATTATATGCTAAAAAACCTGAGCATTTCTGTTATAGTCTCTATATTGTGGACATGTAGAGGTTACAGCAAGTATATATCAAAAATTTTTTTCAATTTTTGTAGCCATCAAATACACATTATTATTTATTTAGTCATTCACAAAACATACCTTTGAGCATCAAGCACAGTGCTAAGCCCTTAGTTTAAGTAAGAGATAACCGTATAAACAAATAAGTGTACCAAATGTTACTGATGTTATGGTATAAGTTTATTCAGAGGCAGAAGAAGGGTGCAGTCACTTCTTTTTTAAAAAATTATAGATTCAGAGGGGTACATGTATGGGTTTGGTACATAGGTATATTGCGTAATGGGAGGGTTTGGGCTTCTGGTGAACCCATCACCCAAATAGTGAACATACTCAATAGTTTTTCAACCCTTGCCCGCCTTTGCCTCTACCCCCTTTTGGAGTCCCCAGTGGCCATTGTTCATTTTTATGTGTACCCATTGATCAGCTCCCACTTATAAGTGAGAACATGAGGTATTTGATTTTCTGCTTCTGAGTTATTTTAATTTCAGTAACTATTAGGATAATGATCTCCAGTTGCAGGCATGTTGTTGCAAAGGACATCGTTTTGTTCTTTTTTGTGGTAATATTCCATGGTGTATATATACTAAATTTTCTTTATTCAGTCCACTGTTGATGGACACTTAGGTTGATTCCATGACTTTGCTATTGTAGATAGTGCTGTGATAAATATATGAGTGCAGGTGTCTTCTTGATAAAACAATTTCTTTTGCTATGGATAAATACCCAGTAGTAGGGTTTCTGATTTGAGTGGTAATTCTATTTTTAGTTCTATGAGAAAACTCCTTACTGCTTTCCATCGGGGTTGAACTAATTTACACTCACCTCCCCCCTCAGCAGTGTATAAGTGTTCTCTTTTCTTCATATTCTTGCCAATATCTGTTATATATGTTTTCTTTTTTTTGAGACAGGGTCTCACTCTGTCACCCAGGTTGGTGTGCAGTGGCATGATAGGGCTTACCACAGTCTCAACCTCTGGGGCTCAAGCAGTCTTCCCACCTCAGCCCCCAAGTAGCTGTGACTACAGGTGTGCACCATCACGCCCAGATAATTTTTTGTAATTTTAATAGAGTTGGGGTTTCACCATGTTACCTAGGCTGGTCTTGAACTCTTAGACTCAAGCAGTCTGCCCACATTGGCCTCCCAAAATGCTGGGATTACAGGCATGAGCCACCACACCTGGCCTATTTTTTGACTTCTTTATGATAGCCATTCTGACTGGTGTGAGATGGTATCTTATTGTGGTTTTAGTTTGCATTCGTCAAATGATAGTGATGTTGAGCATTTTTTCATGTTTTTTGGCAACTTGTATGTCTTTTGAGAAGTGTCTGTTCATGCCCTTTGCCCACTTTTCAATGGGGTTGTTTTCTCCTTGTTGATTCGTTCCAGTTCCTTATAGAGTCTAGATATTAGTCCTTTTTCAGTTGCATAGTTTGCAAATATTTTCTCCCATTCTGTAGGTCATCTGTTTACTCTGTTGATTGTTTCTTTTGCTGTGCAAGTCCCATATACCTATTTTTTGTTCTGTTGCATTTACTCTTGAGGTCTTAATCATAAATTCTTTGCCTAGTCCAGTGTCCAGAAGAGATTTTCCTAGATTTTCTTCTAGGAATTTTGTAGTTTGAGGTCTTACATTTAAGTATTTAAACCATCTTGAGTTAATTTTTATATATGGTGATATGTAGAGTTCCAGTTTCATTCTTCTGCATATGGCTAGACAGTTATCCCAGTACCATTTATTGAATATAGAGTCCTTTCCCCATTGCTTGTTTTTGTCAGCTTTGTCAAAGATTAGGTGCTTGTAGTTGTGTGGCCTTATTTCAGGGCTCTCTATCCTGTTCCATTGGTCTATGTGTCTCTTTTTGTACCAATATCATGCTGTTTTGGTTACTGTAGCCCTGTTGTATAGTTTGAAGTTGGGTAGTGTGATGCCTCCAGCTTTGTTCTTTTTGCTTAGAATTACCTTGGCTATTGGGGCTCTTTTTTGTTTCATATGAATTTTAAAATACTTTTCTCTAGTCCTGTGAAGAATGCCATTGGTAGTTTGATAGGAATAGCATTGAATCTGTACTTTGCTTTAGGCACTGTGGCCATTTTAATGATATTGATTCTTTGTGTCCATGAGCATGAGATGTTTTTCCATTTGTTTGTGTCATCTATGATTTCTTTCATCAGTGTTTCATACAAAGTTCTCCTTATAGAGATCTTTCCTTTCACTACCTTAGTTAAATGTATTCCTAGGTATTTTATTTTGTGTGTGTGGCTATTGTAAATGGGACTGAAGTCTTTATTTGGTTTTCAGCTTGAACATTATTGGTGTATAGAAATGCTACTGATTTTTGTATGCTGATTTTGTATCCTGAAACATTACTGAACTTGTTTATCAGGTCTAGGAGTCTTTTGGAAGGATCTTTAGGGTTTTCAAGGTGTAAAATCATGTCATCAGTGCAAAAAGATAATTCGAGTTCCTCTTTTTCGGATGCTTTCTATTTCTTTCTCTTCCTCTGGCTGGGACTTCCAGTTCTGTGTTGAATGGGAGTGGTGAAAGTAGACATCTTAGTCTCGTTCCAGTTCTTCGGTGGAACACTTTCAGCTTTTCCCCATTCAGTATGATGTTGGCTGTGGGTTTGTCATAGATGGCTCTTATTATTTTGAGGTATATCCCTGATGCCTAATTTGTTGAGAGTTTTTTTTTATCATAAAGCGATGTTGGATTTTATCAAATGCTTTCTCAGCATCTATGAAGATGATCATGTGTTTTTTGTTTTTAATTCTGTTTATGCAGTGATATTGTTTGGATATCTTCTCCAAATTTCATGTTGAAATGTAATCCCCAATGTTGGAGTTAAGGCCTGGTGGGAGATGTTTGGATCATGAGGGTGGATCATTCATGAATAGCTTGGTGCTTTCCTCACAATAGTGAGTTCTTGTGAGACCTGGTTGTTTGAAAGTGTGTGACACCTCCCCACTCACTCTCTTGCTCCTACATTTGCCATATGATGTGTCTGCTCCTCCTTCACCTCCCACTATGATTGTAAGTTTCCTGTGGCCCTCACCAGAAGCAGATGCCAACAACATACTTATTGTACTGCCTGCAGAACCATGAGCCAACTAAACTGCTTTTCTTTATAAATTACTGAGCCTCAGGCATTTCTTTTTCTTTTTTTTTTATACTCTAAGTTCTAGGGTACATCTGCCAACGTGCAGGTTAGTTACATATGTATACATGTGCCATGTTGGCGTGCTGCACCCACTAATTTGTCATTTAACATTAGATATATCTCCAAATGCTATCCCTCCCCCATCCCCCGACCCCACAACAGGCCCCAGTGTGTGATGTTCCCCTTCCTGTCTCCATGTGTTCTCATTGTTCAGTTCCCACCTATGAGTGAGAACATGCAGTGTTCAGTTTTTTGTCCTTGCGATAGTTTGCTGAGAATGATGGTTTCCAGTTTCATCCATGTCCCTACAAAGGACATGAACTCATCACTTTTTATGGCTGCATAGTATTCCATGGTGTATATGTGCCGCATTTTCTTAATCCAGTCTATCATTGTTGGACATTTGGGTTGGTTCCAAGTCTTTGCTATTGTGAATAGTGCCGCAATAAACATACGTGTGCATGTGTCTTTATAGCAGCATGATTTATAATCCTTTGGGTATATACCCAGTAATGGGATGGCTGGGTCAAACGTTATTTCTAGTTGTAGATCCCTTAGGAATCGCCACGCTGATTTCCACAATGGCTGAACTAGTTTACAGTCCCACCAACAGTGTAAAAGTGTTCCTATTTCTCCACATCCTCTCCAGCACCTGTTGTTTCCTGACTTTTTAATGATCGCCATTCTAACTGGTGTGAGATGGTATCTCATTGTGGTTTTGATCTGCATTTCTCTGATGAGCAGTGATGATGAGCATTTTTTCATGTGTCTTTTGGCTGCATAAACGTCTTCTTTTGAGAAGTGTCTGTTCATATCCTTTGCCCACTTTTTGATGGGGTTGTTTGTTTTTTTCTTGTAAATTTGTTTGAGTTCATTGTAGATTCTGGATATTAGCCCTTTGTCAGATGGGTAGATTGCAAAAATTTTCTCCCATTCTGTAGGTTGCCTGTTCACTCTGATGGTAGTTTCTTTTGCTGTGCAGAAGCTCTTTAGTTTAATTAGATCCCATTTGACAATTTTGGCTTTTGTTGCCATTGCTTTTGGTGTTTTAGACATGAAGTCCTTGCCCATGCCTATGTCCTGAATGGTATTGCCTAGGTTTTCTTCTAGGGTTTTTATGGTTTTAGGTCTAACGTGGTAAGTCTTTAATCCATCTTGAATTAATTTTTGTATAAGGTGTAAGGAAGGGATCCAGTTTCAGCTTTCTACATATGGCTAGCCAGTTTTCCCAGCACCATTTATTAAATAGGGAATCCTTTCCCCATTTATTGTTTTTGTCAGGTTTGTCAAAGATCAGATGACTGTAGATATTCGGCATTATTTCTGAGGTCTCTGTTCTGTTCCATTGGTCTATATCTCTGTTTTGGTACTAGTACCATGCTGTTTTGGTTACTGTAGCCTTGTAGTATAGTTTGAAGTCAGGTAGTGTGATGCCTCCAGCTTTGTTCTTTTGGCTTAGGATTGACTTGGCGATGCGGGCTCTTTTTTGGTTCCATATGAACTTTAAAGTAGTTTTTTCCAATTCTGTGAAGAAAGTCATTGGTAGCTTGATGGGGATGGCATTGAATCTATAAATTACCTTGGGCAGTATGGCCATTTTCACGATATTGATTCTTCCTACCCATGAGCATGGAATGTTCTTCGATTTGTTTGTATCCTTTTTTATTTCATTGAGCAGTGGTTTGTAGTTCTCCTTGAAGAGGTCCTTCATGTCCCTTGTAAGTTGGATTCCTAGGTATTTTATTCTTATTGAAGCAATTGTGAATGGGAGTTCACTCATGATTTGGCTCTCTGTTTGTCTGTTATTGGTGTATAAGAATGCTTGTGATTTTTGCACATTGATTTTGTATTCTGAGACTTTGCTGAAGTTGCCTATCAGCTTAAGGAGATTTTGGGCTGAGACGATGGGGTTTTCTAGATATATAATCATGTCATCTGCAAACAGGGACAATTTGACTTCCTCTTTTCCTAATTGAATACCCTTTATTTCCTTCTCCTGCCTGATTGCCCTGGCCAGAACTTCCAACACTATGTTGAATAGGAGTGGTGAGAGAGGGCATCCCTGTCTTGTGCCATGTTTTGAAGGGAATGCTTCCAGTTTTTGCCCATTCAGTATGATATTGGCTGTGGGTTTGTCATAGATAGCTCTTATTATTTTGAGATACATCCCATCAATACCTAATTTATTGAGAGTGTTTAGCATGAAGGGTTGTTGAATTTTGTCAAAGGCCTTTTCTGCATCTATTGAGATAATCATGTGGTTTTTGTCTTTGGTTCTGTTTATATGCTGGATTACATTCATTGATTTTCGTATGTTGAACCAACCTTGCATCCCAGGGATGAAGCCCACTTGATCATGGTGGATAAGCTTTTTGATGTGCTGCTGGATTCGGTTTGCCAGTATTTTATTGAGGATTTTTGCATCGATGTTCATCAGGGATATTGGTCTAAAATTCTCTTTTTTTGTTTTGTCTCTGCTAGGCTTTGGTATCAGAATGATGCTGACCTCATAAAATGAGTTAGGGAGGATCCCCTCTTTTTCTATTGATGGAATAGTTTCAGAAGGAATGGTACCAGCTCCTCGTTGTACCTCTGGTAGAATTCGGCTGTGAATCCATCTGGTCCTGGGCTTTTTTTGGTTGGTAAACTATTAATTATTGCCTCAATTTCAGAGCCTGTTTTTGGTCTATTCAGAGATTCAACTTCTTCCTGGTTTAGTCTTGGGAGGGCGTATGTGTCAAGGAATTTATCCATTTCTTCTAGATTTTCTAGTTTATTTGTGTAGAGGTGTTTGTAGTATTCTCCTATGGTAGTTTGTGTTTCTGTGGGATCGGTGGTGATATCCCCTTCGTCATTTTTTATTGCGTCTATTTGATTCTTCTCTCTTTTCTTCTTTATTAGTCTTGCTAGCGGTCTATCAATTTTGTTGTTCTTCTCAAAAAACCAGCTCCTGTATTCACTGATTTTTTTGAAGGGTTTTTTGTGTGTCTATGTCCTTCAGTTCTACTCTGATCTTAGTTATTTCTTGCCTTCTGCTAGATTTGGAATGTGTTTGCTCTTGCTTCTCTACTTCTTTTAATTGTGATGTTAGGGTGTCAATTTTAGATCTTTCCTGCTTTCTCTTGTGGGCATTTAGTACTATAAATTTCCCTCTACACACTGCTTTGAATGTGTCCCAGAGATTCTGGTGTGTTGTGTCTTTGTTGTCGTTGGTTTCAAAGAACATCTTGATCTCTGCCTTCATTTTGTTATGTACCCAGTAGTCATTCAGGAGCAGGTTGTTCAGTTTCCATGTAGTTGAGCGGATTTGAGTGAATTTCTTAATCCTGAGTTCTAGTTTGATTGCAGTGTGGTCTGAGAGAGAGTTTGTTATAATTTCTGTTCTTTTACATTTGTTGAGGAGTGCTTTACTTCCAACTATGTGGTCAATTTTGGAATACGTGTGCTGTGGTGCTGAGAAGAATGTATATTTTGTTCATTTGGGATGGAGAGTTCTGTAGATGTCTATTAGGTCCGCTTGGTGCAGAGCTGTATTTAATTCCTGGATATGCTTGTTAACTTTCTGTCTTGTTGATCTGTCTAATGTTGACAGTGGCATGTTAAAGTCTCCCATTTTTATTGTGTGTGAGTCTAAGTCTCTTTGTATGTCACTCATGACTTGCTTTATGAATCTGGGTGCTCCTGTATTGGGTGCATGTATATTTAGGATAGTTAGCTCTTCTTGTTGAACTTATCCCTTTACCATTATGTAACGGCCTTCTTTGTCTCTTTTGATCTTTGTTGGTTTAAAGTCTGCTTTATCAGAGACTAGGATTGCAACCCCTGCCTTTTTTTGTTTTCCATTTGCTTGGTAGATCTTCCTCCATCCCTTTATTTTGAGCCTATGTGTGTCTCTGCACGTAAGATGGGTTTCCTGAATACAGCACACTGATGGGTCTTGACTCTTTATCCAATTTGCCAGTCTGTGTCTTTTAATTGGAGCATTTAGTCCATTTACATGTAAGGTTAATATTGTTATGTGTGAATTTGATCCTGTCATTATAATGTTAGCTGGTTATTTTGCTCATTAGTTGATGCAGTTTCTTCCTAGCCTCGATGGTCTTTACATTTTGGCATGATTTTGCAGCGTAGTTTGGCTGGATATGAAATTCTGGGTTGAAAATTCTTTTCTTTAAGAATGTTGAATATTGGCCCCCACTCTCTTCTGGCTTGTAGAGTTTCTGCCGAGAGATCCGCCGTTAGTCTAATGGGCTTCCCTTTGTGGGTAACCCCCACCTTTGTCTCTGGCTGCTCTTAACATTTTTTCCTTCATTTCAACTTTGGTGAATCTGAGAATTGTGTGTCTTGGAGTTGCTCTTCTCGAGGAGTATCTTTGTAGCATTCTCTGTATTTCCTGAATTTGAATGTTGGCCTGACTTGCTAGTTTGGGGAAGTTCTCCTGGATAATATCCTGCAGAGTGTTTTCCAACTTGGTTCCATTCTCCCTGTCACTTTGAGGTACACCAATCAGATGTAGATTTGGTCTTTTCACATAGTCCCATATTTCTTGGAGGCTTTGTTCGTTTCTTTTTATTCTTTTTTCTCTAAACTTCTCTTCTCGCTTCATTTCATTCATTTGATCTTCCATCACTGATACCCTTTCTTCCAGTTGATAGAATTGGCTACTGAGACTTGTACATTTGTCACATAGTTCTCGTGCCTTGGTTTTCAGCACCATCAGGTCCTTTAAGGACTTCTCTGCATTGGTTATTCTAGTTAGCCATGCGTCTAATTTTTTTCAAGGTTTTTGACTTATTTGCCATGGGTTTGAACTTCCTCCTTTACCTCAGAGTAGTTTGATCATCTGAAGCCTTCTTCTCTCACCTCGTCAAAGTCGTTCTGCATCCAGCTTTGTTCCGTTGCTGGTGAGGAGCTGTGTTCCTTTGGAGGAGGAGAGGCGCTCTGATTGTTAGAGTTTCCAGTTTTTCTGCTCTGTTTTTTCCCCATCTTTGTGGTTTTATCTACCTTTGGTCTTTGATGATGGTGACGTACCGATGGGATTTTGCTGTGGATGTCCTTTCTGTTTGTTAGTTTTCCTTCTAACAGTCAGGACCCTCAGCTGCAGGTCTGTTGGAGTTTGCTGGAGGTCCACTCCAGGCCCTGTTTGCCTGGGCATCAGCAGCGGAGGCTGCAGAACAGCGGATATTGGTGAACAGCAAATGTTGCTGCCAGATCCTTCCTCTGGAAGTTTTGTCTCAGAGGAGTACCCGGCCGTGTGAGGTGTCAGTCTGCCCCTACTCGGGGGTGCCTCCCAGTTAGGCTACTCGGTGGTCAGGGACCCACTTGAGGAGGCAGTCTATCTGTTCTCAGATCTCCAGCTGCGTGCTGGGATAACCACTGCTCTCTTCAAAGCTGTCAGACAAGAACATTTAAGTCTGCAGAGGATTCTGCTGCCTTTTGTTTGGCAATGCCCTGCCCCGGAGGTGGAGTCTACAAAGGCAGGCAGGCCTCCTTGAGCTGCAGTGGGCTCCACACAGTTGGAGCTTCCAGGCTGGTTTGTTTACCTACTCAAGCCTCCGCAATGGCGGGCGCCTCTCCCCCAGCCTTGCTGCCGCCTTCCAGTTGGATCTCAGACTGCTGTGCTAGCAATGAGCGAGGCTCTGTGGGCGGAGGACCCTCCGAGCCAGGTGCGGGATATAATCTCCTGGTGTGCCATTTGCTAAGACCGTTAGAAAAGCACAGTATTAGGGTGGGAGGGACCTGATGTTCCAGGTGCCATCTGTCACCCCTTTGTTTGACTAGAAAAGGGAATTCCCTGACTCCTTGCGGTTCCCGTGTGAGGCAATGCCTCACCCAGCTTCGGCTCCTGCTGGGTGCACTGCACCTACTGTCCTGCACCCACTTTCCGACACTCCCCAGTGAGATGAGCCTTGTACCTCAGTTGGAAATGCAGAAATCACCCGTCTTCTGCGTCGCCCACACTGGGAGCTGTAGATTGGAGCGGTTCCTATTTGGCCATCTTGGCTGCACCCCCTCAGGCATTTGTTTATAGCAGTGGAAGAATGGCCTAATACATGTGTATTATGCAATAAGGTTACATTGAAAAAGAATGGACTGGCCAGGTGCGGTGGTTCATGCCTGTAATCCTCGCACTTTGGTAGGCTGAGGTGGGTAGATCACCTGAGGTCAGGAGTTCCAGACCAGTCTGGCCAACATGGTGCAACCTCGTCTCTACAAAAAATACAAAAATTAGCTGGACGTGGTGGCCCGCACCTGTAATTCCAGCTACTCAGGAGGCTGAGCAGGAGAATCGCTTGAACCCAGGAGGTGGAGGTTGCAGTGAGCTAAGATCGCACCATTGCACTCCAGCCTGGGTGACAAGAGCGAAACTGTCTTAAAAAAAAAAAAGTCTGGGTGCAGTGGCTAAGCCCTGTAATCCCAGCACATTGGGAGGCCGAGTTGGGTGGATCATGAGGTCAGGAGATCAAGACCATTCTGGCTAACACGGTGAATCCCCATCTCTACTAAAAATACAAAAAATTAGCCGGACGTGGTGGTGGGCTCCTGTAGTCCCAGCTACTCGGGAGACTGAGGCAGGAGAATCACTTGAACCTGGGAGCCGGAGGTTGCAGTGAGCCAAGATCGTGCCACTGCACTGCAGCCCGGGCAACAGAGCGAGACTCCGTCTCAAAAAAAAAAAAAAAAAGAGAGAAAGAATGAACTAACACGTGTATATGCAATAAAGTTTACATTGAAATATTAAATTATTGCCTCAAATCAAGATGAATGAATAACTCTAGAGCAGTCCTCGTATGTGATTAATCACTGAAGTCATTTCAAAGGAAAAATATTTTCCAAAAGCCTCATTGTTTACTTAAAATTTTTGTATTATGTTAAATATGTACACACCAAAACTAGGTTAAAAAATTTCATATACTTATAGCTTTTAGGAAATATTTTCAAAATATGAAAAATTTTCAAAATTAAATACAAATAAGGCAAAATAAAAATAGTTCAGTTAACAGTATTAATTTAATATGATAGTATTATTTGGCAGATGCTAAATTGATGCTATTGAGGTTTTATGGCCAAAACTAATAGCCTCATGTCTCTTAAATATTGAAAGTTTATTCATATCCTATACTTCCTTTTTTAATGATGAGGAATTGAGTTCAGCTGCACATAATAATAGCTAAAATATATTGGACTATTTTCTCCTGCAGTTAACAGGAGTTTAGAGCCACACCTTTCCAATCTTCTTGTCCTTTTCTGCCTAGTAGATCACAAAGCAGCTATTACGGTTCCAGATTTGGCATCATTGCGTGATGCAGGAAGAAAGGAAGAAGACAAAACGACATGTGCTAACTGAGTCAACCCTATTTTAACAAGCTTTCTCAGAATCACCACCTAGTTATGTTGACTAAGGCCTCATTGGCCACATTTTGTCATATAACCACAGCTAGTTGAAAAAGAGATTGGAAAAGGAGAGGTTTAGTTCACCACAGGCCCCCCACCGACAGGGTGTGTTTGTGAGGGGGAAGGGGAGAAGGGATTTTGGAAAAGCAACAGCAAGCTCTACCACAACTTCTAAGGCCGTTTTTATCGAGGGATGATTTGGAAGCACTATAGCCATCTTCATCACATAAAGATCACATCAACTTTGGGGTGTTATTGAAATCTCTCTCAAGTAGGTATCTAACTATGTCTGCAATCCGGGAAAGAAAAATCCTTCATATTTGCTCTCATAATTACTGATAATTAAAGTTTAAATTTTAAAAGCTAAAAGAAATCAGTTCCCTCGTGAGTATGATGTTCTCCGTGCATGCACCCCTATGTGTCTGGTGATGTCTCAATTCCACACTACCCTAAGTCCGACTATTGTAAAAACGTATTTACTCATCATTCTGCAATAAGAAGTGTTTAATATAGGTAAATGGGAAGGGATTTCTCATATAATCCTAAATGCAAAAGGGACCACTAAATATACATAGGCCTGATTTTAAAGTAGTTGTTCAGATGACCCAGAATATACTTATGGTAATATTTTTTGGAATTTAATCTAAATGACTTAACAGTTAACAAAGAGAATTCTGAGTTCCTTACAAGTTTGTAAATTACTGTCCGTAGGCCAAACCAGGCCCACCAATTATGTTGATAAATAAAGTTTTTTTGGAACACAACCCTGCTCATTCATTTATTTGTTGTCATTGGCTGCTTTTCCGGTGTTAGAACAGAGTTGAGTAGTTGTGACAGACAATTGGCATGCATGACCTGTAAAGCCTAAAATATTTACCATTAGAAAAAAATGTGCCAACCCCTGCCTTAGAATATATTGGTGAACAACCTTTTAAGAATTAGTGACCTAAAGAAAGTTTCTGGTACAGTGCCAAAAGTTATGACTTTAGTTTGATACATAAGACCTTTCTATTAAGACTAGATGAAGCCAAGGTGGACAGATCATGAGGTCAGGAGTTCGAGACCAGCCTGGCCAACATGGTGAAACCCCATCTTGCCTGTATTTCCAGCTACTTGGGAGGCTGAGGCAGGAGAACCACTTGAACCCAGGAGGCGGAGGTTGCAGTGAACCGAGATCATGCCATTGTACTCCAGCCTGGGCAACAGAGCACGTCTCCATTTAGAGAAAAAAAAAGACTAGACAAAGAAACAAAATATGGATTTATCAGAAGAGTGAACACACAGAGTCCATGCCAATAGGGTGTTATTTATTTATTTATTTATTTATTTTTATTATTACTATTTTTGAGATGAAGTCTTGCTCTGTTGCCCAGGCTGGAGTGCAGTGGTGCAATCTTGGCTCACGGCAACTTCTTCCTCCCAGATTCAAGCAATTCTTCTGCCTCAGCCTCCCGAGTAGCTGGGATTATAGGAGCCCGCTTCCACGCTCGGCTAATTTTTGTACTCTCAGTAGAGATGGGTTTTCACCATGTTGGCCAGGCTGGTCTCAAACTCTTGACCTCTTAATCCGCCTGCCTTGGCCTTCCAAATTGCTGGGATTACAGGTGTGAGCCACCATACCCAGCCAGGATGTAATTTAATAGGAATAAATTCAAAGTCCTAAGTTCAGAATTGAGAAAAATACGAAAACCTTTTCGAAAAACAAATTAGGCCTTATACACTGAAAGAGCTACAATGACACAGAGATCACCAGTTACAGAAATGGTAGTCTCGAATTGATAGAATCTTGTGTTTTGCCCCTTCCCCGTGACCATGTACCAAGATCTTTCTCATTCAAAAGCATGTTATTGGCATTCCTTACAAACAGCACTCAAACAACAACTCAGTTATAAGTGAAAAACATAGAATACTAAGCAATACTAAATATTTTTAGTAACAATACTAAACATTTTTCATTTTTGTCATCATGTTGTGAGTTAAAGTGTCTAAAGAAAATCTTCTGTCTAACCTTGTATGCCCTTCTCTTAAGAATATAAGTGGCATGCCTATGAAAAGACAATGTAAAAAAAACCCTCCAGTTTATATGTGTTCACCCTCATTCCTTCCAGGGTGCAGCTTAGTCAGTCTTACTCTAAAACTTTAGCCTGTGATCTTATTTCCTATAACATTGTTCATATTTTAAAAACCTGTGAATTTTTGTCGATGGCATACTTAATATGTTGCCACCCATTGAATGTACACTTTAATACTATCTGAGGTTGTAGTTTTAAAACACTGTATTTCTGATCTATAATTCACATATGCTTATAAATTCATAGACTTCTAGAAGGATACATAAGAAAGCAGGTCCAGAGGTTGCTTCTCGGAAGGGGCCTGGGGAGCTGGGAGACCAGGTGACAGGGGGAAGAGAAACATTTCACTGTATATTCTATTGTGCCTTTTTACTGTTGGTCCATGTACATGTATGGCCGTTCAAGTAAATCAATGAAATATCTTTTAAAACCCATATCTTCTCCAGAATCATCATCTAACCTAGGCGTAGTTCATTTGCAAATCACACTATCATCACAGTCACACTATGGATGTGAAACAGCCAACCAAAGCAACTATGACAAGCCAAAGATTCAACAAGTGTACTGAACACAGTGTGATTAGGTGGTTGTCATCACTTAGGGAAAATACTTTAATTGGTTGGATAGGTATATGAAAACCCAGTTTACACAGAAATCCAAGGAGAACTGATCAATAAAAAAAGTGACAAAATGCTGGGTGCAGTGGCTCACGCCTGTAATCCCAGCACTTTGGGAGGCCGGGGCTGGCGGATCACGAGGTCAGGAGATCGAGACCATCCTGGCTAACACAGTGAAACCCCGTCTCTACTAAAAATACAAAAAAAAAAATTAGCTGGGCATGGTGGCGGGCGCCTATAGTGCCAGCTACTCCGGAGGCTGAGGCAGGAGAATGGCGTAAACCCAGGAGGCGGAGCTTGCAGTGAGCCGAGATAGCGCCACTGCACTCCAGCCTGGGCGACAGAGCAAGACTCCATCTCAAAAAAAAAAAAAAAGTGACAAAAGAAATGGTTTTTGTTTGTTCAAAGGAGGTAGAAAAAAAGAGTAAGGGCAAAAAGATACAATGAAATGTGCAGCTCAAGACTTGATACCTTTAACAGTGGAAGTCAGGAGTCAGAAGCTAGTAGATGAAATTAAGAACAGGCATGTAGGGCCAGGTGCAGTGACTCACACCTGTAATCCCAGCACTTTGGGAGGCCGAGGCAGGCAGATCACGAGGTCAGGAGATCAAGACCATCCTGGCTAACACGGTGAAACCCCGTCTCTACTAAAAAAACAAAACAATTAGCCGGGTGTGGTGGCGGGCACCTATAGTCCCAGCTACTTGGGAGGCTGAGGCAGGAGAATGGCGTGAACCCGGGAGGCAGAGCTTGCAGTGAGCGGAGATGGCGCCACTGCACTCCAGCCTGGGTGACAGAGCGAGACTCCATCTCAAAAAATAAATAAATAAATAATAAGAAAAACAAAAAGAAAAAGAACAGGTATGTAAAACGTGGAGAGCAAATGGACATGATCCTTATTGCTGCAATTCTCCAAAGATATGTAGTTCATAAATGTGCAAGATATGGAGAAACAGCCACTTCTGCTACATATGCAGACAATGACCCTAAGTATGTGTCTCCTCCTTGTATATGTTTTGGGGGAGGAGAGGTAAGGGAAAGGGTTACATGGTAACTTTCAGCTTTCCTCTTGATCTAGGGCTGTAAAAGCAGCAGAATACTGTAGCTTATTGAAAGCACAGCAAGCAGGACATTTCCAGAGTGTAGCAGAAAGCAGGCATGGAAGCCCACTGTATCCCTAGCATGTATTCACAGTTACCAATGGAAACAATGGTTACTTTTAGTAGCCCTCCTGCTAAAATAACTTAAATTAGAAATGGGTTCTTGGCTGAAGAAATTAAGCAATATTTCTGGTTAAAAAGTTTTAAGAAGAAGAGGAGCTACATGAGCATGTTCAAATGCCATCTTTAACTATAATAGAAATCTTCCTTATTTCTTCAACAGGATATACCCATCCTAAAGTGAAAATAAAAGGTTTTTCTTTTCTTTTCTTTTCTTTTTTTTTTTTTTGAGTCAGGGTCTGGCTTTCTTGCCCAGGCTGAAGTGCAGTGGTACGATCATGCCTCACTGCAGATTAAACTTCCTGGGCTCAAGTAGTTCTCCTACCTCAGTCTCCCAAGTAGCTGGGGCTAGAGGCACACACCACCACACCTGCCTAGTTTTTTATTTTTAGTTTTAGTGGAGAGGAGGTCTCGCTATGTTGCCCACGTTGGTCTCAGATTGGTACGCTAAAGTGATCCTCCCACCTCAGCTTACCAAAGTGCTGGGGTTATAATCATGAGCCACCTTGTCCGGTCTCTTGGTTTTGTTTGTTTTTGTTTGTTTGTTTAGATGCAGTCTCACTCTGTTGCCCAGGCTGGAGCACAGTAGCATGATAATAATAGCTCACTACAGACTCAATCTCCTGGGCTCAAGGGATCCTCCTGCCTCAGCATCCCTAGTAGCTGAGACTACAGGCGTGGATAACACACCTGGCTAATATTTTTAAATTTTATTTTAAATTTTTTCTTTTTTGTTTTTGTGGGTACAGAGTAAGTGTATATATTTATGGGGTACATGAGCTATTTTGATACAGGCATACAATGCATAATAAGCAGATGTATCACCTCAAGCATTTATTCATTATGTTACAAACAATCCAATTATATTGTTTTAATTATTTTTAAATGTACAATTTAATTATTATTGACTATAGTCACCCCGTTGTGCTATTGAATACTAGATATTATTCATTCTATTTTTATTTACCCATTAACCATCCCGACTTTCCCCCTACCCCACCACTACCCTTCCCAGTCTCTAATAACCATCATTCTATTCTCTATCTCCATGAGTTCAGTTGTCTTAATTTTGGATTCCCACACATAAGTGAGAACGTGCAAAGTTTGTCTTTCTGTGCCTGGCTTATTTCACTTAACATAATGACCTCTAGTTCCACCCATGTTGTTGCAAATGACAGGATCTCATTCTTTTTTATGGCTGAATAGTACTCCATTGTGTATATGTACCACATTTTCTTTATCTCTTCATCTGTTGATGGACATGTAGGTTGTTTCCAAATCTTGGCTATTGTGAATAGTGCTGCAATAAACATGGGAGTGTAGATATCTCTTTGATATACTAATTTCCTTTCCTTTGGGTATATACCTAGCAGTAGGATTGCTGGATCAGATGGAAGCTCTATTTTTAGTTTTTGTGAGGAACCTCCAAATTGTTCCCCATAGTGGCTATACTAATTTACATTCCCACCAGCAGTGTACAAGTGTTCCCTTTTCTCCATATCCTTGTCAGCATTTGTTGTTGCCTGTCTTTCATTTTAACTGGGGTGAGATGATATCTCATTATAGTTTTGATTTGCATTTCTCTGATGATCAATGCTGTCGAGCACATTTTCATATAACTGTTTGCCCTTTGTATGTCTTCCTTTGAAAAATATCTATTCAGATCTTTTGTCCATTTAAAAAATTGGATTATTAGATTTTTTTCCTGAAGAGTTGTTTGAGCTTCTTCTTTATTCTGGTTATTAATCCCTTGTCAGATGGATAGTTTGCAAATATTTTCTCCCATTCTGTGGGTTGTCTCTTTACTTTGTGGATTGTTTCCTTTTCTGTGCAGAAGCTTTTTAACTTGATGTGATCCCATTTGTCCATTTTATTTGGTTGCCTGTGTTTGTGGGTTATTACTCAAGAAATCTTTGCCCAGCCAGGCACCGTGGTTCACCCCTGTAATCCCAGCACTTTGGGAGGCCGAGGCAGGTGGATCATTTGAGGTCAGGTGTTTGAGACCAGCCTGGCCAAAATGGTGAAACCCCGTCTCAACTAGAAATACAAAAATTAGCCGGGCGTCGTGGTGTGCGCCTGTTGTCCTAGCTACTCAGGAGGCTGAGGCATGAGAATCGCTTGAACGTGGGAGGCAGAGGTTGTAGTGAGCCAAGATTGCACCACTGCACTCCAGCCTGGGTGACAGAATGAAACTGTGTCTCAAAACTAAAAAAAATTAAAAAAAAAAAAAAAAAGAAATCTTTGCCCATTCTTGTGTCCTGGAGTATCGCCTCAGTGTTTCCTTGTAGTAGTTTCATGATTTGAGGTCTTAGATTTAAGTCTTTAATCCATTTTGATTTGATTTTTGTTTACGGTGAGAGATGGTTTAATTCTTCTGAATGCAGATATCCAGTTTTCCCAGCACCATTTATTGAAGAGACTGCCCTTTCTCCCAGTGTATGTTTCTGACAGCTTTGTCCAAAATGAGTTCACTGTAGATGTATGGATTTGTTTCTCGGTTCTCTATTCTGTTCCTTTGGTCTGTGTGTCTGTATTTATGCTAGTACCTTGCTGGTAACAATAGCTCTGTAGTATAACTTGAAGTCAGATAATGTGATTCCTCCGGTTTTGTTTTTGCTCAGGATGGCTTTGACTATTCTGGGTCTTTTGTGGTCCCATATAAGTTTTAGAATTGTTTTTTCTGTTTCTGTGAAGAGTGTACTTTTTTTTTTTTTTTTTTTTTTGTAGAGACAAGGTCTTGCTATGTTGTCCAGGCTGATCTCAAAGTCCTGCGTTCAAGCAATCCTGCCTCAGCCTCCCAAAGCACTTCGGGATTATGGACATAAGCCACTACACCCAGCTTAGTATCTTTTACATAACTAGACATTCCTTCTCATTCTCTTTTGCTGGATTCTTCCCCTCTCTTGACTTCTCATTGTTGTAGTGCTCCAAGGCTTTTTTTCCCTTGTGGTAAAAAAACACAATGTAAAATTTACTACCTTAACCATTTTAATTTTACAGTGTAGTAGTGTTAACTATATCTTATTATGTAAGGTATAGGTAACAACTTTTTCATCTAGTAAATCTGAAACTCTATACCCAGTTAACATCTCCTCTTTTCCTCCTCCCTTGTCTCTATACTCTTCCTTCCTAGGTGATCACATCTAGTCTCTTGACTAAAATATCATCTGTTTTGCTTTAGTTTAATTTCAGCTTCCCATCTCCTTACCTCCCTTCAGTTTTGCATATTCAGATTTTTGGATTATGTCCCTTCTGTTTCTAGTCTTTATTTAGAGTGTATATGGTCCATTAAATTATCACATATCAAGCTTCATTGCTTACCAGATTCCCTTTTCCTTTTTTCCTATCTTGAATCTATGTTAAGGTGTTTTTATTGTTTGGTTATTTTCTCAGGTATTTTTACTGAAATGGTTTGCTTTAGTGGTGTAATTTTGGTAATCTTGAATAGCCTTAAATATCTTTTTGCCATCCCGTAACAAATCGGGGGTATCTCGGCTGAGTATAAGATTCATAACTTCTAAGCTGGGCATGGTGGCTCATGCCTGTAATCCCAGCACTGTGGGAGGCCAAGGCAGGCAGATCATGAGATCAGGAGTTTGAGACCAGCCTGGCCACCATAGTGAAACCCTGTCTCTACTTAAAAAAAAAAAAATTAGCTGGGCATGGTGGCGGGCGCCTGTTTACCCAGCTACTCGAGAGGCTGAGGCAGGAGAATCGCTTGAGCCTGGAAAGCAGAGGTTGCAGTGAGCCGAGATCGTGCCGTTGCACTCCAGCCAGGAAAACAGAGTGAGACTCCATCTAAAAAAAAAAGGTTAATAACTTCTGCTGCTTTTCGTTTCAGTTAGTTTAGATCCTGTTGCATTTTATTCTAGCTTCTAGAGTTGATGATTAGACCAGTACCAGTCCTAGTTTTCTCTTTATGGATAATTGTTCTTTCTTTCTGGACACTTAGAAGATTTTTTCTTTATTTGTAAAATTAATGAATTTTACAAGGGTATAATAGATATTTGTCTTTTGTCTTTAATCCATCCTGAAACTTGGTTTCCCTTTTCACTTATCCACCAAAAGCCAGCCCAGAGAAATTTCCCTTTATTATTTACTTAATTGTTGCCTCTCCTCCATCTGGTGCTTTTTCTCTTTTTGAACACCTATTTTTTGTAAAATAGGTCTTCTGGGACTATTTTCAAGTCTTTCTATTCCTTCAGTATTTCCATTTATTTTGCTTTCTGTTCTGTGCTTTAAGATAATCCACGTACTGCATCTTCCAGTCTATTTATTTAGCTGTCAATAATGATCATCTTAAAAAAAAAAAGTTCATGTTCTCGTTTTGCTTTGAAATCTATACATGAATCTTCCTGGAAAAAAAATCATGTTTTTCCAAGTATTGCTTTTTAGTTTTCTAATCTGTTGGCTTGTTTACAAAGAATGTAATAAATTTTTTACTCTTATATATGTTTTAATTTTCAATTAAAGTATTTGAATTTTATTTTTTGTAAAGATATTTATTGGGGCCAGGTGCAGTGGCTCACGCTTATAATCCCACCAGTTTGGGAGGCCTAGGTGGGTGGATCACATGAGTCCAGGAGTTCTAGACCAACCTGAACAACATAGTGAAACCCTGTCTCTACAAATAAAAAAAATAGCTGGGTGTGGTGGCATACACCTGTAGTCCCAGCTACTTTGGAGGCTGAGGTGGTAGGATCATTAGAGGTCAAGGCTGCAGTGAGCCGTGATTGTGCCACTGCCCTCTAGCCTGAGTGACAAAGGGAGACTGTCTCAGAAAAAAAAAAACCAAAAAACATATTTATTGGGTAAGCTGACATCTTTTTGAACAATGAAATTTCATTTTCATTTAACTGTAATGCATTCATTGGTAATTTATTTACTCCAAATGCTTAATTTGTTGTTGTTGTTGTTGTTGTGGTTTTTGAGACGGAGTCTCACTCTGTTGCCCAAGCTGGAGTGCAGTGGCATGATCTTGGCTCACTGCAACCTCTGCCTCCCGGGTTCAAGTGTTTCTCCTGCTCAGCCTCCCAAGTACCTGGGACTACAGGGGTGCGTCATCACACCTGGCTAATTTTTTACTTTTAGTACAGACAGGGTTTCACCATGTTGGCCAGGCTGGTCTCGTACTCCTGACCTCAGGTGATCCAGTCACCTCGGCTTCCCAAAGTGCTGGGATTACAGGCGTTAGCCACCGTGCCCGGCCATGATTTGTATTTTATATATAGAAATAAATCTTATAAGATTATATGATATCAAGACAACTGGGAATAAAGGAACAATAAAATAGAAAAAGTTTTTTTCCTGCCCCCCCCCCCTTTTTTTTTTTTTGTATTTTCATTTTGTTTTGTTTTGTTTTAGAGATAGGGTCTCCCTTTGTTGTCCAGGCTGGAGTACAGTGGGACAATCATAGCTCAGTGTGGCTTCCAATTCCTGGCCTCAATCTATCCTCCTACCTCACCCTCCTGAGCCACTGGGATAACAGGCATGAGCCACTGTACCTGGCCTCTTGCCAATTTTTATAATATTCCAGCTATTTTTTTAGGTTGTCTGGAAATATCCTCACTTAAGGGATTAGTTTTACCCCTTATCATATGTTTGCTGTCTCAAAGGAACACCCGATGATCCTGACCATGCCTGCTATTCTTTCCCTTTGCCCCTTGTTTTTCTGCTACTTAATACTTGAGTTTATGCCCCCATCCTCAATTATCATTGCATAGAATTTATTTATACAGGTTAATAAGAAAGAACTGAGAAAAGAAAGTTTAGCAAAGTAATAGAAATAAAAACTCAGCGGCCAGGCGCGGTGGCTCACACCTGTAATCCCAGCACTTTGGGAGGCCGAGGTGGGTGGATCACGAGGTCAGGAGATCGAGACCATCCTAGCTAACACGGTGAAACCCCGTCTCTACTAAAAATACAAAAAATTAGCCTGGCGTGGTGACAGGTGCTTGTAGTCCCAGCTACTCGGGAGGCTGAGGCAGGAGAATAGCATGAACCTGGGAGGCAGAGCTTGCAGTGAGCGGAGATCGCACCACTGCACTCCAGCCTGGGCAACAGAGCGAGACTCCGTCTCAAAAAAAAAAAAAAAGAAAGAAATAAAAACTCATCTTAAAGGTAGGCTTAGCATATATAGTTATGTATTTAACTTATGCTAATATGTAATTCACACTTATTTTCTTATATTTTAATGCAGCATTCTTCTCTTTATAGGGAAGACCAATCTTAAGGTTTAAGGATGAGGAGGGTGGTCATTGGTACAATCACTTACCACTTTGCTCACGTTTTTGAAGGGTCATTGTAACTATCTTCATGGGTGGGCTGTGGGAACAGCACATCTGAAGCTCTAACACTCCCACGTAGCCATATGCCTTTGGCAGCTGGAGAGTCATATAAAATCAGCACTGGCCCATGTTCTCATACTTATAAACACCTCTCTCTGGCTTACTACTTTAGTATTTATGAACTATTTTCTGGCAAGCTACTTAATCAGAACTTTAAAAATGGTTCACTTTGGCCGGGCACAGTTGCTCACGCCTGTAATCTCAGCACTTTGGGAGGCTGAGGCGAGCAGATCACGAGGTCAAGAGATCGATACCATCCTAAGCAACATAGTGAAACCCCTTCTCTACTAAAAATACAAAAATTAGATGGGCGTGGTGACACGCATCTGTAGTTCCAGCTACTCAGGAGGCTGAGGCAGGAGAATCACTTGGACCTGGGAGACAGAGGTTGCAGTGAGCTGAGATCGCACCACTGCACTCCAGCCTGGTGACAGAGCGAGACTCCATCTCAAAAAAAAAAGGAAAAAGGTTCACTCTGATAATTAATTTTTTTTTTTTTTTTTTTCCAGGTGTATGGTGGCTGATGAAGTAAGTGTTTCAATGGTTTTTATGTCTTTTATAAGATTACACAGCTTGTTTTTAGTGTCTGCTATTTTCCATGTACTCTTTCTCCATATGACTATATGTCTGTATATGGGGATGGGGAGAGAGAGAAAGATGGGAGGGTGAGGAGGGAGGGGGAGAGAGAATGAGAATGAATGAATGTGTGTGTGTGTGTGTTTTCTAGACATGCATCTGATACATATGTTAATATTAACATTAGTGACCCCAAATTGTTACCTAGGATGCATGAATGAGTTTTGAAATGCAGCCCCCCAAAAAGCTTTTCTGTTATAATAGTACTTGCTTAAAAGCTAAACTTTAAAGATTCTGTTCTAAAGGTTATTGTTTATTGTTTCCTATGAGTTTGAAACATAGTTCTGAAATGGTATTTTATTATCACTCAACAATCTGATAGATTTAAATGGCATGTGCTTATATGTATCCCTATTCGTGTTTTCTCTCTGAAATGGAGGCTCTTGTTACATGAACTATGATATTCTTTGTGTACATTCTCAGACTAATGTAAGTCAATAAAGTTCTAATTTTTAACAACCGTTTGAGAAATGTGTTGCTGTTTTTCATTATGTCTTTAAGAATAACAGCAAAACGGCCAGGCGCAGTGGCTCACGCCTGTAATCCCAACACTTTGGGAGGCCGAGGCAGGTGGATCATGAGGCCAGGAGTTTGAGACCATCCTGGCTAACACGGTGAAACCCCATCTCTATTAAAATATAAAAATTTAGCCGGGCGTGGTGGCAGGCATCTGTAGTCCCAGCTACTCAGGAGGCTGAGGCAGGAGAATGGCATGAACCCAGGAGGCAGAGCTTGCAGTGAGCCGAAAGCATGCCACTGCACTCCAGCTTGGGCGACAGAGTGAGACTCCGTCTCAAAAAAAAAAAAAAAAAAAAAAGAATAACAGCAAAACATACACTTTTCAAAATATATTAGAAATGAAGGAAATGGAAACTGAATTGTTAAAAAATAAAAGTGGAATCATCAAAAACTTCTCCCAATTAATTATGATTTAGTTTTGCTTGCATATAGACTCCCACCAATGGCTTATCTCTGTAGTCTCTTCTTTTGAGACGGAATCTGGCTCTGTCGCCCAGGCTGCAGTGCAATGGCACGATCTCGGCTCACTGCAACCTCTGCCTCCCGGATTCAAGCAATTCTCTTGCCTCAGCCTCCCCAGTAGGTGGGACTACAGGCGCGCACCACCACGCCCAGCTAATTTTTGTATTTTTAGTAGAGAAGGGGTTTCACCATTTTGGCCAAGGTGTTTTCCGTCTCTTGACCTCGTGATCCACCCGCCTCAGCCTCCCAAAGTCCTGGGATTACAGGCGTGAGCCACAGTGCCTGGCCTGTAGTCTGTTTTTAAGGAAAACATGAATAGAGAATTTAAGGATTTATTTAAGGAATAACATGAGTCCTATACAGAAATGTTGATATAGGGGTTCATAGTTCATGCTAATTTATAATGACCTAATTTTTTAGTTTGAACTCTTCTTTCATTCAATAGGTGTTTATTTAGACTAGATGTTATAATTAGAAAAAGAGTCATTGCCAGTGAAGAACTTTAGCGATATAATTGGAGAAACAAGACATAGACATTTGGGAAACAATAAACAGAAATTTTTCTTTTGAAACAAGATGAGTTCTTTTGTTGTTTTTTGTTTGCTTGTTTTGGTTTGTTTTTGTGTTCTTGTTTTGAGAAGGAGTCTCGCTCTGTCGCCCAGACTGGAGTGCAGTGGCACGATCTCGACTCACTGCAAGGTTCGCCTCCCAGGTTCACGCCATTCTCCTGCCTCAGCCTCCCGAGTAGCTGGGACTACAGGCACCTGCCACCACACCCGGCTAATTTTTTGTATTTTTAGTAAAGACAGGGTTTCACTGTGTTAGCCAGAATGGTCTCAATCTCCTGACCTCAGGTGATCCGTCCGCCTCTGCCTCCCAAAGTGCTGGGATTACAGGTGTGAACCATCGTGCCCGGCCTAAAACAGGATGAGCTCTAAATGGCTCTTCATAAATTAATTAATTTGAGAGTCCAAATGACTGAAAGAGGCTTACGTTTTTAGTCCTTGAATATGTTTTCAACAAATAGAAATATGAACTCATTCTCCAAAACCTCAAGACTAGCCATAACTATTTCCTCTTATATATATACATGTATAGAACATATATGTCATATATGTATATGCATGTGTATAAATTCTTTTCCAAACAGACCAGCTGAGGTCCACAGAAAATATATTATAAAAGGTAACAAACAGCATCCTTTATGATTTCCACAAGTAAGTCATGGTGAAAAATCTTAGCAGTTATGGTACACCATTGGTACTTTGGTCCTCATTTTGATGTTGTAGAAATCTAGATGCACCTTAAATCTATGGAATTCACCATGGATTCAGATAAACACTTGATCTGCACCATAACCCTTCTGATATGGTTTGGCTATGTCCCCACCCAAATCTCATCTTGAATCGTAGCTACCATAATTCCCACATGTGATGGGAGGGGTGACCCAGTGGGGGATAGTTGAATCATGGGGGTGGGTCTCTCCCATGCTGTTCTCATGATAGCCAGTAAGTCTCACGAGATCTGATGGTTTTATAAATGGGAGTTCCCCTGCACACGCTCTCTTGCATGCTGCAGTGTAAAAGATGTGACCTTACTCCTCTTTCGCCTTCCACCATGATTGTGGAGCCTCCCTAGCCATGTGGAACTGTGAATTAAACCCCTTTCCTTTATAAATTACCCAGACTCGGGTATGTCTTTATTGGCAGTGTGAGAACAGACTAAGACACCTTCTTAACTCTTATATTCTCTAACACACCCTTATCCTCAGTTAACGAGTATGCAGAGGTCATGAACCCTTAGCCAGCAAGAGTGTTCCCGTTATACAAATCACTTTTCCATTTCTTGTGATTTACAATTACATAGCACTTTTCACATTTGGCTGATTCACATGTTGTCATCTTTCAAAACCATTCTTACTTTTTAATTAAATACATTGCAAAATCCGTTTAATATTTCCTCAATACTTAAAAAAAACTTCCACCTTCCTGTCCATCATAATTACTTAATTACTTCTCTCTTTTCACCAGCATTTTTGAAGACCCATTATTTTACACCTATTTGACTTGACAGGGTTTATGATGTTATATCCTATTTATAATGTTGATTAAGAAAAAATCTTCAACTTTATACATGAATACAAGAATCAGGCCATAGAAATAAACAGAATGACATACAAGACGTAAGATCACAGCTCATAACCACTAATAATCTATTTAGTGGTAGAGTTGGACTGCTATTTTTATGGAATCTTACCATGCCAGTGTGGATGAAAGTTAATAAATTAAATGTGCTGAAGTAAAAAGAACTTCTATATATGTAAATTATATGAACTCTACCTTCATTCTGTTTTCTAATATGGTTTTCCTTCTCTTGCTTTTATTATAAAACAGTGGTGAAGCCAGAGAAGGAAGTACAATTTATAATTTAAAGGTCAACCACTTTTTGATTTGTAAATTAAAAATAGATTTTCATGTGATGACTGTTGACTCATCAAATAGTGAAAAGCCTTGGGAGAGCAATTTTACATCTGTGTTATTGAACCTACTTTTTTTTTTATAAACTCTTGAATACTCACTTGGAGTATTGTGTACTTTAGCTGTCTGCTGTGATCTTTTCTCCCTAGCTTTAGAAACAAATGACGTCCTTCACTAGTATTATTCCCCCTTCTTTCGGTATCTTTTCACTGTTATCTTTTTCTTTTTCTTTTCCTTTTTTTTTTTTAATTCTTTAAGATCTAGGGTACCTGCGCAAAACGTGCAGGTTTGTTACATAGGTATACATGTGCCATGTTGGTTTGCTGCACCCATCAACTCATCATTTACATTAGGTATTTCTCCTAATGCTATCCCTCCCCCAGGGCCCCACCCCCGAAAGGCCCCCGTGTGTGATGTTCCCTGCCCTGTGGCCAATTGTTGTCATTGTTCAGTTCCCACCTAAGAGTGAGAACATGCGGTGTTTAGTTTTCTGTCTTTGTGATAGTTTGCTGAGAATTATGGTTTCCAGCTTCATCCATGTCTCTGCAAAGGACACGAACTTATCCTTTTTTATGGCTGCATAGCATTCCATGGTGTATATGTGCCACATTTGCTTAATCCAGTCTGTCATTGATGGACATTTGGGTTGGTTCCAAGTCTTTGCTATTGTGAATAGTGCCCCAGTAAACATATGTGTGCATGTGTCTTTATAGTAGCATGATTTATAATCCTTTGGGTATATACCCAGTAATGGGATCACTGGGTCAAATGGTATTTCTGGTTCTGGATCCCTGAGGAATCACCACACTGTCTTCCACAATGGTTGAACTAGTTTACACTCCCACCAACAGTGTTAAAGCATTCCTATTTCTCCACATTTTCTCCAGCATGTGTTGTTTCCTGACTTTTTAATGATCTCCATTCTAACTGGCGTGAGATGGTATCTCATTATGGTTTTGATTTGCATATCTCTGATGAGCAGTGATGATGAGCATTTTTTCATGTGTCTTTTGGCTGCATAAATGTCTTCTTTTGAGAAGTGTCTGTTCATATCCTTTGCCCACTTTTTGATGGAGTTGTTTGTTTTTTTCTTGTAATTTGTTTGAGTTCTCTGTAGATTCTGGATATTAGCCCTTTCTCAGATGGGTAGATTGCAAGAATTTTCTCCCATTCTGTATGTTGCCTGTTCACTCTGATGGTAGTTTCTTTTGCCTTGCAGAGGATCTTTACTTTAATTAGACCCCATTTGTCTCTTTTGGCTTTTGTTGCCATTGCTTTTGGTGTTTTAGTCATGAAGTCCTTGCCCATGCCTCTGTCCTGAATGGTATTGCCTAGGTTTTCTTCTAGGGTTTTTATGGTTTTAGGTCTAAAACCATTCAAGTCTTTAATCCATCTTGAGTTAATTTTTGTATAAGGTGTAAAGCAGGGATCCAGTTTCGGCTTTCTACACATGGCTAGCCAGTTTTCTGATCACCATTTATTAAACAGGTAATCCTTTCCCCATTTTTTGTTTTTGTCAGGTTTGTCAAAGACCAGATGGTTGCAGATGTGTGGTGTTATTTCTGAGACCTCTGTTCCCGATCTATTGCTCAATATATCTGTTTTGGTACCACTACCATGCTGTTTTGGTTACTGTAGCCTTATAGTATAGTTTGAAGCCAGGTAGCATGATGCTTCCAACTTTGTTTTTCTTTGTGTAGGATTGTCTTGGCAATACAGGCTCTTTTTTGGTTCCATATGAACTTTAGTTTTTTCCAATTCTGTGAAGAAAGTCATTGGTAGCTTGATGGGGGTGGCATTGAATCTATAAATTACCTTGGGCAGTATGGGCATTTTCACAATATTGATTCTTCCTACCCATGAGCATGGAATGTTCTTCGATTTGTTTGTATCCTCTTTTATTTCATTGAGCAGTGGTTTGTAGTTCTCCTTGAAGAGGTCCTTCACATCCCTTGTAAGTTGGATTCCTAGGTATTTTATTCTCATTGAAGCAATTGTGAGTGGGAGTTCACTCACCATTTGGCTCTCTGTTTGTCTGTTATTGGTGTATAAGAATGCTTGTGATTTTTGCACATTGATTTTGTATTCTGAGACTTTGCTGAAGTTGCTTATCAGCTTGAGATTTTGGGCTGAGACGATGGGGTTTTCTAGATATACAATCATGTCATCTGCAAACAGGGACAATTTGACTTCCTCTTTTCCTATTTCAATACCCTTTATTTCTTTCTCCTGCCTTATTGCCCTGGCCAGAACTTCCAACACTATGTTGAATAGGAGTGGTGAGAAAGTGCATCCGTGTCTTGTGCCAGCTTTCAAAGGGAATGCTTCCAGTTTTTGCCCATTCAGTATGATATTGGCTGTGAGTTTGTCATAAATAGCTCTTATTATTTTGAGATACATCCCATCAATACCCAATTTATTGAGAGTTTTTAGCATGAAGGGCTGTTGAATTTTGTCAAAGGCCTTTTCTGCATCTATTGAGATAATCATGTGGTTTTTGTCATTGGTTCTGTTTATATGCTGGATTACATTTATTGATTTGCATATGTTGAACCAGCCTTGCATCCCAGGGATGAAGCCGACTTGATCATGGTGGATAAGCTTTTTGATGTGCTGCTGGATTCGGTTTGCCAGTATTTTATTGAGGATTTTTGCATCAATGTTCATCAGGGATATTGGTCTAGAATTCTCTTTTCTTGTTGTGTCTCTGCCACGCTTTGGTATCAGGATGATGCTGCCTCATAAAATGAGTTAGGGAGGATTCTCTCTTTTTCTATTGATTGGAATAGTTTCAGAAGGAATGGTACCAGCTCCTCATTGTACCTCTGGTAGAATTCGGCTGTGAATCCATGTGGTCCTGGGCTTTTTTTGGTTGTTAATCTATTAATTATTGCCTCAATTTCAGAGCCTGTTATTGGTCTATTCAGAGATTCAACTTCTTCCTGGTTTAGTCTTGGGAGAGTGTATGTGTCAAGGAATTTATCCATTTCTTCTAGATTTCCTAGTTTATTTGCGTAGAGGTGTTTATAGTATTCTCTGTTGGTAATTTGCATTTCTGTGGAATTGGTGGTGATATCCCCTTTATCATTTTTTATTGCATCTATTTGATTCTTCTCTCTTTTCTTCTTTATTAGTCTTGCCAGTGGTCTATCAATTTTGTTGATCTTTTCAAAAAACCAGCTCCTGGATTCGTTGATTTTTTGAAGGGTTTTTTGTGTCTCTACCTCCTTCAGTTCTGCTCTGATCTTAGTTATTTCTTGCCTTCTGCTAGCTTTTGAATGTGTTCGCTTTTGCTTCTCTAGTTCTTTTAATTGTGTTGTCAGGGTGTCAATTTTAGATCTTTCCTGCTGTCCCTTGTGGGCATTTAGTGGTATAAATTTCCCTCTACACACTGCTTTAAATGTGTCCCAAAGATTCTGGTATGTTGTGTCTTTGTTCTCGTTGGTTTCAAAGAACATCTTTATTTCTGCCTTCATTTCATTATGTACCCAGTAATTCAGGAGCAGGTTGTTCAGTTTCCACGTAGTCGTGTGGTTTTGAGTGAGTTTCTTAATCCTGAGTTCTAGTTTGATTGCACTGTGGTCTGAGAGAGAGTTTGTTATAATTTCTGTTCCTTTACATTTGCTGAGGAGTACTTTACTTCCAACTATGTGGTCAATTTTGGAGTAAGTGAGGTGTGGTGCTGAGAAGAATGTATATTCTGTTGATTTGGGGTGGAGAGTTCTGTAGATGTCTATTAGGTCCGCTTGGTGCAGAGCTGAGTTCAATTCCTGGATATCCTTGTTAACTTTCTGTCTCGTTGATCTGTCTAATGTTGACAGTGGGGTGTTAAAGTCTCTCATTATTATTGTATAGGAGTCTAAGTCTCATTTTACATCTCTAAGGTCTTGTTTTATGAATCTGTGTGCTCCTGTATTTGGTGCATGTATATTTGGGATAGTTAGCTCTTCTTGTTGAATTTGTCCCTTTACCATTATGTAATGACCTTCTTTGTCTCTTTTGATCTTTGTTGGTTTAAAGTCTGTTTTATCAGAGACTAGGATTGCAACTGCTGCCTTTTTTTTTGTTTTCCATTTGCTTGGTAGATCTTCCTCCATCCCTTTATTTTGAGCCTATGTGAGTCTCTGCACTGAGATGGGCTTCCTGAATACAGCACACTGATGGGTCTTGTCTCTTTATCCAATTTGCCAGTTTGTCTGTGTCTTTTAATTGGAGCATTTAGCCCATTTACATTTAAAGTTAATATTGTTATGTGTGAATTTGATCCTGTAATTATGATGTTAGCTGATTATTTTGCTCGTTAGTTGATGCACTTTCTTCCTAGCCTCGATGGTCTTTAGAATTTGGCATGTTTTTGCAGTGGCTTGTAGTGGTTTTTCCTTTCCATGTTTAGTGCTTCCTTCAGGAGCTCTTTTAGGGCAGACCTGGTGGTGACAAAATCTCTCAGCATTTGCTTGTCTGTAAAGGATTTTATTTCTCCTTCACTTATGAAGCTTAGTTTCGCTGCATATGAAATTCTGGGTTGAAAATTCTTTTCTTTAGGAATGTTGAATATTGGCCCCCAGTCTCTTCTGGCTTGTAGAGTTTCTGCCGAGAGATCCGCCGTTAGTCTGATGGGCTTCCCTTTGTGGGTAACCCCACCTTTCTCTCTGGCTGCCCTTAACATTTCCTTCATTTCAACTTTGGTGAATCTGACAATTATGTGTCTTGGAGTTGCTCTTCTCGAGGAGTATCTTTGTGGCATTCTCTGTATTTCCTGAATTTGAATGTTGGCCTGCCTTGCTAGATGGGGGAAGTTCTCCTGGATAATATCCTGCAGAGTGTTTTCCAACTTGGTTCCATTCGCCCCGTCACTTTCAGGTACACCAATCAGACATAGATTTGGTCTTTTCACATAGTCCCATATTTCTTGGAGGCGTTGTTCGTTTCTTTTTATTCTTTTTTCTCTAAACTTCTCTTCTCGCTTCATTTCATTCATTTGATCTTCCATCACTGATACCCTTTCTTCCAGTTGATCGAATCGGCTAATGAAGCTTGTGCATTCGTCACGTAGTTCTCGTGCCATGGTTTTCAGCTCCATCAGGTCCTTTAAGGACTTCTCTGCATTGGTTATTCTAGTTAGCCCTTCGTCTAATCTTTTTTCAAGGTTTTTAAGTTCTTTGCATTGGGTTCGTACTTCCTCCTTTAGCTCGAAGAAGTTTGATCGTCTGAAGCCTTCTTCTCTCAACTCGTCAAAGTCATTCTCCGTCCAGCTTTGTTCTGTTGCTGGTGAGGGGCTGCGTTCCTCTGGAGGAGGAGAGGCGCTCTGATTTTTAGAATTTTCAGTTTTTCTGCTCTGTTTTTTCCCCATCTTTGTGGTTTTATCTACCTTTGGTATTTGATGATGGTGCCATGTAGATGGGGTTTTGGTGTGGATGTCCTTTCTGTTTGTTAGTTTTCCTTCTAACAGTCAGGACCCTCAGCTGCAGGTCTGTTGGAAGTTGCTGGAGGTCCACTCCAGACTGGTTTCCTGGGTATCACCAGCGGAGTCTGCAGAACAGTGGATATTGGTGAACAGCAAATGTTGCTGCCTGATCGTTCCTCTGGAAGTTTCATCTCTGAGGGATACCCGGCCATGTGTGGTGTCAGTCTGCCCCTACTTAGGGGTGCCTCCCAGTTAGGCTACTCAGGGGTCAGGGACCCACGTGAGAGGCAGTCTATCCGTTCTCAGATCTCCAGCTGTGTGCTGGGAGAACCACTACTCTCTTCCAAGCTGTCAGGGACATTTAAGTCTCCAGAGGTTTCTGCTGCCTTTTGTTCGGCTATGCAGTGCCCACAGAGGTGGAGTCTACAGAGGCAGGCAGACCTCATTGAACTGCCGTGGGCTCCGCCCTGTTCGAGCTTCCAGGCCGCTTTGTTTACCTACTCAAGCCTCAGCAATGGCGGACGCTCCTCCCCCAGCCTTGCTGCTGTGTTACAGTTCGATCTCAGACTGCTGTGCTAGCAATCAGCTAGGCTCCGTGGGCGTAGGACCCTGCGAGCCAGGCATGGGATATAATCTCCTGGTGTGCCGTTTGCTATGACGGTCAGAAAAGCACAGTATTAGGGTGGGAGTGACCCAATTTTCCAGGTGCCATTTGTACCCCCTTCCCTTGGCTAGGAAAGGGAATTCCCTGATCCCTTACGCTTCCAGGTGAGGTGATGCCTTACCCTGCTTAGGCTCACGCTCAATGCACTGCATCCTCTGTCCTGCACCCACTGTCCCACAATCCCCAGTGAGATGAACCCAGTACCTCAGTTGGAAATGCAGAAATCACCCCTCTTCTGCGTCGCTCATGCTAGGGGCTGTAGACTGGAGCTGTTCCTATTTGGCCATCTTGGAACCGCCCTTAACTGATTTTTTGAAGGGTGTTTTGTGTTTCTGTCTCCTTCAGTGCTGCTCTGATCTTAGTTATTTCTTGCCTTCTGCTAGCTTTTGAATTTGTTTGCTCTTGCTTCTCTGGTTCTTTTGCTTGTGATGTTAGCGTGTCAATTTTAGATCTTTCCTGCTTTCTCTTAAGGGCATTTAGTACTATAAATTTCCCTCTACACACTGCTTTAAATGTGTCCCAGAGATTCTGGTACGTTGTGTCTTTTTTCTCATTGGTTTCAAATAACATCTTTATTTCTGCCTTTATTTCACTATTTAACCAGTAGTCATTCAGGAGCAGGTTGTTCAGTTTCCATGTAGTTGTGAAGTTTTGAGTGAGTGTCTTAATCCTGAATTCTAATTTGATTGCACTGTGGTCTGAGAGACAGTTTATTGTGATTTCTGTTCTTTTACATTTGCTGAGGAGTGCTTTACTTCCAATTATGTAGTCAATTTTAGAATAAGTGCGATGTGATGCTGAGAAGAATGTATATTCTGTTGATTTGGGGTGGAGAGTTCTGTAGATGTCTATTAGGTCCGCTTGGTGCAGAGCTGTCTTCAAGTCCTGGATATCCTTGTTAACCTTCTGTCTTGCTGATCTGTCTAATATTGTGAGTGGGGTTTTAAAAGTCTCCCATTATTATTTTGTGGGAGTCTAAGTCTCTTTGTAGGTCTCTGAGAACTTGCTTTGTGAATCTGGGTGCTCCTATATTGGGTGCATGTATATTTAGGATAGTTAAGTCTTCTTGTTGAATTGATCCCTTTACCATTATGTAATGGCCTTCTTTGACTCTTTTGATCTTTGTTGGCTTAAAGTCTGTTTTATCAGAGACTATGATTGCAACCCCTGCTTTTTTTTTGCTTTCCATTTGCTTGGTAGATCTTCCTCCATCCCTTTATTTGGAGCTTATGTGTGTCTTTGCACATCAGATGGGTCTCTTGAATACAGCACACTGATGGGTCTTGACTCTTTATCCAATTTGCCAGTTTCTGTCTTTTAATGGGTACATTTCGCCCATTTACATTTAAGGTTAATATTGTTATGTGTGCATTTGATCCTGTCATTATGATGTTAGCTGGTTGTTTTGCCTGTTAATTGATGTAGTTTCTTCATAGCATTGATGGTCTTTACAATTTGGTGTGTTTTTGCAGTGACTGGTACCGGTTGATTCTTTCCATGTTTAGTGCTTCCTTCAGTAGGTGTTGTAAGGCAGGCCTGGTGGTGACAAAATCTCTCAGCATTTGCTTGTCTGTAAAGGATTTTATTTCTCCTTCACTTGTGAAGCTTAGTTTGGCCGGATATGAAATTCTGGGTTAATTAAATTGCCCAAGGACATATAACTAGAAGATGCCGGGACCTGATATTTGACCTCAAGTGAAATAATTGGAGTGATTCAGCTCCAACTCTCACTGTCAATTACATTACAGTCCCCAGGTACCAGACTTTCTATTTTTGAGACAGTATTCTTGAGGACAGAAGAATTTGGAAGACATAGGGCTCAAAGGAATAAGACAGTGAAGTTAGAATGAAGGTGATAGCATTAAAAGTGTGTGTTGGTGAGACTACACGGTAGTCCTTTAAATCAGTGTCACCTGCCTGCTTACTTCCTTGTTTCTAAGTCCAACTTTATTATTTTTGAATGTGCTCTTTTAAAAAAATTTTTAATTTAATACAATTTTAGATTTATAGAATTATTACAAAGATATTACAGAGTTCCTGTATACCCCACACCCAGTTTCCCCTATTATTGATATCTTAGATTAGTATGGTACATTTGTCTCAATTAATGAGCCAATATTCATATATTATTATTAACTGAAGACCATACTTTATGCAGGTTTTCTCAGTTTTTCTCTCATGTCCTTTTAAAAAATATATAAATAAAAATAAAACTAGGATTCCATCCAGGAAACACATTACTCTGCATATTAGCAATGTCTCTTTAGGCTTCTCTGGGTTGTAACAATTTCTCACACACTGTTTGTTTTTGAAGACCTTTACAGTTCTGAAAATTAGTGGTTAGGTAGTTTGTAGCATGTCCCTTAATTGGAATTCAACTGGTACTTTCCTTGTGGTTATACTTGGGGAATATGTTTTTTGGGGGAAGACCATAGAGGTGAAGTGCTATTGTCATCACATCATACAAAGTATGCATACTATCAATATGATTTATCACTGTTAATGTTAATCCCAATCACCTGGCTTAAGGTAGTGTTTGCCAGGTTTTGTTACTGTATAGTTACTCATTTCCCCCCCTTTTTTTATACTGAATTTTTGGGAAGAAAGTAACTATTCACAGCCCATACTTTAGGAATGGAGAGTTGTGTTTTACGTTTTTGTTTTGTTTTTTTTTTTGAGATGGAGTCTCACTCTGTCACCCAGGATGGAATGCAATGGCGTGATCTCGGCCACTGCAACCTCTGTCTCCCGGGTTCAAGCAATTCTCCTGCCTCAGCCTCCTGAGTAGTTGGGATTACAGGCACCCACCACTACACCTGGCTAATCTTTGTATTTTTAGTAGAGACCGGCTTTCGCCATGTTGGTCAGTCTGGTCTTGAACTCCTGACCTCAAGTGATCCGCCTGCTTCAGCCTCCCAAAGTGCTGGGATTACAGGTGTCAGCCACTGTGCCTGGATGTATTTTACTTTCTTAAACTTGAGTTAGTCAGGGTTCTCTAGAGGGACAGAACTAATAGGATAGATACATATATAAAGGGGAGTTTATTAAGTATTAACTCACATGATCACAAGGTCCCACAATGGGCCATCAGCAGGCTGAGGAACAAGGAAGCCAGTTCTAGTTCCACAACTGAAGAACTTGGGAGTCCAATGTTCCAGGGCAGGAAGCATCTAGCACAGCAGAAAGATACAGGCTGGGAGGCTAGGCCAGTCTCTCTTCTCACATTTTTCTGCCTGCTTATATTCTAGCCACCATGGCAGCTGATTATATTGTGCCCAACCAGATTAAGGGTAGGTCTGCCTTTGTCAGCCTGCTAACTCAAATGTTAATATCCTTTGGCAACACCTTCACAGAGACACCCAGGATCAATACTTTGTATCCTTCAGTCCAATGAAGTTGACACTGAGTATTAACCATCACAAAGCTGGAGTAAATACATAAATTATTTGGAATTCATTCATTCATTTATTTACTTAATCATGTATTTGTATCAGTGTGGACTCATGGATATTAATTGTATACTTTGAGTTAAAATTCATTACTACTTTCTTTATCTTGTTGCTCAAATTGTTTCAGCTTTGGCAATTGGGAACCCACTCCTGTGTCCCTTTGACATAACCCCTTCATTTTAGAAGTTTTTTGTTTTGGTTTGGGTTTTTGAGCATTTTCTTACTTTCTGGTACTACAGGATGCTTCAGGCTCATCTATGCATTTCTTGTCCCAGTCTAGAATCAGTCATTTTTCAAAAAAAAACTAATTTCATTTTACTGAAGATCGATACTAGAATGAGGACCTGGGTGCTCCATTTCTCCAGGGGTGTCCTTCTAGGTTCTATCAGCTTATAGAGCAAGGAGATTATATATACTAACTTGTGTGTGTATTTATACATAGATATACATATATATGTACATGTATAGCAGGGTGTGAAGGCCAGGAATCCTTGACATTCCTTGGTTTGCAGATGCTGTACACACACATTGCTATGCACACACATTAAGTATCTGTAATCTTTAACCCTAACAGTGGGTCCCACCATCTGCCATCTGTTTACTTAATTGCTGATTTCCAGTATACATGAATAGCAGTTTCACAGTTGTTAACCTGTACCTCCATGGGAAAGAACTTTATTGGCTAGAGCATGGTGTAATGTACAGTTCCTTTTGACTTTATTCTTATAGACTCCATTCATTTCCAATGTTACTCAGGTCAGCACCTTATTCCCCCACATCCTCCAGTGAGGATATTTCAGACATTTGTAATACATATACATTCTTTTATCACATTTTGTTTTCCATCCTGGTATCTTTGCCCTCCTCGGTTATTTTTAAAATATTTGCGTACATTCAGGTTTACTCTTTATGCGATAAAGTTCAATGGATTTTCACAAATGCTTAATGTCTTGTATTCATCATTATAGTATCATACAGGACAGTTTCACTACCCTACACAATCCCTTGTGCCTCATTTATTCAATTTCCCCCAGGGCTGAACCCCTGGTAACCACTGATATTTTTAACAATTTCATAGTTTTGCCTTTTCCAGAATATCATATAATTAGAATCCTATATGTATGATATTTACAGACCAGCTTTATTAACTTAGCAATATGCATTTAAAATTCATCCGTGTCTTTTTGTAGCTTGATAGCCTTTTCTTTTTATCACTGATTTATATTGCATTGTATGGATGTACCACAGTTCGTTTTTTCGTTCACAAAGATGAAGAGACATCTTGATTGCTTCCAGTTTTTGACAATAAAGCTGCTGTACATATTCACATGTAGGTTTTTGTGTCAACATAGGTTTTCAAATCTAGGAGTGTGAAACTGCTAGATCATATAGTGTGCTAGTTTCCTAGGGCTGCCATAAGATAGTACCACAAACTGGGGGGCTTAAAATAATTGAAATTTTTACTCTCATAGCTCGAGGCTAGAAGTCTGAAATAGGTGTCAACAGGGTAGGTTTCTTCTGATGTTTCCGAGGGATAATCTGTTCCATGCCTTTGTCCTACTTGCCAGTGAAGGCCAGCAATCCTTGATTTGTAGATGCATCACTGTATTGTCTGCCTCTGTCTTCACACGCCATTCTCCCAGAGTGTCTATGCCTCTTCCCTTATAGGGACACTGGTCAGATTGAATTAAGGTTACTCTAATATGACCTCATTTTAGCTATTTATGTCTGCAGCAAACCTATTTTTAAATAAATAATTTCATATCCTGAAATACTAGAGGTTAGAACTTCAATATATCTTTTGGGAGAGAGTTACCCAATTCAACCCATAACATATGGTAAGACAATATTTTTTTTTTTTTGAGATGGAGTTTCGCTCTTGTTGCCCAGGCTGGCGTGCAGTGGCATAATCTTGGCTGACCACAACCTCCGTCTCCCGGGGTTCAAGCGATTCTCCTGCCTCAGACTCCCAAGTAGCTGGGATTACAGGCATGCTCCACCACCCCGGCCAACTTTGTGGGTTTTTTTTTTTTTGAGATGGAGTCTCGCTCTGTCGCCCAGGCTGGAGTGCAGTGGCACAATCTCGGCTCACTGCAAGCTCCGCCTCCCAGGTTCACGCCATTTTCCTGCCTCAGCCTCCCAAGTAGCTGGGACTACTGGTGCCCGCCACCATGCCCGGCTAGTTTTTTGTATTTTTAGTAGAGACGGGGTTTCACCATGTTAGCCAGGATGGTCTTAATCTCCTGAGCTCGTGATCTGCCCGCCTTGGCCTCCCAAAGTGGTGGGATTACAGGAGTGAGCCACCGTGCCCGGCCACTTTGTGTTTTTAGTAGAGATGGGGTTTCCCCATGTTGGTCAGGCTGGTCTCGAACTCCCGACCTCAGGTGATCCACCTGCCTTGGCCTCCCAAAGTGCTGGGACTGCAAGCGTTCTTTCTCTGATTAATTCCTTTCCTTCTGTGTCTCATATTTTTCTCAAGTCTACCTAAAAAGTAATCCTTCAATACATTCTTCAGTTTTGAAGAATGTGGCAAGCGTGAGCCACTGCACCCGGCCAAGACCATATTTTTTTAACAGAAACTGTCGAAGTGTCTTTTGTATTAGCTATACCATTTTCCATTTCCATTAGCAGTGAAAGAGAGTTCCGCTTGCTCTGCATCCTCACTAGCCGTTGGTATTATCATTTTTCTTTTAGCTATTCTAATGTATGTGTAGTAGTATCTCATTTTCATTTGTAATTCTCTATTCACCTATGTTGTTGAGGATCTTTTCATATGCTTATCTGCCATCTGCATATCTTCTTAGGTGAGGTCTCTGTTCAGATCTTATACCCATGTTTAAATCGTTTCTTTTTTTGTTGTTGAGTTTTAAGAGTTATTTGTATATTTTAAGTACAAGTCTTTATTAGATATGTTTTAGGTCGGGCACGGTGGCTCACTCCTATAATCTCAGCACTTTGGGAGGCCAAGGCGGCCAGATCACCTGAGGTCAAGAGTTTGAGACCAGCCTGGCCAACATGGTGAAACCCCATCTCTACCAAAAATACAAAAATTAGGCAGGTGTGGTGGGAGGTGCCTCTAATCCCAGTTACTCAGGAGGCTGAGGCAGGAGAATTGCTTGAACCTGGGAAGCAGAGATTGCTGTGAGCTATGATTACGCCATTGCACTCCAGCCTGGACAACAAGAGCGAAACTCCATCTCAAAAAAAAAAAAAAAAAGATATGTTTTAATATTTTCTTCCAGTCTGTGGCTTGTCTTTTCATTCTCTTAACATTGTCTTTCACAGAGCAGAAGTTTAGTTTAGTTTAGTTTGTTTAGTGTAGTCTTGCTCTGTCGCCCAGGCTGGAGTGTAGTGGCGTGATCTCAGCTCACTGCAGCCTCCCAATCCTGGGTTCAAGCAGTTCTCCTGCCTCAGTCTCCTGAGTAGCTGGGATTACAGGAACTGGCCACCACACCCAGCTAATTTTTGTATTTTTAGTAAAGACGGGATTTCGCATGTTCGCTAGTGTGGTCTCAAAATCCTGACCTCAGGTGATCCGCCCACCTTGGCCTTTCAAAGTGCTGAGATTACAGGCCGATAGAGTAAAGCACTTCACAAGCTAGCCACTACCTGTTTCTTCCATTTTCTTCTGCTATTCTCTGGCAGAAATTCTAGAGACAGTTCCATCTATTTGTTGTAATCTTTACCAATTACTGTTTACATCACACTGGACCAGTTAATTGATCTCTCAGCTTCAATTATCTCTTGTTTAAAGTAGGCAATAATAATACTTTTGCCATTGGATTGCTTATGTAAAGCATAGGAAGAATATGTCTCATATACCCAACAAATGTTAGTTTTCTTGCTCTTTTTCTTTTGTTTTCAAACACCATGACCTTCTTTCTTTCTCTTTCCCCTCCCGTCCCCTCCCCTCCCCTCTTTCTTTTCTTTTCTTTTTTTTGACAAGAGTCTTACCCAGGCTGGATTGCAGTGGGGCAGTCTCGGTTCACTGCAACCTCCGTCTCCTGTGTTCAAGCGATTCTTATGCCTCAGCCTCCCGAGTAGCTGGGATTACAGGCATGCACCATTACACCCAGCTAATTTTTGTATTTTTAGTTGAGACGGGGTTTTGCCATGTTGGCCAGGCTTGTCTCGAACTCCTGGCCTCAAGTGGTCCGCCTGCCTCGGCCTCCCAAAGTACTACAGTTACAGGTGTGAGCCACTGCACCCAGCCCATCATGACTTTTTATGCTTTACTATTTCTGTGTAGTTCTTTCTCTGATTAATTCCTTTCCTTCTTCTGTGTCTCATATTTTTCTCAAGTCTATCTAAAAAGTAATCCTTCAAAACATTCTTCAGATATCACTACCTCTATATTGCCATCTCTGGTTGCCTTTTGGTTCCTGTCTGCTCTCACTTCTGCTGTAGTTTGAATCATATCCTACCGTACTTGTCTGGTTTTCTCCACAGATTGGAACTCCTAGGAGCCATATGTACTTACCACAGTGCCTGAGAATGTATTTCTAGTTAATGTCTCCTGAACAAATGAATGAATTTTTATTAATTTATTCTTTATGTTGACTTAAGATCACTTGAACTAGTCAGAAAAAAGAAAAGATCTCATCACCTAGACAAATGGAGGTCTTGTCTATCAGTAACCAGTGCTTTTTTTTTTTTTTTCGAGATGGAGTCTCGCTTTTGTCGCCTAGGCTGGAATACAGCCTTGAACTCCTGGGCTCAAGCAATCCTCCTGCCTTAGCCTCCCAAGTAGCTAGGACTACAGGTGTATGTCACCACATCAGGCTAATTTTTTAATTTTTTTTTAGAGACAGGGTCCACTGTGTTGCCCAGGCTGGTCTCAAACTCCTAGCCTAAGCAATCCTGCCTTGGCCTCCCAAAGTGCTAGGATTATCCGTGTGATCCACTGCACCTGGCTTTTTTTTTTTTTTTTTTGAGATGGAGTCTCGCTCTGTCGCCCAGGCTGGAGTGCAGTGGCGCAATCTTGGCTTACTGCAAGCTCCGCCTCCCGGGTTCACACCATTCTCCTGCCTCAGCCTCCTGAGTAGCTGGGACTACAGGCACCCACCACCACGCCCAACAAATTTTTTTGTATTTTTAGTAGAGACGGGTTTCACCATGTTAGCCAGGATGGTCTCGATCTCCTGATCTCATGATCCGCCTCCCAAAGTGCTGGGATTACAGGCATGAGCCACCGCGCCTGGCCAGCACCTGGCCTTTTAACCAGTGCTTTAAATTAGATCCATGCCTTCTACCACCCACCTCCAGTTATCCTAAGCATGGAGATAAAGTAGCAGATATTCCTTTAAGTGGGTTTGGGGATTGTCTTGATCCCATCTGACTCCTATAACAAAAATACAATAGACAGGTGGCTTAAAAAACAAATATGTATTTCTCACAGTTCTGGGGGCTGGGAAGTCTAAGATCAAGGCGCCAACGGATTCAGTATCTGATGGTTTATAGACATCCATCTTCTTGATGTGTCACATGGCAGAAGGGGTGAGATTGCTTTCTGAAGTCTTAAGTTTCTCTGTGTCTCTTTTTTTTTTTTTTTTTGAGACAGAGTCTTGCTCTGTCACCCAGGCTGGCACAGTGGCACCATCTTGGCTCACTGCAGTCTCTGCTTCCCAGGTTCAGGTGATTCTCGTGCCTCAGCCTCCCGAGTAGTTGGGATTACAGGCACCTGCCACCACACCTGGCTAATTTTTGTAGTTTTAGTAGACATGGGGTTTCACCATGGTTGGTCTTGAACTCCTGGCCTTAAGTGTTCTGCCTGCCTTGGCCTCCCAAAGTGTTAGAATTACAGGTGTGAGCCACCGTGCGTGGGCTGAAGTCTCTTTTAAAAGGACACTGATCTGGTTCATGAGGGCCCCACCCTTATGACTTCCCTCCAAAAGCCTCCACCTCCACCTCCTGATACATTCAGGGTTAGAGATTTTAACATGAATTTTTTGGAGAAAAAACATTCAGCCCTTGACAGGAATCTTTTCAAAAACTTTATTAAAATGTCTAGCATAGAGTATTCTTGGTTTTCTAAATAAGTTTAAGTCATTTCTCAGCCTAAAAATTTATCTTGACCACTAGCAGAGTACAAATGCAATTGATTGCATCTTCAATTTTAAAGAAGTCTGTCCTGATTTCTTTGGAAGCTGATGTAATTTTGTTGAGAGCTCCTGCTGTTTTGCACAACTGGGTTATTGTGGTATTCTCTCAATAGTCTTAGACAAAATTCGAAATGAAAAGCAGAGGTGGCAGTGATGGTGAGTTAAACCATACCCAGATAGATACAGACACAAAGCATCCTCCTGGAATTTAATGTTTAAGTTCACATCAGCATTTGAAAAGCACAAAGCACTAATAGCATCATCTCACCCTAAGTATTGTTATTATATTAATACATTAACACCTCCAAGTGCATCGTAAAGAAAATGTTGCAAACATTCCTACCATACCAGTTTTTATTAAGTGAAATGTTCTTTATGACTAGCAGTTGTTTAAAAATGGGAAGAATGGTTAAAATTAAATCCCACCCTGTAACCTCCTTTTCCTTTTTGAGTAATGAGCTTAAATTTTGACAGAACTTAAAAATCCAAAGAGGCCACAACTTTATTGGTGTGTTAGTTCATTCTCATGCTGCTGTAAAGAAATACCTGAGACTGGGCAATGTATAAAAGAGGTTTAATTGACTCACAGTTCCACATGGCTGGAGAGGCCTCAAGAAGCTTAAGGTTATGGCAGAAGGCACCTCTTCACAGGGTGGCAGGAGAGAGAGAATGAGTGCAAGCAGGGGAAATGCCAGATGCTTATAAAACCATCAGATCTCATGAGATTCACTCATTATCATGCGAACAGCATGAGGGAAACCCCCACCATGAGCCAGTTACCTCCACCTGGTCCCACCCTTGGCACATGCAGATTATTACAATTCAAGGTGAGATTTGGGTGGGGACACAGAGCCAAATCACATCAATGGGCCTCTTCCCACATCTGTATTGGGAATTGGACAACTGAGAATATACATAAAGGCTCCCAACTTTTCATGTAGAGTAGCTAGGGATGGTTATCAATACAAGTCTTAACTCTTTGTACTGAAACATTTTAAAGCCATTTTTTTCCTGTATCCATTGATTAATCTAACTTTTACTCCTGTATGCAACAAATAAATATTATTGAGTCTTCTGTTTGGTAAGTTCTTAGAACTATGGATTAAGAAACATGCCTTCATTCGCAGCAACCTGGATGATATTGGAGACTATTAATTCTGAGTGAAGTAACTCAAGAATGGAAAACCAAACATCATATGTTCTCACTCATAACTGAGAGCTAAGCTATGAGGATGCAGTGGCATAAGAATGACACAATGGACTTTGGGGACTCGGGGAAAGGGTGGGAAGCGGGTGAAGGATAAAAGACTAAAACTGGGTGCAGAGTATACTGCTTGGGTGATGGGTGCACCAAAATCTCACAAATCACCACTAAAGAACTTACTCATATAACCAAACACTACCTGTTCTCCAGTAACCTATGGAAATAAAAAAGTTAAAAAAAAAAAGATTATAGAACAATAGGTAAAAAATGAGCTTGTTTTTGTTTAAGCCACGTCCCTCAAAACACACAAAATTATAGCTATTTATCTGTATGTGTATAGATAAAGATCTTCGAGGATATTAAAAAAAAAAAAAAAAAAAGAAACATGCCCTCCCTCTAATCAAGTAAGGATGAGTGGGGGTGTATAGCTCTGTGTGGTATCTGTAAAATGTAGGGTACTGGAAATATTGGAAGTGAAGTTTACAATATAAAGTCTATGATACTATTGTGGAAGGAACCATTAATTTCATATTGATTAAGTTGGAAGGGTTTGTGGAGGAGGTAGATTGGAAGTGGGTCTTGTAAAAGAAATAAGTAGAAAACCAGCATTGAAAAAACGAAAATTGAGGAGTTTATTGACTGAGCAACCCTCAATGATTTGCAAGCCCTGTTTCACAGAACTGTCTTTCACAGAACTGAGGTTGAGACTGAGGGTATGGGACTATGAGGTCCCCACCTTACTTCGGCTATAGTGGTCTCACTTTTTCGGCTTTACAAATGTTGAGTTTCTGTATAATATTTTATTTGTAAAAAACTTGCATTGCTTTAAAAAAACAAGTGTAAGATTGACTTTTCTTGATTCTTAGCTTCGTGTCCTCTTCTTATATATTATAGTGAGGCAAAGTGTGTCTCTTTCTCTTAACCTTTATCTAATTTTACTCATCAGTGGTTCAGAAGTTTTCAGTAGAATGATTTAATCTTTGACATTTTCTGCAGGTTCTAATCTTCTCATACTGCTTTCAATTTTTTAAACATTAATTTAGAAACAAACTATTAATAAAATATATTTGTAATGATGGCAATGTTTTACTGTTTTGAAATTTTATATATTTAAGCCCATAGGAAATGAGATATTTCTAGAGAGTCAGAGTTTTTAGGATAGCCAGGCATTCCATTTTTTTTTTTACCGTAACAGTTTTGAAAGAAACATTTTTTTCAAATACTTTCTATGTATTTCTGTTTTTTTAAACATTGTACTCTGAACATAATTTAACCTTTTTTGTTACTCAAAGTTATCAACTACTGAGACAAGTTAGGCCCTTTACTTAATCTAATAGAGTGTTTTAAGTTATGTGTCTGCATCTTATTTTTTATTTTCACCCCTCCAAAGCCTTTTTCTTCTCTGTCCTAAGTGAGTTTACAGGCAAAATGAAATGACTCTTTATCTATTTTTGTTAATGTTGGTATTGAGGCTATTATTGATAAATAATATTAGAAAAGACGAGTAAATGCTGTCTGCTGAAATTTTCTGCTATTTTTCAGTACATTTTTATTTGAAATTTACGTTTTAGGTTATTTTATAATAGATCATTAATTCATGGATTGAGTTAGCTGTCTTTTTTTAATTTTTAATTTTTGTGGGTACATAGTAGATGTATATATTTATGGGGTATATAAGATATTTTGATACAGGCATACAATGTGTAATAATCACATTAAGGTAAATGGGGTATCCATCTCCTCAAGCATTTATCCTTTGTGTTGCAACAATCCAATTATACTCGTAGTTATTTTCAAATGTACAATTAAATTATTATTAACTACAGTCACCCAGCTATCTTACTTTTTTATTTCAATATTGATTCCTACCATTTACTACTTTATTTCAACATTTTCATAATATTTTGTTATTTTATTTTAACTTATTAGTTTATGACATGATGTTAACCATGAATTTAATGAACTATTTTCACTGCTTTTAATGCCACTAATATTTCAGTAAAATAAAATCAAGCCCAGATTTGGTCTTAACATATTCATTTTCTCCTAAAAACTAACTTTCATTATTTATTGTTTATTGTTGTAGTTATTAGTACATAGCAAATAACATTTATTTTGACTCTTAACCCAATTTGAAATTTTTTTCTTAGGAAGATATTTTTAGATAACCTTCTCATTAACTTTTCTGAAGTTCATTATGTATTGCATTTTCTCTTATCAACTGATTCTACAAAATTAAAGTCATTTTAAAATTTTGACATGAATAATATTTAATAAATTAGGAATGTGACTAGCATGTGATGACATTATCAGTTTTGACATCTCATTTCTTTTTATAGATTAAAAGTGAATTCCTTAAGTAATAATTGACAGACTGTGCTCTTTTGAGTATATTCTATGTATAGATTCATTTAAGAAATTTGGAGCTATTACTAATTCTACTAGAAGACAAAAGAACAGAGAAGTTATTCAATAATAACCTGTTATTATTGGTTATTATAACTAATAAACATTATTGAATAACTTCTCAGTTAATTCATGCTATTGAGTAAAAGAGAAGTTATTCAATAATATATTTAGTTATATTGGGAAAACAAGGGACATCTCTATCCAATAAAAATGTCAGAAACTGAATATTTTTCACCTTGTCATAGTACTACCCTGGAGATCATGGTGACATTGCATTATAGGGAAAAGTTATCTATCACTATGTTTAATGCAGAAACAATTTATGTAGATGCTACCGTAGAGAAGAAAACCATATGGTTTAGACCCAGGAAACTCTACCTTGACAATGGGGTGGTTTATTTATTTATTTATTTTTTTTAGGTTCTAGATCTTTATTAACTTTTCCAGATTTGTGATTTTTGGTTTTCTCTCTCTTGTTCATGTACGCACTCTCAAACACAAACACACACACAGTGATTGTTTATAAAGACTTGACATCAATCCTTAAGGCAGGCATCCCAAAAGCAGATACAGACAGGGCCTCCAGGGAGTGAAGTCCTCGCAGGGACATGGGCACACTGGGATGAGAGGACCCCAGCTAAGGAGCAGTCCCCGCCTCCAGTCCACTGTCTACACGGGGACGTGGCTGCCACCAGTCCTGAGTTGTTGAGAGAAGCCAGGAGTCACATTTTTACACAGATCTGAGTTTTAAACACTATAAACTGAGGTTCTTACCATACAGGTCCAAGAGATCACACTATGGGCCACCACTCCAGAGCCTCCTGTCCTAAAGTATGAATTCTGAGCACCAACTTGCAAATATCAAGGTAATTAGCACATATTTGCACGGCCATTTTTACAAAGCAGAGTTGGAGTGGTTTTTAGAGTAAAAATCATTGGTGCCAACGTTCTTTAAATATATAAAAATTATTATTATTATTTTTTGAGATGGAGTCTCGCTCTGTCGCCCAGGCTGGAGTGCAATGGCATGATCTCTGCTCACTGCAAGCTCTGCCTCCCGGGTTGACGCCATTCTCCTGCCTCAGCCTCCTGAATAGCTGGGACTACAGGCGCCTGCCACCTTGCCCAGCTAATTTTTTTTTTTATTTTTAGTAGAGACGAGGTTTCACTGTGTTAGACAGGATGGTCTCGATCTCCTGACCTCGTGATCCACCCACCTCGGTCTCCCAAAGTGCTGGGATTACAGGCGTGAGCCACCACGCCCGGCCTAAAAATTAATTTTTAAATAATAAATACTTACAAGAATTGATAGTTTTCTCTTTCTTTTTCTTAGTAGTCCTTTTTTTTTCTTTTATTGCCTAACTCAATTTAAACAGCAAATTTTACTTGTAACATTCCATGTCTTTCTTAGAATAACAAATTGATTTTGCTGTCTCATTTGATTCATATTCTTGTTTTCATTTCTGCACATAATACCCAGCCTAATCTCAGTATTCAGTGGCCTTCCTTTATGTTTTAACTTTTGAAACTACTCAACTCATTAGGGCTCAATTTTTAGTCAATTGTTGTATTTTGGCAACTGGCAGAGGATGTGATTAACCAGCATTTTGTTTTCCTCTTGCTTATTTCCTTTTTCATTTTATGTAACGATTTAGTAACCATTAGGTAAGTTAATTTGTACTTTTCTTAAAAAAAAAACTTTCACAAAGGCGTCCTTTCTTTCTCCCTCTTTTTAATATATACGAGACCCATCTTAAAAGGGTGTACGTTCTGAATCTGAGTAGGGAATCTCCATCATTGTTTAATTAACATTTCCAAAAATTACCTAGTTGAGATTTGGAATTCTTTCTAATGGTTTATTCTGAAGTGATTGCTATGTGTCAACACATGAATTGACAGATTAATCCAAGTACTTGTTCAACCGAAAGCATCCTAATAACCTGCAAAAATTTTGTCTCAAGCTGTTGATGGATGTGCTTTTGATTCCTTATTTTAAAAGCAGAAATAATTTTCCCTTTGTTACAAATAAGTGGTGTCTTTATTTATTTATTTTACTTCCACCATAATTTTATGTGTCATTATGTAACTGCAGAACATAGTATTTTAATATACTAGTCTGAATTTCAATACAGGGTTCTTTATTTTCTAATTATGATGTCTTCAAATTAATTATAGTGTTGCCACATTAAAAAGGATATAAAGCATCACGCTGTAATTATTTATGATACTAAGCAAGGGATTTATTCATCTTCCTTTTATAAAATCTCCAACTGAACTTATCTATGGTCCTTAATGGCAGTAATCAAGTTTGCCAAGTGCAAATGCTTCTTATCTGCTCTTTGTTTCCTAATCCTTATCTTCATGTGTTTTGAAACACCCTTTTGTTTACATTTGTGATCAACAAATTCAGTGTTAGTAAACAACATAGAAAATTTAGTATTTTTCATACACTTTTTTTAAGAATATGTTATATTTTCACTGTGTTCATTACGTATAGAAATTTTAGTGATGCAAGTTATTGTTCTTCCAATTTGTTAAACAGTTAAGGTTGATCATTGAGCCTTATATATAGCACTTTAATTGATTACCTGAGATATATAATCAAAGCAAGGTGCAAATTAGATACCCTTTCAGTGCCTTTATTAAACTTCTGAAATTAGTCTTTTTCTATAAAATTGCTAGCTAATTCAAGTAGATTGTGAAGTGAAAAGCCAAATTTCGTTTTTGTTTTGTTTTTTGAGACAGAATCTTGGTCTGTCACCCAGGCTGGAGTGCAGTGGTGCAATCCTGACTTACTGCAACCACTGCCTCCTGGGTTAAAGCAATTCCCCTGCCTCAGCCTCCCAAGTAGCTGGAATTATAGTTGCCCGCCACCACACCTGGCTAACTTTTATATTTGTATTTTTATTTTTCATTTATTTATTATTTATTTTTATTTCATTTTATTTATTTTTTTTTTTGAGACAGAGTCTCTGTTGCCCAGGCTGGAGTGCAGTGGCACCATCTCTGTTCACTGCAACCTCTGCCTTCCAGGTTCAAGCGATTCTTCTGCCTCAGCCTCCCGAGTAGCTGGGGCTACAGGTGTGTGCCACCACGCCCGGCTAATTTTTGTATTTTTAGTAGAGACGGGGTTTCACCATATTGGCCAGGCTGGTCTCGAACTCCTGACCTCGTGATCTGCCCGCCTCGGCCTCCCAAAGTGATGGGATTACAGGCGTTAGCCACCGTGCCTGGCCTTATTTATTTTTTTGTGACAGGGTCTCTCTCTGTCATAGCCTAGGCTGGAGAGCAGTGGTGCAATCTCAGCTCACTGCAACCTTCGCCTCCCAGGGCTCAAGCGATTTCTCCTGCCTCAACCCCCCTGAGTAGCTAGGATTACAGGCATGAGCCACCACACCTGGCCTAATTTTTGTATTTTTAGTAAAGGTGGGGTTTCACCATGTTGGCCAGGCTGGTCTTAAACTCTTGACCTCAAGTTATCCGCCCACCTCAGCCTCCCAAAGTGCTAGGATTACAGGTGTGAGCCACTGTGCTCAGCCCCAAATTCTGTTTTAGATAAATTTATTCTACATACTATATAGCAGGGTAGAAAGCACTATGTTTATACTGCCTTGGAATTGTAATTAAAGGTCAGTCAAGAAACCAGATACCCCAGAAATGATTTAAAAGTTCAAGAATCAAATCATGGAAGTGTTTTTCGTGTTTTTATCTGTTTGTTTCTCCTGATGAGGAAATGGCCAAAAATTAGGCAAAGCTAAGATTTTTTTCCCAAAGTTTAATCATTATAGTAGTTATTCTCAAAATGCAACCTGAGAGTCATCCACATAAGAATCATTTTTGCTTGCCCCTTCCTTCCTTCCTTCCCTCCCTCCTTCCTTCCCTTCTTCCTTCCCTCCTTCCCTCCTGCCCTCCTTCCTTCCTGCCCTCCTTCCCTCCTTCCTTCATTTCTTTTATTTTTAGAGACGAGTTCTTGCTGTTTCACTCAGGCTGAAGTGCAGTGTCCTGGCCTCAAACAATCCTCCTAGCTCAGCCTCCCCAGTAGTTATGACTACAGGCACATGCCAGCACATCAGCAAATTTTTGTATTTTTTGTAGAGATGTGGTCTCTCTATATTGCCCAGGCTGATCTCAAAAATCCTGGCATCAGACAATCCTCACATATCAGCCTCCCAAAGGGATTTTTATTTTAAAAGTCCATTTCTATTGAATCAGAATTTGAGGTGTTGTCCTGAAGTCTGAATTTTTAACATGTATCTAAATGATGCCTAGGTATAATAGATTGTAAGAACTTAGAGCATAACTGGGAGATTGGACTTTTTCCCCCCATTTCTTTTTGTCCTTTCCTTTTCTTTCTCCCTACCCTACCCAAGCACTTGTAGTTATTTTCTTTGTGCTGTGTTGGGCTCTCAATTTTAAGAAATTGCTGAGGCTCCTATACTACAATGCAAGTGGAAAAAAATGACTAGAATCTTAATTAAGTTTGTTAACTTGGTTTTAATTTTACAAAACAGATTTAAAACGTACAAAAATTATGGAAAATTTATTTCTGAACTTCAAATTTTATCTGAGGAATGGTACTGTTGAATGAATAATACATATGCATGTGAGCAGTTCCCATTATAGTTAAGTATCTCATTTTTTACTGTCTTGTGACTCTTTAAGATTAAATATGAGCTGGGTGAGGTGATGCTTGCCTGTAGTCCCAGCTACTTGGGAGGCTGAGGCAGGAAGATCACTTGAGCCAGGAGTTTGAGGTTACAATGAACTATGATCATGCCACTGCACTCCAGCCTGGGCAACAGTGCGAGATCCTGTCTCAAATAAATGAATAAGAATTTAGAAATTTTGCTTCTTTTGGCACTGTGTGATATAGATTATCACTTCTTTTTGTCTACTACTTTTGAAGTGTAGAACAGCCCTCTTTTCCTTCCACCAAGCACGACTGCTACTACGTTGTAGAGCTGTAACTTTTTTTTTAATCTTTTTACTTGAAAGTCATTTCATACTTACAGAAGGGTTTCAGGAACATAAATAATACAAAGATCATCCATATACCCTTTACTCAGATTTATCAGTTGATGACATTTTATTCCATTTGTAAAGCTGTGACTTTGAATAAAACTTTACTAGAGACTGGAGGAGGATAAAAATACCACATTAAAAGCATAACATCTAACTGCCACTAGAAATGTCTATTCTTAAAACACGTTTGCTCAAGTGGGGCACAGTGGTGTGCACCTGTAATCCTAGGTACTCTGGAGGCTGAGGCCAGAGGATTGCTTGAGCCTAGGAATTTGAGGCCAGCCTGAGTAACATAGAGAGACCCATGTCTAGGAAAAAAAATAAAAAGGGGCATATATTTGCTTATATCCAGCCTCTCAGACCATTCCAGAGCCTTCTCCCTGATTTTCTTTTTCTAGTCCCAATATGGGCATCTCTAAGCCATGCTTTGGACTACAACTCTACTTAAGTTCTGCCACCATCCCCGACTCAGTGCCCTCCCTTTAGATAAATAAGTTTTTTTCCTCTCATCCTGCTGCTCTCTAAGGCCCATCTCCTTTCTGCCTTCCTCTGTTCCCAGTGCATTCCCTTCAAGAGAAAGCCTGCTCCTGCACACAAGTACCAACCAACCATCAGGAAAGTGATAGCACAGTTCCCAAAGCATAGACTCTTCTGTCTTGAGTAAGAAGAAGATCAGGGCTATGTGCATACCCATATGGTCTGTTCTCTTTTCCTAGTCCCTTATGAGAAAAGAAGACAGAATTGAAATGTACACACACTATTCTATTCTTTTTTTTTTTTTTTTTGAGACGGAGTCTTGCTCTGCTGCCCAGGCTGGAGTGCAGTGGCGCGATCTCAGCTCACTGCAAGCTCCGCCTCCCAGGTTCATGCCATTCTCCTGCCTCAGCCTCCCGAGTAGCTGGGACTACAGGTGTCCGCCACCATGCCCGGCTAATTGTTTGTATTTTAAGTAGAGATAAGGTTTCACTGTGTTAGTCAAGATGGTCTCCATCTTCTGACCTCATGATCCACCTGCCTTGGCCTCCCAAAGTGCTGGGATTACAGACGTGAGCCACTGTGCCCGGCCGTACACACACAATTCTAAGAACAAATAATCACGTGTACCATCTAAAATTCTCTATTGGAAATAGCACTAACAATGTACAAGAACAAGAAAGTGGTTCTGCTAAAATATATACCCCCTTAATAATAAGTAACAGAACATAGTATTTCAGTCTGCTATTTCTTTATGCGGGTTTTCTTTCTTAATTGAAATCCTCACTAAGATTTTAAAAGCATACCTAAAAGGGTCCTCCAAAGCAATCTCTTTTATAACAAACAGGCCACCTATTTTAAAGACAAACCTACCTATCTGCCTTCAAAGGAACAAGCTGCTTATAACATTAAAACCGGAAAAGTTTTTAGTTTCGAAAAATGTCAATGAGCATTTTTAATGCATAGAAATAAAAATTGCTTTATAAAAGTAATCACAGTATAAAAAAGTGAAACTGAAATTTTATGTATCAGGATAATTGTTATTTAATTGCTCTTAATAATTTCATAGAATAAAACATTTAGGAAACCTAAAATTATTCTCCTAAGTAAAATGGTGATTTACAATTTTGAAAACATTGATGAAATGTGTTCTTGAGGTTAATGTATTCTATTTAATTCTTATGTAGCTACCTGGACATTTGTACTATTGTTTATTCAAGACTTTGATTCTTAATCATTGATTTAGCCTTAATGGTGATGAAACACTGAAGAGTTCCACATTAACAAATTCTATTGTTGTTAGAGCCCAGGGCTTTGAACCACATGTTGAGTGTAGTTATTCCTGTATGCCTAAATTACTTGAAGTGTGTTGTTGCTTTTATAATTGAATGCTATGCTGTTTTCAATTCTTTTCAAAATACTGAAATCTGGCCAAGTGCGGTGGCTCACGCCTGTAATCTCAGCACTTTGGGAGGCCAAGGCAGGAGGATTGGTTGAGCCAGGAGTTCAAGACAAGCCTGGACAACAAAGTGAGACCCCCCCATCTCTACAAACAAACAAACAAACAAACAAACCAAAAACAGGCATGGTGGTGTGCACCTGTAGTCTCAGCTACTCAGGAGGCTGAGGTGGGAGAACCGCTTGAGCCCAGGAGTTTGAGGTTGCAGTGAGCTGTGATCAGGCCAGGCCACAGCACTCCAACCTGGGTGACAGTGAGAGCCTGTCTCAAAATAAAAACAAAAACTGAAAATCTAAGTACATGTTTTAAAAGTTTATTTTTTATTTTATTTTATTTTATTTTTTTGAGACGGAGTCTCACTGTGTCACCCAGGCAGGAGTGCAGTGGCACAATCTCCGCTCACTGCAAGCTCCGCTTCCCGGGTTCACGCCATTCTCCTGCCTCAGCCTCCCAAGTAGCTGGGACTACAGGTGCTCACCACCACGCTTGGCTAATTTTTTGTATTTTTAGTGGAGATGGGGTTTCACCGTGTTAGCCAGGATGGTCTCGATCTCCTGACCTTGTGATCCGCCCACCTTGGCCTCCCAAAGTGCTGGGATACAGGCATGAGCCACCGTGCCCAGCCAAAGTTTATTTTGTTTTATCTATTTATTCATTTCTTTATTTTTGAGGTGGAGTTTCACTCTTGTCGCCCAGGCTGGAGTACAAACGCATGATCTCAGCTCACTGCAACCTCCGCCTCCCCTGTTCAAGCAATTCTCCTGCCTCAGCCTCCCGAGTAGCTGGGACTACAGGTGTGCGCCACTATGCCGGGCTAATTTTTTTGTATTTTTCATAGAGACGGGGTTTCATCATTTTGGCCAGGCTAGTCTCGAACTCCTGACCTCAGGTGACCCACCCGCCTCAGCCTCCCAAAGTGCTGGGATTACAGGTGTGAGCCACTGTTCCTGGCCTTAAAAGTTTATTTTAAAAGGTAGTCCTTTTCAAATTTTATTTAGAACTGAGTCATTCTATGTATTATTCCTTTCTTTAATGGGAATATGAGATTATGCCAATATACTTTTATTTTCTAATTTAGAACTATGTATTTTTCTAGTTTGTTTCATCAAACTTTATTTCCTACCTCACCATGTCCCAAAAATGAACAACCAAAAACAAATACCTAAGAAAAATAGTACCCAAATGTTTCACTTTGTATTGATAAATATCTTTCTAATTTCTGAGAATCACTTTTAGTCATTTCACTACATAATCTTTAAACTAAAGAGATGCTGAATAAGAAGTTGGGGGTTCTTACCAGGAAAGATAGCTGGACAAAAACTGAGTGTCAGTGTCAGTCCTAATACCATAGGGTATGATCTTCAAGTAGATTAGGAAATGGGTAGATTAAGAAATTTTCTTTTCTTCTTTTCTTCTCCTTTCTTTTCTTTTCTTTTCTTTTTTCTTTTCTTTGTTTCCTTTTTTTTTTTTTCAGGGTCTCATTCTGTCACCCAGGCTGGAGTGCAGTGACGTGGTAATGGCACACTACAGCTTCAACCTTCTGGACTCAAGCAGTCCTCCCACCTCAGCTTCCCCATTAGTTGGACTGTAGGCACATGCCACCACACCTGGGGATTACTAAATTTTTCTATAGAGACAGAGTCTCTCTCTGTTGCCCAAACTGGTCTTGAACTCCTGGCCTCAAGCAGTCCTGCTGCCTCGGCCTCCCAAAATGTTGGGATTACAGATGTGATCTACTGTACCCAACCAAGAAATTTATTATTTTCAGTGACAGCAAGTTGATCAAATCCTGAGATGTTTTACTCTAGCTAATAAAGCTCAAGGAAACTCTTTTATAAAAATCACAATGCCAGTTTATTAACGTATATTGAAAGATGGCTTTCCCTTTATCATGGTCACCCTGAAGAGATGCAATGGACCTTTCCACTCAAAATTTCATTTGGATGTCGAGGCTGATGATGCTACCCAGACATGAAGAGGGTATGAAAGGGTTTATTACTGACATAACAAGTCTTTCTGGGATGAGGAGGGCAGGCTCCCAAGTAGATATAAAAATGACTTGAAAAAAAAACAAGGAGAAGAGACAGGCATAGTCTCTTATTGGGCTTATGGGGTGGGGTTAAGGTGAGGGTTCTTACCATGTGGGCCGGGGCTTGCATAGCTTGTATTTCCCACCAGTGCCAAAGGAAATAGCACCCACACTTTCGTATCTGCTTGTACACAATTGGGGCAGAAGGGTAAGAGGGCTTGCATGTAAACATCAAAAAATGGAGTGAGACTCTTTATTTTATCCTTCTGTTTGCTTCCATTGCTTATTCTTATATTCAGCACATCAGCTTTGCAAGACCAATCCTTGCATGAGTTATACTGAAGACTGTTTGACTTGAGAAACTTTTTTTTCTTTTTAAAATGACTTCATATTTCTTAATTGGTACTTAATGTTTTACATTTCATACTTCTTAAATGGCAGTCGTATTTTTTTAGGTTATTAGGAAAGTATGATATGATAGCTGGGAACAGGAAGAAAATGTTCAGAATTTTGAAAACCTAACAAAAATAATACATTATTAGCTCCCATAATTTGTTTTTTCCTTTTCAGCTGCCTAAATTCATCACCGAATATTCAATTTATCTTCCTTAAGCCTTAAGCAACATAAGTCAAACAGGCTGCTTCTACTTGTTTCTCTCAGAGACTATTCTGTCTACTTCCCAAACTATGCACTGTGCATGTAGATACGAAGATAAAAATCTCAGAGAGGAGGAAACTTGAGAGAATTATAAAGAAAATCTGCATACACGTTAGCCTTAAGTCTTTGGCTATTTCCTAAACTATACATGCACAGAATGAGATCCCAAGAAACCTAGAAGAAATATAGAGTTGGGAAGGATAAAAACTAAGCCAAGATTTTAGCAGTATTGTGGTACTAAGTAGACAGAGATGGGGTTGAGCCTTGTTGAGGTAAGAAATTGTTTACAGATATCTTGCGTTGGCTTCTGTTGACCCCCAGAAGGGCCATCTTCTATAATAAATAGCAGGCGCTGGGAATAAGGGCAACAATGAGTAAACTTGCCCTTTAAAAGCGTAAAACCAAGTCTTAAAAGGAATGAGGTATTTGCCGTTACTCAATTTGCCTTCCCTAAGAAAACTTAACCTAACCCCTCTTGGGAGAAGATACTACTACCCAAAGCTTCTGTGAATTTTTTACTCAAGATATCTGGTGTTAAATTAGAAAATATGAGGGATCCTGAAAAACTGGTACCAAAAGGAAAAGGAAATAGAGCCCACATGAGATCAGATGTTGTTATCAGAGAGAGACTTTAAAATAACTTATTTTTTTGGCTGGGCATGGTGGCACACACCTGCAATCCCAGCACTTTGGGAGGCTGAGGAAGGCAGATCACTTGAGGTCAAGAGTTTGAGAACAACCTGGTCAACATGGCAAAACCGTGTCTTGGCAAGGCGCAGTGGCTTACGCCTGTAATCCAAGCACTTTGGGAGGCCGAGGCGGGTGGATCACCTGAGGTCAGGAGTTTGAGACCAGCCTGGCCAACATGGCGAAACCCCGTCTCTACTAAAAATACAAAAGTTAGCCGGGAGTGGTGGCATGCGCCTGTAATCCCAGCTACTCGGGAGGCTGAGGCAGGAGAATCGCTTGAACCCAGGAGGCAGACATTGCAATGAGCCGAGATCATGCCACTGCACTCCAGCCTGGGTGACAGAACAAGACTCCGTTTCAAGAAAAAGAAAACAAAAACCCTGTCTCTACTAAAAATAACAAAAATTAGCCAGGCGTGGTGGCACTCGCCTGTAGTCCCCAGGTACTCAGGAGGCTAAGGCACGAGAATCACTTGAACCCAGGAGGTAGAGGTGGTTGCAGTGAGCCAAGATCATGCCACTACATTTCACCCTTGGTGACAGAGTGACACTGTCTCAAATATAAAACAACAACATCATCAAGAAAATCAGCAAAAAGGTGGACAAAAAGACGTTTCAAAGGAGAATGTAATCTATTAAAAAGAATGTAATAGATTGTAAAAAATGTAATTAATAGAATGTAATCTATTAGGCCGGGCATGGTGGCCCTCACCTATAATCCCAGCACTTTGGAAGGCTAAGGTAGGTGGATCGCTTGAGCTCAGGAGTTCGAGACCAGCCTGCCCAAAAAGTACCAAAAAAAATAGCTGGGCATGGTGGCACATGCCTGGAGTCCTGGCTACCCAGGGGGCTGAGCTAGGAGGATTGCTTGAGCCCAGATCGAGGCTGCAGTGAGCCACGATTACGCCACTGCCCTCCAGCCACAGCAAGACCCTATCTAAAAAACAAACACACAAAAAAACCCCAAGAATTTTTAACATGTTAGAACAAAAACAACAACAAAAACAGATTCTAATGGACATTTTAGAACTGAAAAATAACATCTGGAGTTAATTCTAGTAGATTTAATAGATTAGATACAAGAATACAGAATTAGAGAACTAGAAGACAAAAATATTCAAACTTCTAATCAAATAAACTTCCCAGCATATCAGGATTCTTCTTATTCTTACCCATACTTATGCTAGTTTCCCTTTTCTTCGCCTGTCGTCAACCTAAAACTTCTTTTTCTTATTTTTTCTTTAAAAATATTTATTTGACAAATAAAAATTATATATATTTATGGTGTACATTATGTTGTTTTGAAATATGTATACATTGTAGAATGGCTACATTGAGGTAATTAACATATGCGTTACTTCACATGCTTTTTTGTGATGGGAACACTTAAAATCTACTCTCTTTGCAATTTTTAAGAATGTAGTATGTTGTTATTAACTATAGTTACCCTGTTGGACAATATATCTCTTCACCTTATTCCTTCTATCTAACTGAAATTTTTTTTTTTTTAATTCTACCTATTGTTTCAAGTCCCAATTCTACGTATCCTATTGAAGGCTTACATACCTGATCTCAGTAGACAAGATGAGGAAATTTTGAGGAGTGGCGGTCTTTGGGAGAGAGTTGTCTGGCAAGCCAACACAGAACATTGTTAGTCATACATGAAGTGCAAAATGTATAGATAGACAGGTGACTGGCACCAAGTAAATTTAGCAGCAAGAAGCTGAGGTTCTAGTGATAGAATCTGGGTTGCAGAGAGAGAATTCTGCTTTCCAGAAAACCAGGGAAGCAAAACAGATCCTATTTCCAGATAAATTGAAATTAAGAAAATGTGTTATGAAACCATGGCAGGAAACAAAACCAAAGACCCCTAACCATAGCACAAAGTTAGTGGTATTGTCCACACACAAAAAATAGGGCCAAGCCTCAGTTCCTGGAAGTCTGTTTTTGGCAGAGTTGTTGAGGCGGGGAAGTGGCACACTGAATAACTCTAGCCAGGTAAAGATCTGTAATTGTTGGCCGGGCGCGGTGGCTCATGCCTGCAATCCCAGCACTTTGGGAGGCCGAGGTGGGTGGATCACCTGAGGTCGGGAGTTTGAGACCAGCCTGACCAACATGGAGAAACCCCGTCTCTGCTAAAAATATAAAATTAGCCAGGCGTGGTGGGGCATGCCACCTCAGCTACTCCAGAGGCTGAGGCAGGATAATGGCTTGAACCTGGGAGGTGGAGGTTGCTGTGAGCCGAGATCGTGCTATTGCACTCCAGCCTGGGCAACAAGAGTGAAACTCCGTCTTAAAAAAAAAAAAAAAAAAGATCTGTGATTGTTAAAGTTCTGCTGTATTGGAACCAAGTTGTTCCCAGAATCCAGTGATGTTTGAGTGGCTTCGGGTGTGAAAATTGGAGGGCTTTGAAGACACGGAAACATACTAATTATTATCCAACGAATGTGTAAATATAACTTTGCATGAATTCTAAGATTGCTTTTTTGTTGTTAACAGGAGCAGTTAAAAGAAAAATACATAAACAAAATAATAAAGTTTTCTCAATGGAAACTTGCTTAAAGTCCAAAATCTGCTCTTTTCTCATTTCTTTAGTTTTGCTCAGCATTTAAAATTCATTTTTAAACTCTTTGTTTTCAGTTTCTGCATTTTTCTTTTTTCTCTTTGTATAGTCTGGTAAACAGGGCCTGTCTTTTAGTCTCTCTTTCCCATTGTTTGCCATAGTAACTACTAAAAAAGTAAGGATTATTGAGGTATAATTCACACTTTTATGTAAATTCACCCATTTTTAGTGTACAATTCTGAGTTCTAAAAAATGCATAGGTTATGTTAACAGCCACTAACATCAAGGTATAGACCGACTCCATTCCTAAAAGTTCCCTCATGCTATTCCCCTCCCCCACCTCCAGCCCCTGGCAACCACGGATCTGCTGTGGCTCCCTTTTGTTTTACTTTCCAGAATGAGACATATAAATAGAATCATAGAGTATGTAGATTTTGAATCTGGCTTCTTTCACTTACCGAAATGCGTTTTAGATGTATTCATGTTGTGTAGAGCATGAGTTCATTCTTTTTTTATTACCGAATAGTACTCCATTGTATGAATATGACATCATTTGATTATTCATGCACAGGTGAAGTACATTTGAGTTATATCCAGTTTCTGGCTATTTTGAACAAAAACACTATAAATATTCACTAAGTGACTACTTTTTAAATTGGAACAGCTTAGAAGTCAGGCATTGTGACAGTGTGGATACAAATCAAGTGGGAAGACACCTGAGACCTGGGATCTCATACGAGTTTTGCATCAGCCAGCTGTGATTTAAATAATTTAACTTCTCTATGTCTGCTTGTTTTGTAAAATGTGCATCATTCAGGACTTACTCTAGTTTTGAAATAACATGGTTTTGTGCTGTTAAGACATTTACTATAGTCTAAGAGGAGAGACTATAAATGGTTACATACATTTTATAAAACTAATTATATAAAATCAACATAATATTTAACCTTAGGAGTAATTTTGTCTCTTTAAGTTCAATCATGAATAGTTTGAACATAATATGATTTGCTTAATGAATTTTACAGGTCCTTATTATCTCAAACTTTTTATTAACTGTATAATCCAACTAATTTTACATTGGAAAATTATTTTGATAATACATTTTTTTTTAGACAGCCTTACTCTGTCACCCAGGCTGGAGTGTAGTGGTTCAGTCTAGGCTCACTGTAGCGTCAACTTCCTGGGTCCAAGCAATCCTCCCACTTCAGCCTCCAAGTAGCTGGAACTACAGGTGTGTCCTACCACGCCCAGCTAATTTTTTGTACGTTTTTTTATAGAGACAGGGTTTCACCATGTTGGCCAGGCTGGTCTCGAACTCCTGGGCTCAAGCGATCCACCTGCATCAGCCTCCCAAAGTGCTGGGATTACAGTCATGAGCCATCACACCCAGCTAATAATACTCTTAAATAAAATGTTTGATAAATATTTTCTTTTAAAATATTTTAGGCTCTATTATTAACATTTATTTATTTTTTAATTTAGATGGGTCTAGGAAAGACAATCCAGGCAATTGGAATTACTTACTTCTATAAAGAGGAATGGCCTCTGTTAATAGTGGTCCCTTCGTCTCTGAGGTACCCTTGGACAGAAGAAATTGAAAAATGGATCCCAGAGCTAAGTCCAGAAGAAATCAATGTTATTCAGAATAAAACTGATGTTAGGTAAGAACAACTGTTTAATATTTAAGGAGAAAAGTCTTCCTTGTGTGTACCTGGTATATATTCATGTTTTAGAATGCAATATCACCAATAGATAATAATTTAGAAGTGGAGTAAGTAGTATGGAGAATTTTATTTTACATTTTAAAATATGAATTATTTATCTAAAACCCAATAGTATATTTTAGTTCTAAGTTCCTTTATGGTATATTTTTAAAGTAAATGTAAAATACGTATACTTTTAAAGATATATGTAGTATATCTACTTTATATATACCTTAAACATATTTGAAACCATCTTAAGGTTCAGAAATAAATCTCACAACTTTTCATTGATTGACTTGAAGCTTTGTGATCGTTTATTATCAGCAACTTCAGTGGATTTTGCTTTCCAATTTGTTAATTAATATGCAAGTTTTGTGTGTGACTCATTAGTAAGTTTGATTTTCCTTATTTATAATTTTAATATTTTATATCTTGAAAATATTTGCTTTGTGTTTATTTGAAGCTCTCACTCTAAAATCTGTTATAGTGTTAGTATTTTTTTCCTCATTTTGCTTTCTAGCAATTAGAATAAGACAATCAGTTTGAGTATTGATGAGTTATTACATGGAATGTGTAGGTGATTCATACAAATTATGTCTCTGGAGGTTCAAAGTTATCTATTTCTGAACCTTAAATAAAAAGCAGTACAGTACATCTACTGAAATAAATATCTGTTAATACTTAGATTTTTAAATTTTGGTATTATTGTACTGTATTGTATTCTCTAAGACTGTTAACATAAAAGGTATATTTAAAAATAAAGTTGTCTTACGAATGTGGAAGGAGGAAACACAAAATGTATGGAGGGCCTTTTCACTTTCAACCTTGAAATGCTAATTCAGTAGCATGTATCTTTATGGGCCCAAGAAAATCTGGACTCTATTTACATGGTTAAAATGGAAAAACTGCTATCTTATCCTAATTATTATAAATAAATCTCCTCTCCAATAAAACTGAATGAAATTGAAAAGACTTACAAATTTAGAGAATGTAGAATTTTTTAAGGCCTCCATAACCATCATCTGTTTGGTATACCTTATTTATTTAATTTAATTAATTAATTTTTTTTTTTTTTGGAGACGGAGTGTCACTCTATCGCCCAGGCTGGAATGCAGTGGCACCATGTCGGCTCACTGCAACCTCTGCATCCTGGGTTCAAGGGATTCTCCTACCTCAGCCTCCCGAGTAGCTGGGATTACAGGCACCACCACCACACCTGGCTGACTTTTTTTATTTTTAGCAGAGATGGGGTTTCACCATGTTGGTCAGTCTGGTCTCAAACTCCTGATCTCAGGTGATCCACCCACCTCAGCCTCCCAAAGTGCTGGGATTACAGGCGTGAGCCACTGCACCTGGCTGATAAACCTTATTTAAATGTTCACATTTAAATTTTCTTAAAATGACTCTTCTATCATCTTTTATAGCCACTAGGGCATCTAGTTTTTATATTATTTTGAAAATACACTCTTGCAGTTAAATGGTGGATAATATTTTTATTTGAATAGTATTTGGGATATGTTAGATAGGAGTACAACTCCAGAGTATAAGTTTCCTGGAGGATGTTAGTTAAGGACAGAAAAACTACCCAATGTCTTCCAGGTACTTAAAGAAACAGGTTTAGGTGTATACCAATATGTCCACCACAAATACATATACTTTCCTTCTGGCTTATATCAGTTATGCCTGGACTGTTTACAAGTCAAGACATGGTAGGATAGAAGCTACAGATTGCTGCAGTGGCCTTTGAAGCCAGTCTCCTATATGTTGCTCTCAGTATACCTAAGTTAGTTAGTAATATTAAATAACCTATTACTTTCTTCTTCAGGCTCTTCTGGTGTTTGAATACAGTGAGAAAATTATAGGTCTCGGCCAGGCACGGTGGCTCACGCCTGTAATCCCAGCACTTTGGGAGGCCAGGGCGGGCGGATCACAAGGTCAGAAGATCGAGACCATCCTGGCTAAAATACAAATAATTAGCCAGGTGTGGTGATGGGCACCTGTAGTCCCAGCTACTCGGGAGGCTGAGACAGGAGAATGGCATTAACCTGGGAGGCAGAGCTTGCAGTGAGCCAAGATCATGCCACTGCACTCCAGCCTGGGCAACAGAGCGAGACTCTGTCTCAAAAAAAAAAAAAAAAAAAAGAAAATTATAGGTCTCTGTATTAAGTAGATTAATCCAGGGCTTAAAATGCAGTAGCCATAGTGGTTCTGGCTGCTTAGGAGCTCTACCTTTTCTGTTAGAGGATAGAGAATTGAAGAAGACTGGCTCTGTCCTGTATTTTTTTCTGGTGATATAGAAAATGCAAAAGTGATATGTCTTAGTATTATTGAATTTATTTGTCTAATTATTTCATTCTACAAACTTTATTTGGGATCATAGCACTGTGTATGAATACTACTAAAAGATGAATAAGACACATTCCCTGCCCTTACCAATCTCATGATATGGTAAGAGACATAAATATGTAAATGAATAATTTATTGACAGCAAGATACAGAATATTACAGATGTATGAATTATAGAAATCTAAAGATCAGGGATCATTTTAGCTTAATGGTTCTTGATGTGAGGTGGTACCCGCTTCTTCTAACCACACTTCACATTTTATCATCTCAGGTCCAGGAAGCTTTTTGTTGTCACAAAAGCTTCGGACTCCACTGTCCTTTAATAGGTAGGACCAGGAAATGAAGCTCTGCGGTGCACTGAACAGCCCTGTTAAGTCTGTTCTGCTACTGGTATTTTGAGCAGGAGGGCCTGTTCAGTGCACTGCAGAGCTTCACTTAGTCCTGCTCAAAATACCAGTAGCATCTGGATTGAAAAACTGCTATCCTATTTGTGTGAAAGTTTCATTGAAGAGTCAACTAATATTTAAGTATCCATTTTATGCATGATCCTAGGTGCATAGAAGCAAATATTGTCAGAAACTAATGTGGCTTGCTGGATGTCAAAATCTTTCAAAGATCATTTAACTAAAATTTTGGTTTTGGTTAACCAAAACTGTAAATTTTGGATCCTGGTTTATTATATTTGAGGATTGTGAAATCTTCAGAGTTTCAGTAGTAGTACCATCTCCTTTTATTTTTCCTCTATTCTTCTTTCTTCTCCTCTGTATTTTTTCCCAAGAGAGTTGTATTGTTCATGATAACGTCATTACTGAGATATTTTTTAAGTACATGGATTTTCTTTTCTAGGAGAATGTCGACCAGTAAAGTGACAGTTCTGGGTTATGGTCTCTTAACCGCAGATGCAAAGACTTTGATAGATGCACTGAATAATCAGAACTTCAAAGTAGTTATAGTGGATGAATCACACTACATGAAATCCAGAAATGCAACTCGCAGCAGGATTTTATTGCCAATAGTACAGAAAGCCAGACGAGCCATTCTTCTTACAGGAACACCAGCTTTAGGAAGGCCTGAAGAGGTATTACAATCCTTATACTTCGAACTTAAAAGAAGAGAAGGGGGGTGGGAGGCGTATTGAATCAACCACCTGTTTTGCAATTTTTAATTTCAAATTAGATGCCTTAAATGCTAGAGGAGTACATTGGGAATTTCTAGATAGTACGTATGTTTTATCATGGCTATTTTAATATATTTACATTTAAGCCTTAGCCAAGCTTGTAGGTATGTATAAAACATAGCTTTTACCTTTATTATAAGGCTGCCATATTTAGTACAACTTTATAATATTCTTCATAATGTGTTCCTGAGGTTCTTCTATGGTCTTAATCTTCATTTATCCTATTTTACATTATAAGCTTCTTAGGGTTGGGATTGAATCTACCTTATTTCTTTTACACTGCATTTCAGAGCTTCTGTCTGTTCTTCTTTCACTTTAAGAGTCACATTTGGAAAAGTAAAGAGAAACTAAAACTTACGTGCAGACCAGATAAGGTATCTGCTTAGAATGAAAGAATAAGGCATGTGTTTGATACCCCATTTAGCTTTTGCTACTCTAAGAGATGGGTAGTACGTGGAATGGTTAAAGGGTTAGGAAGAAGACATGATGGAAGAAATGTCTGTAAGGTTTAGTGTTGTTTAAGGAGGCTCTGTTTACTAATGAACACTGAATCTTAGAAAAACATGGGCTGTCATGTAGGGTTGCTGGGAGAATTAAAGGTAATACTGCTTTGAAAGTTCCTCACCCTATGCCTTGTCACATAGTAAGCACTCAACATATGGTAGCCAATGTTATATTAATTTTTGAGCCAAGCCTGGGTGACAGCTATTGTCATTGCCCTGTCTAACAGTATTACCTAAGCTCTGCTTTTCAATTCTATCCTGGAAATCTTGTGAGATACATATAAAAGTACATAGATAGTGATGATAAAATGCTTAATTTTACCTTTTATAGTTTTTACTCTTGGATGCCCACTGACAGTGCTGTAGCTCCACGTAATTGACATTATGTCCACAAATTATGTCAATGAATAATAGGGGTGATGATATACTTAAAAAAAATCATGAAACGTATCCTTCAAGATACTCAGTCCTACTGAGTCCAGAGAGTCGGCTGGACTCAGTAGCTCATACCTGTAATCCCAGCACTTTGGGAAGCCGAGGCGAGTGGATCACTTGAGGCCAGGAGTTCAAGACCAGCCTGGCCAACATGGTGAAACCCCATCTTTACTAAAAACACAAAAATTAGCTGGGCATGGTGGCCTGTGCCTGTAGTTTAGCTACCCGGGAGGCTGAGGCAGGAAAATCACTTGAACCCAGGAGGCAGAGGTTGCAGTGAGCTGAGATCTCACCATTGCACTCCAGTCTGGGTGACAGAGTGAGACTCTGTCTCAAAAATAAAAGAGAGTATACAAAAGATACATACATTTCAAATGACAATAATAAAATGAATACTCATCTACTTATAATCGAGCATAAGAAATAGAACATTAACAGTACAACAGTGGCTCTTACATCCTACTCTGATGACATGTCAGTACTTTTCACTCTTCACCTGTGGTAGCCACTATTCAAAGCAAGGGTAAATACCAATTTTGTGGGTCCTGATGATTGTATAATTTGTGTTTGGGATTTTTTTCTAAGAAAAAGAATATAAAATTAGAAATTCTAAGTTTGGAGTTTTGAAATTAGGAAGTGTGAGTTCTCTAATTTTTTCTTTCTTTCTTTTCTTTTCTTTTTTTTTTTTGAGACAGAGTCTCACTCTGTTGCCCAGGCTGGAGTGCAGTGGCATGATCTCGGCTCACAGCAACTTCTACCTCCCAGGTTCAAGCAATTCTTCTGCCTCAGCCTCCCGAGTAGCTGGGATTGCAGGCGCATGCCACCACACCCGGCACATTTTTGTATTTTGAGTAGAGACGGGATTTTACCATGTTGGCCAGGCTGGTCTCAAACTCCTGGCCTCAAGTGATCTGCTCGTCTTAGCCTCCTAAAGTGCTGGGATTACAGTTTTGAGCCACCACACCCAGTCTATTTCCACTCTTATCTTTATTGTGACCTTCCTTCTATTTGCTGTGGGTTGTTTGCTCTTACTTTTCCAGTGTGTTAAGGTGAAAAATTAGGTTATTGATTTGAGTTCTTCTTGTTTAACATAGTCATATGCAACTATTAATTTTCCTCTAAGCACTATTTTTGCTGCAACTCATGTTTTGGTATGTTGTGTTCTCAATTTCCTTTATCTCAAAATGTTCTCTAATTTCCTTTGTGATTTCTTCTTTGGCCCATTGGTTATTTCTGAATATGTTGTCATATTAAATGGATATAAAGCACTGAAGTCACTTTAGAAAAATTTAGGAGTTACTTAAAATGTTACTGTATGACCCAGCGATTTTATTCTTAGGTATATACCCAAGAGAACTGAAAACAGGCCGGGAGCAATGGCTCACGCCTGTGATCCCAGCACTTTGGGAGGCTGAGGCGGGCAGATCACGAGGTCAGGAGATCAAGACCAAGGTGAAACCCAGTCTCTACGAAAAAATACAAAAAAATTAGCCGGGCGCGGTGGTGGGCGCCTGTAGTCCCAGCTGCTCGGGAGGCTGAGGCAAGAGAATGGTGTGAACCCAGGAGGCGGAGCTTGCAGTGAGCCGAGATCGCACCACTGCACTCCAGCCTGGGCGACAGAGCGAGACTCCGTCTCAAAAAAAAAAAAAAAAGAGAACTGAAAACAAATTCTCACCAAAAATTATATACTCATGTGTATAGTTACATAGTAGCATTATTCATGATATTCAAAAAGTGGAAACAAGTAAAATGCCCATCAGTTGACGAATGTATAAACAAATGTGATATAGCCGTACAATGGAATTATTTGGACCTAAAGAGGAATGAAAATACTATATGTGTTACAACATGAATTAACTTTGAAAGCACTATGCTGGGTGAAATAAACCAGATACAAAAGGCTACATATTGTATAATTCTATTTATATGAAATGCCCAGAATAGGCAAATTCATAGAAACAGAAAGTGGGTTAGTAGTTGGCAGGATTGGAAGAGAGGAGAAATAGGCAGTGACTACTAATGGGTGTGGAGGTTTTTTGGGGGGTGATAAAAATATTATAGAATTAGTCATGATTGATGCACAACTATGTGAATCTATTGAAAGCCACTGAATTATGTTCTTTCAAAGTTTGAATAGTATATGAATTACATGTCACAATAAAGCTGTTGGTTTTTAAAAATATATTAAAATAACAGTGAGACAGTCCTGTGTGTAGCCTATCAGAGCTGTAAAAATGAAAAGATTTCATGATACTATTGATGGGAGTGTAAATTGGGATAATCTTCTTACTGGGCAACATGGTAACATTATCAAACTTTAAAACAGCATGTACCTTAGAATCAGCTATTCCATTTCTAAATATAATCCTACATCACCTCTAATAGAAATGCAAATGGATGGATGAATGAATGGATGGATGGATGGATAGATAGATGATTAATAGATACAGATATAAATATATGTACTATACCTATATATTCATATATATATACACACACAGTTATATGAAGTTGTTAATATTAGTAACTTCATAAAAGCTAGAAATAGGCTGGGCGTGGTGGCTCATGCCTGTAATTCCAGCACTTTGGGAGGCCAAGGCGGGTGGATCATGAGGTCAGAAGATCGAGACCATCCTGGCTAACAAGGTGAAACCCCGTCTCTACTAAAAATACAAAAACAAAATTAGCCGGGCATGGTGGTGGGCGTCTGTACTCCAAGCTACTCGGGAGGCTGAGGCGAGAGAATGGCGTGAACTCTGGAGGCGGAGCTTGCAGTGAGCCAAGATCACGCCACTGCACTCCAGCCTGGGCGACAGAGCGAGACTCCGTCTCAAAAACAAAAAACAAAACAAAACAAAAGCTAGAAATAGCCTATATGTCCAATATCACGAGTCTGTTTAAATCTTTTACAGTACATCTACATCATAATGGGTTGCTATTCAGTTTTTAAGCAGTGCATTATTATTTTATTGTCTATATAAGGTTTTAAAACTAAAAATAGACACGTGTAATTTAAGTGTCTGAGACATGTTTTATGGGACAAAATTCTAGTGTAACAATATATATGATATGATCCTCCTTATGTGAATAAAAGCATAAACATATGCTTATATCAACATAGAAAGATGTATAAATGTATATTTATACAACAGATAACGGTTATCCCTGATGAATAGTAGTGAGGGGATTTGAGGAATAAACAGTTGGATTTTCTTTTATACTTCCTACTATTTTGTTAAATGGTTTTATCATTGTAATAATAATTTACTTGAAAATATTACAACATACTACAAACACTTGTATTATTATAGCTTTTTATGCAGATTGAAGCTCTCTTTCCACAAAAATTTGGAAGATGGACCGACTATGCAAAAAGATACTGTAATGCACACATCAGGTAAGTTAAACTATTTTCCGTAAATTTTTTCCTCACATGTTTACTGTGAACATTGCTTTATTAATCATTCTTTTTTTTTTTGAGACAGAGTCTCACTCCCATCGCCCAGGCTGGACTGCAGTGGCACCATCATGGCTCACTACAATCTCTGCCTCCTGGGTTCAATCGATTCTTCTGCCTTAGCCTCCTGAGTAGCTGGGATTACAGGCATGCGCCACCATGCCCGGCTAATTTTTTTGTATTTTTAATAGAGATGGGGTTTCACCATGTTGGTCAGGCTGGTCTTGAACTCCTGACCTCAGGTTATTAATCATTCTTTATTCCAGTGTTTTACAAATTTGTGGTAGCTATGAAATAATTGGTGGACTATTATACATATAGGTGGATGACCTATATGTAAAATAAATAAAAGTAATAGATAATGGCAAAGTTTTCCTTTGTTTTTATTTTTTACTTTCTACTTTTTATTTTTGAAATTATTTATTTTTATTGGCTAGATTTACATGTAAATTATACAAAAGTAAAAACTAAGTGTTTCTTCCACTCTTGTCTCTCAGCAAACCATTTCCCTTCCCATGTAAGCAGTGTTGGCACTTTATTGTGTATCCTTCTGAAGATACCCTTTGGGTGAACAAGCATGTATGATTACATGTGTATAATATTATTTCATTTTATTTCAACATATATAGCACAATTTGTGCATTATTCTGCAGTTTGCTTTCTTCGTCTAGTATGTATTGTAGATCTTTCCATATCAGTTACTCAAAGAGCTTTGATATTCATTTTATTTTATTTTATCATATTTTTTTCAGACGGAGTCTCGCTCCGTTACCCAGGCTGGATGGAGTGCAGTGGTACAATCTCGGCTCACTGCAACCTCCGCTTCCGATGTTCAAGCAATTCTCCTGCCTCAGCCTCCTGAGTAGCTGAGATTACAGGCATGCGCAACCATGCCCGGCTAATTTTTGTTATTTTTACTAGAGATGGGGTTTCACCATGTTGGCCAGGCTGGTCTCAAACTCCTGACCTCAGGTGATTTGCCTGCCTTGACCTCCCGAAGTGCTGGGATTACAGGCTTGAGCCACCACGCCCAGCCTGTTATTCATTTTAAATGCTGTATCTATTCTACTGTTTAGAATTTATTTATGCAGTCTACTCTTATTGGACGTTTGTAGTATATAGCTGTGCATACAATGCAGCAATGAATATCTTTGCACATGTTGAGAGGTAGTATTTTATAGTTCTGAAGAGCATGGAAATTTAGAGCTAGACCACCTGTGTTTTATTTTCACGTCTGCTATTGCCGAACGCTTCATTTTAGAAAAGTAACTTTATCTCCTCATACCTCAGTTTCTTCAGCTCAAAAAAAATGGCAAATTATTATGCCTGCCTTGGAGAGTTATTATAAGACTTATATTAACTAATATTTCTAAAGTGCTTGAACAGTGACCATACATAGGGAGTACTTGATAATTGTTAGCTATTTTAGTATTTCATGCCATATGCATAGGGGAAAAATCTAAGATAAAGTTATAGAAGTGAAATTGCTAGTTTAAAGGGCATGTGCATTTTTATATTATTAGATTTTTCCAAATCATACTCCACGGAAGGTATAGCTTTTTATATTTCCACCAGCTTAGTGTCAGATTGTTTCTTTTTCCATACTTTTCAAACATAGTGAAATGTGAATTATTTTATTCTTGCCAATGTGAACTGATAGTAGCTTGTGACATTTGCCCATTATGTCATTAAATGCATTTGAGCATTATTTTTTCACACATATGAGTAATTTGTACTTTTTTTCTGTCAGTTGTCTATGTGTGCTGTTTGCCCTTCTGTCTACTAAATGTATTGGCTTTTTTCTTGATATGCTGAAAATCTTCATATATTACAAAAATAATCTCTTTATATGTGATATGAGTCTCTCATGTTTTGTTTCCCAATGCATTTTTTTTTTATAATTCCTTTAAATAACACCACATGGTCATGGTTTTCTGATGCTTTTTAAAGGGCTCCAAAGTACAAAGATAGAATTCTTCTAAATTGTTTCTATGAAGTCAGTCTAACACTTAATACCAAAATCAGACAAGATAGCACAAAAAATGAAAACGAGACTACAAATGCAGAAATCCTCAATATTAATAGATTAATGAAATCCAGAAACTCATTAAAAACCTAATATATTGATTATATGCAAATGGCATTCACATTAGGAATTCAAGGAAAGTTGAATATTAAGAAAGACATAAATATAATTCACCATATTAATAATGACAAAGAGAAACCTCATCATCTCTATATGTGCTGGAAGTCCTTAGGTAAAATATAGCATTTACCCTCCCTGTTTTTTTTTTTTTTTTTTTGGAGACAGAGTCTCACTCTGTTGCCCAGTCTGGAGTGCAGTGGCACAGTCACGGCTCACCGCAACCTCTGCCTCCCGGGTTCAAGCAGTTCTCCTGCCTCAGCCTCCAAGTAGCTGGGACTACAGCCGTGTGCTGCCATGCCCTGCTAATGTTTTTTTTTTTTTTTTTTTTTTTTTGGATTTTTAGTAGAGACAGGGTTTCGCCATATTGGCCAGGCTGGTCTTGAATTCCTGACCTCAGGTGATCCACCTGCCTCAGCCTCCCAAAGTGCTGGGATTACAGGTGTGAGCTACCATGCCCAGCCAACATTTACCCTTGATTACAGTTTTTAATAAATTTAGGGTATATATGTATATGTGTGTCTTTACATATATATAAGTGTATATATGTTTATGGGTGTCTTTCAATCCCAAAGCACTACCACATGAAACACTAAAATCCAGAAAAGGATGTTCACTATTACCACAGCTTACCTGTACTCTGGAGAACTGATAATTCAATTACTCAAAAGAACAATAAGAGGATATGAGGCTAATTTTGTCAGGAAAAAATTTTTTTACTTAAAAAAAAAGAAAAAAGACGGGCACAGTGACTCACACCTGTAATCCCAGCACTTTGGAAGGCCAAGGTAGGACAGTCACTTGAGCCCAGGAGTTTGACACTAGCCTAGGCAACATAGTAAGACCCCATCTCTATTAAAAGAGGTAAACATTTTCAAGAAAGAAAAAGTTATCATTATTTACAGCTGATGTTATTTATTTGGAAGACTGAGAATCAGCTGAAACATGTTCAAAAGAAGAATAGATTAAGATATCCTAGCACAAAGTTACTATTAAAAAGTCAGTTGTCGGCCAGGCGTGGTGGCTCACGCCTATAATCCCAGCACTTTGGGAGGCCGAGGTGGGCAGATCACTATTGGGGGAACCGGCCCCCAATATTTCAATGTAGGTTCTTTTCTATTTTCCCTAAGTGTTGGCTGGTCTGAGAAATAAAGGGAAAGAGTACAAAAGAGAGAAATTTTAAAGCTGGGTGTCCGGGGGAGACATCACATGTTGGCAGGTTCTGTGATGCCCCCTGAGCCGTAAAACCAGCAAGTTTTTATTAGCGATTTTCAAAAGGTAGGGAGTGTACGAATAGGCTGTGGGTCACAGAGATCACATGCTTCAAGGGCAATAAAATATCACAAGGCAAATGGGTAGGGCAAGGTCATAAGGCCAGGGTGAAACTAGAATTGCTGATTAAGTTCATGTCCCACTGTGCACCCATTATCTTTGATAAACATCTTAACAGGGTTCAAGAGCAGAGAACCAGTCTGACTAGAATTTGCCAGGCTGGAATCTCCTAATCCTAGTAAGCCTGGGGGCGCTGCAGGAGACCAGGGCGTGTTTCATCCCTATCTACAACTGCATAAGGCAGACACTCCCAGAGCGGCCATTTTAGAGGCCCCCCGCCCTGCCCTGGGAATGCATTATTTTCCCAGGGCTGTTAATTATTAATATTCCTTACTGGGGAAAGAATTCAGCGATATTTCTCTTACCCGTTTTCAGCAATAAGAGAAATACAGTTCTGTCCTGCCTGGCTCCCAAGCAGTCAGACCTAATGGTTATCTCCCTTGTTCCCTGAACATCGCTGTTACCCTGTTCTTTTTTCAAGGTGCCCAGATTTCATATTGTTCAAACACACATGCTCTACAAACAATTTGTGCAGATAATGCAATCATCACAGGATCCTGACGTGACATGCATCCTCAGTTTACAAAGATGATGGGATTAAGAGATTAAAGTAAACACAAGGATAGGAAATTATAAGAGTATTGATTGGGGAAGTGATACATGTCCATGAAGTCTTCACAATTTATGTTCTTCTGCTGTGGCTTCAGCCAGTCCCTCTGTTTGGGGTCCCTGACTTCCCGCAACAGATCACGAGATCCAGAGATCGAGACCATCCTGGCTAACATGATGAAACCCCGTCTCTACTAAAAGAAACAACAAGAAAAAAAATTAGCCAGGTGTGGTGGCGGGCACCTGTAGTCCCAGCTACTCTGAGGCAGGAGAGTGGCGTGAACCCGGGAGGTGGAGCTTTCAGTGAGCCGAGATAGCGCCACTGCACTCCAGCCTGGGCAGCAGAGCAAGACTCCATCTCAAAATCAATCAATCAATCAATAAATAGTCAGTTGTCTTTCTCTACACAAATAATATTTCTAAAATACAATGAAGATAAAAGATATAAGACTCAAGAATATTACTAAAGGACATATAAAAAGATAAATAAAAAGACATACTCCTGTTTGATGAAAAGACTTGGTATTATAAAGATTTTACTGTTTTTTTTGAGACGGAATCTCACTCTGTTGACCAGCCTGGGGTGCAATGGTGCGGTCTTGGCTCATTGCAACCTCCACCTCCTAGGTTCAAGCAATTCTCCTGCCTCAGCCTCCCGAGTAGCTGAGATTACAGGCGCGTGCCGCCACCACACCCGGCTAATTTTTGTATTTTTACAAAATACAAAAAATACATGGTTTCCCCATGTTGGCCAGGCTGGTCTTGAACTCCTGACCTCATGATCTGCCTGCCTTAGCCTCCCAAGTTGCTGGGATTACAGGTGTGAGCCACCTCACCCGGCCAAGATTTTACTTTTTTCTGAACTTAGGTAGATATAATATATTCAAATAAGAATATTTTTCTTGTAGATCCAGAAAATTGATTCTAAATGTTATTTGAAAAAATAAATAAGCAACAATTGCCAAGAAAGTTATGAAAAACTAGAGTATTAAAAAAAGGGGGTTGGGCGCAGTAGCTAACGCCTGTAATCCTAGCACTTTGAGAGGCCAAGCCAGGTAGATCACCTGAGGTCAGGAGTTCGAGACCAGTTTGGCCAACATGGTGAAACCCCATCTCTAATAAAAATACAAAAATTAGCTGGGCGTGGTGGCGGGCACCTGTAATCCCAGCTACTCAGGAGGCTGAGGCAGGAGAATCACTAGAACTGAGGAGGCGGAGGTTGTAGTGAGCCGAGATCGCGCCATTGCCCTCCAGCCTGGGCGACAAGAGCAAGACTCTGTCTTAAAAAAAAAAAAAAAAAAGAAAAGGGACAGGGATTCTTTCCCTTCTTCTTACACAACAATAAATTCCAGATGAATAAAATATTTAAACATTATTAAATAAAACCCTAAATAAAACATAGAGGAATTCTTTTATAACTTTGTTTTAGGGAAGTCATAAAAAGGAATATATTTGATTGTGTAAGAATTTAAAAGGTGTCACCCTTCTAGAAAATATCTATAAAGTAAAAAATTTCTAATTAAGGAAAAATTATTTATGTGTTGCGAATTAAAGAGAAGGCTAATTTCAGCGACTGAGAAAGATGTGCAAAAAATGTAAACAAATAATTGATAGAAAAGGAAATACAAATAGGTTTTAACTGCATAAATCTAATTGATAAGAGGAATTTAAATTGAAACTACAGTAAGACAAAGTTTTACCTATTACAGTTATAAAAATTATAACATTTAACAAAACAGTATATCATGAGCATATGAAGAAACAAACTGTCTTACATTGTTGAAAGGAATGTTATGGCTATACCATCTGTTTTGGGTTTTTTTTGAGACAGGGTCTTGCTTTGTCACCCAGGTTGGAGTGCAGTGGCACAATCATGGCTCAGTGTAGCCTCAACTGCCTTGGCTCAGGTGATCCTCCCACCTCAGTCTCCCTAGTAGCTGGGACTACAGGGATGCACTACCATGTCTGGCTAATTCTTTGTTTTTTTTGTTGTTTTTTTTTTCAGATGGAGTCTTGCTGTGTCACCCAGGCTGGAGTGCAGTGGCACGCTCACTGCAACCTCTGCCTCCCGGGTTCAAGCGATTCTCCTGCCTCAGCCTCCCAAGTAGCTGGGATTACAGGCATGCACCACCACACCCAGCTAATTTTTGTATTTTTAGTAGAGACGGGTTTTACCACATTGGTGAAGCTGTTCTCGAACTCCTGACCTGAGGTGTTCCGCCCACCCTGGCCTCCCAAAGTGCTGGGATTACAGGCATGAGCCACCACACCTGGCAATTAAAAAATTTTTTTTTGTAGATACGGGGTGTCAGTATGTTGCCCAGCCTTGTCTGGAACTCTGGGCTTCAGCGATCCTCCCACTTCAGCATCCTTAAGTGCTGGAATTACAGTCATGAGCCACCCTGCCTGGCCTATACCATCTATTGATAGAAATTTCACTATACCTACCAAACATTGAAAAGCCCATACATTTATTCTAGCAATTAAAATATAAGTTTATCTTACACTTGTTCATATATACTATTGTATGTAATTGTTCATGTGTGTTCTTATACATGTGTTATTCACATATTTATTAAATACACAACATATAGATATACACATACACACATATGCACATGTATGCAAAATTGAAATTGCGTGTTTAGTAAATAATACATGATTGGATAACAACTAGTTGTAGAGAACTTACTGTAAATTATTGTACCTCCATACAGTGGAATACTGTGTAATCTTGATGCAACTCATTTCCAAGATACAGTGTTGAAAGAAAAGGAAATTACAGAAAATTGTGTTATCTTTTGTATTTTTTAAAATGTATATGTGTAAAACACACGCACTGATTTTCCCTGGATGTCTTGAAATTGTCAACATGGTAGCCTCTGATGCCCCTGACCCAACTGACAGTCTCTGAGACTTCTCTATAGAAGCCACGCGGCACTGTGGTGTCCACTTTGCATGCTGTTAGTTTAACTGTTCAGCATAGTGTGATTACCCAGCTGGCTGGAGATTTATAAGAAGAGACCAGTTTGCAGTGGCAAGTGATCAGATTGATAGGGAACTTGACCTGCATTGTATTCCTCATTGGAGTGAGTTACTAGCTAGAAGCTCTTTGAGGGCAGAACACTTGTTTTTTCCAGTATTCTATTCCCAATGGCTAACACGGCACCTGGCACATGATATCCAATGTTTATTGAATTATTGAATACTGGATCTGGGTTTTTTTTGTATGCTAGATCCATGTAACTTCTTGACATGAATAACATCATTCATCTGCTAAATTCACAGATGTTGTCAAACTAATGGGGTTACTCAGATATAACTTAAAATTGCTCTGAAAATTGACATAGTATTAAAAAATACGCAGCACAGTCATCTTGGAGAAGCATTTCTTATACTTTAGATTTGGAGCTTCTGGAATAAAATGGCTGAACTAAGTGATTTGGATAATCTTTCCCAGCTCAAAGTTTTGTTTCTTCATATTGACTTTAAAAATCATGAGCAAAACAGGGATTCTTCTTATATTAAGTGAAATACTAAGAGGAGTACTTACGTAACTGACACTGTTACATTTATTTTACTACTTCTGTATAAAAGAAAAAAATGGAAAAACTAGTATAATTTGGCTACTTTCTATTAAGAATTTTAATTTAATATAGTTTTGTGACTTGGACTGAGAGAGTTCTGTGACACAGTTCTTAGTTGTTTTTCTGGTAACTGGGGGCATAATTAATTTGCTAACATCAGTTTTGATTAAACTATAAATCCATTTAGATGCTAGTTTGACCAAAGTAATAACTCTTTAGTCTTTACCAAGTGATTTTTTTTAACAGTGCATGGAAATGACTATAATGATTTTGCTACAGTGCCACAAATTAATATCCCTTCCCTCCACTAGGAAATCAACAGCAGCAAATGTAGTTAACACTGTTAGTTGTCTACCCCGTCTTCCTTCCAAGCAGGTTTCTGATTTACTTCAGTTATATATACATATCTATAGCACTCTGGGGAAGTTGACTTTGTATCCTTTTTCCCTGATGGATTCTGGTCATTCTAAGCCAGTTAACACATAGTATTCTTCAGACAACTGTTAACGGTCTAGGGTTGGTCTTGTGCCAAGCATGCTGAAGAAAGGCTTTATTTCCAGGATGGAGGACAAGATAAGCATCTTAAGCTGAATATGAACAAAGAAGCATGTTGTCCTACCTACTTCTGGTAGCTGTCTTCTGACCATGGTGGGTATCGGGTTTAGATTAGGCAAGCTTTTTAATGGCACAGTGACAAGGTGCAAGGAATACAAGAGTTGACCAATCCAGGAGCCTTCCTGGACTCTGAATTCCTTTTATTCATGTTGTAAAACGTTTCTTTTTTTATTAAACAATCTTGATTCAGAGTTTCAGTTCCTTATAGCCAAAAACCATGGTTCCTGGCATGTCATTTCTAAATATTCATTTTGTTCCTATCATAGGTCTTTTTTTTTCATGATGCTAGGTATTGGTGGGAAGCCCTTAATTGTAATTGTTGCAGACTGTAAATGCCTAAAATTTGCCCACATAAAACAAACATACTTACCTGCATTTATCTTTTGGAGTCTGGAACAACCCACGTGGTCAATAAGCATTTCTTTTTTTGTTTCCTGACTAGAACTTGTCATATGACAACAGAAAGAGAGAGTATACCTGTCTCTTTCTTACTTAATGCCTACCCTGTTTCATAAAAAAATTCATCTCTGTGAAATGCTTTATGATTGTGGAGGACATGTTCTGTTTTCTGGAGAAAGCCATTTCAAGATTAATATCATGCTTCTCAAAAGGCATTTTCTTTCAGGTTCCATTTCAGAAGTTTTATGTTATTCCTTTACTTCTTTACCTTGAAAGCACTATGGTTCCATAGACTCTAACTCAGCTCAAGTCACTTCCTGGCATTTTAAGTTAGTCTGTGGAGTGCTATATATTTTTCCATAATGTTTTGATTCTGTGAAGGTGTCATTTTCACACTATAATTTTGCAGAATGCAAATTTTGGTTAGTTATTCAGTTCTAGACCCATATTTTATATTTGAAATGTCATGACTGTATTCAAAATAAGTTAAGTGAAGCTTCAGCAAAAATATAATTTTGCTTTTATAAAGTGTATTAAATACCTAAGTAATGACAAACAGAAATGTACTAATGCAAATGTAGTTCAGGGATGAGAAGTTAGGGTATAGGTAACCAGCTACCTGGTTTGACTTGAGACAGACAGCAGAAGTATTACTCAACCAGAACATCTCTTATCCAAAATGCCTTACATCATTCACTTCACAGGGTTATATTTAGAAGAAACTATAAATACAAATATGATTTGGAGAAGGCAACATACTCAGTTGTCAACCATTAGCACATTGAATGATCAATTGTTAAAGCTAAAAGACTTTGGAGATCACCCAGTTCCCCTCTGTCATTTTATAAGCACTTGGTGAGTTTAAATGGCTTGCTCTATCTCACTTCCTTTTATGTTGTTTTTTTTTCCCCCTGGAAGTAATGAAAACTTAGGGAATGGCAACTTTAATAAATATTCTTTTACATAGAAAAAGAGAACACATAGATAACCCAGCCAAGCATCCTGTTACCAGCAGCTGTCTTCAAAAAGTATGCTGTGAGAAGACATATTGGTCGTCCCTAATATTATGTTTTTGTTTTTGTTGTTTTGTTTTGTTTTGTTTTGTTTTGTTTGAGACAGAGTCTTGCTCTTTTGCCTGGGTTGGAGTGCAGTGGTGCAATCTCTGCTCACTGCAACCTCCGCTTCCCTGGTTCAAGAGATTGTCCTGCCTCAGCCTCGCAAATAGGTGGGACTGCAGGCATGTGTCACCACACCAGGCAAATTTTTGTATTTTTAGTGGAAACAGGGTTTCACCATGTTGGCCAAGCTGTTGTCGAACTCCAGACCTCAAGCCATCTGCCCACCTCAGCTTCCCAAAATGCTAGGATTTACAGGCATGAGGCACAGCGCCCAGCCTCTTCCAATGGTGTGTTAATGTTATGTTTGAATTACTGTTGAATTACTATGTTAATGTAATGTTATGTTTGAATTACTGTTAAGATATTCTAGACACTATTCTGTGTCACCCAGAATAGTGTCTAGAATATCTTGACAATAATTCATCAATTTTTAAAATGTTATTTGTCATTGATATTTTGTACCATTTCCACCTCTAAGGAGAATTCGTTGTCTAAATTTTTATGAGAGGAAAAATGCTGCATGATAATACAAATTAAAAGTATTTATAGACATACCTAAAGATTGTTAATTAATGGGTCATTGTCAGCTTCAAGAAATGTCTCAAGGGAGAGCATCAGGATAAATAGCTAATGCATACGGGGCTTAATACCTAGGTGATGGGTTGATAGGTACAGCAAACCACATGGCACTCATTTACCTGTGTAACAAACTGCACATCCTGCATATGTATCCTGGAACTTAAAATTAAATTAAATTATTTTTATTTTTATTTTTAAAATATATTTATTTTTGAGATGGAGTCTTGCTCTGTCGCCCAGGCTGGAGTGCAGTGGTGCGATCTCAGCACACTGCAACCTCCGCCTCCCAGGTTCAACCGATTCTCTTGCCTCAGCCTCCTAAGTAGCTGGGACTACAGGCGCGCGCCACCATGCCTGGCTAAATTTTTGTATTTTTAGTAGAGACGGGGTTTCACCATGTTAGCCAGGATGGTCTCGATCTCCTGACCTCGTGATCCACCTGCCTCGGCCTCCCAGAGTGCTGGGATTATAGACGTGAGCTACCGCGACTGGCCTAAATTAAATTAAATTAAAAAAAAATGTCTCTCATGGAATTGCACTGTCCCTCCTTTGTCCTCAGCATTGTTGCATTTAATGTTCTCACCCATGGCTGAATAGAGGTTGTGTCTATTCCATTGGCAAATGGTTCGAATCTGAGAGAAATAGTTAATATAGTGGATGGCAGAGATATGTTTGAAAAATAATTAGATAAATATTAATAGAATATGTATTCTGCATTGAGACTTAGAAAGTCAGCTTTGTGTGGAAGGGATTTGAGAAACCCTCACCTATTTATCAATAGTTCAGTTCTAAAAGATTTGTGGTTTTGAATAACCTTAGGCTAAATTGGAGTAAGGGGTGCTTCTACTCCATTCATTGATTAGACTGCATTTAGAGTACAGTTTAATTTTGAATTTATCCATTCATTCTGAAAGTATTTTAGGATGCCTCTTACATGCTAAGCCATGTAGTAGCCATCAGATATGCATTAGAGAACAAGACCCACATAGTCCAGCCTTCACTGAGTTTTCAAGTCAAATACTAACCTAGTTGAATATTCTAGAACTAAAAGAAGAGAGTTTCAAGATAGTGACGGAGTTAGGTAGGGATAATATACAGAGTCTTGTTCTTCATCATAATGGCAATAAGAAGACATTGCAGGGTAGTTTGGTTTTTAGTTATCAGTATTGTAGTTTTTTAATTGCAGTAAAATATGCATAACAAAATTTACCATTTAAGTATTTTTAAATGTACAGTTCAGTAGATACAGTTGCCTGTATATGTTTTAGGTTTTTCAATTGCAGTAAAATATGTACAACAAAATTTACCATTTAAACATTTTTAAATGTGCAATTCAGTGACTTTCAATACATTCTAATGTGTTTCAGTACATTCTGTTGTTGTGCAACCATTACCACTTTTCATCATCAGAACTTTTTCATCATTACAGATTGAAACTCTGTACCCATTAAATAATTGACCCCATTTCCGCCTCCCCTAGTCCCTATAATGTAAAACTTAGAGCATGAAACAAACATCATTAGATTTATAGATTTGATTTATTATCTAAGATATTTCACATGGTTCAAAATTCTAACCTATGGAAGAGTATACACATTGAAAAATCCCTTTTACCTAAGTTCTCCCTATAGGCGACTGTATGTAGTTTTTAATCTTCCCTCAGAAACTGTGTGCATATTCAGGCAAATTCATTGTTTTAAAAAGATTGTAATATAAGCATAAACATTGTTTTGTACTTTCCCTTTTTGTCTTTTTTTCATATACATAAATGGTATACATTATGGTTGCATGTCATTGTATCATTGGAAATATACTGTACTTTCGGGGATGGCAGGAAGTTGAGAGTTTGCCTTGTACAGTTTATATTTTCTCTGTGGAATGGGAAGGACAATCATAGGTTCAGAGAAATGGAAAAATAGAGGGTTAAAGGTTTCATGAAAGTTGATGTGGTTTGAAATTTTACCAAATGAGAATGAGATTAGTGTGGTAGGATTGTTAACAGCTCTAGTAATCATTTGAGATCAGCAACTGCAGATTTGTAATGGAACCAGTTTTCTCTAAGGTACAATTTCTCCAGCCACACCCAGCAGCCTGGATACAGGCATGGAAAAGGCTTCAGGCCTTTTTGATCCTGAGGTTGGATCCATTCAAGATTGGATTTTTTCAACAGCTTATGATGCATGGACTGTGGGACAAGGGAACTTAAACTATATTTATAAGAACAAAGGTAATGTATGAACTCAGAAATCAACAGGGCTGAGGAAAGATGTGAAGACAGAAAAAATATAATGGATTTGGAAATTAGAGGAGTCAGTTGACTGAAATGTATTGATGCAATAGTAAAGACATAGTGAGTATGAATGAACAAGCACCTTCGAAGGATGGGGTAAGTAGAGAGTAGAATGTCTCAATTTACCAGGTAGAACGGTTTCTTAGGACCTGGTTGTAACCATAGGGATAGTTGGAGTAGGTTTTAGAGGGTCATTGAAGACAATGAGTGTGAGGAACTAAGAGGGAACTAGAAGCCATGTTTTAAGAAGCATTTTAACAAATGAAAACATATCTGGAAAAGGGTGACCAGAATAATGAGAGGAATCTCATATTCAGTTCAAAAATGTCTAATGTTATTGATTGCCTACTATATTTAAGACATTATTTCAGAGCTGCCGGCAATACAAAGATGAATAAGACATAGTACTTGATCTTATGAAGCCTACAGGAATTTGAAAACGAGAAGCCCTAAGGGGAGCAGGTTTTTAAATATTTAAAGATCTGTCATGTTCTAAAAGAATTAGACTTCTGTCTTTGTGGCCTCAGAGAGCAAAACTAGTATCAAGCAGTGGAACTTAATAGGGAGGTAGATTTTGGCTTAATATGAGTAAGAAGTTTTAAAATATATGTACTTATGTATTAAGCACTATAACAATAAAAATGGAAAGGAAAAATACCATAATTCTACTATACTAATAAGTAAACTGTTTTCATTTTTTATTTCTACTCTTGTCTATAGATCTAATTATTTTTACAAAGTTTTATCTATCTTACATGTAATGAATGCTATCATCTGCTAATTTTCTCTTAGGAATGCCTTGTCCCATGCATTAACATTGTCTTTATAAGTTGTTTCATTTCCTTTACTTTTATTGATTTAAAGATAGTTTATTTCATTTTGGAAAGTTATTCATACTTATTTTTAACAAACCACACATAGAAAAAAACATTTTCTTAAAAAAGTAAAAGTCTCCTAGTGTCTGATAAAACAGACTTTAAACCAACAAAGATCAAAAGAGACAAAGAAGACCATTACTATAATGGTAAAGGGATCCATTCAACAAGAAGAGCTAACTATCCTAAATATATATGCACCCAATACAGGAGCACCCAGATTCATAAAGCAAGTCCTTAGAGAGCTACAAAGAGACCTAGACTCCCAAACAATAATAATGGGAGACTTTTTAACACCCCACTGTCAATATTAGACAGATCAGCGACACAGAAGATTAACAAGGATATCCAGGACTTGAACACAGTGCAGACCTAATAGACATCTACAGAACTCTCCACCCCAAATCAACAGAATATACATTCTTTTTAGCACCACATCACACTTACTCTAATATTGACCACATAATTGGAAGTAAAGCACTCCTCAGCAAATGTAAAAGAAATCACAACAAACTGTCTCTCAGACCACAGTCCAATCAAATTAGAACTCAAGATTAAGAAACTCACTCAAAACTGCACAACTACATGGAAACTGAACAGTCTTCTCCTGAATGACTAGTGGGTAAATAATGAAATGAAGGCAGAAATAAAGGTGTTCTTTGAAACCAATGAGAAAAAAGGCACAACGTACCAGAATCTCTGGGACACATTTAAAGCAGTGTGTAGAGGGAAATTTATAGCACTAAATGCCCATAAGAGAAAGCAGGAAAGATCTAAAATCGACACCCTAATATCACAGTTAAAAGAACTAGAGAAGCAAGAGCAAACACATTCAAAAGCTAGCAGAAGGCAGGAAATAGTTTAACTAATATCAGAGCAGAACTGAAGGAGATAGAGACACAAAAAACCAAAATCAATGATTCAAAAAATCAATGAATCCAGGAGCTGGTTTTTTGAAAAGATCAACAAAATTGATAGACTACTAGCAAGACTAATGAAGAAAAGAGAGAAGAATCAAATAGACGCAATAAAAAATGATAAAAGGGATATCATCACTCATCCCACGGAAATACAAACTACCGTCAGAGAATACTATAAACACCTCTATACAAATAAACTAGAAAATCTAGAAGAAATGGAAAAATTCCTGGACACATACACCCTCCCAAGACTAAACCAGGAAGAAGTTGAATCTCTGAATAGACCAATAACAGGCTCTGAAATTGAGGCAAAAATAGCCTGCTAACCAAAAAAAAGTCCAGGACCAGACAGATTCACAGGGAATTCTACCAGAATTACAAAGAGGAGCTCGTGCCATTCCTTCTGAAACTATTCCAATCAATAGAAAAAGAGGGAATCCTCCCTAACTCATTTTATGAGGCCAGCATCATCCTGATACCAATGCCTAGCAGAGACATGACAAAAAAACAGAATTTTAGATGAATATCCCTGATGAACATCGATGCGAAAATCCTTAATAAAATACTGGCAAACAATCCAGCAGCACATCAAAGAGCTTATCCACCACGATCAAGTCAGCTTCATCCCTGGGATGCAAGCCTGGTTCAACATAACGCAAATCAATAAATGTAATCCATCACATAAACGGAACCAATGACAAAAGCCACATGATTATCTCAACAGATGCAAAAAGGCCTTCTACAAAATTCAACAGCCCTTCATGCCAAAAACTGTAACTAAACTAGGTATTGATGGAATGCATCTCAAAATAATAAGAGCTATTTATGATCAATCCACAGCCAATATCATACTGAATGGGTAAAAACTGGAAGCATTACCTCTGAAAACTGGCACAAGACAAGGATGCACTCTCTCACCACTCCTATTCAACATATTGTTGGAAGTTCTGGCCAGGGCTATCAGGCAAGAGAAAGAAATAAAGGGTATTCAGTTAGGAAAAGAGGAAGTCAAATTGTCCCTGTTTGCAGATGACATGATTATATATTTAGAAAACCCCACTGTCTCAGCCCAAAATCTCCTTAAGCTGATAAGCAACTTCAGCAAAGTCTCACAATATAAAATCAATGTGCAAAAATCACAAGCCTTCCTATACACCAAAAACAGACAAACAGAGAGCCAAATCATGAGTGAACTCCCATTCACAATTGTTACAAAGAGAATACAAAGGAATCCAACTTACAAAGGATGTGAAGGACCTCTTCAAAGAGAGCTACAAACCACTGCTCAGTGAAATAAAAGAGGACACAAACAAATGGAAGAACATTCCATGCTCATGGATAGGAAGAATCAATATCATGAAAATGGCCATACTGCCCAAGGTAGTTTATAGATTCAATGCTATCCCCATCACGCTACCAATGACTTTCTTCACAGAATTGGAAAAAACTACTTTAAAGTTCATATGGAACCAAAAAAGAGTCTGCATTGCCAAGACAATCCTAAGCAAAAAGAACAAAGCTGGAGGCATTATGCCACCTGGCTTCAAACTATGCTGTAAGGCTACAGTAACCAAAACAGCATGGTACTGGTACCAAAACAGATATATTGAGCAATAGAACAGAACAGAGGCCTCAGAAATAACACCACACATCTACAACCATCTGATCTTTGACAAACCCAACAAAAACAAATATGGGGAAAGGATTACCTGTTTAATAAATGATGCTCGAAAAACTGGCTAGCCATGTGTAGAAAGCTGAAACTGGACCCCTTCTTTACACCTTATACAAAAATTAATTCAAGATGGATTAAAGACTTACATGTTAGACCTAAACCCATAAAAACCCTAGAAGAAAACCTAGGCAATATCATTCAGGATATAGGCATGGGCAAGGGCCTCATGACTAAAACACCAAAAGCAATGGCAACAAAAGCCAAAATAGACAAATGGGATCTAATTAAACTAAAGGGCTTCTGCACTGCAAAAGAAACTATCATCAGAGTGAACAGGCAACCTACAAAATGGGAGAAAATTTTTGCAATTTACCCATCTGAAAAAGGGCTAATATCCAGAATCTGCAAAGAACTTAAACAAATTTCCAAGAAAAAATCAACCCCAGCCAAAAGTGGGCAAAGGATATGAACAGACACTTCTCAAAAGAAGACACTTACGCAGCCAACAGACACATGAAAAAATGCTCATCATCACTGCTCATCAGAGGAATGCAAATCAAAACCACAATGAGATACCATCTCACACCAGTTAGAATGGCAATCATTAAAAAGTCAGGAAACAACACATGCTGGAGAAGACGTGGAGAAATAGGAATGTTTTTACAGTGTTTGTGGGAGTGTAAACTAGTTCAACCATTGTGGAAGACAGTGTGGCGATTCCTCAAGGATCTAGAACTAGAAATACCATTTGACCCAGTGATCCCATTTCTGGATATATACTCTAAGGATTATAAGTCATGCTGCTATAAAGACACATGCACACGTATCTTTATTGTGGCACTATTCACAATAGCAAAGAGTTGGAACCAAACCAAATGTCCATCAATGATAGACTGGATTAAGAAAATGTGGTACATATACACCATGGAATGCTATGCAGCCATAAAAAAGGATGAGTTCATGTCCTTTGCAGCGACGTGGATGAAACTGGAAACCATCATTCTCAAACTATCACAAGGACAGAAAACCAAACACCACATGTTCTCACTCTTATGTGGGAATTGAACAGTGAGAATGCTTGGACATAGGGCAGGGAACATCACACATGGGGGCCTGTTGGGGGGTGGGGGCCTGGGGGAGGGATAGCATTAGGAGAAATACCTAATGTAAATGACGAGTTGATGGGTGCAGCAAACCAACGTGGCACATGTAAACCTATGTAACAAACCTGCATGTTGTGCACATGTACCCTAGAACTTAAAGTATAATAATAATAATAAAAATTGGCTTTAACTAAAAAAAAAAATTAAAAGTCAACTGAAGTGCTTTCGTAACTTTCCCTCTAGACAGCTTCTCTACTTAAGTACATAAAGAAGGATGAATTGATAAGCAATTTTATATAAATAAGATCATATTGTACACACTTTTCTGTAATATGTCTTTATCACAATACTATCTTAGGACATTTTTTGATATCAGTAACTAAAATACATAATTTTTATTGGCTATATGATTATATTTTATATATGATACTATGCCATGTGTTTTAGATGTATTATCTTTAATTCCTTTAACAATCCTACAAGGCAGATGATAGTATGTCCATTTTATAGATGAGGAAGCTGTATTTGGAAAGGTTAAGCTGTATTTGGAACGGTTAAGTAACTTGTCAAATCACATAACTAAACAGTGAAAAAACAAGAATATAAACACCCTTTGACACCCGTTTTCTTCTGTTCTCCTTCCAGTATTTGAATTATTTGGTAATTCAGTGTCCAGTTTTATATTATTGACTAAGTATATTAAATTAATGGACTAAATAAATTAATATTATTCTCTACTAAATCAAGAAGTTGACTGTTCCTTTCTTAGTCAACTTTTTGTTTACCTTATAATTCATTTTTTTCCCATCTGTTTGGTTTTCTATATAGCTATTGCTGCTTTTTCACTGAAAGACTCCAACCAATCTGTCAACTTCCAACATGTCTTATAAGCACATAAAATAATCTTTTTTCGTTTTCCTGGAGATTTTCCTCCCACAGCCTTCTGTTATGCTCCAATCTAAACCAATTTTTCTTTAGGCATGGCAGAAAGCTGTCACCCTGAATTTCCTTGGGCCATTCTGCTCTGTTGGATCCTCACATTCCTGGATTTCATGACTTTTATTTCTTAGTTTATTCCCTGATATTTTAAATATTTTATTATGGAAAAAATTAACATATACAAAAGTACATCCTATAGTATAATGAACCCCCCATGTACTCATTACCCAGCTTCAACAATGATTATCTCATGACCAGTTTTATTTTTGCTATGCTCCCATCTACCTCTTCTACTCCATATTATTTTGAAGGAAATCCTAGAGATTGTATTTTATCTATAAAATGTTTCACATATGTCTCTAAAGAGTAAGGAAGGACTGTTCTTTTTTTTTTTTTTTTTTTTTTTTGAGATGGAGTCTTGTTCTGCTGCAAGGTTGGAGTGCAGTGGCGTGATCTCTGCTCACTGCACCCTCTGCCTCCCAGGTTCAAGCAATTCCCCTGCCTCAGCCTCCTGAGTAGCTGGGACTACAGGTGTGCACCACCACGCCTGGCTAATTTTTTGTATTTTATTAGAGATGGGGTTTCACCGTGTTGGCCAGGATGGTCCCAATCTCCTGACCTCATGATCTGCCCGCCTCAGCCTCCCAAAGTGCTGGGATTACAGGCATGATCCACCATGCCTGGCCGGGACTGTTCTTAAAAATAATTATGCGGGACTTAATACCTAAGTCATGGGTTAATAGGTGCAGCAAACCACCATGGCACACGTTTACCTATGTAACAAACCTGCACATTCTGCACATGTATCCCGGAACTAAAAGTAAAATTTAAAAAAAACTATAAATTTTAATCCCCATTTAAAAAGTAATTAATTATAATACCATTATTATACCTTAAAAATTAAAATTAATTGCATTAAATCCCTTGATTGCATTAAAAATGCAGTAAATGGTTGGGTGATGGGTGCGCCAAAATTTCACAAATCACCACTAAAGAACTTATTCATGTAACCAGAGACCACCTGTACCCCAGTAACCTATGGAAAAGCACAAACATGCACACACACATAAAACATATTTAATTTTACATAATTAAAATGCACTTTTTATGTTATAAAAAATGAAGTAAAGGTTGAAATTTCCAGTTGTTTTGTGAATACATAATTTTACTGTTTTTTGGGGTTCTTTTTAGTTTTTTCCCTGTAGTTTGTATAGATCAGTACCCAAATAAGGCTCACATACAGCAAATGATAGATGTCACTGAAGTCTTGGGTTTCTCTTTTATTTCCTTGTTTTATTTATTTATTTTTCCATTGTGGAAGAATCTAAATTGTTTTTGTAATCTAGATTCTGCTGCCTGCATCCTCATGGTGTTGTTTAACATGTTCCTTTGTCCTCTGTATTTCCATGTTCGTATTTAGATCTAGAAACTTCTAATATTTGGAGACAATTCTCCTTTGTAGTGATGTTTTCTTCTGTTAGGAGATATCTAAAGCCTCTCTTTTTATGATGTTAGCAGCTGTGAATGTTCAGTACATTATTAAGCCTTTGGACATTGCAGAATGGTGATATTCTAACACACTTTCTTCATTTAATAGTTGGCCTGCCTCATGGCCGGGTGCGGTGGCTTACACCCATAATCCCAGCACTTTTGGAGGCTGAGGTGGGTGAATCATGAGGTCAGGAGATCAAGACCGTCCTGGCTAACATGGTGAAACCCCATCTCTACTAAAAATACAAAAACAAAATTAGCCAGGCATGGTGGCAGCCACCTGTAGTCGCAGCTACAGGCTGAGGCAGGAGAATGGCGTGAACCTGGGAGGCGGAGCTTGCAGTGAGCCAAGATTACGCCACTGCACTCCAGCCTGGAGACTCCATCTCAAAAAAAAAAATAGTTGGCATGCCTCTTTAAAATAAAACCTCATCATAATTTATTATGTGGACATTCACTGGTTCAGTTTGCTTAAGAAAGGCAGGATAAATTTTTTCCTTCTCATTTATTAATTTTCAATGTAATAAGTTGTTTTGTTAGCAACTTACAGTGGTGTCCAGTGCTTTTTATTTTCAAAGTTGGCAAGTTTAAGTCCTTCAACTTTGTTCTTTTTCAAGGTTGTTTTGGCTATTCTGTGTCACTTGCATTTTTATGTAAATTTCTGTATCAGCTTGTCAACTTCAGCAAAGAAGTCAGCTGGAATTTTGATACAGATTGCATTGAATCTGTAGATTAACTTTGGGAGTTTAGCATCTTTATAATAGTAAGTTTTCAAATTCATGAACAGTAATGTCTTTCCATTTATTTAATTAAAAAAGAAATCCTACAATGTTGTGTAGCTTTCAGGGTATAAGTATTACATTTTAAACAAATTTACAAGAAAAAAACAACCCCATCAACAAGTGGGCAAAGGATATGAAAAGACACTTCTCAAAAGAAGACATTTATGCAGCCAACAGACATGAAAAAATGCTCATCATCACTGCTCATCAGAGAAATGCAAATCAAAACCACAATGAGATACCATCTCACACCAGTTAGAATGGCGATCATTAAAAAGTCAGGAAACAACAGGTGCTGGAGAGGATGTGGAGAAATAGGAACACTTTTACACTGTTGGTGGGACTGTAAACTGTTTCAACCATTATGGAAGACAGTGTGGCGATTCCTCAAGGATCTAGAACTAGAAATACCATTTGACCCAGCCATCCCATTACTGGGTATATACCCAAAGGATTATAAATAATGCTGCTATAAAGACACATGCACGCGTATGTTTATTGCGGCACTATTCACAATAGCAAAGACCTGGAGCCAACCCAAATGTCCAACAATGATAGACTGGATTAAGAAAATGTGGCACATGTACACCATGGAATACTGTGCAGCCATAAAAAATGATGAGTTCATGTCCTTTGTTGGGACATGGATGAAGCTGGAAACCATCATTCTCAGCAAAGTATCACAAGAACAAAAAACCAAACATCGCATATTCTCACTCATAGGTGGGAATTGAACAGTGAGAACACTTGGACACAGGAAAGGGGACATCACACACCGGGGCCTGTTGTGGGGTGAGGGGAGGGGGGAGGGATAGCATTAGGAGATATACCTAATGTTAAATGATGAGTTAATGGGTGCAGCACACCAACATGGCACATGTATACATATGTAACAAACCTCCACGTTGTGCACATGTACCCTAGAACTTAAAGTATAATAATAATAAAAAAAAATCAAGATGAGGGCCAGACACAGTGGCTCATGCCTATAATCCCAGCACTTTGGGAGGCCGAGGTGGGCGGATCACCTGAGGTCAGGAGTTCGAGACCAGCCTGACCAACATGGCGAAACCCCATCTGTACTAAAAATATAAAAATTAGCTGGAGGTGGCTGTTGCATGCCTGTAATCTCAGCTGCTCAGGAGGCTGTGACAGGAGAATCACTTGGACCCAGGAGGCAGAGGTTGCAGTGAGCCGAGATCGAACCACTGCACTCCAGCCTGGAGATGGAGTGCTCTCCTGAGATGGAGAGCAAGACTCCATCTCAAAAAAAAAGAGAAAAAATCAAGGTGAGGAAAGACCCTTTCTAATTCTAGTTTATTGAGTATTTGAGAGTTTTTAACTCATGTTTTTTTTGAATCAATTTTATTTATAATCCTTATTGATCATCAAATTGTCCCTCTTTTGACCGATGGGATGATCTCCAATTACTTTGTAATTTACATTCTACTCTTTTCATGATGATACCTTTATTCCACTTTCAGAGCACTTTGATAGTTCAGTATTTAGGGAGCAAGTTTGTGTTCTGTTTATCTGGGCTGTTCTTTGTCAATTCTATTTGTAATCTGTCATCATCATTTCACTCTGAATAATTTCAGTTTTTCAATGTATCCTCCTCTAACTTCCACACTCCATTATCTCCCTCTGTTATGTTAACAATTAGATTGTGTCCCCTTTCTAAATCTTGTCTAGTCTATAATATTCTTCTTGGATGATAAACCAGAACTAAACATTCTGTTACATTTGCAAGGCACTATTATTTGATATAAGAACAGAGTGTTGTAAATTTTCCCCCAATTCTATCATGTGTCAAACTGTTTCATTGTTAAACTTATGTGGTTGGAAAGCAAAATACTACAACCATTTTGGAAAACAGTTTGAAAATTTGTTTATAATTGTTTATAAAGTTAAACTTACAAGACCTGCAAAACACTAATGAAAAATAAAAGAAGACCTAAATGAATGGAGTGGTATACCATGTTTGTGGACAGGGAGACTAAAAAAAAAAAAATTTTTTTTTTTGAGACAGAGTTTGTTGCCCAGGCTGGAGTGCAGTGGCACGATCTTGGCTCACTGCAACCTGTGCCTCCCAGGTTCAAACAATTCTCATGTCTCAGCCTCCCAAGTAGCTGGGATTACAGGTGCCCGCCACCACTCATAGCTAATTTTTGTATTTTTAGTAGAGATGGGGTTTTGCCATGTTATCCAGGCTGGTCTTACACTCCTGACCTCAGGTGATCCACCTGCCTCGGCCTCCCAAAGTGCTAAGATTACAGGCGTGAGCCACTGCGCCTGGTCAACAAAAATTTTTTTAAGAGACATGATCTTGCTTGGTCACCCAAGCTGAAGTGCAGTAGCACAATCATAGCTTACTGTAGCCTCAACCTCCTGGGCTCAAGCAATCCTCCTCTCTCAGCCTCCCAAGTAGGGAGGACTACAGGAGCACAACACCACACTCAGCTAATTGTTTTTCATTTTTTATAGAGATTGGGTCTTGCTATGTTGCCCAGGCTGGTCTCGAACTCCTGGCCTCCAGCAATTCTCCCACTTTGACCTCCCAAAGTGTTGGGATTACAGGCATGAGCCACCGTGCCTGGCCTCAATATTTTTTAAATGGCAGTTTCCCTCAAATTGTTCAGTGGATTCTGTGCAATAACAATCAAACCCAAGATTTTGTAGAAATTGACATTTTAAATCTAAAATTTATATGCAAAGACAAAGTTCCTTTTTTAAAAGAACTTTGAAAAAGAAGAAAAGAATAAGATTCACACTATTTTTCTTTACAGTCGTCAATCAGGAGACACATGTAAATCACTGGAACATATAGAATCTAGAAATAGACCCATATATGTGATCAATTGATTTTTGACAATATGCAAGACAATTCACTGGAGAAAAGCTAGTCTTTTCAATACATGCTCTTGGAACAATTGGACATCCATATGTGAAAAGAAGAAACCCAAACCATATCTTACACAATATGCAAAATTTAATGATAAATGGATTGTATATTTGGGACTTTGGGTTAGGTAAGGATTTTTTTAGATGGGGCACAAACTTCATGAACGATAAAAGACAAAAGTGATGAATTTCACCTCATCAGAACTTAAAATGTCTCTCCCCAACACTGTTAAGAGGTGAATAGACAAGCCATAAACTTGGAGAGAAAATTGTAAACTACATATTTGATAAAGGAATATATAAATTTATAAGTACACAAAAGGAATTTTTAAAATAATATATTAAAAATTCTCAGCTAGGCAGGGTGGCTCACACCTGTAATCCCAGCACTTTGGGAGGCAAGGTGGGCAGATCACCTGAGGTCAGGAGTTCGAGACCACCCTGGCCAACATGGCAAAACCCCATCTCTACTAAATAAAAAAATACAAAAATTAGCCCGGCATGGTGGTACACACCTGTAGTCCTAGCTACTCAGGAGGCTGAGGCAGGAGAATCGCTTGAACCTGGCAGGTGGAGATTGCAGTGAACTGAGATCGTGCCACTGCTCTCCAGTTTGGGCGACAGAATGAGACTCTGTCTCAAAAAAAAAAAAAAAAATCCCAAAACTCAGTAATAAGAAAACAAAATAATTTTAAAAACAGTTAAAAGATTTAGAAAGGCGCTTGACCTAAGGCGATATACAGAAGTCAAATAAGCACATGAAAAAATGCCCAAGACCTTAGTCGTTAGAGAAATGTGAGTTAAAATACCAGTACACGTGCATTAGAATGGTGGCAAGGTTACCGAACAACTGGAACTTTCTGCTGGGAATTACATTGCTTACATTGCTGCTGGGAATGCAAAATGTTCAACCACTTTGGAAACATTATGGCATACACTGACAATACAAATCAGAAATCCTACTGCTGGGTATTTAGTAAAGATAAATGAAAACATATGTTCACTCAGAAATCTGTATGCAGCTGTTTATAGTAGCTTTATTTATAATCACCTAAAACTGGAATAATCCAGATGTCCTTCAACTAATGTGATTGCAGAAATTGTGATATAGCCATACATTGGAATGTATTACTTGACAATAAAAAGCAATGAACTATTAATATACCCAATAACATATATAACTTTCAAATGCAATATGCTAAGTGAAAGAAATAAGATTTAAAAGGCTACTTACTGCATAATTCTATTTATATTACATAACATTCCAGAATGTGCAGAACTGCTAAGGCAAAAAACAGATTAATGGTTGCCAGGAGCCAAGGATGAGAGGAAAGGATTGCTACAAGAGGCACAAGAGAACCTAACTTTAAAAAACCAGAGGGTGATTTCCAAAGTCAAAAGTTAACTCTGCATGTGTATGTGTGTTTGTTCATGAACACAGATAAGCATATATGTTCTTGGCCATAAACTTCCTGTTTCATCATCATAAGCTAATGTTAAATGCTACTGGGAAATGACTTTTTTAAATTATATATGATCAAAAGGAGATTAAAAGGCGTATGTTTATTCTTTCAATTTAGAAAAGAATAAATGAATTTTTACTTACTCTGTAAAACTGAATGAGAAAATAATTATTCTAAGCTCAAAAGAAAGTTCATGTTTCATAAATGTCTTTAGGGGCATTTACAATTTTTTGGTTGTTGCTAATTTTAGTTTGTTAGGAATTAAGTATCCTTTTGTTTTAAACCTACCCCCAAAGCATACTGCTTATACTTTGTCCTTAAACATATTTTTCTTATTCATTTACACCTTTTCTCTTTGTTCTATGCACTTTACCTCTTTGATAATGCATTTACAAATTTGTTTGATAATTTTCTTTCCTTCCCATGCAACTATGGACCTTAATCTTCAGAATCTTTCACTTTTAGCTCGGCCTGGTGGCATGTGCCTGTAGTCCCAGCTACTCAGGTCGCTGAAGCAGGATAATCACTTGAGCCCAGGAGATCGAGGCTGCAGTGCACTATGGTTGTGCCTGTGAATGGCCACTGTATTCTAGCCTGGGCAACATAGTGAGAACCCATCTCTTGGGGGGAAAAAAAAGAATCACTCACTTTTTAGGCCATTTCAAGACCCTAGGAGGGAGTTTTGGCACTTTTCACAGGATCATATGTCCCTGTCAAATTTATAGAAGTAGACACTTTCAATATATTAAAAGATCTCTTTTCAGCACATCTTCCTCTTCTCATATTTTTCCTTGTGTTTTGTGATGGAGTTATCACCAAGTGTTGTTGGGATCAGGCTAAGAAGAAATTATATTAGCGGTATGTTTGGTTTGGATTTAGTGGGTTATATTTATGTATTTAGTTAGGTTATTGCTAGCCAACCTAGTATAGGAATGGCTTCCAGAAATAATCCTGGTAATGGGTGAGTGGACATATTGCAGTGCGAACGTGTCTTATGGTGCCAGATGCTGGGAACATGTGAGTACTGGAAGAGAAGCAAGGTTGAAATGTAGAGAGCCAGAGGATAATCTGCGAATAATTCTTTCAATTCTTATAGCTTATATTTGACAGAAATTTGATAGAGATTTTTTTCAAATTTGATTATAATTAGAAATATATGTACACACACAGAGTATGACAGTAAGTTATAAACTTGAAATAAACTTTAAAAAATTATCATTAATAAACAACAAAATTCGATCATCCATGCTTGAGTAAAGACTGAAGTATCCTATTTCTCAAATATTACAAAGTTATTGTCACCTGAAGAGGCAGTCAAAGCATAAGCAGTGGACAATGTTGAAAAAACATTATAGATGTGATAAGTGGTTAATTAAAAAGTGTTATTTTTCTGGATTTAGGAACATCTGTAAGCATTTATAAATTTTTTGTTTTGTGTAACTTGTGTTTTTTTCATTATAGACTCATATTTGTACTTCACTTTTTATTCGTAATTCTGTTTAAGTAACAAAAGTGTCTAACTCTAAAAAGGGCTCATTGTATCTTTACTGGCCAATTCTGTCAGTCAAGTTGTGCCCATGCCTGCTAGGCACTTGCCCCTCTTCTCAACTCTGTATACACCCCATTTTAAAGCATTGTTTTTTAGCATACTGCCAATGCATGAATTATATTCATGTTACTATTCTAAGCATTATGTATATTTTAAAACTTACATGAAAGAGAAGCTAATTTAGAAAGCTGAGATAAGAATACAATATGTAGAGGAAGTTCCTTCTGCCCCTCAGTGGGTTGACTTGAACGCCTCTGGAGTCTACCCATCCCCACACTTTGGAGACCAATGCTATGAAGTGGGAGCTATTGAAGGTATTTTTTTTTTAAGATTCTTTTTACGTCATTGAATTTTAATTACAAAAGCATTATTTGCTTATTGTAAACTTTCAGATAGACAAAGTGAAAACAAAATGGGGTAACAAAACCCCAGTTTTTCACGTAAACTTTTCGGTCTCTTTAACTATGACCCCGAAGTTAAGCAATGTATCATATCTTGATGTGTGTTCTTCTGGAACTGTTTCCATTATTATACAGACATACATATATACACACATCTACACACATACTACATAATCCTTCATACCCAACATATTACTCTGAGACTTGCATTTATCATTTAACATATATCTTCAACATTCATCTTACCCCTTACATAAAGATCTAAGTGATTCTTATGAATAGTTGCTTAATAATCCATAGTTGGCATGCCCCACAGTTTATTCAACCATCCCCCAAACAGTGGATCTTCCCATTTTATATATGTAGGAATTGAGAATTAAGAAAAATAAAGGCCAAAACCTAAAGTTAGGAATGTTTCCTAGTCTCAGAATCTCCTGCTTTTGTGTAGCTGCCCCCAATACACACACACACACACACACACACACACACACACACACACACACACAAAATAGTGTGTAAATAGCATAGGAAAATAATCCCAAGAAATATATTTAATATAATTTTTATATTATTAGGTAAAAGTTGGCTTTTAGTAAAGCAAGACTTTGGAGTCAGACTGCCCAAGTTCAAATCTCAGCACCACTATTACCATCCATGAGATGTTGGGCAAATTCTTCAAATTCAGCAAATTTAAAGAGACTAAAGGTTTACAGGTGGCACCTCTTCTAGTCCTCCCTAATCCCTCTTATTTCCCCTTTGCACCCCAAACATGAGGCTGGGGTTTTGGCAAATGTGTTATTGTCACCACTCTTTAGAACAAACGCCACCACTAGCATTCGAAGCTCTAGATGAAAGAGATGTGGGTGGGGAGAGTGGGTAACAAGAAATAATTCCTCTGAACCATGGTTCATACCAGGCATATGGCGCTTAGGATCAACTAGTGGCATAAGACCCACGAGGCAACTAGCTGAAACTTCTCTCAATAGTGTACCCTCCCCTGGAGCAGTGAGGAAATCCTCACTGTTACAGACCAGGTCCTGGCACTATGACACACTGAAAATAGATTGCTCAGACTTCAAAACAGATCTGCATTTTGGGAGTACAACTGTTGGTACTCTGCAGGAGGCAAGTGTGGCCTATGTGGTTAGCCTGTTTGAAGACAATTGTGTGTTGTCTTTGCCAGCATGTAGCAGTCATACCAAAAGGCCTCCAGCTAGCATACTGCACACCTGTACAATGTCTCATGTAAGTGGAGAGTGTGCTTAAGAATCCATTTTAATGGCAAACACTGCATTTTCAACAAAATAAAACAAAAACCACCACCTACCAACTTCTTCCCAATATTGGTAGTTCTGAATGTTAGATTTTTTTTGTGACCGTGTGATCAAAGTATACCTAAGTGTATGAATGGAAAAATAGGTGCAGAACAGGTATTGGCAAGTATTTTCCCATTTTTATTAGTGTGTGAATTTTTAATATAAATATGGGGACATGATGCATTAAAGGAAGTCAAAAAATTTTAATGAACAAGTTTCAGCAATTCAATTTATAACAATTATAAGCAAATCCGTTAAAAATTTTTATATAGTGACAGCACTTAGATTTTTTAAACAAGTAAATTTCTTATTGATGACAACTAAATGGTATGTGTATAATTTTATCATACAGTAGATTCCATTCATTCACTATACTTATGTAATTGACTCTACATGCAAGTATATATATATATATATATTTTTTTTTTTTTTTTTCTCGAGACGGAATCTCGCTCTGTCACCAGGCTGGAGTGCAGTGGCACGATCTCGGCTCACTGCAACCTCTGCTTCCCGGGTTCAAGCGATTCTCCTGCCTCAGCCTCTTGAGTAGCTGGGACTACAGGCACACACCACCATGCCTGGCTAAATTTTGTATTTTTAGCAGAGACAGGGTCTCACTATGTTGGCCAGGATGGTCTCAATCTCTTCACCTCGTGATCTGCTCGCCTTGGCGTCCCAAAGTGCTGGGATTACGGGCGTGAGCCACCGTGCCCGGCTACAAGTATATCTTTTTAATATTATGTGTATTGTTTATGTTTAATATTTATTTTTTAAAAAGCTAATGTTAACGAGTTCCACATTTCTCAAATTGACACCTATTTGTGCTAAAATACACCCAGTATTTTTTATCCAGTAAAATGATAGTTACTTAAATTATTAATATTAGTAATCATAATCCAACCTAACAGGAATTTTTTATTTGTTAATTATTCTCTAACAGCTGTTTTCAGTAGTGGGTAGTATGGACCCCTAGGAGATGATTGGGAATTTTATGGGCTGGTATTTTGGTTGTCACATTGATAGGGATATGTTATTGGATCGGTTGTCCTAATGTGTAAGTTCAATTGATCCACTAGATTTCAACCCTTCTGTTAACATTTGTTCACAGTACTTGGTGCTTTGAGCTTCTAATTTTCTGAAAGGTCTAGAGAATAACTTGTCTTTTGCAAGCAGTTTAAGTTATCGCTTCCTTTCTTTTGCCAAGTCAGTTACCACTTTTCTATCTGCATTATGCCTTCTAAATATTTCTTCAAAGCACTTATTCTCTGATGTCTCCTCTCATTCTCTCTTTCATAGTAATTTTGTGTTCTTTTATTTTATCCCTTTGCTGTCAATCCAGGAAAGGGTTAGAAAGGAAGAAGTATTTCAAAGGAAGAAGAGACCACCATGTAATCAATCTGCTATGCTTTAACAGCCCTATTGGAGATAATATCTCCTCCTAGAGGGCACAGAAAATGTTCTGGGTGGTTTTGGTTATTATAATGACTGGCTGATGCACTGGCAGTTCATGCCTACTTTATGGATAGATCTGCTAAAACACCACCATGTGTGAGCCCACTCAAAATGCCAATAACACCCCCATTTACAAACAGTGACCTAGTGCAATTCACAGTCATCAGTTCATCACAGCCTTGCATTAACTCAGTGTAAACAGTATGCTTAGACACTAACATCTTCTCTAGTTTAAAGCAGTGTCAAATCTTATTCATTACTGTTTTTCAGGCTGAGCTTTTTGAAACTAATATTCATTCAGAAATATCAATGAAAACAGTGTCATGGCTCCTTATCATTAAAAGGAAGAGCACATTGGATAAATTATTTTCTTAACTCCAGCATTCAATTTTGCTACATGTTTTGTCTTCATTTTAACAGATATTTTGGTAAAAGACCTCAGTGGGATTGTAGAGGGGCATCAAATCTTAATGAACTTCACCAGCTATTAAGTGACATAATGATTAGAAGATTAAAGACTGAAGTTTTAACCCAGCTACCCCCTAAAGTCAGACAGCGTATTCCATTTGATCTTCCATCAGCAGCTGCCAAGGTGAGAACCGTTGCTTGATTTAAAGTCTTACTTTAAATAATTTTGAATTACACTATTAAAGATTATACGTATTTCATATTTCACAGAAGGAAAGGTTTGCTTTCTTAAAATAGGTTTAATTAATAGAGCCTATACATTGGTTTTGTATTTCAGCAAGAAAGCAGGAAGAATTCAATTTTATTCATCAGATGCATAAAAAGATATGGTAACCTAGTGGTTTAAAAAAAAAGTATTTTTGCTGAAAAAAGAACTTCAATTGCAACAGAGATGTAGTATTAAGAATTCTAAATATCGGCCAGGCACGGTGGCTCATACCTGTAACCCAGCACTTTGGGAGGCTGAGGTGGGCAGATCACCTGAGGTCGGCAGATCACCTGAGGTCAGGAGTTTGAGACCAGCTGGCCAACATGGTGAAAACTCGTCTCTACTAAAAATACAAAAATTAGTTGAGTGTGGTGGCGAGTGCCCGTAATCCCAGCTACTCGGGAGGCTGAGGCACGAGAATCAGCTTGAACCCAGGAGGCAGAGGTTGCAGTGAGCCGAGATCGCGCCATTGCACTCCAGCCTGGGCAACAGAGCGAGACTCCATCTCAAAAAAAAAAAAAAGAATTCTAAATAGAAGGTGTGAAACCCAATAATTAGCAAGGGAAATTGTGTTCCTTGCTCTAGAATTTCTTTTTAAAGTATGAATAACTCTCTTCTAGAAAAACTTCATGCAGCCCTATTCTTGAAATTCTAAAACTCTGTGACCATGTTGTAAGACGTGAAATTCAGTATATCAGAAAACCAGTTTACTAATCCTTACCTAATCCTCATCCATGTTTACTTTTGGAGACTGCAGTGCTTATATATTCTCTGAAATTTCTGCAAATCTGAAAATGACTTTATTAACAGAGTTTTTCATTGTTATCTTGAAAGCTTATAAGCATTTTGTAAACATTGAGCAATATGTTACTTCTAAAATAAGAACAATCTGATTTTCTTATCTATTAGTATTAGAAAGAAAAATAAAATGGAATCAACATATGATTATATTTGTACTTCATATTAATTTTATTTAATATTCCCCATCTTTATTTAAATCAAACCACATCTTTTTACAAAAGTACTTAGCTGCTTTATACATTTTTACTACTCTGCTTTCTTATGTTTCTTATGTTCATTTTACAGAATGTATCTTCTTAAGAAGTTATAGGCCAGGGTGCGGTGGCTCACGCCTGTAGTCCCAGCACTTTGGGAGGTCGAGGTGGGCAGATCACCTGAGGTTAGGAGTTCGAGACCAGCCTAACCAATATGGAGAAACCCTGTCTCTACTAAAAATACAAAATTAGCTGGGCGTGGTGGCGCATGCCTGTAATCCAAGCTACTTGGGAGGCTGAGGCAGGCGAATCGCTTGAACCCGGGAGGCGGAGGTTGCAGTGAGCCGAGATTGCACGATTGCACTCCAGCCTGGGCAACAAGAGCGAGACTCTGTCTCAAAAAAAAAGAAGAAATTATAATTGTTTGATTTATGCTGTTAGCAAAGGGCTTTGTTTTCACCCACAGCTTATCATTGGTTTCTATAATTTTGAAAATGTGACTGACCTACCTCTGCATTGATGTTTTTAAATGAACATGTTGGAATCTTTGGGGATTTTCTTTTTATATCTTTCTATAGAGAAAAGGAAAAAAAGTAGGACATGATTCATGATTGCATTAATTTGTTCTGTTCGTTATGCTATATTCATAAACAGTGTTATTTTTTCCCACATAGGAATTGAATACCAGCTTTGAAGAGTGGGAAAAAATAATGAGAACTCCAAATTCAGGTGCCATGGAGACAGTCATGGGGTTGATAACTCGCATGTTTAAACAAACTGCTATTGCCAAGGTACTCTTTGCTGGGCCATCATGTATTTGTCTTCATACAAATTATTCAATGTCTTTTACTGTTTTTAATTAAGCAAGTTATTTATATATTGCAGAATTTCTTTGCTATTGTTTAACTCTTTTTTTTTTTTTTTTTGAGTTGGGAGCCTCACTCTGTCACCCTGGCTGGAATGCAGTGGCGTGATCTCGGCTCACTGCAGCCTCCGCCTCCCAGGTTCAAGCCATTCTCCTGCCTCAGTCTCCCAAGTAGCCAGGACTACAGGCACATGCCAACATGCCCAGCCTGTTTAACTCTTTTTTATGGAAAAATTCAGACATACTCAAAGTAAACAGTAATGCTGTATCCAACCATATATTTATCTTTTCCAATATACAGGTATATTTTGATGCGGGAGGATACTATACGTTATACTTTCTCATTTAAATTATATATATATTCATTTTTTTCTTTTCTGTTTTTTTTTTTTTTAAAGACGGAATCTTACTCTTTTGCCCAGGCTGGTGTGCAGTGGCTCAATCTCAGCTCACTGCAACCTCCACCTCCTGGGTTCAAGCAATTCTCCTTCCTCAGCCTCCCAAGTAGCTGGGATTCCAGGCACGTGCCTCCATGCCTGGCAAATTTTTTTTTAATACTTTTAGTAGAGACAGGGTCCATCATGTTGGCCAGGCTGGTCTTGAACTCCTGACCTCAAGTGATCCACCCACCTTGGCTTTCCAAACTGCTGGGATTACAGGTGTAAGCCACCGTGCCCGAACTATATTCATCTTTATTATTAGTATTCCCATGGTTTTACTACATTATTACTGCAAATAATCTTTTTTTATTTGTCAGTCATCTTCCTTTGATATTCCATGTTCAGTACCCTACAGAGGTAATTTTGCTCACATTCTGTTTGTCTAAAAGTGAAAAATATAGGATTTTAGAATTTAGTAAAATTAGTGTAACTGTCAAGTAAACTTATCATATATTTGTGGTAGTTGTTTTTACCACCATGGTAGAACCTGTAAATACTGACGAGTGTCACCCCTCTTGATTCTGAGATTTTTTTTGTAACATACTTTTTTAAGATGAGGATTGTTGAGGTATATTTACATAAAGTGAAATTTATCCTTTTAAAATGTATAGTTGGTCCAGACATGGTAGTGTGCATGTCATCCTAGTTACTTGGGAGGCTGAGGAGGGAGGATCGCTTAGCTCAGAAGATCTGGGCTACAGTGAGCTATGATTGTGCCACCGCACTCCAGCTTTGGCAACAGAGCAAGACTCTGTCTCAAATAAAATAAAATAAAATAAAATAAAAATAAAATAAAATAAAATAAAATAAAATAAAAATAAAATAAAATAAAATAAAATAATAAAATAAAATAAAAAAATAAATACAATGTATGGTTGGATGAGGCTTGACAAATGTGTATAGTTGGATAAACATCAGTACCATGAAAATAGAGATATTCCTGTCATGCCAAAAAGTTCCCCCATGTGCCTTTGTAGCATTTCCCCTCCACCCATCACTATACCTTGGCAACCACAGATATGCTTTCTGTCACTATAGTTTTACACTTTCCAGAATGTCACAAAAATGGAACAATAGCATGTAGCCTTGTGTCTGGCTGCTTTCACTTAGCATAAAGGTTTTGAGATTGATTCAGGTTGTTGTATATGTTATTACTTTTCCTTTTTATTGCTTTCCTTACATCCTCCAATGTATGGGAACAAAACTTTAAAAAAATTTTTTTTGAGAGACAGAGTCTTGCTCTGTCACCCAGGCTAAAGTGCAGTGCCACAATCATAGCTCACTGCAGTTTCGAACACCTGGGCTCTAGGGATCCTTCTGCCTCAGCCTCCCAAAGCGCTGGGGTTATAGGTGTGAGCTACCTCATCTGGCCCCTAAAATTTTTTTTTTTTTTATTCTTTCACCTATTAATGGACATTTGGAATATTTCTGTTTTAGACTATTGTAAGTCAAAGTGGTATAATCATTCATGTACAGGCCTTTGTGTAGTCATATATTTTCATTTTCCTTGAGCAAATACTTGGAAATAGAACTGGTGAGTCATAAAAGTATAGATTTAACTTGATAAAAAAAACTGCCAAATTGTTTTTCAAAGTAGCTATATTATTTTGCATTTCTACTGACATTGTATGAGAGTTCCATTTGATATCTTTGTGAGCACTAGGTATTGCCATCTTTTTCATTTTAGCCGTTATTGTCGGTATGTAGTGGCATCTCATCGTGCTTTTAATTTTTCTTTTCCCGATGACTGATGGTGTTGAGCATGTTTTTTGGTGCCTTTTGTCTATTCATTTTCTTTTGTGAAGTATCTGTTCATATTGAGTCCATATTTATATGGGGTAATAAGAACTCTTTATTTTGGAAACAAGTTCTGTAATATATATATCTTTTACAAATATGTCCTCCAAGTCTATGGATTTGATTTCTATTTTATTAACATTGTCTTTCAGAGAACAGAAGTTTTAAATTTGGAAACAATCTAGTATATCAATTTTTTTCTTCCTTTTTTTTTTTGTATTTTGAGTCCTAAGAAATTTTTGCCTAATCTAAGTTCACAAAGATACCCTCTTATATTTTCTTCTAAAAATGCCATAGCTTTAGGTTATCAGTCATGTGCTACTTAATCAAATTTCAGTCAACAAAGCAGCACATATACAACACTGGTCTCATAAGATTATAATGGAGCATATATAGAAACATAATAAATGGCACTTGACATTGCATTGCAGATCAAGTAGGAGAAATAATTGGTATTCAGTAATGATGCTAGGTCCTTTGGTTTTTCATATGAAAAATATATATATAAATAAAAATACATATAACATATAGGTTTGTGTAAATACACTCTGTGATGTTCTCACAATGACAGCATTCCCTTAACAATGCATTTCTGAGAACATATCCCATAGCTAAGTGATAGATGACTTAGATGTAGGTCTATAAACTATTATTTTTGTAGCATATAATTCTTTTATATGCTACAAAATAAAGGTAGCAGTTCTGATTTTTTTATTTTTGTTTTGGTTTGTCATTTTACATATGGATTTTCAGTTGTTACAACACTCATCAAAACACAGAAGACTATTTTGCCCTCCTTAAATTTCCTTGGCACCTTCACCAAAAACCAATTGGCAATGTATGTGTAGGTCTGTTTCTGAACTCTATTCTCATTCATTGGTCTATTCATCAGCCTTATACTACAATGGCTTGATTACTGTAGCTTTATAATAAGTCTTGAAGGCCAGGCACGGTGGCTCATGCCTGTAATCCCAGCACTTTGGGAGGCCGAGGCAGGTGGATCACTTGAGGTCAGGAGTTTGAGACCAGCCTGACCAACATGGCAAAACCCCATCTCTACTAAAAATACAAAAATTAGCTGGGCGTGGTGTTGCACACCTGTAATCCCAGCTACTCGGGAGGCTGAGACAGGAGAATCACTTGAACCCAGGAGGTGGAGGTTGCAGTGAGCCGAGATCATGACACTGCACTCCAACCTGGGCAACAGAGCAAGACTCTGTCTCCAAAAAATAAATAAATAAATAAGCCTTGAAATTATATAGTGTTTACCCTACTGTATTCCTTTTCAATATTGCTTTGTCTTTTGTAGGTCCTTCGCTTTTCTGTATGAATTTTAGAATCAGCATTTTAAGTGTATACAATTTTGTTGGAATTGTGTTGGATCTGTTGACTAATTTGGAAGAATTTACTTCTGAATAATATTTAGTCTTCTGGTCCCTGAAAAGAGTATCGTTCACTTTTAATTTATCCCCACAATGTTCTCTAGTTTTTTTAATACATTTTGTTAGATTTATCCATAGGTATTTTGTGTCCTTTTATGCTCCTGTAAATGGCATTTTTTAAAATGTAAATTTCCAGGTTTCCCTTGCTAAGTATAGAATTATTATCGATTTTCTTATATTAACCTTTTATTCTGTGACCTTGCTGAACTCCTTTTATTAGTTCTTGTGGATTTTTGGTTAATTCTAGAAGATATAGGATCATTTTGTCTGCACATAAAGACATTTTTATTTCTTCCTTGTAATATATATGCCTTTTATTTATTTGTTTTGCCTATTACGTTGAAGGAAGACTAGTACAATTTTGGATAGAAATGATAGGACTGAACAGCCTTACCTTGTAGCCAATCTTAGGGGGAAGGCATTTAGTCTTTCACCATTAAATATGATGTTATTGCGGCTGGGTGCGGTGGCTCACACCTGTAATCCCAGCACTTTGGGAAGCCGAGGCAGGCAGATCACGAGGTCAGGAGATCAAGACCATCCTGGCTAACACGGTGAAACCCCGTCTCTACTAAAAAATACAAAAAATTAGCCAGGCATGGTGGCGGGTGCCTGTAGTCCCAGCTACATGGGAGGCTGAGGCAGGAGAATGGCGTGAACCCAGGAGGCAGCGCTTGCAGTGAGCCGAGATTGCACCACTGCACTCCAGCCTGGGCAACAGAGCCAGACTCCATCTCAAAAAAAAAAAAAAAAATGATGTTATTACTAAGTTTTTTTAGATGACTTTTCTTATGTAGAGGAAACTTCCTTTTTTTACTAGTTTGTTTAGAGAAGAAATGGAACATATGAACTTTTTTTCCTTTGGCGGAGAAGGGGAAGAAGAGGTGGTTATTATAAAGGTGGATATGAAGAAAATAGCTAATGTTCTAGCACTACTATAAGTGAAGGAATTAGGCTTTTATGAATGTTCACTCAGGCATGGTGGCTTACATCTGTAATCCCAGCACTTTGGGAAGCCGAGGTAGGAGAGTCCCTTCAGCTTAGGAGTTCGAGATCAGGCTGAGTAACAGAGGAAGACCTCGTCTCTATTCTATAAAAAACAAACAAAGGAAAAGACAAAACAAACAAAAAAGAACAAATTTTTTTCAGAAACAAAATTTAAATAAAAAAGAAAGAAAAAAGATCACAATAAAAGTGGTCCTGACACAGGGGAGTTTATACTCACTCACAGGCTTTATTTCCACTGGCATCTAGCAGGTGCTAGCTGGGAGTCCTGAGAGCATATCCATTAGTGGAGCAGAAGTTCAAAACTCTGCCTATTTTCAATACCCCTTTCTTACACTAAACAAAAGCCTTAAGCCATTGTGGAAGAGGCAGAGTACCCCCTCCTCCAACCTCAAAGCCTAGTCCATGATGGACTGCTTCTGGTGATGGGATAGGGACAAATGCTGCCTACCCCTGGGGAGTGGGCAGGAAACCCTGTTGGACTCAGGACCCTGCACTGATATAAGACAGAGATCTGTTACTGCCAGGGTAGAGGCAGAGACCCCTTTAGCACCACCTGCAGTTACAAGACATAGTTTTGTTAGTGGTGGGGGACAGGAACACCAAGAAAGTCCCACCCCCAAGGCTCAGCTGCAGCAAAAAATTTGTCTTATGCTGAGTTGGTACCAGGAGACTCAAAAGGTCCCCCAACCCCCACTATGAACTTAACACTGAGAAACCTTCAAGATCAATCTACCACTGGGAAAGAGAGACAACCTACTATCCTACAGGCGTGCAGGACTACTGAAAGCTGAGAATGTGGCAGGAACACTTAGCAAAACCCTTGACACACAGTATTACAAGCTAGAAGTATCCCATTGCTGGGGGAATTTGAGGTTCATGGTGCTCCAAAGGTAAATGTAACAAGAGAACCTAAACAGAACTCAGCGCTGACTACATTCACTCAGTCCCCTCCCCCACCATACTATCATCACCTCAAAGGAAGAAGCATGCTCAATTCTGGATGTAACTATCATTTCCTCAGTCTGTACTATCCTTCTACACATAACTCCTAGCATTCAATAGAAATTGCAAAATAACAAAAAAGACATTTAAAAAAACAACCATTGCCAAGACATAAAGCAACTGATAAAGCCAGATGCAGAAATGACCCAGATTGTAGAACTATTAGACAAGGGCTTTAAGATAGCTATGAATAATATGTTAAAGCATCAAATAGAAAAGATAAACAACATGCAAGAAAAGATGGAGAATTTTAGAAATAGTATGAAAATTGTAAAACAGTAAAATGGAAATGCTAGAAATAGAAAACACAGTATCAGTTATGAGCCAATAGTGGAAATAAAATGTAATCATAAAAAATCTGGCCGGGTGTGGTGGCTTACACCTGTAATCCTAGTGCTTCAGGATGCTGAGACAGGCAGATTGCTCGAGCCCAGGAATTCAAGACCAGCCTGAGCAACAAGGCAAAAACCCATCTCTACTGAAAATGCAAAAATTAGCTCAGTGTGATGGTACACGTCTGTGGTCCCACTACTCAGGAGGTTGAGGTGGGATAATCACTTGAGCCCAGGAGGCAGAAGTTGCAATGAGCTATGATCATGCCACTGCACTCCAGCCTGGACAACAGAGTAAGTGAGACCCTGTCTCAAAAATTAAAAAATAAATAAAGTAAAATAAAATAAAATTCATTAATTAAAACATTTGACTGGCACAGTGGCTCATGCCTGTAATGCCAGCAGTTTGAGAGGTTGAGGTGGGAGGATTACTTGAGGCCAGGAGTTAGAGACCAGTCTGGCCAACATGGTGAAACCCCATCTCTACTAATAAATACAAAAATAAGCTGGGTACAGTGGCTGATGCCTGTAACGCCAGCACTTTTGGAGGCTGAGGCAGGAGGATCACTTGAGGTCAGGAGTTCGAGACCAGCCTGACCAACATGGCAAAACCCTGTCTCTACCAGAAATACAAAAAATTAGCCAGGTGTAGTGGTGCTTGCTTATAATCCCAGCTATTCGGGAGGCTGAGGCAGGAGAATTGCTTGAACCCAGGAATCGGATGTTGCAGTGAGCCAAGATTGCACCACTGCATTCCAGCCTGGGCGACAGAGTGAGACTCTGTCTTAAAAAAAAAAAAAAAGGCCGGGTGCGGTGGCTCATGCCTGTAATCCCAGCACTTTGGGAGGCCGAGACGGGTGGATCACGAGGTCAGAAGATCAAGACCATCCTGGCTAACATGGTGAAACCCTGTCTCCACTAAAAATACAAAAAAAAAAATTAGCCGGGCGTGGTGGCGGGTGCCTGTAGTCCCAGCTACTCGGGAGGCTGAGGCAGGAGAATGGCGTGAACCCAGGAGGCGGAGCTTGCAGTGAGCCAAGATTGCACCACTGCACTCCAGCCTGGGTGACAGAGTGAGACTCCACCTCAGAAAAAAAAAAAAAAAAAAATCAGTCAGATGAAAAAAGAATAAAAAGGGATGGGGAAAGCCTATGGAATACCATAAAGTGTCCAAATATTTAAATTTGGGGTATTCCAGAAGGAGAAGAGATGGGCAAAGGCATAGAAAAAATATTTAATTAAGTAATAGTTTAAAACTTCCCAAGTCTAGCAAGAGCTGTAGACATCCAGATACAGGAAGCTCAAAGACTTATCAAATAGATACAACCTGAAAAGGTCTGCAAGGCACATTGTTGTCAGAAGTCAAAGACAAAGGGAGAATTCTAAAAGCAGCAAGAGAAAAACATCAAATCACATATAAGGGAATGTTCAACAGAGTAAAAGCAGATTTCTCAAAAGAAACCTTACAGGCAAGGAGACACTAGGATAATATATTCAATTTGCTGAAAGGAAGAAAAAAAAAGCTTTCAGCCAAAAATACTATACCCAACAAAGCTATCCTTCAAAAGTAAAGGAGAAATAAAATATTTCCCAGACAAGGAAAAACTGAAGGAATTTATCATCACTAGAACAGCCCTATAAGAAAAACTTAAAGGAGCCCTACACCTGGAAAAAAATAATTGTATCTACCATCATGAAAACACATGAAAGTACAAAACTCATTGGTAGAGCAGATACACAAATGAGGAAAAGAAAGGACTCAAATGTTACTACTACAGAAAGCCACCAAACCACAATGATAAAAAATAAGAGAGAAAGAAAGGAACAAATGATACAGAAAACAACGATAAAACAATTAACAAAATGGCAATCCTCACATGTAAAACATAACGTTAAATGTTAATGGATTGAATTATTCACTTTAAAGATACAGACTGGCTGAATGGATTGTTTTAAAACAAAAAACATCACCCAACTATATGCTGCCTACAAGAAATTCACTTCATCTGTAAAGATACATATAGACTGAAAGCAAAGAGATGGAAAAAGATGTTCCACACAAAGAGAAACCTAAAGTGAGCAGGAATAGCTATACTTATCAGAAAAAGCAAACCTTATGTCAAATAGTAAAAGGGGCCAGGCACAGTGGCTCACGCCTGTAATCCCAGCACTTTGGGAGGCCAAGGCAGGTGGATCATATGAGGCCTGGCAAACATGGCGAAACCCCGTCTCTACTAGAAATATAAACATTAGCCGGGCACGGTGGCACACACCTGTAATCACAGCTACTTGGGAGGCTGAGCCAGGAGAATTGCTTGAACCTGGGGAGGTGGAGGTTTCAGTGAGCCGAGATCGCACCACTGCATTCCAGCCTGGGCGACATAGTGAGACCCCATCTCAAAAAACAAAAAAAAAGAAACTTGAAACTGATTGTTTTGAACGAATAAAACTTGTAAAACTTAAAACAAAAATAGAGAAGAAAGTAATTTACCCATGTCAGCAGTAAAATAGAATAAAAAGACTGTCACTACAGACCCTATAGGCATTAAAAAGATAATAAGAGAATATCATTAACAACTTTATGTCAAGAAAGCCAACAAAATTTATATGAATATATAGATTCCATAAATATCACAGCTGACTCAAAAAGAAATTAAAAACCTAAATAGCCCTGTATCAACTAGAAAAATTTAATTCATAATAAAAATCATAATGAAAATTTGAGGCCTCAATGGTTTCACTGCTATATTCCATTGAACATTTAACATAAAAAGTAAAACCAATTCTAAAAATTTCTTAGGAAATGAAAGAGAAATACCTCCCAAATAATTTTATAACTTCAGGATTACTCTGTTACCAAAACCAGACAAACAAAATAATGAGAAAACTATAGGTCAGTGTTCTTAATGAATGTGAAAGTCCTTAACAAAATATTAGCAAATTGAATCCACCAGTATGTAAAAAAGTATACCAGCAATACAAAGTTTAACACTGAATTAATCACTGTAAATCATCACATGAACAATATAAAAATTGAAAACCATATGATTATTTCAATGTAAGCATTTGACAAAATTCAATATCCATTCCTGACAAAACCTGTCAACAAATCAGGAATAGAAAGGAACTTCTTTATCACAATAAAAGGCATTTATGAAAACTTACATCTAACATCATACTTAATGCAGAAAGACTGATGCTCTTCCTCTAAGATCAGGAACAAGACAAGAGAGCCTTTCCTCATCACTTCCCTTTAACATTGTTCTGGTTCTGGTCTTAGCTGTGCATTAAGGCTAGAAAAAGAAATACAAGGTGTACATATCAAAAAGCAGTAAGTAAAATTGTCCATATTCACAGGCAGGATTATCCACATAGAAAATCGAAGAGTGATTTTATCAAGGTCCCAGAATTCATGTTCAACATATAAAAATCGTTTCTCGTTCTGTATACTGGCAATAAAAATTGGAAACTGAAATTTTAAAAATACGATTTGAAATAGCATCCAAAATCATGAACTAATTTAGAATAAAGTCAACAAAAAATATGTACTGAAAACTACAAAGCATTGTTTAGAATAAGTAAAGCAAATTTAAATAAACAACAGATAGATTATGTTCATGAATCAGAAGAGTCAATATTGTTAAGATGCCAGTTCTCTGTAAATTTTTATATTCAATGCTGTTAATCAAAATCCTTGTAGTCTTTTTTGCATAAATTAACACACTAAATATAAAATTTATGTGGCAATACAAAGGACTTACTATAGCCAAAACAATTTTGAACGAGTCACACTACATTATATAAATACTTAATAAGAAGTTAATTAATGAATCAGAAAAAGAGAGTCCAGAAATAGAACCTCACATAGATTGTCAGTTGATCTGTTAAGAAAGGAGACAAGGTAACTCAATAGGGAAATTATAGTTTTCAGTAACGGGTACTAAGACAATTGGATATCCATAAGGAAAAAAAGAAGTCTTGAACATTATTTCACACCACACATAAAAATTAACTTGAAATGAGTCATAGAATTAAATATGAGAGCTAAAATTATAAAATTCTTAGGAGCATACATATGTAAAAATATTCCCAACTTTTGGGTAGGACAATGTTTTAGACAGGATACAAAAAGCACAAACTTTGAAGAAAAAATTGAGATTAAAAACTTGAACACATGGTGGTAAAAAATATATATATACGTAGTATGAAAAATACTGTTAGGAAAATGAAAATGCAAAACATAGATTGGAAGAAAATATTTTCAATATACTCTCCTTGTTCCATTTTCCCATGTCTTAATTTTCAGTTTGATCATAATTTTTTGTTAGATCAGTGTTCATTGTTTACAGTATAATAACTTTGTTAAACATCTCACTGTTGAGCTATAATTAAATTTTTTTCTTTGACTGTTGTTTTTCCTAGAGTTAATAACTCTCTTGTTTTTTGCTTGTTTGCTTACTTAGCTTTCTTTGTATATAATACTGAATACAGAATGCTTGCTTAAGGAAAAAGAACATATATGAGAACCTTTTAGATCGTTTCTTGTCTGTGGTTAAAAAACCCTAGTTGGGGCCGGGCGCAGTGGCTCCTGCCTGTAATCCCAGCACTTTGGGAGGCCAAGGTGGGCAGATCACGAGGTCAGGAGTTCGAGACCAGCCTGGCCAGCATGGTGAAACCCTGTCTCTACTAAAAATACAAAAATTAGCCGGGCGTGGTGGTGCGTGCCTGTAGTCCCAGGTACTTGGGAGGTTGAGGCAGGAGAATCGCTTGAGCTCAGGAGGTGGAGGTTGTAGTGAGCTAAGATGGTGCCACTGCACTCCAACCTGGGTGACAGAGCGAGACTCCCATCTCAAAAAAAAAAAAAACAAACCCTGGTTTGAAGTCAGAAGCGTTGACAATAAATAGGAATCTGGCATCTAATTCCTAGGATTCTTGAAGGAAAAGAAAAGAGATGAAAAGTAGTTGTCCCTAAATTAGGTAATGTTCCCAAAGATTAATGGCAGCAGAAGGCCAATCCTTGCCTCCCCAGTTCCCTAGAGTTTTTAGTCATTTTTCATTCCCTCTCTAATAGAACTTCTGTCCTCAACCACCTATGGAAATTGGAACTGTGTATTTCTATTCCTGAGCTACAGCCAGAAATAATTAATTCAAGCTATGACCAAATTGGAATTCTTAATACATTTTCCCCAGAAATATTACTGATATTTAGTAGAGTCTATAGTAACTGTGAATAATACAGTTTACCTACATTATAGATTAAATAGGCTTTTCAGGAGGTAGCTAGTTATCATCTACATTTAATGTTGATTCTGTGAGAAAATGAGTTTCAGAGTTCTCCCAAACCAGTTTGTAAATGAACTTGAAATAGCATAGATTATAATTTGATTATTATATTGTATGTATACCAGTGTTGGTGCTTCTTTTCTTTGATTAAATGTTTTCCTATTAATTCAGTACATATTTATTGATTGCCTACTATGTGGCAAGGTGCTAGGGAGGTATGGTGAACAGAATGTCTTCCTCTCAAGGAACTTGCAATCTACTGGGGAAGACCATGAAATAAATATTCAGCTACAATAGTGTGTATTTAGTGCTTCAAAAACAGGATGCTTATGAAAGTACATGAGAGAAGATACCTGGCCCAGTCTTGAGGGTGCAGGAAAGACATCCCAAGGAATGAACAAATAAGATTTACCCTGTCAGAGGGAGGGAGTAAAATGGAAAGGAGATGAGCTGGTGGAATGTATTTCAGGCAATTGAAACAGTTTGTGGAAACTCACAGAATAACCGGAAAGACATATTCAGGGAACCAAAAGTAGGTCAACATGCCTGAAGCATACAGTGCTAGGGAGGAATTCTCCAGCCTGGGCAACATAGTGAGACCACACCTCTACAAAAAATTAAACATAGCTAGGTGTGGTGGCTCATGCCTGTAATCCCAGCACTTTGGGAGGCCTAAGCGGGCAGATCACTTGAGGTCAGGAGTTCTAGATGAACCTGGCCAACATGGTGAAACTCCATCTCTACTAAAAATACAAAAATTAGCTGGGCATGGTGGTGCGTGCCTATAATCCCAGCTACTCGGGAAGCTGGGGCAGGAGAATTGCTTGAACCCAGGAGGCAGAGGTTGCGGTGGGGTGAGACGGTACCACTGCACTCCAACCTGGGCAACAAGAGTGAAACTCTGTCTCAAAAAAAAAAAAAAAAATAAACATATTAATTGGGCATGGTGGCATGTGCCTGTACTCCCAGCTACTTGAGAGGCTGAGGTGGAAGGATCACTTGAGCCCAGAAGGTCAAGGCTGCAGTGAGCCACGATCGTGCCACTGCATTCTAGCCTGGGTGACAGAGGAAGAAGAGGAGGAATTCCTCTTCTCAAAAAGAAGAGGAATTCTGACTGAGACTAGGCTGGAGGTCAATGAGAGCTATAACTACATTATGAAAGTCACAGTTCATAGTTTGTAATTTATTCTAAAGGTTCTTAGCAGTCAGGTACAGTGGATTGGAGTACAATAATCAGATTTGGGCTTTAGAGGAATAACTAGCTGTGTGGAGAATGTATTGGAAGCAATAACTAATAGGCAGAGAATCCACTTAGGATGCTCACTGATAATCTAGATGAACAATGCTGGTGATCTAAACCAATGTAGTGGCTGTATCATATCTTAACTGGGAAAGGAATAATTCATGATAGATTAAGGCAGTGCAATCAGTAGACATTGGTGATTGACTGAATGTGGAAGGGAGGGAAAAGGTCAAATCTAGATTTCTTGCTTGGTCAACTGGGTTGATATTTCTGCCATTCATTAAAATTGTGAAAAAATAGGAGATATATTTTGTGCCCAGACCCCCATTAAGCATAATCTGTGCCAAACACAACAAGGTGCAAGCTGTTAGATAGTAGAAATTTTCTTTGTACTCTGTAGCATCATTTTAGAAATACTTTTGTTTTCAATGAATCATTTGAAAAATTATGTTGAGGAATTTGAAGATAATTTAAAGCCACCTGATGATGGTTTTTTTAAAATCTTCATAAGAATAAGAAGGAAAAATTTAAAGAGAATAATGAGTTTTCAAGTAAATAGATGGGTGCAAATATGCAGCTACTTATAGGATATGCTATTTTAAGGGCATATACTTAATTATTACTTATAGTAAAATGAATTCCTCATTATTTGTGGTGTTTAGTTTTTCAAAGGCTATAATTCCATAATAAATACATAAATGTATGCAGTATGAAATCTTGTTCTTGTCAAACTGAGGAAGTGAATACTTTCTCTATTCTTTTTTTTAACACTGTTCACTAATTGTGGTTAGAGAGCATTGGGCCTAGAGAGTATTGAGTCATCTTTCCTCTTCCTTTGCTCTAGACAGAGTTATGCCTAAAGCCTTCCAAACAAATGGGTCTCTATCCATCCTAATTTTATAGATCTTCAAGATAAAAGATTTCTTTCTCTGCTGTAATCTTTTCTTTGCTTCATAACTTACACACTGTTCTAGGCAGACAATAGGATAGTACAGGGCTTCAAATTAGGTCATGTCAGCAAATTAGGTCATATTGTTAATAAATTTTAATATGTACAACGCTATGCTACAGAATTATGGTATTGGCATATATTATTTATGTGCTATATAAACATTTATGCTAGTCTGCCTTTTGAAGTACTTCTTAGGAGGACAAAGTATATTTTAAGTATGTTTGTTATCTCCTTAGTGGTGTTATTAGATTATCAAGGTCTCTTTTTCAGATAGTTCTTAAAGAAAACAAATAATGGTAATGATAAATAGTAAATAATGACGATAGGGAGGGCTTCCAGTGGAACTGGGAAAGGGCCACAAGGAGAAGGAAACTTCCAGCTGAACTCTAATAATTTCGACCTAGTGCAAATTTTCCTGGACAAAAACCTGGGGAGGGGGATGGTGCTCAAGGAGAATGGGAAGTGCAGATACAAGCACAGAAGAAGCTATAGGCAGAGCAGGGGAGGCTTGTAGCCTGGGGCAAGAGCTGCCTGGATGTAAACTCAGTGCTTTCCGTGGAGCACAGTGGGAGTGAGACTGGCCTTGCTGGCTGCCTGGGAGCTGGATAAGGCCTGTCACTGCAGGCTTTCCCCCACTTCCCTGGAGACCTGTATGACACAGCAGAGGCAACCATAATCTCCCTAGGAACATAAGTCCATTAGCCTGAGAACCACACTCCAAGCCCCCACAGTGGATGCAGCAGTCCCAGCCCAAGGAGAGTCTGAGCTCAGACACAACTAACCCTGCGACCTGATGGTCTTCTCTACCCTCCCTGGTAAGAGAAGACAAAAGACATAATCTCTTAGAATCTATATAGTCCTGTCCATCGCCCGAGAAAGTGGAATACTTGTCCAGGGACTTTAGACAAGCTTGTATGCCCCCTATACTGCTGCAGCTGATGTTCTCTTGAAAGCACCCCCTCCTGGCTGGAGGCCAGCCAACTCAAGCCATTACAGCGACTCAGAACAACCGTGCTCCAAAAAAGGAGGAAACAACAGGTAATCCCACTGCCTGTAACATCCTGGCTAACCTGAGATCCTCAGTCTGTACATGTGACAAATTCACTGCTAGCACAACCAGCATTCAAGAAAACCAGTGCACTAAACAAAACTACAACCAAGGACCCTCACAGAGTCCATTTCACTGCCCTACTATCTTCAGCAGAGCTGGTGATAGTATGCACAGCTGAGAGACCTGAAGACTGATCACATCACAGGACTCTTTGCAGACACTTCCCAGTACCAGCCCAGAGGCCAGTAGCTCTACTGGGGTGGCTAGACCCATAAGAGCAATAACAATCACTGCAGTCCAGCTCTCAGGAAGGCCCATCTTTAGGGGAAGGGGGCGAGCACCACATCAGGGGATCACCCTCTGAGACAGAAGAATCTGAACAGCAACCCTTGAGCCCCAGATCTTTCCTCTGACATGGTCTACCCAAATGAGAAGGAACCAGAAAAACAATTCTGGTAATATGACAAAGCAAGGTTCTTTAACATCCCCAAAAGATCACACTAGCTCACCAGCAATGGATCAAAACCAAGAAGAAATCTGAAGTGCCAGAAAAAGAATTCAGAGGTCAATTATTAAGCTACTCAAGGAGGCATCAGAGAAAGGTAAAAACCAACTTACATAATATTTTGTTGTTTTTGAGACAGAGTTTCACTCTGTCACCCAGGCTGGAGTGCAGTGGTACGATCTTGGCTCACTGCACCCTCTGCCTCCCGGGTTCAAGCAATTATCATGCCTCAGCCTCCCCAGTAGCTAGGACAACAGGTGTGCACCACCACACCCAGCTAATTTTTGTATTTTTAGTAGACATAGGGTTTCACCATGTTGGCCAGGCTGATATTAACTCCTGACGTCAGGTTATCCACCCACCTCAGCTCTGTAAAGGGCTGGGATTACAGGCGTGAGCTACCAAGCCCAGCCAATAAATTTTAAAAACAATACAGGATATGGACAAAAAAGTCTCCAGAGAAATAGATATCGTAAAGAAAAGACAATCATAACTTCTGGAAATAAAAGAAACACTTAGAGAAATATATAATACACTGTAAACTTACAACAATATAATTGAACAAGTAGAATAAAGAACTTCAGAGATCGAAGACAAGGCTTTCAAATTAATGCAATCTGACAAAGACAAAGAAAAAAGAATTTTTAGGATGGCTGAATAGGAACAGCTCCAGTCTACAGCTCCCAGCGTGAGCGATGCAGACGACGGGTGATTTCTGCATTTCCAACTGAGGTACCGGGTTCATCTCACTGGGTAGTGCTGGAGAGTGGGTGCAGGACAGTGGGTGCAGCGCACGGTGCATGAGCCAAAGCAGGGCGAGGCATCGCCTCACCCGTGAAGCGCAAGGGGTCAGGGAATTCCCTTTCCTAGTCAAAGGAACGGGTGACAGACGGCACCTGGAAAATTGGGTCACTCCCACCCTAATACTGCGCTTTTCCAATGGGCTTCACAAACGGCACACTAGGAGATTATATCCCGCACCTGTCTCGGAGGGTCATATGCCCACTGAGCCTTGCTCATTGCTAGCACAGCAGTCTGAGATCAAACTGCAAGGTGGCAGCGAGGCTGGGGGAGGGGTGCCCCCCATTGCCAAGGCTTCAGTAGGTAAACAAAGTGGCCGGGAAGCTCGAACTCGGTGGAGCCCACCACAGCTCAAGGAGGCCTGCCTGCCTCTGTAGGCTCCACCTCTGAGGGCAGGGCTAAGACAAACAAAAGGCAGCAGTAACCACTGCAGACTTAAATGTCCCTGTCTGACAGCTTTGAAGAGAGTAGTGGTTCTCCCAGCACACAACTTGAGATCTGAGAATGGGCAGACTGCCTCCTCAAGTGGGTCCCTGACCCCCGAGTAGCCTAACTGGGAGGCAGCCCCCAGTAGGGGCGGACTGACACCTCACATGGCAGGGTACTCCTCTGAGACAAAACTTCCAGAGGAACGATCAGGCAGCAGCATTTGCGGTTCACCAATATCTGTTGTTCTGCAGCCACCGCTGCTGATACCCAGGAAAACAGGGTCTGGAGTGGACCTCCAGCAATCTCCAACAGACCTGCAGCTGACGGTCCTGACTGTTAGAAGGAAAACTAACAAACAGAAAGGGCATCCACACCAAAAACCCATCTGTATGTCACCTTCATCAAAGACCAAAGGTAGATAAAACCACAAAAATGGGGAAAAACAGCAGAAAAACCAGAAACACTAAAAATCAGAGCGCCTCTCCTCCTCCAAAGGAACGCAGCTCCTCACCAGCAACAGAACAAAGCTGGATGGAGAACGACTTTGACGAGTTGAGAGAAGAAGGCTTCAGAAGATCAAACTACTCAGAGCTAAAGGAGGAAGTTCGAGCCAATGGCAAAGAAGTTAAAAACCTTGAAAAAAAAAATTAGACGAATGGCTAACTAGAATAACCAATGCACAAAAGTACTTAAAGGACCTGATGGAGCTGAAAACCATGGCACGAGAGCTGCATGACGAAGGCACAAGCCTCAGTAGCCGATGCGATCAATTGGAAGAAAGTGTATCAGCGATGGAAGATCAAATGAATGAAATGAAGCAAGAAGAAAAGTTTAGAGAAAAAAGAATAAAAAGAAATGAACAAAGCCTCCAACAAATATGGGACTATGTGAAAAGACCAAATCTACGTCTGATTGGTATACCTGAAAGTGACGGGGAGAATGGAACCAAGTTGGAAAACACTCTGCAGGATATTATCCAGGAGAACTTCCCCAATCTAGCAAGGCAGGCCAACATTCAAATTCAGGAAATACAGAGAACGCCACAAAGATGCTCCTCGAGAACAGCAACTCCAAGATACACAATTGTCAGATTCACCAAAGTTGAAATGAAGGAAAAAATGTTAAGGGCAGCCAGAGAGAAAGGTCGGGTTACTCACAAAGGGAAGCCCATCAGACTAACAGCAGATCTTTCAGCAGAAACTGTACAAGCCAGAAGAGAGTGGGGGCCAATATTCAACATTCTTAAAGAAAAGAATTTTCAACCCAGAATTTCATATCCAGCCAAACTGAGCTTCATAAGTGAAGGAGAAATAAAATCCTTTACAGACAAGCAAATGCTGAGAGATTTTGTCACCACCAGACCTGCCCTACCAGAGCTCCTGAAGGAAGCACTAAACATGGAAAGGAAAAACCAGTACAAGCCACTGCAAAAACATGCCAAATTGTAAAGACCATCGAGGCTAGGAAGAAACTGCATCAACTAATGAGCAAAATAACCAGCTAACATCATAATGACAGGATCAAATTCACACATAACAATATTAACCTTAAATGTAAATGGGCTAAATGCTCCAATTAAAAGACACAGACTGGCAAATTGGATAAAGAGTCAAGACCCATTAGTGTGCTGTATTCAGGAAACCCATCTCATGTGCAGAGACACACACAGGCTCAAAATAAAAGGATGGAGGAAGATCTACCAAGCAAATGGAAAACAAAAAAAGGCAGGGGTTGCAATCCTAGTCTCTGATAAAACAGACTTTAAACCAACAAAGATCAAAAGAGACAAAGAAGGCCATTATGTAATGGTAAAGGGATCAATTCAACAAGAAGAGCTAACTATCCTAAATATATATGCATCCAATACAGGAGCACCCAGATTCATAAAGCAAGTCCTTAGTGACCTACAAAGAGACTTAGACTCCCACACAATAATAATGGGAGACTTTAACACCCCACTATCAACATTAGACAGATAAACGCGACAGAAAGTTAACCCCAGCTCTGCACCAAGTGGACCTAATAGACATCTACAGAACTCTCCACCCCAAATCAACAGAATATACATTCTTTTCAGCACCACACCACACCTATCCCAAAATTAACCACATAGTTAGAAGTAAAGCACTCCTCAGCAAATGTAAAAGAACAGAAATTATAACAAACTCTCTCTCAGACCACACTGCAATCAAACTAAAACTCAGGATTAAGAAACTCACTCAAAACTGCTCAACTACGTGGAAACTGAACAACCTGCTCCTGAATGAGTATTGGGTACATAATGAAATGAAGGCAGAAGTAAAGGTGTTCTTTGAAACCAACGAGAACAAAGACACAACATACCAAAGTCTCTGGGACACATTCAAAGCAGTGTGTAGAGGGAAATTTATAGCACTAAATGCCCACAAGAGAAAGCAGGAAAGATCTAAAATTGACACCCTAACATCACAATTAAAAGAACTAGAGAAGCAAGAGCAAACACATTCAAAAGCTAGCAGAAGGCAAGAAATAACTAAGATCAGAGTAGTACTGAAGGAAATAGAGACACAAAAAACCCTTCAAAAAAATCAATGAATCCAGGAGCTGGTTTTTTGAAAATATCAAAAAAATTGATAGACTGCTAGCAAGACTAATAAAGAAGAAAAGAGAGAAGAATCAAATAGACTCAATAAAAAATGACAAAGGGGATATCACCGCCGATCCCACAGAAATACAAACCACCATCAGAGAATACTATAAACACCTCTATGCAAATAAACTAGAAAATCTAGAAGAAATGGATAAATTCCTCAACACATACACCCTCCCAAGACTAAACCAGGAAGAAGTTGAATCCCTGAATAGACCAATAACAGGCTCTGAAATTGAGGCAATAATTAATAGCTTACCAACCAAAAAAAGTCCAGGACCAGATGGATTCATATCCAAATTCTATGAGAGGTACAAGGAAGAGCTGGTACCATTCCTTCTGAAACTATTCCAATCAATAGAAAAAGAGGGAATCCTCCCTAACTCATCTTATGAGGCCAGCATCATCCTGATACCAAAGCCTGGCAGAGACACAAAAGAAATGAGAATTTTAAACCAATATGCTTGATGAACACTGATGCAAAAATCCTCAATAAAATACTGGCAAACCGAATCCAGCAGCACATCAAAAAGCTTATCCACCATGATCAAGTGGGCTTCATCCCTGGGAAGCAAGGCTGGTTCAACATACGAAAATCAATAAACGTAATCCAGCATATAAACAGAACCAAAGACAAAAACCACATGATTATCTCAATAGATGCAGAAAAGGCCTTTGACAAAATTCAACAACCCTTCATGCTAAACACTCTCAATAAATTAGGTATTGATGGGATTTATCTCAAAATAATAAGAGCTATCTATGACAAACCCACAACCAATATCATACTGAATGGACAAAAACTGGAAGCATTCCCTTTGAAAACTGGCACAAGACAGGGATGCCCTGTCTCACCACTCCTATTCAACATAGTGTTGGAAGTTCTGGCCAGGGCAATGAGGCAGGAGAAGGAAATAAAGGGCATTCAATTAGGAAAAGAGGAAGTCAAATTGTCCCTGTTTGCAGATGACATGATTGTATATCTAGAAAACCCCATCGTCTCAGCCCAAAATCTCCTTAAGCTGATAGGCAACTTCAGCAAAGTCTCAGGATACAAAATCAATGTGCAAAAATCACAAGCATTCTTATACACCAATAACAGACAAACAGAGAGCCAAATCATGAGTGAACTCCCATTCACAATTGCTTCAAAGAGAGTAAAATACCTAGGAATCCAACTTAGAAAGGAAGTGAAGGACCTCTTCAAGGAGAACTACAAACCACTGCTCAATGAAATAAAAGAGGATACAAACAAATGGAAGAACATTCCATGCTCATGGGTAGGAAGAATCAATGTCATGAAAATGGCCATACTGCCCAAGGTAATTTATAGATTCAATGCCATCCCCATCAAGCTACTAATGACTTTCTTCACAGAATTGGAAAAAACTACTTTAAAGTTCATATGGAACCAAAAAAGAACCCACATTGCCAAGTCAATCCTAAGCCAAAAGAACAAAGCTGGAGGCATCACACTACCTGACTTCAAGCTATACTACAAGGCTACAGTAACCAAAACAGCATGGTACTGGTACCAAAACAGAGATATAGACCAATGGGACAGAACAGAGCCCTCAGAAATAATGCCGCATATCTACAGCTATCTGATCTTTGACAAACCTGAGAAAAACAAGCAATGGGGAAAGGATTCCCTATTTAATAAATGGTGCTGGGAAAACTGGCTAGCCATATGTAGAAAGCTGGAAGTGGGTCCCTTCCTTACACCTTATACAAAAATTAATTCAAGATGGATTAAAGACTTAAATGTTAGACCTAAAACCATAAAACCCCTAGAAGAAAACCTAGGCAATACCATTAAGACATAGGCATGGGCAAGGACTTCATGTCTAAAACACCAAAAGCAATGGCAACAAAAGCCAAAATTGTCAAATGGGATCTAATTAAACTAAAGAGCTTCTGCACGGCAAAAGAAACTACCATCAGAGTGAACAGGCAACCTACAGAATGGGAGAAATTTTTTGCAGTCTACTCATCTGACAAAGGGCTAATATCCAGCATCTACAATGCACTCAAACAAATTTACAAGAAAAAACAAACAACCCCATCAAAAAGTGGGCGAAGGATATGAACAGACACTTCTCAAAAGAAGACATTTATGCAGCCAAAAGACACATGAAAAAATGCTCATCATCACTGGCCATCAGAGAAATGCAAATCAAAACCACAATGAGATACCATCTCACACCAGTTAGAATGGCGATCATTAAAATGTCAGGAAACAACAGGTGCTGGAGAGGATGTGGAGAAATAGGAACACTTTTACACTGTTGGTGGGACTGTAAACTAGTTCAACCATTGTGGAAGTCAGTGTGGTGATTCCTCAGGGATCTAGAACTGGGAATACCATTTGACCCAGCCATCCCATTACTGGGTATATACCCAAAGGATTATCAAACATGCTGCTATAAAGACACATGCACACGTACATTTATTTCGGCACTATTCACAATAGCAAAGACTTGGAACCAACCCAAATGTCCAACAATGATAGACTGGATTAAGAAAATGTGGCACATATACACCATGGAATACTATGCAGCCCTAAAAAATGATGAGTTCATGTCCTTTGTAGGGACATGGATGAAGCTGGAAACCATCATTCTCAGCAAACTATCGCAAGGAGAAAAAACCAAACACCGCATGTTCTCACTCATAGGTGGGAATTGAAGAATGAGAACACATGGACACAGGAAGGGGAACATCACACACTGGGGCCTGTTGTGGGGTGGGGGAAGGGGGGAGGGATAGCATTAGGAGATACACCTAATGTTAAATGACGAGTTAATGGGTGCAGCACACCAACATGGCACATGTGTACATATGTAACAAACCTGTATGTTGTGCACATGTACCCTAAAACTTAAAGTATAATAATAATAAAATTAAAAAAATAAAATAAAATAAAAATAAAAAATAAAAAGAATTTTTAAAAATGAACATAGCCTCCAAGAAGTTGGGGATTACGTTAAACAACCAAACCTAAGAATAATTAAGAATGGCCAGGTGCTGTGACTCATGCCTATAATCCCAGCACTTTGGGAGGCCGAGGGGGCTGGATCACTTGAGGTCAGGAGTTCAAGACCAGCCTGGCCAACATGTTGAAACCCCGTATCTACTAAAAATACAAAAATTAGCTAGGTGTGGTGGCACACGCCAGTAATACTAGCTACTTGGGATGCTGAGGCTGGAGAATCGCTTGAATCTAGAAGGCAGAGGTTGCCTTGAGCCAAGATCATGCCACTGCACTCACTCCACCCTGGGTGACAGAGTGAGACTCTGTCTCAAAAAAAAAAGAATTAAGAATAATTGGTGTTCCCGGGCCAGGCGCAGTGGCTCACGCCTGTATTCCCAGCACTTTGGGAGGCCGAGACAGGTGGATCACCTGAGGTCACGAGTTCAAGAGCAACCTGGCCAGCATGGTGAAACCCCATCTCTAGTAAAAATACAAAAAGGAGGCTGAGGTATGAGAATGGCTTGCCTCTCTGGGAGGCAGAGGTTGCAGTGAGCCAAGAACATACCACTGCACTCCAGCCTGGGTGCCAGAATAATTGGTGTTCCCTAGGAAGAAGAAAAGTCTAAAAGTTTGGAAAACTTATTTCGGGGAATAATCAAGGAAACCATCCCTGGCCTTGCTAGAGATCTAGACATCCAAATACAAGAAGCTCAAAGAACACCCAGGAAATTCATCGCAAAAAGATCATGAAACTAGATCTTGAAACAAATCCTTGAAATACACCAAAACAGAACCTCCTTAAAGCATAAATCTCACAGGGCCTGTAAAACAATGACACAATGGGGTGGGGGTGGAGGGGGGGAGCCCAAGGTATTCAGGCAACAACTAGCACAATTAATAGAATAGTACCTCACATCTCAATACTGACGTTGACTGTAAATGGCCTAAATGCTGCGCTTAAATGTTACAGATTGGCAGAATGAATAAGAATTCATCAACCAAGTATCTGCTGTCTTCAGGAGACTCACCTAACACATAAGGATTCACATAAACTTAAGGTAAAGCGGTGCAAAAAGATAGTCCATGTAAATGGACACCAAAAGTGAGCAGGAGTAGCTATCCTTGTATCAGAAAAAAACAGACTTTAAAGCAACAACAGTTAAAAGAGACAAACAGGGACATTATATAATGATGAAAGGACTAGTCCAACAGGAAGATACCACAATCCTAAATATGTATGCACCTAACACTGCAGCTCCCAAACTTTTGAAACAATTACTACTATACCTAAGAAGTTAGATAGACCACAACACAATATAGGGGAACTTCATTACTCCACTGACAGCACTAGACAGGTCATAAAGACAGAAAGTCAACAAAGAATCAATGGACTGAAACTATACCCTAGAATAAATGGACATAACAGATATGTACATAACATTCTGCAGTTGTACCCTAGAACAAATGGACTTAACAGATATTTAGAGAACATTCTACCCAACAACTACAGAATATACATTATATTCATCAGCACATGGAACATTCTCTAAGGTAGACCATATGATGGGCCACAAAACAAGCCTTAATAAATTTCAGAAAATCGAATGTTTTTGTTTTTGTTTTTGAGACAGGGTCTCACTTTGTCACCCACACTGGAGTGCAGTGGCAGAGTCTTGACTCACCACAACCTCTGCCTCCTGGGTTCAAGCAATTCTCCTGCCTCAGCCTCCCATGTAGCTGAGATTACAGGCATGCGCCACCACTCCCAGCTAATTTTTGTATTTTTAGTAGAGATGGGGTCTCACTATATTGGCTAGGCTGATCTTGAACTTTGGTCCTCAAGTGATCCACCTGACTTTGCCTCCCGAAATGCTAGGATTACAGGCTTGAGCCACTGAGCCCAGCCAAAAAAATCACATTGTATCAAGTACTCTCTCAGACCACAGTGGAATGAAATTATAAATCAACTCCATGGCCGGGCACAGTGGCTCACGCCAGTAATCCCAGCACTGTGGGAGGCTGAGGGGGGTAGATCACAAGTTCAGGAGTTCAAGACCGGCCTGGCCAACATGGTGAAACCCCGTCGCTACTAAAACTGCAAAAATTAGCCGTGCGCAGTGGCAGGCACCTATAATCCCAGCTGCTTGGGAGGCTGAGGCAGGAGAATCACTTGAACCTGGGCGGCAGAGGCTGCAGTGAGCCGAGATCACGCCACTACACTCCAGCCTTGGCGACAGAGTGAGACTCCGTCTTAAAAACAAAAAAAGAAATCAACTACAAAAGAACCCTCAAAACCATGCAAATACATGAAAATTAAATAGTCTGTTCCTGAATGATCACTGAGTCAACAATAAAATCAAGATTGAAATTTATAGATTCTTTGAACTGAATGATAATAGTGACACAGCCCATCAAAACCTCTAGGATACAGCAAAAACAGTGCTAAGAGGAAAGATCATAGCATTAAATGCCGGCATCAAAAACTGTGAAAGAGCACTAATAAGACAATCTAAGGTCATACCTCAAGAAACTAGAGAAACAAGAACAAACCAGACCCAAACCCAGCAGAAGAAAAGAAATAACAAAAGTCAGAGCAGAAGTAAATGAAATTGAAACAACACACACACACACACACACACACACACACACACACGATAAATGAAGCAGAAACAAGTTCTTTAAAAATATAAACAAAGTTGATAGACTATTAGTGAGGCTAACCAAGAAAAGAAGAGAGAAGATCCAAGTAGGCTCAATTAGAAATGAAAAAGGAGATACTACAACCAATACCACAGAAATACAAAAGATTATTTAAGGCTGCTGTTAACACCTTTATGTGCACAAACTAGAAAACCTAGAAGACATGGATAAATTCCTGGAAATATACAACACTCCTAGATTAAACCAGGAAGAAATAGAGACTCTGAACAGACCAATAACAAGCAGCAAGATTGAAATGGTAATTTAAAAATTGCCAACAAAAGAAAGTTCAGGACCAGATGGATTCACAACTGAATTGGTACCAATTCTATTGAAACTGTTCCGAAAGATAAAGTGGGAATCCTCCCTAAATCATTATATGAAGGCAGTATCACCCTAACACCAAAACCAGGAAAGGATATAACAAAAAATGAAAACTACAGACCAATATTTCTAATGAACACAGATGCAAAAATCCTCAACAAAATACTAGCTAACCAAATCCAACAGTATATCAAAAAGATAATCCACCATGATCAAGTGGGTTTCATATTAGGGATGCTGGGATAGCTTAACACACACAAGCCAATAAATGTGATACACCACCTAAATAGAATTAAAAACAAAAATTACATGATCATCTCAATAGATGCAGAAAAGGCATTTGACAAAATCCAGCATCCTTTTGTGATTAAAACCCTCAGCAAATCATCATAGAGGGGACATATTTTAAGGTAATAAAAGCCATCTATGACAAACCCACAGCGAACATTATACCAAATGGGGAAAAGTTGAAAGCATTCCCCCCTGAGAACTGGAACAAGGCAAGGATGCCCACTTCACCACTTCTATTCAACATAGTACTGAAAGTCCTAGCCAGAGCAGTCAGACAAGAGAAAGAAATAAAGGGCATCCATGTCAGCAAAGAGAAAGTCAAACTGTCATGGTTTGCCAATGATAAGATCGTATACCCAGAAAACCCTAAAGACTCATCCAGAGAGCTCCTAGATCTGATAAATGAATTCAGTAAAGTTTCAGGATACAAAATCGATGTACACAAATCAGTAACATTGCTATACACTAACAGTGACCAAGCCAAGAATCAAGTCAAGAACTCAAGCTCTTTTATAATAGCTGCAAAAAAAAAAAAAAAAAAGGAAAGAAATATACCTAACCAAGGACCTGAAAGACCTCTACGAGGAAAACTACAAAACACTGCTGAAGGAAATCACAGACGACACTAACAAATGGAAACACGTCAACACATCCCATGCTCATGGATTGGTAGAATCAATATTGTGAAAATAACCATATGGCCAAAAGCAATCAACAAATTCAATGCAATTCCCATCAAAATAACCATCATCATTCTTCACAGAAGTAGAAAAAACAATCCTAAAATTCATATGGAACCAAAAAAGACTCATCATAGCCAAAGCAAGACTAAGCAAAAAAGAACAAATCCAGGGGTATCACATTACATGACTTTGAACTGTACTGTAAGGTTATAGTCACCAAAACAGCATGGTACTTGTATAAAAATGGGCACATAGACTAATGGTACAGAATAGAGAACCCAGAAATAAAGCCAAATATTTACAGCCAACTGATCTTCAACAAAGCAAACAGAAAGATAAAGTGGGGAAAGAACACTCTATTCAATAAATGGTGCTGGGATAATTGGCAAGCCACATGTAGAAGAATGAAACTGGATCCTCATCTCTCACCTTATGCATAAATCAACTCAAGATGGATCAAACACTTAAATCTGACCTAAAACCATAAAAATTCTAGAGGATAACATTGGACAACCCCTTCTAGATATTGGCCTAGGCAAAGAGTTCATGACCAAGAACCCAAAAGCAAATGCAACAAAAACAAAGATAAATAGATGAGACTTAAATAAATGTAAAAGCTTCTGCACAGCAAAAGGAGCAGTCAGCAGAGTAAACAGACAACCCACAGAGTGGGAGAAAATCTTCACAAACTATGCCTCCAACAAAGGACTAATAGCCAGAATCTACAAGGAACTCAAACAAGTCAGCAAGAAAAAAATAATAATAATAATCCCATCAAAAAGTGGGCTAAGGACATGAATAGACAATTCTCAAAAGAAGATATGCAAATGGCCAAAAAAAATGAAAAAATGCTCATCATCACGTATTATCAGGGAAATGCAAATTAAAACCACAGTGCGATACCACCTTATTCCTGTAAGAATGGCTATCATTTAAAAATCAAAAAATAAGGCCGAGTGCAGTGGCTCACGCCTGTAATCCCAACACTTTTAGGAGGCCAAGGCAGGCAGATCACTTGAGGCCAGGAGTTTGAGACCAGTCTGGCCAACATGGTGAAACCCCGTCACTACCAAAAATACAAAAATTAGCCGGGTGTAGTGGTGTGTGCCTGTAGTCCCAGATACCTGGGAGGTTGAGGAAGGAGAATTGCGTGAACCTGGGATGTGGAGGTTGTTGTGAGCCGAGATTGTACCACTGCACTCCAGCCTGGGTGGCAAAGCCAGACTCCCTCTCAAAAAGAAAAAGAAAATGGAAAGGCGTAAGAATGATACAATGGGACTTTGGGAACTTGGGGAAAGGGTGAGAGGGGTGTAAGGGATAAAAGACTACACATTGGATGCAGTGTACACTGCCCAGGTGATGGGTGCACCATAATCTCAGAAATCACACCTAAAGAACATATCCATGTAACCAAACACCACCTGTTCCCCCAAAAACCTAATAAAATAAAAATAAATAATAAAACAATGGAACATTTTTTAAAATAATGATGATAAATAGTAAAGGAATGAACCAAAAATAATCAATGTTACCAGTACAAAGTCAACTATTGGAGAATCTCTGATAATTAGGACAATTACTTTTCTTCTATATCATTATTTTTGTTGCTTTGTAATGTATGTTGAGAATACAATGGATGAAAATAAACAAATTCTTCAGATTTGTGATCAGCATAATATTCTCCTAGAAAAAAAACAGTTACATGTGTTACATATGGTCTAGCCATCTCTCAATTCAAGTACATTACAACAGGCACATCAAAACAATGCCTTATTTTTAGAAGAAACCATTTTGGGAGAAATGCCAGTTATTTTTCTATGAAAAGGATTAAAGCCAACCCATAATTTAAAATTTCTTATCTCTAGAGGGATGGCAGCATTCCTTCGTGCCTTAACAACTTTCCAGAAGGCAAATTACTTTAAACACGTTTTCCTTATGCACAAAGTGTGTTTCCTCTTTAATTGCCTCAGCAGCTTAGCACAGGTGGAATCCTATTTATAATATTCAGTGAGGTATAATGAGGCCACTGCAATATTCCCTGCTGCACAGGGTCTGGGAAGATATGAGACTGAAGAGTGCTTCTTCTTGTGCCAGTTCTGTAGTTTCGGAAAGGATCTCTGGCTCTGAATTGGGGACACTCTGCCTCCTCTTCATTAGCAGGAAAGTCAGCAATAATCAATACAGTGCAAATAAAATAATAATGTTACCATTTTAGAGGATGAAAGAGTATATTAACTATATGGAGATGTGGCATGGAGGAAGGCTTTATTAAAGATAAGGAAATAATCCACTTGAGTGTTGTAAGGTTTTTGAGGTGGCAAGAATGGGTAGGTTGGAATCACAAATAGAGGAGTTTACCATAGAAAAAGAAGAAATAACCTCTTTGCCAGGCGCGGTGGCTCATGCCTGTAATCCCAGCACTTTGGGAGGCCAAGGCGGGTGGATCACCTGAGGCCGGGAGTTCGAGACCAGCCTGACCAACATGGAGAAACCCCGTTTCTACTAAAAATACAAAATTAGCCAGGCGTGGTGTTGCATGCCTGTAATCCCAGCTGCTCAGGTGGCTGAGGCAGGAGAATTGCTTGAACCCAGGAGGCAGAGATTGCAGCGAGCCAAGAGTGCACCGTGGCACTCCAGCCTAGGCAACAAGAGCAAAACTCTGTCTCAAAAAAAAAAAGAAAAGAAAAGAAAAAAAGAAGAAATAACCTCTCTTGTTACAAAAGGAAAGGAAGTGAGGATGAGTAAAGTAAGGAAAGGTGGCCGGGTGCGGCGGCTCACGCCTGTAATCCCAGCACTTTGGGAGGCCGCGGTGGGTGGATCACGAGGTCAAGAGATCGAGACTATCCTGGCCAACATGATGAAACCCCGTTTCTACTAAAAATACAAAAAATTAGCCGGGCGTGGTGACAGGCGCCTGTAGTCCCAGCTACTCAGGAGGCTGAGGCAGGAGAATGGCGTGAACCCGGGAGGCGGAGCTTGCAGTGAGCTGAGATCGCGCCACTGCACTCCAGCCTGGGCGACAGAGCGAGACTCCGTCTCAAAAGCAAACAAACAAACAAAACAAACAAGGAAAGGTAACAGAATTCTCAGATGTGATTCTGTTTTCTTTGGGCAAGGGGTGGTTTGAAAGCCAGGAGTCATAGGTTATGATTTCAAAGGAAGTGGAAGAGGTTGAAATAGTTTTTGCATTTTACTGGAGAAATATGCTAATAATAAGAGCTAATACTTTTATAATGTTCACTATGTGCCAATCACTAATCCAAGCATATTTCATGGACTAACTTATTTAATTTTCACCACAACCCTATGCGGTGTAGGTACTTTTATCTTATTTTATAGATGAGAAAATTAAAGCACAGAGATTAAGTGACTTTCTCAATGTCTCTCACATTGTAAGTGATGGAGCTAGGATTCAAACCCAGACTGTCTGGCTCCACAGTCCATGTGCTTAGCCATCATTCAACAAAGATAGCTTAATAGACATAATATTTGTTAGTGACCATGGATTAATGTGTTACCTGTTTTTCTATTAGTGATTTTTTTTAAGGGTCAGGGTCTCGCTCTTGTTGCCCAGGCTGGAGTGCAGTGGTGTGATCATGGCTCACTGCATCCTCTAACTTCCGGGCTCAAGCAGTCCTCCCACCACAGCCTCCTGACTAGCTGGGACTACAGGCATGAGCCATCATGCCTGGCTTCCTATTAGTGATTTTTCAACATCCCTAAATAGGCATGGAAAAGATACAGACTTTAAAGTCTGTACATTCTGTGTATTTTGATTTTTAACACCCAAATAAGGTGTATTCTGTACTTTAGTAGGACAAAGTTGATTATCTTATTGTCATGACTAGTGGATGGAGTTTAGAAATAAATCAAGAATGTTTTTAAAAATTGAATTCAGTTTTTTTTTTTTTTTTAGACAGAGTCTCGCTCTGTCACCAGGCTGGAGTGCAGTGGCATGATCTTGGTTCACTGCAACCTGTAACCTCTACCTCCCGGCTTCAAGTGATTCCCCTGCCTCAGCCTCCCAACTAGCTGGGACTACAGGTGTGCATCACCACGCCCAGCTAGTTTTTTTGTATTTTAGTAGAGATGGGGTTTCACCATGTTAGCCAGGATGGTCTCGATCTCCTGACCTCGTGATCCACCTGCCTCAGCCTCCCAAAGTGCTGGGATTACAGGCGTGAGCCACCGTGCCTGGCCTGAATTCAGTTTTAAAAGAATTAGATTAGCTGTTTTGTTTGTTTGAGACAGGGTCTCACTCTGTCACCCAGGCTGGAGTGCAGTGGCACAATCACAGCTCACTGCAGCCTCAACCTCCCAGGCTCAAGCAATCCTTCTGCCCCAGCCTCCCAAGTAGCTGGGAATATAGGCACATGCCACCACACCCGGCTAATTTTTAAATTTTTTGTAGATACAGGCACCCACTATGTTGCCCAGTCTTGTCTCAAACTCCTGGGCTTGAGCAGTCCTCCTGCCCCAGCCTCCCAAAGTGCTGGGATTATAAACATGTGTCGCTGTGTCTGGCCTAGATTAGCTGTTTTGATCAGTGACTTTTATGATCAAACCTCCATGAAAATAACTTTTTTAAAGCTCATAATACTATTGGCTTTACTTTGTCAAAATTTGGGTAAATTTTGGGTAAATGGAATTAGGTCATTCACAGGAATGTTCTCATGTATCCTTGCCAAATTGATAGATTGATTGATAATGATTGCCTTATTATAACTTGTTCTGAAAACCTTATGGAAAGATTTAGGATCCCAGGGTTTTTTTGTAAAACTATGCTGGTTAAGATATTAAATTGGAATTGCCTTCTTCACAAGGTATTGTATCCCATCTACTTTTCAGCATGCTGCTTGTGGAACTCCATCAGTGTCAAAAGATTAAATGTATTAGAGGTATTAGATTTGTATTTGCAGATATATTTATAAGGAAGTAAAATACTCCTTGAGATAAGAAAATAATACTTTTGATAGTTCACTGGAACCATCTTTTGAAGTGAAACTAGTGTTTCTTTGGGAAAATTTGGGCATGAGGCTCTGTAAAAATGTTCAAAGCCCTGACATTATGGTATGGAAACTGCCAGTCTTCTCCTGAAGGCTGTCTCCTACCAGATTTGGAAATGTTTACTAACAGATTTGAAAATGTTTTTTCAGGCTAATGAAAAAGTTTCTAAATTAAAAACTATTGGCAAAGGGGGAAGGGATACCGGAAGACAATGTCTAGCCTTCCTTTTGTGGTGAGCTGCAGAAGCTAGGTGGGGAGTAAATAAACAATGCATATTCTCCTTTACTTTGGTACTTGGCTCTGCTTATTTAAGATAATTTTAAAGGATAGTAAGTAAATCAACTATCACAAAATAAATAAGTTATTAAGGAACAGTATAAGGTGAGCTAGATAAATGAATAAAAATAAGAGAGTATATCAACTGATGGGTAAATAAAATGCATATATATTCATACAATGGAATATTATTTGACATTAAAAAAGAAATGAAGTGCTGATGTATGCTACAACATGGATTGGAAACCATTACACTAAGTTAAAGAAGCTGTCTCAGAAAACACATATTATATGATTCCATTTATATGGAACGTCCAAAAGAGTCAAATCCATAGAGACAGAAAGTTAATTAATGTTTACCTAGAGCTGAAATGATGGGCAACTGGGGTGTGACAGCTGAGAGGTAAAGGAATCCTTTTTAGGGTAATGAAAAGGTCCTAACATTGTTAGGTTGTGATTTTTGTGATGATACACAATTCTGCAAATGTACTAAAAGCCATTGAATTGTACACTTTAAAAGAGTGAATTTTATGGTATGTGAATTGTATCCCAGTGAAGCTATTTTTTAAAAAAGAGAGAGAACCCAGGTTCTTCTGTCTTCTGTTGTCTGACCCAGTTCACTGCTTGCCCTCAACAGCTCCTATTATAGCCCCAAGATGACTGCTGCATTCCGGGATATCAGATATCAAGTGCAGCCTATAATGTCCAAAGCAAGGAAAAGTGTTCCTAAGAGTGCCTTTGTCAGGGAGGATGTTTTTTTGAAACCCCCAGCAGACTCCTCAGGTGTCATATTAGTCAGAATCATTTGCAGGGGAAAGGAAAATGCTAGGTTTGCTTAGACCAATCACAATTTACCTGTGACTAAGAAGACATTAAAAGAGCTTTAAAAAAAAAAAGAGCTTAAAAGGTCATGCGATACCTGAACAAAACTATCATTTGATTGGGTTCTGAGGACTTCAGGACTTAAAGGGAAGCTTCCTTTGTGCTCACACTCTCTTAGCTGCAAGTTATAGCTGTTAAAGAAAAGATTATTCTGACTTGTTAAAACAGTAGGGAAGACTACTCAAGACTATTGCAGTAGAGGTCAACTCTTTTGCAATAGACGAGAGAGGTTGAGCTCAATTCCAAACACAAGGACAAGTAGAGATTTATAGCCAGCAAGTAGGTTGAGAGAGTTGATGAATGGAAAATTACTAAGAGGAGACATCAAGGGTAAGGGGATTCTTGCTAAAGACAGGCCAAGGGTTTATACATCAAAGGTACGGAATAAGGAACTAGATCCAATATCAAGAGTGGGGGGATTTTCACTGAAATGACTTAGTGGGGTTCCTATAAGACTGGGCTATGCAGGCCTGGCAAGGACAGGATGGACACTGAAGGCCAAGGTGAGGGCTTAGTTGCAAAGAGGGCTCAGGGGAGCCTAACTAAAGTTAGGTCAAAGGAGAGTCTTTGTCATAGCTCAGGTTTGAAGTTTTTGTCTTTCTTTTTTTTCTTTCTTATTATTTGTTTAAAAGCCAACAATTTGAAATCAAATAACTTTTAACAGGTCTTTAGTGCAATACAGATTTTTCTTTAACTACTTTTACTTCAGAAAGTAAGATGTGTACATCTTCACTGAAAAAAAAATCATGAATATTCTCTTCATTGTTGTATTTTATTTAATTTATTTATTTATTTTTTGAGATAGTTTTACTCTTGTTGCCCAGGCTGGAGTGCAATGGTGTGATCTCAGCTCACCGCAACCTCTGCCTCCCGGGCTCAAATGATTCTCCTGCCTCAGCCTCCCGAGTAGCTGGGACCACAGGCATGTGCCATCACACCCGGCTAATTTTGTATTTTTAGTAGAGATGGGGTTTCTCCGTGTTGGTCAAGCTGGTCTCGAACTCCTGACCTCAGGTGATCCACCCACCTTGGCCTCCCAAAGTGCTGGGATTACAGGCATGAGCCCCCACGCCTGGCCTGCATTTTTTTAAATAAGATATAATGTATAGTCTTCATTAATTACTTAAATTAGATCTTCGACTAACAGGCTTATTACTAACAGATCAATTCTAGTAAAATAAAATAGAGTTTTGAATACATGCATTTTCTGCAACTTCTGTGAAACCTGAACCGACACTACCAAGATGCTGATTATTATGAGGACCTGCTATTCCACATACTATGTACTTAAGATCGTTTGGAAGCAAATTCCTGTTCAGATAATTTAAAATCTGATGATGCAGTGATAGTTTTTATTAGGATAAAATCAAAATAGTTAAAATGCATGCATAGTACATTTTAAAATGAAAATCTATGTAATCCCCATCTTAAGAACCTAAGAGAATCCCAAAAGTTCATTTGTTACTTTTGATGTTTTGGTATTCCCAACACATTTTCTCCTAAAAAGCAATATCACAAATGATGGTTAAATTGCTTTGTTAGTCCTAAGAGCCTATTTAGTCAGTTATGTAATTGAACTTTATAATAATGTTAGTAACCGTAAACCTTTTTGAAGCACTAGTGGAAAGGAGTGGGAAAAGGGGGGCTTGAACTTTGGCATTGGCATCTCTGGTTGTGATGGAAGCAGGTGATATCAGTGGAGGAGACTCTAAGAAAAATTGCTCACTTGGGAAGAGGAGGGGGAATCCATCCGAGACTAGAGGTTTAGCAATTATATAGTTTGTAAGTCTGGACTGGATAGTAATGAATGTACCTTAAAAGTACTCCATCTTGACATGTACATTTTGAAAGGCTTATCACAGTAAATATAGCTCTTTAGGCAAATATGCACTTTATTAAAGTGGTTCAGTTGCCATGACAACATATCCAGAATTTATAGCTCCTTATTTTGACAGTACTTCACTTCCACTTTCCAAGGCACTGAAATCCAAGGCTAAAGTTCTTAACAGCCCCTACTCTCATTGTATGATGAATTTCTGTGGTTTAGAAAACTTAGACATGCAAAATGTAGTTTGCAGAATCTGTCATGTGACTTTATAGTCATATGTATGAATTTTAAGTAGGTATTTTTCAGTTTTGAAATGCCTCCTTTTTAATTTTTTATTATTGCCAAAGCTACATAGTATCATAGTTTAATGACCAGAGATCCAAAAAATAACAGTCCCCTAACCTTATTTCTCAAAGGCAACAACCTTCTTTTCTTTCAGCTGATTTTTTTTTTAGTATTTACTTCAAATCCCTCAACACCATACTTATATTGCTGCTTTGTTTGTATTACTATTTGCTTTGTAATTTTAGCTGTCATCAATTGGCTTCTTAATACGGAAGATTAAATTTTAGCCCTGTCCCCTATTGCCCCACTCTCACACACATATCTTCCTGTTATTTCCATCCTTCCATGAAAGTCATAATCATAGTTTTACTGATTATATAGGAACTTATTACCAATTTTGGCTTGATCAGTATTCACCATGTTTATTATTAGAACCATATTTATAACATTTACAGGTGAAACATGGTATGCTATGGATACGTTTTCTTCCACAACTCATTTTATTTTCTTTGGCATTAATAATTATAAAGGTTTTTCTTTTCTTCTTTTATTAGTTTTCTGTGTAGTTGTCACTAATCCATCCTCAAAGTTTCCCCTAGTTATTTAACCTCCTCCCAATATCTTTAAACATTAAGCATTGTATTAATCTCATCTTCTTAAAGAAATTTCACCTGATTCCTTCTGATTAGCTCCAGTCTGAACTGTTACTCTTTAGGCCTGCTGCAGAGCTCTCATCCTGGAGATTTTTACCTCTTTCCTTTATATATTATTTTCTTTCTTTGTTTACTTCCTTGTTTTGTTGGAGCATTTTGTCCAGTAGCCTCCCAAGAAATGGTATATTGGAAGCAAATTATTTGCATTCCTTGCATATTTGAAAATATTACTATTCTATCTGATTTTTAATTAGCTGGATATAAAAATGGGGAAATCATTTTCTCTCATTTCTGGTATTGGTATTGAGAAATCCAATACAATTCAGAATTGTTATTCTATTTTGATTCTATGAAATCTTTTCTTCGCTTTTCTGGAAGCTTATAGAATCATTTCTTTGTCCCAGTGTTCTAAAATTTCTTGATAATGAGCCTCGTTCTGGGTCTATTTTCATTCAATGTGAAAGACACGTAGTGGGTCTTTTCCATTTTTCATTTTGGAAACTCATGCCCTTCAGTTATGTAGAACTTTATTTCTTTGATGATTTTTGTTAGTTTTCTCTGTTTGTTTTCTGAGACTTTTATTATTCATATATTTTCATATATTGCCCTCATGACCTGATCCCCTACCTAATTATTTTACATTTTATATTTGTTTTTTTTTTTTGTTTTTTTTTTGAGACAGAGTCTCACTGTTGCCCAGGCTGGAGAGCAGTGGTGTAATCTCGGCTCACTGCAACCTCCACCTCCCAGGTTCAAGCGATTCTCCTGCCTCAGCCTCCCAAGTAGCTGGGATTACAGGCACGTGCTACCACACCCAGCTAATTTTTGTATTTTTAGTAGAGACGGGGTTTCACCGTGTTGGCCAGGCTGTTCTTGAACTCCTGACCTTAAGTGATCTGCCCGCCTTGGCTTCCCAAAGTGCTTGGATTACAGGCGTGAGCCCCCGCACCTGGCCTATATTTTATATTTTCTGTTTACTTTCTGGGAGATTTCCTTAGCTTAATAACCAATGAATTATCCATTTCTGCTATTATATTTTTCATTTCTGATAGTACTGTTTTTCTTCTTTATATCTGTTTTTTTTGTAGCATACTGATCTTGTTTTATAAATGCAATCTCTTCCAGTTTTCTTAGCTCTGTATATGTGATCCGTTCATACATGTTGCTTTCTACAAATATCTATTGATCTTTGGTTGGTTGCTTATATTTACAAGAAAGACACTAACCACTGACTAGAAGCTCTGCGCATGTATACAATTTATAGACTGTGGCCTTCAATAAATGGTGATCTGAATGGGATGTCTCCCTGGGAAACCCCTGATAGCAGTATCTTTAGTTTTTTCTCTTGGCTGGTCAGATTCCTTAGAAAAGAATCACTTTATATGATTCTGCTCTCTTGCCTGAAGGACATAAGCCTGTTTCTGTTTTGGGAAGTATAGGGGAAAGAAGGCTGGGACAGAGGGGCAGATCTCAGCATTTATTTTGTAACTTTCATGTAATCCCCATGAGTTTTGTAGGATATACCTATCATCAATATAGGATTCCTCCATCCAAATACCCTCTATTTTATCCACTCCAGAGAATAAGTCTGTAGTTTTCTACCAGAATGGTTATGGTAGTTACCTATTATATGGAATAGGTAGAGAGAAGGTAAATAGCAGTATTGCACATAATCAACTACTTAAACATTATTTCAGCAGGTCCTCCTAACCACACTCCTACCCCCCATTCCAGAGGTGTCATTTTCTGAACCTTTTTAGGTGACTGCAACGTAAATCAAGTGCTTCTCCACTTTCCATAGCCAGTTTAGGATCTGTGAGATTGGTTAATCAGTTATCAGTCATTATCTGCTTTTTAGCTTCCAAAGTTTTGTTGCTATTGACTTTTCTCCAGTTCTCTTTGTCCCTTTACACTTGCTATCTTTTAAACATAGCATTGAGAAGGAGCAGAAGTTAAATGTGGTCAGCCTGGTATCTTTTTCCACAATTTCTACATAACCAGTTTTTAAAAGTTAAAAGATACATAGATTTTAAACTTAATTCATGCTATCCTCTTTAATTCGTATTTGCTTCATATCAAATTGATTTTTCACTCTTAGTAAGTAACTTGGCCTCAAGTTACCTGTTAATCTGAACTTTTTAAATTTTCTTCCTTCTGTGTCATAATTGTTCTATATGTCCCCCTGTTCTCTCAGACCTCACTACCGTTGTCTTCATCCCATCACTCCAGCCTCTTCTGGAACCTTCTCCATCCCAGAGATAAGCTAAATGACCTCATTTCCATTTCTCTTAATCTGTGTACTCCTTGAACTGCTTATTTGTAAGTCTACCTAAGTTTCTTAAGTAAAAAAAAAAAAAAAAAAACTTTCCTTAAACCTTAAGCTTCAGTCCCTGATTTCTTACTGTTTTCAATCTTCCCTTTTAAAAAAAAATGCTCTTCATCTGATTTTTTTGCTTTCTGTTTTCTCCTTAACTCTGTTCTACTTGGTCTTATATATAAACTTTTTTGAAAATCACCTTCTAAACAAAACTGCCAACTCCTTCTTGGCCATAGCCTACTTGACTACCTCCTTTCCATTGAAACCCATTGTTGTGTTGTTTTTTAATTCTTCTAATTCTTGTCTTCTTCTCATTTAATTGCTCAGTTTTTCCCCTTCTTGTCCCTCTTCTTTTACATTTTCCTTATATGTGGGCTTCTACTTCCTTAGGCTACCTAGAGAACAATGCAGCTAAAAGTTCATATTTACTGATTTTCAAGCCATTTTTCTTGCTTTATTAAAAGTGACATAAATTTTAAATAATCATTTTTATGACACTAATAAGGTTTACCTTTTAATATTTAGGCAGGTGCTGTAAAGGATTATATTAAGATGATGCTTCAGAATGATTCGCTTAAATTTCTGGTTTTTGCTCACCATTTAAGCATGCTCCAAGCTTGCACAGAAGCAGTCATCGAAAATAAGGTATGTTGCCATTTTTTAACTAAATACTTTTTAGAATGCATATTTTTACTATACTAAACATCAGTTGTAGTCTCATAGTTGAGGTGTTTTTTGTCTTCTTTAGATGATGGTATATAAATTATCACACATTTTTCTTGAAAATTATATTAATATTATATGATGATGATTATATACTATTAAATTTTCTCTTTTCTTAACTGATCTCATAATTTTCCACTGACCAAATTATCTGGATTGATTAAAGATATGCTGCCATGCCAGCCGCCCCATCTGGGAGGGAGGTGGGGGTCAGCCCCCGCCTGGCCAGCCACCCCATCTGGGAGGGAGGTGGGGGGCAGCCCCCGCCCGGCCAGCCGCCCCGTCCGGGAGGGAGGTGGGGGGCAGCCCCCGCCCGGCCAGCCGCCCCGTCCGGGAGGTGGGGGGCGCCTCTGCCCGGCCGCCCCTTCTGGGAAGTGAGGAGCCCCTCTGCCCAGCCGCCACCCCGTCTGGGAGGTGTACCCAACAGCTCATTGAGAACGGGCCATGATGACGATGGCGGTTTTGTCGAATAGAAAAGGGGGAAATGTGGGGAAAAGATAGAGAAATCAGATTGTTGCTGTGTCTGTGTAGAAAGAAGTAGACATAGGAGACTCCATTTTGTTCTGTACTAAGAAAAATTCTTCTGCCTTGGAATGCTGTTAATCTATAACCTTACCCCCAACCCCGTGCTCTCTGAAACATGTGCTGTGTCCACTCAGGGTTAAATGGATTAAGCGTGGTGCAAGATGTGCTTTGTTAAACAGATGCTTGAAGGCAGCATGCTCGTTAAGAGTCATCACCACTCCCTAATCTCAAGTACCCAGGGACACAAACACTGCGGAAGGCCGCAGGGTCCTCTGCCTAGGAAAACCAGAGACCCTTGTTCACTTGTTCATCTGCTGACCTTCCCTCCACTATTGTCCTATGACCCTGCCAAATCCCCCTCTGCGAGAAACACCCAAGAATGATCAATAAATACTAAAAATAAATAAATAAAAAATAAATTAAAAAAATTTAAAAAAAGGTTGCTAAAAAAAAAGATATGCTGCCATGATAGGCTATAATGTGAATTTTATTTTTGTTCCTGGATATACCGTTTTAGAGTGGTGTAGACAGTTAAACGTTAGACTTTTTATTTACCTACACAGTGGCCTTTGAATGTGGGTGACATAGAGAGGAAAGAAAGAATGAACTTGGCCAATGTTAGTACCCAACTGCAGTCATACTATTTAAACTTCCAGGCAATATATGGAAAATGATTACTAAAATTTAGTGTAGATGTATTTGAAACATATGGCCCAAGTAATTTATCAGGTTAGCTCCATCAAGCCATGTGGCTTTACTGCATCTTCTTAGGTCTACCTTGATTTCCAATAGTCCACCAGTGAGTGACAACATCTTCCTTTGTTTCTATCAAAGATAAAAACTTAGTATACATTGTTTAAACATTAGGTAATATGTTCATTAATATTACCAAAGACATACTTCTAGTGTTTCCTTCATAGGAAGAGTTATAATAAAGTGCTATACATTAAAAGGTACTTTCTCATTGGTTATCATATAGTTTCTGAAAAACACCCTCTAAGAGTTAATTAACCTAAATATTTTTTAAATGATTGGGCAAGAAATTAGATTCGTAATATTTTTCTTATTCTGATTCCATTATACCTTAAAACTACTGGGATCGATTCCAAGTATAATAGTCTTTTTTTCTTACATCCATTTTACTGATATGTTTAGAATCCCATTTAGCTTTACTAAGAGTTAAAAATGTAGATATAGGCCAGGTGCGGTGGCTCACACCTGTAATCCCAGCACTTTGGGAGGCCGAGGCGGGCAGATCATCTGAGGTCGGGAGTTCGAGACCAGCCTGACCAACATGGAGAAACTCTGTCTCTACTAAAAATAAGAATTAGCCGGGCGTGGTGGCACATGCCTGTAATCCCAGCTACTCGGGAGGCTGGGGCAGGAGAATCGCTTGAACCTAGGAGGAGGCAGAGGTTGCAGTGAGCTGAGATCCCGCCATTGCACTCCAGCCTAGGCAATAAGAGCAAAACTTCGTCTCAAAAAAAAAAAAATGTAGATATTCATGGGGTTGGAGGTGAATTTTTCCCCAACTTTTCCTACCCTGACAATGTATTTTCTTTAGAAAGACCCTGAGAGAATTTTATAATCTTCCTTAATGGCTATTAAATGGTTTACTGGTTAATGTATACTTGCTCTTTGAGGACAGAACGTTAATACGGGACATTCTTTTTAATAATTAACTTGGATATTCCCTTATAAAAGTGAATATTCATATGTTCCAACTATTTAAGGCTATATTTTCTATGGCACTACATACATGAATAAGGTTTTTTGAAATTTAGGAGTTATCATTTTTAGAAGTTGAATAATGATTTCTTTTTTTCTTTTTTTTTTCTTTTTTTTTTTTGAGACAGTCTCGCTCAGTCGCCCAGGCTGGAGTGCAGTGGCTAGATCTCCACTCGCTGCAAGCTCCGCCTCCCGGGTTCACGCCATTCTTCTGCCTCAGCCTCCCGAGTATCTGGGACTACAGGCGCCCGCCACCACGTCCAGCTAATTTTTTTGTATTTTTTTAGTAGAGATGGGGTTTCGCCATGTTAGCCAGGATGGTCGTGATCTCCTGACCTCGTGATCCATCCTCCTCGGCCTCCCAAAGTGCTGGGATTGCAGAAGTGAGACACCGCGCCCGGCCAATAATAACTTCTTTTTAGCTATTCTAACACATAGTGATAACCCCCTTGTCTCAACTCAAATCATTCTTAAAGACAACAATGTTCGGTTTAACACTTAATGTTTCCCTACTTTTCAAAAATGTGTGTGGGTGCCTCAGTGCCCCACCTCTCTGGAGATGACCATATCACATATTTCTTTAAAGTTTAATAATGTGAAAAACCAGAATTAAAAGCTCTATTTTCCAGCCGGGAGCGATGAGGCGGGGGAATCACGAGGTCAGGAGATGGAGACCATCCTGGCTAACACTGTGAAACCCTGTCTCTACTAAAAATACAAAAAATTAGCCGGGCGTGGTGGCGGGCGCCTATAGTCCCAGCTACTCAGGAGGCTGAGGCAGGAAAATGGCGTGAACCCGGAGGCGGAGCTTGCAGTGAGCAGAGATCCCACCACTGCACTCCAGCCTGGGTGACAGAGCAAGACTCCGTCACAAAAAAAAAAAAAAAAAAGCTCTATTTTCCCAGTTAATATTTGGGATATTTCAGAAATAAATGTACTACTCTTCATGAATCCGTGATTTGTGGGCAGAATCATCTTTCTCTTTTCTCACATGTCTGGCTGTATTTTCACTTTAGAATTAGTGATCTTATAACTTTAGAGTTAGTCTGATCCATGGTTTAAAGTTTGCGTGTCAATTTACGTAGAATTTTACTGAAGACAACATTAGCTTAATTCATAAAAGATTTGTGGAGCTTCTGCTATATACAAGGCATTGCCCTTGGCATTGATGGGATAAAGATGAATTAGACATAGACTCTACCCTCAAGTAGCTTAAAAGATTAAAAAAATAAGAAATTGTTATAAGAAGCTATTAAAAATCTTGGTTAAGATTCTTCTTGTATAACATTTACCAATCTGTCACCTTAACCAAGTTCCATTTTGTTATGTGACCATAAAAATAAGCTGTAAAATATATAAAATGAGATGGGTACATAGGGCCTTGTCCTAATTTTGCCGTTTTCCTTGTTGATGCTAGACTCGTTACATTAGGATAGATGGAAGTGTTTCATCTTCAGAAAGAATACATCTGGTTAATCAGTTTCAAAAGGATCCTGACACTCGCGTGGCTATCCTAAGCATTCAGGCTGCTGGCCAGGTAAGAAATTTCAAGTCTAAATTTGGTTATGAAATGTCATTGAAATAAGAAAAAAGGCCATTCACTATAACTTTGGTTTATAAACTTGTAACTTTGTATCTGGATGCCTTGTATAATAAATAGTAATTCTTCTTCAGAGAGTTCCAGAAAGTATAATAGAAAGAGGCCTCGATGTCTTTGACACAGATCTCCTAAATTTTCAAGGAAAGGATGTCTTTGAAAGAATATACTTTCAAAGAAGAGTAAGAAGAGTATAGTTAATTTGATTGTAATATTTTTGCCTGACCTTTTTTCCTTCCTTTGAATTTGTATAGGCTTTTCTTATACCTGTCTTATATCCAACCCTTCACTTACTTGATTGTGTTGCATTAGGACCTGTATGACAAGGTGGCCTGGGGGAAAAGAACTCTTGTCTCAGGACTTTTTATGGAGTGCTTCTGTTTTGTCCCTTAGGATTAAGTTTGAAGGCAAGTAAACAGAAATTCAGATTAAGACTGACTTAAATACACAAAGTTTAATTCTCTTATGTAGACAGTCCAGGCCTAGCCTGATGTTTGCACAAAGTCCTTAGGACCTATACCCCTTCTCGCTTTCTGCTTTACCACTCTTAGCAAGTATGTCTTATCTAAAAGGGCTGCTAGAGCTCCATCTTATCTGCAGTCTAAGCAGCTGCCTGGAGAAAAGCACACTGCATCTCTTATAGTTAGTCCCACAACCACACCTAATTTCAAGGGAAGCTCGGAAGAGTATTCTTTATTCCACGTAGCCCTGCTAAAAATTGGGTGTTATGTTACAAAGGAATAAGAGAAGGATAGATATTAGGGAAAGTAATGGCAGTCTCTGCCACAGTAGGTAAGAGGGGATCTTCTGGACTGTTTTTCTGCCAGCATTCTAAAATACTTTGTTGTAAATGTCTAAGCTAGGATATTTAACATAGGGAAAAGTAATTGAGCATACTGCTGTTCAGCCAAGCTGGTACATGCCAAAGATCTGCTTTTACTCGGCTAATTAAAGTATATAAAATTATATACAGAGAGAAACTTTATGAGGATGAAGCAGTTCCACAACTCTCTGGGAGTTCTAACCAAAAGGAGGGTTGTCTCAATGCTTCCCTCATGTTCAGTTAAACTTCCAATAATCGGAGTTATTTATCTGTTAGACTGTTCCAGCCACAGAGAATATCATCAAAAAGGGCTTAGAATTAGAAATGAAGTACTTAGAGCTGGGGAGGTGCTAAGTAGGAGAAAGCCAGACAGGAGAGTCTAGGACCTTTTGAAATTAATAATGTATGGGGCACTTACATTTTATTCAAGGCTGTGCTTCTGAAGACCTTATATAAATCAAGACTCATATACTTGAGGACTGATATCTCCATAGGAATAAAGGAAAGTAGAAAGGTCTTTGTTCTTGGTACTGTGAATCTTACATTATAGTTTAGCAGCTGCTTAGAGTGGTATTGATCTTGCCAACATATTTTCCCTTTATGCTTGTATAATCAAATGATGTTTTTTATAAAATTAAAGATGTCTCTCCTTAAATACTACTTTTTATTTTTTCAGCATTATTTCTAATATTCTGTGGCATTTTCAGTCCTAAATAGCAGTACAGTTTAATATATTTGTCTCTGTATTTTTATTACCTCTAACTTCTTTTTCAGAGACTGATTTTCAGTAAATTTTTCAGCTTGAGAACTAGTACCACCATTTAATTAATGCTAGCATGATTTTGTTATGTGACATGAAAATATTTTAAGTGAAAATAACATATCAAAATAATAGCATAGCAGTCACAAAAGTCACTCATAGGAGTTTGGTGCATATGAACAACAAACAGCATTGATTAAATAATACTCAAAAAAAGGCAGATATTTCTGTTTACCACCTAATGTCATTTTACTGCTATATGGCTATAGCATAAGCGTGGTTCACATTTCATTCAGCCTACCAACATTAAAGTCATGCATTTTTGGACACATTTTTTAGTTTGACACATTTTTTAGTTTGAGGATTTTGCATTATTTCATATATTGATTATAAAGCAAGACTTAGTTAATATTTTTATGTCACACTATTTCAAATTCATGAAAATGCAGTTGTACAGAAAATGCAATTGCATTGTATATATTGAGACATAGGCAGTAAATTTCAGGTCTTCGGAATATAACATCACAGGAAGAAAGTAGTATAACCAGAGACGTTGTTTTCTTGCTTTATAACATGACAGTGTGAGTTAGATGAAGAGGATGTAAATGCTCTCTGCCTGGTTGCTATAGATACCATATGTTGGAAATTGTATTCTCATTTATAAAGTATTTTATTAGATTTTCCAGTGGTAATGTGAATCCGTTCATCATCAGAGAATAAAGTGATTTAGTTTATATACTTACATCAAGCTGACTTTTGAAATTTTGAAATACCTTTCAAATGTGTTTTTTGTAGTTCACCTAGCTATGTTGCATTAAACATTCTTCATTTGCCTTTCATGAATTAAATCTTAATTTGGCCTAAAATAGACAACTAATTTGTTTTCAAGTCCTTCAGTGTTCTCCATTTAACATGTTCAGAAATACTTTATTATATATTGGCTGTATGTTACATTCTCAATTTATTTGCTTTATTTCACTTAGGGATTAACATTTACTGCAGCAAGTCATGTTGTATTTGCTGAGTTGTACTGGGACCCTGGACATATAAAACAAGCAGAAGACCGAGCTCACAGAATTGGCCAGTGCAGTTCTGTGAATATTCACTACCTTATTGCAAATGGAACCCTAGACACCCTTATGTGGGGAATGTTGAATCGCAAGGTAAAGCTTGAATTTAAATCAAGTTAGCAGCTTACTTACTATTAACCATAGCCAATGTGAGTTAAGAGGCTGAGTTTTAGTGTTTTCAGGCAAAGGATACTTAAGCACATCAAGATAATGATGATAATAGAGACCAAGTTAAGAAAAGGCTTCAGTAGTAGTACCTTGTCTGCTCTCCTCTGTAATAAGAGAGGCATGAACTTCCACGTACTCCTGTTATCTTCCAAGCCCTTCTACTACTTTAGAGGTACAATGATGGGGTTGGCTAGCAAGGAAACGTAATGTTTCAAGCCCCAAGTCCTTTGCGTAACCTAAGAATAAACCTTTTCTAGAAGAATTCTTGAGTTCCAAGCTAATTTTGGACAGAAGGTAGCCTGTACCCAGACTCTAGAAAATGTAGGAATGACATTGCTTGCTCTGTCCTCTCAGCTGTCTCATTTCCTCAGTCTTGACAATGTTTATAGAAAGGACTTGACTAAGGATTAGATGATTTCTGGCTGGGCGTGGTGGCTCATGCCTCTAATCCCAGCACTTTGGGAGGTCGAGATGGGTGGATCACCTGAGGTCAGGAGTTCGAGACTAGCCTGGCCAACATGGTGAACCCCTGTCTCTACTAAAAATACAAAAAAATTAGCTGGGCATGGTAGCAGGTGCCTGTAATCCCAGCTACTTGGGAGCCTGAGGCAGGAGAATTGCCTGAAGCTAGGAGGTGGAGGTTGCAGTGAGCTAAGATCGCACCATTGCAACAATTGCACTCCAGCCTGGGTGACAGAGCAAGACTCTGTCTCAAAAGAAAAAAAAAAGGGTTAGATTATTTCTGGGTTAGTTTGTTTGGGCAGCCATAACAAAGTACCAATCTATATTGGGTAGTTTATAAATAACAGAAATTTATTTCTCATACTTCTGGAGGCTAGAAGTCTGAGATTAGGATGCCAGTATGGTTGAGTTCTGGTGAGGGCCCTCTTCCAAGTTGCTGACTACTGCTTTCTCATTGTGGAAAGAGGGCAAGAAAGCTCTTTGGGGTCTCTTTTATAGGGGACTAAGCCCATTCATGAGGGCTCCACCCTCATGACCCAATCACCTCCCAAAAGCCCCACCTCCGAACACCATCAACATTGGGAGTTAGGATTTTAACATCTGAATTTGGGGGGGATACAAACATTCAGCCCATAGCACTGTTTTTCAATGAAATGTTTTTTAAGCACTGGATATAAATATTTAAAATGGCCGATCATATGTTGGTTAAGTTTCAAAGCATATAAATATTAGAATAAAAGTTTTTATGAAGAAAGTGAATAGTATAACTTCTCCAGTTAAACCTTTTCTCATTAAGCATGGAACCATTGACTGGGTAATGGATTATAATTTTGGATAATTATTGCTATGGTTTGAATGTTCATTCCCTCTAAAACTTACTTTGAAACTTAATCCCCACTGTGGCAGTATTGAGAGGTGGGCCATTAAGAGAGATGATTGACCTTCTTTCCCACCCTCTTCTAAAAAAAAGAAAAAAAATGATTGGGTCATGAGGGTTCTGCCCTTATGAATGGATTAATCCATTCATGGATTGAGGGATTAATGGGTTATCATAGGAGTGGGACTGGTGGCTTTATAGGAAGAGGAAGAGAGACCTAAGCTAGCACCACTCAGCCCCTTCCCCATGAGATGACCTGTGCTGTCTCAGAACTCCGCAGGTACCCACCAGCAAGAAGCCCTCACCAGATGTGGCCCCTCAACCTTAACTTCTCAGCTTCCATAAGAAATAAGTTCATTTTCTTTACACATTACACAATTTCAGATATTCTGTTATAAGCAAAAGAAAACAGACTAGATGTCAATGAAGAGTCAAACTGTAAAATATTTTAAGAGATTTATTCTGAGCCAAATATGAATGACAGTGGCTCATGACACAGCCCCAGGAGATTCTGAGAACTTGTGCCTTAGATGGTTGGGCTACAGCTTGGTTTTATGCAAGGTGGGGTGGAGGGAGGCATTGGTTCCAGATCATAGGTGGATTCAAAGATTTTCTGATTGGCAGTTGGTTGAAAGAGTTTATCTGAAGACTTGGAATACCTGGGTTAAGATAAGGAGTTGTGGAGACCAAGGTTCTTCTTAGGCAGGTAAAGCATCCAGGTAGCAGGCTTCAGACAGAATAGATTGTAAATGTTTCTTATTAGACTCTTTTTTTTTTTTTTAAGAGATGGAGTCTTGCTCTATCGCCCAGGCTGGAGTATGGTGGCGTGATCTCAGCTCACTGCAATCTCTGCCTCCTGGGTTCAAGCGATTCTCCTGCCTCAGCCTCCTGAGTAGCTGGGACTACAGGCGCCCGCCACCACGCCCAGCTGGTTTTTGTATTTTTAGTAGAGATGGGGTTTTACCTTATTGGCCAGGCTGGTCTCGAACTCCTGACCTTGTGATCCGCCCACCTCAGCCTCCCAAAGTGCTGGGATTACAGGCATGAGCCACCGCTCCTGGCCTCTTATTAGACTTTAAAAGGTGCCAGACTCCTTAGTTAATTCTTTCCTGGATCAGGATAAAGACCTGGAATGGAAGGGGGATTCTCTACAGAATGTAAATTTTTCCCACAAAAGACAGCTCTGCAGAGCCATTTCATACAAAAGAAATATGTTAGGGAGTAAAAGGTTTCAATTTGTTTTAGGGCCTGCTATCTGTCATGTTGGCATCTTGTTGCTACAAAGAGTCTGTTTTGTCAGCCTTAAGATCTCTATTTTAATGTTAATGCTGGTCAGCTTTTTTGAGACAGAGTCTCACTGTGTCACACAGGAGTGCGGTGGCAGGATCTCAGCTCACTGCAACCTCCGCCTCCTGAGTTCAAGGGATTCTTCTGCCTTACCCTCCCAAGGAGCTGGGATCACAGGCGCCTGCCACCACGCCCGGCTAATTTTTCTATTTTTAGTAGAGATGGGATTTCACCATGTTGGGCAGGCTGGTCTCAAACTCCTGACCTCAGGTGATCGCCCCCCTTGGCCTCCCAAAGTACTGGGATTACAGGCATGAGCCACTGCACCTGGCGTGTTTCAGGTTTACTTTAGAATGCTCTTGGCCAAGAGGAGGAATCCATTAAGTTGGTTGGGAGGCTTATAATTTTATTTTTGGTTTACAAAGATAATTATATTACTAAAGCCCATGATATGTTGGAACAGTAAGATTTTCTTAGTGGGTAGCTTATGATTTAAATGCAAAATCAAGTTACTTAGTGAATTTCAGCTGTGAGGTGAACTGCTCAAAAATTCATTTACTTTTTCCTCTTGTAGGCTCAAGTTACAGGGAGCACACTGAACGGTAGGAAAGAAAAAATTCAGGCTGAGGAAGGTGATAAGGAAAAATGGGATTTCCTGCAGTTTGCTGAAGCTTGGACTCCAAATGACAGTTCTGAAGAGTTAAGGAAGGAAGCTTTGTTCACTCACGTAAGATTATATGCCTTACTCTTTTCTATTTTTTTTAGTATCCTGAAACTATAACTTTGTATGTATGGTTTTAAATAGCAACTCTCAATTATTTATGGTGTTGAAAGGAGACTTCACATAAAGCTGGAAACCCTCTTAGAGCCAAAAATTAATATTGTTTTCCAACAGTTTTAGTACTTACTGTTCAGCTCCTCGGATAAACAAACTGAATAAAATTCAGAGTTCAAAAGAAAATATAGGAGGCTATCTTTATGACACTGAGAATAGGGAAAGGTATATTAAATGTGCCTTAAAATGTGCAAATAGTAAAGAAAAAGATTCAGATATTTGAGTATATCGAAATCACAGGTTTTGTTATACAAAATGTCCTGTATATAAATCACAGACTCAGTAAAGATATTTGCATTACAATGTCCAAAGTATATGAAGAATTTATACAACTCAATTAGTAAAGCATAAACAAGTCAACAGAAAAATAGGCAAAGAGCTGGGCATGGTGGCTCACACCTGTAATTGCAGCACTTTGGGGGGCTGAGGCAGGCGGATCACCTGAGGTCAGGAGTTTGAGACCAGCCTAGTCAACATCGTGAAACCCTGTCTCTACTAAAAATACAAAAATTAGCTGGGTGTGTTGGTGTCTGCCTGTAATCCCAGCTACTCAAGAGGCTGAGGCACAAGAATCGCTTGAACCACCTGAAGGCAGAGGTTCCCGTGAGCTGAGATTGCATTGCTGCACTCCAGGCTGGGCGATAGAGTGAGACTGTGTCTCTGTCTCAGAAAAAAAAAAAAAAAATAGGCAAAGAATATGAGCATCAGAGGACACCTGAATAGCCAATAAACATGAAAAGAAGCTCTACCTCACTAAAATAAGGCAAATTGTAAAGATAATTTTCCCCTTTACTATTTATTAGTAAGTAAGTAGCGGTATAACACTTTCAAAGCATGTGACCCCCCGTTCCCAAAACTTTTTACTGAGTGTTTTTAGCGTTCATTAATGATATTTGCATGAATCACCTTTGAAATGGTTTTTCTTTTCTTTTCTTTTCTTTTTTTTTTTTTTTTTGAGACAGAGTCTTGCACTATTGCCCTGGCTGGGTGCAATGGCATGATCTCAGCTGGCTGCAACCTCTGTCTCCCGGGTTCAAGCGATTCTCCTGCCTCAGTCTCCCGAATAGGTGAGATTACAGGTGCCCACCACCATGCCTGACTAATTTTTTGTATTTTTAGTAGAGACAGGGTTTCACTATGTTGGCCAGGCTGGTCTCGAACTCCTGACCTTGTGATCTGCCCACCTCGGCCTTCCAAAGTGCTGGGATTACAGGCTTGAGCCACCGCGCCCGGCCTGAAATGGTTTTTCTAATTCCATCATTGCTTCTATATTTATTAGTTGGCATTTTTCTGTAAAGAAGACATTTACCTCCCCACTTTAAAAAAATACCACTATGGACCAGGCGTGGTGGCTCACAGACCTGTAATCCAGCACTTTGGGAAGCTGAGGTGGGTGGATCAGTTGAGGTCAGGAGTTCGAGATCAGCCTGGCCAACACGGTGAAACCCCGTTTCTACTAAAAAAATACAAAAAAAAAAAAAAATTAGCCGGGCGTCATGGCACATGCCTGTAATCCCAGCTACTTGGGAGGCTGAGGCAGGAGAATCACTTAAACCCAGGAACTGGAAGTTTTGGTGAGCCGAGATCACGCCACTGCACTCCAGCCTGGGTGACAGAGTGAGACTCTGTCTAAAAAAAAAAAAAATTACTATGAACTTAGGGGTTTCAATTATTATTATTTAATGTGTTATAATCCTTTACCTTTTTTTCTTTTTAAACTTAGATCTGGCTAATGAAAGCTCCTTTAAACTGGCTCCTTTTTAAAAAAACACATCCTTATAATTCTCTGAGTGCTTCCTTGCTTTCTGGCACACAATATATAACAGGTTCACCTAAATTTTTTTGCTCCAGACTTGGAATTGGCCATTTCTTTAAGGAGCACTTACTCCCTTTACTGTGGAGTGATATTTAGAAATTAGGATTTTTGTTGTTGTTGTTCCTCTGGGCTATCGTTGCTTCTAGGCTCTTTTCAATATACAGAATATATTCTCACACATATGTAAGGATACATGCACAAATATCTTTACTGCGTCATTTTTTAGAATGCAAAAAAATGGAAACAACCAAAATGCCCATCAATAGAAGAATGGATATGTAGATTGTCATATCTTATAAAATGCTATTTAGAAGTTAAAGTGAATGAGTTATATTTATATGTATCAACAGGATGAGATCTTGAAAACACAAAGTTGCTTTAAAAACACATAGCACACACAGTATATTCTATATTTATGAGTACATATATATAGTAAAACATAAACACACATTGGAAGAATACATATCAAATTTATAAAATTGGTTACCTCTGGGAGAGAAGAATGGATATGGGGAAGAATAAAAATGTGATAGCAACTTCAGCAAAAATGTTTTTATTTCTTTTATTTTATAAAAAGATCAGAAGTACAATATTAATATTTGTAAATTTTGAATGGTGGATATATAGATTTTTGTTATATTCACTATACATTTCTATATGTAAAATCCCCCAGTCTCACCTCTAACAAATGCTATATGTAAAATCCCCCAGTCTCACCTTATAACAGATTATTTATAAATTTAATAAGAAATAATATATTAGAGAAATTTGTAATTTATAATGTCTGCTGTTTCCTAGCCTTTTTTTTTTTTAATTCTTATTTTTTTAAAAGACAGGCTCTCTGCCTATCACCCAGGTTGGAGTCCAGTGGCATGATTATAGCTCACTGCAGCTTCAAAGTCCTGGACTCAGGAGATTCTCCCATCTCAGCCTGCTGAGTAGCTAGGACCACAGGCATGTGCTACCATTTCTGGCTAATTTTTTATGTTTCATAGAGACAGAGTCTCACTACGTGGCTCAGGCTGGTCTCAAACTTCTGGCCTCAAGCAATCCTCCCACCTCTGCCTCCCAAAGCACAGAGATTAGAAGCATGAACCGCCACCACTCTTGGCCTTCTAGTCTTTTTGAGGTAATATGGTGTCAAAGTTATAGAGAGTTTAATTTTAATTTTTCAAAGAACTGATCAGAAATTATAGGAATAAAATTAATATTTACATTTTTCTGATAATACAAAATTAAAAATTTAATGTGAAGTTTAATTGCATAAAAATACATTATTTTATGTAGAATTGTATTAAATTTTTAATTATCTTATTTGGAGGTCTAGTACAATTTTTTTCTAGAATATTAGAATGTAATTCCGTCAAATATTGCTAAAAATTAGATTATTTGTAAGATTTTCTTTTAATTTAAAAAAGAGTTTTCTTTGTTTTTTTTTTTTTTTTTTTTTGGAGATGGAGTCTCACTCTGTCGCCAGGCTGGAGTGCAGTGGCACAATCTTGGCTCACTGCAACCTCCACCTCCTAGGTTCAAGCAATGCTCCTGCCTCAGCCTCCCAAGTAGCTGAGACAACAGGCACACGCCACCACGCCTGGCTAATTTTTTGTATTTTATTAAAGACGGGGTTTCACCCTGTTGCCCAGGCTGGTCTCCAGCTCCTGAGCTCAGGCAATCTGCCCACCTCAGCCTCCCAAAATGCTAGGATTACAGGTATGAGCTACTGTGCCCAGCCAAGGTTTCTTTCAACAATGCTTATTATATTATATTCTGGTCTACAATAAAGTCAATAGAAATCCTAGCTATTTTAAAAATATATAAATAAATCTATGATTTGTAGCTGTTCTTTCTCTAAAATTTCCTATCAAACTGTGTTTACAAGTTCATTTCTAAGCTAGATATTAAGAATTTGAAATAAATCTTCCTACATATGTGTATGTTTATTGTTTTCAAAAGTTTATCTGAAGAAAAATATATATTTGTATACACAATTTTAAAAAATCACCCATACCAAATTTTACTTTCTTGAGTTAGGTATGTGTCTTTCATAGTTTAGTGTTGTCTTATAGATTTTCCAATACTTGTCTTTATACAGACGCAGTTTGATGTAAATTGGAATCTTAGAATGTAGGGATCTTTTGTTGGTTTTGGTTAGTTTTGCTTTGTTGGTATTTGCTTATTTATTGTATGGCCAACAAGTGAAGTGTGCTTTGATTGACTTTAGGTGGGTGTGCCCTCTCACCACTCTGTCTATACCCTCCCAGCTTCATGCAGTTTAAGAAATGTTCAATTTGTTGGCAGGTACTAAGGAAATTTAGTCTACTGATTAACTTATTTTTCTTCTGAACATTGCCAGAATTTCAGCATTTCCAACGGGAATTTTCCTATGAATTTGATTTATTTTTTATCCATTTACAAAGCCTTTTAAAGGACATTTCCAGCATCTCCATTTTTAGAAAACTTTCAACTTTCAATTAAACTTTCCTAGATTAACCAAACTTGCCATTTGACATCAAAAACTTCTTTGACTCAAAAATTTTTATCAGTTCTAATTGGATGGTTTTTAACAGCTTGTGGATATTTCAGTATATTATTGAATATTATATATTCAAGTATATATATACTACATATATAGTATATAATATATATATCAAGTGTATATATAGAATAAAAATACAAAAATACAAAATCTTTATATATAGTATACAATATATATGTCAAGTGTATATATAGTATATATTATATATATCAAATATACTTGAATATATATAGTATATATATAGAATATATAGTATATATATACTATAAACTTGAATATATATAGTATATAGAATATATATAGTTTGTATATACTATATATATTCAAGTATACTTGATATATATACTTGAATATATAATAGTCAATAATATATTCAAGTATATATATAAATATGTTCAAGTATATATAAATTCAAGTATATATAGTACATATATAGTACATATAGTATAGTATATATAGTACATATATACTATATATACTTGAATATATATATACTTGAATATATATTATTCAAGTATTTGAATAATACCTTAAATGAAACTAATCCACACAAATGTATGAGTCACAATTCTTTACCCATGCTAGATGTATTTACATTTTTTAAGAAATTACAGTATTTATTAACCCAAATGAAACTCAAATTGAAGTCCAACTCAAGTGAAAAGAAAAAATTCCACCACCACAAGGAAAGATACTTTTGCACAGCCCAGTTGGCTGTCCCATAAGTAAGCAGTCTTGCCTTGGAGTCCATCACCAGGGTCACTGCCTAAGATGTGGTCAGTCCAATTTCCACTGCTTCTTCCTTTCTTCTACATCTGAATGTGTCTGACTTCTAAGTACTATTTTGGCTTTGAGGTGTTTTGATTTCTCTACAGTGGCTTCCATTGAGTGATAATGTAGGTCATCTCCAGGCAGGAGAATGGTATAGATAATATTAGTGTATGTTATTTCTAAGCAACGAAAGGCTGTTTCTGAATAAAGCAAGCTGAGTGGAGTGTTCAAATAGGGAGCCTCCTTCTCTCTCTGGTTTTCATTTTGCTGCCTTCATCTAACAAGTATCTCTTCCTCTAGCTCTAGCTGTGGGAAATTGGGGCCCTTCCCTTAACCTCTTTAGGGCCTTTTCTTTTCCTCTTTTGCTCCTTTCTCCAATAATCAGCAACATTATTTATCTAGCCATTTGAGTCACTAGATTACTAGATGGCGTCTAAGCCCCCTTTCATCCATTATATATAAACTATAAAGTATCCTAAGAGAATCTTGGTGCATAAATGATTCATAGGTGAGCCAAAAAAAAAAAGGACTCTAATTTAGTATGGGTAATGAGTCCTGCTTGTGGTTAGGACATGTCTGCTTTCTGGCTGGGTGCAGTGGCTCACGCCTGTAATCCCAGCACTTTGAGAGGCCGAGGCGGGCGGATCAGCTGAGGTCGAGAGTTCAAGACCAGCCTGACCAATATGGAGAAACCCCATCTCTACTAAAAATACAAAATTAGCCGGGCGTGGTGGCACATGCCTGTAATCCCAGCTACTCAGGAGGCTGAGGCAGGAGAATCGCTTGAACCCGGGAGGCGGAGGTTGTGCTGAGCTGAAATTGATTGCATCTTTGCACTCCAGCCTGGGCAACAACAGCGAAACTCCATCTCAAAAAATAAATAAATAAAAATATGTAGAATGGTTGCTTGTCTGCTGCAAAAGATTGTATGTAGTTAGGAGAGCTCTTTAGCATTATTATGAAATTTTAAAATATGCCCTCAGGCCAGAGCGGTGGCTCTTGCCTGTAATCCAAGCACTTTGAGAGGCTGAGTCTCCATTGAGCCCAGATGTTTGAGACCTGCCTGGGCAACATGGCTAGACCTTGTCTCATTAAAAAAAAATAAAAATAAGAAAATTAGCTGGGCATGGTGGTACACACGTGTAGTCCCAGCCACTTGGGAGTCTGAGGTGGGAGGATTGCTTGAGCTCAGGAGGATGATTGCACCACTGTACTCCAGCCTGGGCAACAGAGTGAGACCCTGTCTCAAAAACAAACAAAAACGAAACAAAGTTCTCAAAATTCAAAAAGAAAACACGTTTTTAAATTAAATGCCAACATTGTATGAAATGTTTGCTTTGTTGTGGTAAAAAGTGCAAGTTAAAAATGTCTCGTATATACAAAAAATAAACTTTTTTTCCTGCATATTGTCCAGTTGAATACATGGTAACAGCAAAAAGAAAGTTGACCACAGGAGCTGTGGCACTTGTGAAATCTAAATCCCTCTTGTCCAAAATCTCTTCTTTCTGAATATGGTAAAGAACTGGTTTCTTGGGGCAGCACATCTTAAATGAGAATATTTATTTAATATATATTTTAGGAATTCAAAGCACTTTGTAATTATTATGTAATTAGTCTGCATAATAGCCTAATTGATAAGGACATGAGGGCAGCCTCATTGTTACAGATAGAGACATACAAATGTCTATGTCGTAGTGTTGTAGGAAAACCCGGGTTCTTGTCACACGACCAAGATAATTTAGGCATGCGGATACATTGTAGGGTGAGAAGGGCAGCATTTATTGTGTGAAAAGAAATAAAAGGGAAACAGGGACTCTCAGCAAAGGTGAGAGTCCTGCTAGCAGGCTTTGCGCTTCACAGATTGAATCCCCTTTTACCACCCAGGAACAGGAGAGGGCAGGCTCCTCCTTCCTGCAATGGGTGCTAACTCCCCAAGGCTCCACCACATCCTCCCAATGCACAGGCAGGTTGGAGATTCTCCAGGGAGCCCTTTTTACTTCACTGTCTCAATAGCTTACATAACATTATGTTATTATTAGACATTTGTCTTATTTACTTTTATGACTTTTAATACACTCAATAATAATGACTAACATCTATTGAGTTGTTATTTCTTGCAGCCACTGTGCTAAGCCCTTAACATTCAGGATCTTTCTTTAAAAAAAAAACTTACTTAAATAAAGATGGGATCTCACCATGTTGTCCAGGCTGGTCTTGAACTCCTAGGCTCAAGCAGTCCTCCCACTTCAGCCTCCCAAAGTGTTGGGATTACAAGCATGAGCTACCACTCCAGGCTCATGATCTTATTTAACCTTCAGAGCAACATCATGAGGAAGATACTATTAACTTGCCCCACTAAATCTGAGAAAGGTTACATAATCTGCCCGAGGTCATACAGCCAATAAGTGGCACAGCTGGGGCAGAAAGTGCCAGGCCTTTCTGCTTCAAGGTCTGTTCTCATAACTTTGCCAATCCATACTAGGTGCATTAGAGTTAGCATATCATGGGCCTTCAATAAATGTATGTGGAATGAATACAACATTGAAAAACTTCAATTTGGTTTAGCCAAGTTTCTGGGATGTGAGCCACATACAGGACATTCAAAGATCATTCATTATATAAACATCTATTAAGATTATATGAAATACAAGTCAAAACCACAATGAGATTATCACATCACACCCACTAGGATGACTAAAATAAAAAAGACAAGTATTGGCAATGATGTAGAGAAATTAGAAGACTCATATATTGTTGATTGGAATGTAAAATGATGCAACCATTTTGTAAAACCATCTGGGAGTTCCTCAACATGTTAGACATAAAGTCACCATATGACCCAGCAATCGTACATCCAAGAGAATTGAGAACACCTGTCCACACAAAAACTTGGACATGGACATTATGGCAGCATGATTCATAGTAGCCAAAAAAAGTTAGACCAAAAAAAGTTATAAATTGATGAATGGGTAAACAAAGTGTGGTTAATCTATATGTTACCAGAAAGGGGTCTCGATCCAGACCTCAAGAGAAGGTTATTGGATCTCATGCAAGAAGGAATTTGGGGTGAGTCTACAAAGTAAAGTGAAATGACATTTATTAGAGAAGTAAAGAAACTAAAGAATGGCTACTCTATAGGCAGAGCAGTGGCATGGGCTGCTTGACTGAGTATGCTTATGGTTATTCCTTGATTATATGTGAAACAAGGGGTAGATTAGTCATGAGTTTTCCAGGGTTGCAAGTTCCTGGAACTGAAGGTTCCTCCCCTTTTTAGACCATATAGGGTAACTTCCAGATGTTTCCATGGCATTTGTAAACTCTTTTGGTGCTGGTGGGAATATCTTTTAGCATGTGAATGCATTATAATTAGCATATAATGAGCTGTGAGGATGACCAGAGGTCTCTTTCATTACCATCTTGGTTTTGGTGGGTCTTGGCTGGCTTCTTTATTGCATGCTGTTATATCAGTAGGGTCTTTGGGACCTGTGTGTTGTGAAACCAGTCCTGCCAAGCTCCTGTCTCATCCTATGACTAAGAATGCCTAACATCCTTGAAATGCAGCCCAGCAGGTCTTGGCCTCATTTTACCCTGCCCCTGTTCAAGATGGAGTTGCTCTGGTTCAAATGCCTCTGACACATGCAGTGGAATATTATTTGGCCTTAAAAAGGATACATGCACTGGGCCTGGTGGCTCACGCCTATAATCCCAGCACTTTGGGAGACTGAGGCGGGTGGGTCACCTGAGGTTGGGAGTTCGAGGCCAGCCTGACCAACATGGAGAAACCCCATCTCTACTAAAAATACAAAATTAGCTGGGCCTGGTGGCTTGCGCCTATAATCCCAGCTACTCGGGAGGCTGAGACAGGAGAATTGTCTATACCCGGGAGGCAGAGGTTGCAGTGAGCTGAGATTGTACCACTGCACTCTAGCCTGGGCAACAGAGTGAGACTCTGTCTCAAAAACAAACAAACAAAAAAAAGATACATGCTACACCATGGATGAACCCTGAAAATTTGCTAAGTGAAAGAAGCAGGACATAAAGGCCACTTCTTGTATGGCTCTTTTTATTCAGATTAGCCAGAATAGGCAAATCCATAGAGACACAAAATAGACTAGTACTTGCTAAGAGATTCAAGGAGAGGATGGGCAGTGACTGCTGTCAAAGAACAAAATTTAGCCTGGACAACATGGCAAAACCCTGTTTTTATAAAAAATACAAAAATCAGGTGGGCATGGTGGCACATGCCTGTAGTCCCAGCTACTCAGGAGGCTGAGGTGAGAGGATCACCTGAGCCCAGGGCGGTCGAGTCTGTAGTGAGCCGTGATTTCTCCACTGCACTCCAGCCTGGGTGACAAAGTAAGACCCTGCCTCAAAAAAAAAAAAAAAAAAATTTTAATGAGTTGACCTTTAAATATCTGATTGGGTTTTTTTTGTTTGAGGAGGGTTGTTTTTGTTTTTAAGAGACAGACTCTCACTCTATTGCCCAGGATTGTTCAGTGGAGAGGTCATAGTTCACTGCAGCCTCGAAATCCTGGTCCAGTGATCCCCCTGCCTCAGCCTCCCAAGTAGCCAGGACTATCATCATGCCACCATGCCAGGTTAATTTTTTATTTTTTGTAGAGATGGGGGTCTCCTTATGTTGCTCAGGCTGGTCTCAAATTCCTCAGCTCAAGCAGTCCTCTTGCCTCAACCTTACAAACTGTTGGGATTACAGGCGTTAGCCACTGCACCTGGCCCTGATTTGTTTTTATTAGCAAGTCATGAATTGGGCAGCATCCTGTTTATGAACTAGAATGATGCTTCACTAAGCTGAGCAGAGCAGAGTGGGTGAGTTTTATAGGCAGAAAAGGAGAAACAAGGAACAGAAAAGGAAGCAGAAACAAGGAAGGAAAAGCAGATTAATAGTTTCAAAATTATTTTCTTTGTAGGGGTAAAGCAGAGAGAACTTCCTCATCATGCTGGTTCAGGTTGACTGGGCCCCTTTTGATTGCCATGAATCCCTGGGGGCTGTGTGTGTGTGTGTGTGTCTGTGTGTGTGTGTGTGTTGTTTTGTTTTGTTTTTCTAAACTGGCCTGTTTTTAAGTTCAGTTTGATTAAGTGGCACCTAGCATGTGTTACTCCATCCTGGTTTGGTCTGGTCTTTTGGGTCCTAGTGTAGGAGCTGAGACTAAAACAATGGCTTCACATACATTTTATTTAACATTGCCTAATGAGTATAGGGTTTCTTTCTGAGGGTAATGAAAATGTTCTACGGCCGGATGCGGTGGCTCACACCTGTAATCCCAGCACTTTGGGAGGCCGAGGCAGGCAGATCACCAGGTCAGGATTTCAAGACCAGCCTGGCCAACATGGTGAACTCCCATCTCTACTAAAAATACAAAAAAATTAGCTAGGTGTGGCGGTGTGTGCCTGTAGTCCCAGCTGCTCGGGAGGCTGAGGCAGGAGAATGGTGTAAACCCGGGAGGTGGAGGTTGCAGTGAGCTGAGATCGCGCCACTGTACTCCAGCCTGGGCGACAGAGCAAGACTCTGTCTCAAAGAAAAAAAAAAGAAAATGTTCTACAATTAAACAGGGGTGATGGTTGCCAAAGTCTGAATATACTAAAATCATTGAATTGGACACTATAAAAGGGTGAATTTTATGGTATATGGATTATATCTCAATAAAGCTGTTTTTTGTTTTGTTTTTTTCAAGACTGAGTCTCACTCTGTTGCTCAGTCTGGAGTGCAGTAGTATGATCTTGGCTCACTGCAACCTCCGCCTCCCAGGTTCAAGTGATTCTCCCGCCTCAGCCTCCCAAGTAGCTGGGATTATAGGCGTGAGCCACGACACCTGGCCAAAGCTGTTTTTTTTTTAAAAGACTATATGCTAAATTTTGAGAATGCGAAGATAAGGAAAATAGCTAACTTTCTTTTGGGGCTTACTCTTTAGTTAGGAAAAAACAGTTGTAAACAAATCATTTTAATGCAATACGATAAATATGAAAATAGAGACATGTAAGCCAGGCTCTGGGAACACAGGACAGAATAAATAACTACCTGGAGCATTTGAGAAAGTTTCTGTTAGGAAATATCTGAGCTGGATTTTGAAGGATGAATTCAGAGGCAGTAGGTCCAATTTCAGGCAGAGGGAACACCAAAAGCATGCCTAAAAGCCCAGAGATATGAACAAATATTAATTGTTCTGAGAATGCAAAATCTACACAAATATGTGAGCTTAGGGCACATGAGAAGTGAGTTAAAGGAGAGGAAGCCTAAAACTTTAGCAGTAACCAGTTGGAGAGGAACTCACACTTGCCATGCCAAAAAGTGAGACCTGATTCTGGAAGTATGTAGTGTCATGAGATGTTTTTAAGCAGATAAATAACATGATCAGATATCTGTCTTCAAAAGATAGTCCTAATGGTAGTGTGAAAAACAAATGGAAGGGTGAAGAGACAGAAGTTCTTGGAGGCAGTGCTACTTGGGAATGGATTACAGTCATACACCACATAATAATGTTTTGGTCAACTACGATCACATATGCAATGGAAGTCTCATAAGGTTATAATGGAGCTGAAAAGTTCCTATCACCTGGTGAGGTTGTAGCCATAGTAACATGGTAGCACAATGTATTACCCTTTCTATGTTTAGATACACAAATGCTCACCATGTGATACAGTTACCTATAGTATTCAGTACTGTAACTGCTGTACAGGTTTATAGTCTAGGAGTAACAGGCTATACCAGGTAGTCTAGGTGTATAGTATGCTATACCATCTAGGTTTGTGAAGTACACTCTATGATGTTGGTACAACTGCAAAATCACCTAAAGATACATTTCTCGGAGTGTGTCTGTATCTCCGTTGTTAAGCAAAGCATAGTATAGTCTCCCATCTAGTTTCAGCCTATGGTGAAGGGATCTCTCTCTCTCTCTCCACTCCCTGTCCAGGCTTTCTCCCCCTGATTTTTAGAGCCTGAGAACTTGGTTGGGTCACAGTTCAAGGTAGGTGAGTTACTGTTCCCCCAGGAGGCATGCCTCTCCTTTGCTTTCTGCTTCCACTGTGAGCACAGCAAACAAGCCTGCGTTGGCAGGCCCTACCACCACCTCTGCCGCTAGATCTGTGCTGACAAGTTAGGAAGTCTACTTTTGACCTTGGGTTCTAGCTGGGTTCTTCAATATAGCTTTTACCAGAATTTTACTTTGGTACTATCAGGCACTTACAGGTCTACTAATAAAGCCAGTTCCTTTTTATTCATGAGGCTATTGGTATGTATAAAGCCCCTTTGTCAAGGATTCCTAGAGGGGATTTGAGGCACTATAACCACCCTGAATTCCTAATAGTGGTAGTGACAATAGAGAGGCAAAAAATGCCAGACATTTCAGCAGTAGAATCAATAAAATGAGACCTGAGTGGAATCCTATCTAATAGCAGCAGTGCAAAAAGAGTAGAAGGGATTGAAGCAGGCACTTAAGGAAAACACCACAGCCAACAGCATGCAGGTAGATAAGGAGAGGACAAATTGAAACAACAGAAAGAGATCTAATTTAGTCTAAAACTGGAGATTTCCATGCAGAGGACTTTATAGTTAATTTGGATGAGCAGTGAAGAGCCAAAAGATTGTGGTGGTAGAAGAGGAGCTGGCTTCAGGACAGAGGTGAAGGGTTCACTCAGGACATCTTGAGTTTGAGGTGTCTCTGAACCTCAGCTGTTGTCCAAGAGTCATTTGGAGCTCAGCCCTAGAGCTTAAAGAGAAATAATGGTACATAGGTACACACTAGACATAAGTGGATTAATTTAACCCCCTGAGTTACATTCTAATAATCTATATGTTATATGATATTTTGCTATAAATTCTCATTGTCCTTATTGGAAGAGACAGCCATTCCCAAAGGCATTTGCATATACTACTTTTGATGTCATGGGATTTTTTTCTACAAAATAATCTTTTTAATCTTTTCTTTATATTTTTTAACTTTTATTTTAGGTTTGGGGGCACATGGGAAGGTGACACATAGGTAAACATGTGTCACAGGGGTTTGTTGTACATATTATTTCATCACCCAGGTATTAAGCCCAGTACCCAATAGTTATCTTTTTTGCTCTTCTTCCTCATGCAACCTCCCCTCTCAAGTAGACCCTAGTATCTGTTGTTTCCTTTTTTGTGTTCATAAGTTCTTATTATTTAGCTCCCATTTTGTATTAGTCCATTTATGCTGCTGATAAAGACATACCTGAGACTGGGAAGAAAAAGAGGGTTTTTTTGTTTGTTTGTTTCTTTTGTTTTTTTGAGACGGAATCCTGCTCTGTCGCCAGGCTGGAGTGCAGTGGCACGATCCAGGCTCAATGCAGCCTCCGCCTCCTGGGTTCAAGCAATTCTCCTGCCTCAGCCTCCCGAGTAGCTGGGACTACAGGCACACACCACCACACCCAGCTAATTTTTGTATTTTTAGTAGAGACGAGGTTTCACCATGTTGGCCAGGCTGGCCTCAAACTCCTGACCTTGTGATCCACCCACCTCAGCCTCCCAAAGTGCTGGGATTACAGGTGTGAGCCACCATGCCCAGCGGAAAAAGAGGTTTAATTGGAATCACAGTTCCACATGGCTGAGAAGGCCTCAGAATCATGGCAGGAGGAGAAAGGCACTTCTTACATGTTGGCGGCAAGAGAAAATGAGAAGGAAGCAAAAGAGGAAACCCCTGATAAAACCATCGGGTCTCATGAGACTTATTCACTATCACAAGAATAGCGCAGGAAAGACTGGCCCCCATAATTCAATTACCTACCCTTGTGTCCCTCCCACAACACATGGGAATTCTGGGAGATACAATTCAAGTTGAGATTTGGGTGGGGACACAGCCAAACTATATCATTCCGCCCCTGGCCCCTCCAAATCTCATGTCCTTACATTTCAAAACCAATTATGCTTTCCCAAAAGTCCCCCAACATCTTAACTCATTTCAGCATTAACCCAGAAGTCCACAGTCCAAAGTCTCATCTGAGACAAGGCAAGTCCCTTCTGCCTATGAGCCTATAAAATCAAAAGCAAGCTAGTTACTTCCTAGATACAATGGGGGTACAGGTTAAATACAGCTATTCCAAATGGAAGAAATTGGCCAAAACAAAGGGGATACAGGGCCCATGCAAGTCTGAAATCGAGTGAGGCAGTCAAATTTTAAAGCTCCAAAATGATCTCCTTCAACTCCAGGTCTTACATCCAGGTAACACTGATGCAAAAGGTAGGTTCCCATGGTCTTGGGCAGTACTGCCCCTGTGGCATTGTAGGGTACAGCCTCCCTCACGGCTGCTTTCACAGGCTGGCATTGAGTGTCTATGGCTTTTCCAGGAGCATGGTACAGGCTGTCAGTGGATCTACCATTCTGGGGTCTGGAGGACAGGTGGCCCTCTTTTCACAGCTCCACTAGGCAGTGCCCTAGTAGGGACTCTGTGTGAGGACTCCAACCCCACATTTCCCTTCTGCACTGCCCTAGCAGAGGCTCTCCATGAGGGCCCCAACCCTGCAGCAAACTTGCCTAGGCATCCAGTCATTTCCATACATCTCCTGAAATCCAGGCGGAGGTTCCCAAACTTCAATTCTTGACTTCTGTGCACCCACAGGCTCAACACCACATGGAAGCTGCCAAGGCTTGGGGCTTCCACCCTCTGAAGCCACAGCCCAAGCTGTACGTCGGCCCCTTTCAGCCATGGCTGGAGCAGCTGGGATGCAGGGAACCAAGTCCCTAGGCTGAACGCAGCACAGGGACCCTGGACCTGGCCCACAAAACCACTTTTTCCTCCTGGGCCTCCTGGCCTGTGACGGGAGGGCCTACCATGAAGGTCTGTGACATGGCCTAGAGACATTTTCCCCATGGTCTTGGGGATTAACATTAGGCTCCTTGCTACTTATGCAAATTTCTGCAGCTGGCTTGAATTTCTCCCGAGAAGTTTTCTTTTCTGTCACATAGTCAGGCTGCAAATTTTCCAAACTTCTATGCTCTGCTTCCCTTATAAAACTGAATGCCTTTAACAGCACCCAAGTCACCTCTTAAATGCTTTGCTCCTTAGAAATTTCTTCTGTCAGATACCCTAAATCATCTCTCTCAAGTTCAAAGTTCCACAAATCTCTAGGGTAGGGGCAAAATGCCTCCAGTCTCTGCTGAAACATAACAAGAGTCACTTTTGCTCCAGTTCCCAGCAAATTCCTCATCCCCATCTGAGACCACCTCAGCCTGGATTTTATTGTCCCTATTGCTATCAGCATTTTGGGCACAGCCATTCAACAAGTATCTAGGAAGTTCTAAACTTTCCCACATTTTCCTGTCTTTTTCTAAGCCCTTCAAACTGTTCCAGTCTCTGCCTGTTACCCAGTTCCAAAGTCGCTTCCACATTTTCAGGTATCTTGTCAGCAACGCCCCACTCTACTGGTACCAGTTTACTGTATTAGTCCATTTTCATGCTGCAGATAAAGGCATACTTGAGACTGGGTAGAAAAAGAGATTTAATTTGACTTAAAGTTCCACATGGCTGGGGAGGCCTCAGAATCAACAGCAGGCAGCGAAAGACACTTTCTTTATATGGCAGCGGCAAGAGAAAATGAGAAGGAAGCAAAAGCGGAAACCCGTGATAAACCCATCAGATCTCATGAGACTTACTTGCTATCACTAGACTAGCGCAGGAAAAACTGGCCCCCATGATTCAATTACCTTCCCCTGGGTCCCTCCCACAACATGTGGGAATTCTGTGAGATACAATTCAAGTTGAGATTTGGGTGGGGACACAGCCAAACCATATCACACTTATAAGTGAGAACGTGGTATTTGGTTTTCTGTTCTTGCATTAGTTTGCTAAGGATAATAGCCTCCAGCTCCATCCATGTTCCCACAAAAGACGTTATATCATTCTTTTTTATGGCTAAATGGTATTCAATGGCATATAAGTACCACTTTTTCTTCAGTTAACCTGTCATTGACATGCATTTCTGTTGATTCCATGTCTTTGCTATTGCAAATAGTGCTACAGTGAACATTCCTGTGCATGTGCCTTTATGGTAGAATGATTTCTATTCCTCTGGGCATATGCCCAGTAATGGGATTGCTGGTTCGAATGGTAGTTCTGCTTTTAGCCCTTTGAAGAACTGCCATACTGCTTTCCACAATAGTTGAACTAATTTACACTCCCACCAACAGTGTATGTGTTCCCTTTTCTCTGCAACCTTGCCCACATCTGTTATTTTTTTCACTTTTTAATAGCCATTCTGACTGGTGTGAGATCGTATCTCACTGTGGTTTTGATTTGCATTTCTCTAGTGATCAGTAATATTGAACTTTTCTTCATATACTTGTTGGCCGCATATATGTCTTCTTTTGAGAAGTGTCTGTTCATTTCCTTTGCCTACTTTTTTTTGTTGTTGTTGTTGTTGAGACAGAGTCTTGCTTTCTCACCCAGGCTGGAATGTGATGGTGCAATCTTGGCTCACTGCAGCCTTCGCCTCCCAGGTTCAAGCAAGTTGCATGCCTCAACCTCCTGAGTAGCTGGTACTACAGGTGCACGCCACCATGCTCAGCTAATTTTTGTAGTTTTTGTAAGGATAGGGTTTCACAATTTTGGCCAGGCTAGTCTCAAACTACTGACCTCAGGTGATCCACCCATCTCGGCTTCCCATAGTGCTGAGATTATAGCCATGAGCCAACATGCCAGGCCCTTCGCCCACTTTTTAATGGAATTTTTTGTTTTTCTCTTGTAAATTTGTTTAAGTTTCTTATAGATGCTGGATATTAGACCTTTGTCAGATGCATAGTTTGCAAATACTTTATTCCTTTCTGTAGGTTGTCTGTTTACCCTGTTGATAGTTTATTTTGCTGTGCAGAAGCTCTTAAGTTTAATTAGATCCCACTTGTCAACTGTTGCTTTTGTTAAGACTGCCTTTGGTGTTGTCATGAGAACTTTGCTCATTCGTTTGTCCAGAATGGTATTGCCTATGTTGTCTCCCAGGGCTTTTATACTTTTGGGCCTGGAGGCTCTGTACAGGGAGTTGCCGAGCAGCTACTGGCTCAATAGCTCTGGTGGCGGATGGCTAGAGCCCCAGGCTTGGAGGACCTACCCAATGAGCAGATATGGGAATGGGCACCCATGTAACAGTCTGGCCAGTTTTCTGTAGGGCTACTAAAGTAGCTGAGGGCCCCTCCAGTCCCTAGTCACCTCAGATTTTCCAGTACCTAGAGGTATCACCAGTGAAGTCTGTGAAACAGCAAAGATGGCAGCCTATCCCACCCTCTAGGAGCTTCATCCCAGGGAGGTACAGGCCTGTTGCTGGTCCAAAGGCACCTGAAGGAGGTAGCTGGTGATCTGGTTGGGAGGTTCTGTCCAGTGAGGAGGAATGGGATCGGGGACTCACTTAAAAAAAGCAGTCTGGCCACATTTTGGTAGATCAGCTGTGCTGTGCTGGGGGATCCCTTCCACCCTCCACACTCCCTTTCGCTTGGACTCTCCAAAGCTGGAAGACTGGAACAGCTAAGGTGCCCAAACAGCAAACATGGTGACTAGCCCCTCCCCTCAGGACCTCCTTTCCTAGGGAGGTGCAATGACACTTCTGGTAGCTGATTGGAATTTTAGAGGTGCCATGGAAGTGAGTTGCCGTGGAAATGGGGCCTGCAGGCTGTTGCTGCTTATCCACCTGCATTCAGCCTCTTTCCTAGGGATATGTACAGGAGTCTAACCTCCCACTTCATGCGACACTGCACCTGGCTAAGACCATGTCTCTAAAAAAAAATAATAATAAGTAATAACGTTTTCTTTTTTACTACTTTGGGTTTTAAAAAAAATCAAAATGTGTTTTATTTTGTGTGTTTTGTTTTGTTTTCTCTCTATCTGCAGAGAAACACTAGTAGTTGTGCCTAAGAGTGGATATTGTCAGTATTTTATTCAGCTGTATGGGAATGAACATTTTGGAAAATCTGAAAAAAAAACCAGTCATTTCTTTCTTAGAATAATTTAAATCTATTTTTTCAGTTAGATGATTAAAACCCTACTTGTGTCACTCTGTCTCCTTTGAAAACAGACTCTTGTTGGCTTGTTTACAAATGCTCACGAGGGCTCTTTAGTTCCAGTTCCAATCATCAATCCTCTGTGGTTCAAGAGACCAGCATGATGTCCCAATCACCCATTTGTAAAATAGGTTTATTAATATTTTTAGGAACAGGAGCCAAATGACACGAGGCAGTAATGGTTCCTACCAGAGCTGCCCTTTGATCAAAGTCTATTAAACTTGACATCAGTGCTTTTGTTGGTAGCCTGTGCTTCCCTGGAATGGCACCAAGCTTTGAAGTGCTTTATTTTTTATGAGTTTTACTAGATTTTTTTCCCCTCTCCTTCAGTTCTAATAACTGGCTTTTAATCCTATCATCATAGCCAGGGGATTTGTCTGTAAAGACCAGTAGTTTGCTATGGTGAAAAACAGGGCAAAAAGATTAGGACTCTGAACTTTTCAGATAAAAACATGCATTTTGCCATCTTAAGCATTTTGCAGTTTGTATTCCCAGCACTTCTCACCAAAAGCAGTATTTTTCTTTTGTTTTTCAAAAACAATATTGAACAAAAGACAGGAACATAATAACTGAGTTTCAGCTGTATAACTGAAGAGAGGAATATGTTCTTCTATCTTCCACTTTCCTTATGACATGGGCGTGTTGTTATAATTATATTTTTCTCATAAGCTTTGTGATAAAAATTACTATAGGCTTAGATCACTCTTCCTTCTTTAAGGAGCAGGGAGTCATTGTTGTTGATGAATCTAACATTTTTGGAAAATATGCATTTTTTTGGGAAGCATTCTGTTTGCAATTATTTCTTACTATGTTTTTCCCAAATGCTTTAATCAGTGAATCTACTAACAGCTGTAGCAATGTTGCCAGCTCTACTAAAAGAGAACACTTTATGAAAAATTAACAAAAAAAGACAACAGAAAAGTCATTAGAAGCATATTTTTATTTGATATCTGTATCTACAAATTAGTATCTTGTTTAAGGTCACCTTCTTCTTTTATAAACCAGACATGTTCCCAATACCTGCTTGAGTCTCCATGAGTTGATGGTGATATGTCTCTGTCTCAAAACATCAAGGATGGCCAGGCACTGTGGCTCACACCTGTAATCCCAGCACTTTGGGAGGCTGAGGCAGGAGAATGGCTTGAACCTGGGAGGCGGAAGTTGCGGTGAGCCGAGATCACACCATTGCACTCCAGCCTGAGCAACAGAGCAAGACTCTGTCTCAAAAAAAAAAAAAAAAAGAAAGAAAGAAAAGAAAAGAAAAGAAAAGAAATGGAGCTATTCAAACCACAAGTCCACCTTCAGATGTTTATCATGGTGAAACCCTGTCTCTTTTTTTTTTTTTTTTTTTTTTGAGACGGAGTTTCAATCTCGTTGCCCAGGCTGGAGTGCAATGACGCGATCTCGGCTCACCATAACCTCTGCCTCCCAGGTTCAAGCGATTCTCCTGCCTCAGCCTCCCAAGTAGCTGGGATTACAGGCATGTGCCACCATGCCCGGCTATTTTTGTATTTTTAGTAGAGATGGGGTTTCTCCGTGTTGGTCAGGCTGCTCTCGAACTCCCAACCTCAGGTGATCTGCCTGCCTCAGCCTCCCGAAGTGCTGGGATTACAGGCGTGAGCCACAGCACCCAGCCCCTGTCTCTATTAAAAATACAAAAAATTAGCCAGGCATGGTGGCACATGCTTGTAGTCCCAGCTACTCGGGAGGCTGAGACACAAGAATCACTTGAACCAGGGAGGCGGAGGTTGCATTGAGCCAAGATTGTGCCACTTCACTCCAACCTGGGCAACAGAGTGAGATTCTGCCTCAAAAAACAAAACAAAAAATCATTTTCAGTAAACCAGGAGACCCTCTTTGTTTCCATCCAGCAGGTATAATTATCTTTAGAATATATCAAAGAGATTTTCTCACTTGTTTTTCTATTAGTCATAGCTGCTAAATGTCAAAGAGACCTCAACCAACTTCCTGCTGATTGCCCAGAGGCTACAATCAGAAAGCACAGTTGATGACATGGATCAGGTTTCTCACTGATTACCTCATAGGAAATCCTTACTCCTTTTAGGCCTTCCAGCTTATGGCAGCCCTATGGCCAGGACCCTAACTTGTAAGGTTTACTTCCTGTGACAGCATTCATCATTGTTCAGTTTAGCCATCATAACATTAGCCATAGTCATTGCTAATCTTGCTCTCTCCTTTTGCTAATATTGTATTCTTAAGAGTACCTTTTGGTTCACAATATTATTAAAATGATTTCCTTTCTATCCTTTCCCTTGTTTTCTGGATTTTATGTACTAAAGCCTCAATTTTATTACCCAAGTGGAATGTTCTGTTTTAGAACATCACCTATGCTGATTACTCCCATGCCACTGTTCATAAACTACCATAATGGCAGAAGTAAGCATCAGTTTCTCATTACTGTCAGTCACTGCTAACCTTACCTCTCAACCTGCCTTCAGCATATAATGAGAATTCTCAAATGCTATTTTCCCAAAATAAGTCATTGCTTAAATAGTAAAATAAGTTATTTTTAAAATAGCTTAATTAAATAGCTTAATTAAGAAGATCAACTGTAAAGCTGGTATTTGAAGGCCCTGAGAATTCTTTTTTTGTGGGGAGGTTTCTTTAGTTGTTTTGTTTGTTTATTTATTTATTTATTTATTTATTTATTTTTGAGATGGAGTATGCTCTGTCACCCAGGCTGGAGTGCAATGGTGCGAACTCAGCTCACTGCAACCTCCACTTCCTGGGTTCAAGTGATTCTCGTGCGTCAGCCTCCCGAGTAGCTGGGATTACAGGCACCCACCACCACGCACGACTAATTTTTTTGTATTTTCAGTAGAGACAGGGTTTCACCGTGTTGGCCAGGCTGGTTTCGAACTCCTGACCTCAAGTGATCTGCCCGCCTTGGCCTCCCAAAGTGCTGAGATTACAGGCGTGAGCCCCAATGCCTAGCTAATTTTTGTGTTTTTAGTAGAGATGGGGTTTTGATATGTTGTCCAGGGTGGTTTGATCTGTTTGGCCAGATCAAGTGATCTGCCTGCCTTGGACTCCCAAAGTACTGGGATTACAGGCATGAGCCACCACGTTCAGCCTTCTTTGTTGTTCTGTTTTGTTGTTGGGAAGATTCCTTTTGTTTTAACAAATGTTGCAAATTTTTTTTTTTTTTTTTTGGTGGGGAAATGGAGACATAAGTCATTAAATAAACAGATTCTTTAAAATATAGAATAGGACAAAAGATTCAAGTATTATTTAAACATTATTCAGTGTAGATGATAGTGGACTATTATATATTTTATATATATAGCTATGCTGACATCAGTTTGTTTTATTTGCTCTTCTTAAAAAAAAAAAAATTTAAGGCCGGGCATGGTGGCTCATGCTTTTAATTCCAGCACTTTGGGAGGCTAAGGCAGAAGGATCGCTTGAGCCCAGGAGTTCAAGACCAGCCCAGGCAACACAGGGAGACCCTTGTCTAAACAGTAACAACAAAAATTAACCAGACATGGCAGCATGCACCTGTAGTCCCAGCTACTCAGGAGGCTGAGGCAAGAGCATCTCTTGAGCCCAGAAGGCTAAGGCTGCAGTGAGCTGTGATCACACCATTGCACTCCAGCCTTGGTGACAAAGAAAGAACCTGCTTCAGAAAGAAAAAAAAAGTTTTTTTAAGTACAGGAAGAGAGGTGGTTGAGGGTATGGTTAAGGCATTAAATTGAAAACAAGCAGATTAAGAAAGATTCCTTAATTAATGGTAATTTTTTTAAATTATTATTTTTTTTAGAAGGAGTCTCACTCTCTTGCCCAGGCTGGAGTGCAGTGGCACGATCTTGGCTCACTGCAACCTCTGCCTGCCGGGTTCCCTGCCTCAGCCTCCTGAGTAGCTGGGATTACAGGCGCCAACGCTACGCACGGCTAATTTTTGTATTTTTAGTAGAGACGGGGTTTCACCATCTTGGCCAGACTGATCTTGAAATCCTGACCTCATGATCCACTCACCTTGGCCTCCCAAAGTGCTGGGATTACAGGCGTGAGCCACCGCGCCCAGCCTCTTTAGCACCTTTCTCTGATCAGCTCCGTGGTAGCTAACATTGTGTCATCTGTGGAGAAATTGACTAGACCAAGCAAAAACTTGTGGAGACTGAAGGAGATCATAAAAGAGTCTGTGATGACCCTACAGTGAAGTCTCCCATGTGGAACTCCTGATAGCATTTTAGCATCTTATTAAATATCAGTGGATAACAGAAGGCCACCTCTCATGTGAAAAACAGAAACCAAAACAAACATGTAAGCCAAGAATGAGATACAAAAGAAACAGAGACAATGTAATGAGCTGAAGAAAATGTAAAAACAGAACAAAAAACTACCATCAGTAGACACAGATAAGTAAAAACAGTGTGCTCATGAAACATGAATAAGAAAAAGGAAAAATCAGAGAACACAACAAGCTCTTAGAGCTTAAAACTGTAATACCAGAAATTAATAATTAAATAAGGAAAGAAAGGAGGATAATGAAGAAATTACCCAGAAGTAGAACAAAGATATAGGAAAAGTGAAGAAAATTAAATAATCTGTTCAGAAGCTTTTTTCCTAATAGGAGATCTAGAAAGATAAGATAGAGGAAGAAAAAAATAATTTAAGAAAACTTCCCAGGACGGAAGGACACAAGTTGATCTGATTGAAAGTACCTACCGAAAGCCAGGTGCAGTGGTGTGCCTGTAGGTCCCAGCTACTTAGTAGGCTGAGCAGGAGGATTGCTTGTGCCCTAGGAGTTTGAGCCCCCCCTGGGTAACACTGAGACCCCATCTCTTTAAAAAAAAAAAAAGAAAGAAAGTACCTACTGAGTGTCTACTATAATGAATGGAAAACCGAAACACACACTAAAGCCATTACCCTCCTGATTTTTTGCTTTGAGTTTTCTTCTGGATATCTTTTACTCATTCAGCCATTAATTTTGTTCCCTTGTTTTCTGTCCTTTTTACCTTTTCTTACTTTATTGAACTACCTCTATGTGGCATGACATCCACTTTTATGATTTTATCCACCTGCATGTCCATGATTGTTCTCTGATACCTAAATCCAATTGTCTCTCTCTTTTTTTTTTTGGAGACAGAGTCTCACTCTGTCACCCAGGCTGGAGTTCAGAGGCAAAAGTTGGCTCGCTACAACCTCTGCTTCCTGAGTTCAAGCGATTCTCGTGCCTCAGCCTCCCAAGAAGCTGGAATTACAGGCGTGCGCACCATGCCCAGCTACTTTTTGTATTTTTTGTAGAGCTGGGGTTTGACCACGTTGGCTAGGCTGGTCTGGAACTCCTGACCTCAAGTGATTCGCCCACCTCACCTTCCCAAAGTTCTGGGATTACAGGCGTGAGCCACCATGCCTGGCCTCAGTTGTCTCTCTTATGAACTCCAAACCTGCTTCCTGGAATCCTCTACTCCAGTACCACTAGTTCTCATACATTTCTAAAAGTGAACTTGTTTCCTTAGCTCTTCTTTTTTGGTCTTCTAATGTACCTATTTATCTTTCTGTATTTTCTATTGCAGTAACTGAAAATATCATCCCTACCATGTTACAAGTCAAAAATCTAGGAGTCTGAAGATTACTCTAGGCCCCTGCATCTTCCTCACCCCTCATGTTCAGTCAGCATGTCCCATCAGATCTTCTTGCTGCTAGCCCCATGTGTCCTAAGTTCCCAGGAAACCCTCCCATTCCCCATTCATCCCTCAAGGAAGGGACGATCAAGTGTCATTAGACATTTGAAGAGAAAATCTATAGCATGAAAAAGATAAACAAAAGTAAACTAATACACAAATTGATCCTGAAGATAATTTTAAAAAAACTCTTAAGTAGTAGTTTCAGATTTGAGATTATATTGCCCATAAAAATAAAATGAGAATACGGTAAAAAAAAAAAAAAAAGAACAGAGAATAACAAGGAACTTTTAGATGTTAAAAATATGACTGCCAAACTAAAATGATTCTATAGAAGGGTTGAAAGATAAGTAGAGGAAAACTAAGAGTTTACAGGGTAAAAAGACAAAAAGAAGGAAAATATTACAGTAAAAGGTAAGACATAAATGTGTAAGTCTAACATTCTACTAATAGGAATGCCAGAAAAAGAGAAAATTAAGAGGAAGGAACTATCAAAGAATAATAGAAATTTTCGAGAGCTAAAGATAATAGTATTCAAAATTAATAAGGTATCTTAAGTCCTGAGCAGAATTTTTAAAGGCATATAAATATAGACTATATAGAGGTAAATCACTGTGAAATTTTAAAACACCAAAAATAAAAGTTCCTGAAAAGCCCTAAAAGAAAGCAAAAATGTGCAGCCTACCAAGGAACAACATTTTCAGCAACAACAGATATTGGAAGAAACAGAACAATGCCTTTAAGGATTTGAGAGGTCAGGCATGGTGGCTCACGCCTGTAATTCCACCACTTTGGGGGGCCAAGACAGGTGAATTACTTGAACTCAACAGTTCAAGACCAGCCTGGGCAACATGTTGAAACTCAATCTCTGCAAAAAAATACAAAAATTAGCCAGGCATGGTGGCATGCTCCTGCAGTCCCAGCTACTTGGGAAGCTGAGGTGGGAGGATCACTTGAATCCAGGAGGTCAAGACTCCAATGAGCTGTGATTGCACCACTACACTCCAACCTGGGTGACAGAGGAAGACCCTGTCTCAAAAAGGAAGGATTCAAGGAGAATCGTATGCCCAGCAAAACTACTGAATAAAGATGAGGACAAAATCAACTCATTTCTAGACAGGCAAGGACAGAAAGTTTACCTCTATCAGAAAAACAGTATGGTTTAACTAGAAATAGCTGATAGAATTTGTGCATGTTTGCTGAACATTTGCTAGTATTTTCAAAATTCTGCAAGCTCTCTTTGCTGTTTTATTGTGCAGAATAGAATATTTTCTTTAAATGTTTAATTCTATTTGTTTCTTTGTTACCATTTTGTTTTTAAGAGACAGGGTCTTGCCATGTTGCCCAGACTGGTGTGGGACTCCTGGACTCAAGCAATCCTCCTTCCTCAGCCTCCTAAAGTAGCTAGGACTACAGGCGCACGCCACCATGCCTGGCTAATTTTTCTGTTTTTTGTAGAGACAGGATCTTGCTATGTTGCCTAGGCTGGTCTAGAACTCCTTGCATCAAACAATCCTCCTGTCTTGGCTTCCCAATGTACTGGACTACAGGCATGAGCCACTGTACTCAGCCTGTTACCTTTTTTTAAAAAACACCAAACTTCATCAGTCTATTAATCTCTCTGCTTTCCTCCACCCTTTTTTTTTTTTTGACATGGAGTCTTGCTCCATTGCCCAGGCTGGAGTGCAGTGGTGTGGTCTTGGATCATGCAACCTCCACCTCCCAGGTTTGAGCGGTTCTTCTGCCTCAGTCTCCCAAGTAGCTGGGACTACAGGTGCATGCCACCACGCCCAGCTAATTTTTGTATTAGTAGAGACACGGTTTCATCATATTGGCCAGGCTGGTCTCAAACTCCTGACCTCGTGATCCACCCGCCTCAGCTTCCCAAAGTGCTGGGATTACAAGCATGAGCCACCATGCCTGGCCCGCTCTTTCTTTAATTTCCCTCACGCATTGTTTTAAAAATCGTGTCTTGTGGTTAATGATTTCATTCTCTATATTTATCTGAATTCTGTATATTTCACAACTAATTAGATAACTTTTTGTAGTATTTGAGAACGTATAAATTAGCAGCCATGCAAAATAAGAGTTCTACATTATTGGGAGTAGTGGAGCAGGGGAGAGAGCTTTTTCCCTATGATAACATGTTTTAATTTTACAAATATGGGAACAGCCTAAATTTTCCTTCCTTATTTTTTCGCTTCCTTTTTTTTTTGATTTTTTATACTGTGGTAAATAAAATTTGTCATTTTAACCATTTTTAAGTGTACAGTTAGTGTCATTACATTCACAGTGTGTTGTGCACCCACCACCAGTATTTCCAAAAATTTTCCATTACCCCAGAGAGTCTATAATTATGTAGCAATCACTCTCCATTTCCCCTTCCCCTCCAGCCTCTGGTAACCACTAATCTTTCTGTTTTTATGAATTTTATAATTCTTTCTTATATAGTACCACTAAGAAGTACAGATAATATTCATTATGTAAAATATCATTTACAATATATGGTATTTTGCTATCATTATCTACAGGGTCTGTCTTAGTTATCTATTACTGCATAACAAATTGCTCCAAAACTTAGTGTCTTAAGACAACAATAGCCTTGTATTATTTCTTATAGTTTCTATGGGTGCAGTATTCAACCAGGGTACAACAGGAATGACATGTCTCCTCCATGATGACTGTGGCCCTTGATGGAAGACACCCATGCCAGGGGCTGAAAACTTCTCTGAAGGCTTGTTCACTCACATGTCTGGCAATTGGTGCTGTCTGTCACCTGGGAGCTTTTCTGGGGCTGTCAACTGGAACACCGCAGGATTTCTCCATGTGGCCTGGGTTTCCTCATACCAATGGTGGCTAGGTTCCCAAGGCAAGTGTCCCAAGAGAGAAAGAAAGGGAGAGACAGAGGGCCAGCCAAGTTGAAGCCATATTACCTTCAATGACCTAGCCTCAGAAGTCACACAGCATTGGCCAGGCACGGTGGCTCACGCCTGTAATCCCATCGCTTTGTGGGGGCCGGGGCGGGTGGATCACCTCAGGTCAGGAGTTCAAGACCCACCTGGGCAACCAGGTGAAACCCCATCTCTACTAAAAATACAAAAATTAGCTGGGCGTGATAGTGAACACCTGTAATCCCAGCTACTTTCGGGAGGCGGAGGTTGCAGTGAGCCAAGATTGCGCCATTGTACTCCAGCCTGGGAGACAAGAGTGAAACTCTGCCTCAAAAAAAAAAAAAAAAAGTCACACAGCATTACTTTAACTGCATTCTGTTGGGTGAGACAGTTACAAAGGTCTACTCACGTTCAAGGAAGAAGAACATAGATCCCACCTCTCAATGGAGGCATGTCAGTGTCACATTGTATGAAGAGCATGTGAAATGACATAAGAATTGGTGTGACCATCATTGAAAATATATTCAGCCACACTGTGTTTCTAACATAGTTCCCAACTCCACCTCTGAAACTAAATCCTTTAATTTGCCCTAACTGTAGCTAATTAACCATGGAGATAGGTATCCTACTTACTCTAATTAGGAAACTGAGATTCACACATTGAAAAGATGAAAAACATGCAATGATGTAGCTGTTCTTAAACAAAAGAAATAACATTTCTTGAAAACAAGGTTATTATTAAAATGTGTCTACTAAAGAAGCTGTCCTAATTAACAGGTTTTTTTGTTTTTTGTTTTTTGTTTTTAGTTATACTTTTAGGGTACATGTGCACAACGTGCAGATTTGTTACATATGTATACATGTGCCATGTTGGTGTGCTGCACCCATTAACTCGTCATTTAACATTAGGTATATCTCCTAATGCTATCCCTCCCCCCTTCCCCCACCCCACAACAGGCCCCAGTGTGTGATGTTCCCCTTCCTGTGTCCATGTGTTCTCATTGTTCAATTCCCACCTATGAGTGAGGACATGTGGTGTTTAGTTTTTTGTCCTTGCGATAGTTTGCTGAGAATGATGGTTTCCAGCTTCATCCATGTCCCTACAAAGGACATGAACTCATCATTTTTTATGGCTGCATAGTATTCCATGGTGTATATGTGCCACATTTTCTTAATCCAGTCTATCATTGTTGGACATTTGGGTTGGTTCCAAGTCTTTGCTATTGTGAATAATGCCGCAATAAACATACGTGTGCATGTGTCTTTATAGCAGCATGTTTGATAATCCTTTGGGTATATACCCAGTAATGGGATGGCTGGGTCAAATAGTATTTCTAGTTCTACATCCCTGAGGAATCACCACACTGACTTCCACAATGGTTGAACTAGTTTACAGTCCCACCAACAGTGTAAAAGTGTTCCTATTTCTCCACATCCTCTCCAGCACCTGTTGTTTCCTGACTTTTTAATGATTGCCATTCTAACTGGTGTGAGATGGTATCTCATTGTGGTTTTGATTTGCATTTCTCTGATGGCCAGTGATGATGAGCATTTTTTCATGTGTCTTTTGGCTGCATAAATGTCTTCTTTTGAGAAGTGTCTGTTCATATCCTTCGCCCACTTGTCGATGGGGTTGTTTGTTTTTTTCTTGTAAATTTGTTTGAGTTAATTGTAGATTCTGGATATTAGCCCTTTGTCAGATGAGTAGATTGCAAAAATTTTCTCCCATTCTGTAGGTTGCCTGTTCACTCTGATGGTAGTTTCTTTTGCTGTGCAGAAGCTCTTTAGTTTAATTAGATCCCATTTATCAATTTTGGCTTTTGTTGCCATTACTTTTGGTGTTTTAGACATGAAGTCCTTGCCCATGCCTGTGTCCTGAATGGTATTGCCTAGGTTTTCTTCTAGGGCTTTTATGGTTTTAGGTCTAACATGGTAAGTCTTTAATCCATCTTGAATTAATTTTTGTATAAGGTGTAAGGAAGGGATCCACTTCCAGCTTTCTACATATGGCTAGCCAGTTTTCCCAGCACCATTTATTAAATAGGGAATCCTTTCCCCATTGCTTGTTTTTCTCAGGTTTGTCAAAGATCAGATAGTTGTAGATATGCGGCATTATTTCTGAGGGCTCTGTTCTGTCCCATTGGTCTATATCTCTGTTTTGGTACCAGTACCATGCTGTTTTGGTTACTGTAGCTTTGTAGTATAGCTTGAAGTCAGGTAGTGTGATGCCTCCAGCTTTGTTCTTTTGGCTTAGGATTGACTTGGCAATGTGGGTTCTTTTTTGGTTCCATATGAACTTTAAAGTAGTTTTTTCCAATTCTGTGAAGAAAGTCATTGGTAGCTTGATGGGGATGGCATTGAATCTATAAATTACCTTGGGCAGTATCGCCATTTTCATGACATTGATTCTTCCTACCCATGAGCATGGAATGTTCTTCCATTTGTTTGTATCCTCTTTTATTTCATTGAGCAGTGGTTTGTAGTTCTCCTTGAAGAGGTCCTTCACTTCCTTTCTAAGTTGGATTCCTAGGTATTTTATTCTCTTTGAAGCAATTGTGAATGGGAGTTCACTCATGATTTGGCTCTCTGTTTGTCTGTTGATGGTGTATAAGAATGCTTGTGATTTTTGTACATTGATTTTGTATCCTGAGACTTTGCTGAAGTTGCCTATCGGCTTAAGGAGATTTTGGGCTGAGACGATGGGGTTTTCTAGATATATAATCATGTCATCTGCAAACAGGGACAATTTGACTTCCTCTTTTCCTAATTGAATGCCCTTTTTTTCCTTCTCCTGCCTCATTGCCCTGGCCAGAACTTCCAACACTATGTTGAATAGGAGTGGTGAGACAGGGCATCCCTGTCTTGTGCCAGTTTTCAAAGGGAATGCTTCCAGTTTTTGTCCATTCAGTATGATATTGGTTGTGGGTTTGTCATAGATAGCTCTTATTATTTTGAGATAAATCCCATCAATACCTAATTTATTGAGAGTGTTTAGCATGAAGGGTTGTTGAATTTTGTCAAAGGCCTTTTCTGCATCTATTGAGATAATCATGTGGTTTTTGTCTTTGGTTCTGTTTATATGCTGGATTACGTTTATTGATTTTCGTATGTTGAACCAGCCTTGCTTCCCAGGGATGAAGCCCACTTGATCATGGTGGATAAGCTTTTTGATGTGCTGCTGGATTCGGTTTGCCAGTATTTTATTGAGGATTTTTGCATCAATGTTCATCAGGGATATTGGTCTAAAATTCTCTTTTTTTGTTGTGTCTCTGCCAGGCTTTGGTATCAGGATGATGCTGGCCTCATAAAGTGAGTTAGGGAGGATTCCCTCTTTTTCTATTGATTGGAATAGTTTCAGAAGGAATGGTACCAGCTCTTCCTTGTACCTCTCGTAGAATTTGGCTGTGAATCCATCTGGTCCTGGACTTTTTTTGGTTGGTAAGCTATTAATTATTGCCTCAATTTCAGAGCCTGTTATTGGTCTATTCAGAGATTCAACTTCTTCCTGGTTCAGTCTTGGGAGGGTGTATGTGTTGAGGAATTTATCCATTTCTTCTAGATTTTCTAGTTTATTTGCATAGAGGTGTTTATAGTATTCTCTGATGGTAGTTTGTATTTCTGTGGGATCGGTGGTGATATCCCCTTTATCATTTTTTATTGCGTCTATTTGATTCTTCTCTTTTCTTCTTTATTAGTCCTGCTAGCGGTCTATCAATTTTGTTGATCTTTTCAAAAAACCAGCTCCTGGATTCATTGAATTTTTGAAGGGTTTTTTGTGTCTCTATTTCCTTCAGTTCTACTCTGATCTTAGTTATTTCTTGCCTTCTGCTGGCTTTTGAATGTGTTTGCTCTTGCTTCTCTAGTTCTTTTAATTGTGATGTTAGGGTGTCAATTTTAGATCTTTCCTGCTTTCTCTTGTGGGCATTTAGTGGTATAAATTTCCCTCTACACACTGCTTTGAATGTATCCCAGAGATTCTGGTATGTTGTGTCTTCGTTCTCATTGATTCCAAAGAACATCTTTATTTCTGCGTTCATTTCATTATGTACCCAGTAGTCATTAGGAGCAGGTTGTTCAGTTTCCATGTAGTTATGCGGTTTTGAGTGAGTTTCTTAATCCTGAGTTCTAGTTTGATTGCACTGTGGTCTGAGAGACAGTTTGTTATAATTTCTGTTCTTTTACATTTGCTGAGGAGTGCTTTACTTCCAACTATGTGGTCAATTTTGGAATAGGTGTGGTGCTGAAAACAATGTATATTCTGTTGATTTGGGGTGGAGAGTTCTATAGATGTCTGTTAGGTCTGCTTGGTGCAGAGCTGGGTTCAGTTCCTGGATATCCTTGTTAACTTTCTGTCTCGTAGATCTGTCTAGTGTTGACAGTGGGGTGTTAAAGTCTCTGATTATTATTGTGTGGGAGACTAAGTCTCTTTGTAGGTCTCTAAGGACTTGCTTTATGAATCTGAGTGTTCCTGTATTGGGTGCGTATATATTTAGGATAGTTAGCTCTTCTTGTTGAATTGATCCCTTTACCATTATGTAATGGCCTTCTTTGTCTCTTTTGATCTTTGTTGGTTTAAAGTCTGTTTTATCCGAGACTAGGATTGCAACGCCTGCCTTTTTTTGTTTTCCATTTGCTTGGTAGATCTTCCTCCATCCCTTTATTTTGAGCCTATGCGTGTCTCTGCACATGAGATGGGTTTCCTGAATACAGCACACTGATGGGTCTTGACTCTTTATCCAATTTGCCAGTCTGTGTCTTTTAATTGGAGCATTTAGCCCATTTACATTTAAGGTTATTACTGTTATGTGTGAATTTGATCCTGTCATTATGATGTTAGCTGGTTATTTTGCTCGTTAGTTGATGCAGTTTCTTCCTAGCCTCGATGGTCTTTACAATTTGGCATGTTTTTGCAGTGGCTTGTACTGGTTGTTCCTTTCCATGTTTAGTGCTTCCTTCAGGAGCTCTTTTAGGGCAGGTCTGGTGGTGACAAAATCTCTCAGCATTTGCTTGTCTGTAAAGGATTTTATTTCTCCTTCACTTATGAAGCTTAGTTTGGCTGGATATGAAATTCTAGGTTGAAAATTCTTTTCTTTGAGAATGTTGAATATTGGCCCCCACTGTCTTCTGGCTTGTAGAGTTTCTGCCAAGAGATCCGCTGTTAGTCTGATGGGCTTCCCTTTGTGGGTAACCCGAGCTTTCTCTCTGGCTGCCCTTAACATTTTTTCCTTCATTTCAACTTTGGTGAATCTGACGATTGTATGTCTTGGAGTTGCTCTTCTCGAGGAGTATCTTTGTGGCGTTCTCTGTATTTCCTGAATTTGAATGTTGGCCTGCCTTGCCAGATTGGGGAAGTTCTCCCGGATAATATCCTGCAGAGTGTTTTCCAACTTGGTTCCATTCTCCCCATCAGTTTCAGGTACACCAATCAGATGTAGATTTGATCTTTTCACATGGTCCCATATTTCTTGGAGGCTTTGTTCATTTCTTTTTATTCTTTTTTCTCTAAATTTCTCTGCTCGCTTCATTTCATTCATTTGATCTTCCATCACTGATAGTCTTTCTTCCAGTTGATCAAATCGGCTACTGAGGCTTGTGCATTCATCACATAGCTCTCGTGCCATGGTTTTCAGCTCCATCAGGTCCTTTAAGGACTTCTCTGCATCGGGTATTCTAGTTAGCCATTCGTCTAATTTTTTTTCAAGGTTTTTAACTTCTTTGCCATTGGCTGAAACTTCCTCCTTTAGCTCGGAATAGTTTGATTGTCGGAAGCCTTCTTCTCTCACCTTGTCAAAGTCATTCTCCATCCAGCTTTGTTCCGTTGCTGGTGAGGAGCTCGTTCCTTTGGAGGAGGAGAGGCACCCTGATTTTTAGAGTTTCCAGTTTTTCTGCTCTGTTTTTTCCCCATCTTTGTGATTTTATCTACCTTTGGTCTTTGATGATGGTGATGTATAGATGGGGTTTTGGTGTGGATGTCCTTTCTGTTTGTTAGTTTTCCTTCTAACAGTCAGGACCCTCAGCTGCAGGTCTGTTGGAGTTTGCTGGAGGTCCACTCCAGACCCTGTTTGCCTGGGTATCAGAAGCAGAGGCTGTAGAACAGCGGATATTGGTGAACAGCAAATGTTGCTGCCTGATCATTCCTCTGGAGGTTTTGTCTCAGAGGAGTACCTGGCCATGTGAGGTGTCAGTCTGCCCCTACTGGGGGCTGCCTCCCAGTTAGGCTACTCGGGGTTCAGGGACCCACTTAAGGAGGCAGTCTGTCCATTCTCAGATCTCCAGCTGCATGCTGGGAGAACCACTACTCTCTTCAAAGCTGTCAGACAGGGACATTTAAGTCTGCAGAGGTTTCTGCTGCCTTTTGTTTGGCTGTGCCCTGCCCCCAGAGGTGGATGGAGTCTACAGAGGCAGGCAGGCCTCCTTGAGCTGTGGTGGGCTCCACCCAGTTCGAGCTTCCAGGCACTTTGTTTACCTACTCAAGCCTCAGCAATGGCAGGCGCCCCTCCCCCAGCCTCACTGCAGCCTTGCAGTTTGATTTCAGACTGCTGTGCTAGCAATGAGCAAGGCTCCATGGGTGTAGGACCCTCTGAGCCAGGCGCGGGATATAATCTCCTGGTGTGGCATTTGCTAAGACCGTTGGAAAAGCGCAGTATTAGGGTGGGAGTGACCCGATTTTCCAGGTGCCATCTGTCACCTCTTTCTTTGACTAGGAAAGGGAATTCCCTGACCCCTTGCGCTTCCCGGGTGAGTCGATGCCTCGCCCTGCTTCAGCTAATGCTCAGTGCGCTGCACCCACTGTCCTGCACCCACTGTCTGACACTCCCCAGTGAGATGAACCTGGTACCTCAGTTGGAAATGCAGAAATCACCCATCTTCAGTCATGCTGGAAGCTGTAGACTGGAGCTGTTCCTATTCGGCCATCTTGGCTCCATCCCCCGTTTTTTTGTGTGTGTTTTTTTTTTGACAGGGTCTCACTCCTTTGCCTCAGCTGAAGTGCAGTGGCACAATCACAGCTCACTGTAGCCTCAACCTCCGAGGCTCCAGCAGTCTTCCCACCTCAGCTCCCCGAGTAGCTGGGACTACAGGTGCACACCACCACTCCTGGCTAATTTTTGTTTTGGGGTTTGTTTTTTGTTTTTTTGTGTTTTTTTGTAGTGACGGGGTTTCACCGTGTTGCCCAAGCTAGTCTTGAACTCCTGGGCTCAGGCAGTCCTGCCATATCAGCCTCCCAAAGTGCTAGGATTATCGGCATGAGCCACCGCACCCAGCCTAATTAACAGCTTCCTGGTCAAGAAAACATTTTCATATGAATAACATTATGTGTGAGCATTGTGTTTATATTTTAGGTGTGAAAGCATTTTTTTAGGTCCTTGATTGACCTGAAATATTTGAATACACAGTTGCCTTTTTTTCCGTGACATATATTTAGGGTAATGTATTAAGTATATTTTTGTTATATAACTGCTCTAACCAAGTTATCTTACCTCTCTAAAGCTGCAGTTTCTTCCGAAATGTTATAATAATACTAGTATTGACTTCATAGAGCTGATGTGAGGATTAAATGAGTTAATATATGTTAAATGCTTGGCACACAATAAGTGCTGAGAAAAAAGTTAGACACAGGAAGTACATGGATATGTTTTACATATATATATTTATATATGTATATATGAAGAGTCAGAGCATAATGAATTCATTTCCAAAAGGTATTTAAAGGATAAGGCAATATGGTTAATTAAAATATTTTGTTAAGCTCTTTTATGTAAGAAGAACATATTAGATTGCTTCTTACTTTGATAACTACTGTTTGCTTTTCCTAGTTCGAAAAAGAAAAACAGCATGATATTCGATCATTTTTTGTACCACAACCTAAAAAAAGACAGTTGATGACCTCCTGTGACGAATCAAAGAGATTCCGGGAGGAAAATACTGTAGTGTCATCAGACCCTACAAAAACAGCTGCAAGAGATATCATCGATTATGAAAGTGATGTTGAACCTGAAACGAAAAGATTGAAATTGGCTGCCTCGGAAGACCACTGCAGTCCGTCGGAAGAGACACCATCCCAGTCCAAGCAAATCCGAACTCCACTCGTGGAAAGTGTACAGGAGGCCAAGGCCCAGTTAACCACCCCAGCCTTTCCTGTAGAGGGCTGGCAATGTAGTCTCTGCACCTATATCAATAATTCAGAGTTACCTTATTGTGAAATGTGTGAGACTCCTCAAGGCAGTGCTGGTGAGTATATAGAAGGTGACCATGGAGGTAAGGGCTGTTAGTGGTGTCTTCAGATAACCTGTGCTTTTAGAGACTGCTGTTATCCAGGGTTAGTGTGACTCAGCACAACTTTAGCTTTTAAATTGGAATAAGAGCTTCTTATAGTGAAGACTGAATTTATCCCTTATGGAATGTGAAAAGCTCTCAGTTCTGTCAAGAATGTATATCCCCAAACGTCTGTGATATGGCATTAATTTGGCACAAATGGACATTTCTGATTAATGTCAGCAGGATATGAATTCAGTGAGCAGGAATAGAAGCTCTGTTGCTATGGTAGCAAATATGCCTTATACTCATAGACCTTCTATTTTCTCTCCTCTGTAGCTAATACTTGTTTTTAAGGAAATTGTGGATTATTTTTATGTTTAAATGGCAAAATAATCTAATGTAGCTTCTTTGCCTAGTCAGTATACATTGTGCCATGGTTTTTGCTTGTCAAAGCATCAAAACTCCTCTATGGATCAATCTTCATTTGTGAACCAATTTGATGTCTGGTTTTTTTGAGTTTATTCTTTTTTAAAACATATTATTTTAAAGTCAGAAATCATAAATATACCTCAAGTATGTTTTTATAGCATGGGATACCATTTTCTGATGTTTAGTTTCTGAAATGATTATTAATACCCGTGGTTGTCGTAAGAAAAAGATCATGCGTATTCTTGTTTCCAATTCTATAGAGCATTTTTATAGTAATAAAAATGCCAAGTTGACAGTTTTGGAAACTGGAAGTACACATTGTATTTTATCAGTTGTAATAATTGTACACATCTAATTTTGCATCATACATTAACTCTTCAAAATATTGGCGGCCGGGCGCGGTGGCTCACGCCTGTAATCCCAGCACTTTGGGAGGCCGAGGCGGGCGGATCACGAGGTCAGGAGATCGAGACCATCCTGGCTAACACGGTGAAACCCCGTCTCTACTAAAAATACAAAAAATTAGCCGGGCGTGGTAGCGGGCGCCTGTAGTCCCAGCTACTCGGGAGGCTGAGGCAGGAGAATGGCGTGAACCCGGGAGGCGGAGCTTGCAGTGAGCCGAGATCGCGCCACTGCACTCCAGGCTGGGCAACAGAGCGAGACTCCGTCTCAAAAAAAAAAAAAAAAAAATATTGGCATTGACAAAGACTCAGCTAAGATATAAATTCTGATATTGCAGTTCCTTCCTCTTGCCTTGCTCTTCTCTCTGTCTTAATTTTGATTTGAAGGAAAATGTAGGGAGGAGCTGAGTCTTCCCTCTTTCACTTCTGGGTACTCCCACCAAAATTGACAAGTCTGCCCTCTGAGTGGTTATATTTGTATGTGGGCACCTGTTGTCTGTGAACTAAATTGGAATCACATGCTTATTCCATGTAATATCTCTGTCACAATTAGCATGATTGCATGCAATTCCCAACTGCTACAGGCAATAAAAATAAGCTCTATTGTGACTATAAAATAATGTTAGTTCACATTAAATGTATAAGTTGAATGATTTAGCAACAAAAGTCATAATTTAATATGGGTTTTATAGTTCTGATTTTTCCTTTGCAATACCAAGAGCAACAATGAAAATTTCTAGACCCATGATTCAATAAGGAATCTGTCAAGCAACTTAAAAAAATAAAAACTACCTTTTGTGAATAAGAAAGTCTGATTAGAGAGAAATACATAGTCTAAGTAACAGTGATATTACTATATATAAAAAATATAATTATTAGATTTATATTTCTACCACTGCCACATCTGATACCCAAATCTTCTCCTCCCTGTTCTTTACTACATCATGCTAAAAACTTGGGCTGTATCTTTGGTCTCTTTCTCGCCTCCCACACTCAACCCATCAAGTAACCTCCAAATAAATCTTGATTCCAACCACTTTATCTTTATTGCTACCATCCTACTCTAAAGCCACCATCTTTCTCCCAGACCTCAATAGCCTCCATATTAATCTGATCCTTCAGTGCACAGCAGCCAAAGTGATCCTTTATTTCTTTGCCTAAAACTCTTTAATGGCTTCCAGTTACATTTAGAATATTTAGACCAAGAATATAGGCCCGAGTCCAAGCTTCCTAGAGCCATGAACAGCTCTCAGCTCAAATGGGACTCCTCTCAGAGCTTGGTCCTCATGACTTTTGCTATAGTAGTGCTCTCCAAAACCTTCTTACTGAAAAAAAAAAAAAAACAAAACTTAGTTGTGTTCTCTTTATCTGAAAATATACTATTTACCTATTTGTTAATTTTATTGTCTTTCTCTGCCATTTAGAATGGAGTCTAGAATGCAGGGATTTCTCTGTCCTGTTCCTGCTGTCTCTTCAGCATCTAGAATAGTACTGGGTATATAGTATGCTCCTGATAAATGTTTTGAACATATGAATAAACATTATTCACTTTCTTTTTATAAGACCTAACTGTTACATTCTTTTTACTTTACTTTTAAATGTAAATTATTACATTTTTGTAATAATTTTTATTTTAATAGTTATGCAAATAGATAGCCTCAACCATATCCAGGATAAAAACGAGAAGGATGATTCTCAGAAAGACACCTCCAAAAAGGTTCAAACTATCTCAGACTGTGAAAAACAAGCCCTTGCACAGTCAGAACCTGGCCAGTTGGCTGACAGCAAGGAAGAAACACCAAAAATTGAGAAAGAAGACGGACTTACATCCCAGCCAGGTAATGGTAAGTCTTGTTTCCATTTCTAGCATCCAAGTAATAACCATATACTTTCACACATAATACTGTTATTAGATTAGTAATTACTACCTTGTTCCAGGTTCCTTTTACTCTCTTTTATATTAAAAATACCAACCATTTGTAACCACATACTTAAACACCAGATGTCTAGAAGAGCTGAGTGTGTCTGTTGGCATTCAGACATTACACATAGAGCAAAACCGATAAATAGCTACATGTGCTGCCACCAGGCCTGTTGCCCAGCCTCAACCAAGCCTAGCTCATTCACACAGTAAGGGTGTTGTTTTGATATTTGGGAGGTGCTTTGGGACAAAACAGTAAGACTGACAGATAATTAACTAACACTTAGCATATCATTAATCCTTTACACAAAAATTCTTGTAAATAGTTATACTTAATTGGCATATTTTTAAAAAAGTATTTTAAAGAAAATGTTTTTAGGGAACATAATGTCAAGACTGTATGAATCATGACTGCATTTGTAGCCAACCATACAGTGTTTTGGGTTTGTTTACTTTTTGGTTGATTCCATTCATTATTTATAGCTGTGATGGTTAGCAAATACTAGCCTGTATGTCATATTTCACTATCGTTTATGGGCTAGCTGGCAAGAGACTGAGTACTTTTGGGTTATTTTCCTTGTTACTCATTTAGTGACCATAGTAACATACAGATTGATATTCTTATTCAGATAAACCCAATAGTTGGGATGAGACTGTTGAAGCTTTTCTTCTAAGTTAGTTGCTATTAAACACTAATATAATTTAGAGTCTGACTCATAGCTTTAAAATGAAATGTTCATTTAAGAATTTCTGAGCTCAAGGCATCCTTCTTTCTTCTTCTCTCAGCCTTCCTTCTAACTCCTCAAGGTCTTCCCAAAGCATGTCTTGGAATGGATCTGTTTAGATCTGTTAATTTTAACAGCTTTTAAGTAGACAGTGTAGACTCAGGTGGGTTATACTCTTTTGTGTCTCTAGTTTTCTTGATCTCACTGTGAGAAACTCTCAAGTGCTGATGAAACTCTGGTAATGGGACAGCATATGGCTCAGTGAACTAAATATGAGACTAGGAACCAACACCTGGCAATTGTCATCACCTGGGCTATGAGTCTCTTCATCTATGGCAGGGAAGTATTGGCTTGTTAGTTGTACATTGATCTCTTGATAAAAACATGTTAGCTTGTACTTACAAATGTTTTTTAAAAATCACTTTGAAGTTTTGTTCTGCCAGTGAAATTTGCTTTGCCCTCATTCACTCCAGACAATGCCAGCATTTACCCCTTACCTAGTCGTGCTTCCCTCTTTTGACTTTTCAGATCACTGGGCTGAGAATTCCACATAAGAGGTATGCTTCACATCTTTCCACTAACATGGATTTCCATGAAAAACAAACAGAAAACAAAGTAGGCACACTATGTTAAATGCTTATTCTACCTACATATGCTCTTTTAGAACCAGAGTGGTACATACTACTCTAGAACTGTAGTTTTGTTCTCTCTGGAATTCCAGGAGTTTGGAAGAATGACCATAGATGCATCATCTATAGTCTCAAACCATTAATTTACACTTCATGGCAACACTGAAAAGAGAAATATGTTCCCTAATATAGCTGATAGCTATCAAGAATTAATATCAACTGATTTGGAATTGTTGTTACAGTTATTTTTATCAAAGAATGGCTTCTGATCTTTAAGCATTAATGCATAGTTCTTCAAAGAAAACTGCCAATTAAGCTATGACACAATACCTTAATGATAGCCCAGGCCAGGCCACATCATCCTCTGTTGCTTGGACATTTCTTTCATTTATTCTGAGGGATTTGGCAATTTCTCCTGCTTTCAGTTGCTTTCTTTGGCATGTAATAGGCAACCCTTTTGAACATCTCAGTAACCAATGTAAGACACTTTCCTCTATTTGCAGAGCTCTTGCTTCCTTCAGTACCATGAAGCACTCCATTATTCCTTTACAAGAAAATAAGATATTTTGGTTATTCCTCCAGTGATACACATTTGCTTCTTTAATACCAAGTTTATGCTTTCCTGGTCTGTATCCAAGTTTTATGGTATACATGATAACTTTTCATTTCAATACCAAATCATAGTGAAAAAATTTAAAGACATTTTAAAGGTAATAAAGTAAATACATATAGTAGCAACAATGCATATACCTCATGTGTAGTGTAAAAGTGACAATAGTATTACAGCTATGACTCAGCTCATCCATACTAAGGCAAAGACAACTATTTTACAACTGCCACATGGCCAGCAATGATTGTAAAATGCCATTGTTGTTATTGGCTGTAAGACATGCCAGTTTCAGAGATGTTAAAGTGCGTTTTTGAATTTACAAAATAAGGGAATAATTCATAAATCAAGTTTGTAAAGTGGGCAATGCCTTGATTAGAAAAATAATAGTATGATGACATTGCCAAGTAGAATGGCAAACAAATCATAGACTTCTAGGTCTGGGAAAGTACTTTAAAAGATCACTGAGGAACTGTGAGAGAAGGTAAGAGCACAGACTCTGGAGCCAGCTTGCAGGTTTTACATCCTCTTACTAGCCATATGACCATAAGTAAGTTAACGTGCCTCAGTTTCTTCCTATGTAAAATGCACTATTTATTTCTAAAAGGTGTTACTGTATGTACCTACAACAGTGCCTGGCACATTGTATGTGCTCACTAAATGTTAACTATAATTGTTATTTAGACCTGCGTTGATAATCCTGTATCTCCTGCAAAATATATTGGACAGTAGGACTGAGAAAGGGCTAAAAAAGAAGAGATTATCAGAAAAGAAGCTTGTCTGCTTATCTTCTTTTGTGAATGTCAGGCACCAGGCTACAGGGAATCAGGCATTTAAGTGGCCCTCAACATAGCGATGTTGCTGCTAATAATCAAAATGATGCTCATTCGGTCTCAAATCTACTCTAGCAAAAGGAATAGATTAGTCTAAATTTTTTCAAGACCAATAGCAGCTCTTATTGGTGGAAATTCTTCCTTATGCCTACCAACTTGTATTTTTTCAGCTAATTCTGAATCTGTTTGTTTCTTGTTAGATCATTAGCAAAAATGTAAAACAATTGGTTACCATATAAGCCAATATGCTCTTCAATGGCCTACCGTGGTAGTTTTATTTCAAGCCTAGACAATTACTTTTTGTTAAATATATTGATATTTTGATATAGCTATTTCATCGTTCTAACCTACACACGATTAAAATAAGCTATTTTAGATAGAGGGTAGATAAGCCTTCAGGTTCTCTTTTGTCTTCTTTAATAGAACAGTGGAAGAGTTCAGACACTTTGCCAGTGTATGACACCTTAATGTTCTGTGCAAGTAGGAATACTGACCGGATTCACATCTATACTAAGGTAAGCGTCATGCAGATTCTGTAACTTGAAACATAAAAAAGACTTCCTTTTTTCACTTTTCAGTGGAGATACTTAATTTTATTAACATTGAGATAAGCATCTAGTTATTTTCCTCAAAGCTAATTCTCAAATTTCTGTGTTAAATCTACAGACAATGAGAGGTAAAACCACACGTCTTTAAGAACATAGACTTCAGGGCTAGACTGCTTCAGTTCAAATCTGTTAGTATGTAATCTTGGACACATTACTCAACTGCTCAGTGCATCAATTTCCTCAACTGTAAAATGTGGTATACCCCATTTACCCTGATGTGATTATTACACATTGTATGCCAGTATCAAAATATCTCATGTATCCCATAAATATATAAACCTACTGTGTACCCTTAAAAATTAAAAATTGTTAAAATAATAAAAAATAAAATGCAGACAGGATTTGTTATAAAGATAAAACAAGCTGAGTCCTGTAAAGCACTTAGCACAGTGCCTGGCCTATATGAACTCTCCATAAATGTTAATTCCTGCAATGATCACTTGCAGCAGCAGGAGCAGCAGCATCCTTACAGAAGCCTAGACCTGCCCATTTGTGTTGAGTAAATGTTAGGAAGCTTTTTGTCAGATGATTGCTGATTCCTGCCATAGGCTAGCTTAGTAGTGCCCAAACTTTTTAGATTCAGTACCCCTTTGCACTCCTAAAATTTATTGAGAACCCCAAAGAGCTTTTGTTTGTATGGGTTATATCTATTGATGTCTACTATATTTGAAATTAAAATGGAGCCTCTCAGAAATACTCATTTATGGCTGGGTGTGGTGGCTCATGCCTGTAATCCCAGCACTTGGAGAGGCCAAGGTGGGTGGATCACCTGAGGTCAGGAGTTTGAGAGCAGCCTGGCCAACGTGGTGAAACCCCCCACCTCTACTAAAAATATGAAAATTAGCTGGGTGTGGTAGCAAGTGCCTTTAATCGTAGCTACTCAGGAGGCTGAGGCAGGAGAATCGCTTGAACCTGGGAGGCAGAGGTTGCAGTGAGCCAAGATCGCGCCACTGCACTCCAGCCTGGGTGACAAAATGAGACTCTGTCTCAAAAAAAAAAAAATGTTTTTTTCATTTATTCACTTAAATGTGAATAATTAACAATTACATTTTTCTATTTCTGTTTTGTATTTTTTGTTTTTTTTAGGACAGTCTCGCTCCGTTGCCCAGGCTAGAGTGCAGTGGTGCAATCTCGGCTCACTGCAACCTCTGCCTCCTGGGTTCAAACGATTCTCCTGCCTCAGCCTCCAGGTAGCTGGGACTACAGGTGCCCACCACCATGCCTGGCTAATTTTTGTATTTTTAGTAGAGATGATGTTTCACCATATTGGCCAAGCTTGTCTCGACCTCTTGACCTTGTGATCCACCCACCTCAGCCTCCCGAAGTGCGGGGATTACAGGTGTGAGCCACCCACCTGGCCGTTTTTTGTTTGTTTGTTTGTTTTTGGAGAGAGAGGGTCTTGCTGTGTTGCCCAGACTGGTCTCAAACTCCTGGGTTCAAACAGTCCGCCCGCCTCAGCCTCCTAAAGTGCTAGGATTATAGGCGTGAGCCACTATGCCTGGCCAACAATTATTTTTAAGTGAGTAAATGCATATTTTAAGAGAAACAAACCCATTATATATATATAAAAATAACATTTTTTATTTAAAATAATTATATTTTCCAAGTCAAAAAAATATTTAGTGAGAAGAATGTCATTGTTTTAAATGTTTAGCAATTTTCTCTAAAGTCTTAATGGAAAACAGTGGGATTCCCATATCCATCTCTGCGTTCAGTTTGTTGAGATAGCATTTCATGTAGCCACTGGAAAAAGTCACCATACATTTGTGAAAGAATGAGAGTGGAAAAGGCAAACAGTATCTTACTATTAGTATGAAAACACTTATGACTTTCTGAAAGGATCACAGGAACCATGTGAGAATCTATGGCCTGGATAGATTATGAATACTTTTATTTGGTCTAAAATTTTAAATTTCTTTTTTTTTTTTTTTGAGACTGAGTCTAGCTCTGTCACCCAGGCTGGAGTGCAGTGGTGCGATCTCGGTTCACTGCAACCTCTGCCTCCCAGGTTCAAGTGATTCTCCTGCCTCAGCCTCCCGAATAGCTGGGATTGCAGCACCCACCACCACACCTAGCTAATTTTTCTATTTTTAGTAGAGACAGGGTTCCACTGTGTTGTCTAGCCTGGTCTTGAACTCCTGACTTCGTGATCTGCCTGCCTCAGCCTCCCAAAGTGCTGGGATTACAAACGTGAGCCACCACGCCCAGCCTAAAATTTTAAATTTCTAATCTTTATAAGTATATAAGATAGTATTTGAAACTTTTAAAACTCATGGTCCATTATATCGATGTTTAAAAGATAATATGTTGGAGATGACCAAACTTTCAGTTACAGGTTTTCTACTAAACCGAATATAGATATAGATAGATAGTGTACCATGTAATAATATTCTTTTAGGAGGAGATGGCTAGGATTTTGAATACCAGAATCCCCAAGCAGCCTCTAGCATGGACAATAACTGAGAGAGAGACACCAAGAACCAAGCCAGGCAGTAATCAATGCTCCTCTTATAGGTTTGGAGCCTGGTCTACCAAGTGGAGCCTCTGACATGGTGAACCAGGCTGCAGGGAGCACCAATGACTCCTTTATTCATCTTGAGGCAGGTTTAAGTGCCTGAGCCACCCTCATGCCCCATGTTGGGGGATCTTTAGGCCATGCCTCTTTCTCAGACCATCACATGAGAGGGACAGAGAAATGGTCCCAAGAGGGTAGAGAAACCAAAGGACAGACACCAGGCAGAGCATACCACAGAAATCCAGAAGCCCTTAAATTCTTTAATCTTTTTTTACTCTATACAATGAAAGCTCTGCCTCTTGGATTACCTGATCAATGTTTTATCCCCGTTGGGGTGGAGACGGAGAGAACTGCAAGCTCCTGGTAGAGGGTATAATGCACCTGCTGCCAAACCAAACCACAGCGACCACCTCACTGACCCGTATTCAGGCTCTGCCACCAGCCTAGTAGCCTGCTTCTTCTTGACATCTCTGTTAATGGTCTCAAATATATTTTTATGACTGTTCTAAATACTTACATGTCCCTTTACCATAAAATGTTATCACCCAAATAATTTTCCAAACACAAGACACTAAGCAGATGAGTTGTTGACATATCTTTTCACAACCAGAGTAGAGCTGAGATGAAAGCTTTCCTTTTCACCTTAAAAGAGCTGAAGTAAGGCTGGGCACAGTGGCTCACACCTGTAATCCCAACACTCTGGGAGGCCGAGGCAGGCGGATCACCTGAGGTCAGGAATTCGTGACCAGCCTGGCCAATATGGTGAAACCCCGACTCTACTAAAAATACAAAAATTATCTGGGCATGGTGGCAGGCACCAGTAATCCCAGCTACTTGGGAGGCTGAGGCAGGAGAATCGCTTGAACCCGGGAGGTACAGGTTGCAGTGAGCCAAGATCGTGCCACTGCACTCCAGCCTGGGCAAAAGAGTGTGACTCTGTCTCAAAAAAAAAAAAAAAATAAATTCCTAGTTCACTGCCTAAAAGGATATCCCTTTAAAGGAAGAGTAGTAACAGACATTTAGCATCCTGTGTCATATTAGAACTGTTCATTTCAGCTAGAATCCCAAGTCTATATCAGGGTTTAGAATTACATATCAATTTTTTTTTTTTTTTTTTTTTGAGATGGAGTCTCTCTCTGCCACCCAGGCTGGAGTGCAGTGGCGGGATCTAGGCTCACTGTAATCTCTGCCTCCCGGGTTCAAGCGATTCTCCTGCCTCAGCCTCCGGAGTAGCTGGGATTACAGGTGCACGCCACCATGCCCAGCTAATTTTTATATTTTTAGTAGAGACGGGGTTTCACCATGTTGGTCAGGCTCGTCTCGAACTCATGACCTCGTGGTCCTCCTGCCTCGGCCTCCCAAAGTGCTGGGAGTACAGGCATGAGCCACTGTGCCTGGCCTCAAAATTTTTAATCAGTGCCTACTTTTTGTATGTTTTTCTCCAAAGCAATTGTGGGAGCTGTAACTTTTTTTTTTTTTTGGCTGAGAGAATATGAGTTCAACTATTGTTGATATAATAGATTTTCGTATGAGATGTTCTTCTTCCCCTTTATAAAGGAAATAGCTCTACTACACCGCTGTATGTGGTTACTTTCTACCCTTAAGATTTCAGGGGCTGGGCGTGGTGGCTCATGCCTATAATCCTAGCACTTTGGGAGGCGGAGGCGGGAGAATCACTTGAGCCCAGGAGTTCAAGGTGGTAGGATCACTTGAGCCCAGGATTTTGAGACCAGCCTGGGCAACATGTTGAAAACCTGTCTCTACAAAAAATATAAAAAATTAGCCAGGCGTGGTGGAACGTGCCTGTAATTCCAGCTACTTGGGAGGCTGAGATGGGAGGATCACCTGGGCCCAGGACGTTGAGGCTGCAGTGAGCTGAGATCATGCTGCCGCACCCCAGCCTGGGTGACAGAGTGATACCTTGTCTCAAAAAAAAAGGGAAAAAAAAGATTTCAGGATGTTGTGCACCGATTGATGGGACCTAAATGCAGTTCCACTTACTCTCCAGGTGGTACCATTGGCAGACAGTCCTCATTGACTGATACTGTGACATTGCTTTGGGGGAGCCAATTTTTAAGTAATTTCTCTAGAATTGATCTTTCTACCTTCTCTTTACTTCCTTGTTCCTGTAACAATGGACAGGCATATCATTTGGTGAAGATTATTAAGACTATTCCTTGATACCATTCTTTGATGTGATACTTGTATTGTCAGTGAGTATAAAGAAGTTTATTTGCAAATTTGGAATGGTTGTGCTACTGTTAACTTCAAGGATGTAATATTCTTCTATATTAATTTGCAGTGTACAAATTTTATTGTTTTGATACATCTTTCCAAGATTAGTCAATAGAAAAGAGTATGACACAGCAGTAAACAAAGGATTCCAGGCTGAAGGCAATAGCCTTGGGCTAGGCATGGGCAATGGAGGCATCCAGTGCGGTAGAGAGCCTGCCTCCTCTTCTTGGCTCACAGTTTCTCCAGAGGAGCCATTTTGGTGGACCCTTGTCTAGAATGTGTCACCTCAGTTTTTCTTTTAGGAGACTAGGCATATTGTGTCATAATGTAATTATTTTCATTTAAAATAGTTACTAGTGCCTATACAAAAATGGATTATTAGTGTCTTCCTAATCTATCATCAGGATGGAAAACAGATGAGCTGTAATTTCATTCCTCTGGATATAAAATTAGACCTTTGGGAAGATTTACCAGCAAGCTTTCAGCTGAAACAATATCGCTCACTGGTAAGAATAGTTTTAAATAAAATGGCTTTATTTACTTTAAATAAACTTGTTTTAGTAATTTTAATGATCATTTTTAGTTTAATTTTAAAAAAGCACTTTGTGGCATGTTGTAGAGTCAAATCACTGGTTGCATTTTCATCATTCTAGGTGGTGCCTATTAATTACCCAGTGCTAAGAATATATGTGAAATCTGTTTCCTTGGCAAATGATCACACCTACAGTTGCTGTTTCTGTGGATAGAATCATCCTCACATTATTTAATTTCTCATTCACACTATTAGCAACTGTGATATTTGTATCTGCTAGAATCACATTTTTTCTATTAAGGTTAAGTTCTAACAATGACAAATTCCCAGAGCAGAGATAATACCTTATTGGGTGATTCTTGATTCATTATCAGAAGCACTAGCATGCAGCTTCAGGCCAAGTTCCTGCCAGGGAGGTCTTAACACTGATCTGTGGCTGATTTTCCTTCACTGCCAAGAAGGGTCATCATGCGCAGGGACTAACCTAGCATGCTGTGTGCTATTTTTACAAGAAAATGGTGATTTTTTTTTTTTTACCATTTGAGTGGAAATGAAGCATTGCCCGTAGGTCAACTATACCTGTTTTAAATGAAAAGGGAGCAGTAAGCTATTTACTTGGAATCATCTAACCCTGATTCTCAGAGTCCCAGAAAATAGCCAGTTGTGTATACTTGACTGGTAACCCTACTAAAAATGTCCCAGATTTATTGATGTTTTTTTTCCTGTGAAAACGTAGGCATCATTTACGAAGCAATTCTCAGATGTTGCACTATCATTCTGTCACCCAGTTTTGCCTTGACCCCAGCTAGGGTATGTACTTCCAGACCTTTTTTGGTCTCAATGAGCATATTATCACTGTTGATCTATGTGTGTTAAGGGCATACACTGCATGTCCTGAAACATGCCTTTAGAGAATCTTTGGCTTGAAAAAGATCTCTTGGCTGGGTGAGATGGCTCACACCTGTAATGCCAACACTTTGGGGGCTGAGGCAGGAGGATCACTTTGGCCCAGGAGTTTAAGACGAGCCTGGGCAACATAGTGAGACCCTGTCACTACAGAAAATAGAAAAACTAGCCAGGTATGGTGGCATGTGCCTGTAGTCCCAGCTACTCAGGAGACTAAGGCAGCAGGAGGACTGCTGGAGCCCAGGAGGTCAAGGCTGCAGTAAGCCGTGATCATGCCACTGCACTCCAGCCTGGACAACAGAGCAAGACCCTATCAAAAAGAAAAAAAAGAGATATCTCTTGAGAACTGCTGTAGGTAGTTTACAATAAAGATATGAAAACTGCATCAAATTGAAGAAAGCCTTAGGTTATGGAACTCAAAAGCCTATTTGGGGGACATAACAAAATAGCAGTTTTCTGATGTTGTAAATAGGCTCACATTCAAAGGAAGATATCTGCCTGTGAGCTGTTAACTCTTATTATCTCATTTTCTGCCAGATTTTGAGATTTGTTCGAGAATGGAGTAGTCTAACTGCCATGAAGCAAAGGATAATCAGGAAAAGTGGACAGCTATTCTGTAGCCCAATTCTTGCTTTGGAAGAGATCACAAAGCAACAAACCAAACAAAATTGCACCAAAAGGTATGAGTTGTCTTTTTTTAAATTTTGTATTATATTACTTTTCATGGTTCTTTCTACAGGGGGGTCTGAGGCATCTTTTGGAACCACTAATGAAATCCTGATGAGTTATGAGAAAATTATGCATAAAATCACAGCCATATTGTTTCATAACAAGATAATTATATGTCTAGTGAATTTGACAAAATCTGCTAAAAGAGATCAGGTTGTCCAGATCTTACTCTCCATGAGTCCCATCAATCAACAAAAAGACCAGAGTCACAGGATGGTGCAACCTATGACCTGCCAAGCCTGGGACACTTATTAGCAGCAGGAATACATTTTACTCTTAGAACATCAGAGCATGCCTCTGGACCCCATCTGCTTTGCCCTGCTGTGCGTGAGTATGATGCTGTGCAGCAAGGGAGCTGGTTCTATTTGAATGCATCACCACCCAAGTAATGGAAGATAACTATAATCATGTCCATGATTGGAAATGAAATAAAAGGAAAGGTTGACCGTCAGATATTTGTGACTGTTTTGTCCTTATCATTACAGGTTCCTTTCTAATCTCTGTACATTGATTTCCTTCCTTGTCATCACAATCATCTTTATCCCACTCAAGTCTCCCCATGTGTGATCTCAAATCCCTGTTCTTTGTAAACTCTTTTCTTAGCATGAAGCAAGGATTATCAGGAAAAGTGATCAGCTGTTTTGTAGCCCAATCCTTGCTTTTGAAAGAGATTGCAGGCTGCGCGCGGTGGCTCATGCCTGTAATCCCAACACTTTGGGAGGCCAAGGCGGGTAGATTGCATGAGCCCAGGAGTTCAATGATCAGCCTGGGAAACACAGGGAGACCCTGTTTCTATAAAAAAAAAAAAAAAAAATTAGCCAGGTGGCACACTCCTATAGTTCTAGCTACTTGGGAGGCTGAGGCCGGAGGATCGCTTCAGCCTGGGAGGTTGAGGCTGCAGTGAACTGAGATTGTACCACTGTGCTCCAGCCTGGGCAACAGAGTAAGACCCTGTCTGAAACAAAACAAAACAAAACAGATGGCAAAGCAATAAACCAAATGGCAGCATTGGCAGAGAAAGCCCTTTAGCTCTTGCTGCCTCCATACACCTGTAATCTCTCTTCATCCTTATATTTCATCAGTTTATCAGAGAGGTTTCCTTTCTCTAGCTTTTTCCATGCACACAGGTGAAAAAAATCCAGGGGGTTGGAGGGGAGCAAGGGACCGAGAACATGGTTGATTAAATAAATTATGATAGTTCCATACAGCGAAAATCTTTTCCACTGTTTCAACATATGGCATATGGTACATTTATTTGTTTGTAAGAACAAGGAATAATACTTGTGATAAATTGTTAAGGGTAAATATAAATTGTAAAAAAAAAAAAAGGGATGGAGACACAAACTTCACTATTTGCACAACTTGCTATTACTGACATAGAAATTGTCTAGAAGGATACCTTAGAAATTCTTATCACGGGTTTCTCTTGGACAGTGGTTTTCAATTTGGAGCAATTTGGTCCCGTAGGATGGTAGTGTCTGGAGACATTTTAAATTGTCTCAAGTAAGGGATGTGACTAGGGGGTATCTAGTGGGTAGAGGCCCAGGATGCTGCTGAGAATCCTACAGTGAACAGGATTGCACCCCCCAAAACAGAATTATCCATTTCAAAATGTCTGTATTACCACTGTTGAGAAATCTTGCTCTAGGGCATAAAACTTGAGGATTTCTGGAGGTAGTAGGGACTTTACACTTTATGCCAGGATTACAAACTCATTTGACTAAAAACAAAACAAGAATCACAAATGAATGAATGAGGTCAGTTATAAAACTAAAAAAGGATGAGATATGGGCTGAGACTATGTCAAACTGGCAGATTTGGAACCCATCTGAAGTCATTCAAATTCAGATTTAAAAATAAAATACTGGTACATGGTGGCTCACGCCTGTAATTCCAGAACTTTGGGAGGCCAAGGAGGACAGACTGCTTGAGCCCAGAGCTGAAGACCAGCCTGGGCAACATGGCAAAACCTCATCTCTACAAAAAACAGATAAATTAGCCAGGCATGGTGGTGCCTGTAGTCCCAGCTACTTTGGAGACTGAGGTGGGAGGATCACCTGAGCCCCTGGAGGTCGAGGCTGCAGTGACCCATGATTGTGCCACTGCAGTTCAGCCTGGGAGACAGAGTGAGACCTTGTCTCAGAAATAAAATAAAATAAAACAAAACAAAAATTAAATTAATAAAATAAAAAAATACTGGCTAGCCATGGTGGCTCACACCTGTAATCCTAGCACTTTGGAAAGCCAAGGTGGAAAGATCACTTGAGGTCAAGAGCTTGAGACGAGACTGGTCAACATAGCGAGACTGTATCTCCACAAAACCCCAAAAAAATAGCCAGGTATGGTGGCTCACGCCCACAGGCCCAAATATTCGGGAGGCTGAGGCAGGAGGATCACCTGAGCCCAGGAGGTCAAGGCTGCGATAAGCTGTGATCGTGCCACTGCACTCCAGCCTGGGTGATCAAGCAAGACCCTGTCTCAAAATGAATAAATAAATGTAAAATGTTGTATGAGTACAGTAAATTAATGCTGTATGAGTACAGTAAAGTCCTTTGACTAATTGAATTTATCCATAAGTTGCCAGTTTGGGACTCTTAGCCTGAACTCTTCTGTAACAGTTGATTTTTTTCCCATGGGCGTGTGTCATTTTCTATAAAAATACATTTAAAATATATGTGTTACATATTTATATACATATATACACATACTTACACATAAGTGCACACACGCACACATATATCAAAAAGCACAATGCCTATTTTATTTTTCCCAAAACTTCCAGTCCTCTCAATCTTTCTCATTTTTGTAACCAGTCTTTGTTGACCTTCTCTTTCTCACATGATCATAATTCTTTTCATAACTGAATTTCTAGCTATTTCTGGACATGTCCTACTATTTCTTCTCCATCGGACATGGATGACCACTTAAAGTACCAACTGAGAAAGGTGACTGATCAGATTTAAAAGCAAAAGTCAATTCATAAAACCAAAGTCAGACACAATATTATTTATAAAATTATATATACATAATATATTAAGGATATAACTTGTGTTAACAAGCAGCAGATTAATCAGATTTGTATTTTTAAGAGCTAGCTCTAGCAGCAGTTGGGAGATTAGATCAAAAAGGGCAAGACTCAAAGTGGGGAGATAAGTTACATTTTTCTATCGCTGCCATAACAAATTACCACAAATTTAGCAGCTTAAAACAACACACATTTATTATCTCACAGTTCTATAAGTAAGAAGTCCAAGTTGGCTATTACTAGTTTTCTAGTAATGCTCTGGATTTTACAAGGCAGAAATCAAAGTGTTGGCTGGCTGGGCTCTAGTTGATAAGCTTGGAAAGGAATTCACCTCCAAGCTCACTAACATTGTTGGCAGAACTCAGTTCCTTGCAGTTGTAGGACTGAGGTTCCTGTTTTTTGCTGGCTGTCGGCTGGACCATCAGCTCCTAGAGGCCTCTCTGTGGTCCTAGCACATGGACCACTACATCTTTCTCCTTGGAATCTCTCTGCCTTCGTCTTCTGCTTTTAAGGGCTCAAGTGATTACATTGGGCCCACTCAGTAATCTCCCTATCTTAAAGTGAGCTGATTAGTAATCTAATTATATCTGTAAAGTCCTTTTATAGCATTATCTAAATTAGTGATTGATTAAATAACGGAGGGACAGGAATCCTAGAGGGTATCTTAAAATTCTGCCTACTACACAAGTTAAAAGACTATTCTAGTATACCTGGAGAAAAACGATGAGGATCTGTATTAAGTTATTACAATGGGAATCAGGAAAGAGAATGAAGAGAGCTCTTAAGGAGGTATATCTAGAGACTTGGTGACTGATTATAGAGAGGCAGAGAGAGAGAGGCCTCCAGGGAAACCAACTTAGCAGCATCATGAAATGAAACCTCTGTACCTGCAGCAGGGAGATACTATCGGGAAGCATTCTGATTCTTGCTGCAGAACCCAAGTTAAGTCTCAGTAATTTGGAATAACCATGTATCTCTGAAAGCAAATGTGAAATATGCTGTTGAACAACAGCATTGACTGGCAGTCTGTATAAGGATCAGTTAGACACTGTCCTATCAATTTACTTTCTAGAGAAACTGAATCAGAGAGTCTCCAGACTTAGAAACATCAGGCTCAGTAGAGATAAAGAGTGAGGTATTATATTGAAAACTGAAACTCCTCGGACCCCCTTTTTTGCACAGCTTTCAGATTGACAGCAGCGACATTTTACTTCCTAAGCAGGACGTTAGAGGATTTCTCTCTTAAAAGTACTGAATGGTTCTGAAAAAAGACCTATAGTTAACTGACTTTGGGCACTCCCCCAGAAACATTGATAAAGGTCTCCAACCAGATTATCCGCCAGTGATGTCCAACAGTTTGCAGGCCCCATCCAAGCTCAGAGCTTGCAGTCAGCTTTTGAATGTCTCACTTTTACATTTGAATGGTAGCCAAGATTACCAGCCACTGTTTTGGTTACTGAGTCCCATTTATCAGAGGCAGGCCTAATTCACTTGGAGCCCTGTCATGTTTAGGATGCCAATTGTTTAATCTCTGGTTACAGCTGAGCTCAAAAGCAGGTCAGAAATCCAGAGCCCAAGATTGTGTTCATTGATGTGGGCCACTTTGCAACGTACACTTTTCTTGCAAAAATTGCCATCTTCCACTCCCGTCCCTATCCAGGAATTTGTTTAGTAGACAACATTCTCCCTTCTCTATTTACTAAAATTGGGATTTACCATAATCCTTTTGGGAGTTGGTGAACTTCCTAGCAAACCTCAGTAGAAAATTAAGTATCGGCAACTTGCAACTACGTTTGAAAAGTTGTCAGCTCCGTTTTTTGGAATTTGTTCGTCTGTTTCTTGTGGTTTCCAAAAATTTATTCTTAAACCTCTTGTAGGAAAGCAAAAGGTTATTTTTAGTTTCTAAATCTCTGACTAGATTTCTCAGCATCTTTTAGTTACTGAATTAGGTTTTTAAGCTTTTAAACATTGAATAATACCTCAGGCAAGGCTTAATATCCCATTGCCCCTCAAAGCTAGGAAGCTTTTGAGTTCATTTAGAATTCACAGAAATACTTTCCCAAAGTGCATTTTTCAAGGGAATAAAATGGTTGAAGAAATTGTTGGAGGTGGGGCCAGAGAAGGAGGAAATTTGGGAACTAAAAGGGCAAGTAAAAGAACTCTAAAACAATTTACTGTGCTTTAACTACGACTACTGCCCAGACTGGAGCACGATGGCTTAATTTCCTTTTTGCTCTAAGAAAGACATGCAAGTAGAGTGCAAACATGTGAAAAGATATTCCCCCTTACTCTTAATAGGAATGCAAATTTTAAAATCTATGATGAGATGCCTATCACTATTAGCAGAGACTCTTAAAAATGACATTGTGCTAGTGAAAGAGAAGAAACAGATACTCTTATTCATTGCTGGTGGATACATACACTGGTATAACCTTAGAGGAAAGAAATTTGTCAAAATCTACCCACATTTAAAACACCTAAGACCTTTGACCAAGGAATTCTACTTCTGGGGATTTATTCTATAGATACATAATGTGTAGAAAACATCATATATAACGATATCTATTACAGCATTGTTTGTGATAGCAAAGAATGAAAACAACCTAAATGTCCATTTATGAGAGACTGGTTAAATATATGGTTTATCCATATAATGGAATAACATGGAGCCATTAAAAAGAATAGGGAAACTATGATAATAAGGAAAGATCTCTGAGAAGCATGTTTTGGTAAAAAGAGCAAGGTGAAGATTAGTGTATATGCTATGCTATTATTTATTTCTAAAAATAAAAGGTATAATGAAAAATGAGTGCTAGTGGGTACGGGTTTCTTTTTGTTTTGTTTTTGTTTGAGACAGGGTCTCAATCTGTTGCTCAGGTTGCAGTGCAGTGGCGGGATCTCAGCTCACTGCAACCTCTGCCTCCCGGATTCAAGTGATTCTCCTGCCCCTGCCTCCCAGGTAGCTGGGACTGCAGGTGCGCACCACCACGCCCAGCTAATTTTTATATTTTTAGTAGAGACAGGGTTTCACCATGTTGGCCAGTCTGGTCTCGAACTTCTGACCTCAAATGATCCACCCGCCTTGGCCTCTCAAAGTGCCGGGATTACATGCATGAGCCACCGCACCCAGCCTCAGGTTTCTTTTTGGAGTGATGAAAATATTCTGGAATTAGTGATGATGGTTGTACAGCCTTGTGAATATACTGTTAATGCACTTAATTGTAAACTTTAAATTGGTGAATTTTATGCTCTGTGAATGATATGTCAATGGAAATGCAAAAGTAAGTAAATAAAAGGCATACACCTATACTCAGAAAAAAATAAGCTATTTCTTATTTTATTTTTCTTTCTTTCTTTTTTTTGAGACAGAGTCTCTCTCTGTCACCCAGGCTGGAGTGCAGTGGCGCAATCTCAGTTCACTGCACCCTCCATCTTCCTGGTTCAAGCGGTTCTCCTGCCTCAGCCTCCTGAGTAGCTGAGATTACAGACACACACCACTATGCCCAGATAATTTTTGTACTTTTAGTAGAGACAGGGTTTCACCATGTGAATGTGTGAAAAGATATTCCCCCTTACTCTTAATAGGAATGCGAATTTTAAAATCTATGATGAGATACCTATCACTATTAGCAGACTAATATGTTGGCCAGGCTGGTCTCGAACTCCTGACCTCAGGAGACCCACCCATCTTGGCCTCCCAAAGTGCTGGGATTACAGATATGAGCCACCATGCCAGGCCAAAAATAAACTATTTCTAAAATGAGCCAGACACGGTGGCTCACACCTGTAATTCCAGCACTTGGGGAGGCTGAGACAGGCGGATCAATTGAGGCCAGTTCGAGACCAGCCTGGCCAACATGGCAAATTCCCATCTCTACTAAAAATACAATAATTGGCCAAGCATGGTGGTGCGTGCTCGTAATCCCAGCTACGGGAGGCTGAGGCATGAGAATAGCTTGAACCAGAAGGCGGAGGTTGCAATGAGCTGAGATAGTGTCATTGCACTCCAGCCTGGGCAACAGAGTGAGACCCTGTCTCAAAAAATAAAATAAAATAAAATAAAATAAAATGAATTAATCAGCATTTCTGCAAAGATGAATTAGCATGTCTCTGAGAGATAGGGAAATACACTATTTCTCTAATGATATCCAGGGTTCCTAAAAGATCTTTTGGTCTAATTGGTGAGGGACGTATTGTACACATCCCAGGGATGTCAGTCAGACTCCAGTTACTGCTGTCTCAGTGTGATGGCTTCCAGAAGACATGCAATAAAATGACTCAAGATCATTTTGAGTCAAAATAAAATAAAAACAAAACTGCCAACAGAGGTAACTTTTGGGGAGGGGAAAAAGGAAGATGGGAGTGAGAGAGAAAATTTCTCATCACCATAAACATGCTTGTTTGCCTTTTGAATTTAGAACCATGTGCTTATATCACCTAATCAAAAATTAATAAAATAGTTTATTAAAAAAGGAAACCTGTTTATTATTAAATCTATCCTAATAACATAAAGCAAATTTCTAAAATTTTACCTACGATTGCACAATTCCATTGTGATTGAACTTTAATTTTATTGTCAAGCTGCCTAATTAAGAAGCACTCAATAATATTAAGAAATTCATGTTTAAACTAATTTCCAAAAAAATCTACAATAGGTGTAAACCACCAGAGAAACTAGGCCAATTAATAAGAAGGAATTAATCAGGTAATTGCATTTTACCAACTTAAATTCCCCCATCACCTTTAATGGGAATAACTTCTCTTTACTTCTAGTCCCTGAACATTGTGTGGTATTGTTAGTGTTGGGTAATAAGGTTCTGAATCCCATATCAAGAGTGGCTTTATTTCTGTGGAAGAATCCATAAACCCTGTATGGGCTGATAATAAGGGGAACAACCTTGAGATTACAGAAGATGTGATTGAACCTGGTTAACTAAAAAGAAACTCAGTTTACCCAAACACTGATACACTATTATAACTGACTAAGGTGATTTGGAGAAGCCTTGAAGGGAAGGCCAAGAGGGAGGTAAAATACAGTTAGAGATTTTCTGCACAGCTTGCCAAGCAGTTTCCTTAAGGCTGTCAGTTGTGCGTGTATTTGATCATTTCTTATTCTCACACCGACTCCTTTTTCCCCTAAATGAAAATTGCTCCAAAGGATATTGAATGACTCTTGAATTTCTTAGAAAAAGAAATTTGAGAAAACTAATTTGGAACAAAGAGATGTATTTCTCACATAATGGACACCAAGATAAAGGGTAAAAATTCCATTTTCTAACTTGAGTTTCAGCACAGTTAATAGAATTGTGCTTGCTTTTTCTTCTATTGCTTTTGCAAGGAACAATGTAAACATGCAATAGAGACATTTTTATATGAGATAGAGGGAATCTATTTAACATATCATTGTTTTAGATACATAACCAAAGAAGATGTTGCCGTAGCCTCAATGGACAAAGTGAAGAATGTTGGGGGCCATGTCCGTCTGATCACAAAGGAGTCCAGGCCACGGGATCCTTTCACAAAGTAAGGTTTTTCTACTACTAGTATATAGTAGTACTAATTCCACTCCTTTACATTTATGTATTGATTTTCATAATAATATCTCACCTTTGCATGACCACTTTAGAGGTTACAAAGAACTTTCACAAGATAGTAGCTCTTCAGTTGTCCTAGCAACCTGTTGAGGTACCTGGTGTCCTCATTTTAAACATTAGAGATGAAGAAGGACACTGAGACCAGGTGGACTAAGTAACCTGCCCCAGGGCTTGCGGGTAGAGGCCAGGAGACCTGAGGTTAAATCTGGGCTCTGTCCCCGAATCTTGAGCTCCATAATTAGAAGTCTTTCTTTTAACTCTTCTAACAAACAACCATGGAAAACAGACAAAGCAGCTGTTGTTACTTCCCAAGTAGGACTTTCTAACAAAATTGAGTAGTGTACCTTTTCTTTTATTCTAACAAATTGAGCACATATCCTATCATGTTTTGTATCCTATCATGTTTAATTTCATCCACTCTGCGTTTACCTATAAGAGCAAGTCTTCTGTTCTAATTCCTATCAGCACTGTCAGCTATTTCACTCTGTCACTTTATGGCTGTGACTCTATTTCCTGTGAGCTAGCAGAGGCTGGAGGAGAGAGTTTGTAATTACCTCTCTGAGCTAATGAGGTGTGTGACCACATATATTTAAGGAGCAGGGTAGCCACTAAGCTTTGGTTGGGGTTTTACATTAGCCTGTCCTTTCCCAGCCTGAAGAAGCATTTTCTAACAGCTTCTCCAGATGTTTCACATGTTTCCAGATCGTTTAACACAAGGGCATCCCCTTGTGTTAATTCCCAAGAGAGGCAACATATTTATATTCAATTAATTTTTGTAACACACCATTCTTCTTTACTTGGCATGGAATATAGAGTGCTGACTGTAACTATTTTATTTCTACACTGTGATCTGTGTTTACTATTTATCCGTATTGAAACTTTGATAACCTTTATATGAAGCAATTACTATTTAGCCTAATCATTCATTAGTTACCTATTCAGTGTTTTTATCAATTGTAGAAAACTTCTTGAAGATGGAGCCTGTGTCCCATTTCTAAATCCATACACAGTCCAGGCAGATCTCACTGTGAAGCCCTCTACATCCAAAGGCTATTTGCAAGCTGTGGATAATGAAGGAAATCCACTTTGCCTTCGCTGTCAGCAACCCACTTGCCAGACTAAGCAAGCATGTAAAGCGAACTCTTGGGATTCACGGTTTTGCTCTCTGAAATGTCAGGAAGAGTTTTGGATTCGATCTAATAACAGTTACCTGAGAGCCAAAGTATTTGAAACTGAACATGGTGTGTGTCAGCTCTGTAATGTGAACGCACAAGAACTCTTTTTACGTCTGAGAGATGCCCCTAAAAGTCAGAGGAAGAATCTTCTGTATGCTACCTGGACTTCAAAGCTCCCATTAGAACAGGTAAGTTATAATCATGTGATAGATAGAAGGCAGCATTGTACTGAGTAATGAATATTGACTCTCTATTTTGTACATTTTAACATGGGAATATTCAGATATATAAAAGGAAAGAAAATAATGGACCCATATGTCCATCAGCCAGCTTTAACAGTTTACAGCATTTTGGCATTCATTTTCATCTGTCATTGACTCACTTGTTTGTTTCTCCTAGAATATTTTATTTATTTATTTATTTATTTATTATTTATTTATTTATTTATTTATTTTGGAGACAGAGTTTCGCCCTTGTCACCCAGGCTGGAGTGCAGTGGCGCAATCTCAACTCACTGCAACCTCTGCCACCTGGGTTCAAGCGATACTCATGCCTCAGCCTCCTGGGTAGCTGGAATTACAGGCATGTGCCACCACACCTGGCTAATTTTTGTATTTTCAGTAGAGACGGGATTTCACCATATTGGCCAGGCTGGTTTTGAACCCCTGACCTCAGGTGATCCACCCGCCTCAGCCTCCCAAAGTGCTGGGATTACAGGCATGAGCCATCATGCCCGGCCATCTCCTAGATTATTTTAAAGAAAATTCCAAACGTTTCTTTTCACTCTTGAATATTTTCATTCTGTATCTCTCACAGGTAAAGACCTCCTTCCTTCCTTCTATCCTTCTTTTCCTCTCCCTCCCCTGTTCCCCCCTCCCTCTTCCCCTTTCTCTCTCTCTCCCTTCCTTCCTCCCTTCCTTCCTTTTCTCCTTTCCTCCTTCCCTCTTTGCTTGTCCTCATTTCCTTTCCTCTCTTTCTTTTAAATATAATCCCAGTATGAGTTATCACACCCAACACAATTACAATTCCTTAATTATACTAAGTCTATGTTTGGTTTCCCAGGTTGTCTCAAAAATGCCTTTTGCTGGGCTCAGTGGCTCACACCTGTAATCCCAACACTTTGGGAGGCCAAGGCAGGTGTATCACCTGAGGTCAGGAGTTCGAGACCAGCCTGGCCAATATGGAGAAACCCCATCTCTACTAAAAGTATAAAAAATTAGCCAGGCGTGGTGGCAAGCACCTGTAATCCCAACTACTCGGGAGCTGAGGCAGAAGAATCGCTTGAACCTGAGAAGCAGAGGTTGCAGTGAGCCAAGATCATGCCACTGCACTCCAGCTTGGGCAACAGAGCAAGACTCTGTCTCCAAAAAAAAAAAAAAGTATTTTATAGTTACTTTGTTCAAATTAGAATCAAAATGTCACCCACATAGTATATTTGATTATAATGCCTCTTATGCTTCATTTAATCTATTATAGCACCCCATTCCTTTTTTATACTATCATACTATCAATGGTTGAATATACTGGATCATTTGCCATTCTGGATTTGTCTTCCTGTATCTGCAAGGTATTGTTTGACATGTTCTTCTGTTCCCCCAATTTTCTCAGTAAGAATTGTAAGATCTAGAGGCTTAGTTTCATTCTCATTCAGTTATTTTGGGAAAAGATCTTAACAGGTGGTGCAGTATATCAAGAGGCACCTATGGTCTGGCGATTCCCCTTTCCATGTTAATATTGAAAGACAAGAGGCAAACAGATAACCCAGAAATGTAGTCCATCACAATCAGAGGCTATGTATGTGTATATACACTCACACACATATATGTGTTCATTGCATTGAAAAATGTAATTTTAATACAACAAATTATGACAAATTATTATTTATAGAACACTATCATCAATATTCACTTTCATTTCCAAAATTCAACTGGATTTCTAATCTTGCTATCTGAACAATTCTAAATTTCAAACTAGGCCAGGCGTTGGCTCATACCTGTAATCCCAGTACTTGGAGAGGCCAAGGCGGGAGGATTGCTTGAGCCAAGAGTTACCAGCCTGAGCAATATAGTGGAACCCCATTTCTACAAAAGAAAAAAACCAGAACAATTAGCCGGGTATGGTAGCATGCACCTGTAGTCCCAGCTAGTGGAACCCCATTTCTACAAAAGAAAAAAAACCTGAAAAATTAGCCAGGTGTGGTAGCATGCACCTGTAGTCCCAGCTACTTGGTTGGCTGAGATAGGAGGATTGCTTGAGTCCAGAAGGTCAAGGCTGCAGTGAGCTGTGATGGTGCCACTGCACTCCAGCCTGGGCAACAGAGCGAGACCGTATCTCTAAATAAAATGTAATTTTGTAATGTGCTTAATTTAAAAAGAATCACCCCTCAGCCACTGTGTGCCCACTAAAATATTGGATGAATTCCTGCCAGTTTGACAAATTATATATTTTTATTTACCTAGGACAGTGTTGCTGAATTATGAAAGAATGAATTAATCGGCATTTCTGCAAAGATGAATTAGCATGTCTCTGAGAGATAGGGAAATACACTATTTCTCTAATGATATCCAGAGTTCCTGAAAGATCTTTTGGTCTCATTGGCGAGGGACATATTGTACACATCCCAGGGATGTCAGTCAGACTCCAGTTACTGCTGTTTCAGCATGATGGCTTCCAGAAGACATGCAACAAAATGACTCAAGGTCATTGAAAGCAACCTGTCCAGGAATGCAGAAGTAATATAATAGACATCTAAAACAAAAGTGCTCTGAGAATAAGGAACACAATAGGCTCGAATTGGGTAGGACTAGAGAGTGATTTTATATGTATATATAATGTATATATATAAGTATATATAATATATATATAAATATATAATATAAATATATATTTATAATAATATATAATAAAACATATAATATATATTATTGTATATATTTTTATATTTTATATATATATATGTATATATATATATTTTTTTTTTTTGAGATTGGGTCTGGGATCTCACTGTGTTTCCCAGGATGATCTTGAACTCCTGGCTCCTGGGCCAAGTGATCCTCCTGCCTCAGCCTCCCAAACATCTGGGATTACAGGCATGCACTACCACATCAAGTGATTCCTTCAAGAGGTGGGCAAATTTAGGATATTGAAGAGTGGCCTCAAGTGATTTGCCTTACAATTGCTTGGAAAAACTAAAGAAGCATCTTCTGAATTATTGAGTCTGTCAGAGTGGGGGCTGCTCAGAGAGAAGGAATTGGTTTAAAAAGGCAAAACCAAAATGGATTTTTTTTTCCCTAAGACTATGCCATTTGCTTGATGCACAAGACCGCCATTTGTAGTAGCTTCTAACAATGCCAACCTCAAAAACAAAAATCAATACATTTCTTCTAACAGAAGTTGGGAAGTTCAGCACAGAAGAGAAGGTAAGGCAGGCAGTAACAAAGGTCAGCTGGACAAAGTTTACTGCTCCAACTTGTTGCCTCTTGTGACTCCTCATGGGCCAGCACTATTGATCAGGTCATTGTGCCTGACAGGCTTGCTTAAACAGGCTTTATACATAATCATGGGTTCCCATGGCCAGCAGCCGTGAAGTTGAAGGAAATAAAAGCAAGTGCCATACTCATCTTTGTGATATTTAGACAACTGCATTGCCGTGGTGTGAGTTGGTTTTACTACCTCAGGTAAAATGATAAAATACATCCCATTTTAATGTAGGTTATCATTGATTAAATATAAAATGTGTATATATGGACTGGCCTAAATAAAGGCTACTTTAAATGGTCATCTTTAATTATTCCAAATATGCAAGTTACAGATATTTGTTCTAGAAATTTCATTCCAGTTCACATAACTTGGAAAGTTCTCTGGTGAATAGTATAAAAGTTCTAGGTAATAGCTATTGACATTAAACTGCCATTGTATAGTGACAAAAGCATTTAGGTCAACAATTAAAGATTGTTTGACTCAGTAGTATTGAGAAGTTTTAAATTTCTTTTTTTTTTTTTTTTTTTTTGAGACCGAGTCTGTCACCCAGGCTGGAGTGCAGTGGTGCAATCTCTGCTCACTGCAAGCTCCACCTCCCGGGTTCACGCCATTCTCCTGCCTCAGCCTCCGCAGTAGCTGGGACTACAGACACCTGCCACCGTGCCTGGCTAATTTTTTGTATTTTTAGTAGAGACGGGGTTTCACCGTGTTAGCCAGGATTGTCTCGATCTCCTGACCTAGTGATCCGCCTGCCCTGGCCTCCCAAAGTGCTGGGATTACAGGCATGAGCCACTGTGCCTGGCTGAGAAGTTTTAAATTTCTAATCTATTCTTATTCTTTTCTTAGATTTGGTTTAGTGAATATATAAACTAACTTACAGGTGTAGAAAAACCAGTTTTTCCCAATCTGTCAGGAGTCTTGGTATTTTATATTTTCTTGTAATTTTTTCAAAATGAGTTAGGTTAAGGGAGAAAAAAACCTTTCAGAAACACATCTTATTGCTTTCAAACTTCTAACAGAGGGTTTTTTCTACTCACAATAAAAGCTATAAAAAGCTCTCCTGATGTATTTTTCCCCATGATTTTCCTGTATAAACATACATGATTGCACAATGCAAAACCAACAAACACTTCTTGCAGTATATGTTGAAAATTGCTGATCTTGTATTCTTATTGCAGCTAAATGAAATGATAAGAAACCCAGGGGAAGGACATTTCTGGCAGGTGGATCACATCAAGCCAGTGTATGGGGGAGGAGGACAGTGTTCCCTGGACAACCTGCAGACTCTCTGCACAGTCTGTCACAAAGAGGTCAGTGAAGCTCTCATATAGCTTTGACTGCATCCTGAGAAGTCAAATGGAAAATTGTGCACACAGTTGTGGAAGATTATGTGGATGAATTTATCTCTGGTCTGAGATTCGAGGCACATTTTACTCCTTTCATCACCCAACACTTGCCTTTCCTCTCAAGGCCCGTGTCACAGATGCAAGAGAAGCTGCTTCCCTTTTCATTCATTCTAGGACCAAGACATTTGCACCACTACCAAGAAAGAAATGAATACAGTTTACATATTGTCTTGATGAGACCCGGATCCTCAAACTGGAAGTTTGGTGAATTGGGGCAGTGATACATGTTTGCATATAACTAAGGATATCCTGAAATATCTGAAAACATTGATAAGTTATCTCTAGGACCAACTCAGTTCAACATGCAAAGGTTTCATTGCTGGCCAAAGTATGAAACCAATTAACTCTGCCCCATCTTTGGGTAGTTAGTTACCTGTTGCTTAGAATGAGAGGAAAAAACACATACTATTGTTTATCTACCAGGATGAATTTTTTACAGGCAGTCCAGTAAAAGGTAGTGGGATTTACCTGCTGAGATCATCATAGAAATATTCAATATGCAACTTTGTATTCAACTTTTTTTCACTTACAGCAAGATCTAAGCATTTCTCATGTACTCTAACCATTCATAACTTATATCATCTAAAATGACTGCATAATACAGTATTCTATTGAGCAGATCTCTACTGTAGTTTACTTAACCATTCCCATACTGATTAATATTTATCTAAATTTTTTTGCTTTTATATATCATGCCACCAAGCACATTTTTTGTAAACAAACCTGTTTTCTACATTTTGAGGTCATTCCTTAAGGTAGATTCTCATGTGTAAAAATCACGGAGTCACAAGTATTTGGATATTTTTGACAATGTAGGAATTTATCACCAAACTGTTTTCCAAAGAATTTTACTCATTTATGGCCCCAGAAGCCCATTTAACTGCCACTGGGTATGGTCAGTGGGTGCCAATGTGGTGCAGGGAGAATGGCCTGCAATTGTTTTGTTTGCTAAAGACATCGATGTTTTTAAAAGATGCTAATCAGTTATATTTAAACTTTTGAGTACTATTTCAGATCCTTTGCCAATGTTTATAAAGTATGAACTCTTTACTACTTTTTTTTTTTTTTTTTGAGACAGAGTCTTGCTCTGTCACCCAGGCTGGAGTGTGATGGTGTGATCTCAGCATGATCTCGGCTCACTGCAACCTCTGCCTCCCGGGTTCAAGCTGATTCTCCTACCTCAGCCTCCTGAGTAGCTAGGATTACAGGCACCCGCCACCACACCTGGCTGATTTTTGTATTTTTAGTAGAGACGGGGTTTCACCATGTTGTCCAGGCTGCTCTCAAACTCCTGACCTCAGGTGATCTACCTGCCTTGGCCTTTCAAAGCGTTGGGATTACAGGTGTGAGCCACCGCCCTCCACCGTAAGCTTCTCTTCTGTCCTTACTGTTTCCGCCTGGAACACCTCACATGGACTTCAATTGGGAAAAAAAAGTCATCTGATTTCTCAGATGTGCAAGTTATTAGCAAATTCAAGACCTATAAGAGAATTAAGAAATAGCCAAAGAAAATGCAGCCCTTTCTGTAATTATTTTTTTAGATTCTCATGAAAAATGTTATTTGTGGGATTAGCAGAAGAATCCAGTTCTGGTCTATGTCATTTTATTTTCTGCACCAGCTCATCTGTTGAGTTGGAAATGGCCTCTGGGATCAGAGAATAGGAAGTGGGTAGATTTTCTTCGCTGGGTAATCCCAAGTTGCCTTAAGAACTCCCACTTGGGGAGGCTGAGGTGGATGGATCACTTGAGGTCAGGAGTTCGAGACCAGCCTGGCCAACATGGCAAAACCCCGTCTCCACTAAAAATACAAAAATTAGCTGGGTGTGGTGGCAGGTGCCTATAATTCCAGCTACTCTGGAGGCTGAGGCTGGAGAATTGCTTGAACCTGTGGGGCGGAGGTTGCAGTGAGCCGAGATCACATCACTTCACTTCAGCCTCGGCAAAAGAACAAAACTCCATCTCAAAAAAAAAAAAAAAAAAAACCTCCCACTTGGATGGGAGAATCAGGGCCTTCCTAGTCTCCAAATGAGGAATTCATGCTGTTGCTGGGTAGCAAGACATCCCCCAAGTTGTATGTTTTCTCCTGCTATGTTGGTCCTATGAACCTAGGACCTCAGGATCTCAGAGCTGCTGAGATACTCTGCCTTGTGGTTTGGTAACTCTTCCATAGCCAACCACTGGAAAATGGGTGTAGTGACTGTAGATTTTCCAAACTAACAATATAAAGAGTTTTTGAGCTTTTGTAGCCGGTGCTTTTTTCCTAACGTGTACACATGCATATTTTTTAACTTTTAGAGAACTGCCAGACAAGCTAAGGAAAGAAGCCAGGTGAGAAGACAATCTCTAGCATCAAAGCATGGATCAGACATCACACGATTTTTGGTAAAGAAGTAAAGTAGAAAAATATATGAATGAATGACAAATGGTTTACATGTGGAAGACTTTAATACAGAAGTTTTCCATGTTTGTTTAATATATCGAGAGTAAAAATTTTCAGAACAAAAATCAAGAATTCAAATTCTCTTCTACTAATTACTTTTAGTATTAAATACATTTTGAAAGTACTTAACAGAAACTAAGATACAATACTGAATATTTCTGTGGTCTTTTTGATTTGATTCAGACTCGCAATTATGTTTCAGCAATGTTTTGTAAAGCTCTTTACCCCTAATATGCCTAATCACTGTATTGTGCATAGATTGTGTTTAAAAAATGTACTCTCAATTACCTAAAAATGCTTCTGGATTAGTATTGTTCTGGACTGTCATAGGTATGAGTGGAACATTGCAAAACCTTATGGGAAATTTCAGACGCAAATCATTATTTGGGAATTCTGGGCCAAGCATGACCAGCCTGCTTAGGATTCAAGAGAGACTGTCCACTAAATACCTCCAGAATGAGCTAGGGGCACACATTTTGGGTGTTGCTTTTCTTGCTTTATTTCTTAGCTAGTCATCTTTATCAAAAATATCCTTTTCAAAATGAGGTACCTATGGTGTTTGTGGACAATTTGGGGGTTCTGTGTAAAGTAATTGTTAAAACTATTAAATAACTGAAAACATAAAATGTAAAATGCCACTTAAGCTTGATTTTTTAGATCTTTTTTTAAAAAATGAATAAAACTAGGCTTACTGTTGGCTGGGCGCGGTGGCTCACGCATGTAATCCCAGCACTTTGGGAGGCCAAAGCGGGTGGATCATGAGGTCAGGAGATAGATCGAGACCATCCTGGCTAATACGGTGAAACCCCATCTCTACTAAAAATACAAAAAATTAGCCGGGCATGGTGTTGTGCACGTGTAATCTCAGATACTCGGGAGGCTGAGGCAGGAGAATTGCTTGAACCCGGGAAGCAGAGGTTGCAGTGAGCCGAGATCACGCCATTGAACTCCAGCCTGGGCGACAGAGCGAGACTCCGTCTCAAACAAACAAACAAACAAAAAAAAAAACTAAGCGTACTATCAAAATACACTTTGTCTTCTGGTTCTCATTTTCTGTTTTTAAAACCCTGTGTTATTAAAGGTATGTTTCTGGTACTTATTTTAAAAAGAGTGATGATGACAAAACACTTTATAATAAGGCATAATCAGATGGTTATATGCATTTAAATATACAATAATAACATTAAAATGTAATTGACATAAAATAAGAGTGACGATGAAACAAACCCAGGGCCTAGTCCTGCAATATGTCAGAATCATGAGGGCAAAGAGTCAGAACTATACAAAATACAGGACCGAGGAAGAATTACATTCCCAAAAGGGAGCTGTTTGTAAATACTATTAGGACATATACCTCTTTAGTTTGAGCATTTTCCCACGTTAATTAATAGCTAGTGTTTTACAACATAAAGGACTTGTTTTTAGAAAGATTATACAATCAAAGATTATACAACCACAGTTGTTCCTCAGTTTCTATTTCATTGTATGAGATCAAGTCATGTTGGTTATTTTATAAATGAAGTTGGGCTTTCTTTGGCCTCCTTTCTGCTTAGTTGGTCAGGTGCTCTTTGCAGTTTTCTGCCTCATTTCCAAGGTAACCTAGGATTTGTCACGGTTGAGAGCCAAGAAGCAGGCACGCTGCCTTTCCTCCAGCATGGGGTTTTGCAAGCGAGGTCTAAGTAGGTCAAATTTGAGGGGAACTTGCTCTTCAGATCACACTAAGGTGATAATTCTAAGGAGAAAGTTCTCAGATGTAAGAACTGTGTGATGGTTTGAGGTGAAACAATCCATGAAGATAGGCTCAGTCTATACCAGGTTTCAGAATTCTGACTAATTAAAAATGCCGTAAGGAGCATTGAGCATTTGCTGTACAGGACACTGACTGGCCCGTCCCCATCCCTTCCTGACATGTCTCAGAGCTTTGTGTCCTGCCTTCCCCTAATTTGGTCTGCATTACTTGTGGGGCACATTGAGATGAAGGGTTCTGAGACAGAAAATAAAGATAGAGATTGATCTAATAACCGAGACCGAAAGGGCATCTTGAGGACTGTTCTTTCCTCCTCACAATCTGAAACAGAAGCTCCCCACTATGTATTGCAAATGGGAGGTTATGACAGAGGGACACAGAAAGTGTCAGAGCAAGTGGCAGATCCTGAGTGCAGAAGGAAGTGCAGATGCCCCAGGAAGAAGACAGCTGCTGCCACTCAGGAGATGGAGATGGAGTGAAAACACAGGTGGGTACAATGAGTGTAAAAGGATAGGCCTGGCTCTGAAAAGACTCAGAGAAGCTGCAAGATACAGTTTAGGCTAAGAAAACAACAACAAAAAAGGGCTCTGGCCAGGTATGATGGCACTTGCTTGTAGTCCTAGCTACACAGGAGGCTGAGGTAGGAGGGTCACTTAAGCCCAGGGGTTCATGACCAGCCTGGGTAACACAGCAAGGCCCCATCTCAAAAAAGAAAAAAGGCTCTGGGTCCAGGGAACAGAGCTGGGAAGTGGTAGGTGACGAAGGAACTCGCTTACGATAGGGAACCATATGAAAATATGCCTGTGGGTAGGGGTAGGGTGGGGAGGACTTCCGGAGCATGGTGGGCTCACACACTCAAACCTTGCACAGCCAGCATCAGGCTGGCCTGCCTTCCTGTTCCCGTCACTGGGTGACATTGATCCCAGACACATTCTGATGACTAGTAAAGTTGCTTTTAGTAGCCCCAGAGCCAGGAGGAATAATTCATATGGAATTTTTAAAGACGCCCACTCTTGGCGTTAATTACAGCCCAACGTACATTTCTTGGGGAGATTTTCCTGTGACAAGTGAATACCCTCTACATTTTCTTAACTGGATGGGAAAAGGATTTTATGCCCATACATCTTGCTAATAAACCAAATCCCTTCTTCAGATTCTTGAGTGAAACATTTAAAATGTAGTTTCTTTAGAAATAAAAGTATGAGGCATTTTAAATTATATGACAGACAAAAAAGTCAATGCTCTTGAGCTCTTTACAGTAAATAGGTTGTGTTTACTCATAGGATACAGAATCATGGATATCAAACATCAAAAATAAATTATAAAAATAATGTCTCATTTTCTGTTGCATATTATTAGCCTGTCTCTCATTCCACCATTTGTTCTTTTGAACTGGAAAATTGTGGGCTCCTAGTCACTGCACTAATCTATCTGAATATCCAACTACCAGAAAGGGTTTATCCCATCTCAAGTTTGTCAGTTGCTTTATATCGTTAAGGGTGTTTTTGCCACCCTGGTTGTGTTCATAATTACCATTGAGAAATGTCACTGTTATTAAAATACATTCTGTGTTCCAACTACCTGCCTCTCTGCCCTAGCAGTTTCTCTCTTACCTCCCTCAAATCATTGACTAGGGTCTTTCCAGCAGTAGCTTCTAGCTATTTTCTGGAAACTGGCCTCTGGTACACCTTAAAAATATTGTTAATTATTCCATATTTGCTAAAGTGTTTATATTTCATGGTCTCTCTGCTCTAACACATCTGCCTTCCCTGCAACTAGATGTCATCATTAGATTGGAGAGCCGCCAAACACCTAAACTATATGAAGCTAAAGTCTGTTTAAGAAAGAGCCCATCCAGGCTGGGTGTGGTGGCTCATGCCTGTAATCCCAGAACTTTGGGGGGCCAAGGTGGGTGGATCATGAGGTCAGGAGATCGAGACCATCCTGGCTAACATGGTGAAACCCCGTCTCTACTAAAAATACGAAAAAATAATTAGCCGGGCGTGGTGGCGGGTTCCTGTAGTCCCAGCTACTCAGGAGGCTGAGGCAGGAGAATGGCATGAACCCAGGAGGTGGAGCTTGCAGTGAGCCGCGATTGCACCACTGCACTCCAGCCTGGGCGACAGAGCAAGACTCTGCCTCAAAAAAAAAAAGAAAAGAAAAGAAAAGAAAGAAAGAACCCATCCCAGCACTTTGGGAGGCCGAGGCGGGTGGATTACCTGAGGTCAGGGATTCAAGACCAGCCTGGTCAACCTGGTGAAACCCTGTCTCTACTAAAAATACAAAAAATTAGCCGGGCATGGTGGTGGATGCCTGTAATCCCAGCTACTCGGGAGGCTGAGCCAGGAGAATCACTTGAACCTGGGAGGCAGAGGTTGTGGTGAGCCGAGATTGCACCATTGCACTCCAGCCTGGGCAACAAGAGTGAAACTCCATCTCAAAAAAAAAAAAAAAAAAAAAGCCCAACATCATTTCAACTTTTAGCCTCCAAATTGAGTTAAAGAAAGCACTCTTGTGCTACCTGAATCTAGCAAGTGCTTGGCATGCATCATTTACACACAGATGCCACAGACACAGCCCAGTCTTCTTGGTGTAACCCAGATTGCTGTGCTTCAGCTTAGAGCCTTTGCGATCCTGCAGAAATGTTTTACCTGCCTTCTACATAATACTTTCTTACAGAACTGTGACTTAATTTATGTCTTGGCTTTCATCAAATGGGTATTTTTTAAAGCCATACATGAAATATTGCTATGCTGTTTTTGTTCTTACTGTTTTGAAAACTGCTCTTAGGAGGTTTAGGAAGGATAATTTCTAATGCCTCTCTCCCCACATCAAACTGGGAACCAGTTGAGAAATGAGATGCAGAAATCAGACAGATGGAATTGACAATGTCAGTTTTGAGGTTAATAAAAGAGAATTCTAAGTCATGCATGGATCTGCAGCACCAGTCAAGCTCTCTAATACTTAGGGCCTCTGTGTTCAACTGGGGCCCTGGGGTGGCCCCCTGCAGGAAAGTAAGAGTTAATCTATCCTGGAGGGCAAGCAAACTTACCCCAAAACCCAGGCCTGCAGTCACTTGACTTCATCTTGGGGACAATGAGAGAAGGATCCCCAGGCCAAACTTGAGGGCTTCTGTCCTCAGCACATAAAAGCAGTCTGTTCTGTAGACAGGCTGATCAGAGAGAAAGGGGGCAGGCGTTTTCATCCTCCATGACTTCTCCTAAATTTGCCAATGGGATAAGTCACTCTGCTTCCTTTAGGGAGGAGGGAGTGAGGGTAGAGAGAGGCCAAAAATTTCTTCTTTTAGCAAAACTTGAGGTTTGAGGAAGAGGTATTTCATGTTGCATCACTGTATGCCATCTTGTGCATATAGCACGATGACAAAATCAGTCCCTATTGAAATACCATTGCTCAAATACTACCCTAACCCTGGACCCTGGACATGTGTCCACTAGTTCTTGAACTCCCCATGGGCCTTAGAAACCATCTGCCACCCTGACATCAATGCCTGCCCTTTCTCCAGCCTAATGTGCATCTCTGTGGCCCATTTGGTTCCTTGTGCCTGCTGCAGCTTGTAAGTAAAAATGACTCCCTTCCTTAGTGTGCCATATGCCAGTGTGGTTTCATATTAGTAGTTAAGTAGAGGTCAGGCACCTGATTTTGTTCAAATAAATCCTGCCAAGGGTGTTTTTGCTTTTTTTTTTTTTTTTAAAGTATTTGTGAATTATGACCACTAATCACAATTAACTATAAAACACGTTGTGTTTCTAGACCAGTACAATCCAACAGAAATATAATACAAGCCATATATGTAATTTTTGTGGTAAAATTTATCATTTTAATTGTTTTTAAATGTACTTAAATTGGTATTAAGTACATTCACATTATTGTGTAACCATCATCAATCACCATGCATCTCTAGCACTTTTTATTATCCCATACTGAAACTCTGCACTCACTAACTCTTTCCCCAGTTCTTGGTAACCACCTAATATAGTTTGGCTATTTGCCCCCACCCAAATCTCATGTTGAATTGTAATCCTCAATCTGGAGGTGGGGGCCTGGTGGGAGGTGTTTGGATCATGGGGGCGGATCCCTCATCGCTTGGTGCTGTCTTCATGATAGTGAGTTCTTATCAGATCTGGTTGTTTAAATGTGTGGGGCACCTCCCTCGCCACTCTCTCTCTCTCTCTTGCTCCTCCTTTCACCGTGTGACGTGCCTGATCCCCCATCAACTTCTGCCATGATTGTAAGCTTCCTGAGGCCTCCCTAGAAGCTGAGCAGATGCCAGCACCATGCTTCCTGTAAAGACTGCAGAACCATGAGCCAAATACACCTCTTTTTTTTTTTTTTTTTTTTTTTGAGACGGAGTCTCGCTCTTGTCACTCAGGCTGGAGTGCAGTGGTGCAATCTCGCTCACTGCAGCCTCCGCCTCCCGGGTTCAAGTGATTCTCCTGCCTCAGCCTCCTGAGTAGCTGGGATTACAGGCACCTGCCACCATGCCTGGCTAATTTTTGTACTTTTAGTAGAGACGGGGTTTAGCCATGTTGGCCAGGCTGGTCTTTTACTTCTGACCTCAGCCTCCCAAAGTGCTGGGATTACAGGTGTGAGCCACCACACCCAGCCATAAACTTCTTTTCTTTATAAATTACCCAGTCTCAGGTATTTCTTTATAGCAATGCAAGAATAGTGTAAAACACCACCATTCTACTTTCTGTCAGTATGTATTTGACTAATAATCTAGGCACTTCATATAAGTGCAATCATACAATATTTGTCCTTTTGTGTCTGGCCTATTTCACTTATCATTATATCCTCAGGGTTTATCCATGTTGAAGCATGTGTCAGAATCTCCTTCCTATTTTAGGCCAAATAATATTTCATTGTTATCTACTATTTTTTTTATTCATTCATCCATCCGTGGACATTGGGGTTATGTCCACCTTTCAGTTGTTGTGAATAATGCTGCTATGAATATGAGTATGCACATGTCTGTTTGAAACTCCGTTTTCAATTCTTTGGGGTATGTACTCAAAAGTGGAATTGCTGGAACAAATAATTCTAGTTTAATATTTTGAGGAAATGCTACATTGTTTTCTACAGCTGCAACATTTTACATTCCCACCAGCAATGCACAAGGGTTCCAATTTCTCCACATCCTCACCATCACTTTTCATTTTGTTTTGTTTTATAGTAGCCATCCTAATGGGTTTGAAATAGTATCTCATTGTGGCCTTGATTTGCTTTTCCCTAATGATTAGTGATGTTGAGCATCTTTTCATATGCTTATTGGCCATTTGTATATTACTGTTGGAGAAATATCTATTCAAGTCCTATGCCCATTTTTGAATTGAATTATTTGCTTTTATTGTTGAGCTTTAGGAGTTATTTGTATCTTCTGGACATTAATTACTTACCAGATATGTGATTTGCAAATCTTCTCTCTTATTCTGTGAATCGTCGTTTTACTCAGTTGAATGAACTTTACACAAAAGTTTTAAATTTTTTATGAAGCCCAATTTGTCTGTTATTTCTTTTGTTGCCTGTGCCTTTGATGTCAGATCTAGGAAGTCATTGCCAAGTCCAATGCCTTGAAGCCTTTCCCCTGTGTTTTCTTCTAAGAGTTTTATAGTTTTAGTTCCTACATTTAAGTCTTTGATCTATTTCATGTTAATTTTTGTATTTAGTATTAGCTAAGGTCCAACTTCATTCTTTTACATGTAGATGTGCAGTTTCCCCAGCACCATTTGTTGAAAAGACTGTCCTTTCCCCATTGAATGATCTTGGCACCCTTGTTGGAAATCATTTGACCATGTAAGTGTGGATCTATTTCTGGGCTCTGTACTTTATTCCATTGGTCTATATGTCTGCCTTTATGCCAGTACCACACTGTTTTGATTACTGTAACTCTGTAGTAAATTTTGAGATCAGGAAATGTGAGACCTCTGATTTCTTTACAAGATTGTTTTGGCTATTTGGGGTCCCTTGAGATTCCATATAAATTTTAGGATGGACTTTTCTATTTCTACAGACATATCAGTAAGATTTTGATAGGTGTGTTAGGCCATTCTTGTGTCACTATAAAGAAATACCCGGCCTGGGTGTGGTGACTCACGCCTGTAATCCCAGCACTTTGGGAGGCCGAGGCAGGTGGATCACCTGAGGTCAGGAGTTCAAGACCAGCCCGACCAACTTAGAGAAACCCTGTCTCTACTAAAAATACAAAATTAGCCAGGCATGGTGGCGCATGCCTGTAATCCCAGCTACTCGGGAGGCTGAGGCAGAAGAATTGCTTGAACCCAGGAGGCAGAGGTTGCGGTGAGCAAAGAACATGCCATTGCACTCCAGCCTGGGCAACAAGAGCAAAACTCCATCTCAAAAAAAAAAAAGAAAGAAAAAAAAAGACCCAAGGCTGGGTAATTTATGAAGAAAATATGTTTAATTGGATCACAGTTCTGCAGACTGTACCAGCACGGCTCCAGCATCCCCTTCTGGTGAGGGCTTCAGGAACCTTACACTCATGGCAGAAGGCAAAGGAAGAGCCAGTGTTTCATATGGTGAGAGCAGGAGGAGGTACCACATACTTTTAAACCGCCAGATCTCACAGGAACTCATTATCACAAGGACAGCACCAAGTCATGAGGGATCTGCCCTCATGAGCCAAATACTTCCCTCCACGCCACACCTCCAACATTGGGATCACATTTCAACATGAGATTTGGAGGGGACAAATATCCAAAACATATCAATAAATATTGCATTGAATCTGTAGATCACTATGAGTAGTATTGACACATTTACTATATTAACTATTCCAATCCATGAACATGGAATGTGTTTTCATTTATTTATTTATATCGTCTATAATTTCTTTCAGCAATGTTTGTAGATTTTAGTTTATAGGTCTTTCCCTTTCATGGTTAATTCCTACATATTTTATTCTTTTTGATGCTAGTATAAATAGAATTGTTTTTTAAATTTCCTTTTCAATTGGTTCATTTTCAGTGTATAGAAATGAAACTTATTTTTGCATGTTTTATATCCTGCATCTTTGCTAAATTCATTTATTAGTTTTTACAGAGTTTTTAAAATGTGGAATCTCTAGGGGTTTCTATATTAAGATCATGTTCTCTGCAAACAGATAATTTTACTTCATCCTTTCCAATTTCAGTGCCTTTTCTTTTTTTTTCTTGCCTAATTGCTCTGGCTAGAACTTCTGTTAGTGTTGAATGGAAATGGTGAAAGCAGGCATGTCTTGTTCCTGATCTTAGAAGAAAGGCTTTTAGTCTGTAATCATTAAATATGATGTTAATTATGTTTTTTTAATATATTGCCTTTATTATGTTGAGGTAGTTTCCATTCCTAGTTTGTTGATTGTTCTTATTGTAAAAGAGTGTTGAATTTTTTGTCAGATTCTTTTTCTGCAGCAAATGAGATGATCATGTGGTTTCTGTCCTTTATTCTTTTAATGTGGTGTATTACAATGATCCATTTTTATATGTTGAATCATGCTTGTATTCCAGGAATAAATACAACTTTGTCATAGTGCATAATCCTTTAATATGCTGCTGAATTCAGTGTGCTGGTATTTTGTTGAGCATTTTTGCATCCATGTTCATAAGGGATACTGGTTTGTATTTTTCTTCTCTTGTGGTGTCCTTGTCTGGCTTTAGTATTAGGGCAATGCTGGCTTCATAGAATGAGTTAAAAATTGTTTCCTTGACCAGCCTGGTCAACATGGTGAAACCTCATCTCTACTAAAAATAAAAAAATTAGCCGGGTGTGGTAGTGCGCACTTATAATCCCAACTACTCAGGAGGCGAGGCAGGAGAATCGCTTGAACCTGGGAGGCAGAGATTGCAGTGAGCTGAGATTGCACCACTGCACTCCAGCCTGGACAACAGAGCGAGACTCTGTCTCAAAAAAATAAAAAAAGAAAAAAAAATGTTTCCTCCTCTTCAGTTCTTAGAAGAATTTGAGAAGGATTTATACTAGTTTAACTTCAGTAGCATACAGAAACTCTACTTCTAGTCCAGGCATGGTGGCTCACACCCGTAATCCCAGCACTTTGGGAGGCCAAGGTAGGTGGATCACCTGAAGTCAGGAGTTCAAGACCAGCCTGGCCAACATGGCGAAACCCCGTCTCTACTAAAAATACAAAAATGAGCTAGATGTTGTCGTGCACGCCTGTAATCCCAGCTACTCGGGAGGCTGAGGCATGAGAATCGCTTGAACCTGAGAGGCAGAGGTCGCAGTGAGCCAAGATGTGCCACTGCACTCCAGCCTGGGTGACAGAGTGAGACTCTGTCTCAAAAATAAATAAATAAATAAAATAAAGAAACTCTACTTCTATACAGCTTCATCTCAACCCCTTTAAGTTATTAATGCTACAAGATTCTATTTTTATGTAGTGTGTGTGCAAAAACATAGACTAATAATTGTTTTTTTAATGCATTAGTCTCTTAAGTCATGTGAAAACAAAAACTGGAGTTACAAACCAAGGTTACAATAATACTAGCTTTTATAATTTCCCAAGTATTTATCTTTGCTGGAGATATTTCTTCATATGGTTTTGATCTACTGTCTCATCCTTTCATTTCAACTTATAGGACTCCCTTTAGCATTTCTTGCAGAGTTAGTCTAGTGGTAATAAGCTCTCTCAGCTTTTATTTATTTTAAAGTATTTTAATCACTCCCTCATTTTTGATGGACAGTTTTGCCAGATATAGGATTCTTGGTTAGCCATTTTATTTCTTGCAGCACTTTGAATATATCAGCCTACTGCCTTCTGGCCTCCAAGACTTCTGATAAGAAATATGCTGATAATTTTTTTGAGCACCCTTTGATGTGATGAATGACTTCTGTTTTGCTGATTTTAAGATTCCCTCTGTGTTTGGTGTTTGACAGTTTATTAGAATGTGTCTCAATGTGGGTTTCTTTGCGTTTATATTCATCCAAGAATATAAACACTAAATTGCATTAAATTTGGGATTTTTTTTTTTGCCATTATTTTTTCAAATAATGTCTCTGCTACTTGTCTCTCTCTTCTTCTTCTGTAACTCCCATACTGCATATGTTTGTCAGCTTTATGGTGTCTTACAGATCCCACAGGCTCTGTTCACTTTTCTTTAATATTTTTTCTTTCTTGTTCCTCAGGTGATAATTTCAATTGTACTTTCTTCACATTCACTGATTTTCTCTTCTGCCTGCTCAAATATGCTTTTGAATCCCTCTAATGAATTTTTCATTTCAGTTATTGTACTTCTCAGCTCCAAAATAAAATTTTTGTTTTTTTGAGAGAGTCTCACTCTATGCCCAGGCTGGAATGCAGTGGCTCAATCTTAGGTCACTGCAACCGCCACCTCCCAGGTTCAAGCAATTCTTGGGCCTCAGCCTCCCAGGTAGCTGGGACTACAGGGCCGCACCACCACACCCAGATAATTTTTTTTAAAGTATTTATTTATTTATTTATTTATTTTTATTATACTTTAAGTTTTAGGGTACATGTGCACATTGTGCAGGTTAGTTACATATGTATACATGTGCCATGCTGATGCGCTGCACCCACTAACTCGTCATCTAGCATTAGGTATATCTCCCAATGCTATCCCTCCCCCCTCCCCCCACCCCACCACAGTCCCCAGAGTGTGATATTCCCCTTCCTGTGTCCATGTGATCTCATTGTTCAATTCCCACCTATGAGTGAGAATATGCACACCCAGATAATTTTTATATTTTTAGTGGAGACAGGGTTTCACCATGTTGGCCAGGTTGGTCTCAAACTCCTAACCTCAGGTGATCTGCCCACCTCAGCCTCCCAAAGTGCTGGGATTACAGGCATGAGCCACCACGCCTGACTCAACATTTTTTTGTTCCTTTTTATGTTTTCTGTTTCTTTATTGATAATTCCATATTGTTCATACATCATTTTCTTGACTTTGTCCACCTCTTCCTTTAGCTCTTTGAACATCTTTAAGACAGTTGTCCTAAAGTCTTTGTCTAGGAAAAAGTTTTCTACTGTTTGGTCTTTCTCAGAGACTATGTCTGGTGATTTAATTTTTTCTTTTGAATTAGCTATACTTTCCTGTTTGTTTGTATGCCTTGTAATTTTTTGTTGAAAACTGGACATTTGAATTTTATATTTTGGCAGTTCTGGAAATCAGATTCTCCTCTTCCCCAAGGTTTGTGGTTTACTGGGTTTGTGGTTGTTACTGCTGTTGTTTTTTGGTTTTTTTGTTTTGTTTTTTTGGTTTTTGTTTTCTGTTTTTGAGACAGAGTCTCGCTCTGTTGACCAGGCTGGAGTGCAGTGGCGCGATCTCAGCTCACTGCAACCTCCACCTCCTGGGTTGGTTCAAGCGATTCTTCTGCCTCAGCCTCTTGAGTAGCTGGGACTACAGGTGTGCACCACCATGCCTGGCTAATTTTTTTGTATTTTTAGTAGAGACAGGGTTTCACCATATTGGCCAGGCTGGTCTCTAACTCCTGACCTCATGACCCACCCACCTTGGCCCCCCAAAGTGTTGGGATTACAGGCGTGAGCCACTGCACCCAGCCTGTTGTTGCTGTTCTTACTGTAGTCGGGTGACTTTGTGCCAGGCATTCACCCAAGATGTAAATTTAAGCTCTTCTTGGGTATTTTCTGAGTCTAAATCTTTCCCTGGACATATGTAGTGACTTTCTGAATTCCCTATATATGCAGCTGCTTTTTGATGTTCCATTATTCAGATGTGGCTTCCAAAAGGGAAAAGAGGGAATAACAAAGGGGGCGGGAGGTAACAGGCTCTGGATCTTTAAATATTCTGAAACCTACTTCAGATGGTGAGGTTGCAACAGTGGAGTCTGCCTCTGTGTCTGCACCTCTATGATCAGAAGCAGCATTCAGAACATAGATCCCTGATATCTGGAAGACAAGGTCCTAATTCCCTTCTCTAAATTCCACAAGCTGTGTGCAAGCTGCACCAAGTACACGTGCATGACTGACTGCCATGGAGCTGGGAAAAGGGGATGGTTAGCCACTACCGTGCAAAGAGCTGAAATTGACCAAAATTAATTGCAATTTACTGTCTAAGCCTTCCTTTGGCAGCTGCAAGCCTTTGAATAGACTCCAGAGTTCCAGAATAGTTACATCAAACAGATTCTGCCAGTGTAATTATCTAGATAGGGAGACAGAGTCCTATATTTCCCACGCTACCATCTTGCCTGATGTCATCCACATATGTAGTTTTAAATTTTTTAGTGGCTGCTTTAAAAAGTGAAAAGGAACAGATAAATATTTTAACAATATATTTTACTTAAACTAGTGTATCCAAAATATGATTATTTTAACATGTAACAATATAAAAATTGGTGATTTTCATACTAAATATTTCAAAATATATATTGTATACCTAGAGAACATCTCAATCAAAGATGCTAAATTTTCAATGGCTAAAGTGAAATGTAGCACTACCAAAACAATAATGTTGTGCTTAGCAGAAAAATATTTTATTCTGCTTTAGTTTCTAAATTAATTAAAATTTAACAAAATTAAAAATTCAGTTCCTCAGTCTCAGTAGCCACATGTGGCAGTGGCTGTTGTACTGGCAGCGTGGCTGTAAACACCCACTTCCAAAACAGGGGATGTGTGAGGTAAGGTTTGATTTGGTTCTCTTTTCTTTTTTCTTTTTTTTTTGTTGTTGTGTATGTGTGTGGGGTGGGAGATGGAGTCTTTCTGTGTCCTGCAGGCTGGAGTGCAGTGGCATGATCTTGGTTCACTGCAACCTCCGCCTCCTAGGTTCAAGCAATTCTCCTGCCCCAGCCTCCCTAGTAGCTGGGATTACAAGCACCCGCCACCATGCCCAGCTAATTTTTTTGTATATTTAGTAGAGACGAGGTTCCACCATGTTGGCCAGGCTGGTCTCGAACTCCTGACCTCAGGTGATCCGCCTGCCTCGGCCTCCCAAAGTGCTGGGCTTACAGGCATGAGCCACTGTGCCCGGCCGGGTTTACTGAAGGGCATTCTGTTCCTTCCTTTTTCAAAATTCGTACTGGATTAGGTGAGACAGTTCCCATGCAAGGCAGGCTTCAATCTGTAGAAGGCTGGGAAGTCGCTGTTAAAACAGAAGCCTCCACAGGGAATCCCTCCATCCCTCCTAAGACTAACCATCAACATGTGGGTGAGTGGTTATGTCTTCTAGGCCGTAAGTTTCCAGCAGGGATGGAAGCGTGCACAGCCATGTTGTGCTCGTCTTCTGTTCTGGAAGCAGCAACGCTTTCATTCTCAGTCCAGCATAGGGCCTGCCACTTGTGATAAGAGCAGTGCTGGCAGCAGCTTCAGCTTCATTTTACAACCCTGAGAAGTTCTGCCCTGTTTGTGGGGATTCGTGCTGTGAACATCCATGCAGTAGAATTCCTGCTGCTTGCAGGAAGTTTTTAATAGAGCTGATTGAGCAAGACAAAGAGGACTTCTGAATTTTTTAAGGTTTTTAATTTTTCAAATTTAGTACAGTATGGTAAGCCTCAGGAAATGCAGATTAAAGCCATAATAAGAGGCCGGGCACAGTGGCTCATACCTGTAATCCCAGCACTTTAGGAGGCTGACGCAGGCAGACTGCCTGAGCTCAGGAGTTTGAGACCAGCCTGGCCACCATAGTGAAACCCCATCTCTACTAAAAATATAAAAAATTAGCCAGGTGGTGTGGCACGCGTCTGTAGTCCCAGCTACTGGGGAGGCTGAGGCAGGAGAATTGCTTGAACTAGGGAGGCAGGGGTTGCAGTGAGCCGAGATCTCGCCACTGCACTCCAGGTGGGCAACAGAGTGAGGTTCCGTCTCCAAAACAAAACCAAACCATAAAATGATACTATTTTACAATCATCAAATTTTTGGTAAAAGAAAAAAAATATTGTCTTTGTCAACAACACCCAAGAGCCTGTAAGGATATAGACTAAAACGAACCCTCATCCAGAACTAGTTGGACTGTAAATTAGTTCAGCCACTTTGGGAAACAACTGGACATTATCAAATGAAGTCAAAGGTGCAGATCCTTCACTGAATGTACACACTAGAGAAACTGCATGTGATGGAGGCGACACTCCCCGGGTTGCTTAGAGAGCACTGTTTGTAACAGGAAAAAGTCTGTTACGAACCCAAGTGTTCATAACAGAAGAATGGATAAATTGGATATATTCACATAATAAAATACTATATAGCTATGAAAATTAATGAAGTTATGTGTATCAACATGGTGATGTCACATATACAAAGTACAACACAAATCAGGACCAATACATACACTGTGATTTCACTTACAAGAAGGTCAAAAAGAAGCTAAACTGGATAGCAGGTCAGGCGCAGTAGCTCATGCCTGTAATCCCAACACTTTGGGAGGCCGAGGCGGGCAGACAGCTTGAGGCCAGGAGTTTGAGACCAGCCTGGCCAACAAGGCGAAATACTATCTCTACAAAAAATTTAAAAATTAGCTGGGCATGGTGGTGTGCACCTGTAGTCCCAGCTGTTTGGAGGCTGAGTGAGGTAGGAGGATGACTCGAGCCTGGCAGATCAAGGCTGCAGCGAGCCGAGATCATGCCATTGCACTCCAGCCTGGTCAACAGAGTGAAATCTCTGTCTCAAAAAAAACAAAAACAAAAAAACCTCAACTTGATAGCGTATTGTTTGGGAATACATTCCTATGTGGTGAAACTACGAAGAGAAGCAAGGCAGCCTGCTTGTAGTGGCTCACACCTGTAATCCCAACACTTTGGGAGGCAGAGGTGGGAGGATTGCTTGAGGCCAGGAGTTCAAGACCAACCTGGGCAACATAGCAAGACTCCTTGTCTACAAAAAAATTTTAAACATTAGCTGGGTGTGGCAGTGCACACCTGTAGTCCCACCTACTCAGGAAGCTGAAGTGGGAGGACCTCTTGAGGCCAAGACTTAGAGGTTACGGTGAGCTGTGATCACTTCAGTGCACTTCAGCCTGGGCAACAGAGTGAGACCCTGTCTCTTTAATTAAAAAAAAAAAAAAAAGAGCCTGGGCGCAGTGGTTCACGCCTGTAATCCCAGCACTTTGGGAGGCCGAGGTGGGCGGATCACAAGGTCAGGAGATCGAGACCATCCTGGCTAACACGGTGAAACCCCATCTCTACTAAAAATACAAAAAAAAAAAAAAAAAAAATTAGCCGGGCGTGGTGGTGGGCACCTGTAGTCCCAGCTACTCGGGAGGCTGAGGCAGGAGAATGGCATGAACCCGGGAGGCGGAGCTTGCAGTGAGCCAAGATCACGCCACTGCACTCCAGCCTGGGTGACAGAGCGAGACTCCATCTCGAAGAAAAAAAAAAGAGAGAGAAGTGAGGCACTGGTTAAGAGAAAACCCAGAGAGTGGTTACCTGTTTTCTTTAAGGCACAGTCATGCTCTGAAGTTTGGTTTAAGTCACAGTGATCATTGCCATTCTGTATACCTTCCAACATACACATATTTGGAAATCTGAACTATTTCATAACAGAAATGCCACCTAGCTTAGCTAAAAGGAATTATAGGAAATATACTTCTCTATAGACTCATGTGCATGCTCAATTAATTAGTCATATATTGTATATCATTTAAGTGGGTTAAAGAGCAGTGTAAATAAAACATGGCTCCTGCCCCTCAAGAATGTTCCATCTAGCAGATTCAGAGGCTTGCCCATCCGTGGCACAATGTATCCTGACAGTCACAGCTGGCCTCCTCTGGGCAGGCATGAAGTAATTCATTAGATTAGCTAGCATGAAGGCTCTGCCATATTAAGTGTAATGGGGGGTGGCTCATAAGTGGGGGTGTCTGAGGAGTGGGCCTGACCAATTGGTAAATTGGATGATTAGTTTGAAATGGCAGGATTTCAAATACATGCTTCACCCATTGTGTAGTTTTGCTGAAAATCAGTTCTGAATCTTAGGTGTTCTGTGGCAAATAAAAGGCAGATATCATATCCTCATTTTGCCACTGGAAGAATTGAGACATTTGCTGGCTTACTCTGTTCAGAAATACTTGGTGCATGGAAATATCCCAAAGGAACCCTGGTGGGTTTATACTTAGTTCTGTGTGTCCTCGTGTTTAACAAGCTGAGCGTGCTCAACCTTGGGAAGTGCAGGTGTCCTTGGGTGTTGCTGGCTTCCAGGCCTGCTGGGGGGCATCATTTTGGAGCCCATGCGAGTATTTTATGGGTAAACTTTTCATCCAGCATCCTACTCCCACCTCCCACAAACGCTCTTGATTCTGAGCAGCCATGGGCCAGGCTTTTGGACCTAACAGGTAACATTTTGATAGGTGTATTGCTGGAAGGCTGAAGAGCACATGGATCTTCAAAAGGAAGCAAATCAGGATAGCTGAGGAAAAAAACACCAATTCCAGTGCTCAGTGAGAATGTATACAATTCCTGCTAAGGCATCTGCTCTATGGGCTGTTTTATCAGTCTGATTAACGGAGGGACCAAATACATCCTCACAGTTAATTGACATGATCTCTGCCCTTACTTATTGTTATTCTATTTTTATGGTTATTTTTATTAACAAGAAAACTATTGTTTCTAGTGAACTTAAGATGGCTGAATATCAAACCTAACAATTTAGGATGTTTTCCCAGAGTCTTCCAATCATTCCTCTGAAAAATGAGGGAGCATTTGATTCCTAACTTCCTCTTCTCCCTTCCCACGACAAGCCATAGAATTACAAGCACAGGTATAAATATCTTTCAGCTGATTAAATGGTGTCCTGCCAAAAGAAGATTTGTTTTGAGTATAATTTCTTGGATGCTCTTCTAAAGGAGAATGATCTTTCTTTAGAGGCCTCCATGGAAACGCAGTGTTACATTTTCCATTCTTTTAGAGAAGGGTAACAAAAGAACTATCTTCCTGCTGAAATCAAGAAATCGAGGGTTGGAGGATCCTAAGCTGTCCAGAACCCTATGACTGAGTCAGCTGGTAATTCCTGGTAAGAACTTGGCGTTTTTGAAGCCGCCTGGGCCGGATAAGTCAGGAGGTCCAAAGCAGCCTTCCAGATCAAGTCCTGCAGTGGAAGCACCTCCTCCCATCCTCCCTCCAAATCAGGAAATGTGCTCAGAGCTAGGTTTGGGGACAATTTGAACAGACAGTCTTTGTTCCCTGCCCAGCACATTCCCACCTGGTGGGAGCTAAAAGCCGCAGCAGGGAAGGGTCTATCCCTCTGAGGGTCGGGAACATAACGGGGCTGCAGCGTTCGGTCCCTTTTGCTCTTCTGAGTGCCCTGCTTCTTGTCCTGACCCTGGAACCCAACCCTGTGCTCCTGGAACTTACATACCATTCTTTTCCTGTCAAACGTGAGCCTTCTGTGAAAAACAATGCCTGGTTGAAGTTTCCCTGAGAAACCTGCTTGTTTCAGACACAGATCTGCTAACAGCCCAGATGGCAGGATCTCTGACCAGCCTCCTGTCGTTGAAAAAGGGTGCTTGGGGAAGGTCTTTTGTTGAGAGGATGCATTAAATCCTTCTTAGTGGGGTCAGCCCCAGTCCTTGCATAAATACCTCCTGTGGATTCGATCTTGAAGGATGGGTAGATCCCAAAAGGAGGGCACCCTTCCTGAGCTCCAGAAGACTTGCAGCTCTTTCCCATACTCTATGCAGCTGTGGCTGCATAGAGGAAATTTATCCTTTCCACTACTGCAGGCCAATAGGCCCTGTGAGAAACGAGTGATGAACATGATCGTGTTTCTGCAGCACTCGCCTACCTGTGACTCCCAGAAACAGTAGCATCCATGTACCTGGAGAGCAGCAGCCCCAGGTGGCATCTTCCCATGGCCACACCTCCAGCCTGGCCTTCCCTAAACCCCCTTACACGCAGCCGCCAGAGTGCTGGGTTTGATCACTGAGAGGCTAAATCTCTGTCATGTGACTGAATGACTTACTGACCATCTGTCATTATTTTAGGGAAATATTTGTTAAAAGGATTTTTTATAAAGATAGATGACTTTCCTAAATGCTCATGTAAATGAAATAGTTTTTAAAAATTACCACTCACAACCATAAATATCCTTTTTTTGTTGTGTGTACCCACACACATAAAGATATACATAAGACATACACAATAAAACTGCACTATTATAAAGGTTCTCATAAATTGGAAATTGGCTTCCGTCCTCCACTCAGGCCCTGGCTAAAGCTCTTATCCTACTGGGAGAAGAGGAGACATGGAGGGGCCGGCGAGGTCAGGTGGCAAAAGAGAAGGCCCCACTGAGGCCCGGGGTGGAGAGGCAGAAGTGGGACTCCACACTCCCTTATCCTCCCTAACTCATCCCTTCAAACCCGGCCGTAAGATCCAGAATTGTCCCCATCACTATGCAAGCTGCTGCCAGTCTGCATAAGCCAGACCAGCTGGGGGCTCCCAGCTGGACCCTCAGACTCAGGCCTCAGGCTCGGCGGACTGGCTGCAGCCTTTGCATTGACCACTTGATAATGCAATCCTGCATCTTCTGTGATGGAAACTTTTAGTCCCACATTAGGATAGAAATATATACTATTTTTATTTTATTTCATTCATTTATTTTTGAGACAGAGTCTCACTCTGTCACCCAGGCTGGAGTGCAGTGGTGCGATGTCGGCTCACTACAACCTCTGCCTCCCAGGCTCAAGTGATTCTCCTGCCTCAGCCTCCTGAGTAGCTGGGATTACAGGCGCATACCACCATGCGTGGCTAATTTTTGTATTTTTAGTAGAGACAGGGTTTCACCATGTTGGCCAGGCTAGTCTCAAACTCATGACCTCAAATGATCCACCCGCCTCAGCCTCCCAAAGTGCTAGGATTACAGGGTGAGCCACTGTGCCCGGCCTAAATATAAACTATTTTTTTAAAATAGTAAAATGAACAGCAGTGTACCTCCCACCTAGCTGAAAAATAGAGTATTCCCTCTGCCTTTAAACCTGGTCCCCTGCTGCCCAAGTACGTTCCCTTTCCTTCCCCATAAACAGACCCGCTCTCCTGAATTGTGTGGAAAGCAGCCCTTTGCTTTTCTTCATGAGAGTACCATGTATGTGCATATTCCTAAACAGGTTATTGTTGAGTTACTTGTTTTTGACCTTTAGATAATGAAATTATACTGCATATATGTCTCTGTGACATGCTTCTGCCAGTCACTTTTACGTTTGTGATACTCACCATGCCAATAAGTGTAATAATAGTAGTTCATTTCTTTTCACTATTCTGATATAAAATAATTATCCTTTCCACTGTTGAAGGACATCAGAGTTTCCAGTTTGTGGTTTCTCTAAAGAAGTGCTGTTGGGAACATTGCTGTTCTTCTCTCCTGGTGCTGTGTGCAAACATTTCTTACCCTTGGATGTGCATCAGAGTCACCTGAAGGGCTTACTGAAACCCAGGTTGCTGGGCCCCAGCCCTAGAGTTTCTGCCTCAGTAGGTCTAGTTGCTGGAGAATTTGCATTTCTAACAAGTTCCCGTGATACTGATGCTGCTGGTCTAGGGACCACTGCCCTAAAGTACATCCCAGGAGCAGAGCTACTGTGTTGTTGGATATGTATTTGTTCAAACCTTATTAGGTAATGCAAAATTATTTTCCAAAGTTGCACCAATTTGCAGTCTTGCCAACAATGAATATGAGTTCCTGTTGCTCAGAATCCTTGTCAACATTTGAATATTGTCTAACTTCAAAATGTGTGCCCATCTGGTATGTGTGAAATGGTGTCTCGTGATTTTGATTTGCATTTTTCAAAATACTAATGAGGTTGAACAACTTATCCTGTGTGTTTTGCTCATTCCTCTTTCCTCTTCTATGACAGACCTCTTCCTATCTTTGTGTGTGTGTGTATTTTGCTATTAAGTTTTTAGTCTTTTCTTACTGATTGAAGGTGGGGATTATAAAGTCTGTTCTGCACAATAATCCATATTGATTGTCTAGGTACAAATTTATTTTCCTATTCTGTAGCTTGTCTTTTCCCATTCTGTATTTTCCTAGTCCTAGCTTATCTTTTCTCATTCTGTATTTTTTCTTTTTTGATATGGAGTCTTGCTCTGTCGCCCAGGCTGGAGTGCAGTGGCATGATCTTGGCTCACTGCAAGCTCCGCCTCCCAGGTTCACGCCATTCTCCTGCCTCAGCCTCCCGAGTAGCTGGGACTATAGGTGCCCACCACTGTGCCCAGCTAATTTTTTGTATTTTTAGTAGGGTCGGGGTTTCACCGTGTTAGCCAGGATGGTCTCGATCTCCTGACCTCGTGATCCGCCCACCTCGGCCTCCCAAAGTGCTGGGATTACAGGCGTGAGCCACCTCACCCAGCCTCATTCTGTTCTTTCTTTATTAAACAGAAGTCCTTAATATTAACGGAGTCAAGTGTATCCATCTTTTCCTTTGTGGTTCATATTCTTTTGTGTTTATTTAAGACCTCCTTGCTTTGGAATTTTAAAGCTACTTTCCCACATAGTATTCTAAATGTTTTATGTATTTGTGTTTTACAGAACAGTATTTAGTCTACCAGAAATTGATTTTTTGAGTAGGGAGTGATGTAGGGTTCCAATTTTATTTTTCCTCTTGGGATACAAGGATAACCTCTCATCCTTGTATGAGAGGTTTACTGACTATTCCATCTTTTCCCACTGATCTGCCTTGCTGTCTCTATCAAAACTCAAGTTTCCTTATATGGACAGTCTGCTTCTGAACTCTCTATCTGTTCTATTGGACTACTTTAAGTCAGTGCCACGGTTTTTTTTTTTTTAAACTGCTGTTTTTTGAGACAGGGTCTACCTCTGTCACCCAGGCTGGAGTGCAGTGCAATCTCATCTCACTGCAGCCTCAGGATCTCAAGTAGCTGGGACTGCAGGCACATGCCACCAAGCCTGGCTAATTTTTCCTTTTTTTTTTTTTTTTTTTTTTTTTGAGATGGGTTTCACTCTGTCACCGCAGCTGGAGTGCAGCGGCATGATCACGTCTCACTGAGCCTCAACCTCCCGGGCTGAGCCTCCCAAGTAGCTGGGACTATAAGCATGCATCACCACATCCAGCTAATTTTGTATTTTTTGTAGAGACAGGGTTTTGCCATGTTGCCTAGACTGGACTCAAACTCCTGGGCTCAGGAAATCTACCTGCTTCGGCCTCCCAAAGTGCTAGGGTTACAGACGTGAGCCACTGTACCCAGCCATTTTTACTATTTTCTTTTTATAGAGATGGGGTCTCGCTATGTTGCCCAGGCTGGTCTTGAACTCCTGGGCTCAAGTGATTCTCCTACCTCAGCCTTCCAAAGTGCTGGGATTATAGGTGTGAACCATCATGTGCAGCCTTAACTTTTGCTTTTAATTGACCATAAGAATTGTACATATTTATGGGGTACAGTGTTTTCATACAAGTATAGACTGTGCAATAATCAAATCAGGGTAATTAGCATATCCATCACCTCAAACACTGTTGCGGGAAGTCAGGGACCCTGAATGGAGGGACCGGATGGAGCCGTGGCAGAGGAACATAAATTGTAAAGATTTCATGGACATTTATCAGTTCCCAAATAATACTTTTATAATTTCTTATGCCTGTCTTTACTTTAATCTCTTAATACTGTTATCTTCGTAAGCTGAGGATGTACATCACCTCAGGACCACTGTGATAATTGTGTTAACTGTACAAATTGATTGTAAAACGTGTGTTTGAACAATATGAAATCAGTGCACCTTGAAAAAGAACAGAATAACAGCGATTTTTAGGGAACAAGGGAAGACGACCATAAGGTCTGACTGCCTGTGGGGTCGGGCAAAAAGAGCCATATTTTTCTTCTTGCAGAGAGCCTATAAACGGACGTGGAAGTAGGAGAGATATCACTAAATTCTTTTCCTAGCAAGGAATATTAATTTTAATACCCTGGGAAAGGAATGCATTCCTGGGGGGAGGCCTATAAACGGCCACTCTGGGAATGTCTGTCTTATGCAGTTGAGATAAGGACTGAGATACTCCCTGGTCTCCTGCAGTACCCTCAGGCTTACTAGGGTGGGGAAAAAATCCGCCCTGGTAAATCTGTGGTCAGACCGGTTCTCTGCTCTTGAACCCTGTTTTCTGTTATTTAAGATGTTTATCAAGACAATACGTGCACTGCTGAACACAGACCCTTATCAGTAGTTCTGCTTTTGCCCTCTGTCTTGTGATCTTTGTTAGACCCTTATTAGTAGGTCTGCTTTTTGCCCTTGGAAGCATGTGATCTTTGTACCTACTCCCTGTTCTCACACCCCTTCTCCTTTTGAAACCCTTAATAAAAACTTGCTGGTCTGATACTCAGGTGGGCATCACGGTCCTACTGATACGTGATGTCATCCCTGGTGGCCCAGCTGTAAAATTCCTCTCTTTGTACTCTTTCTCTTTATTTCTCAGCTGGCCGACACTTATGGAAAATAGAAAGAACCTATGTTGAAATACTGGGGGCGGGTTCCCCCAATAAAACACTTGTCATTTCTTTGTGGTAAGAATATTCAAAATCCTCTCTTCTAGTTATTTGGAAATAAACAATACAGTATTGTTAACTATAGTCACCCTACTGTGCAATAAAACACCAGAACTTATTTCTCGTATTTAACTGTAACTTTGTACCCATTAACCAACTTCTTCCCATTTCCCGCTATCCCCCACCACCTCCCCGGCCTCTGGTAACTACTATTCTACTCTCTACTTCTATGATACCAACTTCTTCAGATACCTGATATGAGTGAGAACATGCAGTATTCATTCTTCTGTGCCTGGCTTATTCACTTAACATTATATCCTCTCTGTTCATCTATGTTGTCGCAAATCACAGGACTTCATTCTTTTTTTTAATCACTGAATAGTATTCCATTGTGTATGTGCACCATATATATATATATATATATATATATTTTTTTTTTTTTTTTTTTTTTTTTTTTTTGAGACAGAGTCTGCCTCTGTCACCCAGGCATGGAGTGCTGTGGTGCAATCTCGGCTCACTGCAACCTCTGTCTCCCGGGTTCAAGGGATTCTCATACCTCAGCCTCCTGAGTAGCTGGGATTACAGGCATGTGCCAACACGCTGAGCTAATTTTTGTATTTTTAGGAGAGGCGAGGTTTCACTATGTTGGCCAAGATGGTCTCGAACTCTTGACCTCAAGTGATCCACCCACCTTGGCCTCCGAAAGTGCTGGGATTACAGGTATGAGCCACTGCGCCGGGCCATGCACCACATTTTTAATCCATTCATCTGCCAATGGACACTCTGGTTGATTCCACATCTTGGCTGTTGTGAACAGTGCTGCAATCAACATGGGAGTGCAGATATCTCTTTGATATGCTGATTTCCTTTCCTTTGGTTAGACAACCTGTAGGGGGACGGTTGGATCATAGGGTAGTACCATACTTTTATAGTATAGCATTACAGTAAGTCTATCTTATAGAGCAATATCCATGACCTTATTCTTCAAGAATTGCTTGGTTGTTCATGGCCTTTTGCACTTCTATATACAATTCAGATTCAACTATTCTAATTCCACCAAAAAACACCAAAAACCGTATTTTGGGGATTTTGTTTGGAATCATATGTCATTGTGGGGAGAATGGACATCTTTGTGGTACCTTATCTTTCTGTACAAGAACAATGGTATGTTACCAAAATAATATAACAATGGCAATATTGACATTATCAACTTAAATGTCTTTTAATTCTTTTTCAATAAAGGTTCATGATTTTCTCTCTGGAAACCTTGCATATCTTTTGCCAAATTTATCAGTAGCTCTCTACCACGTCTGATAGAGTTCGAATTTGAAAACCTAGGATTCAAATTTGAAAACCTATCTCCTAATTGAAAATGTATCCCCTAAATTAGCTCTATGGCCACTTTGCCAAGTTCTGTCCTGAGAAGTGACCCAACATAGCTTTTGTCTTTTCTCTCCGTCTGAACACACAGAAGAAAGGAAAAGTTAAGTGGGTAGCAGGGGAACGGGCCACTCATAATTTCTACTTAACATAGATTTTTATTTACCTGTGAGAAAATGATCTGCTCTAAGAGCATATACAATTTGGATATTTGCAGAGGTCTCAGATGAAATCTTCAGTGATGAGGCCACATCTATCCCGGCTCGCTCAAGGATTGTTGGTTGCATTGTTTCCATTACAACCCAGCTGGATCCTTGCTGGGTTCCTGCCAGCAGCTTCCACACACCTGGAGTGGGTTGGCTTTTCCTGCAGGTTTGCTTCTATGCCAGCTCCTGGGAGCAGTTGTCTACCAGGACACACCTGGGGAGCTGATAAACACACAAAAGAAACATGTCTGGCTCCCCAGCCAGATGGCAAGGCCTGAAACCCCTGAGCGTTTTGGACAGGTTTGCTTTACTGATGGGACAGCATTAACCCTGCTAACACCTGTGTTGGGGAAGCCTTCTTACCATGTCCCTCGGTGGCAGGGAGGGAGCCTACACACTTATTCAGGGTAATTTGCTCACCTGGACTAACCCCCAATGGGGATTTCAGCCTCCTACTTGAGTCCCTAAGAGGACAGGCCATTGCTTGTGTTTTTTTCCCCAAAGTAACAACAGGAGTCAAGAAAATCAATGAAGAGTATTCCTAGGCTGCGGAGTCCACTGCTGACAGTGGAAAGCCCTGTGCAGAGACAGCCACTTGCCACTGGGACAGGGCAGGATAGGGCACGTCCCAACCCAGCCTCAGTGGCAACGGAAGCCCTTGGGTGGGACTCAGCCACAGCCACAGCCACAGAGGAGGCTGGGCCTCCCACCGTCGCACTCCCTTCGTGATGTTGTGACTTCAGTCCCAGAATAGTTGAGGACGTTTGGGAAATTCACACTCTAAAAATATTTCATTTTTTCATATAGGCAAGATAACACAGCAGAGTGACAGTGGGTTACTAAGAATGCAGTTCCCTCGTTATGTAACATGGGCAAAAATAGTGTTTTGGGCCAAAATAGGGCTGAGAAAGAGGAATGTGAACAAACAGCATGGACAAGTCATTATTTACTCAAATCGTCCTGTGGCTGGGGGGGCTTTGGAAGAGCTTTGATGGTGTCCCATCTGGCCACAGCCGAGGCCACCTTTCTGAAGCAAAGTTTAATGGAAGCAAAGGTGTCTGTAGAGGAGGCTGTTTTAAGGCAAGGCCCTGGCCCAGCACACAGGCAGGCTGGGAGACTCCTGGATGAGTGAGGGACGGAGACTGCCTCCTGGGACACCATCCCATTTTGGGGCACATGCTGAAGAGGAGGGGCCATTCCAGAGCACAGGTCACACAGCGCTCCTGTCATGGGGCTTGTGGTGGGCTGGTGGCAGGGCCCAACCCTGAGGGCTGGGCCATGTCGCCACCCTCTCCGGATGGGGTCCCAAGTTGGGGGTCTTCTGGTTCAGCTGCATCCTTGGCTGCTAAGCTAAGGCCAAGAACGCTCCCTGCAAGAGGGGGGACTTTCCACTTTGGAGGGATCTATCCATGACCACCTGTCAGACATCACAAGCTTCCAGGGGAGGAGCTGGCAGAGAAGTTGTGCTTAGATGAAGTAGCTTGAGTTTGTGCTACAAGAACTAGCCAAGTTCCACTTTTGAGAGCCAAAGAAATGCCAGCGGCAGAGTCCCTGGGCTTCCAGGAGCTAATATTCTCAAACTTAGTCTCATGATGCCAGATGACCGTAAATTAGAGGCCAGAAGATTTAAACACAAGAGTGGGGCCTCTTTTGCCATAGAGGCATCGAGGCATCCATCCATCCAACCATCCATCCATCCACCCACCCACCCCTATCTGTTACAGTGTGCCCAGAAGAGAGGAGCTGGCAGTAGGGGCCAGGACAGTAGACGGGCCACCTGTTGGACTGAGGCAAATTGGCAGCTGCTTCATGACCTTCTCCCCTTCCACATCCTGCCCACCAATGCCTGGCAAGGAGCAATGCAAGAAACCCAAACCCCACCTGGTTTGGGGCAGAAGTTTTAAGTGCACCCACCCTGCTAGCAAAGGGGTACTGACCTTCCCAGACTGCCCTCGAGGCAGCCCCTTCTCTATTCTTTCCCAGTAAGAAGTATTTGCCTCTCTCTGAATGCATTTGCTCCTCTGCATAGACAGACACAACAGTCGCCTCTTAGTCCTCATCTTACTTGTCATCTCAGTGGCATTTGACACAATTGATCAATTCCCACCCTCTTGAAGTATGTTTTTTCTTAGCTTCTAAGACATCACACGTTTGGTTTTCCTTCTGCCTTAGTAACTATTTCTTCATCTTTTCTGCCAGTCTTTGTCCTCCTCTTCCTTTCTCGCTCAATCCCCAGACCTCTTCTGCTTGGGTGACCTCATACTGTCCATGGCTTAAGTACTATCTATGTTTCCCAATTTATTATATTATAAGCCCTAACCCTTTCCTTAAGCTCCAAACTTATATAGCCAACCGCTTGGGTATTAGTTATCTATTGCTGCATAATAAATTACCCCCAAATTTAGCAGTTTAAAAATAAGCATCTTACACAGTTTCTGAGGGTCAGTCATCTGGGAGTGGCTTAGCTGGTGGTCCAGGCCCAAGGTCCCTCCTGAGGCTGCAGTTACCTGCAGGCCAGGAGGATCCACTTCCAAGCTTACTCATGTGGCTGTTGGCAGGGACCTTCCATTCCGCACCATGTGGGCCTCTCTTTACGAACCAAAATAGAAGTTGCAATGGCTCCTATAACCAACCTTGGGAGTGACATACCAACACTTCCTCCATGTTCTGTTGTTCAGAGACTAACCCTGGTACAATGGGTGTGGGTCTGGGGGACTTCACAGGGTGTGTGAGTTGGAGGCAGGAGGCTGGCCACCACAGCCATCTAATAAACCTCTAAAAATTAACATGGCCCAAGCTCAAATTCATCACTCGCAGCAGCCCCACAACTTGCTCTTCCCTGTCTTCTCCATCGTAGTAAATGACAGCATCATTCACTCAGGTCCCAAACCTTCAAGTCATCCTTGACTCTCAGACCCTCACTGAATCCATTTGTAAATTCTGCACATTCTGCCTTCAAGATCTGTATCAAATCTGATCCCTTTTACCCTCCATGGCTACCACACCAGTCCAGAGTGCTCTCACCTCCCCTCGTCTCACTAGTTTCACTACTTCCACCCCAGCCTCTGCAGTGTATTTTCCACACAGTGGCCAATGGGATTTTTTTTTTTTTTTGAGACAGAGTCTCACTCTGTTGCCCAGGCTGGAGTGCAATGGCATGATCTTGGCTCACTGCAACCTCCACCTTCCAGGTTCAAGCAATTCTCCTGCCTTAGCCTCCAGAGTAGCTGGGACTACAGGCGTGCACCACCATGCCCAGCTAATTTTTTTTTTTAACTTTTAATAGAGACGGGGTTTCACCTTGTTGGCCAGGCTGGTCTCGAACTCCTGACCTCATGTGATCCGCCCGCCTCGGCCTCCCAAAGTGCTGGGATTACAGGCACGAGCCACTGCGCCCAGCCCCAAAGAGATTTTTAAATGTCACATCATGACATTCCCTGGTTCAAACTCTCCAATGGCTTCCCTTCTTAATCAAGAAAACAAATCTCAACTCCTACAGCTTTACACATCTGGCCCTTGCACGTGTGCAACTTTCTTTCCTGCCCCTCTTCCCCTCACTCCCCTTCAGCCACAGTGGCCTTCCTTCTGTGCTTCCCACGTGCCGGGTACACTCCTGCCTCAGGCTTTTCATTGGCCAATCCCTGTCTGCAGTCTTCTCCTAGTCATCTATATACAGGACTGCTTCCTCACTTCAGTCTCTGCCCAAGTGTCACTGCCTCGTAAGCCCCTCCCTTATCAAACCTCCTAGAAGACAGACTCCCTTCCTAGACCCACTGCTGACACTTGGTGTCCCACACTGTGAGCTTCCTGAGCACCAGGTCTTCCACGTTCTAGTCACTGCTGTCTCCCTGATGCCTAGAACAGTACCTGGCACATAGCAGGTACTCAATAAACATTTGCTGGACTAATGAATGAAATATAAACATAAATGCTTAGGGTTTTAAAATACCCCAACTTGAAGAAAAATCTGAATTATTACAGTGGTATAGGAATGTATGGGGGTAGGAGGGCCCTGGAGAGGCCATTTCACAAGCATGTGCACCTCTTAGGAGCACGGTCTCAGGCACACAGGTGGATTAAAAAACACATTGCAGTTGTAATTGCCACCTTTCTTCTAAGGAGCAGACAGTTTAGCTCAAGATATACGACAGCTGTATACTTTCTTAGCATCTCCTCTCCTGCCAGAGTGTGGCCTTTCTAAAACCCACCATGTCACTCCCCTGCACAAAACCCTTCAGTGACTCACTACCGCCCCAAAGGCAAAGCCCTAACTTGTAGCTGCGGCTTCCCCCGAACTTCTTGGTCTTGCCTTAGTTCACCTCACCATCTTCATTTCTTGCCCCTTCCCACTCTAGATACCACACTTCAGCCAAATAGAAATGTTGGCTGCCCCCCAAATAGACATTTTCCCTTATTTCTGGGATTTTGCCCATTCCGTTCCTCTGCTTGTAATACGCTTTCTGCCCCCTCCTGTCAGTTACCTTTTGCCCCAACTCTCACCCTAGAGTGGCCTTCTTCACAGTGGCTTCAAGGCTCCTGGCAAGAAGGGAGGGCAAGCCCCAATGTGCAAGGACTTGTCAAGTCTCTGTCTGTTGACCAAAGAAAGACATGGCCGAGACCAGATTGAAGAGGTGGAGAAATAAAGCACTTCACAATGAAAATCATGATTTCATTGCACACAGGGCTGGAGGAATGCCTGGTTCTCTGCAAGCCATTTCCCATACGCCCCCCATGCTTTCCCCAGTGCCTACTCAGCTTCTGGTCTCAATCCCAAAATCACACCCTCTGGGGTAATTTTCCTGATCCTCAAAGCCTGGGTGAAGAAACTCCTACAACACTTTATGACATTGCTGCATTTATTACTCCGTACTGCCAATGAATACATGAATGTAGGATTACATTCAATTATTTGTAGGATAAATGCAGGCCCTCCGATCCACACAGCAGAGTTGACTATACTCAACATTTTGTGGCAACGTGGTGTCAGTTTTCCCTGTAAGGGAGTGTGTTTTGGTTTCTGTTTTATCTTCATTGCTTGTACTGTACCTGACACAAAGTGGGTACTTAAATATATCTGTGAAATAAATACATAACTATCATAAAAATAAAATGGAGTACTTTAAAAAGGCACAAAGAATGTTCTTGAGACCACTGCCTTGTTAGGCTCAGCAGGCTGCAAACATTAGAGCTGAGACAGCACAAAACCACATGAAATTAGACTGAAATGCCTCAGCGGGAGAAAATGAAAGAAAACGCCACAGAAAGCGACACTTTCCTTTTATTAGATTCACAATGCCTTTGTAACGCCCAACCTCTCCTTTGTAGAATTTTTCTTTGTTAGAAAACAGACAAACTCTGTCCTTAGGAACCGTCTTCTACTTGGTACAGCACTGGCCTCAGGCCGCCTGCATCTGCGTGGACCAGTAAGAATGAAGTCCAGCAGCATAGAGAAAAGCATCATAAAGGCTGGGAGGTCATCCCCCAGGGCCTCCCCTACTTCACATACACAGAGACGTGTGCATATGTCACACACACACACATATTATATATAGATATGTATTTTTTTTTTTTTTTACAAAAATAACAGGGTTTGCACAGCTCTATTAATTTTTTAAAATTACACAGGCAAGGTTTATGCTTCAGTATAACCATTTTTACTTTGGATTTAAGTGGGAATTTTAGGCCTAAAAATAAGATTACCAAGCAGAGGCCATCTAGCCACACAGACACAAGACATCTTGAGCTCCATGAAACTAGAAATGTGGTGATGTCATCCTCACACGGGGGGGCTACACATCCCCATCGATTATTTTAACTAAAATACAAAAGCAAAATAGTGTGTTAAAATAATCCTCTACTCAATGCATTAGCACATATACCAAATTATACTATCTGCATGACAGTCTCTAGGTACCAAGACTGTATTTTTGCAAGTGCTATTCTCTACTTCATTAAATACAGTACCCAGCCAGCAACCACAAAAAGAGAACGCATGCTGTACAGCAAGAGAAGGGGAGGGAGACGATTTTCAGGGCCATAACTTCCATGGCAACCAAAAGAAAAATAAGTAAGACAAATCTCACATGACAGATATAAAACTAATTTGCAGTGACATTTGATATATAGTTTTATCAGAAGTAATACATTTAGGTTACAGTTACATGAAAAAGAGAAACTATGTGAAATTATAGGCTTTCTCCTAGAATATCCAAAATGCTCATCAACAGTTAATTAGTACAAGAAAGATGACCACCAGGTGATTGAATAGACAGAATGTCATGTAGTATTTTAAAAACACAGATTCTGGGACTAGAAGCTACCACCAAAATATCCAGAAATCTGAGTTAACAGGTCCTTTATTTTGCACACTTGCTGCTGATATATAGAACCACGAAGTGTTTGCACAGACCACGAATGCAGCCGCTAGCCTAGAGGCTGGTCACAGAAGAGAATGCGATGAACACCGTCCTGCCAGTGTGAGGACGGAGTGTCTGATGTGTTTGTGTCCCCCCACCACCCCCCCATATACAAAGGCCATCTCTAGGGCAGAAATCTCTCAACAGCTCAAGCCCATCCTCGCTGCCCCCTCCACGAAACGACACAGCTCAAGCTTGGTGCTGGGAAGTCTTTCCGATGCTGGTTTGATTCCTGATCACCCAACTGGACAGGGCCCTCTCCAGGACCTCCCAGGTTCTCCCTGGTACCTTCCCTCCCTCAGGAGGAGGCAGCACTGTCTCTGAAGCCACCAACGAGTAATGCTAGAAGAATCAGAAGAAGGAAGTATCTGATGAAAAGGCACCTGCAAGTCTAAAGTCCTCTTTGGTGAGAACACTGTACATCCGCTGAGGCAGAGCTTTGGAGTAGGGAGCAGGGCGCGGCACAGTGGTGCGCAAAATGAATTCCCGGCCAGCAGGGGGTGGGAAGTCTGACACGGAGTTCTGCCTTCTTTCCTCTGGGGAGCCCATTCTCTTCAATTCCTCCTCTGGTGGAGTCATAGCTGCAGCCTGGAAAAGAATCAAATGCTAAAGTCAAAAGCAGGTCAAATGCTAAACTCAGATGCTTTTGAAGGACAGATGAATTAACATAATAAAGATATGAAAATGTCCCACGTTACTCAGTAATGCAGTCAGCTATATGTTAAGATTACTCAAAAACCACATAACACAGCAAATGCAAGAAGCTTGAGACACTGCATGAGCAGCCGGGCTGGAGACAGACAGGAGGGATGATGACTGCCAGGCAATCTGCTCTGAAGAGAGAAGGCCATATTTACACATCTGATGAAAAAGGACCTCGGAGCTGTGCTGCTTTCTATGTTTCTTCCAGCAATGACCCAAGTCTACGTCTGACAGCCTCAGTCCAGTAAGGAGCTGTTTTTCTCCAGAGTGAAAAGATGATTTTCATCTTGACTCTGGGTAAGAATTTTTTAATCGATTCTTTTTAAGGTTCACTTGCCAAATTAAAAGTGGGGGCATTGGTCTTGCTTGCTGGGCAGCTAATGTGATGCCGAAGTGATAGAGGCCCATATAGCAATGACCACAAAAGAGAAGTTCGCAATATTAAAGGCATCTATTTTTTCATTGAAATGACATAAAATGCATGTTCATTTACAGCCTACAATTTTAATTCTGATTACTGTACTTTTTTTAATACCATCAATTTGGGAAAAAAAATTGTTTTGGCAATGGAAACATGAAATCATGTTGCGCTAAACATCAGCAAGGTAGGTAAGCCAAATCCAGACTGTGAGAGAGGTGGTTAGTGTTAATGACCTTATGAAATTAGAGGGATGGGAAGGAACAAGGAACTATGAGGGGCAAAGGCTATTTTGTTACCTCATCAGAAGATTCAGTCAGCTTGAGAAGGGGTAAGAAAAGAAACAGTGATGAAAGGGAAACAAGCAAGATGGTTTAAATAGGGCTAGACAAGGGAGTTCAGGATTATTTCAAAGACAGTATGCACTACATTATGGAACATGATCCTATCAAAAGAATATTCAAGACAAAGTCACACCAAACACAGCACACCCAGCTGTCAACTACAGCAGACATCTACTACTACTCATGCATCCATGGCTCAACAGGTGACATATGATGTCATTTAATGGGAGAAATGAACAACAAAAACCTAGCTCTTTTACTGGGAATTATGATGCAAAAAAAAAAAAAAGTGTTCATGGCTTGAAAAATAGAATTTAGGAATAGGTGCCTAACAGTTATTCAATCTAGCAAGTCTGAAGCGAAATCCAGTCAGTCATTTATTTGCTGAATTCCATTTAAGTATGTACATACCAGAGATACCTATAATCATGATAAGGCTTATTACTATTTATAATTTTAAAGAAAAGTTATAAATATATAGAATTACTATAAGCTATAAAAACACCAAGTGAAATTACATCACAACTTTTTAAAAAAATGTGTTAAAATCTTGACTAATTAGTAAAATTGATATAAAGTATCAGCTAATGAAAAGTTACATGAATAAATTCTAACAGTTTACTTCAGCCAGACATTTAAAACTGAGTTTAAAAATGTACCAACCAGATGCTTGTTATATGTATTACACAGTCTACCAATTCCCTAAAAACATTCACTACAAGGTCTGAAAACTTTAAAATCTTTTCTTAAATGACATAATGTAGATGGATGTACAATTTCAGTAGCCATTAAGGGGGTTAGCTATACAATGAGGCTACTGAAAGATGATATACTATGTTCCTGTATTTAGTGATTTTGAAAGATATCTTAAGTATATTAAGTGGAAAACAAGAATAATGAAGTAATTATATAATATAACCCTACTTTTAAAATTATATATACATATGTATATACTAGATGTTAAATCATCAATGGGTAGTGAGATTATGTGATTAATATTTTCTTATAATTTTCTAGGCCAGGTGTGATAGCTCACACACACCTATAATCTCAGCACTTTGGGAGGTTAAGGAAGGAGAATTGCTTGAAACCAGGAGTTCTAGATAAGCCTGGGCAACAAAGTGAGACCCCGTCCCTACAAAAAATATAAAAATTAACTGGGCGTGGTGGTGCATGCCTGTGGCTCCAGCTTCTTGGGAGGTTGAAGCAAGAGGATTGCTTAAACCTAGGAGTTCAAGGCTGCAGTGAGTTATGATCTTGCCACTGTACTCCAGCCTGGACCACAGAGTGAGACCCTCTCTTTAAAAAATGAATAAATAAATATAAAAGTTCCTATATTGTCAAAGTTTTACTTGCAGTCAGTAGAGGGGGTAAGGAGGTTATTTCTATTTTGGGGAAAATAATTTTGCTTAGTTATCTAAAATAAGTAACAATCTCAGGACTAAAAATATAAATACTTCACATTTTAAATCCTCTTAACACATAACTTTTTTTTTTTTTTTGAGATGGAGTTTTATCACCCAGGCCGGAGTGCAGTGGCATGATCTCAGCTCACTGTAACCTCTGCCTCTCGGGTTCAAGTGATTCTCCTGCCTCAGCCTCCCAAGTAGCTGAGATTACAGGTGCTCACCACCACGCCCAGCTAATTTTTGTATTTTTAGTAGAGAAAGGGTTTCACCACATTGGCCAGGCTGGTCTTGAACTCCTGACCTCAGGTGATCCACCCACCTCAGCCTCCCAAAGTTACAGGCGTGAGCCACCGCACCCAGCCAACATGTCACTTATTAAAAATGATCAAAGAGGAAAGAATTTTTGCAATATGAGGAACATTCATATTGGTAGCTAACAAGGAAATGCGCTTGTAAGCTTCTGGGTAGTGAACTGGATAGATATTATCAGATGTGGAACCAAACTCGGTTCTTGTTTTCATGCCAGAGAGAAAAACAAAATAAATCAAAGCAAGCATCTATTGTTTGCTAGAAGTCTAATTTATAAGGAAATAAATATTTGGTTATTAATTTGAAATTCTGAGGTTTAGGGAGCTGCCCCATAAACAAACTCAGATTTTAGCTCTTGCTAAGAATTCCTATCAGTGTATTTGGCTATGAATTTGAATATATTAACTAGTTGTACTCCAGACCAACTCTACAGGGATTATCCAGTTGTTATTCCACGTGTAGACACATAGAAATTCTTTTTCTTATTTGTTTCTGAAAATTACACTCTCAAAACTGGGTCATTCTAGTGTAATCACAGTGCCATATAAGGGGAAGCGTGTAATTAGTGCACATAACGCCTTTATCAGAATCCCTAATATTAATGAGCCCTGAACTGAGAATTATCTGTAGGATGCCAGAGCCCTTAGCCAGTAACCAAGATACAATATAATTTTAAAATCTTTACTTTCACTACTAGAGGTAATGGTTATGATAATTTTTCAAACTGGGCTTTCTTTCTGTGCTGAAATCTGTTTCCACAGCCCTAAAAATCTGAAGTTTTCCTCTTCTTTTCTAGGAAACCTCAAAGGTAGATCTCCTCACCATTACAAGAACAATTATATTTATAATTCAAGCTGAGTTGTGACTCCACTTTGCCCTACATGGGGTTTAAAGATGGTAAAACTGAACTCCATTCTCATTTGAAAGTACCTGTGAGTAAACATTTTTTCCCACAGCACAGCACTGGCCATTGCTAACTGACTCCCTGCCAGCTTCTATAACAATGGATTTTGGACTCTTCTAATTTTTAAAATTTAGGTCCTAGAATATACTTATCATTTTAATTCAACATGTAAGAAATCAAATGGATTTCGAAGACTCAGAAGTCATTGTTTCTTCAGTGTTCAAACCCAATGCCCAGACTTACACTCAGGTGACATGAGTGTGATCAGCCACGTGTGGGAACTAAAACAGCCTCTTCCCAAGTAGAGGTTTGGAGAGATTATGATGGAGTCAATAATGACTCTCACATACCCTCTGGGCATTCACAAACAGCTTGTGAATGATCCTGCCAGCATGTCCTCTTCCTGCACCGGTGACTAACACTTCAGGCTGCTCCAGCAGGCAACTCACAAACCTAGGAGACAGAGACAGGCAATGAAAGGGTGGAAAGTGAGCTGTCCAGGCCACTGGGCGTCCATCCTCCCACAGGAGTTTTGTGGACAAATCCTCAAGCTGATACTGGCTAAACCCAACAAGGTTGGAGTGAAATTTTACAGCAAGATAAGATTGACATTTGGAATTATTATCGACTTAACTGACAATCTTCCTGCTTTTTCACCTGTGCTCATAAAAAATGTTTAAAGCCTATCTCTGTCAAAGTGTAAGAAAAAATATTCAGTCTATTTTTTTCAGACTAGAAGCTTAGAAAATGCTACAGTTAATAAAAGATGAAAAAAAAATTGTATAATATAAACCAAGTTATATTTATCCAATAAAAGCAATGATCCATATTTGTTTTTGTTTTTTTTAAGGGGTATGTGTCTGTGTGTGCACGCACACGTGCACATATGCTTAAAATACTTGTGTTGGGCAAAGTCGCAATTGTAAACTGTGCCATTAGATGCTGGAAACACTGAACTTCCAAGTATGTCACAGATAACGTATGGTGGAACTAACAGAGTTGAAGGCACAAAGCCACCAAACCTGCACCACCTGCTCACTAATTCATACTCTACTATTTTAGAAACGAGTCCCTTGATTAGAGCTTATTCTTCTCATTTAAAAGGAAGACATTTTCAAGAGCAAAGCAGTGTGGGAGAAAACTTCACCTAACAAAAGACATAAAATTCAAACACAAACTTGTTAAAAGACAGCAAATGCCTTGCCATACAATATTAATTATTTAGCATCAATAATGCCATTTATTATGGAAAGGCTAATGAAAATTTTTAAATGATGACAAATTTAAGCCACTGAACAAGCTAATTTGTGAACACTTTATCACACATTAAAACAATATTGTCCTTCCAAATAACATGGGCAAAAAATGAACAGGGCCTCACACTGATCTAAGCTCCATTGGTAATGGTGCCGAGTCTCATAAAGAGAATGCCCCAATCATTTGCTTCATCTGAGAAAAGCCATCTGGTCAATCTTTCAAAACATAATCGCAAGGCACATAGGATGTGCACCTTTGCTATCACAAATCTTGTTTAAAATAAACAACTAGGAACAGTAAGCAGAAATGGTTTCAGCACCTGCACCCTGTGGTCAAGGAATAGTAACAGCTGAAAACAAAGTTTTGGGGCAGGGTGAGCAACACAGTTAACAGCTCCTCCACAAGAAATTCCAGACACCACATCTCCAAGAGCAAACCAAGGAATCCCTAGAAAAGGAGGCTCTGGGAGACTGTTTCTAAAAGTGGGAAGAATGGAAACACCTGGTAGAGACTCAGAAATACGGGAGAGGTCAAATGCTATGATAATTATTTCTGTCTCTAGACAATGCTTGTTTCAAATAATATATGATTACCACAAAAGAGTCTTAATATCCTATTACAATTTTTCTTAAGAGAGTGGTGGCTTTTCCTACTGCAGACAAAACTGAATTAGCCAAATAGCAATTACCTTTCAAGATCTTCCTTTTCCTCCTCCTGTTCACATTTCTCAGTTCCAAACTTGGCTTTTAGTGACCGAGCTCTGGCAATGAGAGCTTCCACATTAGTAATCTGGTGAATGATTTCCTGGCGGTAGAAAAGGAAGAGGCATACATTGCGAGATGGCAAAAAAGCAAAGCCCTTTGAAAACGCATCTTAAAAATTATTTTTGCCAACTGAGGAGAACACTTGGCAAGATTCTGACACTACATCAAACTTACTTCCAATTTCTTGTCTTCTGGATTGGGGAAGTGCAAAACTTTACTGGAATGGGATATTATCTGCTTTATGATCTTCTTAACTGAAGAAATGTTTTCGAGACTTTCTATTTTAGAAAAGATTGAAGCCAGCATTAAATAAATTAAGCAAAATATACTTTCACTTTGGAAATGACTAATGACTAGTTAAATATGACATTTACCTTCTTCCTTTACCTTGAGTACAGCTGCATGAATCACACAAGGTAACAGGTGCCGAGCAAGGTCTGCAGGTTTCTGGATTGCCAGATAGTGCAGCACCTGAAGGAGGTGCAGCGCACACAAATGATCAGCGCAGGTGTCAAAGGATGAAGCAGCCACTTACAGAAGTGCAAATCCTCAGCCACTCATCTTAATCCTTAACAAGACAGCACTCCAGATAGGCAGCCACGACCCCAAAGGTGAGGATAATGTTACTGAAAGCACCTAAGAACTTCAATCTTTAATAATTATAAATATTCTATTTTTTTCTGCTTTCTTATGTAATACACACAAATAAGGAAAATACAAAGAAAATAAAAACTACCGACTGATTACAATACCAAGAGAAAACAACCATTGACAGTGGAGCATTTTCATTTTAAGACGCAGAATACACGTACTAAGGGCACTAATATTAAATATGTAAAATACTGCCTTTTAACCTGCTTTTCTCACTTAATATTTCTAAACATTGTTAGTGACTTCCCACACATTTTTTGGTTTTAGTTGTTTTGGTTTATTTTTTTTCCAATTCTTATTATAAGAATACAGAGAAGTATGTACAAAACATGGACCCTACCTTTAGGCTCCTTATTCAACAGTAAAGATAAAAGAAGTATAACCCTATAAATATGTACAATTCTTTTACATCAATAAAAATTTTAAGAAGTATAATCTCATAATGTGAGTCTGACTGATAAATGCTCATGGATTTCAAAATTTTAAAAAAAATACAGGTGATGCAGAAATTTTCCTGAAATCCTACTTCCCCAAAACCACATTTTCGTGTTTATCCTCTCAAACTACTTGTATGTCCATTTAAACACAAAAATGTAGATGCATATGTAATTTCTTAACAAAAATTAATAACTTACATACTGTTTTATTATTTGCTTTATTTAATGACTTGTGGTGGACTTTTTTTTGGCTTAGAGAGTTTTGTCTGATTTGAAACTTTTTTTAAATTAAGAAATATACATACTAGAGTATTAGAAATAGTTTAAAGAAAACACCAGCTTAGGAAACAGAATGTTACCAGGCTTTTCCAAGTCCTCCTGTGTACCCTCCATCCCCAGAATTAACTACAAATCATTCTTTTGCTTTTCTTTATGGTTTTTTTCACATATGTAGCCTTAAATAATATATTGTTTACTTTTGTCTAGTTTTAACCTTTATATTAATGGAGTGTTTCTGTTTATAGCCCTCAGTGACTTGCTTTTTTTCATTCAGTATTTTGATATTCGTATACCATTCCAATATGCTATAGTTTACTCATTTTCACTGCTGTATTAAAATGTTCCTACACTAATAGTAGTGGATAGCTCCTCAGTTTTTGGCTATTACAAATGATGCTCCTATTACATTATTGCACATATTTCCTGGTGCAAATGGGACATGTACAGCAATTACTTTAGGATATATACCTAACAATTGAACTAGGAAATGTACAACATAATTATCCTACAAAGTGTTTCAACAGATTTACATTCTTATCTAGAGTAATGAGTTCCCTCTGTTGTACATCCTTGCTAATACCCACCTTTCTGAATTTTGTTTTCCCCTGATTCACAGAAAAACAAATTTGCAGGAATAACGTGAAATATGTGATTCCCCTTTACCTGGATTCACGTATGACCTGTCTCCCTCCTCTGTTCTGGATCCCTTGCATCTTTCTCTGCTTTCATGTGTGTACATACTATAGACATAAACTTGTTTCGAATAATTTCAGAATAAGTCGCACACTCATGTCCCTTATCCCAAAATATCTGTATTTCCTAAAATTAAAAATATTTTATTATATAATCAAAATGCAAATGATTCTGATTATATACAATAAATTTAACACTGATAAAAATAATTGTAATCTAACCTACTATCTTTATTGCAGTTTTGTCAACTGATCCCATATGTGTCTTTTTTTTTTTTTTTTTTTTTTTTTTGAGACAGGGTCTTTCTCTGTTGGCCCAGACTGGAGTGCAGTGGTGCGATCTTGGCTCCCCACAACCTCCGCCTCCCAGGCTCAAGCGATTCTCCTGCCTCAGCCTCCTGAGTAGCTAAGACTACAGGCACATGGCCACTACTGCCCGGCCAATTTTTGTATTTTTAGTAAAGACGGAGTTTCACTATGTTGGCCAGGCTGGTCTCGAACTCCTGACCTCAAATTATCCACCTACCTCAACCTCCCAAAGTGCTGAGATTACAGGCATGAGCCACCGCGCCCGGCCGCAAAATGTGTCTTTTATGACCCTTTCCCTCAACCACTACAAGTCTTGGTAAGGATCATCCATTGCCTTTAGTTATCATAGCTCTTTAATCTCAACTAATCTGCAACAGCTTTTCACTCTGTCTTTTATAACATTGGCATTTTGAGTATAGTTTCCTCTTCCTCCCTACTTTTTGGCTAACTAAAATTCCATACTGTATTCAGATTTCCTTAGTTTCTAAAAATTGAGTTATAACTCACATACCATAAAATTCACCACTTTAAAATGGATAACTTCAGTGGTTTTTAGCATATTTGCAAGGTTATGTTACCATCACCATTATCTAATTCCAGAATATTTTCTTTCATCTCCCCCAAAAGAAACCCAGTACCCCAAAGCAGCCACTCCTGATTTCCCCCATTCCTAATCTCCACTGCTGCCAACTACTAATCTAACTTACTGTCTCTATGGACTTGCCTATTCTGGTCCTTTCATATAAATGGAACGACGCAACATGCAGCCCATTGTTTTCTGGCTGCTTTCACTGAGCATAATATTTTCAAGATTCACCCATGTTGTAACACATATCAGTGCTTCATTCCTTTTTATGGCTGAATAATACTCCATTGCATGGACAGACCATATTTGTCTTATCTGTTCATCACTGACAGACATTTGGGTTTGTTCCATTTTTTGGCTGTCATGAATAATGCTGTCAGCATGTATGTATGTACGCGGTTTCCTTAGTTTTTATCTAATGTCATTTTCCTGTTCCAGGATCCCCTTCAAGATACCACATTATGTTTAGCTGTCATGTTTCTAGGCTCCCTTGGCTGTGACATTTCTCAGGTTTTCATTGTTTTTACTGACCTTGACAGTTTTGAGTTCTGGTCAAGTATTTCATAAAAACTCCCTCAATTATGGTTTATCTGATGTTTTCCTCATGATTAAGCTGGGTTATGTATTTCTGGGAGGAAGACCAGAGAGGTAAAGTGCCACTGTCATCACATCATGTCAGGAGTACATACCGCCAGTATGGCTTAGCCTGTGGATGTTAACCTTCACCACCTGGCTGAGACAGTGTCAGTCGGGCTGCTGCACTGTAACATCACTCCTTTCCCCTCTCTGTGCACTGTACTCTCTGGGAGGAACACACTATGTGCAGCACACACTTACAGAGTGGGAATTAGCTTCACCTCCTTGAGGGTGGAGTATCTATATACATTTAGAATTCTGCACAGGGGATTTGTCCCTTCTATCCCATTAATTTATATATCCAATCAATTATTTATACCAGTATGAACTCAAGGATATTTATTTTGTACTCTGAGTTACAATCCAATATTATTTTATTTTGGTGTTCAAATTGTTCCAGTCTTGGCCAGTTGGGAACTCTTTCAGTTGGCTCCTGTGTCTTTAATATGCCCCCAAACTTCTGCAAATTTTTCTTTTTTCAAAATCTTTTTAAAATAGAATGTTCCTCATTTTGGGTTCATCTAATGTTCCCTCACAATTAGACTAAGATTTTACATTCCTGAACCAAATGGCATGTTAAGTGGTGTTGGGTCCATCAGAGTATCATAGCCCAATGTGTACGATCTCCATTTACTCCTCATTGGTGATGTTAATTTGGAGATACTGTCCTATTTCTCCACTTTCCTTGCAATGCAGAAGCACTCTATAGAGAAACACTTAAAAATCATGCAAGATGATGCTCTTCAATTTTCCACCTAGACTTAATATTCATGATTCTTGGTGAACCAATCCTTACTATGAACATGGTTGCAAAATGAAGACTTCCAACTCCAACATATCCTCTACATTTACCACTCATCTTTGCTCTGTAGGAAATGACTTCCCCTTTCCCCTAGTTGTTTATCCATTAATTATCAATATGGTTCCAAGAATTCCTATTTTTTCCAACGGTTTATAATCATTCCTGTCCTTAAATATTTACAACTCAAAATTGTCCCAGATTTGGCCAATGTGAGTCCTTTCAAGTTAGCTCTCTATGAAATGCCCCCATCTTTTTTTAAAGCACTTCCTTAGTGTCGAGCAATCCAGGATGTTCCAGGTTCATCTTGTACCTTCCTTGCCTCAATCTTGAAATCAGTCATTTTTCTGAGGAAAGCATGGTTACTAAATGTCTAAAAAAAGGAATGTGTAAAAAAAAATCAAGCTATGTGTGCTCACTGCTATGAGGGTGTCAGTGCTTCTAGACTCTTTCAGAAGAAAGCCAGGGAATGTTTGCTTGTGTATATACATATACACAAATAGTTACTATGTCCATACCCACATACCTATCCATATTTTAAAAACTCGTAAGTCCACACCAATACCTCCAATTCCAATTCATTGCCACTGCGTTCTTCCTTGCCTTCCTTTATTTCATATTTGCATCTCACTTCCACAGTAAGAAATTCTGGCTTCCAACACCACCAACATATTTAGTTACTCACTTCACCCAACCAATAATACATCTAAAAGAGTTTCACAATTGCTGTACCCGTATCATTACAAAAACCAAGCTTAGATAATAATAGGGTTCAAGATTGTTTTTGTTTTTTTTTTTTTTTTTTGAGATGGATTCTCACTCTGTCACCCAGGCTGGAGTGCAGTGACACGATCTCGGCTCACTGCAACCTCTGCCTCCCAGGTTCAAGCAATTCTCCTGCCTCAGCCTCTTGAGTAGCTGGGATTACAGACGTGTGCTACCACCCCCAGCTAATTTTTGTATTTTTAGTAGAGATGGGGTTTCACCACATTAGTCAGGCTGGTCTCGAACTCCTGACCTCAGGTGATCTTGCCTCGGCCTCTCAAAGTGCTAAGATTACAGGCATGAGCCACCAGCGCCTGGCCTCAAGATTTTTCTTGCAGTCCCATCCCCCACCACAACTGACAGTATACAGTCAAACACATTTGATGTGTCGATAAATCACTTGGATTAGATTTTCCATCCTCCCTTCACCAATCCCCGTCGGTGTGGTTATGTTACTCATTTAAAATACAGCTGGATTAATGTATCTCAACTTGCTTTCAGGTTTATTTTTCCTCTTTCCATTCTTGTTATTTTTTTGGAATAAGTAAAGCATAGGCTAGCACAGTGGCTCACACTTGTAATCCCAACACTTTCGGAAGATGAGGCAGGAGAATTGCTTCAGGCCAGGAGTTTGAGATCAGCCTGAGCAACACAGTGAGATCTAATCTCTATAAAAAATTAAGAAAAATAATTAGTTGGGCATCATGGTGTTCACCTGTAGTCCTAGCTACTAGGGAAACTGGGCCAGGAGAATCACTTGAGCCTAGGAGTTTGAGGGCTATCTTTCTGTTGTTCAAGTGTGTTTTTGAGGAGCGTTTTGTTTTCTTCATTAAGATTTCAAATATTTTCTGTTAAGTATTTTACTTTCCCCTTATAATGAAAATTATATTTAGATCTTCTAAATGGTTATTAGTGTATATGAATGCTACTGATTACTGTATGTTAACTATATATCATGCTGCCTTCCTGGATTCTTTTGTTTTTATTAGTTTTAACATTGACTTTTTGAATTTTTCCAAGTATAGAGTCATACCACTGCAAACAGAGTTCTTCTTTCAACTCCCATGCCTCTGCTTTCTCTTGCTAATTACACTAGCTAATACCTGCAGAACAATTTTGATTGGCAGTGGAGATGTCAGGCATCCTTGCTTTGTTCCTGACCTTAGTGACCCCTAAGGCTTCCCAAATTAAGATGCTGTGTTTAGGACTAAAGTTTCTATATATTTTCTGATTTTAAGGAAGTAGCCATCTATTCCACTCTTTTCCCAAGAGTTTTAAGTTAAATTTATCAAAAGTTTTTTCAGCATAAATAGAGATACAATTTTCTACTTAAATCTATTAAGGAAGCAAATTATATAAACAGACTTCTAAATAATCATCCTCATATTTGATCAACATGTATTGTTTTCTTAAAATGATATTAGAGTCTGTTTACTTCCGATTTTGCATTAAATTTCTTAAGTATTACTGGTCTGCTATTTTTAAAAATATGCTATCTTTACCAGGTTTAGGTACCAATGTTATAGTTGCTTCACAGAGAGAAGTTGGAAAATTTCCTCCAATTATTATGTGTTGAAATAATTTATGTAGCATTGGAACTATATGGTTTCTTGATATTTAGTTGAATTTCCCTGTGAAACCATCTGGGCCTGGTTCTTTTTAATGTGGCAGTTCCTTGATAATTGTCTCTATGAAAATTTGTCTGTTTATACTTTCTGTTTTTACTGGGGGTAGTTTTGATATACATTATATTTTTGGTAGGAATTTCCCTAGGAAATTGTCTAATTCAACTTGATTTTCAAATTTACATACACAGAGATGTGCAAAGTAGTATTTTTAACACATTTCCTCTGTATCAGTAGTTACTAATATGTGCCCTTTTTGTCATTTATTATTTTATTATATATATGTGCTCTCCCTTTTCTTGATTAAATTAGCTAATGGCTTCTCTATTTTGTTGATTTTAAAAGAACTAGATTGAACTCATTAATTTCATCTGTTTTGTGTTCTCTACACTCTCTCCTTTTCATTTGCTTCCTTTTGTTTTCTTTTGATTTGACTTTTTTTCTAGGGTTTTTAGTTAGGAATTTAATTCATTTATTTTCATCCTTTTGTTTTTACTGATACAGGGCTATGAAAGTTCCTTTCATCAATTTCTTAAGTATAGCCTATAGGTTCATATGTTTTCATCCTCATTGTTTTTCAAAAATTCTGTACTTTCAATTTGTATTTTCCCCTTTCACCCATATTGTTTAATAGAAAGTTTGTATTCCACTAATTTTCTAGCCTGAGTGGTAGGCTATACCATCTGGGTCTATGTGAGTACACTCTATGATGTTCCCATGATAACAAAATTGCCTAATGAGGAGCTTCTCAAAACGTATCCTCTTTGTTAAGCCATAGGGACTGTATTAGTTCTGTCTTAGTATTCTGATTTTTCTCCTTAAAGGAAACTAATGAATTGCATATTCTGACTTTTCTTATCTTTCATTTATACTACTTTCTCTTCAATTCCTTTTACTCCTATATCTCATTTTCATTTTCTGGGCTCTTTTCCCACTTTTCTTCAATGCCCTTTATAAAATTTAAACTTGGGCCTCTTGTAATTTAGTCTTCATTTTTTATATGGTTTTCTTTTTTCTTTTACTTCTATCCTGAGCTAAATCAGTTGTGGTTTCATTTCTTTGTGGGGTTTTTTGGTCCATCTCTGTTCTTGATTTTAGTATTTCTGATTAAACATGGTTTTTTCATATCCTCCTTAACTGTTTGAGGATATCTGATTCAGTTTGGAATGTTATGTTACAATTTTCTTCTGCTTTGTGACTGATTTTCTGGGAAATATTTTCATTACCTGAAATGAGCTGATTTGCATTTTCTGTTTTGTAAAGTAGTTTTATATGGATGTGGTCTGTTCTCTTCTATTCCTAGTAATATCACAAATAGCTTCAAAGTGCCCTCTTCTGAAGTTTCTTTAATGGATAGAGGGAGATGAGGGAGGCTGGTTGTCTTGTTTTTCTTTCATTTCCGCAAGATCCTTAATTTTCCCCTCTTATTTCCTTTTTCTCATCATTCCCATCCACTCCTTCTTTGTATATCTGATTTTCTCCAAGGCTCCATTTCTAGCCCTGTTTACATTCAAGTCCCTTCCCTGTGGCAAGTGCTGTGAACTAGCAAACCCTACCTGTGTTCAGTGTTTTGGCATGTAGTGTTAGGCTCTCTCTTTCTGGGGTGACTTTGTGTTTCATCTAAGTCTTCTGTATCTCTTGGCTCTTTTTCTTTTCCTGCCCCCTACTCAATATATCTGCAAAGACTGAGAGCAGTGGGAGCTCCACTGGAATTTGGCTTATTTCTCTATTTACTGTTAATTTGAAGGTCATTGCAATTTCTATCTCTTAGTAATGCTGAATGCATGGATTTATTTACTTATTGATTTCACGGGATTTTCTTGGGGGGGTGGAGGAGGTAGGAAGGTGTGCAGGGCAATTAAATATCAGGCAGGTGCCACTATATTCTCCATAACTCCAAATGTTTTTTAATAGCTGCTGTAAAGCTGGCCACTAATGGATATACCATAATTTATTGAACCAAGTCCCTGTTGTTGGAAACTTTGGTTGTTTCTACTTTTTCACTTAAGAACTTTGTTGAACATCATTTATATACATAGATCTTTGTATATTTCTCATTATTTCCTTAAAAAATGTTTTGGTGATAGAACTGCTAGCTCAAAGGACATACCCATTTTTAACACTTTTAACATATACTGTGAGACAGTTCAATGGTAAGCAGTCTGTTTAAACTATGCATGCCTATTATTTGCCCTATTTGCAACTAGTTCTAGAATCTTAAATGTGAATAGTAGATATATAAAACGCTCATTGAATTTCAATGCTTTGCACCTCAAGTGTGTCCAAAACTCTCACGTCTATGACAGTGAGTTCCTAAATCATAAGAACAGTAATTTGCATTCTAGTATTAGAGACTCAAACCTCAATTACCTTTTCTGCTTCCCGTGTATCATCAAAGAGTCTCCTTTGCCTTCTAGCAGGAATTGGCTTAGCTGTTTCCCAGGCTTCTACCCACATATTGCTTGGAATCTTCATCCGGGCACTCAGTTCTCCTTTCAGCACCACATTGCCCTTTTCATCAATCACCTCCTCTTCAATATAATCCCGGGGTGAATACCACCTCACAAAATCTTCCAGGGAGCAACCTGGATTAGCTGCCTAAAATAAGACAAAAAAATTCAGCAGAATCAAATGAAAATCAACAGTTACTGATAAGCCTGTTTGCAAAATTGTATTTTCAAAAAAAGCCTATCTAATCTTTACAATCTAATATGTAAAATGAATTTGGATGTCACCTTTAAAATAGGTCAGATGTTAAAGTATCAAAAGCATTTTATTTTTATTTTCTCAGCTTTATAGAAAAAGAAAACATTTTCATTTAATGAATTTGGATATAAAAACTCGATGTAAAGAGAAAATCATTTCTTAAACACATTATGTGTTATATAACTTAGTAATGAAAACACTTTCATTCAATGAATTTGGATATAAAAACTCGATGTAAAGAGAAAATCATTTCCTTAAACACATTATGTGTTACACAGCTTAGTTTCATATTACAGTATAATAACTACTCAATACTAAGAAAAGTAAAAATTAAATAATACACCACATGATCAGAATAACACAGTGATGGAAAAGTTCTGTTCTTCTTTTCCTCAATAAATCAATACTGGTTCTGCAATAAATGTCAGCTAACCTCAAAACTGTTCTATTCTGCCATCAAATTCTTGTACTTTATATAACAAATTACCATCAAATTAATTGGTTTTGTGCTGTTAACGAGTTGGAATTCAAACTACTGTTTTTCAGGCTTCTGGAACCAAACTGATTAAAGTTTTACTCAGTGGATAGTTCTATAGAATTAATGATGATGTATGCCAAAAACCTTTCAGTGATTCTAACTTCAAGCTTGGAAAAAAAGACGAGGCTTCCCAGTGTTTGTGGTAAGGCACAGAGGTCTTTCTACAAGTGTTCCAGTGATGTACTAGTAGAGTCCTAAGGATGGGCATGAAAACTACCATGATGAGAATGTTCTGTCTTAAATGTGAAGAGTAAAACTACCAGTTTCTCCTCACTGAGCTCAAGGGCTACCAGCATGACCATCCCTACCATCTTAGGATATACCCCTAAGGGCATATCCCCTAGAAGATCCTTCACTGACTGTCAACAACACAAATGTAAAAGGGTTATGATACGGTCCATGGCAAAAGCAGTGGGTCAAGATTATTTCATGATACTGGGTGACTCAGGATTCATGTACAAAGATCTAGATCTTAATCAGTTAACATCATACCCACATGAAAACATCCTAGGAAACCAGAGGCCCAGAGTAAAGAGCATAAACTTCAAAAGAAAATAATATTCACTCATACACTATAGATTATATTGAAGAAAGGCATTTCATACCAAAATTCTTCTTTCTGGTTGTCCTTACTATACTAGGCTGAACATAGCTACCAAGAGAAGGCCAAGGTTCACTTGAGCTTATCTTCTCTTTACTGTTAAAGGTATGTACCACAAGGGCATGCTCCAGAATCCACCCTCTCCTTCTGGAACTCTGAGGTGTAGGTGTAGGTGCCCAGGCACATATTAGTATGCTTCCAATGCTCTGGGGACTCTCAAGAGCCCCTAACTCATCCCTATACAAAAAGTAAAGGCAACCATATCTATTTTAGAATAACTACATATTTCCTTAAATGTATTATCTGATTTCTACATATGGGTGTATATGTAAGTTGACTATTTAAATTACTGTCTATTTTCTGGTTAAAACAATGTCATGTAAGATTTGCAGGTACCCAGGTTAGCCCAAAATAGTCTAATGAATCACAGTTTTGCTGAAGTGCAGTGTTAGAGGAACTATATAGAACTTTACCAAGAAGGAGTAGTATGTTTCCATGGGGAAAAACTTCCGTAGTTCCTATTTGGAATGTCCTCCCGTGCATGCCTCTGCAAAGACACTGCAGCAGGACAGGGAAAGATGACTCTGAAGGCAGCTAGAGGTCAGATGGAAAATTACTGCTGCGGAGGCTGGTATTTCCTGCTGTGCACACACACCTTAAGCCAATTCCCTTCTCTACCTTTTGGTTTGACATGTGCCCCAAGAGCCAACTGGCTTCTCTTTATCCACTGTACCAACTATTTGTTTTAAAGCAACTCCTCTGTTTCTTGTCACATGGCAGTATAGAACTTGCAGATTTTCTGTATCATTTTAGTCTCCAAGGAAAACATATAGCTCTTAAGAGGTTCACTAAAGATGTTTTTCATTTAGAAAAGATGGGTAAAATAAGCAGGAAACAAAAGGCTCCCTTTTATTGTCACTTAAATCTGCTAGCAAAAAAGGATGAAAGTGGCATAGGTGTTTGTGGAGTGTTTATGTTTAAAAATAATACACAGGTGTTTCAGAGAAAAATCAAACTCACACTGGCCTAAACAGTACAGAAGCAGGACTGAGTAGGGGATATGGATTGGCAAGGTGGAGGCCACCACAGGTTAAATAAAGAGGGAAGTCTGCGCCTGGGGATAGTTCAGAGTATCAGCAGTAGGAAAGGAAGCCCTGTAGCCCATGGGGCTACCCACTTGGGGTTTTAACATATACGTGGACTTGCCTTTGCTTTCAAAAATAAAAGTCCTTTCTTCATTCCTAGTTTTTAAGCTAATAAGCCAAATGTCACCATTCCCTGAATCCTGTATGTTCGAAATACAGACCTGTATCTAACCCTAAAATATTCTTCAGATAGCAAATGCCTACTCATCTGAAATAGTGACTCTTCTGAGAAACCTTTCATGACCTACTCAGCAGAGTCAGTCTTTTTGACCCTGCCTCCATAAGAGAACTCATGACAGTTCCTTACATATCTCCTCCCACAACCTCAATCAACTGTAACTGAGGGTAAACACTGTATTTCTTAACTCATCTAGTCACAGTGCAAGGTACACAATAGGCACTCAAAAGTTCATTGAGTGAAGTGACCCATGTTAAATCCTAAGTTTCCTAAAAGTCTTCCATTAAATTGGCTGAACACAAACAAAGAAACCACTCCAATTCACATATAGAAATGATTCTATTCTCAACTTTCAACTATTAATAATACTAGATCTTTGCTTTTTTAAAACTTAAGAAACAAGTTTGACTATGTCCTCTGGGGGGATGGTGGCAGAGTGTTGAACTACTAATGAAATCCAAACACTTAACAAAAAGACATTCAGGCCTTTATACCACTTTACAGAGTGATTTTCACAGTTTCATCCCAGAATAGCTCAAAATAGACCCCAGAGCTCTGCAAGTGTGACCCACCTTAAAAGACTCCATATCTGAGAGCAGACAGGCACTCTGCATGCGTGCTCGAAGGTGAGCCCCCTCTGCCGATGTACCTAATTTAGCTAAAACTTCAGACTGCTCTTCTAGCAGATCTTCTGTCATAGGTGCTGGTTCCTGTGAAGCACAAAAGGACAAGGCTCATAAACAGCCCTTTTTAGAAAAAGAAGTACCATAAAAATAGAATAAAGACAACAGTCATTTCAGCTATAGCAGTCACAAGATGAGTATTTTTAAAAATTCAGAGAAATGCATAAGTTTTTTAGAACTTACATAAAAAAGAATTAAGAAAAATAAATACCACTTTCAGGCCTCCTCCCCCTCACAGATAAGATTACCATGTTTCCCTTGACAAGGATTGATAGTAAAAGACAGAGGAATTTGGGTCCACTGAGCAACATTTTCCTGCCTATTAGTGATAAAGAAATGAAGTCCTAATGATATTATTATATATGTCATCACTAGCTGCAACAAAATTTTAATTATAAGTAATAGAAATGGTTTGATATAGAAATAATTGCTCTAACAGGGCCAGGCACGGTGGCTCATGCCTGTAATCCCAGCACTTTGGGAAGCCAAGGCGGGTGGATCATGAGGTCAGGAGATCGAGACCATCCTGGCTAACACGGTGAAACCCTGTCTCTACTAAAAATACAAAAACAAAATTAGCCAGGCATGGTGGTGGGCACCTGTAGTCCCAGCTACTCAGGAGGCTGAGGCAAGAGAATGGCGTGAACCCAGGAGGTGGAGCTTGCTGCAAGCCGAGATCGAGCCACTGCACTCCAGCCTGGGCAACAGAGCGAGACTCTGTCTCCAAAAAAAAATTGCTCTAACAATGATCATCTCTGGTTATAAAACTATGAGTTTTTATTTTTTCTCTACAATGAACATGCATCACTTTTAATTATCCTGCAAGTACCAAGCAAGAATCTCACACTGAGATTTAGGGTTGAATAACAACCTGTAATGTAGTATTGTATAATGGTTAAGAGCTTGGGCTCCAGAAACTATATGCTATGTGCTTGAATCCCAGCTTTGTGACCTTGGGCAATCACTCAACCCTCATTGTGACTCACTGTTGTGAAGAACAGATCCTGGCACATGCTCGATAGATACTAGCAATTAAAGATAAAATACTTAGGTTATATTATAGGCTTCATACTTTCTCTTTGACTAAGGGTCAGTATACTTCTCAAAATATTTCAGTCAAGTTCACAAATTATATTCAATCTCTCATGAAGGAGTATACTCAAGAGCAGAGGCCTTCATTCTTTCTATTAAGAAGGGGCTACATTTCATTGGCCTACAGCCCTGAAATCACAGGATGGGAAGGAAGGAAATAGATACTGAGAGGACACTGACTATCTCTCCCACTTGGAAATTTGAGCCACTTATAAATGGAGAAGAACATGATAAAGAGGAGAATAAGCAGCAAGTTGCATGTGGGCCATACATTTTCACATATACTGTTTCTGAATATGCCCAAAGCATTCTTATATTCATGGACCCATGGGATCACTGAGAGGGGTAAGGGAATTTTGCAAGTGATGAAAATGAGGTGCAGAGATAAAGCGCCTTGCCCAGGATCACCAAGTGGCAAAACTACCAAGCAGCAAACAGAAAAGAGAATCTAGGACATCAGTTTAATGCTGACTTTAAGAATTACTAGCTTGAGGCTGGGCGTGATGGCTCAAGCCTGTAATCCCAGCACTTTGGGAGGCCGAGGTGGACGGATCATTTGAGGTCAGGAGTTCGAGCCCAGCCTGGCCAACATGGCGAAACCCCATCTCTACTTAAAAAAAAAAAAAAAAAAAAAAGATACAAAAATTAGCCAAGCATGGTGTACACCTGTAATCTCAGCTACTCAGGAGGCTGAGGCAGGAGAATCGCTTGAACCCAGAAGGCAGAGGTTGCAGTAAGCCAAGATCACGCCACTGCACTCAGGCCTCGGTAACAGTGAGAATCCCGTCACCAAAAAAAAAAAAAAAAAAAAAGAATTACTAGCTTGGTTCCAATCCACTGGGTAAGGACATTTTCTTCTAGCCCTGGCTCTAGTATATTGGGGTAAAGTCTTCAAACTTTTTCTAGCCATGTATTTTATGTTGTGACCTAAGTCTACATAAATGGAACACAGAAGTATGTTCGAATTCTTATGAAGCAACTATATAAAGTCATTATTTTTCAGTGAAGAGGCAACTGATTAATGGCACATTTTGAGCTAACTTCTAAAGCTTGAAATTACATTGGTTTCAACTGGGATCATTTTGAATTCCAACCATTTCATATAAGTACACTTATAATGATCATAATTCAAATAAAATTAACCTTAAAATAAGAAAGTAAAATGGACTAAAATTTTGCCTAGATTTACCTAAAGGCAAAATATAAAAATTAATTTCTAAATACATAAGATGCACACTGAAAGAAGAGTAAGTCAGTCCAGATTTAGACTATAAATTCAAATGTGAAAATTCAAGCATCTGAAATGAGAGGGAGCACAGCCTTTTGAAGAAAAATAAAGCACTAAATTTAAAAAGTATTATTTTTATTTCAGGAAAGAAGAAGCCTGAGCTTCCAAAATAACTTTTTCAGACTGTTTATTAACCCAGTCAAACCAAGAAAACAAATGTACAATTAGCTTATTAAAAATAGGGACTCCAATATGGGCAACAAAGCAAGACCCTGTCTCTACAAAAAATTAAATAAGTAGCTGGGCATGGTCGTGGGCGCCAATAATTCTAGCTACTCAGGAAGCTGAGGTGGGAGGACCGCTTGAGCCTGGGAGATTGAGGCTGCAGTGAGCTATGATTGAGTGCACTTCAGCCTGGGCAACAGAGTGAGACCCCGAGTCAAAAAAAAAAGGGGGGGGGAGGGGACTACTATTAATTAAAATCTGGAAGGAGAAAGGATACAAAAAAATTAACTTTTGCTGAACACTTACATGCCAAGTGTTTTCGAATATGATATGTGACTTAATCCTGAACAAACTAGAGTAATACAAACTATTATTGCTTTTTAAGAATTCAGTATTTATTTATTTATTAAACAGATAAGGAAATAGGGTTTTAAAACTGCAGAAGTGTTAGAACAAGATAGAAACTTTCATTTTTCCTTTGTTAAAAGATTTTTTTTTTTTTTTTGAGACAGAGTCTCACTCTGTCATCCAGGCTGAAGTGCAGCGGTGCGATCTCAGCTCACTGTAACCTTCACCTCCTGGGTTCAAGCAATTCTCATGCCTCAGCCTCCCCAGTTGCTGGGGCTACAGACATGCACCACCATGCCCAGCTAATTTTTGTATTTTTAGTACAGACAGGGTTTCGTCATGGTGGCCAGGCTCGTCTTGGACTCCTGACCTCAGGTGATCCACCTGCCTCGGCCTCTCAGAGTGCTAGGATTACAGGCGTGAGCGACCTCACCCAGCCCTAAACAACTTTTTAGAAGTAGAATCAACATACAATAATTTAAAGGCACATTTGATAAATTTTCGTGTGTGTGTGTGTGTGTGTGTGTGTGTTTATACCCCCTTGAAATAATCACATAATCAACATACTGAATGTATTCATCACCTCAGAAATTTCCTTATGCCCATTATTTTTGGAATGTTTATCAAGAGTGAATGGATAAACAAACTTGTATATCCATGCAAGGGAATACGACTAAACCTAAAAATGTGCATGAACTATTGATACATACAATACGTGTGAATCTCAAGATAATTATGCTGAAAGAATGCACACAAAAAATGTTATTCCATTTGCATAAAATTCTAGAATGCGCAAATTAATCTATTACTGTTTTTTAAGATGAGAAAAACAAGGCTCAGAAAGGAAACATAGCTTGTATTAGCAATGCTGTTAATAAATGGTGATGCAGGATATTAATCCAGTTCTGCTACATCCTAAAACCCAGGTCTATACAAGACCTCAATACCAACTGCATTCGCCATAGCAAGATTAGAACAAATATTCATTTGGAGTCAGGGGCGGTGGCTCAAGCCTGTAATCCCAGCAGTTTGGGAGGCCTAGGCGAGCAGATCACTTGAGGTCAGGAGTTCAAGACCAGCCTGACCAAAATGGTGAAATCCCATTTCTATTAAAAATACAAAAATTAGTCAGGCTTAGTGGCGGGCACCTGTAATCCCAGCTACTCAGGAGGCTGAGGCACAAGAATCACTTGAACTCAGCAGGCAGAAGTTGCAGTGAGACAAGATCATGATCGCACCACTGCACTCCAGCCCTGGGTGACAGAGCAAGACCTTGTCTCAAAAAAAAAAAAAAAAAAAAAAAGAACAAATATGCACTTATACACTTGGTTTCTAGCATTAAAAGATTCTGTTCTAATACTAAAATTTAATCATGAGAAACCTAAACTCTGACTTACTTTTAAAAAGGTATAATAAAGCAAATAGCATATGGGCTATCAAAAACAAAACAAAAACCAAAGCTAGTAAATTATGCCTGGTAAATAAAGAATATAGGCATGGATAATAAAGTTAACAGAATCCATGTTTCAAATTATTATTTATTTCACTATACCTGGTACTTTATTAAAATTCATGACTATTAAAGCATATTATCACATACCACACAAAATCCAAGTTGAGGGCTAGAACAGAAAGCACACAACTCCTTGTACAAATATTATAATTCATCAACCCATTTCAGAATATAAAGACTAGTTGCAAAAACTAAGTAATCCTTGCATCTTGACGGGCAATAATAGCCACTTATATAAGAAAATGTTCCAGAAGAATAATAGCTAAAATTTAAGTGTTTATTTTGAATTAGACATTATGTTAATCACTCATCAGGTACTATTTCATTTAAATGATGTTAAGAAGTACTATGAACTTATAGTTGAAAAAACTAAGGCAAAGAAAGATTAAATAATGACCCCAATCCATACATATGCTAAATGGTAGAAATGGAATTTGAACTCAGGCAATCTAACTCCACTGACAGTATTCCTAACTATCATGCTGTGACTCCTTATAGGTTTGGTAGGCTTAAAGCAAACGAAATAAAAACTACATAAAATTAGAATAATTACTAGAGGTTAAGAAGTGTGTGTGTGTGTGTGTGTGTGTATGTGTGTGTGTGTTGGTGAGGGGTGGTATGAAGAGAGGTTAGCTAATGGATACAAACAGATAGAAGGAATAAGTTCTAATGTTCAATAGTAAAGTAGGGTAACTATGGTTAACAACAATGTATTGTGTGTTGCAAAATAACTTAGGAGAAAAAATTTGAAATGTTCCTAACTCATAAAAATGATAAATAAGTGACAGATTTATCAATCACCTATCAAGGCGATTGATACTCCAAACACCCTGACTTGATCATTACGCTTTCTATGCATGTAACAAAATAGCATATGTACCCCATAAAAATGTACAAATATTATGTACCAATAAGCAAATTTTAAAGAATAAATACCAAAAATATTAAGCAAAACTCTGTTAGTATTGACTTAGCAAATGGCAAATAAACCACTGTTACTCTACAATAGCACATTTTCTAAAAGAAAGTTCAGGATAATAACTTTATTTCATCAACAGTAATTTGTCAGTACAACCATCTTGTGTGCAATGGCAAATTAAGACTCTGTAAGAGGAAACTGGAAAGTTCAGAGGCAAGAGAGAATACCGCATTTACAACACAAGAACCATTTTCTTTACAAGAAAAGAATCATTTTTAGGACTTGGAAATGAAAGTGTGATAAATCCCCCAAAACAAGGAAACACAAAACACAAATGGCAAATGGAATAAACAAAAGTTGTCAAAAGATTCTCCCATAATGCTACTGACAGTGGCAGCAAAAAGTCAAATGCCTAGGCAGGTAAGAGGCAGGTCCTCAGTGAAATCTGACCTTCAAACAAAGATAGTTGAAAGCCTGAAAGCCATGGTACAAGTTCTGGGTAAATCCACAGACTGGATTGAGAAACTCTCTTCCTACTTGGCATGCTTTCCTCTGAGTAATCCTCACCCTTCACCTATTTACATACACCTATCCTTCCCTACTTGGTTTTATACATTGTCATGCCCCCCTTTGAGTGGTGCCTTTGTTTTAGCCCATTTTGCGTACTCGCAAACCAATCAGCAAGCACTCCCCATTCTGAGCCCATAAAAGCTCTGGACCCAGCCATACTTAGAGAGAAACCACCCGACTTCAGGTGGGAGACCACCCTCGCAGCCCCTTTTGGCTGAGAGCTGTTTCTGTCACTCAATAAAATTCTTCTCCACCTTCCTTACCCTTTGATTGTCAACGTAAATTCATTCTTCTTGGATGTGGGACAAGAACTCGGGACCCACTGAATGTGGGTACAAGCTGTAACACAAGTGGGTTAGGGCACGCTTGAGTTAGGGCATGCTCAGCCCAGCTGAGAGCTAAGCTGGTGCACAAGCCTGGCGGACAGAGCACCTCCTGCGGCAGGCCCAGGGCTGAGTGAGGCCTGGGCAGAAGCATTGCCAGCCACAGAGGGCCCCAGCGGGCAAAGTGGCCAAGAAAATTCCTGTGTCACTATGCAAAAAGATAAAATGTATGAACAAACAGTGAAGAGGCAAGAGTTAAGAGAACATATTCAGGAATTATGACATCTGAGTCCCAAATTAAGGAGACTGCTTAAAATGTAACATGTTAGGGCCGGACACAGTGGCTCACGCCTGTAATCCCAGCACTTTGGGAGGCCGAGGCGGGCGGGTCAGGAGATCGAGACCATCCTGGCTAACATGGTGAAACCCCGTCTCTACTAAAAATACAAAAAATTAGCCAGGCGTGGTGGTGGGCACCTGTAGTCCCAGCTACTCAGGAGGCTGAGGCAGGACAATGGCATGAACCTGGGAAGCGGAGCTTGCAGTGAGCCGAGATCGCACCACTGCACTCCAGCCTGGGGGACAGAGCAAGACTCCGTCTCAAAAAAAAAAAAAAAAAAAGTAGCATGTTACAGAAGAAAGGTTGAATATCAATTACCTATGCTGCTAATAAAACAAGTTAGAAAAATAGCAGATTAGTTCTAAGGAAAGTAGAAGCAAAGAAATAATAGAAGAAATCAATGAAATAGAAAACAAAATCAACAGAGAAAAATCAACAAAACCCAAAGTTGTTTTTTCAGGGGAAAGATTCATAAAATTAATAAAACCCTCTTATAGATCAGGAACAAAAGAGATAATATACCAAATGCCAATTTTAAAAATTAAAACTGCAATATCATTATAGATTCTATAATCACTAAAAAGATTATAAAAGAATACTATGAAATAATTTATGCCAGTAAATATAAAATTTAGAAAAATAAAAAATTACTTGAAAAACACTATTTGCCAAAGTTGATACAAGAAATAAAAAATAAGAATAGTTTTTTATCTATTAAAGAAATCTAATTTAAAAGTAAGTCTATATTTGAAAATATTTCTACAAACAAAACTTCAGATTCTGAGTGGTTTCACTGGTGAATATGTTCAACATTTGAAGAAGAAGTAAAATCTTATTTATACAAATTTGTCCAGAGAAGAGAAAAAGAGGGGACACTTCCCTGACAAGGACAACATAATAAAGGTCAATACCTCTGACATATGAATATAAAAATCCTAAAAAAAAAAAAAATAAACTCCAGCTGTATAAAAAGGGAAAGCCCAAGTGGGATATATACCAGGAATGTAAGGATGTTTTAATACTCAAAAATCAATCAATGCAATTAACCACATTAATGGAATAAGGGAGAATAAAATAGGATTACCTTAATATACAGGAAAACATTTGATAAAATGCAATACCTGTTCATGATTAAAAAAAAAACAAAAAACAAAACTCTAAGCAAACTAGGAATGGAACTTCCTTAATATGATAAGTGATATCTACATCAGGTGCCTTCAATGACTATCATATGCTTTCTTTCTGAGGTTGGGAACAAGAGAATAATGTCCAGTATTCAACACTGTACTGGAGGTCCTAGCCACTGCAATAAGATAAGAAAAGTAATTCAAAAGCATAAAGATTGCAAAATCAGAATTCAAATCATCTTTACTAAAAGACGACATGATTGTGTATGTAGAAAACTCCAAATAATCTCTAAACTACTAATAAGTCAATGTAGCAAGATTGTTATATCCAAGGTCAATATATAAAAATCAACTGTTTATATCTATCAAGGGAAAAAAATTGGAAAATGAACTTTTAAAATACCATTTATAAAACCATTTAAGAAATTACAAATACCTTGGAAATATATCTAATGAAAGATATGTAAGACCTCTACATTGAAAACTAAAACACTAATGAGATAAATGAACAGAAACTTTAAATAAAATTGAAGATATTTAATGGACTCAATATTAAGATGTCAATTCTCCATAAATTGATCTACAAATTCAATGCAATCTGAATTAAAATCCCAGCAAGATTTTGAATATGTGTTTGTTTATAAAAATTAACAAGCTGATTCTCAAATTGATATAACAATGCAAAGGACCTAGAATAGCTAAGATAATGTTGAAGAGTAACAAAGTTAGAAGATTTACACTACCAGATAGACTTATTATAAAGCTACAATAATGATGACAGTACATTACTGGCACACGACAGAGACCAACGGAACAGAATAAATAGTCCAGAAATAGACCAAAACACATACAGTTGCTTGATTTACATCAAAGATATCACTGCCACTCAATGGGAAAAGGCAGATCTTTTCAACAGTGGTGGTGGAACAATTCAATCTCCCTATAGAGAAAAGAGAATCTTAACCTGTTCCTCTTACCAAACAATTAATTTGAGGTGGGTCACAAACAAATGATATAGGTAAAACAATAAAGCTTCCAAAAGAAAAGAAAATATCTTCAGTACTTGGTAAAGAGTTCTTAAGCAGAACACAAAAAGCACTAACCACATAAGAAAAACAAGGATAGATGAGACTGTATTAAAATTAAGAACACCTCTTCAACCCAAGGCATCATTAAGAAAGTGAACAGGCCAGGCGCGGTGGCTCACACCTATAATCCCAGCACTTTGGGAGGCCCAGACAGGCAGATCACGAGGTCAGGAGTTCGAGACCAGCCTGGCCAACATAGTGAAACCCCATCTCTACTAAAAATACAAAAAATTAGCCAGGTATGGTGGCACACTCCTGTAGTCCCAGCTACTCGGGAGGCTGAGGCAGGAGAATCGCTTGAACCCGGAAGACTCAGGCTGCAGTGAGCCGAGACCACACCACTGCACTCCAGCCTGGATGACAGAGTGAGACTGTCTCAAAAAAAAAAAAAAAAGAAGTAAGTGAATAGATAAGCAACAAAATATTTGCAATACAAGTATCTAAGGACTCATATCCAGAATATATGAAGAATTCCTATAAAGTAATAAGAAAAAAAAAGACAACTGCTTTAAGAAAAAAATAGGCAAAGGCCTTGAACAGGCTTTTCACCAAGAAGATAGACAAATGGGCAATAAATATATATATGCTTCAGGAAAATGTAAAACCACAAGATCCTACCTCCTACCCTTCAGAAAGGCAAAAATTAAAATGACCAAAAATATCAAGTGTGCAGAAAAGAGTTAATATTGCAGGTCTGAGACTGCCATTCTTAGAAAGGCCTGCTTGAAAGTTGGCCCTTGGCTGGCAGCTGAGAACCTGGATTTTGAGAAGGTTCCCACCATTCCCAGAACTGATAAAAATGACTCACTATGCCTAAACACTTTGTGCAAATAATATGGTTTATGCTAAACACCTACTTTCTTTATGGGAGTCTAGATTTTGGTATGGTTAACCCTATGCCTAAGCAAAGGATGCCTACTTGACCAGCCCCTACTGATAACTCCCACTGCTGTGCCTCTAACAAGCTTCCCAGGGAAGACAACATTTCACACATGTGGTCACAATTTGTTGCAACAGGAATTAAGTGCACTCTGTGTAACTACAGTAGGGGAAGCTTTTTGGAAGCTTAAACCTCATCTCTTTCAAACTTCATCCCATGTGCCTTTTCTCTTTGCTGATCTTCTTGTAATAAATTATAGCCACGAGCATGATTATGGGCTAAGTCTTATGAGTCTTCCTAGAAAATCACTAAACCTGGGAGTGGTCTTGAGAACACATCAAATGGGGAGGATTCTGTAGAATAACTATACTACTATAAATTGTTGGTGAGAAGGTTAACTAGTTCAACCACTTAGACAGACTATTTAGATAGATCTACTAAAGCCAAAACATATTTGCACCATATAGCCCAATAACTCTACTCTTAGGAATATATCCAAAAGAAAATGAGTGCCTTTGTCTACCAAAAGAAACAAGAATGTTCACAGCAGCTTTATTCATATTAGCCCAAAGTGAAAACAACCCAAATACCCATCAACGGGTGAATGGATAAACAAATTGTGACAAATTCATAGAATAGAATACTAATAACACATGCACAAACACTGAAGCCTGCAACAACAAGGATGACTCTCAAAATCGGTAAATAAAAAAGCTCAATGGTATATAATGTATGATTATACAACGAAAGAGTACACAATGTATGATTACATTTATATACAAAAGAGTAAGCAAAGCATGCCATTTAAAAGGTTCAAAAACTGACAAAGCTAACCTATGGTGACAAAAGTTAAGAGAAAGAGTTGCTGGAGGGGAATCCTGGGCTTCACTATCCAATACATCTGGCTATTTAATTTAAATAAATTAAAATTAAAAATTTAATTCCTTAGAAACATTAGCCACATTTCAAGCACTCAGTAGTTACATTTGGATAATGGCTATTGTATTGAATGGGAAAGACAGAGAATGTAGAGAATTTCCATCTTCACAGAAAGTTTTATTTATCAGCACTGTTCTAGGATGATGGGAATTTTCTGTATCTTGATCTGGGAAGTAGTTATATGCATGTATCAATATGAAAAAATTCACCAAGCAGTATACTAAAGATTTGTGCACTTTTTATTTTTTTTTTTTTTAATTTTTGAGACAGGGTCTTGCTCTGTTGCCCAGGCTGGAGTGCAATGGTGCAATCATAGTTCACTGCAACCTCTGCCTCCCGGACCCAAGCCATCCTCCCACCTGAGCCTCCCAAGTAGCTGGGTCTACAGCCATACACCACCACGCTCGGCTAATTTCTGTATTTTTTGTAGAGACGGGGTTTTGTCATGTTCCTCAGGCTGGTCTTGAACTTTTGAGCTTAAGCAATCTGCCCACCTTGGCCTCCCAAAGTGCTGGGATTACAGGCATGAGCTACCATGCCCAGCCAAGATCTGTACACTTTATTGTATTAAGTTATAACTCAATAATTAAGTAAATACATGAACATATGTTTTTAAAATGACTAGCAGAAAACATATACAATATATATAACTGTAGATTCACATCTAAAATATGAAGAATTCATATGAATCAATAAGAACAGGGGAGCAACCTAAAAGAAAAATCATAGGCGATTCACAGGAAAGGACGGCTAACGAACATATTAAAAGATGCTCAGGTTCATGAAAATTCAGAAAAATACAATCTAAAACACTGAGATACTACTTTTGACCATCATGTTAACAAAAATTTATATGGTTGGTAATACCAATTGTTTATAAGAAATTGAGGCTGGGCACAGTGGCTCATGCCTATAATCCCAGCACTTTGGGAGGCCGAAACAGAGGATTGCTTGAGGTCAGGAGTTTAGGACCAGCTTGGGCAACATAGCAAGACTCCATCTTTACAAAAATTTTAAAAGTGAAAAAATCAGCCTGGCATGGTGGTGAGCACTTGTAGTCCCAGCTACCTAGGAGGCTAAGGTCAGAGGATCACTTGAGCCCAGCAAGTCAAGGCTGCAGTGAGCCATGATCATGCCACTGCATTCCAGCCTATGCAACAGAATGAGATCCTGTCTCCAAAAAAAAAAAAAAATCCATAAAACCATGTATTAATATGTACACACATATATGTATTATACATCAATGCAGAGAAACAGTTATAAGAAATATAACCCAAACCAATAATACTTGTTAGTTACTTCAAGGAATGCAAGTCAAAATTAGTGGATGGTGGCTTTCACTTTTTATTTTTTTGAGACAGGGTCTTGCTCTGTTGCCCAGGCTGGAGAACAGTGACACAATCATAGCTCACTGCAGCCTTAACCTCCCGGGCTCAATTGATTCTTCTACCTCAGCCTCCCGAGTAGCTGGGACTACAGGTGTACGCTACCCCAGTCGGCTAATTTTTTTTTTTTTTTTTTTGGTAGAAATAGGGTTTACCATGTTGCCCAGGCTGGTCTTGAATTCCTGGGCTCAAGCAATCCAACCCCACCTCGGCCTCCCAAAGTGTTGGGATTACAGGCGTTGAGCCTCTTTCATTTTTACTAGATTACAATTTTCACAATAGAATGTTTTCAGGCCGGGTGCAGTGGATCATGTCTGTAATCCTAGCACTTTGGGAGGCTGAGGCAGGCAGATGGCTTGAGTTCAGGAATTTAAGACAAGCCTGGACAACAGGGCAAAACCCCACCTCTATAAAAACCACGAAAAATTAGCCAGGCATGGTGGCATGCACCTGTAGTTCCAGCTACTTGAGAAGCTGCGGTGGGAGGATCACTTGATCCCAGGAGGTCAAGGCTGCAGTAAGCTACAGTCATGCCACTGCACTCCCACCTGGGTGACAAAGAGAGACTCTGTGTCAAAAAAAAAACAACAAAAAAAAAACAAAACAAAACCCTTAAAAACAACTATTGCTGCTGTTGTTGTTGAGTTATTGCTGTTCTACATCCTAATGGTGTATATGACTTCAAACTATTTTTGAACAGATAAAAGCTAATCATATAATTGAAGGATATTTACTTTTGTTCTCTCTATATATTTTTGGATTTTTTCTTTTTCTTTAAGTCAATAAATTTTTGTTCAAGTAATTCCATGTTGTGATTTCTTCCACTGTCCATCAAGGTCACTTCAGATCCTCTAAAGAGCTGGAGTCAAAAGATTTATCTTCAAGTTAGCCCTTTTTAATGAAACTGATGCTTATTTTAATCCAGCTGTCCTGTTAGCCCATAATTCTTTTATTTTGGCTTCTGTCATCTCCTTTTAATATGGATATACTGATGAAGACTTCAAAATTCACCAAGAATCTTTGGGATCTAACTTCTTCAACCAATTTACTTTAGGGTCCTTTTTACTGTAGGTGGTGGATCTGCCTGGTTCTCAATTTGACACCCTAAGCGATCATACTCAAGAATAGTACAGATGTGTGGAATACGCCAATACCTTTAACTACAGACATCATGTTCTCAAGATAAAAGCCTTTAAAACAAAAAGCCATCGTAGGTATCAAGTCAACATGAAATTGGAATGCAAAATTAATACTGCTGAGGATTTCCTTCATATCCCATGCTGTTTAACTATCTCTTCCACAGTCCTAGAATCAATCTTTTTTAATTAAGAGACAGGGTCTGTCTTTGTTACCCAGGCTGGAGTACAGTGGTGTCATCAAAGCTCAGTGCAGCCTCCAACTCCTGGGCTCAATACTCTTGCCTCAGCCTCCTCTTCCTGAGTAGCTGCAACTACAGACACATGCCCCAATACTCAGCTAATTTTTAAATTTTTGTGGAGATGAGGTGTTTGTTACTTTCTTATACAGGCTGGTCTTGAACTCCTGGCTTCAAGCAATACTCCCACCTTGGTGTGGGGCTTGCAGGCTTGAGCCATTGTGCCTGGTCTGGGACCAACCTTTATGGCTATCAATATTCCCATCAGTTAACTGTCTCAGGTATCATAATATCCCTTCTTATATGTATCAAAACTCATACTGAACAATGAGTTCTGGGTTGCAAAAGAGGATTTATTTTTTGCACCTATCCATAAGTCTTTGTCCACAAGTTAAACAAAAACATACATAAGTGCAGTTGGATTTTCTTTTTTAAACATCTGAGCATTCACTGCTCAGTTTATAAATCACCTTATATATGATGACGTGATCTACTTAAACTTCAAAACATTTCTCAATTACAGAAATGGCAAACCTAAAAGCCCCAAAAGTTTATTTAGATTTCTTTAATCTTTAAACATAGACTTTGTCCAATCTTTTAAAGGTCCTTGATTAAATCAAGACCACATTTATCTATGTCATTGGGAAATCCTTACCTTTAGTTTCTTTAAACAGTCTATATCTTTATCTTTAAACATAAACACTTTTTTTTTCTTTTGAGACAAGAGTCTTGCTCTGTTGCCCAGGCTGGAGTGCAGTGGTGCAATCTCGGCTCACTGCAACCTCCCACTGCTGGGTTCAAATGATTCTCCTGCCTCAGCCTCCCCAGTAGCTGGAACTACAGGTGTGCGCCACTGTGCCCAGCTAATTTTTGTACTTTTAGTAGAGACAGGGTTTCACCATGTTGGCCAGACTTATCTTGAACTCCTGACCTCAGGTGATCTGCCCACCTCAGCCTCCCAAAGTGCTGGGATTACAGGCGTAAGCCACCGCATCTGGCCTAAACATAGACTTTTTGGATAATTTTCCTTACTCAAAGCACTATCTTCTACTAGGATGAAGTTATATAAACCACAAAATAAATTAAAATGGAAAGAACTAGTGCATCCTACCTGGGTTACTGGAATGTAGAGAGGTTCTCCATTATGCAGCAGTGTAAGTTTCCCATGCTGATAGAGCCGTCCTTCCGGCCTTAAATTTGCCATCTCCTTAGGTCCTCCTTTCTTGCCACTCTCTTGTCCATTTCCTTTAAGTTCTTCAGTATCACTTAGGCATTCAAAAAATTCTTCTTCGCTGTCACTCCAGGAATCCCAAGATTTTCCTACCTCTCCCTTTTCCTTATCTGTTTCTTTTAGATTATCTGGCACCAACTGGTCTCCTGCTTTTCCAGCATCCCCTGGATATATATTAGTGACATCTGAAGCACTTGTCTTTTTCCCCTCATCACGTGCCTTCTTTCTTTCAATACAACAATTTAACATCTTAAGAAAAGAGAAATAACATTTATAGTTGAATTAGTTACAGAAAAATAAAAATCTACCTACTGCTTGAATATTTAATTTTCACTCTCCACTTCTCAGGACCTTGTGAATTGCAGTGACTACTGACTATAGGCAACCTACAGCAGCACCATGAGAACAGCATGTAACCCATTATTACATTTAGTATTAGAATAATCTGATTAAATCAAGACCACATTTATCCATGTCATTGAGAAATCTTTACCTGTAGTTTCTGATGCAGTAAACAACACCTCAGATCTGGGGGTCCACTTGCTAATCTATCAAATAAAGTAAGGAGAAAAGAAAGCTTAGTTTTAGTAAAATTGCTTCAGATATGATTATTTTCTATACTACCATAATTTTTAGCTATATTGATAAGAAATCAAAACTAGATTTCCACAGGTAAGGTAAGTGAATTCCAGAGGGGGAGCACATAGAATTAAAAGATGAAAATTTATTTTATACTCCTTGTCCACAAATCACCAATAGCAAATATAATAGATATTTCAAAACATAACAGCAAATTAGTGATAGTTTTCAGGCTAACAAAAACTCAAAATGAGAAAAAGCCCCTGAACCCACTCCAGGAAGTACTAGCATACAGTATTTCACACCATACAAAATAAATCAGTTTGTGTATTCAGTACTAAATTCTTACAGTGGATTCTCACTATAAAAACCAAGATCTCCACCTGTATTTCAATAGGACCTTGGACTGTCTCTAGTTCTAGGTTCCTCTAGACTACTAGGTTCCCAGCAATCAGCCAGAGGCACTCCCTCATATTCAACATGCTTCTGGGTCTGTAAAATGTTCCAGAGCGGACTGTCTAAAACCAAGAGAGAATCCAGCTAAGCAGAGATTGGCAAATGATATAAATGTTTTTGGATCAGTAATCATTTTATATTGCTCAAAATCATGATTCTCCTATCATAGCATGGGTAGATGAGCACTAAACTATGCAATATCAACCTATGTGCTAATGAAAATGTTCTGTTTGATTAAGTAAAATGTCAATTACAAAAAACAGGTTTATTACAAAAGACTTTGAAAATGCATAAAAGTATAAAGAACAAAATAAAAGTATAATTTCACACTGGGAAAAACTGATAGCATTTCACAGTATTTATAATATTTTTCCTGTACAAATATAGCAACATAATTAAAAGTACTTTGTATATGCATTAAAATATTCTACTTTATTAGAAACAATATGAACATCTGTTATTAAAGATTATTGGGGGAAAAACTGTAATCAATCTAATTTTCTATTGTAGAGATACAGTATAATTTATTTAACTATTCTTTTATGTTTGATATTTAGGTTTTGCCTTTTTTTCTATTATATTAATAAATTTGCTGCAGTGAACACCTCTGAACATAAATCATGTCTAAGCTTCTTGCCACTTTCTTAGGGCAGACTTCCTAGAAGGGGGAAAAAATAGGTCAAAAGTCAAATGTCTGCTAACAAACAAAATCGTATCCAAACAATTGAAAATTGAAATTATTACCCTGGAATCAGAAAGTTGTTTTCCCATCGGAAACGCATTTCAAGAACAAATTCCTGCCAGAGGTGTGCCACTCCTTTCAACCCTCCATGGTAAAAATTGATCATACAGAGACACAAAGCCAGTTTGTATGTTAAACTGTCAGATGGTGCAGACTTGAACTGATTGTAGAGATTCTAAATTTAACAAAATAGAAACAAAGCAAACTTGTTACCAAAATATTTTACACATATAACTGAAAAGGTCGTAGGGAGAGATTTTAATTGTAAAATTAACCTATCCCACCTAAACTAGGCATTATCAAATGTCTAATACACTACTGCATAAACTATTCTTAGGAAGTCCCACATTTTCAAGATTTCTACTAAGATTAAAAAAGATAAAGCTATAGTTTAATGAAGCTAAAGTTACAGCTTTCAATTTCTTCTGTGGAATATTTAGGAAGTATTCCAAATTTCATGTGTTGTTTTAAAAATCTTTTAATTACAAAAATGAGCACGTCTGAAAAAACAAAAATCATAACTATCTAAACTGAAAATGTAAAAAGCCTTTGCTTTTTTCTCTCACCTCATCAAATCTACTTCTCAACAATAACTACTGTAAAGGTTGATATATATCTACACTTGTCATTTAAATTCTTCAACTTCTTAATTTTTCAAAGACTAGACAAAGAGACCATGAAAATTTTACCTAATTTTACACATTTTACTTCATTAAAGAGTTGTCCATTCACTAACTAGTTTTAAAATATCAAAAAGAATCTGCTGAGAAACACAAATTTAATGATTTCACCAAAACTCTACAATGAGGGAAATCCTACAGCTGTGTAGAGTATATTTGTGCTATTTTTTCATTGTTTCCAGAAAAATTCTTGCTACCCAAAATATGTATCTGTGCTAGTTATCTAAGTGGAAACCACGATCTGCCATCCAAAATTCCCAAGGTGATTTTTAAAATAAAAATATAGTAAGCTATTAAACTAGAAATATATAGAACCTCTAGAAATTCAGTGCATTTAAAACATTTTAACATTGAACTCCACATCAACTTACATAGTCTTCACTCTCTGATGGAGGATTATTATTATCTGTTGAAGTAGTTCCATCTAATGGTTTCTCAGAAACAGCATCAGGGAATAAGAACTTGAAGGAAAGGAAAAAAATAATCACATTTTAGACCACATTTCCTATTTTGTTGATTTTTATAACTCATATAGACATTATTTAACTTTTTAATGGTTTTGCTGCTCTAACAATAGAAATGTTCCAGTTGTATTGGCCAGTTTGTTCTACACTCTCAAATTTTTTCTATTTTTCTTTGAAAATATACAAGGTTTCAGTGACTAGCCAATTTTAGAAATTAGAATTTTTTTCTTAAAAGTAATCACTTGATTCTGTAAGCTGAAAGGTGCAAAAGCAAAATCTCATCACTGTGACTTCATGCTCACCCAAGGCCATTACATTTTTTTAGTGTTACTACTATCTAAAAAACAAAACCACAAAAGACAATTTAAAAACACTCATGTACTCATGAGGATCTGAAGAGTTACATCATCCACAGGCTTTCATATATAGACTACTAAGAGATGATATTCAAGACCCACAGCTTTATTTTATGATACCCCTGGAAAGTAGGAAGCAGTCTAAACCTATAATAACCAATGTACCTTTTCCATGTGGTTTCTGTTTATATGTACATGTACGAGTGGTCAAAAAAAAATCCAGTGTACATGACAACTGAGCTACATGATTTGAATAACATTCTTTTAAGAATACAGTCTTAAGAAGGAGGCTCTCTATAGACATTTATTTACAGTCCTTTTATCACTGTTCCTCTCAATTGTTTTGTGGTACTGCTGATTAGTAATCCCTCTTACTATGTATACTTTGCCACACATTATAGAACATGTCCAATAGACTTTTAAAAATTAGATGAACTACTATGTGCCAAGTGCCATAAGGCACAATTACCAGCATTATCCTATTCTCATACAACTGTTTGAGCTAAGTATCACTACCTACATCTTACGATGTACAAGCTAAAAAGTTGGCTAAGAGTTTTGTTCAGATAAATGGCAGGGGATAAGATTAACATTAAGTTTCCAGTTTTCTTTTCAACACTTTTCTTGAAGGTTTTTCCCAAGATTGTCTTAATGCACAAATTTCCGGGAGTATGATTTTAACCACAATTACAGTTAAGAATAGCTATCATTTATCAAAGACCCATATATGCCAGGCAGTGTCACAGAAGATCCTTTAATCCTCACAACAATCTCGCAAGGTTTTGTTAGCCATATTTTCTAGATGAGGAAACTGAAGTGACTTATTCAAAGTCATGCAGTAAGTCATGCAGACATTAAACCATGGTGTGGATGGCCCCCAGGCTGGGGCCATTCCACTCTGTTATACCTAGGAGCCACCTTAGCTCTCTATTCATCTCCCTCTCATTCTCACTAAAAGCTTTCTCTCAACTGTTGTCAAAGCAATCCTTCAAAAATATACTTCCGGGGCCAGGTGCGGTGGCTCACGCCTGTAATCCCAGCAGTTTGGGAGGCCGAGGCGGGCGGATTACGAGGTCAGGAGATCGAGACCATCCTGGCTAACACGGTGAAACCCTATCTCTACTAAAAAAAAATACAAAAAAATTAGCCAGGCATGGTGGCACGTGACTGTAGTCCCAGCTACTAGGGAGGCTGAGGCAGGAGAATTGCTTGAACCCAGGAGGTGGAGGTTGCAGTGAGCCGAGATGCACCACTGCACTCCAGTCTGGGTGACAGAGCGAGACTTCGTCTCAAAAAAAATAAATAAATAAAATAAAAAATAAAAAAATTCTAATCATGTTGATCTTCTACTTAAACTGCAAGATAAAAGCCAGTGCTTCAGCATGGCAGGTTACCTGCTACTTCTCCAGCCTCAACCCTGGTCATGGTCTGGGAAGCACCCTACAAAATATCAACCGTTCAACATGCTCTCGAACCTCTGCTATTCCTCTGCTTCTAAAGCCTTCTTTTCATCAAGATTCAGCTCAAATGTCCCTCTTCATGAAGCCTTCCCTGATTCCCACTGCCCAGACAGAGACAAATGCACCCCTGCTGTGCTCTCACAGCCCCCTTGCCAGATTTCTCACATGCAACATGGTATCACAACTACTATTTACTTTCCTTCTCACCACTAAACTAGTAGGAATTTTCTAAATGTGGTAACTGTTTTACTCATTGTATATTCCAAGGTCACTGCCTACCACATAAAAGGAACTGGCTATATAATGAATAAATGATTCTGCATATAGACCTATAAAGACAGAACATTTAGTTACCAGGAGAATAGTATTAAGAACATCATTATTTAGCGGTGACTCCTCTACACCTCTGTGTTTTCGGATTTTCTTCTTTGCAGTGTGTACCATATTTGAAACTGATAATTTATGAATTGGAACTGATGCCGGCTCTGTCAATTTTGACAAAGCATGAGTTATATCAGCAGTTTCTATAAAAAGAACAGAAATAAATATAAATTATATCACCAACCTCAGCAGGTGAAAGTGATGAACAAATTGATGATTATATAGAATATTTTACTCATTCTTTTTACTAGTGTTACATGGTCTTGGAATTATAAAATATTAATATACATGTTCAGCTTTATGTGCAAGCATGAGTGACAATGGTGTCACACAAATTATTTCTCCCTAGGAGACTTCAAAATTTAACCTCTAAAACTCTGCTTTTCAAAATATTTTACATTTTTGGTGGAAAGAACTTATTAAATGCCTTTAATGTCTTAACAAGCACTGGGTACAGCCTGGAAAGGAACTGTAGCTGTCTAGTCCATCAAAACTTGATTATCCAACTTAATTCAAAATGAGAAAACAGATGAAAAGTTGCTGAAAAATGTGCCAAGGAAAAACAGTAAGACATTTGAAAGTAATGTTAAAAAAAAATGTAGGTTACCTTTGCCTTCTTCCTCAAATGCAGATCGTCCAAGAATCTCATCAGTTGACTCCTTTCGACGGCAAATTTTAAAAAATTCAGTGACAAAATCACCTATGTAGGAAAAAAAGTTATTTTTGACACTTAACTGAAAAAAAAAAAAATCAGTCCTATAAATTAAAGTACATCTTTCCACAAAAGCTATTAACTAAGATATGGTAGAAAGTAAAACCATTCAGTTTTTCCATTGAAAAAAACAAAAATTAATCCTATATCAAAGGTAGCCTTGTTCTTTTCTTTCTCTCCATGTCCCAGGATATTTAAAAAGCTTTTCCTTAGAATTCCATCTAGAAGGAAAGAAAAAAATAACTGTACCTAATAGTACTTACTATATGCCTCAATGAGACACAGTATCCATTTGTCATTAAGTTATGTAAGTAACAAGAACTTACTCTAAGTATGTAGTAATCTTTCCCCAACTGCTACACTACTAGAATCTAAATCCATTAATAAAATTAAGAAGAAACGCTAAAGACATGTTTCTAGAAGATTAGGAAATCATGTAGGATAAAGATATTTCAGTTTCTGCTACATATTAATGGTATTCTTTCCGTCATTATTACTATTATTTTTTATTTATTTTATTTTTTTTTTTTTGAGACAGAGTCTCGCTCTGTCGCCCAGGCTGGAGTGCAGTGGCGCAATCTCGGCTCACTGCAAGCTCCACCTCCCAGGTTCACGCCATTCTCCTGCCTCAGCCTCCCAAGTAGCTGGGACTACAGGCACCCACAACCACGCCTGGCTAATTTTTTGTATTTTTAGTAGAGACGGGGTTTCACTGTGTTAGCCAGGATGGTCTCGATCTCCTGACCTCATGGTCCGCCCGCCTCTGCCTCCCAAAGTGCTGGGATTACAAGTGTGAGTCACCGCGCCCGGCCCATTATTACTATTATTTTTGAGACAGGGTCTTACTCTGTCGCCCAAGCTGGAGTGCAGTGGCACGATCATGGCTCACTGCAGCCTTGACCTCCTAGGCTCAGGTGATCCTCCCACCTCAGCCTCCTGGGTAGGCTGGGACTACATGTGTGCATCACCATGCCCAGCTAATTTTTGTATTTTTTGTAGAGACGAGGTTTTGCCATGTTGCCAAGGCTGGACTCAAACTCCCGGGCTCAAGCAATCCACCTGCCTCGACCTCTCAAAATGCTGGGATTATAGGCATGAGCCATTGCACCCAGCTGTCTGTCATATTATAAACAGAGGTAAAGCGATTTGAATCTTCTGAACAGCTACAATGTTTACACAAATAAATGAATGCTTAACAAATACTATCAGTACTAAGATACATCAAGTACATCTAAATTTTATAATTCACCAACTAATTCTGAATTAACCCATAACTTTTTTGAGGCTTCTTCAGAAAGGTAGGAAAAGTCTATAATCTAGTCATACAAAATATTAAAAGAGGTAGGGTAAGATCATGGAACGTTAAACTAAAATGAGAATACTTTCAATTCTAAGGTCCTCAGCAATTACCATACAGTAACAAGATGAGGAATAATAATGTTACTAAGAAGCAACTTAGTACGTAAACATAATATGTAGTAATTCAACGATTAAACAACAGAAACCATTTACTGTTCATTTACTATAACAAAGGCACTGTTAAAAGTGATATATACACATACATACAGGTACATAATCTCATTTGATCCTCCCAATAACCCTATGAAGTAAGTACTAGTGTTATCTCTATTTTATTTATGAGGACTCTGGGGCTTAAAAAGATTAAGAAACTTGACCAACCTGGTGAATCCAGGATTTGAACTGAGGTCTGTCCAACTGTAATACTCTTGACATTGACCCTATACTGTTGCCCTAACACCCTAGACAAATTCACCAATGGTGGACTTATACCTTATACATCTTTGTATTCACTATTATATAGTTAGCACAAATGGCAGCTACTAATCAGCATTTGACAAATAGCATATGAATGATAAAGAGCCCAAGAAAACAATGCTTTAGAGAAATGCATCATTACTGTCATAATAAATCTTTGGTAACTCCATCAGTTAAATGGTAATATATCAAGTGATAGAGAGTTAAGGTAGCATGGATGAACATAAAGAAAAGGAGAAAATATTTTCATGTGTACTAAATATAAGGAGGAAAAAGATGACAAGGCACACTGAGGAGATGGGTTCAAAAGACTTCATGGAAGAGATACACCTAAAAAAAGGGAAGGGGACGAATCCCAGACATAAGACACAATAATATTATCTGAATAGCAATTAATATTTTTCAAAGTACTTCCATTTGTGTTATTTCACTTGATCCCTCAAATAACCTTGTGAGGTGTATAAGATTATTCACATTTCTTTTCCCATATCAGAAAATAGGCTGCAGATGTGACACAACTCTATAGAAGGGCTCTAAAGCGCACCGTCAAAAACAGTGCTCTTCAGGTCGGGTGCGGCGGCTCACGTCTGTAATCCCAGCACCTTGGGAGGCCGAGGCGGGCGGATCATGAGGTCAGGAGATCGAGACCATCCTGGCTAACACGGTGAAACCCCGTCTCTACTAAAAACACAAAAAATTAAAGGGCGTGGTGGCGGGCGCCTATAGTCCCAGCTACTCCGGAGGCTGAAGCAGGAGAATGGCGTGAACCCGGGAGGCGGAGCTTACAGTGAGCCGAGATCGCGCCACTGCACTCCAGCCTGGGCGACAGGGTGAGACTCCCTCTCAAAACAAACAAACAAACAAACAAACAAACAAAACAGTGCTCTTCAGATAACACACGTCTAGAGGGGCAACAAAAGGCAAAAAGGGCTTCAATAACAGAAATAGAAGATGCAGACTATGCCACAGGAGGAAGGAAAGGGAGTAACATAAAAGCATCCGGAAAAAAAAAAAAAAAAGAAAAAGCATCTTAAGGCCGCGCGGTGGCTCATGCCTGTAATCTCAGCACTTTGGGAGGCCGAGGCGGGCGGATCACGAGGTCAGGAGATCAAGACTATCCTGGATAACACGGTGAAACCCCGTCTCTACTAAAAATACAAAAAATTAGCCAGGCATGGTGGCACACGTCTGTAGTCCCAGCTACTCGGGAGGCTGAGGGAGGAGAATCACTTGAACCCGGGAGGCAGAGGTTGCAGTGAGCCGAGACATGCCACTGCACTCCAGCCTGACAGAGACTCCGTCTCAAAAAATAAAAAATAAATAAAAAAAAGTAAATAAAAGCATCAGAAACATAAAGCTGAGATAATGAGAAAATAATGGAGAATTTGCTGGCACTATTCAAAAAAGGATTCACTGCTATTGGCAATGATTTTTTTCCTACATGGTGTTAACTGAAGAGGTGACAAAGTATAAAGAATGTATGCAGTGTCTCCGATTTGGAAGTTAGGCAGATCAGCAGTATTTCAGGAAAGGAGCATAATATACCTTACCTAGCAAACACTGAGGATTCTCAGCTTTTCGAACTCTAACAGACCAATGTGGAGCTTGAATAGGATCCAAATCACTAAAATGCAAACCAATAAATATAAAATCCTAATTATGACAATCTGCAAGATTCATGAACTTATTAAAATGCAGTCTAATGAAAACATAGAAGGACAAGCAATCCATTTAGCCTCCCTTAAACTTACTCTTATCCAGATACATGGAGCCATTTGGATAAGTTTTTAAAAAATAACATCATAAGAAATCAAAGTCCTTAGACAATAAAACACAAAAGGGAACACTAAAATCAAAACAAAATAATAAAAAATGCATATAAAAATTACTAGCAATTTGAGAGTTATTCTACTGAAGTTTTTTAATCTCAGTGTACTACTACTCTTAACATACTTACGAATAAACATCATTATCCACAATGATCCCTTCGGTCAGATGAGGCCATGTAGTAGCTAAATGGAGTTCACTAAAAAACATAAAATATACCCAAAAGCTTTAATACTGACTCAGCAATTATATTTAATACTTCTAGAAAACTATACCAAGGAAATAAAAGTATGTTACAGTGGCATTATTTATAATACAACATACTGGAAACAACTTATTTAGCAAATGGTAGCACATCCTTATGAAGTTAATGTTTTGCAAACATTCATCTCATTATACATAATAGCCAAAAAGCATAAATAACCCACCAACTAATGAATGGATAAACAAAATGTGGCATATCCATACAATGGTATATTTACAGCCATAAAAAGCACAGAAGTACATTAGTTCCTCCTTATCCACAGCTTCACTTTCTGCAGCTTCAGTTACCCTAAATCAACTGCAGTCTGAAAATATTAAGTGAAAAATTCCAGAAAAAAAATCCATAAATTTAAAGTTGCATGTTGTTCTGAGTAGCATGATGAAATCTTGTGCCATCCCACCCCATTAGGTGAATCATCCCTTTGTCTAGTGTACCTACACTGTCTATGCTACCTGCCCTGTTAGTCACTTAGTAACTGTCTTGGTGATCAGAGTGATCACAAGAAGAGTGTGCATAGTACAATGAGATATATTGAGAGAGACAGATCACATTCACATAACTTTCATTAAGGTATATTGTTATAGCTGTTCTATGTTATTATTAGTTATTATTGTCAATCTCTTACTATGCCTCATTTACATTTATTTATTTATTTTGTATTACATCACCTGGAAATCTTACTGTGCCAAATTTATAAATTAAATTTTACTACTTATCTGTATGCACAGGAAAAATATTTAGTGTGTGGTACTATCCATGTTTTCAGTCATCCACTGGGGATCTTGCAACATACCAGCTGTGGATAAGGGGGTACTACTGTACTGATTCATGCTACAACATGGACAAACCTTGAAAACATGCTAATTAAAATAAGTCAGACACAAAGAAAGCCACATGTTATATGATTCCATTTATAAGAAATGTCCAGAATAGGTAAATCCAAAGAGACAGAAAGTATATCAGTGTTTGCCTAGAGCCGGAGGGCTGAGAAGACTAAGGGGAAATGATGGCTAAGAGGTGAAGAATTTCTTTTTAAGGTTATGAAAATGTTCTGGAATTAGATGATTATGATGGTTGCACAGCTCTGTAAATATTAAAATACCATTGAATTGTACACTTTTAAATAGTGAATTTTATGGCAGGTAAATTATATCTCAAGTTTGAAAAATGTTATAAATCAGGAGTTGGCAAACATTTTCTATAAAGAGCCAGAGAGTAAATATTTTAGGTTTTGTGAACCATGCACAGTCTCTATTTTATTTTTTTTCTTTCATAACCTTTAAAAATGTAAACACCATCCTGACTTCACTGGCCATACAAAAATAGGCTAATGGCCAGATTTGGCAAAGGACACAGTTTGCTGAGTTATAGATGAATATCAAATCTCAGAAAGTTTTCATGTAAAATTATAAAATAAATAAAGCAAGTGTAGGTCTTTCTTTCTTTTTTTGAGACGGAGTCTTGCTCTGTTGCCCAGGTTGGAGTGCAATGGCGTGATCTTAGCTCACTGCAACCTCTGCCTGCCGGGTTCAAGTGATTCTTGTGCCTTAACCTCTTGAGTAGCTGGGATTACAGGTGTGCGCAACCACACCCAGTTAATTTTGACATTCTTTAGTAGAGATGGGGTTTCGCCACGTTGGTCAGGCTGTTCTCGAACTCCTGACCTCAGGGGCTGCCCACCGCAGCCTCCCAGAGCGCTAGGATTACAGGCATGAGCCTGTGCCCAGCCCAGGTGTACGTCTTTCTTTATTTCCAGTACTACATTCATCCCAGCAAGCTATAGCATCATAAAGCACAGTGAAATCAATATCAATATAAATTCAAAGTAAAATATTCCCACAATTCAAATGACAGGTTGAAATTCTCACCTAATAGGATCTTCGCAGGCACCAAATGGTAACTTGCCAAACTCCAAGCCTCCAACTTCTCCTCCTACAAGGGCATCTATGTCTAAACAAAAGAAATATTTTTCCATCATTTGGGAAAAAATAAAGAAGAGTCTAATCTAGTTAAGCCCTTTGGAATATCATAGCTTTAAAAGTGTCTGCAAGAGAACACATGTAGCAAGTTAGCAAGTTAGACCAACTTACAGCATATGTAGTCTAACAATATTTGACTTCCCCAGAGAATGTTACAGTAAAAGGGCACACTTATTTCCTATTTATCCAGTATTTCATTCAGGCCAGGTATTCTAAATTTTGCCCTTCTGAAATATTCCTTAAATATTACTCAAGAGAATATTATTTCTGTACATTTTTTTGCATTTTTAAAGAATGTAATTAGTATAACCCAAAAAGAGTATCCAAGTATTTAAAAATCACCAACTACATTAATCAGTTTTGCTATCAGTAATTTCTGAATAGGAAATTAGTATATTTGTCGTCATTAATAACATTATATTTTGGTTGATAGTAAATGGAAATATATAAAGATCAGAAAAGAACCTCCTTTCCATTACGAATGGCATACTAGACTGGAAGAGAACTTAGAGGGTAAATCATTCCCTTAGTTCTATCTCTCCTGAGGAAGTAATAAGCATTTCTAAAAGGCATCAAAAGGATTTTTTTCTCTTTGAAATAATACAAATTGTGATATTTAATTATTCACACTATACTAGGATTTCCTGAAATTAAAGCCTACTGAGTTAACAAAACTTCCCATATTTGCTAAAATCACATCTGATATTTATCTACATCCTAAGTAAATGATTAAAATTAGTCATCAAATATGAATCAATTACTTGATTCAGTAAATTTTCTCAAGTCAATTCCATTTTTCCAACTAAAGAATGCTTATAATAAGAAAGATCACAATGACTAGCATTGTTACAAGTGAGTTTGTAAAAGCTTCAAAATTACAAGCACATTTTTATAATTAGTAAATTAAAAATTATTACTAAAATATAACTGTACAAAAGTTTTAGCTGAATTAAAAAGGGAGAAGCAACTCGTGGAATGAAAAGCACATCGGACTTGGAGTTTGACTAGTGTTTGTATGCAAACTTTATCACTTGGTGACCATATGACTTTAAGCCAGTTACATGGGTTAAGAAACTTACATCTCTAAGAAAGACAATACTTGTCTTGGGCTGGGCACGGTGGCTCAAACCTGTAATTCCAGCACTTTGGGAAGCTGGGGAGGGTGGATCACCTGAGGTCAGGAGTTCGAGACCAGCCTGGCCAACATGGTGAAACCCCATATCTACTAAAAAATACAAAAATTAGCCAGGCGTGGTGGTGCATACCTGTAGTCCCAGAGACTCAGGAGGCTGAGGCTGAGGCAAGAGAATCGCTTGAACCCAGGAGGCAGAGGTTGCAGTGAGCCAAGATCATGCCACTGCACTCCAGCCTGGGTGACAAAGCAAGACTCTGTCTCAAAAAACAAAACAAAACAAAACAAAAGATAATAATAATTGTCTCACAGGTAAGTGAAAATTATACAAAATGGGATATAAAATATGAAAAGCACAGTATCTCATCCATATTATATGTTCAGTCCCTTCCCCCTTATAAAGGAAAATGTTAAGAATTTATATGGCTTTCAATCTACTGAGGGAGAAGGTTAATATTTTTAATCCCCATTTTAAAAACCTGACAATAGAAGATTAACAAAGACCTTATTGGCAATCTTATAATGCTAAGGTTCTAACTCTTGGGCTTCTTCACAGATCACGAGCAGACCACACTACCTTAGGAAATCTTTAAAACTGCTTTATAAGAGAGTAGCCTTGGAAGGAAAAAAAAGGAAGATAAGAATGGAAACTTCTAACCAGACATAGACTGTAAATTGTCCAGTGGGTACTGTTACCTGGGAACTAAAACTACCAACACAAACATTTGAGTGTTTCTTCTGATATAAATCTAAAGCTTAGCTTTTATTTCTCTGTTGTAGTCTAGATACGGTCCTTTTAGTGTACATTAGAGTTGAAAATTATTTTGTGGTATATAAAATAAAATAGTAGTAGTACATATAACTGCCAAAAGCTAAGGATATATTACATTAATTTTTTTTCTTTTTTTTTTGAGACAGGGTCTCACTCTGTCACCCAGGCTGGAGTACAGTGGCGCAATGTCAGCTCACTGCAACCTCCGCCTCCCAGGTTCAAGGGATTCTCCTGCCTCAGCCTCCAGAGTAGCTGGGATTATAGGCTCCTGCCACTGCACCTGGCTAATTTTTGTATTTTTAGTAGAGACAAGGTTTCACCATGTTGGCCAGGTTGGTCGTGAACTCCCGACCTCAGGTGATCTGCCTGCCTTGGCCTCCCAAAGGGCTAGGATTACAGGTGTGAGTCACCGTGCCCGGCCTGTATTATATTAATTTTTATATCATCTCATGCCTACCAATTTTTTCAATCCTATAAATAGCCAACTATTTGGAACAAAAATAAACAGTAAAGAATATTAGTTTATTTTATTTCTCTTTAGGAGAAGTAGATTAAAAAACGTTTTCAGGCTAGTAAAATTCTTATATTTTAAAAGTTTGTATTATATTCCTTATTAGATGTGCTTTAATATAATCAAACATGTGAAAGAAACACCCAGGAATCAAAATATTATTTAGGATATATGTCCATGAAACTGAGCTTTTCTAGAACTTAGGTAATGTGTTGCTCATATTGCTGTCTTAGCACCGCCTAGTCTCAGGTTAATAATTAATAATTGTTGAATGAATCTGTTTATCAAGGGTAAGCAGGCAAATTGATTTTGATTATATTTCTATAACATACAAGTTAATTATTATTTTTCCCCTACATATATTTTTCTTCTCTGCTTTCCTTGTTTAGCCCCCTTTCTTGAAACATTACTCTCTTTAAAGCTTTTTGCATGAGTGTTCTCAGTTTATGAGGGTGAGCTGAGAACAGCTCTTCTCTCATAATAGTCTAAAAACAGACATGTTAATCATTCGCTACATAGTAATTTATGGCACATGATGTGCCACAGCAAGGGGTGCCTTATAAATAAGGCTTTCAAAGACAGATTGTCAAATATAGAGTAATACTATCTCTAGAAAACCTACAGTTTTTCTTCAAGAGAAAAAAAATAAGGGCAATGAAAGCAATAATATTACATTTAAAATGAATCACAAATATTTCTAATGTAAAACACTTGAAACTCTTGTTAAGTAATTTTAATTTCTGAATGTATCTTCTTTTCCATTTATATTCAGTAAGTTAAATATAGTTCTAAATGATCTCACCTGGAGGTTGCTGAGGCCAAAAATACTGCTGCCAATCTTGAAGTACATAGGTAAATCGAATAGCAATACTAACTGGAGGCAATGGAGTTAAAGGACATCCCTAGGAAATACATGCAAAGACAATACCGTGTAAATGCTGGTACCCTTTTCATATTAATTCAACATCAAAATTTCAAACTTATGGAATGGATTAATACTACCTTTATGAAACCTGGATTTTCAGATTCTAGTGTTAAACAATAGTGTGCATATTCTAGTTATTAAAAACATGATATTCTAGCCATTCCAAAGGAAAAATAAGTCACCGAAGTCATTAGAGCCAAAGATGCAAAATTTAGGAAATCCTTTTCACAGAAGAAATTCTCACAGTCCAAAAGCTCAAGAGGTGGATCAGGGATGAACAGGAGGAAAGATCCCATAGTAAGGAACAGCAGTGGCAATTGTGAGACTGAATTTTAAAAAATGGAAAAGTAAACTTTCCAAAGAATCACTGTATTTTTGTCCACATATTTGTGTGTACAGAAGGATTTCCATAATTTCTGCATACTGCTTCCACAAATGTTTTCATTTGATGTAGCTAAAAAAAAGTTTCAAAAACAATGCCATAGCTTTAAAATAAAGCTGTTTAAACTGCTATTAGAAAAAGAGATATTACATTCTATTAAGCAAAATGCTCTTTAAAGTATCTTTTACTATTTTAATCATAAAATACCATTTCTTACTATTCACTTCAGACATATTAAATGTGAAAAAAAGGTGATTCATTTTTCAAATAAGTAAAAGTATTATAAAGCATAAGACTTGGTTTGGGGAGAGGATGTCTTTTCTTTTAAATGAAAATAAACTCAAATTAAAGCCACCCTTGAATATTTAACCAAAATTTCAGACTAAGAGAAATGAATGATCACTCACACAAAATAGATTAATGAATCAGCTAACAAAAGAAAACTTAGATTTATCTGTCAATTCACTAAAAATCACAAAACTTAATACTATCATTTAAACATCCTATGACCTCAGCTTCCCTTCATAATGCTTAATCTAAACTAATATAAAATAGGACTTAAATATGCATAGGAATCACCTAGGGAACTTGTGAAATGCAGATTCAATACTCTTCTGCATATCTAACCAGTTTCCAGATGCTGCTGTTCAGGAGACTACACTTTGAGTAGCAAAGGAATACATGACATTTACATTTAGCTCAGCAGCAGCATCTATAAATGTCACTAGTAGCTTTAAGAACACAAACTCAATTTGAAGTCACAATAGTAGACAGCTGCTCCCAAAAAACCTAATTCAGTTTTGGGCTCCTGTGCCCAACAGCAAGGTGAGATTTTGGCTGGTCAGTATATCAACTTTTTAGTCATGTCCAGATATCAAATGAGCATTCACCTATAATAAGGAGCAAATGTTCTAGAAGCCATAACAAGGCCACTTTGACACATAACCTCTGATCCAGTCACACAGATAAATACAAAAACAGATACCCAGAAAAGAAATAATTATGGCCAAGCGCAGTGGCTCACGCCTGTAATCCCAGCACTTTGGGAGGCCAAGGCGGGTGGATCATTTGAAATCAGGAGTTCAAGACCAGCCTGGCCAACATGGTGAAACCCCATTTCTAATAAAAATACAAAAATTAGCCGGGCAGTAGTGGTGCGCGCCTGTAGTCTCAGCTACTTGGGAGGCTGAGGCAGGAGAATCGCTTGATCCCGGGAGGCAGAGGTTGCAGTGAGCCAAGATCGTGCCACTGCACTCCAGCCTGGGTGACAGAGTGAAGCCCTGTCTCAAAAAAATAAGGACAGAAGGAAGGAAGGAAGGGAGGGAGGGAGGGAGGGAGGGAGGAAGGAAGGAAGGATTAGGATGAAAAATGATGGAAATATCTTTGTGGACCCTGGAGGATAAGTGGGGTTCAAGGCACATGCCTTGAGGTGTGGAAGGCGGCACTGACAACCTAGGATGAAACCAAAAGGGCTCAGTCCAGTGTGAGGGCATTGCAAGATTCTCTGCTTAAGCCAGACACTGGGACATGTCACTCCTGCTTGGCACAATGGCTTTATCGGAAGGTATGGGACTGGAGGTTATTGTGTGAGGGGAAAAAACCCTCACCCACATGTGGTGAGCAAACAACCCAAGATTCTAAGACCAGTTATCAAAATCCCCAACATTACTACAGAGCAAGAGACTCCAAACACTATTTTAAGACCTAATTCTGAAATATTCTGCAGGTAGGGAGTAACCATAAAACTACAGAATCACTAGAGAGGATGGATGGGAGTGAACATTAAAAATTTAAAATGAAACTCATTCAAAATGAGCCTACAAACTAAATTTCCCAAAACATAAAAAAGTAGTTCTAAAAGAGACAAATATCCAAATCAACAGTCATGATATAATACCATAAAATGTAAAGAACATCTCAAGAACTAAGAATGTCTAAGATGAAAAAGAAAAGATGAAGTTATGAAAGTTTTCAAATATTTAGAGGATTATGGCAGAAGAGGATTAAACTTAAGAACCCAAACCAGCTCTTAAGTTCAATTCTCTCAAATCAATTTTGAGAGATGTTTCTTATCAGAAAAGTAAGTTTTAGGTTTGTCAGATGATGAGATAAACTGATTAAAAACTTTTTTTTTTAACTACTGCTAATAAATAGCCAAGATGTAAGTTGGGTTCCACAGATCAATGTAGTCCCTAGCTTCAAAAAAGAGATGTGACATAAAAGATCTGAAGATCATATTCATTAATGATTTCTTAAGAAGAAGGACTAAGGCCCAGCGCGGTGGCTCATGCCTGTTATCTTGGCACTTTGGGAGGTTGGGCAGGCGGATTGCTTGAGCCTAGGAGTTGAAGACCAGCATGAGCAACAGGCTGGTCTCTACAAAAAATACAAAGATTAGCTGTGTGTGGTGATACACACCTATAGTCCCAAATATTCAGGAGGCCGAGGTGGGAGGAGTCAGTGACCCCAGGAGGTCGAGGCTGCAGTGAGCTGTAATCACGCCCTACACTGCAGCCTGGGTGACAGAGTGAGACTCTGTCTCAAACAAAAAAAGAAGAAGAAGAAGAAAGAAGAAGAAGAAAGAAGAAGAAGAAAGAAGAAGAAAGAAGAAGAAGAAGAAGAAGAAGCAGAAGAAGCAGAAGAAGCAGCAGAAGAAGCAGAAGCAGAAGAAGAAGCAGAAGAAGAAGAAGCAGAAGAAGAAGCAGAAGCAGAAGAAGCAGAAGAAGAAGCAGAAGCAGAAGAAGCAGAAGCAGAAGAAGCAGAAGCAGAAGAAGAAGCAGAAGCAGAAGAAGCAGAAGCAGAAGAAGCAGAAGAAGCAGCAGAAGAAGAAGCAGAAGAAGAAGCAGAAGAAGAAGCAGAAGAAGAAGAAGCAGAAGAAGAAGCAGAAGAAGCAGAAGAAGCAGAAGAAGAAGAAGAAGCAGAAGAAGAAGCAGAAGAAGCAGAAGCAGAAGCAGAAGCAGAAGAAGAAGAAGAAGAAGAAGAAGAAGAAGAAGAAGAAGAAGAAATAAAGTATTGATATTTCCATGTGACCAGAAACTTGATCTAAAAATTTTAAATATAATTGAAGACTTCTGGTGAGAGCAAAGGAAAACTAATGGAGAAGATACTAATAAATACTTGCCTTTTTCAAAAATTTCCCAAACTATATGTGGAATTAAGCAGTACCTATAGCACTTCAGAGCCCAGAAGGTTTTTGAAAAGAAAATTACATATATACACGGAATTCTCTAAAATAGAAGCACCTGTAATTTTTCTAATGGAGATAATCACAAGCCACTGCTAACAGTTGTCATTTTGAGGAGACAGGCAGAGAGGTAAAAGGAAGCTTTTACTCTAATTTCCTAATCTCGTAAATGCATTATTTTTTTTTTAATATCAAAGGGATTTATCTAGTTAGTAATAATCCTACCAGTACACTATTTAGGTCCTCAACATTAAAAACATATTTTTATGATTAAATTCTAATCCTAAATATCTTTCTAACAAATGTTATCTATTTAAAAAGAAATTTCAGCAATTTTTTCTTATAATTCTTTTTCTTTTGAAAATTCTCAAACCTTCAGAAAGATTGGAAAACTAGTATAATGAACACCCATATGACTTTCACGGAGTTCATAATTATTAACACTTTGCCACACATACACATATTATGCATATGACATTTTTTTGGCTGAATCTTCTGAAAAAGGCAGGCATCATAACAAATCACCCTTAAATACTTTAGCATGTAATTCCTAAGAACAAGGACATTAGTCTATACAACTATAATACAATTATCACACTCAATAAATTAAACATTGATACTATTTTCTAATATACAGTCCATATTAAAATCATCCCAATTGTCCCAATAATGTCCTTACTGGCTATTTTGTTTTGAAAAAGGATCCAATCAAGAATCATGTGTTGCATTTAGCTGTCAGGTTCCATTTTCTCCTTAAATCTGAATTGCTTCCAGCCTTTATTTTGCCTATCATGATACTGACCAGTTACTGTTGCAAAACATGGCTCACTTTGAAAATATGTGATTGCTTCCTCATGTTTTGATTTACAGTATGTTAAACATTTTGGCAGGAATGCCACATATATAATTATATATCATAATTAATATATTTATTTATAATCGATATACTTCATTGTAATATACATATAATCAATATCCTAATCAATATACTTAATATTTAAGTGCTAAAGCTGCCACTATCTCACTTAAGTGGCCAAATGTGACTAATAGCCATCACACGACACATGATGTCAGTTTATTAATCAACTGTGAGATAGTGAGATAGTGTCATGTTTAGCACTTAACATACTCCAAATTTAAATCAGCATCCTAATAACCTAAGAGTAATATTTCTCTAAGTAGAGGATCCCTTCCACTATTGGTTATCTAGCTTTCTCTGTTTTCTAGAGGTATTCACAAACAGCTCCTCAACTTAAGCCCTCATCAGCCCCATTCCCCCCAACCCCACAGAGCAGCACAGGCAAGTCCTCCATAGCTATAGACAGTGTTGTTATAGAATATAAGAATATATTTAGCATGTCCCATTTAGCCCTGCTGCTCTCAGGCCTAGGATATAAGCCAGATTAACCTTGAAAATTAAATCAAATAAAGATTTGGGGGAAAAAATGCAATTCAGAACCCAAAGTGTTTAGACCTTAAGGAGCTCATAGTCAAATGCTTCAAATGCTCAAACAAGCAGCTACCTGAGCCCCATTAAGCTTAGGAGACTGGCAATATTACCAATAGAGGACAAGGAGTAGAAGAGATAACACAGTCAATAAATGCTAACAGACTGAACAAACAAACAGACAAATCAGTTGTTGCTTTAGCATGAGTACACTAAAAATACAATTGGATATTTTGTTTCTTAGAAATTACAAAGTAATTTATGTAGTCACTTATAGCTTTCTTCTAAGCAATTACATTATCAATATTATAGAGAAATGTTTCTATATGCTGAATAAAATGATCAAATCTCTACTTTTATCTGGATCTCAGATAAGACTGACAATATCAATCCCAACTCACAATCTTTGATTTGAAGATATCCAGCAGACCTGATAAGTGAGTGTACTGATTTGGCACTTTTCTAAGATGAACCATTTCGAAATCAGTTCGTACACCAGGACCTTGACATTCTCCTACATACATTCTTCGCCATTTGTGGTGAATTTGCACAAAGAGTGGCACCTGACTGCAAGACATGATTAAATAGGAATGGAATACAAGCTCATTAAACATTAAACCTGAACCTCAAATTTTTTCCAAATTATTTTAATCTCAAGAATTTGAAAGCACTAAACTGGAAACACAACAAAAACACAGGTTTGTGTGTATAACAAAGACATTCTTAGTTCCTTTTTCTCCTTACAATACCAAACTGAAGAAACTATCATCTAGAAGTACTTTGATTAGTCTGAAAATTGTTTTAGAACAGCTAAAAGTCAGAAAACATCAGAATGAAAACTGTCTTGAGTAAAAGTGATTATTTCATATTAGTCTTTCCAAAGTGATAATAAAACCTAACTTACAGGTATTAAACAATATAAATTAAGCCAATATTGTGGTGAAATATTTTTCACATCATTTAAAGATAAAGTAAGGCTCCCAAGCACAAGAAGGTTGTGATGTGCCTTAGAGAGAATACGTGTTAACACACGTATTTTCCCAGAAGCATCATTCATGCACAAGTTACATTGCTTTTGGCTACAAGTTCAATGTTAATGACTCAACAATGTATATTAAATAAGCTATCTTTAAACAGAAACACACATAAAAGAAGGTTATGTATTAACTGATTGACAAAAAATGTGACCAGAGGCTCGAAGGAACCCAAGTCTGTATTTCTCCTAGGAGAAACAGATGAGGAATTGATAACTCAGTGTTTGTGGCAACTTTATAGCACATAACTACCTTAAATAACAAGAAAGGATTGTACAAATATATCCCCAAGTTAATAATCCTACATTAGTAAATATTCTAGCAAAATTATTCACTTAGGATATACCATGGAGTACATCCACTAAAATAAATTAATTCTTCCCCAGTAGATTTAGAGTATCATAGTCTATTCGATATGCAAATGAAATACAATTCAAAATAGCAGAATAGTGATTAAACAAATTTCATTTTCTTAAATACTTCCATTTAAGAATAGGGCCTAAAGGTACTGAAAATTAACTTTTAAAAAAGTTATTCCAGATATACATTGAATTGTTTCAGGAAGATTACCTTTAGAAATGGCTTCCATTTAGGTTTTATTAGTTTTGTCCTTATATACCAAATTCCAGTATAAAAACATGCAGATATATTGTTAAAAGAAAAATTTTCAACTAATTAAACTTAATGGAGTTTACTTAAGACTGGGCACAGTCGCTTACACCTATAATCCTAGCATTCTGGAAGGCCGCGGCGGGCGGATCATCTGAGGTCAGGAGTTCAAGACCAGCCTGGCCAACATAGTGAAACCCCATCTCTACTGAAAATTTAAAAAATAAAAATAAAAATTAGCCAAGGGTGGTGAACACCTGTACTCCCAGATACTCGGGAGGCTGAGACAGGAGAGTCGCTTGAACTCAGGAGGTGGAGGCTGCAGTGAGCCCAGACTGTGCCACTGCACTCCAGCCTGGGCAACAGAGCAAGACTACGTCTCGAAAAAAAAAAAAAATTTTATTTGAGCAAAAATGAGTTGAGAATCACATAGTCTTCAGAACCAGTGGAGGTTCAGACAGATCAGCTCTGTAAGGTGGGCAGGCAGCATTTATAGACAGAAAATGGAAGTAAGGTACAGAAACAGCTTGATTGGTTACAGCTCGGAGTTTGCTTCATTTGTGCATGCTCTGATCAGTTGCCCTGTGATTGACTGAACCTCAGCTGCTGTGACTGGCTGGGACTCAGTTAATTGTTCCAAAAGTATACTCCTAAATTAAGCTTTCAGTTTGTACACGGAATAAGTTAGGTAGCAGTTCTTTAAATAGGGAGCGGATACAGAGGTAACCTCAAGTCAAATTTAGTTTAACAATATATATGCACTAAGTTCCTAATTACAGTTAAAAAGCTAACATTTAATAACTGTTTGCCTTCATAAATTATTGTTAAAAACAGTTTTTTTGTCTAGGTTTTAAAAAATGTCCACTCACCAGCCAGTGTTTCCCAAGGCAATAGAAACAGAACTCAGAAGAAGGTTGCACTTAGATTCGCTGAGAACAGCGTCACTGTGTGCAGCAGGGGCAATCACCACGAACTCACGTAGCCCATACCTTAAAAAAAGAATTAACTGCATTAAACAGGGGAAACCTCAGAACACAAAAATCCATTACTTGAAAAGCACAAAAAAATTTCACTACAGAAAATTTAACAAGTCAGGTTTAAACTAAAAGTGTTTCTTTTAATGGCAACAGAACCTACAAGACCTCAACTTTAAGAAGCACTTCCATCATCCACCTACTAGTTCCCCTCTATTCTTTACAAATTAGAAACAATTTGCTGAAATCTAAATTTGATTCAGCTAAAATAGGCTCAGATATATTTGCGTGCCCATCTGTGTGTGTGTGTGTGTGTGTGTGTGTGTGTGTGAGAGAGAGAGAGAGAGAGACTTTGACAGTTGTAAATACTTTTTCCGCTTTGCCTACTTTATGTTGTATACCCATGTGTTTACTAACAAGTTGATCACATGGGTGTATTCATAAGACCACTGTAATATTGATGTTATTGTTGCCGCTTGAGAAAAAAAGGTCAACAGCTGATTCCTTAAAACAACTGTCACAGAATGGCTGGGCTGAGAACGCTGCCAAGAGCCCTGCAGCTGGTGGGAGAAGTGTCTGGTGGGAGAGGTGTGTGGTGGGAGAGGTGTCTGATGCCTCGGCCTGCTGCTTCACATCTCTCACTCAAGAGTTTCTTCTGGTTTCACACTTTTTAACCTCTCCGTGCTTTAGCAGCCGTGACCTTGCCTTCATTGCTTCATCCAGTGCAGGCCTGGGTTATTGAAGACACCAAAGTGTTTCTCTTTCAGCTTGAAAACCAGGCAGGTTTACACATGGGTTTCAGTGTATTTGCCTTTGAACCCTTAACTAAACTTTAGCCTTTTGGCTGGTATAGAATGTCTTTAGCTGGGGTGACCTGGGACGGTGTTGCGGTTTACCGTCTCCAGCTTCAGCCTTTCCAGAAACCCTTGTGGAAGGCAGTATCGGCTGTAGGTTTCATCATCATATTACAGTTTGAGGTCACCACTATTTGGGGGACAAGCTTGCGTCCTGCTGAGGGGCAGGGTTTTCAGCAGAGGGTCAGTGGTGGGGCTGGGCCATCGTGGAGGTGGCCCCAGGAGTTGTATGGCCATGCATATGGCCATGCTCTAACACATTCCGTGTGGTCTGCTCAGAGCTGGATGCCTCCTTTAGGCAAGGTTTACAGTCTATTTTCTAAAGTTTTAAGTATTTTTAAGAGGTATTGAGACTAATGAATATAATAGTTGAGTAATTTAAATGTTTATTTTTAATGGAAGGATTTTTACTAAAAAGAAGCTAATTGACATGGAAATGTCAGTGAAATTCCTTACCTACAAGGAAAGTAAACATTTTGTATCTAAGTAAACTATAATGTGCACATTTTAAGTATAAAGAAATCTGATATTTGAAAGAAAAAAAAGAAACAATTTGCTGAAATCACAAGGACCATTAAACAATAGTTTTGCCTTTAAAGTTAAGTTTACAAGATAAAAGAGGCAAGTATTGAAACTTTGCTTTAATGAACTGATACCACTAAGTCTGCAGATGAAGAAACTTTGACAGATTCCCTAAACTGCAGGAAAATTATCAGCAATGATGTATATGTCCTTTCTAAATGTGAGAACACAGTTTACTAAGTATCCTAATTAAAGAATTCTTGTGTTCTTTTACTCAATAACACATTAAAAAGGGGTTAAAAAATTATCATAAAGCAGCTTGATCTTGCTATGACATCTACATTAATTAAAACTTCTCATTCAGTTGCCATATCCTTTAAAGTCACAAATTTGCTGCCAAATTTTTATGAAAATAAAGTCAAACTGATTATCCTGTATACTGAAAATTCCTCTCCTATTCACTCTTTAATGTATTTATATTTAATATTTTTTAATAAAGAAAATAACTTATGAGAGATTTTACTCATTTGCCTAATTTATTATCTCTGGTATATAAAGAATTATTAATCCTTATTTTTATAAACATCCTCCTCAAGAAATGCCCCAAACAGGAGTAATGATTTAAAAAATTAAGTTTAATTCATAATGTTTATTATTTAGATGACAAAAACTTATTTCATTTCCTCACCCTACCTCCACCCTCCTAGCCCTGAAATCAAAATTAGTTATGCAGAGGCAGCATAAAATAATGAAAATAATCTAGAGCTTTAAAAATTGAGCTCTAAAGATCTTTGAAAAATAGTTTTCTTTTTTTCAAATGTCCCTGGAAGAAAGAAAACAAAACAAGTGAACATCCCCGTTCCATCCTCTGTACTTGTATAAAATCACTGTCAACAGTTTCTTGGTTATTCTTCCAGAAATGTTCCATTTATCTGCGTAACCACCCTACCCTCAAATACAATTATATTATTTGTATACACTTTGTAAAGCTTCTTTTCAAAAGTACAATCCCCTATTGATCAGTACTTTATTTCCAGTTTTATGCTGCTGCAACAATACTGCAACTGTTTTTCTACATCTATATCTCTATAATAAATTTCTAGTGGTTGCTGGATAAAAGAACATTTGCATTTTAACACTGATAGCTGTTGCTAACCTCCTTACTGTACACACACACAATGCCACTGTATACAAGCCATGAATAACAAGCCAAACTGAATTGCCATTTATCTGCAATCTACCTTCTATCCCCTAAGCCTTTCTTTCCTCTATCTATTGATAAAATGTCTCCCCCCATCCATTCTACTGCCATTACTAAATACACAAATCCTGACAAATTCTTTAAAGATTTACCTTGCCAGGTGTGGTGGCTCACACCTGTAATGCCAGTATCTTGGCAGGCCAAGACAGGAGGATCACTTGAGCTTAGGAGTTCAAGACCAGCCTAGGCAACATAGCAAGACCCACTCTCTACAAAAAATTGTAAAAATTAGCTGGGCATGGTGGAGAGCGCCTGTAGTCCCAGCAGCTTGGGAGGCTGAGGTGGGAGAACTGCTTGAGGCCAGGAGGTCAAGGCTGTAGTGAACCATCATCACACCACTGCACTCCAGCCTGGGAAGCAGAGTGAAACCTCATCTCAAAAAAAAAAAGGATTTACCTCAAATATCACTCTTGATAAATGTACTCTCTTCTTTATGATCTTTAAAATGTCAATATAAGTCACTACTTTTTCCCCAATAGGTCTACTTGAATCCTGAGACTATGTCTTCATCAAAAGTAAACTAACATTACGTGGGAGCTTTAAAAAAAAAATAAGCGAAAATCAACAACAACAACAAAAAACAACCAACCAGATTTTAAAATGGGCAAAGGACTTGGATGGATGTCACTCAAAAGAAAATACACAAAGGCCGGGAGCGGTGGCTCACACCTGTAATCCCAGCACTTTGGGAGGCCGAGGCAGGCGGACCATGAGGTCAGGAGATCGAGACCATCCTGGCTAACATGGTGAAACCCTATCTCTACTGAAAATACAAAAAAATTAGCTGGGCGTGGTGGTGGGCGCCTGTAGTCCCAGCTACTCAGGAGGCTGAGGCAGGAGAATGGCGTGAACCCAGGAAGTGGAACTTGCAGTGAGCCGAGATTGCGCCACTGCACTCCAGCCTGGTGACAGAGCAAGGCCCTGTCTCTTAATAAAAAATTAAAAAAAAAAAAAATTTTTTTTGGAGAGCAAAAGGGAAGAATATATCAATATTTAAAATGGACAAAACTCAAACGAATTACATATTTCTTTATATCTATGCTACAAAACCATTCATACAAATGCAAAAAGGTGTATGTACAGTGATTTTCACTATAATATTTTAATTTAATTGTAAAAATCTAGAAACAATCTAAATATTCTTCAATAGAGGAGTGGCAAAATAATTATGGTTACCACCACCAATACCACCACACACACACATAATAAAGAAATATTCTATATTCATGGATAGGAAGATAATATTATCAAGATATTAGTTCTTTCCAACTTCATCTACAGATTCAATGCAATCTCAATCAAAATCTCAGCAAGTTATCGTGAGGATATCCACAAACTGAGTTTAAAGTTCACAAGCAGAAGCAAAAAAAGACTCAAAGTAGCCAATAAAATATTGAAGAAGAAGAAAGTTGGAGAACTAACACTATCAAACTTCAAGCACTACTATAAAGCTACAGAAATCAATACAGTGTGGTAATGGCAAAAGAACAAATAGGGATCAATGGAACAGAATAGACAGCCTAAAAATAGACCCAGATAAATATAGTCAACTAATCTCTGAAAAGGAACAGAGGCAATACAATGGAGATAGTCTTTTCAACAAATGGTGTTAGAACAACTGGACATCCACATACAAAAAAATTAATCTAGATAGGCTTTACATTCTCCACAAAAACTAACTTAAAATGGATTACAGACCTGAATATAAAATGCAAAGTTATAAAACTCCTAGAACACAGAATAAAATCTAGATAACTTTGAGTTTGTTGATGACCTTTTAGATGCAACACCAAAGGCACAATCCAGAAAAGAACAAACTGATACGCTAGACTTCATTAAAATTAAAAATTTTTGCTCTGCAAAAGACACTGTCAAGAGAATGAAAGAGAAAACCATAGTCTGGGAGAAAATATTTGCAAAAGACATTTCAGATAGAGGACTGTTATCTAGAATCTACAGAGAACTCTTAAAACTCAAAAATAAGAACATAATCGAAGCTAAAAAAAAAAAAAAGCCCCAAAGACTTCAACCAGACACCTCACCCAAGAAGATATAAAGATAGCAAACAAGCGTATGAAAAGATGTTCCATATCACATGTAATCAGGGAAGTGAAATTAAAACAGTGAGAGACCACTACATACCTACTAGGGTGAGTTTCATTAATAAATCATTATATTTCCTACAATTTCTAGCCCAGTAACTTAAATTTATTAGGAGATCAAATGTATCAACACAAATTAAAATGTCACAATTGCACTTCTTAATGAAAGAACTGTTTCATCTGAATAACAGATTGCATATGTATACTAAATACTATATTTAAATATAAATGTGCTTTAGCATCCCATCCTCCAAATGAGAAAGGTAGGACAATCAACCATTCATTTTTGTTTTAAGATGCATTTTTCTTTCCTGTACCAATAAAGATCAAAAGTAACAACAACAAAAAGTTAACCAATATTTGATATATTTGTTGTTACTCTCACATAGGCAAATCATAAAACCATACCACTTATTTTGTGTAGTTTTTTTTTTTTTTTTTTTTTTTTTTTGAGATGGAGTTTCACTCTTCTTGCCCAGGCTGGAGTGCAATGGCACAATGTCGGCTCACTGCAACCTCCATCTCCCAGGTTCAAGTGATTCTCCTGTCTCAGCCTCCTGAGTAGCTGGGATTACAGGCATGTGCCACCACACCTGGCTAATTTTTTTGTATTTTTAGTAGAGACGGGGTTTCACCATGTTAGCCAGGATGGTCTCGATCTCCTGACCACGTGATCCACCCAAAGTGCTGGGATTACAGGCGTGAGCCACCGCACCCAGCCATACCACTTACTTTGAATGCTACCATTCTACAACTCTCACATATATTACCTTAGAAAGAAATAGATTAAGGACCTCTTTAAAAAAATGGTATAAAAAAGTTAAATATCTATCACTTACAAAAATACCTGGGTAACTGGAGGTGCTCAAACAATTCATTTTTTGAATTTATTTTTAGTAACTTTTTTAGATATTATAATACACATCTTTAATTTATAATCTATTCAGGTTATTCTAGTAAAATCTACCAATTTTATATAGTATAACTCCATTCCTTCCCCCTTCCTTTGTGCAATATTGTCATATATATTACATATTACATATGTTATAAACCCAACAATATAGTGCTGTCATTATTGCTTAAGCAATCTTACGCTTTTTTTAAATTATGAGAATATATTTATTGTATTTACTAGAGTATTTCCAATGCTCTTCATTCTTTTCTATGGATTCAAGTTACCCTCTATGTCTTTTAGTATTACTTGTAAGGCAAGGATGAATTCTGCCAATCTTTGTTTACATAAGAATGTCATTATTTCATCTTTATTTTTGAAATATAGTTTCACTGGATATAGAATTCTTGGTCAACAGTGGTTTTTTTTTTTTTTTCTCCCTTTCAGAACTTTGTGTCATTGCACTGCCCTCTGGCCTCCACTGTTTCTGATGAGAAGTCAGCCAAGGGTATTGTTCTCTAGTACATGAGAAGTCATTTTTCTCTTGCTGCCTATAAGATTTTCTTTCCATCTAAGGTATTCAGCAGGTTGCCCATACTATGTCTAGGGGTGGTTCTCTTTTGTGTTTATCCTACTTAAGATTCACTAAGACTTCCAGTTCTGAGTGTTTTTAATCAAATTTGGAAAATTCTCAGCCATTATTTCTTCACATTTGTTTTTCCTTTTTTTTTTCAGCTTGCTTTTTTTTTTACTTTTTTATTTTTTTATTTTTTTTTTTAGTATTTATTGATGATTCTTGGGTGTTTCTCGGAGAGGGGGATTTGGCAGGGTCATAGGACAATAGTGGAGGGAAGGTCAGCAGATGAACAAGTGAACAAGGGTCTCTGGTTTTCCTAGGCAGAGGACCCTGCGGCCTTCCGCAGTGTTTGTGTCCCTGGATACTTGAGATTAGGGAGTGGTGATGACTCTTAAGAAGCATGCTGCCTTCAAGCATCTGTTAAACAAAGCACATCTTGCACCGCCCTTAATCCATTTAACCCTGAGTGGACACAGCACGTTTCAGAGAGCACGGGTTGGGGGTAAGGTTATAGATTAACAGCATCCCAAGGCAGAAGAATTTTTCTTAGTACAGAACAAAATGGAGTCTCCTATGTCTACTTCTTTCTACACAGACACAGCAACAATCTGATTTCTCTATCGTTTCCCCACATTTCCCCCTTTTCTATTCGACAAAACCGCCATTGTCATCATGGCCCGTTCTCAATGAGCTGTTGGGTACACCTCCCAGACGGGGTGGCGGCCAGGCAGAGGGGCTCCTCACTTCCCAGAAGGGGCCGCCGGGCAGAGGCACCCCCCACCTCCCGGACGGGGCGGCGGCCGGACGGAGGCACCCCCCACCTCCTGGACGGGGCGGCTGGCAGGGCGGGGGCTGACCCCCACCTCCCGGATGGGGCGGCTGCCGGGCCGAGACGCTCCTCACTTCCCAGATGGGGCGGCTGCCGGGCGGAGGGGCTCCTCACTTCTCAGACGGGGCAGCTGCCGGGCGGAGGGGCTCCTCACTTCTCAGACGGGGCGGCTGCCGAGCGGAGGGGCTCCTCACTTCTCAGACGGGGCGGCCGGGCAGAGATGCTCCTCACCTCCCAGATGGGGTCGCGGCTGGGCAGAGGTGCTCCTCACATCCCAGACGGGGCGGCGGGGCAGAGGCGCTCCCCACATCTCAGACGATGGGCGGCCAGGCAGAGACGCTCCTCACTTCCTAGACAGGATGGCGGCTGGGAAGAGGCGCTCCTCACTTCCCAGACTGGGCAGCCAGGCAGAGGGGCTCCTCACATCCCAGACGATTGGCGGCCAGGCAGAGACGCTCCTCACTTCCCAGATGGGGTGGCGGCCGGGCAGAGGCTGCTATCTCAGCACTTTGGGAGGCCAAGGCAGGCGGCTGGGAGGTGGAGGTTGTAGCGAGCCGAGATCACGCCACTGCACTCCAGCCTGGGCAACATTGAGCACTGAGTGAACGAGACTCCGTCTGCAATCCCGGCACCTCCAGAGGCCGAGGCTGGCAGATCACTCGCGGTTAGGAGCTGGAGACCAGCCCGGCCAACAGAGTGAAACCCCGTCTCCACCAAAAAAATACGAAAACCAGTCAGGCGTGGTGGCACGTGCCTGCAATCCCAGGCACTCGGCAGGCTGAGGCAGGAGAATCAGGCAGGGAGGTTGCAGTGAGCCGAGATGGCGGCAGTACAGTCCAGGTTCGGCTTGGCATCAGAGGGAGACCATGGAGAGAGGGGGAGGGGGAAGGGGGGAGCGGGAGGGGGAAGGGGGAGGGGGAGAGGGAAGGGGGAGAGGGAGAGGGAGAGGGAGAGCTCACATTTGTTTTTCTACCACTTTCTTTCTCTTCACCTGGGAGTCCCATTACATGCATGCTTTGGAACACTTGACACTGACCCACAGATCTCAGAAGTTCTGTTTTTTCTCCAAACTTTTTTCTCTGTTCTTTGGACTGGACAATTTCTGTTAATCTTTCAAATCCCCCAACTCTTTCTTCTATCATCTCAGATCTGCTTTTGAGCCCATGTGAAGAAAGTTCATTTCAATTATACTTTTCAACTCTGGAGTTTCCATTTGTTTTTTTGTTTGTTTGTTTGTTTTGAGATGGAGTTTCGCTCTGTTGCCCAGGCTGGAGTGCCGTGGCAGTATCTCAACTTACTGCGGCCTCCGCCTCCTGGGTTCAAGTGATTCTCCTATCTCAGCCTCCTGAGTAGCTGAGACCATGGGCACATACCACCACACCCAGCTAATTTTATTTATTTATTTATTTATTTATTTATTTATTTATTTTGTATTTTTAGTAGAGACAGGGTTTCACCATGTTGTCCAGGCTGGTCTTGAACTCTTGACCTCAAGTGATCTGCCCACCTCAGCCTCCCAAAATGGTGGCATTACAGGCATGAGCCACCACGCCTGGCCGCCATTTGGTTCTTTATTACAGTTTCTATTTATTGAGATTCCTATGTAACTCACTGTTAGTATTTCTTTGAAAACCCTTTCCTTCAATTCTCTCAACATACTTGTAATAAATATTTTGATGTTATTGCTAAATCTAATATCTAGACCCACTAAGAGTCCATTTCTACTATTTTTTCCCCTTGTATGGGTCACACTTTTCTGTTTCATTGTACATCTAGTAATTTGTGGTTGAAAACTCTATATTTTGATAATACATTGTAGCAAGACCATATTCTGTTTAACTTTTCTGAGGGTTGTTAGCTTTTTCAATTTGTTTGTATTTCATAACTTGCCTGGACTTACACTGAGGAAACTGTCTCCTCAACAGTGTGCAGCCTCTGATATCTCTATTCCATTGCTTTATTCTTATTTTCAATGTTTTAGCCTGGCTCTCTAGCAGCTACCTCTTGTCTGTATAGTTTGCAGGTAAACCAATAATTTGAGCACAGATCATGCCCAAACACCTGAGCCTATAAGGTTTTCCTTTCACTTTCTGCTAAATGATCTGTGTGTGGGTTGGGGAATGCATTCAAAATTGCAACTGGCACTCCAGTTTGAGCTCTGCTGGGTCTCTCCTGCATATATGTAGTTTTCCTGTCATCTACGGATGTGTAGAGAGGGTATCTGTCTTTCTATGGCTGTAATACAAGATCTCCTTGTTAAATTTTTGACTAATCCATCACTTGCCTCGAATTGGGACTGCAACCTTGGTCTAACAAAGGTACAGGTTTTACCCATCTGTTCCCAACAGAATCTGTTCCTTTTGCTTGGCAAAGGCAAAAGTTTTTGTACCTTCCCTCCCCCGCCAACAAAGAATTAAACCTGCTCATCTGGCAACAGAGGTGGTATTTTCATGGCCAGCCTAGACTAGAAAGCTCAGTTATCACCAACATAGATTAGAGAGAAGAGGGGAGGTGACAGAAACAGCTACAGGAAGAGGAGCCAGAAATGGTTGTTTTTTGACAGTTCTGTCCAGTTTAATGCCTTTTAAAAAAATTCCCCTTTAGCAAAGAGGAATCACTAACCACTTCACACTGCCATTACAAGAAGTCCTCTTAACATTCACTTTTGGAAGAATGAAAACACTTTACAGGTCCTTAGGGCTAGTCTAAAATGCTGGTTTCTCAAAACTGTCAGGTTCTTTTACATGTATCTCTATTACCAGGAAAAAAATACATTAAAGTCACAAAAATAAGGCTGGGCACGGTGGCTCGTGCCTGTAATCCTAGCACTTTGGGAGGCCATGGTGGGCAGAGTGCCTGAGCTCAGGAGTTCAAGACCAGCCTGGGCAACACATTGAAACCCCATCTCTACTAAAATACTAAAAATTAGCCAGGCTTGGTGGCATATGCCTGTAATCCCATCTACTCGGGAGGCTGAGGCAGGAGAACTGCTTGAACCCAGGAGGCAGAGGTTGCAGTGAGCCAAGATTTCGCCACTGCACTCCAGCCTGGCAATACAGCGAGACTCCGTCTCAAAAAAAAAAAAAAAAAAAATCACAAAAATGATTTTTTTTTTTTTTTTTCAGACGGAGTCTCGCACTGTCGCCCAGTCTGGTGTGCGATCTTGACTTGCTGCAACCTCTGCCTACCGGGTTCAGGCAATTCTCCTGCCTCAACCTCCCAAGTAGCTGGGACTACAGGTGTGCGCCACCACGCCCGGCTAATTTTTGTTATTTTTAGTAGAGACGAGGTTTCACTATGTTGGCCAGGCTGGTCTCGAAATCCTGACCTCGTGATCCGCCCGCCTTGGCATCCCATAGTGCTGGGATTACAGGCATGAGCCACCGTGCCCAGACAAAAATGAATATTTCTTAAAAGCCATAATAATTATTCAACTACACAGTTTTCACAAGATTATTTGTGGACTGTTCCTTTGTGGTGACCAATAAAGCATGACTAAAGCTAAAGACCCAAAGACAACGCTCAACAAAGGCAGAGCCATGGGGACAAAATGTGTCCTCCCTTAAACCTAGCTGTGCTTTCAGTGTATTGTTCCACTCTCAGTAGAGCCTCTCCAGGCATCTACAGCTTTCATGCTGTTACTTTCTGTATTAGTTCATATTGCTGCTGTAATAAATTACTACAAATTTGGTGACTTAAAAAAACACAGATTGATCATCTTATAGTTCTGCAGGTCAGAAGTCTGAAACAGGTCTCACAAGGCTAAATTCAAGGTAGCTGCAAGGCTGTGTCCCTTCGGGATGCTCTAGCGCAGAACCCATTCCAGTTTCTAGAGGCTTACCCTCATTACTTGGCTCATGGCCCTCTTCTTCCATCTTAAAAACCTACATTACTGGGACCAAGTTCTTCTCATACCGCTATGACACTAACTCTCCTCTGTCTCCCTCTTCCACTTTTAAGAACTCCTGTGATTATACTGGGTCCACCCAGATAATCCAGGATAAATCTCCCTACCTTAAAGTCTATTGCTAAGCAATGTTAATGTTAATGCTCCCTTAATTCCTCTTGCCACATAACTTATATCCACAGGTTCTAAGATTTAGGTTGTGGACCATCTCTGGGGGCTAGCAGGGTTCATTATCTTGCCTACCACACCTTGCTATTAAAATCTCTGCTCATGAATTTCCATTTGGACATAAATGTTTGCTACGGTTAAAGTCTGTGTCATTTCCAGGGCTATTTATATTATCATGAAGCATAACAATCAAGAGAATAAATCTGTAATGATGGTTTCAGGAAACACCCACTAGAAGATATTTAAAGAAAATAAAAAAAGAAAAGTATTTAAAGGATAGGTATATCAGAAGGCTGAAATACATCCAGCAAAACACATCATTAAGATCAATTACATTGCCAAGAACATAAAATTGATCATGCCCACATATCTTTTAAAGTCCACTTTTATAAAAGTCCCTTAACAAAGTTAAACAGGCTTGGAGCTAATCTGAGAGGTGCTTGATATGAAAACTGAAACGAGAAGATCTTAAAATAGATAAAGATTAATAGACAAACTCGAACTACCAAAATTGAGCATTGGACATAAATCCCAAAAATCTATTTTCTAGAATTTGATTTGAAAATATAAGTTAATCATATAGTAATTTTAAATCACTCTGACAGGGTCAACCTATACTAATTGTATATTTATGGTATAAATAAGTACAGATGCATATATTGCAAAATCGTTTTCAAATTTTCATTGTCATTGCTTTAATTCTGGTTTAACTTTTTAAAATTCAAATTTAAATAAATGTTTAGGTGAAAACTTCTGTGTATGTTATTCTTCAGTATCTCTGAAGCATTACAAGTAATCTGTATCCTTGAAATTTTTGAGAAATGTATTTATTAACAATTACAATAAAAATTATATGAATAAAACAGAAGGAGAATATTATGAAATCCTCTTAAGATGTCTGGTTCACATTAGTCTTAAAATACCCACATACCAAAGTCCTTCTCATCTTTTCCCATTCCCAACCCTCTACTGCTATACCCAACCTTACCAAACTACCTACAAGTTTCAAAAGTGCATTTAAACATCATCACCTCTACTAATTCTGCCTCAAGTATCTTTTTACCTAACTTATTAATTAAGCTTATTCACCTGGTTTATTCTCACTTGTCTTTCAGGATTCATGTGAGGTATCACCTTGTCTGGAAACATTTTCCTGACTTAATCTGTCTGAATTACAGGTACCTCCTATGAGTTTCCATCAAACTTGTGTTCTGCCTCCTATGAGAGCATTTATCACAAAATGTTATTGTTGTCTACTCCCTTATCTATTAATCCCATAGATTACTAAGGCAGTAACCATGTTTTATTCTTGATATTTCTGTATCTGGATCACAGTAAATGTTTAAAAATTATATTTGTTGAATAAAAGAAAATACACATACATTTAATATGCTTAACTTTTAAACAGTTCTCAAAAGCTTTGTTGTTGGCTTCCTAAACTTTAAGAAAGGTCAAGTAAGACAAAACTGAAAGTGACTTCCAACCATACGGCAAACTAACATGACACAGGCCCTCCTTGTCCCAAAACACACAGAAATACCTGATCAAATATGACAATGCTGTCAAAATACACCGCTGAATTTGAAATAATAAAAAGGAGATTCCTGGGTAACAGAAACAAAGAGTATACTGAAAGGCAAAAGCGAGCATAGAAGGTGACTGAAAAATACCAGGGGATGATCAGCTTTGGCTATAGGCCCTAACAGCTGGGCACTGGGAGCTGGGATTTTATAGGGTAAGCCTTTTACTGCTGAAAGTCTGTTAGTTTGACTTATAAAACTGTTTGCAAAACTGACTATGCTGTGCTAGACTGAAGAGAACAAGAATGATGGAAGAAAAGTCTGTTTACGTCTGACAATACCATGTATTTTAGCCTAGCAGTCATAATGTGAATTATATAACTCTGAGATGATAAGGTACACCCAGCCCAGGGAAAGTGGTCTCTGGCATGCATCCAGATTAGGCTATGTCCAAGAATGCCCCAGTCTCATAATAATAAATATAAATAAGTCTACACCCAGAAACTAGGCTTCCAGAAGCACAATATCACTCAGATATCATCATCCATAACTGTGCCTCTGCTTACGAGGCCCTGGGACTTGGAAGCTGCCTATCTTTCTGATGAGATTACCAATCTCTCTGCTATATAACCTAAACGCACAAGCTTCCTTCTGTATCCTTTATATTTAGATTTACTCCATCAATCCAAATCACTACAGAGGTTGTAATGTTTTGAATGACCTCTCAGGGATATGGGTATACATGAGACAAGGTACTGGAACTGAGACTTCTGCTTACATCCTGGACCCTAGAAGGAATTGCCACCTCAATAAAATGAGAATGCCAGGCTCAGAAAGTTTCAAAGGCAAATTCTATCAAACGGTTAAAAAAAAAAAAATTTTACACTCTCTCAAAGAAAATAAAAGAGAACAAAATACTTTCTGACTCACATTATAAGGCCAACATTACTCTGATACCAAAACCAAAGCAGGAGAAAAGAAAATTACAGACCAACATCCCACATGAACATAGACACTGAAGTCCTCAACAAACTATTAGCATATCAAATACAGCAATACACATACATACACACACACACACACACACACACACACACACACAGAAATACAAATTGCACCACAAAGAAGTGGAGTTTATCTTGAGAATGCAAAGCTGGTTATATATCCAAAAATCAGTCAATGCAATCAACATATTAAAAATCTAAAGAAAATAAATCATATCAATTTAAGCAGAAAACAACAATCATATCAATTTAAACAGAAAAAGGATTTGACAAAATTCAACATCCATTCATAATAAAAACTCTCAGCAAAGCAGGAACAAAAGGGAATTTTCTCAATCTGATAAAGAGCATCTACGAAAAAACCTACAGCTAACATCACACTTAACAGTAAAAGACTAAATGCTGTCCCCCTGAGATAAGCAACTCCTATTCAATATTTTACTGGAAGCCCTAGCCAGTTTTAAACAGAAAAAAAAAATGAACAGACTGCTTCATGGTATCTTGTAATACATATTTTTAAAAAAGCACAGAGATTAGAAAAGAAATAATACTATCCATATTCAGAGACAGTGATTGTATATATAGAAAATCCCAAAGAAATGACAACTCCTAGAACTAGTCATTGTGTTTAGCAAGGTTACAGGATACAAGGTTAACCCCTCAAAATCAGCCATATTCCTACATACTAGAAACGAACAACTGGAAATGAAAAATTTTTTAAATAATATCATTACAATAGCTCCTTTATAAGAAAGCAACAAGTAGAAACATAATATATAACATTTACAGGATCTTTGTGCTGAAAACTGTAAGACACTGCTGAAAGAAATCAGGTAACATCTAAATATCAAAATGGATATATTGGGATTAGGGGTTTTTGGAAAGAATATTACAGGCCACTGCCACCCCTTTTGCCAGCTGGGTAATGGATCTGCTACCACCATCCCCAGCATCCATAAACAGCTGCTTTCACCCTCAGATTTTGAATAATTCCAAAATAAAATAATTTTTTAATAGGAGAAAGATTTGTGACCTAGAGCAAAAAGTCCTCAGACATGGCACCAAAAGCACAATCCCTAAAATTAAAAATTGATAAAACTGAACTTCATTCAATTTTATAACTTTTGTTCTAGAAAAGACATATTAAGAGAAATTAAAAGATAAGTTACAGTCTTATCTGTTACAGATAATCTTTTCATTTCTCTTAGTGCTGTCTTTTCTAGAAAATTTTTGGAAATCACACATTATAAAAAAGATTTACATCCAAAGTATACAACGAACTCTCAAAACTTTACAGTAAGAAAACAAACAACCCCCACCCCCAAAAAAGAAAACAAACAACCCAATTAAAACATGTGCAAAAGACTTGGACACTGTTAATACAGAGAAGATATAAATGGACAAATAAACACACGAAAGATGTTCAAAATTAAAATTAGGATACCACTATGCACCTACTAAGAATGGCTAAAAACAAATACTGACAATACCAAGTGCTGGTAAGGATGTAGAAACTGGAATTTTCATACATTGTTGGTGGGAATGCAAAATGGTACAACTACTCTAGAAATGTTTTGCAGTTTCCTATAAACATACACTTACCACATGACTTAGCAATACTACTCTAGGTATCTACCCGAGTGAACTGAAAATGTGTTTTCACACAAAAATCTGTATACAAATATTTATAGTATAGCTCTATTTAAAAATGCCAAAACCTAAAAACAATCCTAATAACCCTCAACAAATGACTGAATAAACAGCTTGGTATATCCTTACAATAAAATACTACTCAGCAATAAAAAGGAACAAACTATTGATAAGCAGAATCACCTCAAAGGATTTCAAAGGCACCATGCTGTTTTAAAAGCCAGTCACCAATGGTCACATACAGTAGAATTCTATTTACATACAGTAGAATTCTATTTATATGACACTCTCAAAAAGACAAAACTATAGTGACCAAGAAAGATCAGGGATTCCAGGGATTATAAGGATGTCGAGAGTGTGGTCAGGTACAGTGGCTCACACCTATAATCCCAGTACTTTGGGAGGCTGAGGTGGGAGGATCACTTGAGGCCAGGAGTTTAAGACCAGCCCAGGCAACATAGCAAGACACTGTCTCAACAAAAAATAAAAAACCCAACTTAGCCGGGCATGGTGGTGTGCACCTGTAGTTCTAGATACTCAAGGGGCTGAGGCAGAAGGATCACTTGAGCCCAGGAGTTCAAGGCTACAGTACCCATGATTGCATCAATGTATTCCAGCCTGGGTGACAGAGTAAGACCTGTCTCTTTAAAAAAAAAAAAAAAAGTGGGAAGGACGTGCCTATGCTTACTAAGAGACAAAAGGGACAATAGGGCTTTTTTTTTGGCAGCAGAGGTGAGGGGGTGTTATAGAACTGTTCTATCTCCTGATTTTGATACTAGTAAAAAACTATATAAAGTGTTGAAGTTCAGAGAACTGCTCACCTCCACAAAAAGTCCAATTTTACTACGTTGATTTTAAAAATATTTTTAAAAGTAAATGGAAAGGTTACAAAAACCACCCTACTAACAAGTTATTTATATTAATATATAGAAAGGTTTCATTACTTCATTTAATATTTTGACCACAAACTATGTAACAGTGAGGAAATACATACCAAAAGGCTGAAATCATGTTAATAGCATTTAGATTTTGATAAACATACTAGGCGCCATTATCTTATTTGATCCTCATAACTACTCTGGAAGTGCATATTATTTATTATTCTTAGTTTACCAGTGTAGAAACAAACTACAAGAAATTAAGTAACTTGCCCAAAGTTGCAGAGATACTAAGTACCTGAGTTAGGAATTAAACCTAATTCAGTATATAGCCAAACAGTAAGTAAGTGTTCAATTAATGTTGAATGAATTAATGCATACAAAGCTCATGCTCTGATACTATGCTGCCTTCTGATAAATTTAGTCACATTAAATGTATATATTCATATTTTAAAAGGCCAGAACGGAATGTGGAAGGATTAAATTAAATTTAATAGATATAATTATTACATTTCTTTTTTAGTTGTTTAAGTGAACAATTTTTAAAAGGTCATACTAAAAGAGGAATATTTATGAAACACTATCCCGTTTACCTGCATTTGCAAATAATTTTCTTTTTTAAAAGTGCTACACAGCCTATTTGCTATATGAAATGAAGAAAAAGATAAACACAGATTAATGTCATTTTCCCCTACCTTAGAATTCTTTAATTTAAAAAAATCAAAAGACCAACTGATAACAATAGAATAATTTCAAACCAGTATGTAAACTTCCTTTAACTAGGTCTCCTTTCTTAAATATATACTCTTTACTAGGGCCATTTTGGTGGTAGTTTGTTCTAAGACCACTCCATCCAAAATAAATAAAGTTCACAGACACTTGGAATAACTGAAAAAGACAGAAGAGACCTTTTAAATGTGATGTAAATAGTCCCTCCTTATCTGTGGAAGGTAAGTTCCAAGACCCCTAGTGGATGCTTGAAACTGCAGATGGTATCAAAGCCTGTATGTACTGTTTTTTCCTATATATAGTACCAATAGAACAGTTACGACAATATTTTGTAATAAAAGTTATATAAATGTGGTCTCTCTCTCTCTCTCTCAAGATATCTTATTGTACTATACTCACCCTTCTTCTTGTGATTTGTCAATCCGATAACCAAGATGACTACTAAGTGCCTAAGGGGCAGGTAGTGTATACATTGTAGATACACTGGACAAAGGCATGATTCACTTCCAGGACAGAATGGCCTAAGACTTCACCATACTACTCAGAACAGCATACAATTTAAAACTTGTTGTTTTTGCCTGAAATTTTCCATTTAATATTTTCAGACTACACTTGACCACAGGTAACTGAAACCGCAGAAAGCAAAACCACAGATAAGAGGGGTAAGATTGTACCTCTTACATTAATGTATCACATTTATAGTTTAGACACAGTGAGTTTTGATTTTATCACATAACAGATCAACATCCAACATATTGAGTTCATTTCAATATTCAATAATATGTATTAAAATTTCTATGATATTTAAATGTTCCATGCTTGTCATGAGACTACAGTTAAGCACTACCCTGGATTATGAAATACATTGTGCAGAAAAGATGAACCAGCAGGCCTGTGACCGCTATCCTTAAAAAAGCCTGCCTGCGGCCGGGCGCGGTGGCTCACGCCTATAATCCCAGCGCTTTGGGAGGCCGAGGCGGGCGGATCACGAGGTCAGGAGATCGAGACCATCCTGGCTAACACAGTGAAACCCCGTCTCTACTAAAAATACAAAAAATCAGCTGGGTGTGGTGGTGGACACATGTAGTCCCAGCTACTTGGGAGCCTGAGGGAGGAGAATGACATGAACCTGGGAGGCAGAGGTTGCAGTGAGCCGAGATCACGCCACTGCACTCCAGCCTGGGCGACAGAGTGAGACTCTGTTTCACAAAAAAAAGCCTGCTTGCAGAAAGGAAATCAGTATACTGAAGGGATATCTCCACTCCCATGTTTACTACAGCATTATTCACAATAACCAAGATATGGAATCAACCTAAGTACCCATCAATAGATGAATGAATAAAGAAAATGTGGTACATATACACAATATAATATTATTCAGCCATAAAAAAGAATGAAATCCTGTCATTTACAAGAGCATAGAAGGAACTGAAAGACATTTAAGTGAAATAAGCCAGGCACAGAAAGACAAGTATTGCACGTTTTCACTAATATGTGGGAGCTAAAAAAACAAACAAACTGAACTCACGGAGATAAGAGAATAGAATGATGTTAGTGTCTTATGGATAGTCATTTAAGTGTGTAAACATGGGTTAGAAGTGGGAAGCTGGGTAGAAGTTTTACAAGAAGATTTAAGATGGCCAGGAGGCTTAAAAAGGCTAGCTATGGGAGGTGATACAGAGTTGACATATCTCTAAGTAGAATTACCAGAGGCTTAGAAGGGTAATGGGGAGCAGGGCATAAAGAGGGGATGGTTAATGGGACAAAAATACAGTTGGATAGAAAAAGTAAGATCTAGCATTCAGTAGCAAAATAGGGTGCCTATAGTTAACAATAATTTGTTGTATATGTCAAGATAAATAAAAGAATGGAATTGGAACGTTTAATTGGGGAATCCATCACCTCAAGCATTTATCATTTCTTTTGAAAAAAAGATAAATATGTACAACTATTACATATGTAAAACTACTATATATCTACAATAATTAAAAACAAAAAAACTGAAAGAAAAAACAAACCAAAAAAATAAAAAAGAAAAGAAAAGCCTGCTTGCAAGGTTAACTCTTGGCCAACAGCTGGGAAATGGGATTTGGGGAGGGTTCTCACCATTCCCAGAACTGATTAAGCTGCTCACTAAGCCTAAATTGTTTATGCAAACAATGTAATTTATGCCGAACACCTGCTTTCCTTCTGGGAGCCTGAAATTTTGGTATATACCAGTTAAAGGGTGCTTATATGACCAGCCCCCTAATTAAAAACCTGGGGCGCTGAGCCTCTAACACTGTCCCTGATAGACAATGTTTCACATACTTTGTCACAATTTGTTGCTGAGGGAACTGAGTACATCTTGCCTGACTCCATTAGGAAAGGATTCTTAAAAGCTTGTACTTCCTCTGGACTTTGCCTCATGTGTTTTTTCCCTTTGCAGATTTTGCCCTGTATCCTGTCTCTGCAATAAATCAGCTGCAATTAAATGCTGAGTCCTCTGAGTCTTCTTAGCAAATCACTGAACTTGGGGACAGTGTTGAGGTCCCCCGCAACACACATACTAAAAGATACTGAGTAAAAGATATACCTACCATCTTACCAGGCAATGTGCTCTTGGAGGAAAGTCATTATTCATACCCAGCAAATCTTGCATAGATTGTGGAACAACATCTACAAAAACATTTGATAATGAAAAAGTTAGTATGTTCATGATCAGGCAGAGTTTTATAACATGCTTTGAGGAAACACATGTCTTGCTAGATCATGCAGTTTTGATATTGCTTTAAGATTCATATCTAAAGATAGCTCTTGAGTACAGGGAGAGGGATTTCTCTCTCATTTTTTTTTCTTCAAATAAAAGTAGCCTATAAAAAAGACATATGCCACTCCCATGTTTAAAATATTTTTTTGCTTCTGAGTCACAACTCACACAATTCCTCACACTTACCAGAAAGCTTTATTTATTCTTCTTAGCCTGTCCTTGCCTCTACTTTTCTTCAACATTCTATTTAGAGATATGTCAACTCTGTATAACCTCCCATAGCAAGCCTTTTTAGGCCCCCTGTCCATCTTAAATGTTCTTGTAAAACTTCTACCTGGCTTCCCACTTCTAAACTATGTTTACACACTTAAATTACTATCCACGATAAGGTACTAACATAAAAGATCATTATACCCATAAATACATGACAAATTCAATGCATTAAAAATAGTATCCATTCACAAAAATAATTTTTGTTGTATAGCTATCATTGCTTAGCAGATCTATACTTTTTATTTTGCTAAAAGACTAAAGAGAATGCTAATGATTTGGTGCTTTTCAGACCAAAAGCAATAGACAATGCTGATAACATAAATGATTAGTGCTCAAATCTCCTGACCTCTGATAATATAGTTTTAAACGCGTATCTGTAAAACTGAGCTGATGGTTTGGCTTGTAACTCCCACCATAAGTTACAGGCTCAATCACAATCAAATTAAAAGAAAACTGCACTTTATATGTACACTTGCAACAATGCCTTAACTAGCTTAAAATTCATTCACCTTTGGCTGGGCACAGTGATTCACGCCTGTAATCCCAGCACTTTGGAAGGCCGAGGCAGGTGGATCACCTGAGGTCAGGAGTTCAAGACCAGCCTGGTCAACACAGCAAAACCCTGTCTCTACTAAAAATACAAAAAATTAACTGGGTATGGTGATTGGTGCCTGTAATACCAGCAACTTTGGAAGCTGAGGCAGGAGATTTGCTTGAACCCGGGAGGCGGAGGTTGCAGTGAGCTGAGATCGCGCCATTGCCCTACAGCCTGGACAACAAGAGTGAAACTCAGTCTCAAAAACAAACAAACAAAAAAATAATTCACCTTCATTGTACCACAGTCTCCTTTATCTATTTATCTCAGAGCACTGATTCTAAGCCTCTTTACTACAGCAGCTTTTCCTTGATGCATGATCTTCCCTTAAATTAACAGCACTTAAATTTTCGCTATCTTGAATAGTTTCCTTCATTAATTGGCAGAACGTTGAACCTGAAAATTGCTGGGCTATTATGAGACCTCCCAACAATTGCGCACACTTCCCTCTTCCTCTTAAAGTTCTCATATTCACATTCTGGCTTAATTATTTTCTTTTGCTGTATAACTGCCTTACATATATGTATATATGGTTAATGTTATCTGCCCTGGTTTATGAATCTGAATGCATATGTTATCTAATTGTTTTGTTTCTAAGAAGAATATACGTAACAGAAAAGGTAACAAAATTCTATTCCTACACAAGAAAAAGCACAGATTTTTTCAGGTCTGAGCTTACAAATGATAATCTGTTATGATCAGAAAAAATTTAACACATTCTACCTATTTATTTGCTTAGTGAATGAAGAAGGATATTTGACTGGCAGCTCCAAAGTTCATGTTTATTCAGTATCTTGCTCACTCACTGTTATGCACTAGTTTATCTAAGGACAGAAGATTTTGGATGATTTGACCTATTAACAATTATAGACACCATTTATTGAGTACCTGGCATGGGTCAGGTACTGAGATACTTGCTTATGTACAATTTCTCATTAAATCTTCACTTAGCCCTCCAGGTAGTATTACTTCATTTTACAACTGAGATAACTCAAGCTTAGATGGGGCAACTAACTAGCAAGTAGAAAAAATAAAATTTTAAACCACTTGTTTTGACTCCAAAATCTAGAGTAAATCCAAAATACTACCCTCTAATCAACAGATTTTCCTTTATTTGTAATCCTTCAAAGCCAAACTTACTTGCTTAATTCTCCTTCTCTAATCTCCCAATTAAAAGTGATCTTTTCTCCTCTGAATTCCAACAGAATTTTGTCTGTACTTCAGGATGCACTTATCACTTTCATTATGGTTACTTACTTATCTATCTTATCTTCCCTACTGGAATGTAGGGCTTGGAAGAGTATCTGGTACATGTTAGGTACTCAATAAATATGAGCTGATTTAATTAATTAAAAAATGAATGACAATGTAATTCATCCTCTACCTCAGATGTGGTGAAACAACTTTGCTTATGTAAAACAGTTCCAGAGAAACTGACACTATGGAAGAACACTAAATTAATAATTCAAAATTACAGCCACTCCTACAAATCAGAAGTTAATATTATTATATAGAAATAACTTACCCTCTAATAACTCATCCTTTCCTTCTTTATCAGTGGACTCTTGTACAAGATAATGATGAGTGACTGAGAACTTGAAGTCAGCAAAGGAAATTTCATCTGATTTCTCTTCCCATGTGCCAGAAGTAAATATACCCTATATGTACCAATAAAATGGCAAAATATTTACCTTAATCAATAGCTATCATTATATTTACTAACGACAGGGATATTTTCCCCTTTTTCTGCCCTATAAATATCCTCCATACAATCAAAGAAAAACATAAAAGTGAATGCAACCAAGAGAAAATTATTTTATAAATGATTTATCAGTGTTCCTTTAAAAAGAAATTTCTCCTAGAATATTAACGATCAAGTGACTTACAAAGATTAATAATAATTTTTTCCAAGATTCTCTATATAAAATCATGAACACATCACTATATATTAATAATACAGCATATAGCATTTTTTGACACCAGAAATTGCTTCATAAAGAAGCAGTCTGCACAATCAATTTAAGTGGCATGACACCTGTAGCACTTATTTAACAGATTCCTGCTTCTTTTATCAAGCTTTGGCATTCAAGTCTTTCCATTTGAACAGCAACTTCTTGAATGAAAAACATATATTAATTAAGAGTTCCAAAGAGCTCCTTACTTATACAGAACCCTAAGCATAAAAAAGGATTTTTCCCACAGAGCTTCTAATCTCCCATAGCTATTTTTTCCAATGGAGAGGTAAACAGTCATTACAGCATAGCACCACATAAGGCAGGAAATACCAACCAAGCAACTAGCCAAGCACAGATAGCCCCAAACTAGATTGAAAATATATAAGCAATTAATCTGTGAGTTACTATTTTTAAAATGTTTTCATGGCTATACCTAGTGTAAACATCTGAATTTTTATATATATTCCTGGAAAGATATTTATAATTCTAAATTAAATTAAATCTTATTTTAAGTGTCCTAAGTGTGTATTATTACGTAAGTACATCAAATATCAATCTTTTCATTAGTATTTGAACTGTCATGTATGATACACATCCAAAATCATAATCTTTTTATTATACTTTAAGTTCTGGGATGCACATGCAGAACATGCAGGTTTATTACATAGCTATACACGTGCCATAGTGGTTTGCTGCAACCATCAACTTGTCATCTACATTAGGTATTTCTCCTAATGCTATCCCTCCCCTAGCCCTCCCCTCCCGCAACAGGTCCCAGTGTGTGATGCTTCCCTCCCTGTGTCCACGTGTTCTCACTGTTCAACTCACACTTATGAGTGAGAACATGCAGCATTTGGTTTTCTGTTCCCGTGTTAAGAGTGCTGAGAATGATGGTTTCCAGCTTCATCCATGTCCCTACAAAGGACATGAACTCATCCTTTTTTATGGCTGCATAGTATTCCATGGTTTATATGTGCCACATTTTCTTAATCCAGTCTGTCATTGATGGACATTTGGGTTGGTTTCAAGTCTTCGCTGTTGTGAACAGTGCTGCAATAAACATACATGTGCCTGTGTCTTTATAGTAGAATGATTTATAATCCTTTGGGTATATACCCAGTAATGGGATTGCTGAGGCAAGGAAATAAGAGAGGACACAAACAAATGGACAAACAGTCCATGCTCATGGATGGAAAGAATCAATACTATGAAAATGGCCACACTGCCCAAAGGAATTTATAGATTCAATGCTATCCCCATTAAGCTACCACTGGCTTTCTTCACAGAATTAGAAAAAACTAAATTTCATATGGAACCAAAAAAGCGCCAATATAGCCAAGACAATCCTAAGCAAAAAGAACAAAGCTGGAGGTATCACGCTGCCTGACTTCAAACTACATTACAAGGCTACAGTAACCAAAACAGCATGGTACTTGTACCAAAACAGATATATAGACCAAGGGAACAGAACAGAGGCGTCAGAAATAACACGACACATCTACAACCATCTGATCTTTGACAAACCTGACAAAAACAAGCAATGGGGAAAGGATTCCCTATTTAACAAATCGTGCTGGGAAAACTGGCTAGCCATATGCAGAAAACTGAAACTGGACCCCTTCCTTATACCTTATACAAAAATTAATTTAAGATGGATTAAAGATTTAAACATAAGACCTAAAACCATAGAAACCCTAGAAGAAAACCTAGGCATATTAGCAAAGACTTCTTGATTAAAACACCAAAAGCAATGGCAACAAACACCAAAATTGACAAATGGGATCTAATTAAACTAAAGAGCTTCTGCACAGCAAAAGAAACTATTATCAGAGTGAACAGGCAACCTACAGAATGGGAGAAAATTTTTGCAATCTATCCATCTGACAAAGGGCTAATGGATCCAGAATCTACAAAGAACTTAAACAAATTTACAAGAAAAAACAACCCCATCAAAAAGTGGGCAAAGAATTTTAATTTTTTTTCTTTTCTTTCTTTTTTTTTTTTTTTTTTTTGAGATGGAGTCTCGCTCTGTCACCCAGGCTGGAGTGCAGTGGTGCGATCTTGGTTCACTGCAACTTCCGCCTCCCAAGTTTAAGCGATTCTCCTGCATCAGTCTCCCATGTTGCTGGGATTACAGGCATGCACCACCACGCCTGGCTAATTTTTGAATTTTCAGTACAGACAGGGTTTCACTATGTTGGCCAGGCTGGTCTTGAACTCCTGACCTCAAGTCATCTGCCCACCTCAGCCTCCCAAAGGGCTGGGATTACAGGCATGAGCCACCACACCTGGCCAAAAATCATAATTTTTTTTGTGTGGGGTGGGTTTCTTTACCATGAGGTTGACCTGTGTTAAATCAAGGCATCAACTGCGTATACCAAAGTCTCAAGAGGCAGTAAGTAATATGATAATGTACATAAGAGCTTGTTTTGCTAGAAGAAATGCCCAATATAAAGCAGTTATGGCTAAAACTAGGTAAAAGAAAGTCCAGAAAAGGAGAGAGAAATCCCTTTTTCAAGTTTGCAGTAAATCTTTTTAAATGATACAGAGATACTGTCTGTCCCTAATTCTGGATTCCGGTACTATTGTCAACCTTAACCAACAACTATCTAGAGGAAGATCTGATTGTATTCAATAAAGACAAGGCATCCAAGTTCTGTCTCCAAAACAGACTCAACTGATAAACAACACTCTAACATCCCATATTCAATTCCATTAGGATATAGTCACTTGATACCAAGTTCCAGTAAGGCATGTATCTGCTATGCGAACCGAAATGACAATTCTAGTTCATCAAAACTGACCTAGTAATTCATTAAAAATTACCTTTGAGGATCCTAACCAGAAAATAAAGAGATAAATGTATAGATTTAAAAGAAAACTGTCCCTATTCACAGATTACCTGATCATGTATGTAGAATATCCAAAAGAATCTACAAACAAATGACTAAAACTGATGAGTTTACAAAGTTATGAAATTCAAGGTCAATATATAATAACCATCTGTATTTTTATATACTAGCAACAAATGCTTGGAAAGAGAAAGTTTTAAAAATACCTTACTACAATTAAAAAAAGAAATTATCTAGGAATAAACTTAATGAAAGATGAGCAAAAACTCTACCTAAAATACTTCAAAACACTGCAGAGAGATATTAAAGACCTAATAGAGATACATCACATACATGGATTGAAAGATAAAACACTGTGAACACACCAGTTCTCCCCAAGTTAATCTATATATTCAACATGATCCCAATCAAAACATCAGCAACAGGCATTTTGTAGAAATTGACAAGTTGATTTTAAAACTAATATGAAAATCCAAAGAACCTAGAACAGCTAAAATAATTTTGATGAATAAGTATACTACCTGATTTTAACACTTTGCTACAATAATTAAGACAGTATAGTATAGGCATAAAGACAGACAAACAGATCAATGAAATAGAGTCCAGAAATAACATTCGCACTTACATTTGACTTCACAACAGAGGTGCTACTGGAATTCAGGGGGGAAATAATAGTCTTTTCAACAAATGGTGCTGGAATAATTAAATATTCACATGGAAGAAAACATGAGAATATCTTGGGATCTTGCAAATACCTTGGGATAGGCAAAGATTCCTTTGACCAGACACAAAAAGCACTAACAATAAAATTAAAAATAGAGAAAATGAACTTCATCTAAATAAAATTTGTGCTTATCAAAAGACACAGTTAAGAAAACGATTAGGTGGCTGGGCACAGTGGCTCACACCTGTCATCTCAGCTCTTTGGGAGGTCCATCAGGGAGGATCACTTGAAGTCAGAAGTTCGAGACCAGCTTGGGCAACAAGACCCTGTCTCTACAAAATAATTAGCTAGGCATGGTGGTGTGCACCTGTAGTCCCAGCTACTTAGGGAGGCTAAGGCAGGAGGATCACTTGAGACCAAGAGTTTAAGGCTGCAGTGAGCTATGATTGTACCACTGCACTCCAGCCTGGGTGACAAAGCAAGACCCTATCTCTAAGGAAAAAAAAAAAAAAAAAAAAAAAAAGATTAGGGGAAGCAATGGACTACAGGAAAAACAAAATACATACCTGAAAAAGCACTTGCAACCAGGATATATGAGGATAATAAAAAAAATGAACAATCCAAATTTTTTAATGAGCAAAAGAATAGACAGCAGAAAGCGCTATGAATGACCAATAAACAGTAATTCTGATTAATTACCAGATGACTACTCACTATCAATAGTCATCAGTGAAATGCAAACTAAAACCACAATGAGATTCCATTTCACACCCAACAGAATGACTAAATATAAAAATCTGACAATGCCAAGTGTCACAGAGAACACAGAGGAACTTGAAATCTCATGCACGGCTAAGAGCATAAAATGATAAAACACTTTAGAAAAGAATTTGCCAGTTTTTAATAAAAGTAAACATGTAACTACCCTAAGACCTAGCAACTCCACTCCTAAGAATATACCCAAAGAAAGGAAAGCAGATATCTACAGAATTCTCTAGAGAAGCTTTGATAATAATAATCCAGAAATGGAGACAATTTAAATGCCCACCAATAGGAGAAAGGATAGTGTACTGTGGTATAGTTATAGAATAAAAAGAATCATACATACTATATGGGTGAATTTTTAAAACATCATGTTCAGCAAAAAAGTTAGATACGAAGAGTGCATACTGTATGAGTCTATCTATAAAAAGCTCAAGAACAGGAAAAACTAAAATATACAGTGAAGGAAGTCAAAACTGTGGTTACCTCTGGGATTGAGAAACAAGCAATCTTTCTGGGATAACAAAAATGTTCTACATTTTGATATGAATGGTGGTAACATGGGTATATACATTTGTTAAAACAATTACATACATGAGTTCTGTAAACTTCGCTGTGTATAAATCATAACCCAACAAATAAAAAATTCAATAAAATATCCCTTAAAAATGAGATAAAGAAGCAGTAGAAAAATAACTTCTGAGGAAAATGTGAGGGTTGGTGAGAGGAAGATGCTCTTTTTCCTAAAGAAAAGACAGTAATGGCAATTATGTAACAACAGCATGGTACTAATTATCATAATTTGGCACCAACCATCCTTTCCACTTATCTTTCAACCTACTCAATAAACATTAGGTAACTAAGATAGAGTCTAAGCCATAACTTTGGAGGGCCAAAGACCTCAGTAAGATAAAGATCACTGCCTTAATTAAGCCCTTCACAATATGTTTCCTGGACTGTTTTAATAGCCTTCCATCCTTCTTCCACGTGGTTATCTTCCTAAAATACAAATCTGCTATTGTTCCCTCCTCCACTTAAAATATTCAACAGCTTTCCATAATCTGTAACAGTGACCTCTATCAGTAAAAATCTGATTATACACCTCCATATATTTTTATTTCCAATTATGTATTATAGTATTACACATATTGTATAAAAATTTTAAAAACCTGACATTAAAAGGATATAAAAATGTAACATAATTAGAAGTTATAATATACAAATGTTTCAACACGAGCACCTCCAAGATAGCCAAGTTTCTCACGTTGGTGGAAATACAAAGCTTACAGATCTGACCCTTTTCCTTTCCAGTTTTACCCCTACAGCTACCTTCCATCTTCCTTGTATTACAATTATGCCTAACAACTTGTTTTTCCCCAGAGGTGTGCTTTCTTTATACACCTGTGCATAGGCTATTCCTACTGCTCTTCTCTACTTCATTCTTTCAGTATACTTTTAACTCATTCTTCAAAACTCAACCTAAATATTAATTCCTATAGAAAATCTGCCTTTGATTATTTTCAAACAGTTAGTGATTATTTCTCAGCATCTTGTTCAAATACAAGAACGATACCTTATTCTAATTATTTATTTACATGTCTATTTCTCCCCTAGATTGTGAAAAGCAAAGACTATTGTTCTATTCATCTTTGCAGCCCCGGTACTTAACAGTATCTACATGCTTAATATGTATTTAGGGTGTTACCTTTGTTCAGTATTAATAATAACCCCTGTAACTTCCAAAGGTACTAGAAAATATTTCCTAACCAGTATGTTAACCAGTAACATACTGGATATCCATATATTTCAGTAATATATACACTGTGATCTAACAAGCTGAAATAGCAAACAACCCCATCCAAAAGGTATTCCTATGTCTTGAACTGCTGCAACAACTAGATAACCACATGCAAAAGAATAAAGTTGGATCCTTTTCTTACTCTAGACTTAAAAATTAACTAAAAATCGTTTGCAGATCTAAATGTAAGAGCTAAAACTATAGATACCATCAAGAAAGTAAAAGGATGACTCACAATGATACATGCTACAATATAGAGAACGGGAGAAGATGTTTGCAAATTATGTACCCCATGGGGACTTGTATCCAGAATATATAAAGAACTCTTACAACTGGATAAGGAGAAGACAACCCAAATTGATTATTGTTTTTATTTTCTGAGAGGGAGTTTCGCTCTTGTTGCCCAGGCTGGAGTGCAATGGAGTGATCTCGGCTCATTGCAACCTCTGCCTCCCGGGTTCAAGCAATTCTCCTGCCTCAGCCTCCCAAGTAGCTGGGATTACAGGCATGTGCCACAACATCTGGCTCATTTTTTAATTTTTAGTAGAGACAGGGTTTCACCATGTTGGTCAGGCTGGTCTTGAACTCCTAACCTCAGATGATTCACCCGCCTTGGCCTCCCTAAGTGCTGGGATTACAGACATGAGCCACCGCACCCGGTCAACAACCCAAATTTAAAATGGGCAAAGGACCTGAAAAGACATTTCTCTAAAAAAGGTATACTAACAGCCAATAAAAACATCAAAAGATGTTCAACATCATCAGCCATTAGAAAAATGCAAATCAAAACCACAATGAGATACTACTTCATATCTACTAGGATGGCTATAATTAAAAAAAAAAAAAAAAAAAAAAAACCGTGTTGGGTACAGTGGCTGACGCCTATAATCCCGGTACTTTGAGAGGCTTAGGCAGGAGGATTGCTTGAGGCCAAGAGTTTAGGACCAGCCTGAGTAACAATGACACTCCATCCCTAACCGAAAAAAAAAAAAAATTTTTTTTTAATGTGTTGGTACATGCCTATAGTTCTACCTACTTGGAAGGCTGAGGCAGGAGGATCACTTGAGACCCAGGAGTTTGAGGTTACAGTAAACTATGATTGTAGCACTGCAATTCAGCCTGGGCAACAGAGCAAGACCTTGCCTCTAAAAAATAAAAATAAAAGTAACAAGTGTTTCTCAGGAGTCTTATACATGGCTGGTAGAAATGTAAAATGAAAGAGCCACTCTGGAAAACAGTCTGATAGGTCCTCAAAAGGTTAAAAACAAACATAGGATCTAGAAATTCTACTCCTAGATATACAGCTAAAAGAAATAAAAACATGTCCACACAAAAACTTAATGCGATGAATGCTCATAGCATTACTCGCAGTAACCAAAAGGTGGAAACAACTCAAATTCCCATCAATAGTCAAAGATAAATGTGGTATACCCCTACGATGGAATATTATTCAGCAATGAAAAGCAATCAGCCCTCCATATCTGCAGATTCCACATCCTTAGATTCAACCAACTGTGGGTTGAAAATATTCAGAAAAAAAAAAACATCAATACAACAATTTAAAATAATATATATGTATTTTAAAAATACAGTATACCTACTATTTATACAACATTTACATTGTACTAGGTATCATAAGTAATCTAGAGAGGATTTAAAATATATGGGATAATGTGTGTAGGACATTTGCTAATATGCCATTTTATAAAAGGGACTTGAGCATCCAGGAATTTTGGTATCCACAACAGGGATAGGGGAATGGTGTCTTGGAACCAATCCCCCCAAGGATACCAAGGGATGACTACACTGATAAATGTTACAATATGACAAACCTGGAAAACATTATGTTAAGTGAAAGAAGCCAGTTACAAAAGTGTACATATTGGCCGGTCACGGTGGCTCGCGCCTGTAATTCCAGCACTTTGGGAGGCCGAGGCAGGTGGATCACCTGAGGTCAGAAGTTTGAGACCAGCCTGACCAACATGGTGAAACCCCATCTCTACTAAAAATACAAAAATTACCTGGGCGTGGTGGCAGGCACCTGTAATCCCAGCAACTTGGAAGGCTGAGGCAGGAGAATCGTTTGAAACCAAGAGGCGAAGGTTGCACTGAGCTGAGATCGCACCATTGCACTCCAGCCTGGGCGACAGAGCAAGACTGTGTCTCAAAAAAAAAAAAAAAAGTGTGTGTATTATATGATTCCATTTATATGATATGTCCAGAACAGGCAAATATATATAGAGAGAAAGCAGGTTAGCTGTTGTGTAGGGTTAGGGGAAAATGGTAAGTGACTTCTAACAAGTATCGAGTTTCTTTAGGTGGTGGTGAAAATATTCTAAAATTGATTATGGTAATGGTTGACAACTCTATCAATATACTAAAGACCACTGAATTATATGCCTTAAATTGGTAAATTTTATGGTATATAAATTTTATTTCAATTAAAATCTTTATTTATTTATTCATTCATTCATTCATTCATTGAGACAGAGTCTTGCTCTGTCACCCAGGCTGGAGTGCAATGTCATGATCTTGGCTCACTGCAACCTCCGCCTCCTGGGTTCAAGCGGTTCTCCCACCTCAGCCTCCTGATTAGCTGGGACTACAGGTGTGTGCCACCACACCTGGCTAATTTTTGTATTTTTAGTATAGATGGGGGCTTTACCATGTTGGCCAGGCTGGTCTTAAACTCCTGATCTCAAGTGATCCACCCGTCTCGGCCTCTCAAAATACTGGGGTTACAGATGTGAGCCACTGCACCCAGCCCAATTAAAAATAATTTACACTGAGAAGATTCTCTTTTAATCACAATATTTTGTATCTGTCTACTCTGTCTTAAAAGAACCCAGGCGGTTTATAATCCGAATGTGCAGAAATCTTTAAAAATAAAGAATACTCACTGAGCATTTCATCTATTTCTGGAATAAAATAAATCAAATGTTTCTTTAGTCACAAGTAACCCTAGAACCATACATTTTTCAAGCAGCTTTCCTAAAACAAACATGCAATTATGCTCACAAAGTTGCATGCAAATAAAAACCTAGCTCTCAATTCCAACAGATATCTGGTCTGCTGGTGACCACAAACAATAATCCCAAAAGACAGCAAAAGTGTGGAAGAACACTTTTAATCTAGAAGGCTGACTTTCCTCTCACCATTCATATTGTTATGGAGATTTGCTATATATATATACACATACACACACACACATATATATACACACACATATATACATATATATATACACACACACACGTGTGTGTATATATATATATATATATATATATATATATATATTTTTTTTTTTTTTTTTTTTTTGAGACGGAGTCTTGCTCTGTCACCCAGGCTGGAGTGCAGTGGCGCGATCTCGGCTCACTGCAAGCTCCACCTCCCGGGTTCACGCCATTCTCCTGCCTCAGCCTCCCGAGTAGCTGGGACTACAGGCACCCACCACCACGCCCGGCTAATGGAGATTTGCTATTTTAAGGAATTCTTCTCTGCTGTGACATGGATATAATACGTAATATGGTCTTAACACTAATGAACGTTTGCTTCATGGCAAAATTTCCAGCTCAGTATATGTATTATGCAGACATGGATATAGATATTTTGATCATGACAATTTGGGATTAATAAATAGTTTCTAATCATTGAACAAAAACAACGCAGTCATCTAGATACATTCCACTCTATACAGGTGGCCTGGCTGGCCTTCAGCCTGGATCAAGATCATCCCACTAAAAGCACAAAAGTACAGAAAGGAATGATATCGAGGCTCAGTCCAAAAGCTCTTTTGTACGCAACTTTTGACTTTCATTCCACAGGGGAAATTCAGAAACAAAGGGGAACTTGAGATAGTCCTTCTTCAGTCACCAAGAACCACAATTCAACCAGAGAACATTCAACTACCTAAGAACTGTCATAGGAAGAGATCCTGAGCAAAGGGGACACAGCCAACTGTTAAGTGAAAAACCAGATCAAATATAAGAAATCCTCAGGGAAAAGAATTAGCCAGGTACTGATTCACGTAGGCATAAGGTACATTGGTTAACACAAATAAGCCTTCTTTAAAGGAAACAAGTACCATTTAGCATCATCTCGGGCACTCAGATCTAATAGGCACTTGGGCCTACCTTAGCAGTCAAAATCTATACTCCTTTCTGAGCCAGCCTGGCTTCATTTTAAGCCTGTGTGTTTTATTTCCTGATCTGACCTTCTCCTCTGTATATATGATCTTCTCATCTGCTCATAAGTATGTATCACATTTATGTATATCCAGCAAGGATTTGAATTACTCCAATTGCATATACTTGAAGTTCATTATAAGTATTTTTTAAAGTAAAAGCAGACTGTATGAATTAATTTCCTGCTCTTCAAGAAAGGAACTCACTCACATCTGCTAAGTACCTACTAAGCCAGATAATTCATGTGTGTGTACCCCTGTGCATACAAAATTAAACTTACATGAGGTTAAGTATTAACCTCATTTTTTTTTTTTTTTTTTTTTTGAGACGGAGTCTCGTTCTGTCGCCCAGGCGGGAGTGCTGTGGTGCGATCTCCGCTCACTGCAAGCTCCGCCTTCCGGGTTCACGCCATTCTCCTGCCTCAGCCTCCCGAGTAGCTGGGACTACAGGCGCCCGCCACTGCGCCCGGCTAATTTTTTGTATTTTTAGTAGAGACAGGGTTTCACCGTGGTCTCGATCTCCTGACCTCGTGATCCGCCCGCCTCGGCCTCCCAAAGTGCTGGGATTACAGGCGTGAGCCACCGCGCCCAGCCAACCTCATTTTATAGATGAGAAAAGTTAAGAGACTGAAAAACCTGTCCCAGGTTACCAAACTATTAAGTGGTAAAATGATTTACCATCTCATTTACCAGTAGGGTAAGTGGACATGACTAAGGACATAATTAAAGACATGATTAAATGCCAGATAAGTAGGCCATCAGTAGATTCATGAAGAAAATTGGATCCCTGTTAGCTTTTAGGTAAGGTAAAACTGATAAGAAAGAACAGACGAGGATTTGGGGCAGGAAATTGAACAGCAAATTCAGGAAACAACCCAACTCAGCTAAAGTTCCCTATAGGGGAGTAGAGAAAAAAGGTGGAGAAATTAGAGACCTGACCATGGAAGCCTATGAATATCAGTCCTAGTTCAGACTACCCTGTAGGCAATGGAAAGCCATTGAAGGCTTCTGTGAAGTCTCATAATATAATGACAGCATTAGTTCAGGAGAATTCATCTGAACACACTAGAAGGAGAAAAACAAATGAGAAAGAGAAGGTAAGGAAGGGGAAAGCATGGAGAAGTAAGGAATAAAGACAATCAGAAAGTAGTATAGGGGCCAGGTGTGGTGGCTTAGTCCTGTAATTGCAGCACTTTGGGAGGCCAAGATGGGAGGATCACTGGAGCCCAGGAGTTCAAGACCATCCTGGACAACATGGTGAAACCACATTTCTGGCTGGGCGCAGTGGCTCACGCCTGTAATCCCAGCACTGTGGGAGGCTGAGGCAGGCAGATCATAAGGTCAAGAGATCAAGACCATCCTGGCCAACAGGGTGCAACTCTGTGTCTACTAAAAATAAAGAAAAAATTAGCCGGGCATGGTGGCGTGTGCCTGTAATCCCAGCTACTCAGGAGTCTGAGGCAGGAGAATTGCTTGAACCTGGGAAGCAGAGGTTGCAGTGAGCCAAGATCGTGCCACTGCACTCCAGCCTGGGCGACAGAGCGAGACTCCGTCTCAAAAAAAGAGAAACCACATTTCTACAAAAAATAAAAAAATTAGTGAGGTGTGTTGGCACATGCCCGTGGTCCCAGCTACTCCAGAGGCTGAGGCAGAGGATCACTTGATTCCAGGAGGTTGAGGTTGCACTCCAACCTGGGCAACACAGCAACACTCTGTCAAAAGGAAAGGAAAGGAGAGGGGAGGGGAGGGCAGGGGAGGGGAGGGGAGGGGAGGGGAGGGGAGGGGAGGGGAGGGGACTAATATAGCCCAGTGATTGAAGAAGGAAATAATGGGGGGATATTTGTCCTACCAGAATGTATAACAAATTTATAGTAATTAAAATAAAATGATATGTATATAGGAATAAACATTATTCAGAATTCAGAAACAGATCCAAATACATATGGGAACTCAGTACATAATAAAGGGAACATATTCAATGGGACAGTTTGGAAAAGCTGGCTATCCAATAGCAAAACAAAAAACAAAAAGTTTCACTTCACTCACAAAAATTAATTCTAAGTAGAATATCTAACTGTTAAAAGAAAAAATCCTTCTTTAGAAGTACTAAAAAATAGAGAATTATAAATTTATCATAGTAAGGTCAAGAGACCCTTTCTACATACAGTATGAAATCTAGAAGTCATAAAGAACCTCACTACTTAAAAATATAAACTCTTGTTACATTACATATAAAAATCAAAATGGATCAAAGGTCTAAACATAAGAGCTAAAAACTATAAATCTCTTAGAAGTAAACAGGGGAAATCCTTCATAACATCTGAATTTGCAATTATTTCTTGGACAGGACACCAAAAGCACAGGCAACAAAAGAAAAAATAAAATGAATTTCATCAAAATTAAAAACTTTTGTGCATCAAGTACACTATCAACAGAGTGAAAAGGCAACCCATGAATGGGAGAAAATATTTGTAAGTCATATATCACATAAGGGATTAATATACAATATATAAAGAAGTCTTACAACTCGACAACAAAAGAAATAACCCAATTGTAAAAATAGGCAAAGGACTTCAATAAACATTTCTCCAAAGAACATAGACAAATAGGCAATAAGAACAGGAAAAGATGCTCAACATCACTAATTATTGGAGAAATGCAAATCAAAACCACAACCACTTCATACTCATTAGAATGATCATTATTTTTTTAGAAAGAAAGAAACACCAGGAAATAACAGTGTAGAAACTGGAGCCCTTGAGCATTGCTGGTGAGAATGTAAACTGCTACAGCCACTGTGGAAAACGTGATGGTTCCTCAAAAAATTGAAGAGTTACTATAGGACCCAACAATTCCACTTCTGATTGTATACCCAAAAGAGGTGACACCAGCAGTTTCTTGGGGATTTTTTTGGTAGAGATAGGGTCTCGCTATGTTGCCCAGGCTGGTCTCAAACTCCTGGCCTCAAGTAATCTTCCTGCCTGGGCCTCCCAAAATGCTGGGATTACAGGCATGAGCCACCATGCCCAGCCTACACAAAGGAACTGAAAGCAAGTAGAACAGAAACTTGTAAAACACATGTTCACAGTAGCATTATTCGCAATAGTCTATAGAAGCAACAGATGACAGATGAATGAATGGATTTGTTGTTGTTGTTGTTGTTGTTGTTGTTGAGATGGAGTCTTGCTCTGTCGCCCAGGCTGGAGTGGAGTGGCTCGATCTCATCTCACTGCAACCTCCACCTCCCAGGTTCAAGCAATTCTCCTGTCTCAGCCTCCCGAGTAGCTAGGACCACAGGCGTGAGCCACCATGCCTGGCTAATTTTTGTATTTTTAGTAGAGATGTGGTTTCATCATGTTGGCCAGGCTGGTGTCAAACTCCTGAACTCAGGTGATCCACCCGCCTTGGCATCCCAAAGTGCTGGGATTACAGGCATGAGCCACTGTGCTTGGCCAAGGAATGGATTTTAAAATGTGGTATATACATATAATGGAATATTATTCAGCCTTCAAAAGGAATGAAATTCTGACACGTTACAACATGAATGAACCTTGAAGATATTACTTCATGTTTCATGTTAAGTGAAACATGTCAGACACAAAAGGACAAATACTGTATGATGCCACTTATGTGAAGTTGTTATTGTTTAACGGGTAGACTTTGGGATGATAAAAAAGTTCTAGATATGGATGATGGTAATGATTGCACAACAATGTGAATATATTTAATGCCACTGAACTATACATTTAAAAATGGTAAATTTTATATGATGTACTTTGCCACAGTAAAAATATATATAAACTCTTGTGAAGCATAAGACATTCAAAGAAAAATGACAGATGAGGGAAAATATCTGCAACCCAGAGTCAACATTCATAAAAATATAAAAGCCCTTGTGCAATCCAATGAGACAGTAGAAAATTGGTCAGCATATCTAACATGCCATCAAAAAGGAAATTCTAATATCTAATGAACACTAATGAATGCTCAATCTCATGAGTGCTCAGGAAAATATAAATAAAAATGAGATAGTTTTAGTCTGTTATATTAGAAAAAATATAATGAAAATAAACAGTGTGGACAGAGTGAGGATATGGGTGCTTTCATATACCATATGTGGAAAAAGTATAAATGCAGTCAACTATTTTGGCAGAAAACATGGCTGTATTTATCAAAAATAAGAATCATGTCCTCTTTGACCGAGTAATTCCACTTTTAGAAATCTGTTACAGAAGGCCGGGCACGGTGGCTCACGCCTGTAATCCCAGCACTTTCGGAGGCTGAGGCGGGTGATCAGCAGGTCAGATCATCGAGACATCCTAGCTAACATTGTGAAACCCTGTCTCTACTAAAAATACAAAAAATTAGCTGGGAGTGGTGGCACACGCCTGTAATCCCAGCTACTCAGGAGGCTGAGGCAGGAGAATCACTTCAACGCAGGAGGCGAAGGCTGCAGTGAGCTGAGATTGCACCACTGCACTACAGCCTGGCGACAGAGTGAGACCCCGTCTCAAAAAAAAAAAAAAAAAAAGAAATCTGTTACAGAAATATTCATACAAATATGCAAGACTATTCACAAGGAGATTGGTGGGCTCAAATGAAAATGCCTACAGAGACTGACACTCTGTGACCACACAATGAAATAAAAAAGTTTTTGATCCTATGACTCCCACGAATTTTAGTTCCTCACTCTCAAATGAGTAGATAGAGATCGTCAGATATTTGAGGAAAACCCCCATATGAAGGAAATAGTGACCCCCCCCAAAAAAAGGCAAATATAAAAAAAAATTTAAAAAAAAAAAGGCAAACATGCAAGAGTATGTAGAACAATGCTTACCACCACAGTACCTTAACTGCAAAAACTGGAAAGTAAATATTCTTCAATAGGAACATGTATAAACACATTATGATAATCATACAACAGACTACAAAGCAAGAATTAAAGTAACAATAGATGTTTATGTTCTATCTTGCAAACATGCCAAGATACAGTTTTTAAAAAAAGATAACTGTAATAAAAAGTTACTCATCTTTTTTTCAAGGTATAATGTGCACACATGGAACTGTTAAAAGTTGTTCTGAAAAGTAGATGAATGGAGAAGTGATGAGGAAGGGACTATCACTTTTTTATACATATGCATCATTTGGTGTGGTTACATTATTTTTGTAATTAAAGGTCTCTAAAATTTTTTAATGAAAGAATTTGTTACTCAAAAAGTAGAAAAGAAAGAACAAGGGAAACAGTGGGGACTGGCTCCACAGGACAGCCTTCTAGGCCCTTAGACAGATACCTTGCCCCAAAATATTTCCCCATATAATTTTAAAGTGTTTACTTAACTTTTCTTACATTTTACTGAAATTCCAGAAGCATTTTTTTTTAAACGTTAAAAACTTGAGGACTAAATGATGCAAAGTGTGGAGTCCTGATTAGTAAGCAACAAGGAAGGGGTCCCAGGTGGGGGAGAACAACTGTTCCAAGAGACAACTAATCACAAACAACCTGCTGGCACAACATTCTGTTCCCAAATATCTCGTCCATACATGGCCCCTTTGGCATGACCCTATAAAACTTCCCTCCAGCTCCTGCCTCTTAGTAGACAGCCCCTTCTCTGCTGTGCTGCCAGTATCGTATCTTCGTGCTTTTTCTAATACGTACTTCCTCTAAATACATCTACGTACTTTCTCTAAATCTGCCTGTCTTTACCTACAACTGTCTTGGTAAATCCTTTACTGCCCATGACACTGGCCCCAACCAGTGGCACCTGCAACATTTTGGTGGCCCATCTGGGGAGTGCTTGGGGACTGCTTGGGGACCTTTCTCTTACTGTCTCCCTTCCCTCTCCTCCAACTCCAACCTCTTGGTGGACAGTGTCCAAGCCCAGAGACAACTGAAGGTTCCTGGCCAGGGCCAGTAAAAAGATGTCTGACCCGCCACCCAATCGGGTAAGAGTTCAAAGTTTGCTTTCCTTTTCAGTCTTCTGGCAGACAAACTCTAATATTCCTCTGGCAATGAATGACAACTGGCCAGGGCCACTCCCTGGTATAGCCTGAAGGCTAGGGACTGAACAGGTTTGGCCACCTTGCCCAGAAGGGAGGAAGGCTCTCTCCTGTCCTTTCTGTTGGAAAGTCCCCAATCCCTACGTTTGGCATAACTGGCAGGCAGAAGCTTGACCAGGGCAAACCTATACACATTTTGGGGAAGTCAGACCCCCCTCTTTCTCACTCTAAATTCTCCCACGTAAGGCAGCCAACCCTCCTGCTCCAGACATCTTAAACCAGGTAATCCCAAACAGCACCCAGACAGTGAGTCTTCCCTCATCCCTTTCCCCTCCTACCTGGATTGAGCACCCAGCACAATTCGTACCTAGACTAACCTGGGGTCTTTCACCTAGTGTTCATCCAGTGTAAGGCCCTAGTGCCAGGAGATCCTTTCCAATAGGTGGAATGCCCCTTTGGAAAGTGCATCGAGAAGTCCCTCAGCAGATGTGAGTGGATCCCTCATCCCTTGGTGGGATGCCCTGGGAGAAACTGCAGTTTGCGTCCCCAACAGACGTTTTTTACGGTCCCATCATGGGATGAAGCCCCTCAATTCCCTCAGACTCACCCCTGGGTTGCATTTTAAAGCACTGGGATAAATTTAACCCTCAGACTCTCAAAAAGAAATGTCTAATTTTCTTTTAGCATGGCTGCTATGCAAGAAATCCTCAAATTAACCTCCTCAGTCTTTTATAACTGAGAGTAGAATGAGGAGGACAGGGCTAAAGAGAAAGAAAAACACAGGAACACAAGTCAGGCTCAAGTGCTGGCTGCTTTTATAAGCCCCCAGCCTCCTCCAGGTAACTGCCACTGGTGCAGAAGGCCAGGCCACTAGAAGGCAAACTGCCCCAATGAGATACATGGGAAAGAACCCTGTACAGCTTGCCCCTCTGTCACATGCTCAGCCATTAAAAATGGGACTGCCTAAAGGCCAAAGGGCCCCCAGGATAATCCCAACCACTGATGGCCTTGAGCTGAGGGGTCTCTCTGCTCTACCTGGCTTCCAAATCAGACATTGGCATCAACAAAACAAAGGCAAGGGCAACTCTGAGGATGCAAATGAAATTATAAATTTCCCTTTTGGGTTCAAGAGCTGCCTACTCTGTACTAATCTCCTTCCCTGAGCAACACTCTTCCAAATCCTGCTGGGTAATGGGGGCAAATGCACTCCCTCTCTCTGTCCAAAAGAAAAAAATCACACTGCTTTATATTACTTAAGGGACCAATTACCATTCTCTCACCAGTCCTCGGCAATGTCTAAATATTCCACACCCCTTTGGGGCAAAAATATACTTTCCAAGATGGGTGTCTGCTTAATATGTGCCCAACCTCTGAATTCATCTTTCCCTCTAATAGCCCTATTTCTCCCGGGAAAGCTACCTAAATCTTTAACCAGTAACTTCAACCTACATAGTCCTACCCCTGGGCTTAAAAATAGCCCACACTTATTCAGACAGACCCTAGCAGGAAATCTAACTGGGCAATCTCTTGAAGGGGGATAACTTCTACAGTATGTAGACAACTTCCCTATCTGCTCCCCTTCACAGGCTCACACAGCAACATGTAATACAAACCATAACTTACTAACAGAAGAAAAATAATTTCTGCCTAATTAAAGGTTATAATGGTAAAGAGGTATTTTTGGTAAGGAAGGTTATAAAAAAGATACTTTATATGAGAAAGGATCTTGTATGGTAATTTCTTGTCCTAAAGTAAAATAACTCATTGTTTAAAAATAAGGGATGTTCAGGACAAGTCAAAAAGTCCAAGCATATAATAGATGGTCTACGTAAGTCATGAGAAAATCATGACAGGAAATTTATAAAAAGAATATTGTATGTAATTAAAGCATAATAGTCTCTCTAAAATTGGTTCCCTATGTTGTGTCTAACTAAATTCAAACACTTTTTCATCAAGTTTAACTTCCAGGTTACCCAAATGGGCTTCCAATAAGGACAAAAAGTCACACTGCAAAAGGTTTTTTGCCTTTTTGATAACTGGCTTAAGAAACAAAACTTTATCTTCTAGAATTCTACAGTTTCACCTACAAATGATACTGCAAACGGGATATAAGTCTCTCCCCAATGATGCCTGCTACTTTTATGAATCTTCCCTGGATTCAGTTGAATGCTAGTTATGTCTTAACATGCTCCCCCTCTCCGATAAGTCCCTTCCTCCAACAAGATCCAATATATGGCTGGGCACTGTGGCTCATGCCTATAATCCCAGCACTTTGGGAGGCTGAGGTAGGAGGATCACTTGAGGTCAGGAGTTTGAGACCAGCCTGGTCAACACAGTGAAACCTCGTCTCTACTAATACAACAAAGTAGCCAGGCATGGTGGTGCACACCTGTGGTCGCAGCTACTTGGGAAGCTGAGGCACGAGAACTGCTTGAACCCTGGAGATGGAGGTTGCAATGGGCCAAGATCACACTACTAGATTCCAGCCTGGGCGACAAAGCGAGACTCATTTCAAAAAGAAAGAAAGAAAGAAAGAAAGATTCAATACAATATTCTAAGTCCCACAATCCAGGACAATGACCTACAGAGTCTCCTGACAGACCAACAGCCATTGGCAGGGCCATTGCCATACCCATGGTTAGCAGGAAGTGGTTGGGAGATGAGACCTCTACCCTCAATGTCAAAGACTTGTCATCATTGTTCTGCTGTGGGGGGAATGTGGAGACCTGATAGGTAAACAACAACATGGAAGGGGAGCATGTAGCCCCAGGAACATAACCTCATCCTGCATTTAGGCCCCTCCAGCTCCTTCCTCTTTGCAGACAGCCCCTTTTCTGTTGTGCTGCACTTGCACCCTTGCAACATATCTTTGTATCTTCATACTTTCTCTAATAATTCTTTTTTTTTTTTTTAACCTACGACTGTCTTGGTAAATTATTTTACTACCTGCAACACCAGCCCCAGCCAGTCGTACCCACAACAGAAAGGAATTCAAAGATAGGAGCCTAAAAGAAGTTTCTGTGACTATTTTAGTAAAATATGAAACCAAACTATTTTTGTAACATCAAGTAATTACCATCCATTCAAATATTTTAAATAAATTAATAAAACTGCTTTCCACTGATTAGGATTAGCATAATATTTTGGACAGGGGATGAAGTTAGGGGGGTAGAGACTGGAAACAAAGGAAAAAAGTGGGTAATTTTGGAGCATTTAAGGGCCAGTAAAATGAGGCTCTGGGCCTCAAGGCCAGGATACTAGGATTATGAAAAAGGGTAAGATGGTAGAAGGGTATCAAGGACAAATTTCACCAACTTAAAAACTACCAGTCCTGTATGTGCATAAACTGTGGCTTCCACACAAACCTGTAGTCTCTATCATACAAGCTGTCCCAAAAGTACATGTTCAAGTAAGCCTTTGTATATATAAATTCTGTCAACATGAAATACATTAATTTTTAAAATAATGAATATATACCAAAATATTTTTAAACGTTAGCTTTTATTTAACCTTTTTGGGGTCATGGGCTCCTTTGAGTATCTGACAAAAGCTATGGACCACCTCCCAAGAAAATTGTGCATATTCACATTCAAAATTAAGAATGCATACAATTTAAAGAGACCCAAGACTCTGGATTAAGAATTCCCTTTACAGGCCGGGCGTGGTGGCTCACGCTTGTAATCCTAGCACTTTGGGCGGATCACGAGGTCATGAGTTCGAGACCAGCCTGACCAACATGGAGAAACCCCATCTCTACTAAAAACACAAAATTGGACGGGCGTGATGGTGGGCACCTGTAATCCTAGACACTCGGGAGACTGAGGCAAGAGAACTGCTTGAACCTGGGAGGCAGAGGTTGCAGTGAGCCGAGATTGCGCCACTGCACTCCAGCTGGCTGACAAAATAAATAAATAAATAAAAATAATAATTCCTTTTATAGGCCAGGAATTTGAGACCAGTCTGGACAACACTGCAAGACCCTATCTCTACTTAAAAAACTAAAGACAGAAAGAACACCCATTATATACCATGGTAAAGTCCTTCTATCCACGATGAGCTATGTGGCTTTTAAACTGGTTGAACTCTAACTGCCTGAACAGCTCCAAGTCATTAGTTACACATGTTGACCTAAAAGAAGAAGCTGAGGCAAAATAACAGAGGGATTTTATTTGGGCCAAAGTTGAGGACTGCAGCCCGGGACACATTTCCAAGTTGCCTTGGGGGGTGTTCTGTCTGTCTGTCTGCCTCTGTTACAAACAGGTTTTTAAAGGAAACAAGGAGTGAGCTGATACCAAGTTGTTTGACAGGAATTCTCATTGGTTTACAGAGATAACACTGATTAGTGATTGGCTATACATTGTTGAACTACAGGGTATGAATTATAATACCCATCGTATGGCATTTTATGGCCATTGGCATCATTTAACAACCCACATGGCAAGTGGCTTCAAGGTAATTATTTAGCTCAGGAGAGGTGAGACTGCTGTTACATTTTAAATGACTCTTTCTGATGGATAATTTAAAGAAGCTCCCATTCCTCAGATAAAAATTTTTTTTCCTTTCCTGGAGGGAGGCACAGAAAGTATGACAGCTGAGATAAAATGACTGTGGAGTAAAGGGAAAAGGGTTTAATAATCTGGAGGTGAGGGAGGGCAGGGGTAGAAGGTTGTTTTAATAAACAGGAAGTGAGGGGGATAATTCCTACTGCACAGTAGGCTCTCTACAAATAAATAAATGAAAAAAATGAATAAAACGAACAAAAAGAAGTAGTTGAGATGATGAAGAATCTTTTATGACATGGCCCCAAAAGTAGAGAGAAAAAATTAATATTTTATTTGCTACCCTGTAAACATATCTTAAACACATCTGTTCTATGGAAAAATGCAATTGAAATTCTCAACAACCATTTTTACAAAGTTTTAGAAAATGACTCATCCATAAAACTTGCCAATTTATATGAAATTCATTAGAAGGAAAAATCAAATCACTAAATCAAAAACCTAAAGGGAAAAATGACTAAATAAAGAAAAAAAAGTACAGAAAATGGTTAATTATAAAACTAAATGCAGAAAAATTAAACTACAGTTATTTTAAAAGGTACAAGACCATCCAGAAGACTTTCCATCTTCTGTATAATGCTTTTAAAAATGCCACCATCACCATATTTTAACAAAATTCCCAGGTAAGTAAATGTGGTCTGTTTACACTGCATATCTTATACAAAGGGAACATGACAAGTTCAAGGGGTTAATCGTGTATTCTGGGGAGTCAATCAACAAACATGTACTAAGCATATACCAGGCAATGTGTTGTGTATGTAATAAATGAATTATCAAATTAACTGTTATTACTAATGATACCAAATTACACCCTCTGTATGCCAGACCATAAAAAAGGTTAAGAGTCACAGCAATAGAGATGTAACTGCCAAAATCTCCCGTAAATGATTATGGCTTTGTTAACTTATTTTTTGTGAAAAATCTTTTTTGTTGCATTCATTATAACAAAATGTGATCCCTACCCAGCCAAGTGGTAAAATTTAAGTTAGCACGTCGTGTAATGAAAATGAGTATTAATTTATGAAAAACTCTCATAGCAGATTGATGTTTGTTGTTTAGAATTACAGAGAAATTTCATTACATCAAACAGTGTCTAAAATAAGCATGGATTGTTTTGTTTTGTTTTGTTTTTTGAGATGGAGTCTCACTCTGTCACCGAGGCAGGAGTACAGTGGCGTGATCTCAGCTCACTGCAACCTCTGCCTCCCCGGTTCAAATGATTCTCCTGCCTCAGTCTCCCAAGTAGTTGGGATTACAGGTGCCTGCCACCACACCTGGCTAATTTTTGTATTTTTAGTAGAGACAGGGTTTCACCATGTTGGCCAGGCTGGTCTTGACCTCCTGAACTCAGGTGATCTGCCCACCTCAGCCTCCCAAAGTGATGGGATTACAGGCGTGAGCCACGGCGCCCAGCCTCTTTTTTTTTTTTTAAGAAAAATTTTTATAGTCTACTTCCTTTAGTGGCATATACCTTAAACCAAATTTAAGTTCAAAGTGAAATTCATAATGCATATTGAAAATTTCACTTATCACAAATTTAGTTATTGTGCTGTAACTAAATGGCAAGCAAATCATTAAAAATATATAAAAGAATTAGGAAATAATAGAACTAAAAATGTCTAAAAAGATACTTAATTCTTATCTATCTCAGAATTAAACTTGAGCTTTTTCAGCCAGAATATATTACATAAAGCTTTCCCCCAGCTAGGTGCTATGCTTTTAACTGATAGGTGCTCTAAGAAACAATCGTTTTTATTGCAATAGAGTGTTAAATAATTCTATGTTTATATTCTACTCTACTTAAGCAAGTATCATTTTACTGACTCTAGTAAATACTTGTAAGAGAGGCCAGGCTCAGTGGATCACACCTGTAATCCTAGCATTTTGGGAGGCTGAGGCGGGAGAATCACTTGAACCCAGGAATTCAAGACTAGCCTGGGCAACATAGTGAGACCTTATTTCTACAGAAAAAAAAATTATTTAACCAATTAGCTGGGCATGGTGGCATGTACCTGTAGTCCCAGCTACTCAGGAGGCTGAGGTGGAAGGATAACCTGAGCCCAGGAGGTTGAGGCTCCATCCAGTGAGCCAAGATGGTGCCACCGCACTCTAGCGTGGGTAACAGCAAGACCCTCTCTCAAAAATAATAACAGCAATTAAGACAGAAAGGCAAAAACAATAAATAATGACTAACAGTAACTGAGACAGCACAATGCCACAAAGCAAATAAGCAACAGAACTAGGATTCCAACACAAGCTGTACCACTTTGAAGTGCATACTCTTCATCACCTATGTGTGCTATTCTGCCTCTTAAAGATATCTCCTGCCATTTTTATATTACAATAAAAATGTTGACAACAATAACAGCAAGATTCCCAAAACTTCCAATTTGAATGAATCAGAGATATAACAAAACACCTATTTTTTTTCTTCTACATAATATCCAAAGAAGCTATAGACACTATGGTTACGATTTAAAGGAAAAATAAAAATGAAGAGGAAAAAAAACAAACTACAAACCTTATCTTACATGTCCCATTCCAAACAAGGTTGTGAGTAGCTCAATGTTGCTTCTGTTTTTATTTACTGAATTTCAAAAACACTGCATTCCCATCAGTGACTGATCCTCAACCTTCTTTAGTTTCCAAAAACTTCAGCTTTGATAAAACATATACTCCTCCACTTTAATACTCCATAAAAAAACTAAATGTTCTGAGATAATGCAAATAAAGGAATCTAAACTGTTTATATAAAGTTTATATAAGTCCCAAATTTGACTTATTGTTATAACTTAGTTTGGGAAGTTTCTAATTGAGAAAATTTATAATTCAAATTCATTTTAAATTTGCCATATGAACTTTAAGTACTGAAGTGTCATTCCCATCTACTGAGTGGGTATGAAAAATGTGAACTCATTTCAACATCATTGTAGTCATTATTATTCTATTAATACTCTCAAGCTAATTCTTCTTCCATGAATTTTTCAGGGAGATACGAGTCAGTCACTGACTAAACAGTTATATTACTGGATCATGACATACCTAAACTTAACATTTCATTAAAAGTACTTAAAATTTTTGCTAGCTAAATAGAATCATAAAATTACAAGGCTAAAAGGAACTTAAAAGGTCATTTCTTTACTTCCCTTGCCTTCAAGGATCATACTCATACCACCAAGATTTTTATCTATTTTATAAAGCCCCAGACAACAGAATCCCAAAATCTGCCTTAGAAACCTATGTTAATACTCACTGGAAGTAATTTTACACACACTTAAATTTCTGAAACCAAAAAGGACAGAGTAAAATAGAAAGAACATGGGTTCTGAAGGCAAGACCTAGGTTTAATCCCGCTTATACCAAAACTACTGGCAAAATGACACTGGGAAAATTACAGTACCACATGAACTCAAAGCCTTATTTCTCCTCCATAAAATAGGGTTATAACTAACTGTTGAAGTCTGTTTAAGGATTAAGTTAACAGACACAGTCCCAACTATAGTGCATGATACCAATACCATAGCTGGTGCTCAATAATTGCCATTTCCTTCCCTTTTAAAATCATTTCCCAGCACTTTGGGTTCTGGTAATGGCAAAGCAGCTTTGTCAGATAAACTTTCCTATAAAATCTGGACAAAAACACCATTTTTCAATGCTCTGGAGAGAGACCAAATGCAGGCAGAAGCTGGGAAGAGTTTACCCATTGAGAAAAAGAAAGTGTATCTGACAACAGGCACTTGTTTATACCTTTTTGTCTAAGAGCAATTCTCAAACTTTCTGGACTCAGACACCCTTACACTCTTAAAAATTACTGGCGGGGTGCAGTAGCTCACGCCTGTAATCCCAGCACTTTGGGAGACTGAGGCAGGCAGATCACAAGGTCAAGAGATTGAGACCATTCTGGCCAACATGGTGAAACCTCATCTCTACTAAAAATACAAAAAAAAATTAGCTGGGCATGGTGGCGCACACCTGTAGTCCCAGCTACTGAGGAGGCTGAGGCAGGAGAATCACTCGAACCTGGGAGGCAAAGGTTGCAGTGAGCCGAGATCGCGCAACTGCACTCCAGCCTGGTGACAGAGTGAGACTCCGTCTCAAAAAAAAAAAAAAAAAAAAAATTAGTGAAGATCCCGTATTAGAAATTTTAAGAGATCCTTTCATAGTTCGAAAGCGTGACGTTTAAGTTTTCACGCATACATATGAGATATGCCTCCCTCAAACATTGTCACAACATTGGTACATTACCATCTGACATGAAAACACAAAAAAATTGAAAAGGAAAAAATTGTAATTTATTAATTCATTACAAATAATGATGAACTTTTTATATTTTAACATATAAGTTCTAATGACATTTTCTGGAACAAAAATATTAATGAGAAGAGTAACCCTGTTCTACCTTTTTGCAAATCTGTTTAATGTATAGCTTTTAAAAAGTTAACTATATTCTCATATCTGCTTCTGCAATGAATCACTGCAATCCATTGTTCTAGTTGAAGTATATGAAGAAAATTTGGCCTCAAGTACACACGTACCTAACTGGAAAAGGCAGGGACCCTGATCACCCCTTGCAAAGTTCTCAGAGACAGACAACGGTCCTCAGATCACACACTGAGAATTGCTGATCTAAGGGGGCTCTAATCTGTGTACAACTCGGGAAGCAGAAAGATATAGCTTTACTGAATTTAGGTGACACCGGACAAAGTTTGAGGGTGACAGGACAGTTCTAACATTGAGGTGTAAATTCTGGAAGGGAAGAAGCCAAAAGGGGGTAAGTCCCCCAAATTTATATATAAACTGTCCCAAACCTTGGCTATCTGCTAAACCATGCATGTGCAGAGGAGATTCTAGGGTACGATGACAAAGAAAAAGCTGGAAAGAAAAGATTTCAGCTGCTGCCATCACTGAAAAGAGAATGCAGTTTTAATCTAGCCAAGCAAACCACTCTCTACAACCAAAAAAAAAAAAAATACTCTTCAGAGGAACACAACATAAATGTTATAAATTTTATGAATGAAAATTTATGCTTACATTATAAATAAAATGTAGACTACATTTCGTCTCTACATTTCATAATGTAAGCATGAAACTTTAAAATTACTGGATACACATATCAAAAAAAAAAAAAAACAAAACACCTCAGGAAAAAAACAAAACGAAACAGGAAAATGTGATCTATACTCAAAAAAAAAAACATAATCAACAGAAACCAACCCCAAAAAGACCTAGTCATGCAACTGGCATTAGACTAGCTATAATAAATACACTCAAGGACTAAAGCTATAATAAATACACTCAAGTTTCAAACAAACTTAGAGATAAGTAATCTCAGAGAATTGGAAGTTTTTCATAAGAATCAAATGAAAATTCTAAACCTAAAAAGTACAATAACTGAATTGAAAAATACAGCAGGTAGGCTTAACAGCAAGTTGGAAACAAAAGAAGAAAGAAAAAATGAACTCGAAATCAAGAAAAATTATTCAACCTAAGGAACAGAGAGAAAAAAGACTGACAGCAGAACCTCAGAGACCCACCTGTGGGTCAGGATCAACAAGTCAAATGTTAAGTATAGCTTAAGTCACAGAAAAAGAGTAGAGAATGGGGCAAAAAAATTTTGAAGATATAATGACCTAACACACCCCAAATGTGGTGAAAAACAAAAATTTATCCAATATCAATATAAACCCTATGCAGCAAAAATACAAAGAAAACGTATCTGTGCACATCATAGTCAGATGGCTGAAATAAAATTTTTTTAAATAAAAAAATCTCAAAAGCAGCCAGAGAAAAACAACAAAGTCAAACAAAAATATGAATATATCTACCTTCTCCTTAGAAACTCCAGAGAACAGAAGACAATGGAACTACATCTTTATAGAAGTGGAAAAAAATAAGCATCAAGCCAGCACTCTTCAGCAAAACTATCCTTCAAAAATACGGCAAAATCTTTCAGGAAAACAAAAACAAAATTTGTAGCCAGCCAAAAGTATGGCAGTTCCCCAGAAAGTTAAAAATAGCACCATCAAATAATTCAGCAATTCCACTTCTGGGTATAAACCTAAAAGAACTGAAAGCAGGAACCTGACAGATATTTGTACATTCACGTTCATAGCAGCATTATTTATAATAGCTAAAAGGTAGAAGCGACCCAAGTGTCCATCAACAGATGAACAGATAAACAAAATGTGATATATACATACAATATTAATATTCAGCATTAAAAACGAAGAAAATTCTGACATGTGCTATAACCCTGGATGAACCTTGAAGACATTATGCTATGTGAAATAAGCCAGACACACACACAAAAAAACAAATACTGTATGATTCCATTTATATCAGGTACCTAGGATGGTCAAATTCATGGACAGAAAGTAGAAGAGTGGTTACCAGGGGACTGAGGGTGGGGAAAGAGTTCTTGTTTAATGGGTAGTTTCAGTTTGAGCTGATGAAAAAAGTTCTGGATGTGGATGGTAGTAATGATTGCACAATAATGTGAAAGTACTAAATGCCACTAAATTTTACACTTAAAAATCGTTAAAATGGTAAATCTTACATTTTACAACAAAAAAATTTTTAATCAACATAATTTACCATATTCAGAAAATAAAAAAGAAAAACTATATGATTATCTCAATAGATGCTAAATAAGATTTTACTAACTTGACTACTCATTTACAATAAAAACAAAAAACGTTCAGCAAACTAAAAAAATAATTTACTCAGTCTTATGGACACCTATTAAAAAACCTACAGTTAACTTAAGTTTTGAAGCATTGAACATTTCCCCCCACTTCACATTTAAAGAGGGCAAGGATGTCTACTTGCAGCAGTTCTACTCAACATGTCACTGAAGGTCTGGGATAGTACAATAACAGTCATAAAGGTATAAAAATTGGAAAGAAAGTAAAACTGTCCCTATTTGTGTGCAACATAATTATTAATGTAGAAAAATGCAGAACAATTAAATGATCACGATTAATAAGTGCGTTTAGCCAGGCGTTATGACACAAAGTTAACATACAAAATTTTACCATGTATCTATGTACTAGCAGTGAACAACTGGAAAACAAAACTAAAAAACAATTCCATTTATTTTTGCATCATACAACATAAAATCCTTAGTAATAAATTTAACAAAGGATATACAAGACCTCTACCAAAACTACAAAATGTTGCTGAGGAAAATTAAAGATGACCTAAATAAATGGAGAGATGTGCCATGTTCATGACTAGAACTTTCAAAACTGTTAAAATGTCTCCAAAGTGATCTACAAATTCAACCCAACCCCAATTACAGTCTCAGCATAATCATACTCCTTTTTATAGTAATTAGCAAGCCTATTCTAAAATTCATAATTGAAACACAAAAGATCTAAAATCTTGGGAAAACAACAAAAATGGAGAATTTACATTAACATCAGGATTTACTAAAAATCCATTCAATGGTTCTCAGCTGGGGCCAATTTTGCCCCTCAGCGGGCATTTGGCAATATCTGGATACAATTTTGGTTGTCACAACTGGAAACATGTTACTGGCATCTGGCAGGTAGAAACCAAAGATACTATTAAATATTTGACAATGCATAAGACAGCCTCACAACAATGTGGCCCAAAATGTCAATAGTGCCAAGGTTAGGAAACCTGAAACTACAGTAATCAAGACAATATACGACGGGCGCAGTGCCTCATGCCCGTAATCCCAGCACTTTGGGAAGCCGAGGCGGGCGGATCAGCTGAGGTCAAGAGTTCAAGACCAGCCTGGCCAACATGGTGGCAGGAGGCTGCAGTGAGCCAAGATCAAGCACTCCAGCCTGGGTGACAGAGTGAGACTCTGTCTCAAAAAAAAAAGAAAAAGACAATATGGTATTGACATAAGGATAGTCAAATAGACTAATGAAACAGAATACAGACTCCAGAAGTAGACCACTTAGGTCAACTACTCAATAAAGGTGACAAAGCAACTCAATGGAAAAAGTGTTTTCCAAAGTAGGTTCTAGAACAACAGGATATCCATACACAAAAAAAAGGAAGAAGAAACTTGATCCCTACTTCCCTCCATATAGTAGCTCAAAATAAATCATAGACCTTAACAAAGGTTAAATGATAAATTGGTAAACCCTCTAGAAAAATGCATTAAAAACATCTTCACAACCTAGCAAAACTACTGAGAAAAGACTTAAAAGCAGAATATATATATACCAAAAAAAAACTAAAAGAACTCCTACAACTCAATAAAAACAAAATCCAATTTTTAAAATGGATAAAGAACTTGAAAAGACATTTCACAAAGGAAGATAAACAAATGGCTAATAAATGCATGAAAATTCAAAGTGGTCAATATTAATATCATCACAGAAATACAGACTAAAACCAAAATGAGAAATATAAATTAAAAGCACAAACTACATACCCATTAAGATGACTAAAATATACATGACTGCAAACAACTGATTGTTGGTGAGAATGTATAGCAACACAACCTCCCATGTATTGATGGTGGGCAGGTAAAACAGTACAAAAAGCTCTAGCTGTTTCTTATAAAGTTGCACCTATCCTATTACCCAGTGATTCCAATCCTAGGTATTTACTCAAGAGAAATAAAAACATATGCCCACAAAAGGCCTCATACAATAATGTTCTGCTTTATTCCTAATAGTACGTATGTGGACAAGTGAAAGAAACCATGTATATTCATAAAACAGATCACTTACTACACAGCAATAAAGAGAAATGAAATTCTGGTATGTACAACAACCTAGATGAATCTCAAAAACATTATCGTGAGTAAAGGATGTCAAGGACATTTATGGTCACCTAAATGTAAAGTTCTAAAGCAGGTGACAGTAATTTATGTTTATTTAAAAAAAAAAAAAAAAAAAGGCTGGGCCCAGTGGTTCACACTTGTAATCCCAGCACTTTGGGAGGCCCAGGCAAGCAGATTGCTTTAGGCCAGGAATTGGAGACCAGCCTGGCCAACGTGGTGAAAATACAAAATACTAGAAACACAAAAATAGCCAGGCAAGGTGGCATATGCCTGTCGTCTCAGCTTCTTGGGAGGCTAAGGCATATGACTTGCTTGAACCCGGGAGGCAGAGGTTGCAATGAGCCAAGATCACACCAATGCACTCCAGCCTGGGCAACAGAGCAAGACTCTGTCTCAAATAATAATAATAATAACAATAATAATAATAGCAGATGACTGGAGGGCATGGGAATTAACTAGAAAGGGTCACTAAGGATCTTCCTGGGGTAACAGAGATGACCTCTATCTTGACAGGAGTGTAAGTTATACCCATGTGAACATTTGTCAAAATCAAGCAGTTGGCCAGGCGCGGTGGCTCACACCTGTAATCCCAGCACTTTGGGAGGCCGAGGCGGGCAGATCACAAGGTCAGGAGATCGAGACCATCCTGGCTAACACAGTGAAACCCCGTCTCTACTAAAAAATACAAAAAATTAGCCAGGTGTGGTGGCGGGTGCCTGTAGTCGCAGCCACTTGGGAGGCTGAGGCAGGAGAATCTCTTGAACCCGGGAGGTGGAGGTTGCGGTGAGCTGAGATCATGTCACTGCACTTCAGCCTGGGCAACAGAGCGAGACTCGGTCTCAAAAAAAAAAAAAAAAAAAAATCAAGCAGTTAAGTTTTGTCCATTACAATGTATATAAATCTTACCCAAAAAAAAACTATTAAAAAAATCTAGTGGAGGTAGGGGAGTAAACAGAGGTACCACTCAAACAAGAAATGGCAAAGTATTAATTGTTGACATTAAGTGATGGGTACATGGGAGTTCATTATACTATTCTGTTTACTTCATATATGTTTGAAATTTTCCATAATTAAAGGTTTTTAATAAATAATTTCCCTTAATTCCCCCTCAGTGGAGGAGAAAATTAATAATCACTGTCCTTCATATAAGTTAAAATCTTCAAAGGAAGTCTCTAAACTTTGTTTTCTACACCAAACAATCCCTGTCCTCTACACTTTCTTCATATTCATCATAGTTACAGCTCACCTTGAAATCTGCCCATATTTTCTGTATCTTATTTATGTACTACTATCTAGTAGGGAGAAACAGACTGGAGCTATGACTTCATTAGCCTCTACTACATGCCTGGCAGTATGCTACCTACTTTAAATAACTACCCACTTAAATCCCAAAACTGAATTTAGCATCTAAAACTTTAACCCTTAGAGTGACTTTAGTTAACACTAATTGACTGTACATTTCAAAATAGCTAAAAGAGAGTAACTTGCATGTTCTTAGCATAAAGATAAATATTTAAGGGTTCCCAAGTACCCTGATTTGATTATATGCATGTATCAAATTATCACATGTACCCCAAAATATGTACATCTATCATATATCAATTTAAAAAATAATAATAAAATAAAATTTTAATGTTTCTTTACTGATCACCCTCACTAGAATTTATGTTCAATGGCAACACTGATCTTATCTTGTTCACAATTTCTTCACATCAGGCACATAGCAGGTACTCAGTAAATACATGTAAATCAAAGAATGAAAGAATATCAGAGCTCATAAGTACCCGGTTTAGCTCTCTTCTTAGTAGTGTAAATCATTTCCTATTCTAGCTATATCCAGCTTATTTTGCCTCTAATCTTATTGGCATCTATATCAATTGTTATGTATTTGTTTCAAGTGGAGTAGAATGACCCGTGTTTGAAAGCGTCACATTTTCTTTATTCACACATGTAGTGTAGTAAATCAATGTATATATTGCCAAGAGTCTTTGAATGATGTATTTTTTATATGTGGTCTTACTTTTTCTGTTCATATTGATACAAATAAGGAGATTTTTTTTCCTTAAGAGACAGGGTCTCACCATGTTGCCTGGCTTCCTAATGCATTTTGACAGTCTCTTTTTTGATAGTATCACCATCACAAAGCTGAAAACCCCTAGCAAATATTGAGAACTCAAAGTTCCTAACACAGGGTAAATTATAATTAAATTACTATTGAATTAATAATTACTGAGTTAATAAGTTATCACTGAGTTAGTAATATTGAGTTGTAATAAAACCAACCATAAATTTTATTTCAAAAGAATTTATCTAACAAACTAAGCATCTACATAAACTTAAAATCAAATTGTTAGATCCCTTCACAGTGAATCCAGGTTTGTTCTCAGAGTACATTCTTCAGTAAACATTTGGGGTGTGGTTTATGAATAAAACTACCAATACTTTAGATTAGAATTTGATTTCTACCTCAATTTCAAAGAGTAATTTTTTCATTCTTAAATAAAATCCTTAAAACATCCATAAGTTAAAAAGCTTAAAAGGGAAGGGGGATGTTATTAGTGATATTATAAAATACAAAAACTGAGTGAAATAGTTGTTAACTACAGTAAGTCAATGGTAAGTACTAGAATTTTCCTCATTAGTAAGCAAAATATGCTACCAAAGAAGATGGTCACTGCAATGTTTCTCTGACCAAATAAAAAACTTTTAAAAACATGTTTTAACATTCCAAGGGAGAAGGCAAAAGAGAAGCAAACTTCACTCACAAAGAATCACTCACAAAGAATGACATTTTATATATATATATATACACACACACATATATATAACTTTATTAAACATTTCACAAATGTCTTACATATATCATTTGCCACAGATTTAAATCCAAATTCTTCCAAATGCTATTTGATGTTTATAGATTATACGTAACTTTAAAAAACATTTAATTCAAATGTGCCAAATGCAGCAAAGGGCTGGAAAATAGAGGTTTCAAAGTAAATAGTCATTTAGAGACACCAGCAAATAGATCTGACCTTTTCGAGTGGCTTTCCCAAAGAGTTTCCAATCAGTTTCCAGTCATTCAAGACTTCTTCAACTTTGGAAATAAACCTAGGAAGTAGGGAGAAAGCTTCTAAATACAACAGCACACCTTTTTTCCTATTATTATGTAATTTCTTTAAAAAGGTATTTTTTATATTTTAACAATTTGACCAGAGAGGACTCAGTACATTTAGTATTGCTAGCTTAATTTATGGATATGGGGTAAGAGAAATAATCTTCTTTCATTCAAGAATTCTTAGGTTTTGATTCATTTATATCTATTGCTTACCCAACAAAAGCATTCTGCCTTCTATAAAATGTAAATTAAGAATTGATGAATCTCTAATAAAACGAATAAAACAAATTTGGGGCACAAATAAAAACTGACAGACTAAAATGATACTATTAAAGATAATTATGGGCTGGGTGCAGTGGCTCATGCCTGTAATTCCAGCCCTTTGAATTCCTAACCCTGAGGTTGGGAGTTCAAGACCAGCCCAGCACAAATACAAAAAAAATTAGCCCGGTGTGGTGGCACACATCTGTAATCCCAGCTACGCAGGAGGCTGAGGCACAAAAATCACATAGAAGCGGACGTTGCAGTGAGCGGACATCGCGCCACTGCACGCCAGCCTGGGCGACAGAGTGAGATTCCATCTCAAAAATAAATAAATAAATAAAATTATGAAACCAATCATCTCTCTCCTACCCACAATAACTGACCTATTTAAATAAACTTTTCCTTTAAATATATTAGGAATTCCGATTTACCCCCCCAGCCCCCAACAAAAAAAGAAAATATTATTTGGTAACTTGGTTCATGAAACTAAAACAAGTTTTAATGGACAGCTGACAAGAAATTGCAAGTAAATATGTCAACTTTAAGTATAAGTGACAGGTCTTAAAACTAGTCACCAATCTTTAAATCCAATGGTCAAGAAGGCCTATTAAAAAGAGAACTGAATTTTGAGTAGCAACATGCTCAACATCAGTAAATGAAAACTGTCAAGTCTCAGTCAAAGACATTTTCAGAAGAATTATTCTTACTCTAAGTTGACTTCTTATATAAGCTAAGTATGATGCAATCTAACAGCAACATTGCTCTCTAAACACCTGGAAGTACTGCTAGAGTACTAGAGTTAATTCTAGTCAAACTGTATGGAAAGGCAACAGATTTTTTCCTTCAGTGACATTATGAACTAATATGAACTAATAATTATGTTTTAAGATAGTAATAATAAATCTATGATTCATCTGAGGCTTCTTACTAATTCCTCTTTAAAATTAAATGCAGTATCAATTCATACACTAATTCATGGGGGAGGTCAGTCAAATGACAATTACTAGGTTTGAAAATCAGTGCTCTAGAAACAAGTTTACATGTTTACCAAAGAGGAAAAATTTAATATATCCACAGGCAAGCAAAAATTTGCATGAAATGTATACTATATTTACGAAGCTAAAAAAACTGGAAGTTACCTTAATGCCCAACTGCAGGAAATACTTGTAAATTAATCCACTCAGAGGACTAATATGCACCCAATAAAAATCATGTCAATCAAAAGAAAATATACAAAGGCCAGGCACAGCGGCTCACGCGTGTAATCCCAGCACTTTGGGAGCTGAGGCGGGTGGATCACGAGGTCAGGAGTTCAAGACCAGTTTGTCCAAGATGGTGAAACCCCGTCTCTACTGAAAATACAACAAAAATTAGCCAGGCGCGGTGGCAGGCACCTGTAATCCCAGCTACTCAGGAGGCTGATGCAGGAGAATTGGTTGAACCCAGGTGGCAGAGGTTGCAGTGAGCCAAGACTGCACCACTGCACCCCAGCCTGGGCAACAGAGTGAGACTCTGTCTCAAAATAAAAAAGAAAAGAAAAAGAAAAAGAAATATTAATATTTGATCCAAAAAAGTTTTTAACACACGTTAGAAGGAAATATGTCGGCCGGGCGTGGTGGCTCATGCCTGTAATCCCAGCACTTTGGGAGGCCGAGGCGGGCGGATCATGAGGTCAGGAGATCGAGACCATCCTGGCTAACACAGTGAAACCCCGCCACTACTAAAAATACAAAAAATTAGCCGGGCGTGGTGGCGGGCACCTGTAGTCCCAGCTACTTGGGAGGCTGAGGCAGGAGAATGGCGTAAACCTGGGAGGCAGAGCTTGCAGTGAGCCGAGATCGCGCCACTGCACTCCAGCCTGGGCGACAGAGCGAGACTCCGTCTCAAAAAAAGAAAAAAAAAGGAAATATGTCAAAAAATTAACAGCAGTTATTTCCTGGTGTTAAGTTTACAGGTGATTTTTATTTTTTATTCTACTATAAGGTATTACTATTATAGTGAAAACTATTTAAAATATAGTTTTTACAGTAAAAGAAGAAATGTCTTTTTTTTTTTTTTTTTGAGACAGGGTCTCAACTCTGTCACCCAGGCTGGAATGCAGTGGTGTAATCACAGCTCACTGCAGTTCTGTCCTCCAGGACTCAAGCAATCCTCCCATCTCAGCCTCCTGACTAGCTGGGACTACAGGTGCACATCACCATGCCCAGCTAGCTTTTGTATTTTTAGTAGAGACAAGGTTTCGCCATGCTGCCCCAGCTCCTCTTGAACTCCTGAGCTCAAGTGATCTGCCTGCCTCAGCCTCTCTAAGTGCTGGGATTACAGGCATGAGCCACCATGCCCGGCCAGGAATGTCTTAAAATACTTATTGTATGAATAATGAATTCTATCAGTACTAGCTAAGAGACTTGGACTTTATCCTACAAGTATTGAGATTTGACTAGAAAAACTAAGTAATTTTTTCCTTAAAAGCTCTCAGGAAATGAAGGGTCATTTCCTGATTCCTTATTCTATATTAGGTCCCTCTGTTATAGGCTCTTATAAGACCAGGTTTCTTTCCCTTTCTAGCTCTTACATAAACTCATAATTACAGACTTGTATTACTTGATTTGTGTCTGTAATGCACTAGACTGCACATTTAGTAAAAGCAGAAACCGTACCTGTTTTACTAACCACCACATCCCTAAATCCGTAATGTGCACTGTGCTTGACATATGGGGATTCAATAAATATTGTCAATGAACAAATGATAAAAAGAGTTATGGGCTTCTATACAGTTCTCTCAATAAATTATCTATATAGTTCATAACATATTGTACTCACAAGATCTTTCATTTAAAATTAAACTCAAGGTTTGAGACTTCAAAGTCTTAACATTTTCTCTCATGAATTGTAAAATGCACACTACAGTGTAAAAGCCAAAAACCAAATTTTCTACTTTGCAATAGTTCTTATAACGGTGTTAATAATTATTTCCATATGCAAAGCTAAAGGACTTAATATTCCACTTCAGGATATTTTTAACTAGGGGAAAGTGATCATTTTTCCATTCAAAACTGATGTTTCCCTACCCCACCCTCCAAGATTTGAATTACATTTTTCTAACTACCTTCAAGACATCAAATTATTTCAAAATCAACAGGTTCAAATCTTCTCACTTTGACACTTCCTTACATTCATTCTTACAGGCAAAAAACTACAGTTCACATTTGATTTTTCCCACTTTTAACGTATCATCAAGTTTATTACCTAAATCTTCTCTGAAATATGTTACAATCCTCCCTTCTAGGTTCCCTTTGTATTCCAGTCCACAAATCACCATCCTAATTATGAATCAAGTTAAGTCTCCCACCATTATTCTACATCATGTCCTAAAACCACTTTCATCATATCACCTGGCCACTCTAAAACGAAGGGTCTCTCACTATTGTCTTAAGCAGTGGTTCTTTCTAAGTGTGGTCTCCTGACCAGCAGCATCTGAATTACCTGAGACCGTGTTACACAAGCAAAATTTTCAGTCCCACCTCAGACCTACAGAATCAGAAACTCTGAGGATGGGGCCCAGCAATCTAAGACTCTGATGTACATTAAAGTATGAGAATCACTGGTCATAGGAATACTGAATCTGGATTCCTGTATTTAGTTTGGGAAGATGTCCATAACCCAATCCCGTCTTCCTTGTTAACCTTATTTATTTCCCTTCAATAGACAGTCTTCACTCTAGTGAAGATATATTTCTTCATTCAGTCCCTTCAAAGATTCATTCTCACCTATGTCTCTACCCATGTCAGTCCATTCTCATGTTTAACCAACCACTTCCCACTTTCAAGGCCCAGCTCATTTCCTATCTTTTCTATGAAAATATCTCCAACTATTGTAGTCCACAATATCACCCCTATTTAAATAATAATTATTTTAATTATTATTTTTACAGGTAGTACCAACTGGCTTACATTTTAACTATTTGCTGTTTGTTGTTTTTTAAAAATATATGGGTCAAGTTTCTGCTTTTCCCTTTGTATATAGCTCTGGACACCCAGTACCTACTCAATGAAGTCTTGCCAGTGTGGTTATGTCTTACTGACACTTTTATGAAGGGTACCACAGGTCTAACTATTATTCCAACAAGGACCTTTTATATTTTCCTGTGCCACCTAATGACACGACATCCACAAATTTCCTCTCCCAACCAGAAAGATTATAAAATGCTGTAACAGCGTAAACACTGACTTCAACACCCAGGAAACTGAAGGGTTTCTGTGACACTTAACAGAAACCTTCTCGATCTAAGCTATCACTCCTCCACAAACTTGGCTTTCAACTAATTTCAGTAATAGAACAGTTTCACCCAGACAGCTGTTCATCTGAATTTGACAGGCACAGGAAGCCTGGGCACAGTACCCACTTTAATGTAACAACTTAAATCAAAGCATTCCAAAACCATATGCAGACTTTTTAAAAAGGTTATTCTAAAAGACAGGATGGGCGGAGGCTCACGCCTGTAATCTCAGCACTTTGGGCGGCCCAGGCTTGAGCCCAGGAGTTCAAGACTAGCCTGGGCAACACAGCGAGATCTTTAAAAAATTAGTTGGGCGTAATAGCGCGTGCCTGTGGTCCCAGCTCCTCCCGAGGCTAAAGCGGGAGCTTCACTTGAGCCTAGGAGTTCGAGGCCGCAGTAAGCTATGACCTCGCCACTGCACTCCGGCCTGGGCGGACAGACTGAGACTCTGTCTCCAAAAATAAATAAAAATAAAAAATTAAAGACAGCATGGAGATGGTGGGAGTGTGACAGATGGACAACTACCAATACTCTGAAGAAAGACTTCCTCCTGAAAAGGGTATACCAACGTACACGGGATGAGGTGCGGCACAACCTACCAAGTTTACTGCTTACGATAATGAGTTAAACGGTAATGAAAACCGGAACGGTTGTTGCAGCCTCGGAAATTTTTCTTGCGAGTGGGTAACAACCAGAAAACCAAAGTCTAAGGGAAGCGGTCTGACAGGAGAGAAAACAAAACTTTCTGAGAGCCTGAGCCTCAGGGATTGGCTGACGGGGGCGGGCCGGGTGTTGCCAGACGCGAGACGCGGAAGAGGCTTGCGGTTGACCAAAGAAGACTGGGGGAGGAGACCCGGGACCCACGGTATTACCGTTCCCGCACAAGTGGCGTCACTTGTGGTGTGTCTGGGGTCAGGGAAGCGGCTAGGGGACGCCAGGGCCCATGGGAGCTGGTAACCAAAAATGCGATTCACTCACCTTTCCCATTCCGAGGCAGTGGTGAAGTCCGTGATCTCAAATACCTCGGATTCGGGCTGCGGGAAGGGGAAGGAGAGAAAAAGAAATTAAGCCCCAAGGCGAAGACATGAGGAACGAATTTAGATAGTGACAAGGATTAAGTAGGGAGCAAAGAAATCACCTCACTGTCGGCAGCCATCTTGAGGAGCGCCGGGCCTGGCGCTAAGGCTGCCGGGAAGAAGAGCGAAAGAGAACGGGGCGCGTCCCCGCCCCCGGAGCCCCCGCCCCCTGTTCATGAGTCTTGCCCTAGTAAGTAGGAGTGCTGCTTCTTCGCCCAGGTCTGTTAAGTCTTTAGTCCGCCCTCAGCTGGTTAATAAAACTCCGCTCTAGCTGGTTTCATAAAACTTGAAAATTTCCTGTGATGAATACAGAAAGGGAACAGAAGCCAAGGTGATAGGACAAGACCCTAAACTCATGTGGATAAGATTGTATTAAAAAACCTAAAGCATGTTGGGTTTGTTTTCATTCAACCCATATTTGTAGTTAGTACCAATTAGCTTACACTTTAACTATTGGGTTTCTTTTCATTCACCCTCTATTTATTGATTGTAAGGCAATAAACTAGGTGCTGTAATACCACTTCTACCCTCTGCCCCTGACCCTGCAAGAAGTTGCTCAGTTGATTGTCCTGAAATAAAATCATACTAGTTACCTGGTTTCTGGGAAGAGCAACATGGTGTTCAACAAACGCTTCATTTTTTTTTTTTTTTTTTTTTTTTTTTTTTTTTTTTTGAGACGGAGTCTTGCTCTGTCGCCCAGGCTGGAGTGCAGTGGCACGATCTTGGCTCACTGCAAGCTCCGCCTCCCGGGTTCACGCCATTCTCCTGCCTCAGCCTCCCGAGTAGCCGGGACCACAGGCGCTCGCCACCACGCCCGGCTAATTTTTTGTATTTTTAGTAGAGATGAGGTTTCATCGTGTTAGCCAGGATGGTCTCGATCTCCTGACCTCATGATCTGCCCACCTCGGTTCTGTCGCCAGGCTGGAGTGCAGTGGCGCGATTTCGGCTCACTGCAATCTCTGCCTCCTGGGTTCAAGTGATTCTCATGCCTCAGCCTCCCGAGTAGCTGGGATTACAGGCATGCGCCACAACACCCAGCTAATTTTTGTATTTTTGGTAGAGATGGGGTTTCACCATGTTGGCCAGGATGGTCCCGATCTCCTGACCTTGTGATCCGCCCCCCTCGGCCTCCCAAAGTGCTGGGATTACAGGTGTGAGCCACTGTGCCTGGCCTTGTCTTTATTTTAACACCTTCAAGTTATTTATATATATTCTGCATCTGAGCTTTATATTGTTTATATATGTAGCAAATACCTTCTCCCACTCTGCAGCTTGCTTTTTCACTATTTTTTTTTCAGACTGGTGCTCTAAAAAAGCAGACACTACAATTCCAAGCTGGCGAAGTCTCTGAAGTCCAACTGGAAGTGCTAGGGCAAAAATTATGCATCAGGAAATGCGTAGCCCCTTGTACTACTGCCTTGCTCCGTCAATCATTGGCCAGGATCTCCCCAAGAAAACAGTGGCCTTGGCTATCACTGTTTGCTCAGTTTTTGGCTGGAGGAAGCACTCCAAGAATAGCAGGTCCTTGGCTCAACAGTTAGACAAACCTGATAAACCCAACAGCCGTAGGCTGTTCATCTAACCACACGCCTTACAGCTGGGCAGTGAGTCTTTCTTTAAGGGAGGTCTGAGCAGCACATCTTTTGTGTCTGCCACTCTCTTTTAATAGACAGCCTCTTTTAACATGCACCTACAATGTTTTCGACATCCTGTGCTTTCTCTTTCCTCTGGACATGCTGTCGTTTAGAATCTGCAATGTCCTTGTGTCTATAGTTTACCTGGTAAAATTTGTCCTTCAAGTTTCAGCTTGGATATTTGCTCTTCTGTGAAGACTTTCTCTGCCCCCTGTTAGGAGCTTATTTGTATTTGCAACCAGTTTGGTGGTAATCGATTGGATTCTCACTCAAAATTCATATGTTGAAGCCCTAACTCCTAGTACCTCAAAATGTGACTGTATTTATGGACAGGGTGTTTAAAGAGGTGATTAAGTTAAAATTAGGCCGCTAGAGTGGGCCCTAATCCAATCTGACTAGTGTCCTTATGAGAAGAGATTAGGACACCAGGGATGTGCACACACAGAGGAAAGGCCATGTGGGGACACAGAGAGTAGGTGGCCACCTGCAAACCAAGGAGAGAGGCCTCAGGAGAAACCCAACCTGCTGATACCTTGGTCGTGGGCTTCTAGTCTTCAGAGCTGTGAGCAAATAAAAAAATATTTTTTTGAGATGGAGTCTTGCTCTGTCACCCAGGCTGGAATGCAGTGGTGAGATCTTGGCTCACTGCAACGTTCACCTGCCAGATTCAAGCAATTTTCCAGCCTCAGCCTTCTGAGTAGCTGGGATTACAGGCATGTGCCACCACATCCAGCTAATTTTTGTATTTTTAGTAGAGACAGCATTTCACCTTATTGGCCAGACTGGTCTCAAACTCCTGACCTCAGGTGATCAACCCTCCTCGGCCTCCCAGAGTGCTGGGATTACAGGTGTGAACCACGGCGCCCAGCCCTGTGAGCAAATAAATTTTTGTTGTTTAAGCCTTCCAGTCTGTGGCATTTTGTTCAAGCAGCCCTAGGCAAACATACATCCCCCACCCTCAACCCAGGAAGTCAGACACTCCCCTTCCATGCTTCCTTAGAGCTTTTGACACAGCCCTAGGGCAGCCTGATATTGTCCTTGTTTTGTATGCCTATCCCTCCACTATTTCTAAACATTGAGTTTCTTGAAAAAGAGAATGGTTTGAATGACTCTATCTCAAAATGAGAGACAAAAGGAGGATTCCTTTTTTGTTTAAAGACAGGATGTCTTTCTGTTTCCCAGGCTGGAGTGAAGTGGCATGATCATAGCTCACTGCAGCCTCAAACTCTTGGACTCAACCAATCCTCCTGCCTCAGACTCCTGAGTAGCTGAAACTACAGGTGCCCACCACCACGTCCAGCAATTTTTTCTATTTTTTGCAGAGACATGGTCTCACTATGTTGCTCAGGCTGGTCTCAAACAACTAAGCTCAAGCAATCCTCCTACCTTGGCCTCCCAAAGTGCTGGGATTACAGGCGTGAGCCACTGCGCATAGCCAGAAGATTACATTTTTTGGGGGGGGTGGGAACGGAGTCTTGCTCACTCTGTCACCCAGGCTGGAGTGCAGTGGCACAATCCCGACTCACTGTAACCTCCGCCTCCTGGGTTCAAAGCAATTCTGCCTCAGCCTCCCGAGTAGCTGGGATTACAGGCACTAGCCACCACACCCGGCTAATTTTTTTTTTTGAGATGGAGTCTTGCTCAGTCGCCCAGGCTGGAGTGCAGTGGTGCGATCTCGGCTCACTGCAAGCTCCGCCTCCCAGGTTCACGCCATTATCCTGACTCAGCCTCCCGAGTAGCTGGGACTACAGGCGCCTGCCACCACACCCGGTTATTTTTTTTGTATTTTCAGTAGAGACGGGGTTTCACCGTGTTAGCCAAGATGGTCTCGAACTCCTGACCTCGTGATCCACCCACCTCAGCCTCCCAAAGTGCTGGGATTACAGGTGTGAGCCACCACGCCTGGCCTAATTTTTTTATTTTTGGTAGAGATGGGGTTTCACCATGTTGGCCAGGCTGGTCTGGAACTCCTGACCTAAGGTGATCCACCCACCTCAACCTCCCAGAGTGCTAGGATTACAGGTGTGAGCCACCACATCTGGCCAGGATTACTTTTTGAGAAGCCAATTTAAAGATTCATGGATTGCAGACAAGCTGGAACCCTAGGATAACCTGGCAGAAATCCTAAAAGTCAGAAACTACGGTACTTGCACCTTCCTCTGTTAGGCTGAGAGAGTACTCACCTTGATGGGAGTAGAAGCAAAGTAGAGCATAGGAAGCAAAACAGAGTAATAGCCTGTGTGTGCTTAAATTGGTGTCAAGCAGCTTGAAGTTGAATTGGTAATGAGGGAGTTTACGTAGATCTAACAATCTCTGAATGGTTTTTACCCTGAAGTCTTCATCCACTAAAGGAGAGAGAGAGAGAGAGAGAGAGAGAGAGTGTGTGTGTGTGTGTGTGTGTGTACGTGCTTGCGCATGGTAAAGGTAGTATTGCAACATTGTGGCCAGGCCGCTTAGGTTCAATCCCTAGCTCCACCATTCATTAGCTCAAAAGTTCTAAGCCTCAGTGTCATCTTCTGTAACGTGGCAATGATGCTGTTTATTGTTTCAACTCCATAGAGTTGTTATGAGGGTTAAATGACATTAATCATGTCCTTTATGGACTAACGTAGGAACTAGTCAATAAATGTCAGCTGTTGTTATTGCGATAGAATATCGTACCCCATTCAGTTGAGAATATATAATGTTACGCCCTACCTTAGAAGAGAAACCCCTGCATCCTTTGGTAAGTGGCAGAAAAGAATTTAGCAGCACACAAATGCCGGGTGACCTTATGGAGTGCCCTGTGTCCACTTCCTCATGATTATGTTTTCATAGTCCATGATTTGAAGTCTTTTGCAGTTGGGTTTATTACCACTGGACTCAGACAAAAATGCAGTCTGTTTACTGAAGCTTTTGCTTCAGAATATCACAAGCATATCTAGAGAAGAAGTATGTTGTAATGTAAGGATTTCTGTCTGCTAGCGCTTTCTCAAGGCTGAGTCTAAGAATGCAATCAGTTTGGTGGTAATCGATTGGATTCTCACTCTGTGACCTATATGCAGCTTTGAAAGGGGCCCTTCTGGCACCTTGTGGGGATTACAAAGGCATGGATCTCTTAGAGAAAGTCTCAGTGCATCAGGTGATCACAGTAATTGTGCCAACCATGGAAGTACATAGGGGTTTGGTAGTTTTAAAGCACTTAAGCAACAACTTGGAAGAGCATACAAAACTTGTTTTCCTTCCTGGATGAGACTGTCCTGCTTTCAATTCTCTAAGCTAAATGCACAGTGGATGGTTGCCTAGGAGACAACCTGTAAACTAAGCAGTCTATTTGCAGCTAACTAAAGGGTTTGTGCATGCAGGACCAGCTTAATTAAAGACAAAATTTAAAAGGAAAAATTATTTGGGCTGTACAACACTGAAAAAAAAATCTGAATCTATGCTGTTTTTAAATGGATCCCTGGTTGAAGTGTGGGTTACAGCTGTCCCAGAAATCAGTGCCACAATGAATTAGGATGATGTTGGCTACTGTTTGGCTTGGTGTTTCTTCAACTGTGTGCCACGTCCCTCAGCAAAACACAGCACAGGTAAGCCGAATCTCTGCTTTTCATCTCATTTTAGATAAACTGTATGTTGCAACTTTTTTACTCCCCAAAGGATGTCCCAGAGGAGGAATGCCTGGTAAACTGATAGAAGAAACTGTGTCCTAATCTCAAATAATAATATCCTTGGAGTTGTAATAAACTATTTTTTACTTTTCAAATATTGTGACGATTTCCTCCAATACTTATGCAGGCACCTCTAGACCATAGGCTAAATTACTAATGACAAGAAAAGTGTATGAAAAACACTTGCCTTCATTGAATTATACCTAGGGGTAATCTTTTAGTTTAATCACCCAAATATGTGTAAACTTTACATGGTATGAATCTTCTTGTAACCAATCAATATTGTATACATATGTTCTTAACCATGCTTTCTCAACATGAAATGAGATTTCTGTTGCTTTAAATCTTTATTGCATAAGGTTCTAAATCAAATGTACACTATAACAAAAGGTTTTGGTTTTACAAATAGATAAACCATGCATGCAATTAAAAATAAAAAAGACTGGGTTTTAATAGATGCTAAACTAAAAACCTCTGTGGAATGAAACACTATTCCTCAAAAATCATTGACCAAAACAGTTCTAAATGGGGCGGGCATGGTGGCTCATGCCCGTAATCCTAGCACTTTGGGAGGCCAAGGAGGGTGGATGACCTGAGGTCAGGAGTTCGAGACCAGCCTGCCCAACATGGTGAAACCCTGTCTCTACTAAAATACAAAAATTAGCCGGCAAGGTGGCAGGTGCCTGTAATCCCAGCTACTTGGGAGGCTGAGGCAGGAGAATTGTTTGAACCTAGGAGGCGGAGGTTGCAGTGAACCGAGATTGTGCCACTGTACTCCAGTCTGGGCGATAGAGGGAGACTCTGTAACAACAACAACAACAACAATAACAACAACAATTCTAAATGGAAAATTGAGAAATATTTTCTTATGAAAAAAACCTAAAATGGACATGTACAGATTGAAGGTTGGAAGAGGAAATAGAGCTCAATAATAAAAAGCACTGTGGGTTTGTGACTAAGCCTGGGCAACATAGTGAGACTCTGTCTCTACAAAAATAAAACATAAAAATAACTAGCGGGGCATAGTGCTGTGCACCTGTAGCCCTAGTTATCTGGGAGGCTGAGGTGGGAGGATCCCTTAAACCTAGGAGTTTGAGGCTGCAGTGAGCTATGATCAAGCTGCTGTACTCCAGCCTGGATGAGAGAGTGAGACCCCATCTCTAATAAAAATAATTTTTAAAAGCCATGGTCTGTGCATGTTAACTAAAAGAATGACCTGCATATAGGGATAATGCTATGTGCTCATTCCATCTTCATTGTCTTCCTCCAGTCTCTATTGAGTATGTGAGACAATAAATGGCCAAATAATGACCACATTACCCGGTATTGCAGTGATTTGATTTGATAATTTTGGGATTGTAGTTTAGTTAAATCTAAATTTTTTTGTTTTATTTTAGATGATAGATACTACTTATGAAATGCTCTCCCTTAAGGGTCACATTAAAAAGTTAAATTACAACTCCATAACATTGCTAGGTAATAACCTTGGGGGAAAAATGTTTGAAGTTTTATTAGTACTTTATGAATAAAGTGTGATATAAATATCTATTTCTTGCCTAGTTGTTATTTGAATATCTGATTTTTAGCTTTATTGAAAGACAAGTTTTAATTATCCTTTGTTTCGGAAAACCTTTTTTCCCCCTGAAATGATCCTGCAAATACTGTTGCATTTTCAAAAACAAGTATGTAAATCTAAGTTACAAAGCAATTTACTGGGACAGATGTGTGTATTGGTTTTAATTATTTCTGTGTCCTGATTTTGAGTATATCATCTGCCCCTTCCGCCCTTAGTAAGGTTCCAAGTACACTGCTTATTAAATGCTAATGATTAAGATAATGATGATTAAGTGACAGCAATCAACTAAACGTCTGCTTCTCTTAAAAGAGCTTAAAGAAAACTGTTAGGCATTACTGGTGGGAGTGTAAATTGATACAGCCATTCTGGAGGACAATCTGGCAGTACTTTGTGAAATTAAATCCATTCGACCCACTTGCCCCAGAGAAACGTTTACAGGGTGCATAATAAGGTCCAAACAAGGATGTTTATCACAGTGTTGTTTGTGGAGTGGACAACTTAGATGTCCATCACTAAGGGAGTAATAAAATACGGTGAACATAAAACCAAAAACCTTGTACATATAAGTACAAGGATAAAGCTTAAAAAGCAAAGTGTTAACAAATAATTAACAAGATCTAGAGTACAATATTATTTGTGTAAATTAAAAACCAATGTAATATAACAGCACTACATGCCTTATAAGGATATACACTTATTGAGGATACCTCTCAGGCACATTAGATTGGGTTCTTATCAGGCAGAGGGGATCAGAGCTGAAGGGAAAAAATAAAACAAGAGGAAAGCCTGACACCATCCAGTGTGGCTAGCAAGGAGTAATGATGAGCTCATCCCCATCTAGCTAAGGTCCAAACATGAAAACGGAAATAAGACTATTCTGCAAATGTGCCTTTAAATACTAGTTCCATTACATCTTTTTTGTTGTCATTGTTTGTTTGAGATGGAGTTTCACTCTTGTTGCCCAGGCTGGAGTGCAATGGTGCAATCTCAGCTCACTGCAACCTCTGCCTCCCAGGTTCAAGTGATTCTCCTGCCTCAGCCTCCCAAGTAGCTTGTATTACAGGCATGCACCACCATGCCTGGCTAATTTTGTATTTTTAGTACAGATGGGGTTTCACCACGTTGGCCAAGTTGGTCTCGAACTCCTGACCTCGGGTGATCCACCCACATCGGCCTCCCAAAGTGCTGGGATTACAAGTATGAGCCACTGCGCCTGGCTCCATTACATCTTTTTGGGCAGTAGCACTCTCATCTCTCTGGAGTGAGATACCATTTTGCCAATGTCTGTGCTTCATTTTCCTCATCTATAGAATAGGGATAATAATACAACTGTTCTGATGGTGTTATTTGGAATTAAATAGAACAAACACCTGTAAACCATTTAGAAAAGCATATGACACGTAGCAAGCATTCAATAAATGTTGGGCATGATTGCTGTTGTTGTATTATTGTTATTATTATGTAACTTCACTTTGAACAAAGGTAGATAAAGACTTGAGGAATTCATTCACTATTTCAAAGTATTCTGCTAGAAATTTGAAGGGGAAACTAATATCTATTCTAGCAAGTTTAAATCAAAAGGAGTAACAGGTAGTAATGATAAATGTCAATTAGAAAACAAAGTGGATTGCAAGAAAGATTGTGGATTCAATTCTAATCACAAGATCTGTGTTTCTAGAAGTTGCCTTTTAATGTGGCAACTGATTGGGAGCCTCCCAGAGAAATAAAAAGATCACCAGTTGCCCAGGGTTAGTGAGGAGGGAGGAATGAATGGGCAGAACACAGGGGAGTTTTAGGGCCATGGAACTATTCTGTACCTTCTAAAATGGTGGATGCATGTCATTATACCTTTGTCCTAACCCATAGAATGTACAACACCAAGAGTGAACCCTAATTTACACTATGGACTTTGGGTGATAATACTGTTTGTAAGTTCATCTATTGTTAACAAATGTACTACTCTGGTGCAGGCTGTTGATGGCGAGGCCAGTAGGGGGCAGTGGAGAGGGAATATTCTGTACTTTCTGCCCAATTTTGCATAAAAAACTTAAAACTGCTCTAAGTAATAAAGTCAATTTTTAAAAGTCTATTAAAAATCTCTTTCAAAGAAAGAGAGTCGCCAGGCTCATCCCAGATCTACTAAAGGAAACTTGGAATCTTTATAACAAGGAAATGTTTATGTTCAAGCAAGTTCAGGAAACTGCACTGAGCTAAGGCCACCATTTCTTTGAAAGCCAAGAACACCAACCACACACACTTGTTTACATACTGGCTCTGCTGCTGACCTCATCTATTGTCTTTCTGTAAAAGGAATCACCTGCCCAGTAGTGGGTCCTCCCTTAGTTCCTGGACCCCAACCTCTTGGACCTTTTCATTGTCTATGGTCAATCAGTCACAAATCCTGTGAACCCTCACATTCAAATTTTGTTGTTGTTATTGTTTTTTGAGATGGAGTCTCGCTCTGTTGCCCAGGCTGGAGCGCAGTGGTTTGATCTCGGCTCACTGCAACCTGTGCCTCCTGGGTTCAAGTGATTCTTCTGCCTCTGCCTCCTGAGTAGCTGGGATTACAGGTGCGCGCCACCACACCCGGGTAATGTTTGTATTTTTTAGTAGAGACAAGGCTTCACCATGTTGGCCCAGCTGGTCTTGAACTCCCGAACTCAGGTGATCCCCTCCCCTCGGCCTCCCAAAGTGCTGGGATTACAGGCGTGAGCCACCATGCCCAGCCACATTCAAATTTTTGTTTCTGCCTTTTTCCTCTGCATCATAATAATCTTACTAAAGTACCAATGTTCCTAAAACGCACTGCTGAAAGCTCTCCATGGGCTTCCCGATGTGTTGGGGAATCCAGGGTAAATTCCCATCTGGTTTTACTCTCTCCTCCTCGGCCCCAGATAGAGGCCTGAGTTCATGCCTGTCCTTCATCAGAGCTGCCCATTCTCCTTCACTGTGACTCTCCAGATATCACGAATGCCTTCTTTCTTTTTTCTTTTTAATTTTCTTTTTTCTTTTTTTTTTTTTTTTTTGAGACAGAGTCTCGCTCTGTCGCCCAGGCTGGAGTGCAGTGGCGCGATCTCAGCTCACTGCAAGCTCCGCCTCCTGGGTTCACGCCATTCTCCTGCCTCAGCCTCCAGAGTAGCTGGGACTACAGGCGCCCGCCACCATGCCCAGCTAATGTTTTGTACTTTTAGTAGCGACGGGATTTCACCGTGTTAGCCAGAATGGTCTCAATCTCCTGACCTCGTGATCCGCCCGCCTCGGCCTCCCAAAGTGCTGGGATTACAGGCGTGAGCCACTACCTGGCAATGAATGCCTTCTTTCAAGGGGATCTTCCAGATCACATGGCCAGCCCATTTCTCTGACATCTGTAAGATTCATTATCTGATGTTTACATGGACACTTAATCACGTGTGTTCTTTCTTGTATTTTATCTAACCTATTTTGTGTTATGTTTATTGGGACTGGTCAATGAAAGCTGCTGAAGGGCATATAGCATCTTCCTAATGAATGGCTGAATTCATGGGCTAGTACTATTTCTAGAGTGAAATAGTACATGTTCTAGAGTACTATTTCTAGAACAGAACACATGTTCTCTGTGTTTCTGTACATGTTCACGTAGTCTGGCCCATGAATTCTGAAGGTATTTGTGTGTTTAGAACATTAAAGAGCAAATCTAGACTTTTTCTTGTTTGTTTTTCTTAGCTATCCTCCACAAACTTATACTATGAAATGAGCCTCTTGTTCTTTTGCTTTCAATCTCATGCCAGATTATAGCAAGGAAATTGCACATCGAATCAATAGCATGTGGCTACATACAGTGACTGTAGTGTCAGAAGCAGAAGTTGGAGTATAGAGCCTGACAAAGGATGTCGTGCTGTTACTAACAGCAAGAGACTCCAGGCTGGGTGCGGTGGCTCACGCCTGTAATCCCAGCACTTTGGGAGGCCAAAGTGGGCAGATCACCTGAGGTCAGGAATTCGAGACCAGCCTGGCCAACTCGTCTCTACCAAAAACTACAAAAATTAGCCAGGCATGGTGGCGCACCAGTAGTCCCAGCTACTCAGGAGACTGAGGCAGGAGAATCGCTTGAACCCAGGAGGCAGAGGTTGCAGTGAGCCAAGATCGTGACACAGCCCTCTAGCCTGGGCGAGAGAGTGAGACTCTATCTCAAAATTAAAAAAAAAAAAAAGGTTCCATGCAGGAGAGGGTAGTTCGGTGACCTCCAAAATTGCAATTTGAGATATTTCAATGATTTGGAAAACTGATATGAGTTATTTAAAATTAGGGCTTTCCGGAAAATCCAGAACAGTGGGCACTGTGCTCCTTAATGATTCCCACTGTGCTAGAATCACAGAGGAGACAAAAGGATAAGTCATGTAATGTCCCTGCTATTGAGGAGCTTATAGTATTGTTGGGAAGCTAGGACTTTCAGAAAGGAAATACGTATAAGGTGGTTAATAAACAAGCTAAAAAAAAAAACCAACAAGAATTTTCACCTGTAGAATGTGCCAACCCTCTGTAGATCATATTTCAGATCCTTACCAACCTTCTGAAGAGGGGACAATCATTTCCATTTTAGAGATAAGTAAATGCAGCCCAGAGATAAGCCATATGGTCGTGGTCACACAGTTGGTAATCTGTGGAGAAGGAATTTAAATCCAGGTTCTACTGGGCTCCAAGCTTGTGCTGTTTCCATTCTACTGTGGATACATCCTCTCTTCTCCTCTACCACAGCAGATCTTCCAAAATAATGGTGAAATTATTATTCTTCCTAATTCAGCATGTACACAAAGAACCAAGCCTGGTGGTATTGCGGCATTTCCCCCTATTTTCAAAATTGTCTTTAAAACTGTTATAAGAATTTTATACATAAAAGAAGGAAACAGGTGGCAGTAAAGGCAGAATATGTTACATTTGAACCACTCACAGCTTTGCTGGCTCTCATATAATTAAATCGTTCCTTTTCAAGGCAATCATGTGGAACTAGCAAGATGAATAAAAATAAACTGATTCATTATTTCCTAGAAGTGGTTTCAAGAGGTGATGTGGAACTCATCTGTGACTATATTACCGAAGTCCAATCCATCCTCGGAAACCTTGACTTTCAGCACCCAGAGACGTGGAATACGCCTCTCATTACTGCAGCAGAGGAAAATCTAACAGAGGTAACATGTGGCATGCTGGGCTCAAGGATAAAAAGTCTTCCAAACTAAGGATTCTGAGAGTGAGATATTTGTGAATAGTGATATCACCCATTGCCATGAAAGAATGTCTGAAGACACAAAGTGGGGTATGGGGAGGTGGATACTGTAAATCTAGATAGGAACCATCTCTATTCATTTCCTCACTCGGTCCACAAATATTCCTGCTATATCCAAGGTGATCACTAGATTTTATGGTGGATCTGGATGTGAATCAAACACAGATGCCACCCCCGAGGAGCTAATGGTCTAATGGCGCCACATGATGGACCCTCAACTCCATCAGTACCTGGAAATTTATGCTTTGCTCTAACAAATGCACGTAAACCTGGAAGTAGGGAAACAGGGGTAAATACGTGAATAATAAGGCTTAAAAGGGCAGCAGACTTTGTCCTCTTTGTTCTAGCTGTATCTCCAGCTACCAGCAGAGAGCCTGACCCAGCCAGGGGTTAATAAATATTTATTAAATGGAGACATTAATGAAAAAGTAACCCATTTGGGTCTTATTCATCAGTTATATCATTGTGTGCCATAACTTCTAAAGTTCTGTTTAAGCATTCAGGTAAAAGTGGCAACAATATGAGCATGTAGAGTTGGGGAGAGGCAGCAAAGAGGGAGGCTTCATGAATAGAAAGGGCAAGAATAGGGAAACTAGGCTGGAAAAGACAAATTTTACTCAACTGCACAAGTTGATGCCTCTATAAGTTCTTGGGACTTTGTTTTTTTGTTTGTTTGTTTTGTTTTTTGAGACAGGGTCACTCTGTCACCAGGCTGGAGTACAGTGGCACCATCTGGGCTGACTGCAGCCTCAACCTGCCCAGACTCAGGTGATTCTCCAAACTCAGTCTCCCAAGTCGCTGGAAATTACAGACGCATACCACCATGCCCGGCTAATTTTTTTTTTTTTGGAGACATGGGGTTTCAGCATGTTTCCCAGGCTGGTCTCAAACTCTTGGTTTCAAGAGATCCACACGCCTCAGCCTCACAAAGTGCTGGTATTCCAGGCATGGGCCACTGCACCTGGCCAGTTCTTGGTACTTTAAATGCAAGTGGACCCTCAATCCTGCCTGGTCACCTTTGCTTCCTCAATTAGCCTCTCTTGACTATGTTTTAAGCTCTTTTTCTTTTTTGACTCCTTTCCATGAATGCTTTTTAAACAAATTATAAAATATAGCACATATGCTAAAAAAAAAAAAAAAAAAAGAAAGAAAATTAATGAAACAAGCACCTGTGTACCCAACACCCAGGCCAAAAATTAGAACATTGCCATGCCTCAAAAGCCCTCTCTGTATATGCCTGTCTTGAATTGCATCCCCCACCCTGGCTAACCATTATCTTGAATTTTGGGTTAATAATTTCCTGGCCACCTCTGCATCCATGCCTAAGTAATTACTTGCTTTTTCCTGGTATTGAATATTATAAAAACAAACTCACACTATATATGCTCTTGCATAACCTTTTTTTTTTTTGAGATGGAGTCTCACTCGGTAGCCCAGGCTGGAGTTCAGTGGCATGATCTCGGCTCACAGCAACCTCTGCCTCCTGGGCTCAAGCGATTCTCATGCCTCAGTCTCCCAAGTAGTTGGGATTACAGGTGTGCACCACCATGTCCAGCTAATTTTTTGTATTTTTAGTAGAGATGGGGTTTCGCCATGTTGCCCAGGCTGGTCCCAAGCTCCTGACAGACTCAGGCAATCCACCCACCTTGGCCACCCAAAGTGCTGGGATTACAGGCAAGAACCACTGTGCCTGTATTGTGGCATATATTTTTATCTAATGGAACACTAGATAGCACTAAAAATGAAAAACTGTAGCTACACTTCATGTTTCAAAATGGAGGAATCCCAAAAACATGATAATGAACAGAAGCAGCAAGTTATGCAGGAACATGGCTGGTCATGGTGGCTCAGGCCTGTAATCCCAGCACTTTGGGAGGCTGAGGTGGGAGGATTGCTTGAGGTCTGGAAAAAGAGCTTAAATATATACATACACATATATACATACATATATACATACATACATAAATATATACATACAAATATATACATACACATATGTATATATATGCCACAATTTATCTGCCTACACAATTTATCTCCCTATCCTACTCTGGTGGACATCTGGGTGGTCTCCAGATTCTTGTCATTACAAACAATGATGCTTCTTTCCATCAGCATTTAAAAATGCTTAGATAAGTGCCTTCTGCCAGCCCATAAAGAAGCAAACACCTCCCCTGATCCCATGTCCTCCTGCAACCACTTCCTTTCCTCTCTCAGGCCCTTTCACTCGCAGACATCTCTCAAGAACTATGAAGGATCTGGGATTTTACCCTACTCGCAGCTAATGAGTTAGCGTGCCAGAATTGCTTGGATTCCTAGCAGAAGAAACAACTACTGGATCAGAGAAAAAGGGCAGTGTGTTTATTCATAACAATAGCATTAGTCAGAATTTTAGCAGTTTTGTGTTAGTTCCCTAAGCCCTAATTCCCACTGAGTGATAGGAAGAGGACCAGGTGACCCCTGAACATGCAGTGAGTTGCATGACAGCAGAGGAACCCTCAACTTAGAGACCCCTAATAATTTACAATGTGCAGTGAGCAAAGCTACTCTTTGCTGCAGAAGGAGACACTATTTCTATCTTCCAAGGCCATTCACTATACAAATAAGCTTGAAAAGTTTGCATGGAATAAAGACACTTGGCACTTTTGCTCACAAGACCTGCAGAAATGTAAGAGACCCATGGAGACATGCCTCCTAACAATGTCCACCCCTCATTTCTACACTATCTTGGCATCTGATTAACTTTCTCATTATTTCATCACTCTCTTGGCCACTCTGATTAATCTCACCAACAGAGTCTGGGACCAAATTCATCAATTTGTCTCATATAACATTCAATGAAAGCTACTGTCAACAGAACTCCAAGCAGCAGGAGGAGGCCAGTCTACAGTACTCACCTCAACAATGCTGCGCAAAGTCCTGAATCCATTCAGCTGAACAAATCACATAAACCATCCGGGTCTGCTGTCAAAAACCAGGTGATGGCTCACGCCTGTAATCCCAGCACTTTGGGAGGCCGAGGCAGGTGGATCACCTAAGGTCAGGAGTTTGAGACCAACCTGGCCAACATGGGTGAAACCCCATCTCTTCTAAAAATGCAAATATTAGCCGGGCATGATGGCGGGTTCCTGTAATCTCAGCTACTACAGAGGCTGAGGCCGGAGAATTGCTTGAACCCAGGAGGCAGAGGTTGCAGTGAGCCAAGATAGTGCCACTGCACTCCAGCCTGGGCAACAGAGGGAGATTCTGTCTTAAAAAAAAAAAAAAAGAATGTTTTACTGGTTTATCCTCACTGCCTCTACTTACTTACCTCTTCAAACTACTGCAGTCTGACATCTTCCTCTACTACTCCATTGAAACTGCTCTTGCCAATGTTCCCTACAATGTCCTTTGCCGCTTCTACCTCTTAGCACCATTGGACTCCAATTTTTCTTCAAGTATTTTCTTCCTTGACCTCCTCCTGGTTTTTCTTCTTACCTCTCTGGCAACTTCTATCCAGTCCCCTTTATGGGTTGTTTCTTCTCATCCCTTAAATGTTGGTGTCCTTCAATCATGTGAGGATGGCCCCTGATTCTCAAGCACATATCACACACACACACACACACACACACACACACACACACACACACATAATGTTGAACTCCAACTAAATATTTCCACTTGTATATTACAGACATCCCAAACATAACATGTCCAAAATTATCTTCATCATCTTTCTTCCCAAACCTTACCCTCCTGAGGGACACCAGCATCAGTGTTACCCATCTTATGAAATCAAATAAACATTTAATTATTTGAAATTGAATTAAATTAAGGCATCATTATCTATTTATCTTAAACTACTCATTCACTCATTCATAAAATATTTATTCATGTGATAAGATCTCTTGCTCTTGGGGACTTACATTTGAATGAAGGTGAAACACAACAAATAAGGAAACAAGAAGCACTTCAATAAATTACAAATTGTTATTAGTACTTTGAAGTAACCAATAGAGTGGCTTGTCTTTTGAGAAAGTGGTCAAGAAATCCTTAATGATGTGGTTGTATTTATGCTAAGACATAAACGAAGGGCAATTGGGGTAGAGGGAACAGCAAAGACAAAGGCCTTGGTTAGGAAAAAAAAAATCTTGGCCAGGCGCCCAGTGGCTCAAACCTGTAATCCCAGCACTTTGGGAGGCTGAGGCGGGCGGATCACTTGAGGTTGGGAGTTCGCGACCAGCCTGACCAACATGGAGAAACCCCGTCTCTACTAAAACTACCAAATTAGCCGGGCGTCATGGTGGGGGCCTGTAATCCCAGCTACTCAGGAGGCTGAGGCAGGAAAATCGCTTGAACCCTGGAGGCGGAGGTTGCAGTGAGCCGAGATCGTGCCATTGCACTCCAGCCTGGGCAACGAGAGTGAAACTCCGTCTCAAAAAGGAAAAAAAAATCTTGCATTTTTGAAGTATAGAAAGGTGACTTGATCTTGCAGAGGGAGGGTGAAGAATGGCACAAGATAAAGCTGGAAATGCAGGCAGGGGCTGGATCATGCAAAGCCATAAAGGCATGCAAAGCCATTTTCAAAAACAGCTTTATTGAGATAAAATTCATATACCATACAATTTACTTACTTAAAGTGGCCACTTCCATGTTTTTTTGTATATTCATATTAATGTGCAATCCTCACAATTGATTTTAGAGCACCTATCATCTCAAAAAGAACTTCATCCCCAGAAAAAGAAGATAAAAAGAAACCCGATATCCTTTAGCTATCACTCTATATCCTTTCTTCCCAACTCCCACCCCAGCCCTAAGCAGCCACTTACCTACTTTCTGTTTGTATAGCTGTTCCTTTTTTATTGTTTTTTGTTTGTCTGTTTGTTTGTTTTGAGACAGGATCTCACTCTGTTGCCCAGGCTGGAGTGCAGTAGCACGATCACAGCTCACTGCAGGCCCTACCTCCTGGGCTGAGGTGATCCTCCTGCCTCAGCCTCCCAGGTAGCTGGGACTACAGGCATGTGCCATCATGCCCAGCTAATTTTTGTATTTTTTGTAGAGACAGGGTTTCACCAAGTTGCCCAGGCTGGTCTTGAACTCCTGAGCTAAAGTGATCCACCTGCTTCGGCCTCCCAAAGTGCTGGGATTACAGGTGTGAGCCACCGTGCTTGGCCTCTGTAACTTTTCTTATTTGGGATTTTCATATGAATGGAATCATATAGTATGTGGTCTCCTGTGATTGGCTTCTTTCACTTAGCATAATGTTTTCAAGGTTCATTCATGTTGTAGCATGTGTCAATACTTTATTTTTATAACCAAATAATATCACATTTTCTTGATATACAACATTTTGGGATTTTAGGCTAAAGATAATAGGTTTGCTTCCCTCAAGAAATAGGGTTTGGCTCTCCCTCTCCCTCTCCCTCTCCCCCTCCCCCTCCCCCTCCCCCTCCCCCTCCCCCTCTCCCCACAGCCCACGGTCTCCCCCTCCCTCTCTTTCCACGGTCTCCCTCTGATGCCCAGCCGAAGCTGGACTGTACTGCTGCCATCTCGGCTCACTGCAACCTCCCTGCCTGATTCTCCTGCCTCAGCCTGCCGAGTGCCTGTAGCGCGCCACCACGCCTGACTGGTTTTCTTACTTTTTTGGTGGAGACGGGGTTTCGCTGTGTTGGCCGGGCTGGTCTCCAGCTCCTAACCGCGAGTGATCCGCCAGCCTCGGCCTCCCGAGGTGCCGGGATTGCAGACGGAGTCTGGTTCACTCAGTGCTCAATGGTGCCCAGGCTGGAGTGCAGTGGCGTGATCTCGGCTCGCTACAACCTCCACCTCCCAGCCGCCTGCCTTGGCCTCCCAAAGTGCCGAGATTGCAGCCTCTGCCCGGCCGCCACCCCTTCTGGGAAGTGAGGAGCATCTCTGCCTGGCCACCCATCGTCTGGGACGTGAGGAGCCCCTCTGCCTGGCTGCCCAGTCTGGAAAGTGAGGAGTGCCTCTTCCCGGCCGCCATCCCGTCTGGGAAGTGAGGGGCGTCTCTGCCCGGCCGCCATCCCATCTAGGAAGTGAGGAGCACCTCTTCCCGGCCACCATCCCATCTAGGAAGTAAGGAGCGTCTCTGCCCGGCCGCCCATCGCCTGAGATGTGGGGAGCGCCTCTGCCCCGCGGCCCCGTCTGGGATGTGAGAGCATCCGGCCGCGACCCCGTCTGGGAGGTGAGGAGCATCTCTGCCCGGCCGCCCCATCTGAGAAGTGAGGAGACCCTCCGCCTGGCAACTGCCCCGTCTGAGAAGTGAGGAGCCCCTCCGCCCGGCAGCCGCCCCGTCTGAGAAGTGAGGAGCCCCTACGCCCGGCAGCCACCCTGTCTGGGAAGTGAGGAGCGTCTCCGCCCGGCAGCCACCCCGTCCGGGAGGGAGGTGGGGGTCAGCCCCCGCCAGGCCAGCCACCCCGTCCGGGAGGGAGGTGGGGGGGTCAGCCCCCCCGCCCGGCCAGCCACCCCGTCCGGGAGGTGAGGGGCGCCTCTGCCCGGCCACCCCTACTGGGAAGTGAGGAGCCCCTCTGCCCGGCCAGCCACCCCGTCCGGGAGGGAGGTGGGGGGGGTTAGCCCCCCCGGCCGGCCGCCCGTCCGGGGGGTGGGGGGCGCCTCTGCCCAGCCACCCCTGCTGGGAGGTGGGGAGCCCCTCTGCCCGGCCAGCCGCCCCGTCTGGGAGGGCGGTGGGGGGGTCAGCCCCCCGCCCGCCAGCCGCCCCGTCCGGGAGGTGAGGGGCGCCTCTGCCCGGCTGCCCCTACTGGGAAGTGAGGAGCCCCTCTGCCCGGCCAGCCGCCCCGTCCGGGGGGTGGGGGGCGCCTCTGCCCGACCGCCCCTACTGGGAAGTGAGGATCCCCTCTGCCCGGCCAGCCGCCCCGTCCGGGAGGGCAGTGGGGGGGGTCAGCCCCCCACCCGGCCAGCTGCCCCGTCCGGGAGGTGAGGGGCGCCTCTGCCCAGCCGCTCCTACTGGGAGGTGAGGAGCCCCTCTGCCCGGCCAGCCGCCCTGTCTGGGAGGGAGGTGGGGGGGTCAGCCCCCCGCCCGGCCAGCCGCCTCGTCTGGGAGATGAGGGGCGCCTCTGCCCGGCCGCCCCTACTGGGATGTGAGGAGCCCCTCTGCCCGGCCACCACCCCGTCTGGGAGGTGTACCCAACAGCTCATTGAGAACGGGCCATGATGACAATGGCGGTTTTGTGGAATAGAAAGGGGGGAAAGGTGGGGAAAAGATTGGGAAATCGGATGGTTGCCGTGTCTGTGTAGAAAGAAGTAGACATGGGAGACTTTTCATTCTGTTCTGTACCAAGAAAAATTCTTCTGCCTTGGGATCCTGTTGATCCGTGACCTTACCCCCAACCCTGTGCTCTCTGAAACATGTGCTGTGTCCACTCAGGGTTAAATGGATTAAGGGCGGTGCAAGATGTGCTTTGTTAAACAGATGCTTGAAGGCAGCATGCTCGTTAAGAATCATCACCACTCCCTAATCTCAAGTACCCAGGGACACAAACACTGCGGAAGGCTGCAGGGTCCTCTGCCTAGGAAAACCAGAGACCTTTGTTCACTTGTTTATCTGCTGACCTTCCCTCCACTATTGTCCTATGACCCTGCCAACTCCCCCTCTGCGAGAAACACCCAAGAATGATCAATTAAAAAAAATAAATAAATAAAATAAAATTAAATTAAATTAAAAAAAAAACAAACAACATTTTATTTATCCAATCCATTGACAGAAAATGGTTCTTTTCATCTTTTGGTTACTATGAATAATGCTTCTGTAAACATTTTGGTGTGAGTATATGTTTTCATTTCTCCTGAGTACCATACCTAGGAGTGGAATTGCTGGATCATAGGGGAGTTCTATGTTTAATCATTTGAGGAACTGACAGACTGTTTTTCTTTTCTTTTCTTTTTTTTTTTTTTTTTCAGACAGAGTCTCACTCTGTCACCCAGGCCAGAGTGCAGTGGTGCAATCTCAGCTCATTGCAACCTCTGCCCCCTGGTTTCAAGCAATTCTCCTGCCTCAGCCTCCCGAATAGCTGGGATTACAGGCGCCTGCCACTGTGCCTGGCTAATTTTTGTATTTTTAGTAGAGATGGGGTTTCACCATCTTGGCCAGGCTGGTCTTGAACTCCTGACCTCATGATCCACCCACCTTGGCCTCCCAAACTAGACTGTTTTTCAAAGTGGATGCACCATTTACACTTCCACCAGCAGAAATGGTGGTATGAGGGCTCCAAGTTCTTCTCATCTTTCCAACTCTTGCTGTTATCTGAATTTTTGATTTGGGCCTTTCTAGTGGGTTTCATGCAGAAGCACTTGAAATGGAGAGAAGGCTGTTCCATTGCTTCAGACAAGGGACCATGGTGGCCTGGTCTGCCGTGGCAGTACAGCAGACAGATAAAAGTACACTGAAGACAGTATCTTGGAATTATCCCTGATTTCTGGCTCAGTGTTAACATCCACATTGAATAAATGGCTATGTTTTGTTAATTCCACCTCCTAAGTGTTCCTAGATTATGCCCTCAGCCACTAAATCTCCACTACCATTTCTCTTGTTCAGTCGCTGTCGTCTCTCCATGAGGCCACTGTGGTAGTCCTCTCCCTGGTTCCCCACTTCCCTTCTTCCCCACATCAATCTATTTCAGCAGTCAGAGTGATTTTCTAAAACACTGACCTGATTATGTCATTTTCCTGAGGAAAATCTTTCACTGTCTGCCTATTGCCCTGAAGACACAGCCCTAACTCCTCAGAGGGGTTTGTCAGGTCTTTCAGGACTGAGGCACAGCTGATTTCTCCACCCACATCTCCTTCTCTTCCTTTTCTTATTCTGGGCTCTAGACATACCTAACTCCTTCCAAAGCTTTGAATATTACTTGCCCTCTTGTACACACTGTACTTTATTCACACTGTATCCTCTGCTTGGAACAATCTTTCTCCCAGTCTGCCTGGCTGAGTCTGATTCCTCAGGTCTCAGCTTAGACATCACTTTCTCCAAAAAGTCTTCGCAGACTCTCCAAGATATCTTAATAGATTTTGTCGAAGTGCCCCCATCATCCTCCTGTATTCACTTCTCTTGTTACATTTATCACCCCATGTTGCAATTGCCTTTTTTTTTTTTTTTAAATATGTCTCTGTTCTTCACTAGACTGCAAATACTTTAAAGGCTGGCTGCTGGTCTTGTTCATTGGTGCAGTCTCAGCACCAAGGACAGTTCTTAACATGCAACTGGGCAGTCTGTCCCCTCACCATATTGAATAGAGTTTACTCTCTTTCTAGAAACACTTGCAGAAATACTTGTGACATTCAAGGATATATAAGCCTGAATCATCTTTGTTTTTGTATTTTTTAGAGACAGGATCTTGCTATGTTGCCCAGGTTAGAGTGCAGTGGCTATTCACAGTAGGATTATAGTGCATGATGGCCTTGAACTCCTGGGCTCAAGTGATCCTCCCGCCTCAACCTCCCAGTAGCTGGGATTACAGGCACACAAAACCATGCCTGCTCCCTTTGGTTTTGTATTTTTGATTATAGACAGTTATAAAACTTCAATGTTTTGTGTGGATTTAACATACAATACTCATAGATCTCTAGTCCCTGCAAAAAAGACTATCCAAAAATCATGCATGTCATGGAGATTTTTGTTCCCCAAATTAAAAAGGGCAAATAGCAGTTACCCACATCCCGATGAATCAGAGCCATGCCTAAGTCAGTTTTCCACCCAGCTCTGAAGACACTGTTGGTACTTAAAAATATTTAACTAAGACTGTGTCATTTTGCAGGTTGTTGGATTTCTTCTGGAAAAGTGAGTAGATATCACCCTTTGCAATTACAGCAATCGAACCGCAATTCATGTAGCTAATTGCAATATCCAAAGACAACTCTTGGCAGTCAATAGAATCCAGGCTCCCCAAATGCAACTTCTACAAAGTTCATGGCAAGGTGATCTTGAGCAAGTTCAACATTTACTGGTTAGTTGATATTTGTTTCTGTCTTTGGGTGGGTGAGTGGATGGTGAAAAGGGCACAGACTACATATGACTCCTTTTAAAGAAAAATAAATTCTTTTCAAATATAATCCTAGGAAGTTTCAGACAAAACATATAAAAAAGAAAGGGGATCAAACAGGACACTGGGGTGGAAAACAAGATAATAAAAGAACACAGGAGCAGTCGATTTCCACCTTCCTCAAGCTGGGTGCTAGAAGTCACACAACACCCCTGGGAAATGATTTGCTCCCAGGAAGCCTCCAGAGGACCACTATCAACTTGCTCAGAGGAGTTCCCTTGGCATCATTGCCATTTGTACAATTGCTGCTTTGATCCCTTTGGACCAGTTGCTGTTATTATCTTTATCCTGAAAAAGGAATCTGAGAGCCTATGCCTTGCCTAATATTTAGTTGTCATGAAAGAGTTCAGAGGATACATTTTTAAAGGGCTGTCTTCTCAGGGTATTGATCCTTGTGTTTAGATTTTCTACTTACAGATACTTTTTCCCAAAGCAACTTGCAAAATCATATGCATAACCAAGGACATTAATTATTGGTGACTGGCAATTGCCTACTCTTGGCATTTACCTTCAAAGAGACTGTCAGACCATGTGACCTTCCAACTGAAAGAAAATCAATTGCTGCTAGGAAACAGTTTCTTCTAATCCCTTATGGTAAAGACACAAACAGATAAAGAAAAAAGTGAAAGATATTCCACTCAGGTACAGTTCAAGAAGAGATATAACAAAACCAAACAATACTTCAAATTCTTTTGTTGGACTAAATGATAGTCTAAAATTGCCAGACATCACGAACTGAGGCTTAGAAATTTTTTTGAAAGACAATGTATTTTACTTAATGGTGTTTCCAGCAGTTGTAATTGTAATCTAATGTTTTTTTGTTTGTTTGTTTATTTGTTTTTTTGACAGTCTTGCTCTGTCGCCCAGGCTGGAGTGCAGTGGCGCGATCTCGGCTCACTGCAATCTCCACCTCCCGGGTTCACGCCATTCTCCCACCTCAGCCTCTGGAGTAGCTGGGACTACAGGCGCCCGCCACCATGCCCGTCTAATTTTATTTTTGTATTTTCAGTAGAGACGGGGTTTCACCATGTTAGCCAGGTTGGTCTCGATCTCCTGACCTTGTGATCTGCCCGCCTCGGCCTCCCAAAGTGCTGGGATTACAGGCGTGAGCCACTGCGCCCGGCCCAATGTCTGTTTTTATAGCCACATTTTTAACCCCTAAACATTAGGAACCAAGTTTTAAGAAACTGGTACCTGTAACTGGATCTATACCTTGATCAACAGATGCTGAATTGATATGCTATTGCAAGACTATTCTCAGTTCAAAATTTTCATATTGGTTCTAACTAATAATAAACATTGATATCAGAGGTGGTTTCTTCTTAGCGACTAAAAAAAAAAATTAACTAATTAATTCCCACAGTACCCTGCTGAAGTAATACCATTATTTCTAGTTTGTCCCTAGAGAAGCTGAGGTAGAGACACTGAGTATACTTACATGGCATAAAGTGAAATAGAGATGGAAATTAGTGCATTTCTTTGGTCTATAAAATGAACAATTTAGGTGTTTTGGCCTGCGGTAGCTTTTCAGTTTTGAATTATCCAAATTAAGTTTTACTTTCATTAAGGCATCAAATTACATTCATATGCCTCCCTCCATTTGACTATGTAAATACAGGTAAGTTAGTTGTTTTTTTTAAATTTTTTTTTTTTTTTTTGAGACAGAGTCTCACTATGTTGCCAAGGCTGGAGTGCAGTGGCGTGATCACAGCTCACTGCAGCCTCGACTTTCCCAGGCTCAGGTGATCCTCCCACCTCAGCCTCCTGAGTCACCAGGACTACAGGTGCATGCCACCATGCCTGGCTAATTTTTTGTATTTTTAGTAGAGATGGGGTTTTGCCATGTTGCCCAGGCTGGTCTCAAACTCCTGGGCTCAAGCAATCCACATGCCTCAGCCTTCTAAAGTGCTGGGATTACAGGTGTGAGCCACCATGCCCGGCTGAGCTGCTGTATTATTATAAATTATTTATTCATTCAGTGAATGTTTACTGAGCACCTACTGTGTGTTAGACACTCTGCTAAGTACTTTTTACATTCTAGCACCAATCAGCAACATAACCCTACAAGGAAGACGCTACTATTCCACCTTACAACTGAGGGCTCTGAAGTTTAGCAAATAGGGTTGCCAGATTTTGCAAATAAAAATACAGGACACCCAGTTAAATTTAAATTTCAGATAAACAACAAATAGTTTTTTGTATAAATACATCCCAAATGAAAATTATACATGATTCAACTGGATACCCTCAATTTATCAGGGTGATTTGATCACCTTTTAACAGGGTGTCCCTGATACAACCTGTCAGGGAAGTTAAATAACCACCTTAAGCAGCTGAGATTGAAACCCAGATCTGTCTTTCTGGCTTGTGTTCTTTCACCTCATCAGTTCCCTTTCAGGACAGACACTGAGAAAGAACATATTGAAGTTATAATGAAACGTTGGCCAAGCAATGAAAATGCAAAGATTAGCATAAAGAGCTATGCAGTAAAAACACAACAGAAATAAAGCTGCATGTTTTTAAAGGCATCTGAAGAGTTCCTGGATATAAATTTCCCAAACCAACATGGCTTGACCCCTCTGATGCTGGCTGTGAGAGATGTGGACCTGTTTGAGAGTCTTGACATGTTAACAGTGTACAAACCTGTGGAAGTTCTGTCCCAGCTCCTAAGGCATCATGCGTGAATATGAGCAGTTAGTCAGCCCAGCTGAAGGGTGTCAATTCAATTGTTATTTACAGAAATCACATGTAAACCGAGACACAAAGCTTCTTTTTTACCCTTTCCCTCCCTCCCTCCCATCCTTTTCTTTCTTTCTTTTCTTTCTTTCTTTTTTCTTTCTTTCTCTCTCTCTTTCTTTCTTTCTCTCTTTCTTTCTTTCTTTCTTTATTTCTCTGTCTCTTTCTTTTCCCTCTCCTTCCTTCCTTCCTTCCTTTCTCTCTCTCTCTCTTTCTTTCTTCCTTTCCTCTTTTTTATACAGGATCTTGCTCTGTTGCCTAGGCTGGAGTGCAGTGATGCAATCATAGCTCACTGTGACCTCAAACTCCTGGGCTCCATGGATCCTCCTGCCTCAGCCTCTCGAGTAGCTGGAACTACAGGCACATACCACTATGCCCGGCTAATTTTTAATTTTTTGTGGAGATGGAGTCCCACTATATTGCCCATGCTGGTCTCAAACCCCTGCCCTCAAGCTGCTCTCCCATCTTGGCCTCCCAAGCTGTGGAGATTACAGGCTGTTTTCTACTATATATGCCAAATGCACATGCATCATCATAAAAGTGACTTCACAATTGCAAAGTGATGTGCAGTTTCTAAAATTTGCTACCTATTATTCTTATGATATCTGGCTCTTTGTTTCATTTCTTGAAATGATTACTGTTCTGGTAGTTACTGGGAATGTCAAATAATTCTTGAGTATCCAGCTCTCTACCCCCAAGATATTACTAATTATTTCAGAAAACACTGTCAATGTCTGAAAAGCAATTTATAATAGTGTTTTCAAGTTATCTTAAAATTACTATATGTCAAATGCTCTTTTAGGAGGGAGGAGATAAACAATGCACTTTTTTTTTAAATAAGAGGGTTAATAAGCAATCTCTTATGTTACAATTGCAGTTTCCTAAAGCTGTTACTTAGTTATCTTGTCATCAAATAAGAACAGATGGCCTGAGCTCTTTCTCAGTACTTCATATGAATTTTGTTTTGAAAAAAAAAGGAGGAGGGAGCTTCAAGAACAAAATTATAGTCAAGAATACAAGATATTGTAAAAGGATCAGTTAGTATAATGGAATGAAAAGGGAATTTTGAAGCTACTTCAGCCTAGTGTTGAGAAATAGTTTGGCCAATTGATAAAAGTGGAGATTCCTGGACGTCATCCCAGAGATGTTCAGTAGGTCTGGATTGGGGTCCAGAATACTGGAAATCAAGGTATGCCACTTGGAGACACCCTAATCTAGGCAGATGAGGAGAGGCCCCAATGAGTTTATCTTTACTTGTTTTTATGCACCCTTAAATAATTATAAAAATTTTTGTCCAAAGTTGGGAATTCTCTGCAAATATGATAAGTGGCTTGCTTAAAGCCATATATCAAGGTAGTGGCAACCCCAATTCTCAGTCCTATGCTATTTCTTTTGAATTACAATCTTTGATGAAGAAAAGTCCATAAGAGAATATTACTGTGGCTCATGACACATTACCCTGTCCCATAGCAACGAAGAGATTCAAATTCAAATGTTTTAGGACAGAGACCATGATCAACTTGCTCCTTGTCCTAGAATAGGATAAGTAAAGCAAGTTTCATCATTGTTTCCCTCACTGTAATCTATTAATGGGATTCTCATCATTTAACTTTGGATTTCTCTGAGCTGATATCTAATGCAAGGGTTCAGTACAACATAGGATAAGAAGAGACTTGTGCTGTCATAATAGAGAGGATAAGAAGAGACTTGTTCTGTTGTAAATGGTCCTAAGATCAGCCAGTTGGGCTTACCAACCACAAAGCCAGGTAAAGAGGAATGAAAAGGCCATGTGGGGGCTGGGCGCGGTGGCTCACGCCTGTAATCCCAGCACTTTGGGAGGCCGAGGCAGGCAGATCACGAGGTCAGGAGTTCGAGACCATCCTGGCTAACACGGTGAAACCCCGTCTCTACTAAAAATACAAAAAAATTAGCCGGGCATGGTGGCGGGCCCCTGTAGTCCCAGCTACTCTGGAGGCTGAGGCAGGAGAATGGCGTGAACCCGGGAGGCAGAGCTTGCAGTGAGCCGAGATCGCGCCACTGCACTCCAGCCTGGGTGACAGAGCAAGACTCCGCCTCAAAAAAAAAAAAAAAAAAAAAAAAAAGAAAAGAAAAGGCCATGTGGAGAGGCACACTTTGGTTTTTATGACAAGATTGCTCCACTCATCCAAGAGACCATGAAATAAAAGTATCAGCTTAATTTTAAAGAGAAGATTCTATGCCATTCCACCATTTTGAATCATAAAAGAGCTAGCTGTTAGCATTAGAAAAAAGAAATATCAAAAAAGTCAGCAGTTAGCTTAATTATTGAAAAGAAAAAAATCAAGTGAGCTATTTGGAATGATAAGACAATCATTTATCAAAATGTTTTAATCCTTATGACTCATTGAAAAAAATTTAAAAATATAAAAAAAAACAACAAAAGATGTTTTTATCTTTACTTGATTTTATGTACCCTTAAAGAATTATAAAAATTTTTGTCCAAAGTTGGGAATTCTCTGCAAACCTCAGAATGTTTTTAGAATGGGGATGGGAATAAAGATACACAGCAAATTCCTTTTATTTAAAATCTTGTAAAATTGTCATCCTCTATTCACACATTTTGAAATCATTATTATTATCCCCAAACTACATAAGATTACTTTTTATTTATTTGATGTAAATGTTTCCCTCTCATATTAGTTTTCTTTTTTCAACAGATTCAACTAAATAAACTTTAATGTTGATTCTGTTCTTCCTAGAGATCCTAAACTTTGTGATTTTAGTGGAAAATCAGCAATACATTATGTGTCACAAATAGAGAGTTCAAAGAAACAGCAGCTTTTGGACATTTTAATGAGTTCTATGCCAAAACCAGGTAAATACTTTCACTCCACATGCATAATTTCCCAACCCAAAAATTCCTGTTAGATCTCTTTCTTTTTCTACATCTGTTTGATGGATCCATTTAAAGAAATCAAGTCCACGGCTATTTATGGAGCAGTGACTCTGTACAAGGCCCACGACTAGGTGCTCTGGGGGATGCAAAGAAGTCTAACGCAAGGTTTAAACTTTTGAAAATATACAGCATGGTCAGGGGCACATCACATAAGTCAGAGAGAGCTTGCTGTAAACTTGAAAGGGGAAGAGGGACTTATAGTGGTTCTTGAAGGCTGGATAACAGTGGGAAGGTTTGATATAGGTAGGAAAAGAGTCCAAACAAAGACAAAGAAACAGCCACAGCAAGAAGTATAATGAAAAGTGTGCCACTGAGCAGCGTGTGACTTTGTGAAAGCTGCCTGACTTTATTGTTTGATTCGCTTTCTGTTTGAAGCTTCGGGGGCAGAGGACAAAGCTATACCTAAGAAGGTTTCATGAAAGAGGTGAGACTTGATCTGACCTTTGAAAAAAGGATGCAATTTGATTTTGTGGAGCAGAGGCCCCTTGCTGGGAGTGAGCATAGCTTATCCCAGGGGCAAACAAGAAACTAGAACTGAAAGTTCATGTCAGGGAAAAGAGAAACAGAAGGTCAGATACATAAAGAAACTGGGCCCATGGAGGGGAGAGCCTTAGATGTCAGGCTGAAGGACATCACTTTTTTTTTTCAATAAAACAGACACTAAAGAATTTTAAGCCAGAGAATGATGAAGGCCATGTTTTAGGAATATTAACCTGTTCCTATCGTGTTGGCTACATCTGAGGGAAAAGGCAGGGATCTCTATTAAGAAATTATAGAAGTGCCCATATGTATGGTGGTAAGAACTAGGGAATGTGTCCTTGGGTGGGGTGTGAGAGTGAGCCTAAGAGATGCTGGGAGTGGTGGGTCTAGGAGACATTGTGAAAGAACAATTCACAGAACTGCGAGATGTGATGTTGACAGCGGAGACACAGAGACAACCGCTGAGAAACTTGAGTCAAAGATGACTAAATTTTAAGGCCTGGAAAGTGCAGGAGATGGAAATACAACCAACAAAATGGGAGCACATTGGAACTTTCAAGTAGCAAGTTTCTGTAGGACTGGGCTTGTGGGAAAGGACCGGTTGAAAGGTTAGTTTGGGAGTTCTCTACAGAGAGGAGATTGTGAGGACATGATGGTGGGTGAGGTCATTGAGGGACTGATGAGAGTGAGAAAATTGCAGAGGGCTGAGCCGAGGAGGTGCACCCGCAGATAGAGAGGAGCGGTGGGGACATCAGGACTCAGGAAGTGAGAGGAGGAGGAGAATCAGAAGAGAGTTGCGGGAAGAAAGGAGCAGGAAACAATGTTAAATTGGAAAAGAGATTACAAAGCAGATGTGGTAAGGATGTGAGACGTTTCAATGGCAGGATGTAGGCAGAAGATAGATTGCAGAGAGTAAAGAAGGAAAATATGATGAAGAAATGGAAAGTCTGGGTATAGATCACTTGTTCAATTTTGTTTCCACTACAAGATAAATGGAGGAGCCACTGAAAGAGGGGGAGTTTTTGTTGAAAGAAGCCAATGCTTATTAGAAGAAGCCAGGATAGCAGGAGGGGATACATATGAGAGCAATGTCCCTAGGGTACAAACTGGGAGTCTGCTGTTTGGTGTTAGGAACTCTGTCCATTTAATGTGGCTTTAATCACTAGATAGGAAGTGTGTTCAGAGGAGCTGAGTGTCTTTGTCCTGGGCAACTATAGAGCAAATGTGATTTCCAGCTTATCATTAGGGTTTCACTTAGCAACTTTGCCTACCACAAACCATTAATCCCAAACATTTGAAGTGATAACTGTTGATCGCTATTAATTTAACTTCATGATCACTCCCTTCTACAAACTAAAGAAGAAAGTTTGAGCGATCTAAATTTTTTAAATTATAGGATGGTCTGTAAGGCCCTGTGTTGCTTTGATTTCAGTTGTTAGCCAAATTGTGCAGAAATTATCCTCAATTCCCAAGAAATAACTTCAGGGGCTTCAGGGCAGTGCACAGATTCAGAGAAAGAAAATACAGTATCGATTGAGCCAGCAATAAGTCTTCAGTACCCTGAAAAATACATGGTAGTTTTTCAGGGTTTAGTTGGAAGAGGCCAAGAAGCATCTCCTAATCTTCCACCAGTAGAAGTCTGTAATGATGGGTCATCCTCAGGAAACATGGAAGACAGATGTCCTTCCTCTGCGCAGCTCTGGAGAAGAGGATTCCCTAACCTTGAACTGCTGATGGCTTTAATGGTTAAAAAGTTCTTACTCATGTCCCAGCACCCTACAGAGGGTTTTGCAATGACGACGTAGACATTAAGTATGAAGTGACTAGATTTAAGCTGAACTAAAATCTGACTCTTGTTAAGTTTTAATTTCTCATACAGCTTAAAATTTGGTGGGTGCTCAGATCAGATAGGATGATCGATTCATCCTAACTCTCTAAAAAATATTTCACTTGCTCAAAATCTCAAACTACCTGTTTGATTTTTTTGTCCTTATGTAATAGCAGTTACCATCAAAGCCTTAAAAAAAAATAGTAAGCCATCCACTCCGTGGACTCTTGTCTTCACATCTCTTCTTGTGAAAATTAGTGCTTGAAGCTTCATCAGGATCCCAGACCACTATTTCAGGAAAATCTTTGACAAAATGGAGCTGATTTTAGAACATAGAGCTAGATCTTCTTTTGAAATTGCTGGAGATGAATCTTATCAAAACATACTATTATGTTTCTTTTGATAGAAAGACATGCTGAGTCATTGCTTGACATTTGTCATGATACAAACTCTTCTCCAACTGATTTGATGACAGTTACCAAAAATCAAAACATCATCTTGCAAAGCATCAGCAGAAGTGAGGTAAGAGCCTCCCTTTAAAGAAACAACGGACAGCCTACTCCATCTACTACTTTATTTGTGTTGCTTGAATACTTCATAACACTCATATATTACAATTTTATTTTTAAGTGTAATCATAAAAAAGCATATTTGGTAAGACACTCTTCTGAAAGTTTAATCTCAGAGCAGTAATTAGCTAGTAAACTCTGAGACTCATGCATAAGATGTGTGTGTACACGTGTGTGTGTGTGTGTGTGTGTGTATGTGTGTGTGTCTTAGTCAGTTCTGGCTGCTATAACAAAGTACCATAGATTGGGTAGCTTATAAACAGAAATTTATTTCTTACAGTCCTGGAAGTCTGAGATCAGGGTGCCAGCAGGTTTGAGTCTGGTGAGGGCTGTCTTCTGGACTGCAGATTGCCAACCTCTCATATGCTCACTTGATGGACAGAGAGCTAGCTAGTGCTCTGGGGTCCCTTTTATAAGAGGCACTAATCCCATCATGAGGACTCTACTTTCATAATCTACCTCCCAAAGGCCCTACCTCCTACTTGCCATCACATTGGTAGTTAAGATTTCAACATATAAATTTTGGTGGGACACAAATATTCAGTTCTTTACTCTGGGTGAGCGTGCCTGTGTGTGTGTGTCTATGTGTCTCCAGTACCACAGAATATTGTTTCAGCTGAATCCATACTAAATAATCAAATGTACCTTCCTTTTTATGTACATTAATATTGAAAAGGAAGTCTAGGCTAGCCGTGGTGGTCCACACCTTGTATTAGTCCATTTCACACTGCTATAGATACTACCTGAGACTGGGTAATTTATAAACAAAAGAGGTTTAATTGACTCAGAGTTCCACATGGCTGGGGAGGCCCCAGGAAACTTACAATCATGGTGGGAGGCAAAGGGGAAGCAGGCACATCTTCACAAGGTGGTAGGAGAGACAGAGAGAGTGCAGGGGAAACTGCCACTTTTAAAACCATCAGATCTTGTGAGAACTCCCCCACTATCACAAGAACAGTATGGGGGAAACCGCCCCCATGATCCAATCACCTTCTACAAAGTCCCTCCCTTGACATGTGGGGATTACAATTCAAGATTAGATTTGCTGGGGAACACAGAGCCAAATCATATCACACCTGTAATTCCAGCAGTTTGTGAGGCTGAAGATCTGTTGAGGCCAGGAGTTCTGGACTGGCATGGGTAACAAAAAGAGACCTCATCTCTACTAAAAATAAAAAAAATTAGCTGGTCATGATGGCACACGCCTGTAGTCGCAGCTACTTGGGAGGCTGAGGTGGAAGAATCACTTGAGCCCAGGAGTTTCAGGCCTCAGTGAGCTATGATTGCACCAGTGAACTCTAGCCTGGGTGACAGAGCAAGACCCTGTCTCAATTTTTTAAAAAAGAAAGAGACAGGCACGGTGGCTCACGCCAGTAATCCCAGCACTTTGGGAGGCCAAGGCAGGTGGATCGCCTGAGGTCAGGAGTTCAAGACCAACCTGGCCAACACGGTGAAAGCCCATCTCTACTAAAAATACAAAAAATTAGCCAGGCTTGGTGGTGGGCACCTGTAATCCCAGCTACTCAGGAGGCTGAGGCAGGAGGATCGCTTGAACCAGGGAGGCAGAGGTTGCAGTGAGCCAAGATTGTGCCATTGCACTCCAGCCTGGGCAATAAGAGCGAAACTCCATTTCAAAAAAAAAAGGAAAAGAAAAGGAGATCATTAATCTGATCATATCAAACCCATCACAGGGTACCAAAAAGGAGGTGCCTCCTCGTGGCCCTGGTTATCATTCTGTCTATGATGAATGACTTTACAAAAAGTCCCCTATAGTACAGTAACAGTATTAGTAACAAGCATTGCAGCCCATAGAAAACCGTGGAATGAGACCCAAGATGTACAACAAACTGGCAACAGTGATTGCCTACAGAGAGAGAACTGGAGATGCAATTTGCACTGTTTACTCATTTGTACCTTTTGAATGTTTATAAAAATTAACATATCCCAAATAAAGATCCTACTACTCTATATTTTATTGGTTAAAAAAAAAAGTCCAAAAAATTTTTTATTTATTTTGAGATTGGGTCTCATTCTGTTGCCCAGGCCGAAGTGCCCTGGCATAAACATGGCTCACTGGAGCCTCAATCTCCCAGGCTCAAGCAATCCTCCTACCTCAGCCTCCTGACTAGCTGGGACTGCAGGCACATGCCACCACACCCAGCTAATTTAAAAAATTTTTTGAACTCCTAGCCTCAAGCAATCCTCCTGCCTCGGCCTCCTAAAGTAGTGGGATTACAGGCATGAGCCACCATTGCCATTTTCTAATTGGATTATTTGCTTTCTAACTGATAGGTTTAGAGAAGCCTTTATATATTCTAGGTATATGCTTCATAAAATATTTTCTCCTAGTCAAGAAAATAATTTGACTTTTTTTCATCCTTTTAATGTTTTATTAAAAAGAAGTTTTAAATTTTGATAAAAAACAACATCCATTTTTTTCTTTATGGATCATGATTTTTGTGACTAGGAATTGTTCACCGAAGCCCAGGACACAATTTTATCCTATGCTGTCTTCTAAAAGATTTATAGTTTCACATTTTACATTTAGAGTCATAATCCAATTAGAGCTTTTTTTTTTCTTTTTTTTTGAGATGGAGTCTCACTTCTGTCACCCAGGCTGGAGTGCAGTGGCACGATCTCTGCTCACTGCAACCTCTGCCTCCCAAGCAATTTTCCCGTCTCTGCCTCCTGAGTAGCTGGGATTAAAGGTGCCCACCACCACGCCTGGCTAATTTTTGTATTTTTAGTAGAGATGGGGTTTCACCATGTTGGCCAGGCTAGTCTCGCATTCCTGAGCTCAGGTGATCTGCCTGCCTTGGTTTCCCAAAGTGTTGGGGTTATAAGTGTGAGCCGCCACGCCCAGCGGAATTTGAGTTAATTTTTACAAAGTACAAGGTTTAGGTCGAGGTACGTATTTTTGCCTGTTGTTCCTCTATCATTTGTTGAAAAGACCATACTTCCTCCACTGATTTACTTTCACATCTTTGTAAAAAAAGAAAGAAAGAAAAAGAAAAAGAAAAAAGATCTGGTCCAGGTGCAGTGGCTTATGCCTGTACTCCCAGCACTTTGGGAAGCCAAGACAGTAGGATCACTTTGTGGGGGCAAGAGTTTGAAACCAGCTTGAACAACATAGCAAGAGCTGTCTCTACAAGAACTTTTAAAAATTAGCTGGGCATGGTGGTGTATACCTGTAGTCCTAGCTACTCAGGAGGCTGAGGCAGGATAATTGCTTGAGCCCAGGAAATTGAGGCCTCAGTGAGCCAAGACCATGCCACTATGCTCCAGCCTGGCCAACAAGAGGCCCAATCCCTTAAAAAAATATATATGTTGAGCTTCTTTCTTCAATTAAACTACTATCAATTCTTTTTTTTTTTTTTTTTTTTTTTGCTGTTGTTGCCAAGGCTGCTGGAGTGGAATGGCTCGATCTCGGCTCACCACAACCTCCGCTGCCCGGGTTCAAGTGATTGTCCTAACTCAGCCTCTGGAGTAGCTGGGATTACAGGCATGGGCCACCATGCCCGGCTAATTTTGTATTTTTAGTAGAGACGGGGTTTCTCTATGTTGGTCAGGCTGGTCTTGAACTCTCGACCTGAGGTGATCTGCCTGCCTCGGCCTCCCAGAGTGCTGGGATTACAGGCATGAGCCACCGTACCCGGCCTAAACTACTATCAATTCTAAGATGTGTACTTTGCATTTTAACCTCTTTGAAGTCAGACATCTTAAAATTGTCACTGTCAAATTGGTACCGTTTTGTCATTTTTAGTGGTACATAAAACAACAGTGTAGCTTTTAATCAAGGACATCTTAGATTTAGTGAAACATGGTAGGATACATTGCTAAACCCAAGTCACAATATAAAATGTCAGAAAGTGGATAGAGAAGTGAGAAATGATTTTGCAGCATGGAGAATGGTAAAACCTAATTTCCAGAGAAAGGATATTAATGAGAATCAAGATGATGTACTGCAAAGAACCATGGAAAAGCCCAGGAATTAGAGGCACCAGGTACTGCAGACGTTGGGAGTTAGCATGAGGTTGAAAAACAGGAGGGTTTGGTTGAAAATGTATATAAGGAGCAGAGAGATCCCCAACATTCTACTTCCACTCTGTGTAACTACATCACTACTCCTTCCCCACCCTCACAGAAGGCAGGAAGATTTGGTGGAGGATTATTTGAGCTGGAGGAATTCTGGACTTAGTAACAACATACAAAGTGAAAGATGGGAATCAGGTCTCAACCTGCAGGCTTAAGTCTGAATATTGACAGAGAGATTGCATCCATCCTCCTTCCCCACCTAGCTCCCATATGGCCAGCAGCCCGTTTATACTACTAAGCCAAAAGACTGGAAGATTCTTTTCTGGAGATTTAATAACCCCAGAAAATAAACCTACCGATACTGACATTTTTAAGTTCCCTGAAACACAAGCATTTCACCAGATTAACCCAGCGAAGCCCACCAACAGGTAAATAGCAATATACATAGAGAACTTCTAGTCATATTTTTAGAGTCATATTTTATCTTCCTTAATATGAAGAGCCAAGATAGCCAAGGGTTATCAGGTATTTGAGGAAAGCCTCCAATATGAAAAGTAGCATCAAAACAACAAGGAATGCAGATGACATCAGGAGCACAAAGAAATGAAGGGGAAGAAATAGTTTTAAAGGGAGGAGAGAAAAATAAAGAAAAAAATGTTATCAGAACCAAATGATATGAGTTTTCAAGTTTAAAGCACCCATCACTGCAAGACCCATCATTGCAGGACAGTGACTAAGTACATTACCTTAAAGTATTATGAACTTTTAAAGCACTGATGCTACAAGAGAATCCTAAAAGTTTTCAAAGAAAGAGAGAGAGATAATATAAAGGATAGGAAACTGGAATGGCACCAGATGTCTTAAAAATACCATTGTAAGCTACAAATATATGGAGCTACAAATATATGGAGCAATAAAAGACCTCTACACTGAAAGTAGTAAAATATTGCTGAAAATTTTAAGAAGACTTAAATAAATAGAATGATGTAACATGTTAGTGGATTGGAAAATTTACTTTTATAAAGATGTCAATTCTGCCAAATTCGTTTGTAGATTCAACACAGTCCCAATCAAAACCTAGCAGGTTTGTGTGTGTGTGTAAATTAACAAGCTGATTCTAAATTCATATAGAAAGGCAAAAGGCCAAGAATACTGAGGGCAATATTGAAGAAGAACAAAGTAGGAAGATTTACACTACTAGATATCACATCCTATTATAAAGCTAAATCAATTAAGGCAGTGTGATATTGCTAGAAATATAGATAAATCCATTACCTGATTTATGACAAAGTTCATGCTGCAGTGAAATAGGGGAAAGAATTTTCAATACATGGTTCTGGGTTGCATGGATAGTCATATACAAAACAATATGCATGTTGACCCCTACCTCACACCATATACAAAATCAATTCCACATTGATTGGAACAGATCACTGCAGCCTAGCATTCCTGAGCCCAAGCAAAACTCCTGCTTCAGTCTCCTGAGTAGCTGGGACTGCAGGCACATGCCACCATTCCCGGATAATTTTTTTCAATTTGTTTTTGGTAGAGATGGGGTCTTGCTTTGTTGCCCAGGGTGTTCTTGAACTCCTGGCTTCAAACAATGTCCCTGCCTCATCCTCCCAAAGTGCTGGAATTATAGATGTGAGCCATTTTGCCTGACCACACTAACCCTTTTGAAAGAAAATGTAAGAAAATCTTTGTGACCTTGGAGCTGGCAACAAATATTTTTTTTTTTTTTGAGATGGAGGCTCGCTCTGTTGCCAGGCTAGAGTGCTGTGGTGCAATCTCGGCTCACTGCAACCTCCAACTCCCTGGTTCAAGGGATTCTCCTGCCTCCGCCTCCCGAGTTGCTGGGATTATAAGCATGCACCACCATGCCCGGCTAATTTTTGTATTTTTAGTAGAGATGGGGTTTCACTATGTTGGCCAGGATGGTCTTGATCTCCTGACCTCGTGATCCACCCACCTCGGCCTCCTAAAGTGCTGGAATTACAGGCATGAGCCACTGTGCCCGGCCAACAATTTTTACAACAGAACACACATCACAAAAAATGCTTGCCATAAAAGAAAAGTTAATTAAATGGGCTATATTAAATGAAGCATTTCTTTTTATCTAAAGACATCATTAAGATAATAATAAGCAACTCATAAGGTGAGAAAAGATACTTAAAATGTATGTATCTGACAAAGGACCTGCATTCAGAAAAAATTTAAAAACTCCCACAAATTAGGAACAGATAGGCTAATAGAAAGTGGGCAAAAACTTGATCAGACACTTAGCAAAAAAAAGATGTCTAAATGGCCAACAAAATATATTAAAAGATGCTCAGCTTTTAGTCATTAGATAAATGTAATTTTAAACAACAATGTGATAACACTGCACATCCACAGAATGATTACAATTTTACAAGTTGGGAAATATCAAGTGTTGACAAGGATGTAGGGCAACAAGAACTTTCATGCACTGCTGATGGGAGAATGAACTGTTAGAATAATTTAGAAAGCTGTCTTTTGGTGTCTGTTAAAGAGAAATATATGCATACTCCATAATCCAGCAATTCTGCTCCTAAATACATACCTAACAGAAATGCATCATATGTTTACCATAAGCTACATATTATAATGATCATAGCAGCACTATTATAATAGCCCCCAAATGGAAAATACCCAAGTGCCTATCAAGAATAGAAAGGATACATAAATTGTGGTATATTCACATAGTGTAAAACTACACATAAATGAGAATGAGAGTGAATGATCTAAAATTACATGCAAAAATACAGATGAATCTCACAAATACACTGTTGAGCAAAAGAAACCAGACATAAAAAATTAAATCCTGTATGGGTCTATTTATATAAAAACAAAAGGAGGAATAACAAAGCTAATCTATGGTGTTAGAATTCAGAATAGCACTTGCATGAGAGTGTTCTTTGGGGATATTGGTAGTGTTCTTTTATTTGATCTGGGTCCTGGATACACAAATGTATTGGGTTTATTAAAATTAATCTATACACATATGGTAAGTGAACTTTTCTGAATGTATGCTATACTAAAATCAAAAGTAATGGAAAAGGGGTGGAGTAGGGAATGTCTTCAAATATCTGACACACACAAAAAAGAATATGGTTTTCAGCCAGGCATGGCTGTGGATACCTGTACCTGTGGTCCCAGCTACTCAGGAGGCTGAGATGGGAGGATAACTTGAGCCCAGGAGTTTGAGACGAGCCTGGACAACATGCCTTTTTTTTTTCTTTTCTTCTTTTTTGGAGACAGGGTCTCACTCTGTCACCTAGGCTGGGGTGCAGTGGCCAGTGGCATGATCACAGCTTACTGCAACCTCCGCCTTCCAGGCTTCAGCAAACCTCCCACCTCAGCCTCCTAAGTAGCTGGGATTACAGGCATGCTCCACCAGGCTCCGCTAATTTTTGCATTTTTTTGTAGAGATGGGGTTTCACCATGTCACCCAGGCTGATCTCGAACTCCTGGCCTGAAGTGATCTGCCCACCTCAGATTCCCAAAGTGCTGGGATTACAGATGTGAACCACTGGCCCGAATGAATGTGGTTTTCAAACTAGGATTCTATGCCCAAACAAACTCTCAGTTAAGCATTAGAGTTGAATAAAGACATTTTTCAGACACAGAAATCTCAAACATATTACTTCTGATATACCTTTTAAGGAAGCTACTAAGTGCTCTATTAAATTGAAAAAGTAAATAAAGAAAGAGGAAAAAATAGGATCTGTGACTCAGAGGATCAAGAGAGAGGAGGGAATCATTGGTATAATGAAGAAGGCAGGTCCCAGGACTTCAGCTAATTAGCAACTCTAGAAAACAAAGAGCTCAGATGATTGGGGGATTGGGGTGGGGGCAGGGAGCAGGACAGAGGAGGGAAACAGAACAGATATTGTTGTCTGATAAATTTCACCAAGTGGCAAGACCATTGTAGGTTGGGAAGATTTAGGCTTTAAATAAAAGGACATAAGAAAGTAAATAAAATAAACCAACTAGAAATTAAAAAACCAAGGGATGAGGGGAAGGAAGGATGAATAGGCAGAGCAAAGAAGATTTTTAGGGCACTGAAACTACTCTGTATGATTCTATAATGGTGGATACAGGTCATTATACATTTGTTCAAACCCATAGAATGTACAACACCAGGAGTGAACCTTAATGTTAACTACAGACAACTGTAACAAATGTACCACTCTGGAGGGCGATGTTAATAATGGGTGAGGCTGTGCATGTATGGGAGCAGGGGGTATATGGGAAATCCCTATACCTTGTTCTTCTTCTTCTTCTTCTTTTTTTTTTTTTTGGGACGGACTCTTACTCTGTCGCCCAGGCTGGAGCGCGATCTTGGCTCACTGCAACCTTCACCTCCTGGGTTCAAGTGATTCTTCTGCCTCAGCTTCCTGAGTAACTGGGGTTACAGGCATGCACCACCATGTCTGGCTAATTTTTGTATTTTTAGTAGAGACAGGGTTTCACCATGTTGACCAGGCTGGTCTCAAACCCTTGACCTTAGGAGATCCATCCACCTTGGCCTCCCAAAGTGTTAGGATTACAGGCGAGAGCCACTGTGCCCGGCCTATACCTTCCTCTTAATTTCTCTGTGAACTTAAAATGTCCCTAAAAATAAAGTCTATTCAAACAAACATACAAACAAACAAACAAACAAACAAGGGTTTGGGGGTTTGTTCTGGAAAATAAAACAGTTATACAAGAAAGAAAGCATAATCATACTATATTACAATTGTACTACTACATAGTACAATATCCTCATAATCAAAATTAGCCATTGACTATTGATTTAACAGCAAAGAAGGTAAATGTATTGGGAGGATGGAGGCAGGGCATAAGAACATTAAATTATTAACTGCCATAATAAGTCAATAGATGATGCCTCACTTTGATGAATCAAGAGACAGCATGATAACTATGCAGAAATACGGAAGAAAATACCAAAAGAAACAGCTAAAAGTTTGGAAGTGGTTGCCTCTGAGGAAAACGGTGACTGTTTTTCTCGGTATAAGTCTTTTACCATTATTTGATTTTTTTTACATGTGCAGTTTAATTTTGATAAAAATTAAGTGAAAATTAAAAATAAACGGTTAAATCAAGACTTCTCTGGGACATGGGATGGGATGAGCTACCATGGAAACATTCCTTTTTAAATCCTATTTGAATATTTTAGCTTTGCGCATTTATAAATTTTCTAAGTAGTTTAGTCTGCTTCCTACCAAAGTGGAATTTAGTACCCTGGTTCCCAACAAGGGAGTGATTCCCAGCGCCCACCTCCCACCCCTCCCACCCTAGGGGGTCATTTGACAATGTTTGCAGACATTTCTGGTATCATCACTAGGGGAGAATGCAACTGGCATCTTGTGGGTACAAGCCAGGGACGCTCCTAAACATCCTATCAGACACACGACAGCCCCCACAGCCAAGAATTATCTGGTCTTGAATGTCAACAGTGCAGAGACTGAGAAATTTGCTACATGTTGTCACAATATTGAAGGTTGCACTGTGTTTGGTTACTAATATTATATAGTAATCAAAATAAAATACCTAGAGACAAATCTTTAAGGTGAGTGTCATGCATAAGATATTGATAAACAAAAACATACTTTTTATTTTTATGGTCTATTTAAGCAATTTTCTTTTTAAAAGGACTAACTATATCACTTCATATTAATACATTGAAATAAATGTTTAAAAACATTTTTGTAGAGATGGGGTCTCACTATGTTGCCCAGGCTGGTCTCAAACTCCTGGCCTCAGCCAGGTGTGGTGGCATGCACCTGTAGAACCAACTACTTGGGAGGCTGAGGCAACAGGATCATTCAAGCCCAGGAGTTCAAAGTTACAGTGAGCTATGATCACACCACTGCACTCCAGCCAGGATGACAGAGGGAGAGTCTGTTTCTAAAAAACAAACAAACAAACAAACAAACAAACAACATCAAACTCTTAGTCTCAAGAGATTCTCCCACTTCTGTCTCCTAAAGTGCAGGAATTACAGGTGTGAGCCACCGTGCCTGATCAGTACATTTTTTGAGGCAACTTTAAGACTTTTTTTTTTTTTTTTTTGAGACAGAGTCTCGCTCTGTCGCCCAGGCTGGAGTACAGTGGCGCGATCTCGGCTCACTGCAAGCTCCGCCTCCCGGGTTCACGCCATTCTCCTGCCTCAGCTTCCCGAGTAGCTGGGACTGCAGGGGCCCGCCACTACGCCTGGCTAATTTTTTGTATTTTTAGTAGAGACGGGGTTTCTCCGTGTTAGCCAGGATGGTCTCGATCTCCTGACCTCGTGATCCACCCGCCTTGGCCTCCAAAAGTGCTGGGATAACAGGCGTGAGCCACCGCGCCTGGCAAAACTTTTTTTAAAAACCTTTCATTAGGTGTTTTTTCTTATTGTAGCCGAAATAAAGTTTAAACTCCTTTTTGAGGGAGAAATGGACTTTTTCAGTATTATATTTGCCTTTCCTTCCCTAGTGGTTTAACTGGGGTTTAAATCCCTTTCACTCTTTTCTTTAAATGAAAGCTTTGTTTTCTTTTTGGTTGTCTGAAATAGGTTTTTATAGTTTACAAATATAAGCAGCTGCCTTGCATGTAGGACAGCTCCAGAGAGGCTCGTTATAGACTCGCCCAGTCATCTTTTTTCACCTGAGGAGAATCTTCTTTCAAAATTTTATCATAGGCTGGATATGGTGGCTCATGTCTGTGATCTCGGCACTTGGGGAGGCTGAAGTGGGAAGATCCCTTGAGTCCAGGCATTCGAGACACCCCTGGGCAACATAATAAGACTTTGTCTCTACAAAAAAATTAAAAAATTAGCTGGTTATGGGGGCGTGCCTCTGTAGTTCCAGTTACTTCCTGGAGGCTGAGGTGGGAGAACCACTTGAACACAGGAGTTTGAGGCTGCAGTGAACTATAATTGTGCTGCTGCATTCCAGCCTCGGCGACAGAGTGAGCTCCCATGTCTCTAAAATATAAAAATAAAAAAACTTTAATCACGTCTGATTTCCATCGTGCCTTTACATTCTGTATGTTTGGTATGCTGTTGTCTGCAGGCTAGAATGCGATGCTCTATTTCTTATCCATCTATCAGCTCCCGTGGTGTTGTCAATGGTTTATGAAATCCATCTATGTTTGGGACTTGCTATTCTGATGTTTTCTCTCTTTTACTCACTCCTAGATGACACTATTTCAATTCTCCTCCTTGTGGCACCCAAGCACATCTTAAAGTCATTGCTGGTTAGATTTATAAAATAAGTTAGAAAATTCTGAGCTGTTTCTGTTTGAGTCTTCACTTCCGTCATCACCTTCAAAGTAGATCTTACTCCCTACATCCTTTTTGATTGTGATACTTATGGTTTTTCAGTTTGTTCCAGGGTTTAAATTTTTGTCAGGTACTTATAGGGATCACACATCTTTTATTATTATTTTTTCTATGCAAAACTTATCAATTAGGTTTGAGTATCCTTTCCCTTTATTTTGCTCATTAATTCTTTTTTTTTTTCTGGTTCTTGTTGAAATTCATTGTTTCAAACTTTTCATGCTAACAAGATCACTGAGTGGTCACAACCTCTGGACCCAGATTTCACAGTCTGGGTGTAAATTCTGGCTCTGCCACTGGCTAGCTGTGTGACCTCGTGTAAGCTACTTAACTTTTCTGGGCCTCAGGTACAAAATGAAGATAATAGATCCTAACTTTAGAGTTGTGAGGATTAAATTAGTTAACCCATTTATGCTTAGTGTTCCATTATTGGAACGGTGAGCTTGTGGGGGTTATTTATATCCCACTGCTCAAGGTCATTGCCAAGGTCTGATTTTTCACACAAAAAAATTTGCAACCTCCGAGATAAATGGGTTAATATGTGTAACGCATATAGAACAGTGTCTGGTACTATATATGTAAATGCTAGTCATCATTATGGATTTTGTAGGTGGGTATGACCACACTGCCGGCTTCCAACTTTTCCTACAGGACCAACTGACAAATGAACTGAGTAGCTGAGATTGACCACAGCCCAGTAATCAACATGGAAACTTGATGTGAGAACCTGCTGTATGACTAACACTTCCAAATGAAGGCTGCTGTTTTCTCAAAGCTCAGCATAAAAATTTCACTGAATCACTGTAATTAAATGAAATGGTAGAAATGTGTTTTGAGGTCTCTTAGAGTGTTCTAGACTAAGGATCTACACAAAAACTATATATAATACTAAAAAAGAAAAATTCAAATGACCCATAAGCATCTAAAACTATCTCCAACTTTTCTATTAATCAAAGTATGAACATTCAAACAATAATAAGAAGACCAATTCCATCTATTACATTAAATATAATAAAATGAAAAGTCGGCCAGACGTGGTGGCAGGTGCCTGTAATCCCAGCTCTTTGGGAGGCAGAGGGAGGTGGATTACTTGAGATCAGGAGATCGAGACCAGCCTGGTAAACATATTGAAACGCCATCTCTACTAAAAATACAAAAAAAAAAAAAAAAAATTAGCCAGGCATGGTGGTGGGCACCTGTAACCCCAGCTACTTGGGAGGCTAAGGCAGGAGAATCGCTTGAACCTGGAAGGTGGAGTTTGCAGTGAGCCGAGATTGCACCACAGCACTCCAGCCTGGGCAACAGAGCAAGACTCTGTCTCAAAAAATAAAAAATAAAATGAAAAGGGGCAGGGCATGGTGGTACATACTTATAGTTCCAGCTACTCAGGAGGCTGAGGTGGGAGGATCACCTGAGCCCAGGAGTTCAAGGCTGCAGTGAGCCATGATAGTGCCACTGCATTCCAGCCTGTGTGCCAGAGTGAGACACTGCCTCAAAATAATAACAATAATCATATAAACACCTGTGAAAAGAAGGGAAAACAATAATAATTAATTAATTAATTAAATGAAAAGGAATGATGATAAGGGAGAAGATATGATATAGCACATTCATGCACTGCTGGTGGATTATAAATAGGGATAAACTTTACTTTTAAGGCAATGTGTGTACAAAAAAACAACTTTTTCATAGTATTTGGGTCAATAATTCCATATCTAGGGATCTACTCTAAAGAAATAATGCAAAATTGGGGTATTAGTTGCAAATATTTAATAATACTATGTGTAAGAGTGAAGAATTTTAAATTACCTACTAAGCATCATGGGAGTTACATTGTAAGACTAACGGGGCTTATTAAAGAAGTACTATTGGCTGAGCGTGGTGGCTCACGCCTGTAATCCCAGCACTTTGGGAGGCCGAGGCAGGCAGATCACGAGGTCAGAAGTTTGAGACCAGCCTGGCCAGCATGGTGAAACCTCGTCTCTACTAAAAATACAAAAATAAGGCGGGCATGGTGGCGGGTGCCTGTAGTCTCAGCTACTCGAGAGGTTGAGACAGGAGAATCTCTTGAACCCGGGAGGTGGAGGTTGCAGTGAGCTGAGGTCGCACCACTGCACTCCAGCCTGGGCGACAGAGCAAGACTCCATCTCAAAAAAAAAAAAGAAGTACTGTTATGACCCTCTGATATTTGTTGAAGGAAAGAAATTTTAAATTCCATTAAAATTAAAATGACACTTACTTAGTAAATTGCTTATGAATTTACACTTAAGTGAAAAAGCCAGATACAAAAATTATGTGATGCAACTATATTTTTAAATACTTAAGAGAAACACAAAGAAAATATGATTCCTGTGTTAACAGTGTTTGCTCTTTGGTTGTCAGGTTATAGGTGATTTTTTAAATTTTGCTTTAAAAAATACTTTTTTGTATTTTTGTATGTTCTAGGAAGAATAAATCCCCCTTTGTGATTTGATAGGAAGGAGGAGGAATTTGCCAGATAATGGTAGAATTTTTGAAATACAGAGAAGGTTAAGCAGTGAAATTGACAACAGCCTAGGAGCTGAGTGAACCCATCCGCCATTGACAACCAGGATAGTCTGAGGTAGGGCACCCAACTTTTGCCAGGAGATAGAAAACGCTTTAGAAAGTATTAATAAGGGTAGTGGGGAGTAGGGAGGAAGGGGGATGGTTAATGGGTACAAAAAAAAATAGCTAGAAAGAATGAATAATCAACCCAATGAGAGAACAAAAAGAAAAAAAAAGGAAAAGAAAGAGTAAGAACTAGTACTGATAGCACAACAGGGTGACTATAGTAATAATTTAATTGTACGTTTAAAAATAACTAAAAGTATAATTGAATCATTTGTAACACAAAGGATAAATGCTTGATGTGATGAATACTCCATTTACCCTGATGTCATTATTATGCATTGCATGCCTATATCAAAATATCTCCTGTATCCCATAAATATATATACCTATGTACCCATAAAAATTAAAAAACAATGTTTAAGTATAAACTGCTGAATAAAAGTAAGGTATGACAACTAAGTTATTATGATTGAATACCTAAAATATTTTTAATGACTGTATAAATGGAGGGTTTTACTTCTGGTTTTTTTTTTTGAGACAGGGTCTCACTCAGTTGCCCAGGCTGGAGTGCAGTGGTGCAATCATGGCTCACTGCAGCCTCAACCTCCTATGGCTCAAATGATCCTCGCACCTCAGCCTCCTGAGTAGTTGGGACTACAGGCACGTGCCACCATGCCTGGCTAATTTTTGTATTTTTTGTAGAGATGGGGCTTCACCATGTTGTCCAGGCTGGCCTCAAGCAATCCACCCATCTCGGCCTCCCAAAGTGCTAGGATTATAGGTGTGACTCACCATGCCTGGCCAGGTTTTACTTTTATTTCCTTTTTCTTTTCTTCTTCTTTTCTTTTTTCTCTCTCTCTCTTTCTCTCTCTCTTTTCTTTTCTTTCTTTTGACAGGGTCTCACTCTGTCACCCAGGCTGGAGTGCAGTGGCGTGACCCTAGCTCACCATAGCCTTGACCTCCCGGGTTCAAGCCATCCTCCTGCCTCAGCCTGCCAAGTAGCTGGGACAACAGGGGTGTGCCATCACGTCCAGCTAATTTTTGTATTTTCAGTAGAGACAGGGTTTTGCCATGTTGCCCAGGCTGGTCTCGAACTCCTGAGCTCAAGTGATCCACCCGCCTCAGCCTCCCAAAGTGCTGGGATTACAGGAGTGAACCACCATGCCTGGCCAACTTTTATTATTTGCTACGACAATTAAAATGAACAAGGAGAGAAAAGCAAGAAATTTCCTAGCTCTCTTGGGAATTAATAAATGAGCTATCAGAGAATTTTTGTGACTCGCCACTTCTCTGACATTTCAGATGACAGGCTTGAGCACTTAGGGCAAAGACTTATTGTCCATCAGTCCCCTTAAATAGGTAGTCCACCTAGATCATAGAAACCAGACAGATAGTTGTAACATTCGGGTTGTGATGGGATGTTTTAACTATTACTTGGATCTATCATGGTTCTAGAAATTTAAAGGCACAAAATCATCAGCTATAACTTCGAATGAAGGAAACTATCAAAAACAATGAATTCTACTAAGAAAACATTTCTTCTTTAAAATGTTTGGAGTACTTTTTGTAAATCAAGTTGGTTTTCAACTATAATGATTATTTTCTAGAGAGTGAAAAGGAAGTTTAAGAGGTTATGCACCATGATTTAGATCAGAACGCCGTCATAGGGAAGACTTTAATCAGCTTTGCTGCCTCCTTTCAGTCTAGGGTTATATCTGTAGCTTCCACAGGGGCAGGGATTTCCATTCTTGCCATATGTAAATGATGCCCCAGGGAGGCATTATGGAAAAGATCATGCTCCTTTGGGGTTGTTCACTGTGACTGTGGCCAAAGGATTCTTTCCAGTTACCTACCCAGATGGAATTTGGGGCAGCTTAGCAGCCTGGGCACTGAGATGATAAAGTATAAAATACTGAGTTTCTATGTGTCGATGTGATTTCAGCTTTGCTCCTCATTTTTGATTATGCAATTAATCACAACCATGACTGTCTGAGCCTAGTGCTCCAAGGGCAGATACTTTCTTATTATTTTAGTCCTAAATACTTTATCCAATTTAAAAGGAATCCATGGTGTAAATCTTTAGCCCAGAAAAATCAACATTCACTCTGCCAACAAACTGGTACATCGAATAACTAATAACTGAGTTTTGAATTTTATGATATTGCAGGAGTTCGACCAAGATGGTGACTGCAGTCATTCCACACTGGTTAATGAAGAAGAAGATCCCAGTGGTGGTAGACAGGACTGGCAACCCAGGACAGAAGGTACTGGGCTTTACTCCTTGATGTGTTTACAAAGATAACATTATCATATGGGCTTCTCTCCAATTTCAGAAGGGCTTATTGTAGAAGTTTGAACAACATACACTGGAGCCTATCAGAGGGTAGAGGGAGTGGAGGAGGGAGAGGATCAGGAAAAATAATTAATGGGTACTAGGCTTAATACCTGGGTGATAAAATAATTTGTACAACAAACCCCATGATACATGTTTACCTATGGAACAAACCTGCACTTGTACCCCTGAGCTTAACTCTTGCAATAAAAGTTAAAAAAATTATAATAAATAAGTTTGAAAACACAGAAAAAGCCCAAAGGAGAAGAAAAACCACTCACAATACTACCTTTTGGTCCATATCTGAATCAGTGGGTCTAGGCAGCTTGACTGGCCAGAATAGGCAAATGCTCTCTGGCTCTTTTATTCCACCTCACTCCAGCTCAGCCGACCCATTCCCTGTCCATTTCTTTTTGTCTGATAACATCCTTTCCCCAATTTCTTCCTCTCAGAATCTTCCAGCGGCTTCAGTGATCGGTTCCCTTCCGGAACCACACGTGTCTCCATGAGCCGTTGTCCCTGAGGGGAAGGTGGGGGAGTGTACGAGACCTGAAAGTCCCCAAGTCTCGGTCTTTTATTTACAAGGCCATAAGTCTGGAATCTTCCAGAACACCACCCATTTCAAACATGTTATCCTGTCACACCGTAAGTGCCCTTGCACTTAACAGACCACAAGGTATTTGCAGATTCTCGCCTCAGAGCATAGTTGCCACGGCTATCCCATTTGTCTGTCATCTATTCATCCATAACCTTCTTAAAGTAAATGTTTATTTGAACTGCTGCAATTTCTCCCGGGCAATCTTCTGGCTTCTATTTCTAGCACTCCAGGGAAGCCGCCCTCTTTGATGCCCGTGTTTCTCATCCCTTCGCACCTCTCAGAAGGCTGCAGCTCTCCCGAGTAGCGTCTCCTCCGGGAGGTGGTGCGATGCTGCCCTCTCCTGGGCAGCCGCCTGCCTTTCTCACGCCCACTGGGAATCTTCCCTCCCCAGGCTGAGGGCCGAGAGTAATTTAGTAACCATTAAAATTATGAAAACCATTAAGCCTGAAAGAGCTAACAGAAAGAAAATAAACCCCGAAACCCTTCAGAACGGTCCTTGCAGTCCTCCTTCGACTTTCATAGACTTCAAAGCCAAGCTCTTAGAAGCCTAATGGTGTCCCAAGCACCTTCCAGGAGGTTAAATATTTCATTTATTCTGCTCCATATGGAGATAACTCACCATTTGGGATGTTAGTCATTCTTTTAAACTTGATTTGCAATATTTTCAGTTTTCATATGGGAGCCATAATACTTATGAGGCATCTCCACTAAGTTATTTCAGTTTTAAGCTTTTAACAACTTGAGTTACACATTTGGAAGAAGCAATTCTCTTCCTGATAAAATTGCATCTCACAGTTGATAGAGACTTCAGTTGAGCTAGCTACTCTTTCTAATCAGAAATTCTGAAATAAAAGTGTTTTAGATATTATTGTCCATTATATTCATTTTAAATATCGGTTTAAATCTCTTTAAATGGACCGGGCACTGTGGCTCACGCCTGTAATCCCAGCACTTTGGGAGGCCAAGGTGGGCGGATCACCTGAGGTCAGGAGTTCAAGACCAGCCTGGACAACATGGTGAAACCCCGTCTCTACTAAAAATACAAAATTAGCCGGGTGTGGTGGTGCGCACCTGTAATCCCAGCTACTCGGGAGGCTGAGGCAGAAGAATCGTTTGAACCCGGGAGGCGGAGGTTGCAGTGAGCTGAGATTGTACCATTGCACTCCAACCTGGGTGACAGAGTGAGGCTCCGTCTCAAAACAAACAAACAAACAAACAAACAAACACTATTTTCTCAGAACATAACAGACACAAATCTTATAGACTAGAAATTGAGCCTACAAATTTACTGTTTTCATGAGTGAACAAGAGAGCCTATTCCCTAAAACTAATGGGCTTAAAAATATTTTAATTCAGTATAAATTCATCAGGATTTGTAGTTGCAGGTATACAAGAACCTACTCTTGGTTGGGTTAAAAAGGAAGGGAATTTTGAAAGATATTAGGAAGTTCATATACCATTGAAAAACCAGAGGAGAGGAACTTTCTTAGTCCACTCATGCTGCCAAAACAAAATACCATAGACTGGGGGGCTTAAATAGCAGACATTTATTTTCTCACAGTTCTTAAGAATGGGAAGTCCAAGATCAAGATTCTAGCAGGGATGGGTTTCTGGTGAGGGCTCTCTTCCTGGTTGCAGATGGCTGGTCTGTCCCCACGTGGTCTTTCCTCTGTGCACACAGAGGCAGAGCACAAGTGAGTGAGCTCTCTTCTTAGAAGGACACAAATCCAGCTGGATCGGGGCCCCACCCTTGACACCTCATGTAACCTTCGTTTCTTCCTTAGAGGCCCCATCTCCAAATAAGCCACACTTGGGGGTTAGGGCTTCAACATATTAATGTGCGGTGGGGGACACAAACATTCAGAACATCCAGTCCATAACAGGAAGGCCCCAGGTTGGATTGTCAGGAAGGATTCCCATAACTGCATTTCAAAACTGGCTGCTACTGACCCTCAAATCATGCCACGTCTGCCATAACCAGAGAGCCGCTCCCACTATCAATGTAAGAACCCCCTCCCTCTGCTGGTACCCACATCAGCACACAGCATGCCTGCACCTTATCTTTTTTCATGTAACTCACATGCATCAGTCTCTGAAGTAAGCTTTCTGAATCTAGCAGCGCAGGAAGCCGGAAATACAGCTGTTTTTTTTTTTTAAAGTCTGTGTTGAGCTTCACAATTTAGGAAATCATCAAAATGTGAAGATGGCATCAAAATATTTTGAACCTCCATGCTCGCAATCCAGACAGATATGCACATCCATTGAAATAGAACAAGGACCTCATTGATATATGCTCCTATTATGTACCCACGGAAATTTAACAAATAAAATAAAATAAAATAAAATAAAATAAGGAGACCAAACAGGAAAGTAAGGCTTTTCTGGAGAAAATAATTTTTCTTTATTGAAATCAGTTAAGCTGGGCCTGATTTTAAGTTTTTGTTTTAATAATGGTTTTGACACTAACAACAACAAATTAATGATCATTTTTCTGACTGGTTATGAATGTCATTTTCACCTCTTCTATAAAGAAAATATATTCGTGGCTATGTTGAAATGTTGTCTTTTAATTTCTCTCTATGGTAATATTTTCTGATAGCGTTAATTTACCCTCATTATGTGAAAAATGCACTTGCTAAGAGCAAGTGTTTTGTCTTTACCTGTGACAATGCATCCTCTTCCCTGGCCTACTGGGTAGCTTGAGAGGCCTTATCCACAGCAACGTCAGCAACTCACAGTATTCAAGAGGCAGAACAAAGAGAACATCTGTATGTTTCTAGTGGATTTCAGAATCAATATTCTGTAATCTTTTTTCCAATTTAGGACCAACAATTAGGACGGTGGCCATTAGCTCTTAACAATATCTTAAAAGGCAGGTATTTCTTACATGTGCTTGTTATATCTTTGTTTCTTGGTTTGAAAAAGAAGTCAGCTGATGAACAGACTTTGAAGCACATTACATTTGTTTGAAAACATTCTGGGTTTATTAATTCTTGACAACTGCAAAAGTACAGTTGTTCTTAAATATGGTTCATGTGAATACACTCAGTTTTCTAACTTCCACAGCAAAGAACTAAATACATTTAGCTTTTGTACCAGAACATCCTTTTCACTGACAGTTTAGTTTTTAGGAATGTATGCTGTATGTTTTTCTCACTCTAACATGTCAGCTAGGTGTTTGCACTCAAGGATAACTACAAAAATATTATGAAAGACATCCATCTTCCTTTCAAATAGGAGAACGACCTTGAGCATGTCATGCAAACTCATTGCTATCAGTTTCTTCGTCTCTAAAACGAAAGGCTTGGGTTAGGTGACCTCTAAGTTCCTTCCAGCTCAATAATTCCAAGTCTCTCATTTTTTGCTACATAGTCTGGTGATAGCCTCTTTGAAAACTTAAAAAACAATGGACTATTCCAGGGAAACTTCATTTTTAGACAAGTGTTCCATGCAATTGTATAGTATTAGAAAACATGCAATCAAGTTGTCTCCTTTGAGAAACATTAAGAAAACCAAAGCTAGCTACATTTTTATGGTAGCACAAAACATAATATTGGATAACAATGATAGTAAACACTATTATCATTTGCCTGATTGTAAACAAAACTTTTCATTTTGGAATTTTTTACTGTGTTTTTTTTTTTAATGCACTTGTTTCATTAAATGGCACAGGTATAAAAATTGAACAACAAAAATGCTTTCACTATGGTAGTTCCTATGTATTACACAAATATATCCAAAGTCCTTTAAAATAATAAAAATCTACTAATTTAGATAATGATGATAGCTATTAAGCAACTTTCCCAAGGTCACCCAGGTAGTGGCAGAAAAGGGATGTCTGATTCACACCTTAACCTTATCCTCCCTGCGATACTCCTTCCCCAGCCTTTAATTAGTGGAGCTCATACAGCCATTGCTCCTCCAGGCACAAGCAGATTGAGTGAATAAATGGCTCTGACAGATAAATGGATAGAAATGAATACCGGGGCAAGCATTGCGTCCTCCCGGAAGGACACGCCTCTCTGCTCCCACATCACCACTTGCTTCTATCACAGTGCTTATCTCACTGCATTCTTTATTTTCTTATCAGCTCTACTAGGGCCTCAGCTGCATCTTGTTTATTTCCCTGTTTTCAGCACTAAGTGCTGGGCTTGGCATATCCTTAATAAAAGTTCGTTAAATGGAAAAAAGGAATGAATGAACACACCTTAAAGAACAGGCAATGTTAGAATAGTTCACACTAGTTTTTTACATAATTTTGCTTAACATCTTATATTGTGAGCAAGCGCGTATTCTATAAGTTGGAACTTTCTGTCTTAAGGGTTATTCTGGAAATTAGTTCATGAAATGAGACAGGAGATGACCAAAATTACAAATACAAGCAAACATCTTTGGTGTTACATAAATTATCTCATTGAATGCTCACAATAGTTCTGGGAGATAGGTGTCGTTACACTTTATAGAAGGTGGTTCTGTTTTCTCCATCCTGAGGACAACATAGTTTGTTATAAAACTTTATTTTACATCTGTAAAATATTATTATATGGTTTTTTGCTCTTTAAGCAAGCATTTATTTAGGATCTATCATATCCTGAACAGGAAAGATACAAAGATGGCTAAACCTCAGCTCCTGATTAATGTCCATTTTGTAATCATTAAGAAGAGATTAGCCAAACAGAAATAAAGTACGTCTCCCGCTTTCCGCTGGAATTCATTACTTTCTTCCTTCTACTACTGTGGTATGTTTCTACAGGTGTTGAGATCACTGTAACTTTTCCAAGAGATGTCAGTCCTCCCCAAGAAATGAGCCAAGAAGACTTAAAAGAAAAGAAGTAAGGAATATTCTTTGAAGTATCAGATTTGAAATGAAGTATGAAGCAATGATAGTCATATGGCAACCTACATTATTAGTAATTGAATCCATAATAATGCTTAAAAGTAGAGGTCACAATAAATAGTATGTGGCAGAGGCCAGATCATAAACACTTTGGCTGTGTGGGCCATATGGTCTCTGTTGTGATGATTCAACTCTGCAACTGTCATTTGAATGCAGCCATAGACAATATGTAAACAAATGAGTGTGGCTGTGATCCAATTAAAGCTACAGAAAAAGGCTGAAGGCTGGATTTGGTCCCCGGGCTGTAGTTTGCTGACCCTACTGCAGGGCAGAGCTACTTAGAATGTGGTTCTGTGGTCCTGTTACTAGTCCATGATGAGGTCAGGACAGGCTGCGAGGGTGACCATTAAAAAAGTTGCAAAGCAATTTGGCAAATAACTTACGTTCATTGATCGGGTAGTGAAACAAATTGAGGCTTATTTTTTGCATGTCTTTTATTTTTCTTCCATTTTTATGGCAATTCATTTATATTTTACAAAAGTATCAGTTCACAATGACTGGAAATTTAAATGCTGGTTCTTCATCAAAAATAGTTTGAGAAACACTGGGCTAGTCAGTACCTGTGGAGATAAAAGGGTACATCCCCCAGGCCTGCCCTTGGTCTCTGATTTCTCTGTGCAAGGAAATGGTGATTGGGAAAACGAGAGTGAGCTGAAACCTAATCCATCCAAGCGATGGTACAGAGGGCTAAGGAGGCCAGGAGGAGTCAGCAGGTGGAGATGTCTTACCCTCTCAGGATTCAGCCTTTCCTTTCAGCAGCACCATTTGGAAGTAGTTCTTCAAACTTTCTAGTGATGTCAGGCTGAACTGAGGACTGGAGATCCAGAAGATGTGGCAACTGAGTTTTAAATCAAACATTTCCCTCCCCCTTTAGTCTGATAAACTCATCGCTTCAAGAATGGGCACAAGCACATGCAGTTTCTCATCCAAATGAAATAGAAACGGTGGAGCTCAGGAAAAAGAAGCTGACCATGCGGCCCTTAGTTTTGCAAAAAGAGGAAAGTTCCAGGGAGCTCTGCAATGTGAACTTGGGCTTTTTGCTACCAAGATCTTGTTTAGAACTGAACATTTCCAAGTCTGTAACCAGAGAAGATGCTCCTCATTTTCTGAAGGAGCAGCAAAGAAAATCTGAAGGTAAGTTGAACATTGAATTCCACAGTGAGTCCTTTTGGTCAACAAATATTTATGTATTGTGCCAGGCACTGTTCTAAATGCTAGAGATAAAGCAGTGAACATACCAGAAAATAACCCCAGCCCTTGTGTAATTTACATTCCTGGGGGTCATGGGGGTGCGAGACAGACAATAAACTAGTAAACAAGTAAAATGAAGGATGGCATAATGTTCCAGCAGAAAGAGCACTATATGTGCAAATGTTTATATATTTGTTCAAGGAATAGAAGGCAAATATTTTGAGAATATCTTATTGTTTAGATTATTTCATTGCTTATTTCTTTAAACATTTCAGACATTATTTTGTAAACTATACTTGATAATTTCAGTATCAATATCCTACTGATTTGCACTATGGTTGACTTTTTTCTTGAGTGTTTGAAAATCTTCATTGTGAGCTCATATTTGGTTGATGTTTATCTGTGGGAATCTTGGGGGCCCACGCTGTGGATGCTTTTGGCCAGAAGTATTGAATTTACTTCTACCAGGTCCCAGGGTCATTATGGACTTGAGTCTACGTTAGCCTTATTCCTGGATCCCCAAGTTAATGTGCAAGTCTAAGAGCCAACTTCCAACTACATTGAGCCCAAGACTCATTTGCTAGATAGCAGCACTGATGCCAGCATTTCCCCCTGCGGCAATATTGTCTTTGCTACTTGTTTACCACTGTCCTCAACCAACCAGCCAAAACCACCAGGAACAACCTTATAATCCAACAAGTTACATTCATTGATTTATCACAATGAGGGAGACTGCATGCCAGTGGAGCTGTGACACATCCTACCAAAAAAGAAAAAAAAGAATAATTATTATGGGATTTTAAGAGAAGGGTACATTTTAAGTGAAATTTAAATGAAGCAGTGCTTAAAGTTTTTTTTTTTTTGAGACGGAGTCTCGCTCTGTCACCAGGCTGGAGCACAGTGGCCCAATCTCAGCTCACCGCAACCTCTGCCTCCTGGGTTCAAGCAATTCTCATGCCTCAGCCTCCCAAGTAGCTGGGACTACAGGCGCATGCCACCACGCCCAGCTAATTTTTGTATTTTTAGTAGAGATGGGGTTTCACCATGTTGGCCAGGATGGTGTCGATCTCTTGACCTCGTGATCCTCCCACCTTGGCCTCCCACAGTGCTGGGATTACAGGTGTGAGCCACTGCGCCTGGCCTAAATTTTTTTTTGTTTTATTATGCTAAAATGTGTGTAACATAAAATTGACCATTTTAATCATTTTCAAGTGTACAGTTCAGTGGCATTTAAGTACATTCACATTGTTGTGTAACCATCACAACTATTCATCCCCAGAACATTTTCTTCTTGCAAAACTGAAACTCTGTGCCCCTTAAACAATAACTCTATATTTCCCACTCTCCCAAAGCCTCTGGTGACCACTATTCTATTTTCTGTCTCAATACGAATTTGACTATTCTAGGTCTTTTATAGAAATGGAATCATGCAATATTTGTCCTGTGTCTGGCTTGTTTCATTTGGCATAATGGTGAAGCAGTGTTTTGATGGGCTATATGTAAAATAGTTCATAAGAAATCTGGACTTGAAGTGGACCTAGACTCTTGTTCCTTGAAATTTACAAAGTTAGTTCCCAAATCTTGATAGCGTTTTTTTGTTTTTTGTTTGTTTGTTTGTTTGTTGGTTTGTTTGAGACACATTCCGGCTGTGTTGCCCAGGCTGGAGTGCAGTGGCGTGATCTTGGCTCACTGCAACCTCTGCCTCCTGGGCTCAAGCGATCCTCCCACCTCAGCCTCTTGGGTAGCTGGGACTACAGGTGCATGCCACCACGCCTGGCTAGTTTTGTTTGTTTGTTTGTTTGTTTTTTGGTACAGATGGGGTTTCACCATGTTGCCCAGGCTGTTACTGAACTCTTGGGCTAAAGTGATCCTCCCATCTTGGCCTCCCAAAGTGCTGGAATTACAGGCATGAGCCACCGTGTTCAGCTTCAACAGCCTCTTTCAGCCTCATATCTTGCCACTCTTCCTTCGCAGCATGATAAACTTTAGCACACTAAATGCCCTCTATTCCCTAAACATGCATGTGAATATTTGCACCTACTGTTCTTTCTGCTGGAGCATTATGCCATCCTTCAGGTTTTGTCTTAGAAACCCCTTCCTCTGGGAAGTCTTCCTGAACTTCCCAAGACTGGATGAGTTGCCCTTTCTTTGTTCCGCTATAGGATCCTGACCTTACCTACAACATAGCACTAATCAAGCATAATTGTCACTATTTGTTTACGTGTTCATCTTCGCCGGATTACAAAAGCAAGAATAATTCAACCTCCAAGCATTTGGCATCATACCTGGCACATAGCCATTACAAATGCACTTTTAATTAATAATAACAATAATCAGGTCCAGGGCAGCACTTTGGGAGGCCAAGATGGGCGGATCACTTGAAGTCTCAAAAAAAAAAAAAAAAAAAAAGAAATAAGAAGTACTAGCTGTGCACAGGCACACGCCTGTAACCCCAGCACTTTGGGAGGCTGAGGCAGGAGCACTGCTTGAGGCCAGGAGTTTGAGACCAGCCTGGGCAACATAGGCAGACTCCACCTCTAAAAAAAGTACATATATAAAAATAAATTTTAAAAATTAGGTGGCTGTGGTGGTGCACACCTATAGGCTCAGCTACTCGGGAGGCTGAGGTGGGAGGATTGCTTGATTCCAGGAGGCCAAGGCTGCAGTGGATGATGATTAGTCCATTGCACTCCAGCCTGGGTGACAGACCTCATCTCTTAAAAAAAAAAGTACAGCTAGTACAAGACTTTCTTCTAGTGTGTACTTTCATATTGCTAAATATCATGTTTAGAATGGTATTTATTAATTGTTCAGTTTGGGCTTCATCTATTAAGATTTATTACTTTTACATTACTTGCCTCACACACAAGCAATGCCCAATTTTCCCAATCTTTGTGTCTATTTTTTTAAAATCAATATTCAATGTCTCTGTTATTATGACTAGGTAAAATATTATTTGCAGCTGAGCTCCATAGTGTGTTGATTACATTTCCTCTCCTTTTAGACATTGTATTTATCTCAGCATTAGTAATAACCACTTCATTTCTTCATTTGCTTACTTTTTGTATATCTGTTACTAATTCATCCCATCCTGTGTATTGCACCTATAAAACAAATCTCAATACAGGTGATTAGATATCAGGCAATCTGTTGGTTCCTTTTGTTTTTGGAGACATTGCTCCTGGACCCTCCTGGCCTCTAATTTTACTCCACACCACCTGCTCTCTGGATCCACTGCCCAGCCGCCCATCTGAGATTCCCTTCGTGTCATCCTGGGAATTCCCTTGCCTCCTTGCTGTGTTGAATCCTTGTGTACTGGATATGTGGCTTAATCTTCCTTTCCTTACTTTTTTTTTTTTTTTTTGAGACAGAGTCTGACTCTGTCACCCATGCTTGGAGTGCAATGGCGCGATCTCAGCTCCCTGCAGCCTCCGTCTTCTGGGCTGAAGCCATTCTCCCTCTTCAGCCTCCTGAGTAGCTGGGACTACAGGCATGCACCACCAGGCCTAGCTACTTTAAAAAAATTTCTTTGGTAGCGATGGGGTCTTACTATATTGCCCAGGCTGGTCTTGAACTCTTGGGCTCAAGTGATTTACCCACCTCAGCTTCCCAAAGTGTTGGGATTACAGGCTTGAGCCACCTTGCCTGGCTTCCTTGCTTTACTTAATCCTCTTTTACTAGGGCATATTTCCCAGCAGCTTCTTGAGAAAGGGTACACGGAGAATATGAAAGATAGAGTTGTTTGTTGTCTCTAATTCTTCTGAGCTCTTTTCTTTCTTTCAGTTTGATCTGTTCTCTGTATGTTCATATTGGAGCATTTCCTCACATATCAGTTGAATCACATATCCTCACATATCAGTTGAATTTGTATCTAAAAGAGTTTCACTAAAAAGTTCTGTATGTTTGAGTGAGCTTGTTGAATGGGCCTCAAAGGAGCTGAATAGGTGGAGAACTGGACGATTGATAGAGGGATTCCCAAGTGTCAGCTTGTATAGATCAATGGACCTTTTCTCTCAGCTAGTTTTCCCCAGAGAGATAATCCAAACACCTGCCTGTAGGTTATGAGACTGGAGGCAACATTCTTGGCACTGAATGGGGTTCATATTTCAGTGTGTAGACTCTTCTTTGTCCTCATATTTTCACTCCAGCTCCCCATTTCTGCTCCCAGCCATACCCAGCTCCTTAGCATCTTTGTTTCAAGCCCTCCAGGGAGTAAACTTCCAGCCAACTGCCAGGAAAGGAGAAGAGTAACTCCTCATAGGGGACAGGGCAGGGAATCCAGTACTTATTCCAGCACAGACTTATGAGCACCCTCTCGTTTCAGTCTTGCCTGCATCCCTGTCTTCAGAGGTACCTTCAGTTCCCATTCCTTTCTGAAATTCTTATTTCTGGTTGGGCTGTCCCCTTGCAAGCATTGGGCAGAACACAGAAAGCTGACAACTCAATCAGTTATTATTCGTCCATATAGTTTTCTCTGTCCAAAATGTTGATATTGCTCATCTGTTGTTTTATCATTTGGGTGTTTTTATTTTTTGTCCTTATTTACATGTTTTTTAATTCTTTTACTGTGATTTTAGTGTGATTTGTGGAGGGATTGGAGAAAAGCTTGTACATTCAATCTGCCATTTTTAATTGGAACTCTGTACTTATTTTATTTTATTTACTTTTTTGGAGATAGGGTCTCGCTCTGTTGCCCATGCTGGAGTGCAGTGGTGCAAACATGGCTCGCTGCAGCCTCAATATTCCAGGCTTAAGTGATCCTCCACCACAGCCTCCTGAGTAGCTGGGAGTACAGGTGCATGGCACCACACCTGGCTACTTTTAACATTTTTTGTAGAGATGGGGTCTCGCTATGTTGCTCAGAGTGGTCTCTACACATTTTTAAAAGGCTTTGACACATGTTACCAAATTACCTACCAGAAAGATCTTGCCTCTACATTCCCACCAAAAGTCTTTACCCCACATAATTCCTGACCAATACTGGATAATACATATTCAAATATTTATAAGAATACTTGAAAGCGTTTTTTTAAAAAATTCAGGATGCTATCCATTATGTACCCAACTATAAATTATATTCAGTTGTATTTCTAGATTAACTTCTAACATCTTTTCAATAGAAAACCTCAACCTCTAGAATGCAACCTCTGGGAGCAAAGAGCAAAGATCTGTCTTTCCTGCCCACAACTATAAATTGCCATCTTCTGGGACAGTGTTGGCCACTCAGCAGGCACTCAGTAAATAATTGTTGAGTAAATGCATTAAGAATGAAGGGGAGGTGCCATGGCCAGCTGTGTCCAAGGGGAATGCCTGTGCCCCCTCCTGTTGCCTGTTGGGGTCCTCTTCTTAGGTGACTTGTTTTTCACCTGGGATTGGCTTTTCTACTGTGTTAAATCTTAGAAGTCTTTTTCTCTCCGTGTGAAACTTCAGAATGACAGCCTGAGGCTGAAATGGACCTACAGACATTTGTTTGACCCTCACAACATTGAAAAACAAGGGAGGAGAGGCCAGGCCCAGTGGCTCACACCTGGAATCCCAGAACTTTGGGAAGCCAAGAAGGGAGGATTGTTTGAGCCTAGGAGTTTGAGACCAGCCTGGGCAATACAGTAAGACCCTGTCTATACAAAAAATTAAAAATATAAAAATTTTAAATAAATAAGCAAGGGTGGGGGAAGGAGATTTCACATAAAACCTGCAGCTTGGGTTGGGCGCGGTGGCTCACACCTGTAATCCCAGCACTTTGGGAGGCCGAGGCCGGTGGATCACGAGGTCAAGTGTTCGAGACCAGCCTAGCCAACATAGTGAAACCCCGTGTCTACTAAAAAATAAAAAATACACAAAAAATTAGCCGGGCATGATGGCAGGTGCCTGTAATCCCAGCTTCTCGGGAGGCTGAGGCAGGAGAATTGCTTGAACCCAGGAGGTGGAGGTTGCAGCGAGCTGAGATCATGCCACTATACTCCAGCCTGGGCGACAGAGCGAGACCCTGTCTCAAAAAAAAAAAATCTGCAGCTCTCTGGCTTCTTTTGGAAGATGTAGCAGGGCTGGACTATCTATCTGGGTTGGATAACATCACTGCGAGCTGGGTAATGATGCCCCTTTAGTTGGGCATATGATCTCGATTTACTGCTGTGTCTTCCTGTCCCACATCATCCATTTCTGTGAACTGTTTTGACCCTGGAGACACTGGAGCTTTTGGCTTCAGCTTTAGAAAGTCCAAACTATGCAGAAGTGGTGGTGGTGGTGGTTCATGGGGTTTTGGGGATCATTCTGACTTTTTGGTAAGAAGAGAACAACTTGTAAGTTTTATACTACCTAGTAAGTCCCATCTCGTTCCCTAGGTGAGTCTTCCTCACACTCACCTTTCAGAGTTTATGGTCGATCTAGTTTAAACAACTGTTGGGAGACACTTATACAAGAATATTTTCACATTTCTGCACAGTTCAGGCTTTCTAAGCAAAAAACACTAGGAAACTAAGTTAAAAGATGACTGAATGTCAGAAACGCCTCCGAAGTTAGTGTATTGCTCCAGAGAAATTTAGAGGCTGATTTTCCCAAAAGCTGTTTGCTTATATTCTAGGGTAATAAAACATAGAGTCATCTTTCTCCTGGAGGCATTTGCTTACAATTCATAGTAAAGTGCTCTCTCCTTCTCTGGAGGGAAAGATGGGCTAAAGTGCCACCACCCAATATACCACCTGAGTCTCATCATTCCAGAGCTCCCTCCTGTGATGCAGCTCTGCCAGCTGTGCAGGTCAACACCCGGCTCTCATCACGTTGCCCTGTGAGGAACTGGGTTGTGGGGAACTGGCATTACAATGTTCTGTGAGTGATAAATGGTCTGCTCTCTGGTCCAGAGATCTCAGGTTTTCTGTCAGAATAGAGATATAAATATAAAACAGCAACCCCTGCTAGTGGCAGCAGCCTGAAGTTTTGTGTGATGATTCCACCTCTGTGTGAATTCCACAGGGGAAACCTCCAATTTCTACAACTTTTCCTCAGACCCCTTAGCATCTGTATTACTCCATCCCCAGACTCTGGCTTGAGACTGTTTTCTTTCTACTACTAAGAATATCCAGTTATTGTTTTTCTTGTTGTAGAGTTTTCGACCTCTCATATGAAGTACAGTGGCCGAAGCATCAAGGTAAGATTAGTGCTAGCATTTTTGACTTGAGAATTAAAACCAAACAACTCTATTCACTAATTTAGAACCAAATCCTCAGCAATTACACTTGACCCTTCAACAATGCAGGGGGTAGGGTCACTGATGTCCCCAACACAGTCAAAAATCCACACATAAGCTTTGATTCCCCCAAAACTTAGCTACTAATAGCCTACCGGTTGTTTTGTTTTGTTTTGTTTTGTTTTGTTTTGTTTTTTGAGACAGAGTCTCACTCTGTCACCCAGGCTAGAGTGCAGTGGTGCAATCTCGGCTCACTGCAAGCTCCGCCTCCCGGGTTCACGCCATTCTCCTGCCTCAGCCTCCCGAGTAGCTGGGACTACACGCACCCGCCACCACGCCCGGCTAATTTTTTGTATTTTTAGTAGAGACGGGGTTTCTCCATGTTAGCCAGGATGGTCTCGATCTCCTGACCTCGTGATCCGCCCGCCTCGGCCTCCCAAAGTGCTGGGTGTTCTGTTTTGTTTTGTTTAGAGACAGGGTCTCGCTATGTTGGCCACGTTGGTCTTGAACTCCTGGCCTCAAGCAATACTCCCCCTTAGCCTCCCAAAGTGCTAGGGTTACAGATGTTAGCCACCGCACATGGCTGCAGTAGCCTACTGTTGACCAGAGCCTTATAGATAACATAAACAGTTGATTAACACACACATTTTGTGTTATATGTATTATATGCTGTATTCTTACAATAAAGCCAAGAAAATAAAATGTTATTAAGAAAATCATAAGGGGCCAGGTGTGGTGGCTCACGCCTTAATCCCAGCACTTTGGGAGGCCAAGGCGGGTGGTTCACGAGGATAAGAGATCGAAACCATCCTGGCCAACATGGTGAAACTCCGTCTCTACTAAAATACAAAACATTAGCTGGGCATGGTGGCGGGTGCCTGTAGTCCCAGCTACTCGGGAGGCTGAGGCAGGAGAATTGCTTGAACCTGGAAGGTGGAGGTTGCAGTGACCCGACATCATGCCACCGGACTCCAGCCTGGCAACAGAGCAAGACTCCGTCTCAAAAATAAAACAAACAAACAAACAAAAAAAAAAAACAAAAAAAGAAAATCATAAGGAAGAGAAAATATATTTACTCTTCATTAAGTGGAAGTGGATCACCATAAAGGTCTTCATCCTCACTGTCTTCATGTTGAATAGGCTGAGGACGAGGAGGAACAGGAGGGCTTGGTCGTGCTGTCACAGAGGTAGCAGAGGAGGAAGAAAATCCACATATAGGTGGACTTGCGTAGTTTGAAGCCCTGTTGTTCAAGGGTCAACTGTATTTCTTGGAAAAACAACAACTCACATATAGTTCCTAGAGTAGCAAATCGTTCCTGGGAAAATTATGCCTTGCCATGTGCAGTGCTTTTCTGGAGTGTTTCTGTTCTTTACATAATGAGCTGAGTAGCTCCCTTAGACATTTTTTTTTTTTTGAGACAGAGTCTCACTCTGTTGCCCAGGCTGGAGTGCAGTTGGCACAATCTCGGCTCACTGCAACCACCACCTCCTGGGTTCAAGCGTTTCTCCTGCCTCAGCCTCCTGAGTAGCTGGGATTACAGGCACCTGCCACCACACCCAGCTAATTTTTGTATTTTTAGTAGAGATGGGGTTTCACCATGTTGGTCAGGTGGGTCTTGAACTCCTGACCTTGAGTGATCCGATTGCCTCGGCCTCCCAAAGTGCTGGGATTACAGGTGTGAGCCACCACACCTGGCCAGACATATTTTAATTTGTCTTTTTTCAACCTATTTAGAAATTAGGCAATTCTTTTCTTTCCCCCAGTGGTGGAAAGATTTTCCTAGCTGTCTAATTTATAAGTTTTTGGAAAGATATTTGCAATTCTTAGTTTCTCAACTACCTGACCCTTCTTTTCCTATGAGCCTTTGAGAAATACTTA